>NC_000001.11:163184587-165684587 GCF_000001405.40 Homo sapiens
GGATCTTGAAGTGGGAATTTATCCTGGATTATCTAAGTTGGCCCAATATAATTACAAGAATCCTTGTAAGAAGAAGGCAGGAGGGTCAAGTCTGAAGGCAATATGACAATGAAATCAGACAGAAAGATTAAAAAATGCTATACTGCTGGCTGTAACATGAGTCAAGGAATGCAGGTGGCCTCTAGATGTTAGAAAAGGCAAATAAATCAATTTCCCCCAGAACCTCCAGGAGGAATGCAGCCCTAGGGATCCATTTTTGATTTCTGACTTCCAGAACTGTATGAGAATGGATTCATGTTGCTTTAAGTGACTAAGCTTGTGGCAACTGTTATAGCAGCAAATACGAAACTAATACACCTCACTTAGCTTTTGTTTTTTAAACTTAGTTAACTATAGAAAATAGACTTAAAACCAGTCAGACTGTTCTGTGATCCTCATTCTACCATTCTATTTTCAGTTAATAGATAATCCTAATTCTTTTAACCTCTTTTGAATTATCTGTTTCTCAGCCTTATCTAATCTTCCTCTCCTGAACCAGCTATTTGTTCCAATATTGCTCCTTCTCTCCTAAACCCAAAAGCTCAAACCAGGCAAGACAGGGTCCTATAGTCTTTATTTACACACACACACACACGCAGAGGGGTGTGAGTGGGCTTCATTTTTATGGCTATGTTACCTATGAATTATTCCCTGGAGTCTTGCATATGGGAGTCATGGCTGCTTTTTTAAATCAAATTAATAACTAACAACTATAAAATTGTCCAGGAAGATCAGGGCTTTTGACTTGAAATCATCTAAAAATTCCTAAAAGACAAGGTGAGAGTTCAGAAGAATGAATTCATCATCTGCTACAAATAGCTTCCCTTTCACGTAATCATATTCCATCAAGAGTCCAGTTATCCTCTCAACCCCCCAGGCTCAACTTGGTTATCTGTGATCCTCCCTTCTCTCTTTCCTCCTGTCATCCAGCTGTCTCATTTACTTTCTAATGTTCCTTGCAAGGGGCCCTTTCATGGGAGTCCCATTCTTACACCTCTGTAGGGAGATGAAGATGATTCCTGATGCTTTCCAGTTCCCTGTTCTAGATCCTTTCTGAGGTTTGGCTGCAAGGTTGTTGCAACCTGAAGATAACTAAGAAAAAGCAAACATTAAGAGAAACCACACATTTCTCAGTTAACTGCATGGTTCACTCAACACATGCAATGCATAAACTTATTTAGTGCTCACAATAATCCTATGAGACAGGTATTACTGTGACCCCGTGACCTCACAGAGAACTTAGATAATTTGCTCAAATTCACCAAGTAATAAAGCAAACATTGATGGGGTTAAAACAAGGTAATGATAAAGGTATAATTCAACCTGGTCTCATGTCAGCATATGGGCTTTTAATTATTATCATGCAATATCACCTCTCTCAGTTGCTCAGTTATTCTAACTGGCAGTTATATGCATCTGGCAAATAGAAATAGAGAAAAAAAAGGTCTTTTTTTTTTTTTTTTGACATAGAGTCTTGCTCTGTCACCCAGGCTGGAGTGCAGTGGTGCAATCTTGGCTCATTGCAACCTCTACCTCTAGGTTCAAGCAATTTCCCTGCCTCAGCCTCCTGAGTAGCTGGGATTACAGGTGCCCACCACCACGCCTGGCTAATTTTTGTATTTTTAGTAGAGACGGGGTTTCACCATGTTGGTCAGGCTGGTCTTGAACTCCTTACCTCGTGATCTGCCCACCTCGGCCTCCCAAAGTGCTGGTATTACAGGCATGAGCCACTGCGCCCAGCCCCATTTCTTTTTAAAGATTGCAGTGTAGTAACCAAAACTGTGTGAAAGATGTGCTAATGGAAGAATAAATATCTTAAAAGCAAAGACAGGGTCCTAGCTACGCGGGAGGCTGAGGCAGGAGAATGGCGTGAACCTGGGAGGCAGAGCTTGCAGTGAGCCGAGATCACACCACTGCACTCCAGCCTGGGCGACAGAGCGAGACTCTGTCTCAAAAAAAAAAAAAAAAAAAGAAAAAGAAAAGAAAAAAAGCAAAGACAGACAAAATTATGAATATATGACCAAAATTCTTAAGTAAAAGTTCATCTGATAAAATAAAATGAAGATGAAATGTAAATCCAGAGGCCTTGCATAAGCTCAAACTCACAACTATGTGACCTTAGACAAGTCCCCAAAACAATTTGGACCTCTTTTCTCATCTATACAAGAAGGAATTGGTCCGTTACCCTGAATCAATTCTCAGTCTGTGATTCTAAGCTGGTCATATTAGAGAAAGGGGAAAAAAATCACACCCCGTATGTGGAGCAGAATCTATCAATTGAATTCAATAGACTTTTATTACATGCCTCTGTGTGATCAAAATTGTGCTAGGCACTCATTCCTAGTCTGTCATAATTGTCAACTGGCTTTGTTATTCTTTTCTTTTTCATGCTCTCGAGCCAGTATCCATTTAATAAAATGTTTTCCATAAGTAGCTAATGGCAGTTATGTATCCCTTTCCCTCAGCTGCACTCCAGCCATCTGCACTCACATTTCAGCATAATTACAAACATCAGGGCCCAATCTGGACCAGGAAGGGAGATAAAAGCTGAGCTATACTTAGTGGGTCCAGAAGATAACAGATTAGAGGGAAATTTTAAAAAATAAAATAAAAGTTATTTTAACCCTCAGATTAGAATTTGAGAAAACCTTATTTGCATTTTTCTCAATCTTGCCAGCTAAATGAGAATGGCTATGGCCCCCTAGTCACATATAGTATGTGTGGTGTTATGATATACATTGGTTTTCGTCCACAGTTCCTGGTTCATAACTCCCTCAGCCTTTGTTACAGTCTTTTGTGATAATGGGTGTGTTAGGCCTCAGGAAACAGAATCTCTTTCCAGCCTTCCTTTCACCTATCACAGGCAGGACTCTAATCTTCTCCCACCTTTGTGATTGTGGGTCTTAAGACACTCCCCTGACAGGTCCCGCCTCATACGCTGGCAGAAGAAACGCTTCCATAAAAACCCAAGAGAAGTGGGTTCAGGGAGCTTCCGGATAGCTGGACACCTGGAGGTTCCCAGAGGATGGTGTACCAGGTAGGGCATAGGAACTCCGCACCCCCTCCCCCATGCCTCACCCTAGTGTCTCTTCCTCTGTATCCTTTCCAATATCCTTTATAATAAACCAGTAAATGTTAAGTGTTTCCCTGAGTTCTGTGAGCCACTCCCGCAAATTAACTGAACCCAAAGAGGGGTCCTGGGAACCTTAACTTGAAGCCAGTTTGTCAGAAGTTCCGGAGGTGCAAACTTACCACTGGTAGGGGGAGTGGTCTTGTGGGACTGAGCCCTCAACCTGTGGGATTTGATGTTATCTCTGCATAGATAGTGCCGGAATTGAACTGGAGGACTCTCAGCTGGTGTCCACTGCTTGGTGTGTGGGAGTTTTTCCAGAAGTCGCAGAAGTCTTCTTGATGATTGTTGTGGTGGTGTGAGAGCAGACGGAAAATACGGCTTGAGGAGAGTTTTTCCGACATAGTATGAAACTGCAGCTGCACTGCACTCAGTTACTAAAAGCCAGAGTTATCAATGGAGTTTAGAAATGATGGTAGATCTGACTCCTGAGGAGCTAGTTCATTGGATATGTAAGGAAATACAAACTAAGATGAGGCATGCTAAACATACAATCCCACGGTCATTGTTATCTTTAATAGCTAAATTCAAAGTGCTGGGTTAGACCTCAGTGTTGGACCAAGTTCAGGCATAAGTTTGTCTGAGCTTTAGCCACTATCCTGAAAGGCACCCACAAAAGGAAAAATTACGCAGAACAACAGAACTACCTGTGAGTCCTCTGGTCACCCAAAAGATAGTCAACAGGGAGAGGGCACAACCCAGGAACTGCTGAAACCAGGGCATATAGTGTGAAGGAGTTCCTTCATTTTATAGATTGGTATCATCAGCTTCCTGAAGAATCTTTACTAAAATGGATTTGGGGTGGATTCTGGACCCACAGCTCAAAATGAGATAATCACAGATGGTAAAACAGGATCCAGAGACACAGGAGGTTATTCCTGAGGGAAGAGGCAACCTGGCGAACTAGAAAAAAGTTACTGTGGCTGGGCGTAGTGGCTCACGCCTGTAATCCCAGCACTTTGGGAGGCCGAGCCAGGCAGATCATGAGGTCAAGAGATCAAGACCATCCTGGCCAACATGGTGAAACCCCGTCTCTACTAAAAATACAAAAATTAGCGTGGTGACACGAGCCTGTAGTCCCAGTTAGTTGGGAGGCTGTGGCAGGAGAATCGCTTAAACCTGGGAGACAGAGGTTGCAGTGAGCCAAGATCGCACCACCACATACCAGCCTGGCAACAGAGCGAGACCCCATCTCAAAAAAAAAAAAAAAAAAAAAAGCTACTGTAAGGTTGTAAGGTCTGTCATCCCAAGAAATGAACTCTTCCTTTCCCCACATAAATGCCATGTAGAACAGCCCAGATGAAGCAGCTGTTCTGCTTAGAGTGCAGGCCACGTGGGACTGTCTTGTGATAATCAGGTTATTCACTCACTGAATATGCCTGTATTCCCAGGACATGGTAAATGCTGTGGGTAAGAAAGCACCATTTGCATGGGCACTCCATATAATCTTACCGTGGCAAAATTAAATGACAATCTGGGAAGTTTTATTGAATTTGCTATCTTGGCTTCCCCTCATGGGTTGTACATATGCTAATAAAAACGATAAGAGTAGTTAACAAGAGGATGGCAAAGGGCAGAAGGAAGAGTCAAGGAACTCTTCCCAACAAGGTAAAAATGTTCAAAAAGTTATTAAGGCATTAGGTGATTCAATGGAGCAAAATAAACAGAAAAATAAAGAGACGTAAAATGGTACTCATGCAAGCACGATAAAATTTTTAGAGGGTTATTAAGAAGTGTGATGAATAAAGCAAACATTGATGGGGTTAAAACAAGGGTCTTAATACAACACTGTCAAAGTTGGTGTGGGTCAAAGTGATCTCTGGTGATTAAAGGACCTTAACTAAGTCCTTCCATCTACCCCAGTTTGGAGAAGGTTAAAAAGCCAGAAGACTAAGATTACAAGGAGAAATATGACCTGCAATTGCTTGGAGCAAAAGTTAGACCACTCAATTGAGATAAAGATTAATAAAGGGGTCAGGGTCTCTGGGCTTGACCCCCTTGTGGGAACCCAAAGCCTTTTGCTATGAGTGGGTAAATGGTCAGAGAGTAGAGAAGAAAAGTTTCCAGAGCTCCTAGAAACAGGAGTCTCATGCACCGTGGTACCAAAACCCACTGGTAAAGTCCTCACTTAAGCTACAATGAAATTGAGAGAACAGAAAAACTTGAGATTTGATAGAATTTGAAATTTGATAGTTATGAAAATATTTGAATTTGATAGAATTATGAAAGTTGGAATGTTTAAGCAGGCTCTGTGTGAAGTGGTTATATTATGGGGATCAACATTGTCTCTGACTGGGGAGTATTTCCCCTACCTAGTATTGTAACACAGAAGACATGTAAATCTGCTCTCCAAACAATGCTAATTGAACACACTAAATTAGAACCAATAAGATTGCTCAAGCCCAAGCAATATAGAGTAGAGGCTGAATGCACATATTCTTTGTTTGAAAGCCCTATACAGAGCTTAGACTGAGGCTTATAGCAAAAGCCTGTGAGTGCCTCCCCGTGACAACTATGAGGATTTTGGACTAGAGAATTTCCATTTGAGGGTCAATTATTAGCTTGCTATTGGACATTAATTTAAACTACCTTTATAACTGAAGGACATAAAATAATCTTGAAACCTGAAATACCCATGGTGTCTTGGTGATATCAGAGAAACACTCTAATGGGGATGGCAGTGCCTGGAAAAGTTCCATAGTAAAATGAACAGGATCTTACACAAGATCATACTACCTGGAGAATGCAAGGAGAAGATACCAGCAGGGAGCCCCTTTTCCCTTAGGACTGACTATGGAACTGCGTGAGGAGCTGCCAAACTCTATCATCATTTAGACAATACCCTATAAACAGTGCTCGACTGACTAACAGTTACTTGGTTTGTGGACAGTAGTTCCACGGTGTATGGACAGCATCCTGTTGGAAGGCTGTCACTCCTATCAAAGAAGATAAAAACAGGTGAGCCCAGTGGGCTGAATTGCATGTTGTTTTCCTAGCAATGACGGAAGAATTTAACAATGATGAAAGCCCCTGTGTTTCAGTTTTTACTGACTCATGGGCAGTGGCCAATTGCCTGGCTATATGGTCAGTGGAAGCCTAGCCCATTAAAGGGATACCCACATGGGGCACAGCTTTATGGAAATGACTATGGGAATTCAAGGGGTTCATTAAAGTAGGACATGCTGATGACCATCAGAAGTCCCTTTCAGGTTTGAAAGGTGATTGGATCAATACATATATATATATATCCCTGTGTGCTCTCCTGTGACGGCCACCTGGGTCCATGAAATGAGTGGACATGGGAGTACTACAGCAAGGCAGAGATGGACTAAATCTGGACATACTCTTCTTGCACACTCTGAAAAACAAAATGCCAGTAAGAACTGTCCTGTTTGTCAGCAAAAGAGACAGAGACTGCCGATGGCTATGTGGCAGATTCTTGGGTGGGAAGGGCAGGAACATAGCTGGCAAGTGAGACTGACGCCAGTAGCCTTGGAGGGCTACAAATGGGTCTTGACAGGAATAGCCACTGACCCTAGAGTGCGTTTTGCTTATGAAGTGTCAGATGCAAATGCTCAAAATGCTATAAAAAAAAAAAGATAGTGCAGCAATTTGGGTAGCCAGCCATCATTTATTCAGACCAAGGAACACACAGTATAGCCTGTAATGTCCAACAATGAGCAGATAGATATCCTCTTCAGAGTAACAGTTTAATGGAGAAGTGAAACAAGTAACTGAAACATTGGTTGTCTAAAATGGGAGCAGTGAAGGTGTGAAGGGCTGGCTTACTGCCTTCATGAGTGCGTTTCTTATTATGCCATAGTCTAACCCATGGTCTCTGGCCATAAACTCTTGGCACAAAGTTGCTAAAACTCTTCTAATTTCCTGAGTGATAATGGTGCTAGGAGCACCTTTTATTCTAATACTTGGTTTCTGACCCTGGTTCTTTACACAGAGCTCCTAAATCCCTTGGAAATTCCTGGGTAAGAGGACCACGTTTTGCTCTAATGAGGCAACTCTTGGTGGCCTCCTGGATAAGGGTTGGTCACTAGAAAAACCAAACTATGATGAGAAGCTTGGAGCTTTCAACAAAGCTTCCTCTGGGGAGAGAAGAGGGGCTGAAGCTTGAGTTAATAATCAAATATACTAAGTAATGAAGCCCCCATAAAAATCTCTAAAATGCAGGGTTCAGAGAGCTTCTGGGTTGGTGAACAAAAATGCATCAAGGGGCTAGGAGGGTGGTGTGCCTGAAGAAGTCACAGAGGCTCTGTGCCCCTTCCCATATACCTTGCTCTATGTACTTCCTCATTTGGTTGTTCAACTGTATCCTTTGCAACTGTATCTTTTGCAATAGCCTTTACGATAAATCAGTAAAAGTAAAAATGTTTTCCCGTGTCTTATGAGACATTATATAAATTATTGAAGCTAAAGAAGGGATTACAGGAAACCCCAATTTATAGCTGAACTTACAACTGGCATCTGAAGTGGGGGGCAGTCTTGTGGGGCTGAGCCCTTAACCTATGGGATATGACGTTAACTCCAAGTAGATAGTGTCAGAGTTGAATTGAATTGTAGAACACACCCTTGGTGCCTACAAAATGTTGGAGAATTTCTTGGTGGGGAAATCCCACACATTGGGTGTCAGAAGTGAAGTGTTGTGTGAGGAGAGAGAAAAAGTTTGTTTTTCCCACTTAGTATAAAATCCAAACTATGGAGATAGAAAAGACCTATTCGCCTTAAAGTGGAAAAAATTCCCATCAATCTACGTTCATCTTTGTGAAAGAAAAATGTTTCTTCCTACCAGGCCCAGGTACACTTTCAGTTTGTGTGCACAAATCTCTGATTTCAACAAACAATCCATCTTTTATCCAAGTCATAAACAATATTGAGGGTATATGTGTGTAAGTGTGTATGCCTGCACATGCATGTGTGTGTTCAAATGACATCTTGTTTTGCACTTCGGTGATTCAGAAGCAAGATTTAAGACTCTGAAAGTCTGTCATCCAGCAAGCATCAGACCACCAGATCCTCTGGGAAAGTCTTCAGTGTGACCTGCACTGTTGACCTTGTCCCAAGTACACAGGTTATGTGGTCTCACACTCCCATTCACTGGATATCTCTCATAAACTATCACTTAAAATAACTTGCCAAAATACAGGAAGCTATTTTTTAATGGAACATCTTGATTCTTTCTAAACTTCCTGAATCCCATAGACAAGTGCCTCATCAAGAAACAGATGTTCGGCACAAGAAAATATCAAAAAGTGGAAGCTTGACCAAAACAGCTCCACATACTTCGCTAATAATAACAAACACTTGCAAAGGAGAGCACTTCACATTTTTACAAGTACTTTATTTCGTGTTGCTTTTCTTCTTCTGACTCTAATATGATAGTTCCAATGTCTTTCTAGAATGTAGAGTTTTAAGTCTCTAAATGATCTGTCCAGATGGGCTAGGTGCTGTTTTGAGCAGCGCCTGGGGAAACAGTTAGGAAGGAAAACATGGAGAATATAGAATAAAGGTCTTAGCCTCATTTACTATTCATGAAACCAACATGGTCATCAAGTATCTACTGTCCAAAGTATTCAAAAGCTGCTTGGCCAATTCCTTTAAACACTGAAATATTTTCTTTTTGAAGGAGAACAAAAATTCAGGTTAAGTTATTCTACCTAGGCATGGCAACTGAATGGAATGCCTTGCAAATAAATACTCTGTTTGGACTTTTCAGGAGCTCTATGGTCAGGGTAAATAAGCCTAAAAACGCACATGGATTAGCTGTGTTGATAATGCATGCATCCTATAATTAGGTTGATCACACCTACAGATTTTCCAGGAAAGACCCAATTTCTAATGCCTAGTCTGGAGGCAAACTATATGTTCCTAATCTGGTTGGAATTTGCAGTTGCTGAGCATATACACGCCTGACATGGATTTATGCAGTCAGCAGTCTTCATAGCACTTCCAAGAATTGTCAGTACTCCATGATCTACCCAGATGGCAGATGAAAATTGGTTAATTATGTAAAGACCTGGAAACCCTGACATACCCTTCTCATCCCATCCTCAAGGATGAAAACTTTTCCACTGTTAAGGCAAATGACAAGTTTACCTCTAAGCAACATTCAGAAGGGCAGGAGTGGGCCACCCTTTCCCACTGGAGAAAATGTAGTGTAGTATAAATGTAGTCAGTGGTGCCACACCCCCAAAGTCACATGCGTCTGTGTTTACTTTTTTATCTTGCCCTCAGTGACATTATACACTTGAAGAGGAAAAAATGAAGTTAACTGTAAATAAAGTGCAAGCATCATACACTGTTAGATTCAGATTCTAATTCATCCTCAAATTGTACAAGAAACCGAGACCACCCTTTTTCTTCATAGAATTCACCAAAATAAAACAGAATCACTTTCCACTGCATATTAATATATACTTTTCACAAACTGGGAGTATATTCTGAACTTATCACAAGTCTTTTAAAGAAATATGGGGTTCTTAATTGAGTCCACTGAGATTTTTAAACATTATGGGAAGAAAATTGCACATATGTAATTGATTGCATCTTTTAAGCTACATTCAGGAGTTTGTTTCCCAGGCCTTCCTATATGACTTAGATGAGATAAGAAATTATAATAAAAATGGAATATTTTCTCAAAATACATGGTGTCCCAATTCAGAATAAGAAAGTGTTGGAGCTGGAAGGAGTATAACAGACCATATAATTGATCACGTCCTATTACAAATGTAATAGTGATACTTGGAGAGGGGAACTGGCACATGACTTATCCTCCACTAGGTAGTAGAAGCCAGTGTTACAGCTCAGGTGCCTGTATTCCCTATCTAGTACCTTTCCCACATGTTATATAGCCTCTTATACTTGTGTCTAAAAAGACTGTGTTTTTCAAATAAATTGCAAAGAAAGAATAAACAGGAAGCCTATTGACTGAGAGAGATATAAGATTAAGAAATCTCAATGTGTGAACATTTTTGGATCCTAATACAAACAATCCAATTGAGAAAAGAGCATTGAAAATATTTCGATTCTTACCGGATATTCAATGAATTATAGAATTATTGTTAACTTTTAAGTATGATCATGGTTTTTAATGAGCTTTATCATTTTGTAAAGACTTGATATGTTTTGTAAGAAGAAATATACGTTGATAATTAAAAAGTCAAAAAACAATAGATGTTGGCATGGATGTGGTAAAAAGGGAACACTTTTATACTGCTGGTGGGAATATAAATTAGTACAACCTCTATGGAAAACAGTATAGGGATTCCTTAAAGAACTAAAAGTAGAACTACCATTTGATCCAGCAATCCCAATCCAGTGTCTGCCCAAAGGAAAAGAAGTCATTATATGAAGACATATGCACACTTATGTTTATAGCAGCACCATTTGCAGTTGCAAAGATATAGAACTAACCTACGTGCCCATCGACCAGTGAGTGAGTGGATAAAGACAATGTGGTATACATATACCATGTTGTATATAAGAATGGAATAATGTCGTTTGCAGCAACTTGGATGGAGCTGGAGGCTATCATTCTAAGTGAAGTAACTCAGGAATGGAAAACCACATATTGCATGTTCTCACTTATAAGTGGGAGCTAAGCTATGAGGATGCAAAGGAATAAGAGTGATATAATGGACTGTGGGGAATCAGGGGGCAAGGGTGAAAGGGGGATGAGGGATAAAAGACTGCCTATAGGCTACAGGGTGCAGTGCTTGGGTGAAGGGTGCCCTGAAATTTCAGAAATCACCACTAAAGAACTTATTCATGTAACCAAACATCAACTGTACCCCAAAAACTACTGAAACAAAAGTAACAATAATAATTTAAAATATATATATATTGAAAAAATTATGGATAAAGTATTTTTTAAATACTGTACCATTTTTAAAATTTATCTTTATTTTTTTTTAAAAGATGAGGTTATGATGAGGAAGGATAAAAAGGAGTAAGTTTTATCAAAGGCCTTAGCACATAATTGACTGACTTAAATTATGTTTCCTTCACTGCCTACAAAGGGGAAAAGAGAGATAAAAGGAAAATAATTGTTTAATAGGGGTCCTTCTACTAAAAACTAGTCACCTTAAATATAATATTTCATTTATTTCTTTTAGCACTTCTGAGAAAATGAAGTTCAGAGAGGTTTGGTGACTTCCCAAAGTTCACACAGTAAGGAAGAAATAGAGGAAGTTATGAGCACTGTTCTTTCTACCCCGCCACACTGCAATTCAAGCGCTGGTCTTGAGGCAGGGGAGAGACTGTGAGCTCACATCCTTCCTTACTGTGAACATTTTCTTTCCTATTCCTGAATCCTGTAATCTTAAGAGTAACTTCCTCGATCGTTAGAAACAATCAGGCTTTCACTGTCTTTATCCTCTGGGTGACTCAGCCTTCAAAGTAGTGCAGATGCAATGTTATCTGAGAACTGATTAGAACTTTAAGGGAGGAAAGAGATAGGAAACTGTTATCTTCTGGCCTCCAGCCATATTCTGGTTCCTGTTACTAATGACTGATCCTGACTGAATTAATTAAAATTTAGCCCCTTTTCTCTCTGGCCAGCAGTACAGACAAAAACCATTAACAATGGCTCCAGAGACATAAATAAACTCTCTCCCTAGATATCATCTATCCCGTAATATTGTGTAGTCCTTGCTAGAGAAGGAGAAACAAATTAGATAACCTTTCTGGGATGTTTCAAAATGTAAGATTCTGGGATCTAAAAGTGTTATGAATTGATATCTGGTGATTCAGCATAACCCAGACTAAATGAAAGAAAGAATAGAAAGGGGCAACTAGCTGGAATACAGAATGCAATTCACTAAAGAAGCTTCAACAGTAACTGCATGAGGAACAGCCCAGGCAGTACAACTTCCTAGAGCTCACCTAAGGGATACCATCATTGCAGCCAAAAGAAGACTCACCTCTTTAACAAGGCTTTCCTCATTATAGAAATGCAGACAGTCTCCTTCACTTTTCTTTTTCTCCTAATCCCCACTCCCCTTCTCCCATAGCAGGCACCTCTCTTTATTTAGCAACACACACTCTTTTTCCGATTGTGGCCTAAAATGTCAACACTGATACTGTTCTTGGTCTCCCCAATACCCAAGGAAAGCAGAGGAAATACCAAGCTGTCCTAGAAGTGCTCTTGTCTCTATTTGCTGTAACTTCATTCATGTATTCCTTCAACAAAATGTTTATTTGGTGTCTACTATACCAAATACAGTCTATCCTTTTAGTAATAAAATCATTTAGGTGAAGGGGAGGACTATCTTTCCCCTGAATAAATCTCTTCCATCCTCAGAGTTGGGAACAGATGAGCACTGGAGAAGTTCCCAGAGAACCATATGCAGGACTTGCTGCCCAGGAGGTTAACTGTGGTTAGAAACTCAGCGGTTTCCCTCCTTGCTGGCCTCTGAGAGATAATACAGGTTGTACATAGATGTCACAACATCAGCCAAATTGGCTGTGCCCGCCCATCTCTGGGTCTCTGCACACACAGGCCTGTCCCCTTCACCTAGATGGCCTTCCTTCTCTCTCCTCTTCCTGTCTAGACCTGGCTAACTCCTCTGTCCTCTTAGACTTTCTTCAAGCATCATCCGTATAACCTTGTAAATTCTTCCCTGCCCACTAAAAGCTCTAGGGGCCCCGCCTACCACCCCAACTTCTGTGCTTCTTGGCACTTTATGGATATATTCCTTCGTAGTGGATTGCAACACTGAGCATTAATTTTTTCTTATTTATCTCCCTAACTGGGCTTAAATTTCCATGGGAGCAGGGCATGGGTCTTTCATCCATATGCCTAAGGCAAGTACACAGGTTTGAAAGGCAATCTAGAGAAATCACTGATATTGTTTCATCAGTAGGAATCAAAATAAATGTTTTTCTTAGTGATCCCCCTCCAAATTTTATTAAATAGTTCATTCACTTTCTTAACATTCTAAAGTTTCACTACAATGCTTTCAATGACATCTCTAGAATATCAGGTATAGTAAGCTTGAAATTCATACTTATTCTCAGCAAGCATGATCCTAAACCCAACCAGAAGCTCTGCTAGGACCTCTCTCAGGTTTCTTTGATGGTCCTCAATTCATTCCAATTGAGCTATCAGTTGTTCAAGCTAATTGCCAGTCTTTAATTCACTTGGTGCTTGCCTTTTCTCTACAATTAGCCCAAGGATGTGCTTATGCCTTTGAATTTATTAATCCTGAAAACCCAGGAACCTTGACTCACTCTAGTGCTTTTAAAGGTTTAACAACCTCAGATTAGTTCATTAGTAGTCCTGCTTATTAGCTGCCTTTCTATTCTAAATTGTCCACACTTGACCCACATAAATCAGAGAACATGGGGAAAAAAATGATTGTTTTGTAAAATAATAATACATTTTAAAAACAAAATTTTTAAAAACAAAAATTTAAAATAAATTTAAAAATAATAAATGTTTGAAAATTACCTTTCCCATTTACTTCCTATGGCTTCTGAAATTCCTAGCATTGACACACCCTTGAGATGGCCAAAAGCCCCTGTGTGAACTGTGGATTAAACACATTATACCCTTAGCCCTTCTCAGTCTGAAACAGAAATCAGATCTATGCCAGTCACCCAGAGTAGCAAAGGGCTTGTAGCTCTTTAAAATACTAATAACTGCACTGGTTCCTTTATATTATGATGATATTTAGATTTTTGAGACTATTGCTCATTAAAATTTTAAGGAGGCCTCATATACTTTTATATATTTAAAGAAACAAATAATCCAAACTTTTGGGCAATGAATAACCATAAGCACACAGTTTTAAGCCTAAAAATCAAAGTTGTCATCATAACATAAAGCAACCAGTTCAATTATTAGTATTATCAGTTTTTTAAAATAATCCTCTTTTTTCAGAGATGGGGTCTCACTCTGCACCCAGGCTGGAGTGCAATAGTAGCAATCATAGCTCACTATAGCCTCAGACTCCTGGGCTCAAGCAGTCCTCTCACCTCAGCTCCTGAATAGCTGGCACTACAGGTGCTATCCACTGTGCCTGGCTAATATTTGTGGTGTTTTTATTTATTTATTTTTTGTTGTTGTTTGTTTGTTTGTTTTTAGAGACAGGGTCTCCCTGTGTTGCCCAGGCTGCCCTTAAACTCCTGGCCTCAAGTGATCCTCCCACCTTGGCCTCCCAAAGTGCTGGGATTACAGGCAGGAGTAATGTGCCTGGCCAATAGTAACATTTTTTGTTTCATAATACATTCATCTTTTCCCAAAGAGCAATATTTACTTTAAAATTTAAACTTGTTTAGAGAAATTCAACAGACTCTGAAAATAAAATAAATTTTCAAAAGAAGCCTAAAATTCAAACTTGAAAATCATGGGTAAAAATAAGGTATTAAATTGACGCGACTCTTTTCTTTTTCATTGACAGTATAAGATTCTCACCCATATAGTACAGGTTTCAATATGCCAGAGGGTAGAAACTCTGTGCTTATGGTTATTCATTGCCCAAATGTTTGAATTATTTGCCTCTTTAAACATATAAAAGTATGCGAGTCCTACTTAAAATTTCAATAAGCAATAGTCTTAAAAATCTAAATAAATAAAGAATAGTTTATACAAATATATCAAAGTTGACTTTGGCTGAAAGCTTCCCTGGACATTCAGAAAGGAATATTTTCTAGGATTAGATTTCTCCTTACATGTCATGGAAAAGTTAATCTTTGTTAATTGTTGAAATTTTCTTACTTTATGCGGCAGATTTTTGGATATCCTTACCCATTATATATATTCCACCCTTTAATCTTATGGAAAAAAACTTCTCTTTTTGTTGTTTAAAAAAAAGTTTATTTTATATTCTTTGCTAATAAAGAGTTGCTGTCAAAAACAATTCCCCTTACAGGAAGCAAATTATTCTTATAATTGCTTTCTTATAAATCAGCATTAGAATCACTGAGCAGGTTGCTTCTGCCATGGCCCAGTGGTTTCAGCACAGGGCTGGGTCCTTGATTATTTTTCATTATTTGATTCTTCATTCCTCCCAAACTTTATTTTTATGTTAAATTAATTAATTAATTGATTTTTAGAGACAGGCTCTTGCTCTGTTACCCAGGTTGGGGTACAGTGGTGCAATATGACTCACTGCAGCCTCAAACTCCTGTCCTCAAGGGATCTTCCTGCCTTAGCCTCCCAAAGTGCGAGGATTATAGGCATGAGCCACCATGCCCCACCTGCTCTCAAACTTTTATAGAAAAATAGGAAAATTTTCCTTTAATCACATCTCTTAGTAGTCATTGAGACTAAGTGTACCTCACTTCGTTTACATTAGGTTAGAACTCGAAAACATGTTAGAGAACAATGAATCCAACTTTTACCTATTAAATTAGCAAATAGAGTCCTGGGGAAGTGAAATAATTTGCTCAGGGACACAAATTCAGATAATGACAAAATTGAGTCTGCACCTTACTCCTTAACTAGTACTCTTTCCACTCTGATAAATAATGATATGCTATTCAGACTTTTGTAAAGTGAATTATATTTCTAATGCCATATGGAAGTCAGAACTGAACTCTTCAGCAGAGCTTTTCATTTAAAGCAGATTTTTCATAATGTGTATTTGTTGCCCTAATTTATTTTATATGAATTTTTAAATATTTTTATCTAAGCATTGAAGCATATCCATGTTCCTTTTGTGGCTTGGAGAGAAGAAATGCAAAGACAGGAGCCTGTGTGGGGGAGGAAGGTGGGAGTCAGATAATAGAGCCATGGAAGGCAGGTTTGGAAGCATTTATTCAAGTGTCATTTTCCCCTTAGAATAGACAGTGTTAGACCCTTTCCATGGGTAAGTACTAACAGCTTCACAGCTCCACAATTCCATTTCTCCAAAACATTCTTCTCAGGCAGCATGGTAATTAGAAATTACAATGACCCTATTTACGATGAGAACAGATTATGAAACAATATGTAATAGCTCACAATAATTGCGTATTCTACCACATCCCAATAAATAAAAGACTCAGTCAACCTATGGGGAAAATAAGCTCACTCCTTTACCACTCACCACTCTTCAATATTCTACATGAACATTAGTTATATCCTGGTGCATAAGAATTTACTGTGCATCAAAAAATAAAGTGATCCAATATTAATGTTGCTAGTGAATCAGATATAATACAGTAATAGGAATCATTGAAAGAAATGTTCCATCCATATATCTCAGTGAATATTATGCATACTTATGAGAAAACATAGAGCAAAATAATTAACATGGCAAATTTTCAACAGAAATTTTATTGATTTCTCACCAAATGCCAAGCAATGTGTCATAGAATCACAAAATGCTTGGCAAACTGATGTTACAATCATTCTAAAGTCAATTGTTTGCCAATTAATAAGATTTATTCACTACATAAGAGTACACAATTTCAAACAATAAGTATGCTAAAAGCATCCATTAAAGTCAAGTTGCAATTCTCATAGTTGCAAAAATGGCAAAGGAAATAATTATACATTGTCCCATATTCAAGTTTTCTGTGCGTTTCTGGAAAGGCACAGAAAACTTTCCCTATTTCTTAGGCTTTCTATATACTAGGTAAGAGGAAAGAACAGGCTAATAGCAATAAATAGTATCCACCTTTAAAACCTATCCTCTTCCCCAGGGTTGGTACAATAGACAATATTGATCCCTTATTTACAATCTAACTTCTACAACTTAACAGCTACAAGTTTCTTTTATGTAAATTTAAAAAACAATAATAATATTCTATGCTTTTATTTAATTATCAATATGTAAGTATGCACAAGGTCATTAGGTAAACTATATTTCTTACTATGGATCATAATAAAAAAAAGTTTGGAAGCCATAATTCAGAGAGTAAGTCTCCCTGGAGGTTTCATATTCAGTTACTAGATAGTATTGTTGGGAGAAAAAATTATATGCTACAATGTTATCTCCTTAAAAATTATTTTTAGGTTATTTCTAGAGTGGAAGGCATCAAAAAGAAGACCTGAACTTGTAAGAGACAGAAGTCATAGATGGCCCTTTAAACAATAAAATCTTCCGAGACAAACACTGCTAATGCCTTTAGGGCTGAACATCTGTGCAAGGATCTTCTTTATTTACTTTAAATAACGAGGGATCAAACCCAATTTAATCAAATCCATTCTCAATAAAAGGAGAAACATCCCTACTTCTCTCCATCAGAGAGGATGGTTGGGTTAAGTTTTCTAACAAGTAAGATATTTGTTCTTCTATTTGCTTAGCCTAGATACCTAGGATTCTCTCCAGAATATTGTCCAGCCTACGGACAACCAGGGAGCCTCAAAGATTTTGATGCATTTGTCTGAAAAAGAATGCTAGCTAATAAATAACCCCTGTGTCCCAAGGGCTTTTTCTCTGTCTAGCCATCCAGTTACTTCTATCTAATGAGGTCAGAGAACAAAGAACAATGGGAAATTTCCTCTTCCTCACTGCAAACTTGCCTCCCTCTCCCAGTCCCTGTACATTAATAAAAATTAACATTTATACAGTCTACTAGGTGCCAGACATGGTTCTGAGTGCTTCATATATATTAATTCATTCAGTCCTCATAACCAGCCTGTGAGGTAGAGAACTCTCGGTATCTCCATTTTACAGATAAGGAAACTGAGCTACATAGAGGTTAAATAAATTGCCCAAATAGTACTTACACAAATAGTAAGTAGTAGAGCCAGGGTTCTAATCTAGACAGTTTAATGTTGGAATCTATATCCTTAACCATACAGTTTTTACTCTAAATAAGGACTTATAGAATAGGCATCTCCTTGAAGGAAATGATGTTCTGGATATTAAATGATGTATGAAATACTCTATATTGTATTAATCTCCTAGCTTGGATCTTTCAAAATCTCTATATTGTTTACAGAGAAGAGATAATACCCAATCTACAGTCAAGCACCTGTTTCACCTCAGCTTAGCCATAAACTACAATACCTCTGTTACCACTGGGCAGCCTCCCTTGAGTAAAGATTCTCCATATCTGCATCTCTTAAACAAAAATAACTTGGTTCTCACCTTTCCAGGCATGAGTGGGGCAAAGCTGCAAGTCCTTTGCACATTTTGGCAGGTGGCTTAGCTCCTCCGCTTTAAGTACAACTTCTTAACAGCAGAGCCAGTCTTTGAAAACTTCAAAACTGTCTGGGATGCCTTTCCTCCTGAGGTATATATAGAAGCTCTTTCCCAGCCCTCTGTTGCTCTTCCAGCCAATCCAGAGCCTTAGAGGAAACTGCAGGCTGGAGAGCAGCAGCAGTGGGCCCTGAGGTGGAGGAGGGAATCCTTTCTCTGCTACAGGCACTACTGTGGCATAAGGCTTTCATCTGCTCTTATCACAACACTCTCTTGCTAACCGGCCAGGGCAGGGTTAGGCCCTAAACTGTGCACAGGTCATTGGTTGTTTGAACTCCTAATCTCAGGCCAATCACAAGGAAGATGTGAGCTTCCTGTGAAGCAAAGTGTCTTGGACCACTTCAGATCGGTCAAAGTCATAGATTCTTAGGACTGTAAGGGCTCCTGGAGATCGTTTAGCCCACTTTGTTTCACAGTGAAGGAAACTGAAATCTAGGGAATTCAAGGAATGTGTATGTGAATACTTACCAAGTGCCAGGCACTCAGCTGGATGCTAGGAATTCAGAGAAGAAAGAGAAAGCTCCCTGCCCTCAAGACCCCAAAACACATTATAAGTAAGTGATGGAGGCCGGGCTGGGATGTTGTGAGCCTTCAGGAAGCACCAGGCAAGGTTTTCTGGAGCTGAGAGACAAGATTACTGTTTATATAAATCAAAACAAATATGAATAATTACTATATATTCTTTATGAATCCATATGTCTGTGAAGGTACTAAAAAAGTGATCTAGGAGACCAAACACCAAAATCTTAGTAGGGATTGAGTATAATGATATTATCTCTGAACTCTGTTAATTCTGTCAGTGGTCTTCTGATTATACTTTGCTTGGATGACTAATGCTTTGTAATTCTTTGTACCTCCCCACCATAGCCATCCTTGCCTAGGCTTGTCTTTCCTTCTCCTTCAAACTTTTCCTGCTTCCTATCACTCAAGGAATATTTACCAAAATTTACCTGAATTGTGTCTTATCTTGTCGGGGCCCAAGGTGCTGATAAGTTAATCTGTAAATAAATGCCTAAAAGGTAGGCATGAGTCCAAGCTTTAAAAAAAGTGGCACTGAATAATCCGTAAGAAAAGCTCTGAATTTGGAATTGAACAGTACTCTCATAATTTTCTCTGTTATCTGAAATTAGTTGTTTTAAATGACTCCCTCTTTATATACCCTTTTTAGGCAATGGTTGATCAACCCCTGTTACTGGCTTGTAAAGTCAATGCAGTGCATTATGACCTGATGTTTTTAATGTAATAAATAGAATAGACAAATATCCAAGTGCATCGGATGTAAAAAGTATTGTTTTCTGAAATTTTGACTTTAATTATCAATATGTAAGTGTGCACAGGGTCATCAGGTAAACTATATTTCTTACTATGGATCATAATCAAAAAAGTTTGAAAGCTGTGGCTCTAAACCACACACACACACACACACACACACACACACACACAGACACACACGTTTTTGAGACAGAGTCTAGCTCTGTTACCCAGACCAGAGACTGGAGTGAAGTGGCATGATTATAGCTCACTGCATCATCAAACTCCTGGGCACAAGCGATCCTCCCACCTTAGCCTCCTAAGTAACTGGGACTAAAGACTCTTGCTACCATGCCTAGCTAGTTTTTAAATTTTTTGAATACACAGGGTCTAGTTTTGGTGTCCAGGCTGGTCTTGAACTCTTTGCTTCAAGCAATCCTCCTGCCTCAGCCTTCCAAACACTAAGCACAATGTCAGGCACATAGACATCTGTAAATACTGAATGAGTTAAACAAACTGTCCAAGTTCCGCCATCTATTGACTGAGTAAACATCAGCAAATCAATTAATTATCATTTTTGAGACATGTGGACACTGTTGTTGACTATTAAATCTAATAAAGGGAATATAAAACAAGTAGAAGAGACTCCTTGGGACAAGAGTCTAAATCATTATTTGATACCAAGGGGCCTTGAGGAGATAATAATATGAAAAGAAAAACCCCAAGTTTAACGTAGAGCAATGGAGGGTGATGTCTTGGCGAGGGCTAAAAATCAAAGCATGTTTCTGACTGTCCCAAAGGAGTTCATGTGATGGACTATTCAAGAATAAAAATTATCTCAATTTACTAAAAGATGGACTAGAACCCAAAATGTAAAATTCAATAGAAATAATGTTAAATCCAACACTTATTTGTTTTTAAAACTTTGTAAGGATGGGATAGCCAGAAAGTATGTAAAAGAGTGTGCTCTAGAGGCAGAAAGTAAAATAGTGATTGCTAGAGGTTAGAAATGGGAGAAATGGAGGAGTTCCTATTCAATAAAGTTTCAATAGGTATAAAGTTTCAGTTATGCAAAATGAAAAATTTCTAGGGATCTGCTATACAACATTGTGCCCATAGTTAGCTATACTGTACCGTACACTTAAAAATCTGTGAAGAGAATAGTTTGTGTTACGTGTTTTTTAACCACAGTAAAAAAAAAAAAAAAAAAAAAAAAGGAGAGAGCCTACTACGTAAAATAAATTTGAAGTCTGAAAAAATAAATTGAACTATTTTAAAATCTCCTTTCCCTCCTGAGAATCCCTCAGAAATGACAGTAAATATATGAAAAAGGTATAAATCTGTAATAGCAAAGAAAAAGAGAAACAAGCCATCATATTCTGAGTGATTTCAACCACTTCTTCATGGAATGTGAAAAGAGGTGAGTAGGAGTGGTACCTAATGAAACAGGGGAGGGAATTCAGGGGGGTGCTTCAAAGAGATATCCATCTGCCCTGGAGGATGCCACAGTGGTTTGGGCTCCAAAGCACTAGATATTACAGTTCTACAGAAGGAAGGAGTTAGCTGTGCAAGTGGAAGCAGTGAGAGACATTGAACATTTTCATCAGATGAAAAGGATCTCCTGCCCACACAACTGCTCTGATTCATCTCTAATTCATTTCCTTAAATCATGTGTAAGTGTCTTTATTTTAACTATTATTAGCAATATATTTATTGAGATGCATTTTATCACTTCTAATTTGGGGACCTCTTGGACTATGTGATCCATGGTGAACAGACGTCTATTCACTAATCTCGCTACTCACAGTAAGAGTCTCACCCTAAAGCCAGCTAGGAGCACATGGAGTAAACAGAGGCAAGGTCTTCACCTTCATGTTGCTTGATTTCTGTCTTTCTGCTAAATGTTTTAAACCATAAGCAAGCTCAATTTATAATTCTACCACTCAGAAATATATACTGTCAATAGGTTGTGATATTGCTTCCCTGCCTTTTTTTATTTAAAGAAATAAAGAGGCAATGGATAAAACTAAAGTCCCTGGACTTTATATTAAATATAGTCCTGCTGAACCTGCTGGCACCTTGATCTTGAACTTCCCAGCTTCCAGGGCTGTGAGAAATCAATTTCCATTGCTTATAAAGTACCCAGTCTCAGGTATTTTGTTATAACAGCACAAACTAAGACAATATGGATTCATTAAAAGTATATAGTTTATGTTGCTTTTTGATTTTTTTAATGAAAAAAAGAGGACTCTCATGTCCATTATTTTTCCCCTTTCATCACACTTAGTACCTGTTAAGATTTTCGTGTATGGTATTCCAGGTCATTTTTTAATGTCCTCATATACATATGTACTATGATCTGAACGTTTCCCTCAAAATTCATGTGTTAAAACTTAATAATCACCAATGTGTTAATATTAAGAGGTGGGGCCTTTAGGAGGTGATTAAGCCATGAGGTCAAAGCTCTCATGGATGAGATTAGAGCCCTTATAAAAGGGCTTGAGGGAGGGGGTTCATTTTCTTCTGCTTTTCTGCCATGTTAGGAGACAGCAACAAGGCACCATCTTGGAGAAGCAGAGAGCAGCTCTCATCAGACACCGAACCTGCTGGCACCTTGATCTTGAACTTCTCAGCTTGCAAAACTGCCAGAAATAAATTTCTTTTGTTTATAAAGCACCCAGTCTCAGGTATTTTGTTATAGCAGCACAAACTAAGACAATATGAATTCATAAAAAGTATATAGTAATTATTGGTATGTGTTTTGATTTATATAAATATAATCTGCATCTTTTGTTATTTAAGATTATGATTTTTTGTTTTTGTTTTTAGATTATAATGACAACTAACACTACTGAATAATTTCTATGTATTAATCACTTTTTAAAACACTTCATATATTTACACATTTAATTCTCACAACAAAAGCATGAGATAAGTGGTATAATTTTTGCTATTTCAAAGAGAAAACCCTCTGATCATATAAATGGAAATGAAATTGTTCAGGATTAAAAAGCATCGGTACTAACATAGGAAGTGTAAAGTCTATACCTCCAGTTTATGCTTTTTAATTGCTGGAAAGAATTATATCATATGCAAATATAATTGAATTTCTTTATAGACCCATTGTTAAATATTTAGGTCATTTCTAATTGTTTGCTTCTGGCAAAAGTACTTAAATTAATATTCCTATATATGCCCCCGGAGCAGTTTATCTATAATGTAGTTCATAAAGTGGGACAGCTGAGAGGTGTAACAGTACAAAATTATCACACAGTCAGACCAATTTAGACTCCTAACAGAAATAAATGAGAGCCTCATTTTCCCAAATATGAAACACTTGCCAGGCTTTAATTTTTTCCAGTGACAGGCAAAAAATACCAAGTCATTTTCATTTGTGCCTTTCTAATTACTAGGGAATTTGAGCTTCTATTCATATACACATTGGCCACTGTAATTTTTCTTCCATTAGTTGTATATTTCCATTTTTTAAACAACTTTACTATCTGGCTTTTTAATATTGGTGTGCAAGAATTCTTTATAAAAATAATGAAACTAAAAATGGGAGAAAGAAGAAAAGTAGAATTAGATCATTGATTGTTGCAGAAGCAGTTAAAGGATACCAATAAAATTGGATAAACCAGATAACAGGTTAAATAAGAAAACAGGAGATGAAAGACACTAAGAAAAGTGTATGTACAAAGGTAACCATTAGAACAGAAATATAAATCTTAATCTTCCTACATACCAAAAAAAAAGAAAGATTAAAAAACAAAGAATAAACAGTTCATAGAGAGTGACATATAGGAAAATCATAAAAGACATAATTATTCAATACTGTGTGACAGAATTTTGAGACCAAACATATAAGTTATATCAATAAATGTAAATGTGCATAAATTTTCCATTAAAAGAGAAGTTTTAGTTAGGCTTACAAATAAAACCCAGCCTGGTTAACAAAGTGAGACCCCATCTCTACAAAAACAGTTTTTAAGAAAGATAGCCAGGCAACACGGTGAAACCCCGTCTCTACTAAAAATACAAAAAATTAGCCGGGCGTGGTGGCGGGCGCCTGTAGTTCCAGCTACTCCGGAGGCTGAGGCAGGAGAATGGCGTGAACCCGGGAGGCGGAGCTTGCAGTGAGCCGAGATCCCGCCACTGCACTCCAGCCTGAGCGACAGAGCGAGACTCCGTCTCAAAAAAAAAAAAAAAAAAAAAAAAGGAAAAGAAAAAAAAGAAAAGAAAGTTAGCCAGGCATGCAGTAGGCTGAGGCAGGAGGATTACTTGAGCCCAGGAGTTCAAGGCTGCAGTGAGCTATGATAGTGTACACTCCAACCCTGGGCAACAGAACAAGACTCCACCTCCATTAAAAAAAAAAAAAAAAAAAAAAAAAAAGTCAGAAGTAAGACCTAACTATATTCTGTATACAAAGGACATACCTAAAACAAAGTTATTTAGAAAGATTAAAAATAAAGAAATGGACAAGGGTATAATTGACATAAACAGCAAGAACGCAAGAGAAGTAAACCTGACAGACAATAAATCCAAGTCAAAATGTATTGAATATAACAAAGGTAAATACTTTTTAAGGCTTAAAAGCCACAACTTAAAATGGAAATATTAAATATAAATATTTTTGCACAAAGTAACACAGCAACTACCTTTCTAGTACATAGAAACATGCTAATAATCAGAGACTGGCATGCCTCATTCTTAGTACAAGAAAGAAGACAAAAAATAAGTATTATGGTCAAACACACACACATACACACACACTCACACGTACTTCTTATGGATATATATCAAACTCTACACCCTGCTAATAGAGAATCTAACTTCTTCTCAAATACCTATGAAATATTCACAGAAAATTAGGATATAACAATTCAAAAAGAAAATTAGTTAAGTCCAATTAAGTAGAAATATTACAAAAAATGTTCTATGATTGCAGTGAATTAAAACTAGATGTGATTAACAAAACCAAAAAGGCCCTTCCTCCTGGAAATTCAAAAACTTTCTATTAAATAACTGAGTGAAAAGAAGAAATACAAATTGAAATTACAGAGTATCTTACACTAAATTTCCACGTGTACTTAAGTCTATTTCTGAACTATTCTTTTCCACCAGTATATTTGTCCTTTCGATTACCAGTAGAATACTGTTTTAATTATGCGAGATTGGTAGTGTTTAATGTCTAGGTATTCATGTATATCCATTCTTTTCAAGTTGAACCTTAGTATCAAGTCTTTTATTCCCTACAAAAGCTTGTTGAAATTTTTATTAGGATTGTGTTAAATTTATAAATGAATTTAGGGAGAACTGACATCTTTATAGCATTAAGTCATCCTATCCCAAGACAGGAATATCTTACCATTTGTTTGAGTCTACTTGTGTATCTGCCAAGAGTGTTTTATAATTTTCCTTTTGTTGGTTTTATACGTTTCTTGCTAAGTTTATCCCTAAGTATTTAATCTTCTTTGCTTCTATTATAAATGGGATTTTCTCTACCATTATGTCCTCTAATTAATTTCTTATTAAGTGTATATTTTGATACCTCACTGAATTATATTATTGTTCAAGTTAGTTTTATTGTCAGTTTTCTAGGGTATTTGAGGCTTGCTGTCATAGCTTCTGCAAGAAAGAGATAGTTTTCTTTTTCTTTACCAAATTTTATGCCTCTAAGTGATTTTCTTTATGTTATCTAATATCTATAGTACAATATTGAGAAGGGCATATTTTTGCATTATTCCTGATATTAGTGGACATTTTCTAGTGTTTCCTCAATAAGTATGATATTGGTTTTAAGATTACAACTGTAATTTTCTTTTTCTGTATGTCTTTATTCTTTTTTTTTTCTGGGACAGGGTCTGGCTCTATCAGCCAGGCTGGAGTGCAGTGGTGCAATCTCAGCTCACTATAACCTCTGCTTGTTAGGCTCAAGTCATCCTCTCACCTCAACTTCCCAAGTTCCTAGGACTACAGATATGCACCACCACGCCCAACTAATTTTTTTTTTCGTATTTTTTGGGGTACAGACAGGGTTTCTCCATGTTGCCCATGCTGGTCTCGAGCTCCTGGGCTCAAGCAATCCGCTTGCCTTGTCCTCCCAAAATGCTGGGCTTACAGGCACAAGCCACCCACCATGCCAGGCTGTATGTCTTTATTCTTATTAAAGAATTATCAATTATTTCTGAATTAAACATTTTAATGACTATACATTTTACTTCTAAGATTTCTATTTGATTCTTTTCAATAACTGTTCTTGTTCTAGTTTTATGGATATAATGGCCTGGCTTAATTGCCCTGAAATTTTTTTAAACACTTTTAAAGGATTCCAGTGACTTTTTAGGAGGCAGTAGAATATAGGGGTTAAGAGTACAGACTGAAGAAAGAGAGAAAGTATCTCAATTCAAACTATAGTTCTATCACTGTCTAACTGTGACACTGGGCAAATTACTTAAAATTTGAGCACCTCTGTATTTTCTATAAAGTGAAATTAAAGGAGACAATGCCTAAAAGTGTTTATAACAGTGCCTTACACACAATGAGCACTCAACAAAGATTTGCTATTGAAATTACCTTTTTTTAAAAAATTTTTTTCCATGACACTGAATTTACTCATGGCTTTTAATTTCTGTCTAGGATTTTATCTTCTATGGAATTACCTCCTCTAAGAGTTTTCTCCCAAGGCAAACTGCATGAAAGTCAGGTCTCTACGTTGGCTATGCCTGGCTCTACTGTATACACTGGCTTTTGAACCTGGTCATATGTTGGTGTCTTGGTTGGAATCTGGAGAATGGAGTGGGGGAATGAATAGTTTAAATCTGGATTATGCATATGGAAGACTCAAGCTAAGAGCATTTAGGAATCCTGAATTAAGCCAAGAGTAAACAGGAGTGAAATGGGTAAGGTTTGATTCAGGTTTATCTAAGTTAATTGACTGAAAAAATACCCTGAAGATCATGATGTCAGAGAAGTTGTGGGTGCAGAACTCCATTTGTAAGAAATTTGCTAGTGAATGGGAGTTGAGGTAGTTAAAGCAATGAGCAAAGATTTCTTTTTTCAGGAGGTTAAGGGTGATTGGAAGGAGAGAAATGGTACGTTAACTTAAGGAGCCATAAGGTTAATTATGTTTAATAGGAGAATGAAATGTGAGCAGAGTGAATGGAGTGGGAAGGCTGAGGTTTGGAAATGTGTAGGTCCATTCTGAGACAAAGTGAAAAGAAAATGAATAAAATGATGATTCTAAGAAAACGTATTAAGGGAACAAAATGTGAGGAGTCTGGGGGCTTTTTTGGTAAGTCCTTCTTAGTTGAGGAGGTGGTGAAGGCATAGAAGTTTAGAAAGATTCTCACTAGCTCTTTTCGCTTGGTTCATGAAAGAATCGTGACTGGAAAACTATATTCTGTTACATTATTAAATGTTTTGATAGAATTTTCTCTGGGGGATGGCCTCACTGTATCTAAACTCCACTCAACTATAGAATAAGATGATTCTAATGGAAATTCCAGGAATTTCTCACCACATATGATATATGAGAAGTAGGATGGAGTTGGGTTCAGGCTCCATGCTTTTTGCCTCTGGATAATATTTATAAACAAGGAGTCCTACTCTGTCTCTGAAAAGAACAGTCAACATAGTTTTATGAGAGCTGCTTTTCTGGTATAATTACTCTAATGCTGTATTTATCCTCAAGGTCAGTAGTGGCCATTAAAAAAAGCTGTCCCTTTCCCTGGAGAACAGCATCCTCCCCCGACAAATAATTTCTGTTGGAAGAACATTCTGTAAGTCCATGTTCTCACTACAAATATTATCCAATGTAGTACTGAAGGACATTTTAAAAACAAAGTCCTTTTTGATCTTTCTGAGCCAAAATGTCTTCGACTTAATTCCTTTTCCACAAAATAAGAAACATCTTTTGGATTGAGGATTAGTCTTGCAATTCCTACTCTCCTTCTTCACAAATGTCTTTATTTAGTTTTGGTTCCCATGTCTGAATGAGTGATTTGAATAGATGGCCTCTAAGTTCCCTTCCATTTCTAACATGCTGGGGCTCTTTGAGTCTGGGTGATTACAGCTATTGTGTCTTATTTCCTTGGTATACACTAAGCTTCTTGAGGATAAATAGGGAACATGTTTTATTTGTCTTTGGGTCCCCCAAAACATGTAGGCTGGAGAACCTGTATAAGTAAATCTCTGTTACTGAAAAAAATACATAAGTTAATTAAATAAATAGGAATACCCACAAATATCATAGCATTGCCTGGAAATATTGTCTTAATGAGAACTAGAAAAGAAAGGCTCTTCAAGGTGGACAAAACACCTAAGTACATGGCTTGATTCTCAAAGCACCAAGGCACAGGCACTGGCTCATCAGATAACCAACCTCTTTTGGCTGTGTGCTATTGTGCAGAACACAACCTCCATAACTGTGCTGGGCATGCCTGCCACTGACACACAGCATCTTAGCTCCAGTGAAGCCTGAGGAGCAGGCTTCCTTATAGCTCCCTCACTGTTCTGCATGTAAGTCAAGGGGACAGCTGTCCTGGGAGCCAATACACCACTAACCTAAGTATCTAGACCACAGCCACAAAATGATATACACTCTCCTCCAATATACTATTAGGGATCAACACCATCCTATATTATGTCTCTGTTTACCTCAGGCACCTGCAGAGGTAAAGCCTCACTATTCATCAACTATTAATCTCACACTATTTTGTTCCAATTCCTTTTTCTCTTATATCCATATCACTGGCCCTCCTATATCTGTGTCTTTATGAATTAGCTTATGCTCCCTATCTTTTTCTTCTTCTCTTTTCACTTCTACCACTTCCTAGACTTCAATGAAATTGAACTGTAGCTCACACAAGAAAAAATAAATATAATTTTAATTTTCTTTACTTGTATCCTGTGGATCGCAGGATCAAAAGGTAATTTAGTCTTCCCTTTTGCTGTACATAGTTATTTTCAGATTAACAAGCCTCCTTGGTTTCACAAAATTAATTTATCCATTAAAACTCATGTCCTGGATATAACACATGGCAGATGCTATTAGTTGCTATGCATTACTTGCTTTTTTCCAAAAAAAAAGAAAACTGATTTTGAATGGAGCAAAAATATGCCCAGGTTTAAAGGAAAAATTAAAACTTAAGTTTCCCTTGAAGCTAAGATTAGCCATGTCACATGGTTTTAGTTAATGTGGTGTAAACACAAAATACTGGACAGAATTCGCAAGAAGTCACTGGAAATGGGGGAAGAGTCAGCTGGCTCTCTCATTTTGTCCCCCTCCTCTCCATTCTTTCTGAGTGTAATGCTAACTTGATGATGGATCTTCATAACCATGAGGCAGCAAGCATGGAGGCAAAAGCCACAAGCTAAAGATGGTTTAGAGGAAGGATAAAAGGAGGCTATTGGCATTATGTGGCTACTGTTTACAGCCTGGAGAGCCTACATCCAGGCTTCTGGATATGCAAGGAAAACAAAACTCTTTGTTTATTTAATCCATGTTTGAAGCTAAATAAAACAAAACTAACTTCTCCCTCCTGGTTTTTCCTCCTACGCTCCAAGAACTTCAACTGCAGGATCACAATCTTCCATTCACTGTGTCATCTGTATTCAGGGGAAAGCCCCCCTGAATCTCCCTTCAGTTGACATTTCCACCATGGATTTAAAAACACTCATTTCTAATTAGCTTTGCATCACTCCACCAATGATTCACCCAGAATTTCGTCATTACCAGAAACTTCTCCACCTGCAAGATCTCAAATCCAAACCTTCCGTTTTCTGACACCATCTCCTATTCTTTGAGATTAACTGATCAAGTAACCCCATTAAAATAATCTTTTGACCTCATCAGATAATTAATCGATTGAACTCTACTTTCTCACCAGTCTTCAAATCCCTCTTCTATTTATTTCCCTACTTTAGTCCCATGGTTGGGCTCCATGGGACTAAAGTATGATTACTGTTGCAAACACTCCCTTGACTCCTGATTTCTCCAATGTATTCTTATAGCAAAACCTAAGTCTAATTTCACCAAGAAACTAAATGTTCTTGAAGAAAATCACATAGGTTCTCACACAGGAGAGACAGATTTCATGTTAAATCTGTGATCAGTAACTTCAAATGGGTACTTGGCTCTCCCCAGAAATTCTACTAGGTTGCTCTACTAAGTTCAGTTTCCCACTTGCTGAAATGACTATCTCATACCTTCTCCTCAAGGCGTTGCACCACATCCATACTTCACTTCAGGGTGAATCCTTCAGAAACGAACACCTTCACATTTCTATTACTACATATATATACCCTTGCTCACAGATACAGGGCCTTGCTCCTTTCTATATAATCTCCCTCTATCTCCTTCATCATCAGTTTCTCCCTTCCTTCGGGCTCATTCTCCATGATCACACAACCATGCTTCAGTCTCTCTTCAAGAACCTAGCCTTAATCTCACCCCTACCACCAACCACAGCTCCTTTATCTCTCTCCTCCCCATTATGGCCAAAGTTCTTTAAAGAATTTTTTCCATATCTAATCTCCATGCCTTCACCTTCTATTTACTATTCACATTTCTTTTTCTTTAATTTTTGTGTTATTGTTGCTATTTGCTTTTTGGAATTGAGCTTTAAAAAGTGTTTGCTTTAGTGCAATGGGTAATGTAGCAAACATTCATGTACTCATGACCTAGAATCAAAAATTGCCAAATTTTGTTTTTTCCAAGATTCTTCATTACTTTGTGGTTTTAAACAAAGAAATCATTGTAGGTGAAGTTGAAATCTCCTTTGTTCTCTTCCCTAGACACACTTTCTTCCATTATCAAGAAAACCATTATGATGCATTTAGTTTGCTTTCAAATAACCTTTTATCATTTACTACAAACACACACACATATATATCCATAAACAATCTGAAGCTAGTTTTGTGTATTTATTTTAAAATATACGTAAAATGGAATGATTCTGAAGCTTTCTTTTTGCCTCAACCTTAGATTCTTGAGATCTACCCATGTTGGTTTATATTTATCTATGTCATTCATTGTAAATGCTGCATGTATTTCATCGTATATAGTCAAAATCATTTATTTGAGAGGCTGCATAGTATAATGGTAGAAAGCAAGTGTTCTGGAGCCCTGCTGCTTGGGTTTACTCCAAACTCATGTTGCTAACTAGCTATGTGACCTTAGGCAAGTTATCCAAACTCTCTGATGTCAGTCACTTCATCTATAAGATATAGTTAATAGATGTAGCTACATTTGGGATTAAATGATTTAACTTATCTAAAGTACCTAGAATCTTTCTGTCTCATAGTAAACATGCAATACTAGTGTGTCAGTGGGAAAACAGATGGCACACTCAAATTAGGATAATTGGAAGAAAGTTTACTTATAAAGGAGCAAATTACAAAAGTGTAGTTAGACAATAGGAGGACCACAAAGAATAGTACCTTTACCCAAGACGGCAGCTGCGAGAGGGAGCTGTTAACTCTTCTACACCAGAATGAAAGCAAACATTAGAAAACAAATTAATCTTATAAATAAATTGAAATCTCTTCTCCAGTCTTCTTTCCCCCAGTTTCCTAAGGGAATTATTAGGCATTTGGGTTATATCCAAACTACATTTAAAAGTTTTTGGGCCAGGCACAGTGGCTCACACCTGTAATCCCAGCACCGTGGAAGGTCAAGGTGGGAGGATCACTAGAGGCCAGAAGTTTGAGAACAGCCTGGGAAACATAGTGAAACACCGTGTCTATTCATTTAAATAATAATAATAAAAATAAAATAAAATAAAAATTTTATACACACTCCTATATGCAGACACCTAAACCTTTTTAGAGAAAAAGTTTGCCAGAGTCAGGCAGAAGTCATGTAATGAAGGCCTCCCAAAGGCATGTTCAGTGGAGCACTGATTCTGTAGGATGTTAGTGGGTTTCTTGCCAAATAAGGTTAGAAACAGTGTTTAAAACAAAATTAAACAGTTTTTTTCACCAGGACTTCTTAGAGCTTTACCTGTGCTAATGTGGGAGTCGGGAAGGAACCCATGAAGAGCACTCCTTACCCCGTCTCAGCCCCTTATCGAAGGCTGCCAAGTGCACAGGGGCCAGGGAGGATTTGCTATCCTGAAGACTTGCAAAGGCAAGAGAGGGGGACATGAGGCACCATTTGAGCTTCAATTCCCTTGCAGCCTAGTGGGCCTAGTGAAACCTCTTGGCCTGGGAAATTTTAACCATATGAAAAGTGACAGTGCAAAGACTCACAAACCAGATGGGCTCCAGCCTTCACAGATTTCCCCCACTGTCTTGTGGAGGAAATAAATCAATAAGATCCATAAATAAACACTTTTTATTTTGTCTCATCAGAGATCAACTCTATGGTGTATAATAACTAGGCGGATTGACTTCAGCTATAGATAGCACGGTGGAGATTTATAACCTGTCAGCAAACTACTTTTAGGAGATTTTTCGTAGGTCGTCATTTGCAATCACAAAAACTGTGCTGAGTATAAGAACAGTTACTCTAATACTGGATTCACTGACGATATTATCATGTAAGACTCAAATAAGTGTCAAGTATTTTGCAGATAACTTTGTAGAACCATTGTGAGCATGCTGTGGGCTTCAGGGTTCTCAGTTTGTGATGGCCCTGAGAAAGGGTGGATAAAGTTACTTTAAAGTCATTCTAAATGAAACCCAATTTGAAATAAATTTTGATTCACAGCGACCTCGCCAACTAAACTTCACAACCCCCAAGTACTCACATTACAGTTGGCTTCATAAACTCCACTGGGTTTTTAATGTCAGCTCAAAGTGTGGTCCTTAGCTAACTAATGCAGAAACAGAAAACCAAATACCGCATGGTCTCACATATAAGTGGAGGATAAATGATGAGAATGCATGAACACAAAGAGGGGAACAACAGACACAGGGGCCTACTTGAAGGAGGAGGGTGGAAGAAGAGAGAGAATAAAAAAAATAACTATTGAGTACTAGGTTTAGTGGCTGGGTGGTGAAATTATTTGTACAACAAACCTCCATGACACAAGTTTACCTGTATCACAAACCTGCACATGTATCCTTGAATCTAAAATAACAGTTAAAAAAATAAAAAGACTCAGCTGTTCAGTTCACCTTCCCTTTGAAATAGAACCAAAACAATCTGGCCTTTACTCTGGGTTTTTTGCATGAAGGAACACTGATTGTTGAAGAACGGTCCCTGAAAGACATCAGCATTGGCACTTTTCCTCCCATCAAAGAGAAGAAATTTGGGCCCTAAAATAGAGCACTATTGGCATCCTTCCACAAAATAACTATGCACAGTCTTTCCTGTAAATTATAACATTAAAGAAAACCATTATTTAAGACTAATATTTGTACATACATTGATATGCCAATGAGCACTGTGCATCTGTAAGATGAGAATATCCTGTGAAATGTTTCTTGCGCACATTTTTCACTGAGGTTTTGTTTCTTTGTTTTGTCAGACACTTCTTTCCTGGGCTAGTGTTCCTTAGAATTTGTTTTGGGAAACAATGCTGAGAGAAGAGCAGAGAACTTGGAACCTTGATGACATTGTTGAGCTACTGACTAAAAGTATCCTGAACCTGAATTCTACCATTGTGCGAAACTTCTGATATGTGGTTTATTAAATCTTCTTATTGGTTAACACTGTTTGAATTGGGATTTATATTATTTGGAATGTAAACTAACAGAGAGAAAATTGGTACGCAGATTACGGTACTGTGAGTAACAGATTTTAAATCGCAGAACTGATTGGACGCAAGAGGTAGGACATGGAGCCATGAGGAACCCACTATTTATAATGTGGATTTGTGTTGACCATTTATCATGCCTGGAATAGAGACAAGCTTGGGCTAAAAGTGACCTGCCTGAAAAAAAAAAAAATTGTGTAATATGGCTTTGCCATATCCTGCAGCCCAAGTGAACTAAGTGTCTGGTAATTTGGAGCTATGCAGGTTTGAAAAGCTGAGTATGACCCATGAGTTCTTCATCAGGGCTCCATGTGTCTCAGGTGATTTGAGAGACGGTTGATAAAATTGAAAGCATATGTGAACTTGAATGAGGGAAAAATGATATCTTTCTTTTCATTAACCTCTAACTGAAATTTAGCATTTCCTATAATTATAAATATAGAACCAACAAACCCACAGATGGATATTTGTAATTTGTCACCAATAGAATTCACAGATATTTTTGTATCACATTATAGTTGTTACAAATATCTTAAAATATCATTTACATTCAAAACTAATTTTTAAATTTTAGTAGATCCACTGTTAGATATTAATTTTGTATATCTTAAATATTAATTTACATGAATTACAGACACCTATATTACATCATGTGTTTTTAATAGTTTCACAACTATATTTCAATTTATTTTTTTCTGTGCATTATGCATTTTATTTTATGCAAAATAAAATATGTAAAAATAAAAATAAAAAATAGAGAAAATAGTAAAAAAAAATTTATGTAAAAATATTCTGAGAAAGAGTCTACAGGCTTCACCTACGTTCCCCAGGTGTCTGTGGCATAAAAAAGGTTAGGAAACTTTACCCAAGGTAAAATTAGTGAGAGAAACTATGGGAAAATAGGAGATTAAGGAATGGGATTATGGTAAAAGACAAAGAGATTGCCTCAGGATATTCTCCAGCATTTCCTAAGAAGTGTTCTCTACCTGACAAAAGGAAGAAATGTATGTATTGTGAAGATATAACTTGGAAACAGCTGGGGATCAAGAAGCAGATTATGGTAGTGCTTCTACACCCAAACTATTGTCTATAATTGCGTGAGGGCCAGAGGGATGGGCTGGAGTCAAAGCTTGTTGCTGGGAGACTGGAATTCTCAAACTCAATGACTCTTACCTGGATAGAATTTACGGCTCTCAGTAAAGAAAATAGATCAGCATTTCACTACATTTTTATTATATTTTATGTATTTGTCTTACTCTTTATCGAGGTGTAAATGCATACAAAAAAGTATTACAAGTGGAGAGCTCTACGGATTTTCACAAATTTAACACACTCGTACAACCAGCACCCAGATTAAGAAACAGCACTAAGAGCACCCCAGAAGCCCTGCCTGTTCTCCCTCTTTGTCCTATTCCCGTAGTATGTTGACTGTAAAAAAGCATAGTTTAGTTTTGCTGGTCCTGGTTATTTTCATATAAATGGTATCATATAGGATGTACTCTTTTGTGTCAGGCCTCTTCATGAAGCTTGGGAAACTAATCCATACTTTTGCATCTTGTAGTTCTTTCATTTTAATTGTTGTATAAGCAGAGATTATAAAAAATGTGATCTGGGGACTCCTGAGGTTCCTGCAACCTTTTCCAGTGTGTTCACAAGATCTAAACCATTTTTATAAAATGGTAATATATAATATGTCTCTTCATTCTAATTCTCTCATGAGTGTACAGTGGAGTTGTCCAGAGGCTACATGATATGTAGATGATGTTCATGCATTGCTGTTTTCAAAATTTTCTCAGTTTTAATTTCCAATATAATACATGCTATAGATATAACAAAATATAAAATATAAAAACAAAAGTTCCTTGGGTTCTGCAATAATTTTTTAAAAAGTAAAATGTCCTGAGGCCAAAAAGCTTGAAAATCATTACTGTAATTTTGTAACTATACCACAATTTATTTTTCATTACATTGTTGATAAGCATTGAGTTTTTCTAATTTTTGGCTATCATGAATACTGCTTCTATGAATGTGTCTTTTGGTGAACATATGGACTCATTTCTGTTGGCTACATATACCTAGGATTGGTATTGCTGGGACATGGAGTATATATTTGGTTTCTAGTAGATACCGCCAGTTTTTCAGAATGCCTGAACCAATTTACATTCCCATCAGCAATCTATAAAACTTTCACTTGTTCTACATTCTAATCAACACTAGATACTGTTTATAATTTTAGCTATTCTTTTGCTTGTTTAGTGGTATTATATCAGAGTTTTAATTTGCATTTCTCTGAAACCAGTGAAGTTGAGCTCCTTTATATGTACATATTGACCATTTAAATATTCTTTTGTAAATTGTTCAATTATTCTCTATGTTTTTCTACTGGGTTGTGTACCTTTTTCTTATTGAGTTGTAGGAGTTCTTTTCCTTTTTAAATGTTTTTTTCTGCATCCATTAAAATAATCACGTTTTTCTCTCAATATCGATATAACACTCATCCAATCCACAGACTCCATTCAAATTTTACTAAGTATCCAAACTTTCTATTTCAGAATCACGTGTGTGTTGCACTTAGTCATCATATTTTATGAATCTCCTTCAATCTGCAGTAGCTCCTCTTTTCCTCTCTTTTACATCTTTGACAGTTTCAAAAAGTCTAGCTCTTTGATTCTTTACGGTGACTTTCAAACTTAGTCCATCTGATATTTCCACAGGACCAATTCTATAACAAGCCACAGAATTGATGCTGTGCTCTTGTGGTAGTCTGAATAATGCCCCCCTCCCTCAAAGATGTCCATGTCCTAGTTCAAAGAACCTGTAAACATGTCACCTTTTATGGTAAAAGGGATTCTGCAAAGGTGATTAAGTTAAGAATAAGAATCTTGAGATGGGGAAATTAACCTGGATTATCTCAGTGGGCCCAATGTCATCACAAGGTCCTTACAAGAGCAAGGCAGGAGGATCAGAATTAGGAGAAGGAGATCTGATGATGGAAGTAAAAGTTTGGAGTGGTGCAAGGAAGGGGTCATGGAAAGCAAGGAGCCTTTAGAAGCTGAAAAAGTCCAGTAATCACTCTTCTCAATGCCTCTGAAAGGAACACAGCCCTGTTGTGACATTCACTTTAGACTTCTGAGAATAAATCTGTGTTGTTTCAGGCACTAAGTTTGTGGTAATTTGTTATAGCAATAGTAGGAAGCTAATAGGTTCTTTTTGGTGAATTATATCAGGAGACACTCTGGTCAGCCCTTCCCACCATTTGTACATATGTATGCAAAATGATTCCTTTTATGGCTATCAGCCAACTTCTTTCCTCAGTGTAATGTTGTATGGAACAAGAAGACAATTAAGATCTCTGTAGAGACCGGGCGCGGTGGCTCATTCCTGTAATCCCAACAGTTTGAGAGGCCAAGGTGAGCAGATCACTTGATATCAGGAGTTCGCGACCAGCTTGGCCAACGTGGTGAAACTCCATCTCTACTACAATATAAAAATTAGCTGGGCGTGGTGGTGTGTACCTGTAGTCCTAGCTACTTGGGAGGCCAAGGTAGAAGAATCACTTGAACCAGTAGGCAGAGGCTGCAGTGAGCCAAGATCACACCAGCCTGGGCAACAGAGCAAGACTACATCTCAAAAATCAATCAATCAATCAATCAATCAATCAATCAATAAAATCTCCATAGAGTGTATTATGGCAGAAGGCAGTCAAATTGATGTAGTCTTAATGCAAGATTATGAAGCTTTAGTCATACCAGACAAAAAGAATTTGCTTCTGATGTTTGTTGCAAATTAGTATAAAGAAAAAAATATTTGCCAGCTCAATAGCTGCATGCCACTTATCAGGGAGTTGTGCTGATTTATTTTAGTAAAGTTACTATATCTAGAACAGCAGCTGCAGTTGGAGTTGCTTCCTGATGAAGTTTATAATCTACAGTCATTCTCTAAGATCATTTTGCATAGGCCAACCATGTGACTTAAATTAGAATAAAAGAGCTGTCAACATCTCTACATCTTTTAAGACTTTTATGATGAGGCTAACCTCTACAGTTCTCCCAGAAATCCAGTATTTTTATGATTTACTAACATAGTAGAAAATAGAGATTCCATAGGTTTTCACTTGGCCCTTCCTATAATAATGACCTTTACTCAATTGGTCAGATATCCAATGTCAGTATCTGCCAGTTGCCAATACAGCTTTTTTCAATTTTTTATTCAGGAACCAGAGAAATAATGACGGACTTACTCGGCCAAAATTCAATATATTACCTCAGGGGTCCCCAACCCCCAGGCCGCCTGATCAGTACCAGTTCGTGACCTGTTAGGAACCAGGCCACAGACCAGCAGGTGAGTGGCAGGTGAGTGAGTATTATTGCCTAAATTCCGCCTCCTGTTGGATCAACAGCAGCATTAGATTCTCATAGGAGCATGAACTCTATTGTGAACTGTGCATGCGAGGAATCTAGGTTGCACACTCCTTATGATAATCTAATGCCTGATGATCTGAGGAGGAACAGTTTCATCCCCAAACCACCAACCCCCCACCCCATTTACATGGAAAAATTGTCTTCCATGACACCGGTCCCTAGTGCCAAAAAGTTGGGGACCATCATATCACCTGACCTCCATAAGCCACCACCGTGACTGGTGGACCAAAGTGGTGATTGGATTCTCAACAGTCAGTATTTAGTAATTCCTAAAAGGATCTGGGTTCTCCTTTTCTCCATGTATAGATATCTTATTAAATAGCGACAGGTCCCTTTATGGAAAGCTTAGAAGAATCTTTACAGTGTATACTTGTGACAGAGCAACAGAGAAGATTCTCAAGGAGACCTGACCTCTCAGCACTCAAAGGACTTGGACTGTGAACTGGCTTAGGTGTGGAAACTAGGTTAAAGACAGGGGTTCTTTGTTGAGATGACCGAAGTCAGGTTTCCGGCCAACAGAACTGTAGTTTTTCCTGTTATGTAAAGCAAAATTTTAGTGAGCTGCTTCTCTATTTATTTTTTTATTTATTTATATATTTTTTAAGACGGCCTCACTCTGTCACCCAGGCTGGAGTACAGTGGCATGATCTTGACTCACTGCAACCTCCACCTCCCAGGTGCCTCAGCCTCCCAAGTAGCTGTGATTACAGACGTGCACCACCACATTTGGCTAATTTTTGTATTTTTAATAGAGACGGGGTTTTACCATGTTGGTCAGGCTGGTCTCAAACTCCTGACCTCAGGTGATCCTCCCACCTCGGTCTCTCAAAGTGCTGGGAATACAGACATGAGCCACTGCGCCCAGCCTCTATTGATTGCTTCAAGATTAACTAGCCACTACAAAGTCTTCTGAGTCAGAAGAATTCTGATTACCACTGTGTCCCTGTTGCCCATTACAATAAAAGCACCCACCTTGTCATATGTGATAAAGCATTGCCAACTGACCACTTCTATCCTAGGATTCTAACAATCTCAATGAAATCAGAGAGCCCCTCTTAATGGTGGCATCTCCTACTGCAATCACAGGATGATAGGGTACAGATATAGTTCAAGCTGTTAAGGATGCTGCTGCTCCTCCCACTAATGTATTTCTTAATGCCTTGGGGAAGAAGTAATTGCTGTCTGGACCCCATTAAGGGATGAAGTGTAGGGCTTGGTAGGTGTGTAGGGCACAAATGATACATATTTTTCAGCATTCCTATATCTCCAAACCTTTGGCTTCCTTTCTCTTTAAGCTAGGAAAGATCTAACATCTCACCCTCATTAGACATAGCCCAAGTTTTAATCAATCCACCAAATACCTTTTTAGCACTACTTCCAGCTATACTCTAGAGTATCTGGCAGAAGAACTCATCAATAAATTAGACATAAGCCAAGGTTATATTCCATACTCCTTGATGTACACATTCCACCAATTTGAATTACCTAAATTAGCAAAACCTTGCAATTATCTTAGCGTATAAACTATTTCCTCCCAGGTCAGACTTCATACTTGCCCCCATCCAAATTTGCTGAGATTGAAGTCTATTTATAGGTCTGGGAGCAACATAAGGTCATGGTGGTAAGGCTTTTTGAGTTTTATTTTGTTTTTAATGAATACATAATAATCGTACATATTTATATGGTATAGTGTAATGTTTTGGTACATGTATATGTTGTGTAATGATCAAATCATGGTAATTAGCATGTCCATCACCTCAAACATTTGTCATTTCCTTGTGGCGAGAACATTCAAAATCCTTTCTTCTAGCTATTTTGAAATATGCAATATATTATTGTTAACTATAGTCACCCTACTGTGCAATAGAACACCAGAACTTGTCCCTCCTATCTAACTGTTAACCATCCTCTTTCCATGCCCTCCTCCTCCCTCCCCTCCCCTCCCCAGCCTCCAGTAACCACTGTTCTACTATCTACTTCTATGAGATCAACTTTTTAGATTCTACATGTGTGAGATCATGTGGTATTTGTTTTTCTGTGTTTGGCTTATTTCACTTAACATAATGTCCTCTATGTTCATCCATGTTGTTGCAAATGAAAGGAGTTTCTCTTTTTAATTGCTGAATAGTATTCCACTGTGCATATATACCACATTTTTTGTATCCATTCATCTGTTGATGAACATTTACATAGGTTCCATATCTTGGCTGTTACAAATAGTGCTGTAATAAAGATGGGAGTGCAGATATCTCTTCGACATGCTGATTTCATTTCCTTTGGATATATACCCAATAGTGGGATTGCTGAGTCATATGGTAGTTCTATAAAAAGGAACCTCCATACTGTTGTTTGTAATGGCTGTACTAATTTACATTTCACCAACATTGTATAAGAGTTCTCCTTTCTCCATATCCTCACCAGCATTTGTTATTTTTTATTTTTGACAACAGCCATTCTAACTGAAGTGAGGCGTTATCTCATTCTGCTTTGATTTGCATTTCTCTGATGATTAGTGATGTAGGACACTTTTTCATATATTCTTTAGCCATTTATATGTCTTCTTTTGAGAAATGTATATTCAGATATTTTGGCCATCAGACTTTTTTTTTGTTATTGAGTTTTTTGAGTTTCTTATATATTCTGGATACTAACCCCTTATCAGATACATAGTTTGTAAATATTTTCTCCCATTCTATAGGTTGTCTCGTCACTCTGTTGATTGCTTTCTTTGCTGTGCAGAAGCTTTTTAGTTTGAGGAAATCCTATTGGTCTATTCTTACTTTTGTTGCCTATGCTTTTGAGGTCTTGTTCAAAAAATCCTTGCTTTGATCAAATAATGAAGTGTTTCCCCTGTGTTTTTTTCCTCTATGTTTCATAGTTTCCATTGGGGTGGGTTTTGAGTATAATGAGCATCTAATTAAGGTTATTAAAAGTTCTTCAAGCAAGAGAAGACTAGCTTCCTCAGATACAAAAGGGAAGACTGTTCCCACTGTCAAGGAAGAGTCACAGTGAGTCAGGTTTCAATATGCTGAGATAGCTGAGTCCATCCAGATTTACCCATCCTCATGAATCCGTTACTTCCCAATGGATCTATGGGGGCTCAAAGTTTCACATGAGAAACTTGGGGAGGCTATGACACTTCTGCAACATATAGAATTAAGTCTTGTGTTTGGTTTTGAAAATATTGACCTTCTGGCTGCAAAATTAGAGGCTTTTTTAGGGCTCTCTAACCATGATTCAAGCTTAGTGTTTCAACATCTGAGTTTGTCATTCTCTTGAAGTGCTAGAATACACCCACCCACACCCCCTACCCACCCCACACACACTCACATATCACAGTCCTTGCAGGACTTATTATTATGTAACTGCCATAGAGTTAAGTGTATGAGACACTTGATACCCTGAGGCACTTGCTGCACTAGACACACCAGTCCAATCAATCACAAATAATAATTTGACTATGAAACCACTGCATTTCATAAATTACCAGCATCTCATTTCCCAAGGCCAGAATCTCAGCACTGAATTCAAGACCAAGGAATTACCAAACCAATGCCAAAATTCCATCTTCAAAGGACTATTTCCTGAGACAATATTGATTCCAATTTCTGATTCAATTCAGTTAGGAGGTCAAAATCACAAGTAATTTTTTTTTTTTTTGAGACAGAATTTGGCTCTTGTTGCCCAGGGTGGAGTGCAATGGCGCAATCTCGGCTCACTGCAACCTCCACCTCCCGGGTTCAAAGTATTCTCCTGCCTCAGCCTCCCGAGTAGCTGGAATTACAGGCGTGAGCCACTATGCCCAGCTAATTTTGTGTTTTTAGTAGAGATGGGGTTTCTCCATGTTGGTCAGGCTGGTCTCAAACTCCCAACCTCAGGTGATCCGCCCACCTTGGCCTCCCAAAGTGCTGGGATTATAGGCATGAGCCACCGCACCCAGCCAGAGGTCAAAATCGCAAGTAATTTTAAGAGAAAGGATTTAATACGAAAAACTGTTAATTAGGTATAAAAATTGTTCACTGGGTACATTTAAATGCTTAAAAGTAAACATAAAATTATCACTAGGGTAGAAACTGCAGGAAGCAGCTACCACCTCTAGAGTTGGGGAAATGAAGGGATCCAGTTGGAGTTAAACTTAAAAGTTTGAATGAGTGGCCCCATGGACCTGTAGCCCATACCTTTGAGGAGGAAGCACTGCTCAACTGATGCTAGAGTCTCTGGTCTCCAAAAGAGGGCACGTTGGGACTGGGACCAAGACCTCTGAAAAACAAACCTGTTCCATAAATCTATTGTGGTTTTTGAGATGCACCGCCACCCTAATAAGTATGCTTAATATATTAGACAAAGAATATGCCAGAACTTGACTTTGCTCAAAAAGCAAACTATGGGTACAAAGAACTAACTAGAGAATTATCTTTTCTAATCAAAAATAGAAGCATGATTACAAATAGGGCTAAGTTTTATGTGATGTGTGAGTCTTTGGAGATGATTGCTATTATATCCAGTGGGAAAAAAGGGTTTCAAGTAATTAGCATTTTATTTTTACCTGTGCTTAACTTCTTTACTCCATAAGTACGCTTAAAGACCAAAAGTTGTTTTGCATTTCTCATCCACTTCAGTTTTTAAGGATTATCATTCTAAACATTGGACATTTTTAAAAATGATATAACAAAATAAGAGGAGTGATAGTCCTAAGTGACAATTAGAAAAAAATACTCTCACAACTTCCAGTGCTTGATAGCATGGCCCAAGATATCACCATCTTTCACTTGAGTTAATGATTTAGCCTCTTAAATGTTTGCCATTCCTACACACTTGTCTTTATTAGTCTATTCTTAATACACTCATCAGAGTGATCATGTTAAGGGAAGAGCTAAGTCACAGTATGGTTACATCTTTGCTCAAAACATACTGATGGCTTTCCATCTTGCTGAATATAAGCTGTATTTGCTGTTCTCATGCTTCTGTGAAGAAATACACAAGAGTGAGTAATTTATTAAGAAAACAGGTTTAATTGACTCACAGTTCCACATGGTTGGGGAGGCATCAGGAAACTTATAATCATGGCATAAGGCACCTCTTCACAGGGTGGCAGGAGAGAGAATGAGTGCAAGGCAGGGATTGCCAGATGCTTATACAACCATCAGATCTTGTGAGACTTACTCATTATCACGAGAACAGCATGGGGGAAACCACCTCCATGATTCAATTACCTCTACCTGGTCCCATCCTTAAAACATGGGGATTATTACAATTAAAGGTGAAAATCGGGTGGGGACACACAGCCAAACCATATCATTCCACCCCCACCCCTCCCAAATCTCATGTCCTCACATTTCAAAACACAATCATGCCCTTCCAACAGTCCCCCAAAGTCTTAATTCATTCTAGCATTCACTCAAAAGTCCAAGTCCAAAGTCTCATCTGAGACAAGGCAAGTCCCTTCCACTTATGAGCCTGTAAAATCAAAAGCAAGTTATTTAATTCTAAGATACAATGGGGGTACAGGCATTGGGTAAATGTTCCCACTCCAAATGGGAGAAATAGGCCAAAACAAAGAGGCTACAATCCCCATGTAAGTCCGAAATCCAATAGGGCAGTCATTAAAACTTAAAGTTCTAAAATGATCTCCTTTAATTGTATGTCTCACATCCAGGTCACACTGATGCAAGAGGTGAGCTCCCACAACCTTGGGCAGCTCCATCCCTGTGGCCATGCAAGGTACAGCCCTGCCCCAGGATGCTTTCACAGGGGGGCATTGAATGCCTGCAGCTTTTCTAGGTGCACAGTGCAAGCTATTGGTGGATCTACCATTCTGGGGTCTGGGATCTGGAGGATGGTGGCCCTCTTCTCACAGCTCTACTAGGCAGTCCCCCTGTGGGACTCTGTGTGGGGTCTGCAACCCTGCATTTCCCATCCTCACTGCCATAGCAGAGGTTCTCCATGATGGCTCTGCCCCTGCAGCAGACTTCTGCCTGTACATCCAGGCATTTCCACACATGCTCTGAAATCTAGGTGGAGGTTCCCAAACCTCAATTCTTGACTTCTATGCATCCACAGGCCCAACACCACATGGAAGCTGCCAAGGCTTGGGGCTTTCGCCCTCTGAAGCAATGGACTGAGCTGTACTCTGACCCCTTTTAGCTATGGTTGGAGTGGCTGGGATGCAGGGCACCAAGTCCCAAGGCTGCACACAGCAAGGGGGCCCTGGACCCGGCCCAGGACACCATTTTTCCCTCCTAGGCCTCCGGGCCTGTGATGGAAGGGGCTGCTGTGAAAGTCTCTGACACACCCTGGACACCTTTTCCCCATTGTCTTGGTGATTAACATTTGGCTCCTGATTACTTATGTAAATTTCTGCAGCAGACTTGAATTTCTCCCCAGAAAATGGGTTTTTCTTTTCTATTGCATCATCAGGCTGCAAATTTTCCAAACTTTCATCCTCTACTTCCCCTTCAATGCTTTGCCACTTAGAAATTTCTTCCACCAGATACCCTAAATCATCTGTTTCAAGTTCAAAGTTCCACAGATCTCTAGGGCAAGGGCAAAATGCCACCAGTCTCTTTGCTAAAGCATATCAAGAGCCACCTTTGCCCCCGTTCCCAAGAAGTTCCTCATTTCCATGTGAGACCAGCTCAGCCTGGACCTTATTGTCCACATCACTATCAGCATTTTGGCCAAAACCATTCAACAAGTTTCTAGGAAGTTCCAAATTTTCCCATATCTTCCTGTCTTCTTCTGAGTCCTCCAAACTGTTCCAACCTCTGCCTGTTACCCGTTCCAAAGTCATTTCCAAATTTTTTAGTATCTTTACAGCAGTGCCCCATTCTATGGGTACCAATTTACTGTATTAGTCCATTCTCATGCCACTATAAAAAACTGCCCAAGACTGCGTAATATATAAAGGAAAGAGGTTTAATTGACACACAGTTCCATATCGCTGGGGAGGCCTCAGGAAACTTACAATCATTGTGGAAGGCATCTCTTCACAGGGCAGCAGGGGAGAGAATGAGTGCAAGCAGGGGAAATGCCAAACTCTTATTGAACCATCAGATCTCTTGAGACTTACCCATTATCATGAGAACAGCATGGGGGAAGCCTCCCCTGTGATCCAATTACCTCCACCTGGTCCTGCCCTTGACATGTGGGGATTATTACAATTCAAGATGAGATGTGGGTGGGGACACAGAGCCAAACCATATCATCAGGCAAAGTTGGAGTAGTAACATTAAAAGTCTCAAGACTGACATATGTTCCCTCCATCCCTAGGTCCAATGACTGCTACCTCTCTGACTCTGTCTTCTACTCCCCTTCCTCTCACTCTGTCCTCACCACATTGGTTTCTTTGCTGTAACTCAGGGCATTTGCCCTTGCAGTTCCATTTCCCTGGAATGCTCTCCTCAGATAGCTACATGGCTGTCTCTCTCACCTCCTTCAGACTTTTACTCAAATATTGGCTTTTCAGTGAGACTTTTCCTATGGTTCTAATTAAAATTTCAACACATACACAATACTCTCCTTACGTCCTTCCTGCTTTATTGTCTGATTACTCCCACTAACATTTGGGTTCCCTAAGGGCAGAGATTTCCATTCCTTTTATTCATTTCTAGATTCCCAGCATCCTCCAGATACCTGGCTCATAGTAGGTCATTAACAAATATTCACCAAATTAATAACTACATGAGTGAATGATATAAATAAAATAAACCCGGGTTTTACATCTAATTGTTGGCTGATTAGAAACAAGCCTCTCTTCATCTCTTTTTACTTGAATTTATTCCTCTGTAAATTAAGGCCATAATACTCCATCAAACTCATGGCTTTCACCATTGATTGTGAATTCGTGTCATTTCTTAATCAAAAGCATTGAGAGAGGAGATGTTTATAATTAGAGATAAAATTCAAAATTTTGATCTGGGAGTCAAAAGACCTGGGTTGAAGACATGGAAAAGAGATCTTTGTACTTCATATTAACATAACCATAATTTCCCTCTTTACCTCATAAGATTTTTGTGAACATTGAAAGGAGAGCAGGGAACATAGTAGGTATACAGTCAATATTTTTTTCAATCCTATTTTCTCCCCTATTAGCCAGGCCAAAAAAAGAAAAAAATGTTATAGTGATAATGCTAACAACATCAATAGGAGCTATTATTACTTTGTCTCTGGGTGGTTACCTTAGTTGTAAGATACTAAGCTTTTGGTGGATTCAGTCCACATAGGCTGATTTGTTTAACTCAGTTTCATCTTTATTGACTCTCCCCACACCTTGGCCATACCTGACTATTAATGAAGGCTGTGTCAACTCATGCCTTTCTTGTAGTACTTTTAAAAGCAGTCTAAAGTTCAGTATCTGATGACAATTCATTCAGTGATACTATTCTGCCACTAAATTACTTTTACCACTAATTAACTCTGTAAAGGATAAAAGATTTATAACACCTGATGATTAACCTTCAGGAACTCACAGCATATTGGATTTATATAAAAAGAAGTGCATACTACATTGACTAGTTAGAATAGGGTCCTCTTAAGACAGTTGTCTGGTTATTTGTAACAAGTTTCTATATGCCACATAAGAGGCGTAACAGGATATGTTAATCAGATGTCCTTTTAAAAAAATCCACAGAGACACATTACAAAAAATTCAATCCCATTTGTAGTCACTTTTCCCATTATTGATTATAAGATGGCAACACTAGACTTTAAATGGACTTTGCACAAGTGATTGACATTTGTCTGACTGGCAAAGTCAAGTCAGGCACCATTCTCTGGCCAATACAGCAGAGCGGAGGCGGAGTGAGAGAAACTGCATGCATGTCAGAAGCTGTGGGAGACCAGAGGGACAGGCTAAAAGTACAAAGATAACATTCAGAGAAACTTTTCCCACATTTTTCTCTTTTTTAAATATTAAATTACAATAAAAAAATGAAAAACATTACCTCTTGGCAGACTCTGACAACTGTAATAATCCTGTGCATTTGCACACATTTATGTACTTAGAGCTGCACAAAACCCATGAAATAACCAGAGCAGTTATTATTCCCATTTTACAGGCAAGAAAACAGAGGCATGGAAATGACAGCTGGCTTGTTAAATTTGTGTATTGGAAAAAGACAAGAGTTTGTGATCATGTTAGGGACTAGGAGAGCAGTATGTTTTGCAGGAGTAACCCAGGAGAACCTTAGCTTTTGCGATCCCCAGAAGTAATCTCCTAGGAAAAACACTTTGCCTGGAGAATTTAACAATAGTAAACTAAACAATGTTCCAGGAATAAACGTTGGGTCTATTTTTAGTCCAGTGGTATGCACAAGGCTAGAGTAAGCCTGAAGGAATGTTTTGTGTGATGGAGAATAAACTGAACTTATTTGGTACTGTTGCCTTTTGTCCAAGCCCTTGTCCTAGAGTCCCCAGGACCATTTATGCTTATTAGTCCTCCTTTATCTGGTGTCCTGGGAAGAAACAAGTGGTAAAATTAAAAAAAAAAAAAAAAGGCTAAATAGAACATTTTCTTATCTTCAGGGTTAAAATTGTTACTTCATTCAAAGCAATAGGGAAACAGCAGGCCTTCCACCTTTCCTTGTTATCGTTATATGTGCAGAAGTAAAGTACTCCTACTACTACAGTAGTTGCTATAACCCAAATAATGTAGTTTCTGTATTTAAGAGTAAAATCAGAGAGGCTGATATGCAAAGAAAATAAAAAAAAACCTAGAAGTTATGAGACCTGGACTCTAGAGTCATTTTTTCCCTGTAATTGTATACCCTTGGGTGATTAATTTACTTTTATTAGGACTCCATTGCTTTGTTTTGTTTTCTTGTGAAATGCAAAGATGGCGGGGGTGGGGAAGGATGGGCACTGAACTAAGTGGTTGCTTATACTTAAGATATAGCACTCTAATTCTTTGATAGTTTTTGCTAGAAGGCTAAGGGATGAAGATTTGTCAATTGTCCATTTAAAGTAGAAGCAATTTTCTGAATTGCTTATTTGTGATGAGCAGAGACACACAACCTTAGTGTCTCTTCATTCACTGTTCATACTCAATGAAAGTTTCCTGTGCCTTCTGAAGCAAATAATGTATATCTGATATATTTCTGGTATACTGTTCACCACACTCTTAAAGATAAGTATAAACTTTTTGTAGGAGATGTAGTTATATACACAATAAGTCTGGGTGAAATATTTGCTGTGGTTTGAAGTTTGCATATATATTACTGTAGATTGCTTCTTCAGAGACTAGGAAATCTCTCAAGGAGGAAATGTCTCAAGGAGGAAAGGGAGTCAAGTAACAGGTAGAAATGAATGTCATTAAATAGAAGACATGCCCAGGTACAGAACCCTGTCTCTTCAATCTGTTAATATGCTGTGCCTTCTATTTCATTAACTTACCAGTCAATGTAATAGTGTGTTACATACATTAAATACTATAGGAATCCTGTGGAGGCAGACATGCCTGTGGGCTAGGGTCATCAGAACAGGTTTCAGAAAAGAGAGAATTCTACAAGGAATTTGAAGATCAGCAGAAAATGCATAGATGGAGAAAATAAGAATAATTTTCCAGTATGAAGTACAGCATAGACCCAAATGAAAAAACAGAGTGTCTCTTTTAAAACCACTGTATATTGATCACATTTAGAAAATTTAACATCGATAAAATAATACTATTTACTATTCAGCCTATGTTCACATTTTATGTCTTCTATGTCATTTTTTCCCTCTTATTCAAGATCCAATCCAAGATCAATTTCATTATTGTCATGACTCTAATTCTTCAACCTTTATGATGTTGACATTTTTGGAGAATAAAGGTCAATTTTTAGAATTTCCTTTAATTTGGATTTTTAAAAAATATTTCTCCATGGTTAGATTTAATTATGAATCTTGAACAGGAGCACTACTTGAGTGATATTTTTTCTTCTCTGTGCATCATATCAGGAGGTACATGATTAATGACATTAACTTTGTGTCACTGTGTGTCTGGTCATTGATGACATTACTTTGACCACCTGATTAAAATGAGATCTATGGGGTTTTCCCATTTTTCTCTTTGTAATTAATGTGATCTGTAATAAAAGATGTTTTAAAATGATGTAAGCATCCTGTTCCTCATTAAACTTTCCCCAAATAGCTTTCCCATTCATTGAGGAGGCTATTCCTTTGCTTTAAAAATTTCCAGTGGGAGTTTGGAAATTTCAATGTAAACAGCCACATTATTTTAAAATAAATACTTAAATCAATAATCAGTGTCATGCGTGTCCATGTGAAGAGACCATCAAACAGGCTTTGTGTGAGCAATAAAGCTTTTAATCACCTGGGTGCAGATGGGCTGAGTCCAAAAAGAGAGTCAGCAAAGGGTAGTGGGATTATCATTAGTTCTTATAGGTTTGGGATAGGTGGTGGAGTTAGGAGCAATTTTTGCAGGCAGGGGGTGGATCTTAAAAAGTGCATTCTCAAGGGAGGGAAGAATATTACAAAGTACCTTCTTAAGGGTGGGGAGGGTGTATCGTACAAAGTACATTCACAAGGGCGGGGGACTATCACAAAGTACATTATCACAAGGGCAGGGAGGGTGTATTTTCACAAAGTCAGTTGATCAGTTAGGGTGGGGCAGGAACAGATCACAATGGTGGAATCACAGCTAAGGCAGGAACTGGCTATTTTCACTTCTTTTGTGGATCTTCAGTTGCTTCAGGCCATCTGGATGTATACGTGCAGGTCACAGGGGATATGATGGCTTAGCTTGGGCTCAGGGGCCTGACAATCAGTACTTACTCATTTCCACTCCCTGATCCTTTGTTTCTGATTCTTGACCTACTGCTGGCTAGGACTTCAAACACAATGCTGAATAGAAGGGATAAGATCACATATGCTTGCCTTGTTTTTGATTTTAGAGAGAATGCATTCTATTAGCTGTAGAATTTTTATAGATGTTCTTTACCAGATAAAATTCCTCTCTATTTCTATTTTTCTTAGTACTTCTTAATCATCAGTGGGCACTGGATTTTCAAATTTTTACACATCTATTGAGATGATAATATTTTTTCCCCTAGAACAACTGTGCATTCTTATAATGCACAGTACCACTTGGTACTGAAATATTTTCCATTTTATATATTGCCTGATTCAATTTTTCAATATTTTCTTAGGAATATTTGTACCTATAATTATGAGGAATAGTGAACTAATGCTTTTTTTCTTATAAGAAATGTACTTGTTCATTATTTACATCACAGTTTTGCTGATATCATAAAACTAGACTTTAAGTGTTCCTTCCTCTTTTATTTTAGGGAGTGTTCATATGGAATGGTTTTATTCCTCCATAAAGATCATAGAATGTGTTTGTAAAGCCATCTGAGCCAGTTTTCTTTGATGAAAGATTTTTTATAACAAAATCAATCTCTGCTTTTGTTATCTATTATTGTGTAATAAAACACACAAAAACTTAGTGGCCTAAAACAATAACAATCTATTATCTTTTCTCACTTCTATGAATTGGCTGGTTTTGTCTGAGCTGCATTCACCTGGAGGGCTGGCTGAGCTGTGAACCCCAAGATGGTTCCACTCCCAAGTCTGTCAATTGGCTCTGGCTAATGGCTCAGCCTTTTTCTCCATGTTTTCTTTCATCCTAGGCAGCCTCAGGAAACTGTTCCAAAAGATTGGAGGTAGAAGCTACAAGATATCACTGTGCCAGCCTTCAGAAATTGTACACCATCACTTCTGCCACATTTTGTTGATCAAAGCAAGTCACAGGGACATCCCAGCTTCAGGACAGGGGATAAAAATTCTTTCTCCAAATAGGAGGAGGGGCATGCAGAATATGCGGAGTTGTTGCAGCCATCTTTGAAAACAATCTACCACAGCCAATTCAGGCCAGAGTAATTCATATCCCTTCTACATTCTCATTCAATCAGAGCATCAGGCTTAAAATTCTTGATCTCATCATATAAATCCGGTCCAGATACTGGTGAGGCACTTTGGATGTAGTTTCTCAAGCACATCTTCTCTGATACCACTCCGCTTAAGCTAGACACCTCTGAACAAAAATGACATCATCTCCTCCAATACGTACAATATATAATGTTGAAAAAGTAGTAGGATATTGGCTGCAAACACTCCTATTCAAAAGGGGAAGGACAAGAAAATCATGGAATAACTGGTCTATAGGAATTCTTACCTCCAGCCACGGACATGTTGCTAATTTCACCTTCCACAGTAGGGACTATTTCTTGATTAGGGCCCAGTTCTAATCCCTGAAAGTATTAATAGTTCCCTAACCTATGGTTCTTCTCATCTCTTATTTTTCCCCATCTGGGTCTTTCTCGCTCTGGGTCTTGATTCTACCCTCTGGAACACCTTTTTTCATAAGCAATGGCTGTGTTGGCAGCTGAGTAGCTCTCTCAGCAAACTTTCAGCCTGTAGAAAGTTAGAAGCCAAGAAGTCTCTTTCATTTTGTAGTATCTCTGATGTTTTTAGTCTAATGTAATACAACTCTCTTACTTCTTAAAACTTTGTGAGCTTTCTATTATCTATCAGGTTATAGTTCATTTTACAAGACAAAATCCATTCCAACAATTCATTTTTTGGGCAGGTTTCTCTCTACTTTAGACATCATGCCAGGACAATGCCTTTAAAATTCTCAGGAGCTTTTTTGCCAAGCTAAGAGAGTCTAGCAAGCATAGCCATGAATCTTTTCAAGAATTTTAACAAAAGGTTTATAGTCTTGCCCTTGATTTGATCTAGATTCTGAGACTATCTCTTACTTTGAGAATATTACATCAGTTAGAGAGACAGGAGATGTGAAAAAGTTTCATCTTCCAATCTAGCATAATTGGGGCCCTTCATATTTCTTCTAAATTTTGTTTAGAAACTGAATAGCTACTAATTTAAATTGCCTCTTTCGTCTCATATGTTATACAGCTAAAAGCAAAAAGTACAACAAAATTTCCCAAAACACCTCATTGACACTCTCAACCTTCTGCTTGGATGACCTCTTCTCCTTGCCTCCTCATAGTTAATTATCCACACAAAAGACAAAATAATCCTTATAAAGATCTATGGCAGTGGTCCACCATTATCTCAAGTGGTGTTTCTGAGTGAATTAGAAAAAAAAAATTGTTTCTTCCTTAATATATACTGTTATATCAAGGAAAATTGTAACAAATATACATACCTATGATGACTATAAATGTGAATGGCAGCCCCTAAAATCGCACAGTGCAAATTCTGCATAACTACTGGCTTTGCCTAGTTCCAAACCTTCTGATGGCTTTCCCTCACAGTTAGAAAATTGTATAACCTATATGAATCTATATAGAAGATATAAATACCGCCTACAAACCAGCAATATAATAGGAAAAACCCTTGAGCAGACCCTCTACAAAGAATGATATAAAAATGGCCAATGGGCCAGGCGCAGTGGCTCATGCCTGTAATCCCAGCACTTTGGGAGGTCGAGAGGGTGGCTCACGAGGTCAAGAGATCGAGACCATCCTGGCCAACATGGTGAAAACCCATCTCTACTAAAAATACAAAAATTAGCTGGGCATGGTGGCACATGCCTGTAATCCCAGCTACTTGGGAGGCTGAGGCAGGGGAATCACTTGAACCCGGGAGGTGGAGGTGGCAGTGAGCTGAGATGGCACCACTGCACTTCAGCCTGGGCAGCAGAGTGAGACTGTGTCTCAAAAAAAAAAAAAGATGGCCAATGAACATAAGAAAAAGGGTTCAACATCATTAGGTGTCAAAAAAAGGCACATTGAAACCACAATGAGATGGTTCTATGCACTTACAAAAAAAGGTTAAAATTTAAAACAACTGATGACACTAAATGTTGGAGAGGATGTGGAAGAACCACAACTCTGGAACATTGTTGAAGGGAATGAAACATGGATGCGGCATCGGCGGGGTCCCTGTGAGGCTGCTGATGTACTCTCCAGATGCTGAGACCCATGTATCCTGGGCACAGGCCAGCATTGAGCTGTAGTTGGAGTAGGCTGCCTTCCGAAGCAACATCTATTTACAATGAAGTGGCAGTCTCCAGAATTCCAGTCACTTTTCTCAGAAGGATTGATGAGTTTGACAATTTACTTGTGAAAGAGAATCATGAATTAAGAACAGCAGAGGGGGCAGGTGTGGCGGCTCACCCTGTAATCCTGGCACTTTGGGAGGCTGACAAGATGGACAAATTGCTTGAGCTGAGGAGTTCAAGACCAGTCTGGGCAACATGGTGAGACTCCGTCTCTACAAAAAATCCAATAATTAACCAGGCACGGTGGCGTGCACCTGTAGTCCCAGCTACTTGGGAGGCTGAGGCAAGAGAATCACTTGAGCCCAGGAGGTGGAGGTTGCAGTGAGCTGAGATAGCACCACTGCCCTCCAGCCTGGGTGACAGAGACCCTGTCTCAAAGAAGAAGGAAAAAAAAAGAAAAAAGCAGGAGGGCAGGAACAGTGGGGGGTTTATTCAATGGAGTAAAGCCTGGAAACGTAGATTTTGCCAACACTGCCACTCCTACTCAGATGAAGACGATGTCTCAGTCAACCAGGATTTGGATGAGAAACAACAAAGGAGAAGAGCACAGAACAATTACTGGCAGGCTTCACAAAGAATATGTTAAGATTATTACACTACAGATTGATGTTGCCACTGACGGATGATATGCTGAAGTCGAATTCACAACTGACCGGCAGAAAGATGCTGAACACAGGGCTGTCCCTGTAAATTCTGTGTTTTTAGATTTTAATGATATCTTATTTGATGACTTTAATGGTTATGGTTTAAAAAATAAGAAAGTTAGATTTGTTGGGCATGCCAAACAGAAATAAAAGAGGATTATCTTATAATTTTAAGATATTTCAGGTTTTATAGGAGTACTAGCTTTTTAAAAATACTTGTTACAGATCACGACTGGCTGATAAAATACTCTTACTAATTAAATCTTATAATTATCTACATATATCCTTGCAAATAATAACAGGAACTGCAAATAACATTATTTGGAAAGGTCCAAACACCTTAAAGAATTCAGTGTCAAAATCATATTAATTGCCACAATCTGAACAGGATAAATTAGAACAAAATCCAAATGTTTTCTTTTAACTAAAAATGAAAATTGCTGCAATATTCAAGTTCAAATTTCCAAAATGCTCCAGGAGTTGCAGAAACTCTCAGTGTTGATTGCTAAATTAAAATAAGAAACTCATGAGCTTCCACTTAGCACAGTTTGAACTTTCCTCTTAATATTCTTCCCAACTTAGCTAGACCTTCCTCCACTTTTATGGGACAATTGTAGAGCAACCTGGTGACCATGGTCCTAAAGCTTTGTAAAAACTGCAGAAAATGCAAAACGCTTGGGTGGAATATCAGGAATGAGGATTTGGGTGGAACTGAAAAAATTTTTGTTGGTAACCATGTAAATCATTTGATTCCCCTTATCCATGATCTTGATGTGGCTCCTTACATAGGTTTATCTGCTAATTAAAGTTTAGAAGAGTTTAATAAGGTCAGTAAAAATGTTGAAGGTTTTTCACCAAAGTCAATGACTCTTTTTGCCTCATTATTCAAGTGATAGGATGATGTTGCAAAAGTGGATTTGAGGTCGAAGACTGCACAAAAAAAGAAAAGTCTTGGATTATTTATGTTTAAAAATAGGAAAGATTTAATTAAAGCAACAGATAGTTCAGAACCATTGAAACTCTATCAAGACTTCATTATAGGTTCCAGGGAACATGATGCAACTACTCATGTATGTGAGCTACTGCGGTACCAAGGAGAGCACTGTCTCTGAAAGGAAATGCAGCAACGGTGAATCCCATTTCCTGTAACTGTCATGGCATCAGGAAAGTGGGGATCTCTTCAGGGAAAGAAATTGGGGCTCTATTACAACAGCTGGGAGAACAGTGGGAAAAAAGTGGTTTCCGGCTGGGCACGGTGGCTCATGCCTGTAATCCTAGCACTTTGGGAGCCCAAGGTGGGTGGATCGCCTGAGCTCAGGAGTTCGAGACCAGCCTGGGCAACACAGTGAAACCCTATCCCTACTAAAATCCAAAAAAAAAAAAAACATTAGCCAGGCGTGGTGGCCTGTGCCTGTAGTCCTAGCTGCTCAGGAGGCTGAGGCAGGAGAATTTCTAGAACCTGGGAGGCGGAGGTTGCAGTGAGCCAAGATTGCACCACTGCACTCCAGCCTGGGTGACAGAGCAAGAATCCGTCTCTTAAAAAAAAAAAAAAAAGGGTTACCAAATGGAAAAAGATTCACTTCTAAATGGCATAAAGAAGACCTAAAACTGGTGTCCATTAAAAGGCAGAACATTTTAAATAAGGCTAGTTTTTTCTTCTCCCTGTTAGTGAGATTTTGGAAATCACAGCAGAATAAAAGCCAGCTTAAAGGACCTCTTAAAGATAAAGGTCTTATTTTGTGAATTATATTTCAGGAAGTAAACTGAAATTCACCTCCTCTTGATCTGATTTATATTGCTGAAACAGTTATTTTGAAATAGTTCCAACTGAGAAAAGCATAATTGGCTTCTACAATCTTAATCTATGTAGACGTTTTTTAAAATTTAGTTTTTGCATAACATGGCACTAAGATTGATCTGAAAAAAGTGTTAACTATCTGGAAGCAAAAACGTTTATTAATTTCAATTGAGATAACTGGATTACTTTGTACAATGACTGTCTATGATGTGTTCATTCTTATCTGAATTCCAAAATAAATAAATGAGTGCCTCAAAAGAACTTGAAAAAAGGTACAACTACTTTAGAAAACTGTTTAGCAGGGTTTTTTTTTTTCATTAAAAGGAAAAAATACACCTGCCCTATGCCTCAGCAATTCCACTCTAAGTATTTACCAAAAGAAATAAAAAGATATATCAACACAGTGAGTTATATAAAATAATATCTTTATTCATTATAGTCAGAAATTAGAATCCATTCAAATGAATTCCAACAGAAAAATAGACAAATAAGTACGGAATGGTCATACATTGGAATATTAACTAATCAGCAGTTAAAAAAAAGAATAGACTAATAGTGTATGCAAAAACATAAATAAGTCTCAAAAACACAGTAAACAAACAAAGCCTTACCAAAAGAATGTATACTCTATGGTTTCATTCATATGAAGTTCTAGAATGGGTGGAACTAATTCATGGTGGGGAAAAAAAAAAAAACTAGACCATATGCATCAGGAGGCAGGGTGGAGATTGACTGGAAGTGGAAATGAAGGAACTCTTAGGGATAATTGGAAAAAAAATTTTTTAAGAGAGAGATGGAGGGTTTCACTCTCTCACCCAGGCTGCAGAGTTGTGATCACAGCTCACTGCAGCCTCAAACTCTAGGGCTCAAGTGATCCTCCCACCTTAGTCTCTCAAGTAGCTGGGACCACAGGTGCATGCCACAGCACCTGGCTAATTTTTAAACGTTTTGTTGAGACAGAGTCTTGCTATGCTGCCCAGGCTGATCTTGAACTTCTGGACTCAAGTGATCCTCCAGCCTCTGCCTTTCAAAGTGCTGAGGTTACAGGTGTGAGCCACTGCACCAGGCCAAAATAGAAATACTCTGTATCTTGTTTGAGGTCATGGTTACCTGGGTGAATATACTTGTCAAAATGTATCTAAGGCGTGTGATGGCACACGCCTATAGCCCCAGGCACCATGACTTTGTTGGTTGTTCCTCAAACCCGCCAACTACTCTCACCCAGTCTTTGTACTTGTTCTCTTTGCCTGAAACACTCTTGCCAAGATCTCTTCATGGCTTGCTTCCTTGCTTCCTTTGGGTTTCTGCTAACTTGTCTTCAGGTAAGAGACCCCTGACCACTCTCTCTGAAATTCTGTTATCTGACCTATCCCCAAAGGCTAGATGTATTTACCCTACTTTACTTTTCTTCTATAATAACTGATATTGTATTATGTGTTCATTTGATTATTTATTTTCTTCTTGGATTAGAATGTAAGTTTAATAATGGCAGATTGTTGTTGTTGTTGTTCTTAACTGTATCCCCAGTTCTTAAAATGGTGCTTGGCACAGAGCAGGTCTGGTTAAATGAATGAATGAAGACCTCTGTGGCTTATTTGAAATATATTATCTTCTGGTCTGAACATAGCTGGGAGATTCTCTTCCATTGCTCTAAACTCTTGTTATGTATAGTTGCATTTTGTCTCTCTCTAGAAGGGCCTCCCCTACCTGAAGAAACTTGGAGTAAAATATTTTCTTGTGATAAAATTGTTTTTCCACCCCATGTTTCAGACTATGGTTATTCTGGTTTACGGTTTCCTTCCAGATAGGTATGGATCACACTTATGCAACCCACGGTCGTTTATTCTCACATTATCTGATTTCCAAACCAGCTTAATTCAGATCATTAAGTTGCTGATCCAATTCATTCTTTAAATTAAAATGACTGAAATGATCAGGCTGACCAGACTTTGGTATGGCCATTCCATTCTTAAATGTTTAGTTTAAGATAGAGAACAGTGACATACACAGATATTCGTGTATAAAAATAAGATAAAAATATTTAAAATAGAAAAAGACACAATATTTTCACTGGAGACGAAGTGTTGGCCAGTGGCTGTAAGTGATGGAGAGCTGTGGTTGACTTCCTGGGGATATAATCAGTCTTTGTTAGGAAAATGAATGGCTACATAAGTACAGTACTTGTATTAAGTATTCTATGCTCAAGATTGAACTAGATTAATTGTCCGTAGAGTATTAATCTCAAGCACCTCAGGCTACTTCTTCACATTTCACAGCTAGCACTGGAATAAAGGAAGTGAGACCTTGAATTAAACCTCTTCATTTTATAGAAAGATCTTTCTTGAAAATAATAACTTGTTTTTAAAATTTTTCATTCATGTCTTATAGATGAGATCTATAAAAGTTTTGACGTAAACATCTGAGTTAGTGGCTCCTTGAGGATAGAGAGATAATGGATCAAACATGGCATATTTTTTAAATATGTCAGAAAAATATTTACATTTTGGCCATTTCATAGCATAGGTACATTCTTTGCACTGGTGGAATGAAGTAGTTATAAAAATAAATAACATTGGTGAATATTTGCTTCAAGTTAACCAACATTTTCTGAGCATGTGTTAAGCATTATGCAAGAAACTGTAAATACCAAATAAACCAGGTGTTCTCATGCTTGAAAGGAGCACAGGTGGAAGAGAGTTGTGAGATAAGATAGAAGCATACACAAATGAGTATTATGCTCTAAGGCAAACTTTGAAACACACCATAATCAAATGTAATATTCAATGAGAAAATAAGGCAGATTCTGTTCTTAAGTGTTTTCATCTGGGGCTTAAAAGATGTTTAAGACTTAGGACAAGTATTGAATGTCAGGCAGAAGGGACAGCATAAAAAAGGTGCACAGTCAGGAAATTGTGTGTATATTGGTGGGAATGATGGTAGCCTACTATGAGAAGAGCTTAGAATTGGAGGGAAGATGTGATGAAATATAGGATCGGAAAGTTCAGCAGGGGAAATGTTGACAGAGGGCTGAGGAATTTAGGCTTCATTACATTTTCTATAGGGAACCTCTAACGTTTTCTGAGGGCAGTAGTGACATGATCAGATCTGTTTAAAATAAAGTTACTTCTGCAAAGCAGTATTCGTTAGACTGTGGGGAAGAGAGAATAAAAGGAGTTTCTATAACTGCAACTCACCGTGAGTGGTAATAGTTTTACTATGTGTTTGCAAACATTCTACACTCAGAAGTTCAAAGATACATTTGTATAGGTGTCTTTATACATAGAAGGAGGCATTTACTGCCCATCAATGATAGACTGGATAAAGAAAATGTGGTGCATATACACTATGGAATACTATGTAGCCATAAAAATGAATGAGTTCATGTCCTTTGCAGGGACATGGATGAAGCTGGAAACCATCATCCTCAGCAAACTAACACAGGAACAGAAAACCAAACACCGCATGTTCTCACTCATAAGTGGGAGATGAACAGTGAGAACACACGGACACAGGGAGGGGAACATCACACACTGGGACCCGTCAGGGGTTGGGAGTAAAGGGGAGGGAGAGCATTAGAACAAATACTTAATGCATGCAGGGCTTAAAACCTAGATGACAGGCCGGGCGCGGTGGCTCACATCTGTAATCCCAGCACTCTGGGAGGCCGAGCGGGGTGGATCACGAGATCAGGAGATCGAGACCATCCTGGCTAACACAGTGAAACCCTGTCTCTACTAAAAATACAAAAAATTAGCCGGGCTTGGTGGCGGGCGCCTGTAGTCCCAGCTACTCGGGAGGCTGAGGCAGGAGAATGGCGTGAACCCGGGAGGCGGAGCTTGCAGCCAGAGATGGCGCCACTGCACCCCAGCCTGGGCGACAGAGCAAGACTCCGTCTCAAAAAAAAAAAAAAAAAAAAAACCTAGATGACAGGTTGATAGGTGCAGCAAACCACCATGGCACAGGTTTACCTTTGTAACAAACCTGCACATTCAGCATATGTATCCCAGAAATTAAAGTAACATTAAAAAAAAAAAAGAAGGAGGAGGCATTTACACACATTCACACAACACACACACACACACATACACACATTGGTTTGGCAAAGACTCAGTGAATCTGAGAGATAGAATATTGTATTGGTTAAGGACATGGGCCTTAGAATCAAACAAAAGACTGGCTCCTTCACTGTGTAACTTTGCTTAAGATAATTAAACTCTAATATAAAATGGAGTTAAAATGTTTACTTTTAAGTTTTGTTAAACATTAAATGTAATAACCTATGAGAAGGATTTAGTATAGTTCTCACCTATTGTATGCACACAATAGCTGAGAGCTAACATTTCTACTATTGCCTTTTTCACTATTGTTGTCAATTTGAGATGTACTTCAAGTCAATGAGTAATTTGGTAATAGCATTAACTGGAAACAGCTTGAGGTCTACAGAGAGAAGAAGATAAAGCCTATCATCTCCAAAGCTATAATTTTGCCATTTTAACAAAAGAAGACCCAGAAACAGAACACAGAATCCTCTAAAGTCTGTTCCAAGTTGCTTTCCCAGAAATTACTTCAATGAGTAAACACTTTCCATCTCTCCTGAAGTTTCACTATATACTTATTAATGCATTATGCTACTCCTGCTCAGGAATGATCTCCAAAGCATTTAACCCAGCAAAGTTTATCAAACATATTGTTCCCAACTGCTTGAAGTTTATCTTACAATAGCTTCTATGACTCGTGAAGAAAACAAGCTACAAGGATTACAAGTGATTTTTTTATTTTTTATCTTGGCAGATGTTAAAAAACAACATTAGCAGAAACAATGACATTTGCAACAAATGAAAAATAAAGTAAATTAAGGGACTCGGAAAAGACAATGAGGGTAATTTGTTTGCAACTCTGGTTGTTGATTCACTGGGTGATTGGTGCCAAAAAGAGTAAACAACCAAATATAGTCACTGAAAACAGTAATACTCCATGAAAGAAGGAAGACTTGTTCTGTGATGAATCACAGAAGTCAGTGTTACACAGAATCATTCAGAAGGTTTAATTAACCAGAAAGCCATCATTATAGAAACTCATCTATAACAAGTCTAATGGTATGGACATTGAAGACAGCATTGTCCTGGGCTCCATTGTTGGGAAAGGCCTGGTTTCATCTAGAGTTCTACTTTTCAGATAACACCCACTTTTCATATGCCATAAGGGCTCATAGATCTTGGGTTCCCATTCTTCTCCCTGGCTTCCGTATTATCTAGATAGATAGGAGGTACTGGAAAGAGAAGGTCTGAGAAATAAAACCTTAGGTCACATTATTGAATATAGTCTGCTGAGTAAATTTCGTCAAACAACAATGAAAAAGATTTTTTCCCACTAAGAAATCCTGAAATACACCAGAATATTCATAGCTTTAAAATTCTTTCTTTTGTGTGTGTTGCAGGATGGGTAGTCTATCGTCTTGCTCTTTTCACTCACTTCTACTTTTCCAGCTTAATCCTCTCCTATATCCCTCATGTACTACACCATGAACTCTATTCAGCCACCTACCCATGGACATCTGAGCAAAGCTCACATACTTGTACAAGAACACTTGCCCAGAATTATCTTTTCCCCATGACAACTTGTTGAAAACATTTTCTTTTGAAGTTTCACAGAACTCCAAGAAACCTATCTATATTTTTTCTTTGTAAATATTGCTATAAGATTTTGCTTCTAAAACTTTAGCATTGACATCATTTTGCTTTCATAAATATCTGATTCTCCAAGCATATCATAAGATCTTAAAAATCAGGAACCAAGGTTTTTGTATCGCCTCATCATCTGAAATGCCTGGCATAGTGATTATTTTATCACAGTTGAGAATGCAAAAGCAAATCCTAGTTTTACCACTTAGTACCTGTGTAAATTTAGATGTATTATTTTACCTCTTTGAATTCCTGATTATGCATCTGTAAAATGGGTATAATAATACCATTTTCAAAGGTTTATGAGGATTACCTATGACAATATACAAAAAGCATCTAAAATGGCACTTGATCCATTGTGTGTGCTCAATATATAGTAGCTTAAAAATAAACTCGTTTCTGTAAAGTTGAGGTATAATAATCTTCTTCAGATACATCACTCAGATTATGCCTTCAAGTTGGCCATCAATTAAAAACAAGCAGCCATTTGTGAGAAAGAATACCAGTCCGGGGGCTGTGGCTCACGCCTGTAATCCCAGCATTTTGGGAGGCCAAGGCGGGCGGATCACGAGGTCAGGAGATCGAGACCATCCTGGCTAACACAGTGAAACCCCGTCTCTACTAAAAAAATACAAAAAATTAGCCAGGCGTGGTGGCGGGCACCTGCAGTCCCAGCTACTCGGGAGGCTGAGGCAGGAGAATGGCGTAAGTAAACCCAGGAGGCGGAGCTTGCAGTGAGCCAAGATCGCGCCACTGCACTCCAGCCTGGGCGACAGAGCGAGACTCCATCTTAAAAAAAAAAAAATTAATTAATTAAATAAATAAAAATAATAACAATAAAAAAGAATAGCCAAGCACAGGGCCAGGCGTGGTGCCTCACGCCTGTAATCCCAGCACTTTGGGAGGCTGAGGCGGGCGGATCACGAGGTCAGGAGTTTGAGATCAGCCTGGCCAATATGGTGAAACCCCATCTCTACTAAAAAATACAAAAAATTAGCTGGGCACAGTGGCGTGCACCTGTAGTCCCAGCTACTCAGGACTCTGAGGCAGGAGAATCGCTTGAACCCAGGAGGTGGAGGTTGCAGTGAGCCTAGATTGTGCCACTGCACTCCAGCCTGGGCGACACAGTGAAACTCTGTCTGAAAAACAAAAAACAAAACAAAAACAAAACAAAACAAAACAAAAAACAAAACAATACCCAAGCACTTTACTACAACTCTAATCATTGGGAAGAACAGTTCTTACAGTGATATATTGTTACAAAACCCACTTGTGTCTGCGAGCAATCTATGATGAGTCTAGATTTACCTGCTGATTCCTCTGGAATTTATTGGAATGATAAACTTTCCAAAAATTAAAAAGTCATTCCAATATCATAAAATAGTCATCTGCATGGAATCAATCTAGATTCTCATCAACAGTGGACCAGATAAAGAAATGTGGTACATATACACTATGGAGTACTATATAGCCATAAAAAGAATGAAATCATGTCGTTTGCAGCAACATGGATGCAGCTGGGGGCCATTACCCTAAGTCAATTAATGCAGGAACAGAAAGCCAAATACTGCATGTTCTCACTTATAAGCGAGAGCTAAACATTAAGTACACATGGACACAAAGAAGGGAATAATAGACACCAGGGCCTACTAGAGGGTGAAAGGTGGGAGAAGGGTGAAGATTGAAAGCCAACCTATTGGATTGTACTCTCATTACCTAGGTGACAAAATAATCTGTATACCAAACTCCAGCAACACACAATTTATCCACGTAACAAATCTGCACATGTTCCCCCTAAACCTAAAATAAAAGCTGGAAAGAAAATAATCACCTGAATAATTATAAGAAAATAACTGATAAGAAAATGTGAGTTTTGTTCTAGTCAAATGAATTGTTGAGCTTTCAAGGTTTTTCTCAGCACGGAGATATGGTGCCATTCTTAGGCTGTATGTTTCTAACCGTATTATCTGTGACAGGGGTAACCTGCTAATTTAGATCAATATAATATGTAATCAGCAACTATTAAGATTCACTATCAGGCAAACAAATCCAGCTAAATTGCATTTAACTCTACTAAAAACATTTTTAAATCACCTATATGTACCACTTTAGTTATGGAAATTACATTGCAATTGAACTGGATAGAAGTTGATTTATATATATATATATATATGTATACGTATGACATATATAGGATAGGTATAGGTTTTATATATAACCTTTTTGATATATAATTTATATTACATATAACTTTTTGATAGTGATATTCTGAACCTTTTCTTCTAGAAAAATGGGCACTTCCCCCTCAGTGATTTTGTTGTATCTTTTACAATGTTCTCTCATAGAGCCACCAATATTTTATTGCTCCTAAGGGATGAGAAAGGACTCATATTTATTCATATTTTTAATCCTACTCTTACAGCCTAGCATAACGTTGGCCCATGGCGGATGATCAATGAATGTTCTTTCAATCAATTAACACATTTTCTTAGTTTTTCCTACTCCAACTTGCTCTGTAACTTTGAGCATATAATCAATCTTTATGGGCCTTGACTCTGTTTCTCCCGTGGAAAAGAAACATTAGACACAAAGGGTATCTCATAAATATGTAGTTAGAACAGCTGGTGCTCAGCTTTCCAGATCCCACTCTCTTCTCACCCTTATTACCACCCTTAGTACAGAGAGTGACAGTGTTAGTAAGAGCAAAGATAAAACCACTTTCTTTATTAGATCTGGTAAAGCCAGCAGGCCCAGGAAACATGCAGAGTCAGATCTGCCTAGGTTTTAATAGGGTTAGAGAGCATAACTGGATCTCATCCTCTATTTTTTTAATGGACTGATTACCAGGCCCTGGGATCAAAGACTCCTGTTGTTTATCTTTGCTCTTTTACTTTAATAACTGCTGACACTCCATCAGGGTGTCATGGAGGCCCAGAAGGAGTTTTGATTGCCTTCAAGATGAGATGATATAAAACTCACCAGGCTCTGTACATATCCTCTTATAAGCCTAAGGGGTAGAAAATAGCATTACCCTTGTTTAAAATGAACTATCCTTAATCTTTATTTTACAGATCAGGAATCTAAGGCTCAGAGAGACTAACCTGTTTCCTTGTTCTGGGCACTGATCAGAGAAGAAGAGTTTGCTCAAAATATCAAGAATAACCATTTCCCTGGAAAAAAAAAACACAGCTCAGCGAATGTCAACCTTGTATTTCCATCCGCACTGGTGCTTCTTTTGGGTGCTAATAACTTGTCTTCTCCTTAGCACTCTAATAGGTCTAGAAAGATAAAAGGAAGAAAGAGTCAGCTTTATTGATGGCTGTTCAGTAAAACAAAATACAAAGCTTCTTGGTGAAGCTGGATTTGAGATTGTGATTGGAGTTGACCTATGACCATCTTTATACCTCACCCTAAATGTGGACATTGGCACCAATGGGTGGGAACATTTGAGCCCAATTTACTCACCCAAATGTCGAGGAGGAAGCTGAAGAATAGCCCACCTCAACCAAGTGGGAGAACAACTGCCCCTCTGCCTGCTTCATAATGGGAGGAAGAGGTGAAAAAGCCCTGTTCCTTCTTATAAAACCCAGGGCAGAAAACACAAAAAGCTACAAGAGAAATGTGCTCATATTGCCATTCAACTGAATAAACATTCTTTAAGTGAAGTTACCCTATAGGGCATGAGGTGCTCAAATTTCAAGTCATCTACCTCTGCTCCCTGAGCTGGAATAAATATAGGTGTAGATGGAGAAACTGGAAGTATTCACTTCAATATTATCTTCTCTATGAGGAGTACAATACATTTCCTTTATGGAAATGTAAGGAAGAAAGAATAAGTTCTTCCATATAGAAGCTTTTAGTTTAAGTCTCCATCATCTTCCCACCTGCACTATACCAATAGTCTCTTAATTAGTATGTTGGTTATCATTCTTTTCATTTATGTTTTTCACAACATGAAAGATGACCTGTCTTTTAGAAGATTAAACTGTGACTCCAACCTTTTGCCAAACCGTTAATATTTCTTTGAGAAAATCACCCACTCTTTCCATGCTGCTATTTCCTTTTTAATAAAATGAGGAAGGTCGGGCGCTGTGGCTCACGCCTATAATCCCAGCACTTTGGGAGGCCAAGGCGAGCGGATCACCTGAGGTCAGGAGTTGGAGACCAGCGTGGCCAGCATGGCGAAACCCTGTCTCTACTAAAAATACAAAAATTAGCCGGGCATTGTGGCAGGCGCCTGTAGTCCCAGCTACTTGGGAGGCTGAGGCAGGAGAATCGCTTGAAACCAGGAGGCAGAGGTTGCAGTGAGCTGAGATCACGCCACCGCACTCCAACCTGAGCAACAGAGCAAGACTCCATCTCAAAATAAATCAATAAAATAAAATAAAGTAAAATAAAATAAGATAAAATGGGGAAGATGGTAATTGCAATGCAAGCTTTTGGTGATAGATGAGTTCACATCATAAAGCACTAAAATTATTGCTAGTTATGATTCTCATCTATTTATCTTTCTCTGCCTTCTCTCAGCTGCCCTAGCTCAGTACGTGGTATTCCTGTTGTTAGGTACATCACTGCCACAGTTCTTAGACTAATATGGGCTTGAGGCTGGAAGTACTCAGCTAATTCATTTAACTTAATACCACCTAATGAATCTGGGCTGACTCAGGACACAAGGCCCCGAAGATGACCATTGGGTTCTCCAGTTGGGCCCTAAGCTTTTCTTAAAACATGGCCTAGGCTATGTTGGTACAGAGCTACTTACTGATTATCCAGAACTGAGCATTAGAGAGAGAGGAAGACTGGGGATACAAGTAGCAGATTTAATCTTTTGGAAGCAATCACTGCAATTATCATAAATGAGTGCAAAGAAAAAAAGAGCCAAAGACAAATATGTAAAGAACATCTGTATTTAGGGCAGTTGCCTTTAACCATCAATATATCTTGAACCCAATTATGAATATTGTCTCAAATGTTCCCACAGCAAAATTATGAGACGTGAAGGTGATGTGGTGATTATGGCATTATAATTGAGTCATTACAGCTTTGAGATTAAATGATTTGTCTGCAAACAGAACCCACATTCCCTAAACCTCTGCTAAAGAAAAGCTACTACAGTCAGGTATGGTGGGAATGGAGAAAGTCTTATATTGGCTGATGCAAATCTTGATGTGAACTTTCAAGATTTGGCCTTCAGAGAGGAAATGCCTTTTACTGCTTACCTCACTACTTTTTTAAGCTCTTGGCAGAAAGACCCCGAAAAAATAGAAAATATTATTAGTGTTAGAAAAGTGCCAGTTTCAGCTAAGCTCTGTTGAGTCAGTAATTCAACATAAGAGGATTGGTAGAGAGGGTAAGAATAAATAACTTCTAGGGTTGTCTGAGCAGTTGGAATTTATGATCTATAAAACTCCATCCATAAAAGGGAAAAAATTTGAACATATAAAAATTATAAGCAAGTTCTGCACAGAGCTCAGTTATTGGAAAAATAGTTTTTCCTAAATGTAGCATTTGGGTTTTGGAGGATTTTAGCAGACATACATGTTTCAAATTTTATGGAACCTTACTAAATGGAAAGCACTGTGCAAAGAACTGGATAATGTTCCTGACCTTATGAAGCTTAGAATCTGGAAGAGGGAAAATTCAACCCCGAAGGTTATCTAGTAATACATTTTATAATTTTTCTTTTTTCCTCAGGTTACATTTATGTAAGACAATGCAAACCTATACGAGATGAACTCGATCCTCTGTCATGCCTACTGAATGCCTTAGCTAATGTATTCCTTAAATTAACAATCTTTTTCTCTGTGAAGAATATTGGTTTCTCAGTGGAGTGGAAGTATATAAACAATCCCAAATCAAGACATAGATTTGCTCTGTCTTCAAGGAGTTTACAAACACATCAAAGAAGAGAAGATATATTTAGACCTTTTTAAAATTTTTTAAAGTAATAAAGCCACAGTGAAGAAAATGTAAAGAAAAGAGAAAAATCAACCCCAATCCCACCACTCTAACAGTCTCTGGCCATGTCTTTTAATAACTTATGCTGATCCCTCCTTTTCTTGTGGATTCTTAATGTATCAGAACCCAGGGTTTGGTCCTTGGACTTCTCATCTTTTCTATCGTTTCTATCTTCACTTATCCCAAAGTGATCTCATTCAATCTTATGGCTTTAAATGCTATCTGTATGCTGATGATTCCCAGATTTATAACTCCAACCTACATATTGTGCTACTCCTGTAGTTATACGGAGCTGTGTCCTTGGTCTTCAGCAACCACTATCCCTAGCTCTATAATTTTGTCGCTTTGAGAATGTTATATAAATGGAATCATACATACAATCATGTATAGTCTTTTGAGATTGACTTACTTTCACTCAGCATAATTCCTTTGAGATCCATCCATGTTGCTACATGTATCGATTGTTGACTCATTTTCTGTGCTATGTATATACCACCATTTATTTAAACATTCATTCATTGAAAGGCATTTGAGTTGTTTCCAATTCTTGGCTATTACAAATGAAGCTTCTATGAATATTCATATACATGTATTTTTGTGGATGTATGTTTTCATTTTTCTGAGATTAACACCCAGGAACATGATTGCTGGGTTGTATCTTAAATATATATTTAGTTTACTAAGTAACTGCCAAATTATTTTCCAGAGTAGCTGTACCATTTTGCAGTCCCATGAGCAATGTATGAAAGATCTAGTTTCTCCACATCCTTCCCAACACTTGGTATTGCATGTCTCTCTGATTATAGCCATTCTAGTGGGCATGTTGAACATCATTAATAATTTTGCATTCATATATTCTTGATGTAATGCCTTTCTTGTCTTTTGCCCATTTTCCAAATTTTACTGTTGAATTTTGAAGAGTTCTTTATATATTCTACATAAAAGTCTTTTGTTAGGTATTTGGTTTGCAAAGATTTTCTCCATCTGATCTTGTTCTTTCATCCTCTTTACAGGGTCTTTTGTGGAGCAAAAGTCTTTAAAAAATTAATTTAACTACATTTCGACGTTTCTCAGTTGATTTGACCAAGATTATCTCTTTTTTTGGTCCATAATTCACATGTTATAGATCACAAGTGTTCTGAAAAACACATACTTGAAAATGTTCTAGAAAGTTCTTGACTTTTACTCCCAACATCAAGTGTTCTCAATTCTCTCAGAGTTCTACTTTCTACTAAGGATCAGAAACTTCTCTAAGAACAAAATTTATGGCAATGAATGCTATAAGAATGCACCATTCTCCTGACTTGCATATTGGTACTTTGCTTGGGGCTTTCTGGGGACAAATGTAAAACAAATAAGAAGTGATTTTAAGGGTGGGAATTTTCGTCTTTATGGGAGTTGGTTGGAAAATGCCATTATATTGCTAACAGATGGCCACTAGACATGGATTCTAGCCTTGGATTTACCATTAATTGTTTGTGTAACTTTGGATAGGCCACTCTATTCTGAGCCCGAATTTCATCATCTGTAAAAATGAAGAATCTGTAGCACATTTAACATCCTGTAATTCTAACTCATATCAGTATTCTATCCAGTTGCAGATGGGAATCTCATCTGTGATGAAAGTGTTGCAGGATACTGATTGGGAACACTAAACAATAGGTATGATTTGAGCACTGGGTGTGTTTAAGTGATCCCTAAAATTTCACTAGGATGAACAAATTTTTTGCAACATCTTCCTAATAAAAACACAAGGTGTTTTCTGCTTTTTCTAGAATCAAAGTGTTGAAGCAGTCCTCCACTGCTCCAGGTTTCCTGTGTCCGAGTACTCTGAAATCTACATACCAGTTCTCTCATCATTTTCTTTCTGATCTCAATCAAAACTGAAAATCAGTGATCATGATCAGAAATAAACTAAGACAGATAAGGCCATTTTTCTTGAGACAGAGTCTCACTCTGTTGCCCAGGCTTCAGAGAAGTGGCACGATCTCAGCTCACTGCACCCTCCGCCTCCCAGCTTCAACCAATTTTCCTGCCTCAGCCTCCCATGTAGTTGGGATTACAGGTACACGCCACCATGCCCAACTTTTTTTTTTTTTTTTTAGTAGAGATAAGTTTTTGCCATGTTGGGCAGCCTGGTCTTGAACCCCTGACCTCTGGCAATCCACCCACCTCGGCCTGCCAAAGTTCTGGGATTACAGGCGTGAGCCACCGCACCTGGCCAAGACCATTTTTCTTTTTATTTATTTATTTATTTATTTTTTAATTTTATTATTATTATACTTTAAGTTTTAGGGTACATGTGCACAATGTGCAGGTTAGTTACATATGTATACATGTGCCATGTTGGTGTGCTGCACCCATTAACTCGTCATTTAGCATTAGGTATATCTCCTAAAGCTATCCCTCCCCCCTCCCCACACCCCACAACTGTCCCCAGACTGTGATGTTCCCCTTCCTGTGTCCATGTGTTCTCATTGTTCAGTTCCTACCTATGAGTGAGAATATGCAGTGATTAGTTTTTTGTTCTTGCGATAGTTTACTGAGAATGATGATTTCCAATTTCATCCATGTCCCTACAAAGCACATGAACTCATCATTTTTTATGGCTGCATAGTATTCCATGGTGTATATGTGCCACATTTTCTTAATCCAGTCTATCATTGCTGGACATTTGAGTTGGTTCCAAGTCTTTGCTATTGTGAATAGTGCCACAATAAACATATGTGTGCATGTGTCTTTATAGCAGCATGATTTATAGTCCTTTGGGTATATACCCAGTAATGGGATGGCTGGGTCAAATGGTATTTCTAGTTCTAGATCCCTGAGGAATCGCCACACTGACTTCCACAATGGTTGAACTAGTTTACAGTCCCACCAACAGTGTAAAAGTGTTCCTATTTCTCCACATCCTCTCCAGCACCTGTTCTTTCCTGACTTTTTAATGATTGCCATTCTAACTGGTGTGAGATGGTATCTCATTGTGGTTTTGATTTGCATTTCTCTGATGGCCAGAGATGGTGAGCATTTTTTCATGTGTTTTTTGGCTGCATAAATGTCTTCTTTTGAGAAGTGTCTGTTTATGTCCTTCGCCCACTTTTTGATGGGGTTGTTTTTTTCTTGTAAATTTGTTGGAGTTCATTGTAGATTCTGGATATTAGCCGTTTGTCAGTTGAGTAGGTTGTGAAAATTTTCTCCCATTTTGTAGGTTGCCTGTTCACTCTGATGGTAGTTTCTTTTGCTGTGCAGAAGAACTTTAGTTTAATTAGATCCCATTTGTCAATTTTGGCTTTTGTTGCCATTGCTTTTGGTGTTTTAGACATGAAGTCCTGGCCCATGCCTATGTCCTGAATGGTAATGCCTAGGTTTTCTTCTAGGGTTTTTATGGTTTTAGGTCTAACGTTTAAGTCTTTAATCCATCTTGAATTAATTTTTGTATAAGGTGTAAGGAAGGGATCCAGTTTCAGCTTTCTACATATGGCTAGCCAGTTTTCCCAGCACCATTTATTAAATAGGGAATCCTTTCCCCATTGCTTGTTTTTCTCAGGTTTGTCAAAGATCAGATAGTTGTAGATATGCGGCGTTATTTCTGTGGGCTCTGTTCTGTTCCATTGATCTATATCTCTGTTTTGGTACCAGTACCATGCTGTTTTGGTTACTGTAGCCTTGTAGTATAGTTTGAAGTCAGGTAGCATGATGCCTCCAGCTTTGTTCTTTTAGCTTAGGATTGACTTGGCGATGTGGGCTCTTTTTTGGTTCCATATGAACTTTAAAGTAGTTTTTTCCAATTCTGTGAAGAAAGTCATTGGTAGCTTGATGGGGATGGCATTGAATCTATAAATTACCTTGGGCAGTATGGCCATTTTCATGATATTGATTCTTTCTACCCATGAGCATGGAATGTTCTTCCATTTGTTTGTATCCTCTTTTATTTCGTTGATCAGTGGTTTGCAGTTCTCCTTGAGAAAATCTAGAAGAAATGGGTAAATTCCTCGACACATACATCCTCCCAAGACTAAACCAGGAAGAAGTTGACTCTCTGAATATACCAATAACAGGCTCTGAAATAGTGGCAATAATCAATAGCTTACCAACCAAAAAGAGTCCAGGACCAGATGGATTCACAGCTGAATTCTACCAGAGGTACAAGGAGGAACTGGTACCATTCCTTCTGAAACTATTCCAATCAATAGAAAAAGAGGGAATCCTCCCTAACTCATTTTATGAGGCCAGCATCATCCTGATACCAAAGCCGGGCAGAGACACAACCAAAAAAGAGAATTTTAGACCAATATCCTTGATGAACATTGATGCAAAAATCCTCAGTAAAATACTGGCAAACCGAATCCAGCAGCACATCAAAAAGCTTATCCACCATGATCAAGTGGGCTTCATCCCTGGGATGCAAGGCTGGTTCAATATATGCAAATCAATAAATGTAATCCAGCATATAAACAGAACCAAAGACAAAAACCACATGATATCTCAATAGATGCAGAAAAGGCCTTTGACAAAATTCAACAACCCTTCATGCTAAAAACTCTCAATAAATTAGGTATTGATGGGATGTATCTCAAAATAATAAGAGCTATCTATGACAAACCCACAGCCAATATCATACTCAATGGGCAAAAACTGGAAGCATTCCCTTTGAAAACTGGTACAAGACAGGGATGCCCTCTCTCACCACTCCTATTCAACATAGTGTTGGAAGTTCTGGTCAGGGCAGTTAGGCAGGAGAAGGAAATAAAGGGTATTCAATTAGGAAAAGAGGAAGTCAAATTGTCCCTGTTTGCAGATGACATGATTGTATATCTAGAAAACCCCATCGTCTCAGCCCAAAATCTCCTTAAGCTGATAAGCAACTTCAGCAAAGTCTCAGGATACAAAATCAATGTACAAAAATCACAAGCATTCTTATACACCAATAACAGACAAACAGAGAGCCAAATCATGAGTGAACTCCCATTCACAGTTGCTTCAAAGAGAATAAAATACCTAGGAATCCAACTTACAAGGGACCATTTTTCTTAAAGTTCAGTGGTGTTTGGAGGTAGAGGGGAGCAGGAATGAGAAAGAAGGAGGAAGAAGCTGATGAATACGCCTGTGATGATTTATTAATCATTTGGCAGATACGCATTCATCCAGTAAGAAGAGTATCATTAAAACTGGGTTATAATTAATTGCAACAGCACCGTTGCTTAAAAGGAACTTCACAAAGAAAAGTACATCTCCTAGGCAATTTGGAAATCAGTTTAAAAGATGCTTTTCTCCTAACCTGTCATCCTAAGACTAGGGAACAAGGAATAATCTATAGATACAGAGAGAAGAGAAGGATAAATGTAGTACTCAGCCAAAGAATGCTGATATCCTGGTGTTGGAGGAGAGAGAGGCAGAAAGGTAAGTGCAAGAAAGAGGTAAGTGTGTCTAAGAACACAGTGATGAGGGTGGGTAAGGAAGAGCATAGTCACAAAATCACACCGATATTTAGAAAACAACTTGTTTAAGTGAATCAACAAAAGTTTAACAATATCAAGTTTGGAAAGGTTTTGAAAGGTAATCTATTGCCAACCACCTTTCCCTTTTATCTGTGCTCAAATTTCTTTTTCATCATAATAATTCACTTTCCCATTTACTCAGCACATATATTTTTTGAGGTTTTATTATGGGCCTAGTACTGTCATGGGTCTGGAGAACACCAAGATGATTCAGACAGCATCCTTTTCATCAAGGAGCTGACATTCTTGTCTAGGCTAGTCTAATTAGGACAACTAAAGAAGTAGTTATTAAAGAATAAGATGTGGTTTTTTGGAGATATGTACTAGGGGTGATTTAAAGCAAAAAGGAGGAATGCTTATTTCTATCTGGGCAAGTGAAAAACCCACAGGAGGGGGACCTGGGGTTGGGGAGGGCGAGATCAGAAAAGACTTCATAGCCAAAGAGGATTCTTTAGGGTCCTCTTTGGGTTCTTCATAGTCAAAGACGATTTTTAAGGGTCTCATTTGGGGATCTAACATCACCAGTTTTGTTCTTTCTGAGATACAAAGCTCAGATGTAGGGTGGGAAGTAAGGTGGATAGAGATCCCCAGACTCCCAGCCTGCCATCAAACGCCCAAATTTTTCCCTCTATTTCCATGTTACTACTTTTTTCACACATTTAAAATTAATCTTGTTTTATGTTCTCTTTTGTATCTATTTTGCTTTTAATACAGGGGACTTTAGTTGAAAACAGCACCACAGAATTTCAACACTAGAAAGTATCTCACAGAATGTAACTAGAAGTGACATTTCCTGGAAGGAAACTGAGGCCTAGACAAAGATACCAACACACACTGGAATATTGTAACACAGCTGGGTCTAAACTTCTAATCCAGTTCTTTTTTCTTTTTTCCATTCTGTCTCCCACCTACTTCTTTTTCAGGCTATACTTACAATCTCCCTAGGGTGCTAGATAATACTTGTATATTCCAGCTATTTTAATTTTTGCATAATTTTCCCATGAAGATTTTGTCGTTTCCTCTTTCAGACATGACCCAAGAACCTCAGTCTGGCCTAATTAGCTGATCCCTATGGCACCTTAAAAGACAGTGCTCCCTCAGGAGATGAAGGGCTCAGGATTGCTGGGCCCCAGCTGCTGTGTTCCCACCAGCTCAGGCCCTCTCAGCACGGCTAGGATGCAAGCAAGTTTGATCCTACATTGAAAAAAATATGAATAATGTCTGTAGCTGGTCTGGTTTCTTCCAATGCCATTTACAACCTTTGTGGTTTGAATCTGTTCATAGAAGAATTAGTTGATGGTTTTGAATGTTATTAGTGAAGAACCCCAACTAGTTTCTCAGGGCATTCTTCTGGGAAAACCACAGCTTAATGAAGATAGTATTCCAGATCATCTCAAGGAAACAACTTGTCAAAACAATGCCCTTTTCAGAATTTACTTGTGGGTGGATGGAATATGGATATAAATCTGGAGTAAATAGAAATGCTTAAACATGGCAAAGCCCTTTCCCCTTCTATGTCTTTGTACAATAACTCATTCAGGATCCCAAAGCCAAAACTGGTATTGTACACAGAGGCGGAAACATTTATATGTGATTTGGGAAAGCTAAAAGCTAAAAAAAAATCTGCTAAAAAGTTTCTCTCCACTGAAGCTTCCTGTGGTTTGGCCTGATAAGTTTTTCTATTAGCTGTTCACCTTAAGTTATTTAACCAAAACATCCACACCCTTGTCTTCAAGAGGAAAATGCTAAAGTAAGTGTGTCTGTGTGTGTGTGTGTGTGTGTGTGTGTGTACAATTTTTTTTTGAGCCAGTGTCTCTCTGTTGCCTAGGGTGGAGTGCAGTGGTGCAATGATAGCTCACTGCAGCCTTGATCTACCCAAATTCAAGCAATCCTCAATCTTCTTGCTTCAGCCTCCCTAGTAGCTGTGACAACAGGTGTGCCACCATGCTTGGCTAGTTTTTTTTTAACTTTTAGTAAAGACAAGGTCTCATTATGTTGCGCAGGCTGGTCTTGAATTCCTAAGCTCTTGTGATCCTCCCATGTCGGCTTCCCAAAGTGCTGGGATTACAGGTGTGAGCCACCATGCCCTGCCAAAATGAATATTTTAAGACATGTAAAATTACTAACATAATGCTAGGCAAAGAGCCAAGGTGTTCCATGTATATAACATGACGATGATGCTAGTTTATTTCTTCATTTTGTCAAACAAGGTACCTGACCTCCCAGTTTACATCAAGCTTGTAGTTAAAAGATAAAATAAGACACAGTCTTAGTATTTTTTTTTTAAGACAGAGTCTCACTCTGTTGGCCAGGCTGAAGTGCAGTGGCGTGATCTCGGCTCACTGCAAGCTCCAACTTCCGGGTTCATGCCATTCTCCTGCCTCAGCCTCCCAAGTAGCTGGGACTACAGGCATCTGCCACCATGCCCGGCTAATTTTTTTTTTTTTATCTTTTTTTTTTCAGTAGAGACGGGGTTTCACCGTGTTAGCCGGGATGGTCTCGATCTCCTGACCTCGTGATCCGCCCGCCTCTGCTTCCCAAAGTGTTGGGATTACAGGCGTGAGCCACCACGCCCAGCTACACAGTGTTAGTCTCTAAAGATCTCACAGTCCCTGAGGAAAGACAGATCCATAAACAACTCACAATACAGTATGGTACACAATTTTAATGGAAGGAACCACAGGTATGTTGAAAGAACATCAGTACAGCTGGAGACAGGGAGGGACCATATGATATATAACTCCTAAAAGCTGGAAGGAGTTATTATCACATAATTTCTGGGCGCTACAGAAGTTTTTCATCACTCACTAGTATTACATAATTTGCTAGGAATCTATTAAGAAACTTCGAGTAGCCTGATTAGAAGAAAAGACATTAGGAAAAGCAAGTCTCAAGAGTTGGAAAGAGGAAAGAACATGGCATCAGCAAATCCGGAGTGGCTGGCAGTGGGGGCAGAGGGTTGCTAGAGAGGACTGCAGGTGGAGAAGGAGGTACTGAGGTACTGAGGTACTGAGGTAACATACTGACTGTATCCTCTTCCAGGAAGGCAAGGTTCAGAAGTAAGAGCTGGAGAAAGAGGGCCACATGCAAATTCCAAAATAGAACCCTGAGGGCACCCTCTAGATATTCAAAATATCCCCATGCTCCCCTATGATCATAAGCAATGATAATCCATATAAATCATTTCCATTTCCAGTGTTGTATGTAATACAGGGATATAGAATTCAGATTCAAAGCCTATGCTTTTTTCTCATGATGCCATAACACTGCATGAGCCTTGAGTTTGAAATTAATTTGGATTTGAAGTAATAAAAATAAATTTAGGTCCCGAGTGATTTTTCTTTTTGCTTCTCTTGCTTTACAGTCAATTGATGAGATCTTTGGATGGTTTGCATCATTTTTTAATCCTATATAAATATTTGTTTCTTTCATTTGCCTATTTTGGCTTTCTTTAGAAAATGGTCTTAGTTTATTGAAATTATCGCCAGTGCTTTAAAGAGTATGACTTCCAGTCAATTCAGTTCCACAGTTTTATTGAGCAAATATCATGGATTCAAAATTAGCGCACACTCTAACCCAAGGTCATATAGAGTGGTATAAAGGACTTTACAGACTCAGCAGGGGGAGGGTGCGAGGTAGCATAGAGATAAAAAATTGCATATTAGGTATAATGTACTCATTACCATAATGTAATGGGTGCACTAAAATCTCAGAATTCACCACTATATAATGTATTCATGTAACAAAAAAAACACTTGTACCTCAAAAGCTATTGAAATAAAAATGAAAAAAAAAAAACAATATTAGTGAACACTCTAGATATTCCACTTGCTTTGATTCATATTTTTTACTGCACTTAACCACTACCTAACATGTCATGTATTTGTTCTTTTGATTATTGCCTGTTTCCTGTACTAGACTGTGAGCTCCATGAGATCAAGAACAGTCTCGGTTTTGTTCAAAGATGTGTCCTCAAAAACTAAGTAGTCCTGGAAACTTGTAGGTGCTCTACAAGTATCTGTTTAAATGACTGTGTGACCATGAAGTGCTGACAGGAATGAAAGAATGCATAAGACATTTGGTCTCAATGTGTGCATCTAATTGGAAACTCAAGATACAAATGAATGAAGTTGACAATACAGTGGCAGTTAAGCTTGTATAAATCTGAGGCCTCAAATTCAGATGTGATTGAAATTTAACTTTTGTATTTTGACTTAAACTGGATTTCAAGCTCAGATTCTGCTGGGATGGTACAAACGTTGTGTGCTTCCTCTTCTTTCCCCAGTTTGAATCTAAGATTAGTTGGGGAGCTTATATAGGCCAAGACTAGTAGGGATGCTGTCTGGACCTCATGCATCCATCCACACCAGTCATCACTGTGATGCCCATGGTCCTCTCTCAGTGGCTCTTCTAGGTATGGCAGTTTTCTCTACCCCTTCCTGCTCATACATAAAGACACAAGAATTCTTGTGCTACTTTTCAGCCATCTCCTAAAGACTGCCTTTTGTCCTCCCTGCATACATAGTCTAAGCATCTCCATTTAGAAAACTAGGTCCATCCTCTGCTCTTGAGACGACCACAGACCTCAAACCACCTTCCTGGGCTTACATCAGAGAAAAAAAGGAAGACAGTCTTTCTCTTTCTTGGGTCCACAGAACTCTCTGTTCTCAACAACTCCCTTCTAGTACCCTTTCCCTTCCCAAACCTGGAGGAATATTTTTCTAGTGTGCAATGGGAAACGCCTCACTCCTCAATCTGTATGTTTCCCAAACATTTTGGATCCCCTCCATTCTTTCCTGAAAGGTTTGAAAAACAAACCAGGATCAAGAGGCTCACAAGCTTTTTGTCCTTTCCTAGAATGACAAACACAGATAACTGTTGGCTTATATAGAACTATTAGCTTGTAAAGAAAATGGGAACACATGGTGGAAGGGAAGGATAATATTTCAAAATGTTATTTTATTATATTCTTCTCTTAGTAAATCTTTGCATTCCTATTTTTTTTTAAAATTATTTCTCATTCAGTTTTTCAACCTCTCCTCCCTCCTCAAGGTGGGATGATCTAGGCCTGTGTAACAAATTGGCATCTAGGACAATGATATTCTTGAGCAAAGCAATCCACACAATATCAGATAATCTACTCCATAATGAAGGTAACAATCTAGAGGCGAGGAGGCAGTAGTCAAATGGGCTGACATGGTTAGTACTGGAATTGAGAAGCCAGTCTATGTTCTGGGAGAAGAGCTGATCACACTGAGTTTTGAAACTTTTTTTTTTTTTTTTTTATTATACTCTAAGTTTTAGGGTACATGTGCACATTGTGCAGGTTTGTTACATATGTATACATGTGCCATGCTGGTGCGCTGCACCCACTAATGTGTCATCTAGCATTAGGTATATCTCCCAATGCTATCCCTCCCCCCTCCCCCGACCCCACCACAGTCCCCAGAGTGTGATATTCCTCTTCCTGTGTCCATGTGATCTCATTGTTCAATTCCCACCTATGAGTGAGAATATGCGGTGTTTGGTTTTTTGTTCTTGCAATAGTTTACTGAGAATGATGGTTTCCAATTTCATCCATGTCCCTACAAAGGATATGAACTCATCATTTTTTATGGCTGCATAGTATTCCATGGTGTATATGTGCCACATTTTCTTAATCCAGTCTATCATTGTTGGACATTTGGGTTGGTTCCAAGTCTTTGCTATTGTGAATAGTGCCGCAATAAACATACGTGTGCATGTGTCTTTATAGCAGCATGATTTATAGTCATTTGGGTATATACCCAGTAATGGGATGGCTGGGTCAAATGGTATTTCTAGTTCTAGATCCCTGAGGAATCGCCACACTGACTTCCACAATGGTTGAACTAGTTTACAGTCCCACCAACAGTGTAAAAGTGTTCCTATTTCTCCACATCCTCTCCAGCACCTGTTGTTTCCTGACTTTTTAATGAAACTTTTTACATTACTGTTATTCACATCAAAGTTCTTTCTGACCCTAGGGATCTCCATGGGCTGGCGATTCCTGCATCTATTTGAGTAGTGGTAAATTCTCTACTGGGCATGGAGGTGCAATTAATTTCATAAACTGATAGGGCAGCATCTGACTGAAGCTCACCTCTCAGCTAAGTCTGCTTCCTACCCACAGCCAAACCCACATCTTATGAAATAAAGAACCTCAGGGACTTCATTGCTTGGGCTTTATAGCTTAAACCCTTTTCATGCAGTCTGGGCAGCTGTAACTTGCTTAACATTTTTGCATCTTACAAAAGATCTTCTGTAATTTCTGCAATTTCAATTTTCTCCTGGCTTGCCATCTATGGGCCCACTCTATCTAAACTCATGGTAATACGCCCACTAGGCATTTCCCTAAGAGAGGACCCTTTCCTGAGTCTTCCAAATATTCAGCCCTGTCCATATTCAAGGAGTGTTGCTTCTTCAGATTCTTGAACTAGGTTCTTTTCCCCTTCAAAGCTCTCTGAAAATGTTTTTTTGAGTATTTGAATCTCCCATTGTTGGAATGTTTTCTCTCCTAATGGGCAGTGCCCTCAGTTAATTATTAGGCTAAGTATAACTTAGTTACCATTTGTTAACACCTGCCATATTCTAACCACTATTACTGGGTAGGAAAGGAGCCCCAACAACTCCCAAAGACCAATCCCATTCCTTCACTGTTTTTGTCATGGATGAACTCCAGTGGCAAAAATTATAGGAAAGTGGGAAAGAGGATTAAATCTTTTTTTCCTGCCTTAATAGTTATGTTAAATCAAACAGAAGAAAGAAATTACCATAATGTTGTCTAAAGCAGGGACTCTCAGATTCTTGTTCCCAGAAAGATTTGGTGTTTTCGGAATATTTTGTTTAAATTATTATCAGTACTTTTGTCTTTGAGAGGAAATGAGAATCATGAAAGAGATATGAACAATAAGACCTGAACCATCCATTTTTTATGTTGTTTTTAAGTAGGATACTAGATGCTCCATGCCTTATTTCCTGATCCTGTCACCTGACATTTTTGTCCAGGTGTAATTGAGTTAAATTGAATATTAAGAAGCACCTATGGTGTATGGCTGAGGGTTGGTTCTGCTCTTTACCTTGGAGCAGCTGAGGGGAGTTTTGACTGATGTATGTATGTAAGCCTTTCATTTTCTTTGGCACAAACTGGGGGAAATTCCTTTCTTTAATCATTGCCTCAGGGAAAGCACCCCTTACCTAATAAGAGGTCTTAAATTTCACATTTATATTATTGTTTTGTTTGGTTTAAGGCATTATATCTTTAGAGTACCCTCTGCTAAATGTGTGCCCCAAGGGGTACGATTTCATCTCAGCTAAGATAGTATGTTATCCTGGAAAGAACATGAGATCTGAAGTCAGAAAATATGGGCTTGAATTCCAGCTCTGTCACTTACTAACTTGAGTGATGTTTGTTTGGCAAGTCCCAAATTCTATCTCAGTTTCCTTATCTATAAAATTAGACTAATAGTCATATCTACTTGATAGATTGCGAAAATTAAGTGAAATCATATCTGTGAATACCACACTGTAAACTCTAAGTTGAATAAAAGCTCTTTTGTTCATTATTTCCCCTGTATCCTACACCCCACACATTTCATCCTTGAGCATTCTAGTGTGACTCAATTTTTATTTCTGTCCCAACTCCTGCCAAGATCATTCATGATTGTATCATGCACATGCATGACTATCCAACAAACTTATCTTAAACTTTTTGACCTCAAAGTCCTTCTTCCACTTTAATAATTTAAACACATTGCTGAATCTGGACCTTGGAGTACCCTCATCTCTGAAATGGTAAATTCCAATATTTCAATATCTGATTATGATCTCCTATCCTTAGAGTCATTATATTTCCCTATGTCAACCTGCTCTTTAACCTCATTGAGACTTAGTTCTTTAAATCCTCCTATTTTCTCCCAGTTCATCACTCTCCTGATGACTTCTTTTTCTAGCCAATCTTGATCCATGATGAATCTCCTACTCTCACTAGCACTTCAAAATCCATAGACCCTTACCCCTCTGAATCCACCTTGTGAATTTACCTCCATAGTAAACCCAGCCACATGCCTTCTCCACTTGTGCACTTGGAATGCTGAGCATTGCAAAAGCATATTACATACTTGTGTATATTACTGCCCCTAGAAATTTGTGGACTCCAACTCAGTAGTATGTCCTGTACTGTTTGACAATCCTTTCACCATCACTGCTTCAGTGTCTTTTCTGTGTCTCACAAAGGTTAGTCCATAGTTTCCTTACACTTTGTAAACTCTTCAGTGTAAAGATGGATACCTATTCCATCTCTGCTGCAACTTCAATGACGATCATATCCCTTAAGTTCATAGGGGGAAAAAAGGCCAGTAGACAAGAACTTCCTTACCATCTTAACTTTGAGCCTACAATCTTAACATTTACTTAAATATATATTCATCCCCACTATTTTCATTTCTATATCAAAGGAAGAGGTTTCTCTTTTTACTTCAATGCTAATTTATTTCCATACTTCCTACATCTGCTCTCCTAGTCTTGTAAGGCAACTTGTACCTTTATCATCCTCTTCTAACCTGCATTTACTATTCTTTTCTTTTTAAACTCCTTTCAAGTAGGCTATAAATAATAATAGTAGTAATAATACTAATAAATCTTCTTTTTGAACTTTGCAACCTTCTCTAACTAAACCCCTATATCTCTCCTTCCTTTAACTCAACTGTTCAAAAGATTATGTATTCTTTTGTCAATGCATCTCAACCTCTCAATCACTCTTCAGGGTTCTGTTCCCATTATCCTTTGGAAACTGTGACTCATTTCAAATTGAAAGGATCTTTTCAGGTTTCAGTTCACTTATCCTCACTCTTTCTCTAAAACTTTTCCACATAATCATCTTTTTGTTCCTGTTATGGTTGATTTTTCCCTACCTCAATAACCACTTCCTTTTCTGGCTTCTCATCTTCTTGCCTACTTGTTAAAAGTTAGCCATTCCAAGGTTCTCCATCCCTGGCACTCACTTATTTTTATTCTTTATGTTTTCTTGGCCTTCAATCAACCCCCAAATAAATATACCTGTGCAGATTACACTTTCAGCCTATACTTGTCCCTGTGCCCTAGAGTTATCAGCCCAACTGCCTACTGGACTCCAGGTGGAGGCTGCAACAGTCTCAACATCCAGGCCAGCAACAGTTCAGTGTTGAACTAATCTCCTACAGCACTGCCACCCCATCAACCTCAGAGGGATCTGCTCCTGTTTTTATTACAACCCCAATTTATGGCAAGACCCAGACCCCGGCATCTAAGTTAGAAAAGTAAGGGTCACTCTAATCTCCTCCCTACCACTTATCCCCTCTCACATTCACTCATTCATCAAATCCTATATATGTTCTCTGTTTAATATGTCTCATATTCACTCCCACATTCATTCCACTACTACCTACTTAGTTCGGGCCTCATCATCTCTTTTTTGATTCTTGCAATTGTCACCTAATTTGTCTGTATTACTCTGGATTTGCATCTCTCAAATCACTATAAGAATGATGTTTCTAAAACACCATGTTTTTCTTCAATAGCTCCCTACATTTTATAGATAAAGTTCTAACCCTTTAGGTCATAAAGGGCTTTTATAATCTATCTCCATGCTTTGCCTCAATGTTTTAATGCCCATACCCCTCAACTCTGCCTATTTAATGCTTATTCATTCTTCAAGATTCAGCTCAAAATTCACTTTTCTCTGTGAATTCGTATGTCACTCCATCTACCACACAGCCTCTCTCAGCTTCCTCAGGTAGAATGAGTCATTTTATTTTTTGTACTAATAGTTTTCCTTGTCTGGACTTATTTCACTACATCTTTGATACTTCACTGCATTTAGCATTTATCTCCCCCTCTTGATTGCATGGAAAGAGAAAGCAGAGGCATATCTTATATGCTCAATACCCACTATAGTGCCTGGAAAATACCTAGTTCTCAATAAGCATTTTTAAAGAAATGGTAAAGGAGTTGGAAACTTGAAAAGTGGGCCTTGAAAGGTGAGTGAAATAATATCATATTATAAAAAATAGGGTTGAAGGTGCTCCAGAGAGAAAGAGGGAAAGAACAGTTGTAAAAATTGTGCACTCCATAATTCTAGGAAGTGCCATGTATATGGTGTTATGGAGTGAATGTTTGTGTCCCACCCAAATTCATATGTTGAAGCCCTAACCCTCAATGTAACAGTGTTTGGAGGCAGGGTCTTTGGAAGGTATTGGGATTAGATAAAGTCATGGGGATAGGGCCCTCACAGTGGGATTAGTGTTCTTCTAAATGGAGATGCCAGAGAACTTGAGGGTGTACATGCTTTCACCCTCTCTCTCTTTTTTCCTGTCCATGTGAGAAAACAGAAAACAGCCATATGAAAGCCAAGAAGAGAGTCCTCACCAGGCACCTTGAACTTGCACTTCCCAGACTCCAGAAATGTAAGAAGTAAATGTATGTTGGTTAAGCCACTCAGTCTATAGTGTTTTGTTATGGCAGCACAAGCAGATAAAGACATGTGAGGGTTGTGATTTGAACATTGAGCTTCTTTGGTAATTTTAACTCATAAGTTATTTTTCCATCCTATGCAACCCTCTCATGCCTTTCCCCTCATGTCTATATGTCATCCAAATTGAAAGCATCTGGATGCCCAGGATTGAGTCTGATTATAAATTGTGCCCCCTACAGTTGAGCAGCTCACAATCTATATACCACACATGGCACTCCTATTGTGAGTCTGCTCCAAAGTTGCAATATATACAGCCAGGTTAGTGTCATTGGGAGATCATTTGAGTTTTATAAGGGTTAGAGAGTGGGAATACAAATTCAAAGGCATAGGTCATAAATAGAAATCAGAAGTGAAAATGACATTTTCTGAACTTTTTTTTTCTGTGTTGTGGATGGTAGTCTGAAAAGAATACTTCTTAAGTTACCTAAGTGATGCCTACCCTTCATAAATTTCATTCATTCACAGATGTGCTTGTAACCATATTTGGCAAATTATTCAAGGAGCTGAATAATAAATTTTCTCCAATTAAAATAATAGCTTGCTCCCAGGTGATTTATAAATAACTATACCTTATCTGACCCAACTGGTTTGCATTCTTTTAGCAAATATGAATGAGATTTGGCTGACATTTTCCCCACCTCCTAAGGTTTCTGTGGCTTTACTAGATAACTCAAACATTTTATCTGGTCAGCTCCTAATAAGGAAAAAAATGTGTAAATGAGACACTAAACATTTTGCTGGTAGGGTTATTAGCCCATCTCCTTTTTAAAATACACAGTTGTTCCAGACACAAACAATACCCTCCTTATTGGGACAGAGCAGTGTTTTTACTGTAGCAATTACTCACTGGCATAAGAAGAAGCATGAAGCACAGAACCCAGAGCCATGGGATTCTTCCCTATAGCCAGAGACATACATTAGAGGTGACTTCATTCAATATTTTCATTTTGCAGACTAGAAAACAGGTGTGAGAGTTAAAGTGACTTGACTAAAATCTCTGTTGACTATGTCTTATTTTCTGTATTCTTGATGCTCTTGCATTTAAGGCCTTGATCCTGGAGAGACTGTTCCACCGAGGGCTAGCTAATTCCTAGAGAAAGCAAACTCCCCAGCATATGTGCCTTGGATATTTAAACCTACCAATCCAGAACCCACATCCCCAACTCTATGTTTTATCAAACTCTCACATGCCAAACCAATATTCCCCCTGTCCTAAATCACCTCAGGACCACCTACCTGACAGCTAGGCACCACTACTACAGCCCACAACTTACCAAAATTACTCAAACTATCCAATCTTAAAGTGTTTCCTTGCCCATTCATTCCTGAGAAAACACCAGTAAAGGCTCTGGGCAATGCTCTCCCCTCTCTTCCTTCTGCCTTCTGACTGGTCTAGGTGTTCTTTCCTGTGGCCCTGCATGGCATGGTGTATCTCTTATTTTTAGGAATTTGTTAGTATACTTCTTTCTCATGACAATCATTTCCATGTCTGCTGTCTTACCATAATCTGAGGTACATTTTGAATAAGGTCAAATGGGTTAGTTGTAAAAGTTAAATGGGTAGGACCAGAGACTCCAGATCGCTAGACCTCTATGCTGTCGACTACTCCCATGTAGCATCATCTCCTGCAGTCCTGAAAGGAATAAAGACCAGGGATTGCATCTCTGGAGAGAACCAAATTTGCTTACAAAGATAAATTGCTCTTAGAAAATAATTTTTTAAGTTCTATGCAAATATAGTATATTACAACTGTTTGTGGGGCTATCTAAAGAAATCTAGGAAATATTTACAAGTGTACACATATATGAAAAGGGGTTAATAAAAAATTGGGCTGGAACTAGAGAAGGGCACCTCAGTTTGCCCATCTGTATTTATTTCTTAGCTAATGGGTGTCTGTGTAAGGCATGGTGCTAAGCATAGCTGCAAACAGAAGGTCAATGGATCCAGTTACTTTCTATGGGGGCTTTCAGCTTAGATAACACATATGCATCTCTCCAACATAGCAGGGCCAGAGGGGTTTAAGAGAAAAGACACTACAGGATTCAGTGGGGAAAAAAATTCTGGTTGGGACAATCAAAGAAAGTTCTATGTTCATTTTTATGCACTCTAGGGTTGGTTATGGGGCCTGGAGACATGTTATTTGAGATTGGCTACATATTAATTTTCTTATCTTATCATCAAAGTAGGACCATGCAACTATTATGTTATTACTAAATCCATTTAATATATGAAGAGAAACAGGGAATTAAAGATTTTAAATGCCTAGAATTTAAAAATCACAGTTATTACTAACAAAACAAGCTTCAGTTTTCCGACTTCTGATCTACTATTCACCTCATTTGGTTTTGTTTTTAAACTATTATTTGGAAGACAAAAGAATAATCACTAATCTGCATGCATATAAAATTGAATTGACTGTCTTTTCTAGAATGATCTCTTTCCCTCAATAAATTGAATGAATGAACCATTTATTTTGACATTATACAGAATCTGTCAAATCTAACTGGAAAGGCAGACATAAACTTAAACATAGCAATTAAATAGAAGATCTCTATTATTAAACTCTAAAGAATTCACAGCTCCTGTTAACTCATTTTTTTTCTTAAGACTAAGTCTCACTGTCACTCAGGCTAAAGTGCAGTGGCATGATCACAGCTCACTGCAGCCTTGACCTCCTTACATAAGTAGTATATAACTATTTACAACTTCATGAATATAGAGTCGGCATATATGCACTTGGGGTCACTTCCTCTAATCGCTCAGAGATGTTTGAATTCTTGACACAGTTCTTTTTCTTTGCCTGAAGAGTTCATAAAGGGCTGGGCATGGTGGCTCACACCTGTAATCCCAGCACTTTGGGAGACTGAAGCAGGAGGCTCGCTTGAGCCCAAGAGTTAGAGACTAACCTGAGCAACATAGGCAGAACTCATCTCTATTGAGAAAAAAAAAAAAAAAAAAAAAGCCAGGCCTGTTGGTGCACATCTATAATCCCAGTTACTTGGGAGGCTGAGGTGGGAGTATTGCTTGAACCCAGAAGGTCAAGGCTGCAATGAGCCACAATTGCACCACTGCACTCCAGCCTGGGCAAGAGAGAGACCCTCTCTTTAAAAAGGAAAAAATAAAAATAAAAAAGAGTACACACGGACCTTATAACTCTGTAGTTAATTCAATTTGTGGAAGCCAGAAAATGAATTTACCTGTTGAGAAGACAGATTACTGAGAAAATAAATAAAACTACTGACAATCCATCCTACAAAAGTATTTTTTTAATTCTAAAGTTTTCATTATTAATGAAATTCATACATCTGTTATTTGGATGTTTCTCCTCCAACGATAACAGAAAATTCAAAATCCTCTAGGGAGTTAGGCATCTAAATTTCCCATGAACTTTTCCTTCTGAAAGTAGAATTAATCAAGTCAGACAATGAGGAAGAAAAATAATCACTCTACAGCTCAGTCTAAATATGCAGAGCCAGACCTGACCAGAGGCCTTGGTCTTTCCCATTCCTTGGGGTTTTTTAAAGCTTTTTAAAATAGATACAGCTTTGTTGAGGTATAATTTAAATATTTTATCCACTGTAAGTATACAATGCAATGATTTTTAGTAGAGTTATAGTTTTGCATTATCATTACCATCCAGTTTTAGGACATTTGTTATTGCCTCCAAATTTTCCTAAAGCCCATTTGCAGTGCACCATACCCTCTGTCTCCAATCAAGCACTTCTTTCTGCCTCTATAAATTTGCCTTTACTGGCCATTTTATAAAAATGGAACCATAGAATACATAGTCTTTTGTATCTGGCACCCTTGACATAATATTTTTAAGGGTAATTAATTGTTTTGGACTGCATGTTTGTGTTTCCTGCAAACTAACCCCCAATGGAATGGTACTAAAAGGTGGGGCCTTTGGCAGCTACTTAGATTTAGATGATGTCATGAAGGTAGAGCCCCCATGATGGAATCAGTGTTCTTAATAACGAAAAAGAGAAAGAGACTCGGGCTCGCTGTCTCTGCCATGTAAGGATACTAGTTGATGGCCATCTGCAAACCAGTAAGAAGGCCCTCACCAGATAGAGAATCTGCTGGCATCCTGATCTTGAACTCTGCAGCCTACAGAACCATGAGAAATAAATTTCTGTGGTTTAGGCCACCCAGCCTATGGTATCTTATTAAATCAGCCCCAATTGACATCAATGTTGTAGCATGTGTCACTCTTTTACTTTTCATTCCTGAGTAGTATTTTGTTGTTTGGACACACCACATGTTAATCACTCACCAGTTGATGGACATTTGGATTGTTTCTAGTTTTAGCCTATTATGAATACTGCTGCTATGAACATTTGCATTTAAGTCCCTTTGTGGGCATATGTTTTCGTTTCTCTTGCTTAGATTCCTGGGAGTAGAATTGCTGGGTCATATGGTAAATTTATGTTTAATGTTTTTAAGACACTGCCCAACTGTTTTCCAAAGTGACTGCAGCATTTTATATTTTCATCAGCAATGAATGAGAGTTCCATCTGCTCCATTTCCTCAACAATGCTTTGTATTGTCTTATTTATTTTTTTATTTTCCTACCTTCCTTCCCTTCCTTCCCTTTGTTCCTTCCTTCCTCTCTCTCTGTCTCCCTCTCTCTCTCTTTTTCTTTTTTTCTTAGGTGAAGTCTCACTCTGTCACCCAGGCTGAGGTGTCTGTGTTTATTATTATAGACATTCTTGTGGGTGTATGGTGGTATCTTGGTGTGGTTTTAATTTTATTTTCCCTAATGACTAATAATGAGGATTACATTTTCTTTCATATATCTTTTTTGGTAAAATGTCTATGCCTACCTTTTGCCTATGTTTTAGATTGTTTACCTTCTTTATATTGAGTTATAAAGATATGTATGCTGGATACAAGTCCTTTTCAGTTTTGTACTTTGCAAATATCTTCTGCTAGTGTGAAGTTTATCTTTTCCTTTTCTTCATGGTATCCTTTGAGGCACAAAAGTTCTCAATTTTAATGAAATAAAATTCACTAATTTTTTTCTTGTATGGCTTCTGCTTTGGTCATCTTATGTACGAACTTTTTGGCTAACCCAAAGTCACAAAGATGTCCTCCTATGATTTACTCTTGAATTTTATAGATTTAACTTTTATATTTAGCTCTATGACTCATTTTAGTTAATTTTTGAATAGAACATAAGGTAGGGGCCTAAGTTTTTTTTGTTGTGGTTTATATTTAATTATTCCTTCATCATTTGTTAAAAAAGAAGTTATCCTTTCCCCTTTGAATTGTCTTGGCACTGTTGCTGAAAATTAACTAACCATAGATATATGGGTTTATTTCTGGGCTCTCACTTCTGTTCCACTGATCTCAACTCTTTTTCATTGATCTATATACCTATCTTTATGCTAGTACCACACTATTTTTATTACTACAGCTTTATGATAAGTTTTGGAATTTGGTAGTATAAATCACCAATTATTTTTCTTTATAAAAATTGACAGGTCAGGCACAGTGGCTCACACTCGTGGTTTTGTTTCCATTCATTCACAATATTTTAAAATATTCCATTGTGATTTCTTTTTTGAATCATGAGGGGTTTTTTTCATAAGTATGTCATTTGATTTCCATATACTTGACATTTTCCCAGATTTGTTTCTATTATGATCTCCAATTTAATTTTGTTGTGGTCAGAGAACATACTTCATATGATTAATTTTCTTCAAAAAAAATGCATTGAGACGTATTTAGTGGCCCAGTACATCATCTATCTGCAGAATTTTCCAAATAAACTTGAAAAGAATGTGTATTCTGAACTCTTTGGGTGGAGCGTTCTATAAATGTCAGTTATATTAAGTTGGTTGATAGCATTGCTCAAATTTTCTTTACCCTAGCCAATTTACGGTCTAGGCATTCTATCAATTATTAAGAGTGGGTATTGAAATCTCCAGCTATTATTGTTGTCTATACTTTCAATTCTTAGTTTTTTTGCTTCACATATTCTGGGACACTGTTTTTAGGTGAAATACACTTAAAATTATTATATCTTCCTGATTATTTGATCTTTTATTTTTATGAAATATTCTAGTATATTTTAACTTCAGAACTTCCAGTTGGTTCTTTTATATGATTTTTATCTCTGCTGAAATTTTCTATTCATTCGATCATTGGGGTCATTGCTATCATACTTTCCTTTAATTATTTAAACATCATTTTCATTAGTTCTGTGAATAGTTTCTTTGAAGACTTTTTCTTCTAAATCTAACATATAGGACCACTCAGAGACAGTTTATATGAACTGTTATTTTTCCCAGAGTATGTATCACACTTTCTTGTTTCTTTCTATCTGTCTTGTTTATTGAATATAAGACATTTCAGATAATATATTGTATATCAGTATCTTGGGATCTTTATTTTCTCCTCTGAGATTTGTAGTTAATGTTTTGCTTGTTTAGTAACTTGCCTGGACTAAATTTGGGAAATCTGATTCTCTGGAATGTATGGTTGATAATGTCTTTGGGTTTTTTCTTGTTTTTATAGTTAAGCCTGGCTTACTAAGGTCACCATTGTGCCTGCATAGCTTAATGTTTAGCCAAAGATTGGTCACAGCCAGTAAGGTGTCTAGTCTTTGCTGATGGATTTGTGTGTGAATTGGCATGGAAATAAAAATACATTTGGTCTTGGCCCCTGGTTCCTGACATAGAGCTCCTAAACCCTTAAAATTTCCTGAGTGATAGGAGTGCCTTTGTAATCATAATGAGCCCATTTTGATAATGACACCTGAGTGTATGCTAATCAGGTGACAGAGTGGGACTACCAGATAGCCTCAGAATAGGGCTGATTACCAGAGAGACAAGAAATTAGAGGGTTGGAACTTTCAGCCCCACCCACTGACCTCCTGGGAAAAGAGAAGGGAGCTGGAGATTGAATCTATAAAACTCTTGAGCAATAAGATACAGAGAGCTTCTACGTTGGTGAATGCATTCATACGCCAAAAGGGTAGCAGACCCCAAGTTTAGGGAAAAGAAGCTCCTGTGCTAGGATCCCTTTCAGACCTTGTCCTATGTACCTTTTCATCTGCTTATCCATTTGTATCATTTACAATAAACTGGCAGGCAAATATAAGTAGAGTGTTTTCCTGAGCTCTGTGAGCTGTTCTAGCAAATTATTGAACCTGGGGATGGATGTGGGAACTCTCAATTTATAACTTGTTTGTCAGGATACCTGGCCTGAAACTTGCAACTGGCATTTGAGTTGGGGGCACTCTGTGGGACTGAGCCCTTTAAGTGAGGGAACTGAAGCTAGCTCCAGGTAGATAGTGTCCAAATTGAATTGAATTGTTGGACATCAAGTTGTTGTGAGAATAAGATAATTGAATTGGTTAGTGTTAAAAAACACCTCAGAGCTAGAGATGCATTCAAAGTTCAAGGTGGCCTGGTATCACTTACAAGGTGGGTCACACTTGTAATCCCAACACTTTTGGAGGCCAAGGTGGAAGGATCGCTTGAGCCAACGAGTTCAAGACCAGCCTGGGCAACATAGGGAAACTCCATCTCTACAAAAAATGAAGAGTTAGCGGGGCATGGTAGTGCACACCTGCAGTCCTAGCTACTCAGGAGGCTGAGTTGGGAAGATCCCTTGAGCCTGGGAGGTTGAGGCTGCAGTGAGCTGTGATCATGCCAGTGCACTCCAGACTGTGAGACAGAGCAAAAACCTGTCTCAAATACAAAAACAAAAAAGTTTAGGCTGTTCTCAAGTCTTCTCTGGTTTTTATTAACCCCTAACTTTTCACACATCTCCTCTGTCTTTGTGCATGGCTCTGTATTCTACGGATGTATGGTAGGCTTGAGCCCATTCCAGTCCCTGCTACCCATGGTCTCTGATCAACCTAGGACATTCAATAAATCTTCTTAGTGCCCCCAGGTTTAGCTCATGTCCAAGATTTCACTGTTAAATGTCTGGCAAATCTGCTAGTCCATTGCATGGTCCCCAAACAGGGCTGTAACATCAGCCTAGTGAAGATGCTGACTCATCCTGTTCACTCTTAAGCATATGAGATCAACACTTTAAATGACTAAAGTCCAGATTAAGGGGGACACCTTCTAGCAGTGGCAGCTAAGTTGTTGATTTTCACAGCCTGTCCTACTCTGGTTGAATTACTATGCCAACAAAGCTGATATAGTAATTTTCAAGAATAAATGTCAAGACTAAATGTTATTCAGTTTATTGGAAACTTGGGTTATTTCCAGAGAACTGAAATGGTTATTTTTTTACATCTCTTTTCAGCTTTATAATTGCTTTTTCAGGAGAGGATATGTTAATCTCCCTACATCATGGCAGAAATAGGGCTAATTTGAATAAAGATTACTTTAAAGAAAATAGATGCTCAGGATATATAATAAGTAAGGGAGGGAGGAAGAAAGGAAGTAAGGAAAGAAATAAGTAAAATTTTCAAACCATGTATGTGGAAATTGTAAGGGCTGGTTTTGAGGGATAGAATTAGATCAGGCCCTCAGAGCCTCCAAATCCTCCAAATCAAGAATGGGTACACAGATGCTTAAATAGCTCGTAAAATAAGAGTCTACCTCCTGCATTATTCTGTGGCACATTCTTTTTTTTTTCAGAGTTTCACTCTTGTTGCCCAAGCTGGAGTACAATGGCGCGATCTTGGCTCACTGCAACCTTCACCTTCCGGGTTCAAGCAATTCTCCTACCTCAGCCTCTGGAGTAGCTGGGATTACAGGCATGCACCACTATGCCCAGCTAATTTTGTATTTTTAGTAAAGACGGGGTTTCTCCATGTTGGTCAGGCTGGTCTCGAACTCCCGACCTCAGGTGATCTGCCTGCCTTGGCCTCCCAAAGTGCTGGGATTACAGGCATGAGCCACCGCACCCAGCTATGTGGCACATTTTAATCCATCCCAACCATAAAGAATTTCCTGCTTCCTGTAGTATTAAAAAAAATAATTACTGAGAGGATAAAGATACTCATGACAACATTTACTGGGTACAATACTCTCAGTTATGAGTTGTTTAGATAGATAGATATTTAAATTTTTTTCATAACGATGCTTACGTTCGTATATCTAATTGCTATAAGTCTGTAACTAAAACCAAGATTATAGTAGATCAACAAATAGAAGTTAAAGATAAGTCAATTTTGTAGATTTGCCTTGACTTTTGTTTGTTGGTTTTTATATTACTTAAACATTTTTAAAGGTTAATGAATGGCTGTCCATGTCCATTACTGTCTGACCTAGAACATTTAAATTGGCTGTCTTCTGACTCTAAGTCTCTTGGCCGTAAGCATCCCAACAAGGGACAAGATGAATCTGAGGCCAGCAGCTATGCCACCCTGGCAATGCTACAAGACAAAATAAAAATTTGGTGGCCATTAATGTTGACTCTGACAAATCTTGGCCAGAAGGGGAAGATTGTAAACCAAAAATAAAATTCCAGCCTTTTGAACCTACCCCTCCTCTCGGCCAAGGGCATTCCAAAATTAACCTGAGAAACTAGTACAGGTCATGACAGGAATTGGGAGTCAGACATGCTTCATTATATCCTCCTCCCTTTTGGACTTCAGAAAAAGCTGACCAGGATTAACATCAACAAAGACCTTTAGTCTGATAAGAAACATTTACAATCTATTGTCTCTGAAGCCTGCTACCAGGAGGCTTCATCTGCATGATAAATTTTGGTCTCCACAACTCCTTACCTTAACACAGACATTCCTTTCTATTGATTCCAGGTCTTTAGATAATAACTTAACTCTTTCAACCAACTGCCAATCAGAAAATCTTTAAATCTACCTATGACCTGGAACCTCCTGCTTTGAGTTGTCCCACCTTTCCAGAGAAAACCAATGTACATTTTACATGTTTTGATTGATGCATTATGTCTCTCTAAAATGCATAAAAGCAAGCAGTGCCCCACCCATCTTGGGCACATGTCAGGACCTCCTGAAGGCTGTGTCACAAGTGCATCCTTAACCTTGCCAAAATAAACTTTCTAAATTGATTGATACTTGTATCAGATACTTTTTGGTTCACACTATTAATGACAACTAAACCCCTGGCTCATCCTTTAAAATGTAGGACATACAGGGGATTAAGGCCTTTTGTTTTGGGTTAAATGGGTGTTGCTAGGTGAAGAAAGCTAATTGAAAATGTTATATAAACTGGGTGATTTTTATAAATGGTAGTGGTTCTTCTGTCCAGCCCATAACCACTGTACCCTTAATAAAGTCCAACCTAGTAAGTCCTGTGTCTCATTCATTGTCTCTGGGTCTCTTCTTTGGCCTCTGAGACATGGTGCCATCCCTCTTTGAATCAACGGGGGTCCAACATGAGAGGAACACAAATAGATAATTCAAAGAAATCAAGGAAACAATTCATGATCCAAATGAGAAATTCAATGAAAAGATAGATATCACTAAAACACCAATCAGAAATCCTGGAACTGAATAATTCAATGAATGAAATTAAAAATATAATTGATAGCTTCAACAATAGACTAGATCAAGCAATAGAAAGAATTCCTAAAGTTGAAGAGAGATCTTTTGAAATAACCCAGACAAAAAGAAAAAATAAATAAAATAGAGAAAGCCTACATTCTGAAATTTTAAACATTTGCAAAAAAAATGCAAATGTTTAAAATTTCAGAAAAAGAAGAGATGGAAAAGGACATAGAAAACCTATTTAATAAAATAACAGTAGAAAACTTTCTGAGTCTTGCAAAAAATATAGACATCCAGATACAGGAAGCTTAAAAAGTCCCAAATAGATTAAATCCAAAAAGGTCCTGTCTGAGGCACATTATGGTCAAAAGTCAAAGACAAAGATAAAATTCTAAAAACAGCAAGAGAAAAGCATTAAGTTACATATAAGGGGATCTCCATCAGACTAACAGATTTCTCACCTTACAGGCTGTGAAAAGTGCTGAAAGAAAAAACTGCTGGAAAAAAGTACTATACCCAACAAATCTATCCTTCAGAAATGGAGAAATAAAATTTTTCTCAGACAAGTAAAAACTGAGAACATTCATCATTAGACTGGCCACTAAAAATGCTTAAGGGAGATCATTTTCAGGACCTGAAAATAAAAGAATGATCTCTATTATCATGAAAACACAGAAGTATTAACTCACTGGTAGAGCAGATACACAAATGAAAAGAAGGGTAAAAAATCAAATGTTATCACTACCAAATCACAAAGACAAAAAATTAGAGTAAGAAAGGAATAAGAAATATATCAAACAATTAGAAACAAGTTAACAAAGTGACAGGAGTAAGTCCTCACCTATCAATAACAACCTGGAATGTAAGTGGTTTAAATTCTCCAATTAAAAGAAATAGACTGGCTGAGTGAATTAAAACACAAAACTCAAATATATGCTGCCTACAAGAAACTCACTTCTCTTGTAAATATACACATAGACTGAAAGTGAAGGAATAGAAAAAAACATGTCATGCAAATGGAAACCAAAAGCACCCAGGAGTGGCCATACTTATACCAGATAAAATAAACTTCAGGTTAAAAGGGACAAAGAAGGTCACTATATAATGATAAAGGGGGTAAATCAGCAAGACGCTATAACATTTTAAATACATGCATCCAGAGATATAAAGCAAATATTATTCGAGCTAAAGACAGAGCTAGACCCTAATACAACAATAATTGGGGACTTCAACAGCCCACTTTCAGCATTTGACAGATAATCTAGACAGAAGATCAACAAAGAAACATTAGACTTAAAGTCTACTATAGACCAAATAAATTTAGTAGACATTTACAGAACTCTTCCTCCAACAGCTGCAGAATACACATCCTTCTCATCAGCACATGGAACATTATACAGGATAGACCATGTTAGGCCACCAAACAAATATTAACAAATACAAGAAAATGAAATAATATCAAGTATCTTCTTGGATCACAATGGAATAAAACTAGAAATCAATAAGAAGAGGAACTCTGGAAACTGTACAAATAATAGAAACAGAAAAAAATATGCTTCTGAACAACAATTGAGTCAATTAAGAGATTAAAAAGAAAATTTTAAAAATGTATTGAAACAAATGAAAATAAAAGCACAACATATAAAAACCTATGGGGCATAGCAAAAGCAGTCCTAAGAGGAAAGTTTATAGCACTAAACAACTACATCAAAAAAACTGAAAGATTTCAAATAAACAAGGCACCTCAAGGGATCAGAAAAGCAAGAAGCAGCCAACCCCAAAATTTGTAGAAGAAAAGAAATAGTAAATTCAGAGCAGAGCTAAACAAAACAGGGACTTTAAAACACAAAACAAAAGATAAATAAAATGAAAAATTGGATTTTTGATAAGATAAAGAAAATTGACAAACCATTAGCTTGACTGAGAAAGAAAAGAGAAGACAGAAATAAAATCAGAAATGAAAAAGGAGGGATTACAACTTGATACCAGAGAAATACAAATGATCATTAGAGAGTATTATGAAAAACCACACCAACAAATAAGAAAACCTAGAAAAAATAAATAAATTCCTGGATACATATAACCTACCAAGATTGAACCAGGTAGAAATAGAAATTCTGAACAGAACAATAATGAATAACAAAGTTGAATCAGTAATAAAAAATTTCCCTTCTCCCTGCAAAAGTCCAAGACTGGATGGCTTTACTGATGAATTCTACCAAAGGTTTAAAGAAGAACTAATACCAATTCTTCTCAAATTATTCCCAAAAATTGAAAAGGAGAGAATACTTCCTAAATCATTTTAGGAGGCCAGCATTATCCTAATACCAAAACCAGACAGGCACAAATTAAAAAAAAACAAGCCTACAAGCCAATATTCTTGAGGAACACAGTTGTAAAAATCCTCAACAAGTTGCTAGCAAATGAAACTCAATAACATCAAAAAGATAATACATCAGGGCCAAGTGGAATTTATCCCATGGATGCAAGGATGTTTCAACATATGCAATTCAATGAATGTGATAAATCACATCAACAGGATGAAGGCCAAAACCAATATAATCATCTCAATAGATATGAAAAAAAATTTCATAAAATTCAATAACTTTTCATGTTAAAAACTCTCAAAAATTAGCTATAGAAATCAAAAAAGGAATCTCATTTGTAATAGCTTTAAAAAATACCAAGAAATAGATTTAACTGAAGAAGTGAAAGATCTCTAGAAGGAAAACTGTGAAACACTGAGGAAATAAATTAAGAGCACAAAAAAAGTAAAAAAAACTTCCCATGATCATGGACTAGATGAATCAACATTGTTAAAATGATCATACTAGCAAAGCAATCTATAGATTCAATGCAATTCCTACCCAAAGTAATCTACACATTCAATGCATTCTTCACAAAAATAAAAAAAATCCTAAAATTTGTATAGAACTGAAAAAGAGCCTGAATAGCCAAAGCAATATTGAACAAAAAGAACAAAACTGGAAGGATCACACTATCTGACTTTAAAATATACTACAAAACTGTGTTAGTACATTTGCATTAGTATAAAGAAATACCTGAGACTAGGTAATATGGTTTGGTTCTGCATCCCCACCCAAATCTAATCCTGTAGCTCTCATTCCGATGAGTTGTGGGAGGCAGCAGGTAGGAAATGATTGAATCATGGGGGTGGGTCTTTCCTGTGCTGTCCTTGGAATAGTGAATGGGTCTCATGAGACCTGATGGTTTTAAAAATGGGAGTTTCTCTGCACAAGTCCTCTCTTTGCCTGCTGTCTGTCATCCATGTAAGATGTGACTTGCTCCTCCTTGCCTTCCAACATGATTGTGAGGCCTCCCCAGCCATATGGAACTGTAAGTCCAATAAACCTCTTTCTTTTGTAAATTGCCCAGTCTCAGGTATGTCTTTATCAGCAGCATGAAAATGGACTAATACATTGGGTAATTTATAAAGAAAAAAAGGTTTATTTTGGCTCATGGTTCTGCAGGCTGTACAGGAAGCATGATGCTAGCATCTGCTTCTGGTGAGAGCCTCAGGAAGCTTACAAGCATGGTACAAGGCAAACAAGGAGCTGCATATCACATAGCAAGAGCAGGAGCAAGAGAAAAGAGGACGAGGGGGCCAGCCAGGCTCCTTTAAACAACCTGCTCTCATGTAAACTAATGCAAGAACTCACCCATCACAAAAGGGATGGCACTAAGCCATTCATGAGGGATCCATCCCCATGAGTCAACACCTCCCACTAGATCCCACCTCCAACATTGGGGATCATGTTTCAACATGAGATTTGCAGGGGGCACACAACCAAACCATATCAAGAACTATAGTAACCAAAAGATCATGGCATTAGTATAAAAACAGATACATTGACTAATCGAACAGCATGGAGAACCCCCAAATAAATCCATGTTTGTACAGTCAACTTATTTTGGACAAAGGTATCATTAACACACATTGGGAAAAGGACAGTGTCTTCAATAAATCATGCTGGGAAAGCTGGATATCCACACGCATAAGAATGAAACTAGACCCCTATTTCTAACCATATACAAAAATCAACTCTCAGAGTGAATTAAAGAATTAAAGACCTGAAACTATAAAACTACTAGAAGAAAACAAAAGGAAAATGCTTTAGAATATTGTTGTAGGCAAAGATATTATGGGTGAGACTTCAGAAGTGCACGCGCGCGCACACACACACACACACACAAACAAAAATAGACATATAGGACTATATCACACTAAAAAGCTCTGTACAGCAAAGAAAGCCATCTATGGCATGAAGAGACAACTTGTAGAATGGGAGAAAATATTTGCAAACTATTCATTTGACAAGCGACTATCAATATCCAGAATATACGAACAACTCAACTCAACAGCAAACAAACAAATAAAAATCTGATTTTAAAATAGAAAAAGATTTGAATAAACATTTCTCAAAGGAAGACATATAAATGATCAACAAGTATATTTTAAAATGTTCAACATTACTAATCATCAGGAAATTAAAACCACAATGAGATATCATCTCCCCCCAGTTAGGATAACTATCATCAAAAAACAAAAATATGCCAGATGTGGTGGTTCATGACTGTAATCCCAGCACTTTGGGAGGCTGAGGCAGGAGGATTGCTTGAAGCCAGAAGTTCAAAACAAGCATAGGCTAAGTGAGATCCTGTCTCTATGAAAACATTTTTTAAAAATTAGCCAGGCATGTTTGCACTTGCCTGCAGTCTCAGCTACTTAGGAGTCCGAGGTGGGAAAATCACTTGAGCCCAGGAGTTCAAAGCTGCAGTGAGTTATGATGGTGCCACTGCACTCTAGCCTGGGGGAGAGAATGTGACCCTCCTGTCTCTAAATAAACAGATAAATAAATAAAAATTGAAATATTATATTTTCCAAGAATCCTACTACTAGATGACTGGGTACATATCCAAAGGAAAGGAAATTAGTATATCAAAGAGATACCTGCACCCCCATGTTTATTGCAGCACTATTCACAATAGACAAGATATGGAACCAACCTAAATGACCATCTACAGATGAATTGAATAAGAAAATGCGGTATATATACATAATGGAATACTATCCAGCCATAAAAAAATGACCTCCTGTCATTCATGGCAACATGGATGAGACTGGAGTACATTATGTTAAGTGAAATAAGCCAGGCACAGAAAGACAAATGCCACATATTGTCACTCATTTGTGGCAATTAAAAAAATGAGCTCATAGAACTAGAGAATAGAAATGTGGTTATTAGATCCTGGGAAGGAAAATGGGGAGAAAGGAAAGGGGGAGGTTGGTTAATGGCTAACAAGTTATAGCTAAATGGGAGGAATAAGTTTTAGTGTTCTGTAACACTGCAGGGAGAATATGATTAACTATACTTTAGTGTATGTGTTCAAAATCCTAGAAGACAGGATTTGAATGTTTGAATGTTCACAACACAAAGAAATGATAAATGTTCAAGGTGATAAATATACTAATTATCCTGATTTGATCATTACACATTGTAAACGTGTATCAAAATATCACTCTGCAGCCCATGACTATGTACAATTATGTGTCACCTAAAATGGAATAATAATTATCTCTTTACTTATGATTATGATAATAGTACAGATTCTGTGATGTGCAGGCTCTAAGGTATCTCCCCTATCATTCCTGTATCCTGATTTCATACCTCCATGAAATTTCCACTCCGTGAGTGTATGTAGAATCCAGTGACTTGCTTCTAAACAATAAGATATGGCAATGGTGATGGGATGTCACTCTCATAATTACATTATTTAAGACTTGATCTTCCAGCAGGCTCACTCTAGAGACTCTCCTAATTCATCTAGAGGCTTGATGAATTAAGCTGCCATGTTGTGAAAGCTCAACATTGCAAGGAACTGAAGACAGCCTTTAGGAGCTGAGGGCAGCCTCCAGCTAAGAGCTAATAAGAAGCCAAAGCCCTATTTTCCATAACTGCAAGGAGATGAAACTCTGTCAATAATGAGTGTATTTGGAGGTATTCTTTTTCCAGGCAAGCTTTCAGATGAGAAAGCAGCCTGGCCAACATCTTGAGCGCAGTCTTTGAGACCCTAAACAGAAAATTCAGCTAAGCCATATCCAGACTCCTGACCAACACAAACTATGAGATCATAAACGTGTTATTTAAGTTGCTGTTTATGGTCACTTGTTATGTAGCAATAAAAAATTAACACAGCATTCCGCAATGGGCTTAAAAAATGTCACGATGTATTTTGGATCTTTTTCTTTATGATTAAATAGTAGCTTGAATTCCTGTTTTAAGAGAATCTGACCTATAACTCTTTTGTTGTTACATAATAAGTGAAATCCTTGGCCCAACATTTCACTTACCGGTTTATTCACCAACTGTGCCCATTAGATTTGTTAGCCCATCTCTTGTTATCATTCAGCAACTATAGGCCTCATTCATAAAGTCCCTATTTGATTCTTTTTCATAGCTATCTATTCATGCTCATGGCTACAGAGTCACCTACTCTAAGTCTTAAGATACTGCTCACTTATTTAGATGTGCATTTTAAATGTTTGTTGTTTCAGTTTCACAGTGCAGACACTATTTAAATATCTTTTTTTTCTTACTTTGAGCATATCTTTTCCACTGAGATTACCAGCATATAAAATTCATGAATGCATATAAAATTCTTAAGTCTTGGTTTCTTTCTCTCAGACCCTTTATGGACTGCTACTATGTTCTCATAATGAATAGAGCTTTAGAGAATCCTGGGGCCAACCCTATGCTTTTTGCTTTGTAGGTAACTTTTGTTTCTGCTGTGCAGGTAATCTATGTCTTCTGGATGGGCAAGACATCAAGTATCTCCAATAGGATCTGTCTTCCCTCTTTCCTTTCCTCTTACCCTCTCCAGCTCCCTCTCTTTGTCCCTCCCTCTCTCCTCCCCTCCCTCCCCCTCTTCCCCTCTCTGTTTCATTATTTCTTTCAAGTTCAAGTTATTTCACTAGGATATGTCCCATGGTAAATGTATTAGTCCGTTTTTATGCTGCTGATAAAGACATACCCAAGACTGGGTAATTTATAAAGAAAAAGAGGTTTAATGGACTCACAGTTCCACGTGCCTGGGGAGGCCTCACAATCATGGTAGCAGGTAAGAAAGAATGAGAGCCAAGTGAAAGGGGAAACCCCTTATAAAACCACCAGATCTCATGAGACTTACTCACTACCATGAGAACAGTATGGGGTAAACTGCCCTCATAATTCAATCATCTCCCACTGAGTCCCTCCCACAACACATGGGAATTATGAGAATTACAATTCAAGATGAGATTTGGCTGGGGTCACTGCCAAACCATATCAGTAAATTATTCTGTATTAACTTTTCCTTTGACAAGTTCCCAAGGACAATCCCCTTTAAAGTATTGATATGGGCTGGGCACAGTGGCTCATGCCTGTAATCCCAGCACTTTGGGAGGCCAAGACAGGTGGATCACTTGAGGTCAGGAGTTCGAACCCAGCCTGGCCAACATGGTGAAACCCTGTCTCTACTAAAATTACAAAAATTAGCTGGGCGTGGTGGCAGGCACTTGTAATCCCAGCTACTCGGGAGGCTGAGGCATTATTTGAACCCTGGAGGTGGAGACTGCACCATTGCACTCCAGTCTGGGTGACAGAGCAAGGCTCTGTCTCAAAACAAAAACAAAAACAAAACAAAACAAAACAAACAACAACAAATATATATATAAAAATATATAAAAACATGGTTCAGCTCTGTGTCCCCACACAGATCTCATGTGGAATGTCAATTCCCAGTGTTGGAGGAGGGGCCTGGTGGGAGGTGATTGAATCAGGGGAGCGAACTTAATCCTTGCTGTTCTCTTGATAGAGTTCTCAAGGAATCTGGTTGTTTGAAAGTTTGTAGCACCTTCCCCTTCTCTCTCTCTCTCTCTCTCCTGCTCAGGCCATATGAAGACCGTGCCTACTTCCCCTTTGCCTTTGCCATGGGTAAGTTTCCCAGCGCCTCCCCAGAAGCAGAATCCTGTACAGCCCACAGAACCATGAGCCGATTATATCTCTTTTCTTAATAATATTACCCAGTCTCAGGTATGTCTTTATAGCAGTGTGAGAACAGACTCATACAAGTATTTAATTTATGCACACACACACACACACACATGCACACAGACACACCCCACTATATATATATATACAGTCAGTCCTCCATATCCATGTGTTCCGCGTCTGGGGATTCAACCAACCATGAATCAAAAATATTTGGAAAAAAAACCCCCAATAAAACAATGACAAAATAATGCAAATAAAAAACCAGTACAACAATTATTTAGACAGCATTTACATTGTATTAGGTGTTATAAGTAATCTAGAGGTGATTTAAAATATATAAGAAGATGTGCATAGGTTATGTGTAAATACTGCCATTTTACATAAGGGACTTGAGCATTAGTAGATTTTAGTATCCTCGGGGAGTAGGGAGTAGGGAGAGTCCTGGAACCAATCTCCCACAGAAACTGAGGAAGACCATACACATATATGAATAGATCATGTAATTACATATGTAAATTAATTTATGCACATAATATACAGTATACATGTATATGTAAAGTCTCTCATTATTTTTTCCTATTTTATCTTTTTCTTATTATTTATATTTGATGTCATTCGTCTATTTTATAAAATGATTATCTCCCTAATCTCATTTTCCTTTTATTGTTTCTTGTTTTATTTTATGGTATTTTATCAAGCATACTCTTTTTATCAATGATCATATTTTCAAAAACAATTTGGATACTTTCTGATGCTTCTTCCCTGACTTTCTTTTTGGTAATGTTTTATTTTTATCTTCCATTTTTTTCTGTAATCTCTGCCAGCTCAATACTCATTGTCTTTAACTTCTTATTTTTAGCTCATATTTGCAGTACCATATGCAAATTCTTTGGAACATCTAGAAAAAAAAATTTTAAGTTTTTGTTCCTTTGAGAGGGGATAATGTTATTCTATCCTTTACTTTCATTCCTTTCTTCAGAGTAATTATACATATTCCCTGTGCTGTTTATAGCTTATCTTTGAACAGGAAATATATTTTGTGAAAGCAAAGTGTGTGAAGTGGGGTCAATCTGAGAAAGATAAAAGCTTAAATGTAGGTACTATTTCAGAACACTTTTTCACAAGATCTTCATTGTTCCTCTGCTCTCGGAACATATCTCTCAGTTTTCATTTATTTCCTGTGCAATAAGTAAAAAATTAGTAATATTGTTCATACTGAAACTATGTATGCCAAAGTTTTCCTATGGAGAAATTTTCTGATTTTTGGTCAACAACTGCAAAATTGTTTGTGTTTCCCTTCTTACCTTTACTTTGCCTTAACACTAGACAGTTTCTCTATGTAGAATGCTAGGACAAAGAAAACAGCAGAACAGTTCCCCCTTTGAGCCTTACTCTCCTTATAGCCTTTATCTGGAAACTGGGCTTTGTAGAGATACTCCCAGGCCTTCACCTATTCCCCCACCCCTACTACTCATGCTCCTTCATACACTCACATTCCTGGCTCTCACTGGTTCATTAAAGAATCACCATGAGCTTTTAGGACCATGCCATTCATTTCCTAAGTAAATTTATACACTGGCAGATGTCTAAAATAATGGTTATCCACTCTCAGCCTGTGGAATGGACTTGTTTGGCCCATGCCATTGGATTGTATGTTACAACTGGTGGCTAAAAGCATGAAGTTTCTGAGATAAACTTATTAGTCCTTTTGGGCCAAAGGTCCACCTGCCAAATTTCTTCTATATGCTTTCTGGATGGGTAAGACATTATGTTTCTCTTTAATATGACTCCTCCAATACTACCTAAATTAACAGAATATTCATTCAACCTATTTACATCTTTGGGTAATTCTACTGGTGGTGTCATATTTGGGCAGCCACTTTGCATGAACTTTATTACATTTCACCACAGCTTTCTCATTAATTTGTCCTAATGTTCCAGCATTGAGTGGATTGCCTTTATATTTTAAGGTTTCCTTACAGACTTTTCTTCAGTTATGCTACAATTTAGTTGTAATTTGCACTGCATTCCCTGAAGGGAGACCTTTAGTCTGTCATTGTAACTTGGAAGTCCCAAAACTGATTTTTAATATTTCTAATAATCTCGATAGTTGAGCATATTGTAAAACATACAGCCAGAAAACGTATTAATTTTTTTTCTAGAAATTAGATAAATTTAAAAGCACACAACAGTTTTTACAAGGCCTTTCTTGACCCTGGTACTTTTCACTTTTTTTTTTTTCAGGTAATGGATACTGTAGAACCTACAAATTTAGATCCAAAAAAGTACTGAACATAAAGCTCTGAAGTTACATTCAATAATTCTCTATTGTATTTAAACAAAAAGATATAATAATCTGCCAATGGACTTCAGGTAGTTGGGAGAGAGTAGAGAGGGAAGAGTTTAAGACAAAGTTTTGACAATGTGGTATACTGGAAAGAGCTCTGGATTGGGAGTCACTGTCAGTCATCTGTTGTTCCACTGTGCAACGTGTTGTGCAGCACATGGTTCTGCAAGATTACCAAACATGCCCCTATGATCAAATCCAACTATGATTTTCAAAATCTTTTTGGACCTCTCCGAAGCATTTGATGTTAACTACTCACTTCTTGAAATTCAATTCTCTCCTTCAGCATAAATACAAATGCTCTATTGATTCTTTTTTTCCTCTCTGATCATTTCTCAATAAGTATGTGTTTGTGTATGTTTTACAGGCTTTTAGCAGGGTCAATAGTCTTCATTATTATAACCTTTTAGTGATCTCATTCACTCTCATCATTTCAACTAAGTTGCTGACTCCCATATATATCACCCTAGTCTTACTCTATCAGGAACTTTAGCCTCACATGTCCTTCTGCACATATCAACTTGGATGACACACAGGTATCTCAAACTCACTGTGTTCAAATGGAATTTATTGTTTTATTACAAATGCAATCTATTTTGCTCCAATACTTAGGCAACACCATCTGTACTCAATTAGAAACCTAAAAGTAATAATAGACTCCTCTGACAATTCTCATCTTTCTCGAATCTTCCCCTTCTTGGTATATGTTGGTATATTCCAGTATGACCACTGTTCTAGATCATGGCCTCATCACCTCTTTCCTGGGCTACCCTAGTTACTTCCTAAGCAGTCACCTTTTCTCCATATTGCAACCAGAATATCAAATAAATTCACATTTATATTCTCAGTTTTGAAATCCTTTGAATGTCATATATTACTTTTCTACAGAATAAAACCCAAGTGCCTGTCAATGTTGCCCTGTAAGACTTAGTTCCTACCTAGCAAAGCTCTTGCCACTTCCTGCCTCCACCCTTTTCTGCTTGTTTGTTCATATATACACAATACCCCTACACCTTTGCTCCTGCAGTTATCTTTCTCTGAAATGCCCTTCCTACCTTTCTTGGTGTGTCCAACTCATGTGCCACCTCCTCCAGAAAGGATTTTCAGAAATAGCAAATCAGATACTTTGTATACTCTATCATTGTACTATAATACCATACTAAGTTTTCAAATCTAGAGAACGCATGAAATGAATGGCTGTCTAATGAGACAGTAAGATCAAAGGTAGGATTCACCTTTTTAAATATCTTTGTTCCCTGAATTTCTAAGAACCTGTCACATAGTAAGTGCTCAATATATTTCTGTTCCATTAAACTGAATTGTGATATTGACTATGACCCAAACTAATCTGACTTTGAAAAAGTCAATCTTTCTGAATCTTATATTTTATAGTTTAAAATGCTATGTTTGGGTTAATTTATCTTTTAGGTCCCTTCCTGATATAAAATTCTGATTATATAATTTCATTATCTTCTAGCTCAGTGCAACTATACGCCATCTCATATTGATACAGGAGCTAGAAATTATTTAGGCAGATAGTGAGGGTAAGAGAGCCCTCGGTAAGGCTTCCATTTTATAAAAAGCAGCCCCCAAATAATTTCTTTTCTAACAAAAAGCAGCCTGAAAAATCAAGCTGCAAGCATAGGTAAGCAAGCTAAAAGCCTGCATAGGTAAATGCTGGCAGCTATGCCAATAGAAAAGGGATACTTGGAAGCCAGGAATATTCAACATGGAGGTTCCCTCTTCCATTTTCTTTGTTGCCACATGTACAGTAAAAAAGCAGGCAACATGAGACCCCTATCTTTATAATAAAAGATTAGGGTGGGATAGCCAGCTTCTTTGTACGCTATGCAAACAGCACACCTGGACTGACCAATCTCTCATGCCCTGTGTAAATCAGACACCACCTCCTCAGGCTCCTCTATAAAACCCCACGCATTTCACCACAAAGCAGAAGACACACCTGGGAGCACTTCTCTCACTGCAGGAGAGAGAGCTTTTCTCTTTTCTTTCGCCTATTAAACCTCTGCTCTTAAAGTCACTCCTTGTTTGTGTCCACGTCCTCGATTTCCTTGGTGTGAGGCAACAAACCTTGGGTATTACCCCACACAAATGACGCCTCTTCAATATTTAATCTTACAAACAATATCTGACCATTGTTGCTTTCTGTATAATTCTTGCCAAAACTATTGCATAACATTTCTTCATTGTTTACTAAGCCATCTCAGTGTGTTTATAGAGAAGTTTCTTTAGAGTAATCTAATTATGCCTTTATTTGTTGCCAGCAGGGGTTTATTTATTCTCTTATAATAAACCCCACATTAATATCACATTTTCTCTCTCATGGCAACCAGCCCATATTTAGGGATCTTGTCCAGAAGACATGTGCAGCTCATACCAAAAAAAAAAAAAAAAATGAATATTTCAAAGATCTCACACTTTAGGGCTTCCATAGTTAGAAGAAAAAAGATCAGATTTCAAATATCAGAAAACGTGCTTCTCTTGATTCCTCTTTCATATCTTCACTAAATAGAGGATACATTTGATATTATATGAGATCAACCAGTCTAAAGTATTTTATTTATAACACAATCCTAAACTTGGTGGTTATAATAAGAAATATTATTTGAAGTAAATTCTTTGGATTTAGCATGAGAGAGAAAAAGGCCAACATTATTTGTAAATGCCAACTACAGGAGTTTAATAATTTAAAATAACAGAACAGTTTAGTCAAACTGTTCTCCTACTACATAGACTTTACTGGTTTAATTAACTGAATCAAAAGATTTTGTTTATATCATGTGAATCCCCAGTACTGCAGATAGTTTCATCATTTCAGGGCATCCATTCTAAGAAAGATACATAAGCCCACTTATTAAAAAAAAAAAAAAGGTTCTCTGTAGAATCATAAAAACTCTCTGCTACTTCATGTCAAATCTCTAATGAAGCTTCCTTATTTTATTTAATGTGTTGTGAAGTTTTGCGTTTGCAAAAATTGTAACAGTGAGAAAATTATGGCGGCGGGCAGGGGGGTATCTATCTAGCCAACCCCATCATGCCTTTACCCTTCAAGCTGCCCTTAAGTATTCCTGGGTTTATGGCAAGCTAACTTTGGGAGCCATTTAGTTTATAGTTTAAGTGGTAATAGTACTTACCCCAAACTCAACCACCTTTGTGAAGTTAATGACAGACTACCAGGCTAGGAAGGGAGAGGAGCCAGAATTCTGCTAATGTGTAGATATAAATGACAGCCGGCCATGATTCTAGAGGTCACAAGATATGCAACTTCCCCAATTACTTCAGCAGGTAACATCACTATTATAGAATCTAAGATTGGCCTTTTGAGATAGCATTTCAGTTTTTTTGCATGTCTGACAACCGATAGTTCCATCTGGATGCACCAACCACTCCTGTGGCCCCACCCAGAAGTGGCTCAGTGAAAGAGGCCAGCTTAGACTCCCTATGATTTCATCTCTGACCCAACCAATCAGCACTCCCCATAGCCTAGCCACTTGCTCACCAAGCTGTCTTTGAAAAACTCTCCAAGTCTTTGAGGAGATTGATTTGAGTAATAACTCCATTTCCTGAGCGGTGTGGCCAGACTTGTGTTAATTAAATTTTTCTTCACTGCAATGACATGATCTCTGTGGCAATTGATTCTGTTTGTGCAGTGGGCAGGAAGAACTCGTTGGGATAAAAGGCATAGATGTGCCAATATAATTACTTTTCAAGCCCAAATAGAAATGATTTTTTTTTTAATTTTCAACTTTTAAGTTCAGGGGTACATATGAAGGATGTGCAGCCTTGTTACACAGGTAAACATGTGCCATGATGGTTTGCTGCACAGATCATCCCATCACCCAGGTATTAAGCCGAGCATCCATTAGCTACTCTACCTTATCTTCTCTCTCTTCTACCCCCCACCCTCTGACAGGCCCCAGTGTGTACTGTTCTCCAACATATATCCATGCATTCTCATCATTTAGCTCCCACTTGTAAGTGAGAACATGTGGTATTTGGTTTTCTGTTCTTGCGTTAGTTTACTAAGAATAATGGCCTCCAACTCCATCCATGTCCCTGCAAAAGACATGATCTCATTCCTTTTCATGGCTGCATAGTATTCCGTGGTGTATATGTACCACATTTTCTTTATCCAGTCTATCATTGATGGGCATTTAGGTTGATTCCATGTTTTTGCTATTGTGAATAGTGATGCAATGAACACACACATGCATGCATCTTTATAATAGAATGATTTATATTCCTTTGGGTATATACCAGTAATGGGATTGCTGGGTCAAATGGTATTTATGCCTCTAGGTCTTTAAGAAGTCACCACACTGTTTTCTACCATGGTTGAACTAATTTACACTCCCAAGAACAATGTAAAAGCATTTGTTTTTCTCCACAACCTCACCAACATCTGCTGTTTTTTGGCTTTTTAGTAATAGCCATCCTGACTGGTGTGAGATGGTATCTCAATGTGCTTTTGATTGGCATTTCTCTAATGATCAGTGGTATTGAGCTTTTCTTCATGTGTTTGTTGGCTGCATGTATGTCTTCTTTTGAGATGTTTTTGTTCATGTCCTTTGCTCACTTTTTAATGGGGTTTTTTGGTTTTCTGGTAAATTTGTTTAAGTTCCTTATGGATGCTGGATATTAGACCTTTGTCGAATGGATAGATTGCAAAAATTTTCTCCTATTCTGTAGGTTGTCTGTTTACTCTGTTGATAGTTTCCTTTGCTGTGCAGAAGCTCTTTAGTTTAATTAGATCCCATTTGTCAATTTTTGCTTTGTTGTAATTGCTTTTGGTGTCTTCATCAAGAAATCTTTGCCACTGTCTATGCCTGAATGGTATTGCCTGGGTTGTCTTCTACGGTTTTTATAGTTTGGAGTTTTACATTTAAGTCTTTAATCCATCTCAGGTTGAGTTTTGTATGTGGTGTAAGCAAGGTGTATTTGTTCATTTTCACACTGCTATAAAGAACTACCTAAGACTGGGTATTTATAAATAAAAGAGGCTTAATTGACTCACAGTTCCACATGACTGGGAAGTCCTCAGGAAACTTACAATCATTCCAGAAGATGAAGGAGAAGCAAGGCACATCTGACATGGTGGCAGGAGAAAGAGCGAGGGGAGGAAGTGCCACACTTTTAAACTATCAGATCTTGTGAGAACTCACTATCATGATAACAGCAAAGGGGAAACTGTCCCCATGATCCAGTAACCTCCCACCAGGTCCCTTCCTTGACACTTAGGGGTTAAAATTTGAATTACAATTTGAGATGAGATTTGGGTGGGGACACAGAGACAAACCATATCATTCTGCCCCTGGCCCCTCCCAAATCTCATGTCCTTTTCACATTTCAAAACACAATTATGCCTTCCCAACAGCCTGCCAAAGTCTTAACTCATTCCAGCATTAACCCAAAAGTCTAAGTCCAAAGTCTCATCAGAGATAAGGGAAGTCCCTTCCAACTACGAGCCTGTAAAATCAAAAACAAATTAGCTACTTCCAAGATACAATGGAGGTACAGACATTGGGTAAATGTTTCTGTTCCAAATAGGTAAAACTGGCCAAAACAAAGGGGCCACAGGCACTTTGTTTATAAGTCTGAAACCTGGCAGGGCACTCATTAAAGCTTAAAGCTCCAAAATAATCTCCTTTGGCTCCATGTCTCACATCCAGGGCACAGTGATACAAGGAGTGGCCTCCCAAGGCCTTGGGCAGCTCTGCCTCTGTGGCTCTGCAGAGTATAGCCCCCACAGCTGCTTTCCATGGGCTGGCATTGAGTGCCTGTGGCTTTTTCAGGTGTACAGGGCAAGATGTCAGTGGATCTACCATTCTGGGGGCTGGAGGATGGTGGCCTTCTTTTCACAGCTCCACTAGGCAGTGCCCCAGTGGGGACTCTGTGTGGGGACTCCAACCCCCCATTTCCTTTCTGCATTGCCCTAGTAGAGGTTCTCCATGAGGGCTGCCCCTGCAGCAGACTTCTGTCAGGATATCCAGGTGTTTCCATACATCCTTTGAAATCTAGGCAGAGGCTCCCAAAGCTCAGCTCTTGTCTTCTGTGTACCCACAGGCCCAACACCACATGGGAGCTGCCAAAGTCTGGGGCTTACGCCGTTACGCCATCTGAAACATGGCCCAAGCTGTACCTTGGACCATTTTAGTCATGACTGGAGCTGGAGCAGCCGGGATGCAGGGCACCAAGTCCTGAGACTGCACAGAACAGCAGGCCTCTGGGCCTGGCCCATGAAACCATTTTTCTCTCTTAGACTTCTGGGTCTGTGATGGGAGGGGCTTCCATGAAGATCTCTGACATGCCCCGGAGACATTTTCCCATTTGTCTTGGCTATTAACATTTGGCTCCTGATTACTTATGCAAATTTCTGTAATAGGCTTGAATTTCTCCCCAGAAAATGGGGTTTTCTTTTCTATTGCATGGTCAGGCTGCAAATTTTCCAAACCTTTATGCTCTCTCTTTCCTTTTTAAACATAGGTTCTAATTTCAAACCATCTCTTTGTGAGCACATGTAACTGCACACTTTCAGAAAAAAACGGGTCACCTCTTGAATGCTTTGCTGCTTAGAAATTTCTTCCTCCAGATACCCTAAATCATCTCTTTCAAGTTCAAAGTTCCACAGATCTCTAGGGCAGGGGCAAAACACTGCCAGACTCTTTGCTAAAGCATAGCAAGAGTCACCTTTGCTCCAGCTCCCAATAAGTTCCTAATCTTTATCTGAGACCACCTCAGCCTGGACTTTACTGTCCACATCACTATTAGCATTTTGGTCAAAGTGATTCAACAAGTCTTTAGGAAGTTCCAAACTTTGCCACATTGTCCTATTTTCTTCTGAGCCCTCCAAACTCCTCCAATCTCTGCATTTTACCTAGTTCCAAAGTCACTTCCACATTCTCAGGTATCTTTATAGGAGCACCCCAGTCTACCAGTACCAATTAACTGTATTAGTCTGTTCTCACACTGCTAATAAAATAAATCTTTATTAGCAGTGGAGGTATTCAAACTGAAAAAGATGCTTTAAGGCAAACATTTAGAAACCTTCTTGACTGGCTGCCCTCCAAACTAAAAAACTAGGTTATAATTTATTCTAACTATTAACCTTTTCCTTTTGTTTTCATAAAAATGGCCTAGGTCATGGGATAATCCACTAACTCAGTTTCTCGATTGTGAAACTTCTTGGGAAAGTTTATACCCTTAAAATAATTATTTGATGCTATGACTATTATATTCCTCATTTAACAAGGTGGCTGATTTTAACCTTGGCCATCTGATTCCAGAGAAGCTGACATTAACCACTACACAATATTGGTTCCCAGATGAGTACATGCAAATTGTTCTCTCTTCCTACGGTCTTCCTCTCTCTTTCCAAGATTCTTTATACTTTTTCTACCATCTGTTTACCCCACACCCAATGCCAAGTACTTGAATCCATCCTGAAGTGGAATCTTCAAAGGCATCAAGGTTTTAAGCAAATATCCTGGCTTCAGTTTGTTGGGTGACATCAGATTGATATTGTGAATCTTCAAGTGAGGCTTTGAAGCCTTAATTTCTTCAAAACATGGTATTTATAAGACCAAAATCCCTTACTCTTGCTAATACTGACTGCCTGTTATTATGCTAAGTATCAATCTTTTTTTTTCAATCAACTCTCTGTTTTCACAGAAATGGGCAGAGTACAGACAAAGGAGTGAGAGGAAAAAAAATTTATCAAGCTACAATATCTGATGACAAGTTCTTAGGTTGGCATCTTAGCCTTATGATGCTTTAAAAAGTCCAATCTGATATTTCTTATTACAGTTCCAGTGAAGCCAACTTAAAAAGAGCCTTTATGGTTAATCACTACTATTGCTACACTTATGTAAATAATCAGGACATGATGACAGTAGACTTATTTTGTAAACTATTCTTACTGCAACTATCTTTGGCAGAAGTAGGGGTGGCTGTAGAGAGAAAAATTATGTTCCAATAGAAAACTATAGTACACCTGTTATTAGACTCTACTCCTGTTTATTGTCTTTGAGGTTTTGCGATCTACCTGTAAACTTTAACTGACCCCGAATTCTTCTAATATTTGGCTAAGACTTTGCAAACCTCTTAAAACTAACATTTCAAATTTTCTTCCACCTTTCTGACATGGAATCACTAAAAATAAAGACTGCCCCTTTACTAAAGCCCTGTGAGCTAAAACTGGACTACTTGATATAAACTGCAGATAAATCATAACAGCTCATGTATGGACAACCTTCATGCTTGTTGCTGTGGGCCACTCAGCCATCACTGGAGGTATTCAAACTACAAAAGATGCTTTAAGGCAAACATTTAGAAACCTTCTTGACTGCATTCCAAACTAAAAAACTAGGTTATAGTTTATTCTAACTATTAACCTTTTCCTTTTGTTTACATTAAAAAGCCCTAGGTCATGGGATAATCTACCCACACAGTTTCTGGATTGTGAAACTTCTTGGGAAAATTTTAAACAGGAATATGGCAGTGCTCAAGGTACACTACCCCAAAATATGACTGTAGAAGAACAGAATATGCCACCCTAAATCTTTGACATATTATTTTGAATGAGTTATTTTGAGAAACACCAGACACAGGATTGGCCCTAAAAAGTTACTTTTTTAGAGAGAGAAATTTACATCTGTAAAAGGAATCTTTATTTGCAAGAGTCTTTCTCCCTGCATCAGGAAGAAAAGGACACTAAATCACTAATGACTCTTAAACAAAATGGAAAAGGTATTGACTTAAATTTGCATAATCATCCTTATCTGTTGCAGATGGTGACTATCTGGGGCCGGTGTCAGATGGGTGGTTAAAATAATTTACCAAGACAGTTGGAGGTAAAGAAAGGCAGATTTATTAGAGAAGGTAGGAAAATGCATCCTAAGAAAGCCACAGGCAAATCAGCAAGAGAGGAGCTGACTACAAAGAGACAAAGATTTGTTGGTGATTTTATAGCATGGTGCTTGTGCTGTGTGCTGAAGAGGGCTTTGTGCAATACAGATAATGCGTCAAGGTTTCAGTTAGCTAACTTGCATTTTTTGATCAGTAAAGAGTCCAGTGATAGCTGGACACACGAAGATTGTGAGTTATTTGTGTAGGAGAGCTATGTTTTCTGGACCATGAAGAAAGGTAGACTTATACCTTATCTGCTTTTTATTTTTGCTTTCTCTTGGTCCCACCAGCCTGACTCCCTTTCCCTAATTAGGATTCCCCATTACCTTTGTTTAAGATACTTTTCCTAGCCATCTCCTCTTAGCTGGGTCTTTCCCTACATCCTTCTTTCTTGTTTCAAAAAACAATGGCATTTATCCTAAAGTTTAAACTTTCTTTGAGATTTGCTCCACAGTTGTACTCATTTCTCTGTATCTTCTCCCATGTAACATGTAACATGAAGTATACATTTTAATAAACTTCTGCTTGTTAACCTGTCTTTTGTTACAAGGAATTTCAGTTAAGAACTACAGAGTAGAGAGAAAATTAGTTTTTCTTCTCTACAAGAACAAGAAACAAAATGAAATATATTCCCAATAGTTTCACAAAACAATTAAATCATAACTAAATTTATAATAAACAAATTATTTTTGAAGACATTCGTAACAATAAAGGTAATGTATTGTTTTATCTTTTTAAATTTTTTGAGCTGGGAATTGTTGACTGCCAAGTCATTAGGGAATATCTCCAAGACTGCTTTTGTTTGAAAACTGTTGACTTGTTTCTCTGAAAGAAAAGTACAGCCACTATTGTTTACTATTGATAGGTTTGTAGGACTTTTCATTCTTTAATTTCCTTGTTTGATATAACAAATATTTATTTGAACACTAACAATACACAAGGCAAAATGCAAGGGATGGAGGGAAAACAGGACATATAAATATGAAATATGTATTTTATATATATATGTGCATATCACTTCATTTGGAGTGATAGAGAAGACATATGCATGTATACAAATAAAGATAACTAATCATATAAAACAACAAGTAAAATTCCAAATTACTCTTGTAATTGTTTAGGGGAGAGAAAATCTTCTATCCTCTGAAGGTTCAATAATTGAATCTATGAAATAAACTGACAGTAGACAGTTTAGTAGGAGAAAAGCTATTTTAATTACACACAGGAGTCCCACAAAGTAGAGGACTTGAAGAGGGGCCAGATGATAGAAGTTTTTATAGCATCCTGAGCTAAAGAAAGGAGTAGGGGTTGGTGGTTTATCGGGGGTGGTGTCTATACAAGTTGCAGGGGAGTAAGAGGAGGGAATGCATGGAGAACAAAGGTTGTCTTGTTATACAGATAACATCTCTCAGGTAATAAAAGTTGTCTCCAAGGATCTCATCAGAAGAAGAGGTAATGGATAGTTTGTGACAAAGTCTTTCTGGAGTGTGGTGTCTCCTGTGAGTTAATCTTCCTTCACTGATGAGATTCCCAGGGAGGATACCTATGACAATTGTGTTTCTTTTTGGAGGCTCTATCTTCAGCCACTTAAGGGAGTTCAGAGAGAGCCCTTTCTTGTATTTGCTGTTTCCCAAGTGCCCTCAGTTTGAAATAATTAGCATACCAAAATGCTACATTTTGAGGTTTACTGAGTCTCAACAACTGCTACTATGCAGGTTAAGTAGATAATTACCTTGAAGATGCTGGAAATAAAATAAAATCCATGCTTGCCTTTAGAGAACAATCAAATTTCTGTGATAGAAGCACATACATGAGAGGATGGCCATTTGTGTTTCTCACAGCCCTGCCTCTTAAATTCAAACACTGTTTCATGGGAATTGTTAAGCCAGTAGTATGTTGGGGGTAGGCACTGCAGAGATGAGAAAAGGAGCTGAATAGTATAGACATGTGAAACATGCAATTTAAGTATGCAGTGCAGTTTTACAACCTTATAAGAACAAATTATACTATTATACAGGAGGAGTAAATTTGAGCAACAGTTCAGTGTTTAAAATGTTAGTCTTCTGTTCTTTATTGCTGTATTTTATATATTGGGAGGAAAAGGCTGTAGAGAAGCCAGTTGAGGAATGACAATCTAAGTGCCTATCTTGTACTTGCTTGTCTTTTCCAAATTTTGAGGGCTTCAGCCATACCACAAAAGAGCAACAATGAAAAACTCAGGGAGTCCATTGAAGACAAATGGAGGTAGTCTTTGGCAAGGACTTTTGGTTTTGCCTTCGTTCTGCCACCGTAAGCTAAATATATTGTGAAGGTCCCTTAATGTCTGAATCTGAGCTGCCTCATTTGTGAAATGAAGATAATAATGTCAACACAGGGTTATTATTGTAATAAACAATTGAGAAACAAGTGAAAATGCTTTGAAAAGCTGGAAACACATTATATGTGAACGTGCTGCTGCTTTGTGTTGATGACAACTCGAAAACAAACACTGGGATATTTTCTCATGGAGGGAAACCATCTTTGGGTCATGGAGATAAAACATTCTGAGAAATAATAGTTTAAATTCTCTGTTTTCTAGTAGCCAGTACCACAGTTTCTGAGGAAAAAAATCATTTCGATCAAGTAGATATTATTCTTTCCTGACTGAAAGACAAGAATATACAGTTTTCTTTCACCAATGGTGCCCCCAGTGTTTTGTCACAATTTTTCTCTCCAATTATTCTGAGAATATTTTGGAAAGGTAGCAGAAATTAACCTTTCTTAAATGACTTGTGTGTTTTCTTTTAAAAAGGAGTACACATTACTACAGGGTATTAGGTCCTACTTTCAACTTTATAGCTTTCAATGCTTGCCTCATCTATCATTTACATTTATCATTAACTTTCATGTTTCCCGAGGTAAACAGTGAAATTATCTCTTTTCTAGAGAGGCAGAAAGATGAGCAGAAAAGAGGGGCTCACTCTGATATATCACTCCTGAAGTGTGAATGATGTTAGTGAATCCCATGATGGTCTAAGGCTTGGAGAAAAGATGAGATAGAGGGCAGTGGTCTTGTGATTCTCACCTCAGTCTCACTGGGACGGAAGAGTGTCCTCTTGCAGGTGGAGGTTACCAAAACAAATGAGAGCTAAGTTCTAAAGCAGCCTAATCTTCTCATTGTTCCCAGACATTGAGCCCAAGATGTTTCTGTTCTGAATACGATTGATCGTATTTCTATCCTCTGTGATTTAGCTTCCATCACTTTCTCCATCTTACTTTAAATTCAAAATATCTTTCAGTGCTCAAGTACTAACCAGGTTATCAAGTCCTAAACCAAATCATTTGATAAAAACGTGTGATATGCCTGACCATTTTGTTCTTCTTTCATGTTGCAGCCTTAATTTTCTAGCAGCTCTTTTAAGACTGAAAGTACTCCAACAGTTAACAAGTGATAGCTGTAATTGGCCTCAAGAGGATTCATGAGTCTCATGGGAGATTCTGCTTGGCGAAGGGGAAGGTCACCTTCATCTAATCTGAAATAAATTTGAGAGTCTCACAAACATGAATCCAGAACATTAATAAAAACAAAGAAAGAAGCACTGCCAAAAATGTTACCCAAGCAAATCTCTCAAGGGCTAGTCTTCTGGGACTGATAAAATCACGTACATTTGCGTAAAGCCTGTAGGAATCCTAGTGTGTCACAGCTGTGCACTTACCAAGTGTATTGACTCTGAATACAAAGTGAGAATAAATCTAAGATACAGCTCACGTTGTGTTGTGCATAGGAATAAGTTTGAAAGCAGGCTACAGGCCTGGTATGGGAAGACAAGGGAATGAGTAGTTCTTCAGCTGCAAATCTATTTTAGATACTCAGCAATGAGGTTGAGGAGAAAATATATGAATAAAGGCGGGTACTGGTGATAATTCATTTTTGAAAGAAAAATGCCAAAATAGGGAGGCATTATCTATAAACACATAATTTCAGCAATGGTGGTTATTTCAGCCTTTGACAGGGCACAGGACACTTTGGATAACTGTTCCTCTAGGTGCTATCTCAGAGAACAAATTTATCATCAATCATTGTGGCCTATTTTAATGGACAAAGACACAAACTGAGATAGAGGAAAAAATCAGAATTCTAGAGGAAAAAAATCAGAAACGGGCAATTATCCAGAATGAGTCTTTTTTTTTTGAGACAGGGTCTCACTCAGTCACTGAGGCTGGAGTGCAGTGGCACCATCTTAGCTCACTGCAGCCCAGGCCTCTTGGGTTCAAGTGGTCATCCCACTTCAGCTTCCTGAGTATCTGGAACTACGGGTGTGTGCCACCACACCCAGTTAAGTTTTGTATTTTTTGCAGTGATAGGGTTTTACCATGTTGTCCAGGCTGGTCTCAAATTCCTGAGCTCAACCGATCCTCCCGCCTTGGCCTCCAAAAGTGCTGGTATTAAAGGCGTGAGACACCACGCCAGGCCCAGAATGAGTCTTTATAAAGAAAAAAAATGAGCCTATTACTGCTCAATTCTCCCCTTCACTCTGGCTTTCACAGGCCATAAGCCCCCGTGCTTTGTTATTCCTTTAAGTACACAGGATCCGTGAGACTCCCTGGTTCACCTGCTGAGCTAAATTCTATACTATTTGGTCAGGGTGTAAATAATTAAATAGAAATTCTTGCTTTCACTTCATAATTATCAAAAGATACCCCAGCTTTTCCCAGGGTTCCTGGTTTAACCATGTGATATTTCAATTAGGAAGAAAATCTAACTTTCTCTAGTATTGAAGAAATCAATTTAAAGTGAGTATTTGGACCAAATTTTCCAAATATTGGCTTCTTAATTTTTCCTGTTTTTTTTTTTTTAGTTCAGATAGATATGCTGTTTTTTATTTTAAGAAAAAGTTTTTTTCATATAAAGAAAAATATTTTGAAAAACATTTTTTTAAATCTCTTGGGAGCATCTTCACCTGCTACAATAAAATAAGATACTCTGAAGACTAGAGAAGAATAAGTAGTAAGTAAACAATAACTCATGTGGCAATTAGTCTTTAGTGAGCTCCCAAAATGTGCCAGGTATACAGTGGTACTTATAACTTCCAAGCATAATGAGAGCATTTGTAGTCTTTTGTATATGCAAGGAAACTGAGTTTCAGATAGGAAATAACTTAAGATCATACAGAAGGAGAATGTGGATTTGAACCCAGAATCTTTTCATACCTAAGCTTGTGATTTTCCCACTTACCTATATTTCCTTTTCACCTAATATGTTTCTTAAGCTATGTGTTAAAAACAACACTAATAGCCCAAGTTTTTCTTGGAAGTGATTTGTTTGGGATGATTCTTTACACTCTCCCTTGTCGCTACTGGTATGCATTGTCACCCTGGATCAGAAACCTTCAAGCATCAAATCAAATTCTTTTGCTTATTCAGATTTCTAGCCTTCTTCCCTCCTACCTCTGGCTCCCTTGGTATGGTCCTGCCTTCCCTTTCTAATATTTTCTGCTTTAATTTCCCTTTACCCAATCAAACCACAGTCAAACCAAATGACTAGCTGTCCTCTCTTCCTCTGTGCTTTCCCATCTCCATGCTTTTACTCAAGCCATTCACTCTACCGGAAATGACCTTACCCCTTCCTCACACCAAATTCAGAAGCCTTGATCCTGCCATCTTTCTCAGGCCAGCTCAAGTTCTTCTCTTGCTTTTGTGGCTGGAAGTAATTTCTCCCTCCTGCAAACCTTTATAGCACTCTCTTAGTATATTTCTCATGAACTCATCACTTTTTACTTTGTAATATCATTATTAATATTTGACTCTCATTTGCTCCTCTAGACTGAGTGAAGGATCTATGACTGATTCACCATTTTGTCTTCCACAGAGCCTAGCTTCTAACTGAAGCTAACATAGATGTAAGAATGCTAGATTTTGAAAGAACACATAGTTAAATTTTAATTTCAAATGGAGAAAAAATAATTTTTAAGTATATTTGGATACTTTTACATATTCAAATATTATATGAAACATACTTACATTAAAAAATCTTCATTCTTTATGTAAAATTCAAATTTAACTAAGTGTCCCATATTTTATCTAGCAATCCTCCCAACAAACTCTTATCAAGTAGTTTTTAAATAAGTGAATTGCATCTCAGTGGTTCAAATCTGCAACTACGGTATCATTAGCACTGGCTGAAGTAACTTCAAATAGTAGTAAATTAAGATAGCTTTGAAAAGAATCATAGTGGTAATTTAGTCCAATCTTCTAGCTTGTGGATTATTTTTTTAAAAAGAGATCTCTCAGAGACTTGCTCCAAATCACACAACTAACACTCAATTACACACCTCTTTAAAATTGGAACTTAAAAATACAAAGTAGAATCATCAAAACGTCAGAGAGCTATAAGGATGAAGAGAGCTTCTGTATACTTAAACTGTACTTCTGTATTTGCTCATTCACTCATTTGAGACTGGCATTAGCAGCTCTATCAGTCCTTGTTTTTCTGGTATACAATCAGGGGTTCCCAAACCCCCAGCTGCAGACAGGTACCGGTCTGTGGCCTGTTAGGAACCAGGCCACACAGCACGAAGTGAGTGGCGGTGAGTGAGCATTACCACCTGCCTGAGCTCCATCTCCCATGAGATCAGCTGCACATTTGATTCTCAAAGGAGTGTGAACCCTATTGCAAACTGCTCATGCGAGGGATCTAGGTTGCACACTACTTATGAGAATCTAATTAATGCCTGATGATCTGAGGTGGAACAGTTTCATCCCAAAACCAATCCCCCCACATATCCAACGCCCTTGACATCCAACTCCTGCTCCCCCAACCCATCCCATGGAAAAACTGTCTTCCAAAAATGAGTCCCTGGTGCCAGAAAGGTTGGAAACCCGCTGGTCTACATGTCTCTCTATACATTTGTACACACTGTTTCAAATTGTAAAGTCTTAAGAGTCAGTGACTGTCCTATCTGGTCACTGATTAATCTTGCCTGGTTAATGAAATGTGATTATAAAAGGACCCCCAAGATATATTCATAGAACCAGGGAAGACATAAGTAAAATGATCTAGGTCAGAATTTTTATTTCCTGCACTTCTGGCAGCAATTTTCTTCCCTAAATCGCTGGTACTTCTCCTTAGGATACTCAGGGGCTCCTGCCTGTCAGGCTTCTTTGCTTGCAAGGCCTTCTCTCTCTGGCACTTCTTCCTTTCATCAGAACTTTCCTGTCCTGCTCTTATCTGCTCACCAGGTGGGAAAACAGCTCGAGAAACTAATCTGAGCAAAGGTGTTAAAGGCTGACATGGATTTAATAGGTTTAATATGCATCTTCTCCAAGAAGCAGGTCAAATGTCATACTTTCTGTGAAGATTACTCATTTCCAAGGAGGCTAACTGCTTCCTCCTGCAAGCTACCACCACACTTCTATCAACCTTCTAGTAAAGTACTTCTCTGGCTGAAGTTTAATTTGCTGTATATTAATATGCACACACAATGTCTCTTTTCATGTTTATACTGCCAGCACCTACTATAGCATCTACTTCATAATAGGCAATCAATATATATTTGTTAAGTAAGTGTTTTGTTAACTTGATTTAAACAGGTGATCCCTAGATGTTTAATAGTCAATACAATGATTCTTCAATGATTACCAGGGCCACACATTGGGAATAATCAGTAAAGAAGTTTTTAAGGTCTTGGTCTAACAAGTAGTCTTCAATTGTGTGTAGCATTTCAGTAATAGCATTATTATTGGTTCAAGAGTGTTTATAAGATAGAGCGTTATAAAACTTGAACTACTTGGTTTCTTCTACTTATTGTCTCCAACCATGCTATCTTAAACTTTTCTCTCTCATTTTCTTTAATGCCATCCTGGCCAGACCATATAACTTTCTGGTTACTTATAATAATTAAAATATAGATTTGTCTAGTTTAAAACAGAAGGGGAGAAGATAAAGTATGGCACGCTTTTTCACTCCTTCCTTCCCTCTTTCTAGGTCTGTTTCTCTGAAGTTAGGGGCAGGAAGGAGGAACAGAAAAATCATAGGTCATCTTACAAAACCATCCATATACTGGACTGAGATGTAAGGCTTTTCTGGAATGATCCTGGTCTGGAATTTTGGAATGGCTGTGTGCTGTCCTGGTGGCTTCTGTTGGTTTGGTGGTCTCTGTAAGGACAGAGTGCTCACTTTCAGAAGTGTCTAGTCATCCTAAAGCTACTAGCTCTCCATCCCTGCTGCAATCTTTTTTTCCGTGTGGGGGTTCCCTCTCTTTGCCCTGTGGCTGTATGAGCTGCTCTAGAGATTCCGCACCCCACCCCAACCACTGTATCTTTTCACACAGAGCTTCAGAAACTATTGGTCCTCTTTCAAGTAGTCATTACTTTGGTGGCTTGCAGCCCTACACACTACACTAGTAAGCTTTCTGCCTGCAGAACATCTAAATGATTAATAAGTACTTTCCCCCATGTTTGCAAACACACTCCTCCCCCAAATTCCTTGACAAGCTCTCCTAAGGATTCTCTCTTCATGCTCCACTGTACTCCAATGGGAGCTCTACAGTGGGCCTGCAGGTTCTACAGATCAGAAAGGAACAAGAAGAAAGACTCTCCCTTTTGTTTGCATCTCTATCTACTATGATTCTCTTGTAGCACATTCCCCTCACTTGACTATCCTCTTAGCCAACTGTTCTTAAGTAGGGTCACTAGTCCTCAGCTGGTCAGCTTGGAGAACTGCTACAAAACTGTGCTCCAGGGTGCACCTTCTGCTGCTGGCATATAGCTACCTTCAGATCTGCTATGGAGTCTATAACACAGATTATTAAAAGTTGGCTATACAACTGTTTCTTATTTTTTTTAATCTTTTTTATGACTATACATCTTAAACAGTTTCACCATTAGAAAACTATCATGTTATCTGAAAACTTGGGGCTTGGGTACATTTTAATCATTTCTACAATGCTATTCCGTTATTCTCATTTCAATTTTATCTTGTATATTCACTACATGCACAGCTTTAGAATTCACAAACACTGTCAGTCCTGGGTAAATGAGGATAATCCTCTATGTGCTGTTGACTGAAACCTTACCTTCCTCTGTGAGAGACCCGAAGTGTCACCAATTCAGTTAACTTTCTCCTTTTTCCCTCTGAAGATATCCAGACAGTGCTTTTTAAGCGCTCTGTTTCTAAGAAAAATAAAATGAATCGCATGTACTCAGCATGTTGCACTCAAAGAGCATTGGTAATATAAAAATAAGTAATTAGTACTCAGTTTTCAAAGGAGGTAAAAATCCAGGAATTGCATTTTGTTCTGAGGCAAGCTGGTATATTTGCCCTGGTTTGAGCCATCAGGCTATTTATATAGATCCTGCCCAGGAAGGCCTCTGGCTCATGATGCTGTGAGCCATGTTTTATGGGTTGAATTGTGTCCTCTAAAAGAGATATGTTGAAATCCCAATCCCAAATACTTCAGAATGTGACCTTATTTGTAAATAGGGTCTTTGTAAAGGAAATCAAGTTAAACTGAGGTCATTAGGTTGGGTCTTACTCTAATATAATATGACCAATGTCCTTATTAAAAAAAGGAAATTTGGACACAAAAATACACACAAGAATGCCATGTGAAGATAAAGGATATTGGGGTGATAAATCTACAAGCCAAGGAATGCCAAAGATTGCCAGCAAACCACCAGAAGCCAGGGAGAGGCATGAAACCGATTCATCCTCACAGCCCTCAGAAGGCATCAACCTTGCTGATATCTTAATCTAGTACTTCTAGGCTCCAGGACTGTGAGACAATGAATTTCTGTTGTTTAAGCTACCTAGTTGGTGATACTTGTTATGGCAGCCCTAGCAAACTGATGCATTATACCTTAATTCTAATCTCCTAATTTCTGAATTATATATATTCTGAATATATAAAAAGGGCTCCCCTCCCACTTGGGAACAACTCCTATAAGAGGTGAGGGCTGAAACAGAGGGAAGACCTACTGAGATTCTGATATGGGATAAGGTTCCTCAAAGCATGGTTTTCCTGCCCTTAGATCTCTAGCTGCTATCTCTCTCTACCACATCCCTCTTCTAAGTCAAAGAGATGACAATGTCAAGTAAAAATTGATTCTAGTAGATCCTCTACTTATTTTCTTCTCTGAAATGAAATAATTTTCTTCCACATAAATCTAGGGGTCTACATTGCCAAGTGGTAAAATAGTTGGAGAACTTAACAATGTCTTCTCAATTTTATGTGTGACATGAAAGTGAGAACTTTTTTTTTTAACAGAAAGGAAATATCAAATCATGTAGAAAAAGTCCCTCATTTTACTAAGCAGGAATCAATACCCAAAAGATTTCTAGTCCATTAATCCTTCCACTGGGTCCCATGCCGGTTAAGGATGGGAGACAGAGAAGCGTGCGGATTAGGAAAGTACTGTACTTCTGCAACTTAATGGCAAGTGAGATAACTTTGGCTTTAAGAGTAATAAAAAAAAAAGGAGCTTTAGTAACACATGATTGGTTCAGTGATGAGATCTGCGGCCAAAAGCAATGTCTAGTACATGAATCAGAAATTCTTGATACTACTCATCACTGAAGTACAACGGAATTTCAAAGGAAAGAAAAGAAGTAAATTAATATTTATTGACCACCTTCATTGTAACACTACTTAATATCCATTATCTCATTTAAACTTCACCACAGCAGCCTTATTAGTAACCATATTTTATAGAAGAATAAACTGAGACTTAAAGATGTTTAGAAACCTTATCCAGAAAATAATGAGCAGTAACTGGCAGAAATGAGATAGAAACTTACATCTGTATCAGCCTGCTAGGATAGCAGTTGTTCTTAACTCCATGAACAATCTGCATCCTAATCACTTGCAGAACTACTTTAAAGTGTGAGTTTAAAGTTCCTAAACCCAGAGATCCTGATTCAGTTGGTCTGTGGGTGGGGTCCAAAAATTTGAGTTTCAAACAAGTTCAGTATCACATTTAATTTTTACACAAGTCAGCAGTGTGCTACATTTAAAAAAGTTATTCTTTGAAAATGATTCTCAAGTGAATCTTAATCTTTTACATATTAGTTCAGATTAGTCACTATACCATAGAAACTGTGCCATTCTAAAATAGAATGAAAATAACCCCTCCCCATTTCAGTGTTTACCAGCATATTGTGTGACACAATAAGTAATAAGTTCCAACTATGAGATTATTTGAATAAGTACAAGGAAAAGTTAGACACTGACACAGGATGGACAATGTTGTACTTTGACAAATAGAAACATTTAAAAATTATCATCTATTATAATCATCTAGAAAAAGAGATAACACAAAAAATATAGGAAAGGCATAATATTAAACTGTTTTATAAGCCAAATAAATTTAGTTTTATAAAAAACTTACTTCACTGTCCTTATTTTTCTCATTTAAATTAACAAAACTTCATCAGGAACCAAAACAGGTCAATGGATTGAGCCATGCCAATAGTTCACTGTCATGAGAATAAAAAGTCCAAATAAGACTCAGTCTTTGACTTTAAAGGTATTGCAATTTAATTGAGATAATCAAATTTACCTGCATGAAATGACTCAAAACCAATATAAAATAGTACATAATTATGTACAGGCATACCTCAGAGATATTGCAGGTTCAGTTCCACACCACTGCAATAAAGTGAGTATCACAATAAAGGGAATGACACAAATTTTTTGGTTTCTCAGTGCATATAAAGAGTTATGTTTACACTATAGTCTGTTAAATGTACAAAAATATTATGTCTAAAAATACACAAATCCTAAGTTAAAAATACTTTATTGCTAAAAAATGCTAATGCTCATATGAGTCTTTAGTGAGTCATCATCTTTTTGCTTATAGAGGGTCTTGCCTTGGTATTGATGACTACTGACTGATCAGGGTGATGACTGATAGGCTGGGTGTAGTGGTTCATGCCTGTAATCCCAGCACTTTGGGAGGCTGAGGCAGGAGGATCACTTGAGCTGGGGAGATAGAGGTTACAGTGAACTATGGTAGTGCCACTGCACTCCCACTTGGGTGACAGAAAAAAAAGCGGGGGTGGTGGTTGCTGAAGGTTTAGGTGGCTGCAGCAATTTCCTAAAATAAGACAACAAATGAAGTTGGCCACATCAGTTGACTTTTCCTTTCATGAAAGATTTCTCTGTAGAATGTGATGGTGTTTGATAGCATTGTACCCATAGAACTTCTTACAAAATTGGAGTCAGTACTCTCAAACCCTGCCACTGCTTTATCAACAAAGTTTTGTAATATTCTAAATCCTTTGCTGTCATTTCAACAATGTTTAGAGAATCTTTACCAGCAATAGATTCCATCTAAGGAAACCTTTTTTTTTTTCTTATCCAAAAGAAACAACTCGTCATCCATTCAAGTTTTATTATAATATTGCAGCAATTTAGTCACATCTTCAGGTGCCACTTCTAATTCTAGTTCTCTTGCTATTTCCATCACATCTTCAGGTGCTTCCTCCACTAAAGTCATGAAGTCATTCATAAGGCCTGGAATTAACTTCTTCCAAATTCCTATTATAATAAATTGACATTTTGACCTCCTCCCATGAATCACAAATGATCTTAATGGCATCTAGAATGGTGAATCCTTTCCAGAAGGTTTTCAGTTTACTTTGCCATATCTATAAGAGGAATCACTGAAGCAGGTCTAGCCTTATGAAATATATTTCTCAAATAATAAGACTTGAAGTTTGAAATTATTCCTTGATCCATGGGCTGCAGAACAGATGTTGTATTAGCAGGCAAGAAGCAATATTAATCTCCTTGTAAATCTCAATCAGGGCTCTTGGGTGACTAGGAACATTATTAATGAGCAGTAATATGAAATAAATCTCTTTTTTCCAGTCTCGACAGAGTCTCAATAGGGAGCTTAAAATATTCAGTAAACCATGCTTTAAATAGATGTGCTGTCATCAAGGATTTGTTGTTCCATTGACAGAGTAGAGGCCGAGTAGATTCAGCATAATTCTTAAGGGCTGTAGAATTTTCAGAATGGTCAGTGAGCACTGGCCTCAACTTAAAGTCACCAGTTGCATTATCCCCTAACAAGAGTCATTCTGTCCTTTGAAGCTTTGCAGCCAGGCAATGACTTCTCTTCTCTAGCTATGAAAGTCCTTAGATGGGCCAGGTGCGGTGGCTCACGCCTGTAATCCCAGCACTTTGGGAGGCCGAAGCGGGCGGATCACGAGGTCAGGAGATCAAGACCACGGTGAAACCCCATCTCTACTAAAAAATACAAAAAATTAGCCGGGCGCAGTGGTGGGTGCCTGTAGTCCCAGCTATTCGGGAGGCTGAGGCAGGAGAATGGCATGAACCCGGGAGGTGGAGCTTGCAGTGAGCAGAGATTGCGCGACTGCACTCCAGCCTGGGCGACAGAGCAAGACTCCGTCTCAAAAAAAAAAAAAAAAAAAAGGCCTTAGATGACATCTTCTTTCAAAAGAAGGTGTTTTGTCTACATTGAAAATCTGTTGTTTAGCGTAGTCACTTTCATCATCTTAGCAAGATTTTCTGCATAATCTGTTGCAGCTTCTGCCTTAGCACTTGCTGCTTCACTCTACACTTTGTATTAGTCCATTTTCATACTCCTATAAAGAACTGCCTGAGACTGGGTAATTTATAAAGAAAGAGGTTTAATTGACTTACAGTTCAGCTTGGCTGAGGAGGCCTCAGGAAACTTACAATCATGGCGGAATGCAAAGGGGAAGCAAGGCACCTTCTTCACAAGGCAGCAGGAAAGAGAAATGCCGAGCAAAGGGGGAAGAGCCCCTTATAAAACCGTCAGATCTCATGACAACTCAATATCACAAGAACAGAAGGGGGGAAATCACCCCATAATCCAATTACCTTCACCTGATCTCTCCCTTGATACATGGGGATTATGAGGATTATAATTCAAGACCAGATTTGTGTGGAGACACAAAGCCTAACCATAACACACTTGTATGTTATAAAGATGGCTTCTTTCCTTAAGCCTCACAAACCAACCTCTGCTAGCTTCAAACTTTTCTTCTTCCTCCTGTCTGTCAGCCTTCATATAATTAAAGAGAGCAAGTGCCTTGCTCTGGATTAGGCTTTGGTTTAAGAAAATGTTGTGGCTGATTTGATCTATCCAGACCACTCAAACTTTCTCCATATCAGCAATATGGCTGTTCTGCTTTCTTATCATTTGTGTGTTCACTGGACAAGCACTTTTAATTTCCTCCAAGAACTTTTCCTTTGCATTCACAAATTGGCTGTCTGGCACAAGAGGCCTAGCTTTTGGCCTATCTTAGCTTTTGATATGCTTTTCTCACTAAGTTTAATCATTTCTAGTTTTTATTTTAAGTGAGACATTTGACTCTTTCTTTCACTTGAAGGCTTGGAGGACATTATATGGTTATTAATTGGCCTAATTCAAATATTGCTGTGTCTCAGGAAATAGGGAGGCCCAAGGAGAGGGAGAGAGATGGGAAAATGGCTGGTCAATGAAGCAGTTAGAACACACTCAATATTTACTTATTAAGTTTGTTCTCTTATATGGGTGGTTCTTGGTGCCCCAAAACAATTATAATAGTAACATCAAAGATTACCGATTGCAGATCACCATAATAGATATATAATTAAAAAGTTTAAAATATTGAGAGAATTACCAAAATGTGACAAAGACACAAATTGAGCACATGCCACTGTTAACAATGGCACTGACAGACTTGCTCAATGTGGGGTTGCCACATACCTTTAATTTGTCAAAAATGCAGTATCTGCAAATCATAATGAAGTGAAGTGCAATAAAACAAGATATGTGAAGTGCAATAAAACAAGATATGCTTATATATAATTGATATGGTTTGGCTTTGTGTCTCCACTCAAATCTCATCTTGAACTGTAATCCCCGGGTGTTGAGGGAGGGACCTGGTGGGAGGTGGCTGGATCACGGGGGTGGTTTCCTCCATGCTGTTCTCATGATAGTGAGTGAGTTCTCATGAGATCTGATGGTTTTATAAGGGGCTCTTCCCCCTTGGCTTCCTTCACTTGCTCTCTCACCTGCTGCCATGTAAGACATGCCTGCTTCCTCTTCCACCATGATTGTAAGTTTCCAGAGGCCTCCCCAGCCATGCTGAACTGCGAGTCAACTAAACTGCTTTTCTTTATAAATTACTCAGTCTTGGGCAGTTCTTTATAGCAGTGTGAGAACGGACTAATACAATAATTATGTGGGACAGATAGTAGTTATATGTAATGGGAGACTAAATAAAAGAAAGATCTGTATGAAGTGAAGTGGAAACTAAAGGACTGGTGAAAGAAGTGGTAGCTGAACTAAATTTGGCTAGGTTGAAAAGAGGGCAAAGGGAATCCTAAATGGAAAAGGAGCAAGGCGCACAGGGTAGAAGTAAGCTACTGAAAACGACAGTGATATGAACCAGGATTGTTTAAGGAAACTAGCCTGATTAAAGCAGAGAATACATTTTAAACAGTACTGGATGATTAGGTTAGATAAAAAAGGTAGATTGTGATGATGTGAAAAATGGATTAGTAGACAGGAATCTGGACTCCAGCAGATATAAGAGCATTATATTTTCGCACACAGGGAAGAATCCAAAGTGAAAACATTATTTTGTACTGGTAAGTAATCTGTCCTAACTTTTGGTTGTGAAAACACAGGGTCTGACAAGTGCATGTATTCAATGAATTCTGGTTGATGGCATGATGGCTATTGTATTTGTAATCCACACAAAACCTCTGCAATACCTGCCAAGTCTGATTTATCTTGAGATTAGAATCTTAGTTTAAACTTCTACTTTCTACTTAGCTAATCACCTGCATGGTTTACCATTCTACTTTCTGTCTTTCAACCTAAAATAAAAATATAACAGGGTGAAATAAAATGTACTAATTCCCCATATAACGTTACACCTGAGCTGTGGTAAGGGGATAAACAGTGACTTCAGATAAATAGTTCAATATCAATTGGGGTAGAAATGTCTCTTAACACAACATAGTCTGGTTTATTCTAAAGAAATAATGTCAAAATTATGTTATTATAAATTCCTCATGCAGAAAAATAGTTATTTTCTTTAAAAAAAATTAATCCTCAGGGTAGAATATGTGGTTAAATGTGTTTTGTTTTAGTTAATACTAACTCTAGGAGAAAATCTTCAGAAAAGCCCTAGCCAATGAACAGAACTAGAGGCAACTGCAATCAACAAATCACTAAGCTGTGAAATATTTAACACAAAGGAAGAAAACTGAGAGAGAACTTTATTCTCTCTTTGGAGTGATAGGAGATTCTAGGAAAGAAAGGGATGGGAGAGACCCTAGAGGCTTCCAGAGGAATAAAATAGAGTCAGGAATGAGACAATACATATGTAGGGCATCTCTGAAGGCCTAGAAGGTCTGTGTAAGACTGCCAACCCACCCAAAGGCTTATGGAGGGAGAGAGACACATAATCCCTTGAACAACAAAGCATAGCAAAGAAATTCAAAGTATCCAACCAACTAAACCCTTCCCCACAGAACTGAGGAACCCTTCATAGGTCTATATCTTTTGTGTTGTACTGTAGGGAAGTGGTAGAATAGTAGGTATCTAAGGATACAATCCTTTCTAGAAGGATTCAGGGATAAAATCTGTAGAACATAAAAAGGGTCTGCTGCACAGGTTACAAAAATTAACACTGCCTCCACCAGTGTAAGCGTTTGAGATTAGGAAGCACAGTAGAGGAGCTAGGGACAGAGCTTCTAACATTAATTACTTGGGTTCAACTTTTGTCTTCCTGGTTTCCTAGATATGTGACCTTGAGCTAGTTGTTCCAGTTTTCTTTAAAGTAAATAAGATATATATGTGTGTGTGTGTGTGTGTGTGTGTGTGTGTGTGTTTATAAATGGAATAGGAAGAGAAACTACTTCATGCAGTTGTTGTGATAATTAAATGAGGTAATACATGGAGAACACCTGGCATCTGGTACATCTTCTGCAAATATGCACTATCATTATTATAAAATATTGTATAAAGGTGTATAAATGGAAATTATCTTAATGGATTGTCCTAGGAACAATATTCAGGTAATAATTTTGAATATATATGGTCAAACTGTGTTTACCAGGTTGAATTTGCTTAATAAAGAGTAAAGAAAAACTGGCAGCTGATTTTTCCAAAGACTAAAGATGAAATGAGATAATATTACTTGGTACTTATATAGAAATGCATAGACTTAGACCCCTTTTTGAGAAAACAGGATTTGAAAAAGATATAGAGAACTTAGAAGTGATTTTCTCCTAAGGGTCCATATTAGAAAATGTACTCTAGACAATATAAATCACTATCATAAAGAATTCATGAGAATGATAACATGGCACCAGAACTGTGACAAAACACCAACAAAACAAAACAACAACAACAACAACAAAAAAAACCTACTTATCCCCAAATTTTTCTGATTTATGATAGTTATTATGAGTTTCATTTTTTAAAAATTCCCCTTCTGCTATGGCATGAATATTTGTGTCTCCCCAAAATTCATATTTTGAAATTCCAACTCCCAAGGTGATATTAGGAGGTGGGGCCTCTGAGAAATGATTAATTCATGACAGGGGAGCCTTCATGAATGGGACTAGTGCCCTTAAAAAAGAGGTCCAACAAAGCTCATTCATGCCTTCCATTATGCGAGGGCACAGCTAGAAGATGCCATGTATGAACCAGAAAGCAAGCCCTCACCAGACATCAAAGCTGCCAGGGCCTTGATCTTTCCAGCCTCCAGAACTGTGAGAAATACATTTCTGTTGCTTTTAAGGTACCCAGTTTGTGGCAGCTTGTTACAGCAGCCTGAACGAACTAAGACACCCTTCTAAAATGTGTTATAACTAACTAATTAAAAATTAGAGTACAATCACTGCTCGGGTGACAGATGTACTAATATCTCAGAAATCACTAATAAAGTATTCAATCATGTAACCAAAAAGGACCTGTGCCCCAAAAACTATTCAAATAAAATTAGACTACATTAAGATCAGTATTTTTCCTGAGAATCTCATTAACTCATTTGAAATAACTGAAAAATAGCACTGGATATTGTAATACTAATATTGAAAATATACAGAATATAAAAATTGAAGTTAGGCCGGGTATGTTGGCTCATTCCTGTAATTCCAGCACTTTGGGAGGCCAAGACAGTAGGACTGCCTGAGGCCAGGAGTTCGAGATCAGCCTGGCCAACATAGTGAGACCCCATCTCTACAAAAGAAAACTGAATTTTAAAAAGTCACATTGACCAAAAAATTTTAAGAATATCTAATTTGTTTCAGCTGATAATTCCTAAGGTTCTCTATACTAACTATATTAAAATAATAGAGTTTGCTGTGAAAGTTGGGGAAATGATACTAGAGAGGTTAGAGTTTAATATAGCAACTTTTTGCTTCCTTGGATCTTGTTTAGAGCTCATCACAAATTAGCAAAGAATAGGTACTTTATAGTTCCAAACTAAGAATTCCATGCGAGTCCTTAACAAAGATACTGTATTGCAAATGTACAGCTCAGTTCTGAAATCCACTAATAAAGATGAACACAGCTGAGAAGTCAAGTGGATTAACAGGCTTGTAATGATGAAAGGGTAATAAAAAGCAGATAGCTATTTTGAATTCAACGCTATTTTTCTTCTTAACCCTGGGCTCTAAACATGTATTCTAATGCCAATAAATTTAGAATCTAATTTTTTTCATCCAGAACATTGTGTTCAATGTTTATCACTCTAATTTACTTTTATGAATGAAAATGAAATAAAACTTTCAAACTATGTAAGGTTAACACTAATGCAACAGCGCCACCCAGTGAATATGCTGTATATTCAAAAGTGTTACTAGAATTTACCATTTTCTTTAAATACTAGCGTACTTTCAAAATATCTATGGCCTCAACCATTTATATAAAATTATACACTACAATACTAACTCAAAAATATATAAAAGCATTACGCATTTTTACTTACCCATTTATAACTACAGTTAAGATGTGCTTTCTGATATTTGTGATTAAAGGGTTTTGCATATTAAATGCTACCTATGTCAGCAAGCTAGAAATGTTGGCTGATAGGAGAGACGTATCATTATTTCCTCTCATATGAAACATTAGGCAGGTATAAAACAATGACACTTGTTTGCTTTTGCAGATTTTGTATATATCGCATAATACAGTACATAGTTTCAAAGATTTTGTCTCATGCCCTTAATATAAAATGTGTGTTCATAATTTCACTTCATCTTGCTATTACTGTTCATAATTCATATAAGTGAATTGAATGATGGCATCAATAATACAACCATAGAATTTGTAAACCAATCAATAACGTAATGTGGTGCTTGAGCACAGGAGTTTGAGGCTGCAGTAAGCTATGATGACACCAGCCTGGGCAACACAGTGAGACCCTATCTCAAAAAAAAAAAAAGCTAATATGATATAATATCAGATAGCATTTTAATATTCCACTCTATAGTGACTAGAACATAGTTGGAATATTGCTTTCGGTATTAAGTCCACAAAAATCTAATAGAACACTTTTTATGTCATCTTTTTATTTCTCAGGAAATAGAAATACATTGGAGGAAAAGGCAAAAAGAACTAAAATATATTCAACAAAAAGAAAATTTCTTTTTCACTCTGACCTGCTAGTTTCCCTCCTCAGAGGCTACTACTATTACTTTGTTAGACGCATCATGTCTCAAAAGGAGTTCAGTTCAACAACAAATACTAATTGAGTGTGCAGTTTGTACCAGGCATGGTGTTAGGTGTTGGAGCATCAAAGGTCATTAAGAACCAGCCCTGTATAATAGTGGAGACAGGCACAAAACAGATCATTTCAATATAACATAAACTTTTTTTTTGTAAGTATGCAAAGAATCCATCTCAGACCTCTCTTTTTGAGTTTCAGAATCATTCATCCAATTGCCATGTATCTGGACATTGTCATGTGTATGTTTCACAGGCATGTTGAGCTAGACATGTTTAAAACTGAATCACCAGTTACCTCCCAAGTGAGTCTGCCTCTGTGTTACCTAAATCAGAGACTGGCATCCCATTTATCTGGGTACTCAAGCCAGAAAATTTCACTCGTACTTATCAAGCATCTCCAGCGTATAAAGATTTGTGCTAAGCTGTGGATACATGACAGCAAATAGGGTAGTCCCTGTCTTCACCAAAGCTTGTTTAAGAAACTCTATCCTTGATTTCTCCCACTTCTGCCCTCACAATTCAGTCACCAAGTTTTGCCACTTCTACTTCCTAAAATTCTTCTGAGATCTATTTCTATCCACACTGGCAATGCCCCAGTATAAACTGCCATCTTTCTTTCCCTGGATTACTACAATTATCTCCTAACTGGTTTCCTTCTTGCTGGTATTGCTGCCCTTTGAGTTCTTTTTCTCAGAGTAGCGATTCATCATCTAAATACTAACCTAATCATGTTGAAACCATTCAAAGTTACTATTAGCCTTAAGAAGGAGTCCAAACTTTGTGACATCATCACTAATGTTCTTCATGATCTGGTCCCTGTTTACCTCTCCACCCCTGTCTAGAATCTCTCAGTTCCTAGACTGTGTTCTTCTTCATAAACATTGTTAGCCTCTATCTAGAATACTTGTTTTTTACCCTTTCAATTCCTAGCTATTATCAAGCATGGAGCCAATAAGACTGAACTGCCTTTTTTTTTTTCTTTTTTCCCTATGAGAATGTAAACTCTGTCAGGAAATTATTAGATTGGTTATTGCCATATTTGCTTGTTCATTATTATATTTCTAGTATCTAGCTCAGTGTCTGGCACAAAATAAGGGTTCAATGAATATTTTCTGAATGAACCCACAAATGTCAAGAAAGCAGAGAGAAAAGTCAACTAACTCAGACTATGGAACAAGGAAAGGCTTCTTGCAAGAGCCCTAAAAAATTAGTAAGGATAAGGAAGAGTCAGCCAAAGAAAATAAAGATAGTCCAGACAAAGTCAACAAGAATGCAAAAGGTCTCAGGTGTAAAGCAGCCTCATGAATGCGAAGTGGGTAGGATGGGAGATGGTACTGGAAAGGGAAACAAGACTGGGAAGGAAAACAGTGGCAAGATAATGAAGACCCTAGCACACCAGGCCATGGAGTTGGACTATCTTGAAGGTGACTGCAGAGGAAGATTAGAAATTTAAGGAGGCAAGTGAAATAGATTTACATTTGAGACTGGTCATTCTGGCTGCTACTTACAAGATGGATTTGGCGGTGTAGGTGGGGGTGGTAGTAGTTATGGCTGAAAGCAGTGAGATGAGATAGAATTGGGAGTACAAATGAAAGCAAAGGACAAATTAGAGTTTGAAGGGCTCGTGAGCCTCCCGAAAGTCGGAACTTCAAGGAACAGGTCAGGAATAGCAGTAGTTTTAGAATCCATGAGCAAATAGGTTAAAACAATGAGTGGACAGTGCTCACAGGGAAGATACAGACAGAAAACAACTCAAGGTTGGAACTTTGGGAAATACTATTTAATGGGTAGGCAGAGAAAAAAAGACCCCCAAGAAGCATGAGACAGGTAGAAAAAGATGGGAGAAATGCAAAACGAGTTTCAAGGAGGGTTTAATCAATGATACCAAATGCAAAAGAGAGGTCTAGAACAAGAAACAGTGGTCATACATTGGTGGAGGAAGTACATTTCATTTTCTGAGACAGACAAATAAGACAGGTGGATATATGTGGCATTGACAGAAGTGGAGAGGGAGGAAGTTATATATTGTATGATGGCTTTAATTTTCTCAATTAACTGGGAAAAAAGTACTGGGATTGTGTGTGGCCCCTATGGAATCTCTATTCATAAGAATGGGTGCCTGATGGGAAGTAGAGTGTAGGATCCAGTCTTAGTATTTCACCTATTCCTACCACATTAGACCAAGTGAATCAACTTTTTGTCCCTATTGATCTGTTAAAGTAGAAATAACAATTTGGAAACCCTGTCACTTAAAAAAAGAGATTTGTTTAAAGCACTAGATATCACAGCATCACCACTTGCATTAAAGTCCTAGCTGCAGGCTGCCATGGTCTCTTTGGAACACCCCCATCTTGTCACTCAAAGGTCCACTCAGTCCTGATAGGTCTGTCATCCAGAATTTAAAGTGCAGTCTAGAAAAGGAACATGAAATTAAAATTAGAAAGGCAATAGACACAACAAATTGCAGATGCATACGAATGTGTTATGTGCTTGAAACACACCTTTAAGACCACTCTGGTCACTTTCTATTAAAGAGAGGAATTTAGGTTGGGAAGAGGAATGAAGAAAGGGTAAAGTTTGTGAGAAATCACTGAAAGTTACAGGACAGGGAAATTACTGATGATAAATTAAAGGATTGTCAGGAATCAGGGAAAGAGCTGAAGATGGAGACTGACAATCTGTCATATATCACTTTGTGTCATTTTCTCCAGTGTTTCCAGCTAAGAATTTATAGACAAGATGCACGGATAAGATTTTGACAGGCACCTGGGTCAGAGGCATCAGACACAGGAAGTTTGGATGCTGATAAACCATGCAGTCTAGGCTGTGAAGGGAGGTATTAGCAGGAGGGCTGTCAGGGAAAATGAAATAGTAGGGCAAATGTAGCACATGTGAGGGTACAAAATTATGATGCTACAATCAGAAAGAATACTAAAGTTTTCTGCAATAGTCTGTGTTTTTATGGGTGATAACAAAACTCTTAGACTAATGTCTAGGTTGAGAATTCTGATGTTCCACCTTCTACCTTACACTGACCAGTATCAGGCAACTAAAAGTTTTAAAAAGTCAGATTTAACCTTCTAATTAAGGTAATTTGAATAAACACTCATTTTTTAAATAAATAATTTACTTCTAATATAACTCAATTTATCACATCAATAGTAATATTAACCCCCAAATAAACAATATTTATTGTTGATATAACAAAATGGTTGTCTTGCTCTTTTCTTCCTTTGCCTCATTTTTCTCTTTCTCCATGGTCCATTCTAATCTTGGCTTTCACATAAATCGCTTGGTTTTTTTTCTAGATTCTCAACGACAATTTAGACATTTGTTGAGCACTTGCCACTTGCAAGGTATTTTCCTAGGGACCATGTATAAATAATAATAGTCAAAATAACAGCTAATACTTTTCAAGTACTCACAATTTTGCCAGGCACTTAATTAAGCACTCTACAGGAACTAATTCACTTAATCTTCATGATACCGTATAAAGCAGATAGAACTGTCACCCTATTTTAAAGATGCAGAAACGAGCTCAGTTAGGTTAAATAGCTCGCCTAAGTCCACCTAGGTAGTAAATGGTGTGATCAGGGATTTCAATCCAACTCCCTTTGACCGTAGAGATGTGCTCTCAGTCACTACGCTATGGTTCCCTTCCCTGCCTCTAAGGACATATAATTTGGTGGAAATTATGCATGTATCAGTAATCAATTTGATTTGGCAAGTGTCAATGAGACAGGTCTCTTTTTTCTGCTTTCCTCACTGACTCTAATATTTTTTTAAAATCTATTTTCTTAATGTCCTTTTGGGTCTTACTAGATTCCGACTTTGAGACTTACATCAGTAAATAGACATTGAAAGGAAAGACAAAAGCCCTGAACTAATGATATGAAATGTATTTTTATTTAGAATTGGTATAGACTTCACTATCAATAGGTTTAGTTCTTCAGGACAGGACAAAGCAGCGGAATTTGTGTCTACATTCAATACAACCTTTCTAGCACTTTTTTCACATAATTCAGTTCAGGTTCCCCATCCAACACACGACTGTCACCAGATGATGCTCTACTCTGTGACCAGATACAAGTCCTATTACGTCTTCTCCTGTCCCAAACCTCAATAAAACTTAATGGCTTTCTCCCCTGACAACCAGGCCTGCCATGGCTTCCTAACTTGTGTTAAATGCAGTGTTTCCACTCTTGCCAAAACAAACAAACAAAATACCATGTAAAAAAATACAGATTTCAGGGCCCCTTATCTGAAGAATGCAACTCACTCAGGAATGTGCAAATTTGGGGAACAGTTCAGAGGTGAAAAGCACTGATCGAAGAGGGAGAAGCTAAAATCAGGAGACCTGGTTTCTACTTTACAGTCCCACTTACTGTATAACTTCTAACAAATCACTTCTCTCTGAGTCCAGTTTTCATATCGGTGAAAGCGAGAGGATTTGACCAGATGAACTGTTATGTTCCTTCCACCTCTTGAAGTCGTGCTTATGAGCACAGAGTCAGAGGATGTGTGTTCATATCCCAGCTATGCTACTTGTGAACTACTGTGCGCAGAGAACTGCATTCTCTGATTCAGAGCCCTCACCTGAGGGGATGATAGTATCTCTCCACTATCCCTTTTCTCCCCTTTAATGAAGTCTAAATGAGATGATGCTTATAAGCATCTAACAAAACCCGGCACATAATCAATGTTCAACAAGTTATTATTACTCTGGAATTCTATAAATTACCTCTGTACTTCCTCCCTTGTCACCCTGAACTTAGTGAAGTTTCCTTCACTTGGTTTTGCTCTTCAACTCGGACCCCGAAAACGCTCTAAACGCTGGCGGAAGTCACGCAGAGATGGGCTAGACGCTCAACCCCGGTCTCTTCCCCGAAACCGCGGTGCTCCCACTTCCTGCAGTCCGAGGTTCCGACTCGACGCCAGCTCCGCGAGCAATGGTTCCGCCCTGCGCCCTGCCCCTTCCATGACAACTCCAGTCCCACCTGCCTGGCGTCTCTTGAGCCCAACCGGCATCCGTCGCGGTTGGACGTGGGCTTGGCGGAATGGGGCGGGACTTCCAGTAGGAGGCGGCAAGTTTGAAAAGTGATGACGGTTGACGTTTGCTGATTTTTGACTTTGCTTGTAGCTGCTCCCCGAACTCGCCGTCTTCCTGTCGGCGGCCGGCACTGTAGGTGAGCGCGAGAGGACGGAGGAAGGAAGCCTGCAGACAGACGCCTTCTCCATCCCAAGGCGCGGGCAGGTGCCGGGACGCTGGGCCTGGCGGTGTTTTCGTCGTGCTCAGCGGTGGGAGGAGGCGGAAGAAACCAGAGCCTGGGAGGTGAGGGGCGGGCCCGTCGTTACTTTTTATTTGATGTTAGTCCCAGAAACAACCAGAGCTCAGTTCCTACTAAACTAACGGGTGTTTTCTGGTGCAGCATAGACCGAAGAAGACGAGCTTGAGCTGAAATTGTTCAAGTTAGGCATACATTTATGTGTGATTTTTGGAAAGGCGGTGGTAATGTGGTTTATTTGGCTGCAGATGCTTGTCAGCTTTTTACACATCTCCGTTGCCAAACGTTTCTTAACCAAATCCAAAACCATGAATGAAAAGGTAAAAATATCACACCTAATCCAAAATTCAAAGGAAAAGAGCAGCGCATATATAGCACTACGCATGCATAACGCCATCATTGTTCCTTTTAAAAGTTCAAGGAACGTTTTACTTAATTCATTGAAGTTGGGAGCCATTTCTGTTTATTTTTGTTTAATCTCTGCCTCGTGGAACTGTGATGTCCACAAATAGTTTATTTTAACAAAACGAAGTGTGTAAAATTTAACAGAGTACTTTTAGTACCTACTCACTCTGCTCAGCATCGTGGTGCTGCAAATAAATGAGAAACCAGATGAGTAATTATAGGTTAATCTTTGCTACTCGTTAGACAGAGTATTACTGCATATATATTAAGTCATTTATATACTTTATCCCACCTAGGAGCTCAAACTATGTAGTTGGAAAGTGTCTTCATCTCTCGTTAATGAATAAATTGTAACTGAAATTGTACTTCGAAAGAATGATAGAATTTGGATATTGGAGGAGGTTCCAAAAGGAAATACTGGAAGTTTGGGAAAGTTAGGAGACTAACTTGGAGCAGAAATTTCATTCAATTATTAAAGGGTTTAGAAGCCTAGCAGAAAAATTTGAATTTGATGTGGTGGGTAAGGTGAGTAATTGAAGTATTTTCATACAAATATTATATGATGCGTTAAGTGTTTTTATAAGGATTAATCTGATAGCAGAGTGCCAAACATTAGAGAAGAGAGGAACAAGTGATAATAATTATGAAGATACTTTACACCTACGCTTTCTATTGCAATACTCTCTAATTCAGATGCAGCTTTTTTGGAAAAGTGACTTTTTCTGAAGTCTTTCTTTGGTCCAGTCCTTTTATGAACAGTTTTTAAGGCTGTGACTTAGATGAAAATGTAGAATGCATATTTATGCTGAAGGGAACATCTAATATGTGATGCATCAGAATCTGGATTCCAAAAGATCCCAGCTCTGTGGCCTGGCAAGGTGGCTTATGCTTGTATCCCAGCACTTTGGGAGGTTGAGGTGGGAGGATCACTTGAGCCCAGAAGTTCAAGACCAGACTGGGCAACATAGTGAGACCCTATCTCCACACACACACAAATTAACAGGGCGTGGTAGTGTGTGCCTGCTGTCGTCCTGGCTACTTGAGAGGCTGAGGCAGGAGGATAGCTTGAGCCTGGGAGGTCGAGGCTGCAGTGAGCTGTGATTGTGCCACACTGCACTCCAGCCTGGATGACAAACTGAGACCCTGCCTCAAAGAAAAAAAAATAGACAAAACGTCCTAGCTCTAAAAGGAAAGCTTGCAATCATGAAATTTAATAGTAGAAAGTACAAATCCTTGCTTAAGTTTCAAATAATCAATTTATACAACAAGAACACAAGTGACACAGCAGATGGTGACCAAAAAAAAAGAGAGGGAAAGGGGGAAAAAAAGAACAGGGAGAAGCCGCCTTGATGCAAGACGGTCATGATGAAGTTCTTGGAGTTTCAGTTGATCAGTAAGTGCTACAGCAGAGGCCATTATACTGTGCCCTAGACCAACCATATCTGGAGTGTCGTGTTCAGTTTGGGCACTACATTTTAAGAAGACATTTACAAAATAGTGTGTGTTAGAGGAAGATGAATAAGATGGTAGTTTCTAAAACAATGTCATATAAGGAGTATTTTGAAGTTACATATAGCCATACATAAAGAAATTATACTTACTTTAAAGAAGGGAGGGCTTAGCAGAGGTGTAATAGCTTTCTTCATGTTTTTGAAAATGGTGTCATGTAAACAGAGATTAATATATTCTATTTAGTTGCAGTGACTACATAGGACCAGGAGGTAAAATTACCACAAAACATATTTCCACACACTATGAGGAAGAGTTATTTAATTTGGAACCATAATAAAGTGGGAAAAAGTTGCATTGAGAGTGAATTCTGTGATGTTGTCACATGTTCAAGTTGAATTGGGAAGTTATTTGTTAGTGGTTGTTTAGAATTGCTTCCATTTATTAGAGGTTAGGCAAGTTGCCAAAGCTCCCCTTTTTAACCCTAAAATTCTAAAAAAATTAGGAGCCTAAAGAAATAGATTGTCAGAATTGTGGCCCATTTCAATTTGTTTGCAAAATTGAATATATTCACATTGGGTCTCCGAGATCATTTTGCTTCACTGGAGAGTAGGGGATCTGAAGGTAACACAACAGGTATTTAAGGGAGTGGCTGAGAGCAATAACAGTGGCTGCTATTGCTGCTCATTTCTCTCTTGCTGTTACTACTGCTATTTTTGTGGTTACAGGGAGAGATATGAAGAAAATGAAAAGATCCTTACTTACCGGAATCTCACAATGTGGTGTCAGAGTTCTTTAAACATAATTCCAGTACATTGTAACAAGTATTATAACAGGGGTAAATGCAAGGCTCTAGGACAAGGTTTCTTTTCTTTTCTTTCTTTTTTTTTTTTTTTTTTGACACAGGGTCTCTGTCACCCAGGCTGGAGTGCAGTGGTGCGATCTCAGTTCATTGCAACTTCTGCTTCCCAGGCTCAAGTGATCCTCCCACCTCAGCCTCCCAAGTGGCTGGGACTACAGGCATAGGCCACCATGCCTGGCTAATTTTTATGTGTTTTGTAGAGATAGGGTTTCATCATGTTGCCCAGGCTGGTCTTAAACTCCTGGGCTCAAGCGATCCACATGCTTTGGCCTCCCAAAGTGCTGAGATTACAGGTACAGGGTTTTTTAACATCAGCATTTATTGACCTTTTGAACTGGATAATTCTTTGCTGTTGGGGGCCACCCTATACATCGTAAGATGTTTGGCAGCATCCCTGGTCTTTATCCACTAGATTCTAGTTGCACCCACACTCCTGTGCTGACAATCAAAAATGTCTTCAGCCATTGCCAGATGTGCCCTTGGTGATAAAGTTAGAGAACTACTACGCTAGGGGGACACAGGTAGGAATAACTCACTACGTGAAGACATTAGGAGAAATGGTTTTTTGTTTTCTTAAAATTCTCACTCTGGTGATAGGATTTCCTATCAATTATATCATCTATTCTTACTCAGTTTTTTTTCTCTCTTCTATTTGCATCTACAACCTTATTAGCCATCTCACTATATATGTAATGAATAGGATGTCAAAACTGAATACAATTTTTTATGCCCTATATTACTGTTGTTTATATATAGCTTCTGCTGATGATGTTGCCTATATGCCTTGCTTTGAGAATTAATTATTAGGATTGGTCTTGTTAAGCTCCGTGGCCCTCAAATGTAAAAGAGAAGCACGTGGTTTCTCATCTATCTATTCAACCAAAGTCCTCCTTCCCAAATGTGTTGTTCTCTTCCTACAAAAGAGAACGACACTAGAAAATTAGCAGAAAATAACTGTGTCACCTTAGAATAAAAGTAATTTTAGGATACATATATAAATACTTGTATTTATCTTACTAAGATATTTGATGATAGTTAACACTACTATGAATAGTTCAACTTTGGCTCATTTTGTCATTATGTTTATTAGTTTCCAGATAATGAGAACTACTGATCATGTGGTATTTCTCATTGTTTTTTCTTCCTTCAGATTAACAGGAAACTTCCAAGATGGAAACTTTGTCTTTCCCCAGATATAATGTAGCTGAGATTGTGATTCATATTCGCAATAAGATCTTAACAGGAGCTGATGGTAAAAACCTCACCAAGAATGATCTTTATCCAAATCCAAAGGTAAAAGGTGGTTACGTTTGCATGTGGATAATGGTATTTAGGGAAAAAGTAAGCTACTAGGTCTATTGTGTGGCAAGAAAGGGATATGGCCTCCTATTTGATGGAGACCAGTCATTTTCATTGAGAGAGAATCTCTCACCTAGCATAATTTAAAAATAACACTAAGTTTATATGTGTGGTGACTTCTACATTCCCATTAGGATTCAATTCTTTAATATAGTCGTTTTCTTAAAAAAAAAAAAGCTTCTAAACCATATTAAAGTATATTAAATTTTTTATTATTATTATTGGAATGGTGGTCTGAGAGTATCATTTATTGATAGGGCTTCAAGGAACTTATTCCAAGTGGTTTTCAACCACAAAAAATGCTTAGAAATAATCCTCTTTGGAAGCCTACAGATTAATTTTCATGCATTATGCCCCAGGGGGAATTGACTTGTTTTGACAGGTATTGTTTTTTATATCTTTAGTTATTAAATACAAAATGAACTATTTATGTGTCACAGAAAATCCCAAAGTCTCCTTCCAGTTTCTTGTGTTGGACTTGAAGTGATAACGTAGTAAAACCTGGTGTAATGGTGTAGAACTCAAACTTTCTGATGTCACTACCCTCTTTGATTCTCGAAAATGGAAGAAATACCTTAGAATAACTGATGTCTTCAAACTGAGTAAATTCAGCTTTCTTAAAAGATTACCACGTTTTCCCTATATTTCCCGTCTTAATGCTCACCCAATAAACTTGTATTAATATATGGATCAGAACAGATTCACAGGTCAGCATTTAGGAACTGCTGTTTTAGAAGATCCGGTTTTTAAAATTCTATATAACCCTATTACATTTATACCTCCTGATCAAGTGTTCCCTTAAACTTCAAATCTAAGGAAACCTTAATATCTATGGCAGCAAACAAGGTTTCCTGTGTTCACACACACACACACACACACACACACACACACACACACACACATTTTCCATGTGCCATTATTTCTGCCACATGCCTGACAGCCTGTTCTGAAAGATTAACTCTTCTTCTTCTATTTCCTAAGGTGGATGGGTTGCTTGGATTGGATTTGGGTATACTTGCTCTCATTCTTAAACAGCTGATCCCATTGACCACTTATATATGAGCAAACTAAGCATCATAAGGTGTTTTAAAATTTGGAAAAATTAAGGAATATTTCAAGGGAAATGGAATAATTTTGTTGCCTTTTTCTTCTTTGCTTTCATCGATTATAATATTGTATGGTAATGATGATAGTGACATAGCTTTAGAGTTATGCATCGGAGTATTCAAAGTTGTTTTTTGCTGTAGCCTGAAGTCTTGCACATGATCTACATGAGAGCCTTACAAATAGTATATGGAATTCGACTGGAACATTTTTACATGGTGAGTTTAAGATGAGGCAAAATTATGGGGTTTTTTTTGTTTGTTTGTTTGTTTTGTTTTGCTGCAGTTCTGCTTACAATGCATACTGGCTTTTAGGATAGGAAGTTCTTGACTTTATTTTTAACAAATTCAAAGACATATAAAATTAGTGTCACTTACAATGGGATCTTATGCACAATAATGGTTTATATCCATAGATTTAGTAAGATGAAAACCATAGTAAAAGACTTAAATGACACAGATCATTGATGCAATGCAATTGTTATAGATTTATAGGTTTGTTTTCAGAGACTACAATAAACAATAGCTAAGTCTTCATATTGTTCTCTTTTCAGGAAGAACTCCCAAATTAGAGTAGAAGATATGCAGTAAGATTGAAACAATTGAAATGAGGCAACTGAGCTTTTAGCAAATTATTTGCATAATACCTGATATTTAGTAAATGCTAACCTTATTCCATTTTTAAAATTCATTTAAAAATCTTTATTAAGCACCTACTGTGAACCTAGCATTAATAATGATGAAAACTCTGCATTTATACTAGGATATGTATTAAGGTTTTTAATTTAATGATAGTGAGTTAATATATTTTGATCTTGGTTGAAGATTTTTCTCATTTTGTCTAATCAATGTGTAATGTCGATTTTGTGGTTTATTGCATTTAGATGCCAGTGAACTCTGAAGTCATGTATCCACATTTAATGGAAGGCTTCTTACCATTCAGCAATTTAGTTACTCATCTGTGAGTAAAGAGTGATTTTATTGTCTTCGTCTACATTCGTATTTATATTACATTAAGTTTTCTTAATGACATGGTTTTCTTTGGTAAGGAATACCTACTATGTTCCTTTTCATTTCATCCCATATACATTCATTCAAACTTTCAAAATTGTAGACTGTCATCAAACAGAACTGCCTCCAACTGTGCCACTTTCTCAGCATATTTTCAATTGAACTTCTAAGATACTGTAAGTCGAAAATTGTTTACCGTCTTTGTGAAGAGGTTTGAGTTCTTAAAAGAGTCTTAGTGTCACCAAGTTTATGTACTATTTATTAGAATCTGTAACTATACTTTAGTATTGCATGACTACATGATTAATATACAGAAAAAATAGATTTCAGTGCTATAGGGTTATACATTATAGTAGAATTCTGGCTTCGTCCACTGACCTTAAGAAATATATCCAGAAATCTCTTTCTGAAAATAAGATGTTTATATCCTATAGCTTAGCATTTAATGTGCAAAATACTTTTCAATAGTCTTTTTGTACTTCATCTTCAAGGGACTCATTTTTGCCTATCTGCCGGGTGAATGACTTTGAGACTGCTGATATTCTATGTCCAAGTAAGTGAGAATTTAAAACAGTTTTAATGTCTGGCTTCGATCTACCATTTCACCTTTCCATCAGTAAATGTAAAAAAAAAAAAAAAGGAAAAAAACAACTTCAAGGAAATTGCCTTTAAAAAGTATATCCCATTTTTAAGTATGAATTTTTAATATCTTGTTGAATTTCTTTTTTTCCTTTTGAGAGCCACAGAAAAGCTGTTTTTCTGATGTTTTTTTAAAACTCCTTCCATTTAAAAAGTGTTCTATAAATTTGGGAATATGACTACAAATAATATGTAAGTATGATTTTGCATAGTGGATTCATCATACCAATTTTATCAAATGTAAGAATTACTATTTACCATATAGAAATTATCTTTTATCATTAAAAGAATAGTCATAATGTTATATTAGAATGTAAAATTCTAGCTTTAATTGTCCTTAAATTCGACTTTGATATTTATCCATCAAGTTACTGTAAGTTAAGAGATTTGGTGTGTGTATTAGGCTATTCTTGTATTGCTATAAAGAAATACCTGAGACTGGGTAATTTATAAAGAAAAGGGATTTAATTGGCTCACAGTTGTGCAGGTTATACAGGAAGCATGATGCTGGCATTTGCTTGCTTTTGGGGAGGCCTCTGGAAGCTTAGTCATGACAGAAGGCAAATGGGGAGCAGACATGTCACATAGCCAGAGGGAGCAAAAGCACAATGGGGAAGGTGCCACACACTTTTAAGTGACCAGATCTTGTGAGAACTCACTCACTGTAGACAGGACAGCATCAACCATACTCTTAACTTTACAATCCAGCAATCATGCTCCTTGGTATTTAGCCAAATGAATCGAAAGCTTATATTCACACAAAAACTTAAACACAGATGTTTAGAGCAACTTTATTCATAATTACCAGAATTTGAAAGTAGCCTTGGTGAATGAATAAACTGTAGTACATCTAGAGAATAGAAGTTATTCAACACTACAAGGAAATTAGCTAGCAAGCTATGAGAAGACATAGAGGAATATTAAATGCATATTATTAAGTGAAAGAAGCCAGTCTGCAAAGCCTACACAGCTATATATCATTCTGGAAAGGGCAATATTGTGGAGACAGTGAAAAGATCAGTGGAAACCACTGGTTAGGGGTGAGGGAGGGATGAATAGGATCCCTTTAGCACTAAGGATTTTTAGGGCAGTAACAATACTCTGTATGCTACTCTAATGGTAGATACTTGTCATTATGCATGTGTTGAAACTCAGAATGTACAGTACCAGGAGTGAACTCTAATGTAAACTGAATTTGGGATGATAATGATGTGTCAGTGCAAGTTCATCAGTTGTAACAAATATACCACTCAGGTGAAGGAAGTTGGTGGAGAGGAGTTTGTACATGTGTGGGGACCCAAGGTATATGGGAACTATCTACTTCCTGTTTAGATTTACTTTGAACTTAAAACTCCTTTCAAAAAGGAAGTCTATTAAAAATTAATTGACTGTATATTTGTCTATTTTTGAGCTCGCTATTCTACTCCATTGATCTGTATGTCTATCTTTATGTCAAGCAGTACTTTGATTATTTAGCTTTACAGTAAATTTTGAAATCAGTGTTACTCCTCTTTCTTCATCTTTGTCAAGATTATTTTGGCTATTCTGGTCCTTTGCATCTCTATATGTATTTTAGTATTTCCAGCTTGTCACTTTCTACCCTTCTTCCCCTGAAAAAGCCATTTTGATTGAGATTACTTTTAATGTATTGTTCATTTGGGGGATATTTGACAATTTAATAATATTGGGTCTTCTGATCCATATGCATGCTATATCTCTGCATTTATTAAGGCTGTTAAATTTCTCATAATGATGTACTATAAATTTCAGAGTGCAGACCTTGTATAATAAATTTTGTTAAATTTATGCCTAAATCAAATTTTTAGTGGTTCTGTAAATTTAATTTAAATTTTCTGATTAGTCATTGTTAGTGTAGACAAGTACAATTGATTTTTATATATTGACTTTGCTAAAATCACTTATTATTTGAGTAGATTTTTTTTTTTGTAGATTCCTTAGGATTTTCCTTATTGACAATTCTCAATTTTTGTTTGAGGACAAAATTTTTTTCTAATAGAGATGCCTTTTATTCTTTTTTTTTTTTTTTTACGTTTCTGCACTGGCTGGGACTTTTAGTATAATGTCGAATTGAAATGATGAGAGCAGTCATCATTACCTTGTTTCTGATCTTGGGGGAAACCATTTAGTCTTTCATTATTAAGTATTCGTTGTAGGATTTTTCTTAGATGTTTTTTATCAGAATGTACAACTTTTACTTTATTTCACTGAGAGTTTTTATCATGAAGGGTATTAAATGCCTTTTCGGCCTCTAGTGAGATAATCATGGGTTTTCTCTTTTTTAATCTACCAAATTACATTACTTGATTTTTGAATATCAAGCCAACCTTGCATTCAGGATGTGTCCTGATTGGTTATGATATATTTTTAATATATTGCTAGATTTGATTTGCTAATATTTTATTAAGTTTTTTTGTCTGTGTTCATGATGGATATTGTTCTGTAGTTTTTTTGCAATGTCACTGCAGTGACTGATCTGAATATCAGGATATACCAGTCTCATACAATACATTTGGAAAGATTCCCGCTTCCATTTTTGGGAATTGTTTTATAAAATTTGTATTATTTATTTCTTTTTTGAATATTTGGTAGAATTTACCAGTGGATCTATCTTGGATTGCAGTTTTCTCTCTGGGATAAATTAAGAATTCAAAGTCTTTAATAGGTTAAGGGCTATTCTGGTTGTTTATTGTCAAAACTCCTGAGTGAGCTTTGGTGATTTATTTTTTTAAAGGAATTTTTAGGTTGGCAAATTTGTTAACATAAAATTGTTCATTATATTCCCATATTATTTTAATGTTATTGGGGTAGGTAATAACATCTTCTCTATCATTTCTGTCATTAATAATTTGTTTATTCTTTTTTTTTCCTAACCAGTCTGGTTATCAGCTTATCACTTTTCAAAGAACTAGCTTTTGACTTAATTGACTTTTCTGTATTTCTGGTTTTTGATTATTATTGAATTTTGAGCTTATTGTTATTCTTTCTTCATGGTTATTTTGGGTTTCATTTACTCTTTTTTTCTAGTTTTGTTTTTTTTAAGGCAGTAAGCCAAGTCCATTAATTAGATACCTTTCTTCTTTCCTAATATAGGTATTTATTGCTGTAAATTTCCCTCTAGCACTGCTTTAGCTGCATCCCCCAAACCTTGATATGTTGTATTTTCATTTTTATTGGGTTCAAGATATTTTCTAATTTCCCTTTTGATTTCTTTTTTCATGTATGGGTTATTTATAAGTGTGTTGTCTGCTTTCCAAATATTTGGGGATTTTCCCACAATTTTTTCTGTTACTGATTTGTAAGTTATTTCTTTTGTGATCAGAGAATATACTTTGTATCATTTGAATCCATTTAAATGTATTCACACTTATTTTATGGCCCAGAATATGGTCTATATTTGTTCACTATGGTGGCTGTAATAAATCACCACAAACTTGGTGACTTAAGATAACATACATTTATTCTCCTGTAGTTCTAGTGGTCAGAAGTTCAAAATTGGTTTCACTGAGCCAAAACCAAGGTGTTACTAAGGTTGCACTCCTTCAGATGGCTCTAGGAGAGAGTCAGTTTCTTTGCCTTTTCTAGCTTCTAGGGTTGCATTTCTCAGCTCATGACCTTTCTGTCTTTGAAGCCAGCAGTGTAGCATATTTAAATCTGTTTCTACTTTCATGATCACATTGCTTTCTATTTTCTGTGTATAGTCCAATCTCTCTCTACTTTCCTCTTATAAAGACACTTGTGATTGCATTTAGGGCCCACCTAGATATTCTAGAATAATTTTCTCATTTCAAGATCTTCAATTATACTTATAAAGCCACTTTGCAAATAAGATAACATGCACAAATTCCAAGGAGTAGGACCTGAACATCTTTGGGTGCTATTATTCAGCCCACCACATGGTCTACCCTTGTAAAAGTTCCATGAGTGCTGTTGTTGATGAGTGGAGTGTTTTAAACATGTTAATTGGATCCAGTTGGTTAATAGCGTTGTTCAAGCCTACTGGGTCCTTACAGACTTTTTTCCTGGTTGTTCTTTGAACTGTTGATAGAGAGATGTTAAAATCTTCAGCTATGATTGTGAGTTTGTCTGTTTTGTCTGTTCTTTTAATTTTTGTTTTATGTACCTTGAAGCTCTAGTTTTAGAAGTGTACACATTTAGAATTGCTATATCCTCTTGATGACATAGTCTTTGTTCTGAAATATACTTGATTTTATATTAACATAGCTACTTCAGGTTTCTTTTCATTAGTATTACCATGCCATATCATCCTTGTAACTTGTGCCTTTGGATTCAAAACGGGTTTCTTGTAGACAGCATATGGTTGGGTCTTGCTTTTTAAATTCAACATCACTATCTCGGTCTTTTAATCGGAGTCTTAGACCATTTACATTTAATGTTATTATTGATATGATTGGGCTTAAATCCACCTTTATACTATTTGTTTTCTCTTTGTCCTGTTCTTTAGTCCTGTTTTCTCCATTTCCTGCCTTATTTTGGTCTATTAAAATAAATTTTATTTTATATAATACTATATATGAAAAAGATATTCTACCTTGTCTGTTATTGGCTTATCAGCTATATGTCTTTTTAAAATGGTATTTGCTCCAAGTTTCAGTATACATGTATATATCTTTAACATACCATTGTCTATCTTCAAATATATTATACCTTACAATAATATACTTTTATTTTCTCCACTACTGGTCTTTGTGCTATTGTGTCATAAATTTTACTTTTACAGATATCATAAACACCTTAATCGATATTAGATTTGTGTGAAACAGTTATCTTTTAAAGGATTTTCTATTTTGACATTTAAAAAATACATGTAGTGGGTACAAGTCCACATTTCTTACATACATATATTGTGTAGTGGTGAAATCTCGGCTTTTAGTGCACCCATCACTCAAGTAGTGAACATTGTACCAAATCAGTAATTTTCCAACCCTTGTCCCTCTCCTACCCTCCCACATTTTGTAGTCTCCAGTGTCTGTTCTACTTTGTATGTCCATGTGTACCCATTATTTATTTCCCACTTATAAGTGACAATGTGCAGTATTTGACTTTCTGTTTCTGAGTTATTTCACTTAGGATAATGGCCTCAAGTTCCAACCATATTGCTGCAGAAGACATTATTTCTTCTTTTTAGTGGTTGAGTAGTGTTCTCTGGTATATGCATACCACATTTTTAAAATCCAATCCTCCACTGATTGACGCAGGTTCATTTTATATGTTTGCTATTGTGAATAGTGCTACAATAAACATACAAGTGCATTAATCTTTTTGATATAATGATTTCTTTCTTAAAGGGATTTTTTATATGAGGAAAAATGTCTTCTATATTAACTCACATTCTTGTAAGTACACCAAATTTCCATCTGGTATGATTTTTCTTAGACATGAAGGATTTTATTTAACACTTATTGTAGTGCTGTTAAAAAGCCTTTATTTCACTTTAATTTTTGAAAGGTATTTTTCTTGAGGCCAGGTGCAGTGACTCTCACCTGTAATCTTATCACTTTGAGAGGCCAAGGTGAGAGAATTGCTTGAGTCCAGGAGTTTGAGACCAGCCTGGGCAATATAGCAAGATCCTTTTTCTACAAAAAAAATGTTAAAAATGAGCCAGATGTGGTGATGCATACCTGTAATCCTAGCTATTCCAGCAGCTTAGAGGGGAGAATCACTGGAGAACAGGAGTTCAAGGCTGCAGGGAGCTATGATCGTGCCACTGCATCCCAGCCTGAGCAACAGAGTGAGACCTGCTTCTTTTTGAGAAGGAAAGAAAGAAAAATGGATAAATAAAAGGTGTTTTTCTTGAGCCCTCGGTGGATATGAAAAGTCAACTTTTCAATCCACAGTTGGTTAAATCTGCAGATGCAGAATGCACAGATATGGAGGGCTGACTGTACTATGCCATTTTTTGTGTGTTTGTCTTGTTTTGTTTTTTTTGTTTTTGTTTTTGAGATGGAGTCTCGCTCTGTCACCAGGCTGGAGTGCAGTGGCACAGTCTCGGCTTACTGCAACCTCCGCCTCCCAGGTTCAAGTGATTCTCCTGCCTCAGCCTCCTGAGTAGCTGGGACTACAGGTGCATGTAACCACACCCAGCTAATTTTTGTATTTTTAGTAGAGAAGGGGTTTCATCATGTTGGCCAGGATGGTCTCAATCTCTTGACCTTGTGATCCGCCCACCTCGGCCTCCCAAAGTGCTAGGATTACAGGTGTGAGCCACCACACCCAGCCACTATGCCAGGTGTAAGGGACTGGTGCATCCACAGACTTGGGTTCTCTAGGCATCTTGGAACCAATATCTAGCAGATACTGAGGGACTACAGTATAGAATTCTTAGTTGACAGTTTTTTCAGTGCTTTAAATATATTGCTCCATTGTCTTCTGGCTTACATTGTTTCTGATGAGAAGTCTATTGCTTTTCTTATCTTTGTTTCTCTCTATATAATGTGTTTTGTTTTCCTCTGGCTGCTTCTAAGATTTTTTTGTCTTCTAAGCTAGTTGTTAGCCGTTTGAATATAATGTGACTTTTAGGTGTTTGTTTTTGGTTTTTTTTTGTTTGTTTTTCTGTTCTTTCTTCCCTCCCCCTACACCCCTGCCCGCCATTTACGTTTGTTCACTTTCTTGGATATGGTTATTGTTTTTATACAATTTGGAAAATATTCAACTATTCTGTAAAAGTCTTTTTGTCCCTTTTTGTAGGATTCCAATTACACATTAGTTATGCTGTTTGATATTGTCTCTCAGCTCACAGATATTGTATTCATTTTTTTCTCTCTGGACTTTATTTTAGATAACTTCTATTATGTCTTCAACTTCATGAATCCTTTTTATTTTAGGTCTGAACTACTGTTATTCCCATCAGTGTAATTTTTATTTCAGGTATTTTTCAACTCTAAAAGCTTAATTCAGATCTTTTTTAAAAAATCTTTGCTTTTATTTCTTCATATTGCTGATTCTTTTCTCTATCCCCTTTATTTATTTATAAAGGTTGTTTTCACATTCTTATCTACTAAATCTACCATGTATGTTATTTGTGTTATGTTTTAATATGTTTCTGTTGATTGATTGTATTTTCTTATTATGGATCATGTCCTTTTTCTTGGCATGTCTGGTTATTTTTAGCAGATGCCAGACATTGTGAATTTTACCTTGTTGGTTAACTGAGAACCTGAGGGGATTCCTCTACAGATTTCCAGAACTCTTTCTCTTTACAGCTTCCTCATCTTAATACTCAGTTCCATAAATCCTAGTTGCTTTGGCTTCTGCAAACTCTAAACTCTGTCTTCTTGACCCAGCAAGATGTACAAGTTTTATTTGTGTTCTCTTTCTCTGGAGTACAGCCTGTAAACTCTTCAGTCATGGACTGGTGCAGTAATGGAATTCACCTCATTTGTTTCTCTTGGAGATTGCTGTCCTATATTGCCTTTTATCCAGCATCTAAAATTTGTTGCTTCATGTATTTTTGTTTTTCTAGTTTTTTAATATGGGAGGGTAATTCTGGTTTCTGTTATTTCTTCATGACCAAAAGTGGTTTACCTTTTTTTTTAAAGTTATTAATACAAAGATAATTTTTACCTTTAAGTTAGAGCAGATTTTCTACACTTTGTTATATCCTATACAGTTTTATTTTATATATTATGAGCAGAATATATAGTGGAAGAGGATGAATTTTCATTTTCATATTATGTTAGTTCAAAGGTTTATTTAAAGAGTCTTGCTTTCTATTTTAGAAGCAAAACGGACAAGTCGGTTTTTAAGTGGCATTATCAACTTTATTCACTTCAGAGAAGCATGCCGTGAAACGTATATGGAATTTCTTTGGCAATATGTAAGATTTAAATATGTTTTGGGGTTACATGCCAGATCAGTAACATTATTTATGAACTTATAATCTGTTTTGAAATGATTGTCATAGACAGCAAATTGCTGTATTGCCTTTAGAATTGAACTCATTTTTATATTTATATTAACTTGCAGATTTTAGTTACTGGATAGCATATCTCAGAATCAGATTTTCTTTGAAATTTGGTAACACTATGGAGAGGCTGAGTTCTGTTTGTTTTAAAATCTTGTAGCTGAGGCTTGTTTTCCTATATTAGGAAATGTTAGAGAATATTGATATGTTTACATTTTTTTCTTTGAAGTTTGCGTAGATAGTGTAGCTTTTATTAAATAACGGACATATTTGAGGTTTATATTTGCCTTTTAAATAATGGCATAATTGGACTGTTTGTGGTGGTGTTTATCATGCTTGCCCAGATTCAGTCCAAGGCAATCTCTTTAACAGACAGAAACTCATTTTCCTTTCATCAACAACTTAAAGAACTGGGGGAGATTATGGGTCATCTGTGTGATTTTTCCCATTTGTCTTCAATAATGGGGTACCATACTCTTAGAAAAACACCAGAGTAACTCCAAACACTTAGACCCTAGGCTTCAGCTTTACTGAGCTATATAGATCCGTACTTCTTTGCACAAATCATGCTAACCTTATAACTCCTAAACATCATATAATCTTCAAAGCTTACCACATTCATGTGCCAACATACACACACTCTCATAATTTTGCTTGGTTAATTACTATCTTTAAGACACACCTCAGACATCTATCACCTCTATGATGTCCTATCACCCTTCTTCCCAGCCATTACCCAAGTTGGGTTAGATGTCACTCTTGTTGGTTCCCATTATATGAAAAATAACAAGCTATTTTGTGGGTTTTTATTCTTGTATCTGGCTCCTCAAGGAGGCTTAGCTACTTAAGGTCAAGACCTATAAGTTAGTCTTCTTGAGAATTCTCAGTACCGAGCTCAGTGCCTATGATGAGAATCCAGCATTTGTGTTGAGTAAAGAAATTCCTAATTCATTTGTCATGAAGGCCTAACTCTATCTTAAATTTTTTATTTCTGATGGTTCAAACTATAGTATGAGTAAACATTTTGGACACACTGATTGTGTTGAAATGCACTAATATGAGATGATTAAAATTGCTTTAATAGAAATCCTCTGCGGACAAAATGCAACAGTTAAACGCCGCACACCAGGAGGCATTAATGAAACTGGAGAGACTTGAGTAAGTGGGAGATTTACAAGTAAAATAAATGCAATTTCAAAATGCAAAATGAATTGTAAGTAGTATTTTACAACCCTATATTCCACCTTAAGTCTCTTTTATCTCCCTTAATAAATAGCAGAGTATTTGAGTTTGCCTTTTCTTAAAAAAAAAAAAAAGAAAAAACTAGTTTTTCTTCTAACTCTTAATTATATAATACATCCTTTGGCTTTTGTTGTTGTTGTTGTTAGTGTGTTAGCCTGATTTGTTTAAAGCCATTAGCTTACTGTCCTGATTTATGTCTGGAATATTGTCTTATGTAGGTGAGCAGTAACTGCCTGGACTATCTTCCTTCAGATCAGTTGATTCCATCAAATGTTTACTCCTACAACAAAGTTTTCATTTATTTGTTTTGTTTTTGACTTATAGGTTATGTAGGGAAAAGAATCACTCAACAGTTGTGATTTCTTGGCCTTCCTTATATATATATATTGATTTTGAGCAGGATTTTTAAAATCTCTTCTAATTTATAGATGTCTTTGAGGTTATCTGTTTTAGATGAGAGATTTTCTAACCTGCCCCTGGTTAAAATTGCCTTTACAGGCAGACATTAGAATATAACAGGGTAAAAGATGCCACCAACTAAATCAAAACAAGAATGACAAAGTGGAGAGAATATTTGCAGCACATGCCACAAAGCCTTACCAACTCTAATAACAAAACCCATGTAATATTCCTAATATACAAATATAATATGCAGAACTACAAAGCAGTCCTGTAAACTGACAGGAAAAATGATAACTTTAAAAAAATAGACAAAGGCTTTAAACAGGGAGTTTATATAAAAATAGCTAATATATCAGATAGGCAAAAACTAAATTTGAAAACGTTCTTATAGAAGAGACTTGAACACGTGTAAGTGTTGTAAGGAAGGACTAGTAGCGGAAGAATGGATGGTATGGGAGTAAGAGTTGTGAGGCAATGATAGCCAGTGCAGAGGTAGAGAAATCAGCATTACCAGAAGGCATACAATATTCATGTTATTAGGAGTGAAGTTAGAAAGGATAGGTATGTGTGTGGATGGATCCATAGATTTGATAGTAGAAAACTGAAGGAGCTCATGTGATTTTTATTTTCTGCCTGTAGTAGAGGCCAGATCATTCATTTTAAATGATTGCCACATGAAAGGGTGTAATTCAGAAACATAAAAGTAGACAATTTCTTCATCTCAGTTATTTGAGGACAGGTATTTCATTTTAGCCTTTCAAAAGTGAAGAGCAGTATTTTAATCTATTTTGCTGTGTTAAGTTCTGTTCCAGTTGAAGAGCAAGAAGAGTTCAAGCAGCTTTCAGATGGAATTCAGGAGCTACAACAATCACTAAATCAGGATTTTCATCAAAAAACGGTATCTGTTGTGAGGCACCTTAAACTTTAAAAAACAAAATTTGTTTGTAGATGTGGTGGGACATATAGTGGAGGTAACAGCACATTGCTTTCTCTATTACCAAAGAAACAGAATATATTTCTGTGCCCATTTGTGCCCCTTATAATGGATACATACTTCTCTCAACCATCTAGAACCGTGATGGTTTTTGTTGGCAAAGTTTTTTGTTGTCTTATTGAATAGAATTTTTTAGGGTTTTCCTAGGTTTAATTTCACTGCTTCCAAACCATGCACTGTGGCACCCTGGATACTGCAGTAAACCCTCAAGAATGCCTCAAAATATCTTAAATTTTCAAGGGAACCACTGTAGTACTCAGCATCTGTCATATCCTTTTTGAATTCAAGGTAGTTCACAGTTTCAGTTTTTGGTCACATTCCTTTCATATCCTTGTGCAGCTGGGATTTTGGTATTTGCTGTGATAAAAGCAAGTACAATGTAAAAATCACTGTGACACAGGAAATGAGAATGTCTATATCCAATCTGAAATATACGCTCCAACGTACGTGAATTTATGCAGTGCCCAATAGGTACATACATCTAATTAGGAAGTACTCGAGGTTATTTAAGAACAAAATAAAAATTTTTTCTTTCAACTTATATGTATTATTTTTCAAAGGGCTACAATGTTAGGACATAAATACTAGGCCATTATTTGGAGTTAACTACTTAGTAAAGGAACTCTTAGATATTTCTTTTGGCTTAGGAGCATCATGAACAGAGAAAGTTTGAAGAATATCTGATCTAACACATTTAACTCCTTTCTTACCTTAATTTTATGAGACAGCAGTGAGTGGCTAAATCTAAATGTTTTGAATCATTATAAAACGTGTTTGCTTTTTCCCTTAGATAGTGCTGCAAGAGGGAAATTCCCAAAAGAAGTCAAATATTTCAGAGAAAACCAAGCGTTTGGTAAACATCTTTTCTTTTCACTAGCATTTAAAGTTTGAATATATTGTGTGGAGGAGTATTTTAGCTGTGTGTGTTATTATGGGCAAATGTTTCTCCCTTTTTCCCTTCAAAATGAAACAATCTTTTTCAACTTAAATATAATAGATGACTATTGTTTTAAAAAATATCGAAACACAGAAATGTATGAAGAAAGTAAACATCACCTGAAAGCTCACTATACAATCTGATTTATATCAAAGATTGTATTTGCTATGCAAATGTAAATATGCATGTGTAATTTTACATAAATGATATTAGGCTCAATACATCTTACCTGCTTTTTTCTCCACTTAGCGATATAATACAGTTATGAATTTTAAATAGATCCTCATTATATTAATGCTTGCATCTAGTTGAGCATTATATGTATGTGCTGTCTTGTAGATCCTTTTAATCCCCTTCTGATAGACTTTTACATAGATTCTAATTTTTTGCTATTAAACAGAAATATATGTATGTGTGTATCATATGCATACATATGTACATACATACATTTCTGCAACAGGCTGCTTTTATTTAAAATAAATTTTTTTGTTTAGGATTTCTGGGTCATAGGAAATACACATGTAAAATTGACCAATGCAGCCAAGCTGATTTCTAGAAAGATACCAATTTATATTCCTACCAGTAGAACAAGAGACTGTCCCTTTCCCTATACCCTTGCCAAAACTGGATGTTTTCAGGCTTTTAAAATCTTTGTTACTGTTACATTGAAAAAAAAATCTCATTTTATTTGTACTTATTTTATTTTTTAGTTTTTTTGAGACAGAGTCTCACTCTGTCACCCAGGCTGGAGTGCAGTGGCGCGATCTTGGCTCACTGCAACCTCCACCTCCTGGGTTCGAGCGATTCTTCTGCCTCAGCCTCCTGACCAGCTGGGACTACAGGCTTGTGCCGCCACACCCAGCTAATTTTTGTGTTTTTAGTAGAGGCGGGGTTTTACCATATTATGCAAGCTGGTCTCAAACTCTTCACCTCGTGATCCACCCGCCTTGGCCTCTCAAAGTGCTGGGATTACAGGCATGAGCGACCACACCAGGCCAAAAAAATCTCATTTTAGTTTAATTGCTTTAATTCTAGTGATTTTGTCCATCTTGCTTAGTGATTTCTTGTTATTTCTTATTTTGTATATTGTTTGTGTACCTTGTTTATTTATTTTATTTATTTATTTATTTTTTGAGATGGAGTCTCACTCTTTTGCCCAGGTTGGAGTGCAGTGTGGCATGATGTCAGCTCACTGCAACCTCTGCCTCCCGGGTTCAAGGGATTCTCTTGCCTCAGCCTCCCAAGTAGCTGGGATTACAGGCATCCACCACCACTCCCGGCTAATTTTTTTGTATTTTTAGTAGAGATGGGGTTTTACCATGTTGGCCAGGCTGGTTTTGAACTCCTGACCTCAGGGGACCTGCCCACCTCGGCCTCTGAAAGTGCCAGGATTACAGGTGTGAGCCACCGCACCCGGCCACTTATTTATTTTTCAAGAAACTCCATGAATTAGGGATTTTAGCTCTCCATTTATTTGTCTGTCAAATTTATATATTTTTTGCCCATTAAAAGGTTTATGTTTTTATGTAGTAAAATTTATAGATACGGCCTTTATGGTTTTTGGCTTTAATTGTGTACATAGAAAGGACGGTCCTATTCGTCAGATTATTTTTTAATACTATATTTTCTCATTGTACTTTTATAGTTTCCTTATTGTTTTAAAATGTATACTTTAGATCCTTGAGAAACTTACTCTGGTGTTATATTTCCCTTATTTTTCTATCTTTTTTTTTGCTGGGAAATGCTTTCATCTGAGTAGTACTTACTATGGCTCAATTTTATTGTTTATTTATTTCTGTCTCATTTAAATCCAAGTTAAAACAAGCACTTTGTACTTATTAAGTTTAGACCTTTTATAAAGAGGAGAAAAGTGATGAAAGTTAACACTATTGTAAGGAAAATAACCTCTAATCTTGTAGAGCATTAAAAGAGTAGATAATGTGGTGGTTTGCAGAACTCTAAGAATGAAATAACAAAATATACAGAAATTACAGGAATGCATTATATCTAACATTCAGTTTTGGCGTCTGAGTTAGCTGATCAAAAAGTAAGAATCTTTTCTTTTAAGTTAAAAATATTTAGACAAATTACACAACACAGTAATACATTCCTGTTATGAAATATTCTCTCTTTACATACACACACCCACACATACATATATATATATGTATGTATATAGAGAGAGGGGAGTATACACACATATAGAGAGAGACAGAGAAGGGTACGAAATGTGAAAGGCCTTCTCTCAGCCCATTTTACCTTGAGGTAATACTATTCCCTTCCTTTTTCCAACATCATATGCATACACATATAGAGGCACATAATCATGTGTCACTGTTTTGTTGTTCTGTTTTTATAGAAATGTATTTATGTGTTATATGTTGATCTGTGAATTGGTTCTTTCACTTAATATATCTGGAAAATCTTTCCTGTCAATACATAGAGTCATAGAGGGTCCCCAAACAATGTAAATACAACTTATCAACAAATATCTGAGAAGAAAATTCATAGGAATTTTTTTTGACATAATTTCAGACTTACAACAAACTTTCAAGAGAATTTCCAGCTACCCTTCACTTTGATTCTTCAAATAGTTACATTCATTTTTGAAATTCAGGAGAAGGGAATTTGTTTTCATTCAGCAAGCATGTAGTGAGCACCTTCTCAGTGCTATAGCTTTGTTTGGGTACTGGGAAAACCAGGATACATTTTCACAACTCCAATTTGCTCAGTCTTATGAAACACATATTAAGTACATAATTATAGTGTTGCATGTACAAAAATTGTACTATTTAAAGAAGAAATGTAGAGAAAATGGGAGCAGGATTTTCAGGGATCAGTACAAATTTAGCAGGCAGACCGGAGTGGGATAATGATATTCTAGGAGGACCCTACTGGTCAAAGAAAGATCACTTATACTTGTCTAAACATAAGATCAGAATTACCAGATTGTAGGGTGCAGTAGGGAACTGGTGGGAGATGAGACTAGACAGGAAGAGAGTTAAGAGCCATGTAATGAAAGGCTTTGAATGTCCTGCTAAGGAGCTTGATCTTTGGCCTATAGACAAATGTGAGCAATTAAGTAGGTAAGTGATGTGTTCAGAATTTAATTTTACCCTCATTACAGAGAACATGGACCTAATTTCTTTGTTCTTTCCCATTACTAGAATGGTAAATCACCAAGTTTATTATATCTAATATATAAAAATGTTTTCTCAACAGAATGAACTAAAATTGTCGGTGGTTTCTTTGAAAGAAATACAAGAGAGTTTGAAAACAAAAATTGTGGATTCTCCAGAGAAGTTAAAGAATTATAAAGAAAAAATGAAAGATACGGTCCAGAAGCTTAAAAATGCCAGAGTGAGTTTTCTTTTTATTTTAATGCTTTTGTATCTAAAAAAAAAAATTAGCAAATTCTTGTTTAATTATGTGTTAATTTTTGGATTTCTGAATTATCTATACTTCTCTTCCTCTTAAACTTTTTTGACCTTATTTCTAATCTGTAGCTTTTCTCTAGAGTGAATATGGGGAAAATAAATATAATTTCAAGACATTTGTTCAATTATGCAACAATTTTTCGAGGCTTTTCTCTGGGAGATCAAAACAGAAATGCTGGGTGGTGAGATTTAATTACTTTATTACAAGGGAGGAAAGTATTAAGTAATTTTACAAACAATTGTAATTATAAATTACAATATATACTATAACAAAGTATAAGGTATGCATGTGTGTAGGTAGGGGTATACGAGAAATCTCTGTACCTTCTGATTAATTTTGCTGTGAATGTCTAACTGCTTGAAAAATTAAAATCTATTAATGGTATCAGAAAGAGGAAAGAAAGTATAGAGTGCTTTGAAATAATGTAATAAGGGGAGCCCAGTTTAGTATTGGGCTGGAAGTACAGGTGGAAGAGGGAAGGAAGAATGCTACCATTCTTCAGATCGTAGCATAAAAAAAAAGACGCTTTTCATTTTAAACATAGCAGTACCAAGGCCCAATTCATTGTGTATGGAAGAATATTAAAGGCAGAGGGAACAGCGTATGTGAATTCTGTGGGGTAGTGGGGAGTAAGGTGTGTTCAAGATTATGGGTTACTGTGGGAGATGGATTGACGTGGTGCAATACAAACTTAGAAGTGGGTAGACAATTTACCATCTTTTGTGAAGCAATGTTTTTAAACTATTAATTTAAAAAACATATGTGGTTTGTGTTTGAATTTGTTATTCAGTTCATTCTTGACAATTAAGATTACCACACTAGACTAGACAAAGATCACCAGAACAGAAATGAGAACCCAGAAATAGATTTGAGTATTAATGAGAAAAGGATGATTTATTTAAGAAACAGTTCTGGCTCAATTAGCTATTCATCTGGAAGAAAAGGGTGTTGGGTCTACACTTTGCTCTTTTACAAAAATAAATTTTGTATGTATTGAAAATTTACCTTAAAAAATTTAAGTTTTACAGATTTTAGGAGAACACTTATATAATCTTGGACTGAGATAGATTTTTGAAATTAAGATTGGAAACAGAAAATCTATAGAGAAAAGTAGACACATTAGAACATAATTACGGTGCATATGACAGGTAGAGGGATTATATCCATGATTTGCAAAGAGTATTTTACAAATTAGTAAGAAAAAGAAAAAAATAAGGTAGAACAAGGGGTAGGCTAGTGAGGACAAGGGAAGGAATCTTTGTATTGTTACCATGGTTGTAGTAAATATATGTTCATTTTGTAATTTTAGAAGATGAGTTAATGTTTTTAAAAGAATTAGCTATAGTAGTCGTTATTATACAAATGAATGGGAAGATTATAAATGAGTAATACGATTGATTGCCCAGGAGTAATCAGAAATAGTTTGAGTATTAGCAAAATAAACTATTTTAATATCATCATTATTAACTTTTGGAAGGTATTTCATTGAGTAGTAAAATTATGGCACTTTTCCTTTGTTTGAAGATACTTGGCAATTAAAAAACAATTATTTGTGCTTAAACACATGTCAGTAATAGTGCTGTATTACTGACCTAGAAATTTAATTGTTCCGTGCTCTTAAGGTTTCAGTATTAAATGTGGAAATTATTTAAGAGCAAACAAATTGATATTACTGCAGCTTCATAAAGAAGAATATCAAACTGTGGTCTCTGTTTTTTGTCTTTCAAAGCAAGAAGTGGTGGAGAAATATGAAATCTATGGAGACTCAGTTGACTGCCTGCCTTCATGTCAGTTGGAAGTGCAGTTATATCAAAAGAAAATACAGGACCTTTCAGATAATAGGGAAAAATTAGCCAGTATCTTAAAGGAGGTTTGTATTGTATGGAATTTTGATGTCTTTATTATATAACAGCTTACTATAGTTCCTTGTATTTTGCTTTCACTTTTTGTTATGTTTTCCTAAAGAAAAACAGGGTCATTCTACAGTATAATAGATGTGGCAATGTATGCTATGAAAAAGACACTTTTCTTTTTAAACATAGCAGTAGCAAGACCCAATTTTTAACCTTCTGATGAAATTAATAATAACTAACCCATCACATTGCTGTGTATATTTTGGAAAATAGTACAGTAGCTCCCCCTTATCCTTAGGAGATTCATTTCAGGACCTCCAGGGGATGCCTGAAACTGTGGATAGTAACAAACCTTATATATATATATATGTTTTTTCCTTTATGTACATACCTATGATAAAGTTTAATTTAAAACTTAGGCACAGTAAGAGATTAACAATAATTACTAATAAAAGAACATTTATAGCAATATACTGTAATAAAAGTTATGTGAATGTGGTCTCTCTCTCAAAATATCTTATTGTACTAAAATCAATAAGTTTAGTACAATGATGTGAGATGATAAAATGCCTACATAAAAAATTGAAGTGAGATATTGCTAGGCTACTGTTAATCTTCTGACCATACATCAGAGTAAGGATCATCTGCTTCAGGTGATCCTAGATCCTCAAGGCACTATGATGTCGACAGTTGGATGTTGATGACTAAAGAGCAAGTGGTGTATACAGCATGAATCTGCTGGGCAAAGGGATGATTCACTTCCAGGGTCAGGGCTGGGCATGGTGGCTCAAGCCTGTAATACCAGCACTTCGGAAGGCTGAGGCGGGAGGACCATTGAGACCAAGAGTTGGAGACCAGCTTGAACAACATAGCAAGATGCTATCTCTACAGAAAATTTTAAAAATTAGCCAGCTATAATGGTGTATGTCTGTAGTCCCAGCCACTTGGGAGTCTGAGGTGGGAGGATCACTTGAGTCAAGACTGCAGTGAGCTATGATCATGCCGCCACACTTCCAGTCTGAGTGACAGAGTGAAGCCCCATCTGAAAAGCACACACACACACACAAACATCCAGGGTGGAATGGAGTAGGATGGCGCAAGATTTAATCACACTACTTAGAACAGCACACAATTTAAAACTGATGAATTTTTTATTTCTGATACTTTCCATTTAATATTTTTAGACCACAGTTGACCAGGGGTAACTGTAACCATGGAAAGTGAAGCCATGGATAAGGGGAACTACTGTCATGGGATTTTAAATTTGTTCTACCAGTTGGAAATGATCTTAGCATCAGAAAGTTCCAACTTAGTGCCCAACACTGTATCTAGGACCTATAGAGAGATTTAAAGTTTATTACATAGTCTGCCCTGAAGAAATGAGAGCTAAGGGCGGTTTCTCAGGCTACAAGCTTGAAAATCCTTTTTTGCTTCTTAACTTGATCATCTTCATCCAGGCTGCGCCTCCAGGATAACTAACATTACATTTGATAAACAATTTCTTTTTTGAGATAAGTAGGGATTAGAAGGTGAGATTGCCCCAGGTATTCTTTCCCAACTACATAGTCCCCTCATCTGCCATTGTGTTACCCAAAAAAGATGTGTATCTACTGCTTTGAATTGTTTCTAGCACCTACCCTTTTCCCTTTATTTGTACTACTTTAGTTCAGATCCTAACCCCTCAACTCTAGTCTCTTAGCTAATCTTAACATGTCTCCCTTTCAGTCTGTACTGATAGAAAACACCTCTCTAGTTGTCATGTCCTTTCTCAGTATCTCTGATGCCTCCTTGTTGTCTCTTCTGGTTCATCTGCATTTTTCTGCCGGACTTTCAGGTTTTAAAGAGTTTTGTCTCTTTTTAAATTTGTGTTTAATTATAGTTCATCCTAGAAAATATTCTTTCATTTTATTTCTAAATCCTAATTGGTTATGTTGACTTTAAATACTTCTTATAAAATACAGAGCCTGAACTTGGAGGACCAAATTGAGAGTGATGAGTCAGAACTGAAGAAATTGAAGACTGAAGAAAATTCGTTCAAAAGACTGATGATTGTGAAGAAGGAAAAACTTGCCACAGCACAATTCAAAATAAATAAGAAGCATGAAGATGTTAAGCAATACAAACGCACAGTAATTGAGTATGGAGTTGTTTTCAATTTTAGTGTATTAGAAAGCAATTATGAAAAACAAATACATTTTTCCCCCAGGATTTCAAAACCTCGGTATTTTCCAAAAGAGTTTAAACAGCTTTATCTTTATTTCACCTTTAGTTGACTAAAACAGATGAGTTAATTATAAAACTTATACTGCTAGTTCTAGATTTAGAGATGTCTTAGCTACTCTTTTCCTGGGTATACAGTTCCAATTCCTTTGCATCATTCTTCAGAAGGGTTCTGATGCTACTGATTATTTCATTGCACTTTAGAGATAGTGGTCTAGCTTGCATCAGAATTAACTAAATGGCCTATCTTATAGTCCAGCTTGTCTGTAGAGTTACAGCATTTGTGTTTTGAGAAAAAGTCATATATTCAGGTAAGAAGTAATACTTTCCTAAGTATGTAAGTATGTTTTTAGCTGGTACGTTAGGGTACTTTATTGGTAAAATACCCATCAGTTCTAAGAATGTGTTTTTAAAATACCTGCCCCAGATATGTCTATAATCTCATTCCTTCAGTTACTAAAAGGTGCGTCAGAGATCATCTGAGTATTTCCTTCATACTTCCTCTTGCAGATGAAAAAGGGCAGAACTTAAGGATTTTATGTTTGTTGCCAAACTGCCTTGTAGAAAAGTTAAACTGATTCACATTCCCACCAACAGTACCTAAGTGTGTACAACTGGGGAAATGTAACTTAAAAAATCTTCATTTTAAATATTGATTGATTGATTGATTTACTCATTCACTAACCCACCAATGAGGGAAAAAAAATCTCATTAATATATTGAGAGAAAGAGTTCACACTATGTTGTGATGTGATTATAGTACCACACTTTGGGGTTTTCATTCCTTTGCTTTTATATCTTGAGAAGAGTTTTAGGTTTGTCAAATACTGACACATGGTCACTTTGGAATCAAAACTAGAATTGTGTTTGCCTTTTTAGTTGCTGAAGAGGATTAAATATTAGCTGTCTCGATTTTCTTTCAGGGATTGCAATAAAGTTCAAGAAAAAAGAGGTGCTGTCTATGAACGAGTAACCACAATTAATCAAGAAATCCAAAAAATTAAACTTGGAATTCAACAACTAAAAGATGCTGCTGAAAGGGAGAAACTGAAGTCCCAGGTGAATATGTGTTCATAAGAAGTTAATTTCAAATAATCTCTCATGTATTTGAGTTGTTAACTGAAACAAAACAGCTTACTTGGTCTCTGTGTAATGAGACTTTTAATGATACCTAAAATTATTTACTCTTTATTCTTGTTTTGAATATATTTACTGTAAAGCTTCATAAATAGTCCTAAGTTTAATGAGAACAGGCATCTTGTCTCCTACATTTTTATCTTTAAAAATGCTAGTACAGTGCTAAACATAAAATGTTTACCTGTTTCTATTCTTTTAACTGCCAATGTCTCTAACAAGTAGTATATTCCTAATATATTTATTAAATATTTATTGTCTCCTTATCTTTTGAAGTTTGATTTATGTCTTCAAGAGTGTTCTACCAGAACAATAGTTCAAACTGCTCTGCCAGAAATCACAAAAAATTGCTATTTATTATGCAAAATCCCTTAGCCTCTTTTTTTTTCATTCTTCACCTTGTTTACATTGACAACTTAGATTGAGGTTTCTAAAACCGCTGATACCTGATAAATAGTTAAACATTTGCTGCCATTACTTTCCGTCATCCACACCCAATTTGTAAAAATTCTTAATACTAACAGAGCCACAGTAGACAATTCCCTTATCTGTTCTCAGTACCTTATCCCCCAGAAAGATTATGTTGTTAGCACTTGCACATGTGAGCATTATCTTAAGGCTACTTTAAAAGGAAGGAAAGGAAAGGTAGTGGAGTGAGGAAAGGAAGAGGGAAACTGGAAGGAAAAGAAATAAAATGGTTGGGATTTCACGTCCATGGTCTTCCCAATACCTGGCCTGCTCTTTTCTGTTTTTTGTTTTTTTTTTTCTATACCTCAACTACTTTTATTTTTCCTGCCTCTTAACTTGATATTCACCAAGAGTCAGTCTCTCTAGTATGGCAATTAGAAAGACTTAGCAGATATTGGCTGGGCGCGGTGGCTCATGCCTGTAATCCCAGCACTTTGGGAGGCCGAGGCGGGCGGATCACGAGGTCAGGAGATCGAGACCATCCTGGCTAACACCGTGAAACCCCGTCTCTACTAAAAATACAGAAAAATTAGCCAGGCGTGGTGGTGGGTGCCTGTAGTCCCAGCTACTCGGGAGGCTGAGGCAGGAGAATGGCGTGAACCCGGGAGGCAGAGCTTGCAGTGAGCTGAGATCGCACCACTGCACTCCAGCCTGGGCGACAGAGCAAGACTCCGTCTCAAAAAAAAAAAAAGAAAGACTTAGCAGATATTTAATCCTGCTTCTTAACCGAATCAAATCAATAAATATTTATGTGTTACTACATGGTCTAGGAACAGTTAGTGAACCAGTTACTAACAATTTAGTAACTAGTTACTAACTCAAATTCGAGGCACCTTTGTCTATCAGTCATAAGAGATACCCATGCCTACCTTATATTACTTTGAGTTTTATGCATATATGTCTTGCCAGTTACATTTTCCATTTCTTAACAGTAGCAATTGTCTATTGTTAACCTTAGCATATCATGTCAAACCATGCCTAGAATGGTGCCTTATGTGTAGTATGTTTTCCATAAATATTTATAAAATTGAAAGGTCATCTAGCATGGTGCTTCTTAAAACTAGCTGTGTATTCGAATTCAGTGAGGAATTTTAAGATGAACAAATCCTCACCCAAACACATTGATTAGCATCTCCAGCAATGGGGCCCATGAAATGTGTTTTTTAATGTGGCATTTGAGACCCACTAATAGGCTTGGCTTAATTGTGTTCAATGGTATAGAGTTTTCAATAGGTATGGCCACCCAAGCTGTTCTACTAGGGCAGCTTTAATTGTTAAAATTCTGTCTCTTATTTTGAGTTTAAAATATTTATTTCTGTACTCTATAGTCAGCCCAGATCTTCTCTGTGGAGCAAATGTGTACCCTTTTCTGCTTAATAACCCTTCAGACATTTGAGGATAATGATCACGGTTTCTTTCAGCCTTCTCATATTCAGGATAATTAGTCCTAGTTTTCCACCATTCTTTATATAGCTTCATTTTCAGATTTATTACTATCCTATTTACTGTCATCTCTGTTTCCTATTTGTCATTATTCTGCTTAAGATTTACAACCCAGTGCTAAACACAGTCTTCCAAAATAATGATGTGACCAGCCAGACCCAAAACACATTTTTAGTGAAGCATAATATTGGGGTAGATTTTTAGCAGCAGCATCTTGCCCTTGACTTATATTGACCTTGTGATCAGTTAAAGGACTCCTGTCTTTTCCACATAAAGTTCTGCCTTGTTAAGAGTTTTTCACCATACTTTAGCACAACTGTTACTTTTAATTCAGAATTTTACTTTTTTAGGTTTTATTTATTTCAACCTAGATTTCAAAATGTCAAGGTTAGTTTAAATCTATCATTCTGTCTTCCACCTTAACTATTTCTCATTGCTTAGTGTCACCTGCAGATTTGATCAGCATGCCTTTTTCTTCAAAATAAAAATGTTTACTAGAACAAGGTCCTTTGCTGCATTATAATTTTTTCATCCTAGAGGCGTAGAACTATTGATCAAAACTTTGGGTACAATTCTTCAACTTGCTAAGTTGTTCTTACCTACCTTGATTCAGGCTACGTTGTGATATCTATTTGTTACACAAATGGGAAGGTCTCTAAATACTTTGGTAAAATCAAATACTTTTTGTCAAAGAACTCTTCTTAGCTTACTTTATAATCATCCTTCATGAAAAGAAAAAAGGATATGATTGCCAAATTGTTCTTTGTGCAGTTCTGTTGCATTTTGTGATCATCATAGTCTTTTTTCATTAAATGTTCTTTCCCATAGATAATTTATCTCTTCTAGTTTCAATTATTATCTTCATTTGGATAGCTTTCAAAAATCTATGTTTCTTGTTCTGTCCACTCACAACAAAAATAATATTTTAAAATTACATTCAACATTTTCCCACATCTGACCTTTTCTTCACTTTCTTTCCCTTTTCTTTTTCTCTCTTTTGCTCAACTTCTTCATAAATTTCTTTGTATTTCTCAATTGCATCATCATTTTCTATCACAAAGCATTGAAATTTTGGACTTGCTTTAGATAATTCTGACATCCAGATAATCTCCAAGTTAATTTCATGATTGCTTTTACATGGTGGTACTCTTCATACATGTACATAGCCCTTCATACATACAGCGCTCTTATTATTATACGTCTGTCACATAATTTTGTAGTAGTCATGGATTGCAGCAACATTTGCTAAGTTTCTTTGATTTTAGATTCTTCTGCATCAAATATGCCTTGAATACTAAGTACTACCACATTTATCCTGCTAAAATATTATTCTCAATACTACACTTTCTTGTTTAAAACAAGGGCCATTTTCCTTCAGTTCATTCATTCACCCAGTCAGTATTTCAACAAATGGCCAATGTATCTGCTAGGTGTCAGGCTTCACACTTGATTCAGAGAGTAAGTTGTGAACAAGGCAGGAATGATTTCCACCTCTAGGACTTTCAAAATTTTCTGTCTGGCTGGGTGTGGTGGCTCACGCCTGTAATCCCAGCACTTTGGGAGGCCGAGGCAGGCGGATCACGAGGTCAGGAGATCGAGACCGTCCTGGCTAACACAGTGAAACCCCGTCTCTACTAAAAATACAAAAAATTAGCCGGGCGTGGTGGCGGGCGCCTGTAGTCCCAGCTACTCAGGAAGCTGAGGCTGGAGAATGTCGTGAACCCGGGAGGCGGAGCTTGCAGCGAGCTGAGATTGCACCACTGCACTCCAGCCTGGGCGACAGAGCGAGACTCCGTCTCAAAAAAAAAAAAAATATTCTATCTAAGCTAATCATTTCCATTATTTAAGGTCCAGTAGAAACTATGTCTTCCACATAACTTTCTTTTACTTCTTTGAAGTATCTTTCTGTTCTCTCTCAAATACTATAGCACTCTCAGTCTATTCCAAATAATCTGGATGTGTGCTGTCCAGTGGGGAGCTATTAGTAATATGTGGCTATTTACATTTAAATTAATTACAGTGAAATAAAATAAAAAATTTTGTTCTTTATTTGCACTAGCTATATTTCAGGTGCTCGATATCCAAACTGGTCTGGTTATATGTTCATTTAGGAAAGAAACCATAATTGGTGTCTTTCATTGTACTATTGTACTATTTACAGTGCTACTTATACAAAGTACCCAATAATATATTGGTTGACTAATTTATACGTATGTGATAAATGGCTACACTGGCTGTAAGACTCCATGGATAGTGTATAGTCTTAAATATTTCTGATTTGAAAAGTGAGATAGTTATCTAGACTGACACTGTCCAACAGAACTTTCTGCTGTAATGAGAATGTTCTTCTGTATTGCTGAATACTGTAGCCAGTAGGCACATGTGGCTATTGAGTCCTTGATGTGTGGCTGGTGCAACTGAGGGACTGAATTTTTAATTTCATTTGATTAAATTAAATTTTATTAAATTTAAATAGTAGCCACATGTGTCTAGTGGTTGCTGTATTCGACAGTACAGAACTAGCCTTTGACTTTAAAAATATTTAACTTCAACGAGGCCATCACAGTAAAACTTATTATATGTGAATTAGGGTGGATTAATATAGTAAAATTCCACTTGGATGTAGAATTTAATCGAAAATGCTAAAATACATAGTATTTGTCAGGGATACGATCTGTCACCATTAAACATCTTGTGAGGGTTGGCTTAGAACTTCAAATGTTTTTGTCTCTGTGCCTGTGCCACTGGAATTGGGCCTTAATGTTTCATTCACTTGTGGCTCTACTAGCAGGATTTTGCTCCTCCTTGAGAGTGTTACTTGTTCTCGGAAGGAAAGTATTCCTTTGGGTATTTTGAAATGGTTGGTTCAGATACATACAGATTGTATATCTTAATTTAGTCACACTTAGTTCTGATAGTTTCTCATAAGGAATATCTTCCTACCAAATTTATTCAGCTTTCTTTTTTGGAATGAATAAACATATACCCCTATAGAGCTAGAAAGTTAAATTGATTTATAGCTGCTGAATGTGCTGTTTTTTTATAATGGCGTTCACACAAGCTAGCAACTAATTCACCTTATTTTTCCTACAAGATTTAAGAAATAAAGCCTTCAAAAATTTTGATTTATTTTCCTATTGGTTCATATTCTATCATAGTTGTAGTAATTTGATACCTGCTTAGATCTCAGAAATCTAAACACACTCTTCTATTTTTGTGTTAGGATTTAATAACTATGTTTGGATTTTTGGAGAATGTTTAGTCTTAAGCATATATTTACATTCACTTAATCTGTAGTAATAGTTCTCAAACTTGCATAGGTGGCAGAGTTGCTGGAAATAGGGTTCTTTTTCGGAATACTGTGAATTTATACTATATCAAATTATAATCTATGTAATTTATTCAAAATCAGATCGTATCTCTGCTAGAATTTAAACTAAGGTAAGTAGTAGCCAAAATTTTAGGCTTAAGAAAAATTTAGTGGGAGAGACACTTAAAATTGAGAACATTGTATTCATTTACTGCTTTTCTTCCCCCACTGGAAAAAGATGACTGTTTTATTTCAGTGGCAAAACACATCCTGTAACCTTGTAAAATACCAGTTTCTTGTGGTATTATGTATATTATAGTTTAAGAATTGTTTTGTCTAAAAGAAGTAAATAATGGAAGGAGGATCAATATTATATTTGACAAGTATGAAATAGAAGAAAATGTGTACACGCTAATTTTTTTCTTATTTAATCTATAAAAATTGTTGTTTTATTTTTTAAAATTCTTAGCACATCCATATAGGCTTGAACTATCTGATCAGTTTATTCAAACAACTCTACAAGGTATTAATATATTCTTCAGTCCTATAGATTACTTATTAAATGTTTGCATACCTTTTAAATGATAATCAGGGTCAAATGCAGAGAGTATAGTTATCCACAGTAATGTAGTTATTTTCCATGTTTAACATGGAAAGCTCTAAAGTAAAATTTTTCCTTGATAATTATAAATATGTTTGTTCTTATTGTATTAGAATCCTAACCATTGTCTCATGTCGCTCCTTTGTTCCTTAAGTAGCAAACTTTTTGATGTGTTTGTACAACTTACAGAATGAATTTTTAATTAAAGCAGACATAGACATGCACATTTGTGTGTGTGCATAAGAATTTAGGCTTTAAAATATTAATAAATATGAATAAACTTGGAATTCTTATAACTCATTTGTAGTTTAGGTTGTTGCATGGAATAATTATTATTCTGTTTCATTTTCTACTTAGGAAATATTTCTAAACTTGAAAACTGCTTTGGAGAAATACCACGACGGTATTGAAAAGGCAGCAGAGGACTCCTATGCTAAGATAGATGAGAAGACAGCTGAACTGAAGAGGAAGATGTTCAAAATGTCAACCTGATTAACAAAATTACATGTCTTTTTGTAAATGGCTTGCCATCTTTTAATTTTCTATTTAGAAAGAAAAGTTGAAGCGAATGGAAGTATCAGAAGTACCAAATAATGTTGGCTTCATCAGTTTTTATACACTCTCATAAGTAGTTAATAAGATGAATTTAATGTAGGCTTTTATTAATTTATAATTAAAATAACTTGTGCAGCTATTCATGTCTCTACTCTGCCCCTTGTTGTAAATAGTTTGAGTAAAACAAAACTAGTTACCTTTGAAATATATATATTTTTTTCTGTTACTATCATGGCTGTTGTTTTGTTTATTGACATAGAGTTGTGGCATTATTGAGTCCGGACTGTGCCCTCAGCATTGTGGTTGAGATCTCATTTGATCCTTACTTAAGCAATTCTAGGTAGATATTTTTATTACTACATAGATAAAGTAATTATAAAGGTCCTAAAAGATCAGATAGCTGAAGCAAAATTTGAACTGTACTGTCTATGATACTGAAGTCTACAATGTTTCAGTGTACCACAGTTTTCAATGTAGTTAATTGAAAGAGAAAGTTTGAGTTTAGTAGTCGATTTCTTCATTGATGCAACTGGCATTTTTTTTCAAGAAAAATGAGTTAATATGTATAAAGTGACTAAAACAGTGCCTGGCACATGGTAAACACTCCATAACTCTATTAGTATTTAAGGTCATGGAAGCTCCAGGTACTTTCCTCTTTGTCAGAGATAATAAAATGTTATTTTAGGGAGTGACCAGGCTTTCAATGAAAGGCAAAGCCCTGGAATGGAAGGAGCAGCAAAAGCTGGGTGTGCAGGGAAGAACAGATGAGGATACACAAATTGCGCTATTGCCTTGTCCCTTCCTAGCTTCTCTTTAAATATTCATGAGTTTTCATTCAGAGAAAAGGCTGCCTCTAAGGCAAGGTAACAGGTATAAACATCACCAAATCTCTCTCATATTTTAAAAAGTTTGACCCCTTGGACCTATCTCCACCTTTACTGCACTTTTTTTCACAACCAGATTTCTAGAAAACCTAATCAATACTTGTGAATTAGTTTCATTCCTTGTTCATCACAGAATTGTTATTTCTATCCATACTAATCTTCTGAACTTTCTAAGGTCACCAAAAAATTCCTAGTTACCAAAATTTCATGCATACTTTTTAATCTTTCCTCAAATTCTACCTATCCAGTGCTTTTTTCATTTTGTCTCAGTAACACCACTCTGTTGGTTCTCCTAATTCCCTGTCTTCTTGTTAATTTTTCCACCCTAGAGCCTCATTCTGTTTTCACCTCTTGTGTTTTTGTTCTCTGTGCTTCCACCCTTGCCTCTTCTTACCGTAAACTCTATATTTCTCCTTGAAAACTTTTATCTACACCCACAGCTTCCAGCACAAGTTAAACACCTGTAAAACTTAACTACATTTATGTTTTTTTAATTAGATTTATCATATCCCCTGATTTTCAGACTTGCATATCCATTGGCCAGTAGGTGTATTTAACTTATTGGCATTCTGATGAAGCCTAATAATGGACCCTTTCAGAATAATGGGTTTAATACATGATATAAAATAGAGGATAAAAAGGGAAACCAATTAGATTCAAATATGATTATCAAATATTTAAAAACATTATGGTTACTAGTATCACTAACTACACTTGTGCCGTGTTGGAAAAAGGACTCAACCACTTTCTTATGCTACTATACCTCACTCCCTTATATCCATTTAGTTAGCAAGAACTACAGATTAATGTACCCAAATCTCCCTCTCACATCTCCTTTGCTTATGTTGCAATTTGCATCCTCATCATTACTGTACTTGCAATAATCTTACCAGGCTCCCAGTCTCTAACCCACTTCTATAAAGGCATTCGAGTATTCCATCAAGCAAATTAGATAGTGTCTGTGATCTGTGCAGTTTTTTAGCTTTTCAAACTGTCCTGCCAGGGTGTATTAGCGAACTCACAGGGGAATCATGCAATGTTTTAAATTTCCAAAGGAAACAACAATATTTGATATTTGTGGGACACCGTCACAAACTACTAGTTCAAGGTCATTCAGAATTCCAATGTTAAAGCATACTACATTCCTTTCAATGACATCATATCTTTGTGGAGCTGGGTTTGGCATTTGCTGAGATAAGCAAGTATCACATGAAAATCATAGAATAGGAAATGAAGATGACAATGTTCAATCTGATTCCAAGGTTTGAGTAGTTGTACAGTGCCCAATAGGCACAGATACCCAATTAGTAACTGGTTAAGAGTAAAATAAAGTAATAAAAATATTCTTTCAGTTTGTGTTTTATTTTAAAACATTCATTGTTAGGACATAAATGCTTATTATGTTTTCTGGACCTAACTACTTAATAAACAGAACATTAAATATTTTTCTTGGGACCATTCCCTTATAGGATAAAGTAAACCTGCAGGAATTTCAAAACCCTTCATAATCTAGACTTTCTCACCTTCTAGACTTTCTCACCTTTTCTCTTGCCACTTCTCACTTGAACTTTGTCCTTGAGCAATACTGAGCTATTTGGCATTCATAGCACTTCACACTTAATGTGTTTACACGTGTTTTTTTCCCCCCATAGTTTATAATGTCTTTCCTTTGTTCAACTGGAAAATACTCATTTTTCAAGTCTAAGACTTGTGTGTGTGTGTGTGAGAGAGAGACAGGGTCTTGCTCTGTCGCCCAGGCTGGAGTGCAGTGGGACAATCTCGGCTCACTGCAACCTCTGCCTCCCAGGTTCAAGTGATTCTCGTGCCTCAGCCTCCCGAGTAGCTGGGACTGCAGGTGCGTGCCACCACACCCAGCTTATTTTTTTATTTTTTTTGTAGAGACAGGGTTTTGCCATGTTGGCTAGGCTGGGCTCGAACTCCTAACCTCAAGTGATTCGCCCGCCTCGGCCTCCCAAGGTTCTCGGATTGCAGGCATGAGCCACCGCTCCTAGCGAAATCTAATGCTTTTTTAACTGTCAGCTTTTCCTTTTTTCTTTTATTTTTACTGTAATTTGTATCATTATATTGTATTTTTTTTTTACACATGTTACACCTTGCTGGACTTAAGGTTTTTCAAGCCCAGTAACTAATCTGTTTTAGTATTTCTACTCTAGCATGGAACCAAGCACCTGGTAGTCACTTAAATGTTTACTTAAGGAATAGCCATCACTCTCCTATGACCAAAGCATATAACCTTGAGGCCAGGTTTATCCCAGCAAGAAATGTTATCTTTTATGCATTTTTTATGCCAAATAACATATGTTTCAGCAGTTTGATATTTTCACTTTCTATTTTTGCCCCCAAAGAGGTAAAAAGCCTTATTTAAGAGGCCTTCAGTATAATCCACATTTGGCTGTTTTGACTAAAGAATAACTGAGTAAATTTAGGATTTTCCCCAGCGCCTTCTTGAAAATGACTACTTGGATCATGTACTCTTTTAAAGTTTATTAATATGGGGAAATTAATACTCTGCAGAAGCAAATGGCCTCATGGTATGTGGCATGTGGTGAAGCCTGACCTTAAAGGAAATACTGTGCAGACACAGACTTTAGTTATCACTTATGAGTTCAGGTACTTAGCTATATGTAGAGAAAATATTTAATTTCAAGTTCAACTGACATATTTCAAGGAACTAATCCATTTTATGACAAAGCAAGGGAAATTGAAATATGCACCTTGCAGGCTGAAGTTAATACATCTGATTTTAGTTTAACGGGATGTTTCCTATTTTTAGTAAGACCAGAAAAGTTTTATATGAAATTCCATTTCAAATTCTGGGCCTGCCACTTATATCAATTAAGTTGGCACTCTCCCTTTGATTGAAATATGCTTCTCATCTTCCTATCCATATTGCCACCAGGGGGCATAACATAACTTGCATAACCAATGCTAAAATAGCTGTGGATTTTAAGGTTTGAAACTTAAAAGCTGAAAATTTTTAAATAATAGTAACAACTCAAAAAAAAGAAAAGTGTCAGAATTTAGAGATAATCTGTTTAAAGTTGAAATAGGTTCTAAATAATATCATAAGATTATTTCAAAATTTTGCTAAAAGGATGACTCATCTCAAGTCTCCAATTCTGACCTTATGTACATTATCTTTTAAAAATTGTTTGTTGGCCAGGTGCGGTGGCTCACGCCTGTAATCCCAACACTTTGGGAAGCCGAGGCGGGTGGATCACGAGGTCAGGAGATCGAGACCATCCTGACTAACATGGTGAAATCCCACCTCTACTAAAAATACAAAAAATTAGCAGGGCATGGTGGCACGCACCTGTAGTATACATGTATATGTATACACATATATATATATATATACACACACATATATATACATATATATACACATATATAAGTAATCTTTAAAAGATGTATATATATACTGTCTAAGTCATCCTCTTAGTAATTGGTTCAGGATTTCTAGTTCAGATTCCATGCAACTCTTAAAATTGAATTTTTCTGAGACAAGAATTTGAGATTTCATAAAACAAGCAAGTCTTTTAGGAAATGAACCTAGAATATCACCTAGGATTCTCAGTGTAACATTCTTTTCTTCTGGTAATCTTATAAAGTAAGTTCCTACCACCACCAACCTCTAATTCATTCTTACTGCCATGACATAGAACTTTCTAAAATACAAACTTGATCGTCTCTCCCCACTGCTCTACAAATCTTTGATGCTAACCCATAATACTTTAAAGGGCAATATTTTGATGGAGACCATATAGTGTGGTATGGCAGTTCTCAAAGTGTGTAAAATTTTCCTGGGAAACTTGTTAAATATGCCACACCCCCCAGAGATTTGATTTGGTGGGTTTCTGGGGTTCTACACATGAAACAAGCATACTAAATGATTCCAATGACAATAATCCTAGGCGATTATTTTAAGAACTGCTGTGTGACTAGGAACATACACTAGAATAAGTCCTCACACTACTTCTAGTATAACAAATACAGGAATAACAAATACAGTTGAGGGCTGAACAATGTGAGAGATAAGGGCACCAACCCTCCTTACAGTGGAAAATCCATGTGTAACACTTGACTCTCCCGAAAATTACTAAAAGCCTACTATTGACTGACCAATAACCTAAACAGTCAATTAACACATATTTTGTATATTTATCATATAGTATATTCTTACAATAAAACTAGAGAACTGAAAATGTTAAAAAATCTTAAGGAAGAGAAAATACATTTATTATTTATTAAGTGGAATTGGATCATCACAAAGGTCTTCATCCTCATCTTCATGTTGAGCAGGCTGAGGAAGAGGAGGAAGAGGAGGAGTTGGTATGGCTGTCTCAGGGGAGGCAGAGGCAGAAGAGGTGGATGGGGTGAAAAGGGAGGCAGGCAATCTTGGTGTAACTTTTATTGAAAGAGATCCATGTATAAATGGTCCTGTGAAGTTTGGCCCCATGTTGTTCAATGGTCAAGTGTGTATCTCAAGCATGAAAACACTGAGTGAATTCTGGAGAACAATTAGCAAAGTGCCTGCCACACATCAAACACTCAAATGGTAGCTGATGCTGTTAAAGGCAGATATATCTGTTAGACTGCTCTGGGGCCAATTTGATATGTTTTATATCTTCTGCACTACTTCTGTCATAATTCTTTATACCTACTTAGCAGTGAAGAAATATTTGCTGAATTAAAGAATATATCTGCATATCCAAAATGGGCACAAGACCCTAAAGCAAGGAGTTTTCAGGAAAAGAAGTCAGCCTTGTATTTTTAGTGCAAAGAACAAGGATCATGACAGTTTTATCCTACCAGGGGAAAAAAGAATCAGGTATGCTCATTTTTAAAAGTTGCAAATTTCGCTTGGCTCCACTGGGTGTCACTGCTAACTCGTCTTTCCTGTTTGAGCATAGGTGTAAGGATTGCAGGACATTAGAAGGGGGATTTTCAAACCTCAGTATTTATCAGAATCACCTGGAGGACTAAAATGGATTATTGCCCCAGAGATTCTGATTCTGTAGGTCTAGGGTGGGGCTCTATAATTTGCATTTCAATCAAGTTCCCAGGTGAAGCTGATGTTGTTGGTTCAGGGATCAACATTTAGAGAAGCACTGCATTAGAGAAATCTAACCATAACTGGGGTCAGGTTCTTCACAGGTCTTCTATAGCAATGCTTCTTGCATTTTGACATGCTTACAAGTCACCTGGAAATCCTGTTAAAATAAAGAGTCTGATTCAGTAAGTTGGGGTGGAGCCTGCGATCCTGCATTTCTAAAAATCTCATAGGTGGCGCTGAGGCTGCTGGACCACAAACCACACTTTGAATAGCCTTCCTGCTTCTCGTCATTGATTCTACCTTCACATCACCAAGTTCTCTACCCTTCAAGACTGAGGTGATGAGAGATATAAAATGCTTGGCACAGCACCCAGTGCATGGTCAAGCACATTATATGTGTTAGCAATTATTATGTGGAGGTATTTAGTACAATTGTTCAGAATGTGGAGTTTTGAGAGACAGACATTTGAATTCCATGTTTGCAACTTACCAGCTTTGTAAACTGGGGCATGAAACAGAATGGCATTGAGGCTTAGGCTCCTTATTTTCAAATTGAGGAGTTTAGTAGTCTTTATTTCACAAGACTGTTGTAAGGATTAAATCAGATAATAAATGTAAACTACTTGGCACGCTTTGGAAATGGCTATTATTGCTAGTAAAACAGAAGATATAAAGTGACAAAAATGGCTGCAACAGGTGTTATGTGAGCTTTTACTGTTTGAAAGAGATAGACTCTACCCAGAAGAAAAAAATCACATGGCACCCATTAGAATACTAATGTTCATTTATTGCTAACAGTTGTATCACCCGTCAAAGGAGAAAGGACTCAGAAAGTACTGAGAAATTTACAGCCATCATTTAAAACTAGATTTGTAGAAAAAAAAGAGTTACAGAAACAATATCTTTTCAAAAGTTTTTAGAAAGAAATTGCATTTTACCAGGGAGGGCAAATGTATTCTTATATAATCAGGACAACTTTATATCTGTGCTCTTTCAAGCCAGAGATTATAATTCATTTTGTACCTACAGAACTTAGCATATAATAGAATCAAAATAATATGTGCTGAACAAATGCATGAAGAAACCCTACCATATTCAAAGAAATAATAGGCTGTCTTTCATTAGTTTATCCCTTTAACTTACTCTGTTTTTCTTAGATGAGTTCCTTTTGTCCTCTTACTATCCCAGTTTTAGCACTAAACAACCCACATTTAAGGAAACCCCTCAGTTCAGGGCAAACCAGGATGGTTGATCTCTCTGGACATGTGCTCTACATGAAGCTCCTATTTGGCCCAACCCTCCTCTTATACCCATGGTTAGGCTTCTTTTACTTTCACGGTATTTACGGCTGGTCTTCTTCCCTCAATAACTCAATAGATATTTACTAAGAGTGCACTACACACAGGCCCAATCCGAGTGGGTTGGAAGAAGTCAAGGTGAAGAAGAAACTCCTGCTCTCAAGAAGTATCCATGGACAATGTCAACTCTTAATGACTCTCTCTTCAACCAGGTGTTATTAGTCTTTCTTTTGGCCAAAATCCCTGTATCTATTGCTATGTAACAAATTACTCCAACTCTTAGCAACTTAAAATAAAAAGTGTTTATTATCTCACACAATTTCTGAGGGTCAATGAATATAGGAGTAGCTCGGCTGGCTGGTCCTGGCTTAGGGACTTTCTTGAGGTTGCAGTTAATCTGGCCTCCAGGGCTGCAGTCATCTGAAGTGTTGATTAGGGATAGAAGATCTGCTTCCAAGATGGCTCAATCCAATGACTTTTGGCAAGGGCCTCAGTTCCTGCTGCCTCTTATCAGGAGCCTCATTTCCTTACCACACAGGCTTCATACAGCTGTTCGATATGGTAGCTGGCTTCCCCAATCATCAGCTAAAGCAAATGATTGCAGATAGAGATAGGAGAGAGAGAGAGAGAGAGAGAGAGAGAGAAAATGAGAGAGTGCAACCAAGATGGAAGCCACAATGTCTTTTATAACCTTATCTTGGAAATGACATACCATCACTTCTTCCATGTTCTACTCTTCACATAGACCAACTATGGTACAATGTGTATGTTTTGGGGAACTTCATAAAAGCATATATACCAAGAGGCAGTGCTCTTTGGCAGCCATCTTGTGGAGTTGGCTACCACACTCCCCAATCCCTGTACTAGAGACTGGGACTTCTATACCCTTACCACCAGCATGTAGACAACGTTTTAAGGTAATATAAAATTAGGGAATTATTCCTTTGATTGGTCTGCTCACACTGCTGAATATATGTTCTCAACACACGAGTGCATCTCTTACAACATACCTTTTTCTTGACTGGAACGTTATACTTGCCTAATGTGATCACAGCACGACTTAGTAGATGAGGCACTCATTATCTCCTGTGAAACAGATGGGAAACTTTGGCTCAAAGAGGTTCTTAGTGGCAACCAGTTGATTCACTTGCCCAGAAACCTAAAACGGCTGCCAATGTCGTCATTAGTTCAAGTCTGAACTACTTAGTTGGCATTCAAGTCCTCTTTAAACTGGGCCTATATTTTTTTCATCAGATGTTTCCTCATTGACTTCAACATACATTAGAACAATATCATGAGTTGCTTGCTTCCAAATAGGATCTGACCTTCTTCCAACTTTTAATAAAAGAAATCAGACATTTATTAGCCACATTTCCAGAATTCAGGGACCCATATTCTAAACTCTACAAGCCAGGTGCAATTCCCAAGATTTAATCTGAAAATTTTGGGAAGCCCAGTTTAGCTCTTTTACTCAGACTCCTATGTAAGAAAGACAAATATGAATCTTTCTCACTCTCATTTCTATTGTAGCAGTCTGAGATTTACCACCAGCTTCCTTGCACTATGTATGTCTTTGTTCATTGCAATTTTTCTTTGAGGGCTCAAGACCAGCCTATTTTACACTAGTTCCAATGATTTGACAGGTATAAACTATGTCCAAAAGAGTTAACTTTCCTCCCAAAAGTGACTGCAGAATAAGCTAGGCCTTCCAAGTCAGCCCTGCTTCCATCAACCCGAGGAGGCATGTTGCCTGAAAGTCTTCATAATAGGTGATTGGCAAGTAAGGTTAGGTATCATTGCTGCAGTGAAAGAGGGTTAGGAATTAAGGTCCAGACCTTTAACTGCCCATTGTGAAGTTTTCCCTAACTCTTCTAGCTAAAATTATTCCTCATTTTCTATTTTCCCTGAGGTCCCCATCCTTTTTTTTTTTTTCCTGGTTAACAGGAAATTTCTAAGAAATGATAGACATCTGACACGCGGTCTCAATCCAGAAATTCAGATACAACAGAAGTGAAGTCTACACATTAATTGATACTCTACCAAGCCACAGTAACCAGCACTGTTTTCAATGGAATAAAAGCTCTATTATGTACTTCATCTGTCATTAGCTAGTCAAATATTCCTATTCTGGAAGTAAATCTTCAGAATGTCAAAGGGACTGTTTAGTTTTGAATTTAAAAAAAATTGATTGAAACATTTAATAATCAAAATCTTTACATAATGATTGGATTTGAAAACATTTCTGTTTTCTTTTAAGATAGGTATATTTCAGAATTATACAAGACTACCACATTGTGAATAATAATTAACATCTGTGTGCTATTACCTCACTTAAAGAAGTAAACATTAGCAATGCAATCGAAGCCCTTTCTACAGCCCTCCACAATTACAAGCCCCTTCACTGCTCTCAGGTAACCAGTATCCTGAAATATAAATTCATTATTCCCACGAATTTTTTTAGAATTTTACTGACTCTATGAAGTAACTCTACCCATATATAGCATCGTTTGCATGTTTTAAACTTTGAATGGTTTGCTTTGTATATTCTCCAACTTGCTGTTTTTGCTCAACAGGAGCGAGTTAAGAATGAGGACTTTGTTTTGTTCACTGCTATATCCAGAGAACCTAGAAAAGTGCCTGACATATAGGAGGAACTCAAATATTTCTTGAATAAATAAGCATTATATTTGTGACCAATTTTCCTACTTATATATGCAGCTCCTCCTGTCTCATTTTTACTTCTGAATGGTATTTCAGTGCATGGCTATGCTACATACTCCTCTTGAAAGATGTTTAGGTTGATTTTATCTTTCTTTTTTTTCTTGCTATTATAAACATGCTGTGCACTATGAAAATTTGTTTAAAATTTTTTTTTGTACATACATGGTAAAGTTTCTCTGAGATATATGCCGAAGAGTAGAATTATGGAGTCTCCAAAGTGGTTTGCCAAATTTTACATTAGCAGCACCAGCAGCATTTGTGTGTACCAGTTACTTCCTATCTTTGTCATCACTGGGATAATGAGACTTCTTAATGTTTGCCAATGTGATGGATGTGAAATTATATTGCTCTGCAGGTTTCCTTTTTGTTTGTCTGTTTACTAGTGAGGATAAACATCTTTTTATATGTTTATTGGCCATTTACATTTCTTCATTGGTGAATTACCTGTTTATTTATTTATTTATTTGGCCATTTTTCTACTGGGTTACTTATTTCTTTCCTTACTGCTTTCAAGGATATATATATTTTAATTCTGGATACTATCCTTTGTCAGTTGCATGCTTTGCAAATGTCTTCTATTTGTGGTTTGTCTTTTTTCTTTCTTCTCCCACAGCACTTAAAAAAAAACTTTCATCATAGTACTTATTCCACTGAATATTAACTTTTTAATGCACTAAAACCATTACATCATTAAAAAGTTTAGTCTTCTAGACTGTGAGGTTCTGGAAGGCAAACTATGTGTTATTCATGATTGAGGGCCTAGCACCATGCCTTGTACATATTGGGGCCCACTTAATGCTTTTTTATTTTATTTTTCTTTTTTGAGACAAGGTCTTGCTCTGTCACTCAGGCTGGAGTGCAATGGACAATCACAGCTCACTTCAGCCTGGACCTCTTGGGCTCGAGCAATCCTGCCGCAGCCTCCTGAGCAGCTGGGACTATAGGCAGGTGCAACCACATCCACCTATTTTTTTTTCTTTGTAGAGACAGTGTCTCACTATGTTGCCCAGGCTGGTCCTGAATTCTTGCACTCAAGCGATCCTCTTGCCTCAGCCTCTCAAAGTGCCGGGATTACAGGCGTGAGCCGCTGTGCCTTGCTGATTTTGATTTTTGAAATAGATAGGGTTTTTTTCCTCAGACAAAGCAAAAAGCAGTTGCTAGGGGCTAGGGCAGGGGTTTGCAAAGCACAGCCCATGTGTCAAAACAGCCCACTACCTACTTTGTAAATAAAGTTTTATTGAAACGCAGCTATCATCATTTGCTTACATTTTGTCTGTGGCTGCTATCCTGCTATAACAGCAGAGTTCAGTAGCTATAACAGAAACCATATGGACCACAAATCCAAATATATTTGCTATCTGGCCCTTTACAAAGGAAGGTTGCCATTTCTGGACTAGTAAGTAAAGGTGAATGCACACAGAAGCATGCTACTATTTTCAATTTTGAAAAGAAAAGTATACCTGATCTCTTCACATTGTCTTAACATCTACCAGCCTGCTTATTGTGCAGCTCCTTACCTCATCCTATCTTAAAAAGAATGAGTAACAACATATATAGAATATTTGAAAATAACCTAAATTAATTTAGGCCCTAAATAATGCTGTCAGTCCCCAAATAATGTCATCATTCTATCTTGAATTCACGAATACAGAAATGAATCTTATTTCATAAGAATGTCTACCAAAAACTGACTCCTGGATCATCAATTATTTAAGGACAGAAGGAGTGTGTCTGAATTTTTTTGTAACCCCGACTCCCACCCAACCTTATTCAGTGTTCTGCTCACTGAGGTCACTCTATAAATGTTGCTTTGTGACTGCTGATATTGTAATGCATTATTTACCTGCTTGCATTTTGTAAAAAATAATTGGGACAGACAGAGAGGGACTAGGACACGGGTAGAGAGGCATAGAGAAGGCAGAGACAGAGGGAAGCAATGAGGAAAGATGACCCTAAAAGCATTTGCTAATTTACAACTTCTGGAGCTGCTGAAACTGCTTTCAAATTTTGCAGCCTTTGACATTTTTGCAATTTTTCCATGTTCCTGCTGCTGTTCCAGTACCACAGATAAGAAACCCTCAACTCTTGCTCTGTTCTGGAATAATGAGATTGGAAAAAAAAGATCTTTTTCATCTTTTCAACATTAAAAAGAAAAAAAACTAGTCAAAGCCCAGCAGTTCAACAAATATTACTCATGTCATTGGCAAGAAGAAAAGGAGACTTTTGAATTAAAAAAAAAAAAGGAAAAGACGAACACAGGAGGCATTGTTTGCATATCAGAAAAATTAATCTACATAGGAAAGTGTAAGAGCCTGCAATTCAGAAAGCAAAGAATTAGGACAGCCCAGCTGAGAATAATTTTCTAGCCAGTTAATTTAATTGCATAAATCATTCCTTTGTTAGCAATAAAGAGATATAATTAAAATGAGATTGCCTCTAGTTTCTATTCTCTAGAAACTAAAGGAATTGATTTTGGGCAAAGCATTCTTCCAAATACCAGATCGGCAAATTACATTTACCTTTTTAGAAAAGCTAAATTATTTTGCCGTAATATCATGGTGGGTTTAATTAATTATAGATCTGCCATACGATCTTAAAGAAATAATTTATTTAATGTCCTTAGAACAGAAGTTTGCAATCATGTGTGTATCCCTTTGGTAGATGGTGTGCAGATTTTTACTAACAGGTCAGAAGTTTAACAGGCAGCTGTCAGGAGAAATTTGAGGCAGTATAACGATTGTTTGGGGTTTTGGTTCGCTGTCCTTGTTTAAAATAAAAAACGCCACTACTTAGTATTGCATAATTTAACTGAACTCATTTAGATTGGCTTTATTCTAAAATTACTACTGGTAATTATTTGCTGTCTTTGAACCTTTGGGATTTAAAGAGCCTATAATTGTCTATTAAATAGAGGGAAATCAGATCAAAGAGGGATGCAAAAAGTCTCCTACTATAAAGCACAGGTCTGCTGATCAGTCAATTGAATGTCAGAGAGAATTGCAAGCTGTGACAGAGAAGTGGCTCATTTTTATGGTAATGAATTTGAATTTTTAAAAATGTACTAAACTACACTTGCTTGCTCTAGAATTTTGAAGTTCATTGGCATTACTTGGCAACAGAGATTTATACGGTGGTGGGAGGGATCCCACCAGCCTTCAGAGAGCTTGAGCTCAGAGAAAACCGTGCCATGCACGATGACTGCAGTTCTCATACCGCATCTGAGCTCAGAGGGGCAGGTGACGCTCTTCCCATTTCATGGATGTGATTCTAAAATGTCCAGATTCATTTTTGTACTAGACAAAATGTTTGGTGTGGCTGTTAGAGGTTTACATTTATTGACTTTTGAGAATGAAAAGTACACTTTATCATTTCTCCGTATTCCTGAGGCTCATGAGAAGGCAGCCAAAAGAGAAAACTAGCTCAAAACTCAGAAGAAATTAGGTCTTTCTGGCATGATTGCTGCTGCTCAGTGAGGATCTCTTACTAAAGGAGCTAGACAATAAGGACAGACACTTCCTAATTCCAAAATTGCTCCACAGGACAGAACAGACAGGTCTGACCTTCCTCTCCTTAAAAATTCAGCAGAATATTCCAGTCTATGTTGGGCAATAGTTGCTCCGAACATCTTTTTGGTAGGTCCTGCTATAGCAGGGTCTAGCCCTTCGAGCCCCAAATCTCTGTAGACTATTCACCTAGTGCCATGACATTCACTCTTACATTCTCTCTCATGGCTCACTGTGTGAGCTCTTCAGCTGTCTGGCTGGTCCTTCATTAACCCTTTTGGTGTGTTCAGAGGTGGCATTATTGCCTTCCCTTTATTTAATCCTGTGTGACTTGAGTAGGCTATTAGTACAGCACAAATAACTGAAAATTTATGCCGAGGTTAATCAACAAATGTCCTGATTTATTTGGAAAGTCTGGACTGGAAAAGTCATGTGAAAAGCAGAGTTAGTTGTTAATATGTTGGCTTCAGCCAGAATGGTTAAAACTAAATAACATCGCATTGTTAGGATTAGAAACAACTCTTCACCCCAGAGAAATTTCAAACTTATCACCTGGTTATGAATAACTTCTGCTAATTAATAATGCCAGCCTTAGGCAATTTGGGTCCTGCTTCTATATACAGTTGGCACTTGAACAACAGGGGTCTGACCTGCATATATCCACTTAGGTGAAGATTTTCTTCTGCCTCTGCCACCCCTGAGACAGCAAGATCAGGTCCTTCTCTTTATTCTCCTCCTCAGCCTACTCAGCATGAAGATGAGGATGAGAACCTTTATGATGATCCAATTCCACTTAATAAATAGTAAATATATTTTCTTTTCCTTATGATTTTCTTAAGAACATTTTCTTTTATCTAGCCTACTTCACTGTAAGAATACAGTATATAATGCCTATAACATATTAAATATGTGTCAACCTGCTATTTATGTTATGGGTAAGGCTTCTGGTCAACAGTACGCTTTTAGTAGTTAAGTCTTGAGGGAGTCAAAAGTTAGACACGGATTTTTGACTATGTGTGGTGTCAGCTGCCCTAACCCTCATGTTGTCCAAAAGTCAACTGTGTTGTTTTTCTTGTTGTTTTTCTTTATCCACATCAATCAGACGGAGATCTCAGCCAGCCCCACCAAAAACATGGTTTTGCTTGTACTTTCTATTCAATAAGTTTATTCATGGGTAGTGCAAATAATGTTACTAATTCACTGGGTAAGTCGACGGATATCCCAAGATGTAATGCCCAGTCTCATGTACTTGAAATGCAATGCCTGACTTGAAGATATATCTAGAAGTGTATATTAGTGCCACCAGGGTAACAAGAACACTCAGGATCTCATGAATACTTGCTCTGTTTCTGGATCCTCATGACATTCATTCTCAAAAAACAGAACTTGTCATATCCATTAACCTAAATTACAGGTAAGAGATCTTTGGGCTAGAGAAGTTTAATGTCACATGTTTACCCAGCTACAGGGAAAAAGTTACCAGCAGTTCCTGAAAGCAGTCTCTGGCTTTCCTACTTAGAACTTAAATTCCTATTCAGCTACCTGATCTGGACCAGGAGGTAGTGAGCTGACATTTAGTTAAATTATTTTGTATCAGTGCCATATCAAGCTTTCAGTACTGTAGTATTTGAAAACAGGTTCAAAATACCCACCAGGCCACAAATATTTTATGAACCCTAGAGAGTTTTAAGGGCCTTATCCTTGTGAGTACTGGTAAGGGTTAGCATAATTACTTGAAACTACCTGTCTCTGTCCTAGGGTTAGGAATGTGGCCTATAACCTTGTATCATCATCTTTTCTCCATAGTAACCATTTTCACCACTCTCTCTTCCATGTCTCACAGTATCCTTTACCTATCTCTTCATATACCGCAGTGTGCTACTATTAATTTCCTATCTGAATGACTCTACCATTGTCTATGAGCTTCTTGGGCTCAGGAATAAAAGCCCATTCAATGTTTGATGCAGTCCCTGACACAAAGGTACTCAATTTCTCTTTATTGTTGTTATTAATCAAAATGGGGGGAAATCCTCATATCCTTGTTATCCTATTCACATACTTGGCCTACTATACACATTTCTTATCTAGAGGTATGATTAATGTGTTATACCTTGCCTAACGCAGGACCTGTTGCATGCTTGGTATTTAATAACTTTTGTAAGATGAAAGTCACCATGCACTAGACAGGTATTTTAACAACTGCCAAGAGATGTGTTTAGAGGATGTCTAGTGTGCATAATATCAAGCATGGAAAACTGTCATACTCCTGAGCAGCCAGAATCTAGTCCTCCTTAGGGCTGTATTCAAGGCTCTATTTTCATAATTCACACTCTCCCTTGGCTTTAATTATCTGCTCTTCTGATAACTCTCAAGTCCATCTATCCAACCCAGACTTTTCTTTAGAGCCCCAGACCCATGTATCTGACTGCCTTCTGGGTACCCCAGTTGGGTGTACTATAGGCATCTCAAACTCAATTCTTCCTAAATAGAACTCATCATTTTCATCTCCTCTTCAAAGCAAATATTACCACCAGCCCACCCATTGCACGTGATAGAAAAGAAAAAAAGCCTTCGCTCATCCCTCTCTCCCTTAACCTCCACAACAATTCAATCAACACACCTGTCAACTCTCTTCTATAATTGTTTGGCCCAGTTCTTTTTCTCCATTCCTCAGACTCACCCACCAGATACTGTTTTGTTCCTCTCCAATCCACATTCTACAACAAAACCAAAATAATCACTATTTTAATAAACTATTACTCCATTGCTGAAAAGTCTCTACTGTTTTCCCATTGCCTTTAGGATAAAGCCAAAACTCTTAACATGGCTTTCAAAGCTCTTGAAAACTTCTTTGTCTCATGACATTCTTGCCGTTCCAAACCTTAATTTGGCTGCTGCTTCTCAACATGGAGCCCTCACCACAATGTTACCTCCTCAAAGACATGTTCCCTTACTACCTTGGCTAAAGGCTAGCTAAAGCAGCCCTACCTCAAAACCACTCAGTTTCTATCTCATTACCTTATATTTTAAAAATGAACTTGTCAATACTTTGGGTATCTTATTAATACTTCCCTATTTGTTGTCTGTCTTCCTCCACTAGGATTTAAGCTCCTCCTCAATGTATATAATACTCAAAGCTGTACCTCCAGATTGTAGAACAATGCTTGGCATGTAGTAGGCACTCCATAGATATTTGTGGATCTACTGAAGGCTCCTTTATATTCTTGTCATTTCCACAATTATGTCATCCTCTACGTCTCTCTTTAAGGACCTTTGCACATGCTGTTTCATACATCCCTTTTCCACACTATTCTTTTAAGCTTGCTAAATACTATTCAGCGTAATTATCATTTCTTCCAAAAAGTCTTTCCTAACCTCAGTTGAGTCCCTCTGTGGCATTCTCACATGTCATCTTGATCATTTTCTATCAAGAGCATTTGACACTGTTGGAATTATTGTATACATAGCTCACTTCCACACTAGACTTCCACATTTTTTAGTTGTTCACAGTTATGTTCTCAGGGCCTAGTATCGTGCTTGGCGCATAACAGGTGCTAATAATAATTTGTGGAGGAATGAATGGATGAAATGTGTTTCAGAAACAGTGTTTCTGTTCTGTGGGGAATTTATTTTCAAATCAGACTCTAATAAATACTTCCTCCCCAAAAGGTGAGAAACACCCTCCTCTCACCCTGGCGTATAGATCCAGTGGGGAAGAATGCTGATTGCACAGGCAGTGAGGATTAGAAAGCTGAGCTGTAGCACCAAGCAGACAAATAGATAAGCTATTCCTAATGTGGTAAGTAATTAGCACACATTTGGCAGAGTGTATTGGAAGGAGCAAACCTCCTTAGCAGTATACTTGGAAAACACTCAGGACTTAAAGCTGAGAAAAAAACAAGGAGCAGTTGCAAATAGATACTAAGAAAAATCTTTACATAGTAATAAAGACCTTGAAACATGGAAACATCATCTCGGAGAGATAAGTATGGGACAAGAACAGAATGTAATATGTGGCAGAATCTCCAAAATTAGGACTAGACGGAAGAAGAAAACTCTGGCTGTTTCTACAACCAAGATTATTTTTCTCTTGTCTTAACCAATCTAAAAAAATGTTTTTTTCTAATTTTTTAATGAGGAAGGAATTGAAGATTAGTGTACAAATTCTATTTTATCGTTGCTCTAGTTGATGTATAGGGGGTTCTTCCTAAGTTAGTTATATTCCTTAAAGTGAACATTTTCATTGGCAGTTCATATTTTTGTGTTTTTATGAAGTCCTGATTTTTTTAAACTCCTACTTTGGCCTCCCAAAGTGTGGGGATCACAGGTGTGAACCACCATGCTCAATTGTACATTTGGACTGGATAGCTGCCAGCAGTCAAAATGTTGGCTCTCAAATTAGTTAATTTGTAGTTTGGTCTAAAGAAGTTTATTTCTCTCTGGGTATGCTACCTAAAATTCCATGGACTCATTTGGAAGATTGTGAAATTCATCAAATGACTTGCCCAACCAAAGTATACAGGGGTGTCCTCATGGAAGAGAACCTACAAGGGGCTCAAGACAGCAGGAGTTCTGCCTTTGTTCTGCTATAACTGAGCATGGTCTGATGGCTTACCTCACGTCTGTGTTCTCCCATGGGTATTAGTAGTCCTATAGTGTCTCTGTAAAGAAGGACTTTGTGATCTTAGCAAAGCCTTAAAATTAGGGTTGGCAAATAAAATACAGCAAATAAACAAATATAAGTTTAGGGCGTGCTTATACTAAAAAGTTATTCATCATTTATCTGAAATTCAAATTTAACTGGGAATCCTGTATTTTTTATTTGCTAAATCTAGCAATGACAATTAAAATTAATTTATCATTAAAAGAAAAATTCCATTTCTCTCAGTTCTCTGCCCATCATGATAAAAAGCCAAAAAAAAGTTGCAGAAGGAAGTAAAAAAAAAAATTTCACTGGTGTCAATTGCTTTTTCATGCAACATAAATGTTTAATTACTGAGACTTCCTTTTCTCTTCCTTCCTTCCTTCCTTTCTTCTTTCTTTCCTTTCTTTCTTTCTTTCTTTCTTTCTTTCTTTCTTTCTTTCTTTCTTTCTTTCTTTCTTTCTTTCTTTCTTTCTTTCTCTCTCTCTCTCTCTCTCTCTTTCTTTCTTTCTTTCTTTCTTTCTTTCTTTCTTTCTTTCTCTCTTTCTTTCTTTCTTTCTTTCTTTTTTCTTTCTTTCTTTCCTTATCTTTCATCTATAACCTTGCTCTTTCACCCAAGTGGGAGTGCAGTGGCACAATCACAGCTCACTGCAGGCTCAACCTCAATCTCCTGTGCTCAAGTGATTCTCCTGCCTTGGCCTTCCAAAGTGCTAGGATTACAGGCATGAGCTACCACACCCGACCTGAGACTTCTTAAAAATAGAAAAGAGTTGACAATCTACTGAGAGAGAAGGCATTTTGAAGCCAGTGATTGGATTTCCACACATTATCTTTTGTTGTTCATGTCTCCATTAGCATAGCAGTTAGAGTGTTTTGCTGCATTTATCTCCTTTGATAAAGTTAGGTGCTTATGAGGTTGTGAACTCAATTCTCAGGAGTATAGGTTAACTTCTGGTTTAGAAGCCAAACTACATTATACACCACAACACACTAGGGACAAAAGGGGCCCTTTGATAAGTCATAAACAACCAGCTGATTGATTGGTTCTAGGAATTTAAATATCTAGGCATTCATTTTAATTAAGCACTTCATTGGAAAACACATAACACAGACTACAGTCACTAGAACTGTGACAGCTATATTGCAATTTTATAGCCCAAAATTTAATCAGCAGGTGCTGATTAATCTTGCTCTAAAAATCTTCCATAGCAAGGCAGTTGCTCAGATTCTCTATGCTTCAAAAGGGGAAGGGGGGATAGTTGATGCTGCTGAGAAAATAGATGGCCAACCTTTTACTTTTGCTCCCTAGTTTTCTGGGAGTTTTGATTTCAGCTATAAGCAAATTCCCATCTTTAGCACCAGTGTTGACATGACCATAACAATATGTTTAAGACCATAAAAGAGAACCCCATTTGGAAATTAGCCAGCTCTGAGTTTAAAGGGCTAGGTTTTCATAGCTAACTTTCAGTCAGTAAAACATAAGCTTCTCCCCAGCACAACCCCCAGCCCTCCCCATTTCCTTTCAGTTCTCTCCCCTCAAATTGCACAGGTTTCTCTCCTGGACCCATTCTATATTTTCTCACAGCTCCTCTCTGGGTCATCTCTACCTGTCATTATTTTAGCTCTTTGATTTTACTAAACAATATGTTGTTTCCCACACGTATGTTTGTCCTAGAATGCCCTCATCTTCCTTGGCTTAGTCAAATCCTCCTCATGCTTCTTTGAATGCCCAGACCAAATGTCATCCCCTCGAGAAGCTTTCTCTGTCATCCACCCCAGACTATGCCAAGTACCTCCTTCTGTGACCCCACAATTACTTTAATGTGTCTATATCACCTTGTTTATGTAGAGTGGGTAGACATTTTTACATATTTATTTTTATCTGCTTATAAAAATAAAGCTTGCTTGTTTATAGAAAAGGTGAAAATAGAAAAGTATACAAAACAAAAAATTATCAATAATTCTACCATTCAGAATACAATGCCAATATTTTTGGTGTATTATCTTCTAAACTTTTCTCTATGCATCCTATGATTGCTTAATTACAAAAATTCCCCCAATTTTCCATCCCTGCCTGTATTCTTGCCACTTGATATATGACCTTGAAGCTCCCTCTATCGAGAGATAGAATCACTTCCCCCCACCCCTTTAGTTCTTCTTATGACTTGGTTTTGAAAATAGAATGTGGCATAAGTAAGTGATGGTGTGCCTATTCTGAGCCTTGCACATTTCTGCTCTCTCGAAGCCCAGATACACTATGAGCACAACCCCAAGCTAGCCTGCTAAAGAATAGATCATTTGAAGAATAGATAAATCATCCCATCTGAGATCATTCTAGAGCAGCCCACTCCGAACTGCCCTGCCAGCTAAAATCAAAGATGCCCAAACAAGCCCAGCTGAGATAAACCTAGATGAGGAGAACTGCCCAGCTGAGCACAGCCTAAATTGCCTGCAGAATTATGCGTGAAATAAATGGTTTTTTGATGAATCATTAAGTTTTGGGGGAGGACTAGTTCGTTATGCAGCAATAGCTTACTAACGCATATACATTTTTACATAGTAGAGGTTACACTGATTATAACAAGTTTATGCCTTCTTTACTTGTTTGTTTGTTTTTTTTTATTTTTTGTAGAAATGGGGTCTCACTATGGTGCCCAGGCTGGTCTTGAGCTCCTGCACTCAAGTGATCCTCCTTCCTTGAGCTCCCAAAGTGCTAAGATTACAGTCATGAGCCTCTGTGTCTAGCCTCTCTTAATTTTTAAATCATAATTATATGATCAAAAAATTATTGCCAAGTTTTATGTTTATCACTGCATGATAGTCTATCTTATGGATGTAGCATAAAGTTTTTACCATTTTTCTATTCTATATCTAGGTTGTTATAAAAATTATAATTATAGAGAGCACAGTGTAATGGGCATATTTAAACTAGAAGTAGAATTATTGGGCCAATAGCCATAGAAACATTTTGAAGGTCTTTGATACATGTTGACAAATTCCTTTTCAGAAAGCTTACAAGTTTCTGCACTGTCACTGGTGCTGCCTCGGATGGCTCATTTCACCACAGTCTTGCTGCAGTGAAGTATTAATTTTAAGTAAGCTGTAATTCTTATGGTTAAAAAAATCACCATTCCAGTTTTTATTTTTTGTAAGTAAAATTTGACTGATGCTCTTTTCTTATTCTATTTGATATGGTTTGGCTGTGTCCCCACCCAAATCTCATCTTGAATTGTAGCTCCCATAATCCCCATGTGTCAACTGGGAGGTAATTGAATCACGGGGGCGGATTTTTCCCATGCAGTTCTCATGATAGTGAGTAAGTCTCATGAGATCTGATGGTTTTATAAAGAGCAGTTCTCCTGCACACGCTCTCTTGCCTGCCGCCATGTAAGTTGTGACTTTGCTCCTCTTTGCCTTCTGCCGTGATTTTGAGGCCTACACAGCCATGTGGAACTGTAAATCTATTAAACTTCTTTTTCTTTATAAACTACCCAGTCTTGGGTATGTCTTTATTAGCAGCATAAGAACAAACTAATACACTATTTGTATTTATTCTTTTGTGAATATCTCTTCATGCACATTGTTAATTTTTCTTTTCCTCTTTCTTTTCAGTAGTTGTGCTTTGATTTGCATGTTCTCTATATTAATAGCATATATTACCAATATTTACTATTTACTTAATGACTACTAAGAAGTAAGCACATCACATAAAGAATCTCTTCTAAATCTATGCAACAATTTTTTCAAGGTAAGTTCTAGTGTTCTCCTATTTACAGATGAGAAAACTGAAGCCTAAAGAAGTTCAGTATCCTGTCCAAGGTTATACATGGAAGACTCAGGTTCCAGAGTCTGGCTCTTCCTTTTGGATACTGTTACTTCACTTTCTCTATCACAATTTTGCAAGAATTTTTTTTCCCCTAACTTGTCAGTTATCATATTACAGAAAGATTATCTCTTCACAGGTTCATGGGTCTTTCCCACTAGCTAGATTGTAAACTTCTTATGGTTGAAATAAATCACTGTATCACTTGCATCTTACGTGGTGCCCAGACAAAATATATATTCCATAAATATTTGTCAAACTGAATTATTTGCTCTCATGTTGATACCGATATCTTGGCGGCCAAATTCATTGTCTGATGGACTATTATATACATTATGATGTTCTTTTACCCCAATTAGATGTTATAAAATAAACAGGCTAATTACATTAGATCATCTTACTTGGTCAATTTATGTTTTCCACAAGTAGATAGCAATGATTCATGGTTCATAATCATGATTGAAAACAACTATCACTGGGTTCCATCATCCTCCAAAATGATAAGATCCTGGATAACCTGGGTAGAAAATTATTCACAGCACTGTCCAATCCTATTCTTTGTTACTTGAATTTGGCCAAAAGTACAGAAGTTGTTGGTTATCAGTCCAACTGTTCCTTGAAAAATAGTTGTGGAAATAAACTAAATTTACTTACTGAAGTCAAGGTCCATGTACAACTTTCATGACCTTTCTTATATATTAGTCACTTTGAAAATAAGATCCAAAGCTGTGCTTAAGAGGAAATTAAGTTTACATAATAATACATTGAACTAGTGATTCATTTTAGAGTTCTAGATTTGAAAGGCTGCATTATACAGTCTTAAAATTCACTGTAAATTGGCCCAGTTTTTAACTTTGTCACTTTTCTGAATGCCAGATTCTACCTGCTCCTTCTATGGAATAATAGGAATTCTATGGAATAATCAAAAAAGTTCTGATTAGATTCATAAAAGGAAGGCTTTCCAATCTGCATGTGTTCTGTTTGTGGGTACAGTTATATCTCCTTGGAAACAGGAAGGATGATGCCCATATATATTTGCACAATGAAATAGCTACTAGGTTAACAAATGAGTTCTCTTAGATGCTTACTAAAATTTGTGTGTATATGCTTTCTAAAGCAAATCAAAATTAAATAAGCAAGACTCTTTTCTTTCCTGGTGGGACCCCTAGCTACCTTGGGGACAGACTGACAGAACTGCTAGCTTCAGCCTAGGGATGAGTTGGAGTAGTCTGGAAATGCTGAGCGGTGCCTTTGCAGGAATGTGCAGCACCTGGCACTAGTATTTTAAAACTCTCTAGAGAGAGTCACCAGTTTTTTTTTAACAGCTGAGCAACAACTTGCTGGGCTCCAAACTAGGTCAGTGAACATAGAAGGTGAAAACTTTCTGTTAAGATCAATTTCTCATTATATTTAATAACAGTTTCAAAAACAAGGTAGGCGGTGGGTGGGGGGACATGCTGACAGTGAGGAATCCACTTTCTTAGACTCATACACACAGGATTTCTCAAACAAAAGAAGACCACCTGGCTTCAAAATTCTATAGTCTGTTTAATAATACCCCAATAATTTTTCATTTCTGTTTTACAGTAGAGGTTATCAACCACTACTCTAGTAGATTAAAATTCTCTAGCAAATATTTTTCTCTAAAAATGAATATAGGCTCAGAAACATGCAAATAGATAAGTAGTATAGCATAAGTAGCTTAAACATATCCAAGTATCCAAATGTATGTGAATTTATTGTATGGTAAATCTGAATTTTCAAAATGTTAGGGAATAAATAGTGTGAATACCAGAGGCCATTTACCTGTTTTGAGGGGAGAAAAGCTAGATTCCTGTCTCATAGCCTGCATATAAATAAATGCCAAAATAACAGCAAAAATATTAGAATTACAAAAATATTACAAAAGATCTTATGTTCTGTTCTTCATTAGTCCCACACATTTTCTTACATTTATTTATTTCTGGTTACCAAATACGTATTCAGTTGATGTGTATGAATAGGATATTCCTTTCAATTTAGCTTCCATGTGATTTGTTAATATCAAAGAAAGCTGTTTAACACTAATCTTGTATCCAGCCACTTTCAGTTCTTAGTAATTCTAACAGTTGTTTTAAGTTTCGTTTTTCGCTTTTTTTTTTTTCTGTTGCCCAGGTTGGAGTACAGTGGCGCGATCTTGGCTCACTGCAACCTCAGCCTCCCGGGTTCAAGTGATTCTCCTGCCTCAGCCTCCTGAGTAGCTGGGATTACGGGCATGTGCCACCAATGCCCAACTAATTTTCATATTTTCAGTAAAGATGTGATCTTACCATGTTGGCCAAGCTGGTCTCGAACTCCCACCCTCAGATGATCCACCCTACTTGGCCTCCCAAAGTGCTGGGATTCCAGGCGTAAGCCACTGCGCCTGGCCAGTTTTAAGTTTTGGTTGAATCTCTGATTAAATATGTGTATGCATATGCATATTCATGTATGTCTTTTGTTTGTTTTATTTAATTAGCCATAAACTCTAGAATTCTGTTTAACTAGTGATGACAGCAGGCATTTCTCCAGTTTCCATCTTTAAGTAAATATAGTCACTGCTTCAGCATGTAATTTTGTTTGTTATTGATTTTTATTTCAAACTCTTTATTGTTTTTAGGCATTTTTATTCTATTACTATTTTACTTAGAATTTTATGAATTGCTGTTTATTTTTATTAAATACGTATTTTACAATTATTGTTCAATTTTTTTCTCTTTTAAGTAACTTAAATAGATTAAAGGTAAAAATGTACTGAACAGTAGCTTTGCTTGGGTTAAGCATTTAATAAAAATACGTAAGTAATATTTATTGCTATTTTTGATTTGACCTAGCCTTTTTGGAATAAGCTGTACTTCATCATGATTAATTTTTTAAAAATGTCTTGTATGACTCTTTGCTGATGCAGTATTTGGATTTTTTTGTATCTAAATTTGTAAATGATATTGGTGTATAATTTCTATTTGTGGTTGCTTTTACCTTTTCTAATATAATTCTTTGATGTTTCCAATATCCTCTATTATTGGTCTATTCAAATTTTCTATCTGATCTGGAATCAATTTTGATAATTTAAATTTTCCTGGAAATGTATATTTCATTTATATTTTTCAAATTAATTGTTACACTATATATTTAAATTTTCTTAAAAATTCTTTTAGTTTTAACTATATTTGTAATTACAACATTTTCTCATTTCTGAATTTGTGTATTTTTGTTCCTCCCTTTTTTGTCTTTTATTTCCCCTTCAAATCAGTGTTTTTTCCTTCTTTTTGTCAAGTTGTTACAACTTTGTCATTGTGTTTTGTTATTTTTTGGCTTAATTGCATTGTTCTTAAGAGAGTTTTCGAGTCCATTTTCTTTATGGTCAACTGCATGAATATATATTTGCCTTAGGTTATATACAAAGTTCTATACATCCATTAAAACAAATGTATTATTTGTGTTAATTAAATTATTTCTGTATTTACTGATCATCTATCATGTTCTGGGCACTGTATGATGTGCCAAGTGCACAGTGGCACAAAGAGCATTCCTATTTATTGCTATATGATATTTATTGTATGGGATATAACACAGTTTGTTTATTGAGTCACCTCTTAATGGACATTTGGATTACCTCTAGTTTTTACTATTATAAATAAAGATTCTATGAACTTTTGTGTTTAAGTTTTTGTGTGGAAGTACGTTCTCATTTGTCTTGGGTAAATAATTAGAAGTGGAAAGTTTTAGTCTCATGGTAGCTATATTATATTAATCTTTACAGACAGTAGGAAATTGAATTTGGACTTTGGAACTAAAGGTGAATTTTGCCTTATAACAGTACAATGGAATCTTTATATATTCATGGATCCAACTGAGCTATAAAGTCTCATTTATGTTACTTTTTATGCTTTCTTATCATTTTTCTACTTCGAATATGTTTTCCTTGATAATTTTTACTCTCTGTTGTATATTTTCCAGAATATGAATATATTACAGGGTAATAGTACCATCAAGAGGTTCTACAAAAAGTAGTTTCTATCGTTACATAAATTGAGAAAATGCTTCTTAGAGATTTACAATTCATACTCATATTTTAAGGACTATGAGAAGTCTTGCTTAAAACTACTCAGTGATTTCCCCTTGCTTTTAGACCAAATTCCAAATTCTTAACACAGTTCATGAACTCCTGCACTCTGGCCCCTACTAACATCATAACACTCTGACTTGATTAGTTCAGTGAATGAGCCAAGTTCCTTCCTGCCTCAGGACTTCACACGAGTGATTCCTTCTGCCAGAGCTCTTTTCTCTATCTCCACACACCTGGATAATCTCTCATAATTCTTCTGGTTAACAAATTAGATATAGTATCATTACAGAAACCTAGAATATAGATCAAGTTCACATTCTAAACTCTTAGAGCATCCTGTGCTTTTCTTCTGTAGCACTGTTTACAATGACAATTCCATAGTTACATGTGTAATAATTTGATTTATGGCTGTTTTTGTAGCTGGAATATAAACTCCATAAAAGTAGGAACTTGTCTGTCTTGTTTCCAAAAGTCACCATATCTGCCTGTTTTAGACAAATAGTAGGCACTTCATAAATATGTATTGAGTGAATCAAGAAACCAAGTAATTTTATTTAACCCTTCATTTCCTAAGCTTACTTGACATATTTCTTCCTAATTATCTTGCAGAATTAGTATTCAGTCAATAATGCTCTTACGAATGGAGCTCTGTGTGTGTGTGTGTGTGTGTGTGGCTGGTAATTACCCTATTCACTCACTTAATAAATATTTATTGGGTGTTGCTATGTGCTAGGCACTGTGCAAGGAATTTTTCTAGTCACTGAGAGTTCAGCAGTTTCTAAGCCCAAAGAGTTTACCTTTAGCAATATTCAGCCAATAAATATTCAAAAGTAAATAATATATTAGTAATGAGTGCTGTGAAGACAAAAACAAAATAGATCAGGATAAGAAGATACGAAATGAAGGCTGAGCTTTAATTTAGAAAGGTGGTCAGAGAAGACCTCTCCCATAAAGTGACTTGTGAGTGAAGATCCAAAGATTCGTAAAGCTGTACTTGCTGTCTAGGGGAAAGAGCATTCCAGATGGGGAAAGAGAAATGGCAAAGTGCCTGCGGTGGGAACATGTGTAGAGATCTGAGTGCAGTTATAGCAAGAGAACAAATAGAGAGAATGGTTGGACTTGAGGTCAGAGAAAGTGGAGAAGGGCACTAGGTTATGTAGGGATACAAAGGGTTTTGGATTAACTCTGAAGGATACGTGAAGACATTGAGCAGAGCAGGAATATAATGCATATTTTAGAAAGGTTACTGGCTCTTGTGTGGAGAGCATCTGTAGGAGGAGGAAACTTATTAGGACTGTCTTGTAACAATCTAGGTAAACAAAGTAGACTAGGGTGTTAATGACACAGGTGATGAGAGATGGTGACATTCTGGATATATTAAATGTAGAAACACCAGGATTTGCTAATGGATTGTGTGTACAAGACTGGGAGCTTAGATTGTGGATGAGGAAACCTAAGTTTGATTTGATCATACCAAATTTGAGAAGCCTGTAAGAAACCCAAATGAAGATGCGGACAAGGATCTGTAAGTTTAAAGTCAGAGGAGATGTCAGGTCTAGAGATATAAATTTGGAAGTCAACAGCCTACTGATGCTATTTAAACTAGGGACTGGATGAGATCATCAAAGAAGTGAGTATAGATCAAAAAGAAAAAGAGTCTGAGGACTAAGCCTTTGGGACTTAAATGTTTTATCATCTACAGTAGTTAAAATTGAAAACCTCATTATGTAAAAAGTAAAATGGACATCTTTTTCTTTTCTATCTCCTGGATTTTTTATTGTATGAGAAAATTTTCTCTTCTCATTCATTTTTTGAAACATATCTTCAATAATTATTTAGATTGGTGTACGCTTCCAGCTTTTTCATCTTTTTATTTTATACTGATTCATTTATCAAGTAGTAGCACATGAACTAAAGTAAACATTTTCAGGATTGGTATTAGCCTTTTTATGTATGTGAATATCTTTTTCTTAATATTTGAATTACAACTCCACTGAACATGGAATTCCTGAGTTACAGTTATTTTCTTTGTACTCAGTAGTTACTGATCTATTATCTTCAGTAGTTAATGTTAAAAGCAGAAATCTGAGTCCATAGATATTTCTTACCATCTGTAGTCAACAGTTTATGTGTTTTTTGGCTTTTATTTACTTATTTGTAATTGTTGATGTTTGTTTGTTTGTTTCTTTTCTCTCTGACTAGATGCTCATTTTTTTTTTCCTCATAAAATTCAGTTTCCACAATATATTCAGGTCTTCATTTCTGTAACGTTTTCAGATTTTAGCATTAAAGTTATACTTTCTCCATACAATTAATTATAGAACTTTCTATGTTTTTGTTGTTTCTTTATTGTTTATTGTGTTTTTCTATGTTTGTTATTTTTAAAGCTGTATTATTTACCTTCAATATTGTTTAAATTATATTGAAGGTAAATAATACAACTTTTTCTATTTTCCAAACACTTCTGTGGTGTGCAGGCCTATTTAAATTCTCTATTTCTTCTCAGGTAGTTTTTATTAATTTATATCTTATTAGTAAATTGTCTGTCTCCAGGTTTTCAAATGTGGCCCTACAGAGCTGCATGTTGTATTATTTTCTAATTTTCAGAATTTCTTCCTAATCTATAATTATGTTTCCTTTTCCTTTTGTTTTTATACTTTTACTCTCTCTTTCTCTTTACTCCTTAAACAGAATTGTGAAGAGCCTATTTAATAGTTCTTTGAAATGAACAGTTTTTGGAGTTATTAATCTTTTCGAACATCTTTTGTTTTGATTAATTGTGACGTATTTATTCATTCTCCTCCATTACTTTTTTTGAATTCTTTTGTTCCTTTTTAATGTTCTTAAATTGAGTACTAAGCTCTTTTGTTTTTATTATTTATTTTTTAAAATAGACATTTTTATTTTTAGTAAACTTTAGATAATTATTTAAGTAACATTTACTAAAATTTTTGTCTGAGTAGAAGTTTAGATATTTCCTATAGGTTAAAATATAAAGCACACTCTTAATTGACTTCTAGAGATTATAATTTCAATTTTGACTTCTTTTTGAATCAATGGCTTTATAAGGATACTTTTCTTAATTTCTAATCAGCTGAGATTTTATGCCATTTTTCTTTATTTATAATTTTATTAAAATGAATGCGTCCTATAAAATCTTTAAGAATTCTTAAAATTTGTTTTATGACAGTCACATGGGAGATTTCTGTAAATAGTCCATGGTCATATAAAACAAATTTATATTTATTTTTTAAAGAGGTAAATTTCTCTCTCCCTCTCTCCATGCACACACATACACTTGCATACACACATGTACATAGACACATATGCACACATACATACATGAGTGTTTATGAAACTGAATTTGTTGATTGTAGCATGCTATCTCCATGCTCTTACATACTGTTGTCCACCAGATCTGTTTGATTATGTGCCTTTGATGCAAACAACCAATAGAAAAATAGATAAAAGTTATGAATGGGCATTTTACACAAAAGGGTCTCATAAAGCCAATACAAATACGGGGAAATATTTATGGTCGTTAGTATTAGGTATGTGCAAACCATGAAAACAATGACGCACCACTTTATACCCATTTGATACACAAATTTTTTTTAAAGTCTACAGTATTAAGTGTAAGACAGAATGTAGACAGAGAGAATCTTTATACAGTGCTCTACACTTTGAAAACCAGTCAGATATCATTTTCTAATGTTAGATGGTCACCTATCCTATATGCCTAGATATATACCTAAGAAACACTCCATATCTACAGCAAGAGGCATGTATGAGAATGCTCATTACAGCTCTGGTTAACAAAATTAAAACCCTTTAAAATCCCAAAATTTCATCAATGAGAGAATGGGAGGATAACTATGGCTCAGTGGAATGTTGTATTACAATAAAGATGAGCTACAGTAACATACAACAAAATGGATGAATCTTATTAATAAGATATTAATAAAAGATAAATCTCCAAAGATTTTATACATGAAATTCCTTTGTATAACGTTAAGAATTGTGTGTGTGTGTGTGTGTGTGCGCGCGCGCGCGCGTGTGTGTGATTTAAGAACATATAGATGGAAGGGAATTATATAAAAAAGGAAAGCAAGTGTGTGTTCTATAAAGGACTCAGGTGGTAGAAGGGAGTGGGGTGGAATAGGAGAGGGAGAGTATGGTTAGATGTAGGTTATTGTTGCTCTTCTGATTGTTTGGGGTAGGGTATCTCAGGTGTTTATGATGTAATTAAAAATAATACACTAAATATCCAGTTAACTAAATAAAAGTAGGCTGTGAATGGATCAATGATGACAAAGTATCATGAATGAGGGATTGTGAATAATCTATTTTTATGAACCTGTGGTCAAATTAAAAATAATAAATTGGGCTTTTTTTTTTTTTTTTAATATACACGGGGTCTCACTCTGTAGCCCAGGCTGGAGTGCAGTGGCATGATCATAGCTCACTGTAACCGCGAATCCTTGGGCTCAAGAAATCCTTTCACCTCAGCCTTGAGAGTAGCTAATACTACAGGCATGCACCACCATGCCCAGCTAATTTTTTTTTTTTTTTTTTGAGACGGGGTCTCGCTTTGTCACCCAGGCTGGAATGAAGTGCCGCAATCACAGCTCACTGTAACCGCGAATCCTTGGGCTCAAGAAATCCTTTCACCTCAGCCTTGAGAGTAGCTAATAATACAGGTATGCACCACCATGCCCAGCTAATTTTTTTTTTTTTTTTGAGACAGGGTCTCTCTTTGTCACCCAGGCTGGAATGAAGTGCCGCAATCACAGCTCACTGCAGCCTCAACGTCCTGGATTAAAGTGATCCTCCTGCCTCAACCTCCCAAGTAGCTGGGACTACACCCTGCTAATTTTGTATTTTTTTGTAGAGATGGGGTTTTGCTATGTTGGCCAGGCTGGTCTCAAATTCTGGGCTCAAGCAATCCTCCCACCTTGGCCTCCTAAAGTGCTGGGATTACAGGCATGAGCCACTGCGCCCGGCCTAATTTTTTTTTGTTTTTAATAAGGTTTTGTAGAGACGGGACCTCCTCATATTGCCTAGGCTGGTCACAAATTCCTGGACTCAAGCAATTCTTCCACCTCAGCCTCCCGAAGTGTTGGGATTACAGACATGAGCCACTGTGCCCAATCTAAATTGGGCTTTCAAAAATCAACACACAATTTCTCTCTTTGATCTATCAATTAGCTTTAAACACTACCTGTCTGATATTAATATTCACACTAACTTTTTTGTTTGTTTGCATGTGTCTGGTACCTCTTTGCTCCCTGCTCTATTTTCAGTGTTCTTTTATAAATTGGTTTTAAATGTCTCATAAGATGAACGCTTCTTAAACTTTAACATGCACATGAATGACCTTTATTTTATTAAAAGTTTCTGTTCAGTGGGTCTGGGGTGGGACCTGGGATTTTGCATTTCTAGCAGGCTTCAGGGAATGCGAGTGTTGCTAGTTCCACACACTTTGAGTAACAAAGTTATAAACAATGTATATCTGATCTTTTCTTAACCAAGAAAGTCTCAGTCTATATTTTAATAAAGGACTTTGGCATATTCACATTTAATGAAAACAATGCATATACTTAATTTTAGTCTTTCCATTCTACTTTATGTTTAATTTAGGATTTCATATTTTTTATGCTAGTTGAATTGTCACTATTTATTCACTTTTTCTCTTGTTTGGAAATTCTAAAACCATTTTCTATTCAACTTATGGTGTTTTCCTGTTTCTCAACAGCTGCAATTTATTGCTTAAACAAGTATTTAATAAATGCCTACAATCATTTGTTGAGTGTATTTATGTACTATTCTTGGAAAACAAAGTGCCAACTATTTCCTCCTTCCAAGATACTCTCTTCATCCACTGATTTCCCTACTCCAATACAATGAGATCTTTAGATTATATTTTCCTTTCCTCTTTTTCCCTACAAGATAACATCTTTATAATTCATTCATGTGTCTCCCACCTTTACAACCTCTAGGTATTGCTGAGGTAACTATATTTAGGTTTTACATTACAGTATGTGCTTTCTGTTCTAAGAATTGTATCTGAACAGTGATGTTGCTCATTATCCATCACTCTGTCATTATTCCTTTACATTCAGTTACATATATTGCAAGGTCCATTTCTCACTTCTCTTTCCTCTCCTTTTTATTTTCCCCTAATTTAAGTTCTTCCTTGGGATTCAAAAGTTCTTTAAAGTCCTTTTTATTAATATATTTTTCAGATGGGGTATATGAGTGACATATTTTCTAAATTCTTGTATATCTTCCTCTTATCCTGGTAGGTAGGTGATTGCCATCTTGACTGAATATAGAATTCTTGGGTTGTATCTACTGAATTTCAAAATTCAAAACATATATTTCAACTTCAAGAAAGTGTTTGCGCTTTAATTTATTTTCCTTATGGGCTCATAGTGTAATAATTATCATCATTATTTGGTTCAGATTGCCATCTATCTCCTCAGGAGTTCTTTATTAGGGAGCCATCTGAGTGAGATTCTTGGCTTGTTCTTCTACTCTGTATATACAGTGTTTTGTTCCTTTCTCAGCTCGTTGCTGCATTAGCTCTTGGGGCTCAGGTTCACCTGCCATGTACTCTCCATGGAATCAGTGTCAGTGATGAAGCTGAAATAGTAATGTCTATCCTTATGGGCCACTGGTATAATGGACAGCAGGACATCTCTCAATCATCTCACCTCCAAAGGCTAATGCTCTTTAAACTTAGATCCCAGACACTTCTGCAGCTTTTTGGGAGCTGGGGAGACCAGTTAACCCTACCAACACCACTTGCTCATGTTTGTTCTGCTCTTTCCCTTGTGGGTTCTCTTTACAAGACAACCTAGCTCAGTCTATAAGGATTCTCAGGGCAAAGCCACTCTTAATTTGGCATGTGGAGCACACTGTAGTGCATAACAAGCAGTCAGGAGCATACCAGATGCCTCTCTTCTACTGACAAATTCCAGAATCTTCAGCCTGGCATGGAAGTGGAAGGACTTTCTCCTTTCTTTTCTTTTTTTTTTTTTGAGACGGAGTTTCGCTCTTGTTGCCTAGGCTGGAGTGCAGTGGCATGATCTTGGCTCACTGCAACCTTTGCCTTCTGGTTTCAAGTGATTCTTCTGCCTCAGCCTCCCAAGTAGCTGGGATTACAGGAGCATGCCACCACACCCGGCTAATTTTTTTATTTTTAATAGAGACAGGGTTTCACCATGTTGGCCAGGCTGATCTTGAACTCCTAACCTCAGGTGATCCACCCGCCTCGGCCTCCCAAAGTGCAGGGAGTACAGGCATGAGCCACTGTGCCCAGCCTCTCCTCTTACCTTTCTAATCTTAGCTTCTCTATTCCCTTTCCTCTCACACATCCAGAAAATTCACTCTTCTATGTCCATGCCACAAATAAGTTTTTGCACTCCTCCCTAGATTCTTCCTTCAGGCTGGTTGCCATACTCCTAACTATGATTGCTCCCTTCAGATTATTACCAACACCATGGTCCCCACTACCCAGAGCTTGCTTCTAAGCTGTACGCATCATGGGTATTTGTCTAACCTGATAGGGCAAAGTCCTCTGATTACAATAAATTACGTCACACATCTAGATGTTCGGGGTTCTGACATGATACCAGTCTTGAATATGATTTTCCTATGATACTTTTCTGGAGGAGTTCTTCTGCCAGTAGCTTCTGGATTAAAAGCCTAGAAAAATGTTGCAGGTATTGAACTACCATGTTAGACTTTAAGGAAAACGAAAGTTAATGTTATGTTTGAACAAACAAATCAACTCCTTCCCCTCTTTTCCATTTCTAAAGCAGTAGCTAGTGGAATATAAATGTTTCTCTTTCCTTTTTCAACAGAAAGATCTGCATTGATCAGCATGGTAGAAAGTTATGGTTAAAATGATTTTAGAATAACAGACAATGCTAATTATCTGGAAAAATTCCTTGATTGGCTGATTCATTCATTCTTCCATCAATTGCATAAACACTGATTGAGTAACTGCTTTGGGTCAGCCTCAACTCTAGTAGCTTTGTTTTAACATTTATGTTCATTCTCTGGATATATTTCTTTAATTTGAACAATTAGTGGTGGTGGTATGATTTTTGCTCTTATCACTCAGACTTCATAACTCTTGCTATTTTGTCACTCTTAATATTTATATGACATCTAGTGAGTGATTGATCTTCTGTAGGACCCTGTAGTCACTCACATTTGCTTATCACTAGCACATAGGGGGCAATCCACAGATTTATGGCTGCCAATAGAAGTTGTTACCAAAAGTACCATTTCTTTTTTTTTCTGTGTGCTAATTTCTAATAACTCTTGTGCAGGAGAGCAATTACTGACAAAAGTCAGCCTCTGTTAATAGAGTTTATCACACTTCATCATATATCCTTTGTCGTTGGAAGCATTTTGACAAGCCCAGGGTTAATTAAAACCAAGAAGACAATAAAATACACCTAATCAAACATAACAGGTACAGAAATCAATTAGCAGATTTATAGTACTTTGGAGGTTTCCATAATGTATAAAATTCAAAGAAACTATCGTTTCCATTTCCTCAAGACAGTGTAATTAAATTTCTAATTGAAACTATTTTTCAGTAGGTAATGTACAGTCCGCCCAAGTTTGATTTGCATTAAAGTGGGGTCTATAGAGGTTGAAAGAGCCTAGGAAATTAAAAAGATCATTGAGTCATTTCCATTATTGTTATTTTGTCTATCTGAAAGTTGAGGGAAAGTTATACTGTATAAAAAAGAGGAGAAAGGAAAAGTGGTGCTTTGCATGATAAAAAGAATAAGTGAAGTCTTCGTATATATCAAGGACCTCTGTTGTTACTCACCGCAAAAAAAAAAAAATCACCAAGGGACAGTGAACATCTCAAATAATTCTCAAATAATGCACTAGTTTTGTCAGCATTGTTAAACAATTCATCTGGCTTGTTTTCTCAAATTGACAGATTCTTTTGACTGGATTGATTACAATGATCCATTGCTTTGGTATCAATGGAGATGTGGCCTTAAATTTGCCATGTCTTTTTGAAGTTTTATTCCCCATCCAGCTAAGTGAAATGTGATGCCAGTCACCATGCCTGGAACACATTGTCTCAGTGGAGAATGGGTGAGGATCTGTGTGGTCGAGTGTCTGTAAGGCTGTGTTCACTCCCCTTGTGGACTGGTTGACCAATGGGCATTTTCCTCTCTGCCTGAGGGTTTCTTCTATAGACACTTGTCTACCTCTGCCTGATACTTTCTGAATTCTTAACAAAATATCTTAATGCTATTTAAATATAGAAATGATCATATTCTTTACCTTCCACCTGAAATTATTCTTTTTTTTTTTTTTGAGATGGAGTTTTGCTCTTGTTGTCCAAGCAGGAGTGCAGTGGTGCAATCTTGTTTCACTGCAACCTCCATCTCCCAGGTTCAAGTGATTCTCCTACCTCAGTCTCCCAAGTAGCTGGGATTTCAGGTGGTGGCCACCATGCCTGGCTAATTTTTTTGTATTTTTAGTAGAGACAGGGTTTCATCATGTTGTTCAGGCTGGTCTCAAACTCCTAACCTCAGGTGATCCCCCTGCCTCGGCCTCCCAAAGTGCTGGGATTACAGACATGAGCCACCACACCTGACAATTATTCTTTTTTTGACCTTTCTGTGCCATTGACATTGAATTTAAATATAGTTTTGCATTGACATTTAATTTAAATATAGTTCTGTTGCTTTGAACTTTTTTTGTTTTGCCTTTAATGATTACCCCCAAATGTAATTATTATCAACAACAAAATAACTTATATTTGTTTCCTGAACTTACAATTAAATTCCACCTATTATTAGGTTTTTACTTTTTTTGTTTGTTTTGTTTTTTAGAGACTAGGACTTGCTCTGTTGCCCAGGCTGAAATGCAATGCTGTGACCATAGCTCACTGTAACCTCAAACTCCTGGGCTCAAGCAATTTTCCCACCTCAGCCTCCTAAATAGCTAGGACTACATGTATGTGCCACCATGCCTGGGTAATTTTTTTTTTATTTTTGTACAGCTGGGGGTCTTGCTATGTTGTCCACGCTAGTTTTGAATTCCTGGGCTCAAGTGATCCTCCTGCCTTGGCTTCCCAAAGTGCTGGGATTACAGATATAAGCCATGATGCCTAGCCAGGGTTTTACTTTTAAACTGTGAACAAACCAAAATGTATTACTTCTTTCATAAAATGATTGCTATAAAACAAACTGCAAGGTCAAAATTAGGTTTTAGATATTTATTTTGGTCTATGGTACTGGCTCTGAGGTTGTGCCCATATAATGTTAATAAAAGCCATATACCTTGAACAATTTCATGGAAAAACATCAACCAAAGCATTGTTGGAATTCACATAGACAACTGTGATAATATGTTTATTAATTTTTTTTTGTTAAAAGTTAAGATATGCTGATGGCAAAGTAACACAAATATTCAAATGTGTGTAAATCAATATTTAGTCAAGTAAAGACAGGTGTGATGATAACATAAACCAGATCTCATGCTTTTTCTTTTTCCCTAATGATATCTGTTTTCTGGCCAGTTCATTGTTTTAAATAACTTCATTTGAGTGTTAATGGGCATTAAATGAATATGAAAGAGTTAGGCAATAAATCAGTGGTGGCTGGTTCATTCTGCATGTCCCTAGGTTAATGATGGAGCTCTTATCTGGACTTACTCTGTTGTTGGTCAGTGGAAGATGCATCAGAAACAAAAAGGTTTTATGTCTAAGCTATCTTTGTTGCTTTCTTATATCTCAAACCCTCCTTTCTCAATTCTTTATTAGCTCTTCTCCCTTTTTCCACTCCTTCATGTGAATAGATAGATAGATAGATAGATAGATAGATAGATAGATATTTTAACAGTTCTATTTATCAAATTTTGAGACTTGAATATAGGCAACACAAAATAAATGTCATCAGACTTTTTACAGGAAAAATAATGATTAGTTATCCTAACTACTTCATAAATCGATGTATGAATATGACATTTAACATAAACATAATGTAAGTTAGCATAAAACCATTAACAATTGTTCTCTTCATGCAGTGAAGGATTCTGGTTGTTTTACTGCAAATGGTTTAGAAGACAAAACATAAAACAGCAGTAATAAACACAAGAACTGAACATATTCATACAGGCAAATAATGTTTTTGTTTTTTAAATTATTTTACAGAACTATGAAAATTAACACCAGGAAATACTTTTAAAATTTATAATAGCATCAAAAATAATAAAGCACTTACAGATAAATTTAACAAAGAAGTACAAAACATGTATGCCAAGAACTATGAAACATTGTTCAACAAAATTAAAGAAAATTTAGGTAAATGGAAAGACATACTGTGTTCACGAAGTTGAAAACAGTACTGTTTAGATGGTGATATTTCCTCCTCTTAAGCTGACATATTTATTCTTACGTTTTCACGCTTTTATGTATGAGAATGTGAATATATATTTAAGACACAGTGCTCCACTCATTTTCCTACACTTTCTTCATCTGAGAATTCTCCTATTCTGTAGTGTCAACAAACTTTAATTTGCAAATAACAAATCTCTATTTACTATTGAGTCCTTTCTCTTAGGCTTTGATTGTGCTGTGTACTACCGGCTGCCTATAAGACTTCCCACTCTCTTTTAGTATTCTCTAAAATTCCAAATGAGCATCTTTTTCCCAGCTCTTCTTCTGTTAGTGGTGCCACCATATTCCAAGTCAATGGTAAAGTGGTTTAATTCTAAAATAAATAGACAAAAATGTATAATGGTTCAGACTCGATTGAATACATAGCACAGGGTGAGAGAAGAAGTCTGCAGGATGGCCCTCCCCACTACATGGAGGATTGTATGCAGGAGATTCTGTAGTTCAGATCTTGAAGTGCTGCATAATCTCTGCCCTTTTATGTTGGCTGGATCTCAGCGTCATGGTCACACATATCTCAAGGGAAGCCGGGAAATATGGTCTATCGCTTTGTCCAGGAAAAAAAACCGGAAATGGATGTTGATGTATAGCCATCAATCTCTGCCACAACCACCTAAATGTAAAACTATAGTTTCGGCCGGGCGTGGTGGCTCACACCTGTAATCCCAGTATCGTGGGAGGCCGAGGCGGGCGGATCACGAGGTCAGGAGATCGAGACCATCCTGCCTAACACGGTGAAACCCCGTCTCTACTAAAAATACAAAAAATTAGCCGGGCGCGGTGGCGAGCGCCTGTAGTCCCAGCTATTCGGGAGGCTAGGGCAGGAGAATGGCGTGAACCCAGGAGGCAGAGCTTGCAGTGAGCCGAGATCGCGCCACTGCACTCCAGCCTGGGCGATAGAGTGAGACTCCGTCTAAAAAACAAACAAACAAACAAACAAACGAACCATAGTTTCAACTCTGTCTTATCCCCCGTATCAGGTAAAATCCTAGACAAAATGCTGTTGTATTTTCAAAGCGTAGCTTATTGAATCTTCCGTCTGGTCCTGATACTACCACATGGTCCAGGCCCTCATCACTTCCTATCTGGATTACTACATTAGCTTCCTAAGTGATCTCCCCAATTTAAAAGCCTCTTCTGCTCCAATCCACCCTACAAAATCCTCTTCACACTCACTTTCCTTATGTACAGCTTTCATTTTTTGTGTCACAGATTGAAACCTTTCACAGCTCTTTTCTAGCATATCAAGTCTAATTTCTCCTGCCTAGCTTTTAACAATGGATATAATTTTAGAACTTTTTCTTACTTCAGCCAACTTTGATCTACTTCTGGAAGTTTCTGCCATGTGTTTCTGTATTATTCAATTTAGATATAAATATTAACTGCTGTGTCTTGTGTTGTTAAATTTTACTTTATGTGTTTTAGAGTTCTCTTCCTTATTATGCTGTGAGCTCCTTGAGAAAAGAGATGATGTCTGGTATTCTTTTATTTGGTTCCCCATGTAATCTAGCACATTACTCAGTGCATGCAAAGTTGGTATCCAATAAAGACTTGTGATAAATAGGCTAGCTGTGTGAAGAAATTAGTCATTATACTGATTTTATAAAATTTTACTTCCTAAAGGTGTCAGCTATACTGGCAAATCTTTGTTACAAACTGCCGTTTATTTATGGAAATCTATGCTTGATTATAATTAATGCCAAAGTATCTCAACACAAGCAGATATAAACTAGAGACATTTAAAAGCCTGGGGAAACTAATTTCAGTTAGTTTTTTTCCCATTAATTCAACCAACAATTTAATTCTGATCCATGTCCAGAAGAAGCTCATACACTAGAAGGAAGGCTCAGATACATACACATTGTGGTAGGCAGAATTCTAAAATGGTCCCAAAGATTTCTGCCCCCTGGGATACATGCTGTGCATAATCCCTACCCGTGAGTGTGAGTGGGACCTGTAAATATGATGAAATACCACTTCCATACTTCCATAATTACGTTACATTACATAGCAAAAGGGATGGTATGGGTGTAATGAAATTCTCTGATCAGTTGATTTTGAGTTAATCAAATGAATGATTATCTTTGGTGGGTTTGACCTAGTCAGGTGAGCCCTTAAAAGAGAAAATGAATAGCTTTCCTGTGGGCCTGGAAATGTGCAAAACTATGTTGTAATCTCACTGTGGAGGAAGTCTTGTGGCTAGGATCTGAAGGCAGATCCAAAGAGCTAAGAAAGGTCCAACAAGAAAGTGGGGACCTCAGTCCTATGACAATAAGTAATTTAATTCTGCTGCCAACCAGTGTGAGCTTGGAGGAGGATACTGAGCACCAGAGGAAAATGTGGCCCAACTGACATCTTGATCTTAGACTTGAGAGACACTGAGCACTTGGTTACTCCATGCTCATATCTGTAAGATAAAAAATGGGTATTGTCTTAAGCCACTAAGTTCGTGGTAACATGTTGCACGGCAATTGGAAATTAATACACACATTTCTTACAATATGTTATTGAATTGCTATGATGAACTGTTATATATGAATTTAATCATGTTGAGATGCTATAAATTTTAATTTTAAGACTTGAATTAGTTCCAATATAAAAACTCATATCAGACAAAAATCCTTTTGGACTTGAAAGTACCAATGTCATTTGCTTTCATTTTCTTGACCTTTAGTCAGTTAACTTCTGACCTACCTCAATGAAGCATAGGTTGGCATTCCCTAGTCTATTTTCAAAGACTTCTACAAAAGATGATTTCACCCAATTATCAGTGTTTTATTAGGTGGTCACCCCTTCTTTACTCTTCTCTATTCTAGCATGCATATCATGCTGACTTAACATCATTTTCTGGATAGCCCACTAGGTTAAATATTCCAAGAATCTTTGGAGAAGAGCCAAAGTAGTCTTTTTGCTCTTTAAAAGGAAAATGGTTTAAAGGAAGTTGCTACTTAGCAAAGCCATTACTCTATTGCAGAGCAGGCATGTTTCCAAAGTACATTAACAATGCTAATGAGAAAACTAGCCCTGGAATGAAAAAAAGAGAAAAAGAAGAAGTCATTTCATCATCAGACATATTCTGGTGAGGTAGAAAAAGCCCTAGAGTATGACTCAAGAGATGTGGCCTCTGTTGGCTGAAAGTCCTTGTAGAGCTCTCTATGTCTCCAATTTTTTTCACTTCTTTTTTTTTTTTGAGACAAGGTCTCGCTCTGTCACTCAGGCTGGAGTGCAGTGGCATAAGCATGGCTCACTGCAGCCTTGACCTCCCACACTCAAGTGATCCCCCTGCCTCAGCCTCCCAAGTAACTGGAACAACAGGTGCATGCCACCATACCCGGCTAATTTTTTTGGATTTTTTGTAGAAACAGGGACTTGCCATGTTGGCCAGGCTGCTCTTGAACTCCTGAGCTCAAACGATTTGCCAGCCTTGCCTCCTAAAGTGTTACAATTACAGGTGTGAGCCACTGCACCTGGCCTCAGCTTTTAAAATCAATCATGTGGGAGCATGAACTAGATAATCTCTGGGTTCCCTTCCAACTTAAGATCAATAATTCACCTATCCAGTGATAAAATGGGGAGGATAAATGTGGGATCTTAGTGGAAAGCATAGAATGCTTAAAGTCTGTGTAAGGATATGAGAGAGGAAATATTTTTCCCTGAAGACCAGTCTCCATGTGAAGGCGAATACTAGGTTGTTTTCTGCACATCAGTAGTTCTATGGCTTTCCATTGTTGAAATTTCTTAATCTGAAATGCAACATCCTCCCTGCCCACCTCCTCTGGCCTTTTCCATTCCTCCATTCATCATTTTTGTATATATTCTCTATCTCCTTCCCAGTTGAATTCTTCACTCCTTTAAAAATATATCCTATACTTTCCCATCCATGCTTGGCTTTTGTGGTACTCACAACTGGATTGTTCTACCTTCCATTTTCACCTAACAAATCCTGGTCATGCTTTAAGCTCTAACTCAAAAACTACCTTCTCCATAAAGCTTTCCCTGCTGGTACTTCTCTCCTAGAAGTGACTGAGCTGTTCTTCTTTGGAACCTCCCTTGTTACGTATCCTTCTTCGAGCATAAGTCTTTATCTACCTTATATGCTATCTGTGCATATCTCATTCCTCATACTGGGAACAGAGATGTTATAGGAAACTGAACTGAGTAGTTCCTGAGTTTAGACTATAACCCGAAGGACATCTTATATTAGCTTGCTTACCTAACATCTTGTCTTCTTGTTATTATTTTTCCTGTTACTAGAGTGCAGCAAAAGTAAAAAGGTAGTTTCCTGATAGCGTATATTCTCAGGAGTCCTTCCTGTAGAATATTCATGGTGATAAGATTCAGGAGAGCAGGTGCTATGAAATTAGCTGTGCTCTTTCATAGGAGTCTTGCATGAGCTTGATGGTTGGCCAAAGCAACAAAGGCTGAGGGAGACAAATTGATTTGGTGGGAGTCACATGTCTAATTAGGGGATCCAGCACAGTAGGTTTTGTTCCCTCTCCTCTCCAATACACACTGCTTCAGAGTCCACCCCCCAAAATTGCTTAAGGCTGCTATGATCCCCGAGGCAAAAGTATCTTCTGAATGAAGAAAACACTGATTTGATTTGTTTCTTCACAAGTTATACTCCCAGATGGTGCCTCCAGACTCACAGAATCTCAATAACATTTTATTTCCTTTCAGGCCATGGCTGATTTGCAGTGCTTTTCCATTTATAATTTTGAAGCTGAATACCTTTATGACTTTTCTGTTTCCTTTTTCTTTCAACTTGGAGCTGGAATTAAACTGAAGAATTTAGAAAAAAATAGTTGTAAGCCGTTAAGGGGAGATTGTAAAGACGTACAAACAAAAGGTCTGAAGAAGGAAAGAAAAAAGAAGAAAATTGGAGGGGTTGGAAGAAAAGTGGGGAATCTGGCCAACATTACTCAGTACTACATGAGCCAGAGCTTTACTAACTACTTGTCTATGATGCCTCATTTCATCTTATGACAGACCAGAAAAATTAAATAATATGTCCAAGATCCCATAATAAACAAATTGTGGGAAAGGGCTTTGGATTGAAGACTGTTTAACCTCAGGACCTATGCTCTTTTAACCACAACTTGCTGGGGGGATGCTGAATAACACAAAGGCTGAATGCAGATCAAGTAAGGGACGGATTGGAAGGCAGAGGGAGATGAATAGGTTTATCTTCTTATTCTCCCAGTTAGAACAGAGTGCCTGAGCTGGCGGGCACATTGAAGCATCCTCTGATTTCCAGCTTGTGTGCTGAAAACCAAGAGAAAAACAACCCGTGAGGCTTTCAGGAATTTAATTCAGATGATATGCTTCTTTCTTTCCATTTTCTTTGGATTTCATGAGCCTCTAAACAGTTGTACTGGTCTCAAAGTTCTGTTTCAAGTACCCTCCTCTTCCCCTCTTGATTCCCTCCCCACCAAGGATGACACATTTACTTCTGAAAACCTTAAGCAGAAATCTACTCCAATTGGGTCATTGAGGTCAGAGTTCCTAGACAAAAAGGTAATGAAGAGAGATGTCTCAGCAGAAAATAAGGACTGGAGTCAACCCTGGGCCTCAGTTACTTGGGTGATCATCTCAGATTCCTGATGTCCTCATAATACACACACCACAACTCATTCCAGCATTACTTAGCTGCCTGAAGTTTAAACTATGAGATTATTATTATTATTCACTTTCTGGGATCAGAAGAATAAGAGGTAAAGAAAGACAATGGTAGTCTTATTTGCTCATTTATTTATTCACTCAACATCTCTGCTATGCTGTGGGGGAAAAACAAATGCAGAATGTGCACAGTCTCCACTTTTGAGGAGATTAAAGTGCTGTAGACACTGACCCAAGATTTGAGAGTAATAAGGCAGATTTAAGGCAGTGGAATGAATATGGACAAGTACCTAAACACAGTGTAGAAAACAGGTATTAAAATTATCAGGAAGAGAAGAGGGTAGAGTGGGTTAAATGAGAGGCAAAATTAGGTGGTTGAAGGAGCACAGAGAGGGGCTTGAAGGTTTCCATTTCCCCTCCCAGAGCACAGGGACTTGGACACCAGACTGGGGCTGTTGGATGGGATGTCCCTGGAGCCTCAGTGACATTTGCCTGCGAGCTGACTTCAACGAATGAAACAGAGGGGAATGATTAAGAGGTGGTGTCCAGAGACAAAACCAAAGCCAGAGGAAGGCAGACAGTCTACCCAGTGATTGGAGAGGGACGCATGGAAGGGAGTCACCATGGCGACTGGGCCAATGCCTGATGGTCCTTCTCAGAGGCCGCATAGTGAGGTGTTCAAGCAGTTTCTGAAGCCAGGTTTACTGGCTTTCAATCCTGACTTCATGGCTTACTCTCTGAGAGACCCAGAGACAGTTACTTGACCTTCTTGTTTTACAATTTCCTCATGTTTAAAACGTCATTGATTATTATGGTACCCACCTAGGATACCATACCATCCTAGGAGTAGATTGTACAATTGAGTTAGTGTGGGTAAAGTGCTATGAATAGTTTCTGGCACATTGTAAGTGGTTAAAAACTGCTATTTATTATTAGTTATTAGTAGTTAAGGCCACTTCTCTAAATTCAATTTGGGCTACTAGTAACATTTTGAGAATGATTTTCAAGTCTCATCCTTATCAATCTCTTTGTCAACAGGCACTGCCATTCCTCAGCCCATTCCAGACAGAGCAGAAGAGAGAAAAGAAGAAATAAAGCAAAAGAAACAAGAGAGAGTAAAAGAAGCTCCCATGGTTTTTCTCTGAGAATTTCACTGGGGATCTAATTTTAAAGAAGGGGACATGAAGATTGAAGAAAGAACACATAATTTCAACCATTTTGTTAAATGAAATTTGTTGGCTCTATAAAAACGCTTCTGTTTTGGTTATGTCCTCTAGTTTTCCCTGGTTTTCCTTACAAAGAATAATAATTCTGTTCTGTCCTCTCCATCCCAGACTCTAAATATTCTTTTTTTTTCTCGTCCATGAAAGCAAAACTCCTAGGCTACATCCCGTGTAACTCCAGCAATGTGAGCAAGCTTTTGTTCCCAGTATTGGCAGCATTTCCCCCGTCGTTTGTCCCCCTGCCTGTCTGCAGGTCTCGGAGCAGCTCTGCTGTCGGAGATCGCAGGGAGTTGGTGGATTCAAGCCATGGGGCTTCTTTTATGAGCCAAGTGCAGAGAAAGGAGCTTTTCATATGCTCCAGCCTGCAGTCAGGTACTCCCTGGTGGGCTTCTCACAAAGCCTAGGCCCTGGAGCTCTTCCCTGGAGTTTGCATTTGTTTCCTTATAGGGCACGTTCCTGGCGATGGGTAGGAGGAAATGGCAGCCCAAATAAGCAGCTCCCTCTGCAGCCACTCTGGGCTGGTTCCCTGCTCAGCCCATAGAAGTCACTGGTTTGACCCAGTCCTCCCTAAAGCCAGCCTGAGTTCTTTATTAGTGAGCATGAAAAATGCTTCAATCATAGCACCAGATGGTACCCAAACCAATTTGGATTGTCAGCTGAGGCCTACTCATTTCCAAGGGCTTGGTCTAACATCAGTGTTATTTCCCTCAGTGCCCATCTAGCCCTAAAAGATGATCTTGCTCAGATGATTTTGATGAGAAATAATATTTTACTCTACACAGGACCACAGTCATTACTTCTTTCCATCTTTATTAATTCATTCAACAAGCTTTTATTGAGTGCCTGCTGTGTGCACTAAGCATTTTAGGGCATACCAAAGAGAAATTCTTTTCTGTATAATAGATATTTGTTGAGAATCTACTATGTATGTGGCAAACATGATACTAGATAATGGACATATAAGTCACTAAGAAGAGGTACTTTCCATTACTCATAGACGTAGAGAGATGAAGAGTGCAGTTACACAACGGGTACTGGGAAAGACAAGTAACCCAATGTCCTGTCTTACCCGCTTTCAATTTTGCTACTTGAACTATAAACAAAATTTAATTTGGTTCTCTATTCTCTCAATCTTCCTAAAAAGAATTTGCCAATAACATTAATATACCACTTAGGCAGGAAGGATGCTGGAAAGAGTCACTGATTCTGTTCTCTTCTACCTTACCACTCAAGGAATGGTCAATGCACTGTCAATGGCATCTCCTGGGAACTTGTTAGAAGTTCAGGTCCCACTCCAGACCTGATGGATTAGAATCTGCAGTTTTAATAAGATCCACAGGTGATTTATCTGCCCGGGGAAGTACTGCTCTGCTAGTTATTTGTGCCTGAGGTATTCCAACAATGATGGTGGGCTCAGTGAAAGATCACCACATTTATTTTTTCAGTGAATATTTATTGAGACCAACAACTCAGTATCTGCTAGTTACATAATCACTTTATTTTTTTAAAAAAAGGTGCGGCCATTCCTTACACATGAGTCACTGAGTTTTGGACTATGTAACCTTGACATGAGTGCCACTGTTGATTGGACAGAGATCCGGATTTAAACCAAAAGCAGCCATTGATGAGCCAGTGACCTTCACAGTATTCTGGCCAGAAAACTCTCTGAAGCATGGTTGCATTGTATTTTGCATAAATAACTTAGAGGCATTTTCCTAGGGAATTCAAAAACTCGATAGGATTGATGTTCACCATAAGTAGAGTTAGAGAGACTTAAAAAGAAGCAAGCAGGAACCATCAGGTTGAGAGTAGATAGAGAATAGGAGAAAAAATTTCAGGTCCATATCACTGTTTTGTGTGTGTGTGTGTGTGTGTGTGTGTGTGTGTGTGACTGAGTCTCACTCTATCGCCCAGGCTGGAGTGTAGTGGCGTGATCTTGGGTCACTGCAACCTCGCCTCCTGGGTTCAAGTTATTTTTGTGCCGCAGCCTCCTGAGTAGCTGGGATTACAGGCGCCTGCCACCACACGCAGCTAATTTTGGTATTTTTAGTAGAGACGGGCTTTCACCATGTTGGCCAGGATGGTCTGGAGCTCCTGACCTCAGATGATCTGCCCGCCTCCGCCTCCCAAAGTTCTGGGATTACAGGCATGAGCCACTGCGCCAGGCAAGTATGAGCATTTTTAAGGGTTCACTTAGAAAATTACTGGAAACTTCATATACATGTCACCATTAGTCTTCAGAGCACCACTGAAAGGCAAATGTTCCAAATGTATGTTTTCAGTGGGCAATGTAGACTCAGAAAATAGAGGTAATTTGCCTATGATCACTCAACTGTAGAAACATCAGAATTTGAACCCAGTTCTAACATGTTTGAAAGCCCAGACGTGCATTTTTTCATGTTATCTTCTTTCAGCTTATTGCCTGCCGTTTTTTTTTTTTTCTTCTTCTTCATTCCAGTCCTTTCTGGGAGTATTCTGTGGCTATTCAGGTTCCAGGGCAAAACTATGGGCACAACTTGCTCTCCAGAGTGACATAAAGGAAGTGGTTCAGTGCCCTTGTGAGGCTCAGGAGAGCTACTTCTGCACCTACCACCATAAGAAGGTGCTGGGGGAATTATGAGATGAATCCTGGCTTGCTCCTTTCTTTAAGGAGCTTATAATCTTTTTGATGAAAAGAAGTCTGAATTTTTTTTTAAAATGATTATGTAAGTTAGTGTGTTTGAGGATTTATAAACTTAAGGCAGGTGGTAGGATTTTAGTGAGGCCTTAGAAAGACTTGAGATACATGAAGAGGAGGGGCCATGCCAGTCTGGGGCTACAGTGTGAGCAAAGGCAGGAAAGAACCTGTTGAGGTATGAGATGGAAAAGTAAATCATCTGCTCCTATTTCTCAAAAAACATCTAATTCAGGCTCAGTGAATGCATGCTATATGAAGAATATATGCATGGTATGTGAAGAATATATGCATGGTGTGTGAAGAATATATGCATGCTATATGAAGAATATACACATGCTATATGAAGAATATACACATGCAATGTGAAGAATATACACAAGCTATATGAAGAATATACAAATTCTATATGAAGAATATATGCATGGTATGTGAAGAATATATGCATGCCATATGAAGAATACATGTGTGCTATGTGAAGAATATACACATGCTATATGAAGAACATATGCATGCTATGCAAAGAATACATGCATGCTATGTGAAGAATACATGCATGCTATGTGAAGAATATATGCATGCTATGTGAAGAATATACACATGCTATGTGAAGAACATATGCATGCTATATGAAGAATATATGCATAGTATGTGAAGAATATATGCATGCTACATGAACAATATATGCATGGTATGTGAAGAATATACATATGTTATATGAAGAATCTGTAGGTCCAGTCGGTGACTGGAGAGAGACTTATGGGTCAGAGTGAGACTTGTGAAGAACCTGAATCATGATAGAAAAACAAAAATCAATGGGTTGATAGGTGTGGACTGGCAGGAGGTGTATGTGAGTCAGAAGGAGTGCCTCAAATTGTGTCTACACTCAGGAGACTGGGTGGACTAGGAAGTAGGTTGATGAAAGTCACCTCTCCTTTTCACCACTGTTAGGAAGGGGAGGGGTCTAGTGGTTAATCACTTCATAGGTTTATTCTTGGAGAAGATGGGGGTTCTACCATGTGAAATGTGTCAAAATCTAATTATATGTGCCAAAGACTATTTGTGCTCAACAAATATCCATTGCTCCCTATATTTCTTGGTTTCGAGGAGGTGCTTGAGTTTTGTCCAGTGGGCTGCAGTCGGAAGTCATGTAACTCTCTTCTGAGCCTGACCCATAAAGCATCCCATTCATCCTTCAACTCTTTCGTGCCCTTCTTTAATAATTTGGAGGTCACATGTTCCAGATAGTGTAGCTGTGGAATGGAAGGCTGCCTCTTGAGCATTGGGTTTGAAATATTCATGCTGAGCTGCTGAAAGTTTGGAGTTTGGTGGTTGTCACAAAGAGTTCCAGCCTTCTCTGACTAATACAGATGTGGTTTTTGTTGTTGTTGTTGTTGTTGTTGTTTTAGACAGAGTCTCGCTCTGTTGCCCAGGCTGGAGTGCAGTGGCGCGATCTCGGCTCACTGCAAGCTCCTCTCCCGGGTTCACGCCATTCTCCTGCCTCAGCCTCCCGAGTAGCTGGGACTACAGGTGCTCGCCACGACGCCCGGCTAATTTTTTGTATTTTTAGTAGAGACAGGGTTTCACCGTGTTAGGCAGGATGGTCTCGATCTCCTGACCTTGTGATGCACCTGCCTCGGCCTCCCAAAGTGCTGGGATTACAGGCGTGAGCCACCGCACCCGGACTATTTTTGTGTTTATGATTGCCTAACACATAGTAAATGCTTGTAAATATTTGCTCAGTGAACAAATAAATCATTATATTATTTGCTGAGACTGGCTTGGTATGATTATTTTTTCATCTTAATTTTCTACTCTTCGAGAGCCTAGTGTGTGTTGGACTCTTTCCCCTTCAAAGGTCTTGATGTCATTATTTTCCTGGACTTGGCTGAATGTTTGAGAGAAGGCTGGGGAGAGTGGAAGGTGTAAGGGTGATTTTCCCCTGCCCTTGCCCCTACTAGGGATCATTACAGGGACCTTCATCCTCTGGGAAAAACTCTGCTAAAGTAACCAGATCAGTCAACCAAAAGGAGGGCTTGCCCATTTAAAGACTGAAAATTCAGGAAAATCTTTTAGAAAAATATCACAGATCTCAGCAATCCACACATCATTTTCTTTGCCTAACATATTCACCAACCAATTCTGTCAAAACCTCTCAGTTTGAAAGAGATCAGTTCTGTGTTATACCCAACATTCCTGATGTCCTTGAGGCTCTGATTTGTAATAAAAAAGTGTAATATCACTCAGGGTTATCTGGATTCTGGGCAGAGAAAAGGACTCCTGCTGGGTGGCCCCCTTTTCTCTTTCCTTACATGTAAATTTTACCCACTTAGCCCCTCAATTGGAACAAGATGAGGATTTGTTTGGTTTGCAATTAACAGCTGAGTGAAACCTTCTAGAACTGCAGGCTTTGGGGACACACATTTCCCACCAGGCCTCCACTCCCTTTGTCCTTTCTGCTAAACACTGCTAACCCATACACCTGCTGAGAAATCAGACTCCCCATAAGGTCTATTTCAAAACCACGACCTAATTTGTTTTTGAACTTCAAAATGATAATATGTAATAGTAAAATGGATTTTTGTTTATAGAGAAGTATTTGAAGAGCCTAGGGACACATCCATGATAAAAGTGCACCGTTTGCTAATTAATACATGTCCCAATTTGAGCTCCAGCAGAGAATTTGTATATTTAGTCTGAAGAAAACTCATTTGCCAAAATCTGATCATTTATTCCAGAGTGCACTCACAGTGACTCCACAGTATTAGACTTGTGTAAAGCTGTTTACCACTCATAGATATTTAAGACTTTTAAAAAATATATACAGTAAATGCCTCATTATTGAGGGGGAAATAAAAACAATCAAATTTATGAAAGAACCACTAAACAGTGTCATACAGGTGGGACAGGACTGTAGAAAGGGCTGGGCAGCCGAAGAACACCCAGACTGTAGCTGCTGCTCTACCACTGACGAGCTGTGTGACCTTGGGCAAGTCCCACAGTAGTTTTGATTGTCTACTTCTGTAAAATTGATTAGTTCCACCAATTTGTCTCTGAGCTCTTTTCTAGTTCTAACAATCTAAAAAGTTTTTGGAAAGCTTTAAAAAACTAAAGCAATAGTATAATTGGACAGCAGAGTGGAAGGAGGCCTGATTGACTGGCTCCCCAGTTAGTCTATATTTGTGGAGTCATCGTGTATTAGAAGTTCATTTTCCTTTTTTGTTTCTCTGCCTTTCTCTCCCACCATCCCACTTTCACACAGAGTAGACCTGGTTGTAGGGACCTCTCGCTTGCTCCATTGTTCGTTTCAGTGGTCTGGAGAGTGGAGAAATCAGACACCAGGACTTGGGAATTAGAAGGAGTAGGATAAACATCAGACCTCATGGCCTGTTTCTGTCTGAAACTATTCATGGTAGGGGACTCAGGATGAAGTGCTGCTTGACTGACCACCCAGCCTTCATAGCATTGATTTTAGGAGCCAAACCCACTGATCCATAGTGCACTTTCTCTCAGGACCTCAGGGTGTGAGTGTCTCTGATTTTAGAAAGCAATGACATTCCTGAGGCCCCTGGCCCAGAACCATCTTAATTCTGTTCAGTCTTACCATGACTTTTAAGAGAAAGGAGTTAGTTGGAAGCACCAGACTGACTTAATTTCTGCCAAACTTGGGTTCAAATTTCCCGGGTTCACCTCACTGTGCCTTTAAAACCTAAGCAGGGAAAAAAGTCTAATTAGACTCCCAGCTTTCTTCACAGGGGCAGTCTAAAGCCTTTATCCATAAGTATGTCCTCCACGGACAAATACTGGGCCCCAAGGAAGGAGGAAGAACGTGTTTGTGGGCACGTCTGGCTCAGATTAAGCTGTAGGTAGTATGGGCCTTGGAGCAGCGGGAGGCACTCTGTGTTGGGTAGGTGTAGTTTTCCGACAGCATCAGCATGGTGATCTCCATTTCTCATCGAAATCCACCTTACCTGAAATAGGTCTGAATAGGTCCACTCTTCCAGCCTCTTCACTCCTGTGCTTGCCCTGTATCACCTGCTTCCTGCCTAGAATGAGAAACAGTGCTTCTGTTTTCCTTCCATCCACCAGGAGGGTTTGCCATAGAAATCATTTGAACCATTGGGAAACTCAGCCAAGTGGCACCACATGTGGCAGAATCTGTGCCTGTTTTTCTGCACAGTGGGGGTTTAAACTTTTAGGGGGACTCCTGCCTGAGGCCCAACTTTCTCCCTCATGAAGCTGATATTTGGCAGGGAGAAGCAAACAAACACTTAAATGGTCAACCAAATTTCAGCTTGTATTAATTATATAATTCAGAGATTTTTTTTTTTTGGCTTAAATATAGCATCATGAATACACAGCTGCAGAGACTGTGCCAAACAGCTCAGCCAGCTGTACACACTGCCATCAGCGGAAAACCGTTTTTCTTTTCTCCTGCTTGAGGTGTTATCATCGGGAGCCATGTGGATACTCCCTGGGCCAAGCAGCCGTCCCTTCAGCACCTTCACAAAAGCAGCCGTGGAGGATGGGCTCTGCCTGTGCAAGGCCTCCCTGTGGAAGCTGGGTGTGCAGGCCGGGGTTGGGGGCAGAAGAGGGGGAAGGGGGGCGTGTAGCAAAGTCTATTGTGTTGATCCCTCAGAGAGTAACTCTGAGAAATGAGATGCTATGTCCCTGGGCCAGGGCTACACCAAGAACATTATACCTGGGATAGACACTGTTTTTACATCCTAGTCAGAATCATGAAAAATGTGCTTCAGTTATGGCAGGACTCTGGCTGGGAACAAGTTCCCAGCTGCCTCTGTTGCTCTCCTGGAGAACTTTGAACTCCATAAAGGGAGGGGTCCAAGATATGTGCAATAGCCATAGAAAATATATTATAAACCTGAAATAATTAAAGAACAATACCAGGAAGTAAATGATCATACTATGCCTATACCTAAAACCCTCTGGGTTCCCTGTTGTGTAAAGAATGAATTTCCAATCTCATCACACAAGTATCTTCACCATAAGACCCCAACCCTTCTTTGTAGCCTTATCTCCTGTCTCCATACCCTGTATGCGATTCTCTGTCCACCAAAAATTACTTGCTACTTTCTAGACAAGACAAGCACTCAAATGCTTGTTTGTTTTCGTGTGCACGTTCCTCCCTCCCAGCAAGAATGCCTGATTCTTTCTTCTCCACTTCATGGACATCCACTCATCCTCCTGTTATGACTCCAATGTGATCTTCTCTTGCTCAGCCCTGACTGACTTCCCTGGACAGAGCTGGCCTCCCGCTCCTCTGAATCCCCCTGCACTGTCTCACTGTTTCACATCACTTTGCACATCCCCACCAAGGTGTTCTGCTGGCTTCTCTCCCAGTGGACTCTCAACTCTGCAGGAAGTAGGGACCACCTTGGAAAATGCCCAGCACCTAGGTCAGTGCTTGCCACAAGTAGGTGCTCAATGAATGTGGGTTGAGTTATTTGAAAAATGTTTTTTAGGTTTGGTGCAGTGGCTCACGCCTGTAATCCTAGCACTTTGGAAGACCAAGGCAAGAGGCTAGCTTGAGCTGGGGAGGTCTAGCTCAAGGGCAGGGCAAGGCTAGCCAGGGCAACAGAGTGAGACCTAACCTCTGATTTTGGAAAGCAATGACATTCTTGACATTCCTGAGTTCCTGACCTCACCTCTACAAAAAATAATAAAAAAAAACATTAAAAATAAAAGTTTTTAAAATGTAAAACTGTATACATGCTCAGCAGAAAAACTGAAACAATACAGAATGTATAACATAGAAAGTGAAAAGTTCCCTGGCATCCTTGTGCATTTATATGTCTAGGTGCACACACACTCTTACACACACACACGCACACACACGTGTGCACACACATGCACATGTGTACACACACGCACAAGTGCACACACGTGCATGCACACACACGCCCAGGTGCGCACACACCCACACGCACACACACAGCACGCACACGTGCGCGCACACGCGCACACACACGCACGCGCAGACCTGCACATGCACCCAGACGTGCACGCACATGCACACACCCACACACACGCACGCACACACGCACACACACGCTTTTTAAAAAACAGAAATGGCTCGGAAAGCGCATGTTGTTTTTAACTCTTGAAGTCATCAAGATGTTAGAAAAATCTTTCCATGTCAATACTTGCACGTGTGCATACTTCTTACCAAGCATATAGTATTCATTTTCATATTAATGAGGCTAAAACTGTAGCCACAATGTGTTCTAGAATCGCAAAGGGTCCAGAGGTCACCAGGGAATAGCCAGAGAAAACTCGAGAAGATGGGATTTGAGTTTGTCCCAGAAGGATGGTGAGAATATGGATTTTTGGAGAGGGGCAAGGTGTGAGTGGGGGCAAGTAGCTTCCCAAATGGAGGCAGTAAAGGGAAAGTCATGAGTAGTGCATTTGGGGTGGCAAGTAGATGGCAGCCCATGTTAGAAGGTTAGCAGTGAGCAGCAGTGAGATATCAGGTGTGAAGATAAATTGGGCATGAATTGAAGGGGATAAATTGGATGCTTGAGGGTTTGGATTTATCATGCAGATGATGGTGGTGGAATAAGGGATGGCCTGATGAAATAGTGAGTCAGGAATTTTGTTCCGTAGTTCTTGATGTGCAGTGTGGACTGGGAAAGAAGAAAATAGAGACAGAAAGCTCAGGCTGAAGCCTCTGGTGTTACTCAGCGGTGACAGGGAAGAGAGAAAGGGGAGGTCATGAATTTTTGTTGAACTCCAGCTCTGTGCCCTTACAGTGTAGACAACTCACCTTATTATGCCAGTCCCTCCTCCCACCGACACGGTGAGAAGGCTGTTACCAGTAACATCTTACAGATGAGGATGCAGAAGAGGCTCAGATCCCTGTGTATATGGCCTGAAGTCAATGGTTTTGAACTTGGAGTCCACATCTGTTTAGCTTCAAAGCTTGCGGTCTTTTCACTCTGCTATGCTGTCCTGTGGGCTGGTGAGGAACTGTGGAAAGCAGTGGAAGAGAAGAAGGGAGAGATGAGGATGATGGTATCAAAGTCGAGGGCATGTGGGGACTCACAAAAGGAGGATTTAGAGTGGCCCAAGGGTTCATGAGGGACCCATAGTGGAGACTCTTTGACTAAAACATTCTGCCTTTGAAATTCTCCTTACCAGGACTCTATATTTTGGTGTCATGCTTTTGAAAGCAGTGACTTCTGGAGGGAGTTTTATTGATCTAATCACTCAAGATACAGGCTCTCGAAAAATCTATTTTATACCCCCTGCCCTCTCCCACCCACCCAAATTATACTACATTTTCCTCTTTATGACACTCTCTATGAAAATTCCTCGCTTCTAGTGCCACAGACCGAAATACGACATTTGCTCTAACAGCATTTTACTTGAAATTGTGTTTGGCAAAATGTCTCTTTGCGGTGCCTGGAGTTATCCCGGTCTTTTGAGGAAGGCACGAGAATGACAGGCTCATGGACATGCATTCGGAAGTAGGAAATGGTTAGGGTCCTCCTCCCTGCTCCCTTAACCTGGAACAAAATCTCCAATAACATTTAAAGCCGAAGGATCATCTCCAGCACTTCATTTCACTGAACTTCTTTTGTTCAACTTTGCCTGCATCTAGCGTTCACACCTCTAGAGGGCACTGTTTGCCTTGAAATGAAAGTTCTTTAAGTTTCAATCACCTTTTCCCTCTGGGGTCTATTGTTTTTGCTCTACAGTACTTCGTTTTCTTCCAGAAGGGTTTTCTTTCCTTTTGTGCCCGTGTATTTGTGGGAGCGTGCGTTTCTCCTTTAAAAGTGAATTTAGTGCGTATGAACATGGCAGATAATTACTCTGACCAAAGCCTCTCATGTCTGGGCAGGTCTTTTGAAAGCTTTCTTCTCCCATACATTCTTCCGGTGCCCCTCAGTCTGACCCAGGGTGCACCTCCCCCAACCCCAATTATTTCAGTCTGGGGGTCACCGTCACAGCTCTGCCAATGCATCTCAATCCTGCCTCACAGCTGCCTGGGCTGCTTCAGCCAGGGCTCCCTACTCAGGGCAACTGAGCCTTGATTTATGACATCCCTTTCCACAGGTCATGGTCTCTCCTCAGGCAAGACTGCTGATCATGCCACATTTTCAGATTGGCTCTGCACTGCAAACTAATGTCTGGAAGGACAATAATTTGGCCCTGAAACCCATTTCAACTGTGACCTCCCTCATTCAGTCTGCTCTCTGAACATGAAGGACACCAGGGTGCCCCTTTATGCAGAGAAGGTGGGTGGGTAAGTATTGCTTCCTACTGCCTCTGTGAAATGTAGACACACACACGCACACACTCCTCAGGCCTCATGTCTGTGCAGTGTAGAAGCACTTCAGGAGCTCTGAGCCTAGTTGAGGGTCAGGGCCCACCTGAGCATCCCTATTCTTTCTCCACTCTGTTCCAAGGGCCTAGCAGTTCTCACTTTTCATGCTGCACACACAAGGGATGAAAGCATGTGTCCTCAGGGGTGGAAATTAACATCAGTGCGTGCTGGGGAGGGTGTAGTTCAGGACCAGAGAGGTGGATGGATGTGGAGGTACCAGGTGGAATTACCAGGCATTCCTCAGTGAGATAGAGGGGACCCATGGAATGGCTTTAGGAGGAGATGGAAATAACCATTAACTTGACTGTGATCTCATGTGGAGAGGGCTTCAGCAGCCATCAGTGAGGGCATCCTCTGAGCAACAGCATGTGAAGCTGCAGAATTTATTTTTGTGGACTTCTTTCACCTTCCTCTTGTTTTTCCTTCCCTCCACAATGTTCTCCTCTCTTCTGGGTACTCTGTCCCACTCTGCCAAGAGGAAGTCCTGTAATCATAGGATGCCAATGCTAGAAGGGATCACTTTGTCTAGACAAAGATCATTTTGTCTTAATATCTCCATTTTAGAGTTGAAGAATAGGAACTCATCCGCACTGAGGATGTAATGATGATAATTATAGTAATAATGTAGCTATGCTTTTTAATGCTCTGGACACAGTTTTAAATGTATGAATGCATTTAATCCTTAGGATAATCCTGATAATATTATGACATCGTTTCATAAATTTGAAAACTCATGTACAGAGCAGTTACTTTTTCTAAGTTAACAGAGTTAGTGAGTGGCAGAGCAGAGTCCAATCTAAGCTGTCAGGCTCTACATGTCATATTTAAGTATATATGCTCAAAAAGTGCATGATTCATTGATTGTGTACTATGTGTCAGGTACTTTACATGTATTATCTAAAATTTTTGTTAAAACTGTGCTGTAAATCTAATATTCCCATTATATAGATAAATAATTTAATTCTTAGAAATATTAAATAACTTGCCGCTAGCCATATAGCCCATAGGTGGCCAAGCTGGGATTTGAACTGGGTGTGTTAGGCTCCAAAGTCTGGGTTTGTTTCCTTTATTACATGGTTCACTCAAGTGACTTAATGCTATTCCAGGAATATTTGCATGTTAAGAACAAGACAGGAGGAAAAGACTACACTTAACCAGGAACATTATTCTGGGCTAGAGATTGCAGAAATAAAGGAGTTAGGGAACATTAAACCATGTTGGTACTTTGTAAAACATACAAACATCCTTAGACACGTGTCTGCTCAGCACTGCTTTGCAGAGGAAACACAGAGTGTTGGGGAGCACACTGGACATACAGGCAGAAAAGCTGGGTTTGGCAAAGCGCTCCACCAGCTGTGGGCAATTTTGTACCACTATACTTAACTCCTATGGGACTCAACTTCCTCATCTGTAAAATGGAAATGATAAGGCCAGCTCTAACATTTTCATAATAATATTGTAAATTATAAAGCCAATACATACTATTTATTTCTATTTCTTGTGAACTGGGAATTGAGACCTACAGCCCACAAGAGGTCAGCAGTCTCCCCTCTACTCAATGTGAGGAGGAGGAGGATTGAAGGTCAGGACAATGCGGAGAGTCTTTTTTTTTTGGCCATAATGGGCAGCCAGTTGACTCAGGCCTTATGAGTGGGCTGGCTAGGGCAGACATTATCTGCTGTCATCCAAGCACTCCTCTCCAGCTTTAGAACAGAACAGCACAGGAGTCATTGCTTTGCCCCAACTCTGGACAAGGAGGAAGGAGGAGAAGATGGCCCATTAGGTGATAAAGGGAGACTATGGGAGGCATGCACCCCTCTACCTTCCAGAAATGAAAACATACGCCTTGAAACAAGATATAATAAGATTATCCATGTATTGTAACACATAAATTAGAATTTTTGTTTGTTCTGTAACAGTCCAAAAAGTGCAGTTTTAAAATCAAGATCAGAGGCCAGGCACAGTGGCTCAAGCCTGTTATCCCAGCACTTTGGGAGGACAAAGTGGGAGGATTTCTTGAACCTGGGAGTTTGAGACCAGCCTGGGCAGCATGGCAAAACCCTGTCTCTACCAAAAATTCAAAAATTAGCTGGGTGTAGTGGTGTGCACGTGTAGTCCCAGCTACTCAGGAGGCTGAGGTGGGAGGATGGTTTCAGTCTGGGAGGCAGAGGTTGCAGTGAGCCGAGACTGCGACACTGCACTCCAGCCTGGGTGACAGAGCCAGACCCTGTCTCAAAACAAACAAACAAACAAACGAACAAACAAACGAACAAATCAAGATCAGGAGAAGCACAACAAGCTAAGATCTCTCCATTGTAATTCAGCTGATAAAGATACATTTATTGGGTCATTATTACACAGTTGTGTTACTTTTAAATGAGAAACACATTTAGAAATTGTTTCTAGAAACTCATAGAGAAACCTGAAATTTCTTGTAAAGCTTCTTGCTTGCTTGTGGAAGGTTCTCTTGCTAACATATCCCTGGAAACTGTATCCTTGACAAGTGCTCAGTCACGATGTGTGTGGAGTGGGGAAGGTGGGGAGACAGGAGCTAAGCTGAATGCATACTGCGGCAGGGGTGGGGCAGGTAAATGAAGTACTACATGTCGACTTGCTTGGAAAACTATAAATCTCTGATACTGTTATTAAAATGTAGAAATTCTTTACTTGAGTGGGAGTGGTAGAGAGATTTCCTTGCCCAGCTCTGAATCCATTCCATCAATATGCATTTGTAGAGGATCAAGGAATGAAAGAATGTTCTTCCTCTCTATAGCCACTACATTTCCTGGAGCCCAGCAAGGTGTCCGTCACAGGAGGCCATCCAAATTTGTTGAATGCATGTGCTTAGGAAGTATCTTGTCATCACTTTCTCAGATATACAAATAAGAAACCCTTTTTACCCTCTACTCTTCATCATGACATCAGGAAGTAATAACTAAACAAAGTGGTCTCACCTAGCCATGACACTCTGTGTGTGTGTAGATAGGGCAGAAATACACAACATACTCCCTGGCTCTAAACCAGCCTCTATCTTGAATTTGTACTGTGTCTTTGGCAACACTTGAGTGTGTTTCCATCTTTAAAAACATCAGAGATCACATGTCTTGATTTTTTTAAAAAAATTAGCTAGACTTGAGTTTGAAGAAGGACATTGAATAACGGATACCTCACATTAAGAATGATTAGGTTTAGTCTCAGATCTTTCCCAAGTAATTCTATCTTTTTTGACCCTTGTAACAAGGCAAAAATAAGACAAAATCAAAACGAAACAGGCAATAGGAGACGATATAAGTACCACTGAGGACAAGCATACATTCTCCATGTTTTCCCACCTAAATGCCTTTACTCATGCCGTGATGTCTGTCTGGGGCACCATTCTCTTATCTTTCGTTGGGTGAAATTCTCTATATTCAGAAGGACCAGCACCACATGTGGCACCTCTGCCAAGAAACTAGGCTTGACTCATTATGTCTTTTCTTCCCCCTAAACTGTTGCATTTGGCTGTGTCTTTTTTATGATGTTTACCACATACTTGTGTAGGTTTAGTGTTTTGGGCACATATCCTATATATCCTGATAAATTGTAATTTTTTTTAAGCAATAGGCATATTTTCTTGATTTTTCTCTTTATTTTCATACTTCATACACTGAAAATGCTAAATTGAATGTTGTTGAATACATAAATTAATGGAAGAGTAGAGGCTGGGCATGGTGGCTTTTGCCTGTAATCCAGGCAGGAAAGTAGCTTGAGTCCAGGAGTTTGAGACCAGCTTGAGCAACATAGTGAGACCCCCCATCTCTACAAAAAATAAAAAATTTTGTTGGGCTTGGTGGTGCATGCCTTTAGTCCCAGCTACTTGGGATGCTGAGGTAGAAGAATAGCTTGACCTTGGGAGGTTGAGGCTGCAGTGAGCTGTGATCGTGCCTGCACTCCAGACTGGGCAACCAAGCAAGACCCTGTCTCGAAAACACATACACACATATATACATGCATAATTTTTTAAAAAAGAAAATAGGAATGCTAGATCAGGTGGTGTATAAACATGAACAGCTTTCTCTCTGAGCTGATATGTAAAGTTGAGGTAGAATGCTTCACTGAGCACCAGGCAAAATGAAACTGAATGTTCTTCAGCCACTCAAGGCAAGCTGTGAACTTCCCATTATCCTCTCTAAAGCCCAACTATCTGCTTATATATGCCTGTCCTCTCTTGCTAGTTAAGGAAATCTCTCCACCAATTCTCCCTTTTCTCTTCTACAGCATCAAATTTCCCCTTTTTTACTAGACAATTACCGTTCACATACAAGCATGCTATAATTTTCCCCATGTTTTTTAAAAAAGGAGAAAAAAAGAAAGCTTCCTGAGCCACTATTTCTCTCCAGTTACTGTCTCATATCTCTGTTGCCCATGACCACAAAACTTGCTGAAATGTTTCTCTCTACCCCCATTATCGATACATTGTACTTCTTTTACACCAGCTCCAATCAGGCATTTGCCTCCACTTCTTTACCAAAGTGCTGTTGCTAAGCTCACCCATGACCTCCCTGTTGTGAAGTTCAGTGGTCCATTCCTAGCCCTCATCTCTCTTTCTCCACCAGCAGCATTTGGCACAGATGATCAGTCTCATTACTTTACTTGGCTTCTGCAGTGCCATACTCCTAATTTACTGGTTTACTTCCTAATTCATTGACAATTCCTTCTTTTGTACCCTTTGCCGATTCTCCCTCATAGATCCTTAAACTCTAGTATGACTCTGTGGCATAATGCTCAGACTTCTTTTCTTCTCTATCTCTTATCACTTGCTGTGTGGTGCCTCCAGCCTCATGACTTTAAACATCATCTATGCTAAGGATTACCAAATACATCATTCTGATCTTGACTTCTCCCCTGAGTCCAGCTGCCTAGTCATCGTTTAATCTTGGATGTTTTGAGATGTCTTTAGGCATTTCAAACTTAACATGTCTCAAACCTCACTGTTGATCATGATCATTCCTTCACACTTGTTTATTTTCCCTTGTTTTTCCCATTTTAATAACCAGTAATTTCATTCTTATGTTTTCTAAGAGTAAAAACTTTAGTGCCATTGTTGAATTTTAATAAATATCTCATAACAAATTCACCATCCAATCTTACCAGCTCTACCTTCTAAGTTTACACAGACTCTAGCCTTTGCTCCTCACCTTTATGTTGATCCTCCTGGTTTAAGGACACCCTAATTTATGGCCTCGTTGCTTTTACCCTTGACCCCCGCTATACTCTGTTCTCTGGCTAGCCACCAGAAGTATCCTTTTAAAAGCACAAATCAGATCTTATAATTCTTCTGTCAGTGGTTTTTCATCTCAGAATAAAAGCCAATGTTCTTATAATAACCTATCAAGCGGCCAGCCACATTAACCCTCTTATGGTTTCTCCAGGGGACCAGAATAGTCCTGCTGCAAGGCCTTTGTACCTGCTGTTCCCTCTGCCTGGAATGAACTTTCTCTGGGTTTCCACGCAGCTCACTCATTCACTTCTGTCAGGTCTCGTTGCAAATGTCATCTTATCAAGGACACTGTTCCTAAACACTCTGTTTAAAATAGTACTTCCTCTGCCTCTTTCTCTGATTTTATTTTCCCTGCTACCATATATTATCACCTGACATCCTATGTATTTTACATATTAACTGTTTATTGCCTGTTTACCCATTGCTAGAATCTAAATCTTTTAAAAGTGAAATTGTCTTTTTTTCCTCACTGTCTCGTCCTTAGTGCCTACATACAGTGCCTGCCATAAAGATGGTGCTGAAGAAATATTCGTTGGTGTTTAATAAACAAAGCAACAATACTAATCAATTTCTACAATTTTTAAGTCTCATACCTTTTTCTTTAGGGATGTGGGAGACAGTGGTCATGAAGGGAGAGGCTTATTAAAAAGTTGACAATGGGGCCGGGCGCGGTGGCTCACGCCTGTAATCCCAGCACTTTGGGAAGCTGAGGCAGGCGGATCATGAAGTCAGGAGATGGAGACCATCCTGGCTAACACGGTAAAACCCCGTCCCTACTAAAAATACAAAAGATTAGCCGGGCATGGTGGCGGGCGCCTGTAGTCCCAGCTACTTGGGAAGCTGAGGCAGGAGAATGGCGTCAACCCGGGAGGCGGAGTTTGCCGTGAGCCAAGATCGCACCACTGCACTCCAGCCTGGGCGACAGAGCGAGACTCCGTATCAAAAAAAAAAAAAAAAAAAAAAAAGTTGACAATGGGCTGGGAGAGAGAGAGAGAGGAGAATTAAGTAAAATTCCACAAAAAGAATCATCATGCATGGTTCTAAAGTAACAGAAAGAATTCTTTTTCAAGACTTGGTATCTCACTTCTCACAGGTTTGCTCTACTCTAAATAACATGCCTAAACACTAGGGACCCATCTTCCACATCAGAATAATATGATTCTGCCAGTGTGTGGGATTTGGGAACTAGTGGGGAACAATTCATTTTCGGAAGAGAAGATGATCAATACATTGAGACATTAAAGCAAATGTTGTTCATTTATACATTGTACTAACCAGTCTTGAGTGCTTATGGGGTATCTTTCTTGGGACTCTGGTTAATGGTGTGAGGAGCAAAGAAAATACAGACCCTGATCTGCTTCTGTCTTCGTGTAGGCTGATCCCTGTGAAGAAGTCATGGGGGAAGGCTGGCCCAAGGTGTGTGGGTGGAGAGCGAGACAAGAAAATGGGAGCAGTCATGAAGCAGTGTCCTGAAATGTCTTGCCTTCCAAGGCCTTGGGGTTTCTGCCAAAATGTAGGTTTTGTAGGGAGGTAAGCAGCTCCAAACCTGGAAGGACATGTGGTTGAAATTATAGAAAAAAGACAAAATTATAAAGGAAGCTACTGGATGAAAGGCTGGAGTAATTTTTGTGGGGAGTAGTGAGCCCCTGTGTATACGAACATCCATGTTGATTCTCATTTATCAGAGTAAGTGCTTGCCTGGCCACATGGTTAGACTGCTCTAACAAACTGTGCCAGATGTTACCAATAAAAGAGAGTCCTTCTTTTTACATACCATTATTGGCATAATATTTTCTGTTCCCAACTCTTGTGGAGTCACTGTTGACAGCTTGATGAACTAAGGACTCACTCTCGGTTTGACTGTGTTTCAATCATGAAAGCCCAAGACTGAAAGCAGAGTTAATAAGAGCTAACTACCTGTCTTGACAGAAAAACATAATATTAGTACCTCAGGTAGGACATCCCAAGAAAAAAACGGTTTCACGTAAGAAAGTTCCCAGAGGCAGCTGTATAAAGCCCTATTGGTGGGCTTCTAGGTTCAGGATATGTGAGATGTGGATCATACATTCCCTATTGCAGATTGTGTAAGGGAGGGAAGACAGGGAAGATGGAGCAGGGAAGCTAATGACACTATCAATGTGAAACATGGACTAGACCACCTCCAAGTACCTGGCCACTTGTAGATATTAATTGTCATTGTAATAATAATGATAAAATGTAATGACCGCCATTTATTTGGTGACTACGTTTTGCGAGCCACGTATTTATATATTATATAAGCATAATAAATATATATATTGGTAGTTTTTGCAAGAGCCTATGAGACAGGTATCAGTTACCCCTCCATTTTTCCTTACTGTATTCATGGCCCACTCTCTCAATTCTTCCCCCTTTTTCTGAAGGGGGAAAGTTCTCTTCAGACATTTTGAACCTCCATCTTGTCCTTCCCATCTCCAGAAGATGCTGGCCTCATACTGACTGAGTGCTTTGAGGTAAGAGCTACGAAAGCTTTATTCATTAAGGACTTTAAACCTTTACAATGTGCTGTCCTTTGCATGTTAAAGTCCTCAGAGTGGAACAGATGCAAAACCAAAGCCAAAAATAAAAAAACAATAACGCTGTAATCCCAGCACTTTGGGAAGCTGAGGCGGGCCGATCACTTGAGGCCAGGAGTTTGAGAGCAGCCTGGCCAACATGGTGAAACCTCATCTCTACTAAAAATACAAAAATTAGCTGGGCATGATGATGCATGCTTGTAATCCCAGCTACTCGGGAGGCTGAGGCAGGAGAATCGCTTGCACCAAGGAGGCGGACATTACAGTGAGCCGAGATCGTGCCACTGCACTCCAGCCTGGGTGACAGAGAGAGACTCTTGTCTCAAAAAAATAAAACAAAACAAAAACCAATAACAAATACAAGAACAAGATCTTTCTTTTGTTAACGTCCTTATCTCTGATGGCATAACTTCCTTCCAGAGGTGAGAGGGGAAAAGGAGTGAGGGAAATAATAGGTCCTTCTTTGAACACATTATTTTCTTTATTTTATAAATGAGAAACCAAGTCTCAGTATAGTGAAATTGGGGCCAAACTGATAAGCAGGGAAAATGTGTTTTGAATTCGGGTCTATTTGACTCAAAAGTCCATAGATCATGGGCCGTGTACCTTCTCACGGCTTCTATTCCATTCTTCAACTTGTAGGTCTTTAAAAGATCTGCATGAATGACTCAATTCTGAGCTGGCCCTTTTACTATCAGTCTCTCTGTGGGTCCCAGATGCTTATGTTGTTGCTGCATGAATGTCAGGGGTGGGAAAGGCAGTGCTGTATACGGAGGGAAGGAAGGAACCATAAACAATACAAGGAGCCACAATTCTGTCTATAACAAGGGGAAAGTGGAAAAATCACCTCTAAACTGGTAATGTGATTGAATAAACTGTTTCTAGATAGAGTTAGATTAGGTTTCCCATGCAGAGGCCCTATATTCCACTATATGACACCCAGCACCATTCCAGAAAAACAAGTGGTCAGGTCACAACCTGGAGAAGACAGCTGACCTTGTCCCAGGTAAGGGGTTTGCATATGGAGCCTGGGCTGTGTCCTCCTCCCCTTCTTTACCCTTGAGAATACTGGGTGCCTGTTACTACAGTGGTAGTCTTTTTACACCCATATCCTCCCCTTCCCTGCAGTTCTTTCTTCCCTTCACCTACCTCTAAATCCATCTGTCCTGAAGTGGGAATTAATGAAAGACTCCAGACTTCTGGGTAAAGATATCTTATTCCACTCTTCATTTACTCTACTACTCTCATTCAGTATGACTGTGAGCAAAAAGGTAACCTGTACCTCACCATGTATAAAATAAGAGAATATAAGGAAATTTTGAGAGGACATTGAAACCCACAGATAAAACATCCTTAAGTCTAAGGCGAATTGCGCATCGCTGTTTCATTTTCATTGGGAATAAACCTTGTTTTTCAGTCTGGCTTGTGCCTTCTTTTTTCCTCCTGAATTGTTTTTAATAACTGAAATCGCTATGACATGGATGCAGCGTGAATTAGATATTTCCTGGTCAGCTATTGATACAGCTAATGGTGCAAAGTCACAATTTATCAATAATTAAACTTGACTCATATAGTTACAAGTTTTTAAAGGGAGATAAAAAGAAAACTCCAAAATGCAAAACACACAGAGGCTTGAGAATTGTCAGGAAACAGAGGAAGAGGAGAAACCTGAATTATAGAAAAAAAAAGCTCACTGAAGAACACAAATTAAAAATCTGTATCCAGTTCATGATGTGGACAACATGTGGGCTGCTGTTGTATTGCCAGTCTTTCACAAAAGATTCCATGTTAACTTATATTTACAGTCTAGGATGTATTATATTGATCTGGACAGTGGGTAAAAGAGATCATAGAAAAAAGTCAGGAGATTAAATTTCTCCACCTAATAAAATATTAAACCAGAGAGAAAAAAGGAGGGGGAAAATATAATTAGTAATGAAGGGCTGCACAATTCGGGAGGATATTGGGGGAATACTTGAGAGAAAATACTAAAGGATGGATAATGACGGCAGAATAGGTTGCCCTAGACATCAAACAGCCCTTCTGGGTTTAAAGAGGTGAAAGACGAGTGAAAAGAATTTTTAGGATGCTGCTTGAGAGCCATGCAGCATAATTATCCTGTTGGGGGCTTTTAAAGAGTCTTAAGATCACCATTTTGTGAAAGTCCTTTTATTTATTGTTATTATTATTATTAATACTGTATGAAAATTGGCCATGAGGTAGCCAACTTTACTTAGGCTATCTACACTTAAATAAATGATTTCATGTGTGGTAGATGGATCGTGTGGTATTCAAAAGCACAATCTCACTGATTTCATTGCCATGTATCTATTTTTTTAAGAAAAATTATATGTGTATATGTATATGTATGTTTAAACTCCTTGTTAACAAAGTATTCTTTTTATTGATTTTATTCAGTTAGTTGCCTTACAAAATGTAATATCATAACTGTTAACATAAAAATTCAGCAAACTGTTGCTAACTATTAATAGTATAGTTAGCTGAGCACATGTTATAAGGGAAGGAAAATACCAAAACCCAGATGAAGTTCTTCCATTACAGTCCAGCAGAACAAAGGAGATTCTGTTTCTCAGACACTTAAATTAGGCAAATAAAAGAGATAGAGTCTCTCTCCTCTGTCTGAAGTGGTCCACCAGTAGAAATATTCTGATTAATATAAACTAGACAGTTAAGGCATTAGACACTCAAGACATTCCACAGCTTATAATACAATAATGATTTACTTTCTTGGGCTTCAAAGTTTGAAAGTTTTTTTTTCTTTTAAATCATTTAAGTATCAAATTGGTGGCTTTTCAGCAGCAGTAACTTCACTCAAAAATAAGCACTCTTCTTCAAAATCTATGTTTTGAATCCTCCAACTCAATTTTTAGACAAAGTAACTTTAAAGTAGGTGAAGACCACATGTCCTTTTTACAAACTGCTTTTCTTGACAAGAAGTAGTTCAAGGAGGTATTGTTCAGGCTACATTACTGGATGGTGCTGGTAAATACAATTTTGGCCGTAGTTTGTTTCCAATTTAGTGACACTGCCTTTTTGGAATAAGATACTAAGGATTATAGCATTATTAGGATTTACAAAAACCGCTATGATTTAGTAGCAATTGAACTTCCAAATTTTAACCTCTTGGCAACAAAACCCAATTTCCTCTTTCTTACATTAGCTCCTAATTGTCAAGACATTAAATAGCAAGCACAAAGATACTGCACTTCTAATTGCAGCATTTGGCAGAAATGAAGGGAAAGGAAGTTGTGCTACATGTTCAAAGGGATTGTGAGTGTCTTAGTGAACCAGAGTTTCAGTAACAAAATATCATAGACTGGATGCCTGTAACAACAGGCATTTATTTCTCACAGTCTTGGAGGCTGGGAACACTAAGATCAAGTTGCTGACAGGTTCAGTGTCTGGTGAGAGCTCCTTTTTCCTGGCTTGTAGATGGCCACTTTCTTTCTGTATCCTTACTTTGTGGGGAGAAGGAGAGAGCTCTAGTCTCTTTCTCTTCTTGTAAGGATACTAATCCCATCATGGGGGTTCCACCCTCATCTCACCTGTTAAGGCCCAAAGCCCCCATCTCCTAATATCATCACACTGTGGTTAGGATTTTAACGTATGAGTTTTGGAGGAAAACAAATATTCAATCCATAGGACTGAGCAACCAAAAGACACCAGGAGAAGATTAAAATGTTACATGAGGTCTCGTCTTTAACGGTGGCCTTTAATCCTTTAATCCCCCTCCAGGAACCACACTTTTCTGTTTTTGCTTCTCTTGCTTCTTTTTGTCACTGCAGAGCATCAGTAATCTTTTTCAAGTCATCAACTTCTAAAAAAAGGCACACATCTCCATCTAAGGATACCCCAAACTTGCATAATACAGTGACTTTTCATATTGTGTAATTTTATTTTTTAGTAACTTTTCAAAATCCAGGAAGCCATCTCTCCAAAGTGGGTTCAGAGCCTTGGCTCCATAAACTGTATTAACACCAAACGTCTTTTTGGCTGGTTTGAAGTCTGACTCTTCCTGGAATTTCTTTAGTTTAGTCCCGGTCGAGTTTGCTAATTGTTCTTTGGTGTTAGCACTTTATGTTCTCCTAACATCTTTTTAATTTAATGTTTTTTTTTTCCAGTTGCTGTAATTTCTCTTTGGCTTTCTCGAGTCATATACATATACATGTATATAATATTATCTATTTATCTACCTGCCTATCATCTATCTATTATCTATCTATCGATCGATTATTTATCGATCTATCTTTTCTGAAACCTTTACTTCTAGTTTTACTTCTCTTTCTTTCTTTTCACATCATCACTGTCGCCCCAGTTATCCTTGATATCCTGGTCATTGCCTTCTCAGTTGTCCCCGCCAGTGGTATTGTGGTATTGCCGGCCCCCACCTCCCGCACAGCGGTGCTTCACGGAATTCCTGAGGCGTACTGGGAGCACCGGCACAGCCGCCGCCATTTCCCGGCAGGGGCACATGGGAGCGACAGCGAGGCGTCAGGGCCGGAAGTGTCCCTGTCTTTGCCCTCGTTGGCTACTGCGGGGCAGGCTGGGACCGAGGCTGTGTGCAGAGGCCTTTGGTGGCTGCGCACGTTGGGGAGGGGACGTAGAACTCAGAGTGATTTTGAGGTTGGTGAAAAATGTTGGATGTGTAACCTTAGACTGTGGTCTAAATGAACCACAGAAATCAAGCTAAAGGGAAAGTAGATAAAACCAGGAGAAAGAACTCTTCTGGATTTCTGTTGCGACTGATTACCATATAACGTCTCCTTTCCCCATAAGATTCCCAGCCCCTACTTAATCACTGCACACTGATCTCAGTACTGCTGTGAAGAGACTTTGCAGAGGTAATGAAAGCCCTAAATCAGTTGACCTTGAGACTCGGTGGGCCTGACCTAATGATGTGAGTCCTTTCAACGCAGAATTTTCTCTGGCTGGCAGCAGAAGGGGAATTAGAGAAATCTGTAGCATGAGAAGCCTTCCACATGCCATTACTGGCTTTGCCAGGGAGGTGGCCATGGGGCAAGGACCTGAGAACAGCCTCTAGGAGCCTGTCCATTCCTGGCCAATAGCTGACAAGAAAACGGGAACTTCAGTCCTACAACTGTGAGGAACTGAGCTCTGCAGACCACCTGAGTGAGCTTGAAAGGACGTTCTTCCCCAGAGTCTCTAGGTAAGAGCACAGCCCAGCTGACGCCTCGGTTTGCACCTTCTGAAACTGTGAGCAGAGAACCATGTTGAGCTCATAGGACTTCTTACCTACAGACTTGTGAGATAATAAATGGTTGTGTTTTAAGCCACTAGGTTGTGGTCATTTGTTACTCAGCAATAAAAAGCTAATACATTCCTCATCACTGATTCAAGTAACAAAAGAGGGAAAAATACAGGGACAGCTAGGGACAACAATACATAGCAAAGATATATAGAACCATGGGCTTTGCCTTATAGTTCACGTGTTCTCCACCTAGGAGACAAAATTATTGAACTAGAAAAAGCATTAAATGGGTAGCTTTGGGCATTCGCATAAAACTCCTAGTGTCTGTTTCTCCCATATGTAAAATGCAGATAATGATGTCATCCTCATAGAAGAGTTGAAGAAATAATTGAGGTAGTTGATGTGAAAGTGTTTTACAAATGTACAAAATTAATGCATGGGTGGCTTTTTTTTTTTTTTTTTTTTTTTTTTTTGGAGACGGAGTCTCACTCTGTCTCCCAGGCTGGAGTGCAGTGGCACAATCCCAGCTCACTGCAACCTCTGGGGTGGCATTATTTTTAAGCAAACCTAAAAGAGGCAAATTCAAATTTGCAAACAGATATAAGAGGGGATGATTCTATTCTTTCACTGGAGGAGTTTTCTCCCATTCCCAGTACTATTTCCCAAGGTTTCTGTCTCTTTATTTGGACTTCTTCTGTGCTATGGAATAAAGTGATGGAAGGGGTATTACTATGAAGACTTTGCCAAACAAAGACAATGGTTAGAAAGGATGCCTTTTATATCTTTTTTTCTATATACTCATATTCTATCCATTGTTACAGCAAAGTTAAGTAACTTTTTTAAAGCTGTTATTGTTACTTTTTTCACTCATTTGTATATTGTGTTCATTCATTCATGAAATATGTATTTAGTTCTTGGTATGTCAGGCATTTAGAAAAGCACCATTCTACTTGGAAGGCTCTGATTTGACGCTAAGAAACTCATTGTTAAGGGCTGTTTTAGAAGGTTTTTTTTTTACCTTAGGTTTTTGTGCAAACAGCAGAGTTCAAAGTCCTCACACCAAAAACACATGCCTGTTTCTTCAGAGAGAAGAGCCATTTGACAAATGCCACCTTTGATCATTTCCCTTATGTGTCCAAGAAACTCATCTGGGTTCAGATCTGGGAGTCTGTAGTTCTAGATCTACTCATCAATCAATACTGTATTGAAGAATTTCTTCCACAAATTCCTTCAGCAGAACTCTAGGTCTGTTAACGAAAGCTCAGTTACATTTAATTGAACTTAATTTTGTTGTGAAGTGGATGTGATGTGAGGGCAAATCCTGCTTTTCTTTCCTAACTTGCATTGTATGTACTCTGTATTGTGTCAGCACCAGGATCAATGTGACTGCATTTTGTTGACTAGAAGTATACTGAGACTGATGAGGATCTTGGCCAGCCAAGCCTATCAGCACTTGTGCCCATGGTCAGTCAGGCTCAGGGGCACTCACAAAGCAGAGTAGTCGATTGAAAAGCAAGCATAAAAGATAAGGTTGGACTATGCTTGCGATACACCTTATCGAGGCAATCAATGGGGCATGAACTTGGCAGAGTTCTAAGGGACATAAATCCCAAACGTTAAGGTAGGAAGGTGATCATAAGTCAGAATAGTCAGGAACAGAAGAGAGACTTGGGCAATAGAACATTTTGAGGTGACAGTACAGGCACCAGCAGGGCCTCTCATTGAAGAAGGAAGCCATTTCAGAGCCTAAAGATTCCTAAAGATTCCTGGGCCTCTGGACAAGAATAAGACTTTTGGTAATGGACACCAGGTCATAGGGAAGATAAGCGGAGATTCAGTTAACTCAAATCAATGGATATTTATTGAGCACTTCCCTGATTTCAGAGTGCATTTACGACTTTGTACAAAGAAATGACTGTTGTATGGCCCATATTCTTAAAGAAGTTACAATCTAGAAGGAGAACCAGGCACCCTACAAGTATTAAGTCAGATATTAATAAGCATTGGAATAAAAGTGACATGCATTTCCAAGTACTATAAGATAAAGAAATATTGCATTTTTTGGGAAAGCATGACTTCTGGTTGACAGGTAAAGATCTTTGACAACAACACTTGCTCTGGTAAAACCCATATAAAATGAAAGGCCCCGGCTTAAGAAGATACAGTATTCACTGAATGTGGAAATGGGTGCAATTCCTTTCACTAGCTGCTACCCCTTCTCTGCCACATACACAAAATCTCTCTTAAGTTATCATATGGGCTTACAAAATCTTTCAGCCAACTTTCTGAGTGCCTAGTATGTGCTAGGCACATGATGGGGAAGAAGGACAGTGGAGAGAGGGCAAAGAATAAATGCTGTAGTATCTGACTTCAAGGAGTTTACAAGCCAGACAAGGCAGACATCTGAGAGATGGTGACACAGGTCGAGGGGTCTACTAAGCTCCTAAGACACTATTTGTGCTGCCACCGACTGTGCAGGCCTGTAAAATGTGCTATTACCACCTTTATGGGTTTCCAGCTAAATGTCTTGTTTAGAAATGGGAAAAAGTACAAGGAAAGGGCTGATAACAGCTTACTCTCCTGTGGAAGATCTTAGGGTTCTTGAAGCTAAGAGGGACTTAAAAATGTAAATTAGACCACAGAGTCATTCATCCCAAGCTGTGAGCTATGCAACTCCAGGCAGAAATGTTGGAAAAGGTATCCTCTATTGAAAAAGAAGGCCCCAGCCAATGCATCTCCAAAGCTAGGCTGAAAGAAGGAGCAAGCCAGATGGTTTTTTTGTTTAAAGAACCCACAAGGCAGTCTAGGTTTCCAGACAGTTAATAGGGGTGAGAAGTAGGGTTTGAGGGATGGGGACTGGGGCAAGCAGAAAATAATTTTAATTCTGACCCCCATTAGAGATGTTCTGACCGGTGATTGGAGACTGTGACCAGAACCTTCTTGATAAGATAGGGGGTATCAGTGGGACTTGGGGCTCTGAATATGTATGGCCCAGATTTCTTTGTGTGGCTGATATCTGACTGGATATTTATTCTTCTAGATTACACATTCTGACTCTGAGGAACAAAGAGCTGGCAAGAGCTGCTCTCTGGTGCTTAATAATTTGAAGGAATTTACATTTCAATGCAGCCCTGTGTTAAATTTCTCACACAGTCTCTCTCCCTACTCCCTACTTGCCTTCCCCTCCCCCTAATTTCTTCCAATGGAAAGAACAGACCACTTTCCCAGTCTAGGAAAGGCAGTGGGCAAAAAGAAAGAAAGAGAAAATCATAGCAACATCATCGGGGGGAGGAGATTTATTGATATTCCACTTAGAATTTATTCCCTCAGAATCCTATTTATTTTATTTATGTTTATAAGTCATGCATTACCAAGTACAATGAAATCTCCAGAAAACCCAGAAGGTTAGTTGGCGTTCTCTGTGATTTGAAAGATGAAACAGAGGGAGAAAATGAATAAGAAGTGAAGGTGTGGGAGGGGCTGGGGACAGGAATAGGTGGCTTAGGAGAAAACATTTCCTAAGGAATAGCACATGTCGCTTTGGCTTCCTCTGTGTGAGCAAGTGTGATCCAAATAATTTCCTCGGTCCTTCCCCACTGCCCCTCCCCCTCCTCCCAGGAGAGGGGATTCATTGTCAGGTAATTAACCATCAGCATTATAGAAAGCACTCACTAGGCAGAAGTGTGAAAACACATTTACACCTCATATAAATGGGATAGGAGATTTTGCTGTTTGAGTGGCACCTGAGGAGCCACAAATTGACAAAGATAAAGTCATCCATGGTTATGATTATAAGATCTTAAGTGCTCACATTTTGTTTCTAAAATGGGCCACCCTTTCTCCCTTCATGCTGATATCACAGAGCATATAGTGACCAGTAGACTACAAGGAGCTTGGGATATAGCTTAGGAGACATGGCAGCCCAGCTAGGATCCTACACTAGTAATTCAAGGGGTTTATTCTGCCATTGCAAGTGCAGTCAATCAATACACTTGTAAGACATGGTTCATTTGTACCCTAACGCATTGTTTCTGCCTGCAGGATACTGACATACAAGTACATAATTATAATACAGGGTGATAGTACCTACAGAAAAGGCATGCCCAGGAGGTTATGGAAGCATGGAAGTGGCAGTCATGGAAGATTTCATGGAGGAAGTGACATGAAATGAGGTTCAGAGAATGAAGAGGGGCTTGTTAGGTGAATTCAATGAAAAAATGGAAACACCAGCGGGATAGTTTGGGTTCGCATCGTACATTGTTTGGTATGAAAGAGTGGACAGATGAGGCTAGTTTAGTCTGTAAGACAGGCTTGTGGATGTGCCACAAAATAACTTGGATTTTATTCAGTAAATGATAAAAAACCTTTATGGAAATAAAGGCAGTCTGTGGATGGGGTGATTAGTAAGGAAAAAAGGAAAAAGGAAAATGGATTTTTATATTCACCATGATAAAAATATGGAAACCTTGACACAATACTTTTAAAACTAACCACAGGACAAGTAGGTCTAGACTTCTTCTCAACTGGAGAAGGAGGAGGGAATTAAGAGCTATAATTTTCATACTCATAAAGATATTCTGGCTAATTATAGTTAGTTCCAACCAGAAACTTCTCAGTAAAGGGGAAAGGACATCTGTGGAACTGGGGGCAGAGCCTTATTAGCCTCCACGGTAGTATTTAACATCAATTGCTATTAGAAAAGCAAACCTTTCAATTGAACTGCCTCTTCTCTGGCTCTAAATTTAACTCATCTCAATCTTCACTGTAGAAGAACGGGAAATTCCTACTTCACACAACTCTAAGGGGACATTATTAGGTCTGTCCCATCTCCTGTAAGTTATAACTATGATTGCACCAAGCCTTGGGCATCTCATAAAAACATGAGGTTCTCTTAAGTATAGGAGGGACATATTTAGGATGAATGAAAAAGGATGTGGGCCCTTTAATAAATGTTATTTGATGTCACAGAATTTAGACGTACTTTAGATGTAACAGTGATTCTTCTCTTCCTTAGGCGAATTTATTCTCTTCTTACTGTTTTACAATGTATGTATGTGTTATTATTCAGGTATCATAAGGCTAACAGATCAGGTGATGAATACCATTGAAGAGATAATTTGTTATCGTTCTTAAGAGGGGGAGGAATGCCATGCCACAAGGTGGAGGGAGCACAAGGAAATAAATGTGAGCAGAAATTTTATTGTAGTTTCCATGGGAAGAAATGAGTGAGGCTGCGTAAACAGGTTTAGGATTGACTAGTTTGAATAATTTGCATGTAGGAACTACATTTAGTCATCTGGTATCTGGCCCTGTGGTGATCAGCGCAAGGGAATAGAGGCCCAAAATGTTAGAGCCCAATAGATAGAGGATGTGATTGGGGATATGGGCTCTGGATTGGTTGGTTCGCATAATGAAAGGTGTGCTTGCAGGTGAGTCCTTACTATATCTAGGAATTGGTTATCTCTGGGAGGGGCTGTTCTTCCAGCATCAGCAAGGACCCAGACAGATATCAAAGCAGCAGAAATGCATGATTAATATCCCTAAAGACCTTACACTTTCTTAGATTCTTCTTTGAACTTTCTCTTTTCTCTTTGAAGATTGGCAAGAATCCCCCTGTAAGCATATGATAAGTGATGTCTATAATAGAAATAATATGACTTCCTGGTTTCTATGAACTTTTTCTGCAACCTTATAGGAGACACCAGATTTGATTGATTTATGAATGGAATAGTGGTGTGGTAATCTTTTATGCTACTTTCTGGATCAACCCAAGAATAGTTGCTACAGCCCACATTTTCTGTTACCAATGCATCAGGTTTATAATTCTGTTAAAGCACCTCTACAAGTCAAGATGTTTTAGGTGGTAATTAAGAGAAAATTCATCTTAAAATGGCTTAAATAAAGAAATTACATTATTTTACTTAACAAGATATATTAAAGTAGAGAATTCAGGGCCTCAATCGTATTTTCAAAGACCTGGCTCTGTCTTCCTGCTGTGCCATTTTGGTGTGTAGAATTGTCTTCAGGCTGACTCCCTTCAAAGATGCAAAATAACTGCAGCTTTTTCAGGAATATGTCTAGACCAAGAAACAAAACAGAACAAAAGTCCAGAGTAAGAAGAGAAATGATTTCTAATTTAAAATTTTTTCTATTGACTCCTTTTCAAAGAACTAAAGTTTGGTTTCTTAATTTTCTCTATTTTTTGATCTTCTTTTGTTTCTTTGATTTCAACTCTTTATTTTCTATGTTGTACTTAATTTTTTTCTTTTTTAGTTTTTAAAAATGAAGCTTCGATCATTGATTTTAAACCTTTCTTTTTTTCTAATGTAAGTGTAAGTATTTAAAGCTGCCAATTTCCTTGTAAGCACTATTTTAAGTGTATTCTATACATGTTGATATGTTTTGTTTTCAATATCATTCATTTGAAAATACTTTCTAATTTTGTTTCAGAATTTCCTTTTTGGTTCATGAGTTATTTTGAAATATATTGCTTAATTTCCCTATATTGAAGATTTTAAAGATATCTGTTATTAACATTTAGTTTATTTCAATTTTTGCCAGAGAGCATATTTGGTTGATTTCAATCCTTTAAATGTCCTGAGACTCATTATGTACCATTTTGTGTATTTTGAATGTTCCATGTATGCTTGGAAAAAATTGTGCATTCATAAGTTGTTCTATGTAATATTCTATAAATGATAAATTTGATTAAGTTGTTTGATAATGCTGTTCAAATCTCAATAACCTTTCTTAGTTTTGATCTACATTTAAAAAAACAATTATTGAGAGAGGAGTGTTAAAGGGTCTAATTATATTTATGAATTTGGCTTTTTCCTTTCAATTCTGTTAGTTTTTGCATCATATATTTTGAAGATCTGTTATTAGGTACATAGATATTAAGGACCAATTGTTGTTCTGATGAATTGTTCTTATTATGAACTGTTTTTCTTTATTGTGAATAATACTTCTTGTATTAATGTCTATTTTTGTGTTATAGTTACTTCAGAATTCTTATGATTATGGTGTATCATAAGGCGTATCTTTTACTATCCTTTCATTGTAACCTACCTGTATCTTTATAATCAAATTGGGTCTCTTGTAAACAGCATATAGTTAGGTCCGGGTTTGTTTCTTAAAATTTAATCAACCTCTGCCTCTAATTTATTACATCCAATGTAATTATTGATATGGTTGGCTTTAAGACTACCAGTCTGTTCTTTGTGTTCTATTTGCTGCATCTGTCATTTAGTTTTATCCCTTTTTTTAAAATGAATTAGTTTTTGGAAACATACAATTGTATTTCTCTCATTGGCTTTTTAGCCACACTTCTTTAGTTATTTTTATTTGTGGTTCTAGGGATAACAATGTACATTTATAACTTATTCCAGATAACCTTGAATTAACATTAAACCTCTTTACATACAATAATCTTAGCAAGTATAGTTACATTTAAACAATTTAACCCTTTGTGCTACTGTCATCATACATTTTCTACTTCTAAATGTTATAAACCCAATAATAGTATGAAATAACATATTGTTATTATATTTTCTTTAAAGTCAATTGAATTTTTAAAAATTAATCTGTAAAAACAGCCTTTTATGCTTACCCACATACTTACTATATCTGGCATTTCTTGTTTCTTCATGTAAATTCTAGTTTCATCTTGTATCATTTCTATTCAGCCTAAAGAACTTAAACATTTTTTGTTGTGTAAGTCTACTTATGAGAAATTCTCTCAACTTTTCTTTATCTGAAAATCTCTTCATTTTTTATTCATTTTTAAAGGGCATTTTAACTTATTGTAAAATTATAGGTCATCATTTTTGTTTTCGTTGTTGTCATGCTTTAACAAAGTCATTCCATTATATATTAGCTTGCACTGTTTTTGACAAAAAGTCAGCAATAATTCTTATAATTGGAACCCTGTACACAGTGTCTTTTTATTTTTGGTCACTTTAAGGAGTTTGCCTTTGCTTTTAAAACCCGTCGGTTTTTTGTTTGTGTTTTTTTACTATACTTTAAGTTCTGGGGTACATGTGCAGAAAGTGCAGTTTTGTTACATAGGTATACATGTGCCATGGTGGTTTGCTGCACCTATCAACCCGTCATCTACATTAGGTATTTCTCCTAATGCTATCCCTCCCCTAGTCCCCCACCCCCCAACAGGATGTGGTGTGTAATGTTCCCCTCCCCGTGTCCATGTGTTCTCATTGTTCAACTCCTACTTATGAGTGAGAGCATGAGGTGTTTGGTTTTCTGTTCCTGTGATAGTTTGCTGAGAATGATGGTTTCCAGCTTCATCCATGTCCCTGCAAAGGACATGAACTCATCCTTTTTTATGGCTGCGTAGTATTCTATTGTTTATATGTGCTACATTTTCTTTATCCAGCTAGGTATATTATTAAAAAAACTGATGGTCCATCAGTTTTATTATAATATACCTAGGTATGGTTTTCTTTGTGTTCTTTTTGCTTGAAGTTTGTTGAGCTTCTTACTCCAAGTGTGTTTGCATTTTTAAGTCAAATTTGCAAAATATGTTATTCATTATTTCTTTACATTTCTTTTGTGGTCCAATCTTTCTCCTTCTCCTGTAACTCCAATTACGTGTATGTTAGGCCACTTAATAGTGTCCCACTGGTTACTTCCTATCTGTTCCTTTTTATATCATTCTTTTGTGCATTCTTAAGTTTATTGCCCTGTCTTCTAGTTTATTGATTGTTACTTCTTCAGTGTCTAATCTTCTATTGAGCTCATCTGGTACATTTCAAGTCAGCTATTTCTCAATTTTAGAATTTTAATATTTTACAATTTCCATGTCTCTGTTGAGATTCTGCATCTGTTAATTTATTATATTTATTTTTAAATTTCTTTTTATTTTTCCCAAAGACAAATTTGAGATGATAGTTTATTTAATGCATTGTTTTGTTTTAGAATGGTTATAAATTTACAGAGAAGTTGCCAAGATAGTTCATATACCTGTCATCCATTCCTGCCTATTGCTAACATTATTACAATGATGCATTTGTCACTAGTAAGAAACCAACATTGTTTATTGGTATTAAGTAAAACCCACACTTTATTTGAATTCCAGTCCTATTCTCCCTGTAATTTTTAAAAAATGTCAGTCCAGGAGTCCATCTAAAATATTACATAACATTTAGTCTTCCTGTCTCCATTTCTTCTGTGGTTTATGAAAATTTATCTTGTTTGTGATAACCCTGAAGGGTTGGACGATGTCAGGTATTTTGTAGAATGTTTCTCAATTTTGTTTTGACTAATGTTTTCCCACGGTTATACAGGGTGTGGGATTTCACAGGGTGGAGTGCCCATCTAATCACATCATATCAGGGGTACAGACTAAAATGTGACTTACTGCTGTTGGCCTTTTCTTGGCTGAGGTAGAGCGGGCCAGGATTGTGTACTCTTGCCCTTTCCAAGCTCTAATCTTTAGAAATACTCCTTAAGCACAGACAGCACTCAAGGAATGGGACATCTTTTTATTTAAAATTGTTTGTACATATTTATAAGAGTTGTTTTGAAGATATTACATGTTAATTCTAATATCTGCTTGATCTCTTACCCTATTTCCATTGACTGTTTTTTCTTCCTGGTTATAAGTGTTTTTTTTTCATGCTTCTTTGCATGTCTAGTACATTTTATTGTTTGTTGGCATAAATATTAATACATTACTTTGTTGTCTGCCTTTAAATAATATTAAGCTTTGTTCTTGAAGGCAGTTAATTTACTGACTGATCAGCTTGATCCTCTCAAGTCTTGGCTTAAGGGTTTGTTGGGATAAATCTAGAGTAGCTCTACTCCTAAGGCATTGTCCCTTTGAATTTTAAATGGAGTGTTTTGTGTGTTCCCAGAGGTTTCTCCACTCTTACTGGTCAGAACACCAGTGCTTCCCAGAACTATGCAACATCCAGAACGTCCACTCTAAGTATATCTTTCCTATACTCAATCTCTGCCATGTTTCATGTAGTCTCAGCCTAGACGGGTGAAAAGTATTTGGCTAATCATTTGAAGAAATTTATATTCAGATTATTTGTGATCATTCTTTGGCAGCTCTCTCTTCTGCAGTTCCTTACAAATTACAGTTGCCTCAGTAACTTAAAATTTACATCTCTGTTTCTTTTGCTCATAAAACTGTTGCTCTCTTTGGGCTCCATTTTGCTGTTGCCATGGTTTGAAAATGACCTCCTTTATATAAAACTAGAGGGTATGTGGCACTGTTATTTTCCCTTCTCTCAAAGATCACAAACCTTCACCATGAGCACTTTGAGAAATCTTTTCTTAGCATCTTTGTTTCATCAGCATTCAATGTAATGCTTGCATATATTAATCAGTGAGTAAATTTTAAATTATATGAATAGAATTAATTGTCTGATTAAACTCAAAAGTCATGATCATCCCATCTTTTAGTTTTAATTCCCCAAAACAATGCACAGTAGGCTGTCACCACAAGAAATAAGTGTGTAAAGTAATGCATATGTTAAATAGCTTGATTTAACCATTTCACAATGTACAGTATCATGTATATCAAATCATCATGTGTCTATATATCAAAACATCATGTTGTTCATCATAAATGTATACTTTTTTTATTTGTCAGCTAAAAAATGTTTTTTAAAAAGAGTAGGCTCATTGTTACTTATTCATGGAAAGAGTTGAGGTGATAAGGTTGAAATTGTGAGGCCACCAGTAGTTTATATCTAGTACTATATCTTTATCTTAGTTTCAGGAAAGTCCACAAAAAGTTTTTCATTTCAAATAATATTTTAACTTAAATCTTGATTTACCTATTTGGAGATTTCCTTAGTCAAGAAAAAGTCAGTGCTTGAAAATTTTTTCCTAACCAGGCTTAACAACATTAACTTATAGTTAAGAAGTAAAACAAATTCTTTTATTTAGAATATTAGGGATAGGTAAAACTGGCCTTGTGATTGCCAAACAATTGCCATAAACCAAAGGATGAAACTGAAGATTCCTGTTTTCCTGTTATATATAAGTGTTTTTAATCTTCTTTAGGGAAGTTTTTTTACCCAGAGAAAATATTTACATATACATTCATAAAGAAATATATTAATAACATGTGCCTTTCTTTAGTTTTTTTTAACTTTATCTTCTTGGGGTTAAAATATCCTTACCACTAAGAAAGCAGTTATTTCATTTCAAACACTATTATGGTTATCTTCCCATATAAATTTGTGGGTTATCTCTCAGCTTGCTAAGGTTTTATAAGCCAGAGAGGCTTCTGGCCTGAAGGAGTACTAGATTCTTGTTTATATGGTTGATGGGTTATGTTGAGCCCTGTATATAATCACTAATCCATGACTCCAAAACTGAAAGAAGGAGGTGGTCATATTGTCTGCAGTTATTTGATTCATGTCAGAAATTACCTATTTCTCAAGTTATTTTGTAGATTCACCTATCTATTCATTTATGTAAACAAACATTTCTGAATTCTTGCTATGCATGGTATAAACTAGCCCAGGGGTTCTCAGAGTGTGATTCCTGGACCTGTAGCATTAGTATCACTTGGAAACTTGAAGGAAAATTTTGGACCTCATGGCGGATCTACTGAATCAGAAACTTTGTGAGTGGAGCCAGCAATTTGTTTTAAGGAGATTTTCAGGTGACTCTGATAGAACTCCAAAGAGCTCAGAATTAACACAAAATGAGAAATCTCAGGTTCTTGAAGATTCAATATCTTCCTTGCCCAAGGTCTCACTACTAGTTAGTAGGAGAGGTAAAATAGTCTTCTGAAGGCCAAGCCAGGGGTCTTTATACAACATCATATTGATTAGCCACCTCTTGCCCTCCTTTCTACCCCTCCTTCCTACCCCTCCTTCCCAATGTACTTAGGTTGTATTGTATGTACTTAGGTTGATGTAGAATTGATCTTCAAAGGACTGCCTTTGGTCATCTAGTGGAGAAGCAAATGCAGACAGAACTGTAGTTACTAGGGCTTGTGAGGAATCCTTTCCCCTTCTCCAGCCAGGTATTTGAACTGTTAGTAAGCCAGCTAGTCAGGCAGTGAGCATTTATCCCCACTGTGTGCAGGGCACAAAAAGCATATTGCCCTTCGGGTGGTCTAGAACTGGGTGCATGAGAAGAAGAGAAAACAGTTCTTGCTCTTGAAAAATTCATACATGCACACATACACACATTTTGAAAATATAGAGGAACAGTTCTGATGATCGCAATAGCAAGGGCAAGATAGTATGTACAAATAAATTATTTCTGCGGGATCTCAAATCCTAATGCCAGAGCTAGGAGGACGGGGGTTCATCAACCCCACTAATTCACTGGGCAATTTCTGCTTCATTTCGTTAGACAGAGGAGATTGTTACCAGAAAGCCAGAAAGGAAATGCCATCTGGGACTGTGTGTGCTTCCAGACAGATGGCTGACTCTTCCAGTTCTGTTTTATTTCTGGCTGCGGATCACACACCCCACAGCTACACTGTAAAAATGGGATGTGACGGGACATGGGATGTTGTCAGGATGTTTTATTTTTTTCTCTCTTTTTTTTTTTTGGTGGGGGGAACTTGTGGTAAAAATAAAACTTAATGATGATCTTCTTGTTTTTATTGTTGTTCAAATTAAGCCCTTGGTTGGCAAAGTAAAGGACCAATAGACCCCCAGAATTGGAGATAATATACAGGGACTTGGCAGAAAGCCAGGTTAACTTTGAGACTGCTGCTTTGTGGAAACCTTTTGTTATTGTGTGTGTGTGTGTGTGTGTGTGAGTGTGTGTACCTTGGGACAGTTGGGAACTGTGACACAAAATATGAAGTAGTCCCACCAGACTGGAATGCTTCTCTCTCCTCCACGTTTTTCCTACCTTCTTCCCACCCCTGGGCTGCCCTTGCCCCATTGCTAACTCCCTGCAGGCCAGACAGGGGTAGATGCTGCCATTAGCAGAATGGTCACAGTCCAGCTACATTTGACCTATTCCGGGCCTTGGGTTTTAAAGTCTAGGATTTGAGCGTTTGGCTGGGAGGTTCGTATAGATGAGGAGTCTCTAGTGCCAAGAGTTGCGAGGGTCAGAGCAATTACTTAATTTAGTTCCACAGTGTTAGGCATCAGCTTGTTCAATAAGTATTTATTGAGTGACTATTGATTGAATACTACATTATACGGATGTAAAAAAGTAAAAAATGATCCCTGAAGCCAATAAATGTACCAGAAAGAACCTTGACATCAGATTCTAACTTATTGGCTTTGTGATTTGGGACAAAGAACTAAATGCATTTGGTCCTCAATTCTTCATCTATAAAAGCACTCAATATTGCTGGTGCCCTTCCTCCACCACTTTCCCAAGCCTCATCTCCCATCTGTACCTTTTCCATGATTCTCAAACTTTGGGGTACATACCAATAGCCTGGGAAGTGCATTAAAATGCAAATTATTTGTCTCAGAAAACTTAATACAATATGTCTGGGGTGGGATTCAGAAACTTGCAGTTTTAGCATGTCCTGGTGGATAGCTAAAACAGGTCATCGGTGGGCCACACTTTGATAAACTTGGCTTTAATACTATTCCAGCTTTTTGCACCCAAGTTTAACCAATATTTTTAACTCTTTCTCTGAATTCCCATAGCATTTTATTTACATTTCTAAATACTACTTGTTATGGACTTAATCCATTATAATAAGGAACAGAAGAAAGAGTTAAGCCTTTAGAACCATTCATTAAGTTAATTAACTCATTTATTCGACAACTACTTATTAACATTTACTATGTTCAGTAAATGAACAAAACAGAATCACTGTGGCATTTCCATTCCAGAGAGTTAAGACAGGAGCTAAAAAGCCACTAAAATAATAAGTAAATAATGTAGTATGTTAGAATGATAAAAGGCATGGAAATAATGAACTGAGAAGCAAAGATCAAAAAGTAGAGCAGGGAAAGAGAATCAGGAATGCTGGAGTTGGGGGGCAGGTTGCAGTATTAAATGTGGTTTAAATATTAATTGTATTCATTAAAGGATTTATTTGGCCTTGAGCAAGTCTCTTAACCCCTTAAAGGATCCATTCCCCGTCTGTAAACCGAGACTAAGAGATCCCAACCTGAAGAATTGTGAGGTTAAGAGAGAATGTGGTATGTGGCTTTATAATACAAATAGGAAACATATCTTTCTTATCTGTATCCTCCCCTGCTGGGAGGCACACTCATCTTTCTATCCCAAGCTCTTAACAATACTTGGCATGTGGCAGACACTCAGTAAATGTCAATGGTTGAGGTAGCCAATTACCAAATACTGAGGGAGGAGTATATACAAGGGGTTATGGTCTGAAACCCTCAGCATGGCTCTTTACAAATGGGGTTCACTCTCTGAAAGAAGGTTAAATTGGTATAGTCATTACTACATTGTGATTTTGAATTATGGTCTGAGTCAGACAATCTCTATAGATCAAAATGGGAAATTCACATGATGCCATCAGGTTAATAGTGAGGTTTCCAGGAATGACAGTGGCCCTTACCCTTTCCCTCATTTCCTATAGAATGATTCCCAAATAGTAAGGCCTAGAGAACAAATGGTCAACTGCTCCTCTTAGCTATTGTAAACCAGACTAGTACCTGGTACACACAATAGGGCTGAAAAAGCCATATTCTCTTCTGAAATATTTTATCTTCTGAATTCCAAAGATTCCATTTGGCAAATTTGGTGGGTGAAATATATAGCTTCGAATGGAGAGACTGGAGCAAGAGAAACCACATATCCTGAGTCCCTGCAGCCCTGTCATGCTGGAAGCAATGCTCGGCTTCTCCCGTTCTGCCCAGCTCTCTCCTTCCTCCACCACTGAGCTGCTGCTGTTTCAGCCCTTCCCTTGTTGACATGGGACCTAAAGCCCCTTCTCAAAAAAGAGACATGAAGATGCAAAAGTGGCTGACAGGTTCTTTGATACTTCCAAGATGTCTAAGAAATAATAATGATAACTAACAATTATTGAACTCTTATGCATTAGGCCCTGTTTCAAGAACTTTATGTGTATGACACCCACCTTGTGAGGTGGGTACAGTCTTTGTACTCATTTTGCTGATGGGGAAATTGGGGTTTGGAAAGGTTGAATAACTTACACAAATACAGATCAGGAGGGGAGGTGGGAATATCCATATCTAGCTGACTCTGAAGTGCAGAGCTCATCCACTGAATAATGTTTGTACTTTATAAAATATCACCTCTATATAAACAGTAGTTTAAGTAAAATTAATGGGAATGATGTGGAATAGAATTGGAGAGGGGGCTAGTAGAACAATCTCTTCAGTGAATTATCCTGCTCACCCTAGAGAGGTAGAGGAAGCAAGCGAACTTCCCCTTGCTCTCCACATTTGTACAATTTAGGAGGTAGATGACATCTTGGGGTTTCCTTATCCAAGGTCACTGAGCTGGCATCTGCTCCCCAGGTGTTGCCCTTGCCTGGTGGTCAGTGGCCCTAATATGCTTAGCTAGGCCTGGCATCAAGGACCATGTGATTTCTGTGTCCTTTGATGAGAGTTCACCTACTGATAAGGCAAGCTGGAGGGAATAAAAAAACTCAGTCGGGAAAAGATCAAGGCTTGCATTAAGGAGGAAAGAAGTGTCAGTCACTCTGATAGGGAAATAGATTTTCGTGTTTCATTGCACAAGCATGCACATGTGCACTCAAAGCCTGCCACGTTTCAAAGCAGCCTTCAATGCCCTGGTGTTCTCTTGGAGGAGAGAGATCTGAAGCCTCTAAAAAGGCTGCAGGTATAGAGCAATTCACACAGGACACGGCCAACAACCCTCTCCCACTTCCTCTCTTCATCTCTCTTCCTCCCCGCTGTTCGCCTGTGCTTAGTGGTGGTGCTGAGGAGATGTTTGTGAATGTGCATGTGTGCACATTTAAATTTAAACATAAAAGGAAGGGGAAAAAAAGTGACAGCTTTGGACCAAAGCAGTAAATATTCATAATGAATGGAGGAGTCATCATGAAAGAGCAGGGGCACTTTAAGAAAAGCAAACCTCCTGAGGAAGACAGCTTTGTGGATTCTGTTTAGGATGGCAGCTTAAAAGACCCTTCATTTCAGAGCCAGGAAGAGGCAGAGCAAGAATTTGATATACCACACCAGCTTTTTTTCTCTCTTTTTTTCCTCCTTTCCCGTCTTCTTCCTCTGAATCCCATCTTGGCTGAGCCATGGCAAAACTAAATTAGAAAAACCTGCAGAGCATTGAGAGTCCAAATGAAGCACACAGCCAATTTATCACAACAGAGCCCAGTTATCTAATAAGCCCCGTATGTAATAAATGTGCTAAGTGCCCACCTTTAACTTCAGCACACAGAGCGGCAGCCAATGGTGGGAGATGGCAGAGTCCCTGACAAGAGGATGATGTCAGACTCAGCCTGAAGCACTCAGCATCTGGCTTGCATCACTGGCTCTGAAGGGTGCTGAGCCAAGGTGGATGATGTCGAGGTCTCTGAAGGCAAGGCAAACCACTGCTGAACATTTAGAACTGGAGCAGATGCCTGTTTACAGATAGCTTTGTAAGCTGAGCAATCATCACGAGAGCAGAACTGGAGAAGCTTGGGTGAGAACAGGTTTCTTTCTTGTTTTTCTGTTTTGGAAAACAGGTGTTTTCAGGAAGAAGAACCTTCATCAGCACACGTTTCCTATCCAGAGATGAAGACAAGGGTTTTTAGAGATTGTGCATTAGACTATTTTTCTGTCTAGCCAATAAGCAAAGGGAAAAAAATATCATCTGATAATGTCAAAGGGGTAGAGAGGCAGGATATGGTATTCTTAGTTTACCCCTAGGTAACCTTGGGACAACAGGGTTATTAATCAGAAACGAAAAAAGGCTCGGGGGTCTAAACAAAATAATCAGGTTGTAGGTCAGTCTTTCAGCTTATAAGGACAGCCGGACACATAGGGTGTCTCTAGAGTCCTGTTGATAATTAGATGATCTTGGTGGAACTCCACAGGGTCTACACTCAGATCATTAGGTAGAAGTGTATTTGAAACATAAAGGGTTGTTCCTATAGACCAATGGTTTTCAACTTCAGCTGTATATTAGAATCACCTGGAGAGTTTTCAAAATGACTGATGCCTGTATGCAACTCTAAGAGATACTGATTTGTTTTTCAGATATTTATTTAATTGGTTGGAGGTAAGGCTTGGGGTGAAGACATTTAAAAAGTCCACAGATGATTCCAATGATTCCAATATGCAGTGGAGTTTGAAAACCACTGCAGCAGAGTGAAGATTGGGTTAGAGTCCACAGAACCAGGAAGTACTGGAAATCCCAAGTTTTGAAATTGACCCATAGGAAGCAGGAATTAGGCTTAAAAACATTGTCATTTGTATAGGTCAAAAATGATGAGTCCTCAGTTAAAGGGTCCTCTAGAGTTTGTACTTGGTTCCTAGTCTTGGCCAATTGCTCATCTATATTTTCTTATCTAATGTGTGACTTATAATCTGCCCATACCTCGAATGGATTTGAGATAGCTTACAATAATAAAAAAGTCACACACATATACATATAATAAATTTTTAGGAAATAGAAAACATTAGAAAAAATTATTAAAATTGCCTTTAGGAATGACATATTAATATTAATAAACAGTATAGTTTTTGAGCTTCTGAAACTCCAAGGCAAAAGATAAATTTATTCTCCCTCTCTTTAAAGACAAGGCATATTCATTTTTAGGGACAGCACTGAATTCTGGATAGAATCTATTGTATAGATTCTAATAACAAGAGCCTTGAGTACACAAAGTAGACAAATGTTGTTTTTGTTGAAGTTGCAGTGATGATTTCAAGGCTACTATATGAAGTCATGGCTCATTGAAATAATTTTTATGCCACATAGCCTCCACTGGGGCCTGCACCCCAGTGACAAGCAGTGAGAGTTATAATGCCTCTGGGAAACTGGTACACCGTAAACTATCAAACTTCAAATTGGCATTCTCTCCTCCTTGCCTATTTAAAATTGAATTACTGTTAATATATCATTAGTACTTATGCTTCCTTTTTATTCTTTGCAAGGTGAGAATGGGTTTGTGATCATCGTCTACATACTTTTTTCTTTGCCCTCCTTGTGATCAACTATGCATTTGTGAGACTGATTGGTGGGGTTTGGGTGCAATTTGGGTCATGGAAAGTCATTTTTCCCCCAGTTTGCCTGGAATAAGTTCAAGATAACTTATTCATCCATCAAACATTGATTGAGAACAGATTATGTGCCTGTCACTGTGCTAATCATGGAAATATCAGTCCGTGTCGGCATGGAAATCAGAGACAATTGAAGCAATAGATACTTGGCAGTACCCTGTGATAAATATAACGGAAGCATGAACAAGACAGATAGCATGGAGAAAGAGAAGTAAGTTCTCCATAAGGAGAGTCAGGAAGGGCTTCCTAGATTAGATGATACCATGGCAAGGTTTGCAAAGATGAATCAAAATTTTCAGATGGACTATTGGGAAAGGCACAGTAGATGGGCGGGGTGGGGGCACTGCCTGGGCAGATGCCTGGGAGCTTTGAGGAGTAATACGCAGTTCACTGCAACAAGAGCTTAAAAGAGAAGACACATAGATAGCCAGAGGACATAGATAGCCAGGAAAATACAGAAAACATTGTGTTCTAGTACAATTTTGCATATAATCTTTATTCATTACACAAATATTTGAGTGCCAAGTATATGCCAAACTTGGGGAGGGGGGAAAACCAACCATAGTTCTGAGTCTATTTTTATAAGCTTTAAACATTTGCAATGCTGTTGTCATTTCTTTCCACTCTGAGCTAAGTTTAACCCAATTCCATCCTTCTGGGTGTTTCAAGCAGGGCCCATATGGATGGAGGCAGCTCTCTGCTATCAGAAATTCACCCCCCACCCCCACCCTATTCTCATGAACCACCAGAAAGATAAAGAAAGGAAAGGCAGCGTTGATTATTTTTCATTTAAGTCCTCCATCTGATTTTCTTTGAGGCCTCCAGAGTCTGTGCTAATTTCTATGGTGTGTCTAGGTCAATTCAATCCTTACGAATCTGTGTATTGTTGAAACTGGTGAAGACCATTGTTTGTCACTCAGATTCAGGCAGGGTGATAACAGAAAGTGAAGAGGGAAGGAGATGGATGGGCCTGACATTGCATTCACACTGGAGAAAACTAAAAATAGACCTGAAAGAATCCCCAGAGTCAGAGCTGATCATAACTGCTGGACCTACCCCCCGCCGGCCGTCCCAGTCCTCCCAAAGTAGGCTGCATTCTGTTACCACTTCGCCGGGGCTCTGCCTGAAGCCCGGTGTGAGGCTGGGATATCAGGATCATTTTCTGCATCCCATAGGATCTGGTTCCTATTGTCTGTTGCCTATGCTTTTCTCTTTATGGTACTCTGAGTGGATGGCATTGTAATTATGGTCATAAGTATTAGTAGCAGGTATGACAATGAGTGGAGCTCAAGTCTCTGGCTTTTATGTCAACAGAGAAAAGGGTTTTCATTTGTTTCAAATGTAAACAGATGCATATAGGCAGAGTTAGCAATAGATAGAAGAGTGGAGATAGTGGTTTTGTTCCCCCACACCCGCAAGCTTCTCAGTTATGCAAATTTTTCCCTATGTGACGAACAGGGAGCCTGCTCTCCTCTGGTGTCCCCTTTTTTTTTTTCAATACCCAGGCTTCTCCTGCTTTTACCTGAGAATGGTTTTGATAATGAGAGAATGGTAAGGGAAGATGTCACATTAGCTTTAAAGCTGTGCACCCTCAGATAGTGTTTTTGACTGAAACTTCCAGTAAGGGAGTCACCAATCAATCCAGCTCAATCCAATTTAATTCATAATTACTGAGTGTGTCTTTTACTAGCATGTGTAAGAGAGACAGCTGTGCTAGATGGACAACTTTACATGCAGCAGTACTAATTTTAAATATTCTGTGAATTTTAAATATTTGAAGTTAACTTTTTGCATTGTTTGGATCTTAAAGTATATGGTTTATATAAAAGAGTGAAGATGCTTAGACACAATTGTTGGCATTTAAGCAGTTCACTGTAAAGGTGGGGCAGTTGAGAACGAGGTGGGACATCTTCTCTGGGGAATAGGAATGTGAATAGAGGTGCCACCTGCCCCAGGCTGGCTTGGCTCCTCTTCCTCCTGCCTCATGCTCTGCCCTCTTCTGGCCTCCTTGGGCTTACTCTTGGCCAGCTCCACTATCCAGCTCCACCGGCCCCTCTCAGCCCACCTACAGAAGCTTCTTTTAATTTTTCCGTGCCTGTGTGTCTCTGCTCCTTCTCAAGCGTCCCAGATTCCAGTCTACCTCCATGTAGTCTACATTGTTCCTTCCTCCTTGCTCCTATATTCCTTTGGCTTCCTAGGTTCCCTGGTCTGTTCTTAGCTCAGAGTATGGATTGAGAGATTGGAGCATCTTACTATATGGTATCTACTTCTCCTTCACCTCTTCTCCCCTCATCTTTCCTTCCTAATTCCTTCTGGGAAGTCAAACCTTCCCAAGAAGAGGGGTTCATGTTTTTCCAATTTTGTGCTATCACTAACCTAGTCCTTATTTCAGTGACTTCTTTTGTTTTCTTAGATCTGATATCTGAGTCACTCCAGTAAACCTCATTTGCACTGCTTCACCACAGATCCCACCCTCTGGACTCTGAAGTCAGGCTGCTTGGGTTAAATCCTGCATGACCTTAGAAAAATTACTTAACCTTTGTGCCTTTATTTCTACTTCTTCAAAATAAGAAGAATAATAGTTCATACCCACTGCATAGTGTCTGTGTGAGGATTTGGTGAGATAATACATGCACAACACTTCACCAGTGCTGAACATAAACAAACACATATGCTGCTGCTTCCTGTTACCTATAGAAGGAGACACTGCTAGGCCAGGAGGGATACTAGGACCCTGTGTGCCTCATAGCTCCAAAACTTAATCCTTTGTGTCTGTGACTAAGAGCATAAAACCCGAGGTGGTAAATGCAATGTTGGGCTCCTGTGGTTTTGGACTTTTTTTTCTGGAGGTTTATGGCAGTACCAGAGTTGGTTGGGAAGGGATTAGAACTCTATTGGTGCTTAGTGTTTATCACGTCTATGTAAATTCTTGCAGGATAAAAAACACTTGGTAATTATGCTTGGCTGGTTTAGGAGAACAATTTTCCTCATACAAAATAATACCCTGACCTTGAAGAAAGAAGTTATTAGGCATTTACCCTCAGAAATGACATGTAGCTTTATCTGCAGAGACAGCAATAGATTAAAATATTAAAGGCCACACAGGCAGAAAGATAGAGGATCTAAACACAACTTAAAATATTATTTAAACTTAATGTTGTATTTATACATTTAATTCATTTTTATTAGCTACCAAGATATTTAACATAAAATAATTAGAACCTCAAGATTAAAACCAAAATGGTTACAATTTTAATTAAACCATCTCATAGGGAATTAGGCTGCATAATGAGAGGCAGCCTGGTGTAGTGGTGAGAGTCTCCTGGAGTCGGGGGACTGGAAGCACGGCTATCCACTCACAGATCTTTGGGAAAGTCTCTCTTGCTTCAGCCAACACCATGGACTTAATTGGTCAAAAGAGAGAAACTTAATTTTGATGAGTTCCACTTTTTAACGTAATAGAACTCCTTTTTTTTTTTTTTCTTTTTTTTGAGATGGAGTCTTGCTTCATTGCCCATGCTGGAGTGCAATGGCGCAATCTTGGCTCACTGCAACCTCTCCCTCCCACGTTCAAGTGATTCTCCCACTTCAGCCTCCCAAGTAGCTGGGATTATAGGCACCCACCATTATGACCGGCTAATTTTTGTATTTTTAGTTGAGATGGGGTTTCATCATGTTGGCCAGGCTGGTCTCAAACTCCTGAACTCAGGTGATCCACCTACCTTGGCCTCCCAAAGTGCTGGCATTGCAGGTGTGAGCCACCAAACCGGGCCTCCTTTGTTTTTCCTTTAAAGGAAGTCTTATATAGAATCCTAATACAGAAAAGAGAGTAAAATTAGCCTCTGCCTACTACCTATTCCCTATAGCAGCCAGCCCCGTTGCTGGTCCCCCTGCCCACTAAAGCCCCAAGGTACCATAGAACACAGAAACAGAACATACTATGAAAACTTGCCTAGGGGATCTTAATGTTTCTTTCCAGCTATAAAATTCTATGATTCTGATTCTAATATGTCCCTATCCTACATTTCAAAGTCGAGTGCCCCTTTTGTATTTTATTCAAGGATTTTTTTTTAAAGCATCCATGGAACTGGTTTTAGTAAAAAGAAGAAAAGAAAAGAAGGAATCTTTTGTCACCTGAATTGAATGTCTCTTGTGTCCCATCCTTCCTTTCTCATCTCATTTCCATTCTTCAACCAGCTCTAGTTGGAATTTGATCCCAGACTTCTTTGGAGCTATCATTCATTATGATGGTTTCGACTTAGACATCTAACTGACAAAAAGTCTCCTTCATCCACTGTCCTACTTAGCTTTTGCTTCCCAACTCCAAGTTTCCATCTTTGCTGAACAGCCTGGTAATTGTTTTTTTTTTATTATTTTTTTGAGATAGAGTCTTGCTCTTGTCACCCAGGCTGGAGTGCAATGGCACGATCTCGGCTCACTGTCACCTCCCCCTCCCGGGTTCAAGTGATTCTCTTGCCTCAGCCTCGTGAATAACTGGGACTACATGCACCCACCACCACAACAGGCTAGTTTTTGTATTTTTTTTTTGTGAGACGGAGTCTTGCTCTGTCGCCCAGGCTGGATTACAGTGGCACGATCTTGGCTCACTGCAAGCTCCGCCTCCCAGGTTAATGCCGTTCTCCCGCCTCAGCCTCCCGAGTAGCTGGGACTACAGGTGCCCGCCACCACCACGCCCAGCTAAATTTTTGTATTTTTAGTAGATACGGGGTTTCACTGTGTTAGCCAGGATGGTCTCCATCTCCTGACCTCGTGATCCGTCTCCCTTCCCACACGCCCCCCGGCCTCGGCCTCCCAAAGTGCTGGGATTACAGGCGTGAGCCACCACGCCCGGCCTTAATTTTTGTATTTTTAATAGAGACGGGGTTTCGCCATGTTGGCCAGCTGGTCTCAAACCTCTGACCTCAAGTGATCTGCCCACCTTGGCCTCCTGAAGTGCTGGGACTACAGGAGTGAGCCACCACACTGGGCCAGCCTGGTAATTCTTGAGTGACTCCTACCCGGGTTCCCATAGACAACTGACCAAGGCTACAGGGCCAGGGAAACTTGATAATTTCTTTTCTATTCCCTAGAATGCTGGGCCTGGCTAAGATCTGGTGTTGTCATTACATGTTGAGGAATAATCAATTGTCAGTTAAATTTACTGTGAATAAATGAGATATGTAAAAATTACTTGGCATGGTGCTTCACTTGTAATAGATAATCGATAAATGTTAGTTCTGCCTTTCCCTCCTTTCGCATGCTTTTCTTCCCTTTGGGCCTATCCAGGACAACTATATCCTCAGATAAAGCCTATAGGATGTCAGTCAAGGAGCTAGGTGGCTGTAATTCCTTTTAAGACTACCTTTAGCCACTGAATAAATTCATCTGATAGCCTCTGTAAAACCTTTTTTTGTTGTTGTTTTTAAAGCAAGGTGAGATATACCTACTGCGGGCATTTATGAAAAAAAAAAAGACTTCTCAAATGGTTAAGTATACTAAACCAGTTTCCTTCTTAGGTATCACTTTCTCTACACTCAGTGCCATATATATTCTTCCTTTGAAACCACTTTTTAAGGTGATAATTTCTTCTTTAGTTCATATAAAGCAGGGAACATTCTTAGTATCAAATAACAAAATTGTATTCCATTATAAACTCTTATTTCAATTGCTTTTAACAATCTGCAAATTTGTCCATTGGGACTACTTAACTACTGTGCTCAATTGCCCAAATATGGATTTGGAAAAGAAAAGAATGGGGTATTGAGATACATACATTAAAATATTCTCACAACTACATTCAGCATTTAAATACTAAGAATGTTGGTAGAAAACCATGGCTGGGTTTTAAAATCTGCAATTCTATAATGGAGCTAATTCACAGTGAGCAAGATGTTGTACTGCCCCAGACAATGCTATTCAGTGATTAGGAAAAGGTGCCTGTTTTTCTGAGGGTTCTACCCCATGCCAGGGAACTAGACATGGTAAGTAAAGATTGGACTGGATTTCGACTCCTACATACTCAATTGCGGAGATTCTTGTGCAGGCTTTTAGATAAGGCTGGTCTGATCAATAATCTGTAACTGTTCTAAAGGAGGAGACAAGGTGAGAACAGTCTGAAGCCTTACTGGTTTAATCTTTCCTACTGTGGCCAAGTCTGCAGGTCTCATCTACCCCTTCCATGATCAGGACATTTCACGCATCCTAGTCTGTCAGGCAGTTTTTCCAGTTGCTGTCACTTGATCTCAACTTTCACACTTTTCACTGGGTCCTATACTTTAAGTCTTCTCAGGCTCTTCCTCTTGGACCATCCATTGTTATTAAAAACATCTCTAGATAGTTGTATATTTGTTTTAATTCTGCATGAAAATATTAAAATTATCCATTTTGTTTTGCAAGTAACATGTAAAGTTCCAGAAAAATCAGAAAATGTGTGTCATAAACATAAAGAAGATAAGTTACCCATAATATTATTAATGAGAAATAACATCACTAGATCAATACTCAGCTTTTGCATACACCCTTCTCAACCTTCTTATATTTATATTTGAGTATAGGAATCATCATATTTATATATTTTCCAAAATAAGTGTTTGCCCCCACCTCCTTTTTTATTTTTTAATTCAGCTTCACCTCGGAAGGTGTCCTTTGAGATAAAAAGTAAACTCAGGTTAGGTTTTTTTTTAAAAAAAATACATGGAATGTTATAAAAAATTATCTATTCTTCTTCATAAGTTGTTTCAGCAAATTTTACTGTATTTTCAAACCTGTAATCTGTAATTCAAACATATATCCACTATGCTGAGTCCAAAATATGGTTCCTGCTTTAATAAAATGGTACAGCAATCCCTCTGACTTCACAAAATAAAACCTGTTCTCCCAAGGCTAGAGTGGATCTATGGGCTAGGGGTACAAATAGGGATGTATACCTCACACATACAAATAAAAGTAGGACCCCTGCTATTTTTTCTTCGGTGTATTTTGGCTATAGGTGCACCCATTGACTTTCATTTCACATCAGCTGGATCAATACTTGGCTTTTGCCTGCATAATATTAATTGAGTCTTATGCTTAGAACCCTACAATTCCAACAGCTGCTTCAGTAGAAATTGGGAAGCACTGATTTGAAGCCTGAAAAGTAAGAAATTGCATTTGCATTACATTGCATTATTGAATTGATTTCATTTCTAGCAGTTTATGTTTTAATAATTGCCTATGTCCAGTATGCTCTCATTACTTGTAGCTTAAATAAATTAGTACCAGGAATGTGTATCTGTTACATCACTGCAGTGCCTTTGGAAATAACCTCAGAATGCTTTATTATGGGGACTTTATCTTCCAGCTGCAATGTGGTTTTCTTGTTTTAACCTTAGACTAAATAAATAAATAAATTGCAAGAAAAATAAAAAATGAAAAATAAAAATTACTTCAGAGATCATGAATTTTTCATTGTGCTTCAATAATTCTTCTGAAAACCCAATGCTAAATAAAAAATAACTATTTGTGCATACTTATGTAAACACACACACACACACACACATGCACACACACACACACTTACAATATGTTTTCCTAAAGAAGAATTAAAGACAAAAAGAGAGAAGGGGCAGAGGAGAAAGGAGATATGGAGGAAAATGTGCCATGGTGATAATTTAAGGTTACAATAATTTTTTTATTATTAAGAATTGGTTCCTTAGGACATAAAGTTACATTAAACAAATATATTTTGTCAACTGTCTTCACAGTTGCCAGAGAAGGCAAAGTGTATACGTGTTTGTGTGTGTGTGTGGTGGTGGTGAAGAAATGGGAGAATGTTGGTCTTCTAAACCCAATTAAAATTTAACGCTTGTGTCTTTTTAGCTGACATCTTCGTTTTGGGGGAAAGATTGAGGAAATGCAATTCACAGATGCTCTTTACAAAACAAAGATATTTTCCTCCTGCTGTAGCTTCTCGGTTTGGTGCAACTGCTAATAGTTCACATAAAGGCACTTGGGATGCAGTTTTAGGCTGTAGTGTTCTGAAATCCCCTTGAAAAAACTCCTTACCAGTTTATATATTTATTTATTTTTCTAAAGATATGTTCTGGACGCTGGCAAATTGGTCTGCTTCTTAAGATTCATGTTGGTGCTTTGCTGATGGCCTCTAATACCCAGTTTAAATACACAATAGTCAGAAGGTTTAAACACACCATGTTAATCCAGCATCAGAGATCTCTGCTTGGCTGTTTATTAAAATAAAATTGTACCTGTATGAACTGGAAAGGGGCACACAGTTGCCGTTAACTGCTTTACCAAATTGATTCTGACTCACTCGTTTCAAAATGAAAATTGAAATGCTTTAGCTGTTTTTTTTGGTGGGGAATTTGCTTTACTTAGCACTAAGTGGGTATCATTTCTTGTGATTACAGAAAAATGCATCATAACTTTTGATTATGCTGCTATTAAGGATGCATGGTAGCAATTGCTAGCACTCGTAAAGTACTGCTAGTGGGTTCTGTGTAACTCATTTTTATTTGGAACTGAGTGGAGAAGGAGAGTATGGATGAAGTCCATACTTCAAGTCTTGACTTGCATAATGAACTAATTCACCTGGGACAACAAGGGACTGGGAGAGAACAGTTTTTGTCAATAGATTTTCTTCCCACTTTAACCTTGGCCCCAGCTGCCACTTACCCCTCTGCGCCTCTCCCAAAGTCAACCCATCAGCCATTCCTACATTTTTTTATTCCTTTAGTAAAAATGTACAGAGGCGTACTATGTATAAATATTGGCTAGATATGATGGTGTCAAAATGAAGGAACATCCTTGTTCTGTAGTTCACAATGCAAGGTAAGAGATACCTACGTAATAATTTATAAATCACATAAATTAAAAGTAAATTGGATTAAAGGTGGAAAAGATGACCAGAGCCTGGATTTCTGAAAAATTAGCTTCTGTCCTCTCATTAGATTGCAAATATCATGAAGGCAGGGATCATGCTTATCTTGTTTCCTTCAGTGTCTTGATCACACAACATAGGATACAGTAAGCACTTGATAATTAGCCATTCAGTAAATGAATGACACATAGTGGTGTGCTTGCCCCAGCTTACACCTTCCTGCAAGAGCCAGTTATGCATCTCTCTCCTCAACTCTGTGCTCAATGATGCAAGTTGGTAGCTTGAAATTGGTCATGGTTGGAGTACTTACACCACAACAATTGGAAAACATGACAAATCAATGCTTTCCCCCCAATGGCTGATTGTTAAACATTTACCAAAATAGATGGGAAAAAGAGAGGGGGAGAAAGAAAGAGACAGAATATGAGAGAGACAGTTAAATGCATATTTGCTCTTACAAATGAGACTTTTGCTACAATACCTGTGTAACCATCACATGAGCTAGGCTGCCAACCAGAAAGCCTCCTTTTGCTTTGGCTAGAGGCAAGCTAAAATATTTCATTTGCCCTAGATCTACATTGGGAGAAAGTAGAGTCCATACAATTTTTCCAGAGGAAGAGTAAGTCTGACAGTATTTCTCTATTCTGTGCTTGCCTATCACGTGTATCTAATGTCTTTCCAGGGGAAGCCTCGAGCTTCTTATAGCCATAACAGTGTGAGAGAATAAAACATAAGGGATCCAGCCTTCTAGGGGCTGAGTGTTGGAACATGTCAAGTTATCACTGTGAGTTCTTGAACTTCAGCATTGTAGCCTAATAAAAATTGTTTGTCCTAAATCCTGATGTAACCATGGGAAGAAGTTGAAAAAAGTAGGGAAAGAAAAGAAATCAGGCATTCTGGGCAGAGAATAGGGTGTGAGCAAAAGCACAGAAGTGGAAAGACCTAGTGGGTATTCAGTGAGCAGCCCAATCTGTAGGAATGGACAGAGAAGTGCCTTGAAGACAAGGGCAAGTTTGGTCTTCAGTTGGTCATAGAGACCACGAGAGCCTTCTGATTATTTTGGTAAAATAACTGTTGGTATGTAAGATGGTTTGGGCAGGGTACAAAGAGACTGAAGGCAAGGTGGCCAGTGTCCTATTCAGGCCAAAGGTACCAAGGGTTTGAATTAGGAGAATAGCAGTGGAATTGGAAAGGAAAAATGTATTCAAGAGTTAAAAGCTTATTTGAAAACATATGCAGTATGGTAGGTGAAGGAGACCTGAGGGTGACACCAGGTTTTAAAACTGGTTTTGCAGGATAATACTTTTCCTACCAACAAAACCACAATAAAAATAGAAAGTCTTAAGATGAACTTCATGGCAGATACTGTAGCCAGCATCTGTTTAAACCCCTTTTTCTCTTTCCTTTGTCATTATTGATAGCTAAAACCTCATCTTCCCAGATTTCCTTTCCATGTGATAGAGTGGTCATGTGATAGAGATGGTCATGTCCAGACAGGGTACTAGACAATGCAACATAAATTGAAGTCTGTTGTGATTTCTGGATAAACCATTTGTTTTCCTGATAGAGAAGCTACTTTTTCTGTTTTTTTTCCTGAAATTTTCTCCTGCCTGGAAAGCAGAGACGATGGTTAGAACTATAGTTAGCATACTGGGATCATGAAGGAAAGGCCAAAAGTATTTAGAGATTTCAGCCTTGGTGTCTTTGGCTCACTAAATTATAGTCAGCACTGTCTACCTATGGATTTCTTGTTGCTGAAAAATTAAATAAACAACAACAACAACAAAACAAAAATAAAAGCACAGCACTTTGTATGTTATGCTCAGTTTCTTTTTACTTATAATTGAATGAAATGTAATTAATACAATTGGTAACAATGGTGAATTTGGACTTAGAAATGTTAAATTTGAGAGTAATCACAGAATATCTGGGTAGAACATGTCAGCAAAGATTTTAAAATTGCAACCTAGCTGCACATACAAATTACCTGAAAAGAAAAAAAATTGCTTGTACTTACCCCTGGCTAATTAAATCTGAATCTCTAGGGGTGAAGCCCAAGTGACTCTGATGTTTAGGCAGGGTTGAGAATCATTGGTCTTGAGCAGGCAGCTCCTGAGATGTGGATAAAGCCATCTCTCTAATAGTTGGAGCTGGGAAATGAATAAAATCTCTAATGAGGAAGATAGAAAAAGGAGCAAAGGATACTCTTGAATAAATTAGAAATAAAACTTGAAGGGAAAGAGGAGCGGTGGAGGACTAAATGTGTCATTGAGGAGGAAGCAGTAATATTAATAAAATTGTGCTGCATACTGAGCATTTCACATGTAAGTTAATTACCTCCCCCAGGGTTCCACAAAAATCAGGAGATTGATCCAGGTTTGTTTGATTATATAAAGTCTTTCTTGCTTCACAATTGACTTCCTACTCAACAGATCCAGTATGATCTTCAAAAGTCCATATCCTTTTAAACTTTTTTTTGCAATATGTGATACTCTTGGCCATTTCTCATCTTCATTTCTTAAAATTATTCTTCTTTGGCTTCCATTATTCAACATAACACTAGTTTGGTTTTCTTGTAAATATAGCTAAGATTTAGTAAGCATAATTATGTGTCAGGCACAGTTCTAAGCATGTTGTAAGTATTCACTCATGTAATCCTATCAATAGCCCTAACAACTGCCCTATGAGGCAGGTACTGTACCTTGTTATTTTTTTTTTTTTTTTTTTTTTTACAGGGAAACAAATGCATAGGCCAAAGTCACAGAGCTGGTAAGTGGCTGAGCTAGTATTAAACCAGGAAATGTTGCTCAAGTCTGTGTTCTTAACTACTGATCTGTGTAGTATGATGCTTAAATATATATGCTTTGAAGCCTAACGAATTTATTAGCTGTGTGACTTGAGATGAGTCATTTAACCTCTCAGAGGTGGAGATGTGTGATGGTAGAGAAGGAAGTCGAGAGTCCTTGCTTTGATATCTCTATTTCTACAGAGAATCAGGAGGTAAAATCACTAGAGGAGAAGTACTGGGATGGGAAGCTTGAGGACTGTTTGAAATAGTTCTTGAAGGAAATGGAAGAGGTTGCTATCCAGGGATATACTGACAATTCTTGAGGCACCATGGGGAAAGGCAGGCTGAGATCAGAAACCAAGAAGCTGTGGCACCAATATGAGAGACTATGGGGTTTTCTCCAGTAGAGCTTGAAGGTCTAGGTTTAGGATCAGAATAGGTAAATAGTTGAATGGATTAAGAGTTGGCTGATTGAGCATAGAGGAAAGACAAGAGGTAAGTTGATTGAAGATGTTAACAAGAAAGAGGTTAATGATGTAATTTGTGTTTTATGGGCTTGAAAAGTAAAGAACTGAAATCAAGAGGAGACAAATTTTGGAGAAAATTGGGATCAAGAAAGTGGTGCTCTGGATGAAATTTGAACAACCGATGTTATTCAAGTTAGGGAGTGGTAGAATTAGAAGATTAGTAGGTAGTGACTGATGCAGGCATAGATGCTGGGATCCTTTAAATTAACAGTCTACAAAGTAGAGCAGTTCCCTGTGGATTGAGGTCCAGGGTGTGGCCATTAGTGTGAATTATTCCAGGGGAGTTAAAAATGGCTGGAATTGAAGAGGGAGGGAATTGAGACAAAGTTGATGGAAGACTCTCTTTACAGGGAAACTGAAGCCACCCATGGTGGTCATAAAATCTGAATTAGAGCAATTGGCTGAACCAAATACAAAACCTTCAGTCAAGATGACTAGAATGTACACAGGTGCCAATGGGGAGAGGGAGAAGGAAACTCGCTAGATGCTTTAAGGGTCTACAGAGAAGATATTTACACAACAGCAGGAAAAAAATGTCTAGAAAAGAGGACATCTTGGAATTCTGAAACATAAGGGAGGGAGAGCGTGAGAAGGAAAAAATACGAGGACTTTGAAATGTGAAGAAGCTAAGATAGACTTATTGTCAAAGGGATTTTAGAGGTAGAAAGACACGACGGATCACCTAATTCAAACTTCTTGTTTCAAATGGTAAAGAGTGAGAGGGGCAAGCTATTCTCAAATTTATACCACTAGTTAGCAGAACCTAGGATTATTCATTCACTGGTTATTCATTATTAATTCATCAAATATTTATTGAGCAACTAGTGTCAATCTTTAAGGATACCAACATGAATAAATCTCATTACCTGTCCTCAAGGAACTTATAGTATGGTGGAGAGAGGTGGACAAAATCCAAAATGTAATTACAATGTAATGATATAAAGGGTAGGAGAGGGCCTTACAAAGAATGCTTTGGAAGTTTGAAAATGAGCCTCATGCCTAGAGGGAAGGAGCAAGCAGAGTTGGTTGATTGTGGTATGGGTCCAGGTAGAATTGGAGCAATATAGCTAGCACATGCTAAATTTGAGCAAATTAGACAAAGATGCTTTTTCTTTCAGGCTAATGTGGCACCTAGCCAGGGCATAGAGCTCAGCAAATTGACCCTAAGCTGGATTTTCTCTAGTTCTTGCCTACTTTTCCTCAACCTTCTGAAATGTAAGTGGCAGTTCTGGGTAGGGGTAGGTAGAGTACCTGTTATCAGGGAAGACTTCACATAGGAGGTGGATTTAAACCATTCTTTGCTTTCAAGTCCAAAGCTCCATTTAATTTCTGATAGCTGAAGAAGTTAACATCTTCTGCTCCACAAAGGAGGAACCTGAGCCATCTACTTAGAGGGAGGGCCTTGAGTAGTGTAGGAGAATTAGAGAGTTGACAACTGTGGAAAACACTAGCAACTGTTCCCTCAAAGTTTTAAAACAGAAGAACCAGGGACAGAAGGTACTGTTATTAAATTTATATCAGAAGCAATTTTTAGTCTTTCAGTTCATCCAGCTGTGGTAGTCTATGATGCTTCTTGGCATCCTAAAGAAAGGGTGATACAGCATCACTCTCTACTTGCTATTCACCTATACTCTACTCTATCTTTATCATTTAGGTTTTCATTCATTTTTCAAAAGGGCAGTAATTTGGAGACACTGTTGATCATAAATGGTAAAGTGGTTTGGACCTAAAGAAGAATTATAGTCTCTCTTCCTGGCTATGCAGGCATGGCCACAGAGCAGTTTTTCTTAAAGAAAATTGATTTAACTAAAATACACTTTACCAGTGTGACTGTATAATTGCCTCTAAAACATCTCTATGGAATAGTAGGGTGGTGAATAGCCTAAAGAAAAAGGATATAATGTAATGAGAGAAACTAGAAGAAAGTGTTAACTGGCCAAAGCAAGACAATATTAGAAGCAAACTATTAGTGAGAATAGATGTAGTAATGTGGTAAAACCTTTAAATCTCAGCAGCTTAAAATATCAAAGGTTTATTTCTCTTGTTGCTGTATGTCGCACGTTGGCTAGAGCTTCTACTTCACATCATAACCTGGTCAGACATGCAGACTAAAGAAACCATATCATCTCCAGAACTACTGGTTGCTGAGGCAAAGGGAGAGAGAGAATGTGCAGTGTCTTGCACTGGGAATAGAATGTGTCTGTCCTCAAGTAGCACATGTCACTTCTGCTCAATTTTGTTGGTCAAAGCAAGTCAGATGCCATGTTCAACTTCATGGAAGTAAGGAGGTACAATCCTGCTGTGTGCTGGTGAGGAGTAGAATTAAAGTATTTGGCATATAGAATTAAGACTATCAGACTTCTTACAGCATCTTTAATGCTGTTTCTCCCTTCATCAACCTACTCTATAAACTTCTATCATAGTAATCTTCCTAACACATGGAATTCCTCTACCTAAAATCCTTCACAGATCCTCTTTACCTTATGAATTACGCCCTGAATCTTTAGCTTCACATTGCAGGTTTCTTACCGTCTATTCCCAGGAAAATCTGGGATGTCGACCCTCACTCTCTACTCGCTATTCAGCTATACTCTACTCTATCTTTATCATTTAGGTTTTCATTCATTTTTCAAAAGTAAGCCCCACAAAGCAAAGGGTTTTTCAGTTCTTCCCTTCAACATCAGGATCTTGTCAGTGTTTTTCAAAGCATGCGTTACATAATAGAAGTTTATACCCATGCCTCTTTCCCATTATATGGGAAGTACTTTGAGGACAGAAACTATCTTGTCATTATACGGTTCCCTTTGTTAAGCTTTGAGCGCAGTGCTTGATGTATGGCAGGTATTCAGTTCATTGAAGGATCTTACGTTGTCTTTCTTGATTTGATCTGGTTGAACCTTAATCTACTCTCTTCTTCATGCCTTGTTTGTAGCCCCCAGGGATGTTCATGGTCAAAGTAGAGGTATCCTGTTGGTGCTCACTATTAATGTTCTGAGTCAGATGTTTGATACTGGGAGCTGAAATGTTTTTAACTGTTATTAAAAATGGTGCTATTAAAAATAAATAGGGAATATAATTGGTTGGAAAGTCATGAGGAAAGGAGGAGAAAGAAATAGAGAGAAACTGTAATACTCCTTTCTAAGAAAATCAGAATGATAACTACCATCAGACTAATTTTCATAGATAATTGCACTTTAAATTTTGTTTTCGTCACTAGACTCTGGATATTTAGAGAGAACGGAGCACATTGAGTCATCTTTATATAAAGTACATACACCATGGTGCTCAATACAAATGAGTTTCTTTTCTATTTTCTGTTAAATCTTGGCTTCTCCCTGGTTATGTATGTAGGTTGTGGTCATATGGGGCTAAGTCAGAATGTTCATTTTATAAAATTAGACATGTCAGAGACCTAAGAAACTATTTACCTTTTCTTATCTTATTGGTGAAGAAACTGAGATCCAGAGAGAAGAAGCAACATTTTCCTTTCAAGTATGCTATGTGAATATCCACAGATTTCATTGACCTCTTTCCTTCCCAAACTTCTAAAATGCAAAATGATAATGATCACTAATAATTGGATTCATTAGTGGGATCAGATTAATCACTTTTGTGAGTTTATTGAGTAGATGTTAAGTGTTAGCTACCTTGCAGATTGCTGGAAATGGAAAGAAAAAGGACACAATTTCCTTTATATAATTCCTCTGAGTTTAGTTTACAATGTGTAAGGTTCCCTGCTGGGTGCTGAGTGGGAGGCTATTCACCACCCTACTGTTCCATAGAGATGTTTTAGAGGCAGTTATACAGTCACATTGGTAAAGTGTATTTTAGTTAAATCGATTTGAATGGGGGTTTATTTATTGAATTTTCTAGTTGGTGGTTTAACAATTTCAAGATAAATTAGTTTTTTAAAATTAACAATAGGACATGATGATAAACTGTATAATGAGACTGGACATTCATTTTAAGCATAATTTCAAAACAAAATGAACTTACCATAGGGGAACATTCAAAAGCCAAATACTTTTGACTGCTAATCTCTGCTTTTCTGAATTGAAAGCCTAGGTTTGGGAATATAACACTCTGTTGGTGAGTTTCTGGACAGAAGCAGCAGTAGCAGAAATAACAACAGTAATAACATCAACAAGACCTCACAATTTTTTTTTAATCTTAAAAGAGTTCTATATTAATCTATGTGTTTTTTAATTGGGAAAAGAGGAAGAGCTATATGATAATCAGCATATTCATTTAGAATCAGGGAAGGGCAGAAGGACTAGAAAAACACTCAAAGAAATGTTATATTAGCACTGATCTCAATCATAGATAAAATCCAAATGTGATTCTAAGGGTTTTGTTTCACAGACAGCAAAGGGGAGCTCCTACAAAGGGAGAGAGATGTTGAAGGTGAAAATGAGGTGGTGGAACTACTCGGGAAATTAAAACTGTAATAAGGCACCAGTGGGTTGTGTTTCTGTCCCTTTGCAATAACCGAATGTGAACAAAAGGGTCAGAGGGCAAAGGCTGAAGTTCAGCTTAGAAAATGAGGGCTGTCATGCGGCTTCAGGCTGTGCATATGGCAGGTGGAACCAGGCTGACAAATTAGACAGCTCTGGACAACCTTCATGGTTGAAAATCGGGACTCTTCAGTTTGCTACAGAAGAGAGGGTATAGCATTTGTAGGAAAGAGGAACAGCACCATTTCACAAAGGTTTTAATATGAGCAACATGCTAGCTCTGCTTGGAGGAGACGGAAACGGAGAAAGAATTAGGAAAGTGGGTGTTTGGTGTGAGACTGAGAGTGCAAAAGGCAAAAATGAAAATAAAGAAGAAAAGAGGAATGAGAGAGAGAGAAACAGAGTGTGAGAAGGTAGAGATAAAAATGATGTGAATGAGAGCCAACATGAGCAAGATAGGCTGTGAGAGGAGAAATAAATGGAAAGAGCTAGCAAAAATGTGTTGGGAGGAGGAGAGCACTAGACAAAGATTAGAGATTTAGAGATAAGGAGAGAGGGTCAGAGGAAAGAAGACCGGAGAAAGCCAAAAAAAAAAAAAAAAAAAAAAAAAGAAAGCAGGCGCTCCACTGTAAATTCAGGCCTGTTTCAGCATATACAATTTCTAGGGAGCTGCTAAGAGCTATCTCCTGTCAGCTGGTGCCAGGACATGCTGGGAGTAATGGAGGGACAGTCAGAAGCCAGGAGTGAGCACTGGGTTCAGGCACACAGGTAGCTCTGGTTGATTGAGCTGAGCCCGATTGAGCTGAGCCCTTGTAATGACAGAGGAGGAACTGCCTCCATATGCTAAAACCAGACGATTATTCTTTATTTTTTACTTACAAGCTATCTTTGTTTCATGTGCTCTCAAAAGCCATTAAAATGCTTGTAGCAAAGCTTCATGGTTGCTATGTGCACTGGTCATAATATTCAGGCCAAGGGGTTATTATAAGGGAGGGAGATAACAGGTTTTCCCAAGTGGAGATTTAAGTAATACTTAACAGTGTGGGCCATCTGGTGAATTCCATGGAAAACAAATTGCCTTTCATAAGCATTTTTACTATCTCTACGCCTTGCTAATTTCGGTGGACAAACTATTCCTTAAGGGGTTTTGCACAGACAAAGAATAGAGGGCAGCTTCTCGGTCCTTTCCTTTGCTTCTCTAGGCTCCAGAAATGTCTTTATTTTCCAGCTTGTCAGAGCCACAGTGGTCAGGATCATTTGCTCTCTTTAAGAGTCCAGGTGACATCCACTATAGTCTTAAAAGTATTGATTGAACACCTACTATGTGATCCAATAATGTTGGATGCTATGAGAAGGCATAGAATTATAAGAAATAGTCTTGTGGACTGTGTCAGTGAGTATAAATTTACACCTTTGAATGTTCTATATCTTCATAGGGACTTGGCATATACACAGATGTATGCATTTTTCAAAATCAAATACAAATACACAGTTAGGATTGTACATTTCATTGTATTTAAATTTTACTTCAAAGGAAAAACAACTATAAATAAATATTGAGGCTTATTTACTGCCATGCATACTGAAATATTAAGGGTGAAGGGTACTGATATCTGCAATTTACATTAAAATGCATCCATAAGAAAATGGGCTGATGAATGGAGAAAGGAATGAATCAGTGAATAAATACGTGATAAAACAAGAGCAGTAAAACATTGAAATCCAGGTTGTGGGTATATAGGTGTTCACTGTAAAATTCAACTTGAACTGCTTAATTTGCTTCCTGAAATAATGAGTAAAAAATTAAAAGCTATTGATGTGGCATTAATTCTAGGAGTTAAGAAAAGAAAGTGGTGGGGTAAGAAATGGAGAAAGAGATGTGGACAGAAAGAAGATAATAAAGGGTAATTCTATTAGTTATCTATTGCTGCACAACAAATTACTCTAAAACATTGGCTTAAAACACCACATTTTTACTAATCTCATCATTTCTATGTCAGGAATCCAGAAATGCTTAACTGGGTAGTTCTGGCCCAGAGTCTTTCCTGAGGTTGCAGTTAGGATGTGTTCAGGTAGTTTAGTCATCTGAAGCCTTCCCTGGGGCTGGAGGATCTGCTTCCAAAATGGTTCACTCACATGGCTTTTGGCAGGAAGCCTCAGTTCCTCACTACGTGGGTCTCTCCATTTGCTGCTTGAGTGTCCTCACCACATGGCAGCTGGCTTTCCCCAGAGTGAGTGATCCAAGACAGGGAGCAAGAAGGAGATGCCATGCCTTTTACAAGCTAGTCACACACCATCACTGTTGCCATATTTGATTTGTTATATGCAAGTCACTAAGTTCTGCCTATGCTTAAAAAGAAGGGAATTAGGCTTCACCTTTTGTAGGGAGAAATTCTGAAAATTTTTGGGTATGTTTTAAAACCACTATAAAAGCTTAGGTGAGATTTTAGTAGAATTGCTTGCTATCATAAGCAGATGGTGAAGGAATCTTAAGTTTCAAGGGTTGCTTAGACCCATGTCTGAGGAATGAAAGACAACAGAATTAGGAAAAACTGTAACAAAGACACCGACTTGATCTTTGTGAAGCCAGGTAGGAAGGCAAGGCTGAAGAATCATGCCAGAAAAACCTCCTCATCTAGATGATTACAGAATTCCCACTGAAGCATCTTGAGTTAGGGTTAGGTGAGGTTGTGAAAAAGTTTAACCTTGGCTCTTTAAAGAATTGAGATGAAATTCACATGACATAAAATTCACCATTTTAATCATTGCAAAAGCATACAGTGCAAAACTATATAATTCAATGTTTTCAGTATATTCACAATGTTGTGGAATCATCACCACTATCTCATTTCAGAGAGTCATGCCAAAAGAAACCATCTAATCATTTAGTAATCACTCCCAGTTTTCCTCTTTTCCCCATCTCCTGGCAACCATTAATCTATTTTCTGTCTCTATGGATTTGCCATGACTATGTCGTTTGGGGTCAAGAAGTAAAAGGGAACCAAGGTCAGACTACCTGTGAAGAATGGCTTGACAAGGATGGGAAGGTGGGAATTGACAAGTCCAAGAGAAATGGTAGAAGAAAATAATATCCATAGTAACAGAAAAGATGGAATAATGTAAGTAAATTTACATAAGTAGTTTGAGGCCATATTAAAAACTTGAACACAGAGAATCTGAATGGTTCTACGCTTAGATGTTACCTGAAAATTAAGGATAATTATAGAGCTTCACTGGACTCTATATTAAAATTTGCTTTGAAAGCACATCTCCACATTATCCTTAGTACTTGAGGATAGATACAGCTATTTAACTGTTCAAAACTATTTAGCTATTCAAAATTGGATTTGTTTTTCCAATACGAAATGTCATCTGGTTATTTTAGGAGCATAGATAAGAATTTGGTGGAGAACAACTGACTAGGAAGATTGAGATTAAAAGTCTAGTGTTATTTGTCAGTGCAGTGATTGTCCACATGATATAAAGTTGGGTGTGCACAGCAGCACTCCATCATGAAATGGAAGTGGTATAGACGTGATCAGGTCCGAACAGGTCCTGAAGCACAAGTGAGTTCCAAGAAGTGACCCAAATGCCCATGGTCCCCAGTTAAGAAATAAGCTGAGTTAAGAAATTACACATAATTCATAGTGTCATTGCTGTTAAAATTTTTCAGAATTTCTCCCTATGAAAGGTGAAGGCTAATTCCCTTCTTTTAAATGTAAAGGTGTAAATTTATACTCACTGACAGTCCACAAGGTGATTTCTTATAATTCTATGCCTCTCTCATAGCATCTAACATTATTGGATCGCATAGTAGGTGCTCAATCAATACCTTAATGGTATTGGTGGATGTCACCTGGACTGTTAAAGAGAGCAGATGATCCTGACCACTGTGGCTCTGACAAGCTGAAAAACACAGACATTTTTGGAGCCTTGAGAAACAAAAGAAAGGACAGAGAAGCTTGCCTTCTATCCTGATCACTAAACTACCTGAGCACATCCTGACTGCAACCTCATGACAGACCCTGGGCCAGAACTACCCAGTTAAGCATTTCTGGATTCCTGACATAGAAACTATGAGATAGTAAATGTGTGATTTTTTAAGCCAATATGTTTTCAAGTAATTTGTTATGCAGCAATAGATAACTAATACAACTATCCCTTATTCTTTCTGTCCACATCTCTCCCCATTTCTTACCCCATCACTTTCTTTTCTTAACTCCTGGAATTAGTGCTACAGCAATAGCTTTTAATTTTTTACTCATTACTTCAAGAAGTAAATCAAGCATCTCAAGTTGAATTTTACAGTGAACACCTATATACCCACCACCTGGATTTTAATGTATTATTGCTCTTTATCATATAATTATCCATTGATTCATTCCTTTCTCCAGCCATCAACCCACCTTCTTTTGAATGCATTTTAAATTGCAGACATCAGTACCCTTCACCCTAAATATTTCATCCTAAATATTTCAGTATGTGAGACAGTAAATAAGCTTCAATATTTATTTATAGTTATTTTTATTTTGAAGTAAAATTTAAATACAATGAAATACATGATTCTAAAGGTCAAGTATATCTCTGGATCTGATCCTCTTAGCTTTGGATTTCAGCTCTGTGACCTCAAACGACTTAACCTCTTTCTGCCTTAGTTTCCTCTTTTGTAACATAGGCGTAATCATGCGCTTATTTTTAGCAATGTTAGGTGGACTGAATAAGTCAACATATTAAAGACCTGCAAACAGTGCCTGGCACATTCTAAGCTCTCATAGATGTTTACCCTATCACTTCTTGGCTTTTTGGCTAAGATCAAGTATAGGTGTTTGCACGGATAAACTTATTATTAAAGGAAGCACACTCTTTGGGGGAAACTAAAGAGATGCAATGTTTCTGTAATCCAATTATTTTAACATATAAAATCCTGCATCTTTTATAGTAGGTCTCTGGGCAGATGGAGTTTTAACTGTTGACAGTGTAAGACTGTGTGAATGATGCTACTGCAGATTCAGTCACAGTGTCAATCTGCTGACAGTAACTGTTTCCCTTTGACATTTCTCAAAACCAGGACACCATCTTGAATGCTTCAAGTGTGAGAAAGAATTCCTCAAAGAGACTATAAGCTTTAAAAATATTAATCTGCATCTGGAATCACTCCTGTGAACATCACATTTTATGATACAGATATCTCCTGGGATCTCTGCATCATCAACTTTTTAAAATATTGAATCTATATAATGGAGAAAACATTGCTCTATAAAACATAAAACTTTGCTGTCAAGAATGGGGGAAAGAAAAGAAATTGGTGAAAGATTTAATAACTGTGGATCCTATGGCTAGAGGCAGATATTCAGCCTTTGAAAAATATTTAAGCTTGGCTTAAGTGGATTGGCATGAGTACTGCCAACAGGTTACATGACCGGAGTACCAGAGGTAAGCTGCACCATCAAACCAGGTAGAATATGTGAAAGAATGAGCTCCTTTCTCCCTGGTTCTCAGAAATGCTGCAGTAATGAAGCAGTGACCTACCAACATCCATTGTATGTCTCAAGATCAAAGTCATTTCTTAAAAGAAAATCCAAGTTATTCTTTAAAAAGTACCATGAGAAATGAAGATAATCAGTTTGGCATGGTCACTGGCCAAAGAGGTTGTGAATAAACACAGCCTGTCTACCAACTGACTGTCAGTCCTTCACCAGGATATGGAAGTTTCAACCCACTCCACTATTCTGTTCCTCCTGCACTAGAGATGGATGCTAATTTACTAACCAAATTTGTAAAGAATTTAATGAAATAGGGAGAGAGAGAGAGAGAGAGAGAAATGAATGTACTCGTAAAACCCAAGCCAAAAGCTTCCTTCATGACTTGCTCCCAGAATCAGGATATAGGATGTGGCAAGTGTGCGTGTGTGTGTGTGTGTGTGTGTGTGTGTGTGTATACAGTCATTGGGCACATCCTATCCGTCTCTCTCTCTCTGTCTCTGTCTCTCTCTCTCTCTACATAGATATATATATATATATATATATATATATATATATATATATATATATATATACATATACACACATGTCATGCTGTCTATGCAGATGGGTGCCAAAGTCTGGACAGTTGTGTTGAGACTTTGGCACCCATCTACAATGGCCATTCTTCTGGCCTTTAAACAAGCCTGCCCTGTTGATAACCTTCACTGATAATGGCAAGCTACATTTTCTAGCCAGGGACCTCTGTTTTTACTGAGGACAACTGACCACGGTCCCACCCACTGCTTGTTTTTGGCCTGCTTATCCCCTGCTTTGATGTTGTTTTGGAAAGACTGGCTTTCTGAGCTTAGGATGTAAGACCATTCCATAATGCCCCCTCCTGTTCTGATCTTGTATCTTCTATTTCCTCTTCTACCTCTCTGGGTGTAGGGTGATTATGTAATTTTTCTGACTCTTGGAATTCAGTCTTTTTCTTTAGATGTCAGGTTAGTTCACCTCTCTGGTTCAGGTTTCCTTGTAATTTAATATAGTAATCCCTGCCCTTCCCCAGACTACTAAAAGCCAATGTCCATTGGTGGCTAGGTCAGTACTGACCTCCTGAGGGAGGAATTTTAAAATGGGCCACTATTCAAACAGACATCTAGAAAATCTGTTCTGTCTTGTACAAGTATAAGCAATGTTAAATTGGTCCTTGGAAGAGTTTCAGAGACAAAGAAAATAATATAAATAGTCTGTTTAGTGGCTTTCTTTCTGAGATATATGAGGGTTTAGGTACCTATTTATATGATTGCCAAGTTTACTGACTGAGTTGAAGTCAGTGCAGTAAGAAATAACAAGACCTTTATCACAGAACAATGATGTGGAATGGAGAGATTTATTTTGATTGAGGTTAATATTTAGAGGGCAGAATCATAAGGCATGTACCTAAGTTACTGAGAATTAACCATAGATGTCATATAGTTCATCTGAGTCAGGGTGAATAGACAAACTGATCACTTAAAATGATACTTAGATAGCATATTGAAAAGACTGACATTTAAACTCCATTTAATGCTGTTGCTGAGGCCTTAGAATGAAGGCCATAAAAATGTACCTATATGAGGTAGTCTGAAGAAGCCATAATGCTTTTTAGGACACTCATTTGGTATGTTAAAAATGAGTTTTACTAATGAAAAGTGACTCCACTCTGTGGTTAATCATGTTAAAGAAATGTTCCACATAATCACTGTGAAATTGAATGTTGGTAAATAAGCTGCTTAATATTTATTTAAATAATTTCATAAATGCAGAGGAATGAGAAATAAGACATTAGGTCATGATACATAGATTTGGGCAAAGAAGACCTTCATTTCAAAGGGCCAGTGTTTAACTGCAGATATTCCAGAAGCTGTTCTAAATTCAAAGTATAGTCTTAGTTGTCCAGTATCTTTTTATAAAGTTTATGTGGCCAAATCAGGGCATGCAATTTATGTATGAATGCTATTAGTTTTGCTGGAACAATTTAAAGGGAAGATCGGAGTTTAGACATTTGCACCGTCTTTGAGGTGCATTCAGGGATCCTGTGGCCTTGTGTGTAGCACAGCATTCTGGAGGGTGGGGCACTGACTGCCCCGTCCCCTCTTTTTTTTTTTTTTTTTCAAAAACAAGTGATTCCCTTGACTTTTAGACGGAGCCAGATATCATACAACTTTCTCTATCAAGAAATAAAAGGGGTCTGGATGAGACTTTGAAGGCACTCTTTAAGGGAAATGTTAATCACCCTGATCATGAGCTAAGAATTGTGCCACCCATTAATAACTAGGAAAAGTCTCCTGGCAAGGTGTCCATATAAGTAATTAAGACTTTTTAGAATATGATACATCCCATCACTTCCTATCAGTTGAAATGCATAGGCAATAAATGCAAATAACACATATTATCATTTCTTCAGTATAAATGCTTTGCAGAGAGCTATATTGGAAAACATGAGGTACACACACATATATATTCTATAATCAAAAAAGGATTATATGTAAAAAGGTCCAATGTATATAAGCATGGAATTGCCAAGAGTTTTGACTATGGTCATTGAAAAATGTAATATTTAAGGAGTTGTCATAGATCCATAAGACAGTCTTTGAAAACCATGGAGACTAGAAGAGCTTCTCTGATGGGCAAAAAGACATTAAAAAGAGGTGAAGATGAGGCTAGCATATTTACAGGTGGCTAAGTGACTAGTATGTGCCTGTGGCTTTACTTATATTATCGTAATCTTTCAAATTACCCCACAAAGAGGCTCTTATTTCATTTTATACATAAGAAAACTGACAGTCAGGAAAGTTAGTTAATTTGTCTAAGTTTGCAGAGCTAGTAAATGGCAGAGCAGGGATTTAAATCTAAGTCTGTTGGACTCACAGCCCATAAGCTTTCCAGTATGCAAAACAAAATGATGTTGAATATATAAACGAACAGTATTATTTCTGTTTCCTTCTGCTAATACGTGTGACTAATGGGCTTCTAAGTATATGCCAGAGATGATCAAGTTGCTGCTGGGCCTCTAGTGAAGAAGGTGTGCTGGACCTGTGTGTAATTATAAATGTATTCATTCTGCACATATTTCCTGAGGCTCTTCCATGTTTGTGATATTTTGTAGAGTTCTGACAGGTGATGCAAAGGTGACTGCATCTACAACTTAAATACTGCATGCAGGACGGATCATTGAATTGTAAGAATGACTTAACAGCAAAGACTCAGGAAAGACTAGTACAGTAAGCAAGAGCATCTAGGGTGGAGGCATGTGTTGCATATGCATCACAATGAAGATGGTGACCTTTTAGTCTGAAAATACAAAGGCTGGGAGGGGCTTGGGGGGATACCAGATGAGAAGTCAGTTGACCATTTAGACTTTTCTTTCCAAGTAAATACATTTAATACTTCAGCATCCCCTTTTGTGAGGATCCTGGGAAACTAACTTTATTTTTGGTGTCTTGGTTTTCTTATTTGTATCACAGGCATAATAATATCTTCTTTACTTATCTAACGTAATTATTTTAAGACTCAACTTGAGAAACTCAGAAAGTTTTCAGTTCTAAACTAATAAAAGGAAGCATCAACTCTATGAAATTAGAATTAGTCCATAGGGACCTTTAGATCTAATTGGGGTGATATGAGAAGTAGACAAATACAGTGTATTATGATCCAACAGCTCCAAATTATAGGGATCAGATTAAAGGCTATGATAGTCCAGTGGGGAATTCATATCTAACTGGGAACTGAGCATGGTCCTTTGCTTAGAATTAGATATACTATTTATTTTAAACCCCAAAAGGCTTGGTAACATGTTATGGGCAAATGTTTATTAAATGTGAGATGTTTACCAAATGATGACATTGTAGGTTTCTGATTCTAAGTCATTTAATCTGGATGTAAGCAGCAAATATATTATGAAATTCCCATAAAGGAAATCCAGAGTTTAAATGATGATCTGACTTTGGGGCATTCTTATTTTTATTTTTATTTTTTTGCAAGCAAGAAAAAAGGTATGGGAAGTGAGCCACAAGCTGTTTTAGGAAAGAGGTTGTGTATGGTAAAGGTGCATCCCTGCTGCATTTCAATATTTAAAACCCGAGGAGACCTATGGAGACCACAGACAGATGTAGCATTCTGGTTATTTTCTTTTTATTGCTTTCTGGAAGGTATTCATCTTGCAGTGTCTTACAGTACCATAAGGTACTCTCTACTATCCAGTATCCCATTACCAGGGCATTTTCAATTGCTAAAAACTCCCAGAAACAACTTCATGTTAACTGAGGCTCATAAAGATGAGATGTCAGCCCTATAATATGTTTCTCCCATCCAAGTACAAAACAGGCCTGACCCTGCTTAGCTTTCGAGATCAGACGAGATCAGGCACCTTCAGAGTGGTATGGCTGTAGACCTTATAATATGTTTCTAAAGCAACTTCTGAATCATCAGAATATGATTAATTATGTTCAGAATCAACTTTATGCCAAAAATGTTGTGTTCTAAATAGCTCATAACAGGTAGTTTAGATTATTTCAATTCTGTGTTTCTAATGATCAGTTTTTTGCCTGTACTGAATAAAGGAAGTTACTGTATTATTAACCTAGATATGTCATAGGTTCACAGAAATTCAAATTTAGATCACATTAATAAAGTTGCAAATTTTAAGAGTTAAATGCTGTCCACAAGGTGAGACTCAAGATATGAGAAAAGAAGAGATATGATTCAAGTGGTTGGAATAGATAATGGATAATTCATATTTACCTAACTATCATTATTAATGCAGTCTAATTGTTAAGGATATTGAGAACTCAATGGCACACTGAAGGGAGAAGAACTTAAGCTAGTAACATAATGGCCAGGACCAGGGAAAGAAATTTGGTTAGGGAGCTTACCTCCTGGGGTGGTCATTAGTCTAAATCTTAATATTCAAGTGGTCGTGACATTGTTCCATGTCACTCCAATCTGGTGGAGTGACATGGCGGCAGGAAATTCACTTTATATACTATTCTGGGTTGGTAGCTACTCTATGATTATTTGGAGAAAAATGTTAGCCAGAATTTGTGGTGTGGTTGTCTGGAACTCAGAGCCAAGCAGACGTTTGGGGCCCCAGAATGATGCACAGAAATTTGGGACTGGGGAACTGTAGTGCCACCAGTACACCAAGGCAGAATCCTTACTCTAAAGAGGGATCAAAATGGATGATAAAGTTAGATGGGAAGGCTGAAGCTTAGAGGACACAACAGTGTCCAGGCCATCAGTCTTTAGGTGTACCAGATTTGGTCCTATATTTTGGGGCTGAATCTGCAGAGCAGCAGGCAAATAGGACTTCAGTTGTAAGGATGGTACTAAATTTTCCTTATCTATTCTGCTGGCTGCCAACTTTCTGCTCTGACAGAGTTCTCTCAAAGAGGAAGGGTGAGAAGTGGTCAGGCAGCCACTATAGACATTGTTTCATTTTGAGGTTTTTCAGAATTTTTTCCTAACTATAACTTTTGGTTGAACCAATCCATTCTAAATCTTTACATGCTACAGAAGAGATAAATGGGTAGGAGATAATGCTGTAGTTAGAGCAATTGCGGAAGGATTTTTGTTGTTGTTGCAAGTGTAAAAATAGTATAAATGAGGTAAAATGAGATGAATTTGAGAGAAAAAAATCTCATATCCACACATAATTTCGTTTCTGTTATACAACTACTAACATTTTAGGGTTATTTCCATGATAGGCTAACTTTTTAATTTTCATCTAGGAATTTACAAGGACATAGATTTAGTCTGAACATTAGTCGTCCTCAAAATGAGTAGCTTAAAAACTTCTCAGCTGGGCGCAATGGCCCACGCCTGTAATCCTAGCACTTTGGGAAGCTGAGGCAGGAGGATCACTTGAAGCTAGGAGTTTGACACCAGTCTTGGCATCATAGTGAAACCCTGTCTCTACAAAAAATAAAATATTAGCTGGCCATGGTGGTGTGTGGCTGTAGTCTTAGCTACTCGGGAAACTGAGGCAGGAGGATCACTTGAGCCCAGGAGTTCGGAGCTGAAGTAAGCTATGATTGCAACACTGCACTCCAGCAGGAGCAACAGAAAAAGACTCTGTCTCAAAAAAACCCACAAACAAACAAACAAACAAAAACAACCAAACAACAATAACAAAAAACTTCTCAAGTTTGCTATGGTTTTAAAAGCCAAGTGGAATCTTTATCTCCCCATTTGAACTTGAGGGGGTAGTTAGGGGAGAGGGAGACATTTGTGACTGCCTTGATGAAGAAAATGTGGCAGAAGTTAATACAGCCTGACTTCTGAGGCTCTGTTAGAAAAGGCCATTGCAACTCCTGGTTACTTTTGGGAAATTCTCTCTGAGAAACTTGAGTTGCTATGTGAGAAGCCCAGCCACCATGAGACCAGCATGTAGAGACACCACGGAAAGATCACTTCTAGAGGGATGCCCAAGGACCCCCAGATGTTCTAGTCCCAGCTGTTTTGGGTGTTCCCAGTCCAAGCAGGAGACATGTAAGTAAAGGAACCTTTGGGTGACCCAGCCACTCTCTCGCTGCAATCTCACTAGAGACACTTGAGCAAGAACTGTCTCACTGACCCCGTCAAACCTCAGATTTATTAACAAAATTAATGTGTATGACTGTTTTAAGCCACGGTTCTGAGGGTAGTTATTACCTGGCCATAGATAACCAGAACACAGCCTGAGGAACATGGCTATGGACTCTGCTTCCTGACGGAAGGCAAAGGGTACTGGGATAACATACAGATTGATCCTTACTGCAGCAATACATCCTCTTTTCCACTTACTTATTTTATACTGCTCTTCCTTTTCCTATCCTGATTCCATGGCCAACAATAAAAGTTTATTGCATTCACTGCACTTTTTTTCAGGGCACATAGGAAGACTCCTAGAAGGTTCCTAGCCTCTTTTGCAGTTAGGGTGAGGCCATGTGCCTGAGCTCTGGCCAATGGAATGTTGGCAGAAGTGATGAAAACCTCTTTCATGCCTGGTCCTAAAAACTTCTTGTGTAATATTTGGATACTGTCTTCTTTTTCAGCAGTGACCTTGGAGGTCACATGTTTCAAAGGATGTAGGAGGGCACCTTAACCCACATCGATTGTGAAGCAAGTGAGAAATAAACTTCTATTTGGCTAAACCTCTCAGATGTTAAGTGTTGAAGCCATGTGTTTAGTAGCGAGTTAACATTACTGTAACTTGTACAGATCTTTTGACCTGACTCAATTTTTGCTGGTGCAGAAGACACACAGGAGGAACAATCCTTTCTTCTGAATACCTCACAAAGCTTTCAGCCTGTCCTGACATTCATTTCCAACCCTCCCGTAGGGCATGTGGAAGATGCTCAAAAAGTGATCTCTAAGCCCCACTCTCTTTGTTACACCTATCTCCATCTGAAAAAAAAAATCAAATTTCTAAACTTTTCTAAGGAAACTTGTTTCCCCTGCCATCGGGGCCAATGACTTACAAAGTAGAGACTAAAATACTGAAAAATATTTCATAACTGAATTTTCTCTCCTAAAGAAATTACACTAATAAACTTCCAAAACAAGGGAAGTAAGAGACGGAGAGAGAAGTGTAGAGAATACTTCTATCAGCCTCCCAAAAGAAGAGTGATCTTTCTCAGATATACTGTTTTCTTTTGTGTGTGAGTTAAATTAAAATACATTTTCCATAGATCAGCCAACGTCTGAATGAAAGGCCAAATCAGGAAAGAGTGAGCCTGTCTAGAAAATAAAACAGTGGTGTATAAAAGTTAAGCATTAACCTGGTTTTGCAGCTGTAGCGTTCTCCAGGGAGCTGTGTATTTTCTATCCTTGTTCTTCCCAGAGAAAAGAGAAAGAAAATAGCATCCTCAAATGCTCTTCTAATTCTCACAGTCATTACCTCTTTCCCTCTTGCTCCTTATTTCTCTCTCTCACATACAAGCACACACACATTACAGTTTCTAATCATCCACCAACACAAGAGAATAATGGACATCCTTTGCCATAAGACAGCTAAAAGGTGATGGGGGTGGGGAAGAGGGGCAAACTACCCTTTGCCCCAGGAGGGAGCTCTTCTGGCCCGAAGGTAATAGCGCAACACTGCCCCACAGGTCATTGGACCCCACAGTTAAGAAAAAATGCTGGCACGGGCGATAAAAGGGATATAATGAAAATGTAAACGAAAAACTTTATACCAGGCATGGCCTGACAGAGGGAAGATTGATATCCCATGATGCTTTGTCTTGATGAGACAATGAAAAATAACCACCACAGCAGCTGTGTCAATATCAGACTTGGTAATGCACCACTGGCTGTGGGTTTTTATTTAATCCGCTTTGCTTTAAGATGATAACGGTTGTTACTTTTCAGTGCCTGTCTGTCAGCGCCCAGCATTGCAATATTCCTCCGCAGCTCTGCGAGCGGGTTTCATTTATTTTAAAATACCATTTCACACACTGCTGACTTTTAACAGTGTTCTGTGTGAGTTTGTGAGATTGAATAGTGACAGAAACAACACTTTTTATGAGAATACAGAATATTAAAAACGGGGCACAATATACAGATGGCAGTTTTCACTACAGCTTGTTTTTTTCCCCCTTGCTTCTGCTACTGAGCTTTCCCACTGAATGCATTTGTAGTAACACCATAAATGTCACTTTCACTGACTGCCTTTTGGCATTTTATTTAAATGGAATTCAGCTCTGGCTTGCTGCTGCCGCTGTTGCTGCTGCCGTTACTGACTTGTTTTTAGGGTGGCTCCCCGTTTTACAAAATCATCCCGTTGGCTTCCTTCCTCATGGCCCCCAAAAAGGAAATATATGAAAAACCTCTCAAACCGTAAACCCTTGGCAAAGACTCAAAGTCCAAGGATTCTGAAAGACTTTACCAGGGAGATTACTGTAGCCATATGTGTTTGGTCTTCGCAGCCATGGCTCAGTGGAAAACACTTCTGAACTATAGGAATACTCCTGATTGGGAGCTAAGATACTTCATCAGTGGGGAGGGGAGGGAGGACCAGCACACAGAGACCATTTTCCACTGAATGCGACGGAAAACACTTGGAGAGACAGGGCTCTGAGTGACTTATCTAGGCCTAGTTTCTATTATTACTGACTTGAAATACTTCGGTTGGGACGTTTTACCCGGGCCCTGGCTTCTCTCCATCGTTCCTATCTTGGCAGGTACATGCTTATGCTGCTGGAACTCGAGACAGGTAGAGAGGTGGTATGTTGCTGCCAACATGATGTTGACATGTGCAGATTCCCCTCTCTCCTTTTACTCCTGCACAAAACATCCATTGCTTCATCAGTTCCAGACACTAAGTAGAATAGACAGGGGTAGTGAAGCCTTTTCCCGGGAGAACCTGTAATTTGGGGAAAGCTGGCTTCTTGACTAGGTCAAATGAGACTAGAAATGATCTGCTTAATCCAGCCATATAGATGTGTCCACATCTCACAGTCTTAGGCCTGAATCAAAGAGCCTAAGAGATTTCTAGCTGAGAGCTCAAATTTTCAGAAAATTGGAATTTTTCATAGAAAAAAAGTAAAGAAAGTATAATTCAAAGCCTCAGTTCTAGCCTCTGGACTGTAACATTCATCACCTTTGTGTACAACTCCCTTTAGAAACAAGCAAAGCTGGGAATATTTGGTAGGTTCATAAGCATTTTTACAGACTGGACCAGTTTTTGAAGATGTCTGAAAGTCTGTCTTAATCTCTTTGTATCCTTTTAATTATAAAAGTTAGAGTTGGTAAGGGGTGGGAGGCTAGGGAGAAACCCACAAAATAAACTTTTGAATCTCTTTGTTTTGAATTATTTATGCTTCTTTTCTTTCTTTCTTTCTTTTTTTTTTTTTTTGAGACAGAGTATTGCTCTGCTGCCCAGGCTGGAGTGCAGTGGCCATCTGGGCTCACTGCAAGCTCCGTCTCCTGGGATCACACCATTCTCCTGCCTAAGCCTCCCGAGTAGCTGGGACTACAGGTGCCTGCCACCACGCCCGGCTAATTTTTTGAATTTTTAGTAGAGACGGGGTTTCACCTTGTTAACCAGGATGGTCTCGATCTTCTGACCTCGTGATCTGCCCATCTTGGCCTCCCAAGGTGTTGGGATTACAGGCGTGAGCCACTGCGCCCAGCCTGCTTATTTTCAAATTAACTTCTATAAACCTGGCAGAAGTACTGAAGTAAATAAAGATAACATGACAGTAAGTTAGGTCATCACAATATTTAAATAAATGTATGAAATGAAACTACTCAAGACCCTATATCGAGAAATAAAGGATATAAAAAAAGAGAAAATGGAAGTGGAATCCAGGCAGAGACAACATCTCATACTATTTCTGTATTTCGAATAACACCTAACACAGAAGTCTGTCTCTTCATAGGCATTCGCATCTCAGTGAATGGAAAAAACATCTAAACAATTTTCTTAGACAAAAATCTTGGGTGTCATTCTTAACTCTTCCTTGTTTGGCAACTTCTCTTCCAATCAATCACTAAGTTCTGACAAGAGATCTACTTAATGTGATTTAAATGCATCTGTTTCTCTGCATCCCCACTGCTCTCATGTTAATGTGTATCATTGCTGATGCAGCAGTAGTTTCCTTGTCTTCTTTTTTTCTTCAGATCCATCCTTAATAATGTCACCTGAATAATATTCTAAAACAAACATCTAGTCATGCACCATTCTTTGTATATTAGACATCATGAAAAAAGTTTTCTCTGAGTACTTGAGCTCATAGCAATCTCTATCCTCGTTTACTTACTGTAAATGTCTCTCATTTGACTTGGTCTGTGTTTATTGTCCTTTTAAAATCTTCCCATATGCATATGTCTTTTCTCCTCCTTAGAATGTAAGAGATCACATTCATGTTTTTTTGGTACACTCTATAATACCAAGTTGGGTGTTGGGCCCAGTACCATGACATCAATAAATGATCAATAAATATTCATAGAGTTTGCTAAATATTTGAATTGGTCTAGCATGTAGTGTAGCCCCTGATAGAGTTAGCCCTAATAAACCTGTTGAATCTAAGGCACTAGTAATTATGCAGCAAAAGAGAAGCTCTCCATTATGTATGGTGGTAACCAGGATGTTTAGCCAAGCTTAGAAGTGGGGGAAAAAAGCCCCTGTATGAGCATAGAAATCTGGGTTTGCCTAGAAAATATGGTATTTCTACCTCCAAATCTTTTGCTTCACAACATAGCATTTTTTTTTTTTTTTTTTAGTTTGAGACTTGAATTGAGCTCAGCGACTCTTCTCTGGGGCTGTTTATTTATTTGTTCATTTTATTCAGTTTTATTTTAGGCTCAGAGATACATGTGGAGGTTTGTTATATACAAAAATTGAATGTTGCAAGGGTTTGGTGTACAGATTATTTTGTCACCCAGGTAATTGGCATAGTACCTGATAAAAAGGTTTTTGACCCTCACCCTCAAGTAGGCCCTCGTGTATGTTGTCCCTTTCCTTGTGTCCATGTGTACTCAATGTTTAGTTCCCACTTAAAAGGGAGAACATGCGGTATTTGGTTTTCTGTTCCTATGTTAGTTTGCTTAGGATAATGAACTCCAGCTCCATCCATGTTGCTGCAAAGGACATGATCTCATTCTTTTTGATGGCTACGTAGTATTCTATGATGAGTATGTAACCCCTAGTTCTTATCCAGTCTACCACTATAATTTTTGTAGCTACCATTGATAGGCATTTAGGCTGGTTCCATGTCTTTGCTACTGTGAATAGTACTGTGATGAACATATGCAAGAATATGTCTTTGTGGCAGAATGATTTGTATTCCTTTGGATATATATCCAGTAATGGGATTGCTGGGTCAAATGGTAATTCTGTTTTAGGTTCATTGAGAAATCACCACATTGTTTTCCACAATAGGTGAACTAATTTACATTCCCACCAGCAGTGTATAAGTGTTCCCTTTTCTCTACTGCCTTGCCAGTATCTGTTATTTTTTGATTTTTTAAATAATAACTTTTCTGACTGGTGTGAGTTGTATCTAATCATGATTTTGATTTGCATTTCTCTAATGATTAGTGATGTTGAGCATTTTTTCATACTCTTCTTGGCCTCACATATATCTGCTTTTGAAAAGTGTCTGTTCATATCTTTTGCCAACTTCTTAATGGGATTGTTTTCTTTTTCTTCTTGTAAATTTGTTTAAGTTTCTTGTAGATTCTGGATATTAGAACTTTATCAGATGGAAACCATCCATCTGATGCAAACTATCCATCTGATAGTTTGCAAATATTTCCTCCTATTCTGTAGGTTGTCTGTTTACTCTCTTGATAGTTTCTTTTGCTATGTAGAACTCCATAGTTTAATTAGGTCTCCTTTGTCAATTTTTGTTTTTGTTGCAGTTGCTTTTAGTGTCTTTATCACGAAATCTTTGCCAGGTCCTATGTCCAGAATGATATTTTCTAGGTTATCTTCCAGGCTTTTTATATTTTTAGGTTTTATATTTAAGTCTTTAATCCATCTTGAGTTGATTTTTGTAGATGGTGTAAGAAAAGGGTCCAGCTTCAATCTTCTGTATATGGCTAGCTCTGGGACTATTTAGAAGAGCTAGACACATCTTCTCTTACCACCTTACTAGTAAGGTAAGGCAGAAAGGGGTGGTGGAGTCTTCCTCCTTTCAAAGGTTTATAAACAGCCTGCTCCTTTCTGGAAGGGAAAATTAGAATTGGATACAGTGAAATCTAAGTGAATCTTATCTCTAAATTTTCTTTTCTGGCACTGACTCTTTTATCCTTTAGGATTTTCCATTAATTAAATGTTAATTAATGTTTATAATTAATTTGAATGTCTAATTTACTTTTTGATGGAAATATCTATTACTTTGACATTTTTGTGTTTATTGGCATAGCATTTCTGCTTTTTAGGATTTCTGGAAGCTTTCCGTAGTCTGTCTCCATCTCTTGGTCTTTTGCTTTTTCTCTGTGTGTTTCTCAGCATCTACTCTCCTCAGTTACTATCAGAGTAATCGTCTTCGTAGGTCCCACCTCTTTTCATGACCTCTGCTTATGATCAGAAGGAAAAAATATCAGAGAGAAAAAAAATCAGCTAAAACAAATTTACTCAAACAATAATGCAGCCCCAAACCCTTTTCCTTTAGCATTCATAAGAAATATAAAACTAGGAGCAGAAAAAGGTCACAGAAACAAAGTAAGTCTCAGGGTAAGCCAGTGGGCCTTCCAGGAAAGGATACTAATTGCCTTCTTCTCCAGGCAAGTGTGACCTGTGTGAATGACAGAAGCTCAAATCCTCTGTGACCCGAGAAACACTGCCAAGGTGACGTTGTCACAAGAGGAACTGTGAATCAGCTGTTTCTCCAGAGACTTCTTACCAAGTACCATTTTATTTTCAAGAGAAAGAGACAAAGTAGCCTCTCTCCTTTCAGACCCCGCCACCCCCTTCACTAGTAAAGCAGTTTCTGAAGTTCTAGGGCTTAAAATGAAAGCTGATAAGAAAGAAAGAATGTTTAGAGGCCTTTGAATTCCTAAGCATATAGATATAAACTGCTTTTCCAGAGTTTTGCCTTTGATCAATTCAAGGACCCAACAGCAGACACAATCCCTGACTCCCCTGTCCCCCATTTTCCAAATCAGTTTCCAGAGCAAAGTTTCTGGACCTGTAGCCACATCAGACTTCCTAAAAATTACAATTATCTTAAACTAACGTTCTTTGCTTTTTCTCAAGATATCATGAGATATTATGGGTGACTATAGACTTCCTCTCTTTTTGTAATCTTCAATGAGGACTTTGATATCTGGGTAAAATTCTTCCTGGTCACCCCCAAACTACCTAAAATACTTGAGAGATTCAGTATATTTGTTGACATCACAGCCAATGCCTCCAAATTATGCTTTCTTGCATGCTTGATTCTAATCATTCTTACATTATCACCCTTTAGCATCTCAGTGATCTATTTTCTGACCCAACCTAAATTCTTTCTTATGTTTTGCTCTTTTACTTACACTACACATCTATGCTCTGCTCTAATCGTGACCTCTCATTCCTTGGCTCTTGTTCTGCGAGTCTTTCAGAGCCCCCACACTGCCTGGCTTCCCTTCACTCACCATCCAGAACAGTCACCATAATAGTCCATCCTGGGGTCTTTTGGTTGGAATTCTGGACCCCTCACATCCTTGTTCTGCCCCGACAACCCCACTCCCCCAGAGCCATGCTGCACATTCCTTGTCGACTCCCCATTTTATTTCTCCAAAGCAGCTCTGTCAAGAATTCACTCCATTTAGCAAATTCCCTGCTTCAGTAGCTGATATGGTTTGGCTGTGTCCCCACCCAAATCTCATCTTGAATTGTAACTCCCCTCCCACAATTCCCATGTGTCATGGGAGGAACCCCATGAGAGGTGATTGAATTATGGGGGTAGGTCTTTCCTGTGCTGTTCTTGTGACAGTAAATGAGTCTCACGAGATCTGATGGTTTGATAAGGGAAAACCCATTTCGCTTGGCTCTCATTCTCTCTTTTGCTGCTGCCATGTGAGATGTGTCTTTCACCTTCTGCCATGATTGTGAGTCCTCCCCAGCTATGTGGAACTATAAGTCCAATAAACCTCTTTCTTTTGTAAATTGCCCAGTCTCAGGTATGTCTTTATCAGCAGCATGAAAATGGACTAATATAGTAAATTGTTACTGAGAGTGGGGTGTTGCTGAAAAGATACCTGAAAATGTGGAAGCGACTTTGGAACTGGGTAACAAGCAGAAGTTGGAACAATTTGGAGGGCTCAGAAGAAGACAGAAAAATGTGGGAAAGTTTGGAACTTACCAGAGTGTTGTTGAATGGCTTTGACCAAAAGCCTGATAGTGATATGGACAATAAGGTCCAGGCTGAGGTGGTCTCAGATGGAGATGAGGAGCTTGTTGGGAACAGAAGCAAAAGTGACTCTTGTTACATTTTAGCAAAGAGACTGGCAGCATTTTGTCCCTGCCCTAGAGATTTGTGGAACTTTGAACTTGAGAGAGATGATTTAGGGCATCTGGTAGAATAAATTTCTAAGCAGCAACACTTTCAAGAGGTGACCTGGGTCTTGTTAAAGACATTCAGTTTTATAAGGGAAGCAAAGTGTGAAAGTTCAGAAAATTTGCAACCTGACAATGTGATAGGAAAGAAAAACCCATTTTCTGAGGAGAAATTCAAGCTGGCTGCAGAAATTTGCATAAGTAACAAGGAGCTGAATGTAAATCCCAAAGACAATGAAGAAAATGTCTCCAGGCCATGTCAGAGGTCTTCACAGCAGCCCCTCCCATCACAGCCCAGAGGCCTAGGAGAAAATAGTTTCGTGGGCCAGGCCAAGGGTCCCTGTGCTGTGTGCAGCCTAGGGACTTGGTGCCCTGTGTCCTAGCTGCTACAGCTGTGGCTGAAAGGGGCCAAAGTAGAGCTTGGGCCATGGCTTCAGAGGGTGTAAGCCCCAAGTCTTGGCAGTTTCCACATGGTTTTGAGCCTGCAAGTGCACAGAAGTCAAGAATTGGAGTTTGAGAACCTCTGCCTAGATTTCAGGAGATGTATAAAAATGCCTGGACGCCCAGGCAGAAGTTTGCTGCAGGGTGGGGCCCTCATGGAGAACCCCTGCTAGGGCAGTATGGAAGAGAATTGTGGGGTCAGAGCCCCCAAACAGAGTCCCTACTGGGGCACTGCCTAGTGGAGCTATGAGAAGAGGTCCACTGTCCTCCAGATCCCAGAATGGTAGATCCACTGACAGCTTGCACTGTGCACCTGGAAAAGCTGCAGACACTCAACACCAGCCTGTGAAAGCAGCCAGGAGGAAGTCTGTACCCTGCAGAGCCACAGGGTCAGAGCTGCCCAAGACCATGGGAACCCACCTCTTTTATCAGTGTGACTTGGATGTGAGACATGGAGTCAAAGGAGATCGTTTTGGAGCTTTAAAATTTGACTGCCCCACTGGATTTTGGACTTGCATGGGCCCTGTATCCCCTTTGTTTTGTATTGCAGGAAGTCAGGGACCCCAAACGGAGGGACCGGCTGAAGCCCATGACAGAAGAACGTGGATTGTGAAGATTTTATGGACATTTATTAGTTCCCCAAATTAATACTTTTATAATTTCTTATGTCTGTCTTTACTGCAGTCTCTAAACATAAATTGTAAAGATTTCATGGACACTTATCACTTCCCCAGTCAATACCCTTGTGATTTCCTATGCCTGTCTTTACTTTAATCTCTTAATCCTGTCAGCCGAGGAGGATGTATGTCACCTCAGGACTATGTGATAATTGCATTAACTGCACAAATTGTATAGCATGTGTGTTTGTGCAATATGAAATCTGAGCACCTTGAAAAAAGAACAGGATAACAGCAATTGTTCAGGGAATAAGAGAGATAACCTTAAACTCTGACCGCCGGTGAGCTGGGCAGAACAGAGCCATATTTCTCTTCTTTCAAAAGCAAATGGGAGAAATATCGCTGAATTCTTTTCCTCAGCATGGAACGTCCCTGAGAAAGAGAATGCACACCTAGGGGTACGTCTCTGAACTGGCCCCCCCGGGGCGTACCTGTCTCTTATTGTCAAGATTGCAGAGGTGATATAGACTCCAGTCTCCCAAAGCGCTCCCAGGCTTATTAGGAAGAGGAAATTCCTGCCTAATAAATTTTGGTCAGACTTTGATCTCAAAACCCTGTCTCCTGATAAGATGTTATCAAAGACAATGGTGCCCGAAACTTCATTAGCAATTTTAATTTCGCCTCGGAGCTGTGGTCCTGTGATCTCACCCTGCCTCCACTTGCCTTGTGATATTCTATTACCCTGTTAAGTACTTGATGTCTGTCACCCACACCTATTCGCACACTCCCTCCCTTTTTGAAACTCCCTAATAAAAACTTGCTGGTTTTTGCGGCTTATGGGGCATCATGGATCCTGCCAACGTGTGATGTCTCCCCCGGATGCCCAGCTTTAAAATTTCTCTCTTTTGTACTCTGTCCCTTTATTTCTCAAGCCAGCCGATGCTTAGGAAAATAGAAAAGAACCTATGTGATTTTCGGAGCAGGTCCCCTGAAAGTTTTCGCCAATTTCTCCCATTTGGAATGGCTGTATTTACCCAATGCCTGTGTACCCATTGTGTCTAGGAAGTAACTAACTTGCTTTTGATTTTACAGGCTCATAGGCAGAAGGGACTTGCCTTGTCTCAGATGAGATGTTGGACTGTGGACTTTTAAGTTAACACTGAAATGAGTTAAAACTTTGGGGGACTGTTGGGAAGGCATGATTAGTTTTGAAATGTGAGGACAGGAGATTTGGGAAGGGCCAGGGGCAGAATGACATGGTTTGGCTCTGTCCAGCCAAATCTCATCTTGAATTGGAACTCCCACAAGTCCCACATGTTGTGGGAGGAACCCAGCTGGAGGTGATTGAATTATGGGGGTGGGTCTTTCCTGCGCTGTTCTCGTGATAGTGAATGAGTCTCACAAGATCTGATGGTTTTGTAAGGGGAAACCTGTTTCACTTGGCTCTCATTCTCTCCTGCTGCTGCCATGTGAGATGTGCCTTTCACCTTCCACCATGATTGTGAGGCCTCCCTAGGCACATGGTACTCTAAGTCTAATAAGCCTCTTTCTTTTGTAAATTGCCCAGTTTCAGGTATGTCTTTATCAGCAGCATGAAAATGGACTAATAGAGCAGCAAAGCTTTCTTCCCATAAGGAATTAGAGGCCACGAGGCTTCTAGCTTTGGTCCACTGCTGTCTGCCCACACTCTCATGAATTTAACTACAGTTTATATTCTAAGGGTTCTCGAATCTGTACTTTCATTTCCAGCTTGTCCTCTTCTCTGATATTTGAGCTCAGGAATCCATGTCTCTGATGAGTATATCCTGTTGATTGTTTCTCATTTGCCTTAAAAATCAGCACCCTCCCAAACTGAACTTATTATATTTCCCACTTCCTAAACCTGAGATGGAATATAAGCTCCATATTGTATTCAAACTTTGAATTAAATCAGAGAAGAAAAGGAAGTAAATTATATAAAACCTATTAAGGAATAGAGTCAATAGGATTTAATGACCAATTGGTTATGCAGGGAGAGTGAGAAGTCTAATCTGCTAGATTTGGTTTGGGTGATTTGATTTATGTGGTTTCATAAGAGAGGAGGGAATATAAAAGAAGGAACACATTTGGGAGTTTTAAAAAAATGAGGTCAATTCTGGACAAGCATAATTTGAATGCCTTTGATATTTAGAAGATAGGTAGACAAATGAGTCTTGAATTCAGGTAAAAAATAAAAAATTAAAAAAAAAACTGAAGGTAAAGACATAATTTGAAGTTATCAGCATAGAGATGTTAGAAGTTACTGGTTGTTGGACTGAAAAATCCTGCCCAGAAAGTTTATTCAGCAAGAAAAGATCAAGAGTGAAGGCCTAGAAAACACCATTGTTTAAAGGTAAGTCAAAAAAAGAACCTGAAAAAAACCCTGAAGAATGAGACTAAGGAGAATATGCTAACACACAAGTAAACTGGGTAAGTAGTTTATAGAAAAAAAAGTGCTCAAAAGCATCAAATGCCAAAAAGAGGGCAACTAAGATAGTAACTATTCAGTGGCCTTTGGGCTTGGTAATTAGTGAGTTATTATTAGCTTTAGCGAGAGATCATTTCAGTGGAGAGGTTCAGCTGCATATATACTTATACAAATATATCTATAGTTGTATATATATGTGTGTGTATATATTAGGGAAACATCAAACATCATGACTGGGTAATCAAAGTTATCAGTGAAAAACACCTGTAAGGGATAAGTGTGTATGTACATATATGTACACACACACACACACACGCACACACATGCACATAAACATATGCTCATATATATAGATTTTAGAAATCTTGCATTCATAGCAATATTTATAATCTCTTCATTATCTAAGTCTTTCTGGTTTGAAGTATTCTTTGGTATTAGAATTATAACCTCTTACTTTCTTATTGTTTCAATTTCTTTGCTAAGTCTTTGTTTATCCTTTTATATTTAAACTCTGAATTATCATGTTTTAACCATATGCCTTACACAGAATATATAGTTGGGTTTTACTTTATAAGCCAATTTAAAAATCTTTTCCCCTTAATAAGCAAGTTAAACCTGTTCGTATTTGTTAAAATGACATGTTTTGTCTCAATTCTGTCATATTATCTTATGTTGTAATAACTGTGTATATCGTTATGTTTTTTTTAATTTGGCTCTCTTTTCTTTTTAAAATATCTTTTGATATATAGGAAGGTTCTTTTTATTTTAGTAGTATATTAATTTTCCATTACTGCTGTAACAAATTACTACAAACTTACTGGCATGAAACAGCACAAATTAAGTTCTATGGGTCAGATGTCAGAAATGGGTTTCTCTGGGCTAAAATTAAGATGTCAGCCAGTCTGTGTTTCTTCTGGAGAATCCAGGGGAGAATCCATTATTTGCCATTTGCAACTTCTAGAGGTTGCCTGCTCTTCTTGTCTCACAGCCTTTTTCATCCATCTTCAAAACCAGCAATGTTGGGCTGCATCTTTCTCATGCTGTCATGTCTCTGATTCTCTCTTCTGATTTTCTATTCCACTTTAAAAAATCCTCATGTTTACATTAGGCCCACTCACATAATTCGGGATAATCTCTTTATTTTCAGATCAACTGATTAGCAACCTTAATTCCATCTGCAACTTTAATTTCCCGTTGCCATTTACCTAACATATTCACAGAATGGGAGAATTAGGACAGAAATATCTTTGGGAGGGACCATTATTCTGCCTATCACAAGTGGTTATCTTTGTATTAATACTGTTTATAATGCCCTTAATTCCCTTTATTCTTTCTAAGCCTTTTACCATTTGTCAGTTTTAAACGGTATCTTATGCTTCCCATTTATTATCTATGCAGCATTCAATGAATATTTTACTTTCCCCTTTCATTCTTTTTTCCCGATGTTTAGTTGTGTTCTTTCTACTTAGAAAGAACATGTTATATTTCTTTTTTAAAATTTTATTTATTTATTTTTTGAGACAGAGTCTTGCTCTGTTGCCCAGGATGGGGTGCAGTGGTGCCACCTCAGCTTACTGCAACCTCTGCCTCCTGGGTTCAAGAGATTCTCCTGCCTCCTGAGTAGCTGAGATTACAGGAACTTGCTATCACGCCCAGCTAATTTTTGCATTTTTAGTAGAGATGGGGTTTCACCATGTTGGCCAGGTTGGTCTTGAACTCCTGACTTCAGGTGATCTGCCCACCTCGGCCTCCCAAAGTGCTGGGGTTACAGGCGTAAGCCACCATGCCTGGCCTATGAATACGTAATATTTCCATAATATTTTTCAAACATTTACCCCACAATTGTTTTAGTCCTAGCTCTACAATTGAATGTATGAAATCCTCTTTTGGGGAATTTTTCCAGTGATTTCATGATTGGATGAAACACCCTGAAGTAGATGTCTCAGGAGGGCACATGCTTACAGTATTCCCTGAGTTCAGGCACATGCAAAACTTTTTCTATAACCTTAAAATTTGAATGACTGATTGACTGGATATAATATCCTTGGTTCACACTTGTTTGTTTCATTGAGTTTCTAGAAAATACGATCCCACTGTTATTATCTTTTCATGTTGCTTCTGAGAAACCTGGTAACAATTTAATTCTCTTGCTTTGTAATTTATTTCATCTTTTTGGCCAGAGCCCCAAAAGATTTTTGCTTTCTTTATGTCTCAGGTTGCATCATTCTAGATCAATTTCTCTGGTACCTGCTAAGCCTTTTCAATGTGTGATTTCTTCTTTTATTTCTGAAGGCTCGCTCTCTCTTTTTTTTGTATTGTAGTGTAAATATTAATTATTTTACATTGTTTTGACTTTTTTTCTTCAGGGACACGAGTAGTATAAATAAATATTTACTGTTTTTTTTCTTTTTTGGCTTTCCATTTAATCATTTTACCAGAGTCTTTTCATTTCTTTCTTTATCTTGTTTTTATTTTCTTTGATGCTTTCCTGATTTTCTTTAATGCCTTTTATTAATTTGCATTTAAATCTATTCTCACTTGGCATACAGTAATTTGGTCTTTTTAAAATGTGTGTGTGTGTTTTTGCTTTTTTCTATTTCCTTCATCAGAAAAATTAACTCATTTTATTTCTTCCTTTTTTTGTTTATTTCTGTTTTTAGTTTTTGTATTTCTGATTCAAGGTGTTTATTAATATCCTCATGTTCTTGCTTGCTTAAAGTGCAATGTTATAATTTTCTTAACCTTTGTGTTTTATTTCTTTTTTCAGTGTCTTAACTTGCTGTTCACAAATTCTGACATTTTGCAGTAGTTTGTCATGGATAAAGTCTGTTTTTTTTCTACTGTTACTCATTTATGGACAGGATTTTAAGTTTGATGGTTCACTTTACTGGCATTTTGCCCTTTTCTGCTCATAAGTTGGTTTTCTTGTCTGCTATTTCTTGTCTGTAATTTGATTATTCCCTGGTGTGCTTTTCTATGTATTTATCCAGCTTGAGGTTCATTGAAATTCTTAGATCGGTAGGTTTATGACCATTATCGAACTGGAAAAATTTCAACTATCGTTTTTTCAAATATTTTTTCTATCCTCCTTTTCCTAGGACTACAATTTTTATTTATTTTTCCATGGGCCACTGAGTCATTGTTTATTTTATTCAATATTTTATTCTCTCTGTGTTTCATTTGGGATATTTTCTATTACTATGTCTTCAAGTTCACTAATCTTCTATTCCTCAGTGTCTAATTTGTTTTAAATCCCATTCATGTAATTTTCATTTCAAATATATTTTCAACTCTAGAAATTGTTTTCTTTAAATAATTTCTATTTCTTTCAACATTAGATTTATGTTTTTCTCAATTTTTAAGCATATTTCTAATATTTAAAATATCTGTTTTTAAGTCTTGCTGATTTAATTTTTCCTTCCTCTCTGGGTACATTTCTATTGACTGATTTTTGTTGTATCCTTTTAAACAGCATTGGTTAGCTGGGCATGGTGGCGTGCACCTGTGGTCCCAGCTATTTGAAAGGCTGAGTTGGGAGGATCACTTGAGCCCAGATGGTTGAGGCTGCAGTGAGCCATGATGGCGCCACTGCACTTTAGCCTTGGTGACAGAGCAAGGCCCTATCTGAAAAAAAGTAAGCACATAATTAAATAAATAAAAGTTAAACGCCATTGGGATTTTTTTCTGTCAGGCAATATAATTCCGTATGGATCAAGTGATTATTTGAGGCTTGTTTTAAAATTTTTTAAAGAAAAGGAATAGAGTTGCCTTTATTATTCACATTACTGAGGTATGACCCTTCTAGTGCTGTATGGAACGTCCTATGTATTTGACATTGTCTCGCCTCTCTGGCTGGTGGGAACACAGAAGACTTCCAGCCCTTTGTGAAGCTCTGGGAATTGTTTGGCTTATAGTTCCTAATCATTTACTTTTTCTCTGGCAGTTCTTAGCATGACCTGTGGAGTTTCCTTATGCAGGCACAGATTAGCAGTCTATGAAAAGCCCTGGGAATCCATGCAGATTGCTGGGATACTTTCTCTGCATACATCCTTTCTCTTTGGTATTCCGTCTTGAAAAATTTAGCCATATTACCATCTTTGAGCTCCACTCTCTGTCTTAAGTCTATGAGACTGCCAGGCTTTGTTTGGGTTCCCCTTCTGGCAGCACAGAGTCCAGAAATTTCTTCCAGGCAGAAATTTAAGATAATCATTGCTTTTATCTCATTTGTTTCCCTCTTCTCAAGAATCACAGCCCTGAGCTGCCTTTTGTTCACTCTCTGAAAACTGTTATATATATACAAACTGTCTGGTATAGCTGTTTATGGTGGAAGGAGCATTTAATAGGACTTACTCTTTTGTTGGCAAAAGTGAAGATTAAATAGGATTTTTCACAGTGGAAATGGAGAGGATGAGCAACTCAGGGAAAGAGAAAATTGTAAGCAAAGACAGTAAGGGGCAAAATTCTGTGTTGAAAGAATAATGTACTGGTTGGGTCACCGGAGAGAACTAGTTGAAGAGGGAAAAGAATTGGAGATATGGCCTAAATAAATTGATTCATTATAGGCTTCAAATACTACTCTAGTTTAATCTTTATAGTTAGGCAATAAAGTGTTCTTTAAAGTAGGTATAAACTATCAAATGTGGTGCTCAATTACCCTTTTGTTTTTGTTCATAAACAATGGTGGGCTTGTGCCAGATAATGAGTGATGATGGCCTTACTGGAGAAACAAGAGCAAGGAGAGAATGTGGAGAAAAAATGAAACAGAGTGCATGAATAAACACAGGAGAAAACATAGGTGGAAAGTTAAGCTAGGACAATATTATGGAGGTCCTCCCATGCCAGGCTAAGGAGTTTATGGTATATTTAATAGGCATTGGAGTTGTTGAAAGTTACTGATCAGGAGGATGAAATCATAAGAATTGGCCACATATAATTAGATTTATGGATTTTTCTAGTCTTATTTGATATTATGTTTTGTTTGAACCAATCACTGTATCATAATGTACCAAGATATTGGTCTTAAAAATTGTTATAGGCAAAATCCTAAGCTTTCCTTTCAATATTCTTGGCCTCTGGTTGTTGACTCAAACACTAATCTATGTACAGTTGTAAAGAGATTTTGCAGCTGCAATTAAAATCTCAATTGACCCTAAAATAAAGAGATTATTTGTATGGGCCTGAGCTAACCACATGAGTGAGCCCTTTTAAAATAGAGAGATTAAAAATGTGAGAGGTGTTCATCATCAGGGAGGCTCTCTATTGTTGGTTTTGTAGTAGAGGTAGACATGGACAAGGTATGGGCAAAGAGCAGCTCTTGGAGCTGGATGTGTTGCTAGCTGATACCAGGAAATTGGTGGAAGCTATAGTCCTATAGCCACAGAGGATTTATTTCTGCCAATAATAAGGATAGGGTTAAAGAGGGATTTGAACTTCAAATGAGAATGCAGCCTGATGATACCTTTTTTCCAACCTTAGCAGAGAACCCAACCATGCTCTGCCAAGTGTCTTACCTACAGAACTGTGAGCTAATAAATGAATGTTATTTTAAGCTGCTTTATTTGTGGTAGTTTTTTACACAGCAATAGAAAACTAAGACAGAGGCCCGTAAGATATTTTATAATATGGTTCATCAAGGTTAATTACAAAAGCCCAAACTTTTGAATTAAGAACATTCAAGAATTTAATTGTATAGCTTTAAATCTACTTACCAGATTTTTTTTTAATTTAGAAATTTGTTTTCAAGGACAATTTTGGTTAAGACATGGGACAGTCTTCATCTTATCCATTTGATGAATGGATCTATTGGAATCTATTGTAATGAATATATATATATATATATATGAGATGGTGGGGGTAATTTTCTAGGATTGGCCCAGGAGTTAGATGTATTCTTAGTGATTTTTCTTTACATCATTATAGTCCACCTCTGCAACACATACTTGTTGTCACCTGAAGCTTTCCCACAGCAGGTATTCAAGATATTAATTTAATACCACTCTTTCCCCATACTTTGATGATGCCTATTCAGTTTGGATTCTGGATACATTTGATTTTATTAATTCTGTCATTCAATCTTGATCTTCATCCTCTAACTCTTAAGACATGACATTTGGGCATGTTCTGTCTTATAAATGTATACCTTAGCTTTATTTTATAGACATTCTCTTGATCATTCACTCATTTCCTGGATTTCACCATTATCTCTATCTTGAAACCTTGACTATAGTCCCATCCTCACAACATACAGCACCCATTCAGGGCAGCTAGGTCTCTCTGGTAATGGTGAGAATCATACATTCTACCTGAGTTCTAGTCATTCTTCTTTCATGCCCATATAATAGACATGAAATTACCAGTAAGAATTTTGGGAAGAGATCATACGGTTCTTTATACAGGTAATGTGCAGATCTAGTGATAAGAAGAAAAATGGTTTGGACAGTAAATATGGCAACAGCTTTTATTTACATCTCTAGATCTTTCTAGTTTTCTAAATAAAAACATGATTATAAACCATCTTGAAAACTGGGTTTTCATTGCTAAATATTACTACATGTTGACCTGCATCCTATTGCTGAAATGTCCTCCCATCTCTTTGATTATTGTTTAAATTCTACTGATTCTTCAATATTTCTTTACCAAGCTGTAGGCCAGTTGGAGTTTGTTGTGATTGTATCTTTGTCATATATGAATCCCTGACCAAAGGCCTCTTCTCCTTTGTCTTTGAGAAATATCAAGATGAGAAATTTGATAAGGGAAGAAACATCTAAATATACTACAAAATGGAGTTAAATCTGCTAATCAATATCATGATAGAAATCCTGCCAGATCCTCTTCCCAGTGCTTTGAATTTTGGTAATATAAAGGAAGATCAAGAATTTCTATATAGTTGGGATGACTGAGATAAGGTGAAATGGGGTAGGAGAATATGAAAGAGACTTGGCTTAGAGCTGGATTTACATAGAAAGCATACTTCTTAACACTAAAGTTTAGTTTTTAGAGTAGTAAACTGATGGACACTATCAGGTAGGAGAGATATAAAGTTTTTCACTGGCTCTGAGGTACCCTTTGTGGCTACTACTGAAGTAATTTTAATAGAGTTGAAAATTGAGAGCTTGTTTAATCTCATTACATAGAGCTACATGTGGTTGGCTCAGCATTTCCTATAAATTATTGGGATTATTAACAATCTCCCTTGCGCAAAAAATAGATTTGAAGTCTTAAGTAATCTTGTGTTATTCAAAACATGAGGACAAAACTGCAGAAATACACATATGACATTTAATTGTCTGTAGCTCATATCCCAGATTCTAACAATAAGATATTAAAAATCTATTTCCTGCATAAATGTCTTCTTTTGTGCAGGAAATAGATTTTTAATATCTTATTGTTAGAACCTGTGCAGCCAAAAAACACATGAAAAAATGCTCACCATCACTGGCCATCAGAGAAATGCAAATCAAAACCACCATGAGATACCATCTCACACCAGTTAGAATGGCAATCATTAAAAAGTCAGGAAACAACAGGTGCTGGAGAGGATGTGGAGAAATAGGAACACTCTTACACTGTTGGTGGGACTGTAAACTAGTTCAACCATTGTGGAAGTCAGTGTGGCGATTCCTCAGGGATCTAGAACTAGAAATACCATTTGACCCAGCCATCCCATTACTGGGTATATACCCAAAGGACTGTAAATCATGCTGCTATAAAGACACATGCACACGTATGTTTATTGCAGCACTATTCACAATAGCAAAGACTTGGAACCAACCCAAATGTCCAACAATGATAGACTGGATTAAGAAAATGTGGCACATATACACCATGGAATACTATGCAGCTATAAAAAATGATGAGTTCATGTCCTTTGTAGGGACATGGATGAAATTGGAAATCATCATTCTCAGTAAACTATCGCAAGAACAAAAAACCAAACACCGCATATTCTCACTCATAGGTGGGAATTGAACAATGAGATCACACGGACACAGGAAGGGGAACATCACACTCTGGGGACTGTTGTGGGGTGGGGGAAGTGGGGAGGGATAGCTTTAAGAGATATACCTAATGCTAAATGATGAGTTAATGGGTGCAGCACACCAGCATGGCACATGTATACATATGTAACTAACCTGCACATTGTGCACATGTACCCTAAAACTTAAAGTATAATAATAATAAAATAAAATTTTAAAAAAATCTCTTTCCTATTTGAAATCAAGAGAAATCTCAGAATCAGGGAAGCCCAGGTGCATCGCTTTTTTTCTTTTTATGAATTTAAGTAAACATTAATCCAAGGAGGATTGTGCCTAGGTAAGTGGAGGCAAAGTTTGGTTCTGAATGCAGAATTTTCTATCTGAGTTATTCCTGGATGAAATCTCTCTGAGGAATAGGCACTATGGTATTATATTTCCTAAGTTTATAACTCACAAGTTGCTGAGTGCGTATGGTTAAAACCCTGTTATTTTATTTTATATTTATTTATTTATTTATTTTTTTTGAGATGGAGTCTCACTGTCACCCAGGCTAGAGTGCAGTGGTACAATCTCGACTCACTGCAACCTTCATCTCCCGTAAATCCCATTCCTTTAAAACATAACCAAAAACTATGCACTAACAGCACAAAAGGGAGATTTCAATCTAAAGAGAAGTATGTATTATTTTCTTTCATCTAAAAGTTACTAAGAAAATAAGGGCAAGATGTTATATTACATGTTTGAGATCTTGAACCACATTTATGCATTAAGTATGAGAACTTCAGAAATATCATAAACCAAACTTATAAGTAGGATTGCTTGAAAGCATAAATGCTAAAGCTTGAACTGTCAATGCATATGCTCCCTAGGCATTTTCAATAAATATTAATTTATTAATAACCTATAATATTCTTTTTAATGCTGATTTAGTTAATATCCTTCTCTTTGTTATACAGCAGGATAGAAGGAGAAAGTATTCTATTTAATATTAAATTTTATTGTTAATGTGGAACTCCATACATTATAATCCATGAATAACTAATATAGTAAGCTGGAGAAATTTATTTTACATTTGTGAATGAGTATTTTCCTAGTCATTTGGTCTTGCTCTTAGTGGTTTTATTCAATTTTGCCCATTAAAGAAGGAATAAAGTTGTAGTTATATCAGCAAGATGGTAGAAAAAGATATTTCAGAGCTCATCCACTGGCAGAAACATCACTTTGAACACTATCTACCCATGAAAATCCCTTTACACTAGCTTCGGGAATCCAGATGAGAGAGTACAGTACCTGGGTGGAACACAGAAATAAGAAAATATGCATTAAGTAGGGTATGAAGGACAGTTTCACTTATCCACATTATCCCTCCCCAGCCCCAGACAGCATTGCATGAAGAGATACCATACACGATGAGGGGGACGGGGTGAAGTGAGCACCAAACTTTGCATGGACCCCAGCACCACACCTGCCCCAGAGAACCCCAATATTAGGCCAACCTCATGGCCCCAGGCTCCAGGCTGGTCCCCGTGGCCCAAGGATCCAGTCCTGCTCTGTGGACTCAAACACCAGGCCTGTTCCAGTTCCAGGCCTACCTCTGAAGTTTGTAGTCTTGCCTTTGTAGTCTCAGGCTCTAAACCTGCCAAATCATCAGGACATTCCTGCAATCCCAGGCTCCAGGCCAGTACCCCACTGGACCCAGGGTCCAGGCCTGTTCCTGCAGTCCCAGACTCCAGGCCTGTACCAGCTGACATGAGACCCAGTCCTGCCCCTTTATTTTCAGTCTCCAGGTCTGTCCTAGGAGACCCAAAACTCAGGCCCATCCTCATGGACTCAGTTACCAGGCCTACCCCTGCAGATCAAGGGTCCAGGCCCACCTGATGAACTCAAGACCCATGTCTGCCTCAGTAGACCGAGGTTCTAGGCCAGCCCCTATACATCCAAGCACCAGGTTGGTCTCCTTGGACATAGGCACCAAGTTCAACTCTGTGGATTCAAGCTCCAGGACTGCTCACTTACTGACCCTGGCACCAAGCCAACCTCTTCAAAGACTCCAGTATCAACCCCACACATAGGCCCCACTAGTTGGCTTATCCAGTACCTCTGGATGGACTTACTGGTGGAAGACGTTCTCTACAGAAGCCAGTCCATAAAGACTTTAAGAAGTATCCACCTTTTCAAATGTGCAGAGACCAATGCAAGGCCACAAAAATTATGAATAATCAGAGAAACATTACATCACCAAAGGAACAAAATAATACACCAGTTACTGACCACAAAGAAATGGAACTCTACAAACTGCCTGACAAAGAATTCAAAATAACCATCATAAAGAAGTTTAGTGAGCTACAAGAAAATACAGAGTGACAAACTAGAGAAATCAGTAAAACAGTACATGGAAATGGAAACACAACATATCAAAACTCATGAGATGGAGCAAGAGCACTTATTAGGAGAAAGTTTATTGCATGAAGTGCCTAGATTAAGAAAAATTGTACATGGACAAAATTAGAAATTCAGCAAAGAGAAACCATAAAAAATAACCAAACAGATGTTCTGGTCTGAGAACACAATGACAGAACTGAAAAATTCAATAGAGAGCTTCAACAACAGACTAAATCAAGCAGAAGAAAAAATTATCAAACTGAAAGACAGATAATTTGAAAGTATGTAATCTGAAATATATAGATATATATATATATGTGTGTGTATGTATGTATGTATGTATTATGGGAGCTCCAGGAGGAGCAGAAAATGATAAAACAGCAGAAAACGTATTTAAAGCAATAAGACAGAAAACTTTCTAAATCTGGAGAAGTGACATCCAGATCACTAAGCATAAAAACTGAGATATATAAATGTAAAGAATTATTTAATGAGACACATTAGGATCAAACTGTCAAAAGTCAAAGACAAGAGAATTTTGAAAGCAGCAAGAAAAAAATGACTCACTACACGCAGACTCTCTTCTCCTCCCCATAATACTATAAGTAAATTTCTCAGCAGAAACCTTGCAGATCAGGAGAGAGTGGGCTAATATCTTCAAAGTGCTAACAGAAAAAAAAAAAAAAACCTTGCCAACCAAGAATACCATACCCACCAAAGCTGCCCTGTAGAAATGAAAGAAATATAAAGAGACTTCCACAAACAAAAGCTGTGAGAGTTTATCACCACTAGACCTGCCTTATAAGAAATGCTAATGAGAGTTCTTCAAGTTGAAGAACTTCCAAGATGCTCACTAACAACATGAAAACATGAAAGTATAAAACTCATTGCAAAGGTAAGAATATAGCCAAATTGAAAGTACTCTAATACTGTAACAGTGGTGTGTAAACCACTTTTAACTCTATTCTAAAAGTTAAAAGAAAAAAATATTAAAAATAACTATAACTGCAATAATCTGATAATAGATACATAATATATAAAAGATGTACATTGTGATGTCAATAACATAAAATGTGAGGGAAAAGAAGTTAAAATGTAGAGCTTTCGTATTCAAAGTTAGGTTATCAGCTTAAAATATACTTCTATAACCATAGAGGTTTTATATAAGCCTCATGGTAGCCACAAAGAAAAAAACCTGTAGTAGACACACTAAAGGTAAAGAGAAAGGAGCAGAAGCATGCCAATACAGAGAATTACAAAGGAAGAGGGCAGGAGCCAAAAAAAAAAAAAAAAAGGAAAAATAGTCAGAAAACAATTAACAAAATAGCATCAGTAAGTCCTTACCTATTAATAATTACCTTGTATAAAAAGATTACATTCTCTAATCAAAATACACAGAGTGGCTTAATGGAAAAAAACAGCAATAAGATCTTACTATATGCTGCCTCTAAAGAGACTCACTTTAATGACACACAGACTGAATGTGAAGGTATGAAAAAATAGATTTTATGCAAATGGTAACAAAAGAGATATTCTCCAGGATACACTATGTTAGTACACAGAACAAGTCTTAAAAAATTTAAGAAGATTGAAATCATGTCAAGTACCTTTACTGACCACATTGATATAAAATTAGAATAACAGGAAAGAAAACTGAAAATTTGCAAATGTGTGGAAATAAAACAACACATGACTAAACAACCAATGAGCAAATCAAAAATCAAAAATAAAATACAAAATATATTTAGGCAAATGAAAATGGAAGCACAACATACCAAAATTTACAGGATGCAGCCAAAGCACTCCTGAGAAGTAAGTTTATAGCATGAAGTGTCTGCATTAAAAAAGAATACAAATCTCACATAAACAATCTAACTTTACACCTCGACAAACTAGAAAAAGAACAAACTAAGACTAACGTTAGCAGAAGTAAGAAATTGAAAATGACACAAATAAATGGAAAGATATTCCATGTTTATGCATTGGAATAATTAATGTTAACATGTTCATACTACCCAAAGCAATTTACATATTCAATGCAATCTCATTCAGAATTCAAAAGGCATTTTTGACAGAAATAGAAAAAATTCTGAAAAGACCCTGACTAGCCAATGCAATCTTGAGAAAAATAACAAAAGCTGGAGGCATCACACTATCTGATTTTAAATTGCACTACAAATCTATAGTAATCAAAATAGCATGATATTGGCATAAAAACAGACATATAAATCAATGGAATAGAATCTAGAGTCCAGAAATAAAACCACACATTTATGGTCAAATGATCATCAATAAAGCTACCAAGAAAGGCTAGTCTCTTCAATAAATGGTGTTGGAAAAACTGGATATCCACATGTAGAATAATAAATTTGGAGCCTTATCTTATGCCATACAAAAAATCAACCCAAACTAGATTAAAGACTTAAAAGCAAGACCAGAAACTAAAACTACTAGAAGAAAACATAGGAAAAATGCTTCATGACATTGATCAGGGCAATGATTTTTAGATGTGACTCCAAAGAAAAGTAAAAATAGAAAAATGGGATTGCTTCTAACTAAAATGCTTCTGAGTAACAAAGGAAACAATAAGCAAAATGAAAAGGCATCCAATGAAATGAGAGAAAATATTTGCAAACTATACATCTGATAAGGGCTTAATATTCAAAATATATAAAGAACTCATACAACTCATTAGCGAGAAAACAAATAATCAAATTAAAAGTGGGGTAAGTTCCTGATAGACAGTTCTCAAAAGAAGACATACAAATTAGTCAACAGGTATATGAAAAAGTGCTCAGTATCACTAACCATCATGCAATTACTTTTGCACCAACATAGTTGTACTCAAAGGCAAAACCACCTCCAATTTTTTGAATGATTTTTTTCTTAATATTCTATTTCTTAGTTTCTCACTTATAGACATTTTCTATTTATTTTAATTCTTTTACATGCCTTTTACATGATTGTTATTTTATTAAAAATTTTATTTTCCTTTAGTTATCTTTCAGTCGTTCTATAAATTAAAAAATTTTTGCTCTCATATTTTAAGAGTTTTCTTGCTCTCTGATTATTCCTTTTTCATGGCATACAGTACTTTTTTAATGAATGCAAAATATCCTATTAATCCTCTGAAAATTTCAATCATAGCTTTAATAAGCTTTTGTTCTGAACTCTACATGGTAGATACAATTCTTAGGGGAATCCCAAGTTTTTTGTCCAATGTTGTACATATATATTTTCTCCGTTTTCCAATCAAACATTCTCTAGGTACTGCTGTGATTAGGTTTGAGGATATAATTAAGGTCATAAGTCAGCTGACTTTAAGGAAAAATTGTCCTGGGTGAACCTGACCTAATTACGTGAGATTTTTGAAAGGATCAAGTTCCTCCTGGTGAAAGATTTAAAGAATGAATGAGATTTTATTCATGGGAAGTTCTTCATTGCTAGCTTTGGAGATGAAAGAATGCCACATGGCAAGGTATGTAGGCCATGAGGATAATCTTGAGTTGCTAACAGCAACCATTGGCAGACAGCTGGCAAGAAAATAGGAACTTCATTTCAGAAACCACAAGGAACTAAATTTTTTCAACAATCTAAGTAAGTTTGGAAGCAGGTTCTTCCCTAGAGCATCCAGACAAGAGCCCACTCAGGATGACATCTTGACTTCAGCTTAGTGGAACACTGAGCAAAGAACCTAATCATGCTATTCCTGATCTTCTAAGACCTATAAAAGTGTGAGCTGAAATGAGTGCTATTTAAGCTGCTAAGTTTGTGGTAATTTGTTACACAGCAGTAGAAAACTAATACACTCTGCATTATTTCTTTATTCTACATTCTTTTTTTTGTTTGTTTTGACTTCTATATTTCTTATTGCTAATTTTTTCAATTATCTTACAATCCATAATGATTTATTTGTATGTAAGTAAGTTCATGGTATTAGAAAACTGATGAGGCATTCTGCATACATGCATTTGACAAAATTCCATGTCAGTAGCAACTGAGGTCTTTTCTGTGAAGCCTGGAAAGGTATATGGTGAGTTGCAGGTGTTACGGAACTAGGGATGCATAAATAGCCCAGGAGATTTAGTGTTTACAATGTGGAATTTTTATTAATACACTTACCCTCTGTTCCACACTTCACCTCCACCATCCACTATGCTTGGTTCTCCTCTTTAGGAGTTTCTTCCATTCAGTTATTCCAGCAAATAACCCTCCAGTCTGCTGCTGGATTTGTGATAACCACTCTTTATACTGACTTTTAATCATTTCCCAGTTTCTTAGTTCCACTTTCTTTAGTATCTGAAGCTTTGAAGAGTTCAGGTTTTCAGGGGTTGAGGTAGCAAACAGGATAACTTCTCAGAGCTTTGCAGCCTCTTCTTTAACTCAGTTACCACTCCTCAATTCACTTTATTTCTTCCAAATTTGTTTGCAATCACTTGTCCATGGATGTTTCCTTTTCTATTTTCTTTGTCTTCATGTGTCCATTTCATTTAAAGTATCTATGCTGTCATTTAAAAGGACTTCAGGAAAGAGAGAATATAAATGCATACAGTCAGTCTTTTTAAACTAGAAATTCTCTTGATTTTATTTTTATTTATTTTTGCTTAAGAAGGGAATTTTACTTAATAAAAGGAATTAGAATCCCTCGATGAACCCCAGGGCAGGAGCTACAACTAGGACTGTCAAAGTATGAAAGTAAGGAATAAAAATCCTCAGAAACCAAAGAAAACATTTATTAGTATTTTTCAAAAATAATTTTATAAGAAAGATCGGCCTATAGTTTTTCCTTTTTACAACTACTTTGTCATTAAAAATCATGATTATGTGTGCATAAAATGAATTGGGAACTCATTTTCTATGTGCTGGAAAAGTTTATGTAAACATCAGTCTTCATTTTTACTCTAGCAGTTGGTAGAATTCATTAGTAAAGTCGTTCGGGCCTATTTCTTTCTTTTTTTTTTTTTTTGTCTTCAAGCATCTGTTTAACAAAGCACATCTTGCACCGCCCTTAATCCATTTAACCCTGAGCTGACACAGCACATGTTTCAGAGAGCAGGGGGTTGGGGGTAAGGTTATAGATTAACAGCATCCCAAGGCAGAAAAATTTTTCTTAGTACAGAACAAAATGGAGTCTCCTATGTCTACTTCATTCTACACAGACACAGTAACAATCTGATCTCTCTTTCTTTTCCCCACATTTCTCCCTTTTCTTTTCGACAAAACTGCCATCGTCATCATGGCCCGTTCTCAATGGTCGCTGTCTCTTCGGAGCTGTTGGGTACACTTCCCAGACGGGTGGGCCTGGCAGAGGCGCTCCTCACTTCCCAGACGGGGCGGCCGGACAGAGGCGCTCCTCACTTCCCAGACAGGGCGGCTGGGCAGAGGTGCTCCCCACCTCCCAGACGGGGCGGCCGGGCAGAGGTGCTCCTCACCTCCCAGACGAAGAGTGGCCCGGCAGAGGCGCCCCTCACTTCCCAGGCGGGGCAGCCAGGCAGAGACGCCCCTCACCTCCCAGACAGGGTGGCGGCCAGGCAGAGGCGCTCCTCACTTCCCAGACGGGATGGCAGCCGGGCAGAGACGCCCCTCACCTCCCAAACAGGGCGGCTGGGCAGAGGCGCTCCTACCTCCCAGATGGGGCAGCCGGGCAGAGATGCCTGTCACCTCCCAGATGGGGTGGCTGGGCAGAGGCGCCCACTTCCCAGACGGGGCGGCCGGGCAGAGGTGCTCCCCACCTCCCAGACGAAGGGCAGCTGGACAGAGGTGCTCCTCACTTCCCAGGCGGGGCGGCCGGACAGAGGTGCTCCTCACATCCCAGACGGAGCAGCAGGGCAGAGGTGCTCCCCACCTCCCAGATGGGGCGGTCGGGCAGAGGCGCTCCTCACCTCCCAGACGAAGAGCGGCCCGGCAGAGGTGCCCCTCACTTCCCAGGCAGGGCAGCCAGGCAGAGACGCCCCTCACCTCCCAGATGGGGCGGCGGCCGGGCAGAGGCGCTCCTCACTTCCCAGATGGGGTGGCGGCCGGGCAGAGATGCCCCTCACCTCCCAGACGGGACAGCCAGGCAGAGGCGCCCACTTCCCAGACGGGGCGGCCAGGCAGAGGCGCTCCCCACCTCCCAGACGGGGTGGCCGGTCAGAGGCGCTCCTCATTTCCCATTCAGGGCAACTGGGCAGAGGTGCTCCTCACTTCCTCCCAGACGTGGTGGCCGGGCAGAGGCACCCCTCACCTCCCAGACGGGGCAGCCAGGCAGAGGGGCTCCTCACATCCCAGACGATGGGTGGCCAGGCAGAGATGCTGCTCACTTCCTAGACGGGGTGGCGGGCGGGCAGAGGCTGTAATCTTAGCACTTTGGGAGGCCAAGGCAGGTGGCTGGGAGGTGGAGGTTGTAGCGAGCGAGATCACGCCACTGCACTCCAGCCTGGGCAACATTGAGCATTGAGTGAGCGAGACTCCGTCTGCAATCCCAGCACCTCGGGAGGTCGAGATGGGCAGATCACCCGAGGCCAGGAGCTGGAGACCAGCTAGGTCAACACCGCGAAACACCGTCTCCACCAAAAATACAAAAACCAGTCAGGAGTGGGGGCGCATGCCTGGAATCCCAGGCACTCGGCAGGCCGAGGCAGGAGAATCACTGGAGCCCAAGGCAGGGAGGTTGCAGCGAGCCAAGATCATGGCAGTACAGTCCAGGCTCCACAAGAGAGGGAGACCGTAGAAGGAGGGAGACGGAGAGCTAGAAGGAGAGCGAGAGGCAGAGGCGGAGAGGGGAGAGGGGAGAGGGCCTATTTCTTTGTTGGAAGGTTTGAATTTGCAGGTTTGTAGTCTTTAATAGGTATAGAACTATTAAGTTTTTTTATTCTTTATTATCTTTTAGTAGGTAGCATGAAAGCATTTATGCATTTCACTTAAACTTTCAAAGTGACTGACAACATTGTTTGTACTATTCTCTTACTTTTAATGTCTGTAACATCTCTGATGATGTCTGCTTTTAATTCCTCACAATGCTTATTTTTCCATCCCTCTTTTTTCTCTTGATCAGTCTTGTCAGGGTTTGTCATTTTCGTAACCTTTGAAAAGATTAACTTTTGGCTTTCTTGATGCTATACTGTATATTTGTTTTCTGATTCATTAATTTCTGCTTTTATACTTATTATTTTCTTCCTTATAATTTGAGCTTAACAGCTATTTTATCCTAACTTTTGATATATGTTACTGTTTCTTGATTTTAAGCCTTTTTCTTGTCTAATATATGTATTTAAGGCTATGCCTTTTCCTCTAAGCATAGCCTCAGCTGCATCCTACAAATTTGTATATGCTATATTTTATAATTATTCAACTTAACAAAATTTCCAATTTCTATTGAGATTCCCTCTTTTATTCATATATTATCTAAAAGTATGCTAATTAATTTACCAAGAAATGGGAATATGGAGGTTTTCTAATTTTCTTTTCATTACTGATTTCTAGCTTTAGGTGTGACAAAACAAAAAATTTCCACATAGTCTCAATAGTTTGGGATTTGCTGATATTTACTTTATGGGCAGGTTTGGTAGATTATTTACCTCCTCACAGTTGAAAGAATGTGTGTTCTGCAGGGATTATCCAGTGTTCTGTATATGTCAATTAAATATAGTTTATTAATCAAGTTGTTCAAATTTTCTGGATCCTGATTTTTTATTGTGTGCTTGTCATATCAGTTGTTGAGAAAAATCTTACCAGTTTTTGAGAAAATCATGCGTAGTGACTGGGAATTTTATATTCTTCCTTTAATTTTGTTAATAATTCAAAATTTTATATATGTGTTGGGCTACTGTATTAGCTGCATCCATATTTAGAATTGTTATATCTTACTGGTGAATTTACCTTTTCATCATTTTAAAATGTTCTTCTCAGTTTATAGTATTGCTTCTTTCCTTAAAGTGTACTGTTACTTACTATTTCATTTAGTTTTCCATCAGATGGAACTGACTATTGTTTAATTGAGTGCCAAGCTGGCATTATTTGTAAAATTTATAGAAATAATTTGAGAGCAGAGTGATGGTCTTTTTATGCGGTTTAGTTTGTGCCTCACAACTAGAGACAAAAGGTATCACAGATATTAGGGTTTAAGATAATTTGGCATTTGTGCTAAGTTCTGTTGAACTCTGAGTCACTGTTATTTCTACTGTGTAGCCCTTTGGTGTTACAGCCTAAGGGAGAGGTTTTCACCAGGGCACTCCTTCTCTGTACTCCCTGGACTCCATTTTTGTCTTCCTATCTTCTCTTGGCTACCTCTTCGGGGAATGGGAGTCCTTGAATTCTGTGCTCAACTCTTTGGCTTGCCTTCTTGTGGATGTTGGCCCCCTAAATAGCTGATGCCTTGTGATATCTGATAAAGATTCTCTCCTTGATAAAACTTTAGCCAGCCCCCTCTGTGCTCCTTTTCAACTAGGTGTCAACCTTGGCCTTTAAAGACTTGAACAAAATACTAACATAATTTCCAACAGCTCAAGGCCACGTCCCTGTGATGACCCTAACACCTTTAAAGCATTTGCCTGAGAAAACCCAAGGCTGCTAAAAGAATTTACTTTTGTTCCATCCAGCTGACACCTGAAGATAGAGTCCTTGTCTCTGAGCCTTGGTGGATGAGTAGGAGCTAATTTTGCTAACTTCAGTAAGCATCAGTTAGCAAACACCCATGGGTTTTATATTCATCAACTCCTCTTTGCCCTTTTTATGATTTTTTACTTCCTTGATTCCACTGAGCTTTTGTTCACCCCTCTCCCTATTTTCACATTCCGCCTTTAAAAAGCTTGTTTATCTCTACAGATTGTAGTTGGGTTTAGTTCACGCTGGACTCTTTTCCTTATTACAATAATATATTGCTGATTAAAATCTGTTCTTACTGCTTTAACTGGTATCCTGCTTTATCTTTGAAACATCTATGAAGACTTCAAGTACATTAATGTGTGTGTGTGTTCCAAATTTTCTAGTTGTTTTTAGTAGGAGGATTGGTCAGAATAGACTTTTTTTTTTTTTTAATTTTCAGAAGCCCCTCCTCTTTTCACTCTTCAACCCACTCAATGTGGCTTCATTCAGCTGCCTTGTTAACATGCTATTGGCCGACATGTTCCCATGCTTGATTAATGCTTTCTTGAATCTCATCTTACTTAACCCTCAATAGCACTTGGCACCACTGAACGTTCTCTCCTTTTTGAAACATGCTTCCCTTTTGAGTTCTGTAACTCCACACTCTTATTTTTCCTTTTACCTCCCAGACATTGCCATCTCAGTTTTCGTTGCTGGCTCATTCTCTTCTACTTTACCTCTAAATGTTGGAGTTTTGCATAGCTTAGTCTTGATTCCTCTTCTCTTCTTTCCCTTTCTTTTTCTACATTCTCACCTAAGACAATTTTTTTATTCCTATAGTTGTAAATAACAAGTCAGAAACCTGAGATTTATCATTAATACCTTCTTCTTTCTCACTTCACGTCAACACCCATGGGTTTCACATGTCTCGTAGCTTCAACTTCCAAGATGTTTCAAATCTGGCTTTTTTTTCTCTATTTCTATTGGCACCATCCAACTCCAAGCTATAATATATTTATTTCCCATTTGAACTAAGGCAATACATTTCTAACTGATTTCTTTCCTTTGCCCTTTTTTCCCTTCAATTCGTTCTTCACATAGCAGCCAATTTTCTTTTTAAGCATGTAAATTAAGTCATGCCATTCATATGCTTAAAAAGCCCTCCATGACTTCCCATCACAGTGAGAATAAAATAAAAGTCTTGTGTTTTTGGTGTCTGTATCTGCAAGAAAATGTGTTTGGCTCCTAAAACAGAGATTTGACCATGATATTTAAATAGATCAAGTGTTTTTTCCTCTCATATAAAAGAACTGTAAAAGGGTTTATCCAGTATTGGTTTTATGGCTCCACAAAGTCATGAGGAACTCTGGCTCCTTCTGTTGTTCTGTTCTGCCATTCTTAGCCCTGGCTTCAATCCTCAATGTTGCCCCATGATCATAAGATGGGCTGATGGACCCCCAGCTATCACCTTTATTTTCCATGGGAAGAAAAGAAATGATAAGGTACAACAAAAGTAACTTCAGTTCTTTACTTTCCTTTGCAGAAACTTTTCTAGAAGTTCTTACCCAGAAAGTTCTGCATATGTCTCCTTCGGTAAAACCTAATTATATATTCACATCTGTATTCAAAGGAGACTAAGAAAAATAATATATTTTATTTCAGTAAATTTCCAACTTCCAGAAAAATCAGGCTTCTCTTATAAGGGAGAAGAAGAGAATTAACTTCGAATAGGCTACTACCGGTCTCTACCACAACAACCTAAATCATCTCACCATTGGCTCCTTCTCCCAATCCTATGACAATCTCTTTCCTGTTTATCACATTCTGGCTGTGCAATCCTTTGTGACTACTCTGTCTAAATTAAGGTTATCTTGTTCATCTCCATCATCACAATCTTTTATCCTTCCTTATTTAAGAGATACTCAGGCAATACCTCTCAAGAGTCTTTGCTCTTAATGTCTGGGCTACACAGGTTACATTCAGTAAAGTTCAGTACATTCAGTACAGTTATTTCTTCATATTAATTTATTTGTTTTAAAATCATTGATTATATTTATGAATTACCAGGGTAAATAATCATTCTATGTGTTATTCAAATAACTATATGGAGCAAGAGAATACTAAATTATAATCTCAGCTAAATTTCTAGTACTGTAATTAAAAAAATCAGAACTTTTTTCCAGAGTATAACTATGTTATACCTGTAAGCACCAAGTACTTACTTTTTAGAGCTTTACTTTATATTCAACATTAGTCTACTAGGCTAATGTTTACTATTCATTATCAAGCTTATTCCTGGCTCTTTTGTTATTCTAGTCACTAAGTCTGTGTACTAGTAAGAAACAGAGCATTTAGTTTGCAATTAAATGCAGACATTTAGGCCAGAAAGGAAGATTTTGCCTTGTTGGGAAATTCAAAAAACAGAAAGTAGGTCTTTCATTGTGTGACAACATCAAAGAAGTTTTAAAAAAGTGGGGTATAAGGTAGAAGATAGGCATAAGAATAGAACTTTGTATTTATATGGCTTTAACGTTTAGAGGTATTCTTAACCTGTTTTGTTTCACTTTCAGTCATTATGGCTGAAATTTTTGTCATTTGCAAGTAAGAATTGTTATCCATCCTGTTCAGGATCATATATTTAGTGGCAGCATCTGTTTAAGGTCTGGACACAGTCTGACATTAAAAATGACAACAACAATAACAAAAAACGTAGGAAATAAAACTCAAATTAGGATGTGTTCACTTCTGTTCCTTCAGTCTTTCATGTATTTCTTCTCATTCTATAATCCATAGTCAACCCAGACACAGTATGGGATAGAGGCCCAGAAAGCAGGCACAAATATACCGAATCCTAGCACTTAGGTTCTCTCCTCAGAGTCAAGCACTTCCCAGAGTGTGAAGAGGAGAGCTACATATTTCATATCGTAAGCTAGTGGTCTCTGTATCTCTGGGAAGGGTGTAAATAGGGGGTTGGAAAAACTACCTCTGTGCCCTTAGAGTACTGTCGTGGGTCCTCCTGCCCTTTGCATTTTGTCAAAGTGCTTGCTTATCAACACCTCCTGTCCTTTGCAAAGGGGGAGAGGATGGTGGTGATGGGGGAGCCAATTATGGCAGCTTCTCGCTGCAGTGCGCAGAGTGGCTGAGTTGTCATTCATTACCGCCTAATGTTTAGCTGCAGTGTGCAAACCAACAAGGCTGCTGCGAGGAGTCGCAGCTGAGAAGGGAACGCCTGACAGAGGCAATAAACACCTTCTTCTTCAAGAGGTGCCACTGCAGGGTCATAGAATTTGCATGCGGCTCCAGTTGTGCCTGGAACTCAGGTTATTAATTATTATCCAAATTACCCCCCTTGTTACCTCCAAGCTCTCATTATAGCTGCAAATACGGGTATGTTCAACTCCCGCCCCACTGCCCCCATATATTATGCCACCACTTTGTTACATAACTACCAAGAGCAGGAGCCCATCGGAGGGACTTTAAACAAAATAAAAGCTCTGCCGAGGAGTGCTTTCTCTTTGTTTGGCTGAAAGAGGATGGCAGTAATGTAAAACACCTTCATACTGAAATCCAACATCCATACTCATCAAGTGGACTTAGATTTTCAGATTATCTTCTGTCATTTTGTCACAATGCATTTGCTTTGCAAAGGGCAGCATCAGTGGGGGATGCTGTTACCCACGTTCAAAATCAGGTCCTGCTGCAAATGGAAATTAGAGGCATCTCAGAAGCAAGAGTTTAACCTGATCATTGTTGTTTATCGAGGCCCATATAGTGCCTTTCACAAACCTCAGAAGCTTTATGGAATTCTGACTGACCCCATAACTCTGCCTGCTGGTGAAACATGGCTGCCCTTGCTGCAGGACTCATCTCTTTTGTAAAATCACCAGCAATCCAACAATAAATGATTTGCTTTAGAATAGTGGGCTGTCTCCTTGCCCTCATGACCTCCCTTCCTCTCCTAGCATCTAAGAATAGTCTCCACCTAGTTAGCCTGGTCCATATCCCAACTCCAGAGGATGTGCCAAGAAATCCAAACTGCCTGTACACCCTTATGAACTTCACCTCTTTTACTTGCAAATAGATACAACTATATAATTAATATTTATATCAGTACAAACTCATTCTTCAATATGCAACTAGTGGATACTGACTTTTATACTAAGCTGAAGCAAATATGATGATGTGGATGTAACCTTTAGTACAATGCTTAGTAGCTCCATAAATGTTGCTATCATTATTTGAATTAGTTTTCATAAAAAATATAACTAGTTGCTGACAAAATTTCTCAAACAAAAGCCATTACATGGAAAACTGTGCTTCTGTTATCTGTTAATTATTATTTCCATTGTCCCAAAGTAGGATTTTCAGAATGGGTATCTCTCCCAGCCTTCACTTTCTCTTTCTCTGTATAGTGTTTGTGTGTGTATGTGTGTGTGTGTTGTGCATGAAAATATACTCTATGAAAGAAACTTCTGGCTCAATAACTATTTGTATGATTTGCTCGGGATTCTGTCATTATGCCAGCTGAACCTGACTCGCCACCAATCAATGCAGCAAAATGGTGAACATTTGTCCATTTTATTGGATGGTGGGCAAGGAAGACTGTCTCAACAGATAGAGTCAACATTTATGAGTGTTTGGATTTCATGAAATTATGTCTTATCCATGAAATATCTTTGCCTCTTGAGTACTTAGAAAAAAGTTCTCAGCTCCTGTGTATGTTGAAACTTGGAGGCACCAATTGAGGGCTGAAGTATTTTAATAAGGAGGTGATTACTTTTTCTTATGTTGTAAAATACACACCTTGAGACTGGAAGCCAGCAAAGGCTTTCAAGCATCTTAAGTTTTGCTCATTGAAAAAGGGAAAGCAGAAGTATTAGTAGAGCACCAACTGTGGGCCACCCACCTCACAACAATCCTCACAATACCTTTACAGGCAGGTATTATTCATTTATTACAGCTAAAGGCTGTGAAATGAAAAATGGCCAAAAATCATTTACAAATTGACAGAGTGAGAAGAGTGTGGCTTTAGCCTTAGAGCTAACCCACAAAGACTATGTTCTTTGTCACGCTACAATATTTCTTTGGTGAGTGTTATGCCTCATAATACTCAGACTGCAAATGCTCAAACATCTTTGTAAATCTCTCTTTGAGAATATCCTTAATAGCGCTTTCCTCGGTTAAAGAAATCATCAGCATTATTACAATATCACCACATCTGCTTTTTGACCCAGAAGGAAATTATTCACTTTGCCAGACTTAGTTCTAAACACCTTTTGCTTGTTTTTAGAAATTAAAATCACCATGAAAGTGTCAAAGTTTGCTCCACTGAATATATCTAGTTTCTAAATAAATCAAAAACAATTCCAAAAGGGAACACTACAATGTTTTAAAATGGCAGCATCTATGAAATGAATATACAACTCAATTGTGTGGCCACATGCAGCCCCCCTTACATCTTGCCTTGCTCTTACTGCTGGTCATTTATCTATCCTATCTCATCTTGTTCTAACTTTCTTCCTGAAGGAGAAAGAGCTCCAGTGTGTACAAAAAACAAAGTGGAGGACATAGAGAAACTTTGTGGCTGTTGTTCCCCAAAGAATAGGGTTTGATTATCCCCACACCCAGGCCTGGGAGACACAATAAAGAAATCTGGAAGTTAGCTCCCTCTCTTTTCCTCATGCTCTTCTACACCCATCATAGTGAGGTGGAGCCATCGGAGTGGTAAGGTGGAACTGAGATTTCTGCCTTGTGCCATCTTCAAGCACCAATTCCAGTTTTTGGTTATTATGGCCTAGTGTCAGCTCTTTTTGAGAAATAAAGAGAGTAGTTGCTCAAACCAAGGAATATAGAAGAGGAGAAAGCTCAGTGGGTGTGGAGGAGCATCTTGAAACAGCCTAGGAAAGCTGTTCTCAGTAGTAACAAATGACAACAGGACTAAGTAAACTCTCCTTGAGATCCTCAGAAGCACTTGAGAAAGGCACTGAGCTTCCTGACGGCAGCAAAAACAGGAAATTGAATGATGATCTTTAGGAAATTATAGACAAAGTGCAACTTGGCAGGCAGGAGAACTTGGGGATATTTGAGTTTTGTAAATAGACATCGAGATAGTTTTGAAAATAGACAACAAATTCTATCATGTTAATTTAAAAATGTTAAAAATTAGCATTTTATATTCACAGATCTTACAGCTCTGCTGGGCCCATTAATCTCCTTTACATATAGTAGATAATGTACAAAAGAGCTCTTATCACACTGATTGACACCTAGTAAAAGTTTAATATCTGGCAACTTTTATTGAAATTGTGATATTTGCAGAATTGTAGTAAATCAGAGAAATGCCATAAGTCTAGATGAGCAACTACTATTTTGATTCCTAAAAAGAAAAGGAAGATGAATTTCATAAATCCTGAGAAGGCTGGCATTGACCCTAGCAAGTTGTTATGGTGTATAGTTTGTAGGCATCTAGAAGTGGTAGCGGTAATGATTAAGGACTTAGGCAGTATTGCGCTCACAAAGAACAAATCATGCCAGACCAGCACCATTTATTTCATTCATAGTATTATTATTAGATGGCTGTATTAGGGAAATGAAATAGGCCTAGTGTAGTTGGATTTCAGCAGGGCACATAACAAGCTCCTTCATGCTACTCTCTGGACAGGAAGAAATATGAACTGGGCTTAAGGTAAGTAAATTAGAAACTTTGCAAATGACTATATCCAAAAGGTAATTAACAAATTATCACAAATTTGAAGGAACTGTGAGCAGCGCCTAATAGAACACTGTCCTAATCAAACTTTTGATCACTGATGTGAATGGAGCAGCTTTGAAGAAACTATTTTATCATTTGTCCAACATGCTGTATCTTCAGGATATTTTTAATTCCTATGGTGTATGGAGTGTATTTGGCTCTTTTTTCTCTTCCTTCTCTCTTTTCCTCTTCACATTCTGGAAAGGATAGAAAATGTGATAGTAACAGGATCCATATCCCAGAAGATCATTTGTTATCTAATGTTTTGTCCTGCTGTCATGTAACTGATAAATTTTACATACAGGAAACTCCTCTGTGGATATATTCAGATCCTCATTAACCTAAAAAAAATGTTGTAGAGAAATAAAACACATAATAATTTGTTAATTGCCAAATTATGATGCGTTGAGAAGGCTTGAATAAGATGTGAGAATCCATGGCAGGGCACATTATTGGACACCTCTTTAAACTGATATATTCTTTACATATTTGTTCAATGTTTATTTAGCACTGAATTCCATGTTGGGAGTATAGACTCAGAAGACCAGTTGTAATACCCCACACATTTTCTTCTATTCCCTGATTTGTTCAAGCCTGCTAACGTGTTTGCAGGATAAAAGTCCTTCAGTTACCTGGAATTATCCTTCTGAGAAGGTAATTTACCAATCATCTGCTGTTATACCCTACAAGCCTTCTATATCCTAATCAATACCTTGAAATAATCCTGTTAACCACATACATACTTTCTTTTGAAAACTGTATTGGTAGTGCCTTTCCAGTGATGTTTTAGGGCCTTCATAGATTAAAATCTTGAAAAACAGCAGGCTAGTAATCCAGCTCCATGCATCAGTAAGAGTTCCTTATTACCAAGTGACCATATAATTTATCATTCAAACTAGGACACTTTGGAGAGTGGAAGGAGGAGCTATTAATAATGTTGCAGTAACAGCAGAGGTCACATGGGACTGCCCCAGACCAACCAGGATGCAAGGTCATCCTACTCATAATGACTCACCTGCTGCAGAGAAAACAAAAGGTGACAGTTTAGGATGAATCCTTGGTCTTTTTCGTTGCAAGCCATTTTCAAACAAATCCAGAGTGTTCCTCTTCTATGAGGTCTTATACCTAGTGTGTGGCCATACCACCATGAACGTGACCAATCTCATCTGATCTTGGAAACTAAGCAGGTTTGGGCCTGGTTAGTACTTGCATAGAAGGAGCTCTTATAGAAAAACATACCTTCCTGAAAAACATACCCTTATTCCTAGATTTTTGGGGAAGTGCATCTCACTCTGAGTACAGCCACCTCCTTTGCTCTGCTCTCAGGGCAGGACGAAGCATAAGTTCCCATCTTGAGTCTTTTCCAAGGCAGGATAAAATACCGGTCCCTGTGTCCCTTGACCTCCAATGAACACAAGTCAAGTGTTCCAGGTCGTTCTCATTTAGACCCTTTCACCTGACTTGAGGTGAGGGGAACACCTCTACCCTCCTTATGCAGGCTGGAGGTGTGTGCTCAGTTTATGAACAGAGGGCCAGTTAATGGCTACTCCCTATGCAAAACCTACACAGAATGTCCGTAATCTCACTTTAAAATGCAGTTGTGTTTGAAATCTGTCATTTCACCTTTGACCTTAGAAGTCATTGCTTATGAAAATGTCCTGTAATTTCCTGTTATGCTTTTGTATTGTGCCAGCAACCTAAAACAAAAGTTCTTCTTAGAAATCATACCTAAAAATTTTCTTATGCAAATGTCTTTGATGACCCTATTCACTACTTCAAACACTATTCTTGGCAGACAGTGCTAGTTACCTATTCAGTTTCCAGTCTCTCTTTCTTCCCTGATGATGAAAAACTGATTTTATTTGGTGGGGTATTCAGCCTGGTTAAAAAAGATTCATCCTCAGACTTCCTTGAAAATAGATATTAACATGTGACCCTATTCTGTTCACTGAGATACGAGTGGCAATTACTGGTTGAGGTTTCTGAGAAAGCTTTTAAAAAGGACAAAGTTGATTCACACCCTTTTGCCTTGTGCTCTTTTCTCCTCCTTTCTGTCTGGCCTGCAGACATGATGCTTGAAGTACAGCTGCCATCTTAAGACCATAAAATCAAAACCACACAGTACAGATGGCAGAGCAGGAAGATAAGAGGGGCCCAGCTCACTGAATCATTGTCTTACTCTACAATGCCAATACTCGAACTTGTTACATGCTGCAACTAAATCTGTTATTCTGTAAACCACTTTCTGAGGGATTTTCTGTTGCTGGCAATTGAATTCGTTGTGTTTCTGACTGATAGAGTTCTCTGAGAATGCAGTATCTTTCTACCTGGAGTAAGGAGGAGGTAAAATACAACAATGCACATGCACACACACTCTTCTGAGAACAATGAGATGCTCCCCAATTATTTTCTCCAGCTCTCATAAAACTTGCCTGGGAGAGGGAGCAGCAGTAAAGACAGTAAAAATAAAAAGCTGTTTCTCTAAGATTTCCCTGATATGTGGAAATTACAAGACTGCCTTGTTTTGTATACTAAATCACAAGACATAACATCAAGGATTTCTTTCTCATGGAGCTATGGTTTGATTATGCAGGAATATGGAATGAATGTGTCCAACTGCACATTTACTCACTAATTCTATGATGGAGTATTTCCTCTGTGCCCAGGATAGCCAGAATGGAGAAGAGGCAGGAGAAAGCATCACACTGTGTGGCCTCCTTGGTCTGACAGCAGTTTTGATACCCCCAGGGCATATCACTAGCTTTTGAAATTAGTGAATTCATGGGAAGGGGTGTTTGTAAAAAAATGAAAAAAAATCTTTTAGGGTCCTGGCAAGCAGCATAAAGATGTGTGAAATGTGAAGTGACAGATATAAGACAATTGGTAATGGTGGGGTCTGTCAAACTAGAGAGGGCAAGCTGGCTTAAAGGATTGAGCCAGCATTTAAAAAATTCATTGCTAACTCCCCACCCCCTAAAGAAACATGTTGTATAGAGCTATCCAAAGAGAGATAAAAAGTTTTTCTTTCTGGGTTTATTGAGGATAGTTGCAAAAGGAGACAACAAAGGGGAAAACAGAAGCAAAATAATATAGCCAATATGTCTCTTGCTAGCTAAGGGAAATATTTTATGAGCCCTAAGAAACTGCTCAGGAACCCCAAGATTTAATTAGGGAATAACTGAGTAGGTCCTTAACTCTCATAATTGGTAGATACAAAGCCAAATAATGTACTTTTGTTATTATAATTATGTCTTCATTTTTATCTTCAACCTGATATAGCCCGGACATTTCTTGTTTCTGTGAATAGTTTTGCAGTTATGTTGATGGGTAATAAAGTACATTCATTTCAGGCACCATACATTTCAATCATCTTTGACCACATAGGACATGATCAATAAGTGTTTGTTGAACTAATGAAGGAAGCTTCAGTTGTGCCTGGTAATATTAGTGATGATGATGATAAAAGCTATGATAATACTAACAGTAAATATGATTTATTGAGTGATTATTGTGTATAAGACAGTATCCATGGATAATCTTTAAAGGTGACAAAACAGTGTTGAGGAGGAGTTATAAAAATTTGTGAAGCCAGCTTGAGGCAGAGCAGGATGGCTGAATAGAAGCCTCTGCTGATTGTCCTCCCTGCAGGAACACCAAATTGAACAACCATCCATACAAGAAAGCAACTTCATGAGAACCAAATATCAAGTGAGTGATCACACTACCTGGTTTTAACTTTATATCACTGAAAGAGGCACTGAAGAGGGTAGGACAGACAGTCTTGAATTTCCAATGCCACCCACCACCCCATCCACCTGTGGTGGCTGTGTAGCATGGATAAATAATCTATGTGCTTTGGGGAGTGAGAGTGCAGTATTGTGGGACTTTGCATTGGAACTCAATGCTGCCCTGTCACAGTGGAAAGCAACACTGGCCAGAACTTAGACAGTGCCCACAGAGAGAGCATTCAGACAGCTGTATCCAGAGTGGAATCAACCATCTTAGCAGTCAGAATGTGAGTTCTGGCAAGTCTTTCCATCACAGACCAAAGTGCTCTGGAATCCTAAATAAATTTGAAAGGTAGTCTAGCCACAAAAACTGCAGTTGCTGGGCAAGTCCTGGTGTTGTGCTGCATTTGGAGCCAGTGGACTTTGGGAGCATGTGACCTAGTGAGACACCAGCTGGGAAGGCCAAGGGAGGGCTCGCATTACCTCTTCCCCAACGCCAGGGACTGCAGCTTACAGCTCTGGGAGAACTCCTTCCTTCCACTTGAGGAGAGGAAAGAGTAAAGAGGACTTTATTTTGCAACTTGGATACCAGCTGAGCCCCAGTAGAATATAGCATTAGGCAGAGTCCTGAGGCCCCCATCTCAAGCCCTAGCTCCTGGATGACATTTCTAGACACACCCATTGCCCTGAAGGGAAAGACCCAGTCCTGGAAGGATTCACCATCTGCTGACTAAAGAGCCCTTAGGCCCTGAATAATCAGAAGTGGTACCCAGGCAGTACTTGCTGTGGGTTTTGGGTGAGAGTCAGAGAGTGCTAGCTTCAGCAGTGACCCAGCACATTCCCAGAAGTGGTAGGTATGGGGAGGGACCCCTTCTGCTTGAAAAAAAGAGAGGGAAAGTAAAGGGGACTTTTTCTTGCAGCTTAGTTATCAGCTCAGCCCCAGTGGGGTAGAATACCAAGGAGGCTCTGATTCTGGACCTTGACTCTTAGAAGAGATTTCTTGACCTGCCCTGGGGCAGACGGAAGACCACTGCCTTGAAGGGAGAATCACAGGCCTGGCAGCATTCACTACAAGCTGATTGAAGAGCCCTTTGGCTTTAAATGAACATTGGTGGTAGCCAGGCAGTACTTGCCATGGGCCCAGGGCAGTAGCAGCCACAGAGAGAGGCCCCTTTGCCTGTGAAAAGGAGAAGAAAGAGCGGCAAGGACTTCGTCCTATGGCTTGGGTGCCAGCTCAGCTGCAGTAGAATAGAGAACCAGGTAGATTCCTAAGGTTTTCAACTCCAGGCCCTTGTTCCCAGATGAGGGACCCACCCAGAGCCAGGGAAACTCACTGCCCTGAAGGGAAGGACACAAGGCTTACTGGTTTTGCCATCTACTGATTGTAGGGCTAGTACCTTGAGCAAACATAGGCGGTAGCCAGGCAATGGTTACTGCAGGCCTTAGGTGAGACCCAGTGGTGTGCTGGCTTCAGGTCTGACCCAGTGCAGTCTCAAGGGTGGTGGCCACATGGGTGCTTGTGTCACGCATGCCTCAGATCCAAGCAGCTCAGAAGAGAGAGAGGGAGACTCTGTTTGGGAAAAAGCAAGGGAAGAGAATAAGACTCCCTACCTAGTAATCTAGAGAGTTCTAGATTTTATCTAAGACTACCAAGGCAGTACTTCTATGGGTCTGTTAGAGACACAGTGTTATTAGGCCTGGGGTGCCCCCTAATGCAGTTACAGCTGCAGTGACTGAAAAATTATATTACAACACTGTAGTCCCCTTGAATAGCTGGAAAGCCTTTCCAAGAAGCATGGGTACAAACAAGCCAAGACTGCAAAGACTGCAATAAATACTTAACTGTTCAATGCTGAGACACCACTGAATAGCATCAAAACCATTCAGGAAATCATGACCAAACCAAGTAAATAAGAGACCAAAGGTCAGTTTTGAAGAAATAGAGAGATACGACCTTTCAGAAAGATAATTCAGAATAGCTGTTTTGAGAAAAGTCAATGAAATTCAAGGTAACACAGAGAAGATATTCAGAATCCTATCAGATAATTTTAAAAGAGACATTAAAATAAAAAAAATTAAGCAGAAATTCTGGAGTTGAAAAACACAGTTGACATACTGAAGAATGCATCAGAATATCTTAACAGCAGATCAACCAGGCCAAAGAAAGAATTGATGAGCTTGAAAACAGGCTATTAGAAAAGACATGGTCAGAAGAGACAACAGAAAAAAAGAATAAAAAATAATGAAGCATGCCTGCAAGATCTGGAAAATAGCCTCAAAAGGGCAAATCTAAGTAAGGTTTATTGACCTTAAAGAGGGAGCGGAAAGAGAGAGAGAGGGGTAGAAAGTTTATTCAAAGGGATAATAACAGAGAACTTTCTAAACTGGGAGAAAGACATCAATATTCAAGTACAAGAAGGTTATAGAACACCAAGTAGATTTAACCCAAAGAAAACTACCTCAAGACATTTAATCCAAACATCCAAAAGTCAAGCATACAGAAAGGATCCTAGAAGCAGCAAGAGAAAAGAAACAAATGACATACAATGGAGCTCCAATACATCTGGCAGCAGACTTCTCTGTGGAAACATTAGAGGCCAGAAAAGAGTGGCACAACATATTTAAAAGGCTGAAGGAAAAAAAAAACTTTTATCCTAGAATAGTCTATCTGGCAAAAATATTCTTCAAACATGAAGGATATATATAAAGACTTTCTCAGACAAACAAAAGCTGAGGAATTTTATCAACATCTAACTTGTCCTAAAAGAAATGCTAAAGGGGATTCTTTAATCTGAAGGAAAAGACTATTTATATAAAATGAGGAATCATAAATCATCTGAAAGTACAAAACTCACTGGTAATAGTAAGTACACAGAAAAACACAGAATATTATAATACTATAATTGTGGTTTATAAACTACTCATATCTTGAGTAGAAAGACTAGAAGATGAACAAATCAAAAATAATATCTAGAACAACTTTTCAAGACATAGTACAATAAGACATAAATAGAAGCAACAAAAAGTTAAAAAGGAGGAAGACAAAGTTAAAGTGTAGGGTTTTTATTAGTATTCTCTTTGCTTGTTTCTTTATGCAATCAGTGTTAAGTTGTCATCACTTTAAAATAATAGGTTGTAAGATATTATTTGCAATCCTCATGATAACAACAAATAATAAAATACAACAGATACACAAAAAATTTAAAAGCAAGAAATTAAAACATATCACCAGAGAAAATCATCTTCACTAAAAGAAGAAAGGAAGAAAGGAAATAAGGAGGAAAAGACCACAGAACAACCAGAAAACAAATAACAAAATGGCAGGAATTTTTACTTATCAGTGATAACATTGAAGGTAAATGGACTAATCTCTCCAATCAAAACAGTGCAGTGACTCACGTCTGTAATCCCAGCACTTTGGGAGGCCAAGAGGGGTAAGATTAACTGAGGTCAAGGGTTTGAGACCAGCCTGACCAACATGGTGAAACCCATCTCTACTAAAAATGCAAAAAATTAGTCAGGCATGGTGGTGGGCACCTGTAATCTCAGTTACTCAGGAGGCTGAGGCAGGAGAATCATTTGAACCTGGGAGGTGGAGGTTGCAGTGAGCCGAGATCATGCCATTGCACTCTAGCCTGGGCAACAAAAGCCAAACTCTGTCTCAAAAAATAAAACTAAAAAAACAAACAAACAAATAAAAAAAAATAGAGTGGCTGATTAAAAAAAAAAAAAAGACCCAATCATCTGTTGCCTACAAGAAAAACACACTTCACCTATATAGACAGACATAGACTGAAAATAAAGGGATGGGAAAAGATATTCCATGCAAATGGAAACCATAAAAGAGCCGGAGTAGCTATATTTATATCAGCCACAATAGATTTCAAGATGGAAATGATAAAAAGAGACAAAGAATGTCATTATACAATGATAAAGGGGCCAATTCAGCAAGAGGATATAACAATTGTAAATATATATGCACCTTAAACTGAAGCACTCAGATATATAAAGCAAATAGTATTAGAGCTAAAGAGAGAGTTAGACTCTGATATAATATGATATAATAATAGCTGGAGACTGCAACATCCCACTTTCATCATCCAAATAGAAAATCAACAAAGAAACATCAGACTTATTATTTACTATAGGCCAAATGGACCTAATAGATATTTATAGAACATTCATCCAATAGCTGCAGAATATACATTCTTCTCAACATATGAATCATTCTCAAAGATAGACCATATGTTAGGCTACAAAACAAGTCTTAAAAATTTTTTTAAATGAAATTATATCAAGTATCTTCTCAGATTGCAATAAAATAAAACCAGAAATCAATAACAAGAGGAATTTTGGAAACTATACAAATACAAGGAAATTAAACAATATGCTCCTGAATGGCCAGTGGCTCAATGAAGGAAATGAGGAGAAAATTTTAAAAATGTTTGAAACAAATAATAATGGAAACACAACATACCAAAACCTATGGTATAGAACAAAAGCAGTAGAACTAAGAGAAAAGTTTACAGCTATAAGTGCCTAAATGTTAAAAAAGTAGAAAAACTTCAAATAAACAACCTAATGATGCATCTTAAAGAATTAGAAAAGCAAGAGCAAACCAAATCCAAAATTAGTAGTAGAAAAGAAACAATATGTCTGGGAGTGGTGGCTCATGCCTGTAATCCCAGCGCTTTGGGAGGCGAAGGCAAAGCAGATCACCTGAGGTCAGGAGTTTGAGACCAGCCCAGCCAACATAGTAAAACCCTAACTCTACTAAAAGTACAAAAACTAGCTGCATGTGGTGGCACATGCCTGTAATTTCAGCTACTCAGAAGGCTAAGGCACAAGGAGGTGGAGGATGCAATGAGCTGAGATTGCACCACTGCACTCCAGCCTCGGTGACAGAGTAAGACTGAAAAAAAAAAGATGAAAGAAAGAAAAAAAGAAAGAAAGTAGGAAGGAAGGAAGGATATCAGAGCAGAAATAAATGAAATTGAAATGAAGAAAACAATACAAAAGATCAATAAAAGGAAAAGTTGGTTCTTTGAAAAGATAAAATCAACAAACCTTTTTTTTTCTTTTTTTTTAAATTTAAGTTTTAGGGTACATGTGCACAACGTGCAGGTTAGTTACATATGTATACATGTGCCATGTTGGTGTGCTGCACCCATTGACTCATCATTTAACATTAGGTATATATATCTCCTAATGCTATCCCTCCCCCTTCCCCCGACCCCACAATGGGCCCCAGTGTGTGTGATGTTCCCCTTCCTGTCTCCATGTGTTCTCATAAAATCAACAAACCTTTAGCCAGACTAAGAAAAAGAGAGAGAAGACCCCAGTAAATAAAATCAGAGATGACAAATGAGACATTACAACCTATACCATAGAAAATCAAAGGGTCATTGGAGCCTACTATGAGCAACTATGTGCCAATAAATTGCAAAACCTAGGAGAAACGGATAAATTCCTAGACACATACAACCTACCAAGATTGGACCATGAAGAAATCCAAAACCTGAACAGATGAATAACAAGTAAGGAGATCAAAGCCATAATAAAACTGTCCCAGCAAAGAAAAGCCAGGGACCCAATGGCTTCACTGCTGAATTTTACCAAACATTTAAATAAAAACTAATACGAGTCGTATTTAAACTATTCTGAAAAATAGAGGAGGAGGGAATACTTCCAAGCTCATTGTATGAGGCCAGTAATTCCCTGATACCAAAACCAGACAAAGACATTAAAAAAAAAAAAAAAACTTCAGGCCAATATTCTTGGTGAATATTGATGCAGAAATCCTCAGCAACATACTAGCAAACTGAATTCAACACCACATTAGAAAGATTAGTCATCATGACTGAGATTTATCCCATGCAAGGATGCAAGGATGCAAGGATGCAAGGACTCAAGGATGCAAGGATGGTACAACATATGCAAATCAATCACTGTGATACATCATATCAACAGAATGAAGGGCAAACATCATATAATCATTTCAATTGATGCTGAAAATGCATTTGATAAAATTCAACATCCCTTCAAGGTAAGAATCCTAAAAAAAACTGGGTATAGAAGGAACATACTTCAACATGATAAAAGCTATATATAACATACCGACAGTTAGTAGCATACTAAATAGGGAAAAACTGAAAGTCCTTCCTCTAAGGTCTGAAGCATGACAAGGATGCCCACTTTCACCACTGTTATTCAACATAACACTAGAAATCCTAGCTAGAGCAATCAGAAAAGAGAAAGAAATAAAGGCATTCAGATTGGAAAGAAAGAAGTCAAATTTTCCTTGTTTGCAGATATTATGATCTTATATTTGGAAAAACCTGAAGACCCCACGAGAATACTATTAGAACTTATCAAAACATTAAGTAAAGTTGCAGAATACAAAATCAACATATAAAATCAATAGCATTTCTGTATGCCAACAGCAAACAATCTTAAAAAGAAATCAAGAAAGTAATCCCATTTATAATAGCTACAAATAAAATAAAATACCTAGGAACTTAACCAAAGAAGTGAAAGATCTCTACAGTGAAAACTATAAAACATTGAAGGAAAAAATGCTCAAGAGGACCCTAAAAAATAGAAAAAGATTCCATGTTCATGGATTGGAAGAATCAATATTGTTTAAATGTCCATATTACCCAAAGAATCTACAGACTCAATGCAATCCCCTTCAAAAGACTAATGACAGTCTTCACAGAAAAAAAAACAATTCTAAAATGTATATAGGATCACAAAAGACCCAGAATAGCCAAAGATATCCTCAGCAAAAAGAATAAAACTGGAGGAATCACATTACCTGATTTCAAATTATATTACAGAGCTATAGTAACCAAAACAGCATGCTACTGGTATAAAAACAGACACATAGACCAGTGGAACAGAATAGAGAATCCATAAACAAATTCATACACCAATAATGAGTTCATTTTCAACAAATATGCCAAGAACTTACATTGTGAAAAAGACAATCTCTCCAATAAATGATGCTGGGAAAACTGGAAGTCCCTATGCAGACAAATGAAACTAGACCCCTGTCTTCCAGCATATACAAACATCAAATCAAAATGGATTAAAGATTTAAATCTAAGTTCTTAAACTGTGATACTGCTAAAAGAAAACTTTGAGGAAACTCTCCAGGACATTGGACTGGGCAAAGACTTCTTTAGTAATACCCAACAAGCACAGGCAACCAAATTAAAAATAGACAAATGGAATTGCATCAAGTTATAAGCCTTCTGCACAGCAAAGAAAACAATACACAAAGTGAAGAGACAACCCACAGAATGAGAGTAAATATTTGCAAACTACCCATCTGGCAAGGGATTAATAACCAGAATACAAGACCAGGCATGGTGGCTCACACTCATAATCCCAGGACTTTGAGAGGCCAAGGTGGGTGAATTGCCTGAGCTCAGGAGTTTGCAACCAACCTGGGCAACACAATGAAACCCCGTCTCTACTAAAATACAAAAAATTAGCCTGGTGTAGTGGTATGCACCTGTAGTCCCAGCTACTCGGGAGGCTGAGGCACAAGAATTGCTTGAACTGGGAGGCAGATGTTGTGGTGAGCTGAGATCATGCACTCCAGTCTGGGTGACAGAGCTAGACTCCATCTCAAAACAAAACAAAACCAACCAAACAAACAAAAAACCAGAATACATAAGGAGCTCATACAACTCTATAGGAAAAATTCTAATAATTTGAATTTTTTTTTTTTTTTTGATGGACTCTCACTCTGTCACCCAGGCTGGAGTGCAGTGGCGCGATCTTGGCTCACTGCAAGCTCCACCTCCCGGGTTCACACCATTCTCCTGCCTCAGCCTCCCGAGTAGCTGGGGCTACAGGAGCCCGCCACCACACCCAGCTAATTTTTCGTATTTTTAGTAGAGACGGGGTTTCGCCATGTTAGCCAGGATGGTCTCTATCTCCTGACCTCGTGATCTGCCTGCCTCGGCCTCCCAAAGTGCTAGGATTACAGGCGTGAGCCACCACACCCGGCCATAATTTAATTTTTTTAAAATGAAAGATCTGAAAAGACATTTCTGAAAAGAGGACATACAAATGGTAAACAGGTATATGGTGCTCAACATCATTGATCATCAGAGAAATGCAAATCAAAATTACAATGAGATATCATCTCACACCAGTTAAAGTGGCTTTTATTGAAAAGACAGGTAATAACAAATGCTGGTGAGGATGTGGAGAAATGGGAACCCTTATATAGCGTTGGTGGGAATGTAACTTAGTACAACCACTATGGAGAACAACTTGAGATTCCTCAGAAAACTAAATATACAGCTACTATATAACCCAGCAATCCCACTGCTAGATATACCAAAAAGAAAGAAAATTAATATATTGAAGAAATATCTGCACTCCTATGTTTATTGCAGCACTATTCACAATAGCCAAGATTTGGAAACAACCTAAGTGTCCATCAATAGATTAATGGATAAAGAAAGCATGGTACCTATAACTATGGAGTATTATTTAGTCTTAAGAAAGAATGAGATCCTGTCATTTGCAACGTGGATGGAACTGCACGTCATTATGTTAAGTGAAATAAGCCAGGCACAGAAAGACGAATTTCACATATTCTCACTTATTTGGGGAACTAAAAATGGAAACAGCTGAACTCATGAAGATATAAAGTAGGACAATGGTTACCAGAGGCTGGGAAGGGTAGTCAGAGGTTAGGGGGAGTGGGGATGATGAATGGGTACAAAATATAGTTAGATAGAATGAATAACATCTAGTATTTGATAGCACAACAGAGTGACTATAGTCAACAATCATTTATTGTACAAATGTACAATAAATAACCAAAATAGCTAAAAAAGTATAATTGGATTATTTGTAACACAAAGAAAGGATAAATGCTTGAGGTGATGCGTACCCTATTTACCCTGATATGATTATTATGCATTGTATGCCTGTATCAAGATGTCTTATGTATCCCATATATATACACACACACATCTACTATGTACCTATAAAAATTAAAAGTTAATAATTAAAAAAAATTTGAAGCCAGACAATTAAGTGGCAGAACCTGGAATCAAAGCCAGTCTCACTCACAGGCAGAAACTTTTTACGTCTTTGCTCCTTAGGTTGAGTTTAAGGCCTCTTATATAGTGACTTCTAGCATTTCCACAAAATTTACCAGTATTTCTGAAATTACCTGATATGCTTTGGCTTTGTGTCCCCACCCAAATTTCATGTCGAGTTGTAATCCCCACATGTCAGGGGAAGGACCTGGTGGGAGGTGATTGGATCATGGGGGTGGATTTCCGCCATTTTGTTCTTGTGCAAGTGAGTGAGTTCTCATGAGATCTGATGGTTTAAAAGTGTGGCACGTCCCACCTCACTCACTCGCACTCCTGCTTTGTGGTAGTAAGACATGCTTGCTGCCCCTTCTCCTCTTGCCATGATTGTAAGTCTCCTGAAGCCTCCCCAGTCATGTGGAACTGGAGTCAATTAAACTTCTTTTCTTTATAAATTACCCACTCTCAGGTAGCTCTTTATAGCAGTGTGAGAACGGACTAATACAAAACCTAAAGAAAAATGGTCGTCTAACAGAGCTAAGCAGAGAACTCTGTCCATACCACTACAGAATATCCGTTTTCCCAGATGCCCCAGCAAGTGAATTTACAGAGCAAATGGCTGATGTAGGCTTCCTGCAAGGTATCCTGCAAGGCTGCTGGCCTGGAGAGGTAGAGAACTAAGGAGAGAAGCCCTGCTGCATCTTGTGCTGTTTGCTGGTCTGGGTCTGAGGATGAGGGGAATAGGGGAGCAATAAAGAGACAGTTGCCTTAGGAACAGGCCCACTATAGAGAACAAAAGAGGATCACAGAAGAATATTCTAAAGGTAAACTTCATCTCCTTCCCCTTTCCCCAGTCTTGACACACATCTCCTATAAGCCTCTTTGAATTCTGGTGGGGCATGAACTTTTGAGTTCAGGCTGTGGCTGACTTCTAGGAATATAAACATATTGTGTTTCCCCTGGGAATGAAGCTAATACTGCAACTCCATTGTAATTTATTAATCACAATTATTTCAAGATGAAAATGAAAGCTCACTATTTGGCTGCACACACATGTTACACATAAAAGACTTCAAAATATCAGAAGAACAATTTCCTGTGGGGGAAACAGAGCATGGAGACTCCGGCCTCAGTTAGGAAGAAGCTGGGCCACAGGGCCCTACTACAACAACCAGGCTGGGGCCCCATTTATACCTTCGGGATTTTTGTTATTCCAATGGCCAAACCTCTGTCTTGTGTTGCCTAAGCTGCCTGTGTGGCTCGTTTAACACAATGAAATACATCTGCAGTAGTGGAGAAGGTGTCCGTGAGCACCTTTATCACAGTCATTGGCAACATCCATCAGGAAAGACTTTACTTTCTGCAAAAGGACTCTAGTGCTGCCCAGAGACAGCCCCTGGCTCCCTGTCCTCCAGGATGCTGTAATGTAGGTCTGTAGAAGTGAACATGCTGATCACCCACTGAAAAGAAGAATTAAACATCCCAGTGAAAATCAAAATGAACACTGAAATGTTTATATGTTTGTTTAGGCGGCAAAAATAAGTTTGGTTTCAAGTTTGGCAGGGAAAAGAATGAACATGGAATTCATCCATGCACACATTTACTCTGTATCAAATGTCTGTGGCACATGTGCTCAGTGCCAGCTCTTAGGTGGGACCTGGATGGAGAAACAAAGATGTTTTCCCTGTGGAGTCAAATGGAGAAGAAATTCTGAGAATTCCCTTCATGGACTGCATGCACTAAAGGGCAGTAAGGACTGCCCATTGAATTAATGAGGGCCATATTTGTGGAGAAGGTTGGATTTCAGGAATGATTTTTAAGCTAGGTAGAGAAAGAAGAGATGGGAAGAGAGGAGGAAGAGGTAAAGAAGTTTGTAGACTTTCTCCTGGGGTTGCTCCTGCCACAGTGTGACTTTACTAAAGTTTATTTGATGCTCTCTCTATATCACTCTAAAAGCACAGAGAAGAAGCTTCCCAGGGACTAGGGAAAGCAATAGTGTGTGGAGTGCCCTGCCTTCAGGGGGAAAGAAAGATCTGTAACAGTGTAATCCTGAATTCCTCTTTGCATCCATATTCAGGGATGCAAAGAGACCTGGGAAATTAGGAAGTTTCCCCCAGAAGGAGGAGCTGGATCACAATTACACCTCTCTGGGTCCCGAGAGGGAATTGAGGCCTTGCAGAGAGTTTTCAAGGTGCAGAATAAAGCCCACTCCTCTGTGGCACCATCAGCAGGACATGCCAAGTAAAAATCATCAAGAATGGCAAGCACTCTGCTGGGTATGCCCTTCTCCTATGCTGGCTCTCTCCTTCCGACATATCAGTGATGTTTATTAAGAGATGACAAGTCTATCAGGCTTCATGAGCAGTGTTTCACAAGGAGGAGATCTTCCTGTACACCCAGGGAGTGTCATCAATCTTGCGCCTGCTCTAAGCTCAGAGCAGCTGAGAGTGAACAAGGACCCTTCTCGCCCTGCCCCCCTTTCTAACCATCTCTCACTCTCCTCTCCAGTGCTTTGTAGCACAGCAGGAGATGGCAAAGGAAAAGATACTATTTGCATAAAGCATTTCTGGTAAGGATATGGAAACAGAAGAGTAGAAACAAAAGAAAACAAACCCAAAACAGGGCCCTTTTCTCCAATGTCAGTGGCTTTAGGAAATTCATTACATAGTAGGAGCTGGGATGGGTAGAGCTGAGACTGTAGAAAGGACTGCCAGGCGTACAGCTAACATCGTTCATGTTACAACATTTATGATATACAAATGGTATGTGAGTTTCATATTATATATGTAAATATTATACCCATCTCCTTGACAATCAGTTGTCCCTCTTTTTAAATATCAAATTTGAATAGTCCATTAAGTGCGAATAGGCACTGCGTTGTTTTTCCTATGTATATGTCTTTTTTTTTTCTTTCTGGAAAGAAACTTTATGTTGTAAGTATCAGCATCTAATGTGCAAGAAAAAAGACCCCATTGCTCTGTGTAGGAAGCAAAATTGATACTAGTAACTAGCAATTGCAAATAGACCTCATTGAATATATGTCTTTTGAATATTATATATGTCACTATATTTGTAAGTCAAATGTGCTGCACGTTTATTTTTCATTAGAAGGCCCCTAATCTGGGCCACACAGCTCCTAGTCCTGAAAGACACTCTGTCAAATGGGATAATAATATCATTTTTAAATTTCTTGAAACTTATTGAGGCTTACAAATCATTTTTTGGCACTGGTTCAATATTTAAACATTTCAATCTAACACATCATAAGGTTGTTTTTTATTTTGGGATGAGAGAGAGGAAATTATTTTTCTGTATCATGAATGCTTCCAAACATTTTTTTGAATCTTGTTCTTCACTATAATACATGCTTTCCAAGGATTTTGACACTGGGCTTTGTTCAGAGAAACGAGGAAGGTCATGAAAAATGGCTCTTTTATCCTTTGCGCAGCATCTCTATGACTATAGCAGAATCAGATAGGAATGAAAGATTGGGTTGGTTTAATTCACATTGGAAAGTCTGTGTAAGACTTAGATGCTTGTAAAGTGCTTTTCAATACATAGATTCTGTGATTCGTTTCAATGAGCTATAGAAATCCAGAAATATTGTTTTTAGGATTATAAGAAGTCAAAACTAAACAGATGCATAAGCGAGCCTAGCTGGGGCCTGCCTTGGCACTGCAGACAAGGTTCCCTAAGATGTTCCATGTCACAACCAGAGTTGTGGTATTGTCTGCATACATAAATGTGAGTGTGTGTGTGTGTGTGTGTGTGTGTTGCGGAAGGGATTGTGACCATGGGTCAGATCATAAAATCAGTAATGCGATGCCAGCCAACATCAGTGACTTCTGGTGGTGAGATTAGCTCTGCTCTAGATATCTAAAGTGAATCTTGTTACAGTTAAATGTAAAATTGTGTTATTTTCCCATTTTGATGAGCACCACTGAAGCCAGAAGAGAATACTCTTTTATGGTAAAATAAAATCAGGAAAAAAAAATGTTTCCAAAGCTCCAAATTAGTTTATGTAAAATATTTTAGCTTCTATAGAAATATTTTAACTTCTATAAAAGACTAGCCTCCAATGTTAGATTGAAATTTTTAGTTCTGAAAAGAACATGAAGAAACTTTTGTGTGCATAGGGGAGAAATGATGAACCTCTTCTCCATCACCATTTCGGACATGCTTTGTTTTTTACTTTTTAACAACTTTTTGAGATATAGTTAAAATATCATGCAATTCACCCATTTAATATGTCATACAGTTCACCTATAAATATATAAAGGCTTTTTATATATTCACAGAGTTGTGCAACCATCACCACAATCAATTTTAGAATGTGTTCATTGCCCCAGAAAGAAACCCCATTTCCCTTAACCATTACTTCCCAGCTTCAGCATACCCCTCCAGCCCCAGGCAAATGCAATTTACATTCTGTTTCTATGGACTTTCCTGTTCTGAGTATTTCATATAAATAAAATTACATAATATGTGGTTCTGTGACTGGCTTCTTTCACTTTGCATAGTATTTTCAAGGTTCAGCCATGATGTTGCATGTATTGGTACTTTATTCTTTTTATTGATGAGTAATATTCCACCTTAAGTATTAATTGAGGGACATTTGAGGTTGTTTTCACTTTTTGGCATGAAAAGAGCCAAATAATGCTCTTATGAAGATTCATGTACGAGTTTTTGTGTGGGTTTATGTTTTCACTTCTCTTAGATTATACCTAGGAGTAGCATTGATGGGTCATATGATAACCTCGGGTTAATCCTTTGACAAACTGCCAGACTGTTTTCCAAAGTAGCTGCACCATTTTACATTTCTCTCAATAGTGTATAAGGGTGCTAATTTCTCCAAATCTTTGCCAACATTTGTTGTTCACTGTCTTTTTTTATTATAGCCATCCTAGTGTGTGTGCAATGGTATCTCATTATGATTTTAGTTTGCATTTCTGTGATGGCTAATGCTGAACACTTTGTATGTGTTTTTTGGCTTTGTGAATATATTCTTTAGAGAAATATCTATTTAGATCTCTTGACCATTTTTATTGGGTGATTGGTCTTTTTATTGAGTTGTAGGAGTCTTTTATATATTCTAGATACAAGTCCCTTGTCAGATATATGATTTGCAAAAATGCTCTCTCATTCTGTGGATTGTCTTTTCTCTTTCTTGATAATATCCTTTGGAACATAAGGGTTTTTAATTTTGATGATGTCCAATGTATTTATTGTTTCTCTTTTTTGTGTATGCTTTTGATGTCATGATCTGCTTTATTTTTACGTAACTCTTCAGAGCAATGCCTAAGCTTTTGAATTCAGGCTGCAACAGGGGTATTGAGGGATATAGAAGGAGAATGGTATTAAGCTGATGGCATTAAAGATAGACATCAGTAAATTTTGAAAATCCAGATTACTGCTTCAGGTATCTTCATAACATACCAAAGTGTCACCACATATTGGTTATAGGAAAATGTGTTGTACAAACAGTTGTTGTCTAAACTTTTCCCATATGTGTAATATGTAAGACTCTAAGGAATGTTTAGGATTTCATTATATATAGTTGTCACCCAAAAATATACAAGATTGCTTTGGGCTATTTGCGGTCTTTTGTGGTTCCATATACATTTTAGAATTTTTTATATTTTTGTGAAGAATGTCATTTGTATTTTGATAGATATTGCATTAGATCTGTAGATTCCTTTGGGCAGTACAATGATTTTAACAATATTAATTCTTTCAAACTCATAAACATGGGATGTCCTTCCATTGTTTTGTGTCCTCTTCAATTTCTTTCATCAGAATTTTATATTTTTTTTTATAGGGATCTTTCACCTCCTTGGTTAATTTATTTTTAGAAATTTTATTATTTTTGTGGCTATTATAAATGGGATTGCTTTCTTGATTTTTGTAGAATATTTTGAGCGATGAATATACATAATGAAATAATAAAAATTTCTTCCAGCTAGTTAATTATTGGTATATAGAAATGGTATGGTTTTTTTTTTTTTTGCATGTTGATTTTGTATCCTGCAACTTTACTAAATTTGTTTCTCAATTCTAAGAGTTTTTTGATGGAGTCTAGTTTTTCTCTATGTAAGATCATGTCATCTTGCAAGCAGGGAAAATTTGCTAAAGCAATCCTGAGTGAAAAGAATAACATTGTAGGCATCACACTACCTGACCTCAAAATATATTATAAAGCTATAATAACCAAAACAGCATGGTACTGACATGAAAATAGACACATAGACCAATGGAACAGAAAGAGAACCCAGAAATAAATCCACATACTTACAGACACCTGATTTTCAACAAAGATGCGAAGAACATACATTGAGGAAAGGACATTCTCTTTAATGAATAATGCCGGAAAAACCAAAATATTCATATGCAGAGGAATGAAACTAGGCCTCTATCACCACATCCAAAAGTCAATTCAAAATGGATTAAAGACCTAAATCTCAAACTATGAAAATACTAGAAGAAAACTTAGGAGAAATGCTTCAGGACATCAGTCTAGGCAGATATTTTTATGGAGAAGACCTTAAAAAAGACAATAAAAAGGACAACAAAAGCCAAAATAGACAAATGAGATTATATCAAATTAAAAAACTTTGGCATAGCAAAGGAAACATTGACAGGGTAAAGGACAACCTGCAGAATGGGAGAAAATATTTGCAAATTATTTATCCAACAAGGGAACAATACTCAGAATATTCAAACAACTCAACAGCCAACACACACACACACACACACACACACACACAATGCAATTCAAAATGGGCAAATGATATGAATAGACATTTCTCAAAAGAAGGCATACAAATGTTCAAGAAGTATATGGAAAAAATGCTGAACATCACTAATCATCAGGGAAATGCAAATCAAAACCAAAATGAGATACCATCTCATCCCAGCTGGAATGGCTATTATCAAAAGGACAAAAATAACAAAGCTGGCAAGGATGTGGAGGAGAAAACGAAACTACTATACACTGTTTGTGGAAATGTAAATTAGTATAGCCATTATGGAAAACAGTATGGAGGCTCCTCAAAAAGTAAAACAAACTACCATGTGATCCAACAACCCCATTACTGGGCATAGATCCAAAGTAAAGAAAATCAGTGTGTCAAAGACATAGATGCACTCCCATGTTTACTGAAACACTATTCATAATAGCCAAGACATGGGATCAACCTTAGTGTCCATCAACAGATGAATGGATAAAGAAAACATGGTATAAATACACAATGGAATACTATTCAGCTATAAAAAGAATGAAATCCTCTCATTTATAGCAACATGGATGAGTCTAGAGAATATTGTGTTGAGTGAAGTAAGGCAGGTACAGAAAGGTAAGTGCCATGTATTCTTACTCATATGTGGAAGCTAAGTAAGACCTCATAGAAGTAAAGAGCAGAATAATGATATCTAGAGTCTGGGAAGGGTGAAAAGAAGAGGGGATAGGGAAAGGTGTTGGTTAAGGAACACATATTATACTCAGATACGAGAAATAAGTTCTAGTGTTCTATAGCACTGAAGGATGACTATAGTTAATAATTATTTATTCTATATTTTTACATAACTAGAAGAGAGGATTTTGAACGTTCCCAACACAAAGAAATGATAAATATTTGAGGTGATAAATATGCTAATTACCCTAATTTGATTATTATGCATTGTATACAGGTATCAAAATATCACACTTTACTCTGTAAATATGTATGAGTATGTCATTTTTAAATTTAAAAAAATTATACAGTATGCTGCCACCAGGTGGTGATAGCGGCAGCCTTTAATGGACAGTCTCATTGAACTGCTAGAAACATAGTTAAGACCTAGAGTTTCTGTCTAGCACATTACATTTATAAGAATAACTTTTTAAGATTTTGTTTTAAAACATAAGCTTTCTAGTGAAATCAAATGCTGGATGTTAAGAACATGCACTTAATAAGAAGATGAAGAGAGGAGTGAATATTTACTGAGCACTTACTATATGATTTTATATACATTATTTTATTTAACCTTCATGAAACTCTATCAATATACCTTAATGTCCTCAGTTTAAAGACCCTAACTTCTTTGTCCAGGGTTACATAGCAATGATATACCAGAGTTCAAACTGCCTGTATGTAAAGCCTGTATGGCTGTTACTATGCCTATATTTTGTGACTTTCTATCAATAAATAAAGCATGAATTCAGATTTAGTTAATATTTATGCATCTACTGTACCAAGTACTATGCTAAGTAATTATCACAAATGTGAGTACAATTTGGACTTCTTTCTATTAACCCTAATCGGTGTCTAACATTGTTTAATATAAAGTTGATCTTCCCTTAACTTGATAAGGCTTCTCTTTCTCTCAACCATGTTCTCCATCTGTCTCTCTGTCTCTCTCTTTCTTCTCCCTACCTCCTTAAAACTGAAACCTCCATAAGCTGCTACATGGTTTGGGGGTTTCAGTGGAAGACTTATTGTCAAGAATTCCTGCAGAAATAAGTCTACAGCTTTCTGGTTTGCAGATTTTCCTGTGTCAGTCTCAGAAACAATATTTCTTGACTTAGGGTAATAGACACTAATTGGGTGGCAGCCTTGCCCATACAGATCCCCTGAACTTCCTGTGGGACGGAAATTCTGTCTGCTTATTCTCCATTATATTGTTAGCTCTTCAAAATGCTTCTGATGGGCCAGGCACAGTGGCTCACGCCTGTAATCCCAGCACTTTGGGAGGCTGAGGCAGGTGGATCACCTGAGGTCAGGAGTTAGAGACCAGTCTGAAAAACATGGTGAAACCCTGTCTCTAAAAAGGTATTTTTTAACTGGCTTTGATATACGTCTGTCCTCTACTCTTACCCCTGCCCCGCAAAATTAGCTATAGCTATTGATCCAGAAGCTTTTAAATCCGAAGCCAGGCCAATCAGATCTTCTCTATTTCAAATCTGAAACTTTGATAGAAATTATAAGGATGAGAAGCATGGTTGCTCTGACAGTGGCTCCCTGTAGAGCTGGGGTCCTAACTCTTCTGGCCTACTCTAGTTGCTAGTGCTCCTGGGCCTTTTTATCTCTTCCTTTAGTTTTGAACTGCCTTAGTATTCTGACAATGTGGTTTCTCTTTCACTTAACCTTCATGGGGTTAATTTACCAATACATTTAAGCTGTCAGATGTAGTGGACAACTCACTCCATTCCCTCCCACCCTCCCTCCCTCCCTCCGTCCCTCCCTTCCTCCCTCCCTTCCTTCCTTCCTTCCTTCCTTCCTTCCTTCCTTCCTTCCTTCCTTCCCCTTCTTCTCCATCTCCCCCTTCTCCTTCTCCATTTCTTCCTCCTCCTTCTCCATCTGCTCCTCTCATCCATCCCTCTCTCATCCTTGTCCTATTCTTTAGCCTCCTTTGCTCCTAGTGCATTGAGAAACAATATTTCTCTTGCTTCTATTCTGCCTGAATCCATACAGTAGCTCAGGGCTTCTTTATGTCCTAACATAAAATTCTCCAAGGTTCTTCATGTTTCCCCTTCATGTTAAGTTTTACTTTCTTTCAAAGAAGAAGAGTATGTTCTGCCTGCTGATATGTATCTTCAGAGGCATCACTGTTCAGGGGTTTTTGACTTTTATATTTATTTATTCTCTTTATTGTGACGATGATCATCAGGCTCCAATATTTATAACTTGTCTCTATAACAGAACTCCTCAAAATTGATTTGTAAAACAGCTAGGAAACATTGTAGAATATTTGTTTTTACCAGAAGTATAAATAGTTTTCTGAACATTAAAATGGTTTCTTCAAGGTTTGGAAAGGATACACACACAAATTTGTTAATTTGTTTGACTGAGAGTTAGAAAAGTAGAATTTTTTTTCAAGAAATAAGATAAGGGTAGAGTTGAAGGTGATTAAAATAAAGCTACAGGAACTGAATTCAATTCAAGTGCCAGTATTTCTCCAAAGTCAAGAAAAGGGTATAGATGTGGCAATGGGAAAGCCTGTGCCTAAGTTATGTGCCTCACACAATGTACGGAAGAATCACCACATCTGTAGAGAGATTTACATTCACCATAGCATTTTATATCTTGAGGAAATATCTATGCATGCAAATATTTGAGCTGCTTGCCTTCAATGAATCAGTAGCCAATTACACATATTTAATGGGCAATTAAAAAACTAGTCATTTCCTACAAGATGGTCATGAAGAAAAGAAAATCTTGTGCCCTTACTCTTGACATTATTACCATCTCTCTTCCCTTTCTTAATCTTAATTTTGTAGCAAGAATGACAGGGAAATCCAGGAGAGTCTTTAAAGCACTTGAAAGCCCAGAGCATTTATGTGGGAGTTGGTGAGACTATGGGACATGGGACTATGAAAAGCTGCCCTGTGTACCCATCCAGGTTTACTCTGGACTTTGGATCTTATGAACACGAGATTGTGACCTGCAAATAAGAGCAGGCCTGCATGCGGAGGGAGCACTGAAGCAAGACTGACATCAGAAGTGATGGAAAGGAAGAGACACCAGGGCCTGGCTATTCCTTTTGTGCCCAAGTCACTCCCAGCCATTTCTGTCTGTCTTTTATTAAATAAAAATTGTGTATATTCATGGTGTACAGCATGATGTCTTGATACACATATGCATAATGAAATGATTACTAGACTCATGCTAATTAACATATTCATCTCCTTACATAGTTATCATCTTTTGTGTGTGTGTGGTGAGAGCACCTGAAATCTCTCTTAGTAAATTTCCAGTATAAAATACCTTATTATCAACTATAGTGATCAGGCTGTACATTTACATCTCTAGACCATTAATCCTACCTAACTATGATGTATATACACAAGTTAAGTATCCCTTATCCAAAATGCTTAGGACCAGAAGTGTTTTGGATTTTTACCTTTCTTTCAGATTTTGAAATATTTGCGTTATATTTACTGGTTGAGCATACCAAATCTGAAAATCTGAAACCCAGAGTGCTCCAATGAGCATTTCCTTTGAATGTCATATTGGTACTCCAAAAATTTTGGACTTTGGAGCATTTTGGGTTTTCATATTTGGGATGCTTAACTTGTATATATAAAATGGGCAATTATTCAGCCTTAATAAAAAAGAAGATTCTGTTTTTTGTGACAACATGGATGAAACTGGAGAACATTATGCTAAGTGAAATAAGCCAGATGCAAAAGGTAAAATATTATATAATCTCAGAAGTTTTTAATAGCCTTTCTAGAGAAGTACAGACTCCTGCATTTTCCCAGGACAAGACAAACATGCATAAGAAAGTAGGGTTAGATATTCAGATAGGAATCTGTTTAATGATGTGAACTCAGGAGCCCATGATAGGGTAATGGAAATCTAACCCATCTCTGTTAGGGAATTTTGCCAGCCTCTAAGGTGTGCTTTCTGCCCCTTTTAAATGTACCTCTACCAGAAATAGAGGACAATCCTTAATGATCCTTCAAAGCATAAAGGAGATTCCTTTCCCTCACTTCCTCTAGGTAGAGTGAGTAACTCCAGGTATGAGTTCCCATAGCCCTTTTACACAACTCTACTGTATTTTATCCCTTAAAATATTTTTTCTTTTCTTCTTTTCATTTCATCTCATTCACTGATTCATTCAAGCATAATTTGGGCCTCTAACATGCGTCTTCAGTGTGATGGGGGCCTCGTGGATGGCAAATACAGATATCACTAGGAAACATTTCCTGGACCCCAAAGGTCACAGCCTCTGGAAGCAAACATGCAGGTAAGAAAATGATTAAAGCAAGGAGATCGGTTTCACTGGACAAGGCGCTGGGAGCACACAGGGGAGGAAGAAACTTTCTGAGAAGGTTGGTGAAGGTTCCAGTGGAGATGAGTTGTGAAGGGTGAGAATAATTATTAAGTGAATAATGACCACAGAATGAGAGTGGGGACAAGCCTAAAAGTTCAGAGATGAATATGTACACATTGTGCTGTAGGAGACTTCTGGAGTCTCCTCTGGTCTGGGGTGACATACGTGACTTATGGGAAAGCCGGAGGGGAGGAGGCTCTGGAAGCAAATGGGGCCAGATCCCAAGCTTCTAACATATCTTGTTAAGGGACAAGGTTCTTGTTCCGAAGTCAGAGACTGTCAACCTAAGACAGAACAGCTAAGATGCTCCTGCAGGATTCCACGGGAGGGATGAAGAAGGCTGACAAAAGAGGTGGTAGCAAAGAAGGGGAGGTGGGATCCACTCAAGAGGGGGTGAAATTTTCAAGAATTTGTCATACCAGGTTTACCTGAAGCTCTCTCTGGGTTCTGTAAACCTGAGAGTGGTGCTGGTCTGCGTGGATTTCTTATCCTAGCGCCTTCCTCTGTGTATGGCAGGGCGTAGGTATACAATCTACACCTACTGGGCAAATGAGTGAATGGACAACTCACGGTCTTAGCAAAAAGAGTTTATCTACCTGGTTCTCTTTGGGAATGGGTTCTAATAAAAAAGAGAGGAAAAGGGAGAGAATGAGGGTAATAAAATACACGTTTAATTTGAGGCCATATAGTGAGGGATGGGAATGACCCCCCAAGTAACGATGCCATTGCCTCATCCCACAAGCAGCTTCTCCTAAAACGGTCTAATATGGGCTTACCTTTGGAGGTATTTGACCCACTGCCCACACCTCTCCCTCGTTTGAGCTGCCCTATCTCCTCAGAAACTCTCCTCCTCCTATCAACAAAGGGATACCAGTTAGGGCCAACCACCCAGCCCCACCTTCTTAACACAGCACTTAAAAGTCAAATGTTTAAAAGACATTTTCATGGAGCCTAATAGCACATAGAAAGTACTTGATAAATGGCAACCCTTATTTTTCTCTGTAACTTGAACCAGCTCATTACCTAAAAGTCTCTAGGTCTCTGCTTTCCATGGGAACAAGAAATCCTTCCATGTGTATAAATGAGATTAGTCTTCTGAGTAGCATCTTTGTATTTGGAATGAAGTCTTTCTAGAAATACAATGACTTAAACCAAGGAATGAGTCTAATACCGGAATGTTCCGCTGTGGAGGGAGAGAGGCAGGGGAAGCATTCTGGAGCCAAATGCATTTTAGCTTTTTTTTACATTGTACCTACAGAGATGTTTCCCTACTCAGCTGATGAGGCCTGGCCCCAGAAAGACCATATCGCTTTGGTTTCTGTCCCTTCATAAGGACCATCCAGAATGGCTTCAATATGTTTTCCATGTGTGGAAGTGGTTGTAACTTTCAAAAGATGTCTTGGTGGGGGATGGGTTTGGACAGTAGGAAAGGGGCTGAGGGGATGAAGCAACCAGAGAAGAACTTTGGCACAGAACAACCCAGAGAGAAGAATGAGGCAAAGCCAAAATGAAATGTACTTCTTTGCTCCATCTTTGCTCCATTTCTTGCTCAGAGCTTATACACTGTCTAATTCTGTTTGCAGGGCATTATAACCACACACACACACAAAAACACATTTATTTCTACATTGCTCTCTTCCCTCTCCCTCCCAGGCATTTATTGTTTCCTAACGGGTACTTTGCTAGGCCCTGTGGACATAAAGACACTGAAGAAACAGCCTCTGGTTATGGAACTCATTGACTGGTAGGAAAAGAAAGATGAGTAGAAAATATTGGGATAATCATAGCAAACACTTCAATTCCCCTTACTATGCACCATTCTAAACATAGTACATTTATTCACTCATTCAATGCTTACAACACTATGAAGTAGATAGTGTTTTTCAATACTCCCATTTTGAAAATGGGAGGACTAATGCACAGAACAATTAAGCCACTCACCTAAGGTCACACATCTAGTAAATGGTCAGGCTGGGATTCAATCCCAGGCCTCTTAGCTGCACCCTGGAGCACTTCCTCTACCCATGATGCTATTGTGCCACAGAAGAGAGTATCAGCCCTGTCACCTCTGGGAAAGTTTCTTAGAAGAGATGGTGCCTGAATTTTGAAAATGAATATGATTTGCTCAGGCAAAGTAAGAAGGGGCCTGGTAAGTTGCAAAGAGGATTCCGGTTAAAGACAATGTCAAAGCTTGCAGGTGTGAGGGCATGGCTTGCACAGAGACTCACAAGCAGCATAAGATCACTGGGAAGGATGCAGGGTATTGTGGTAAACCCAGAAGCTGGAGAGGTAGTTGGGAGCCAGATCCCAAAGGGTCTTCTATTTCAAGCTAGGAAATGTGGACTTAATTCTAAAAGCTATGAGACACCTCTCACAAGCTCAAGGATTAGTAGACTTGAATTATAGATGCCGCAACTCTCATTCATGTGCATTTCTGAAAACCATATTGTGAAGTATGATGACTCCAAAGAGAGCAGCCATGCCTTGCTGACCATTCTCTCGCTCTCCACTCTAGACCTGCCCTCAAACACGAAGATAGTCTTTTGCTCATTCATTCATTTATGCAACATTTATTTAACAAATATTTATTAAACGCCTATTATGTGTTAGGAACTGTGCTAAGTGCTGACATTGCAAATATAAAAATGAAACACAGACCCTGCCCTGAGAGGAACAGTGTTTATTGGGGAATTGAAAATATAAACACATAGCTTCAAAACAATAGGCAAAATGCTATTTAGTGGGCATATTCGGAGTTCAGATGATGAATGACAGAACAGGCAGCAGATCTTCATGTTTAAGCACACAGACGCTGGAGCCATGCTGCTCTGGATTCACATCCCAGCTCTGCCACGTGATACCTGTATGACACTCGGCTAGTTGTTTCATTGCTCTGTCTCAGTTTCCTCATCCAACAAATGCAGATTATAATATTAACTATCTCATAGGGTTGTTACAAACATTAAGTGAGTCAACATTTTAAAGTTTCTTAGTACACTACACAAATAAAAACTCTGAAGTGACCGTGTTCCCCAGTAGATGTCACTACTACATAGCTAGTTAGGTGAGATAATATCTGAGTTCAGGCTGACCACATTAACCATTCCATAAGAAAACTGATACATAAATGGCTTTCTTCCCAAAATACAAAATATAGCAGAAGGTAGGTTGTGAAATAAATAAGAGTGAGGGGTGATGATCACCTGTTTATAAAAAGCTCTTGTAAATCTCCAGACCCACTTGGAAGTTTTAAACTTTCCCCATATTGGCTCTCTGATGGAAGCCATTTTCTCCCTGCTTTCTAAAAACCCTGGATTTGATTCCTTCAACTCAGGCCTTATCAGGGAGCACCTACTCCTTTCTAAGATGTGCAAGTCGTTTCTGAGAAAGCACGTGAATAATAATTGACAGAAGCCACCGAGGCCTAACTCTTAGAGGAACTGAAATGGGAAATTGGGACACAGTGGCATAAGGAGGAACTTTGTGAAGCAGCAGGAGGTAACTTAACTTGGGCTAGCTTTATGACAGCTGAGGCTGAGCCTACAGCTTTATTTTCCATCAGCTGACAAAGGTGAAAGTTCAGTATTTCTGATTTTGCTCCATGACTTCCGTAGATCTCAGCTTAGGTACAGCATTGGGTGAAGGTGTTTTTTTTTTTTTTTTTTCTGGTTCTTGATTCTGACATGACCAGCTTTTGAGGTAAAATGAGTAGGCTAAGATCACAAGGGTAATCATGCACTCATTTACTTGCCAGGTTTTTAAGAAAAATCTCTTTTGGTCCAGGCTTTGTGTGAGGTGAAAGGACGTGGAGATGCATGGCCCATTTCTTCAAGCATTTTACCGTCTGGACTTCCGTGGGAGAGAGAGACATGTAAACATATCAGTAAAATGCAACCTTTTAAATATGATTTAATAAATGTCAACAAAGTTTGTAAAGAAGAAATTGAGAGGATGACATGTGACCTTTGTATTGAAGGATTAATAAGAGTTTGCCATGCGGAGTAATGAGAGAACATTCCAGATAGAAATGTTACCATTTAATTCAATTCTGACACTAACTGCCTGAAGTGAGTTGAAACTCCGCAGGTTAAGGGTTCAGACCCACAAGACTGCCCCCTACTTCAGAAGCGAATCATAAGTAGAGGTTCCCCAGGTTGCCATGATTTTATATGTCTTGGCTGCAAATCAGGAGTCCCCACAATCACCTTCTCAGTTTCAATAATTTGCTGTAAATGACTCTCAGAACTCAGGGAAACACTTTGCTTACATCTCCCAGTTTATTATAAAGGATACAAATGAACATCCAGGTAAAGAGGTACATAGGGTGAGGTCAGGAAGAGTCTAGAGCAAGGAGCTTCTGTTCCTTTGCAGTTTGGGGTGTGCTATTCCCCTCCCTGGCATATAGATTCCTTTACCAACCCAGAACCTCTCTAAACCCCATGGTTTAGGGTTTTTATGAAGGTTCTATTGTATAGGAATGATTGATTAAATTATTGGCCATTGGTGATTCGCTCAATCTTCAGCCCCTCTACCCTTCCCTGGAGGTTAGGGGCTGAAGTTTCAACCCTCTAGTCACACTGCTGATTCCTCTGGCAACCAGCTCTCATCCTAAAACTATCTAGGGGCTTCCAGCCATCAGTTATCTCGTTAACATAAACTCAGGTATGGTTGAAAGGAGCTTGTTATGAATAACAAAAGATGCTCCTCTTACCTCTATCACTTAGAAATTTTGAGGGTTTTAGGAGCTCTGTGCCAGAAACTGCAGATGAAAATCAAATATATATTTCTTATTATATCACAATATTACAGAGGGTAATTTTGGGTACATAGCACAGTTTGCTCTGACCCTTGTGAAGGATGGCTCTGGTAATAACTATCAGCCTTAACACGCACTAGCTAATGATGTTAATAATTGCTAATCTTGTTGAGTGCTATCTGTCAAGCACTGTGCTAAATGCTTTCTGTGTATTACCTCATCTAATCCTCATAATCCTATAAAGAAGGCAGGATAGAATCAGACTCTGGAGCAAAGCTTGGGCTTCAGCCATCTGGAGCCAGACTGCCTGGGTTTACACACTGACTCTTCCTTATTGACTGTGTGACTTTGGAAAATTGCTCAATCTTATTTGTGCCTTAGTGTTTCCATCTATAAAATGGGGATAAAAGCACCTACCTTTGGCATATGAGTTTATTTTTGGAGAGGGCAACTCAAGAGTTAACCTGGGCTGCAAGCTGCCTTAGGCATGCAGAGCCCAGAATGATTTGAAAACCCTGCTCTGTATCCACCCATTCCTCTCTGTGAATGAATTCAAGAAATTCAACAGGTACAAGCAATCACCGGAAAGCTATTTGTTGTGATTGGAAAACACTCAAAGAAATGGAGTGCTTCATAGATGATTTAATATTTTAAAGGTGGCACATGTGAATGAGTAAGCTCAGGGTATATGAGCGAGTTTACATTCCACATCAAGGTTTTACTTAAAGTTTACATTTTGTTTAAATGAGAAGTAAGATCAATGTAATATGGCTTAAACCTTTCTCAGAAATTTATGGCTTCTTTTAATAAACCTCATAAAAGACACTATTAAACACATGCAGCGTTCTTAATGTAATGGTTCCATTCTTGAAATATATAGTATTTAGATTGCATCTAAAATGCTGTAAAAGTATCACAAAGGCTGTAAAAATATTGTTAACGGGAAGAAATCTTTTAGGGGGATAAATATTTTCTTGGAAAAGGAAAAAGCTGTGAACCTTTTAGGCAGGGAATGGCTTGGTTTTGAAAAATAACAATTTGCCTTTTTTATGTTCTTTCTGTGGTTCTACTTCAGCCAATTATTAGATTAAAGCAAGCTGTTGCTACGTGCCCTAGAAACTCAGACGGATTTGATGTTGCACCCTAAGTTTGTGAGGACAAGTTCCATTTAAAGCTTTAATGAGGTCAAGGGAATAAAGAAGGAGGCTGGCTGAGTCTTTTGTGTTATTTTAGGACTGTATCTTAGAATTACGAGGCTTGCATAATGCCATGGAAAGAACACAGAAGTTGAAGTTAAAAGCCCTCCGTTTGAGACCTGGCTCTGCCATTTACTAGCTTTGTGACCTGGGCATAATCACTCAAATGCTCTGAGGCTCGGTTTCTTGAATCTGGAAAACAGGGTTAAGAATACCTGCTGTAGCCACTTTGTAAGGATATTGTGGGGTCAAATGAGATAATGCATGAGAAAGTGCTTTGAGAGCCAGAGAGGCATAAAGTGCACATGGACTTTATTTATTTGACAAACATTTATTAAACACTTATTATGTGCACACACAGAACATTAGTGAGCCAGAGTGAATGTGCAGAGCTCACTTGGGTCAACCCTGCTGTTTTCCCCTTCCTTTTGTCCTCCCTGTATTTTGGCTGAGCCACTTATAAACCATTTTACACAGATGAGGGTCTATTCTATTATTCAAGAGAAATGTTGGCACCCTTTTTTGGTGACCTGTTTCCCTCTCTATAGATGGCTATCTTTAGAAAAAAATTTATTAAGTATAACTTAAGACATATATAGTGTGAATAATAAATAGAGAAGCACCCCGTGCTACAGTTGGAAAGAACACTTGAGTCCAACCTCTTTACAACACAGATGGGAAACAAAGGTTCACAAACGGGAGATGGTATGCCCTGCCAAATTAACTTCTCATATGCTTTAGAGAGAGATGGAAATATACGCCACACTACTATACACAAATATCAATTCAATGAGAAAAGTAACACTTCTGCCTACTGCACAGACTTATACTGTCGAGCATAACTTCACAAAACGTCATACCTTAGTCTTCCCCAGAAGGACAGTCTTAAATCAACATGGACAATCAATGAACAACTGAGATAAAATATTGAAGGTTGAATGAAGAGAAAACTCTAGCTCACGTGGCTTTTCTTATTTAGCTCCTATTAAAAGATGAAAAGATATTTAGCATTTTCCATTGGATGAGGTACATTTAAAGAAGATTTATCAATTTAGTAGACTATACAATGTTAGGTGCTGATGGCCATTAAGCCATTTGAGTTAATTTTTCTGAGATGTACATCATTTTTAAAAATTTTATCTTCACAGCACAGCTTTTATTAATAAATCTCAGAGAACTTTGCAAATATCTAGGGATGCATGTTCTCACTTGTAAGTGGGAGCTGAACAATGAGAATACATGGACACAGGTGAGACAGCCAGATGGGAAGGGCTTCCAGGCAGAGCCCCCCACCAACCTGAGCTGGGGTGGAGGCACAGAAATTCACGCCATTTGCAGTGGGGAGGAGCCTGGCCCTTCCCCTTCCTGGGTGGAACCTGGGATTAGAACTGTGAGGTGGGAAGCCTGTACTAGGAGGACTCTAGCTCCGCTGAGCTCCTGTTCCCCCTTTTTACCTTTATGCCTAATAAACCCTGCCCTGCTCACCCTTCAAAACAGTTTGCACGCCTAAATCTTTATGGCTGTGTGATAAGAACCCCGTCTTTAGCTGAACTAAGGAAAAGTCCTGCAACACAGGCAGGGGAACAACACACACTGGGGCCTGTCGGGGGAGGGTGGTGGGGGAGCGGAGAGCATTAGGGAAAAGAGCTAATGTATGCCGGGCTTAATACTTGGGTGATGGGTTGATAGGTGCAGCAAACCACTGTGACACACGTTTACCTATGTAACAAACCTGCACATCTTGCACATGCATCTGGGAACTTAAAAAAAATAAAATAAAAACTAATTTAAAAAATCCCCACAAATATCTAGCGATAATCTCTGGGGCAAGGTGGGCACAACTGCATAAAATTAACCATGTTTTAAAGATAGGGTAACTAAAATCTATGAAAATGTTATGACTTGACTGCTGTGATATCCAGAGTGCATAAATAGGGAGAAAAGAAGGTTCCTGGGCTAACAGATTCCAACAGCACTGCTCTAAATTTGTGGAATTCCTTATCCTGCTGTTGCACAATAATTGAAAGCATAGTCCTTAGAGCCAGGTTCATTGGTTTGAACCCTGGTTCCTCTACTTATCATTTGTACCATTATTGTTTAGTTGCTTAACTTTCTGCACCATATCTATCAAATGAAGATAACATGTTTCATATGAACGTTTTATTCCAAAACATGTAAACATCTTACTATAGTGCTAACACATAGTATTTGCTCAGTAAGTTAACTATCATTATTATTTGTCCTCATAGAAACATGTTTTCCCAATGTCCTGTCACACACACACACACACACCCCTTAATATATTTACCAATAATGCTTACTTTACAGTTTAATTATCAACCTGCTTTCATCGTTAAATATATATTCTTAAAGATATATTTTCTTTTTCTTCTACTACTTTATTTAGCTTAACCATGATTTCTAAACTCATAATTATTCCATTAGAAGATGAGGTCTGACGCCTTTTCCAGGAAGGGAAAATCTTCCTTTTTGTTATATGGGACCTCAGTAATTTTCCTGAAGGAAATTTTCTCCTTTATTCCATGGTGCACCTATTCTGGCACTTTCTTCCTCTGTAGTGTCTCCTGTTAAATTCCTTTCCTGCCTTGTTCTTTTTTTTTTTTTTTTTACCCTTGTCAACACTTACATTGGCGTAACCCTTTTTGCCACTGAAGACTGTGGTTCCCAGATCACATCAGCTTAAAAGATCAGAATAAACCACAAAGAAGTCTGTCTCTAGTAAACTCTACTCCCTCTTTATGAATTCTAGAATCTTGCAATTACTCTGAATGTGTCCAGGAATCCTCAGGTTTCTACATGCGTTCTCCAGTCCTTGGCTATGATGTGTTCCCCACTATATTTTCATCCTTCTTGTCCATGCCCCAGTGGTGACGTCTCTGGTTGCCAAAATTACTGACATCCCATAGAAGCAGTCAATGTCATTGGTGCTGACTGAGAATGCAATCACTGTTGTTGGTGCCTATCACCAACTCCTCCTTTCACCAGCACCATTCAGGATCCCATGAAAGCTACTCCAAGTTTCACTCTATTGACCAAACTGATGCTACCAATGTCCAATATATTTCTTAGAGCCCATGTCTCAGAGTATCCAGCACCACCTCTCTGACAGAGCTCTGAATGTAATTTTATTTAGTTATTGAAGGTACTGGCCTGTATTAGTCCGTTTTCATGCTACTGATAAAGACATACCCAAGACTGGGAAGAAAAAGAGGTTTCACTGGACTTACAGTTCCACATGGCTGGGAAGGCCTCAGAATCATGGCAGGAGGTGAAAGGCACTTGTTACATGTTGACGGCAAGAGAAAATGAGGAGGATGCAAAAGCAGAAACCCCTGGTAAAACCACTGGATCTCGTGAGACTTATTCACTACCATGAGAACAGTATTCAAATTATCTCCCATGGGGTCCCTCCCACAATATGTGGGAATTATGGGAGTACAATTCAAGATGAGGTTTGGGTGGGGACACAGAGCCAAACCATATCATGGCCCAGTGCTTTATCTCTTTTAATTTTTCATCACTTTATTATTGGTGGTACTTTCATGCTAGAACTTGAGCATTAGCCCAGGGACCTGGCTTGTGAAGACTTACAGTAATTTATATCATAATCTTCTTTGAAATCCTTTCCCTTCCATTTTGGCTTATTTTCCTTGAAACAAACTTATTTCAAACAACCCAGGGTGAAGTGCAGTGGCGCCATCTCGGCTCACTGCAACCTCTGCCTTCCAGGCTCAAACAATCCACCCACCTCAGCCTCCCAAGTAGCTGGGACCACAGGCTCCTGCCACCACACTGAGCTAATTTTTGTATTTTTAGTAGAGATAGGGTTTCTCAGTGTTGCTCAATCTGGTCTGGAACTCCTGGGTTCAAGCGATCCACCTGCCTCAGCCTCCCAAAGTGCTGAGATTACAGGCGTGAGCCACTGTGCCTGGCCAAAAGTCAGTTTTATAACCCTGAAGAGAAATGATGATGGCTTGAATTGAGGAGCCTCAGTGTGGATGGAAAGAAGTGAACCTACAGGATATGGTGGTGACTAGAAAAGGATTCTTAGGTCTCTGGCTTCTGAAATATGTTGGGTGATATTTTTCACCAAGGAGGAAGAAGGATGAGGAGGAGTTCATTGAAATATAAGGTTGAGTTTAGGCTGAGATGCAGGAGTGGAGGCAGATGTCAAAAATATGCAGTTGTATATAAGCCTAGAACTTAGAAAAAACTTTGTGCTAAAGACATTTATTTATGATGTCTAATTCCTATGATGATCACAGTTTAGACTCCCGTGTATGTTGTTGGAGATAACATAAGATCTGTGGCAGAAAATAATAACAATAATGATAATAACTCATATTTAGCCCGTATGTGTCAGGCACTGTGTTAATTCTTTTAACATGTTAATTTGTTTAATATGTTATTTCACACATCAACTGTATGACGTAAGAATGAAACCAGTTATACAGTTGAGGAATGGAAGATCAGTAATTCAAAATCTTATTAGTCTGTATAAGTAAGGACTCAGAAAGAGATATGTTTACTTTCAAAAACAAATGTTCTTACTCTAATAATACATACCTGGATTTATATTCTGTCTGTCGCTCATTTGTTGAATGTACTTGGTCAAGTAACCAGACCTCACCAGCCTTCTATTTAGTCATGTATAAAAAGTGGTTAAAGACATCCACCTCTCTAGCTCACAGAGCAGATGAAGGAACGAGTTAGATTATACATGGAAATTATTTAGCGTAATGCCTAGCATGATGGGTACCCAATCAACAGTAATATAACTGGCTTCTCCAGTTACAGCATTTCCCTCTCTGTGTCTATCCTTCAAAATGTGGATATTTGTTATTCATTTAAAAATATTTTCAGAGTTCTACTTTTAATACCATCCCATTCCACAACTAGTAAAATCAGAACAGAAAACACTTTTTGAGTCATAGCTATCTAATAAAAGGTAGGAGTGGTCACCAAGAAAACTCTGTCCTAAAGGAAATACATTTAAAAAGAAACACATGAGCTTGGCCTGGATCTTCCAGAACCTTAGAAGTTGGGAGCTGGTCCTTCAGTGGTTTGGAGCCAATATCTGACCAACTGGAGTTAAGAAGCTGAGGCTAGGTTCGTATAGCAAGCTGAAACGGTAACTAAAAGTTGAAGCAAAAATTAGGCGAGGCAACGAGCTGAGATGAAACCCAGGATGAAGTGGGCTGAAGTAATCTGACTCAGAGGTGCCTCCTGGCCTATTAGCACAGAGAGAAGAAAACTCTCACTGAAGGAGAACTTTCCCATATTAAGCCTTCAGGCCTCCCACAAATTACCAAACAAGCAAGAAGGCAAGCTACTATTAATGATAGCAAACAAGTAACTGATTTAGATCACCAAGTCCTGAAGATGCTAAAGTTGTCAGGTACAGAATATAGAAGAAATCTTTATGAGCTTAAAACAAGAAACTATTAGAAATTTTTTAAAAAATGAAAAAAAGAAATAAATGAAATGTCTAAATACTAAAACGCTAACTTCAAAAAGTCCTTATTGGATACCTGTAAACAGCAGATCAGACAAAGTTAAAGGGTAAAATAGTAAAAAAGAAATATATAAATTTTATATATACAGTATATATATTTAAATATATATACACAGTCATGCATTATATAACAACTGTGATACGTTCTGAGAAATGCGGTTAGGTGATTTCATCATTGTGTCAACAGAGTGGTACTTACGCAAACCTAGATGGTATAGCCTACTACAAACCCAGGCTATATGGTATAGCCTATTGCTCCTAGGCTATAAACCTGTACAGCATATTACTCTACTGAATTCTATAGGCAATTGCAACACAATGGTAAGTATATGTGTATCTAAACATATTTCAACATAAAAAGATACAGTAAAAATATGGTATAAAAGATAAATAAAGTTTTATTATTTATTTTTTATTATTATTATTTTTTGAGATGGTGTTTCACTGTTGTTGCCCAGGCTGGAGTGCAATGGCACGATCTTGGCTCACCCCAACCTCCACCTCCCGGGTTCAAGTGATTCTCCTGCCTCAGCCTCCCAAGTAGCTGGGATTACAGGCACGTGCCACCACGCCCTGCTAATTTTGTATTTTTAGTAGAGACGGGGTTTCTCCATGTTGGTCAGGCTGGTCTCGAACTCCCGACCTCAGGTGATCCTCCTGCCTTGGCCTCCCAAAGTGCTGGGATTACTGGTGTGAGCCACCATGCCTGGCAAGAAAGTTTTATCTTTATAGGGCACTTACTATGAATGGCACTTCCAGGACTGGGAGTTGCTCTGGGTGAGACAATGAGTGAGTGATGAATGAATGTGAAAACCTAGGACATTACTGCACACTACTGTAGACTTTAGGAATGCTGCACACTTAAGCTACACTACATTTATACATTTTTTTCTTCAATAATAAATTAAGCTTAGCTTACTGTAGCTTTTTTGCTTTATACAATTTTAAATTTTCTTCAAGTTTTCAACTCTTTTGTAATAACGTTTAGCTTAAAATACAATGTAGAACTGTACAAAAACATTATACCCTTCTTTTATAAGATTTTTTTCTATTTTTTTTTTATTTTTTTAGTATTTATTGATCATTCTTGGGTGTTTCTCGGAGAGGGGGATTTGGCAGGGTCATAGGACAATAGTAGAGGGAAGGTCAGCAGATAAACACGTGAACAAAGGTCTCTGGTTTTCCTAGGCAGAGGGCCCTGCTGCCTTCCGCAGTGTTTATGTCCCTGGGTACTTGAGATTAGGGAGTGGTGATGACTCTTAACGAGCATGCTGCCTTCAAGCATCTGTTTAACAAAGCACATCTTGCACCGCCCTTAATCCATTTAACCCTTAGTGGACACAGCACATGTTTCAGAGAGCACGGGGTTGGGGGTAAGGTTATAGATTAACAGCATCCCAAGGCAGAAGAATTTTTCTTAGTACAGAACAAAATGGAGTCTCCTATATCTACTTCTTTCTACACAGACACAGTAACAATCTGATCTCTTTCTTTTCCCCACATTTCCCCCTTTTCTATTTGACAAAACCGCCATCGTCATCATGGCCCGTTCTCAATGAGCTGTTGGGTACACCTCCCAGACCGGGTGGCGGCCGGGCAGAGGGGCTCCTCACTTCCCAGATGGGGCAGCCGGGCAGTGGGGCTCCTCACATCCCAGACGATGGGCGGCCAGGCAGAGGCTGCAATCTCGGCACTTTGGGAGACCAAGGCAGGCGGCTGGGAGGTGGAGGTTGTAGCGAGCCGAGATCACGCCACTGCACTCCAGCCTGGGCAACATTGACCACTGAGTGAGCGAGACTCCGTCTGCAATCCCGGCACCTCGGGAGGCCGAGGCTGGCAGATCACTCGCGGTCAGGAGCTGGAGACCAGCCTGGCCAACCCGGCGAAACCCCGTCTCCACCAAAAAACATGAAAACCAGTCAGGCGTGGCAGCATGCGCCTGCAATCCCAGGCACTCGGCAGGCTGAGGCAGGAGAATCAGGCGGGGAGGTTGCAGTGAGCCGAGATGGCTGCAGTACAGTCCAGCCTCGGCTCGGCATGAGGGAGAGGGGGAGGGGGAGGGGGAGGGGGAGGGGGAGGGAGATTTTTTTCTATTTTAAAAATTTATTTTATTTTTTACTTTTTCATTTTTTTTTGTTAAAAATTGTTTTGTTAAAACACACGCACACTAGCCTAGGCCTACATAGCATCAGGATCATCAACATCACTGTCTTCCACCTCCACATCTTGTCTCACTGGAAGATCTTCAGGGGCAATAACACACATGCAACCCATCTCTCTGTGATAACAATGCCTTCCTCTGGAATACCTCTGGAAGGACCTGCTTGAGGCTGTTTTATAGTTAACCTTCTTTTAAAAAATAGGTAAATGGAGTACATTCTAAGAAGTATAGTATAGTGAATACATAACAGTAACATAGTTGTTTCTTATCATTATCAAATATTATGTAATGTACACAATTGTATGTGCTATGTGTTTATGTTACTGGCAGGGAAGCAGGTTTGTTTACGCCAGCATCACTACAAACACGTGAGCAATGCATTGTGCTATGACATTTCAATAGCTAGGTTGTTGCTAGGCCAAAAAATTTGTTTTCAGCTCCATTATAATCTTACGGGACCAACATCATATATATATATATATATATATATATATATATATATATATATATATACACACACACATATATATATATATATAGTTCATCATTGACAAAACCATTGTTATGCAGCACACACACACACGCACACACACATATATGTATAGATAGATAGGTGTGAAAAATAGAATGAGAAAGTACCACATACATCTAATTGGAGTCTCTGAAGAGACCATAGAGAGAATGGGGAAGAGATTAGATTTAAAGAGATAATGGCTGTGAATTTCCCAAAACTGATGAAAAACATGCATTTACCAACTAAGGAAGATGAACATATCTGAAGAAGAATCCATAATTTTATTTTACAAAATGAGGAAAGCACTAACCATAAAAGAAAATGTTGATAAATTTAGCTGTGTTAAATTAAAATCTTCTGTTAATCAAATAGAACCACAAAGAAAGTGAAAGGAGAGCAAGCTCTGTACATGTACAAAAGTATGAATCTTGTGGTATGGAGATTTTTTATTTGATATGCTGCAGTTTTACCTTAACAGGTTTCTGTATGAATTTGTTTCATTTTAATTGACACCCTTGAATGTTCAACCTCAAGACTCATGGTCTTTCTTAAATAGACAAAATTATCAGATATTAGTTCTTTAAATGTGCCTTTTCACCATTCCCTCTCTTTTTCTCCTGCGATCTATGTTGGAGGCTATCAGTTTAACCTCTGCAACTCTTGACTTCTCTTTCACTTAAAAAAATTTTAATTTATGCTTCAATGGGACTTTGTGACCAAACTAAATAAGGTAAAAAAATGAAACAGTTGAAATCCTAAAGAAAAATTAGTACTGTTTATCTACATTACTGATGCCTTTTAAAATTGAATTTTTATTTAAAAAATAATTGGTAGTGCATTTGGGGTAATATTTTTAGTAATAATTTCTAACTTTGTGTCAAATCTTAGAGTTAACTGTATTTCCAGGATTGTTAGTTCTTTTTCATTTTGTCTATTTTCTTTTACTTCTTTCTATTGTTTCATAATTTCTTACTATTTGTGGGGAATATTATTCCTTCCTTTATGTGAAAATATTCAAAGTATTATTGTAAAGTCATTTAAATATGCATTGTTGCTTTTATTTAATCTCTGATTAATGTATTTCTTTATTGTTGATTTTGGCGGCTTTCTTCACTTTTTTCCCCGTGGGTTTTTTTTTTTTTTTTTTTTTTTTTTTTGGCTTAAATACTTTATCTTCTGTGGAAATGCACTCTGTCTTACTCCTTCCTCCATAGTATTTTTTTTTTTTTTTTTTTTTTTGAGACGGAGTCTCTCTGTCTCCCAGGCTGGAGTGCAGGGGCGTGATCTCGGCTCACGGCAGGCTCCGCCCCCTGGGGTTCACGCCATTCTCCTGCCTCAGCCTCCAGCGTAGCTGGGACTACAGGCGCCCGCCACCTCGCCTGGCTAATTTTTTGTATTTTTAGTAGAGACGGGGTTTCATCGTGTTAGCCAGGATGGTCTCGAACTCCTGACCTCATGATCCGCCCGCCTCGGCCTCCCAAAGTGCAGGGATTACAGGAGTGAGCCACCGCGCCCGGTCCCTCCATAGTATTTTTAAGGGTAACTTCAGTCGGCCCCTGAGACCCTGGTTCAGAATGTGGCCTTCTATTAGGGTTAAGTGCTCCTACTCCATTTTTATAGTCAAGATATTGCAAATCTGATCATTATCTGGGTGGCTTGTTATATATCTGGCTAAAGCTGTGTCTCCTTTCTCCTTCCCCTCTAATTAAGCAGTTTTGTATAATTCATAACCATAGCAGTGTTTTGAGATTTTTCACAAGTGGGAGAAGCCCACCTCATTCCTGGTTTTTAGTTGTGAGATTGGTTCTTATTCCCTTTTTTATAGGGGGCACATTTCAGTCCCTATTATCCAACAGAGTTGTAGCTTTTCATTGCCTTTCCGCTTTTGAACATATAGCTCAGAACACCTGCAGATTCAGCCCCATTTACTATTACACTTTTGCTCCATGGAGATATATATTTTATTTCAGAGTGTTAAAATATATTTGGAGGTGGGGGATCATCTTGCAAATATGAGCAAATATGAACTCACCATGCTATTTTTAAAAACAGATTTATTGAGCTATGATCAATATACAATAAATGGTACATATTTTAAGTGCATGATTTGATCAATTTTAATAGACATACACATACTTAAAACTGTCACCAAATCAAGATAATGAACACTTCCAAAAGTTTTCTCATTCCCTACCTGACCACAACTCCTTGCACTCCACGCCCATCCTGATTGTTGCTACTGATATGTTTTCTGTTTCTATAGATTACTTTGCAGTTTCTAAAATTTTATATAAGTTGTATCAGACAATATTTCAATTTTTTGGTCCAGAATCTTTCATACACAATAAGTATGCTGAGAATTATCTATGTTGTTGTGTGTTTAATAGTTCCTTCCTTTTTGTTATTGACTAATGTTTTATTATATGGATGTGCCACAATTTGTTTATCCGTTCACCTATTGATGGAAGTTTGGCTCATTTCAAGTTTTTGGTTATTGCATATCAAACTTCTCTGAACATTTGTGTACCGGTCTTTTAATGGATATATGCTTTCATTTATCTTGAATATTTACCTAGGAGTAGAATGACTGAATCATTTGATAGATGTATATTTAACTTTTTAAGAAACTTTCAATTTTCCAAAGCAGTTGTATCATTTTGCATTTCCACAACACCGTATGAGTTCTAGTTTTTCTACATCTTTGCAAACACATGGTATGGTCAGTATTTTAAATTTTGGCCATTCTGATAGGTTTAAGATGGTTCTTATTGTGGATTTTATTTGCATGTTTCTAATCACTAATGATGTTGAGCATCTTTTCTTGAGCTTATTCACTATCCATATATCATCACTGGTGAAGTGTCTATTCAAATCTTTTCTCTATTATGTTACATGTTTTTGTTTTCTTATTATTACATTTTCAATTTCTTTATGTATTTTTGATACTAGTTATTTATTAGATAGATATATGCTTTGAAACAATTCCTTCCAGTTGGGATTGCCTTCATTTTCTTAACATTGTATTTCAGAGCAAAAGTTTTAATTTTGTATGAAGTCAACTTGATTAATTTTTCTCTTTTGGTTTGTGCTTTTTGTATTATATCTAAGAAATCTTTGCCTAGCCCAAAGTCACAAAATTTTGTTTTCTATGTTGTCTTTTAGAAGTTTTGTAATTTTAAGTAGTATCTTTAGGCATATGATCCATCTTGAATTAATTTTTGAACATGTCACAAAATAAAGATTGAAGTTTACTTTTTACTTGTGGAGATGCAATTGTTGCAACCTCATTTGTTGATAATGCTATCTGTTCTACACTGAATTATCTTTGCACCTTTGTAGAAAAAGTCCATTGATTGTAAGGGTGGGTCTATTTCTGGACTCTCTAGTCTATTACACTCATGTGTCTGTATTTACATCAATACTATATTGTCTTGATTAATGTGGCTTTATAATAAGTATTGAAACAAGATTGTGTGAGTCATCCAGCTTTATTCTTTTGTTCATGGATATTGGAAATATTCTAGGTTCTGTGCATTTATAGATACATTTCAGAATCAACTTACTCATTTCCACAAAAACCTGCTAGAATTTTAATTGAGATGGTGTTGAGTTATGCATCAATATTGAAGGAACTGAATAACATTTGTATAATATTCAGTTTTCTAATCAATAAACAAGTTATGTGTCTTCAATTATTTAGATCTTCTTTAATTTCTTTCCTCAAGGCTTTGAAGATTTCAGTGAATATATCTTGTACATATTTTGGCAGATTGATTCCTAAGCATTTTATAAATTTTTGTGTTTTTATAAACAGTATTTTTAATTCTGATTGCTTATTGTTAGTACATAGACTTAAGAGTTTTGCACATTGATCTTGTAATCTTGCTAAAAGTACATAATATTTCAAGTAGCTTTTTTGAATATTTCATTAGATTTTCTATGTAGATGGTTATGTCTTCACTGAATAACAAGTTTTACTTTGTCCTTTTCAATTGAGATGCATTTTTTTCTTAAATTATTTTGCTGACTAGTGGTTCTAAGTGTACACTGTTAAATACAAGTAGGTAGAGTGTGTATTCTCTCCTTATTCCTAATCTTAGGGGACAGCATTCAGCATTTCACTATTAAGTGTGCTGTAAGCTATAGGTTTTATGAGATGTTCTTTATTGGGTTGAGAAAATTCCTTTCTATTACTAGTTAGCTAAGATGTTTTTTGCTTTAAAAAATTTTTTAATTATTGTGGGTACATAATAGGTTTATGTATTTTTGGAATACGTGTGATGCTTTGATACAGGCATATAATGTATAATGATCAAATCAGTGTAATTGGGGTATCCATCACCTCAAGCATTTATCATTTCTTTGTATTACGAACATTTCAATTCTATTCCTAAGTTATTTTAAAATATACAATATTGTTGACTACAGTCACCCTTTTGTGCTACCAAGTACTAGATCTGATCTCTCTAACTGTATTTTTATACCAATTAACCATCCCCACTTTATTCCTCCCTCCCTGCTACCCTTCCCAGCCTCTGGTAACCATAATTCTATTCTCTATCTGTGTGAATTCACTTAAAAATATTTTTAGCCCCCACACATAAATGAGAACATGCAAATTTTTTCTATGTCTGGTTTATTTCACTTAACACAATGTCCTCCAGTTCCATCCATGTTGTTGCAAACGACAGGATTTTATTCTTTTTAATGACTGAATAATATTCTATTGTGTGTATTCCATATTTTCCTCATTCATTCATCCCTTGATGGATACTTAGGTTGATTCCATATCTTGGCTATTATTAATAGTGCTGCAAAAACATGGGAATACAGGTATCCCTTCGATACACTGATTTCCTTCCTTTGGATATATACCCTTTGCTAAGATTTTTAAAACCAGAAATTGATGTTGAATTTTTTTCAAATGATTATTCTTCTTCTATTGTGAATAATTATATATACATACATGCTTCATATACATATCATATATGTATGATGTGCATGCATGCTTCATATACGTATCATATATGTATGATGTGCATGCATGCTTCATATACGTATCATATATGTATGATGTGCATGCATGCTTCATATACGTATCATATATGTATGATGTGCATGCATGCTTCATATACGTATCATATATGTATGATGTGCATGCATGCTTCATATACGTATCATATATGTATGATGTACATGCATGCTTCATATACGTATCATATATGTATGATGTACATGCATGCTTCATATACGTATATATAATTATATCCTTATAAACATACATATGCATATATAATTATATCCTATATACATACATATTTTAAAATGATAAATTACATTCATTGAATTTTTAATGTTATATTATCCTTGTATTCCTGGGATAATCCTCATTTAGTCATAATATATCATCTTTTTATATCTTATTAGTTTTTATTTTATATAAAATAAGTTTTGCCTCTTTGTTAATAAGAAATATTAACTTTAGTTTTTATTTCTGTAATGTCTCTGGTTTGAGTATCAAGATAATGGTGAGCTCCATAGAATGAATTGGGAAGTATTCCCTCCTCTTCTGTTTTCTAAAAATCTTTTTGTAGAATTGGTATTATTTCCTCCTTAAATATTTGGTAGAGTTCTCACCAGAAAAGGCATCTAGTCCTTGACTTTTCTGTGTGGGAAAGTTTTTAACTACAAATTCAAATTTTTAATACATAATGAACCATTCATAGTATATATTTTTTCTTATATGAGCTTTGATAGTTTATATCTTCCAAATAATTTGTTCATTTATCTAAGTTACTGAATTTACTGGCATAATGCTGTTCATAATATTCTCTTATTCTATTAATATCTCTAGAATTTATAAAAATGCTGACACTTTTCTCATTTCTGCTATTGGTAATTGCTGTATTCTTATATTTTCTCTGATCAAATTTATTGAGATAAAGTTTTATTGATTTTCCCAAAGCATCAGTTTTTAGCTTTATTGATTTTCTGTATTGTCTTCATTTTTTTATATTTTATTAATTTCTATTTCATTATTACATCCTTTCTTTTACATACTTTGGGTTTAATTTGCTGTTTTTCTAATTTTTTAATGTAGAAGTTGTGTTCTTTGATCTGTAACCTTTGTTTATTTCTCCTTTCATTTCTATCAATTTTTGGTCTTGAAGTTCAGTGACTATGGTCATAAACATTTAGAATTGCTAAATTCATTTTATAAATGGACTCCTGTAGCATTATAAAATAAACTGGTAATATTGTTTGCTCTAAAATCCATTTTGTGGGATATTATTATAGTGACTATGACTGTCTTTTGATTCATTTTATCATAATATACATTTTTTAATCCTTTTACTTTTAACCTATTTATTAATATTCAAAGTGTATTTTTTATAAGCACCATATATTTGGGTCTTCCTTTTTTGTGCAATCTGAAAATTTCTTTCCTTTACTTCTGGTGTTGGAAATATTTATATTTAATTTGTTTATTAATATGGTTAGTTTAAGTCCATTATCCTGCTACTTGCTTTTTATTTTTTGTCTTTTGTTTTCTTTTACTTACTTTTTTTACTTTTAAATTAATCAATTTTTTGATCAGTTTAATATTATTTTATAATTTTATTTCATCTACTTTGTTAGATTACTAGCTATAGCTTTTTGTTGCATTATTTTTAACAATTGTTTTAGTATTTATGCTGTACATCTTTATCATTATCTACCTTCAGGTGATAACACTTCACATGTAGGATTTACATTTTACAATATTAAGGCCTGGCGCAGTGAATTACGCCTGTAATCCCAGCACTTTAGAAGGCTGAGGAAGGTGGATCACGAGGTCAGGAGTTTGAGACCAGCCTGACCAACATGGTGAAACTACTAAATATAAAAATTAGCCGGGCATGGTGGCGTGTGCCTGTAATCCCAGCTACTCAGGAGGCTGAGGCAGTAGAATCGCTTGAACCCGGGAGACAGAAGTGGCAGTGAGCCGAGATCGCGCCATTGCACTCCAGCCTGGGTGACAGAGTGAGACTCCGTCTCAAAAAAAAAGATCTTAAAATATTATACTTCCATTTTTCCTTCTCTTAGCCTTTACGATATTGTCATGTATTTTACTTTAACATATTTTATAAACCCCAAAATACATTGATATTGCTTTTGTTTAAACAGTCAATTATCTTTTAATAAGATTTAAATAACAAGAAAAAATTTTGTGTATTTACCCACATTGTTACCATTTCCGGTGCCTTTCAGCTCTTTACACAGTTCTGTATTTCCATCTGGTGTCATTTTTCTTCTTCTAAAGGCTGTCTTTCACATTTCTTGTAGTGTGTGTCTTCTAATGATTAATTCTCTGCTTTTTCATGCCCAAACTTTTCTTTCAGCTTCACTTTTAAAAAATGTTATAGATTTACGGTGACATCTTCAATTTTGAATGATATTTTCACAGGATGTAGAATTCTAGATTGACAGATTTGGTTTTCCTCTCAGTACTTTAAAAAATGTTTTATTGTCTCCTCACTTGCATTATTTCTGAAGAGAAATCTGTTGTCATCCTTATCTTTGTTTTTGTATTCATGTTCCTAACACATAACATGTCATTTCCTCTAGCCATTTTTAAAATGTTTTTCTTCATTCATTGTTTTGAATACTGATTATGATATAACTTGGTGTAGTTGTTTTATTTATTTTTCTTTTGTTTCAGATTTATTAAACTTCTTGCATCTTTGAGTCTATGCTTTTCTCAAATTTACAACATTTTTTACCATTATTTCTTCAAAAATTTGTTCCTTCTCTTTTTGTCTCCGTCACTATTATTACACATATATTGGGCCCTTTGAAGTTGTTCTACAACTCATTGATGCACTCTTCTTCTTCTTCTTCTGTGTTTCACCTTGAATAGTTCCTAATACTTCAAGGTCATAAGTCTTTCCTTCTCTGCCATCTATGCTATCCAGTGTAGGTTTTTATCTCTCACAGTACAATTTACATCTCTGGAAGTTCTATTTTGTATTTTTTACATCTTCCATGTCTCTAACTCTTTGAATATATGGAATACATGTGTAATAATGTTTTTATATTCTTTTTTGCTAATTCTAATCTCTGTACCAATTCTAAGTTGGTTTTGGTTGATTAATTTTTCTCCTTGTTGGGATAGTATTTTCCTACTTCTGTGTGTTCCTGGTAATATTTCTTGGATGCCATACAGTGATAATGTTACTTTCTAGCTGTTAGATATTTTTGCATAAATATTCTCATGTTTATTGAGGCAAGGCTCTTCTGGGCATTGAGTAAATCTCAATGCCCATGATTTATGAGGTTTCCAATCTTACTGATAGGACCAAGGACAATTCCTAATTCTACATGTGTGCTGGGCACTGTTACCACTAATTGTTTCTTGTAATTTTCTCCCAGTCTCAGGTAGTTCCTATATTGCCTAATGTTCTGTGTCGTGTTTCAAATATTTTGTCTTTTTCTCCCCTTTGGTTGTTTCAGGTGGAAGTATAAATCCAGTCCCTCTTATTTCATCTAGTCTGGAAACAGAAGTCCTTGTTCATCTTTTTGCCATTCTTTTTTTCTCTATGAATTTCTTTTTGAATATTTTATATTGTTGTCTCCAACTATGTCTCCAAGTTTAGTCTTTTCTTCTGCAATATATAATCTGCTGTTAATCCCATCAAATTAATTTTATTTTAGATAGTACAATTTTTATTCCTGAAAGTTTAATTTGTATCTTTTCCTTTTCTTTTTACTATAGCCTACATATTTATTAACTTAAAATTTTAATCTTCCTCTAGTTTATTGAACATATGATAACAGTTACAATAATAGTTTTAATGACTTGTCTACTAATTGTGTAATCTGCGCTATTTCTTGGTCAGTTTAGATGGATTTATTTTCTCTTTATTATGAGTTATATTTTCTAGCTTCTTTGGATATCAGGTAATTTTTGATTGGATAACAGATATCTTGAGTGTGAATTTTTGTGTGATGTATGTTTCTGTATTCCTAACAGTATTCTTGAACTTTGTATTGCAAAGAGGTTGAGTTACTGGGAAACAGTTTAATAATTTTGGATCTTGCTTATAAGTTTTCTTAGAGGGATCAAAGTAGTCTAAGTCTAATTTTGCTACAATACAGGGACAGATGTTTTTGAGCACTCTCTCTGATGTTCCATAAGTTACAAAGTTTTCTACTCTGGCTGATGGGAACAGGCATTTTTCCTGGCTCTGTGTGTGGTTAAGTAATTATTACCTCTAATCTTTTCCGGTATTTATTTCCCTGGCCCCTGCTCCTTCCCTTAATCACAGATACAGATCACTACTTAACTAAGAATTTAAAGATTTCAGGTGTTCTGTCTCTGTATAGCTCCATCTTCCTTAGGACTCAACACTGAGAATTCTAGCTGCCTTAGTCAAACTATACTTCCAGCCCCATTTTTTCAGCTCAGGGAGACTGCCAAGTTTATTTAGGTTCCCTGTCCCTATGCTGTGGCCCAGATACTCTTCCCAGGCAGTAATCTTGGAAAATCATAGGGTTTAACTCATTTGCTTCCTGTCTCTGAGGTTTCCTTGTCCTTTGTTGTCTCATATTTAATGTCTTGAAATCTGTTCATATATTGTGTCTGGTATTTTATTTGTTTCAAGGGGCGGGTAAATCTAATCCTTGTTATTCCAACTTGTCTAGAAGAATAATTCTCACAATGTTATCTTGACCAGAAGTCAGAGAGAAATTGAATATGCCAAAAATTATTGAGTTATAATGTAGAGATTGAAGCCACGTATTAAACAAAGATTATAGAGTTGAGTAAGGCTTTGCTCCTTGGAAGTAGAATAAGAGGAATTGTAGATTCTTTTCATGCTTTAGAACATGGTCCCTGCTGATGGTAGAGAGAAATGAGCCAACTGTAAAACCATCCAATCCAATCACCAAGGTCAACTATTAGCTATGCCAATGTTCTTGTTCACAAGATTATATTGCCCCTCTGGCTTTGTTAGAAAGCTCTGAGAACCCACTGACTGGCAACTCCATATGATGCTGTATAGCTCTGGAATACTAGAAAACCACAGTGACAGACAACATGGTCCAGTCTGGGTCACTCGGAGATAGATGGCTTGGATAGCCTTTAGACAAAACTGATTCAGCTTTCGGCATTGTAAGCCAAAATTTGTATTACCTTCCTAGTGCTGCTGTAACAAATTAGCACAAACTTGGTAATTATCACAAGCAGAAATATATTCTCTCACACTTCTGGAGGCTAGGAGTCTAAAATCAAGGTGTCAAAAGGGTCATGCTCCCTCTGAATGCTCTGGGAAAGAGCTCTTCCTTACGTTTTTTAGCTCCCGGTAGCACCTGGCCTTCCTTAGCTTATGACAGCAGTAGCAATGCTCCAGTCTCTGCCCCTATCTTCACATGGCCTTCTTCCCTGTGGAATGGTTGTTATTCCATATTCTGATCTATTCACATTGCTGCAGTCTTGAACATTTTGCCCCCAGTTCCTTCCTGACACCCTTCTTAGCTCTCCCACTCCCCGTCCTCTGCCACACATGTCAGTAATCTTACTGAAGTGCATTTTTAGGGAATTTTTAGTTATGAGCATAAAGTCTGGATCCAGGCTGTCTAGGCACAATCACAGCTCTATTGTGTAACAGTTGTGTAACTTTGAGTAAGCTTTAAAACATATTTTCTTCTCTGGAAAATAAGGATAACAATAACACACCTATCTCAAATGGCTATTCTAAGGATTTACTGAGCTAATATGTACATAAAGTACTTAGAGCAGTAAGTGTCATATAAATGTTAGTTCTTGTTATTGAAAAAGATCACTAGGATTCCTTGTCAGCAGGCTGGGACAATCATAAGGCATACTCAGTTTTCCTTCCTGTCTCTGAGGTTCCCCTGTCCTTTGTTGCATAATAGTCAATGCTTTGAAAATAATCATTTTATATATTTTCCCTGTTACTTTGTTTCAAATAATGGAGGATAAATCTACTTTCTGAACCTTTAAGCTGTCTGAAAGCAGAAGTCTCACACTGCTATCTTAAATAAATGTCAGGAAAGCAAGTTAATCCTTATAAGAAGCTGGATGTCTGCAGTACATAGAAACGGAGAGGGTTAAACAGAGCAGGGTTCTAAACTGAAAAATTTCTTTGTATACCTGCCTGGACTCAATTTTTAAATTGCTTTCAGCCAAAGACCCAATGAATTATGGCAGCAGCGTGACCTCTTCCAGGATGCAAATAGATATCAGAGCCCACATCTCATAAACTCTCCCTTCATGCTGATCTGACATTACACCACAGGAACAATGAAAAATTTTATGCCAGACACCCTTTTCTCTGTAGGTACCATCACATTATTCATTCATTCATTCACTCGGAATAAAGTTGTTACATGGAAAGTGGTAGGAAGTGGCTGGGTCCTAGATATATTTTGGAAATATTTTTGATATGGCACACTGATGTTTTAAATGTGGGGTGTGAAGGGAAAAAGAGCAATCAAGGACAAAGATTGAGTTTCATGCCTAACTAACTGAGTGAACAATGTTGTCATTTGCTAAAATGGGGAAGAATAGGGAGGTGCAGACTTGTTAGATGAGGGTGAAAGGAAAACAAGAGCTGTGTTTTGATCATATCATGTTTGAGATACCGATTAGTCATTTAAGAGGTATGGTGCCAAATAAGCACTTGGATTTACAACTTCAATAGAGAGGTCCAGGCTGGAGATACAGTTTCAAGAGTCCTGAACATATGGTATTCACAACACACAGACCCTTCAGAGCCTTGAAGTGCTACAATATTTAAGGATGTTGCAGAGAAAGAAATACCAGTTAAGGGATTGAGAAGGTAGGGAGGTCAGAGGAAAATTGGGTGAATGCCATACGCTGGAGGCCTAGAGAAAAGATGTGTGAAGAAGGAGGTTGTGATCAACTGAGTGGAATACTGGGTAGAATCTGAATGAGATAAGCAGAGCAAGCTGCCTATTGGATTAGGGCAAGATGGAAGTTAGTGGTTAACTCTAAAGATCTCTGTTTCAGGGCTCAGAGATGGGAAACAAAGCCCAGCGGAAGTGGCATAAAGAGGAAATGGAATGTGAGAAAGTAGAGGCAGCAACTGCCCTCCTAAGAAGTGCAACTTCTTACAACTTTTCTCAGGCATTTTGCTGTGCATGGAAGCAAAGAATTGAGATGAAACCGGCTGGAGATTCAGACTTACGGGGAGAGTTTTTTGAGGATCTTTCTTCCTTAGAAAGATGATATTTTTGCATGATGTTAAGGTTTATATCCTGATAGTAATGATCTAATAGGAAGAAATTGATGGTGCAAGAGCAAAAGGAGATATTTTCAGAGTGGGAGAAGTATTTGAGTAAGTGAGAAAGAATGGACTCCAAGGTGTGAGCAGGGACGCTTTTTTGTGGTAAGAAGGCAGAACCTATGAGGATGAGATCAGGCAGGCTGATGGGTTGGCTAATGGGGAATGAGGTAGCAATCATGTTTCTATCCATGTTCCCTAGGAAGAAAGATGCAGTCACATGTTAAAAATTGGGTTTGAAACAGAAAGCATGTTGGAGAAAAGAGGTGTGAAATAATCTTTTTGGAAAAGAAACAAGTGAATTTATTTAGCTACTAGTAGAATTGCCTGACAGTTCTGTGTACCCAAATTGATAATGCTAATTAAAAGGAAATCACACCTCTGTGCATGTGGAAGGGGGTGTTTGTGCATGTGTGTGTGTATGTGTGTGTGTGCACGCGTGCATTTATGTGTTTCACTCCAGCAACATTCAGCTGCTTAGGTGCTGGTGCAATGAACCAGGTACTTACAATAGACGCAGCAAAAGGCAAAGGAGTTGAGGTTAATGGAAAGGGAGTGGCTATGGTGTCACAGTATGGAATCCATGCTGAGTAAATTGGAAAATAAGGACATAAGAAGGTCTAAGTAACTTTAATATATGATAGTCAAGGAAACTCTGCTCTAGCCCACACTACTCTTTTGGAGAAAGCTAAGAGTCAGTTCTACATACTTTGTCCCTCAGGGACACAGAATTTACCACTATTCCTGCTTCACTCCATCAGCTTGTATTAATTGAATCTGCTCTGCATCAGGGGCTGTGCCTGAGACCAAGGAAGGGAAATTTAAAAATTAAAAGGATGCTTTTCCTGCCCTTGAAGTTCAAAGTTTTATTCCTAAGAAAACCTGATTCTCTAGGCCGATCCCATGTCTCTCTTCTCTTGCACCCTTGCCTTGCTCTCCTGGGGAGGAAAGATTTCCCAAGGGCTGACACATGTCTCCTGCTCATGCCAGTGACATGAGAACCCCTCTGACTGACATGTCAGTGGCTTCAAAACGGAAGAGGTGTATAGCAAGCAGTCGAGACAGCAAAGTGTAAGCTCAGCGGTTAGAAGACACAACCTTCAGTTCTGAATCTGCCTCTGGCTAAGAGTGTGCCACATCTGGACCTCAGTTCCAGCACTTGTAAAATTAAGAAATTAAACAGGAGATACGAGATCTCTTCTAGGCCTAGTATTTTGCAAACTAGGTCTCTGGAAGCCTTTGTAAATGTATGTTTCATGTAAGTCTCCATTTCTGCTAAAACGTCTAGAATTTAGTCTAAGTTGTCAAAAATGTTCTCAAAGAGTGAAGGAGTTGACCTGATGTGGTCTGGGAAGTTAACAATTATTCTGTAGCAGGAATTCATTGATTCAGTGAAAATCTGTTCCATTCACTACTACCTAGAAGAATGTAGGATACTGAGGCCAGAACCTCTTTGGCTATGAAGGCCTCATTGAAACTCCTTGGCTATGCAGCCCGCGTTTTGATGAAGAGGAAGATTTTGTTACCATTGAGCACTGTTGAGAGAGATTGTGTGTGTGTGTGTGTTTGTGTGTTTGTATGTTTGTTTTGAGTGAATTGAGCAGCAGGAGAAAGCATAAAAATGGAGGAAGAGGACTGACTACCCACAGACTCACCATTTAAAAAATAGAGGAGGTCTTAGAGATTTTATAACTCATCCATGAGAGTGAGAAAACTAAGGCCCAGAGGAGCAAGCATAGGCCAACTCACTCATCTCTGGAGCAGCAGAGCCAAGCCTAGAAGGCATATGTTCAGACTCCCAGTTTAGTGCTCTCTCTCTATAGTTAACTATTCTTTAAAAAATAGTTACATATTTCTCCTCTCCAGTTTCAATGATTGCATAATTGCCTCTCCAATTCACAATTCTGCACCAGGCATGCTAGTGGTGTGTTATGTTGTGTGAACAAATAAGTGGAAAATGTATTTTGATCATAGAAGTACAGCAGGTGACAGTTCATGGATTTGGGGTTAAAAATAATATAATCTCTGTGACCTTGGGGAATAGAGCCAGTGATGCTTCCCTGAGCTCCTACATCACTAAGAACCAAATCATCCATTCTAAACAGGCCTTTTTTTGCTTGTGACTATGATATCTGCTGCTACTAAAGCAGGAGGCCTAGAATTTCCCTAACAAGGAGGCCCCTACTGCCTTAAAGTCTGAGGGACTCCTGGTTTACATTTAGGGCTGCCCAGGCCCCAGTGTCCCCCTATTCGGCTATCCTCACAAACAGCACTTCCCTACTTTCTTTCTTTCTTTTGGCCAGGAGGTGGCTCTGTAATACATGTTGGGATTAGATACCAAGGAGCCTAGCAATAAAGTCCCTGAAAAATCTATGATCAATACTAGTTAAGAAAGGAAAACAGATGTTCTTTTGCTTATGTAGATGAGATGCTTGAATGTTCACTAACATACATATGCAAATACAGAATAAATGGATTTCCAAAACTCAGTAGCTCCAAAGGACTCTGGAAGACAATAGTCCAAATTTACCACCAGTGTGGATACATGGATCAGGGGAAGCACTGCTGATTTGCTGAACAAAAGACAGGGTCAAATTTCAAGCACAACAAGCACAGCTCTAAATAGGATAAACACACGGGAGAGAAAATGCATAGTAGGAGGGTAGAGATGAGATAATCCAGGGGGTCCTGCTGACTGATATTCAGCGCAAAAAGGAGGAGGGAGTCCTGATGGGAAGCCAGCAGAAACAAAGGCAAAAGGATCAGCATCCCCAGGAAAGGGGAAAAGGCAATTGTGTTGATCAAATGTAATCTGGTTCCTGACATTGCTGATGCTTCATTCATGAGAAGTAGCTTCAGTCAGGAATCTGCCCTCCCTCCATCCACCGTACGTATGCACACATTTAGAAAGTCTTAGTATAAATATCAGTAAGTCTTAAACTCATAGAACATTGGAGCAGAAAGGGTCACGGGATCACTTAATTTGTTCATTTTCCAGATGGGGGCACTAAGCCAGGCAGAGACCACAGACTTTGCCCCAACCTTAGTTTTAGGTGAAATGGGCTTTCAAGACCATGAGCACTTTGAACCCGGTGATAGCAGCTCTCCTCCCACAATGCTTTTCTTTCTTAGCCCAAAGAGTTTCAAACCAACCATCACATGCATGGGATGCATCCCATGCCTGTGTTGGATCTATTTCTTTTGACTGCTGCTTAGTCTACAAGTGAGATAGGAGACAATGCTCATGACCAGGTGGCTAGTTACTGGGATGTGCTTTGTTGACCCTTCTTAATCTGTCTACATAGTATGCATTCTAAAGGGGCAGATTCAGCACATGTTCCCAGGAAGTAATAGTTCTTTTTTTTTTTTTTTTTTTAACTTTTAAGTTCAGGGGTACAAATGAAGGCTTGCTACATAGGTAAACTTGTGTCATGGGGATTTGTTGTACAGATTATTTCATCACCCAGGTATTAAGCCAAGTACCCATTAGTTATTTTTTCTGATCCTCTCCGTCCTCCCACCCTCACCCTCTGATAGGCCCCAGTGTGTGGTCTCATCATTTAGTTTCTACTTATAAATGAGAACATGTGGTATTTGGTTTTCTGTTTCTGTGTTAGTTTGCAAAGGATAATGGTCTCCAGCTCCATCTATGCCCCTGGAAAGGACATGATCTCATTCTTTTTTATGGCTGCGTAGTATTCCATGGTGTATATATACCACATTTTCTATATCCAGTCTATCATCGTTGGGCATTTAGGTTGATTTCATGTCTTTGCATATTTCAACCACCACAGCCTCAGAGTCTTTGTTCCACTAACCTCCTATGGCCAAAATACGGATATCAGTGGTTTGTAAATACCAGGCTCTGCATCTACTGTAATAGAATCACTTGGAAGGAAACTTTTTCAAATCAATATTAATGAGTCCGACTCTCAGATATTCTGACACTGTAGAACTGAGTTGGAGTAGAGCTCAGGGCTTTGTATTTTTTCAAAATTTCCATAGGTAATACTTCTTTTTTTCTACAATTAATTAAAATAAAAATTAAGGTTTATTGTCTGTTTACTTAGTGTCAAATACGCTATGTATATTATCTCATTTAATCACTCCTAATAGTCTCAAGAGGAAGATGCCATCATCTTTTGACACAAACATTTCCCAAGGTCACACAGTTATTGAGTGGCAGGACTAGGCTGGGATCCTTTTGCTATTAATATCACCGTGTGACCTTCAGCAAATTAGCTAATCTCTTTAAGTTCATTTGTTTCCTCTGGAAAGTAAAGATAGAAACAATTTCCATTTTATGGGTCTTTTGTACACAGTGAGTAAGTGTTTAGGACCTTAACATACAGAAAGCATTCATTCATTCTTGTGTAGTGGTATTGTTTTGGGTGGGATGGGAAAAATCATCATTGCATGGAATTTTTTTTTTAAAAGGAAGCTTATGGTGTAATTGAACTATTATACAATGTATGTTGTCTAGATTCAAAAGAAGCTCTCTATCACGAACATTTTACTGTTTACAGTTAATAAAGCATTTTCACTTTAAATTTCTCATTGGCTTTCAGGATATTAGGAAGTGTTACTTTTTTTCTCCATTTGGAAAAATAAATAAAAACAAAAATTGTAGAACTTAACTGCCCTGAGTTTTTTATTAGGTCCATTCTGATTTATCAGAGGTTCTAACCTTATAAGTCTGTGAATTTTTTGTTTTTATCAAAAATCCAAGATGTTATTTATTTTTGTTTAAAGCAAAAAATCTATCCCCTGTCTTGCCCCTCTGTCCTGTCACCCCTTCCCCAGCCTCCTCGAGAAAATACGTAGGAATTAGTCAAGGTGCATTAGTCAAGAAGCCTCCCTTGGGAGAGGAGTTCTTGTTGGACTGTGTGAGTAAGTTTGGAATTTTCATTTTATCCTAAGGTCAATTTGCCCACCCCAGGAATGACATTACTTTGATGAAATGTCCTGGTATAAGATAGATAGGTGGTGTGGTTTGACAGGAATGAGACATTAAAGATGGAAGATACGGTACAAAACAGATCATTTCATTCACCCAGCCCTAACAGTGGACACCCAGAATGATCTGTCTCCTCCGGGCCACTTCTTTCCTTTCCTTGGGAAAGCCCCTGTATCATTGTAGATTTCTCTCTATCTGTCGTTTCACTGATGTTCAGTCTAAGAGGTTCCTTTCTGTATTTCATCCCAGTTTTCTCAATACTTTGCTCCATTTCTCTTTTCCCAGACTAATTTAAGGACATTACATTTCATATTTTGCAGTCTCTCATTAATCTTCCATAAATGCTGATATATTTCTCCTTTAATTCCTCCTAAACTTTATATATCTTTCAGAAATGTGGCCCATTTAGCTTTTAGTGCCTCAGTGGTAAAACATTCTCTTTAGCAAAATGTATTTTAGAATTTTGCATTTGACAGTAAGAAATGTTTTCTTGATGGCAAAGCCTAAAAGCCAGATCAGTGTAGGTCGAACTGCATTGCTAAAGCCACTGACTCAGGTCTTTGTTCTTTAGGCTGCTTGGTTCCAGGGGCTTCATGCAGAGAAACACAGGTAGACTTCTTTGAGAATGGGAGAATGAGGGGAAGGAAGGAGAGTATGGGAAGCCTCACGTGCTCTTTGTCCAAAGCACAGGGAACATTCTGTTTCCCTGTACCTTGAGCTCTTCTCAGCTATAAGAACCTATCTAACCAATAAATTAGTATTAAAAGAATCAGAACCATGACACCGTTTTAATAAAGCTTAATTTATATGGATGTCTGGTTTAATTTAGTCAATGCCTTTCCACTCATGGTCTGTGTCTCTGCACCTCCCCCATGCCTTCCTTTGTCTTCTTAGTCATTTGGTTGATTTCCACCAGCTGTGGGTTAACCCACTCCCCTGGACTTCTAATTGCCAGCTGCTACTTTCTCCCAGACCAGGCCTCCCAGGGTTCTCGTTCTAGGGCAAGTGCTGAATGCCCTGCCTGAGTCCTGTGGAGGAGTTCACAGTTGTGTTCACAGAGTCCACAGACAGATCCATGAACGTTTTCACCCTTGTGGTTTCATTGTGCAAAAGAATCTCATTCAAATGTAAATTTGTGTTTCCACTCTGAAACCAATATATATTTTTGTGTCTTTTTTTAATGTGAAGATTTAAGCTACTCTAAAATTGCATTTCATTTCTGTGCCTGGTTGCCCAGCCTGTGTAACAGGGTTCTTCGGTATAAGTTGTATTTTCTGCACATTGCCTCTGAGTTCATTTCTTACACTGAATTACTGTGCCTTGATAGGCAATCACCAGGGTTTTTCTTTTGAGACTCATAAGATATTTCGACATGGGATTTTCATGATATTAAAAATTTTTTATGATGAAATATATCATCCACAAAGAAGAAAGTATATAACATATATTTAGAATTTAAAGAAAAATATCGAAATGAACTTATGTACCAGTAAGACTGCATACAAAATAGAATACCAGGAACTCTTAGCATTCTACATGCCCTTTGCAAATCACACTCCCTCTCACCCTGCTTGGGTTAACCACAGTCTGAATTTTGTGTTAATAACTCTTCTTGTCATTGCTTTTACACATGTATGTCTCCCTAAACAATAAATTATTTACTTTTTTCTGTTTTTGATTCTTATGTAAATAAAATCATGCTTATATATTTTGCAGTTTCAATATTTTGCTTGATATTATGTTTTTGAGATTCATTAAAACTATTACAAGTAGCTATATTCACTCATTTTTACTGTATACTATTGCCTGGTTTTTATATACCAGAATTAATTAATTAATTTTTTATTACAAACATTGCTTTTCTGAACATTCTTGTAGGTGTCTCCTGGAGTAGAATTGCTAGGTTCTAGGGTCTACACATCCTCAACTTTTCTAGATTATTTTCCTAAGTAATTGTGCCAATTTATCCTCCAATCAACAGAGTATAAAACTTCTCATTACACATTCTTTCCAGGTTTTGTATTGTCATTTTAATTTGTGCTAATCTATTGGTTATATAGTTGTATCTCACTGGGATTTTAATTTACATTTTCCTGATAACTAATGAGATTAGTATCTTCTCATATGTTTATTGACCATTGACAGTCTCTCCTCTTGAAAATGCTCGGTCATGACGGTTTGCCAATTTTCCTATTAGTATTTTATTTCTTTTCGTATTTTAGTTTTTTGTTTTTGTTTTTTTCTCCTGAACGTAAATCCATTATTATGATATGTGTTGCAAACATTATTTTCCTACTTTGTGGCTTGCCTCTTTCACTTTCTTTATGGTATCATTTGTTGAAGGCAAACTTTAATTTTAATATAGTTGAATCTATTCATTTTTTAAAATAAATTTTGCTTTTTGAGTCTAGTTTAACAAATCTTTTCCATTCTAAAGCCACAAAGTCTTCTATATTTAAAAAGTTTTAAATTTTGCCTTTTTCATTAAGGTCATAATCTTAGCACAACTGATATTTGCAAATAGGAAATATGTATCCAATTTCATATTTTTACATATGGGCCACTAATTTTTTCCATATTACTTATTGAACAGAGTCTATTTTATTCACTGATTTTCAAAGCTAGATCTGTCATTTATCAAGTTTCTAAATACATGAGATCTTCATTTGATTGCATTAGTGTATTTACCTGTTTCTATCCCAAAACTACACTGTCTTATCAGACTTTACAATAATAATTATTGATTACAGCCAGATCCACAACTTTGTCATTCTTCTGCATTAATGTACTGGCTATTTTTAAAGTTTTATTCTTAGATACAAATAGTAGAATCCGCTTGAAAAATACCTGTAGATAACAGCTTGCTAGGAGAAAACAAACAAAAAACCTGTAGAATTGTATTTGAAATTGAATTGAATGTGAAGAAAGATGAATAATTTGGAGAGAATTAGCATCCATAAGTCAGTAAGATGTACCTTTCCATTTATTTATGGTTTCTTTAATGCATTTCAACATTTTATAATTTTATCCATAAGGTTTTGTCTTGTACAACTTTTAATGTATTTATTCTTTGTATTTGTTATCATAATAAAAGTATATATATATATATGTAATGTGTTATAATGTTTTCTTACTCTCTATAGCCATGCAATAGAGTTCTGTAAATTTATCTTATTACTGGAAGCATCGTTAAATTATCTTAATAATTCTAGTAATTAATCTCAATTTTTGGGGGGTTTCTATGTAGACAATCATATTATCTAAAAATAATAACAATGTAGTTTCCTTTTTCACTATCTTTGTATCTGTTATGTTTTTTGTAGTCAAATTTAGCTGTCTGTGTTCCAGTACTATGTTGACTAGACATGTTGACAGTAGACTTTTTAAAATCTTGTTTTTAATTTGAAAAAAATTGCTTCTAATATTTTACCATGAAATATGGAGTTTGCTATAGTTTTTGGCATATATTTTTTACCAGATGAAGGAAATCACATCTTTTCCAAATTTTCTATGATTCTATTTTTAAAAATCATGGATATCAGCTAAATTTTACCAAGCTAGTTTTCTGCATCTATTGAGAATATCTTTGCTTTTATTCTCTTAAAATGGTAAATCATATCAATGAGTTTTCTAATACTGAAGCTATATCGCATTCCTGGAATAAATCTAATTTGTTAATAATGTAATCATCTCTAACATGTATTTCTGAATTTGGTTTGCTAATATTATGTTCACAAATTTTTTATCTAAATTTGTGAATAAAGTTGTCATGTAATTTTCATGTCTTCATAATTTGTGTGTCTCATTGTGAGTTTGTGGCTAGATTAGTCCTGTAGAATGAAATAGGCAATGTTGTCTCTTTTTATAGTCTAAAGAAATATGAAAAATTGCATGAATTTACCAATTTCTTCGATGTTTGGTAGAACGCATTTGTAAAATCTTCTGGAGCTGCTGTGTTTTTGATGGGTAGATTGTTAATTAAAAATTCATTTTAATTAATGGCTATACGCAAGAGTGACAGAAGTTATTGCTGGTGAACTGGATCTGATACTGGACCAGTCAGGAGGGATACCAACCAGTAGCCCTAAAAGAGGATCTGAAAGTCCCCCTCTGTGCCCAGAATTAACCTTAAGTTGATGGATTATAGAGAGGTTTAAGGAGTGGTCCTGGAGGAGGGGCAAACGTGGCCCGGGAGACACTTAGGGACCAAGGTAGAGGCTCTTAAAAGTCATGTGTAGGCCAGGCACAGTGGCTCAAGCCTGTAATCCTAGCACTTTGGGAGGCTGAGGTGGGCGGATCACCTGTGGTTGGGAGTTTGAGACCAGCCTGGCCAACATGGTGAAACTCTGTCTCTACTAAAAATACAAAAAATTAGCTGGGCGTGGTGGCAGGTGCCTGTAATCCCAGCTACTAGGGAGGCTGAGGCAGGAGAATTGCTTGAACCCGGGAGATGGAGGTTGCAGTGAGCTGAGATTGCACCATTGCACTCCGGCATGGGTGAAAAAGTGACTCAAAAAACAAACAAACAAAAGTCATGCGTAGATGTTTCACTATTTTACAACCTGTATGATCTGCATTATATTGTAGGAGTGTGTGTGTGCTGAGTCAGTATAAGACTTTTCTAAAGTGACTTTTTTAGGGGGGATATTTTCTATTTTTCCAATATAATTTCTAATAATTTTATCAATTTATTGGTATAAAATTGTCATAATATCTATTTATTATTTATTTAGACTTTGATACATCTGTAGTCATGTTCCCCATTTATTTCTAATACTGTGATACTGTGTTTTGGGACCTTCTTTTTCTGTCCCTGGCTTTCTCATGTTTTTTTTTCTGTAACTAGTTTTGCAAATGGTTTGTCAATTTTATTAGACTTTACAAGAAACCAGATTTTTGGTTTTTGATCCTTCCTGTTGTATGTTTGCTTTCTATTTCATTAGTTCAGCTATTACTTTTTTTCTTATCTTTCTTCTTTTGAGTGTTTATATTATTTATTTTTCTAACTTTATTTTTTTGAGATGAGGTCTCTCTCTGTCACTCAGGCTGGAATACAATGGCATAATCATAGCTCACCGCAGCCTTGAACTTCTGAGCTCAGGTGATCCTCCTGCCTCAGCCTCCCAAATAGCTGGGACTACAGGTGTGTGCCACCACACCCCCCCAGCTAACTTATTTATTTTTTATAGCAATGGGGTCTTGCTATGTTGCCCAAGCTAGACACGTAGCTTGTGAATTTTCAGCCTGTCTTCTTTTTTTTTTTAATTATAAACATTATTTTAAATTTCCCCCAAAGTCCTGCTTTCCCAGAATCTCAAAAATTTGACATGTAGTGTTGACACTGGGTTTCAGTCCAAAAGTGTGCTGAACTGAGAGGACATATCTAGCTGTTTAGTCTGCCACATTCCTGGAATTCAAGCCATCATTGGTCCTTTTAAACATCCCTGTAAAGACCAAGAGAAAAGTGATTATTTAATCTCCTAATTAGAAATTATTTTAAAATAATATTTAAATCAGAAAATCTTTTCTCATTATATTTACCAAAATTCTAAAAATAAAATAATTGAATAAGGGCACGGCTTCTTTTGACTCTGTTTAAAAGGAAAAGGAAGATACCACTTGAAGAAGTCAGGTTTCATCTTATCTCTTCCTTCTAACTCTTCCCTCTGCTGAAGTACACTACAAAGAGAAATAAGTACAAGAGATGCAAAGAACTTCTTTGACATCACACAATGACGGTTTTTAAATATGGTGCTAAATGTTTAAAGAACCCACTTCTTAAGTTTTTTTTCTAGATGTTGGCATTGGACACCCACGATTCAAATCAGCGCAACATCTGGAAGTGAAAGTTATGTAGACACCCTGGAGACCTGGATTAATCGCCTTCCCTGCTGCCCCTACAATGAATCAGCAGCAACTTCAGGCAATAAAACAGCCCTGCACTGGTGATTTCTCAAGGGTTTAATAATAGTGTGGTACTCAAAAAAAAAAAAAAAAAAAAAAAAGAAAAAGAAAAGAAAAGTAAAGGAAAGAAAGAAAAATAGTTTAAAAACTACATGTTGAAAAGCACATTCTGTCATCACTTCACTGTGCTATAAGAAAATTAAAATAAAATAAAAGGAATTATATACTTCCAGCCTATAAGGAACTTGTAATTTAATAATGAAGATTAAATAAATAGGTTAATTAATATATGGAAGAACAACAATCTACTAAATTGTAGATTTATTCCAACCAACCAAACACACACACATATTTAAGGAGAAAGAATTTATCTAAAAATAAGAGATAAAGAGATTTGTATTCTCTCTCTCACACACACACACATACACAAGAGCCAAGCCTAAATGTTCCTCTTGGTGTACCATCGGTATAACACCTTCCCTAACTTTTTAAAGAAACGTTTCATCTGAGGACATCTGCATTTGCCTGAAACATATTTTCTGAGCATTTATTTTGCTTATGAAAGTATATAATACAGACTACAAAATAAGTTCTATGAGTACAGGAATTTTCCTTTGTTTCGTTCACTGTAAGATCCTCAGAGTCTAGAATAGAACCTATATGTACTATATAGTACATACATATAGTACCTATATGTATGTAATAGGCCTCAATTCCTTGTTGAATAAATCTAAATGGGATTTTTGAGTCAGACAAAGTTATCTTTTACTATTTACCAGTTGCGTGGTTTGGGCAAGTTACTTATCTAGCCTCAGTCTTATCGCCTGTAAAATGGGAATGAGAACAGCACCATTCTTACAAGTAAGAGGACTAAATAGGGTAACGTGTACCAAACAATTAGTACAGCACATGAACAGCAGCAAACAGTTAATAAATGGCATATATCATTCTTATTTACTATTGTTTATTAACACATCTTCTACTTTAAAACATTTAGTAGCTTGGTAGATGTCATTATAGGACTTCAAGATTTAAAATACTATATTTCAGAAGTATTTTATAATTCCAATTATTATTTGTTAATGGGGCCCTTTCCTCAAACAAGAAAATTTGTGAATTTGAGTAGTATTGTAAGAGATAAGATACATTGATTGCATAAAACCTATAGTTCTCATTTCACTTATAAAACTGAACTAAATGACATTATTGTTTATAATCATATCAGCAATTATATCTTTATACTAACAAAATAAGTGTAATTGTCCCCCAAATTTCTCAGGTGTGATTCTGCATGGCTCTAAGAAGTCAGATTCTGAAAGTGTGGGCGCAAGAACTAACTTAAACCTTCCAGGGAACAGAAGTGACCAATATTGCCAGTCATGTCCAATTGCACTGTTGGCATAGAAACACAGAGAGTGATGATGCTGAAAAAAAAGTCAGCACATTTTCAATTCAGATTGACACAATTCAAGAGATAGACATAACTGGCATTTGTTCGATAATGTTCAAGTATGTCAAAGAATCTGTGAAAAAAAGTTTGATATCTCCAGTCAGCTTAAAGTCAAGCACTACCCTGGGAAAATATGTTTCAGGCAAATGCAGATGTCCTCAGACGAAACGTTTCTTTAAAAAGTTAGGGAAGGTGTTATACTGATGGTACACCAAGAGGATCATTTAGGCTTGGCTCTTGTGTGTGTGTATGAGAGAGAGAGAGAATACAAATCTCTTTATCTCTTATTTTTAGATAAATTCTTTCTCCTTAAATATGTGTGTGTGTTTGGTTGGTTGGAATTTGGTCATAGGCAGTGTAGGCAATGTAATTACGGAAGTGAGAGCTCTAGTGATATAGTTGAGATGCTAAAAATAGTGAGTCTAACCTTTTCTGGCTGTATTGGTCATTTACTACCATGCATATACTTTATCTATAGTCATCTAGGATCTCTGATTGCTTTCTGGGCGCCTCCTTGCTTTTTCTTCTGTGTGCCATCTCTCAAGACGGTCCTACCACGTAGAACATTCTCTAACTGTCTTTTTGGTTGTTAACATCCTACTTATTCATTGAAATTCATCTCAAATAACATCTTTTTTAGAGCCTTTTCTCATTCTACAGCCAAATATAGTTTTTTTCTTATATGAAATACTCTCATATTCACTACTAGATTGTAAGATCCTACATGAGAAATCTCTTCCCATTTACATTTGTATTTTCTATAGAAACTGACTCAAGACTTTTCATATAAGGTACTCACATTTATGGCTACAATTATTCTTCTCCTCAATTATCCATATCTTTTGCTATGTAACTTGGCAGTGACCTCTTGCTATGGGCAGGAAATAATTCTCCACCTCTTGGCTTGGCCATGTGGTGTGCTATGGCCAAAGGCATATTAGTAGATGTGACAGGAGAAGAGACTTGGAAAGTGCTTGTGTGACTGGCATCCTTGCTTTTGCACTTCTGACATTACTATGAGAGAGTTATTCTCAGGAAGAGGATGAAGAGGAGAGACATATTGAACAGAGCTGCTCCAGCTAAGATGTTCCAGCCAAGATTTACAGAGTCCCTAGGCCATCCACAGAGATATAAGGAAGCTCGGCAAAGATCTGTTGAGCTGCAAAGACAGACATATGAGAAATACATTTTTATTTTTTCAGGCTGGTAAGTTTTTGTAGTTCTTTGTTGCACAGCAATTTTGTAACAATAGCCAATGGATGCAGTACTTAATAAATGTATTTAAGTAAATTGAATTAAAACTATTTTCTAGATTCTAGAATTAAGTATTAAAGGACTAATTTATATACACTAAAAATGGGAAGCAGTGAGCCGTAGGAGACACATGGATTTATTAAATGCATATTATAATGAGACTAACCACATAGAATAAGAGGGTGTTATAGTTCTAGAAAATGTGAATTTCAGAGAAGATGACCTCGTAGACAATGTGGAGAGATAGGAATGAAATAGTACTTGCTTAGCTGGATTTAGAACTGGTAAATGGACATATTCTCAAAGCAGTGGAATGGCAAATGTACGTATGGAAGGAGATTTTTACGTGGCATGTCAGAGTCTCCATCATCTGATTGATTTGCAGTTGTTCAATATTCTTCCTGAAGTATGAAGCCCAGAGATAAACCCTGTTTGTGAAGGACTCTTTACAGTTTGTGAACTGTAAGCACTAGAGAAATACAAGGTGATGTTGGTGATGATGACAGTGATGATGATGGTGATGACTAAGGTTCTTTCCAACTCTGGCTTTCTCAGATTTTATTTCACTACATTGAATTTGAACTTTAAAATTCCTGTTCTGCCTTTTTATGAGAGTCATATTAAGGTTGGAATTTTTGACATGAATACCATAAGAATAAAATAAAATGACTATAAATGTCAGACAAGAGAACAGACCATTTCTCTTTACTCTGAAAGCTAAAACTCTGTTCTCCCTGAAGCTCTACCAATGACCTTATATTTATGAAAAGTATGTTCACCATTGACATCTCATTTAATCCCCAACCCAGGCTTGTTAGGTAAATAAGGGTACATATTAGCATTCTCCCTCCCTCTCCCCCAATTCAACAGATGGTACAGTTGTAACACAGACCAGACAGATTAAGTGATTTTCACCAAGGTCATGCAAGTAGTGAGTAGTAGAGCCAGGATAAGAATTCAGGTCAGCTGCCCTGTGGCATATACTACTAGACCATATTGCCTCCTCAGAAATACAGCCATCAGTCTTGTTCCAAAAATGTAATACAGACTGCAAAAAACCCTTCTAGTCACCATGCTTACCATAACTTTCCTGCAAGCCGTCATAGGTAGCAGGGTGCCAAGAATCAGGATGCCCGGACTTGGCCCACGGGTAAGATTCAAGTGGTGAAAGGCTTTGACTGCTGAGCTCAGGTGTCTCTGGGTTGTGAGGCTGCATCTCCTGGACAGAAATGGAGGCAGAACGAAGTGTGCATCTGAATTACTGTCACTTGTTATTGATTTACTGATGGCTTCTAAAAATGTCGCATTTGAACTGTCAGTGAATTTGCCGACTGTTGGCACGAGTGATGAAAGCAAGTGTGAACCATAATTGATTAGGCCTCATTTGCTTATCCATATTATGCTAATTAGATCTGCAATCTTTCCCTTTGTACCATCACCCAGTGACAGAGTAAATCAGGGTGATTGGGATGCAGATAGGATTAGAGGAAAGAATATAAGATTGAACAGGCCCCATCTTTTCAGAGAGAAAGTTTATTACTTTAGTATACTTCTTTTTAGAAATAAATCTTTATATGATTCCTTTTTTGGCATTTTCTCTGGGATGGTTTTATTGCAATGAATTTTAGCTTTCTCAGCCCAGAAGTTGAATTCTCTTTATGTAGCCCCATCCTCTGGCTAGTGACGGTGGTATGGAATAGGATCAGACTGAGGAATTATTTGACAAGAAACTAGAACTGCAATATGGATGTTCTGGGAAGATTACGGATAGAACAGGGGAGCCTAAGTTTATTCTCTCTGACCTCCCACCTGCCCCTAGAAAGTGAAGAGTTTCTCTCATTTCTGAAGATGTTAACTGCATTCCAAAGGCTGAATTATACTGGAGCATGGAACTTTAAATAAATTTTTCAGTGCCAACACATGTAGCTTCACCAAAGCACACAGACTCAAGGAGAACTTGATGCCAGGTTAGGAGAATCCATTAATCACCAAACATTTGTTGAGCACCAGCTAAGTGCCAAATACTGGAATATCTCAAAGTATGGTCATTGTTTGTCAGAAATACGTTACCCTATCACCTTCTGAATCAATCTCTGGCACTGGCATTTGAGTATCCACATTTTTAACAAGTTCTCCATGTGATTCTAATTTACATAAAAGTGCAAAAACTACTGTATTAATATCATCCTTTGAGGCAAAGGGAGTGTAGGATGAAGACTCTAGCTAAAATTAACTTAAAATCTAGCTGGCATAATGATAGTAACAACAAACTGGGCGAGGTGGCTCACCCCTGTAATCTCAGCACTTTGGGAGGCCGAGGCGGGTGGATCACGAGGTCAGGAGATCGAGACCATCCTGGCTAAAACGGTGAAACCCCGTCTCTACTAAAAATACAAAAAAAATTAGCCGGGCGTGGTGGTGGGCGCCTGTAGTCCCAGCTACTTGGGAGGCTGAGGCAGGAGAATGGCGTGAACCCGGGAAGCCGAGCTTGCAGTGAGCCAAGATGGCGCCACTGCACCCCAGCCTGGGCAACTCAGCAAGACTCTGTCTCAAAAAAAAAAAAAAATAATAATAATAATAGTAACAACAAAATTAACAAACAAGATTATTTAGCATCAGAAAATCTCAGGGAAGGAATACTGAAAAGCATTTAGTCTAACAGTTCTCAAGCAATTTTTACAAATCAAATTTTACAAAGAACTAAATAGATAAATGGTTCTGGTTAAAATGGGTAGAGGTACCCACAGCCCTGCCATCTTCGGCATTCTGTTTCTTCGTGGTAGCCTCCAGGAACCTGAGAGACCTTATGTTTACCCTGGAGGACATCTGGAAAAACAATAAATATGAAGAACAAGTCTAAGCATCAGTAAGCACTGGAAAAAATGCTCAAGTTCACTAGCAATCATGGAAATGCAAATTAAAATAACAACTTTATACCCTTCACATTGGAGAAAATGTAAATGAGTTGGCTAGATTGTAATGTACAGAGTACTCTTAAATATTGCTTGTGGACATATAAATTATTACAGCATTTTTGGAAAGTTCTGACAATATATATTAAAAGTAAAAATATGCTTATTTTTTGATCTAGCAATCCTACTTCTGGGAATTTATCTCACAGAAATAAAAGCACTACAACATACAAGGATGTTTATTGCAGAGTGCTGTCAATTGCTAAAACTGAAATAAACACTCATAAACAGAGAAATGAAATTGTAGTCTATCCATACAATGATGTGTAGGCAGTAATCAAACAGGTTAAGGTAGATCATATTTCAAATAGCTTCAATGTATCAGAAAGTATTTTTAAGTGAGAACAAGTCAATTTTAGTATAAAATTGTATAATTTATACAAATCTTCAATATAGGTATATTTTATTGTGTATGTATATTGTTACATGAGCATAATAAAAGTTGAAGTGTTGATAATGTTGTTTATTTTGGGAGATGAAACAGGAAGAAAAAGGAGAGCTAAAAAAAAGCTATTTTAAAAATAAAGTCTACAACAGAAACATGTGACACGACCCCATCAATGTAAACCATGTGTCTCTCCAGAGTACGAGCAAAGAGTTACACAGAAAGATCCAAAATGATTACTAGTGGTGGGGTTTCAGTGAGCTTTACTCCTTTAATTATGCTTTAATGTTTATTTTTTTAAAAACCATAGTAAAGAACAAAACCAAGGTAATTTTTATCAAGGTTATCATTTTACAAATAAATAATCTAAAGATCTGAAAAATCTGGTTTGCCTCTGGTTAAATAGAAAGTGAATGACAAAGCCTGGAGCAGAACTTTGTTTTCCACAAGTACTACCGATCAGCATTATTTGCTGCTGCACTAATTTGTTGAATCATTTCCTGGATTAAGATCCTAGGGGCAAGCACCATGTCTTGTATTCCAGTCCGTATTGCCTTTCATATAGTAGGCAGACCCTTTTAAGTGTTTGGTTGAAAATGAGTGAAGCTAATACAGAAAATGATAGCCCATAAGCATGATTTCAGAAGGTATATTTAAAGAAAAGGTAAAATGAATTTATATCCATTTTGAGTATATTTGTATGGATACTCATTCATAAACCTTCTCATTGGTTTAAAACTGAAATAACAAACTTTACTATATCTGTTCAGTTAGCCAAACGTTGTTTCCATGAGATTCAAGAAACTGAGATCTGAGATTATCGTGGAGTCCATTAACCAAACCACTCAAATACTAAGATGAGTAGAGGTTTTGAGTGTCAGTCTAACTTAATATCTTATTTTTCCATAAAGTTCTAAATTTGATAGTTGTTTACCATATTATATTGTTTCATAAGATTAGAGTTACAAAAGCCACAAAATCTATTTTGTATACTGAGAATATTTGAGAATGGAGCCAATCTTTCTTATTTTAGGAGTCAATTTTACAGAACGAAGCAACTATTTGAAGTTCTCAAAACAATATTGTCAATTATATTCAAGCTATTGCTTTATCATTGTTTGTTGTTTTTTATCACTGTTATTATTAACAAATTAATTAATCAGATAATTAAAATATGTACCTTTCAATTATTTGATTATGATTAGTATAATAAGAGTATACAGCATAGTCAGAATTTAAACCCTGGGCAGGTAGACTCCAAAACTCCTACTCCTGACTATTCTACTATGTGATAACCTTCTACTATTAATGTCTACGAGTTCAAACCTTAATAAATATAAAAGTGAATCAACTATGTGGTGATCCAATTGACTTGCCTTGTTATTCTAATCCATGTGGCATTTATATAGGTTCTTGAGTCAGATATTTTGTCATGATTAATTTTATGTATCAACTTGATAGGGTTATGGGGTGCCCAGATATTATTATTTATTACTTATTATTTCTGGGTGTGTTTGTCAGGATGTTTCCAGGTGAGGTTAGTATTATTGTATTGTATTGTATTGTATTGTATTGTATTGTATTGTATTGTATTATATTTTACTTGTGACAGGGCCTCATTCTGTCACCCAGGCTCACTACAGCCTTGACCACCTGGGTTTAAGCTATCCTCCCACCTCAGCCTCCTGAGAAGCTAGGACCACAGGAATGTACCATCATGCCTGGCCAGTTTTTGTTTAAAAATTATTTGTAGAGACAAGGTCTCATGTTGCCCAGACTGGCTCAAACTCCTGGGCTCAAGTAATCCTCCAGACTTGGCCACCAAAATTGCTGGGATTACAGGCATGAACTCTGGGCTAAGATTAGCATTTTAATAGGTGGGCTCAGTAAAGCAGATTGGCCTCCCCAATATGGATGAACATCATTCAACTTTTTGAGGGCCTGAATAGAACAAAAGGTGGAGGAAGGAAGAATTCACTACTTCTTGTGCCTGATAAGTGAGCTGGAACATTGGTCTCCTTCTGCTCTTGGACTGGGATTTATACCATTGGCTTTTCTGGTTCTTAGGCCTTTTGACACAGACTTAATTGCACCACTGGATTTCTACAGCTTCTGCTTGCAAATAGCAGATCATTGGATTTGTCAAGTTCCATAATTGCATGAGCCAAATCCTCATTTAAAAAGCCCTTTCTGTATGCGTATTATTGGTCTGCTTTTCGGAATATGCTAATACACAACCATTGATGGAACACTTCCTAGTTCTATGAACCTTCAATCAGTTAATTACCCAAGTCTCAACTTCCTCATTTTTAAAATGGGGATAATAATATGACCTCATGGAGTTATTGTGAAGATAAAATCAGATAATAATTGTGAAGTGTTTTGAATGGTATTTGGCACATATTAAGTGCTTAATAAATGTTAACTCTTCTTATTAAACACAAAACTTAGATGCTACCCATAATTGTGGCTAATGGGTTTTCTTATGGACAAAGTCCATGCTGTCAGTTAACAATAAGAATAACAAATACCACCACCCATGACAGCATCAAGAAATGTCAGCTAGGCCGGGCACAGTGGCTCATGCCTGTAATCCCAGCACTTTGGGAGGTTGAGGCGGGAAGATCACATGTGGTCGGCGCATTCGAGACCAGCTGACCAACATGGAGAAACCCCATCTCTACTAAAAATACAAAATTAGCCGGGCATGGTGGCGCATGCCTGTAATCCCAGCTACTTGGGAGGCTGAGGCAGGAGAATCGCTTGAACCCGGGAGGCGGAGGTTGCAGTGAGCAGAGATTGTGCCATTGCACTCCAGCCTGAGCAACAAGAGCGAAACTCTGTCTAAAGAAAAAACAAAAAGAAAGAAAGAAATGTCAACTGTCACAGGCAAAATAGAGCTAAGCTTTATTGCCCTCAGTTGAAGGTACTAGGGGGCCTTAGTTTTGCTGTGATTCACTGTAGCCTATGCAGCAGGCCCACTAACCCATATGGCCTTTAGATGAATTAGAAATGGGCACTCCTTCTTTTGCCATGGCGTACTGATTTTGTTGGAATAGGAAGCATCACTGACATCTTCCAGAAAGCTGTCATAGTAAATATGCTGCTCTGTGATGTCTAGGATGTGGATCATTCCTCCTGAGATGTGGTGTTGTATGTGGAGGCTCTGCCTATCAGCATGGCTTATACAAGCATCAGTTTTTATAGATTGTGAAACAATCTTTAGAAACCAGTGCATAACATATCCATGAAGTCTTGTTAGAGTATCATGTCAACCTATTTTGCCCAGCAAGACTTTATAACAGGACACATGTTGGGAGAACAACAAGAGCACCTATGCTGTAGTCTTTTTACTTAATCATGAAGAAAAATGCTTTAACTAAATTATATTATTTAGTGCCTAATTTACCAAGTATAACCAAATCTATAATAAAGTGATAGTCTCATTGAAAAGGATACTGTTATGTTTATTGTTTATTTAACATTTTCCCTTTAGTAAGTATTAAAGGTAACACTGGCTATTTACAATTTTTAAGCTTTGTAAAAAGTTTGTCCATACAAAGAGTTAATGAATACAACCTGCTAAAACTGCCCAGCCCATAAATATATTTTAAAGTCACTTTTCCTGTCCCTGCTTCTGATCCAGGCAGTTATGCACCAGGCCTATGCTGGTGCGTAGGCCTAACCTGGTTTAGCTGTAGATTCTTGCAGTTCACAGAATCAGTACTGTGTGGAGCACTTCTATCTGCCCCAATACCTTACCAGTTCTGCTTTCAAACCTCAAAGACACTGATCTCATTCAATGCTGTTTACTTCAGTTCCTTATTTGCCTTGTTCTTTGAATTTGGCATGTGCTGCTTTCTACAACAAGGATATTAACTCCTCTAGACAACCAGCCTGATTTTTATTTTCAGAATCACTATCAGGGATCATTTAAGTAATCAGTTCCTTATTTGAATTGAGCCTCCAAGGATCTTTCTAACTCAGCTCTCTTCTATTAGATTTTAAGTTATTTGAGGACATGGGTTGTGTCACATTCACATCCAGAGCTTATCATGTTCAACAATAAAGATGTCTTGAATGTTGTTGGATTAAATTAGTGTGACTTAGAAGGCTCTCACAATATTCCAATAGGGCAAAAGTATAAAATATGAAGTAGCTCAGTATCTATAGAGTATACAAAGGTGACATGCAAACAACAATAGAGGATTGGGTGACAAAATGGAGGTTCCAGTCTAAGTGACTGAGAATAGTGGTAGAATGAAAACGACTTTGAGAAATGTTGAAAAAGATGACACGTTTTCAGCTCACTCAGTTATACATATGAGGCAGTCATGTTGGGGTGTAGACCTCACAAACTCACTACCTAAGAGCAACAAACTATGAGGAAGTTTAGAAATGGAAGTCATGTACTCCTAAGTATTAATATATACTGCACAAAAGAAAGTAAAATCTTGGCATTCTTTCTTGACCTGAGGGTTGTAAACACATAAATCAAGAAATTCAGAGAGAGAAGTCAGCAGAAAAATCTACTGGGGTTTGGGGCACAGAGTTTAGTGCTTTGCCTCATGTCAACTCCTCTGAGTCCCTGGTAAGTCTTTCATAGGTACTCAAGGCAAGTTTCTGTCCTCAGAGCGGGGTGGAATCAATGGAGATGATCCTATCACATTATGGAAATGAATGGCTTCACTTAATGTATGGGGTGTCCTCACAATTTACTCATCTGAACTAGAGCAACATCAAGCATTATTTTTCAATCCCTTTTATTAAATGTGCTAGGTCTGACTCAGCAAACTGCAGGACTTGCTGGCCTCTGGACCTGACTGATGAGGATAACGTCATTTATTAAGTTGATAGGCACAATGGACCGTGTCTCCATCCCAACCCCCATTTGTTTTTAATCTTATCTAGTCACTGCAAGTACATGATTTAAAATCTGGTTACTTAAGAAACAAATTGGAGGAGGTGGTGATTTTAAAGCAGTTCTGAAAATAAAAGCCTTATCAATTTTCTAGTTTTTTTTCCCACTCTTGTCATTTCCTTCCTTATAAAAGACAGGGTAAATTATTTGGTATGGGAGAAGTTCAATAATGTAGAACAAACTCAAGGTCTGAAGTCAAATGATCTGTGTTTAAGTCTCAGTACCAACATAAGGCATTACGTAAAAATCATCTATTTAACCAACCTTAACCAACTTATTGAGCTGTCTTAACCCAGTGCTGGTTACTACTATCAAGCTCCCACTATTATAGTTTTTTATACTTTATAAAAACTGTAAACTGCTTATGGTTTTTAAGTTTTACACCATTATCTTGGGAGGATCTTATTGGTTTTTTAAAAAAAATCTTTTTAGAATTTTTAAAGCTTTTGTCTACTCAATTTAAAAACTTGTATTTCATTAGGCATGCTGGTGGAAACCTATAATCCCAGTGTTTTGGGAGGCCAAAAAAGGAGGATCACTTGAGGCCAGGAGTTTAAGACCAGCCTGGGCAACATACCAAGACCATGCTTCAGTTAAAAAAAAAAAAATAGCTGAGAGTGGTGGCGTGCACCTGTAATCCCAGATACTCTGGAAGCTTAGGTGGGAGGATTGATTGAGCCCAGGAATTTAAGGCTGCAGTTGAGTTATGATCAGGCCACTGCCCTCCAGCCTGGGCAACAGAGCAAGACCCTGACTCTAAAAAAATAAAAATAAAAACTTAGATTTCATAGTAATTTAAATCCCATCTCCTTCCTTCTGCAGCCTCTTAGAATCAGCCAGGTTTGAGCTTGAGGGGCTGAAGTAGGAAGGGAATGCGGTCTTCTCTAACTTTTTTATGTTCTTCCAGGCTTTGGAGCATGTCTTGTCTGGAAACCTTGCTCTTCCTTTGCAGGGCTTCACTTCTCTGGTATAAGGACCCAGAAGAAGAACAGTGTGGAAAGGGCAAACGTTGTGTTTTTGAACCCCTTTGTTGGTTGTCAGTGATCCCCGGGCTGATATTGTCAGATATGGAGTCCTACTGGGGGGAGTACAAGCACATGTGTGAGTTATTGGTTGGGGCTCATGGAAGAGGAGGCTCCCGCTGCAGAGTTCCCTGAGGTGAGAAAACTGTCTTTGGCCTGATAATCCCAATACTTCAGTTCTTATGCACAATGACACACTTCACAGCTTCTGGGTTCCCCTCAACTGATGGTGATCAGCCTGCTTGAGCAGGGTGCTGGCAACATTCAGGCAGGCTTCTTTCCCTGGGATCCATTTGGTCCAAGGGAGAGCCAAAGGGGGCTGCTTTCTGATGTTTTCTTCCCTTTCCCTCTTTTAAGTAGGAGCAAGTCACACCTAACAAGCCAGCCTTTGAGACATTGAAATGTCTGATCATCTTTCATATAGACATGGCTAATATTTGGAACTTGCTTCATTTGGCTTTTGATAGGGTAAAGAACCCCTTTTTTTTTCCTTTCTTGGAGAGCAGACAGGGCAAAAGAAAGCCATGTATCTTTTCACCAAGCTGACAGCTTTTGACTCTGCGTTGATCGTTGGTTCTTAAGAAGCCTTGAGAGTGGTGTTTGTCCCAGTTGTTGGCAGGCTTCTTTGAATATGGGTTATTTGGCATCTCTTAGCTCAATAGTTTGGATCTTATTTGCAAATTCCAGAGGAATAGAAAATATCCTCCTTAATGTTCTTTTACATTTAACCTCCATAAGCTAAAGGGAAAAAATGTAAATCTCTGGAAAAATGTGTTTTCTTTGAGCGCTGAGAATTATAATTAAATGCATTTAAACATAATTCCTGCTCATGGGACCACCTCCCTGGACATCCCTTTGGGGCAGATGCAAGGTGTCTTGTAGATAGCCTCTGCCCTTTGGCATGACTTCTTCATCCTCTTGGCACTCGAGCTGGACTCTGATCTTTAAAGATCGCCACGTAGGTCCAGAATCCTAAATCTATCATTGGCTTTTTTTGTGCCTCAGTTTCTCGTTATGTATAATTATATCTTTCTACCCAGGGGTGTCACTGATACTTACTGTTAGTAAAGTAATTGGTGCTTATTGGCAGGTACAAGATCAAGAAAAGTTACTAGTCTATTTTCTTTGTTTATTGTTTTTTTCACACTATGGTACTAGTACTAAGACTAGCTTTACTGTAACATTTGAAACATTAGAGATTTAAGACCATATATAGAAAGAAGATCATCTATAGATATAAAGCATTCTTTTTGGTGATTATTAGTAATTAGGGCACATGGTCAATCATAAACAGTCAATGTGAAATAATAGACTTTATTTTTACCATGGTCATTTTAAGCATCTGCATTCTTACTGAATCTTAAAGGCATATGGCCTAGTCTAGGCTATTTATTATCTTCACGGGAGAATTCCTTTCCATGGGATGAGAATGCAATAGTGACTGCCACCAATGCTAATTTTAGCTCAACTCTGAATAACTTGAGTTCATACACCATAGTTGGAAAGGGTAATTAATGAACCATCAAGAAACAAAGGTTATATAGCTTCCTTTTCCTTTTTCACACGTCAGAACAATTTTTCTTGAAGTCAGATTCCAGAGCTGGGTACAGACATAGGATTAACCGAGTTTGTAAGAGGTGGATGTTTTTATCTTTACTGTTGTTTGCTGTACTGAACTTCCTGGGTTTTGTATATTGACTCAGCAACTCTGATTTCCTCGTTAGTGCTACTCCACATCTGCTCTAAAATTGTATTCTCTGTTTTCAGGGCTGAATTAAACTCTAAGAAGGCCTTTTCCCATTGGAGAATAAAGAGGGATTGATTAATTCTTAGACATCTTTATTGTCACCTTAGGGCTTCAGAGCCTCCTCCCACTTCAGTAATTGCTCTAGGGTTTGCCCACAGAAAAAGTAAATTAAAACAAGCGTCACTTCTTGTTTTCTACCTGTGAGGTTTTGTTTGTGATGACGGGAAAAGGCAGAATGAGCAAATGGAAAATATATGCATATAAATAAAGGTGCAATAGCTGGACTTAATCCTGGTTTGTCAAAGGGGTCCTGCTCTGGAGGTATTTCAAAATCTGGTAGAAGTTGCCATGCAGAGATCTGAGAGTAAACATGGATAACATTTCAGGAAGAGGACTACTATAAAATTTGGTGGAAACAAAACACAGAAACACAATGTATGAACTTCAGATAATATTGCTTCTTCCTGGGTTGAAGATTTCCCTCTCTTTTTCGAAGTGGAAGTAATTCTGCTTCTTTAAGATTATGAAAGTAATGCATAGCCATTGTGAAAATATTAGAAAATACAGAAAAAATAAAAAGAAGAAAAATAGAAAACATACTTTCTTCATTTGTTTTATGCTGCTATAACAGAATACCACTGACTAGGTAAATTATAATCACCCAAAATTTATTGGCTTACTGGGAAGCCAGTTCTGGACTGTGAAGTTTAAGGTTTGAGGGGCCTGCATCTGGCAAGGTCTCTACTGCTGTGTCACACATGGCAGAAGGCATCATATGGCCTAAAGTCAAAAGAGAAAGAGAGAGAGAGACAGAGACAGAGATACAAAGAGAGAGAGAAAGAGAGAGAATGCGTGCATAAGAGAAGGCTGAATGAATTCAGTCTTGTATAAGAAATCCACTCCAGTGATAACAGCATTAATCTATTCATGAGAGCAGAGCTCTCATAACCTAATCACCTCTCATTAGGTCCCACTTCCCAACACTGTTGCACTGGGGATTAAGTTTCCAAATACATGCTTACTGGGGACACATTCAAATCATATCCCCTACTAGCCATGTTTGAATGAATATCTGCTTTAAAGAGAAATTATTATTATTACTGAGACAAGATCTCGCCCAGGCTGGAATGTAGTGGTGCAATCATAGCTCACTGAAGCATCATTGAACTCCTGGGCTCAAGGGGTTCTACTATGTTGCCCAGGCTGGTCTCCAACTCCTGGCTTCAAGTGATCCTCTCACCTCAGCCTCCCAAGCCTCTGGGATTAGAGGCACCCAGCTATAGCTACTTTTTTTCAACTTTCTTCTTTTGAATTATCTTCTTAGATGTGCCACTGCTCTCCTCAACTAAATAGAAAGTCCCAGACCTGGAGGGCCAGGGCCATGATGCATTTCTTTATGGATTTGTTAGTAATCATAGCTGACTTTATTGAGCATTTGCTATTTGACAGGCCTTATTCTGGGCATTTAACAAGCATGAGCTCATTTAATTCTGCCAACAACACTAAGGGGTGAACATTAATATTATATCTGTATATAGATGAGGAAACTGAGGCTCAAAGAAATCAAGTAAGTTATTCTGTGACTGACAGTTCTTAAGTGACAGGGTAACAATTCACACAGCCTGACTTAAGAGCCTGTGAGCTTAACCGTTACACTACTGCCCTCTGTGTTAAGGCTACAATAAAAAGCATTAATTACGATCTGATTTTATAAATACATGAAGGCAGATGAACAAGGATCAAAACTTAAGTCTTATTTTCCCATAGGACTATGTAGAGCACAGGAGTCTTAATTTTTATTTATTTGGTCTAAGCTCTACTAAGATTCCTTTCCTTCTCCAGGTTAAAAGGCCACTGCATCAACAGTAAAGGTATGATTTAAGTCACAGCTTCCCTGGTTATGCGGAGGACACAGGATTTAGCCTTGTACGTTGGTAATGTTTGCAAACAGTACAATATTGATTTTGGCTACAGCAATGAGAACACGAACAGTTACACATTATGTGCCCTTTCTGCTCAAATGAGAGCAAAGCCTTAATCAGGTCCAGACATTTAGAATCTTATATTAAAGAGAGATATATAGATATGAATCCAATAGATGCTTGCTTCTGTCATTTTACTTTAATTGTAATTTTGCAACCTCAACAACAGAAGATCCATTAGGCTTTCCCCCTCAATCAATACACAATATATTATCAGTCTAGACGACCAAAAATGACTTGTATAAAATATCAGCACGTTGCATTTTCATTATGTAAATGGAACTCTGCAGGAGAATTAATTGATTATTCAGTTACTATGGATCTGTCTCAGATGTCTTAGTGAGATAAGAGAGAAACTTATCAAGCCTCTCCAGTGGCTATAACTTAAAAAAGAACAAGGGGAAAAAAAAGAGAGAGAGAGAGAGAGTGAGAGAAGCAAACACAGAGTACATTTCACTTTCATTGGCAGCCTGAGCAAAACCTAGGAAATGCTGAGAGAGAGAAGAAATCCATTACCAAGTTTATTAGTGATGGAATGTCGAGAGTTATTAGGCTGGTTACTGTTTGGGGATCAACATTTTAAAAAACCACACAAACAAAACTGGGATATAGGCAGTGAGAGTCCTCTAGTTTTCTCCCCAGACTCTCAGTGCCCGAAGTAATTCATACCTAGGCCATATATAATTACAGCAGATTGTTTAAGTAATATACAGATCTATTTCTTTTTTCTTGCATGGGTGGAGGCTGGGGAATGAGGGAGAGATTTTATTTTTATCTTCATGACAGAATGAAGAAGAGGTATGCGAGGAGAAGACAAGTGGTTTCTACTGTCTCCCTCCCTTTTTAAGCATTAAAAAAAAAAAGCAAATGTTTCCATTGCTACTGCAAAAGTGTATTTCAGTTTGATGTAAATTGATGCCTTTGTTGTTTCATTTTTAAGAAACATTCAACAACCATATACATTAGGATCTCCCTTTGGTAGCATCGAGTCTGTACTGTCCTTATTCAGTGACACTGCTCTTGCCCAGAAGAGTTTTGGGATCTCTTTGGGGAAATTCCCTACAGAACATTTTGAGCACATTGTTTAGAGTTGTTTCCGTGGTCTTAAACATCAATCTGTTGAGGGGTATATTTAATTTTTTCAAATAGTCAAAATTCTTAACACACTGAGGTGAAAAGAGGATTGTTAAGATAGGGTAATATTTCTCTGGCTCAAAATGAGGTTTTGAAAAGCAACAAAAATGCCTGGTAATAAAATAATACCATTTTTTTGTGTGTGTTCAAAACTGAAGGCAAGTTTCAAAATATTGGAAACAATGACAGCATTGAGGAAGAATATATAATGATTCCTAAAGGTATCATTCTGGAAAACAGTCATCCTGGTTGTATTAAATATGACATTTAATACCAACCAAGCCAAATCAAGCCAAACAGCCTTAATACTTTATACTTTGTGTGTAAGCCAGGTTTTGCTGGTAAGAGCCTGGATGCTTAGCCTGGGAACAAAACATGGTGTATAACTGACTTTTGCAAGGGATTTCAATGTTGTGCTAGTTTTTCATTGCTGTTGTGACAGATTACCACAAACTTAGTGGCATAAAACAACACAAATGCTTTATCTTACTGATCTGTAAGTCTGATCAGAAGTCTGACAAGGTTGTGCTGAAATCACAGTGTTGGTGGAAGTATTCCTTCTGGAGGCTCTAGGGGACAATCCATTTTTTTCTTATTTCCAGCCTCTGAAGGCTGCCTACATCCCTTGACTGTGGCCCCTTCCAACTTTAAAGCCAAAGTCAGTGGTGGCCCGTTGAGTTTTTTTCACACTGGATGCAGTGGACTCTAACATTGACTCTTATGACACGTTCCCATTTTAAGGATCATTGTGTTGACCTTGTGTTCACACAAATAACCTAGGAGAATCTCCCTGTCTTAAAATCAGTGGCTTAGCAACCTTAATCCTCATTTGCGATACAATATATTCACAGGTTCTGGGTATTAGGATGTGGACATCTTGGAGGGCCATTATTTAGCCTGTCACAGATGTGGAACGAGCATTATTCTTATTCCTTTGAGATAACGTCTATTAAGTGCTTAGCTGCTTTTGGACCTATGGTGAGTATTAAACAAGGAGTACTTGACATGTTGATGTTCTGACTATTAGTATTAGTATTAGTATTAGTATTAGTATTAGTCATTCTTCCCCTTATTTCTTATTAAAATCAGAGTAAAATTCCAATGAGTAAGGAGTTTTTCAGCTACATATGAAGAAACATTAGTCATGAGAACTGTCCAAAGCTATCAATAGCTACCACATAAGATGTCCCTGTCACTGAGATGAGATTATGTCCTCCCAGGCTGGATAATGGCTTGGGGAGACACTGTAGAGAGAATGCTCACATCTGAGCTGATGGTCCTTCTACTCCTGAGGTTCCATCCTTTGTTGCCTCTGCAGAACTCCACAAAAACCGTAAGGTCCAACAACCTTTCTATTTTCTCCTAAGTTTTCCTTCTACTTTTCTCAGGAGTAGTCCTCACCCCTGACCAACACTGATATGCACCTTCATATGACATGTTGAAGGCAAAAATGACAAGCAGGTTTACCTTTGCTTTGGAAATGAATTTGCCTATTGTGCATGTTGGGCGTCAGCAACAAGAATTGCTGGGAATGGTAAGGAGAAAGTGCCAGGATCCGATGTTATGGATGTCAAATGCACTTCCCTGTGCTCCCCTCCCACCAGGATTCAATCTTACATTGGAACAAAAACCCAGAAAAATCCAGATGGTAGGTGGCATTTAAATCAGTTAGATGGATTGAGCTTTGTCTTTCTAATGAATGAGAATCATGAGACAGAATTTGCCATTTCTCACTGCTATCCACTTACCCAACCCCTTCCCAAGCTTCGGGGGCAGGGGACTTTCAAGTGCTATGGATACTCTTACAGACCAGATTAGGAGTCTAAGGCTTATTACTGGACTTAACTTCTGATGAAACATCATAAGTCAAACTGTAATAGAAGCTGTCCTGCATTGATGCAACAGGGGCCGGGGATTGTTTATAGTGGAGACCCCCACAGATATCCAGAATGATTCCCATCACAGTGGATAATAGGATTACTGACAGCATTATCTAAGTCCAATTACTCCTGAAAGGTGGATATGTGGAAATATCCTATCTCCGAGAAATTTTCCTTCAGCCTTTAAAGGTGATCAAATCCTTCCCATCTAATAATATAAAAACTGAGCAATATCTCTTTTGATTTGGCTACTCTATCCAAGCATAGTCTATTTTCTTCTTTTTTTCCCAAACAAAATGAAACTTAAGAAAAAAGTTTCCAAAACATTGTCTACATTCTCTGTGTTCATATTCTCTCCTCCTACTCACTTCTCTACCCAATCCAAATGAGTTTCTTTCCTATCTCTTTACTAAAATGACTCTTGATTTACTTCTGATCTTTGTTTCAAGATCTCTCTTAGAGAAGCCATGTAATCTCCAGATTTAGTCATCTGTGTATACGGAAAACTTTGCATATATACACTATCGTGATTAATTACTCTTAACATATTGGGTTAATTTTGCCCATAGAAAGTACTCAATAAGTACCAGATTAATAAATGTATGTATATTTGTTGCCAGCTAAAATCCTTCCCACTGTTCATCCACTGCTATGGCTATACATAAAGCTGTTGCCTGAAGAGTTTAATTTTTGTTGAGTTTCAGAAGGCAAAAAATAATGATGATGAAGTAATCTAGGGGAGTAGAGCTGGCTATATATTGAAATCTTAACTGAAGGTATGGACTTATATAATTGACTGTATATCATCCTGACTGACATCTTCTTGGACCAATTGAGACAATTCTATGCCTTGTGAAATTGGCTGAGGCAGTCAGCTTGATTGATCCAGTATAGTCAGGAGCTTTACTGGAAGCAACAACCCACTGTAGTGCTGGTGCAGCGTAATTGTATAGCTACAGTTTTTCTGTTGGTATAGAGCAGTGTTTCCTTCCTTCCTTCCTTCCTTCCTTCCTTCCTTCCTTCCTTCCTTCCTTCCTTCCTTCCTTCATTCCGTCCTTCCTGTCACACTAAGAAATACAATTTCTATTACAATGCACACATTTATACACATATAACTGAAGATAGAGTGCCATAAAACAAAATTTATCCTTATTACATTAGACACATTCTGATATTTGCTATTGCATTCTATGTCACTTTTTTAAATACTCATTGTGATCAACTGATTTGATTTTATGAACTATTGATGAGTTTTGACCTGTACTTTGCAAAAGACTGACTTAGACAAAGTCCACTTATTCCAGCCCCTGGGTTTATTGAGGTATAATTGGTAGAAAAAATTGTAAAAATTTAAGGTGTATAGTATGATAATTTGATATACATACATTGTGAAGTGACTGGCACTCAAGTTAATTAACACATCCACCACCTCATATAGTTAGTATTTGTGTGTGTGTATGTATGTATGTATGACAGCATTTAATATCTATTTTCTTATTAAATTTCAAGTATACGAAAGTATTAACCATAGTCACTATACTGTATATTACAATCCCATAACTTATTCATTTTAACTAAATGTTTGTACATTTTGACCAACATCTCTCGATTCCCCCACCCAGCTGCTCAGTCACCATTCCACCTTCTGCTTCTGTAAATTTGACTTTTTTAGATCCATATAAAAATGAGATCAGATAGTATTTGTCTTTTTTGTCTGATTTATTTTGCTTAGTATAATGCTGTCAAGGTTCAAACATGTTGTTGCAAGTGGCAGGATTTCCATCTTTTTAAGGATAAATAATATTTCATTGTATATACATACTACATTTTTAAATGAATTCATCTGTCAGTGGACACTTCGTTGTTTCCATGGCTTGGCTATGTAAAGCTGTAACAAACATGGGAGAAAAGATATCTAAGATCTTGATTTTGTTTCCTTTAGGTATATAACCAGACATGGGATTGTTTGGTCATTAGGTAGCTCACTTTTTTTGTTTGTTTTTGAGGGAGCTCCATACTGTTTTCCATGATTATTGTACCAACTTACATCCCCACCAACAGTTCACAAAAGGTCCCTTTTCTCTACATCCTCACAAACACTTAATCTCTTCTCTTTTTGATAATAGCCATCCTAATAGGTGTCATGTAGTATCCCATTGTGGCTTTAATTTGTGTTTCTCTGATGATTACTGATGTTAAGCACCTTTTAATGTACCTATTGTCCATTTGTATGCCTTCCCTGGAAAAATGTCTACTCAGGTCCTTTGTGTCAGGCCCCCGAGCCCATGCTAAGCCATCATATCCCCTGCGACCTGCAGGTATACATCCAGGTGGCCTGAAGTAATTGAAGAATCACAAAAGAAGTGAAAATGGCCTGTTCCTGCCTTAACTGATGACATTACCTTGTGAAATTCCTTCTCCTGGCTCATCCTGGCTCAAAAGCTCCCCCACTGAGCACCTTGTGTCCCCTGCCCCTGCCAGCCAGAGAACAACCCCCTTTGACTATAATTTTCCACTACCTACCCAAATCCTATAAAACGGCCCCACCCCTATATCCCTTCACTGACTCTCTTTTCGGACTCAGCCCACCTGCACCCAGGTGATTAAAAAGCTTTATTGCTCACACAAAGCCTGTTGGTGGTCTCTTCACACAGACATGTGTGAAATTTGGTGCCGTGACTCAGATCGGGGGACCTCCCTTGAGAGATCAATCCCCTGTCCTCCTGCTCTTTGCTCTGTGAGAAAGATCCACCTACAACCTCTGGTCCTCAGACCAATCAGCCCAAGAAACATCTCACCAATTTTAAATTGGGTAAGCGGCCGCTTTTTACTGTCTTCTCCAAGCTCTCACTATCCCTCAACCTCTTTCTCCTTTCAACCTTGGCGCCACACTTCAATCTCTCCCTTCTCTTAATTTCAGTTCCTTTCCTTTTCTGGTAGAGACAAAGGAGACACATTTTATCCGTGGACTCAAAACTCTGGTGCTGGTCACGGACTCATGAAGACAGTCTTCCCTTGGTGTTTAATTATTGCGGGGACGCCTGCTTTGGCTGCTCACCCATATTGCAGCGCAGGGCTGCTCACCCAACCCCTTCTCTCTGTGTCTCTACCCCTTTTCCACTTTCCCGGGGGGCAAGCACCTCCCACCCCTTCTCCACTTTCCTGGGGGGCAAGCACCCCTCACCCCTTCTCTCCATATCTCTACCCTCTCTTTTCTCTGGACTGGCCTCCTTCTCTACAGGCAACCTTCCACCTTCTTCTCCCTTAGCCTGTGTTCTCAAGAACTGAAAACCTCTTCAACTCACACTTGACCTAAAACCTAAATGCCTTATTTTCTTCTGCAATGCTGCTTAACCCCAATACAAACTCGACAATGGTTCCAAATAGCCAGAAAACAGCACTTTCGATTTTTCCATCCTACAAGATCTAGATAATTCTTGTCATAAAATGGGCAAATGGTCTGAGGTGCCTGATGTCCAGGCATTCTTTTACACATCAGTCCCTCCCTAGTCTCTGTTCCCAATGCAACTCATCCCAAATCTTCCTTCTTTCCCTCCCACCTGTCCCCTCAGTCCCAACCCCAAGTGTTGCTGAGTCTTTCCAATCTTCCTTTTTCACAGACCCATCTGACCTCTCCCCTCCTCCCCAGGCTGCTCCTCACCAGGCCAAGCCAGGTCCCAATTCTTCCTCAGCCTCCGCTCCCCCACCCTATAATCCTTTTATCACCTCCCCTCCTCACACCCAGTCTGGCTTACAGTTTTTTCTGTGACTACCCTCCCCCACCTGCCCAGCAATTTCCTCTTAAAAACGTGGCTGGAGCTAAAGGCATAGTCAAGGTTAATGCTCCTTTTTCTTTATCCGACCTCTCTCAAATCAGTTAGTGTTTAGGCTCTTTTTCATCAAATATAAAAACTCAACCCAGCTCATGGCTCATTTGGCAGCAACCCTGAGATGCTTTACAGCCCTAGACCCTAAAAGATCAAAAGGCCCTCTTATTCTCAATATACGTTTTATTACCCAATCCACTCCTGACATTAAATAAAACTCCAAAAATTAAATTCTGGCCCTCAAACCCTGCAACAGGACTTAATTAACCTCGCCTTCAAGGTGTACAGTAATAGAGAAGAGTTGCAATTACTTGCCTCCACTGTGAGAGAAACCCCAGCCACATCTCCAGCACACAAGAATTTCAAAACGCCTACGCCACAGTGATCAGGTGTTCCTTCAGGACTTCCTCCCCCAGGATCTTGCTTCAAGTGCTGGAAATCTGGCCACTGGGCCAAGGCATGCCTGCAGCCTGGGATTCCTTCTAAGCCTTGTCCCATCTGTGCGGGACCCCACTGGAAATCGGACTGTTCAAGTCACCTGGCAGCCTCTCCCAGAGCCCCTGGAACTCTCGCCCAAGGCTCTCTGACTGACTCCTTCCCAGATCTTCTTGGCTTAGAGGCCGAAGACTGACACTGCCCAATCACCTCGGAGGCTTCCTAGACCATCACAGATGCTTTGGGTAACTCTTACAGTGGAGGGTAAGTTCAACCTCTTCTTAATACAGAGGCTACCCACTCCACATTACCTTCTTTTCAAGGGCCTGTTTCCCTTGCCTCCATAACTGTTGTGGGTATTGACGGCCAGGCTTCTAAACCTCTTAAAACTCCCCAACTCTGGTGCCAACTTGGACAACATTCTTTTATGCACTCCTTTTTAGTTATCCCCACCTGCCCAGTTCCCTTATTAAGCCAAGACATTTTAACTAAATTATCTGCTTACCTGACTATTCCTAGGCTGCAGCCACACCTCATTGCCACCCTTTTCCCCAGTTCAAAGCCTTCTTCACATCCTCCCCTTGTATCTCTCCACCTTAATCCACAAGTATAGGACACCTCTACTCCCTCCTTGGCAATGGATGATGCACCCCTTACCATCCCATTAAAACCTAATCACCCTTACCCCACTCAACGCCAATATCCCATCCCACAGCACACTTTAAAAGGATTAAAGCCTGTTATACCTTGCCTGTTACAGCATGGCCTTTTAAAGCATATAAACTCTCCTTACAATTCCCCTATTTTACCTGTCCAAAAACCAGACAAGCCTTACAGGTTAGTTCAGGACCTGCACCTTATCAATCAAATTGTCTTGCCTATCTACCCCATGGTGCCAAACCCATATACTCTCCTATCCTCAATACCTCCCTCCGCAACCCATTATTCTGTTCTAGGAAACCTAGCTGACCCCATAGATCCTAAATCCTTTCCCCACTCCTCTTTCTGTTCCTTGAAGACAGCTTTAGAGACTGCTCCCACACTAGCTCTCCCTGACTCATCCCAACCCTTTTTTCATTACACACAACCAAAGTGCAGGGTTGTGTGGTTGAAATTCTTACACAAGAGCTGAGACCACGCCCAGCAGCCTTTTTATCCAAACAAGTTGACCTTACTGTTTTAGCCTAGCCCTCATGTCTGTGTGTGGCAGCTGCTGCTGCCTTAATACTTTTAGAAGCCCTCAGAATCACAAACTATGCTCATCTCACTCTCTACAGTTCTCATAACTTCCAAAATCTATTTTCTTCATCACACCTGATGCATATACTTTCTGCCCCCCTCCACTACCTCTCAGCAAGCCGAACTCATTGCCTTAACTCGAGCCGTCAGTCCTGCAAAAGGACTACATGTCAATATTTATACTGACTCTAAATATGCCTTCCATATCCTGCACCACCATGCTGTTACATGGGCAAAAACAGGTTTCCTCACTATGCAATTGTCCTCCATCATTAATTCCTCTTTAATAAAAACTCTTCTCAAAGCCGCTTTACTTCCAAAGGAAGCTGGAGTCATTCACTGCAAGGGCCATCAAAAGTGTCAGATCCCATTGCTCAGGGCAACACTTATGCTGATAAGGTAGCTGAAAAAGCAGCTAGGGTTCCAACTTCCGTCCCTCACTACGAGTTTTTCTCCTTCTCCTTGGTCACTCCCACCTACTCCCCCACTGAAACTGCCGCCTATCAATCTCTTCCCACACAAGGCAAATGGTTCTTAGACCAAGGAAAATATCTCCTTCCAGCCTCACAGGCCCATTCTATTCTGTCATCATTTCATATCCTCTTCCATGTAGGTTACAAGCCACTAGCCCGCCTCTTAGAATCTCTCATTTCCTTTCCATTGTGGAAATCTATCCTTAGGGAAATCACTTCTCAGTGTTCCATCTGCTATTCTACTACTCCTCAGGGATTGTTCAGGTCCCCTCACCTTCCCTACACATCAAGCTTGGGGATTTGCCCCTGCCCAGGACAGGTAAATTGACTTTACTCACATGCCTCGAGTCAGGACACTAAAATACCTCTTGGTCTGGGTAGACACTTTCACTGGATGGGTAGAGGCCTTTCCTACAGGGTCTGAGAAGGCCATCACAGTCATTTCTTCCCTTTTGTCAGACATAATTCCTCGGTTTGGCCTTCCTACCTTTATACAGTCTGATAACGGACCGGCCTTTATTAGTCAAATCACCCAAGCAGTTTCTCAGGCTCTTGGTATTCAGTGGAACCTTTGTACCCCTCACCATCCTCAATCTTCAGGAAAGGTAAAATGGACTAATGGTCTTTTAAAGACATACCTCACCAAGCTCAGCCTCCAACTTAAAAAAAAAAAAGGAGTCTGTCAAGAATAGAGCCCAAAAACTCACCAACCAAACAAGTAATTATGCTGAACCCCCTTGGATACTCTCTAATTGGATGTCCTGGGTCCTCCCAATTCTTAGTCCTTTAATACCAGTTTTTCTCCTTCTCTTATTCAGACCTTGTGTCTTCCGTTTAGTTTCTCAATTCATACAAAACCGCGTCCAGGCCATCACCAATCATTCTATATGACAAATGCTCCTTTTAACAACCCCACAATATCGCCCCTTACCACAAAATCTTCCTTCAGCTTAATCTCTCCCACTCTAGGTTCCCATACCACCCCTAATCCTGCTCAAAGCAGCCCTGAGAAACATCGCCCATTATCTCTTCATACCACCCCACCAAAATTTTCACTGCCTCAACACTTCAACACTATTTTATGTTATTTTTCTTATTAATATAAGAAGACAGGAATGTCAGGCCTCTGAGCCCAAGCTAAGCCATCATATCCCTTGTGACCTACAGGTATACATCCAGATGGCCTGAAGTAACTGATGAATCACAAAAGAAGTGAAAATGGCCTGTTCCTGCCTTAACTGATAATATTACCTTGTGAAATTCCTTCTCCTGGCTCATCCTGGCTCAAAAGCTCCCCCACTGAGCACTTTGTGTCCCCCGCCCCTGCCAGCCAGAGAACAACCCCCTTTGACTGTAATTTTCCGCTACCTACCCAAATCCTATAAAATGGCCCCACCCCTATCTCCCTTCACTGACTCTCTTTTCGAACTCAGCCCACCTGCACCCAGGTGATTAAAAAGCTTTATTGCTCACACAAAGCCTGTTTGGTGGTCTCTTCACATGGATGCGAGTGAAACTTTGCTTATTTTAAAATCTAGTTCTGAGTCCTCTCTGAGGCCCCACATGTTTGGGCACCAAATTATTGCCAATGAAAAGAGTTAAACTCTGTAAAATATTTAAAGAGATTCATTCTGAGCAAAATATGAGTGACCATGACCTATGACACAGACCTCAGGAGGTCCTGAGAACATGTTCCTAAGGTGGTTGGGGTGCAGCTTGGTTTTATACATTTTAGGGAGACATGAGACTTTGATCAAATACATTTAAGAAATACATTGGGTCGGTGCAGAAAGACGGGACAACTCAAAGTTGGGGCTTCCAGGTTATAGGTAGATTTAAAATTTTCTAGTTGACAATTGGTTGAGTTTATCTAAAGACCTGGGATCCATAGAAATGAAATGACTGGGTTGTGATAAAGGTTGTGGAAACCAAAGTTTTATCATGCAGATGAAGCCTCCAGGTAGCAGGCTTCAGAGAGAATAGGTTGTAAATGTAAGGTCTGTGCTGATGTTAAAATACCAGAGAAGTGTAATGAGGCATGTCCAACCCTTACTTCCTGTCATGGCCTAAACTGGTCTTTCAAGTTAAATTTTTAAGAGTGCCCTGGCTGGGGAGGAAGTCCATTTGGATGGTTGAAAGGGCTTATAATTTTATTTTTGGCTTGCAGCGTCATACCCCAAAATAACGTTGCTAAAACCAATGTTAATGAGCGTTATTTTTTTTCCTGGGAGTGTTAGGGTTTTAGTCTTACATTCATGGTCTTTAATACATTTCAAATTATTTTTTGTGAGTGGTATAAGATAAAGATCCACTTTAATTCTTTTAGTTGTGGTTATCTAGTTTCCTCAACACCATTTAGCAAAGAGACTATCTTTTCCCCATCGTGTGTTCTTGTCACCCTTGTCAGATATTAGTGAATTTTATATGTGTGGATTTATTTCTGGGCTCTCTATTCTGTTCTATTGGCAAATGTATCAGTTTTTATGCTAGTATTCTGCTGTTTTGATTACTACTATAGCTGTGTAATATAATTTAAAATTAGGTAATGTGATGCCTCTAGTTTTGTTCTTCTTTCTCAAGATTGCTTTGGCTATTTGGGGTCTTTGTGGTTTTATATGAATTTTATAATTTTGTTTTCTATCTATGAAAAATGCCATTAAAATTTTGATAGTGTTTGCATTGAATCTGTAGACTGCTTTGTTTAGCATGAATATTTTAACAATATTAATTCTGATTCATGATCACAGATATGTTTTTATTTTTTTGTGTCTTCTTAATTTCTTTCATCAGTGTCTTATAGTTTTAAATGTACAGATCTTTTACCTCATTGGTTAAATTTATTCCTAAGTATTTAATTGTTCTTGATGCTATTGCAAATGGGATTGTTTTCTTCATTTATTTTACAGGTTGTATTAAGTCCATTTAAAATATTTGCTTATAGTCATTCATGAAGCTTTGAAAAATAAACAAGGATGATATGATGGTTAATTTTATATGTCAACTCTACTGAGCCATGGGATCCCCAGAGAGTTAGTTAAATATCAATAGAAATTTTGGTACTATAAGGGGTTCTAGAGGAAAAGAGTTTTTATTTTATTTTATTTTATTTTTTAATTGACATGTAATAGTTGTACATATTTATGAGATACATAGTGATGTTTCAATAATGCATAACAATCAGATCAGGGAAATTAGTATATTTGTCATCTCAAATATTTATCATTTACTTGTGTTGGTAACATTCAATATCAGAGAAATAGAATTTTAAGGATGAGTTTTCTGAACTGGTTTTAGGATTTTTGGAATTGGCTTTATAATCTGAATGATTCAGTTTCCAGTAGTAAAGAGAGCATTGATAGTCCATGGTGTGATTTAGAAAGAGAGATATGAAAAGTACCTCCATTCGATACTGTTAATGACTGATAAAAAGCAAGTAGCTGTGTGGTTGTGTTTATGATCCAATAGTTCCCCTTGATTCATGGGGGATATGTTCCAAGACGCCCTAGTAGATGCCTGAAATTAAGTATAGTGCTGAACCCAATTGCCATCAGTCAGAACATGTTTCTAATTTTGTCTCCCATCCACAAATTTAATGTTATTTCCATCTTAACCAAGCCCTTATCATGCACTATGGCTGTAACTTTGCAATTTGAGGTTCAAAAGCAAAACTATCACAAATTTCTTTTTTCTATTTCCCAATTTCATGGATAGAAGATTCATTCTTAGTGTATATCTTAGCAACCTCAGCATATATTTATTTTCTTTCTTTATCAATTCAATAAATTTTACATTGTCACTTAATGGAAGCACTTTACAGCTTCTATTTGGCATCTCCAAATTGCCAACATCACTACTGTTCTACTTTGGAGCCATTATTAAGTAAAATAAGAGTTACTTGGTGATACCATGACAGCCAATCTAATACCATGGATGGCTACTCAGTGACTAATGGGCATGTAGTATATACAGTATAGATACTCTGGACAAACAGATCATTTCTGTCCTCTGTGAGACAGAGCAGAATGGCATGATATTTCATCATGGTATTAAGAATGGTATGCAATTGAAGACCTATAAATGATTTATTTCTGAATTTTTAATATTTTTGGGTGACAGCTGACCCTGGGTAACTGAAACTGTGGAAAATGAAGCCACAGAAAAGTGGGGACTACTGTACTTTCAAACAATTTTTAAAAAACTAATGAATGTAATGAGGTTAGTTGGTTGCTCCTAATGCCACTGGACAAACTGGATGAACAACAGCAACAAAAAATGGATGAGCTCAGGGATTTGAATTCCCAGCTGAAGCACCACATGAATGACCAGAACACTTCTATGTTTGTCCTGAAAGAGATTTTCATCTCTTATAGCTTCAAAGTTGAAATTGCTGAAAATCAAACACACAATATCATCTTGTGACTGGATGAATTATGACAACTTGACCTCCCAGCCTTTCAAGGTGCCTACTGTTATAGTGAGAAGATTGATGAGGAAAGAGTGGAATCCTGTAAGTTAGAAAAAGGATATATGGGAAGACTCTCATGAAGCTGGAAATATTGAGCCCTTAAATTCTGATGAGCCTTCTTTGCCAATAGAAGAGGTATCCCCTCCTGCAGTGGAGTCAGCCTCCCCATTTCCAGTGGTATCAGCCCTTACAACACAGTGGTAGTGGCCTGTCTATCCATGTCTGAGGAGATTAACTCCACATTGCCTGAAGGAACTGTAGTGGCCTCCCCTGAGGCAGTTGTCATGCAAGACAATGTTGATTCTCTGTAGAACGCACTCTCACAACATGGCTTTTGTCCTATATCTGTAATTGGACTCACATTTAAGCAGACCCCTAAAGGTGAGGTACAAAGTGTTACTAATGAGGAAATGTGCTATCCTTCAAAAGAACTATAGAGTTTTTAAATTTATACAGACAGAAATCAAGGAAACTTGTGTGGGAATGGAGTCTAAGGGTATTGGATAATAGAATGAATGTAAAGTTGGATCAGGTCGAAGTTACTGACATAGGCCCACTAAGCAGAGATTCTGAATTTAATATTGCAGCTTGGAGAGATAAAAAGGGCTATAGCAGTTTGGGTGGTTGGCTGAAATGTGGACCAAAAGATGGCCCATAGAAAGCAAATTGGAATTATCCAACCTGCCTTGGTTTAATGCAGTGGAAGGGATTTAAAAGCTTAGGGAGATTAGAATGTTGGTGTGGATTTTTAAATTTAATACCTACTCGCCCACTAATAGTTTAATGTTAAACTATTAACATCACAGTTTAATACCAACACTGTGAGAAATAAATTTGTCTGGGGAGCCCCAGTATTCTTGAAGAGCTCTGTAATTGGTCTTCTCTGGAGGCCACACCCTACAGGGAGAACTGCAGTCACTGAATTGGGAAACCTAAATGTAGTGGGAGCATTTGGATCCCACTGTGACAGGGGCCAAGTAGCAGTTGAGTACCAAAGACAAGGCAGGCATCGTTACTATAATGGCCCAGTAGAGTCAACACAATAGTCAGATAGTCTTATGCAGAGCTATGGCATTAGCTGGTTGATTTTGGTATTGCTAGAAGTGAAATGGATAGGAAACCTACTACATTCTTACCTGAAATGTATAAGCAGAAATGTTCTAGGTCAAGTGAAGAAAAGTCTAACCTGAATCATAAAAACAGAGAGTCATGGTCCTTTAGTCAATTCTCAGACTTGAGAACTCTTTGCATCAAGGGATTATTGAGATTTTGGTCATATGCAAGATAGTTACATCATGTTAGGTGGAATTATGACCTTTTCAGTGTCTTTATTTGGAGATTAACTATGGTTCAAGGATATGTGTATGAGTACCAAGTGAACAAGAAGTGAAATTGGGATGGTTAATTTTATATGTCAACTTCATTGGGCTGTGGAATGGCCAGATAGCTGGTTTCATTGGAATTATTTTCAATAATTCTGGATGTGTCTGTAAGGGTATTTCTGGAAGAGCCTAGCATTTGTATTGGTGGATTAAGTAAAGCAGATGGCCTTCTCTAGTGTGGGTGGGTATTGTCAAATCTGTTAAGGGCCTGAATAAGACAAAAAGGCAGAGAAAGTCTGAATTAACTCTGTCTGACTTCTTGAGCTGGAACTTTGGTCTCCTGTCTGCTGTGCTTCTGGTTCTCAATGCTTCAAATCCATACTGGAATCTACACCATCAGCCCTCTGGTTCTCAGGCCCTTGGACTATGCCATCAGCTTTCCTAACTATCTAGCTTGCAGATAGCAAGCAAATTGTGGGACTTCTCAGGCTCCATAATTGCATGAGCCCAATAATTTATAGTAAGCCTCTTCATAAATATCTCCTACTAGATCCTATCTATTCTATTATTCTAGTGAACCTTGACTAATCCTAGAACGATTGATGTTTTTACCCCTAGGATCTACTATACCAGCAAGAAAGTCTTCCTAACTCTGTTAGTAAGCTTCTGACTTAAATTATGGCCTTCCTGATATTTCCATTTTTATTATTTTTCACATATTCTTGTCCATTCACTAATTCTTGATATAAGAATTAGTCCATTCACTAATTCTTGATCTAAGAAAAAAACGAAGGAATTCTGGATTCTAGTCCTGACTCTGTCACCTATGAGCTTCTTAATTCATAAAGTGGAGGTAGATAAAATAAGATTATAAATGTAAAAGAAAAACTTTATATGCTATAAAAATATATTAGTTGTCAGAAGTGAGCATATAATAGACTCAGATATGGGCATCTGATGGGCTCAAGGCAGACAAGCATCAGAATATGAATGTCGGGGACTGAGGCAGCATAGTGAAATGAAAAGAATAAGGGCTGTGGATGCGCCCATTTTCAGACCCAGCTCTGTCACTTATTACTACTTTGGATATAATAAGTTACACTTATTAAGTGTAACTCTGTGGTTTGGGAAAAATTATGCAAATATTTTGAGCCTCTTTCTGACTGGTGGAAGAAGGATAATAACATCTACTTTACACACAGTCGAAAAGTTTACACAAAATAGTGTATTCAGAGTGTTCAGCATGTTGAATAATGTAAACTAAAAAGAAGATTCAGAAATCCAGAGAAACTTTGCCTACAGCAGTGCTGTCCATTGGAAATATAAGGTGAGCCATATATGTTATTCTAAATTTTCTAGAGTAACCATGTAAATAAATTAAAAGAAACAAGTATAATTTCTTTTATACAATTAATTTCAATCATATTTTATTTAATCCAACATATTAAAAATATTATCATTTAACATGTAATACAAGTAATTATTGAGATAGTCTACTTTTTTATAAAAAGTTTTTAAAATTCTGTATGTTACAGCTACAGAACATCCAAGATTAGATGCTAAATTTTTATTAGAAATCCTTCATGTCTATTTAGATTTCATAAAATTTGCGGGTAAAAAAGTATTCACATACCCTAATTCTTACAAACATACTTGAATATTTTGCAATAACTAAATGAGCCATTGGTTTTTACTGTAAATTAATTTAAATTTAGATTTCATTTACCCAGTCCCACTAACCACGTTTTCAGTGCTCTGTAGCCACCTGTGGATACTGGCCACCATATTGGACAACAGAAGTCCAAAGGACACTCCTCCTCTGAACTCCACAGAGACAGGTTCTGGGAGACTCCCCTCATAGTTCTGTGAGGCATGAAAACAGAGAATTTGTGCTTTAGAGAACAGCAAGATTGAGAAAGGCAGAGTTTATAAAAGAAGATTCAGAAACATTACAACTCTCCTTGGAGACCCTGGGAACAGAAGGCAGGGATCGACAGCAGTTCACGTTTCCTCTCTTCCACTGGCCAACAAGCTGTCTTCTCCTAGTCAAAAAAGAAATAAGGGAGATGGGAGTAGGGAGGGTATTACATTCTAGTCCAAACTTCAGTGACTCCTCTCTTGAATAGGGATGCAAAGGACAGCCATGAAAAATGCATAAGGACCTGGCTGATTCGGGGAGCTGACAGGAAATGAGTAGTCTAGAGAACATGGCTGGAGAAAGCTGAAGAGGGAGCAACATTTTAATTGCCTACAGGGATCATCAAGGAAGGGAAGGAAATGTGCAGAGGGGTCCAAGAGATCATGAGGAAGAGTTAAATGTAGGAAAAGAAAACATAAATTAAACACAGTGTAGGACAAATGCCATCAATTTGAGAAACAGACTCTCCAGGGAAGAGGTGGGAAAGTCTACACTTAAAACATTAAAAGTCAGTCAGTTATAACAATAGCGGTAAGAAATTGTTCTATTCTTGCTCTGAAAGATAAGGTAGACTAATCATTTAAAAAAATGGAATATATAATTTTACATTTGGGAAGGAGCTAGCAAGTTCTCTCTAGACCAGGGACCTCATTTTATAAATGAGAAAACTGAATTATATTATACTTCTAAATAATGCTGGGGCCAGGAGTAGAACTTATGACCCCTAGTTGTCAGGCTAATGCTCAAATAGAGCATAGATTTGTTGTTCTTATTTTCAAAATATTTTACTGACATTTTTTAGTAAATCTGTAAACCATCAATAGAGTCTTTTATCCTTCCCTGAGAAAAGAGAAAATTGAACTCTTAGGTCAGACTAGGAGTCCTACATGTGGCTATCTAGAGCTGCACTGTTCAACAAAATGAGGAGTAGCCAACACTTGAAACTTGGCTAGTCTGAATTGAACTTTGATGTAAGTATGAAATATTCACCAGATTAATTAGACTTAGTACAAAAAAGTAAACTAATTTCATTATATCGATGTACATTAAAATATATATTTGTATTGACTACATGTTAAAATAAATATAGCTCTGATATATTGAGTTAAAGCATATTATTAAATTAACTTCATCTTTAAAAATATTTTAATGTGGCTGCTAGAAAACATAAAATTACATACATGCCTCTATTATTTCTGTTATATTTTTGTCGGCTTGAGCTAATACAGAAGATACCATGAATAAAAAAAGAAACTGAGGTTTTGTTTCCAGCCTGCTTCCTAAAGCACAAATTAAATTTTTTGCCCTTCATAGGGTTTGAGCATGCCTTTAAGGTTTCCAATTCAGGTTAATAAATACCTCATGAAAATTAGCATCTATTCAAAAACCATTAAAGAGGAGAAAATTAAACCTGTCCATTGCATTGTTCTTTCTTGTCATGACTGCTTAGTGAATTAAAATGCCTGAAAACCCCAGTGTGCTTAGCTGCAGCCATCCTCTGTTTCTTCTCTACAACAGCACTGTGCTGTAATGAAGACCATGAAAAAGCATTTCAGAAAATAGCCTCCAATATAGAGTAGCAATCAATATGCATAGTATATACGATCAAGTTAGAGCAATGTGTAGGAGAGGCCCAAATATGTTTGGCCTGCTTAAACACATGCTTTCTGCTTGCCAGCCAACAAATCGCTTCTGTATATTACATAAGACTAAATTAATACCTACACGAAGACAGTTTATTGCGGATGATGGATCATGGGTTTGTTACTCATACATCCAGAGCAGGGCCCTGGAAATCACATCATCATTGCATTCCCAGGGAAAGAAATGATTGTCACATCCAGACATGTTTATCATGGAGAGAGAGGTTGATCCGGGCCCATCCACTTGCTGAGGGAATACTGCCACCTCACATGATGAGTGCTCAGAGGAAAGACCCAGTGTTGACTGGCAGATGCCAGCAAGAATAGTATTTTTCACGATAGTCCTTCTGAGGCAATAAGGAATGAACTGGCTATATCTTATGGTCTATATTGTTAGATTCTTGGGGGGCCCAAATGTGAATGTCATTTAACTTCAACAAAGGCAACCTAAATAGCATTTACTCTACCTTGGAGAGAGCAACAACAACCCAAGAAATGAAGCTCTTGCACATAATGCAGTCAACAGTATAATGCAGATGGACCCAAAACCCAAAGGTACAAGTCCTAGTATAAACGTAGGAGGTGAATGAAGGACAGATTAAACTAAAGGGATGGGCCTCTTTGGCCTATCTCCTGACAAACTGTCTGGCTGCATCAGCAAAAGTCGAGAGTAATCGATACTTATGAAACAACAGCACAGCCACAATCAGAGGCAGAGCAGGTTTGGAGTGCTATTACCATAAGTGGCTGAGTCATTGATGTGAATGTGTGTGTCATTTTGCATATCATTTGCATGTTATTTGGTGCAGGCTTGCCAATAAATAAAAACAATTTATCAACTTGCACAACCTACCCTGACCTTTGTAAGAACATATGGAGGAAAATAAACTAGACCTGCAATGAATTACTGTTTGTTTAGCATGAAAATATGAATAGTTCAGGTCCAAAGTGTAAGTTACTAACTTTAATGCTGTCACCTAGGTAGAAGGCTCCCTGTGGGCAAGTCTGTGTTTTAGACATTTTTGTTTCTAGTCCTGCTTAATAGCTTCACATGACAGTCACTTTCAGTGTGTTTGTTAATGCTGACCTCACTAAGAAATATGTGTATATGTATTTGTATACATTTATCTTTTTGACTTTCAGTCATATTTATTAAGTGCATCTCATATACCTGGGTAGACTAGTAAGTGCTTTACATATACTCTAATTTAATCCTTAAGAAAAAATGGTGTAATTATACAGTTGATGGAACAAGGCTGTGAATATTTGGGCAAACTCAAGTTTATCTGACTTCAGAGCATGAGTTCCCAGTTGCTTAACAATTGTAGTAACCCTAAGAATACCCAATCACTTGATGAAAGTTGCACTGCATAGTTTTTATACCAGAAGATCTGTGTGAGCCCATTTCCCTTTCCCCATGGGTGGATACGAGTTTTATGGAGCCTGAGACTTACAAAATTTAGGGGGCCCAGTAGAAGAAAAAAGATGCAAAATTATCAACACAAACTTCGATGTCAGAGTATTCATTTAGAATGAGAAAAGAAATTATAACAAATTAAAATACCACAAACAAAACAAAATGAAGATATAAAATATTTTTATTCAAGAATGGATGGATACATCTCTATGGTATATTTTTCTTAAATATTTTGGTTGCAAACTCACTGATCATCTTTTCATATGAAAGCAATTTTAATAATATTTTTTATCTAGAAAATAAAAAGACTATTTATAACTTCCTCCAACATGGTTGATTAAAATTTCATTTTTATTATTGCTGGTAAAACATAGGACCTTACCCATGGACATATACACTGTAGTTTTGCTACAGGTCTGTGTCTCACAAAAACATAAGTTCTATGGTGGTTCTATAATGGTACGCTTTATGTAAAAAATCAAGTCTGTTTCTGACAAGAGTGTATTTCCATCTTAACCACGTGTTGTTGGTGATGACTGAATCTTCTGCTTACAATTTTAGATATGTAATTTTTGGAAGACTTTTACATTGACTAACTTCTGACACTGTACATTTCAAACCTTGTCTCTCTTCTATTGCCCACCAACTCCTGGTTACAGAGGACCACAAAAACCATTTATTTCATCTTCATTTCATTAACAAGTAGGTCAGCACAGAAAACTGTAAGGACATTTCTGGAAGCCATTTTTACACTGTGATGGTTAACAATACACTAACTAGATGTGGAAGTGGCTGCAAACCACATAAATCTACCCTCACTAAATCTAAGTTAAATACATTCCCAGCTTAATTTCCTGAAACCCCCAAATGACCACAGCCACTTTAATATCCCATGATAGGAAGAAAAGTGTGTCTGAGAAGAAGGTAGATTGGACTTAATATTAAAATATTTTACTTTTGCAAATTTTACAAAATCTTATTAACAGGTGACTGTATTATTCGAGCCCCTCCCAGGTCTTTGACCACAGGCATGAGCCATATGAGCCACAAGCAACCCCCAGTGCTACTCCCCATCGCCCATTCTGTAATGGCACATAACATCATCTTTTTTGTGGTTCATTTCCTTTTGCTAGCTCCACTCCATTCAAGCCCAATCTCATGTCTGTAGATCAACTCTACATCAATGGTTCTAAACTTTTCGAGTATGATGACTTATTTACAGACCCAACGGATGTGCTCATCCTTACTAGTAAGTGTGCATTTGGGCCTATTGCCAGAGTAGATACAAAGGAGAAAAAAATTGCTTTGTGTCCAATGCTTTTGTGTTTTTATATGCTTAGTGTAACTAATAAATGATTACATTGTTATATGTATTTACGTTAAATTCATTATATGTTATATTCATTGTATTGTTATATTACAATTATTCATTGTTATATTTATATTTCAATGTTTTATGTTGTTTTATTATATTATATATTTACTCTTAATATATTTGTTATTTAATGTATTATTTGTATATTATATTCATTTATTGTTATAATAGCACCTAAATACATTTGAATGTGAAATATATGTGTGAGGAACCTTTTTATTTTCTACAAACAATATTTGGGCATATATCTAGACTCTTTGAAATGATTCCCTAGCTGTTAGGAATTCTATAACCTGCATTTTGGAAAATACTGCTCTAAGCCTTATACTAGCTAAAAACACTGCTGGTTGAATTTTTCCAAGCACCTTCAGTTTTAAGTACAGCAAAGCAACCAATTCATTGCAGTGGTTACTTATGTGTAAGGAAGATTTTTCAGTATACGGAGTCCTCTAAACTGAATGATTTGTAATAGCTCCATGAAAAAAGTGGACTTTCCTCTGAGTTGGGACAGTTGGTTGAGAGGAAGGCACTAACCAATACGAATTTAAGTTTGTGCTCAGGCTTTGAAAAAAATGGGTTTGCACTCTCATGGGGAGAAAATGTGTGGTCATCTTTCTTCTCCTGGCTGGCACTCCAAGCAGGCTTCATTTTAAAAATAGTGCTAGGGAGGGAGGAAAAAATATAATGTATTCTTAAAATGTTTATATGTCAGCAAAATCCTGAAAACCATTCAATAGATTAATCCTCCTGCTGACTTAAAAAGGATGGATTTCCAGCTATAACTGAGATTGGGAAAAATTGATTTCCGTGTACCTTATGACTGAATAAGATAAAAGCCACTGCCCTGACAAGCTTCTCCCAGCCTGGATCCAGACACTGGGAGGGTTGGCTAATTGAAAAGTCACTCCAAATACTAGCCCAGACCCTTTGAGGAGATCTGGAAAAAGAATCAAAGACAGATTGTTCATTTTTCAAGAACAATTTCCAGAATGTTGTTTATTTCCGCCATCACTGAGCAACTATAGTCAAAGGTGAAATTGCTTTCTCTCCCTTTTCTTCAAACTCATCTTCATTTCTCCTTTACCTTCTCCTCTTTCTCGCTCCATTTCTCAACTTTCTCCTTTTTTCATGATGTCTTCTTTTATGTGAAAATATTTGCAAAGTGAAAACACCACCTGGATTAAGCTTTCTTGTTAAAGCTCCAAGCAATGGTGAGCTAATTCTTTTCTATGGTCTTAGTTTACCCAATTAAAAGTAAGACATTGCACCTGTCCATAAATTTATGCTTAACAAAGTGTTTCAGCTACCTTTTTCCATGTAATTCTCACATGAATCCTGTGAGGGGCTAATTATTATTATCAAGGCTACAAAAACAGTCTCAGATGCCTTGTAAATGTTTCAGAGCCAGTGTTTGCCCAAGCTGGGACAAGGTCCCATATCTGATTCTACATCCCCTGGCTTCAACTGAGTCACAACTGATTCCCACATGATTAATACTACGTTTCTCCACAAGCATGTTACATGAGAGGGTTCATTCACTCGCTTACTCATTTATTCTTTCATTTCATAACTATGTATTGAGCACCTGCTAGGTGTTAGGCACTAAGCAAAATGAGAAAACAGCTGTAAACTAGGCAAGATCTCTGCTCACAAGTACCTGATCTTCTAGGAATACAGCTGGTTTGAATATAAAGTCGAAGTACTATGGTGAATTTTAAATTCTTCAGGATATAAAATAATTCAAACTACCTGACATTCACACAACATTCCAATGGCAAATCAGTTTTAATGGAAAATATGGTAAACTAAGTTTTAAAGAAAAGAGCCTAATGTTGCTAAAACAGTATTATAGATTATATGAACCTATTTAGAGATATTAGTGTTTTCCTGACTTTGTTTTTACTTTTTTCTTTTGCTGCCATCTCTTTCATGTCTTCTCCTTGTAATTTTAAATATTTTCTCCTTATTGTTCCCTACTCTATCATCTCTTCTGTATTTCAGGCCATTTCTACATAGAAGCAATCGGTTACGTCATTTTGAATCAATCATATGATATCACTTTCTTGAGCAAACAGGACAGTTGCTGAGCCATTTATTTGTTTTTCCTAAGGAATTCCATGAAGTTCTTAAATAAATTTCCATCCAGTTCTCTGGATATTCATGTACCTATCTACATAGTATAAGAAATTCTCAATCAGTAGGCTTAATCCCCTGAACCTTGGTATACAAACAACAGCAATAGCAAATATTATTAAATAGGTCTTTATTTGTGCTAGACAGTCTTGTGGGTGTTTTACGTATATTTGTAAATTGTACCCTCATGACAACACTTTGAGGTAGTTACTATTTAAATTCCCACTTTACAAATGAGAGAACTGAGACACAGAGAGAAGTGACTTGCTCAGAGATATAAACAAGTGAATGGAAGGGCCTGAATTAAAACCCAAATTGCCTATCTGCAAAGTTTACTCTCCTTGCCATGTACTGCATGGCTCTCATAAAATCAGACACTACTCACTCAATTGACAATATTGCAAATGGCACTTAAATTCTCAAGCCAGCTTTTCTAATCACCTAGAACTGAGGTCAGCAGGTATTTGATTCTATCACCTGATCAGTGATTACATCTTCCCTGACTTTATTAGGCTCTTTTCACTTTAACTTACAAATTGCAGGGAAAGGGGGTAGGAACGTGCATCCCTAGCAATTTTCGTTGTGGGTGAATCCGTCAGTGGAAGACTGTTATCTACATGTGCATTTTATATGTGTGTGGTGGGAAAAAAAAGTGCTGAAGAGTATTGCATATGGAGAGGTGGAAATGGGATGGAGTGGAACTTAGGGCAGTGGTTATTTGTGAGTGGGTAGTTCTGATGACAAGGTTTACTTTTATGGCTTCTTGGTGGGTGTAATCAGTGGGGAGATGTTCCCATAATGATAGGGGTGTGGTGTGTGCTGAGGTGTCTGTGGGTGGGCAAGGCGAGGATAAGCATGTGACAGAAAGAAAAACCCTAACAGCTCATTTTATTCCTCCTCCCTTCTTTACCACCCCCCCTTCCGTCTTCCATCCCTAAATATCTATGATGTTGCAATACAAATTGAAATGGCTAAAGTTGTGAGGAGGAATTTTTTTTCTTTTGAAACACAGTACAAAACCACACTCATAACAACCAGGTTCCCTATATAAATCTATTTTTAAGATGATTACAGGGTTTCCATAGCCATTCTAGCATCAACTGCTGGTTTTGTTTCCTCGTCGTCAGTAAACTGTTGGCAGGATACTGCACCAGAGGTATACTTTTTAAAGGGTATAATTGCATGGCACAGAAATTATCACTTTCTCGACGATGATTTTCATTGGTCTTTCCCTTTGAGAATCCGGTTTGGAAGCTGGGCTTGTCAGTCCCTCCAAGCACACACTGCATTGTGTGCGTTGGTCTCATGGCCTATCATGCTGGCAACCACTAGGCAGAGGGTAGCAATTAAACCACACAATAGGCATCAAGGGATGAGAAGAAGACACTGTGTTTGAAATAAATGAACACAAGCAGCACAGCCAGCTTCCCTAGGAAGGCTATCTGAGCAGTGTGGCTAGCCAAGATTGGACAGACTTTGCAAAGCAAGCTGGAAAACTCCCCATGGTGCCAAGCCATTAGACAGCAGCTGAGGCTACATCCCCTAGGATCTATCATAGGCCCCTTCTCCCAGGCTAACCTTCTCTAGGGTATAGAAATATAGGAAGGAGGCTTCATAGAACTACGCTTTTTTCACTGCCTGAGCCCAGAGGCTATGCAAATTTTGATTGATCTGGCAGCTATTTTTAAAATGCATTGTCTAATAGGGGCAGGCATAGGAGCTTTAGTTCACCCTCAGAAATAAGGGCCAGATAAGGCAGAAGTCAGCCTCTGAAATGGAAGCTAATAAACATCAACATGTAATAGGTAAAATTATCTACTAACAGAAGTCACTAACTCTCAAGAGGTAATGATGATGTGGTAATTATGAAACTAAGATACTCTCCAATCTTTATCTAAGGGAACCAGAAAACTCTATCCAGATAAAAGACCAGTGTTTCTCATTCTAATGAAGATGATCAGCATGGTGCCTCAGTGCTGAAATGCAACTGGTGTCAAAAAATGAAAGCTCATAAAATAATAACCATGAAAATGACCTAACTAAGATACTTATGTATAGAGACTAGAACAAAGAAACTGTAGAGCAAGAATGGATGGTAGTTTAAGTAGCATTATCTGGGAAAAAGGCATTGAGATGCTAACAGAAATATTCATAGAGGAGAGAAGAGCATTTCAACTGGTTACTCTAACTTGATAAAAATGGAAACTACAAACATCAAGCAACTCTCAGCCCAAATCTGTTCTCACCAAGCAATGTCCTAATCTGTAACTTGAGTCCTGAGTAGTCTGATCTACCAGAAGAGAGAGTCCTGAGAACGTTTGTTCATTCACCAATTCAATAAACATATTTAAGTGCCTCAATTCGTAAGTGTTGCAGGCACTCTAGCACTAAGGGATAAAATGGGTGGTTCACATTCTCAAGGGGCTTGCAGGCTAGTTAGGCGAACAGGTAAGTAAACATAATTTTAATGTGAAGAGATAGGATCCATTATAGAGACATGCATGGCATGGACTGGGAGTACAGAGAGAAACTACTTTACCCAGTCTATGGTAGGAAAGCGTCAATAAGACCACATTGAATGAAAAGAGACCAAAATTTGTTCTTGAAATATAAAGATTAGAAGCAGCAATAGAGGATTAGGATGGTAAATCAGGGTTGGCATTGTGTTTAAAAGAGGCAGAGAAGTCTATTCAAAGCAGATGTTGAAAGCACAGACAGTATAAAGGCTCTGGAGAATGTGATGTGCTTGGGAGAAATTGGAGCATTAATATAATTGAGTGTGAGGAGAGGTATGGAAGGAAATAAGGTAGAAAGAGGTTATGTCAGGAACTGCCTTATTAGCAACCTGGGTTTTATCCTGTAGGCAGAAATGAGCAATTGAAAATGTTAAGCAGGGGAGTAATATGGTTGAATTTGCAATTTAGATGATATTTCCATACATATCTCCCACTCCAGATGAACTGATATTCTGACGTGTGGATTTGGTAAATGCAGATTTTTTACTTTGATTGAGTCCAAGAGCTTGATGACCTTATGGTGGGCTGGTAAAACTGAGTTTTCAGACTTGAAACTTGAGGGCTGAACCCTGGACCTGTGAAAACATCCCATCAAGTTTTCACTTGTGAGAGAGGCCCAACTGGAAGTTGTCATCTGATCTCTATTTGACATCTCTCCATCTGCAGAATCCTGGGTGCAAAATGGAAAATATTCAGTTAATCTGTGAAAATCATCCAGGGGAAAGGAAGAGTCTTACCAAGTCATTTTTTTCTATGTGAAATCCTTTCTATCTTCTGAGGTTTAAAATGGTTTCTCCTGGAATACCATATTAGGCTACAATTAATAAAATGTCATTCCCTTAAAAAGAATGCTGCTGATGGTCAAGGCTATTTCACTATAAACCTTTGTCAAGGTCTTTTAGCAAATGAATTTATTCCCAGTTTTGAAATGGTCTGCCATATTTTTAAAAATAAATTTACAAATTGTCCTTCTATTCAAGGTGAAAAACATGTGATACAAAATCAAAGTGAACTTTCTGGAGAGATGATAAAGGTGACAAACAAGATTAAACACACAAATTGGGGATAATTTCAAGTAGATACTAAAATTCATCAATTCAATTAAAATGGAATTTGTGGATACTAAATGCTCAGAAAATAAAAAAAAAAAACTGTAAGACATCACATGGGAACTAAAAACTTCTAGATAAAACAAATCCAGATAACAGTAGAACATATCCTAAAGTGTGATAGATACTCTAGAAGTACAGGGAAGAGTTACAGCAGGGGAGATGAAGTGCAGACTATGGGAAATAAATGGAAATTAGATTAAAAAGATGTAAGTTTCCAAATGTGGTGAGCAATATGAGCCAAGAGCCAACAGAAATAACATTTTCTGAGAATTTGGACATTGTCATGAGGACACCAGCATAGGGAGAGTGGGCTTCATGATGCAGAGCCCACCACAGCCATTGGTACGCCGCTTTATAGAGCAGACATGGCAGCAGGTAGTTGTCACTGAATAACGCAGTCAATACTGTGGAGTGTGTTTTTCAGTCCTTAAACACCATCTCCTCAAGTCTGTCTACAAATTGTCACCTTGGCAGGGCTCTGAGCCCTGCTTCTGAGCTGTGCGTGTGTGTGTGTGTGTGTGTGTGTGTGTGTGTGTATACATATATAAATACAGAAGCAATGAAGCTCACGCAATGGGAGGGATTCTAAGCAGAGGTCACTATGCCTAGTCTCTGACCAGCACTTTGGGAGATAAAGCTGATAATTAGTAAAGAGCTTCAAACCCACTAAGTGCTCAACTCAACTAACCTATGTCAGAGTCAGTGTCCTGCATGATGGAGTGACAGGGTGGAAATATAGAACTACATAGAACTTTAGAGCCAGCAGGGACCTTAGAGGCCATTAAGTCCAATCCTCTCATTTTACCAATGAGGAAACAAAGGCCCCAAAGAAGGTCAGTAATGTGCTTGAAGCCAACCAGATAGTGAATGACAGAACTGGAACGAATCACTTCTCTTAACTCTCAGTTCAGTGCTCGTTTCATTATATCACACTGTCATCTTTTTTTTTTTTTTTTCAAGAAAAGCTTTGTAAATATTCAAGACATGATCTTTTTTTCCCATCTTTGAAACCACTATTGGGTGTCTTTGTCTACCTTAAATTTAGGTACTTTTCCTATGATATTCACTTAATTATCACAGTTTTAGGCCTGTGTAGAGCACATATGGCCCTCATTAGATTTTTTATTTGGGACAAGTGATATAATCCTTTTACATGTGTATGGTGTTGCCCCTTTCAGACATTTCTGTGTACCTTTCTCCACTAGATTTCATAAGAATTCTATCCAGTAAGCTGGACAGCCATTGCTGTCTTCATTTGGTTGTTGAAGGAAACGAGGCACAGAGAGATATAGTAACTTCCTTTTAGACACACATTGAGGCAAAGGTGAAGTTGAAACTAAAAACCTATAATTCCTTAAACTAACAGAAGAACCAATGAGGTGTGAGCTGAGAGATTCTGGTCGCATGGAAATTTTCCCATTTTGTCAAGCTTTGTTTTTGTATGTAAAAACTTTTCCCAAGTTTCAAGGACAGGGAGATATCTGAAAGCCACAGAATTCATAGCTGAATTCCCAGATCATGCTGCTCAACCTTATACTATGCCCAAGAAGGAAAGTTCCAAGGCTGATGGAAAAGGACAGGATCCGTCAGTGAGTTGATGTGACTGGGCTGAAAAAGATTCAAAGAGACACAATCTGTCTCTGGAGACAATTAGAAAACAGAGTAGGGGGCCATTTGCTACATCTCTCTCTTTGTTTCAAATGTGGCTGTTTAAATTTGAATTGAATGTGTTTGGGGATTTTCTACAAAGGGAGTCACTTGGAAGGCTGCCGTTTCTTGTTATCAGTCATGTTTTATTATTGAGAGGAGGAACACCCAGAGGAGCTTCAGAGCCAGGCACAGGCAAAAAAAAAAAAAAAAAAAAAAAAAGTGAGGGATTGGTGCACAACAATACCTCAGTCCTATGGTATCCAAACTCATAGATATTGTCCTCAGGGATAGTTAAAGATTCAGTACAAAAGAAGATGATTCCAAAGTATTTTAAGTGGTATTATCTTAAAGGTGAAATGAGAGTATCAATAAAGGTCATTAATCTACTCAATCATTAGGCACTCACCATTGACACTGCATGAGTTAGACATTAGAAGAATCAGAGCTTATGGTACCCCCTATAAGTATGCAAGTAAGTTGTACTGAGACATAATTATATCGACTAGCAAGCAAATGTATTACTTAGGTCTATAAATTGATAAACAAGTGGTACAGATCAGTGTTGTGAAATGTGGAGGAGAAGATACTTAAGCCCTTCATTAAGTTAGAAAGAAACAGTCAGTTTCAGCTTGTAAAGGAATGGAGAACCATAGTGCTAGGGGGAAGTAGCAGCCAACAAGAAGGGAAGTAGAGGATTATAGAAGAGGGAAAGACAATTTAAGTTGGTTAGGGGCATCGCTGTTTCCTTATTGTCCTACTTATTGTCTTTCCAAAGCAAAATCTCTACCTGGTCTCCTTTTGCCTTTCCAGTACCTAAGTCAGCTCTGACTAGAATAGTCATTCACTTAAGCTCTCCATGCCTGACATTTCTCATCTGTTATAAAGGGCATAAAGTATACTTCTTGTATATATGCTAAGGTTTCTGGAAGCTTAGAAGCAATGATATGTAGTGAAAGTTCTTTGAAATGTACTAAGTGCTATAAAACTGTGAGGCACTAATACTTACTTTCTCTGTGTAACTCTGTAAGAGGTATCCAAGCTATCTGGTTAGGATTGGGATTTGTAGTTTTAATTCGACTTGACCACTGCAGTGAGAGACAGACTTTATCATTTCTTTATCAGAGTAAGTGTTTTTTTGCCAAGAGGAACACAGATTGGGCAAGGTTTAGCCAAATCTAACGATAGGTGTTAACCCTTGGAATGTGATTTTAATAGCAAATAGGTATTTATAATTAATGTGCAATAACTCAATTATGCACATCTCTTTAAATTTAATAGGCCCTGTTAAGGTAAGATCATTAAGCACCCAATTGAATGTTAAACACATATATTTGGGGTTTAACGACTGTGCAGCAGATGCAGGATGGATTATGGGATTGTTAAAGGGTATTAAGAAAGTTGTTACTGTTGTGGGGGTATTTAATTAATGTTTTAAGCAATCTCAACTTTGAAATCTGCCCAAAATTCTAGATGAAATCTGCTTGGGGAGCAGGAGCATAATTGGCAGCGTTACTGGTTAAACCGAACCACGCTGAAGGAGAACACAACGAAACAGCCCTCTAATTAGTGTGAGAAATGACAACAACACAACAAAAACCACCAAGTGTCTCCAATGACAGGTGCAGCAAATAACAAGGCTGATGAAAGATTTTGCAATTAAAGATGCTGCTATGAAGATTAATGGAGTATTATCTTAAATTAATGTAAGGCGGTTGATCAGAGATGAGTTTCTGCCTTACAAGCAGCCCACCTTTTCTACTTTTCTTCCCTTAATTTGTTTCTAGGAGTCAAGTCCTCTTTACCATCCCCCAATATTCAAATGACTTTTGATTTTATAGTTTCTCTATTCTTCTTTTTCTGAATGTACGTGGTCTACTTTTTGTTCTTTTGGTCTCTTTCTGTCTCTCTCTCTTTTTCTTGATAAAAATAAAATGGTTTCAACTTAGTGTCAGTGTTCTGTCTCCTATACCCAACATCTCACTAGGTATTTTTTTACTTTCCATCAAAGGAGTTGTTTAAATTACAAATTGCTGTTCTATTGCACAGTAGGGTGATGCTGGTTAACAGTAAGGTATAGAATATTACAAAATAGCTAGAAGAGAGGCTTTTGAACATTTTCACCACAAAGAAATGATAAATGCATGAGGTGTTGGATATACTAAACACCTGGACTTGATCATCATTATAAGACATATATATATATATGTATTGAAACATTAAATTGTATCCCATAATATGACCAATTACAATGTGGCAATAAAAATATATAAAATCACATTATAGAAAGATAAAATAAACACACACAAATTACAGATTAGTCTACTCAAAGCTCAAGGATTACACAAATATTCTAATAATAAAGAGGGAGATTAAACAAGGAAGGCACCTTGTTTAAATCTTTAAAATTATTAGAATATTTATTTTTGTCATCATGACCTCACCATTCATTCTTTCAATAAATATTGATTGAGTGTCGACTATGTACCAAGCATATTCTAGGCCTCGGAGGTACAAGCAGTAAATAAACAGGTACATTCTCTGTATTTAAAAGTTTACTTTCTAGTTGAAGGAACAGAAAATAAATACAAAGCAAGAACATGGCATATGGTGATTGATTCAATAGGAGAAAATGCAGCAGACAAGCAACAAAGGGAATGCCAGGGGTAGGAGTTGTTATTTTGGGTGATCTCACTAATAGTGGCATGTAAACAGATACGTGAAAGACGTGAAGTGAGGAACAGTAAGGAAGTCTGTTTATCTGGAACTGAGTGAGAGAGGTAGGAGATAAAATCAGAGGGGTGGGCAAGGGGTAAATTTATATAGGTGCTTATTGGGAATCTTAGGACTTTGGCTTTTACTGTAGGTGATATGGAAAGCCACTAGAGAGTTTGACCACAGGAAAGACATAAGCAAATTAAGTTTTAAAATAATCATACTAGCTCCTATGAAGTTGGCCACTGTGGCCTGGAGAGGAAGATGGAATAGATAATAAAAGAGAGAATTAATAGTGGTTTGACTTGGATGGTTGTAGTCTAAGGGATGAGAAGTAGTCAGATTCTAGATGTACTCTAGAGATATCTAGAGCCAATAGCATTTGATGACAAACTGGATTACTTTAAGCTTTTGGGACTGAACAATTAGAAGACTGAAATTACCATTTACTGAGGATGAAAGTTTAGTGGGGAAAATCAAGAGTTTCTTTGAGGGCATATTAAGTGGAACTGTAAAGTGGGTATTGGATATAGAACTGTGGATTTCAGAGGGAATTTCCAGGATGAATATATAAATTTGGCAGTTATTTATATAGGATAATATTGGAAGCCATAAAACTCAATGAAATCATGTTGGGAGCAAATATAGATAGAAAAGAAGGGGAGGTCTGAGAACTGAGACCTGTGGTATTCCAACATCTATGGGTTGAAGAGTGAGGAGAACACAGCCAAGAAGATAGAGAAAAAGCAGCCAGGCAGAGAGGAAAGACCAAGAAGAGCATGAAGAAGTGTTTCAAGTTGGAGAAAATGATCAGTTGTGTCAAATGCTGCTGGTAGGATGAGAACTGAGAAATGTGTATTGGTTCAGCAACATCATTGGTGACCTTGTCAGGAGCTATTTCAGTGAAGTCCTGGGTTAAAAGACTAATTGCCATGCATTAAATCAAGACCAGAAAAGAAGAACTGGAGCTAGTGAGAATATAAATCTCTTTGGAGGGATGTTGCTGTAAAAATAAAGTGAATAAATGGAGTTGTAGCTGGAGAGGGATGTGAGATCAAGAGAAAAATATCTTTTTATTTATTTATTTTTAATCTGCCCACAACCTCCTAGAAAAATATCTTTTCAAATGCAAAAGACATTATAACATATTCCTGTGCTGTTAGGAATGATCCAGATTAGAGGAAAACTTTATGATGCAGACCAAGCACGGGCATTGCTAGAGTATAGTCCTTAAGTAGGCAAGGGAGGAAGGGACCTGCTGCACAGATCATGGGATTGAGTTCAAATGTGACCATAATCAATTCATTCATGTAACAGGAGGAAAGACAGCATATATGGGTATAGGAATGTAGGCTGGTAGATGTAATGGTGGAAGACTGTGCATGCTCTCTTCTAGTTGCTTTTCCTTTATATGTAGATACTTAAATAGGAAGAAAGGCTATCAGCTAATAATAAGAATAAAGAATAAGGTGTTGGAGGTTTGAAAGCAAAGTAGAAGGCAAAAAACAGTTATGAGCAGAGGGAAACACTAGGATTGCAGAGTGACCATAATAGACCATTTAAAGTCACTGGCCACAAATTTTATTTTATTTTATTTTTATTTCCATAGGTTTTTGGGGAACAGATGGTGTTTGGTTACATGAATAAGTTCTTTAGTGGTGATTTCTGAGATTCTGGTGCAACCATCACCCTAACAGTGTTCACTGTACTCAATGTGTACTCCTTTATCCTGCACCCCCCTCCCACCCTTCCCCCCACAAGTCCCCAAAGTTCATTGTATCATTCTTATGCCTTTGAGTCCTCATAGCTTAGCTCCCACTTATGAGTGAGAACATACAATGTTTAGTTTTCCATCCCTGAGTTACTTCACTTAAAATAATGGTCTCTGGTTCTATCCAGGTTGCTGCAAATGCCATTATTTCATTCCTTTTTATACCTGAGTAGTATTCCATTTTATCTATCTACTCATTGATTGATGGGCGTTTGGGTTGGTTCCATCCTTTTGCAATTGCAAATTGTGCTGCTATTAACATGTGTGTTCAAGTATCTTTTGTATAATGACTTCTTTTCCTCTGGGTAGATACCCAAGAGTGGGATTGCTGGATCAAATGGTAGACCTACTTTTAGTTCTTTAAGGCACCTCCACACTATTTTCCATAGTGGTTGTACTGGTTTACATTCCCAGCAACAGTGTAAAAGTATTCCCTTTTCACCACATCCATGCCAATATCTTTTTATTTTTTTAAATTTTTTGATTGTGGCCATTTTTGCAGGAGTTAGGTGGTATTGCATTGTGGTTTTGATTTGCATTTCCCTGAAAATTAGTGATGTTGAGCATTTTTTTATATCTTTGTTGGCCATCTGTATATCTTCTTTTGAGAATTGCCTATTCATGTCCTTAGCCCACTTTTTGATGGGGTTGTTTGTTTTTTTATTGCTGATTTGTTTGAGTTCCTTGTAGATTCTGAATATTAGTCCTTTGTTGAATGTATAGCTTGCAAAGATTTTCTCCCACTCTGTGCATTGTCTGTTTACTCTGCTGATTATTTCTTTTTCTATAAAGAAGCTTTTTAGTTTAATCAAGTCCCATCTATTTGTCTTTGTTTTTGTTGTGTTTTCTTTTGGGTTCTTGGTCATGAAGTTTTTGCCCAAGCTGATGTTTAGAAGGGTTTTCTCAATGTTATCTTCTAAAATTTTTATAGTTTCAGGTCTTTGATTTAAGTCTTTGCTCCATCTTGAGTTGATTTTTGCATGGGGTGAGAGACGAGAATCCAGTTTCATGCTTCTAAATGTGGCTTGTCAATTAGCCCAGCACCATTTGTTTAATGGGGTGTCCTTATGCCACTTTATGTTATTGTTTGCTTTGCTGAAGATCAGTTGGCTGTAAGTATTTGGCTTTATTTCTAAGTTCTCTATTCTCGTCCTTGATCTATATGCCTGTTTTTTATACGAGTACCATGCTGTTCTGGTGACCATGACCTAATAGTATAGTTTGAAGTTGTGTAATGTAATGCCTCTAGATTTGTTCTTTTTGCTTAGTTATTGCTTTGGCTATGTGGGCTCTTTTTTGGTTCCATATAAATTTTAGGATTGCTTTTTCTAAAGTTCTGTGAAGAATGATGGTGGTATTTTGAAGGGAATTGTATTGAATTTATAGATTGCTTTTGGCAGTATGGTCATTTTCACAGTATTGATTGTACCCATCCATGAGCATGAGATATGTTTCCATTTGTTTTTGTCATCTATTATGTCTTTCAGCAATGGTTTGTAATTTTCCTTGTAGAGGTCTTTCATCTCCTTGGTTAAGTATATTCCTACATATTTTATTTTGTTTGCCACTATTGTAAAAGGGGTTGAGTTCTTGATTTGATTCTCAGCTTGATCACTGTTGGTATATAGCAGGGCTACTGATTTGTGTACAGTAATTTTGTATCCTGAAACTTTGCTGAATTCATTGATCAGTTCTAGGAGATTTTTAGAGGAGTTTCTAGGGTTTTCTAGGTATACAGTCATGTCATCAGCAAATAGCAACAGTTTAACTTCCTCTTTACTGATTTGGAGGCCCCTTATTTCTTTCTCTTGTCTGATTGCTCTGGCTAGGACTGCCAGTACTATGTTGAATAGAAGTGGTGAAAGTGGGCATCCTTGTCTTGTTCCAGTTCTCAGGGGGAATGCTTTCAACTTTGCCCTGTTCAGTACAATGTTGGCTGAGGGTTTGTCATAGTTGGCTTTTATTACCTTAAGGTATGTCTCTTCTATGGCAATTTTGCTGAGGATTTTAATCATAAAGGGATGATGGATTTTTTCAAATGATATTTCTGTATCTATTGAGATGATCATGTGACTTTTGTTTTAAATTTTGTTTATGGCCAGGTGCAGTGGCTCACGCCTGTAATCCCAACACTCTGGGAGGCTGAGGTGGGCAGATCACAAGGTCAGGGAGTTCAAGACCAGCTTGGCAAATATGGTGAAACATCATCTCTACTAAAAATACAAAAATTATCCAGCCATGGTGGCAGGCACCTGTAGTCCCAGCTACTTGGGAGGCTGAGGCAGGAGAATTGCTTGAATCCAGAAGGTGGAGGTTGCAGTGAGCTGAGATCATGCCATTGCACTCCAGCCTGGGTGACAGAGTGAGACTCTGTCTCAAAAAAAAAATTGTTTATGTTATGCATGACATTTATTGACTTGCATATGTTAAACCATCCTTGCATCCCTGGTATGAAAACTACTTGATCATGGTGGATTATCTTTTTGATATGCTGTTGGAGTTGGTTAGCTAGTAGTTTGTTGAGAATTTTTGCATCTATGTTCATCAGGAATATTGGTCTGCAGTTTTCTTTTTTTGTTACGTCCTTTCCTGGTTTTGGTATTAGGGTGATACTGGCTTCATAGAAAGATTTAGGGAGGATTCCCTCTTTTTCTATCTTTTGGAATAGTGTCAATAGAATTGGTACCAATTGTTCTTTGAATGTCTGAATTCAGCTGTGACTCTGTCTGGTCCTGGACTTTTTTTTATTGGTAACTTTTAAATTATCATTTCAACCTCACTGCTTGTTATTGGTTTGTTCAGAGTTTCTATTTCTTCCTGGTTTAATCTAGGAGGCTGCATATTTCCAGGAATGTATTCATCTCCTCTAGGTTTTCTAGTTTATGCACATAAACGTGTTCATAGTAGTTTTGAATGATCTTTTTTATTTCTGTGGTATTGGTTGAAATATCTCCTGTTTCATTTCTAATTGAGCTTATTTGAATCTTCTCTCTTCTTGGTTAATCTTGCTAATGGTCTATCAATTTTATTTATCTTTCCAAAGAACCAGGTTCATGTTTCATTTAACTTTTGTATTTTTGTTTGTTTCAATTTCATTTAGTTCTGCTCTGATCTTGGTTATATCTTTTCCTCCTCTGGGTTTGGGTTTGGTTTGTTCTTGTTTCTCTAGATCCTTGAAGTGTGACCTTAGATTGTCTATTTGTGCTCTTTCAGACTTTTTGATATGGGCTTCTAAGGCTATGAACTTTCCTTTTAGCACCACCTTTGCTGTATACAAGAGATTTTGATATGTTGTGTCACTATTATTCAGTTTAAAGAATTTTTAAATGTCCATATTGATTTTATTGTTGACTCAATCATTCAGCAGCAGGTTATTTAATTTCCATGTATTTGCATTGTTTTGAAGGTTCCCTTTGGAGTTGATTTCCAATTTTATTTCACTGTGGTTTGAGAGAGTACTTGATATAATTTCAATTTTCTTAAATTTTTGAGACTTGTTTTGCAGCCTATTATATGGTCTATCTTGGAGAAATTTCCATGTGCTGATGAATAGAATGTATATTCTGCAGTTGTTGTGTAGAATGTTATGTAAATATCTGTTAAGTCCATTTGTTCTAGGGTATTGTTTAAGTCAATTGTTTCTTAGTTGACTTTCTGTCTTGATGACCTGTCTAGTGCTGTCAGTGGAGTACTGAAATCCCCCACTATTATTGTGCTACTGTCTGTCTCATTTCTTAGGTCCTGTAGTAATGGTTTTATAAATTTGGGAGCTCCAGTGTTAAGTGCATATATATTTAGAATTGTGATATTTTCCTGTTGGACTAGTGCTTTTATCATTGTATAATGTCCCTCTTTGTCTTTTTTAACTGCTGTTGTTTTAAGGTTTGTTTGTCTGATACAAGAATAGCTACTCCTGCTCGCTTTTGATGTCCATTTTCATGGAATATCCTTTTCAACCCCTTTACCTTAGGTTTATATGAGTCTTTACGTGTCAGGTGAGTCTCTTGAGGACAGCAGATACCTGGTTGGTACATTCTTATCCATTCTGCCATTCTGTATCCTTTAAGTGGAGCATTTAGGCCATTTACATTCAATGTTAGTATTGAGATGTGAGGTACTATTATATTCATCCTGCTATTTGTTGCCTGAATACCTTGTTATTTTCTTTTCAATGGGCTATTGTTTTATAGGTCCTGTGAGATTTATGCTTTAAGGAGATTCTATTTTTTTTTGTTTGAGGATTTGTTTCAAGACTTAGAGCTCTTTTTAGCAGTTCTTGTAGTGCTGGCTTGGTAGTGGCGAATTCTCTCAGCATTTGTTTGTCTGAAAAAGTCAGTATCTTTCCTTCATTTATGAAGCTTAGTTTCACCGGATACAAAATTTTTGGCTGATAATTGTTTTGTTTAAGGAGGCTAAAGATAGGACCCCAATTTCTTCTAGCTTGTAGAGTTTCTGCTGAGAAATCTGCTGTTAATTTGATTTGTTTTCCTTTATAGGCTACCCAATGCCTTTTTCTCACTGATCTTAAGATTCTTTCCTTTGTCTTGATTTTAGATAATCTGATAAATATATGCCTAGGCAATGATCTTTTTGTGATGAATTTCCCAGATGTTCTTTGAGCTTCTTGTATTTGGATGGTGAGATCTCTAGTAAGGCTGCAGAAGTTTTCCTCAATTATTCCCTCAAATGTATTTTCTAAACTTTATGATTTCTCTTCTTCCTCAGGAACAACAATTATTTTTAGGCTTGGTCATTTAACACAATCCTAAACTTCTTGGTGGCTGTGTTCGTGTTTTTTATTCTTTTTTTCTGTCTTTGTTAGATTGGGTTAATTCTAAAGCCTCGTCTTCAAGCTCTGAAGTTCTTTCTTTACCTGTGCAATTCTATTGCTGAGATTTCCAGTGCCTTTTGCAATTCTCTGTGTCCTTCATTTCCAGAAGTTGTGATTGCTTTTTATTTCTGCTATCTATTTCACTGGAGTTTTTTCCACTCATATCCTGTATTTTTTTTTTTTTTTTAATTTCATTAAGTTGAACTTCACCTTTCTCTTCTGCCTCCTCGATTGGCTTAATAGTCAACCTTCTGAATTCTTTTTCTGGCAATTCAGAGATTTCATCTTGGTTTGGATCCATTGCTGGTGAGCTACTGTGATCTTTTGGGAGTGTTAAAAAACCTTTTTTTTGTCATATTGCCAGAAATTTTTTTTTCCTCTCATTTGGGTAGACTATGTTAGAGGGAAGATCTTGGACTCAAGGGCTGCTGTTCAGATTCTTTTGTCCCACAGGTGCTCCCTTGAAGTCGTGCTCTCCCCTTTCCCCTAGGGATGGGGCTTCCTGAGAGCTGAACAGCAGTGATTGCGATTTCTCTTCTGAATCTAGCCACCCAGTGGAGCTACCAGGCTCTGAGCTGGTACTAGGGAGTGTCTGCAAAGACTTCCATGATATGTTCTCTCTTCAATTCTCTCAACCATGGATATCAGCATCTGCTCTGGTGGAAGTAGCAGGGGAATGAAGTGGACTCTGTGAGGGTCCTTGGTTGTATTTTTATTAAGTGCACTGGTTTTATGTTGGTTAGCCTCCAGCCAGGAGGTGGCACTTCCAAGAGCATATCAGCTGTGGTAGTATAGGGAGCACTGGGTGATGGGCAGGGCCATAGAGCTCCTAAGAGATTACATCCTTTGTCTTCAGCTACCAGGGCTGGTAGAGAAAGACCATCAGGTAGGGGCAGGGTTAGGCGTGTCTGAGCTTAGACTCTACTTGGGTAGGCCTTGCTGCAGCTGTTGTGAGGGATGGGGTATGGTTCCCAGGCCAATGGAGTTATGTTCCCAGGGAGATTATGGCTGCCTCTGCTGCATTATACAGGTCACCAGGGACATGGGGGAAAACTGGCAGCCATAGGCTTCACCCAGCTCCCATGCAGCTCACAGCTTGAAAGCCTGGTCTCACTTCCACCATGCCCCAACAACAGCACCGAATTTGTTTCCAGGCAGCCAGTGGGCAGGGCTGAGAACTTGCCTCAGGTTACAAGCCTCCCAGCTGAGAAAGCAAGCTGACTCAGAGTTCCTCACCTGCCCCATGGAGCCTACCAAAGCAATCCATCTCCTTCAAAGGGTCTGTGGATTCGCTCAGATTTCCTGGTATATGCCTGTGGTAGTTCTTGGAGCAAAAGTTCCAATGTGGGTCTCCACATGCTGCTCTGTCTGTCTGAGTGGGAGCTGCAAGTTAGTCCTGCCTCCTATCTGCCATTTTTCCTCTACCTCCCATCGCAAGTTTTAAATTGAGACCAAAGTGCATTTCTCTGAGCATTTTTTTCTGGGTAAATGTGGGTGCAGAGTAGATAGAGAGTTGCATTTAACTAGGTTCAGAATTTTTGCAGAGTGAGCATAATAAAAAAGAGAGATAATGGAGATGAGGGTATATGCAATGAAATGATTAAAAAATAATGGGTGATATAATTTAAGCTGGGTATGGTAGGGTGACAAGAGAATATAAAGGGAGTAAAGGAAGAGGGGAATACAGTCTGTTTTATGAACTGCTCTGGTCATTAAGTCTATTTTTCCCTCTTTAGTTGCTGTTGTAGCCCTTTTATTGCCCAGATACCACAATGGCAACATTGGCTCCTACTGAACAATTGTGATCAGGGCCATTAGAATATCTTCAAAAAGAAATGTGAGCCACCCAGGACCCAGCAGTCATGGTAATGAAATAGCATAGTGCCTTGAAGTCAAATGCCATTGCAATATGGTTGGCATCCAACCCTACTTGTGTCCAGGGTTGCACCTAACCCTACTTGTTTCCAATTTGGTGTGATTTGGAGAGAGAGAGAGCGAGAAAGGAAAATATCTACCTATCTATATATACACACACATGTGTATGTATATATTCATTCCTCATGAGAGAACAATCACTACAAACTATGTATTGAGAGTAATTCTGTGAATAGGCATATGTAACTTATGTTTCACCTCTGTGAGTGTAAGAGTGTATATCACTGTGAACTGGCATGTATCAAATGTCTAGCTCTTCTCATAGGGCAGGACAGTTCTGTGATTTGTGCTTTCTTTCTGCCTTTTCCAAGATACCCACAGCTGGCCACCAGAAGAGAGGTCAAAGTCCCTGTTTGCCCTTTAGCCTGAGTCAAACTGTCTCCACCAACCTGTCATATTCATTCATCTTCAGACTTCCCATACTGTACTGCATTCACCCCCATCCAGATTGCTAAAATGGCAGTATAGCATGGCCATAGAGTCCCATTACTTTACCAGCAACACAGGGAACATTGTTTTTCCTGATCAAATGAGATTCAGTTACATGTCAGGGAAAATCAGCATCAGCAGCTTGTGTCATTTAATAAAACCTAAAGTTACAAGTGTCCCGAATAGTTCCCTTAGAAGCTATTTTAAGTGGACAGCCCTTCCCCAGAAAGCCCCGTGAGTAAAGAATAACAGAAGTTAATTTTAGCAAGCACTTTTTAACCTACATTTGGGGACAAAAATGCCAGGAAACCTATTATATAATTGAAGTAAAAAGAAACCCTCTGGGTGTGACAAAAAGTTGTCTGTCTCAAGTTACTGCAAATGGAAAAATGATATACCGAGGAGCTTGGTATTTGAGAAGTCCAATAGCGAGAAACTTTATTTGCTGAGATGGCAAATGAGGGCACCTGGATGTTAAAGAACACTTGACACTTTGGGCTGCAAGGCTGCTGGAATGTTCCCATGGGGCATTCATGTTCCCAAGTGGAATGGAGCCTCCCATTGGAAATAATAATTCCACACCAAAATATGAAGATCAGAAACCGTATTTGTTCATCTGGCAGAACTCCTAAGAATCCCGGATGTGCTTTAAACCTAAGCTCTTTACAAACTAGAGTTTCCAGAATAAGGTAGTCAAAGTATTACTGTACCTTCCTTACCTCATTCAGTATTCAGGACTATTCAAGCTGATTATCTTCCTAGATATCTGATCTGCCACTCTCCTGCATTTCTACCCTATGTGACCTGTCCATTGTTCCTGGCCCCTGCCTCTTCTCAGCTTCAAGTGGCTTCTTCAGCATGGCTGCAGAGTGCCAGTTTGTCCACTCACTAGTTGGATAGCCTTAGCCAGGTCACAGGATCTCTCTAAAACTGTTTCTCACCTGCAAAGTGAGTGATTTGAAAATATCTACTTCCCTTTGTTGTTGAGTAAAGTAAAGGAGAAAAAGGTAAAGACTTTTAACAAATTATAATCGTTTAAAAATATAAATTAATTCTTTGTGAATATGATCTTCTGACTTCCTTGAAAATAAAACTGGCAACCAGGTTTTGACCTTGGTCTACTTTCTGCTTGAATTTAGTAACCAGTTTCTTTCCTGATGGAAGGAAATTTCCCTAGCAGATGTTGGTTCTCTTACCCCACTCTCTAGAGTTTTATTAGGCACAGCTTCCATTCCTCTGCTGTCTTAGCTTCCATGATTAGTTCACCTACAGTTCCCTGAAATGCTCTGTAAAGGGCACTAACCTTGTGTGTCCTTCTAAAGATTGCACAGTACCAGCAACCACTGTTATGTAGAAAAGGCATGATTAAAAAGTCATACAAAGATGTTCAGCAGTTTATCTTATGATCTTTTTTTTCATGTTATTTCATTGGTGATCCACTACAACTTTTGACAGAGGAAAAATGATTCCAGGTCTTCGGATTGAAAACCCCCAAGACTTGTAGAAATTAAAGGTATTGTTTATGGGCTTTCTTCTCATTACATTGTTGCTTATGTCCGAAAATCCAGGGTTTAGCCACCAGGTTTTAGTAGATCTCAGATGGCACACACAAGCTGGGTCATTGAAGACAGCTTAATAGATTATTTACAAAGCAGTGGGCAGGGCTCAGGAAGTCAACATGGGATGGTATAGTACCTCTGGGCTACTAACAAAGAGGATTTGCTACCACTTCAGACGTGAAGGGCAAAAGAGAAAGTTATTACAGGAATCTAGAAAAAGGGTTATATGGAAAGATGTCAACTCAATATAATCCAGCAGGAAAATTTACTCCAGGGAGTTAATTCTCCAGTTTCATTCTGTTATGCTGCCTCTGTCCTTGATTTCTTCCTATCATCTTCATTGCCAGAATGCAACTGGAAGCCAGAAGCCAAATATGCAGAAGAGTAGAGATAAATACAGAGTGGATCTATAGGGACAAATAAGATGTAAATAGGAAAAAAATGATTTTATTTGCTATGGAACCCAGATTCATTCTCTCTCTCCCTCCCCCTCCCCCCTCCTCCTCCCCTCCTCCCCCTCCCCCTCCTCCTCCCCCTCCCTCCTCCTCCTCCCCCTCCATCCTCTTCCCCATCCCCCCTCCTCCCCCTTCCCCTCCTTCTCCTCCCACCCCTCCTCTTTTCTACCCACCTCCTCCTCCTCTTCTACTTCTCCTCCTCCTTTCCCCCCTCCTGTTCTTCTCCTCTTCCTCCTCCTCTTCTCCTTTTCCCTCCTTCTCCTTCCTCTTCCTCTCCTTCTCCTTCTCCTTGTTCTTCTTCTTCTTCTCCTCCTCCTCTTCCTTCTTCTTCCTCTTCCTCTTCCTCCTCCTCCTCTTCCTCCTCTTCTCCTTCTCCTCCTCCTCCTTCTTCTTCCTCTTCTCATTTTTCATCTCTTTCTTCTTCTTCTTCTTCCCCTCCTCCTCCTTCTTCTCCTTATTTTCATCTTGTTATTCTGCATCTTACTCTCTTTCTCTGTCCCAATTTTTTATTCTAGAATAGTTTTACATTTACAAAAAAATACAGAGAGTACAGAGAGTTTCCATATACCATACATCCAGGTTCCCCACTATTATTAGCATTTTACTTTAGTATGGTGCATTTGTAACAACTAATGAGCCAGTATTGGAACATTATTATTAACTAAAGTTCATAGTTTATCTAAAGTGTCTTAGTTGTTATCTAATGTCCTTTTTCTGGTTCACTGTCCCATCCAGGCTATAGAATTACATTTAGTAAAGTCTCCTTAGGCTCCTCTTGGCCATAATCATTTCTCAAACTTTGCTTATTTTTGATAGCCTTGACAGTTTAGAGGAGTGCTGATCAGGTATATTGTAGAATATTCTTTCATTGACATTTTTCTGATAGTTCTCTCATGATTAGATTCTCTCATGATTATGGGTTTTTGAGAAGAGAATCACAGCAATAAAATGCCATTCATCACATCATATCGAGGGTACATAATATCAATAGGACTTATCACTGTTTGTCTGTCTTTGTTATTTATGGTTATCACTGATGATGTTGATCACCGAAATGGAATAGTTTGTGAGGTTTCTCCACTATGACGTGACTCTCATTTTTCTCTTTCCATACTGTACCCTTTGTAAGGAAATCACTATGTGCAGCACAAACCTAGGAAACAGAGAGTTATGCTTCACCTCTTTAAAGGTGGAGTAGCTATATAAATTATTTGGAATTCTTTCTCATGGGAAATTTGTCTATTTTGCCTTATTTATTTATTTGTCCAATAATTTCTTTATATTCAATAAAAGCCCTCATTTCTTTCATCAGAGGATAGTATTAGAAACCAAGATCTGGGCTCCAGGTGTACTTGTTGATACTGTGGTGTTGTTTCTAGGCTATTTTAGCAAACAGTCAAGGAAATATCAATGTGCACACTAACCAATGTATATACACATACTGTAAATGTTTCTCTAAGTAACTATCTGTACCTACATTAAGATAAGCCTGAATTCATACTGATTCCTCCAACTCTAATTTGTTACTACATGGATCATTCTAGCCTTCTCCTATTGCTTATCTGTAACCCCCCAGTCTAGCAATGAGAAATCTGTCAGTCACCATCCACCATCTATTTACTTAATTGTTTAATTCTAGTACACACGTATACTGGTTTCAGAATTTTATTCTTTACCTCCATGGGGAGCTTATAAACTACAGTACAGTGCTTTTGTAAAATTCCTTTCCTTTAGTCTTATAAAAGCCTCATTTTCAAAATCATCTAGGTCAGCACCTTTTTCTTCCATTGTATTTTGTGAGGTTGTTTCATACATTTGCAATACAGTCAAATTGCCACATTCAGCATCCCATTTTGGGATCCCCTAACTTTGTAAGAAAATTATTGCATACCTTAAAGTTCACTGTTCATGGTATGAAATTGTATGAGTTTTGACAAATGCTTAGTGTCATGTATCTATTACTGCAGCATCATACAGAGAAGTTTCACTGTTCTAAGTATCCCCTGTGCTTCACATATTCAACCTCTCTATCTTCAACTCTTTGAAAATACTGATCTGTTTATCATGTCCCTAGTTTTATGTTTTTCAGAATATCATGTATGTAATCAGAAATTTATTCATTTATTCTAGGTTTTCTAGTTTTTGAGTGTATAGTTGTTGATAATAGTCTCCAATGATCTTTTGTATTTCTGTGACATCAGTTGTAATCTCTTCGTTTCCATTTATAATTTTGGATATTCTCTCTTCTTTTCCTGGTTAGTTTAGCTAGTGGTTCATAAATTTTGTTAATCTTTTTGTTTGTTTGTTTGTTTTTGAGACAGAGTCTCGCTCTGTTGCCCAGGCTGGAGTGCAGTGTCATGATCTCGGCTCACTGCAACCTCCACCTCTCAGGTTCAAGCAATTCTGCCTCAGCCTCCCGAGTAGCTGGGACTACAGGTGCATGCTGCCATGCCCGGCTAACTTTTCGTATTTGGTAGAGATGGGGTTTCACCATGTTGCCCAGGCTGGTCTCTAACTCCTGAGCTCAGGCAATTCGCCTGTCTGGCCTCCCGAAGTGCTAGGATTACAGGCTTGAGCCACCGCACCCAGTGCAATTTTGTTTATCTTTTCAAATAACAAGCGTTTCATTTCATTTTTTTTTTTTTTTTGTCTCTCATATTTTTCTGTGATTGTTGATACTTCTTTTCTTCTGCTAACTTTGTGTGAGGTTTATTCTTGTTTTCCTAGTTCCTGGAGGTGCAGCATTAGGTCGTTTATTTCTGATCTTTCTACTTTTTTGATGTAGACATTTAATGCTACAAAATTCCTTCTTAGCACTGCTTTTGCTGTACCCTAGAGGTTTCTTTCCACATTACATTTCCTTTTTCACTCATTTCAAAAAAAATTTTTTTTTGAGATGGAGTTTCACTCTTGTTGCCCAGGCTGGAGTGCAATGGCATGATCTAGGCTCACCGCAACCTCCGCCTCCCAGGTTCAAGTGATTCTCCTGCCTCAGCCTCCCTAGTAGCTGGGATTACAGGCATGTACCACCATGCCCAGCTAATTTTGTATTTTTAGTAGAGACAAGGTTTCTCCATGTTGATCAGGCTGGTCTCAAACTCCCGACCTCAGGTGATCCGCCCACCTCTGCCTCCCAAAGTGCTGGGATTACAGGCATGAGCCACCATGCCTGACTCAAAAAATTTTTAAATTTGCGTCTTAATTTCTTCATTGACCCAAAGATGATTCAGAAGCATGTTGTTTAATTCCCATGCATGAATATAGTTTCTGAAGTTCCTCTTGATATTAATTTATTGTTTTATTCTGTAGTTATCTGGGCAGATATTTGATATGATTTCAACTTTTTAAAATTTATTGACTTGTTTTGTGCCTTAACATATGATCTATCTTGGAGAATGTCCCATATGCTGATGAGAAGAATGTATTATACAGTTTTGGGGTAGAAAGTTCTAAAAATGTCTGTTGGGCCCATTGGGTCTAAAGTTCAACTTATGTTAAGTGTTCCTTTATTGATTTTCTGTCTTGCTGATCTGTGTAGTGCTTTTAGTGGGGTGTTAAAAGTCTTGAATATTATTATATTGTTGTCTGTCTCTTTCTTTAGGTTTATTAATATTTGTTTTATTAATTTAGTTGCTCCATTATTGGGTGTATATACCTTTACCATTATATACTTTTCTACTTTGTCTTTTTTTGTTGTTTTGCTTTGTTTTGTTATTGATTTATCTGATACAAGTATAACTACTCCTGCTTGACTTTGGTTTCTGTTTGTGTTGAATATCTTTTTCCAGCCCTTTATTTCCAGTTAAATGTATCTTTACTGGTAAGGTGAATCTCTTGTTAGCATATAGTTGAATCATGGTTTTTAAATTCATCCCACAAATCTAAGTCTTTCATATGGAGCATTTAATTTATTTATATTCCAGATTAATATTGATAGGTGAGATTTCTGTCATATCGTTAATTGTTACCTAGTTGTTTTTCAATTCTTTGTTTCTTTCTTTTTCTCAAACTGTCTTTGTGGTTTGGTGGAATTCTGTCATGTTGTCACTCGATTCCCTTATTTTCTTCCATTGTGTGATTGTTTTATAAGACCTGTGAGTTTTATACTTTCATGTATTTTTACAATGGTAAATATTGACTTTTCATTTCCATACTTAGGACTCTTTGGAACATTTTTGTACAGCCTGTCTAGTGGTGACAACTCCCTTAGTGTTTGCTTATCTGGGAAATACTTTCTTTCCTCTTCATCTGTTAATCTTAATGTAGCTGGATATAAAATTTTGACTGGAGGTTGTTTTACTTTTAGCACTTTGAAAATGCTATCTCATTTAATTTTAACTCGTAAGTTTTCTGCTGAGAAGTCTGCTGTTAGTCTGATGGAGTTTCCTTTATAGATGACGAGATGCCTTTGTCATGCCAATTTTAAAATTCTCTTCATGTTGACTTTAGGTAGTCTGATTACACTATGTTGTGGTGAATTTCTTTTTGCAATGAATTTTTCTGGAGATCCTTGGGCCATACCTGGATGTCTAAGTCTCTTGTTAGACTTGGGAAATTTTTACCATTAAAAAAATAGACCCTCAATATAATAATATAAATAAATATATAAATATATATATATAAATAAATATATATAAAATTCAGGGCTTTTCAATTTTTCTTCCCTCTTGGGAATATTGGTAATTTGTAAGTCTCATGGATATATGTATTCCCATATGTCTCAAAGGCTTTGCTTATTTTTAATTCTTTTATTTTTTAATTTTTGTCTGACTGCATTATTTCAAAAGACCTATCTTCAAGTTGTGAGAGTCTTTCTTCTGCCTGGTCTAGTCTGTTTTTAAATGTTTCTAATGCATTTTATAATTCCTTCAATAAATTTTTCAATTCCAGAATTTCTGTTTGGTTTTTCTTAAGATATTTATATCTTTGATAAATTTCCCATTTATATCCTGAATTGATTTTCTAATTTCTCTGTATTAATTTTCATATGTCTTTTGCATCTCATTGAGCTTTAAAATCATTATTTTAAATTCTTTATCTGGCATTCCAAGAATTTTTTTTTCTTTTTGGTTAGAATCTATGGCTGAGAATTATTGTGATCCTGCGAGGGTGTCATAATACCTTGCTTTTTCATGCTTCCTGTATATTTATTCATTTCAGCACATCTGCAGTAGCAATAACTTCTTATTTTTGAATTTACTTTTGTTGGGGGAGACAGGCTTATGGCTGTCTGAGCAGCTGCTGTAGTGTAAGCAGTGAGGTTAGCAGTGGTTGTGAGATTTTCTCATTCCTGAGCACCATGCTGTTGTGTCAGCAGTTGTAATGGACTGTGTGGGCATACTTCCAGTAGGTGATGCTTGCAAGTAAGAACCAGCTGCAGTGGTAGCAGTAGGGTTTGTACCCAACCCCTATTAGCCAAAAAAAAAAAAAAAAAAAAAAACTACTTGGTTGTCTCAGGTGGTGAGTCGGGCCATGGATCATCCAGGACCCTGGGTCCCATCCTCTGTTTGGAGGTGGTACAAAGCTAGACAGAACTGGACCAGAGAAGCCTGCACTCAGGTCTCTCAATGGCAGGTACAAGCACTAGCCCTGACAGGTGCAGTGAGGCACTCCTCAGGTCTGTGGCAAAATGCCTAGGTGAGAGGCAACTGCTGCTGCACCAGGGTCTCGGCAAGGAGTGGTCCTAGTACCACAGCCTTTGCCAGTGGGAGTGAAATCTACTTTCCTCTCATGCCCCAGACCTAATGGGGCTCCCTTCTCTATTTCAGCTGTGGCAGGTAGTAAGGATATTCAGTTAGTTACATCAGTTTCTAGTCTGCAATGCAGTCCCAGATCTTAGGTGTCACCACCAGTGTCAATAGCATGACTCCCTGGCCACTCTTTCTGCTCCAGGCCCAGGGATATTGGAGAGCCTAGTTCCAGCACCAGCAGCTGGAGCCCACACTGCCCTCAAATTTCAGTTCTGGCTGTGAAAGCCCCTCCCCTGCTAGACCCTCAGTTCTCCATGCCCAAGCCCAAGTGTCTCTAGTGCCAAAAATTGTCACTGCTACTAGTTCCCAGGACCCTGCACAGCTTGCTAAAAGCTAGGATAAAATATAGTATTCTCCTGTAGGTGCTCAGGTCTGGGGGAATGCATGAAACACTTCCCAGAGTAGTTTCTTCTCACAGTCTCCTGGCTACTTCCCAAGTTATATCCAGGGCTAGGGAGGGTCAAGGTGCGCTCCTATGGCCTGGATTGCACAACTCCCCTGTAGGAAAGTGAACCATAGAGACACACTCACCTGCTCCCATTTTGAGGATTCACACCCTGTTTTCAGCTGGTCCTGGCCACATGGGCTGCCTGTTCTTTTATTCCTCCCTAAATTCTAGTGTTTCCTTTTGCTTTTCTGTTTAACTCTTGTGTTCCTTCTTGGATAAACTTTCAAAAAGTGAAATTATTTCGTTTTTTTTAAGCCGATGAGGCATGCTGGAAAGGCCTCTAGTCAGCCATCTTAAAAAAGAAACAAACATCTCTCTTCTTTCCCAATACAGATATTTAAAGCTATGAATTTTCCTCTAACCACTGTTTTTGCCTCATTCTACAAATTTTGATAAGTTGTGTATTTATTTTAATTTCATTCAAAATGTTTTAACTTTCTCTTGAGACTTCTTTGACATATGGGTTATTTATAATTGTGTCATTTTATTTCCAAATACTTTCCAGTTAACTTTTTGTTACTGATTTCTGATTTAATTCCTGTTCTAGGAACATGTTTCATGTAAGTTCTATTCTTTAAAAGTTGTTAAAGTTTGTTTTATGATCCAAAATGAGGTATATCTTACTAAATACTCCATGTGAGCTTGAGAATATGTATTCTGCTGTTGTTGAAAAAAAATTCTATAAATGTCAATTAAATCAAATTAATTGACAGTAATTCAGGTCATCTATATCCTTACTGCTTTTCTGCTTTCTTGATTTATTAACAAAAGTGTTGAAATCTCAAACTATTATGGTGGATTTTTCTATTTTTCCTTTCAGTTCTGTCAAATTTTGCCTCATGTATTTTGACACTTTGTAGTAAGTACATGTTTAGAATTATATGTTTTCTTGGATAATCAGCCTCTTTATCATTATGTAATGCACCTCTCGATTGCTGATAATCTTCCTTGTCTGAAGTCAGCTTTGTCTGAAATTAATATAGCTACTTCAGCTTTTTACTTTTTATGTGGATGAATATATATATATATATATTACTAATTTAAGTGTACAGTTCTGTGGCAGTAAGTACATTTACATTGTTGTGCAACCATCACTACCATCTGTTTCCGAAACTTTTTATTATTTCCCAACTGAAACCTTGTAGCCATTAAATATAAACTTTTCATTCTTCACTTTCCCACGCCTGGTATACCACTATTCTACTTTCTGTCTATGAATTAGACTATTCTAGGTACTTTGTGTAAATAAGTTTGTACAATATTTATCCTTTTGTGACTGAATTGTTTTACTTGGCATAATGTCAAGGTTAATCCATGTTGTAGCATGTGTCTAAATTTTCTTCTTCCTTAAGGCTTAATGATATTCCACAGTATGTGTGTGTGTGTGCGTGTGTATATATATATATATATATATATATATATATATATATATATATATATATATACATTTTGTTTATCCATCCATTCATCAATTGATGGGCACTTGGGTTGCTCCATCTCATTTTTAACCTACCTGAATCTTTATATTTAAAGTCAGTTTCTTACTAACAGCATATAGCAGGTCTTCTTTTTAAATCCACTTTGGCAATCTCTGTCTTCTTATTGGTGTTTTTAAACCATTAACATTTAAAATGATTATTAATATACTTGGATTAATACATATCATGTTTGTAACTGTTTCCTATGCATTGCATTTGTTGTTTCTTTTTTTCTGCCTATTGTGGTTTTAACTGAATATTTGATATAATTCTATTTTATCTCCTCTCTAGCATACAAATTATACATCTTTAAAACATTTGTGGTTGCCCTAGAGTTTATAAAATGTATTTGTGATAATCTAAGTTCACCTTAAAATAACATTAAGCTACTGTATATGTTGTGTGATACCTTGTAACACAGTATTTCCAATTCTGCCTCCCATTCCTTGTGACATTGCTATAATCACCCAGTACGTCACTACTATCATTGTTTCAAATACATAGTACTTGATATAAATTTTATTTCAGTTTTAAAAAGTGCCTTTACTTCAACTCCTATATCCTATCAGCTTTGTGATATAACACCTCACAAATTTTACATCTTGGTCACCATAGGTTAGTGGACCATATCCCATTCTAAACTGAAACCATGCAATTCTCCACTAAAAACAAAAATGACTGATAAAATAATTTGTTTGCCAATATTATTTTTTGAGGCAACTGAATTGGTTGAGTTTCCACAACTGTCCAGAGTGACCATTTGGAGGTCAATGTGTAAGATCTATTGATTCAATTTCTTCAATACTAATCAGACATTACGTTGACTGAAATAAATTGACCATGTCTGGATAGTTTAGTAGTTATGACAAGCATTTCAAATTGACCATTCAGCAACAAATCCTTTGCCATGTAGGCAGCTCTCCACTTAGAAATGGGTATGGTTCTGAAAGTTCATTCTAAATTAGTTGTTTAAAACTCAGAATATATAACTTCTAAGCTAATACTTTACTGAGGACTCAAAAACATAAACCAAGTTCCCAATCAGGCTGTCACACACACATAAACTTGACAATGTTTTGTGCCTCTAGTATTGGAAAAAAAATACATTTTGAGTTATAAACTGATAATTGAGAATACATACATTCTTCCATTGATTAAAGTATTGCTAGCTGCCATAAAAGACAAACACTAAAATATATAATTACTCATATATGTTACAAATTTATTAATTCTTGACAAAGTCTAAAACAGATATTTCTGACTGGCCTTAATCTAAGCAGTAATAGAATCCCAGGTTCCTTCCTTTATGTAATTCTTTAATTTTAACAGTTGAATTTCAAGATCACTAAGTTAGTGATATGGTTTGGCTCTGTGTCCCCACCCAAATCGCATCTCGAATTGTAATCCCCATAATCCCTACATGTCGAGGGAGGGACCTGGTGAAAGGTGATTGGATCATGGAGGCGTTTCCCCCGTGCTGTTTTCATGATGGTGAGTGAGTTCTCACAAGATCTGATGGTTTTATGAGTGTTTGACAGTTCCTTCTTCGAGTACCCTCTCTTGCCATCTCTTTCTGCTGCCGCCTCGTGGAGAAAGTGCCTGCTTTCCCTTCTGCCTTGATTGTAAGTTTTCTGAAGCCCCCCAAGCCATGCAGAACTGTGAGTCAATTAAACTCTTTCCTTTACAAATTACCCAGTCTAGGGGAAGTTATAGCAGTGTGAAAATGGACTAACACAATTAATCCATCTGAGGCTGTGGGAGTGGGGGAAGTACATGCTAATGGGGTCCAGTCTTGGGAAAGAGGACAAAGGGATGCTGAGTGAAAAGGGTGGCACTTAACTCTAGTCCCAGTAAGCAGCTGAGATGAAAGCAAATAATCAAAATAACTTGATTTTAATCCTATTTAATCTGCCAGCAACATTCAATTCTTGATCTCTCTGTCATTATTGAAATATCTTCTTGGTGTCCACAACACAAGGCTTCTAGTTTTCTTTTGCTTTCCCACCCCTTTTTTTTTTTCTTCATGTGTAGTTTCTCCTTATGGCTGGCTTAGGCTCTCTTCACTGCCTACTCTGTATTTTTCATTTGTTATTGCATACACATCTAAATCTTTAGTTTCACCTGTATGCAGTTGATTCACAAGTTTGTATCTCCAGCCCAGAACTTTTTCTGTATAAACTCTGTTTATCCAGCTCTATATCCCCTAGTTGGCATCTCCTATTAGAAATATCGGAGACCCAGCCAGGCTTGGTGGCTTATGTCTGTAATTCCAGCACTTTGGGAGGCTGAGGAGGGTGGATCACGAGGTGAGGAGTTTGAGACCAGCCTGGCCAACAGAGTGAAACCTCGACTCTACTAAAAATACAAAAATTAGCTAGGCATGGTGGCATGTGCCTATAGTCCCAGCTACTCGGGAGGCTGAGGCAGGAGAAACACTTGAACCTGGGAGGTGGAGGCTGTGGTGAGTTGAGATTGTGCCACTGCACTCCAGCCTGGGCAACAGAGTGAGACTCCATCAAAAAAAAAAAAAAAAAAAAAAGAAATATTGGCAACCCTTTAAAGTCAAAATTCCCACAGAAACCTTACTGTTCCCCACTTATGCTGTATCACCAAGATTCCACTAAAAATTTTAAATTTTAATTAAGTGTAGCTTCTCAATTCTTTCTTTCATGGACCGTGAATCTGGTGTTGTATCTCAAATGTTATTGCCAAACCCTAGATCATCTAGATTTTATCCAATGTTATCTTCTTGCAGTTTTATAGTTTTGAAAACCTTGCTATCTGAAGTGTGGTTTGAGGAACAGTAGTTGCCCTTGCTCATTAGAGGCTCATTAGAATAATAGGGTCTGAGAGCCCACTGCAGACTTAGTAAATCAGAATCTACATTTTGACAAAATTTTTAGGTCACTCATTTGCACATTAAAGTATGAGAAGCACTGCACTAAAAGGCCAAGTTATCCATTTGTCTTCTTTCTTACTTCCAGCCCCTTAGTTACCACTGCCTCTCACATGAACTACTGCAAACTTCCTACGTTGATCACTTTCATATTTTTTAAATAGAGTTTATTTTTCAGAGCAATTTTACGTTGATAGCAAAATTGAATAAGAAGTACAAAGATTCCCTTATACCTTCATCTCCACACATCCATAGCTTGCCTTATTATCAACATCCCCCACCAGAGTGGTGCATTTGTTACAAATGATGAACTGACACTGACACATTATTATCACCTGGAGTCCATAGTTTGCATTAGGGTTGACTCTTGGTATTGTATATTTTATGTGTTTAGACAAACTAATAATGAAATGTATCCATCATTATAGTATCATACAGAGTAGTTTCACTGCCCTACAAATCCTCCATGGTCTGGCTACTCATCTCTCCCTCACTTCCTGCTAATCCCGGGCAACCACTGACACTTTTACTCATTCTGTGGTTTTACCTTTTCCAGAATGTCACATAGTTGAAGTCATACAGAAGTAGTCTTTACAGATTGGCTTCTTTCACTTAATAATATGTATTTAAGTTTCCTCTATACCTCTTCATGGCTTCATAGCGCATTTCTTTTTATGACTGAATAATATTCCATTGTCTGGATATGTGCAGTTTATTAATCCATTCACTTACTGAAGCTTGCCTTAGTTGCTTTAAAGTTTTGGCAATTATGAATAAAGCTGATAAAAACATCCATGTGCAGGTTTTTGTGTGGACATAAGTTCTCAACTCCTTTGGGTAAATACCAAGAAATGTGATTGCTGGATTGTAGGTAAGAGTATATTTAGTTTTGTAAGGAGCTGCCAAACTTTTCCAAATTGATTGTACCATTTTGCCTTCCAGCCAGCAATACACAAGAGTTCCTGGTGCTCCACATCTTTGTTAGCATTTGATGTTGTGAGTGTTTTGGATTTTGACAACTCCAATAGGTATAGAGTAGTACCCCATGGTTGTTTTAATTTGCATTTTTATGATGACATATGCTGTGGAATATCTTTTTATATGCTTATTTACCATTCAAATATCTTCTCTGGTGAGGTGTCTATTAAGATATTTGGCCGATTTTTATTTTATTTATTTATTTATTTATTTATTTATTTTATTATACTTTAAGTTTTAGGGTACATGTGCACATTGTGCAGGTTAGTTACATATGTATACATGTGCCGTGCTGGTGCGCTGCACCCACTAACTCGTCATCTAGCATTAGGTATATCTCCCAATGCTATCCCTCCCCCCTCCCCCCACCCCACCACAGTCCCCAGAGTGTGATATTCCCCTTCCTGTGTCCATGTGATCTCATTGTTCAATTCCCACCTATGAGTGAGAATATGCGGTGTTTGGTTTTTTGTTCTTGCGATAGATTACTGAGAATGATGGTTTCCAATTTCATCCATGTCCCTACAAAGGACATGAACTCATCATTTTTTATGGCTGCATACTATTCCATGGTGTATATGTGCCACATTTTCTTAATCCAGTCTATCATTGTTGGACATTTGGGTTGGTTCCAAGTCTTTGCTATTGTGAATAATGCCACAATAAACATACGTGTGCATGTCTCTTTATAGCAGCATGATTTATAGTCCTTTGGGCATATACCCAGTAATGGGATGTCTGGGTCAAATGGTATTTCTAGTTCTAGATCCCTGAGGAATCGCCACACTGACTTCCACAATGGTTGAACTAGTTTACAGTCCCACCAACAGTGTAAAAGTGTTCCTATTTCTCCACATCCTCTCCAGCACCTGTTGTTTCCTGACTTTTTAATGATTGCCATTCTAACTGGTGTGAGATGATATCTCATGGTGGTTTTGATTTGCATTTCTCTGATGGCCAGTGATGATGAGCATTTTTTAATGTGTTTTTTGGCTGCATAAATGTCTTCTTTTGAGAAGTGTCTGTTCATGTCCTTCGCCCACTTTTTGATGGGGTTGTTTGTTTTTTTCTTGTAAATTTGTTTGAGTTCATTGTAGATTCTGGATATTAGCCCTTTGTCAGATGAGTAGGTTGCGAAAATTTTCTCCCATGTTGTAGGTTGCCTGTTCACTCTGATGGTAGTTTCTTTTGCTGTGCAGAAGCTCTTTAGTTTAATTAGATCCCATTTGTCAATTTTGTCTTTTGTTGCCATTGCTTTTGGTGTTTTGGACATGAAGTCCTTGCCCACGCCTATGTCCTGAATGGTAATGCCTAGGTTTTCTTCTAGGGTTTTTATGGTTTTAGGTCTAACGTTTAAATCTTTAATCCATCTTGAATTGATTTTTGTATAAGGTGTAAGGAAGGGATCCAGTTTCAGCTTTCTACATATGGCTAGCCAGTTTTCCCAGCACCATTTATTAAATAGGGAATCCTTTCCCCATTGCTTGTTTTTCTCAGGTTTGTCAAAGATCAGATAGTTGTAGGTATGCGGCATTATTTCTGAGGGCTCTATTCTGTTCCATTGATCTATATCTCTGTTTTGGTAACAGTACCATGCTGTTTTGGTTACTGTAGCCTTGTAGTATAGTTTGAAGTCAGGTAGTGTGATGCCTCCAGCTTTGTTCTTTTGGCTTAGGATTGACTTGGCGATGCGGGCTCTTTTTTGGTTCCATATGAACTTTAGTTTTTTCCAATTCTGTGAAGAAAGTCATTGGTAGCTTGATGGGGATGGCATTGAATCTGTAAATTACCTTGGGCAGTATGGCCATTTTCACGATATTGATTCTTCCTACCCATGAGCATGGAATGTTCTTCCATTTGTTTGTATCCTCTTTTATTTCCTTGAGCAGTGGTTTGTAGTTCTCCTTGAAGAGGTCCTTCACATCCCTTGTAAGTTGGATTCCTAGGTATTTTATTCTCTTTGAAGCAATTGTGAATGGGAGTTCACTCATGATTTGGCTCTCTGTTTGTCTGTTGTTGGTGTATAAGAATGCTTGTGATTTTTGTACATTGATTTTGTATCCTGAGACTTTGCTGAAGTTGCTTATCAGCTTAAGAAGATTTTGGGCTGAGACGATGGGGTTTTCTAGATAAACAATCATGTCGTCTGCAAACAGGGACAATTTGACTTCCTCTTTTCCTAATTGAATACCCTTGATTTCCTTCTCCTGCCTGATTGCCCTGGCCAGAACTTCCAACACTATGTTGAATGGGAGTGGTGAGAGAGGGCATCCCTGTCTTGTGCCAGTTTTCAAAGGGAATGCTTCCAGTTTTTGCCCATTCAGTATGATATTGGCTGCGGGTTTGTCATAGATAGCTCTTATTACTTTGAAATACATCCCATCAATACCTAATTTATTGAGAGTTTTTAGCATGAAGGGTTGTTGAATTTTGCAAAGGCTTTTTCTGCATCTATTGAGATAATCATGTGGTTTTTGTCTTTGGCTCTGTTTATATGCTGGATTACATTTATTGATTTGCGTATATTGAACCAGCCTTGCATCCCAGGGATGAAGCCCACTTGATCATGGTGGATAAGCTTTTTGATGTGCTGCTGGATTCGGTTTGCCAGTATTTTATTGAGGATTTTGCATCAATGTTCATCAAGGATATTGGTCTAAAATTCTCTTTTTTGGTTGTGTCTCTGCCCGGCTTTGGTATCAGGATGATGCTGGCCTCATAAAATGAGTTAGGGAGGATTCCCTCTTTTTCTATTGATTGGAATAGTTTCAGAAGGAATGGTACCAGTTCCTCCTTGTACCTCTGGTAGAATTCAGCTGTGAATCCATCTGGTCCTGGACTCTTTTTGGTTGGTAAACTATTGATTATTGCCACAATTTCAGAGCCTGTTATTGGTCTATTCAGAGATTCAACTTCTTCCTGGTTTAGTCTTGGGAGAGTGTATGTGTCGAGGAATGTATCCATTTCTTCTAGATTTTCTAGTTTATTTGCGTAGAGGTGTTTGTAGTATTCTCTGATGGTAGTTTGTATTTCTGTGGGATCGGTTGTGATATCCCCTTTATCATTTTTTATTGTGTCTATTTGATTCTTCTCTCTTTTTTTCTTTATTAGTCTTGCTAGCGGTCTATTAATTTTGTTGATCCTTTCAAAAAACCAGCTCCTGGATTCATTGATTTTTTGAAGGGTTTTTTGTGTCTCTATTTCCTTCAGTTCTGCTCTGATTTTAGTTATTTCTTGCCTTCTGCTAGCTTTTGAATGTGTTTGCTCTTGCTTTTCTAGTTCTTTTAATTGTGATGTTAGGGTGTCAATTTTGGATCTTTCCTGCTTTCTCTTGTGGGCATTTAGTGCTATAAATTTCCCTCTACACACTGCTTTGAATGCATCCCAGAGATTCTGGTATGTTGTGTCTTTGTTCTCGTTGGTTTCAAAGAACATCTTTATTTCTGCCTTCATTTTGTTATGTACCCAGTAGTCATTCAGGAGCAGGTTGTTCAGTTTCCATGTAGTTGACCGGCTTTGAGTGAGATTCTTAATCCTGAGTTCTAGTTTGATTGCAATGTGGTCTGAGAGATAGTTTGTTATAATTTCTGTTCTTTTACATTTGCTGAGGAGAGCTTTACTTCCCAGTATGTGGTCAATTTTGGAATAGGTGTGGTGTGGTGCTGAAAAAAATGTATATTCTGTTGATTTGGGGTGGAGAGTTCTGTAGATGTCTATTAGGTCCGCTTGGTGCAGAGCTGAGTTCAATTCCTGGGTATCCTTGTTGACTTTCTGTCTTGTTGATCTGTCTAATGTTGACAGTGGGGTGTTAAAGTCTCCCATTATTAATGTGTGGGAGTCTAAGTCTCTTTGTAGGTCACTCAGGACTTGCTTTATGAATCTGGGTGCTCCTGTACTGGGTGCATATATATTTAGGATAGTTAGCTCCTCTTGTTGAATTGATCCCTTTACCATTATGTAATGGCCTTCTTTGTCTCTTTTGATCTTTGTTGGTTTAAAGTCTGTTTTATCAGAGACTAGGATTGCAACCCCTGCCTTTTTTTGTTTTCCATTTGCTTGGTAGATCTTCCTCCATCCTTTTATTTTGAGCCTATGTGTGTCTCTGCACGTGAGATGGGTTTCCTGAATACAGCACACTGATGGGTCTTGACTCTTTATCCAATTTGCCAGTCTGTGTCTTTTAATTGGAGAATTTAGTCCATTTACATTTAAAGTTAATATTGTTATGTGTGAATTTGATCCTGTCATTATGATGTTAGCTGGTGATTTTGCTCGTTAGTTGATGCAGTTTCTTCCTAGTCTCGATGGTCTTTACATTTTGGCATGATTTTGCAGCGGCTGGTACTGGTTGTTCCTTTCCATGTTTAGCGCTTCCTTCAGGAGCTCTTTTAGGGCAGGCCTGGTGGTGACAAAATCTCTCAGCATTTGCTTGTCTATAAAGTATTTTATTTCTCCTTCACTTATGAAGCTTAGTTTGGCTGGATATGAAATTCTGGGTTGAAAATTCGTTTCTTTAAGAATGTTGAATATTGGCCCCCACTCTCTTCTGGCTTGTAGGGTTTCTGCCGAGAGATCAGCTGTTAGTCTGATGGGCTTCCCTTTGTGGGTAACCCGACCTTTCTCTCTGGCTGCCCTTAACATTTTTTCCTTCATTTCAACTTTGGTGAATCCGACAATTATGTGTCTTGGAGTTGCTCTTCTTGAGGAGTATCTTTGTGGCGTTCTCTGTATTTCCTGAATCTGAACGTTGGCCTGCCTTGCTAGATTGGGGAAGTTCTCCTGGATAATATCCTGCAGAGTGTTTTCCAACTTGGTTCCATTCTCCACATCACTTTCAGGTACACCAGTCAGACGTAGATTTGGTCTTTTCACGTAGTCCCATATTTCTTGGAGGCTTTGCTCATTTCTTTTTTTTCTTTTTTCTCTAAACTTCCCTTCTAGCTTCATTTCATTCATTTCATCTTCCATTGCTGATACCCTTTCTTCCAGTTGATCGCATCGGCTCCTGAGGCTTCTGCATTCTTCACGTAGTTCTCGAGCATTGGTTTTCAGCTCCATCAGCTCCTTTAAGCACTTCTCTGTATTGGTTATTCTAGTTATACATTCTTCTAAAATTTTTTCAAAGTTTTCAACTTCTTTGCCTTTGGTTTGAATGTCCTCCCATAGCTCAGAGTAATTTGATCGTCTGAAGCCTTCTTCTCTCAGCTCGTCGAAATCATTCTCCATCCAGCTTTGTTCCGTTGCTGGTGAGGAACTGCGTTCCTTTGGAGGAGGAGAGGCGCTCTGCGTTTTAGAGTTTCCAGTTTTTCTGTTCTGTTTTTTCCCCATCTTTGTGGTTTTATCTACTTTTGGTCTTTGATGATGGTGATGTACAGATGGGTTTTCGGTGTGTATGTCCTTTCTGTTTGTTAGTTTCCCTTCTAACAGACAGGACCCTCAGCTGCAGGTCTGTTGGAATACCCTGCCGTGTGAGGTGTCAGTGTGCCCCTGCTGGGGGGTGCCTCCCAGTTAGGCTGCTCGGGGGTCAGGGATCAGGGACCCACTTGAGGAGGCAGTCTGCCCATTCTCAGATCTCCAGCTGCGTGCTGGGAGAACCACTGCTCTCTTCAAAGCTGTCAGACAGGGACATTTAAGTCTGCAGAGGTTACTGCTGTCTTTTTGTTTGTCTGTGCCCTGCCCCCAGAGGTGGAGCCTACAGAGGCAGGCAGGCCTCCTTGAGCTGTGGTGGGCTCCACCCAGTTCGAGCTTCCCGGCTGCTTTGTTTACCTAAGCAAGCCTGGGCAATGGCGGGCGCCCCTCCCCCAGCCTCGCTGCCGCCTTGCTGTTTGATCTCAGACTGCTGTGCTAGCAATCAGCGAGACTCCGTGGGCGTAGGACCCTCCGAGCCAGGTGTGGGATATAGTCTCGTTGTGCGCCGTTTTTTAAGCCGGTCTGAAAAGCGCAATATTCGGGTGGGAGTGACCCGATTTTCCAGGTGTGTCCGTCACCCCTTTCTTTGACTGGGAAAGGGAACTCCCTGACCCCTTGCGCTTCCCAGGTGAGGCAATGCCTCGCCCTGCTTTGGCTCGCGCACAGTGCGCGCACCCACTGGCCTGCGCCCACTGTCTGGCACTCCCTAGTGAGATGATCCCGGTACCTCAGATGGAAATGCAGAAATCACCCGTCTTCTGCGTCGCTCACGCTGGGAGCTGTAGACCGGAGCTGTTCCTATTCGGCCATCTTGGCTCCTCCCGATTTTTTAAGCAGAATTTTTCTTTTCTTATTGTTGAGTTTTAAGTATTCTTTGTATATTTTGGAGAACAGTCTTTTAACAGGTTTGTATTTTGAAAATATTCTTTCTCAGTTTGAGGCTTCTCTTTTTATCTTAAGTTTCACAGAGAAGAAATTCTTAATTTTAATAAAATCCTCCTTCTCAATTTTTTCTTTTATGTATCATGCCTTTGGTGTTGTATCTAAAATGTTATTGCCAAACCCTAGATCATCTAGATTTTATCCAATGTTTTCTTCTTGGAGTTTATATGGTTTTTAATTTTACACTTAGGTTTATTTTCCATTTTGAGTTAATTTATGTAAAGTGTAAGGCCTGTGTCTAGATTTATTGTTTTGCATGTAGATGTTCAATTGTTCCAGAACCATTTGTTGAAAAGACTATCTCTGTTACATTGCATTGTCTTTAATTCCTTGTCAAAGATCAGTTGATTATCTTTATGTAGGTCCTTCAACTTTGTTCTTCTCCTTCAATATTGTGTTGGCTATTCTGGGTCTTTTGCCTCTCCATATTAACTTTAGAATAAGTAGGTTTGCTGTTGCCCACAAAATAACTTTCTGGGATTTTGATTGGGGTTGCATTGAATCTATAAATCATATTTGGAAGTACTGGCATGATGACAATATTGAATCTTCTTAACCATGAAATAAAATGAAATAAGTGAAATACCTGTTCATTTACTTAGTACTTCTCTGATTTCTTTCATTAGAGTTTTGTAGCTTTTCTTGTACAGATAATGTGCGTCCTTCATATATTTTTGATCTTTTATATTAGTTTTCTATTCAAAAACCAAAATGTTCATTTACAAAACATAAGTATGGTCATATTACACCTTATGTAAAATGTTACATCTTATGATAAAGAGGATAATCCCCAGTTGACTTACCAGGAACTCCAAAACCTGAACCCTAGCAACTAATCCATCTTCATTTCATAACACTCAGATGCCCCATGTTTCTTTCCTTCATAGGCTATTTACACATGATGCTATCTCTAGTTTCCTTCCTCCCTTTCACATAATTAGCTCAAACTTATTCTTCAGGTCTCAGTTTAGCATTCCCTGACAGCCCAGGTTAGGTCAGGTTCCTTTATTACATGTACTGATATACTTTTTCTTCTTAGTAATTTCTCCTTCAACCATGTTTCTTATTTTACCTTTATATTTTTGCTTGTAATAATTATGCTTATATAACATTTTACAGTTTCATATTGTATATTTATTTGTGAATTATTTGGTCCATAAACATCTTACCACATCTTGTCTCCACACCTACTGTTAGCACCCTTCAATATAATGTGAACTCTTTGAAAACAGAAAAAATAACTATGTCCAGAGCCAGAAACATTGTTTGTGCTTAATAGCTACTTACTTAAGGAATGAAATAAATATGAATATAGTGGGCTTAGATAGAAAGCTTACAGCTCCATGCTGTAACCATAGAGATGCAAATTCTTTGGGTATTTCAGAATCCAAGCTGACTTCTTATTACTGCTAAAGCCAGACAAAAATAGATGGCTCTTCAGTGCTTCCACCTGGACAGGTAGGGAGTCTACACTGAGAGAGGGACATAGCTTCTAAAAAGGAGGCGATATTGATATAACAATGACGCTGCTGAGGCAAGTGGATTGGAGACAAAGAATTCTAAAGTACAAACATGAGAAAATTGAAGGGGAAAAGTGCCCATCAAAACTGAGTGTCCCACTGAGATTTTGAAGTAGATTATTGCTATGATCTGAGTATTCATGTCCCCCTGAAGTTAATATGTTGGAACTTATTCTCCAATCAGACAGTATTAAGAGGTAGGGCCATTAAGAGATTACTAAGTCATGAGGGTCTTGGACTTCCCAGCCACCTCTAGAATTGTAAGAAATACATTTTTATCAATCTAAGGTATTTTGTTATAGCAGCCAGAAAAAATTGCAACAGTTACCCTGCGTTGAAGGGACGACTGGACTCTGAATGACCCTTCCAGCTCTAAGACTTTTTTCTTAATTCAGTTAATCAATACATAATTATGGGTCCTCATGTAATAAATATTAGTGAGAAAATCAAGAATGTGATAGATTGTTTTTATTTTCCCTTAAAAAAGCCTAGTCTGTTGCCTAATTATGAATATATATACAGGCTCAAAGAGTGTTTTCCCTGGTATAACAGCTGATGATTTAAAAACAATTGACCAATACCAATGGTTGAAATACAATATTTGGGTTAACACAGATCAAATGCATGACAACAATTTATCTGAAAAAAGTTCAGACTATAAACCCATACTAATGAAAAACAGATGGTTTTTTTTTTACGCCAGTCAACCAAATTAGCTGTTTACATGGATTAAATGAGTTAACTAATTGCCTTCTCAGTTATCAAATGTTTATTGAACATTTACTACAGAACAGGAGCTATGCCAAGTGCTGGGAATACAGAGTGCCTAAGAAAGGTACAATTCCTTCCTTCATAGACCTTATGGTATAATGGGAGAGACAGACATTGAACAAGTAACATGAAGTTAGTAGCTATTATTCTGGTACTTGCTTGGTGCTAGTTGCTAGGGCTGCCATAACCGTGTATCCCAGATTGGGTGGCTTAAATTAGGTATCCCTAAGCCCCAGACCAGGGACTGGTACCGGTCCATGGCCCGTTAGGAACCAGGCCACACAGCAGGAGGTGAGAGGTGGGTAAATAAAGCTTCATCTATATTTACAGACACTCCCTATTGCTCAAATTACTGCCTGAGTTCCACCTCCTGTCGACTCAGTGGTGGTGTTAGATTCTCACAGGAACGTGATCCCTCTTGTGAACTGCGCATGTGTGGGATCCAGGTTGTGTGCTCCTTATGAGAGCCTAATGCCTGATGATCTATCACTGTTTTCCTTCACCCCTAGATGGGACTGTCCAGTTGCAGGAAAACAAGCTCAGGGCTCCTACTGATTCTACATTATGGTGAGTTGTAAAATTATTTCATTATATATTACTCTGTAATAATAATAGAAATAAAGTGCACCATAAATGTAATGTGCTTGAATCATCCCCAAATCATCCCCGTCCCCCTTTCTGGTCTGTGGAAAAATTGTCTTCCACAAAACCAGTCCCTGGTGCTGAAAAGGTTGGGGACCCCTGGCTTAAACATCAGAAATTTATTTTCTTACAGCTCTGAAGGCTAGAGGTCCAAGATCAAGGTGTTGGTAGGGTTCTTTCTTTTGAGTCTTCTTTCCTTGGATTATACATGGTTGTCTTCCCAATGTGTCTTCATATGGCCTTCCCTCCATGTGTGCCTGTGACCTAATTTCTTCTTTTTTAAGGAGGGACACCAGTCGTGGTGGATTTGGAGCCCACTTATACAACCTCATTTTAACATAGTTTTTTTAAAGACTCTATATTTAACCTAAAGAAGTAATTAGGTTACTTCTTTAAGGTCTATCTCCAAATACAGTCACCTTGTGAGGTATTAGTGGGTAGGACTTCAACATATGAATGCAGGGAGCATAAGTCAGCCCATAATAGTACCTCATAGTTATCTAGAAAAAATTATCCTGTGAAAATATGTGAGCCACATTTATAATTTCAAAATTTGCAGAAGCCACATTTAAAAATACCAGATGAAGTTATTTTGAATAATATATTTTGTTTAACCCAATATATCCAGAATAGTATTTCAATGTTTAATCAATATAGACAATCATTTGTGATATGTTTAACTTTTTTTGTACTATCTTTCAAATACTGTGTATATTTTACACTTATAGCACATTTGATCCAGACACTAACTTTTTATCAGAAATACTTGGCTTATATTTAGAATTAGTGAAATTTACAGTTGAAAAAATAATTTTCATACCCAGGTTGTTCCAATTATGCTATAAACTTTTCCAACAACTGAATTGAGTATCCGTTTTAAATATAAATTACTTTTTATTAAATAAGATTAAAAAGTTAGTTCCTCAGTCACATAAGCCACATTTCAAATGCTCAAATAGTCACATGTGATTAGAAGCTGTCTTAGACTGTTCAGGCTGCTATAACAAAATACCTCAGATTAGGTAATTTAATGAACAACATAAATTTATTGCTTATAATTCTAGAGGGTGTGAAGTCCCAGATCAAGGCACCAGCAGATTTGGTGTCTGGTGAAGTCATCTCTGCTTCATAGATGGCACCTTCTTTCTGCGTTTTTACATGGTGGAGGTACAAACAGCCTCCCTCAAGCTTGAGGGCACACTAATCGTCAGCTTCCCTGGTGGTCTAGTGGCTAGGATATAAGAACACTAATCCCATTCATGAGATTGGTGCTTTCATGACCTAATTACCTCCAAGGGTCCCCAAGTCTTAATACAGGTCCCTTGGGGGGTAGTTTTCCACATATGGATTTGAGGTGGGGACACGATCACTCAGATCACAGCAGTGGCTATTGAATGGGACAGCACAGTCTAGAAGATACATGTCCCTGTCCTGTGAAACAGCAATGCTGTGAATGTCTCAATTACTCTCAATGATTTCATGCTATAATACTAACCACACTTCTTGTAGTAAAGCCCCATGAACAGAAAATTCTCCTCTTGATAAAACAATTGAATTTTGAAAAAATAATGTTTAACACTCTCTAACCGCTTCTGATTTGAAGTAGTCACACTACATTTTACATCGCAATTAACTTTCCCAACCCATCCCAGGAGTTTTATTAAAGACCATCTCAAGGGACTTCTTAGGCTGGGCTCTAAGCCAAGTCTTCCATGTGCCTGTCGCCACACCCACCCCACTGGGTGCTAATGAGAATTGGCACAGCTGGAGATCTCACATCATCACAGCAGGAGGCAAAGGCTTCTTCTCCTCTTCTCAATCCCTCAATCCCACTGTAGGAAGAATCTTGAGAAGGATATTTTTGTCACAGATCAGACTATGGTCCAGGGTCGAAAGCTTTTTGGTGTGACACTGAATTTCTTGGACCCACTAGACTGCAAATTTGCTTTCTGAAGCTGGGTCTAAATCCACAGGGAGCCATTTCTGGAATGTGAAGACAGTTATTCTGATATTTTCTAAGTTTAGTGGTCCATCTAAGGCAGGAGGTCATCTGAAGTCACACCAAGGGGAAAGGGACAATATTGTGGCTCTCTGTATAAATGTCGTTTCTTCCCCACATTGTACTAGCATGCTTGGGGAAAAAACAAACTCTCAAGAAAGAAGTTTTTGTCTTAATGAATGAGGTCACTTCTCTCTTTAGACACTCAGAGGAGTGAGGCTTCCAAAGTCAGATTATGGCTTTCAAAGCCAAGGAAATAAGAAATGCTAAATTCAATCTTTGGCTCTACTGGCCAACCAAGCCAGCTTTCAAATGATATCATTTTGCTTTGGGCCATCTAGTGAAAAAAAGCCAGGCACTGTTTTCCTTGCTTGACATATATCATGGATGAAACTGACAAAAATCCCATCCTCATGATGCCTACATTCCAGTGGAGGGCACAGAGAATAAACAAATAATAAAAGATATATTAAGAGTAAAAAATTACTGTAAAAATAAACAAAAGGACATAGCAAATGCAAGGAGATAGGGCATGGCTCTTCATTTCTTTCTGAAACATATTTATGTAGTACCGACTATCTGCTAGGCCCTGTGTTACGTTAGGAACTGTGAAAGGATAAAATGATGAATTAGACATAGCTCCTACCCTCAAGGATTTTTTGCCTAACATCGCCATTTATATTTTTTGTATATTTTCCATATTTTAAAGAATTTTTTGAAAGCTGAGAATCCCATCTTGCATTTTCTTATTCTCTAAGAATATTTAGGATGTATTATATGGTGTTGTTTAGTCAAATTTTATGTTGAAAAAATAAATGAATAAATGAATGATGTGGATGTAGGCGTAAGGAGGGTGTTGCTATGAGCCTAATCATACCATTTCTTGGCATAATAGAAAAAAAGCAACAAATTAAAAACTATGGAATCTGGGTTCTCTATCCCCTGTAGCTTACTATGCGACCTCAGACATATCGTTAATGTCTTTGAACTTAAGTTTCTCCATCTGTAAAATGGGACTTATATTCGTTGCTAAATACAGAGGTTATGAAGAGCAAATGTGAAAGTGCTTTGTAAATGCTAATGCTCTACGCAAAGTTAAGAGATTATTATGTGTGCTAATGCATCCCTTCATTGGTGTGGCTAATTGAATATCAACTCTGCTAAAGGAAATTAAAATTAAACAGGATGTATTGGACAATCCAATGCAGAAACTCAGCATGGCAGGAGTTTGCATTAAGCCAAACATAGCAAGAGAGAGACCCCGTCGGAGAAAAGCAGTTAGATTTTGCTGCTAATTAGTACTTTTCCTTCAGGAGGTGGAATCTTCTCTTTCTTTTACAGATCAAATTACTCATGTACCCCTATAAAAAGCATGTCAAAGTCAAAAGTGCAAGCAGTCCCAGTGCAATTTGCAGTGGGAATAGCTGCAGTGAACAGTTAGCACACCATTAATTCTCAATTAAGTGTCAATTTGCACATTGCTGGGAAACAATTGCAAATTCTTTGTTTCTCCCCTTAAAGATGTCATTTGAATCTAGGAGAGCCAAAATCTAGTGGGGAGGGATAGATAAAGACAACTAGAGATGAAATCAGGTTGTGCCAAATACCAAAAAGGAATCTCTCACATTACCAACTAGCTGAGTCCCTTCCTGTCAGCAAATAAGACATAGTGGTATGGTAGATGTTTATCATAATCTGAATTGGCAAGAGAAAAACTCAATTCTAATTACAAGTTTGTAGTTGAGAAATTCTCTGATCAACCCGAAGCAAGAAATTGAGAATTTCTACTGCAGAGAGGAATGTATTCTTTTCTGGCATGACCAATTTTCTATATAAACCTTAGTGCTTCAGCTGCCCAAGAGTTCAGTTTTAGAAACTGTCTAAAGTTACAGAAAATTATTTGCTTTTTGGGGCAAAGAATCCAGTAGCAGCAATATCTCCATTTATTTTGCTAATAAGACCTGTGTTTCTAAATAGATTCAAAAAAAGCTTAACATGATGGATGCAACCAGGTCCCCAAATCAGTGAAACTCTCATTCCAAATGCATTCAGCATTTATCAAGAATTTTCATGCACCCATAATTTATTGCATCTCTGCTTTGTGCGTAGAATTGAAGGGTGGAAGAGAAATATAGGTCTGACTTTGAGGGGCTGAGCCAAGAGGACTGAAGACAGGAATTCAAGACCAGCCTGGGCAGTATAGTGAGACTTCGTCTCTACAAAAAGTTGTTTTAAAATGCTACTTGGTAAGGCTGATGTAGGAGGATCGCTTGAGTCCAGAAGGTTGAGGCTGCAGTGAGCCATGATTCTGCCATTACACCCCAGCCTGGGCAACAGAGCGAGACCTCATCTCTAAAAAAGAGAAATCTAAGTCTACTTTCCAATAGCTTAAAATTTCAATTGGACAGGAAATACACAGGTGCATGATGAACTTGGGTCCCTGGCAAGGGGATATATCACTTAGTTAGGTGTTGGATGGTGCCCGTAAAATGCCAGCAGCAAAAGCAGTAGGTGTGTGCTAAGCCTAATACAAATATCCCTGAGTTAGAGGGAAGTCGAGCAGAATTGCCAAATGCTTAGGACTGCTTTTTGCCATCTTCAGTCACCTCACTGGTTTTCCTAGGCACTTCTCCTTGATATAGTTTTGTCAGATATGTGTTTGGGACCTCCTAGCTTCTGCTCTCATCATCTTCTAATTAACTTCTGATACCAGATCTTTGCTTTTTCTCATGCTGCTTGCTATTCACTTGCCTCATGGATTGAATCTTATAATACCTGCCAATTCTGTTTCCTCATACTGTGAATGCCTAGATTTCATTTTGCATAGAGCTGGACACCACATTCTGGAAGCATTTTCATTTCATAAAAATTTAGGTTTATGACATAGCAGGGAGAGCCCAATATTAGGGTAAGGTGGCCCCTCAAGGTCATTCTGGACATTGTAAGTCGGCCCTTCCTTGTGTTATTCCAGGGTGTAAACGGGATGGCATCCATTTGATTTTCATTATTCTGGGACAAAGTTGCTTCCGCCTTCCTTTAATTAGGAAGTCCTGCAAAGAATATCATGAGTCGCTCTCAATCCCAACCAGCTGGGTATTTTAAACACCAAGCACATTACTCTTCCTCTGGGACAGGTAAGCATTTCTAACCTGCCTTTAAACAAACATAATAGTAAAAAGATAGATACCGTGGAGCAATGAACAGACTTGAGAATTTATGCTCAGCTATTTATCTTAGTTTTACTGAAGCTATGGGGCCTGAGACAACTCAGGAAACATATGTACAAGATAAAAACACACATCAAATAACTCCGTAACTAGTGGATAATTGATTAAAATAAAGCCACCTGCATAAATCAATAGGTCCTAATCACGATATTTGTTTTTACAGATTTCTTTGTAGTCAATTAGGACTGCCCATTAAAGTGGCAGAATAAGCACAGTGCCTGCTGCTATGATGTGATGGGCCGTGGGAAACACTTTTCGCCTAAAATCACCTCCTGCAATGGCCTACTTAAGGCATTTGATTCACCTATGTTAACAAGTGAGTATTACTTTAAGTCTATATCATAGATTGTCCCTTTTGATTTTCACAGCCAGCAGAATAAGTAGGTATTTTTATAATTCCTAACTTTACAGATTAATATTGAGCATCAGAAATATTAAGTTAGTAACTCAAGATCACTTGGCAAATGCCAAAGCCTGCTTTGAGAACTCATGTTGTCTGACTCCAAATCTCACATTTTATCCACTCACCACTCCTCAGTCATGAGAGAGCCATTTCTTCAGTCCTTGTTAAAAGGGTACTCTTCAGGAAATTATGAAAATGTACATATCCTTGTACACTTAACCTGTCTTGTATCTTGACTGTTTAGTTTCTTGCTACTCAAAGTGTGGTTTATGACAAGCAGCATTGAAATACCTGGAGCCTCATTAGAAATGCAGACTCTCAGACTCCACCCTAGATTTACTGAGAAAGAAAAGGACACAGTGGGAAATAGGGACAGCTGGAAAGAAACAAAATTTTCAGAAATGCCAAAGTCAAACTGTAACAAGTTTATAATTTATTTTAATAGAGTGATCTATGATCCTTGCACAAATTTCTTGAAAGCAGAAATATTCTCTTATAGTTTCTCAGATGTCAGAAAACTGAGGGAAGCTTATATAGCTTTGGGCCCAGCCTCTAATCCAGAGTTTTGTTATCTAATGTTTTAAGGAAGCTGAAGCAAATTTGATGGAATTGGTGTGTGTCTTGCCCTCTTTTCCTGTTTTGATTGTGTACCACTTGGTGTCATATTTGCAGCAATGGTGTAGTATTGACGAAGAAGCATTTAGACTTTCTTACACTCACCTTTCACAGAGGTCAGTGGTGTCTGTAAGGCAGTGAGACAAAGGGTAATGGTAGAGGAGTAAGGGTTAAAGCTTCAGGATAAGAAAAATTATATATATACAAGGAAAGTTATTCTCCATCCGGAATTTGTTAAGAAAGACATGGAGAAGATAGTAAAGATGGACTAGTTAATATTGTAAAAAGCATCAGTAACATGGGTACCATTTCTCCAATATCAAATATTTTGTCCTATTGTTAGACCAATATGTCTGTTTGGTGTTCAGAAAATGTGGTTGCCATATGTGTGTTTGATAATGACCATATTCATCCACTGCCAGGATGAAACTGCTCTGGGAAGTTTCACAAGCAGTGGCCATGGTTTAGATGAACAGTGCATCACTCTTGTCCAGTTTTCTTGAAGCCAAATAGTCTTTGCAAAAATGTTGGCTGCTGTTGGAGGAAATAAATTATTAGAAATGAGCATTATTTGCAACTCTACAAATTAAAAGGCCTGGGGTGGTTGCTAATTAGAAACTTGTAAGTTGTGTGCTTAGAAAGGGGTTAGAGCAATTTTTCCCTTAAATCAGTGCAGCCTTGAGTGGGGTGAGAGTCCCAGTCTGGATTGTAGCTTCCCCTGGTTTTATCTATGTAGCCAAGAAGTATGAGCCCTGCCCCACATAGGAAAACGTGGCTGATGAAGGAGACAAGAAGCAAAGAAAATCTTCCACTTACCTTTGAGCTCTGAAGCTCTCAAGTTGTCATACCCAGGTGGAAACCTGAGGCTGGACTAAAGAGTCCAGATGTCAGGCTGCCTGGCTCATTACACTTATGACCCACTTCTAGCCACTGGAGGGCATTTCCAGCAGGGATTGGCAACTGTACACACAACTGAGCCCTCTCTGATTGCTCACTGCTTTCTTCCTGCCCCTTCTTTTTTTTTTTTTTTGCTCATCCATTTTTTTGTTTTTCTTTGTGCTGTCTGCCCCTCCCTAACTGGTAGATTTTTATTTTCTTTTTTCCTATTTAGAGGCCTCCCTAGCACAATTTCTGCTGTGACAGCAGTTCACATCACTCACTACCCTGGTGCCGCCTCATCTTTGCTCTCTGGGGTTGATAAATATGTAGTTCTAGCATGAAAGAGACTGGGTGTAATCACTGGAGACTTTTCAGAGTGAAAACATCAGCGCTCTTTGCAGACACTGCCTAACTGAGAACAGCTTGAGAAAATAAGTTCTATGAAAAGGCGAAGGGAGGGGAAAGCCACTAGAAAAGTGGGAGGAAGAAGATAAATATCAGGAAAAATCTATTTTATGGAAAGTGGGTCAAACTCACCAATACTAGTTGTTTAAGAATATCCTCTTGGGACAGAAAAACTTTTTTCCATACTAAGAATTCTAATTAAGAAGTAGGATTATCCTGAATACTAACTTGGTAGAGGTTTGCTTTTTTTTTTTTTTTTTTTGTCAGGGTAACTTTACAAAATTGAAGATGTGAAGAAGATTATCTGGGCTTTAACAGCCTATTTAGGAGACCAGTTCTTATTATTAAGAAAGACATAGTGCTTAGTTCATAGTGCTACTTAATTATGATTGTACCTTGTCTATAAATTATAAAATTTAAGAAATAATGTATTTTCAGAGACAAAACATCCCAACATTCTGTTGGTAAATCACCCTAACAGTGCATTCATTCAAGTGTAATAAAATTTTATTTTCCACAAATATGCTATTAATTAGAGTCTTCTTTAATTTATCTTTCCTTAGAGTTGGTTTGACTAAGCAATCTTTAATTTTGTCAGAAATGGAGTGATAGCTCAGGCTATTACAGTAAAAGTTATTGAAACCCTTGAAGGCCAGAGGGTAGAGGCTGGTATAACACCTAATCCACAGGGTTTTGGATAATCACTCTCACTATCTTCCAGCAAAAAATTTCCGAGTAGTGATTTGATATCATTGTCAGTGTTCAACTCCTGTGTTCTTCCCCTTCACCTACAATTCTCTCATCCCTTCACCCTCACGATTAAGCCTGACTTTGTCATATAGTACCCATACACTTATAAGGCAGAGTACTCTCAGGTCACGTGGTCGCATTTTATTTTCAGCACTGATTGACCAATAGGCTTAGAATCAAAACGGAAATTAACAAACAATTGAAAAAAATTTGAATTGAAAAAATAATTGAAAAAAATTCAATAAATAAACAAACCGTTTGAAAAGAGCATTTAAAGCTTATGATTATGCTAGGCTGCTTGATTTTCCATCAGCTTCCAAGTTTCTTCCTCTTGAATACTCTAATGAAGTACTGATCAAAGGTTTTCTCACTTCCACATCTCCATACAAGTTGGCATCTTTTCTGTTCCTCTTTTTGGCTGAAAGATTTATGCTTTGTAATTCTTTTTGTTCCAGGGATCTCTGCTTGTTCTATGGAAGAACATTTAGCTATGTAGCCCTAGGAGGCAGGAATTCATGGCCAGCAGAAAGAAGCAACCACTATTCACACATACGCATCAGTAGACACATTGGCACTTAATCTTGCAAGTAAGATGTAGATTCTTGACGTTCTATTCAGGAGGTCTAGTAGGCATTTGTGTAGACAGACAGAGAGGGAAGAATGATAATGTACTGGCCGAATAAGGGGGACCCAACTTTTTTTTGCTAACAATTGGAGCTTTTGGAAAAGGCCTTAGTTACCTTAGGAATTTGAGTTCATCATTGGAGATGTTCACCAAGAACTTGTATAATATCTTCTTAGGGCTTTATACTACATACGTGCCTTTGTATATGACTGATTTATGACTCTGTGTTGAGTTCTATGAATCCGGGGAAAAAGTAAGTAGGCTTATTTGAAGTTTTAGTTTGTAAGATAAGGTATCAATTGTGTTGAAACCTTCTTAGTCTCCCCAGTTCCCACCCTAGATATTGATCATTTGTTTTGTTTTGTTTTGTTTGATTTTTTGCTAGTTCTAATTCTTTCAAATTTAAGGTAGTCCATATATTTGAGCATCTATTTGGTGCTGTGTACTGTACTAGCTTCTGTAATTATTTTCATAAGGACTTTTTTTTGGTAGTTAGCTTCATTGTAAATAAGATTTTGTTGGCAAAGTGGCAAATTTTCAACATAAAGCTGAGAAGGTAAAATATGACCCAATTGACAACAGGGACAAATTTGAAAGTCTTCAATAGCGGGATGCTATTCTTCACAGTAATTACAGTGAGAGTGGTTTTATATAAGGGGTTTTACAGTCAGGCAGACTTCAGTTTGAATCCACATCTGCAGCTAATACTGCGATTTTAACCACTTAATATTCTTCAAACTCAATGGTCTCATCAATACATTTGAGACAATACCATTATCCACAACACAAAGGTTAAATAAAAATAACAAATTTAGATTATCTAGTGCCTAGATTATATAACCTTCCAGAAATATACATGAATCATCTTTCCTTTAGGAAGCCAGGTCTTAACTTAGAAAAATGAAATTTTTTCATCCTGGTGAGTGCACCAACACTGTTATCTGCTTTGTTAGTTTCTTGAGTGACCATAGGATGAGAAGGCCTTCAAACACCTAAGTCTTCTTGGGGTGAAAATGACAATACGCTGGTGCCTCCACTTAGGTAACATGGTTGTACTGCTAATATTATTGCTGTACTGCTTTCAGCACCACAGCCCCCACTTGATCCTTTCTCAACTAACTCCTCTAGCACAATGCTGGAGCCAGAGCAAGATTAGTGCTCTAACTCCAGTGCAGAAGAATAATTTTGAATACAGAGCTAGAACTCTGCCCTGGGGCACTTTTCTGTGAGTCCCAAGCACCAAGCCCAGGCCCTGAGTAACTCAGGGCACAGTGACTCCCAGGAGAGAGAGAGAAGTGGAGTTTCCCACCCAGAACTCTGCCTGACTTTTTGAACACAATTCTGTTCCACCCTCAGTTTTTTTGTTTGTGGTTTGTACAGTCCATACTATCCAAAATTCTGGTACTAGATTTGGAACAATAGCTTCTTTCTGGATAGACTCATTAAGCTTTAAGTCAATGGCTTTTCTTTAAGACTTATGTCCTGGAACAACAAATAGAGAGTAATCCTAGGCTCCACTTTGTTATCTTGGGTAAAATTCAATTGTAGAAGTAATGTTTTAGAGAGAAAGGAGCCACTAAGTCTACTAAAACACTTAGAAATACCTTAGAAAGTGCTTAAAACAGCATTTTTGTATGCATTCAGGTTAAAAGAAGTACAATCAGCCCTTTGTATCCACAGGTTTCACATCTGTAGCTTAAACAGTAGATTGAAAATGTCAAAGAAACAATACAAATAATACAAATTTTAAAATACAGTACAAAAACTATTTATATAGCATTTAAATTTTAAAAATTCTTTTAATTTTTAATTTTTGTGGATACATATTAGGTATACATATTTATGGGGTACATGAGATGTTTTGATACTGGTATGTAATGTGAAATAAGCACATCATGGAGAATGAGGTCTGCATCCCCTCAAGCATTTATCCCTTGAGTTACAAACAATCTGATTACACTCTTTTAGTTATATTAAAATGTACAATGTAGTTATTATTGACTATAGTCACCCTGCTGTGCTATCAAATAGTAGGTCTCATTCATTCTTTCTACTTTTCTTTGTACCCGTTAACCATCCCCACCTCCCCTACCACACTCTCACTACCCTTCCCAGCCTCTGGTAACCATCCTTCTACTCTCTATCTCCATGAGTTTGTCTTGATTTTTATACCCCACAAATAAGTGAGAACATGTGATGTTTGTCTTTCTGTGCCTGGCTTATTTCACTTAGCACAATGATCTCTAGTTCCAACCATGTTTTTGCAAATGACTGGATCTCATTCTTTTTTTGTGGCTGAATAACACTCCATTGTGTTCATGTACCACATTTTCTTTATTTATCCATTGATGGACACTTAGGTAACATTTACATTGCATTAAGTATTCCAAGTAACCTAGAGATAATTTAAAGTATATTTTAAAGTATATGGGAGGATGTGTAGGTTATATGCAAACACTATATATACCACTTTATGTAAGGGACTTGTTCATCTGCAGATTTTGGTATCTTCAGGGAGTCCTGGAACCAATCCCTTCAGATACCCAAGGACCAGGGACAACTGTATTAGCTATAGCTTACTGTAAACCAGCCACTGTAGTACGTACTACATATATACTCTCATTTTATCCTCACAATAATCTTCCAAGTATTGCCAAATCTATGACACATGAGGAAACAAATGTGAATGAGTAAAATAACATGTTCAGAAGTCACACATCCAGGAACTTACAGAGACAGGATTTGAACCTATGATTGTCTGGTTTCATAGCTGTCTCTGTTTTGCTATGACTAGCTACTTCGATCAAATTGCTACAACAAGCAAATTTATAAATCACATGTAGCATATTGAATAACAACCAAATAATGAATTATTAAGGCATGTGTTCACTTCTTCTCCTGGCCACAAGCACTGTTAGGTTTCCATGTTACTTGTTTGCTGGGTGGGCTTTGATCTTTTTGTGTATGACACATTCCTAGGTGTTTTGAGACTGTGAAGAGCCACATTGATTTTTAGTTGATGAGGCTCTTACCCCCTACTTGTCCTGATAATATGCCCCAGTGTAGCCTCTGAAAGGTTTGTGAGGAAAAGGGAGGGGTCATAGCATTGGTTTGCTCAGTTAGGAGATAAAATCATAGGAGCACCTTTCTCTGAAGTCAGGAGAATTGGTCCTATGTCCTGATGGAAGTTGTAATCAGAGTCCATGGTATTTCCTTGTATTTCCCCAGTGATCTCAGTTGAATGCCACAATCTATTTCGATTTCCATCTTAGAAGGTCTGGAATAGCCTTTGCAGGGATCATCTGATACAGAGATAGAACATTTCAAGAAATAGTGCAATGGAATTCTTGTGGCCTTGCAATGTAAGTGCTGAGCATAGATTATTATTTAGAATATATATATTTATACTAATAAAAATTAAGAGTCATGTGCTGGAGTCTTTTTTTCTCAACCCAGATATTGACAGGTGGTGAGCAGGTGGAGCCAGGCAGTGCTTGTCACGGATGTGTCAGAGTGGTAGGCGGGGGAGGGGTGAAGATATGAGTGAATGATATCGGCTCAGTCGCTCCTTTCCTGTTGTTGTTGAGTGACACTTGGATATATCACTAAACATATAAAAATAGAAGCTCTGTGTCAGCCTTCTCCTTGTACAGGGTGCTGTGCTGCAGCGTTTAAATCTGGATGTCAGTATGCCACTATCGTTATTTATAGAGGAGACCCGTATTAACATTTTGAGAGCGACAGAGGAAGAGGGAGAAAGAGAAAAGCACATTTCAGATGGAAGGCACTCTGAATTTTGTCTTGCATTAATTGAACATTTATGTTTATCTCCTTTAAAATAATCACTCCTATCTGTATAGGAATGTACATGTTGCAAGGCACTTTCACATACACCACCACCCTGGAGTCCCATAGAGACTCTTTGAGATACAAAATAGAATTTCTCTTCCTGCAGAAGCTCAGGGAAATTAAGCGACTCCCTAGCATGTTGCTCAGCTGGTGGTGCTAGAACTGGCTCTCAGTTTTGCATTTTCAAAATGCAGTTGTTCCTTCCTCCTATGGGTCATGTAAGGTATTCATGTCCCCATATAACAGATGAGGAAATTGAGCAAGGAGTCATAAACCCAGGCATGGTATGAGATGTTCATCTAGGCACTGAGGACACAGCAGTGAAAAAAATGGGTAAAAAATTCTTGCCTTGGCCAGGTGCGGTGGCTCATGCCTGTAATCCCAGCACTTTGGGAGGCCAAGGCAGGCGGATCATGAGGTCAGGGGATCGAGACCATCCTGGCTAGCACGGTGAAACCGCATCTCTACTAAAAATACAAAAAATTAGCCAGGTGTGGTGGCGGGTGCCTGTAGTCTCAGCTACTAGGGAGGCTGAGGCAGGAGAATGGTGTGAACCTGGGAGGCGGAGCTTGCAGTGAGCCAAGATCGTGCCACTGCACACTTTAGCCTGGGCGACAGAGCAAGACTCTGTCTCAAAAAAAAAAAAAAAAAGAAAAAGAAAAAATTCCCACCTTGTAAAATGTCATGTAAAGCTAACATCCTGGTGGTTGTGTTAGATTATCTTTACAGTTCTGAAACTCCCTAGTGTAAGTTATGATGCAGAGCTATTTTATCCCTAAAATTTTAATCGTCATTTGGAAATGATAAACTGGCTTAAAAGTCATAAAACAATAAAATATTTAATACTTTAAAATATTCAGCTAATTTTGGGGAACTTTTGGTTTTCTCTCATATTTTGACTCATATTTTGACTGTTGTGTTGATTCTGTAGTGGTATGATGACATATTTTCATATTCTGTTCAAGTCAACATAAGTCATAAAGCAGTTCTCTGTGTGTCCAGTGAGACCAAACTGGACCTGCAGGATCCCTGTGGACCAGAAAGGAAATCTCTCAGTAGACCCCTGCTAACGTGGCTCACATGAACTGATAGCTAGGACGGTTATCCCCAAACATCTCTACACTTCAGAATCACCCAGGGAGATTCAAAAAGTATTGATTCCTGTGTCCTACTCCAGTGATTGTAATATAATTGACTTAGCATATGAGCAGAATGTTTAAAAGGTGATTCAGGAACCACTGAACTAGAATATAACTAATGGGATGATAACAGACAATTGTTTGCCTACCCAATAGCTGCTGTCAGTCACTTTCTAACTTGCAAGCAGAACCTCAGCTTTGGTCAGAGTATTAAATCATGATTCAGGGGGTGAATCATGATTGTTTTAAGCCAGTCATTATAATTTCACTCTCTCTGCCAATGATTAGTTTGGGGGTAATTATGTGAACCAGAACCAACCAATGAAACAGAAAATAATACCTACTGGAAACAATATGAGAAAGGTTTCTTTGCTATTGACAAAAGAGACTTCTTTAAGGAAGTAGTCCTTTCCTTTGCCACCTCTGGTTATGACGATGTTGAAAAGGTATAATAGCATTTAGAGACCATGGGGGAAACTAGGCAAAATACCAGAGCAACAACTGACAATGCTGAATGAAAGATGGAAAGAAACTGAGTCTTGCTGAGATTGTTGGGTTAACAGGATAATGAACTCTAATACCAACATATCTCCTGACTTTCTGTTATTTATCATTCATTTTACTTTAGTTGGTTTTTCTGAAATTTATAGCTAAAGTATACTAAATGATACATGAAATCCTAATTTTGAATGAAGTCTCGTAAGGAGCATAGTATATGCTATCCTAGGACAAAATAATGTTTTATCCAAACTTGCATATTGTCCACACTTGCATATTGTCTCTGAACAGAAACCAATCGATAATTCTTTTTAGAAAATGTTAGTTTTCTTACATGGCTACAACTCAAAAGATTTATTTCAAAATTATTTTTATTAACTTCTCAATCTATCAAAAAGCTTTACTAAAATTCTTCTTGAACCTCCTTATATTTTCTTCTGTGCCATTTAAAATGTTGGTGAGAAGAACTACAATTAAAAATACTTATATATTAGTTAGATTACCACTGACACAAAGACTTCATGAAATGAACTTCTCAAGAGGGGCTGTGGGATATTTTTGCTATCAGGTTGTGGGATAGGGCTATTAAGGGGCAAGTGACTAATTGTCCCTTACTCAGCTTCCTAACAACTAGAAAGAAGAAAGATCAAGAGAAAGGTAAATGCAGATTAACTGGGGCCTCAATCAAATTTTAGGGATGATGGTTCACAAGGTGACTGACAATTCAAATTTTGCTTTCCATTGAGGATTCTGTAGTTTTCAGTTTGTCCATAGGATATTTTATGAAGTTGTAAATAATTATAAATAACATTCATTGGGTGCTTACCATGTGCCATCCATCATGGCAAGCTTTTTACATGCATCATCTCAAATAGTTCTCCCAATCGACCTAGAAGGACTGTGTGTCTTAGGGGATTTAAATGACTTGTGAAAGGTTGCACAGTTACTGAAGGGCTGGGATGGAAGCTAAGCCTGTGCTTTTATCAACAGCCCAGTGTTGTCTTCTATCCACAGTGGAAAGAACACAAACTGTAATCCAGTTCCATCAGTTACTACCAACGTGACCTTGGGCCTTCTTCACCCACTCCCTGTGAAAACTGAATAACGATCTTTTAAACTGGGAGCCCTGTCCAAATGTAACAGATTATTCCAATACTTTTGAGATTTGTTCTATAAGCATTGACAGAGTCAGTCCTTACTGTGTGCTAGATCCTATGCCAACTTCTGGGAGAACAGTAGTGTGTGAGACACAACAGTAGTTTTCCTGTCACTGCTGGACTCTGACGGTGAGCTGGAGGCCATGCTTCGCTTTCCAGACAGGCCTGGGGCTGCCCCAGCTCTGGCTTTGTGTCGCGGAGCCATGCTACTAAAAGCTTGTCGAGAATGGATGCCAACAGCTCCCCAGCTGCCTCATGTTAATGTAATCAGCAAGAAGCCTGCAAACCTGATGGTAGTGCAGAATATGAGGTGAATGATTAAAGTTTAAAAGGTCATATACCATTGTAATACTGAAAAGAAACTTTATGATTCATCATTCCTGATGTAATGTCATCTGTTTAATAAAGGAGTATTTCACCCACAGCTCATTTTTAATGGGCCTATTTAAGCAATGGCATTAGGGTTGGATTTTTTCCTTTCCCTCCCAAGCTAAGAGTGGTTTGTATGTAGTATACTTGAAAAAACCACAGCAGTTTAGAACTTGGATATTTACAGTATCTTTCAGGCTCCAGCTGACTATGTATTATTTATGCCAAACCACTGTACTCGGACTGAAATATCAGAGAAAGGCAATCAAGCAGCTGGATATGCTAATACACAAACCATGTCTTACTTAATTGTATGGATGGGAATTTATATGGTGGGCAAATATTGTTATCTGTAGGCTGGTGTAATGAGCCATGGTCAGAGGGTATGCTGCCCAGGGTGGTGTTTCACTCAAGCAGGAAAATGGAACTGGTAGGCTTGCTTCTCTCAGATCAGTGGTTCTCCAGTAGAGACAATTTTGTCCCCTAGGGGACCTTTGGCAATGTTTGGAGATGTTTTTTAGTTGTTACAACAGGAGGAGGTTGGGGGTGTTGTTCTTGGAATCTGGCGGGAAGAGGTTAGGGATGCTGTCAAACAGTTTGCATTGTGCAGGACACTTCCTGCTTCAACATATGGGGTAGAACTCAAAAGGCAAGTGGACTCTGAGGGAGTAAGGGAAAAGTTTTATAACCTTCTGTGGTAGGCAGAGTGAATTTTATCTCACTTTCTTGGTTCTATTTTTTTCTGATGCTATTACTATCTTTCTAAATGAATGTCTTGAAACAGTTCCTCTTCATCTATTAACACACACTTCATGGGAGAGGCGCATGGCATAAGGTGAGAAATGATACAGTGGGAGTGGCCATAATCTAGAATTTATTAAATGTTGGAAGGTGGGAGCATTGTAAAAAGCTATCTAGTTTATACCTTATCTTTAACAGAGAAGGAAACTGAAGCTCCAAAAAGGAAATAACTTTCTGAATGTGACCGGCTAATCATGACAAGCCACAATTTTACACTATTTGTTATCTTTGCTCTGAATTTGAGAACAACAGACTAACCCACACATAACTCTACTTTCCAAAGACAGCATGCAACTTAACATCTTCCCTAAGCCTCTTTTGGTTCTTCTTTTCCCATCTCTAAATTCACCCCCCTCAAGATCTCTTTTTGAATATCGCATGACCAAAACCAAATTGCTCCCTGCTATTTCTTACTAACTTTTCAATAGATTTAACTTTTGGCTTTTCATTGGTAGAGGCAGTGATATTTCTGCTCTGTGGCTTTTTCTCTGTATTCTTAACGTTTTTGTTTGGTTTTGTTTTGTTTTATCTTGGGCATAATACTTGCTCCCTAATGTTGGTTACCATGGCATAAAACTTCAACTTCTGATGACCACTTAGGTCCTAGGATGGAGAACTCCAGAAGGTTCTCAGAAAGATCAGATATAAGGAAGAGTGATGTGTGCAATGCTCCGACTCACTGAATTGGTATAAACTGAACTCTCGATTCCCACCCCCTCAGCTTCTCTTCTCCCAATTCTCTCCATCTGAGTAAAATGTCAACTTGCACTATCTTGATGTTTAAGCCAAAAAACCTTAAAGGCATCTGTGATTCATTTTATTCTCTTTCTTTCCACATCCAAACACGTGATAAATCCTATTGAATATAACTTCGAAATATATCCATAATCCATCCATTTTTGGTCACCTTCACTATTTGCATCCACCAAAGTCTAAGCTGCTATCAGCTTTCACTTAAAATATTGTACTATCCTCTCAAACTGCCTTCCTCCTTCTACCTGGCTGCCTTGTCTCTTCTCCATACAGCAACCAGAGTGATCATTTTAAGGTGTTAGTTTCTGTCTTAAAGTGGCTCTTCATCTCAATAAAAATAAAATATGAATTGATTTTACCTTACCAAATTTTATCTTACCAAAACCCACAAGATAATATTTACCTTTGCACCTGTCTGCCTCTCTGATCTCAGCTCCCAGGACCTTTCCTTTTGTTCTCCATACTCTTTTAGTGTGTTCTCCAAATATCAAATGTGCTCTCATTTTGGGACCTTTGCACTTTGTTTCCTTTGTCTCGATCATCCTTTCTTTACTCAAATTCCATTTCATCGAGAGAGCTTCCCTCATCCTTCCATCAAATGTAGTACAGGCTGTCCCCCACTCCTCTGTCATTGTATATCATCCTGCTTTATTTTACTTCCTAGTACTTAGTATCTCCCAAAAAACCGTGTGTGTGTGTGTGTGTGTGTGTGTGTGTGTGAGAGAGAGAGAGAGAGAGAGAGAGAGAGAGAGAAGAAAGCACTCCATAAGGGCAGGATCTATGCTTGTTTTGTACTTAAAGTAAAGCGGTGACAGGCACATGACAGGCACCCAGTTTTGAGTGAGTGAGTGAATGAATGAATACACAAATGAATGAATTGGTTATTTTTCCTTTATTATTTAACAACCAATATGCCATGCTGCTTAGAAATCTTTATCTTCATAATTTGAATAGGGATAGGCTGTACCAAAACTGTTCGTGTCTAGTAGTAGTAAACCTAACTTCCAATTCAATATTTTGGGTGTTCAGTCACTTCTGGGTCTCAAATTTGGAAGAGCTGCTTCAAGGGTAAGACACTGGCTTATTATTTATCTGCACAGATTTTTTGGCTGGGTCCATGTCTATATATTTACTTTTATTTAATTCTTTTTTTCTTCTTTGACTGACCTTCCTTGAGATGTTATATTTGAATATCACCCACAAATTTGATGATCATGACTTTAGTGTGCCCTATTCAAGGTTAATGGTAATATTGCTTAGTAACCTCAGAGGTGCCACATCCATGCCCAAACTCCTTGGGTTGCCAATTATTATCACTCTCTCTTCAGTATAGGTGGAAGCATTGAAGACCGTTTCAATTGGCAAAGGCTGATATAAAATAGCTTTGCCACTAACATTTTGTGAGAGATCCTGTCGCAAGTGTTTTACAAAAAGGCAGAGATATAAGATCCCTTGCCTTCCTTTCATCTGCTAATTTGAAATTACGTTGTAAAAGGCTATGAAGTTTGTCGGGTGTGATTTGTTCTTTAAATGCCCTTGCTGCTTAATCTTCATGAAATCCTTATTAAGATGCTGAATGATCCTTAAACAGGATTTTTTTTTTAAAGGCACAAAAAGAGAATGTATAACAACAGCATGTCTGATGAGCAGATTGACAGTTATCTTGGATAAATGGATGCATGGGCCATGGAGGACTCTGGTGAACTAATGTAGTTCATCTCTAATTTTTGACCTTGGTTAAAGTTTAGTTTAGGACTAGTAGATTTAGAAGAGTATCCTGATATTTATTATAGCAGCAATACAAATAATAGAAATATATCAGGTTCAGTAACTTCTTTTATTTCCAGGACCCCAAGTATTTATATACGTTGCTTTTTTTTAAATTTTCATGTTATTTTTGTGTCTTCTGGTGTGGTTCAAGACCTTAATTCTAGTCCTGGCTTTGTTACCAGTTGACTATGTGATTTTAGATCAGAGGTCAGCAAACTTTCTGTAAAGGATCAGATCACAAATATTTTAGGCTTTCAGGGTCATATGGTCCCTGTTGCAGCTACTACACTCTGCTCTTGTGAAATGAAAGCAGCCAGATATAATATGTAAATGAATGAGTATGGCTGTTTTTCAATGAAACCTTGTTTACAAAAAGAGGCCATGAGCCAGATTTGGTTTGTGAGTCATAGTTTGCCAACTCCTAGTTTAGGTAATCGATTTAGTTTCTCTGGGCCTTATTTTCTCCATTCATCAAATATGGTGGCTGAGCTGGAAAGTGTTCAAGTTATAGAGTTATTTGCTCCTACATTCGGGACTCATCTACTAGAAGTTTTTCTAGTGCTTGAAATTATGGTATGCTGTACATTCAAAGGTCATCACTAGGACTGGTATGTCTCATTTTGGTCCAAACACCAACCAGGGAGCAAACATTGAGGTGGGAGCTTCCTTTAAAATTCAAAGACATAGTGGACTCAGTCCCTAGATGAGTGCCGAAAGATTTTAAACTAAACATACTACTTCCACCATAAGATGAAGAGTTTCAGGATTCCTCAGGGATTGGGGCAAAGGGATAATGCAAGAAGAGCCCCAGTATTATTTTTCCTACCTTACATCTCATCCTGACATGATCGTGTCCCAATCCCCACACCATCACTTGTCCAAGCCTCATCATTCTCCAATCAAACCGTAATGCTTAAACCAAGTCTCCACATGCTCAAAGAAGAAATCCTTTGGAGACTTCTCTAAAGGTTGGATTATGAGCACAAAACTGTCACTCAAAATTTTCCCTTTGTGGAGAATGTGGGAGAGTATGGCAGGGGGTTTTCTCACCTGTCATTCACTTGGAACATATCTTTGAAAATCAAAAGCACATAATGAGTTCAGACCTCAAAAAATTATGCATCCTTTATTCTTCTTTAATATGTTGTTTGAGTTAGGGGACCAACGGGGATAACAGTTCTATTGGAGAACTTTAAGGAAATCTATTTATTTGTCAGGTTCATGTTAAGCAACCAAATGCTACTTCCATTCAAATTATGTCATATTTTTTAGTTTTCCAGACTCTCAACTAGAAAAAAAATGTGTTTCTAAAAACCTTTTTAAAAATAAAGCAGTTAGATCCTCTAGAGTAAACCTGTGTTTTGGTCACAAAAGTTAGGTAGGAAAGGAGGGAAAGGGTTAGCGAAGATACCTGACTATGTAATATAAATATTACTTTAGCATATGTGCCAGGGGCATTGCACACACTCTCATTTAATCTTATGCTAATGAAGTAGCTATTGTTTTCTCATTTTACATATTGGGAAACTAAGCTTTAATAATTTTCTAAGGTCACAAAAATTTTAAATGACAGAACAAGTTTTTAATCCCAAATCTCTCTATAAACAATGTTCCAAAACAATTTTTAAAATAATTCTAATGGGGGCTAATCCAGTTAATAAGAATCTGATTACCCAATGGATACTTACTGCATAATGGACAGCATTTTTAATGGGAAGGGTCTCAGTTACAGAAAATATCAATTTACTAAGTATAGGCGGTGACTTTAATCTTCAAATAAATAGTATCCTAGTGTGGGCCTACTGCACTATTTGGAGAGAATTTTAAAAATTTGAATGGCATTAAAATTTTAAATTGAATTAGATGAGCAATCTTTAGTTTGTAATAGTGCCCACTAATGAGTAAACTCAAAATCAGTTAAGAAGCCAGCCCAGGTTGATCTGCCAATATGGGATAGAACCAGGACTGGACCCATATCATTCAAAGTCCCAGCATTCTTTCTACCAAAATCAAAAAATGCATACCATTAGCATAAGAGATAGTAAGAAAGAATGTTAGGAAAGCAGGGAAACTGTGATAGGATAATGCAACTTTCTAAAGGTTGGAAGAGAAAGCAACCTGGAATGGAAGCCCAGCTGTGTGGACTGTGTGGCAGGAGGTGCAACAATAATGCAGACTTACCTTCAACTGGCTCTGTAAATTGTATCTCTCAGTGCCTCTATTATTTGTTTTTAATTTGTAAGATTCAAGGGTTAGATTATTAGAGATTAAAAAATGGTGACCTGGAAAACAAATTAAACTCAGGAGTGAGTTTTGTTTATACTGTACAATGTTTTACTTTAAAACAATGAGTTTAGATGTGAAATGAACTCCCCAGTCCTTATCACTCCCATTTGTCTTGCACCCCACTGGCCTCTTCACACTTTATGTGATCTGCCTGGCCACTAGCAATTCTTTGCCTTTGCAGACCCTGCAAACAAACAATCAAGTTCCGGAAGAGCTATTATGGTCTCTCATTCTCTAATTTACCTGGTTAGTGAGAAAAGGTTTGGGGCTACGTTCTAAAAATAAGTTACCCGGAAATTGGTTTAACAAGAAAAATATCTTCATATCAAAGCGGAGGAAAATCTACTCAGCACACACAAAAATGTAGTGAGATCTCTCCTAGCCATGGCAATTTCCAGGTGGATGACAGGAGGGAAGGACAATGTTCCCAGTGAAGCCGAAGCTGGAATCATGAAAAACTAAATAGAATTACCTAAACTGGAATTTGGCCAAGGTTTAGGGCTACCACCTGTGCAAGCTGGGGTGACCTGATCAAGGAAGTTGTAGTTTTCCTGCGATAAATGGGCCTCCTGAAAGTTCAGCAATCTGGAACACAGGCTGGGTGGATTTGACAGAATACTTCCCTTTGAGCAGTGCCGCTTGGCAAATATCCTCTTCAGAGAAGTTTTAGCTTCACGAGTCAGGTCTGTTTACTTCAAGGCAGTGGATGATTTTAATTTTCATTAGCCTTCTGTCAGTGACCCCAATTCTGCTGAAAAGGCCAGTGTCCCTCCAAATTCTTGGGATACAAGGGCTTGCATATCTCACTTCTTGTATTGTGTAGCTTTTAGATACATAATCTCATTCCATCCTCACCACAAACTAATAATGTAGGCAGGCAGGGAAGGAGTGCTTATCTCTAGCATAGAGGTGAGTAAACTGGGACTCAGGGTTTCTGAGCCAGACCTCAATCTAGGTTCACACATTTGCTGCCTGTGATGTTTCCTTTGTACTGTGGCACAAGTAAATGGAGTTCTTCCAGGGTTAATGGCAACAAGGTAAGTTGTATCCATTCATAGACAAGGCAATTGTAATAACCTGAGCAAACACAGTTAAATTGATTATTGAGATTAACAAACACAGCCATGACATTAGAGCCTCTATCGTGACCTCCTTTCTTTCTTTCCTTTTCCCTGTATTGGTGAACCATGCCCTTAGAGGCTCAGTCACCAATGCCAGAAGGAGGTTATCTCCAACTTCTCCTTTTCCTTCTGGTTCTTTATCCTGGTGAAACAGTTCCCTTGACTAGGGTACATACCCTGGCTCTTGGTCTTGGTGTAGAAGGAATTCAGGACACAGACACACATGAGGAGTGGGTTTTGGAGCAGAAAATTCAACAGAAAAAGTAGAAAAGAGAGAGAAAAAGAAGGAAAGAGAGAAAAAAGCTGAGAAAGCCCAAAAGAAGATCTCCTAGCAGAGAAAAGGAGTGGTTGGTGCGAATGCGCCATTTTATAATACAGTTTGGGGAGGCAGTGTCTGACTTACATACGGCTCATAGATTGGTTTGATTAGTTATGACATCTACGTAGTGTGTGGGGAAGGCTGGTCCCCCACGCTAATCTTATCATGCAAATGGGCATTCCAGTTGATCAGCGCCATCTTATCTGCTTCTTACTGCACACATGGCTGACAAAGAGAAGGGAAGATGGAGCCGCCATCTTGAACTTGATTGGCACAACTGCCGGTATCTAGGTCTGCAGCTGGATTTTACAGGCTGCTCTTTGTTAGAAAGGAAAATAATTTGGGGCTGCTTTTCATTAAAAAGAAAAGCCTTACGGAGGACTCCCATACCCTTGCTATCTGCCTAAGTAATTTCTTCTTAACTCCTGTATCACTGGTGGCCACTGAGTTCTGAAGAACCACCTTCCTTTTATCTCTTAATGCATCTTCTCTCATCCCCACTGATAGTGCTAGTATATCAGATCCCACTACTTCTCTCAAAGGCTGTTGAGGTAGCATTTCCACTGGTCTGTGTAGCTTCTGGCTTGTACCTCTACAATCACTTTATGTCTTTCCTAATCCACCTTTCCCCTCCCCAGTAGAATGGCCCTGTCTTTAATGATTCCCTCCATGGAGCCCTGTACATCCAGGGAAGCATCTGTAGCATGTTATTATCAATGTTATCTTTGTATGTCTGTCTCCCTGGCTGGACTAGAAGCAACTTAAGAAAAGGGACCCTAACTTATCCCTCATTGTATCCCCATTGACTAACTATCTGGCAATAGTAGGTGCTTAAGCCCTGTTTGATAAAAAGAACAAGCAAATATTTAAAAGGTCCCATTATATTCCAGGCACTTTGAGAGATGTGAAGGATAAAGTCCCCCTGTGGAGTTCATAGTCTAGTGCTGACATCTAAGCAGATAACCATGATAAAGTTTGATAAGTGCTTTAACAGAAGAGGAGCATTCTGTGGGAGCAAGGGGTGAGCACCAGAGCTGTTCTCTCTTTCCACCACTTGTCCAGAGGGAAGAAACCTGAAGGAGCATCTTCCTGGCAGTCCTTTGGCTCCCTTTTCCTCCTCACTCCCCAGCACTATCAAGCATGACCTGGCACATATTGCTAACAAGTTAAGCAGAAGCATTTCTCTGGAACATCGGCATCCACTTTGTTGAAATCCATTAATTCTAAGCTTTAACACCCTTGGCCGGAAATAGCTCAGAAACTTATGGGGGAATAAGAAAAACAGATTGCCTGGTCACAGTCACGGGGAAGATATTAATATTTCCTTTCGTGGGTAGCTCTTTCTCTACATCCTTTCTCCATCTGCCTGTACCTCAACCCCCACCACCAAAATAAATGTTTTCCAAGAATCTACGAGACGATATTTGAAAGTAAATCAAAACGTAGACAGAGGGTCAACGAAAAAGGATAAAGCTGCCACGTATATGTGTCTAAGGCAGTAAATGGGGTAACTTGTTATATTATTTACAGTCTCCATAAAGACAGGGCCCTTGTTGCTCAGACAAAGCCCTGAGCTTATTAATTGCCAGCAAGGTCTTTCTACTCCTAGGTTTTTCTGCTGTTGATGGGGGTGGCAGGGAGAGGGTTAACTCTCTTTCCCTGTCTTTCTTTCTCTCTTTCTTTTTGTCCAAGTAAGCTTTAGGGTCTAGGGGAAGGGTTTGTTAAGCCTCCAGATTTCTCTGCATTATGTCCAGGTGGCATGACGTGTGAACAGACGAAAGATTAAAATCACCGAGGAAATCGCTCTGTCTGAGCCCAGATCACGACGCCTTTCAGTGACCCAGCGACCCAAATGCTATCTGTCAACTTGTCCTTCCAGCGACTTTTCACCCCATGCTCTGTGGCTGCTACTCCAGAAAAAAAGAAAAAAAAAATCAGGAGTTAGAAGGAGGAGGGAGGGATGGAGGAAACTAGGATAAAATACTGCCTTATTACTAAAGACTCTGCAATGCAGGTCAAATGTGGGGCAAGGGAGCCTTGTAACAAACCAAATACTTTTTCCAGATCTTCATTCCAGAATGTTTCCTCACTCTCTACTGAAACTCTTAGTTCCTTCAGGAAATATCACACAAAATCATAGGCTCTGCTTTCCCCAAACAAATACTAATTCCTAGCAAGCCCACTGAGGATGGAGATTTTCCTGAGTTTCAAAAAACTTCCTACAAAATCTGCTTTGTCTTTGCTCAGGTGCTTAATGAGTTAGAGAGGTAACCAAGCTTCCTTTGCCTCCCAGGCCTTGCCAGACTAGGTTGCTTTTTCTGGGGTAGGAGAGGTGAGATTAGGTGAGATGAGAGAAGGAGGTCAAAACATACACTGCGCAGATATTTTTACAAAGCTGACCACTCAAATTAAGAGCCTGCTTCTTAAAAGCCTGCAATAAAACTGGGTTGGCAGCAGAGCCAGATGGAGACTTCATATGCCCCAAACAACACAGACTACTCATTCCTCTAAGTCCTACATTGAACTATATGAAGTTATCTTCTGCAAATAAAAATAGTCAAGTTTTGGTAATTTCTTATGGTTCAAACTAATTCAAAATATAAATAGTACCAAATCATAAGTTAGAGAAATATCAAATATCTTCTTCTTTCAAATAAGTGGTTTTGATGCCCTGCTCTGTTCGTGTCTTAAGGCTGTGCTTTGTCTGCCTACGGGGTAACTCGGCACTGCTGGGTCCACTTCTACGTTAAAATAAAAGATAAAATAGAAGCCACTTAGCACAGTTTCTTAACAAACCTGCAATTTTTTTTAAAGACTTTGACAAGTAATACAGTAAAAATACATCATTTTAAGTAGTCATTGTATGTATTAAGGCCTTTGTTGAACTTTTTGATATTTAGGAGTTTGCATAAACCTAAATGTTAGTGTGCTCTTTTACTTGTTACCTTTTTCTGTCCTAGGATTTTATCCAGGATTCCATATTACATTTTGTCATCATGTTTCTTTAAGCTCCTCTTGACTAAGACATTTCTCAGGCTTTCCTTGTTTCGATGACCTTGAGAGTTTTGAGGAGTATTGGTTAGGTAGAATACTATATAGCATTTATATTGTAAAATCTATATAGCATTTAATATATGTTAACTTCATTTAATGTAATAAATATTTCTTTAAGTCATCACTTACTTTTTCAGAAGCATTATTTTAATGACTGCACAATATTCCACTGATAATTGTGAAATTTAGATGTTTTTCTAAAGAAAACAAAATGGCTTTTTTACTGCATGTTTTTTAACATTGTCTGCTGATTAACATGTAAGGGATAGCATTCATTGGGGAAAATATACATATATAATAAATATATCCTGGTGGTGATAATTTTTACATTCTTGTTTGACTTCTGTCCCAGTGCAGTATATAAATCTGGGCATACATATACTCCCAAAAAGAAATAATCTTGAGACATATTATCCTTAACCCAGAACTTAATGCCTGTCAGTCACTACTGCATGCATTTCCTTCCTGAGGCCAAGGTTACAGAGTGCCAGAGTTGCAAATGTAGATCATTAGAGTTTAAGTGGAAGATACCTTGTAGATTCTTCCCTGTAAGGTTTGTATTGTCCTAATTCTGTAGAAAAAAGTCACTCATTTATTTTTGTAGAATTGTTTACCCCTGGGACTTGGGGTCATTCAGTCATAGAAAGGCTGGTTCACTTTCATATTAAAGGCTTGGGAACAACTACTTTAAAAGAACCCCAGCCTATAAGGTTTACATCATCTTCATCCAACTAATTTCCTCATCTCACAATGGTCCTCAATGGTTTGCTTCTTCTCACCTTGCATTACCAAGTCTGTCCAATTTATCTCCTAAGTATATCTTCTGTCACTCACCTCATCAGTTTCTCCTTGGCTGCCTTCATTCTAACCACTCTCATCTCTCGACTGAAATATTATAGCAGACTTCTAACTGGTCTTCCTCCTTTACCTTGGTTCAGGCTTTATTTTCTCAAGTCCATACCTTCTTCTTGCATATGCATGTATGTTTCCATCACTCTATCTATATCATGAACACACACACACACACAGGTGGCTCTTCTACTACCCTATTTAAGAATGTCTTGTTTGATTCCCATTGCCTGTCACAGCTCAGCTGCTAAATCTGCTATCCATGTGACTTTGGGTAAGCAATCTAACTTTTCTGTGGCTCAGTTTTCTCATCTGTAAAATGATAACTGTAGTACCTGCTTGATGGTGTTAGTAGAGGAGTTAAATGTGACAATAAATATCAAATCTTAGAACATCACCTTGTCTGTGGAATACACCCAATGAACGCTACCTACTACTACAACTACTACAACCACCAAAGTCTAAACTTCTTATTATGACACCAAAATTTCAACCACAGAGACTACTGTCTTCCTAAGCCTTGTATTTCCTGTCTGTCATGACTTTGCCTCTGAACTTCTCTTTTCCTAAAATGTCCATTTTCTACTGCCTCAATTTCTGCCTTTCCCAATGCCTCAACCAGTCTTTGATTAACAGTTTAAAATATTTATTTTCTGCGATCTTCTGTAAATAGAGCTCCTTCCTCTTAGCTTTCTCTGTAAGGATTTTTTTTAGACTTTATTTATTAAAAAATAATCAAGGCTCAAGATAGCTAAGTGATTTTTCCCACAAACACACAGCTCAAAATAGGTAATGAAGGTAAGATTCAAATGCAGGTATCAGTGGCAATCTGTGCTTTTTTCTCTCTATCATCTACCTCCTATTTGGGCAATCCACAAAGAGCTGTCTTGAAAATAGGTATGGATTTTAATAGCTTTGGAGTCTGGTTTAATTCTATCACTGGGCCAAATGTTTAACATTTATTTGGAGAGGGTGGGTAGGAGTCAAGCAGGAAAAATTTTTCTTCCTCATCTATAAATGAAAATGCGAGTTATTTTCCTTTGAAATCTTTCTGCTCTAATAGTTTGTCACATTGTCATACACCTGAATACAAAGTGGGAACTTACTTGAGATTTGATTGGATTTTGAGCTGACCACTTTGTAGTTCTTTGGTTCTCTTCTGTTAGTCTTAAACTTAAATAAGGGGTCTAACTCAGAAATATCACCTATGGGAAATTGAGGATACACTTCTAGAGCCAGGGCCTGTCAATAATATCTCCTAATTCCATTAGAACCACTTGCCCTCCCCTGCTGCTCTGATACTTATAAACCTCTCTGTTCTCATAACAGATTCAACCTTAGGATTCCAAGACCACTTCCCATCCTGCTGGGGTTTGGCTGGCTCAGAAAACTGGTGCACAGATCTTCTTTGTTCCTCCAGCTGAACTCAAATACAAACCTTCATCCTGATGAGATAACGGGCAATCTGTGTTTTGTCCCACTCCATTGCTGTATATGCAATCAAGGTACCCTCTCAGGACCCAGTGATAATATTAATTACAATCTCTTATTTAAAAGGAGTTCCTGCCTGAAGGTCTCTATGCAAAGATAAAGTTTCTCTGTTTTTGAGGCAGAGTCTCACTCTGTCACCAGGCTGGAGTGCAATGGTGTGATCTCTGCTCACTGCAACCTCTGCCTCCCGGGTTCAAGTGATTCTCCTGCCTCAGCCTCCGGGGTAGCTGGGATTACAGGCATGCACCACCACGTCCAGCTAATTTTTGTATTTTTAGTAAAGCGGGGTTTCACCATGTTGGCCGGGATGGTCTTGATCTCTTGACCTCGTGATCTGCCCACCTCAGCCTTCCAAAGTGCTGGGATTACAGGCATGAGCCACCGGGCCCGGCCGAGAAGGTTTCTTTTTTTTTTTAAGAAGAAAGAGCCACTTCTGGTTAAGTCACAAAGCAAAGGGAATGCTAGTCATTCTTTTCTATAGCAGGTCCAGCCAGGCAACATGAGATACACAGGCATTAAGAACACAGGTACTGCCCTGAACTGGAGGGGAATTTGTCAAATCTAATATTTTCTGAAAAGTGTTCTCAGACCATTCTGACCATGAGTAACTTACTTCCTCCACCACTAAGCATCTAGAATAAACCTGTCATGGCCACTCCTCTTGCCTTTCTTCATCCTCTTAAGTTTTATTATAGTAGGTGAGATTTGAGTAAATAAGTTTTTGAATTAAGTCACTTCTCTATTGTTTTTAGTTATGCAACTTCCAACCATTCATTCAACCTCTCTGAATCTGAGTCTTGTTTTTTTTCCTCATGTTTACAATAGGATAAAAATTAAAAATTCTTGGGCTGTTGTAAACATAATGTTAGATTAATGCTTATTGTCTATATATATTTGAAACTTTACTGATGTCATTAGCTATATATTATAACATTATTCCTCAGGGGCCAAGTACAACATCTATTTCATAGAAAATGTTAAGTAAAGTGGATTCTTCAGCTTTGTCCAGTCTGGGACAAGCCTAAATAGAAATACAAGAGAACTAAATAGAATACAATTTCCTTCTTATTTTTCTTTGCATCAATCTTTCCTTCCCTTAGGTGTTTTCTGTTCCAGCTCCTTCCTTTCTTCCTTTCTTTAGGGAAGCCTACTGAGATGTCTCAGTCCCCTCAAGTTCCTCTACCTTTCTACCTATCAAGACAAAAGGTTTCTATATATCAGAACAAAAGGCATGATAGGAAGCTAAAGGGGTCACAATACATTATAGAAAAGAGTTAATATACAGTAATTAGAAAAATGTGTTGCCTCCAAATGCAAGAAAAGAAATCCCTAGAGTCTTTTCAGCAAAGAATAATAGTGGTCTTTACTTTCACAAAGATTAACTTATTTTCATGAAAATCTATGAGAAGTTTCCAGGTCCATAAGACAATGATAGCAGCCTAAGTTATAATCTCTGCACATATCCTCAAAAAAAGTTACAGATGAACAAGGAGAGCAAATAAAATCATGCCTATCATGACTTGCAATATAATGTAAAAACAAAGAACTTCACAAATCTTAATTTATAACTAATTGGGAAAATAAGCTACTTATGTTCATTGAGTTGGCTCCAAAACTTACTCCAGAGCAGAATAGAGGGTTAGGTGGGGAAAGCAGAGAAGAAAGGAGAATGAGGAAGGATAGAATCAGAAAACGTCACTTAAAGCTGTTAGGTAGAATATTCAAAATTAGATAAGAAAAAGAGAGACTCTAGTCATTATATAGAGGCTTTAGTAAAGGTAACAGCTGCGTCATGAATACAAACTGTTATGTAACAAAGGTAGCCAAAACAAAGCAAATAAACAAAAGCAATTTAAAGGTTTAAAAAATAAAAAAGAGAAAGGGAGATCATATGGTGCAAGTCACTGTACAGTGAAACTGTACAATGTACACAGTAAAATAACTGATAGAACTGAAATGAAACATATCAGTCATGGTCATGAATGTAAATGAGTATAACTCACATATTAAAAGGAAAATATTTTTAAATTGGCTCACAAAGCAAAATCAGCTCTGCACAGTGTACACTAGATGCACCTAAAACAAAGAAGTGAAGAAGGTCCGAAAATAAGAACTGAGAAAAATGTACCAGCAAATGCAAACAAAACGAAATTGGGGGTTATGATCTTGATGTCTAACAAGTTAGAACTCAGAACAGAAAAGGGATAAACAACACAAAGAAGAAACTTTATAAAGGCAAAGGCCACAATTCAAAGCAAAGACAAGATAGAAACTTTCCCCTCTCAGCCACCTTCCTAAAGCAGAAACTAGAAGAAATGCAGAGACAGAAGCACACAAACATCAGGTGACTTGACATGCCATGCTCAGCCTGAGAAAGATAATGTGGATAAAAAATAAATAAGGATAGAGAAGACACAAACAACAAGTAAATAAGATGGATTTATTTTCACTCTCTTAATAGAGAATATTCTCTCATGCATATTGGACATTTATAAAAATTTACCAATTCACCACATGTTAGTGGTGAATTATAAATAAATTATAAAAATGTATTCTTAAAAGTGCTAATAAAATATAAAATTCTGTGATTATTATGAAAAAACTGGACTCAAATGAGGAAATGCAAACCAATATCACAGATATTGTAAAAAACAATGATAAAAAACTGTGATTCAGAATCACATATCTTTAATCATGCAATTAAAGCAGTGATCAGAAAAAACTTATGGTAGTGATATAGAAGGGCTGGGCTCCCAGCTAAACCTGTGAGGAGTGGCCAGTGGCGGACTGAGTGAAATAAGTTACTCCAAAGGGGGTCAAGGGAACTATCCTATCTCAGTATTAAATATATATGTCAATAAAAATGGACAATGACAATAAATTTGGAAAACAAAATAAAGAGAACAAAGGAGAGAAATCAGAATACAAACAGAAACTAATGAAGTAGAAAAAGAAAAATAGCTATACCATAAATAAATATTGGTTTAAAAAATAAACAAAATAGACAATCACTAGCTAATCTAATCAAAAAGGTAAGATTGTATATGGGAAGGGGATAAGAGGAAAGAACACAAATATACAAGATAAAAAATGACAAAGAAAAATAACCATTGAAACAGAGAAGATTTAAGTAATGAAAAAGTGAATAATTTTGTAGAAAAACATAATTTGTCAAAACTGATTCCAATAAAGAAAACAGACCAAGTACTATAGAAGAAATAGAGAAAGTCAACTGTTACTTCTCACTCTCAAAAAAATCAGAAGGTCAAGATGATTTCACAGGGGAATTCTACAGAAACTTCCAAATCCATGTCATCCTATTTGTATAAGAACATAGAAAAATGATCTTCCAAACGTTTCTGACAAAAACAATGAACATTAACAACAAAACTTGATGTAAAAAATATTTTTTTCCTCAAACCTAAAGACTATTTTCACTTACAAATGTTGATGCAATAGTCTAAAATAAATATTAACACTGCCAAACAGCATATTAGCAAAATAATAATTCATTAGGACAAAAGAGAGTTTATATAAGAAAGGCAGGATAAATCAAGAATTAAAAATCTGCAAATATACTAGACCTGTGGAGAAAAGCTATATGTTCATGCATGCTGAAAAAACATTTGCAAAACTTAATTCACATTTCCAATGGAAACACATAATAAAAGTAACCAGTGGATATTTTTCAATATGATAAAAGATTTATATCTTACCCAAAAGTTGGTATATATTTAATGGAAAAATACTTAACTTATTCTTTCTGAAGTCTAGCCCCAGGCAAGAATGCCACTTCACTATCCTTCAATATAGAACTGGAGATTTTAGGACACAGATTCTGACAAAAGTACAAAATTAGAGACAGAAGAATTAGAAAAGTTATGTTAAAAATACTTCTATTTGAAGATAATATGATATGGCTGTATGTCTTGAAAACCCATGAACATCTATAGAAATATAACACAACTAATAAAATTTTAGTACAGTTGCAGAATATTAAAATAATGTATAAAAATCAATATTCTTCATTATATCACATTAACAGAATTAAGGACAACAATATATGATCATCTGAATTGATGCAGAGAAAACATTTGACAAAATTCGACACATTTTAAGATAAAAACAGTCAACAAAGTAGGAATTAAAGGAAACTATTTCAATGTTATAAAAGCCATATTGATAGTGACAGGAGACAGACAAATTCCTAGACAGACAGTGATGGGTCCTTAGTGAAACTCAACCTTCAAGCCAAGGAAACTCTGAAGCCTGAAAACCAACCTACCAGTTCTGATAGAATCCATGGACTGGAGTGAGAACTTCCATCCCCATTTTGCCACTCTCTCTCTATTGGCTCATTCTAAATGCTACCTTTTAACAAATCAAATGGTGCCTTTTCCAAGCCTACCCATAAACCAATCCACATGTGTTTCCCCATTCTAAGCCCATAAAACCCCCAAACTCAGCCTCACAGACAGCTACCCATTTTGGGGTCCCTCTTGCTGTTGAGAGCTTTTCTTTCACTCAATAAATTCTACTCTGCCTTACCCGCTTCTCTGGTGTCTGTGTACCTTATTCCTCTTGGTCATGAGACAATACCCAGAACTCATCAAACTGTGGGAGCAAAAGAGCTGTAATGCTCCTGCTTGCTGAACTGTGGGCTGTGGGAGAAAAAGAGCTGTAACACTCCTGCGTGATGAACCACAAGGGGTGAAAAAAGCTGCAATGATATATAAAAAGTCCACAACTAATATTATCCTCAATGGTGAAACACTGAAAGCTTTATACCTAAGATCAGGAGCAAGACAAGGATGCCCACTTTCACCATTTCTATTCAATATAATACCAAAAGTTCTAGGCAAAACAATTAGGCAAGAAAAATAAAAGCATTCAAATTGGAAAGGAAGAAGTAAAATTATCTCTACTCACACATAAAATGACCTTATATGTAGAAAACCCTAAAGATCCCACACTCAGAGAAAAACTATTAGAACAAAAGATGAATTCAGCATAGCTGTAGGATATAATCAACACATAAAGTAGTTGTCTTTTCATACAATAACTATGAACTATCATCTAAAAAAGAAATTAAGAAATAATTTACAACAGCCTCAAAAAATGCTTAAAATGCTTAGGAATAAACTTAACCAAGGATGTGAAAAACTTATACATTGAAAACCACAAAGCACTGCTGAAAGAAATTAAAGAAGACACAAATGGAAAGACATCCTATGTTTATGGACTGGAAGACTTAATATTGCTAAGAAATCAATACTAACTAAAACAATTTATAGATTCAACACAATCCACATCAAAATCTCAAGTGTCTTTTTTTTGCAGAAATAGCAAAAAATCATCCTATAATGAACATGGGATCTCAGGAAACCTTGAATAGCTAAAATAATCTTGAAAAAGTAAAACAAAGTTGAAGGATTTATGCTTCCTGATTTGAAAACATTACAAAGCTATTACAGTCAAAATAGTATGATACTCGTGTGAAGGCAGACATATAGATTAATGAAATAGAATAGAGTCCAGAAACAAACCTAAATGAGGGTGCCAAGATCAGTCAATGGGAAAGAGTCTCTTCAACAAATGGTATTCGGAAAACTGGATATGCACATGCAAAATAATGAATTTGGAGCCTTATTTTATACCATATACAAAAATTAACTCAAATATATTAAAGGCTTAAATGTAAAATCCAAAAATGTAAAACTCCCAGAAGACATATGAAAAAAATCTTCATGATATTAGATTTGCCCATGATTTTCATACATAACACCAAAAGCACAGGTAACAAAAGAAAAAATAGACAAAAGGGACTATGTCAAATTTAAAACTTTTGTTCATCAAAGGACACAATCAATTGAGTGAAAGGTGGCCTACAGAATAGGAGAAAATATTTGCAAATCATGTATCAGCTGAGGGGTTAATATCTAACATATATAAAGAACTACTATAACTCAACAACAACAAAAAATCAAATTACTCTAAAAATGAGTGAAGGACTTGAATATACATTTCTTCAAAGATGATATGCAAATGTCCAATAAGCATATGTGAAAATGCTAGATATCCCTAATCATCAGATAAATGCAAACCAAAACCACAATGAGATATCAGTTCACATCCATTTGGATGGCTACTATAAAAACAAAACAAAACAAAACAGAAAATAACAAGTGTTGGCAGGGATATGGAGAAGTTAGAATACCATGCAAAAAATGCTCAATGATGGGGGGCTATCCCTAACAAATACTACAACATATTCTAAACGCTCTAAAATAAACATAGCATGGCACATGGATAGACAGACTGAGCAATGAAACAATAAAGTACATAAATAGATTGTTGAAATTTGGCAAATGATAAAGGCAGCATATTTAATCATTGGGGAAACACGACCTATTAAGAAACAATGTTGAGAAAACTAGATAGCCATTTAGTAAAAGATAAAATTGACAAATATCACAATGTCAGAAAAAATTCCACATTAATCAGATATCTAAAATGGAAAAAAATTATAAAAAGTATCAGAAAATATGAGTAAATTTATTTATAGTTTGGAAATAGGAGAAGCCTTTCTGAATATATGGAAATTTTAGTAAAATGACCTGGAAACAATGACTTGATAGCAGTGAGTGCACTCAGGGCCCAAATTTTAGTTTTTGATATCATTCCTACTCAATGGAAGCTGGGATCCTGACGAGAGAGCTGATTCTGGGTCTGGATCAGGGAATTTATAAAGTGAACATTTTGTTTTGGGGTGCAGGGAAAGAGAAATGGCACTGAAAATGGCCCCTATCCAAAGTCACAACACTCCTTTTGGCACGTCCCCTCACTACTCCTCACCCTAGGCCATATTTAGGAAAATGTGAACATAAAAATGAAAGTGACTCTAATTGGCTCTGATTGTAAAAGAATAAACAAAAATCCAGGAGTCCATAGTGATTCTTTTTCCTGTGTCCAATATCCCCTTCTTTTGCCACACAAAAGCCAGAAAGATTGATCTAAATTAAGATGTCACTTTTCTTCCTAGAACCCTTCAATGATTTCCCTTGGCTTTTAAAATCTAAAATCTTTGCTATGACCGCTAAGGCCTTGAATGACCTGAGCCTTATTTCACTGCAACTTTATCTCCTATATTCTCTCTCTCGCTCAGTGCCTTCTTAAACACACTGGCTCCTTTTCTCTTTCTTGAACACATCAAGCCCCTTTGCTACTTGGGGATTCTGTACCACATTTATTTCCTCCGTGACATTTATAGCAATCTTCAATTATCCTGTTTCTTTCTTTCTTTATTTGTTACCTGTCTTTCCCAGGAGAATATGAATTCCAAAAGGGCAGAAAAGTCTGTCTCTTTACTGTCATATTACAGTCCCAAGTGTAGTGACTGCAAACAGTTGGCTCTCAGTGGCTATTTCTGAATAAATGTATGTTATATGAATGAATGATGAATAAATTAAAAAAATGGGCCTTCTGACTTCCAGTTCCAATCTCTCTTTGTGACAAGGCTCTCTTTTTTTTCTCCCTGTTTAGTTCATCTCTGTATGCACATGGACCATCCTGCATATGTTATGCAGCCTAAACGCTTACACATTACAGCTTTCCATGTAACTATCAATGAAATCATCTGATATTGTTACTGTTTTTCCTCTTAGAAGGATAATATTGGAAAGGTCCTTAGAAAATGCCTGTAATCCTCTTGTTTTACAGATAAGGAAACTGAGGCTTGTCATGTTGTATATATTGCCCAAGTCACAGCTAATTAGTGGTATATGTGAAATTACAACCTACATCTCCAAATTTTCTAGTTCAGTGGTCTTTTCAGTACCCTTTCTTTCTCCATACTGGTTTACCCCTTAATCTTCAGCTTCCTAACTCTCCCCAGCACACAATAGGAATAGGAAAAAGATTGTATAAGTGAAAATGAAGTCCTGAGAGTATCTTAGAATCATTTGGTGTCCCCAGGAGAGAGCATTTCACTGAGCTAGTACACATCATTGTGTTCCTATGCAGCATTTTTGAAATCACTAGTGTGCCCTCCGAGTGAGATTAGCCTCAGATGACATTACGTCTTAGGAGGCTAGATGCTAGCACATCCCCAGTGTGTGCATTTATGTAGTCTACTGTTCCCTAAGAACCACCTTGCCAATTGTAGGGATGGAAAAATTATAGCCGGAATTCCATAGCAATTATTTCTGTATTTCCCATGTTTGTTCAAATGATAAATGTAAAACCATCACCTATTTTTAAGTCATTTGAGCCTATTGACTCAAAAGAACAGGAAAGCCATGTCAGGACAATTTTGTTTTATGAAAAAGAAAGGGTGGGGGCTTCTGCTATTCTTTAAATAGTCTAAAAGTTTAAGGTTGTTTTTTACACAGAACTGTGCAGTTAATTGGAATTGAATAGCCTTGCCTTCCTCGTAAATGAAGCCCATTCCCAAGATTAAGATACTAAATCTTAATCATGGGATGTCCCTGAGGCAAGGATGTGCATTGAAGTGTAAGCAAAGGTTTAGCAAAAAACATACTATTCCAATGGGCACAGAGTCTGCAAAGGGAGCAAGGCCAACTCTTCCGGAAGAATGTTTACTTTGATATTCATGAAGTTTTCATTGTCTTACTCTGCAGTCTTTTCCTTAGCCTCCATGGCTTAGTAATTCATTTATCCATTGCCATGTAGTATCAGTTATTCATATGGCAGAACACTGTGGGTTAGGGACACAAAGATGGTACAACTCTCCCTCTTTCCTTAAGAAACAATTTAATAAAAGTTTAGCCTACTTATATTACGTACAATGTATATGTACCTCTATTTAAGCCATGTAATGGGGGAAATGAATAGAAATGACTTCAGAGTGTAGCAGGGTTTGAAAGAAGTTCTGAGGTCATCTTGGCCATTGCTACTCAAAGTGTAGTCCCTGGGCCAGAAGCATCAACACACCAGGAATCTTCTATGAAATGTAAAATCCTTGGCTTCCCCTCAGTTCTACGGAATCAGAATCTGTAATAAGGTCTTCAAGTGATTCCTGTAAACATTAAATGTGAAAAGTCTTGATCTAGTCTCTTTGGATTTGTTCTATGTTTACAGACACAGAGAACTGTAATTCTGTGATGAATATATATTCAAACCAACGTTTGTCCCTGTCTTCCACTCAATACCACACAATTGTATCCAACTTTGGCTACCCTTGCATAGGTACAGCCTCACCTACATTTCAGAAGAAAGGATGAATCATTTAGGGCAATAGCTGGGTACTTGGACACAGAAAACAAGAGAGTGAGAGAGGTAGAGAACAAGAGAAGGAAAGAGGTAGAGGGAAGAAGGGAGAGATGCTAACTATGATCTCTCCTGTATCAAAGGACAAATATCTTTCTAAAAAATATGAGAGGTGGTATGGCAAATTGTATTATTGTTCTCAATTATTTCTTCTCCTTCCCTATAGGGGGCTTGTACGTCTCTATCTTTTGCCATGGGACAAAGTGCCTTCCTGGAGAAGTTGTTTTTCTCCTATTGACACCAGGATTGGCCTAAGGACTTGTGTTGGTCAAGGAAATGTGAGTTTTAAAGTCATTAGAAAGTTCTAGCTTATCTTCTTGCCCTTTCCCTTGGCCTTGAGTTTGGAGAGGCTCCTCTCTAGATACTGGAATAAACAAGACACATGGAAGAGGAACAAAGCTGCCACCAAAATGTAACCTGCATTAGAAACAGGCCTTTGTTGTTGAAACTCACTGAAATTTGAGAATTGTTTGTTCCTGCATTTTAGCCTAGAGAAAGCTGAATAACACACATGGCAATCTGTGCTTCCTACAATCAAGGGTAATCCCAATATATTTAATTGAGAAAAATGATGTTAAATGTAAAACATTCTCTGCACTATTAACATTTACCATGTAGATACATTATGGAATAAACAAAGTATAAGTAATCCCATTTTGAGGGTCCAAAGAACCTAGTGAAGGATGAAAAGAGGTACCCACCTAACCCTGGACATCAAGGCAACTGATTTAAAATTTTAATGCACATATTTTCATGCCTGGAATGCATTTTAGGTATCTGAAATATTTTTCAGGTTATTAAATGCATCATAGTGCATTTTTGCCTTCCAAAAATTATTATGGTTTTACATTTAACATATTTATTCTCAATTAAATAGTTCGAAATTACACTGAAATAAAGTTAAAACTTTCCATTAACTTGGTACAAAAACATAATCAAAATATTGAGAGACAAGAACATTGTTTTAAAAAGTTGAATAAGCTATTTGTTATTCCTTTAACAACAATAAAAATGAATAGTGTCTGCTTTTATATTAGTTGGAATTTCTAAGGTTAACCTTATAAACAAATTAATTATTAATAGGATTCCAGATTCTAAGATCAATTTCCAGTGCTAATAGTGATAATGGCTCATATTTTATATACTTTTATTGAATTAATACACTTGAATATAAATAATATTTGATTTCTCTCAGCAGTCTTGAGATAGAAATAGGAGACTTAACAGCCTTCTTACCCAGAGGTTAGCTCAGACTCCATACTATACAATGGCATAACCATGGCCACACACTAATGGAGGAGCTTAGGCAGAATCATGGTTTCTGAGTTCATTCTGGCCTCTCCATGCGTAAGAGATTGCCGAAGCTACCTACCAATTTACTTCATGTGTTGAAACAGACTAGAAGGTTGAAGAAATTTTGTACCACTTGGAATCTGTCGATTTGTTTTTAGTTTTTCTCTACTCCTTCCATCTCTCCCTACTCCCGTATTTTATAATTCACAACTATCTAAAGGCTTTGGTACATTAAGTATTCTTATAAAATGAACTCTCTGGACAATTTAAGTAACCAATAGCAGAAAAGGTCCTTGGCACAGCCTTTATCTTAGCTGTACTATTCTCTTGGGTTTTGTCTTGACTACCAGAATCCTTCCTCACCCAAAGAAATTGCGAAGACAGACATCTGGAATTCATTGGCTGAGGCTCACCTTAAGACCTCACAAAGCCCAATTTGCAGACTGGTGATTTTCATTTTTCACATGAGCATACCCACTTAAATACAAAGAACACTGAGTTTTACTTTTTTATTTACAGAGTAAATAAATAAGTAAATGAATAAATAAATAAGTCAGTTGAATGAATGAATAGGATTATTGGTTGCTTGGACCTAGCATACTACCAGAGTGGACTCTATTTAAGTCTTCTGTTTTATGTCTATAATGTTGCCTCCAACCCTCTATTCTCTACCAGCCTCTATTAAACACAAGATATTCTGCTTAATAAAGACATCTTGTTAATTAAGAGGTGGTCGAACTGTTTGGAGTCCTAACTCCAGCAAATTTATGGTCCTTGAATATAGTTAGGCACAAACTTTAATCTTGCTTCTGCCTTCTTTGAGTTGGGGATGAAATGATAAAGATATAACATTTTTAGATGATAGAAGTGAGTTCTCTTTTCACAAACTTCCAAAGTGATTTGATAGCCATATAATATTGGCCCTTGATACTAGATATTTTACAAAAAAACAAAAAAAAAAACTGAAGGTCAGAAAATAAGTTCGTCTCAGAGTCCCAACTAAACCACAAATATCCTGATTCCTCATTTATTCTACTTAACTCCCTCCCTTCTGATTAAAGAGACAGTCTTGGTTTTAAATGAATTGCTTTCCTGGCCATTAACTTTTGGTTAGTTAAAAATAAATTCTGAGAGCCTACTCTCTACAAAACATGCTGTTAGATATTATGGTTACTTCAAGGATGTACAAAAGTGATCCCTTCCTTGCAGAAGCTTATCAGCAAGTTAGGGAAATCAGACCAGGCATGACAAGTAAGGTAACAGTGAACTCAGTAACACTTGAGCACTAACTGGTATACGGGCCACATGAGCCACAGGGAGTGCTGGGATGGCCAGGATAAATTCCAAAGAAAAGGTGGCCTTGGCCCTAATAAGAAAACAAACAACTCAATTTTTAAAAAAATAGTACATGATCTGAATAAACACTTCATCAAAGATGTACAGATAAAAAATGAGCAAATGGAGAAATGTTCAAGGTCATATGTCATTAGAGAAATGCAGATTGAAACAACGAGATACCTCTACACACAGGTTAGAATGATCAAATTCATAACATTAACAACACCAAATGCTGGTGAGGATGCAGAACAGCAGGACTCTCATTCTTTGATGGTGGGAATGCAAAATGGTATAGCCATTTTGGAAGACAGTTTGGCAGTTTCTTATGCAACGAAACTTATTCTTATCATACAATGCGGTAATCATGCTTCTTGGTATATACCTAAAGGAATTGAAAATTTATGTTCACATAAAACCCTGTACGTGAAGTTTTATAACACCTTTATTCATAATTGCCCAAATCAGTAAACAATTAATTAGCCCTTCAATAGGTGACTGGCTAAACAAACTGTGGTACAATGGAACATTGTCCAATGCTAAAAAGAAGTGAGCTGTTAAGCCATGAAAAGATAAGAAGAAAACATAAAAACATATTTCTAAGTGAAAGAAGCCAATCTGTCAAGATTACATACTGTATAAGTTCAACTACATGACAAAGGAAAAGGCAAAACTATTGAGACTAAAAGGATCAGTGGTTTCTGGGGGTTAAGGGGATAGGAGGGAGGGACAAACAGGTGAAGCTTGGGGTAATTTTAGGACAATGAATCTATTCTATGTGACACAGTAATGATGGGCGTATGTCATTTTACATTTGTCAAAACCTATGGAATGTACAATGCTATGGTATGTTGTATTGATTGAACACTATTGTAAACCATGTATTTTAGTTTCTAATAACGCATCAATGTTGATTCATCAATTTTAACAAATGTAGTACATTAATACAAGATATAAATAATAGGAAAAGGGTGCGAAGGGAATATGTACAAACTCTCTGTGTGTTCTGATGAGTTTTTTCTGTAAAGATAAACTGCTCTGAAAACTTGTAATTTTTTCTTTTTTTTTTTTTTTGAGACGGAGTCTCACTCTGTTGCCCAGGCTGGAGTGCAGTGGTGCGATCTTGGCTCACTGCAAGCTGCGCCTCCCAGGTTCACGCCATTCTCCTGCCTCAGCCTCCTGAGTAGCTGGGACTACAGGCACCCACCAACATGCCAGGATAATTTTTTGTATGTTTAGTGGAGATGGTGTTTAACCGCGTTAGCCAGGATGGTCTTGATCTCCTGACCTCGTGATCCACCCACTTCAGCCTCCCAAAGTGCTGGGATTACAGGCGTGAGCCACCGCGCCAGGCCATAAATTTTTTAAAAGTCATAATATTTTTTAAAAAGTGGTCTTGGACTAGTCAGGATTCATACAGGCCAAAAAGGTGAGGTAGGGGGTTCCAGGCAATGGATGCAGCAGAGCACAAAACCTAAAGGGAGGAGGCTATATCCACAATGAGGCAGAGAGAAGTAAGCATCACCAGACAATTGGGTCTGCTAGTCCTTGTCACTGCAGCTCTGGATTTAAAGCTTCAAATTAGTGTCAAAAAGGCTGCATTCGAATCCTGGTTCTACAACTTAAGGTTATATGAGCTTCTTTAAATCCCTTAAGCTTTCCGACCTGCAACGCTGGGTAAAATTAATATATACAAGATTGCATAAAGGTGCAAATGAGATAATGCATGTGAAATTTCTTTGTGAATTTTGAAGTGTTAAAGAAATAGTTGTTATTGTAAAAAGAGAAACCTTCTCACTGCTTTCATGGCTTTTATGGTGACCCTCTCTTGGCAACTAGCTACCATGTACCAGAGCAGATTTTCTTGTTGAAATGGAATTACTGAAGTTTACACCTGCTTTCTCTATCTTATACTGAAGTCTCTCTTAAACATTGTCTTTATGACTTATTTGTATATCTGGCTAGTCTTCTGCTGATACACCAAGTTTGGAATGGTATCAGACATTCCAAAAGCAACTTTAGTGGTATTAAGTGCCAGAAATCTGGGATGGCTGTGAACAGGATCTGAAGGAAATCAGGTCTGGGATAACAGTACTTGAACTTGGTGATTTTTTTTCCTTACCTCCCACTTCCTTCTCCTTTACATTGCTCTCTACCCCCATCTCCCCTTCAATGGTGATTTTGTAATGTCTTCTGCTCAAAATCTCTATGAAAGACAAAATCAAGTTAAAAGGCAGCTAGAGACGGCTCTGGGGACAGTTTTTTATAGGTAACCTTTTCTTACCATTGACGAGTATTGCATCAGGTGAAAGAGTTCAAAGCAACCCATACTTGATCTCAACAAATTCAGCATGCCTATTATGTAAAAAACAGAATAATGTTTAACCATTCTTAATGTGGGAATAAAGTTTAGAGCTTCTTTTTATAGATTATCTAATTTAATTTTCACAAACCTTTGGTGATGTGTGCTTTATTACCAACCAAATTTTACAAACGGTGAAACAGGTTCAGGGATTTTCAGTGCTTTGGCCTAAGTTCACACTCATTCCTCAAAAAGGCAGAACGCAACTCCATTTCTGCTGAGTTTAAGCCCAATTTCCTTTCCTCTTGAGTCTTTCTCTCCCACTTTCCTCCTAAATGACAGATATTATGATGTTTTGGTGTGACAGTCACTTAAGAATGAAAACTCAGCCAATTGAACAGGATGTGTTTGTGCCTATGGAGGCAACAATCCTCAGGTGGTTTCATTCAACAGACTATAAACATTTAATGAGATCTTGTGTGTTCGAAACTTGTTGTAGGCACTATCATTTTAATGACGAAGAAAATGTTCTTCCCACTACCAGGAAATTTTCAATCTCATGGGAGAGAAAAACGTACCTCTCATAAGGTACTGAGATGGGGATAGTTCCCTTGAATCCCCTTGCGGGCGGGAAATGGAGTGGCTCATTTCACTCAGCCCGCCAACTGGTCACTCCTCGCAGCAGGCAGCGAGTGTGGGAACCGGAGGCAACGAACATTGGAACCAGCAGTCACTCCTCTCTCGGGGGAGCAGGCTCTGTGCGGGCCCCACAGCAGCATTCAGGTGTGTTACAGCCATGTTCTTTCAAGCCCTGCTGTCTGGGGACGGCTAAGTGCCAACCAACCAGTTCAGTGGAGGGTCAGGGTGGCAAGCCCCTGCCCTGTCGGCACCCGGGTTCTTGTCCAGCATCCAGGAAGAATCAGGTCACACATGAAAGGTGATGAATGCAGAAGACTTTATTGAGCGGCGGGTGGCTCTCAGCTGAAAGGGAGGCTGGAAAGGGGATGGGAAGATGTTCTTTCCCTGAAGCCAGGCCGTCTCTGGCTGGGCCCCTCTCAGAAGCCACACCATCTGCAATTAGCCTCTTCTTTCTGTAGTCTCTGAAGCTCAGTTGCTTCTCTGCTTACCGTTCAGCCACTTGTATCCTTGATGCTCAGCTGCTTGTATTGCTCCGCCAGCTGGAGTCGTTTATGGGCACAGGGTAGGGGTAGAGCAGGCCAAAAAGGCAACACTTGGGTGGAAAAGCGGGGTAAGCTGTTTTCATTTAAGGCCGCAGTTCCAGGCTTAAGGGTGGGATTTAGCTGGGAGCCCAGCCCTTCTGTATCAGTACCTAAAGAGTACAGCTTTTATGATCGAGGTATCCAAAAACTATAGTGGGCAAGAATAAAACAGAGATGGACAGAAATAATTCCCTGTAGGAGGCAGGAGGAATGCGGGTAAGGAGACAAAGATAGAAAAGTCTGAGTATACGTTTATGTGGTTTTGACTTTTAAATTACGTGTTTTACATGTGACAAAATTGAATTGAATCAAGAAAAAAGACTACAGTGATGGCACATAGGAGTGAGACACTTGCGTCTTCTGGGGCATGGGAAGAGATCATAAAAGTCTTCATAGAGGAAGTAAATTTTGAAATGAATGCTTTTGTTTTGTGTCATGTTTAAAATTGTGGGTGTTTTAGCTTAGTCTGAAAAGGTGAGTGAGTGAATAATGCTTAAACTATTATCATCATTAACTTTTTTCCCCAATCACAGATAATGACACTTTCTGTACAACCCATTGAAATGGGGGACTGCTTGAGAAAGAGCAGGCATGCAGAGGATTGGGAAAACAAGTTGCTTTGGTGGTGATTAATAGTGCGACCACTGGGAAAACACTTTACCTTTCAACCTCATTTATAAATTGAGGAAGACTCCCTGGGTGGACTTCAAAATCAGTTTTCGTACAAGGATTCTACACAGAATTGCCAATAGCCTATTGCCTACACTGTGGGTATAATTTCTTGGGCTGTCATTTTAAAGAGTTGCTCTTAATGTCAACAAATGGTTATCCTTCACAATTAGTATGTAAACCTAGATTCTGGAGTGTATTAATTATTCTTCACTGTTGTGTTTATTTAACTATAAAATATTCATAACCTTTGTCTTGTAACCCCTGGCCTTTCTTTCTCATGGGAAGGAAAGAGAATCGCTCAGAAGGATAACCTTCCCACTTGGGTCAACAAGAGCTGCAACTGGTTCTAAGGAGGGTGTCTTATTGCTGTCAAATTGACCGGGGTTGTCACACATGAAGCCTGCTGTCACTGCATCTTGCCCAGAACCAGCCCCTTAGCTTGCTGAGTCAAGCTGTGCTGACTCCTGGTGATAGAATTTTAATGTGAGGAATGACAGAGGCCTTGGAGTTAATGTGTACGTGGAGGTGACAGTTTTGAATGTCAGCCAAAGCACAAAGGCCTGTCTGAAATTAATTTTGGGGGGTGGCAGAAAGTCATGGGAAGATGGAGAGAAATAGTATGATGGAGAATTGAGATAAGTTGAGTCAAATCTACCACCATCTGCTACAGATGAAAGCATCATTCTGTGTATAGACACAGAATATTTGAGCCTGGGAGGTTAAAAACAGAAGAGCATTGTCCTCATCAGATAATTCTGTAGCTTTAAGTTTTAGTCAACCTAGTGTGCAGCTTGCCACTTTTAGATCTCTATGACCCCAATTTCCTTTGTTAAAACAGAGTTGCAAAAAGTGGGCATGGATCTTCTGATGATATGAGTTAGAGCTTAATCATTTAAAGAGGCAATATTTAACTTTCTGGTAATAAAATAAGCTAAACTGCATTTTATGTACCTTAATTTTCCTTTTACATTGTCACTTATTTATACTTTTAAATATTTTCCTTGTTATTTAGAGGACAATATCACATCTTTAATCCACCTGTGGTAGGAAGAATAATGCCCAAATATGTCCACATCCTAATCCCTGGAATCTGTGGGTATGTTATATTACATGGCAAGGGAGAATTAAGGGAGCAGATAGAATTAAAGTTTTTAATTTTCCTATTTGAAAATTAAAAAATTAAATTTACTTTAATTAAATTAAAATTACAATTACTCAGGTAATCCCAGATTACCTGAGTGGGCCCAGTGTAATACAAAGGTCTTTAAAAGTGAAAGAGAATGGCAAAAGAAAAGTCAATCAGAGTTATGTAATATGGGACTCTACTGGTCATCACTGGCTTTAAAGATTTAAGGGGGCCATGAGCCAAGGAATGTGGGCAGTCTTTAGAAGATGGAAAGGCAAGGAAATAGATCTTGTTTAGAGATCCCAAAAGAAACACAACCTGCTAATACCTTTATTTTAGCCCATCCATATCAGACTTGTGACCTATAGAACAAGCCTGTGTTGTTTTCAGCTATTACATTTGTGGTCATTAGTTATAGTAGCAACAAGAAACAAATACACTGGCTTTTCAGGTCTTTCACGGTGTGAATCTGCTTTTGTCCTCAATTTTCCTAGATGTACCCTACCTCTGAATTCTGACACCGATTTCTAAACACACCTTATATATTACAAACTTGGTCATTCCATTTCCTGTGTCTGGACCCCACTGTAGGGCTAGCTAGCACTAGAGGAGAGCTATGGGTCCTAGGGGCTGATTGTGGTTAGACTTGCTACTTAATGTGGGTTAAGGGAAGCATGTGAGTCCATACCCTTGAAAAAGAGCAGAAGCCAAAAAGGAAAAACTAATCGCAAAAGCCAAGTTCAAAAACCATTTATAGAATTACAAACATGGGACAAGAGCAAGATTTTGAGGCCAGATGGCAATAGAAAAAAGCAGGGGATTAACGACATGTGTTCTGGGAAAATAGTGTTAGAGTTCTTGAGGGGCCTATGACTCATGTTTGTCATGGTCTAAAGTGACCTGTGGGATTGCTTTGTGTTGATCGAACGGTGGTACTTACGTGTGGCTGAGAGTTTTCTCCATTATCTTCAGCTACCCAAATTCTACCACCATTCGTAGCCTAGCTCCTCCACAATGCTTTCCTGAATATTCCAGCCCCAGTTATCTTCTCTTCCTTTGAAGTCTTAACGTTTACCTTTTCTATTCTTCATGTGGTAGTTGCAATTCCTGGCCCAATATTTTTATCTAAACAAAGGTATTGTATATACAATTGTAAAAATTTACATAATACAGTAAAACATAAAGAAGACTTCCAAATTATTCAGAATCTTAACCATTCAAAGATAATCACTGTCACATTTTGGCATTTATCTTCCTATACTGATACTGATACAATATTTTTTGTATGTGCACATACACGCGCACACATAGACACACACATAAATGTATTTCGTTCATATTCTCTGAAATAAAATATATTGAAGGAAATTGTATGTAATACAAATTAATTCAAGCTTATTACATATTAACTTAAACAAATTTGACATTAACAATATCTATATTATTATTCTGATATCTAAACTTTTCACCTGGACGTATCTTTCTAGCACAGACAAGTGATAAGTATCGTGAGGTAAGGTAGCAAGATTTTATGTATTTTTTTTTCTGTCCCCACAGATGATTAGCATACTACATTGCACATTTTAAAGGCTAAATACAGATAGATTAAAAAGTTGTGGCCAGAAACCTGTAAACACTTTCTACCTACAAATGTATAGTATTTGTTACTGATGTGGTTTCAGATTTTACCAAGTAATTCCAATAATTATTTCCATACAGAGAATTTTTTAAAAGTTGTGCCATACTACTGTTTTTACAGTGGTCAGGCTATTATAAATCCAGAGATTTGTCATTTAGCATCAGAATTACTTGTTAAAATGGGAAAGGAGATAAACAAAGATAGGGTCCTTGTTAACTCATTAATATTCCCTATAATGAAAAATGTTGCAGGAAAGAAATAGCCGCGGTAATACATGTAATCAATCTAGCCAGGGAAAAGTGATGTAATTTGTTATCTTTACAGAGTTGCTCTGTTTGCTAGTCAGCTAGTTGGCATATTTATCAAATGCCCAGTTGGTGCATAAGAGTATACTGTTTCTCTGGACTGCATGCTCCTTGAGCCTCATTCATTAATTCACTCACTTTTTCACTATTCTTTCTTTGGTTCCCATTTTTGGCGTGTCCATTATATGCACATTACTGTTATAAGTCCTGGAATAACAAAGGTGAGCAAGGCAGTTTTATTCTGAAGATAGACTCAGTGGAGGGGAAAGTCACAAAAACAGACAATTAAAACATGAAAGAATGTGGAGGTGAATTTTTTTACTTTTTTGAGGCTAGAGTCTCTTTCTGTCCCTCATGCTGGAGTGCAGTGGTGCAATCTGGACTCACTGCAACCTCCACCTCTTGGGCTCAATTGATTCTTGTGCCTCAGCCTCCCACATAGCTGGGATTACAGGCACACTCCACCACGCCTGGCTAATTTTTTGTATTTTTAGCAGAGATGGAATTTCCCCTTGTTGGCCAGGCTGACCTCGAACTCCTGGTCTTAAGTGATCTACCTGCCTTGGCATCCCAAAGTGCCAGGATTACACATGTGAGCCACCATCCCTGTCCCGGAAGTGAGTTTTAATGAGCTATGCAAAAGTATTATTTCTACCCTCAAAGAGTTTCAAGTTGAGTAACAGTGATGCTATTACAAAACAAAATATACTCTTTCATTCTGACTGCAATAGTATGCCCAGAAATGATCTGATTTGGGCAGAAGCAGAGTTCTTAAAGGGACTTAGTCCTTAGCAAGACTGAAAAGGAAGGTGCCACATTTTGTCTGTAATTCAGGAGATATCAGAGCATGCAGCAAGATATGTTGCAAGCATTCTTGCCTGAAAGGCACTGTACTAGCTTTCTAGGGCTTCCATAACAAAGCATCGTGGACTAGGTGGCTTAAATAGCAGAAACTGATTTTGTCAGAGTGCTGGAGACTAGCAGTCTAAGATCAAGGTGCCAGGAGGGTTGGATTTATCTGAGGCCTCCTTCCTTGGCTTAAAGATGGTCATCTGTTCCCTGTGTCTCCACATAGTCTTCCTTCTGTGTGTTTCTATATCCTAATCTCTTTGTTTTATAAGGATATCGGTCATAATTAATTAGGGCTTACCCATATGACCTCATCCTAACTTAATTAGCTCTTCAGAGAACCTATCTGTAAATACAGTCTGAGATACTGCGTTTTTGGAGGAGCCCAATTCAGCCCATAGCAGGTACCAAGAGTGGGTCTAACAGAGTCAGATATCCCAAATCCTAAAAAGAAAGAAATCGCTTGACCTTACCTTTTGAGGTTGCTTTAAACATTCCTTGATTCCTCTGGCCCACTGAAGACAACTATGTGTTCTAGGAATTTAAGAACTTGGGAAGGGGGCAAGAGAGGACATCTTAACCACAGTCCCTGCAATTGGCATGTGGTAGATTATTTAACTCATTCCCTACTCCAAGGAGTAATTCCCTCTGAAATTTTACAGTAGTCCTATAATAGGACTCTAAAGCATAGAACTGAGGGAATTGTAATATAATGGATGGTCCTTTAACTGCAGTAATAGGAAACCAAATGAAAAGTGTGTTAAACCAGTGTTTCCAAACTTCACTGATGTTGAGACTCACTGCTTAAAAATCACAGCTTTCCAGCCCCTTCCCTGTGATATTCTGATTTGGTGCCTGGGTAGGACCTAGAAATTTATACTTTAAAAAATGTTACCATATATATTTCTTATATTTACAGAAGTTTGGCAAGCAAATCAAGTCAACAATATCAGTTTGGGTCCAAGCTCTTTCTGTGTGCTCTGCTATCATTATTGTGTTTACCATCAGTGTGACTGTGACACTCAGGGCCACAAAATGATGCTGGTGTATTGCATTCACAGCAGAAGAGGAACAGTTTTTTCTGGCATGTTGCTGAGAGAAAGAAAGAAAGCGAGAAAGAGGGAGGAAAAAAGAAAGGAAGGACGAGGGAAGGAAGCAAAGACCCTAGTTCAGAAGTCCCTCAGATTATCTCTCCATTTGTCTCATTGCAGAACTGCAGGATATGCCCACCTTTAAACCACAGGGAAGGGAATAACCATGTTTGACCTAAACTATTCAGGATTTTCCATTGATCTTGTGATAGTTCAACTTTTTCTAGGTGTGTATCTTCACGAGATGGATGGACATCCAAATAATAAGGTGGAGTAATAAAGGATTGAATGGGCAAACCATGATGTCTCCTACAACTAAGTACAGTTAATACAACAATCTTACCAGTCAAAGTAAAATTAGAATTAGATAATGATGGTTGATAGTAAATAGCTAATATTTATTCAGTGTTTATTATGTGAATGACACTGCATTCTAAGGGCTTTATGTGAATTAAAATAATTAAGCCTACAAAATATGACGATGCAAGTGCTGTTATATTAATCCCACTTCACAAATGAAGAAACTGAAATGGTGATGTTAATTAGCTTATCTAAGATCATACATCTCTTAAGTGACTGAGCAAAGATTTGAGCCCTATCATGCCGGGCTGCTCCAGAACTACACTCTAAATCATATTCTATTCCACATGAACAGGTAACAAAGCAGTGCTTTACAAATACAAATAGTGCTTGTGTGACAATTAGTGAAATTGGTTTGGTGCCTAGTTGCATTGTTAATCTGTCCTCTATTTAACAAGCACAAATAAGCACCTTATATCAGCAAAGGACTATATCAGGGGCTACAAAATTTCAAGAATTAGTAAGAAGTGATGCAACTCTCCTGAAAGAATGTCCTCCAGTGGAGGATCTAGGCATTCAAACAATTATTTGTAATATAATATAAAATAAGGTAGAATGTAGCAAATAGTAAACAAAATACAAGGAACATGTTGTTGGATTGAAGATAAAACAGCAGTTAATTCCTACAGGGTAGATCAGAGAAGATTCACAAAGAAGAGTGTGTATGTGGAGAGAGAGGAGGATATTCCAGGCTGAGAAGAAGTGAGGAATCAGAATTGAATTATGTTATGTTGTATTCTGAGAGTAAATTGCTATGACTAGAATGTAAGAGACTTAGAGATATACTGACAACTGTGAAGATACTAACATTTAAAGGGGATGCCATGACACACATGAAATTTATACATGGAGAACCGCAATTATTAGATAGGGTTCTTATTAGGATGATGGGAGCTTTATTTTGACTCTTGATTTCTGTCTTTTGATAATACTGAAAGAAGGCTGTTTTTCTCCTTCCTCTACTTAAATAATTCATCCCCCACCTTTAGGGCCCATTTTAATTTTTTCCTTACAAATTTGGCCCTTATCAAAATATATCTTACACTCATTAAACTATTACTGAGTGATGGTTTTATCTTTTCAACTAGATTTCATATTTTCATCTAGAATTTCATAGAAGACAGGGATTATATTTTTAAATATTTTTGGAATTGACTTTAATGCCTGACCTAGTGTTGTTTATAGTGGATCCAATCAATAAGTGTTGAGTAATTGCCCACATTATTGTGATTCCCTGTAGGACTTCCCAGACCTTTAGTATATCACTTTCCCAGGTGGTTTGAGAGTACCTCTTAGTTTTTACTGGGAGAACTACATGTGAGGAAGCCTCACTTTATATGAAATAACTTCTCTGCCACTTTTTCCATTTTGCTGGAAAGTCAGGTAAGGAGATAGCCAGAAAGTTTTTCCAGCCTCTCATTAACAGTCCAGGGCATCGGTCAATGCTTTGGACAACTTATTTCCCAACTCTCTCAAGGGTTTACTTGATCTGCTACCTTTTTGACATCTCTTGCCTTAATAATTTTCCTCTGGGGAATCCATTCCATGGGCAAACCTGGCTGTGCATCTCTTCCCAGGGCAGTTACTTCTTTGTAGGTGTCCTGGGTTATTTTCATGCCAGGCAGCTTGAGCTCTCTAATCAAGACTTGTGTATTCAACTGACATTTTATCACCAACCCTGTGTTTAAGTTAATGAAGGATCGTTTCTCCCAGATACTTGTTACCATTACTTCTTATCTCATGCATTTGACTTGTTGTCAAAAATTTTTCAGAAAAACTGAGATGGCTGTTGCTGACCCACTGATCATGGGAAAGAGAAAGCTATTCCAGGACCTAAGGGCCTCCTCACTGGGTTCTCGTTGTCTGTTGGGACTTAGCCAACAAGGTATTCACAGACATTCAGGAAGTAAATGGCATTGCAAAGCTCCTGATGACCCCACAGAAATTTTCTGTATTTGTAGCGAACATTCTTGCTCATTTATTTCATACTTGAAAATTTATTTCAAATTAGCCCTATACTACAAGCTTCACTGGAGGTTATGGACATAAAAGCTTTCAAATGCAATCCTAGAAATATCTGATTATTAGAAATTCTCAGAGGTATGTTTATTTTCCTATATGTTTCAGGGCCTATTCCTCCACTATTTACTATTGTATTTCCAGTATCTAACAGTGATTGGAAACAGGTAGGTCAGAAATACAACAATTTAGAATGTAATCTATTTCTCCTTACTCCTGATTCTATGATATTTATTTCTAATCTGCTATAGCAGTCTTTTCTATAGAGTTCATGCTAGCCTCTCAACGTTGCCTCAGGAAGCTTCTGCAAGTTGGTTAGAGTTCGCATGCAACATGAAATCTACATATCATTCTCATAGTTAGCACCAAATACATATTTCTTAATGATTGAAATAATATTTTTCCCTGTGCATGACCCCTTCAGCATCTTCTCTGACGAATTACCATACTATGTCTACTTAAACATCTCTACATGAGAAAGAACACATCATTTCTTAAGACAGGTTCCCCCACTGTGATACAAATTAAACAGAAAGTTCTTTATATTTAGCAAAATCTTACCTTTATTAACTTATTAATCCACTTTTACATATACCAAGAACAATTTGTTGCAATTAGTTAATGCTTCCATAGGAATTAATTCCTATTCAGATACCATCCTACAATGGGTAACATTACCTGTTGTTTTCAGTTAGCTTTTCAATAGTGCTCATAATCAGTCCAACCAACTTGGTTTCCTCTCTTTAATTATGTCTGAATTAAAACTTTTTAATGACAACTACTAACACATACATTCATATACCCACGTGTGTGTACAATGTGTCCTATATGAAACAAAAACATTATGAAATACATAACCATTCAAAAATATTACACAGATACAAATGTCCTGATGTTCTATTGTTAAATATCCAAGATCTTCACACTATGTTTTAGCTAAGTATTCAGCCAAGGATGTATTGGTGCATGTCTCTGCACAGGTTGTAATCTTAATTTTCTTCTTTTATTACCTTGGTTGTTAGCGTCACCTAGTTGTCAATATTAGACAAACCACTTTCTATTTCAGAGATGCTAAGTATGATAAATATTCAATCTCTGCAATTGCTCCAAGTTCTGTTCTTATAGGCCATCTGCCCTGACTACATAGAATTCATCAACAACATTTTCATGGATCATGCATTCTTCACTTCTGTTTTGCATTTCTGTTGTACAGCTCTTCACAGCTCTCTTTAGGATGGGAAACTGCTGTTGTAATGAGAAGGATTTTGTAGAACCTCCCATGTGCATGTGGAGAAAAGAAATTCTTCTATGATAACAACTTCCCAGAGGACTCACATATTAATCAAAAGCTCTTCCCTCTTTGTTTTCTTTCTGTTAGTAAAAATAATCCTACTGACACTAACTGCCTGTCTTTGGAAATTAGGGTAATAAGAGCTGGAGCTTTAATATTTAAAACTGTTTCATGCTTATGTTAGGGGGTTATATGCTCTTCCTCTAATCAACGTACGTTCTCTGATGTTGTTTCTCTTTACCAATGTTACTTAGCTCATGGAGAAGGGTGGTGATTTTGCCTATTATTTGTCAAGAGGAGGCAGAGTCTTAAAATGATTTAACCTCTCTTCAGTGTTTGGTGAAAGAAAGACCCTAGGAACTCAAGCTTTCCATTTCATAGCCTATTGGTAACCCCTATTTTTACTTATTTTAATGAATAATTAGGTAAGACTTCTTCTTCCATCGACCTATAACCACTTCAGCTCCAGAGAATGAAAGTAGGTGCTCCATTGAGCCAACGATTATTACTGAGCCCTTTCAGAAGACAGCAAATGTAACAGGACACTTAATGAGTGATCATTACATGTGGCAGACACATTAAATGTTACAGGCAAGTAATAATTTAACATACAAGGAAATCAAGGTCAGATAAACTAACTGTGCTTGAAAGTCAACATTTGAACTCAGAACATTTGAATCTAGAGCATGCTTATATAACCATATCATCTAACTGTTTCCTAACACAGAGCATGCTTCTAACTCACATATGATAAGACTGTGTTGCTTCTTGTCTAAAACCAAGAATTATAGTTTATATCCATTTCTGATGTTTAAAACTGTAATAACAAAATAAACTCAACCTTATCTTTTCATAAGGAGGGGGAGTCTGGAAGAGGTGAAGTTGGAGGTAGGAAAGGGCGCACAAGAATGTATGTACCCAGACATTTGCCAGAAGTATTCCAATTGCACATTTCCCTACTGGGTAAATTATCATTCCCTGTCTCTCATTAGATTAGGCAGATATGGAATTATTGCTCATAGAATGTTATTTCTTAAAACTTTCTCTCTCAAAGGCATGCATTTTGGAAATAAGATCTTACTCCTCCAGGGAAGTCAGAATCTCAGTTGTTTTGCCATGAAACAAAGTGATGTCTGCATTAATGTGCTGCCTTCTAAATATCTCAGAGAACTTTCCTTGAATGAACTTATTTTTCCTCTCAACACCCTGGTGAGATGACAGGTGGCAAACACTATTAATCCCATTTTGCAGATGAAGAAATACTGCTAATCCTCGATTTCTATTTGAAGAACATGCTATGCCCTGGAGTATGTGTCAGTTTATACATCTGTTTGGTTCCACCAAACATCTGAGAAATATTATCTATGAGCTCTGAGTTCTTTTTTTTTCCTCTAAGTTTTAAATTTGTCATTTACATCTCTGAAATCCTAAGAATTGCTACATTTAGGTGCTGAATAATATGGTCTAGAAAGAAACACCTATTAGGAAGTTGAGACGCTTTTCCATTGTCTGAAACATTTAGCAATACAAGATGGGAATTCATATTAGAAAAACAAATCTGAAGGAAAGTTATATTTCTTTTAACTAACAGGGAACTCATGAAGGCACTGGTTAATGCTGAAGCAGTGAAAGCGGAAAAGTCATAACATGTACTCTTTACTCAAAGGGAGTAACACCTCATTCCTTTATACCTGTGTCAGAAATGAGCAATGGTGACTTAAATTGGGTTTAGATAGCATAGGTCAATCAGAATAACAGTGAACTGTAGTCATGCCCAAGTTCTCAGAAACCATCTGAATGGTTCTAGAATCAGAAGCATAAATTTGACATTTGGCATAGCTTATACATGACAGTAATAACTATTAAATGAATAACTACAGTGTTTGACATTGTGTTGTGTATCTTGCATTATCTTGTTATAGGAGGACAAAGGCAAGAGCTACAGCTGAATACTTGGCAAGGTCTGCTGAAGTCTTTTAAGCACCACGTTGTAGCCCATTCCCACACAGCTGTAGTAGAGCAGCATGGACAGAGGAAGCAATGATGAAATAGCTCTAGATAACTTCACTTAATGTCGGGGTGGATCGTATGTTGGAAATATTGTATGTTGGAAATATTGTCAGAAAACACATTTTGATTATCTTTATTCTAAATACCAAATAGATGCATGGAGAGTAATGTAGATGTACTTTGACTCCAAAACAAAAGGGAAACACTGTGTTGGATTCTAGGTGAACCATTAGAATGACAGGTATCATTTCTCAATTGGATTATTTTCATATCCTTCTTCCTGGCCTCTCAGGCTACACTATTTTCCCCCTCCATTCTATGCTCATCTGCTACAAATATGATTTTTGTAAAACAAAGATAGTGCTACTTTCTTCTGATTTTAAATATTGTCTTTATCAAATAAGGATCCATCACCTATTCGATAAATGCAGACTTCTTCCTTAGTGTCTAAGACAGCTTTCCACATTTTTCTACAGCTGGTCTCAACTGCGTTTGTAAACCTTTTCTTTAACATCAACCCTATACAACCTATGTTTCAGCCAAATTCAGCCAAACTAGAGTGTATTTGGAACTTTCACATCTTTTTTCCTTTAATATTCTCTCTTTCTCCCTTTCTGTCTCCCTTTCTTTTTTAAAATAGTCGTATATAGAGAGAGACAGTTCGCAAATCATAAAAGTCATTCATTTAAAGTGTACAATTCAGTGGTTTTTAGTGTACTTATAGAATTGTGTAATTTTTTACTACAGTATAATTTTACATTTTTGCTACATGCAAAAGAAACTACATACCCATTAGCAGTCATTCTCCAATCCCTTCCACTTCCCATCCCACTTCCAACTCCCAGTCCTGGGCAACCACTAATCTACTTTCTATCTGTACAGATTTTTCTATTCTTGACATTTCATATGCATGGAATTACACAATATATGGTCTCTAGAGACTAGCTTCTTTCATTTAGCATAATATTTTTATGGTTCATCTAATGTTGTGGATCTATCAGTACTGCATTCCTTTTTAATGTCAAATAATATTCCATTGTATAGATAGAGATGGTTTATTTATTTCATCAATTGATGGTTTATTTATTTCCTCAATTGATTCACATTTAAATTGTTCCCTCCTTTTGCCTATTTTAAATAAGATTGCTATGAACATTCACCTGCAAGATTTTTGCATGGACGTATGTTTTGATTTCTCTTCATTTCATCCTTGGAGGAGAATTGCTAAGTCACATGTTAATTCTGTTCAAACTTTCTGTAAAACTGCCAAATTGTTTTCCAAAGCATCTGCACCATTTCATGTTCCCACCAGCAATGTATGAGGACTCCAATTTCTTCATATCTTTGACAACACTTGTCATTGTCTGTCTTTGGTTTTAACATTTCTATTGAGTGTTAAGGGATATTTTACTGTAATTTTGATTTGCATTTTGGCTCGAATGGTTTTTCATGTGCTTATTGGCCATTTGTATGTCTTCTTTGAAGGAATATCTATTCATATCCTTTACCATTTTTAAATTGTGATACTTATCTTTTTGTTGAGCCGCAAGGATACTTTATATTAATATATTCTGCATGCAACACCCTTATCAGATATGTGATTGGAGATATTCTTCTATTTTCTGGGTTGTCTTTTCATTTTCTGATGATATCATCTGAAGCATGAATCTTTATTTTGATCAAATCCATTTAATTTTTAGTTTTGCTTCTTTCACTTTTGTTGTCCTATCTAAGAGGACTGCCCAACCAAAGTCATGGAGATTTCCTCGATTTTTGTTGTTTTTATTTTTGTTTTTCTTTTTTGAGATGGTGTCTCAGTCTGTCGTCCAGGCTGGAGTGCAGTGCCATCACGGGTCACTGCAGCCATGATTGCCCGGGGTCAGGTGACTGGATCCTTCTATCTCAGCCTCCTGAGTAGCTGGGACCACAGGTGTGTGCAACCCTGCCTGACTAATATTTTTATCATTTGTAGAGATGGGGCAGGCTTGTTATGTTGCCCAGACTGGTCTCAAACTCCTGGGTTTAAGTGATCCCCTGCCTTGCCCTCCCAAAGTGTCGGGATTACAGGCATGAGCTACTTACTGTGCCCAGCCAGATATTTATAATTTTAATTCTTACATTTGGTTCTGTGATCCATTTAAACATTGTTATTTAATTTTTTAATACATAATGTACACATTTTAGGGATACTCATGATAATTTGATACAATCATATAGTCAAATCAATGTAATTGGGATATCTATCACCTTAAATATTCTTTTCTTTATGATAGAAATATTTGAATTATTCTAGCTATTTTGAAATGTACAACCGATTAATGTTAATTATAGTCACCTTACTGATTTGTCAAACACCAGTTATTCTAAGTGTGTTCTTATACCCATTAACCAACCTGTCTTCATCCCCGCTTCCCCCTAATCTTCTGAACCTGATAACTACCAGTCTTCTCTCTATCTTCATGAGATCCACCTTTTTAGCTCCCCATATGAGTGAGAACATATGCTATTTGTCTTTCTGTGCCTGTCTTATTTCACTTAACATAATTACCTCCAAGTCCACCCATGTTGCTGCAAATAATAGGATTTTTTTATGGCTGAATAACATTCCATTGTATATATGTATCACATTTTCTTTATCCATTCATCTGCTAATGGACGCTTAGGTTGATTCCATATTTTGGCTACTGGAAAAAGTGCTGCAGTAAACATGGGAATACAGATATCTTTTCAATATATTGACTTCCTTTCTTCTGGATATAAACTCAGTAGTGGAACTGCTAGATCATATATAGTTCTATTTTTGGTTTTCTGAGGAAATGCCATACCATTATTCATAGTGGCTGTACTAATTTACATTCCCACCAACATTGTATGAGACTTCCCCTTTCTCCACATCCTCGCCAGCATGTGTTATTTCCTGTATTTTTATATAAGCCATTCTAACTGGGGTGAGAATGTAGTTTTATTTGCATTTCTCTGAATAATGGTGTTGAGAATTTTTTATGTACCTGTTGGCATTTGTATGTATTCTTTTGAAAAATGTCTATTCAGATTTTTTGCACATTTTTTAAATTATTTGTTTTTTGCTATTTAGTTGTTTGAGCTCTTTATGTATTCTGATTATTAATCCCTTGTCTGACGGATAGTTTACAAATACTTACTTCTCCCATTCTGTGGATTGTTTTTTCTCCCAGTTTGTTGATTGTTTCCTTTTGCTATGCTGAAGGTTTTTAGCTGGATATAATCCCATTTGTCTATTTTTGTTTTTGTTCCCTGTGCTTTTTGAGGTCAAACACAAAAAATCTTTGCTGAGACCAATGTCCTGCAGCAGTTCACAAATGTTTTATTCTAGTAACTTCATGGTTTCAGATGTAAGATTTGTCTTCAATCTACATTGATCTGATTTTGTGTAGGGTCAAAGAGCAGGATCTAGTTTCATTCTTCTGCCCCTGCTTATTTATTAAAGAGACTGTCCTTTCCCCCACTGTATGTTCTTGGAGACTTTGTCAAAAGCGAGTAGACTATAAATGTGTGGATTTATATCTGGGTCCTTCATTCTGTTCCATTGGTCTATATGTCTGTTTTTATGCCACTACCATGCTAATTAGGTTACTATAGCATTGTAGTATATTTTACCTTATTTATTTTATTTTTAACTTTTATTTTTTGGTTTGGGGGTACATGTGAAGGTTTGTTGCATTGGTGAACTCATGTCATGGGGGTTTGTTGTACAGATTATTTCATCACCCAGGTATTAAACCCAGTACCCAATAGTTATATTTTCTGCTCCTCTCCTTCCTCCCACCCTCTCCCTTGCATATCGACTTCAGATTTATACTACCTTAATTCTAATCTGATAGGGAAACTTTACTTGTATAGCTATATTCTTTCATTTTCATACTTGGTGTATCTATATATGTTAGAAACCCAGCCATACATTTTTGCGATTAATATATGCATTTTTTTTCTTTTAAAGAAGGCGAGAGAAGGAAGGTGATATGGTTTGGCTCTGTGTCCCCACCCAAATCTCATGAAATTTTAATTCACAGTGTTGGAGGAGGGACCTGGTAGAAGGTGACTGGATTGTAGGGATGGATTTTCCCCATGCTGTTCTCATGATAGTGAGTTCTCATGAGATTTGATGGCTTAAAGTGTGTGGTACCTCCTCTCCCTCTCTCTCTCCCCTGCTCAGCCATGGTAAGATGTGCTTACTTCCCCATTGCCTTCTGCCATGATTGCAAGTTTCCTAAGGCCTCCCAGCCATGCTTCCTATTAAGCCTGCAGAACTGTGAGTCAATTAAACTTTTTTTCTTCATAAGTTACTCAGTCTCAGGTAGTTGTTCATAGCAGTGTGAGAACAGACTAGTACAGAAAGCAAACAAGTTTGTATTTATGGTGTTAACTTTCATCTTTACCACTTTTTGTTCTCTTCATTTCATACTTTGTATTTGATTTACCATTCACTGCATTTTTTCACTTCCATTTCTCACTTCCATACAGCTTTGTTCCCACCTGTCTCCTTTGTGCTATTTTTTTTTACCAATATATTACATTTCTATATGTCACAGGCCTAACAATGCAATTATATGCATATTGTTTTATACAATTACTCCTTAAATAAGAGAAGAAATGAAAAGAACTATTCAGTTATACTGTCATTCATAATTACCTACATAATTACCTTTTTCAGTGTTCTTGATTTTTATGTGTACATGGGAATTACTTTCTGATGTCGCTTGTGTTTAAACAAAACGACTTCCTTTCTTATTTCTTACAATACAAGTTTGCAAGGAATGAAATCTCTGTTTTCATCTGGGTTGTTGTTTTTGGCTTTGTTTTTCAAAAATACTTTTACTGGATATAGGTTTTCTGGTGTTCGTACTCTTTTATTCAGAACTTTAAATATGTCTGTTTACTGCCTACTGACTTCCACTGCTTCTGATGAAAATGAGCTCTTCATCTTATTGGAAATCCTTGTATCTGATGAATTGGTTTTCTCTTGCTGCTTTTAACATTTTGCCTATAATTAATGCATCTTATGATAGATTCTTTCATGTTTATCATTCTTGGACTTCGTTGAGCTCCTTAAATGTGTAGATTAGTGTTTTTCATCAAATTTGGGAAGGTTTTATAACTGTTTTCTCAAATTTTTAAATTTTATTTCTTTTTTTTTCCTGATACTCCCCTTATGTGGGTATACTTGATGGTGTCCTGCATTTCTCGGAGACTCTCTTCATTATTCTCAATTCTGTTTCCTCTCTGTTCTGCAGACTTTATCATCTCTATGATCTATCTTCAAGTTCACTGACTTTTTTTGGCCATCTCATGTCTATTGTTGGGTTCTTTGTGCACTTTTTATTTTAATTATTGTACTTTCAGTTTCAGAATGCCCATTTGGTTCTTCTAAATAATTTTCATTTCTTTAGTTGAGTTATTGTCATCATCCTTTCTACTAATTATTTAAGCATAGTTCCCTTTAGGTCTTTGAAAATATTTACAAAAGTCATTTTGTAGTCTTCTCTTTTTGTGTATCCCCTGCAGGGCAGTTTCTATTGTCTGCTTTTTATTGCTATAGATGAGTCATACCTCCTTGGTTTTAGTTTTTTTCTTGATGTCTCATTTTGTTATTGTGGAAAACTGGAGATTTTAGATAATGTGTTGTAGGAACTCTAAATATTGGCCCTTTTCCCTCTGAAGCCATTGTTGTTGTTGTCTATTTATTTGCTTGTTTGTTTTTTAGTGACTCAGTTGGACTAATTTAGCGAAGTCTATTTCCTCTGCAGTTCGCAGCCTCTGATGTTGGTCCTTACAGTTTCCAAGCTTGGATATGCACAAAATGTTTCTGACCACCAGCAATATCTGTGGTTTTAGCTATGCTCTCTTTAACTTTCTCTTTAACCTGTTATTAACAAAATCTGGTTGTTCTGCTACTATTGGTATCAACCTCAGCTATTAGCCTCCACTAATTGCTAAGTAATAACTGCAATGTTTTCAACATACCTCTCACCCCAATCCAGTCAGATCCAACTGAAGTTTGAAGTCTGACCCTGGCAGGGGCCCTTTTTCAGGCTTTCTCAGATGCTCCTGAGGGCAGAAAATTTGTACTGTGGAGAAGAGAATTATGAACTTGGTGGGAAACTCTTATCAATTACTCTAAATGGATCCTCCCTGTAGCAGGAACTACACAAGTGTGTGTGTGTGTGTGTGTGTGTGTGTCTGTGTGTGTATGTCTGTGTGTGTGTTTGTACTGAGGACAACCGGTGTTGCTACCATGCTGCATCAACCGCCTAAAGCCAGAGAAGATGGAATTTGCCAATGCTCATCATCTGCCAAATCTCACCAGAATAAGTCTTCTACTCTATGATAATGAAGGAGATGGGAGCCACTGCTCAGCTGCTGGGCTGATTTCACAACACAGAACCGTGCAGAAAAGGGAAATGTATCTCCTTACTACCTGGTATACTAGGATTCTCTTTTCTCTTTTTTCTTTTCTTTTCTTTTCTTTTTTCTTTCTTTTCTCCCTCCCTTCCTCCCTTCCTCCCATCCTCCCTCCCTCCCTTCCTTCCTTCTTTCCTTCCTTCCTTCCTTTTCTTCTTCCTTTCCCCTTCCCTTCTCTTCCTTGTCCCTTCCTTTTCTTCCCCTTCCCTTTCCTCTCCCTCTTCCCCTTCCCTTTCCTCTTCCCCTTCCCCTTCCCTTTCCTCTTCCCCTTCCCTTCCCTTCATTCTTACTTCTTAATTTGTTTATGTCAGACCAGTTTAATAGCGTCCTCTTTGGAGAGGTTTCCCCAAGCAACATCATCTTTATGGAAGTCTTATTTCCTGTTTCTTTTCTCCTAATGCCCTCCCGAATCCTTTCCCATTTCATAGTTTGTTGAAAGCCTATATTCCCAATAAACTCGTACCCTTTTTATGAAATTCTAATTAAATCACTTATTTTTCATGAATCACCCATAATATATACTGAGCACTTATCATTGGTAAAAGACTCCTAGGTACTATGGAAGACATATAGTAATTAGACATAGTTTTCATATTTAAAGTTATATATACATAATAGTTCTTAGGATTCAGAGCGTCTAGAACAAGATTAATTGGGGTTTGCCCATTTGTTCTGGTACTAAATAACTGTGTGATCTTCAGCAATTTGCTTAACCTTTTAGAGTTATTTTTTCTCATTTGCAAAATGGGAAGAGTAATAATAGTGCCTCATAAGGTTGTTGTATTAAGCAAAATAATTAATATAAAGAAACTATCGTATCCTAATTACATAGTAGTGATTGGCATTTATTAAGACTTTATACTTTTTACTTGTTAATAATAAAAGAGTAAGTAATAAGAGAAGAAAATTAAATCCTGTTCATATTCAAAAGTTAAAAAATTCATCTAGTTAAGAAATGATAGTTTATTATATCTTCATTCTTTAAAGTCAAAATCTATGTTTAATTGCAACTTAGTAGGCACTAAATAAATGTTTGTTGAACTGAATTTAAATCAGTTGACATTATAGGGTTGATTTTATATTACGTAGTATATTTCACTATTTTTAAAAGTCTGTTTTAATCAACAGGGAAATTTTCAAATATATCATCTAAAAGGTGAACTCATTCATTTTGTTTTTAAAGAGAAAAAAATAAACTAGTGTGAAATCATGCTGAGATAAGAATTTGATCTCCTGGGTTCATATTTCTATATTGCTGTTAACTATCTATGTGACCTTAGCAAATAATTTACTCATCTCTCTCTTTTTTAATTTCCTAATTTATTAGATGAAAGTCATTTCCAAGTTTGTGTGCATCAAATCCAACTGTAGAATTTGCTAAATTTATATGTGCCTGGATTCTGCCTTCAGATACATTAATTTTACTTCGGCAAGTCAGAGATGGTTTGATTTCCATATATATATCTCTGAGGCATATTTGGAAATGCCTTGAAAAGTTGGATTCCATACAAATGAAGAAAATTTGTATTGACTATATTTTCATCTCTTTTTCATCTTATTGACTCAATCATAATTCTTCAGTGTTTTTATTTGTGTCAAGGGTCTCTCTAAAGAGGCTTTTCCTCCAATTGCCATTCAAATAACAGAACAACAACATAGGCATCAATAGGGATACAAATTATATCTTTATAATTGTGATGGAGAACTTGGCTTGGTTTCGTCTTCCATATATTCAACCGCTACTCCAGAGTTTTGGGCCAAACTTTGTGCTGATGGGACCTGCAAGGCAGACATGAAAGTCCAGACAATTGCAAGTGACGTCACTGCTTTGCAGCTGTCAAACACAGAAATCTTGATGAAACAATTATCTAGAGAAAGAAGACACAGGTGGTTGCAGCTTCTATGATATTAACTCCACTCATTTAAGAACCCAGACAAATGGGTGTCAGCCTCTCACTCCCCAGTCAGAAAATCAATTATCTGCTATTTGGGAGGAGTGGGTACAGTATTGAGAAGAAGCCTGGGCATGGTATGAAAGTGGAAATTCATCTTTGGAAACACCAACCAGGAAACAATATTCTCCTTAAAATTGTCCTATGAGAACAGGAAGAAAAATCATACATATGACAAGTTACATTAGTGTATCTTAGGAATTTCATTTATTTATTTATTTATTTAATATTTTTGAGACAGAGTCTTGCTGTGTTGCCCAGGCTGGAGTGCAGAGGTGTAACCTCGGCTCACTGCAACCTCCGCCTCCCAGGCTCAAGCAATTCTCGTGCCTTCACCTCCCGAGTAGCTGAGATAACCAGCGTGCTTGCCACGCCCTCCTAATTTTTTGTAATTTTAGTAAAGATGGGATTTCACCATATTGGGCACTCTGGTCTCGAATTCTTGGCCTCAAGTGATCCGCCCACCTCAGCCTCCCTGGAATTACAGGTCTGAGCAACTGTACCTGGCCCAAAATTTCTATTTAAAAATTACAGAAGATATATGTGAGAGAATATATATGTGTGTATATATATACGCACATATATACACATATATACATATATATGTGTATATATATACACATATATGTGTGTATATATATATACACATGCATACACACACATAATCATTATTTGTGTACAGTTCTGTGAAACAATACTCTAGTGTAAACGCCACCACAATCCTAATATAGAATAGGTTCATTGTTCCTCAAAATTCCTGAATGCCTCTTTGAGTCATCCCCCTCCCCTCTCTCCCAGTCTCTGGAAACCACTGATATGTTTTTTTTCTTCCCAATGGTTTTACCTCACCTTTTCAAGACTGTCATATCAATGAAATTATGCAGTATGTAGCCTTTTGAGTCTTGATTTCTTTACTTAACACATTGTGAATCATCCCTATTGTGTGTGTCAATATTTCATTCTTTTTTATTGTTAAGTAGTATTTCATTGTATATATTATATGTATAGTGGATACATAAAGGATATATGTATACACATACATTTTTCATTTTATCTATATGTGTATATATAAGGATATGTAGTATTTCATTTTATATATATAGGAATACTATTTATGCTTATATACATTCATGTATAAATTATATATGATTATAAATATGTTAAATAAATATATAAATATATAAACTATATTTTATACATAAAATTGATCCATTCCCCAGTTGAGGAATATTTAAGTTGCTTCTAATTTTTGAAGTTTATGGATAAAATTACTATCAGTATCTGCATATGGGTATTTGTGTTCATATGTTTTGGTTTACTTGAGTAAACACCCAGGAGTAGGGATGCTTGGATGTATGATATATATGTGCTTACTTTAAAAGAAACTGCCAAATTGCATCACCATCAACAATGCATGAAAGTTATGGTTACTTCAAATCTTCACCAGCACTTGGTATTATCAGTTTTATTTTCTTCTGTTTTAGCATTATAATAAGAATGTAATGTTATCTTATTGTGGTTTTAATTTTCATTCTTTAATGACTAATGAGGTTGACCATCTTCTCGTATGCTTACTTTGATTTATATATCTTATAAAATAAAGAGTCATTTCAAATCTTTTGCACATTTAAAAAATTAGGTTGTTTATTTAATGTTATGTTTTGAGAGTATTTTGGGTAAAAGTCCTTTATTAGCTATGTGCTTTAAAAATTTTTCCCTCTCTTCTCTGGTTTGTCCATTGAGTCTCTTAATAGTGCCTTTCAAAAAGCATCAGTTTTTAATTTTAATAAAGTCTAATTTATCAACATTTTCACTTATGGATCATGCTTTTGGTGTAACATCCAAGTTATACGTGCCTTACCCAAGCTGATAAAGATTTTCTCCTATGTGTTCATTCAGAAATTTTATAGGTTTACATTTTACATTGAGATTTATTCATTTTATATTAATTTTTGTATAAGTCATGAGGTATGCATGAAAGTTCTTTCTCCTCTTCCTCCCTTCTTCCCCACCCTCTCCTCCAGTTTTACTCTTTTTCTTTCTTCTTTTGCATAGAGTCTTTCAATTGATACACCATTTGTTTTAAAGCCTATCCTTTCTCCATTGGATTTCCTTTGCACCTTTTTGAAAATCAATAGACTATAGTTGTATGGGTCTATTTCTATACTCTTTGTGCTATTTCATTGATATATATATCATTGATGTATACATATACATATATCAATATACATATTGATATATACATATATATCATTGATATATATTAGTATATATGTAAGTATATATAGTTATATATGTGTATATATATACTTACATATATGTGTATATATGTAAGTATGTATATACTTATATATATACTTATATATATGTGTATATATGTAAGTATATATATACGTATATATGTGTATATATGTAAGTATATATATACACTTATATATGTTTATATATGTAAGTATATATATACACTTATATATATGTGTATATATGTAAGTATATATATACACATATATATAAGTGTATATATGTAAGTATATATATACACTTATATATATGTGTATATATGTAAGTATATATATACACATATATATGTGTATATATGTAAGTATATATATACACTTATATATATGTGTATATATGTAAGTATATATATACACTTATATATAAGTGTATATATGTAAGTATATATATACACTTATATATAAGTGTATATATGTAAGTATATATATACACTTATATATATGTGTGTATATGTAAGTATATATATACACTTATATATATGTGTGTATATGTAAGTATATATATACACTTATATATGTGTATATATGTAAGTATATATATACACTTATATATATGTGTATATATGTAAGTATATATATACACTTATATATATGTGTATATATGTAAGTATACATATACACTTATATATATGTGTATATATGTAAGTATACATATACACATATATATGTGTATATATGGAAGTATATATATACACTTATATATGTGTATATATATACTAATTCTTTTGACAATACTGCACTGTTTAGTTACTGTAACTTTATAGTAAGTCTTGAAATCAGTGTTGTGAGTTTTCTGACATTTTCTTTTTCAAAAATTGTTTGGACTATTCTAATTTATCTGTCTTTCCCTAAAAATTTTAGAAAGAGTTGTTTATTTCTACCAAAAACCTTGCTGAGATTTTGATTGAGATAGCATTAGATCTATAAATCAATTTTGGAAGAATTGATAGCTTAGTAATATTGGGTCTTTCAATCCACAAACATAATATGTTTATTTATTTTCTATGATTTCTTTCACGACTGTTTCATAGTTTTCAACATATTTATATTGCACATACTTTGGTATATTTATACGTAGTATTTCTTGTTTATTGGTGCTAATGAAATTGTATTTTTTTAGATTTTGATTTCTAATTGTATATAGCTAGAACATAGAAATTTAATTATTTTTTGTCTATCAACTTTGTGTTCTGTGATTTTTATAAGCTCACTTATTATTACAAGGAGTTTTTTAAAATAAACATATCTCTGTAAATAGATAGTTTTATTTTCTTTTCAAGCTGTTTGGCTTTTATTTATTTATTCCTGTCTTAAAGCACAGGCTAGGATCTATGTACAATGTTGAATAGTAGTGCTAAAACAGATACCTTTGCTTTGTTTCTGATCTTAGGAAGGAAGTGTTTGTCTTTTATCATTAAATATGATGTTAGAAATGTCTTTGCTTGGTAAAACAAGGTAATGCTTGCCTTATAAGACAAGCTGAGAAATATTTTCTCTAATAACTGACATTTATTCTTACTTTTTTTTTGTAGAATTTGCCAGGGAAGTTATTCAAACATGGAATTTTTCATACAAAATGTCTTAAATATTAATTTAAATTATTTAATAGATACAGAATTATTCAGATTATCTACTTATCTTGAGTTTTAGTATTTTGTGTATTTGCAGGAATACACAAATTCAAAATTGTTAAATTTAAGGATATAAAGTAGCCATAGTATATACTTTTTAATTATCCTGTTAATATCTGTAAAATTGGTAATGGTATACTCTTTCTTTTCCTGACAATTATAAGTTGTGTCTCATGTATTTTTTTCATAGATACTCTGGCTAAAGGCTTATGAACTTTATGAATCATTTTAAAGAACCAGTTCTCAACACTATTTGTTGAATAGGAAGTCTTTTCCCCATTGCTTACATTATGGGTGATTTTATATTTTATGTGAGTGAATATATATTATGGGTGATCTTTTTTGGCCTTGTCAAAGATCAGATGGTTATAGGTATGTGGCTTTATTTCTGAGTTTTCTATTCAGTTCCATTGGTCTATGTGTCTGTTTTTGTACCAGTACCAAGCTGTTTTGATTATTGTGGCCAGTATAGTATAGTATAGTATAGTATAGTATAGTATAGTATAGTATAGTATAGTACAGTACAGTATAGTATAGTTTGGAGTTGGGTGGTGTGATGACTCCATCTTTGTTCTTTTTGCTTAGGATTGCTTTAGCTATTCGGGCTCTTTTTTGGCTCCATATGAATTTTAGAATACTTTTTTTCTAATTCTGTGAAGAATGATATTAGTAGCTTGATAGGAATAGCATTGAATCTTAAATTACTTTGGGTAATATGGCCATTTTTATAATATTGATTCTTCTAATCCTTTAGCATGGAATCTTTTCCCATTTGTTTTTGTTATCTCTGATTTCTTTCAGCATTGTTTTGTTGTTTTCCTTGTAGATTTCTGTTACCTCCTTGATTAGCTACATTCCTAGGTATTTCAATTTTTTGTGACTATTGGAAGTGGGATTGTGTTCTTAATTTTACTCTCAGCCTGGATGTTGTTGGTGTATAGAAATGCTACTAATTGCTCTACGTTAATCCTGAAACTTTACTAAAGTCATTTATAAGTTCCAGGGACCTTTTGGCAGAGTCTTTAGAATTTTCTATGTATAGAATCATAACATTAGTGAAGAGAGATAGTTTGACTTCTAGCTAGTTTTCTGCAGAAGATTTAAGCTGGACCCCTACTTTTCACCATATACAAAAATTAACTCAAAATGGGTTAAAAATGTAAATGTTCTGGAAGACAACCTAGAAAATACTCTTCTCAACATTGACCTTGGCAAGGAATTTTTAGCTGAGTCCCAAAAATCAATTACAACAAAACTGAAAATAGACAAATGGGACCTAATTAAACTAAAGAGCTTCTACACAGCAAAAGAAACTATCAACAGAGCATACAAATGACTTACAAAATGGGAGAAGGTATTCACAAACTATGCATCTGACAAAGGCCTCATATCCAGAATCTATAGGGATCTTAAACAAACCAATAAGCAAAAAACAAATAACCCCACTAAAAAATGGGCAAAGGACAAGAACAGACACTTCTCAAGAGAAGACATACAAGTGGCCATCAAATATATGAAAAAAAGGTGCTCAGCATCACTAATCATTAGAGAAATGCAAGTAAAAACCACAGGGAGAAACCATCTTATACCAATCAGAATGGCTATTATAAAAACATCAAAAAACAACAAATGTTGGCAAGGCTGTGGAGAAAAGGGAATGCTTATACACTGTTAATAGGACTATAAATTAGTCCAATCACTATGGAAAGCAGTCTGAAGATTTCTCAGATAACTTAAAACAGAGCTACCATTTGACCAAGCAATCCCATTGCTAGGTATATACCCAAAAGAAAATACATCATTCTACCAAAAAGACACATGTGCTCATATATTCATTGCTGCACTATTCATAATAGCAAAGACATGGTGCACATCAACCCAAGTGCCCACTAATGGTAGATTATATAAAGAAAATGTGGTACATAGACACCATGGAATACTACACAGCCACATAAAGAATGAAATAATATTCTTTGCAGCAACGTGAAGAGAGCTGGAGGCCATAGTCCTAAGCAAATGAACACAGAAACAAAAAAACCAAATACTTTTGACTTGTAAGTGAGAGCTAAATGTTGAGCACACATAGACATAAATATGGTAGCAATAGGCACTATGGACTCCTAGAGGATGGAGGGGAGTAGATTAAAGAAAAGCTACCCATCAGCCATTATGCTCACTACCTGGGTTATGGGATCCATACTTCAAACCTCAGCATCATGCAATTATTACCATGTAACAAACCTGCCCATGTACCCCCTGTATCTAAAATAAAAGTTGGAAAAAAGAACGAATTCTCAGTTTTACTAATATTTCTGTTGTGCTTTACTTTTCCATTTCACACTTTTCTCTTTTTATCTCTATTCTACCCTTCCTTCTGTTTGTTGTGGGTTAGATTTGCTTTCCTTTTTCTTAGTTCTTAATGTGAATGTTTAGATAATAGGTTTGAGGCATTTTTTCCTAATGTAAACATTTAATGCTATGAATTATCCTTTAAGTTCTGCTTTAGTTGCATACTACATACTACACATTTTAATTCGTTTTCTTTTCCATGCAACTCAAAATAACTTATCTTGTGAATTCCTCTTTGACTCATAAAAACTCTGCATTTCTCTTTATTTTTGGAAGTTGTTTCAACTGGGTATACAATTCTTAGTTGACAGTCTTTCTCTGTCAGCACTTTAAAGCTGTCATTACATTGTTTTCTAGATTGGATAGTTTCTCATGAAATATTTCATGTAATTATTTTCTTTGTTCCTCTGTATGCAATGTATTTTATTTTGGGTAGAAGGAGGGCTATCTAGCTGCCCTAAAGATTTTCTTTTAATGTTTGATTTTTCGCATTTTGAATATAATATATTTATGGGTGTTTGTGTATGCATATGTGTTTATCTTGCTTGGTGATCTCTGGGGATTTTGGATATGTGTTTAAATGTCTTTCATTAATTTTAGAAAATTCTTAGCCTTTATTATTTCAATATTTCTTTTGCTTCATTTTTCTTCTTTTATGATTCATGTTGTACATATATTAGATCATTTAATATTATCTCACAAATCTTGAATGCTGTATTATCTTTTCATCTCAGTTTTCAGTTTGTATTTCAGTATTGTACCTATTGAAATAATGTTGTATAATTTTATCTTTGTTTTTTACTTACTGAAACTCAAGTTCACTTTTCACTCAGTTTTCTTTATACATGTTACCAAGGTTTTTTTAGTTATTGCATTGCCATTATATTTTTTCTCATAATATTCATTCTTTACTGAAACTCCTCTTCTGTTTCTGTATGCTGTCCACCTTTCCATTAGTCTTTAATATACTAGTCATAGTTATTTGAAACCCCCTATCTGAGAGTTTCAATATCTGTCATATCTGCATATTGTTTTGCTGACTATTTTGTCTGTTAACAATGTATTGTTTTTCTTACATTATTTTTCTTGCTTATAATTTTTGTTTGAAAATGAAATATCTTATGTAGGACAAGAGAGACTGAGTTAAATAGTATTTATTTCTGGAAATACGCACACGTCTGCTAGACATTTACTGTGAGGGATTTAATCAGCCTATCTGGAGCTAGTCTGGGTTGAGTTTTGTTGTTGATATAGAGTACCACTAGCTTCAAATTTCTGTAGCTTAGTTTGTGTTCAGTGAGGATCTGGGTAGTAATCTTCTTTGGCAGTTACTGTGTCCCACCTCCCAGGTCTGCACCATAAAAAAAAGTTATCTCAGAATCTTTCCCTGCCCCAATCTTTCCTGTGAGCTGTGAGGTCCATGGATAAGTGCCTGCAAGTGCTGCAAACTCCTCTTGTGTCATGGCAACTGGTTTTTTTTACTCTTCCTTCAGCCCACACTTGACTGTTAGCAATTGTTTTAAAAAATTAAGCTGAATTTTTTTCCTGCCAGCTTATGTGGCATGTGCTCTGCCACGGGAAAGCACGTGCTTGGGTCCTACCTTTGTTGGAGACACCTGTCCTTTTCAGATGTCAAGCAAGTTAATTGTACTTTGACCTCAGCTCTCTAATGGGTTCAAGAAAAGTTGTGATTTGTAGATTATTTGGCTTTTTCTTGTTTTTAGGATGAGAACAACGCTCATTACATTGCTATGCATTCCAAATGGAAGCCAGAAGTTCCTCTTGTGATTTTATATTGAGCCTGGAATAAATAATTGAGAAACAGTAGGTGTCAGGGAGCTTTAGGTAGCAATGAGTAGGAGATAAGAGGCTCATGAATTTAGGAAAAAGTCCTGGGCATTTTGTTCTTGTATACACAATTTTATAAGTTACGGTAATAAAAAGATATAGATATTTATATCGCTCTATGACCTTTAAGCTTCATAATAACCCTGTAAAAAATCGCAATGCTCAACTTACACATATGGAGTTTAAATTGCTTTTTGATGACTTTTTGGAAATTAATTATAAAACAAGTAAGAAGCCTGATACATAATAGCTGTTAAATAATAAATGACAGAAGAGATGAATGAATGTCAAGGGTTAAATGGGAACTCTCTTTTTAGCCTTACAAATCTGAAGGAAAAAAATTCTTTATAAGTTTAACACACATCTGGTATATTTATAAATGGAAATTAGTACTATATGATTAGTAGTTGCTATGAAATGTATTTGCAATTTGGAAAAGAAGATGCTACTTTCACTAATATGTATTCTTTTTTCAATTAGATTTTCCTTTACTTTTTCTTTCAACTGGCACTCAAATTATGTTTTTCAGTGGCAATGTGTCTAACTCTGTTATAGCCTTTATTAAATTTTAGAGGGCTATCTGCTTATATGGTTGTGTCACTAAACTAAATGCTACCTAAGAAGAGAAGCTATATCTAATTTATCCTTGTGGTGCCAGTTTCTACATGCACCTGCACCCAAAGTAGACACTCAATAAATGTAGTTGAAATAAACTGTAATTCAAATGTATTAAGTACATTGTAAGGATAGTAAATTAAAGTGTCTCTCCTGTGAAGGGGATCTAAAGTATGTCCAGAGCAATCTTCCTTGCTGGACTTCACAGTGAAGTATCATACAGATGGTAGCTTTGAGGTGGAGGTGACTGAGTTGACCAGAGGTGGCATCAAGGAGTACCTCCCATCTTCCTCAGCTCCATTCCATTTTTTAAAAGCATGAAATCGTAATGTTTACTCAGTTTTATATAGCATGCTATAAATATGTTCTTGGACACTTCCAATTCCTTCTCTCCTCCACTTTCTACTTTTAAGTCTCTCATATAGAGAAATTCCAAAGCCAGTAATTACTGGAACAACCAAAAAATTCTTCCAACGAATAAAGTGCTCAAATGTCTGCTAGGTTATTGGAGGGCAATTGGAAGTGATAATATGCCTTGTTCCTCATTCTTTTGTTTTTTGCTTCATAGGGATGAGTTATGTGTCATTAGATAGGCAATGAAGTTACTACTTTTTCACCTAAGATTTTTTGCTTGACCTCTGATATCTGATATTAGAACTTGATCTTTTCCAATCTAGTTAAAAATTGAAGCATGCCTTTTCATTTTCTTTATATTTTCAGCAGGAAATATATAGATATTTCCAGATTTCTATCTGGATCTCACCTATGTTTCTACCTAATTATGATGTGGGCAGTTTTAGTTATTCAGCATTGGCCTGGAAATTCCATCTTTATGTATTTGAATTTACCAGTGACATTTCTACGACAATCTGTATGTTCAGTTGTCAGGAAAAAGAGAATCAGGTTACTGGAGCAATTAAGTCAAATCTTAACTACATCTCTGAACAAAACACAGTATGCAGAGGCACCTAGAAAATTTATAAAGTGCTTCGCTAGCAACTTGAGACACTGTAAGAGGAAGGCTTTGGTACACAGGCTAAAAGCCTGAATATTGGGGAGTTGTAGACATAGGTATTTGAAGTAACCTTTACATCTATCTTTATTTTTAAAATGAACAGAAATTATTTCAACTTAAAACACCTCGTTTGTGTGTCTGCAAGTCAGTGGGTCAAGGTTTTATTATTATAAAATAACATATCCTGACTATTTTAGAAAATATTTTACTTTTAATGGATAGCTGAGGCTTGTCTATTTAAATGATTTTAATTGAAACAACTGTTATTCTGACTTTTGATTCAATTCCCTGCGTGTAAAAATTAGCCACCTAATTGAGGGACATGATTGTTGAAGGTCTTGGAACAATCTCACCACCACTGTCTCAGTCTCAACTCAGTTTAACAAATAAGTAAATCTGACTAAATCTGATCAGTAAATGCAATTATCAGGCCCTATAGGGAATCCTAGGACTGAAAAATTCTGTCTAAGGAAAGAGTAAAGAGGAAGAGAGGAGATCATTTGACTGGATTTAGGGAACCAATCTTGTAGATGAAAATGGCTACTGATGTGTTTGAAAAGTAAGAATGAGAACAATTAAGACCATGGTTTCACAGGAAAATATGGTTTGTATTGAACAAAAAGAGAAGAGAAAAGGAGAAAAGAACAAGAAAAAGACAAAATAAAAATTAAAGGGAAAACAGACAAAGAGAGAAGCAGTGTTTGATAAAGATCAACATATGACATCCACAAGCATTTATTCATTCAACAATTAGCTATTGAAGGCTGGGCGCGGTGGCTCACACCTGTAATCCCAACACTTTAGGAGGTCGCAGCAGGTGGATCACTTGAGGTCAGGAGTTCGAGACCAGCCTGACCAACATGGTGAAACCCTGTCTCTACTAAAATTACAAAATTAGCCAGGTGTGGTGACACACACTTGTAATCTCAGCTACTTGGGAGGCTGAGGCAAGAGAATTGCTTGAACCCAGGAGGTGGAGGTTGCAGTGAGCCAAGATGGTGCCATTGCACTTCAGCCCAGATAACAAGACCAAACTCTGTCTCAAAAACAAACAAACAAACAAAACAGGAAAACAAAACAAAACAAAAAACCAATCAGCTATTGAGAAATTATGTGCCAGATACACCAAAAACAGAACAAAACAAAAAAGCTTCATGTTAACATAGTTACTTATATGTTTTTACAATATCTTAAGAGTGAGCTTGTTAATCTCCGATCTTTTTAGACAAAGAATATAGTAATAGCTAACTACTATTAATTGAGGGAATATTATGTGGACTAACCACATTCATTCAATTCACACAGCAACCCAATGTTGTAATCAATGCTCCTTTTCTCGTGTTATAGATAAGAGAACTGAGTTTATGAGGGGTTAAATGTTTTGCCTGGGGCTACAAAAAACTGGAGGTAGGGCTTGAGTATAAGTGTGGTTGACTTTAAAATCTCTAATTTCACAGCCCACCCTCTTAATCACTGCAGAGTTGCATCTCAAAGATGTGAAGAACTTGGCTGGAGTCATAGCTAATAAGTGACAGGAGGATCTGATTCTAAAGACACACTCATTCATTCATGTTATAGGAAGGCAATGGAAGTTGAAATCTAGTACTAGTTTATCTTAGGTAAGGAATATATTGCCTAAGAATGAATTGGAACAAGAATATAGCTCTAGTTTGTGGAAGTTTAAATAAGACCTGATAGAAGCAACTTTTTAATTTAGATATTCCATACAGGTATCTTTCCTAACCAGCTCTCCTCTCATTCCTAAAAAAAATAAAAGGTGAAGAGAAATGAAACTCATCAGAATAGTTAACATTCCATGCAGAGAGTCTTCTTTGGGGAGTTTGAAAGCTTGTCATTCTTAGGAACACACTATTAAAAGAGCCGTTTTCCTTGGATTTCAAATCCCCTAAACCTTTATCAATTTACCATATTTGGTCAGATTATGACATCCAGCTGGGGAAGCCCTGCTAGGATGGGGAAGATATGCAATATACAGCCTGTGGAGACACTCAGATAATGAGAGGCCACTAGCCAAACTCCTCTACTTCTGCCGAGTACTGCTTAGGACCTTCTCTATGCTAGATGGAGGGCTTCATGGAACAAGGCTGCACAAGATTTGGTCTCCAAAATAGCTTTGTGAGTCAAGATTTCTTATTGATTAAGGACAGACTAAGTCTTCAGACAGGGCCAACACTGGTGTGTCTGGTACCTTTGCACAGCAGAAAAAGGGGGAACACATATATGACAGCCCTGCTGGCAAATAATATGTAAACAATTTGGCTAAAATAAAGATAATTCCCCTACCTATTGGCACTAAACTGATAATGGAACAATACTGTCAGTAGATGTGAAGGTACATCAGGTTCAGAGAAACACAGTCTTATAAAGATGTTTTACATGATTATTATCTTTACTTTGTCCTTTTCGTGATCCCATCCTTTTTCACTTTGCCACAGTTCACCAAACCAAGTCAGTACAACCATGAGCTCAGACCACAGGGACTCTAAGGTTGTGATCTGTAATTGTCACTGTTCCCTTGGTCCATTGCAAGATGTTCTTTTATCTCTCCAGGTCTCAGGATGCCCCTTGAGAAAAGGCCTTTAGGAAGAGGATCACTAAAATGAAAGAGGACATAGACACATCCCTAAAATAGTTTCAAATCTAAATTTTTGGTAGCTAAAGGACTTTAAAAATTCTTCTTAATTGGACTCTCAGAACAATTTTAAAATGTAAGGTCATATTATGTCATTTTACGCTTAAGAAAAATAACTTTTAGAGAGGTGAAGTTGCTCATTCAGATCATGAAAGATCTTTCAACTCTTACTCAGTGGACATTGCATTACATCATGCTGCCTCCCATTAGAAAATAAGAAAGATGAATCTCATGATACTCACCAATGTGATTTCAGAACCAGCTTCCAACCCTTATACTTCTTTTTCTCCCTTTTTTATTCTTTTCTTATTCTTTCCCCTTATGCCTTTCTTCCTTTATCTTTTCTTTCTGACCCTGGCTTGTTGTCATAACTGATGCTCATGCTTACAAAAGTCAGATGGAGAAACCATTTGCTAGGAAAATTCCCTGAGAACCATCACTTTTACTTGGAATTTTTTTCTTAATGTTTAAAAATAATCTTTACACTAAATGATATTTTTTAGGGTCTTTTAGTGCAGTAGTCTGGCAAAAGTTGGCTTCAATAATTTTTGTAGAACTGAATTGAATTGAATTAAACTGAGTAAAGGTCAGGCTTGACACTTAAACAGAAATTCAGAGTCAAAAGTGCCAGCCAGCCTGAACATTATAGCAGAGACAATCTGGCCCCAGCTTTTGCTAGTTTGAAGAGTGTTTTAATCTAATCTTGCATATGTTTTCAAAAATCAGCAAAACTGCCAAAATTCTGTTGGCATTGCCTTTCCCCAATTCACTACTGCCAGTCCCTCACTCTCTTAACATTCCTGCATCTCTGTTCCATCAGTTTCCTAGCCTAAATGAACCAACTTTTGCCTGCATAAAAACCCATTGCATTGTGTCTCAGATCAAAATCAGATCAAATCTTGTAACTTCAACCAAAAATGTTGAGAAAGGAAGGGCTGAGAACAGTTAATTTAATTTAGGTCTATGAAATTTAGCGTGCTAATACTAAGTAATCTGCCTGCTGTGTGCACATGGTAGGTGATGTGGATAGCAGGAGAAAAGAGTGAGAGGGGATAGGGAAGGGTCACAGAGGAATTGAAAAGGAAAATTATCTTCGCATATGAGAGTAAAAGGTGGTCTCTTCATATTCAATACAATTCCCCATCCTCCATCTACATTTAATACAAGGATGTGTTTTAGATCCTTAAAATGCATCTTACCTACTAGTTTTTTGGTTATTTTTCTTAACTTTCATTGAATCTGTTTTTCATTTTGTTTGTTGACCACGTTGCCTGTTTATTTGCCTCACTTGGACTAGGGTGCTGGGCTGAGATGAGCTAAACCTTGATGGGTAGATTTTCTGGGCTATGTGGGACTGCACTATCTGTTACTTACACATTCTGCTATAAGGGAGGTGGATAAAGAGTTAGAGGAATCATAAACAGATTTTTTTTAACCTTCTACCAGCATGTGATTGCTAAAAAAAAAAGCAGCCAGGCTGGGCGCGGTGGCTCACGCTTGTAATCCTAGCACTTTGGGAAGCTGAGGTGGGCAGATCATGAGGTCCAGAGATCAAGACTATCCTGGCCAACATGGTGAAGCCCTGGCTCTACTAAAAATACGAAAATTAGCTGGGTGTGGTGGCACATGCCTGTAGTCCCAGCTGCTTGGGAGATTGAGGCAGGAGAATTGCTTGAACTCCGGAGGCGAAGGTTGCAGTGAGCCGAGATCACGCCACTGCACTCCAGCCTGGCAACAGAGTGAGACTCCATTTCAGTGAATAAATAAATAAATAAAATTTAAAAAGCAGCCATGATCTTACTGCGTAGAAAAGAAGGTAGATGCCTAAGATCCTTCATTGCTCTCCTAGGAAAGTAAGAGATATGATCCTTTCCAGAAAAAAAAAAAATAAAGAGAGAGATTTTGGGTATAGGACCCAAACTTGGTTAGGATATCCTAGAGATTTGGGCTAGATAGGAGAAGGAAGACAGGACTAGCCCCAGATTTACAGAACGTAATGCAAATTACAGAGGGTGATATGTGAAGCATTATCTGGGACCAAAGCCAGGTAGAAAAGACAAAAGTCAATGAACCAAAGTTGCTGGAGGGAAAATAAGAATCCATCAAGTAAAAGTGAATGAGTCTATCCATATTTGCAGTGATAGGGATAATTATTACCATAAACATTGCAGGAAAAAAGTCACAAATTAATACATGTGATCCCATTCACAAAAAAGTCCAAAACCATGCATGCCAAAGCATATATTGTTTAGGAATATATACAGAGATGAAGTAAAAAGATAAATTAAGCAAAGAAAAACAAGGCAATGATTTCAAATAGCAGTTTACTGTAGGGCTGGAATGGAATTACAGAGAGTCATACAGGTAACTTTGAATACTTTGGTGATATTTTATTTGTAAGCTGGGTTTTGGGTATATGGATTTTATTAACGTTTTAACTATGCATACATATTAATGTTTTTCATTAATGTAATGTATATATGTGCATGTTTGTGTATGCATATTTGTATGTGTATATCTGTGTGTGTGTATCCAAGAGACCAAGAGAAAAATTCCTGTGAACCATACTTACTTAAAGTGTTTGAACTGGGAAGGGAAATAGGAACTGTAGGCTGGGAAATGCCTTGAGTCATAGAATACAGTTATGGCCCCTTTCATAGGGTAGTTAGAGTTTTGTGCATGGGCAGGAAGAGTGCTGTTATAGTCAATGATCCAATTGGATCATAAAATATGAGAGAAGAGGAAGAGAACCTAGAGGTAAACAGGAAAAAAAAATGAAACTTAGATTTAAAAAAGTTTGTAAAAAAATGCTTCTTTAATCGTTTCATCATAATGTAAAATTACCTGCTCCCTAAAGATTAATAAAATAGATATTTATTTTACAACAAAGCCTATACCTCTGTGGCGCTTAGTAAGTACTCTGAAAAAATATAGAAATAAGTAAGCACTATTTATACACTTCATCCTGGTTGAGGCTTTTTGTAAAATGCAGGTTGGCTCAGGTATATTGCATGGTGGAACCTCAGCATCAAGGTCTGGAGAGGACAGGAAGAACTTGGGAGTAGATACCACAATGCTTTGGGATAAGGACCTATGGGAGCATGGCCTTGACCCCTAAAGGGACTGTTGGTGAATCCCATATAGAGTGTGGAAGAAATTTGGCAAAGCCAAATTTGTTTGGGGTAAATCTTGCTATTAGAGTTGGGAGGTGTCCCACCCAGCAGGCAGGACAAAGAAGTGCCAAGAATTATACAAGCACTGAGATTATACCTGTATTAGTCTGTTTACACACTGCTGATAAAGACATACCCAATACTAGGTAATTCATACAGGAAAAAGGGTTTAATGGACTTACAGTTCCAGGTGGCTGGAGAAGCCTCACAGTCATGGCAGAAGGCAACAAGGAGCAAAGTCACATCTTACATGGATGGCAGCAGACAAAAAAGAGAGCTCGTGCAGGGAAACTCCACATTATAAAGCCATCAGATCTCGTGAGACTTATTGGCTATCATGAAAGCAGCACAGTAAAAACCTGCCCCTTTGATTCAATCACCTCTTACCAGTTCCCTCCCACAACATGTGGGAATTAAAGATGAGATTTGTGTGGGGACACAGCCAAACCATAGCAATATCTCTACTTGCTAACTTGTTAAACTGCTACAGTTTAAAGGATGTTAGTAGAAAACATGGGACACCTGAGTCATGGATTAGAGGCTCACACCAATAGCAGTAGCCAGAGCATCAACATTTGTGCTAGGTTCCCTGATGCTCAGTTCCCAAGAGCAATGCAAAGAGGTCCGTGTGTCACCTGCACATGCAATAAATTCTGTAACAGGAGAGAAATTTTGTGTTTAGGAGCCTAAGGATGCCTGCCCATTATTCCAGAGGCTTCATATGATTCACATGAAGACACTGGATCTAAGACACTGGGGTTCTTAGCTCCAGAAAAATTTCCCATCTTCAAAATAAGGCATGGAAGGAACACCAATGCTGAATTCAATATGACGCATACAGGGTGGGTCAATGGATATCTGAATGGTAATCAATTTGGCCTAACGACTGAAGGTCCTTTGCCTAATATGCTCTTCTGGGTAAGGCATTTTAGGATTTTTGTATTGTCATGGATATTTTAAAGAATTCAGTAATGGCAGACATTAGATTTCTGTCCACCAAGGAATCTGGGAGCTTAGAGCCCAGATTGAATTTAAAGAAAATAAAACAGGTGAAAATGTATTGCTTGCTAGTTTTGTGATATAGAATGGTATCTGTAAGAAACCCATGTAGAAGAAGGGGGGAAAGGCAGGTAGGAAGTATTGTAACTTTATTTTACAGAAGTATGTAGGGCTGAAATCTAGTTCCCGAGATTATAGATCTATTGATCACAAAACTTATTCCAGATGGATAGATAATATTGTAGGACTTCTTATATATTATGTATTCTTGTCAGGATGGTTCAAGCTTACAAGTGGGGTTGAGTCTGAAAACATTTACCTATTTAACTATAGGAAATCTAAATTAGGGATATAAGGGAAAGAAAGGATTAAGGCAAAGACTAAAGGATTTTCCCTGCAGCTTTCATACTACTATGAATTTTAGACCTAGATTATCTGGGAATTGGTTTATAGTTGTTTGTCGATGCTTCAAAAAAAGCTATAATTAGCATGAGTGTGAGTCAACAAAAGCCAAACCACTGTTCAGAAGATGGTGTAATCTGATGGCTTAAAACATTGTAGGGGCACAAGAACATTTAGAATATGTGTGAAAGCTATGGAACTTCTCTTTGGCAACTGCATTAAATTTTATCCACAATTTAGGGACTTTGAGGGTCCCATGGGCTTTATTCAATTTCAATTTTAGTGTGTTATTAAAGCACTTTAGAGTGCTTGTGAAAATGTAGAATCACATGCTCTACAACCAGAAAGAACAGTACATTGGATCTAGAACAGGAAACTGAACGTAACCATTTCAGGAATAATTGATCAATTCTAATGCAATTGAGCCATGTACCACACTTGGAGGAAGAATATCCTCAACATTTGTGGCACCCTTCAAAACAAACAAACAAACAAACAAACAAACAAACCATTGTCTAAATGCTAAATGGCTTTAAGACTACTCATAAGGTAACTATTCTTCCCAAGTCAAGTTCCCCCTTCCCTTTATATATATCCTTGGTAATCTCATAGACTGGTATTAGATTCCAGAGTAATCCTAGCTCAAGGTGAAGTTGGTGAGGTTTGGTGACAAGATCAGGTGCACTGAAATTGAGGGATTCTTTACTCACAACTTCCAGATGGAAGCCACAGCATTTCCCCATTGGGCATATTTGAGTTGCAGGGCACATGAGAACCAGAAATCTGAAACTCTATCCAAACTGTCTACTCCCTTTTTTAGCCTCAGCAATAGCAATGCGGTTAGTCTGCTTACATGTGAGTCCAAATGGAAAATAAATCTATTCTTTCTGTTCTTGTTTACCTTGGACCTAGAAGCTGGCAGTAGTTCATCAGTTTTCTGCAAAGAATTCCACTTTATTGTGAAGCCAGCTGCGTGGACTTTGTGTCCTATAATAACATCTTCATAGACAGCCACAGCAACCATTGTGTAGAGCAGCCCCTGATCCATGATTATCCTGCAATGATTATTTTTGGTTTTGTCAGTAACTTCCTAAAACTGGATCTTCCTGGCATCTTTCCACTCCATGTTGTTCTGTGTGAGCTGCAGCTGCGTAGCTACAGCTTACATCCATCTTCAACACATATTCATGGTGTTTATATTAGAGAAAATCGTGTGATTTTCTTATTTATTCAGTGGACAATAATAGGATATAATAGTATGTAATGTGAGGGAGTTGAAATACCAAAGGGGAAAGTTACCAATAAATAAGAATTCTGATAAAGATATCCTATAACTAGATGGCAAAGCATAAATGTGTAAGTCTTGCTTTCGCTTGTTGTTATTTTAAAAAGTTATTCTGGGAAGATTTAGAGTAAGGCGTGAAGCAATCAGCTTGGGTGATTAGTAGAAGGGTCCAGAACAAGAAAATCTTGCTATGCAAGGTGGTTCTGAGAGATGCCTTACATTGATCAAGTAAGAGGTTAAAATGAGGCAGGAATGAATGCATCAGTCAGGAAACACGCTTCTGATCCAGAGGAAACATTTTCAGAAGTGTCGAAGGCAAAAAAGGTAAACTAAGTACCTCTCAGGAAAGATTGATTCAGCGTATCAGAAAATTTTTAAGAACCACATTAGCTGCAGGAGGCCACAACATTGATAATGCTAACTGTCCTCATTGATTTCTTCATTCAGTCAGCCATTTTACAACTATTAATCAGGCACCCACTGTTTGCTAGGCTCCCCAATAAGTACTATATATATAGTGGTAAACAAGACAGAAAACATTACTTCTGTCATAGGCTTTAGAATGTAGCATGGAAAAAAAAGAACTAGAGAGGATGTTTAGCATAAACTATGTGGATAGAGAAAATCAGTAACTCACGTATCCATTGAACAAATATGACATTCACAGTAAGGAGACTTATGTTCATTTAGAGTTTGGAGGAAAGTATACTCAAAAGTAAAGTTCAATAATATGAAGGATATATATGGATTTCTGAATTGTAGGAATGAAATGGTAGAGAGGTAGGGGCAGGATTTGGAAAGCAGAGGAAGTGAAGGAAGTGTATTCTAGGCACAGTGAATAGTACTGCCTAATAGTTGAGAGAGTTGGGGTTTTCAAAGACTAAAAGATTACCATGGTTAAGACATAGATTGTATTGAGGGGAATTGAAAAAGAATGAGATTGAAGAAGTCAAAATTGAAATTATAAATTTTTACTTATAATCTACTTATCAACTTTTTTATTCAACAAATACTTCATGTAAAAACAAAAAGCTATAAAGAATAGGAATAGGATGATGAATTTTGTTTAAATACCACATTATATAATTATTTACTTCATTTGAGCCTCACCACAAGCCTATAGTTAGATAAAATAACCTGTATGGGACTTCTGACCTAAATAACTATATAATAATAAATTAGAACTGTTTCAAGCTGCGAAATTTGTGGTAATTTGTTATGGCACCAATAGAAATCTAATACAATTTTGTGCAGCAAATATTTCCTTATTAGTCAGTAGTATTTCACAGTATCAATATTTCAGATAATTTATTAATGCTCCTTTGTTTTTTCCTTTTTCTTTTCTTTCTTTTTTTTTTTTTTTTTTGAGACGGAGTTTCACTCTTGTTGCCCAACCTGGAGTGCAATGGCAAGATCTCAGCTCACCACAACCTCTGCCTCCTGGGTTCAAGTGATTCTCCTGCCTCAGCCTCCCAAGTAGCTGGGATTACAAGCATGTGCCACCATGCCTGGCTAATTTTGTATCTTTAGTAGAGACGGAGTTTCTCCATGTTGGCCAGGCTGGTCTCGAACTCCCCACCTCAGGTGATCTGCATGCCTCGGCCTCCCAAAGTGCTGGAATTACAGGCATGAGCCACCACGTCCGACCAATGCTCCTATTTTTAAGCATCTAAGTTGTTTCTCATTGTTCAACTATTACAAATAAACCTGTGGTGATCATTCTTTTACAAGACTTTTGTCATCATATGCTTTCATTTTTTACTGGAAAAGTACCTAGGAGTAGAATTACTGGATCATATAGTTGGCATATGTTTAATTTTAAAAGAAATTGTGGGAAATTTTTCAAAGTAGTGGAACTATTTTATGCTCCCACCAACCATCTATGAAGTTGCAGCTGCTCTACATCTTCGTCCACATTTGGTGTTGTCATTCTTTTTTTATTTTAGATGTTCAGGTGAGTGTGAGTGTTTATATAATCTGAATACAACTCTTTGTGAGATGTATGTATTGTGAACATTTTCTCCAAGTTTGCTGTTGCCTGCTCTTTTTCTTAATGGTATCTTTGGATGAGAGAAAGTTTGAATTATGAAGTCTAATTTATCAATAAGGTCACGAGGATCTGTCTAATACTCCTTTGTCTAAACCCAAGTTTCACCTATAAAAGCTCTCAGGTTTCGGCATTTATATGTAAGTCTATAAATCTATTTCAAATTAACTTTTTTGTATGTAGCAAAGTTCATTTTCTTCCATATAGATATCCAGTTATTTTAGCATCATTTGTTAAAAAGACTTTTGTTCCTCATTGTTCTGATGCATTATCAAAAAATCATATGTCATGTAACTCTATTTCTGTGTTAACTCTTTTACATTCACCTATTTTCCAACTTTTATGCCAGTATCACACTGTCATGATTATTTTGGCTTTGTAGAAATATTAAAATCAGGTGGTAAATAATTGTTCTTTTTCAAATTTTGTTTGTGAACAATATGCTTGCTTCCATATATCGCATTTTGTATTTTGTATATTTGATGTATTGCATTTGTATTATCATTCAGTTGATGTTTACAATGCTTTGTTTTACTTCTTTGGCCATGAATTGTTTGGAAGCATGTTGTTTAATTTCCAAATGCTTGAGGATTTTACACATATATTTCTTTTATTGTTTTCCAGCTTAATTTTATTATGGTTAGAAAACATTTTCTAAATGATTTCAAATTTTTTTAATTAAAGAGATTCGTTTTATGGTCCAGTATAAAGTCTATCTTTCTGAATGATCATGTGCACTTGTAAAGAATGTACATTCTATAGCTGTAAGATTTTTTTAAGGTTCTATGAATATCAAAAACGTAATTAATCCTGTTATTTGGATCATCACTTCTCTTTAGCCTGAATAACTTTGTTATTTCTTGTAGGATAGGTTTTAGCTTTCTTTTATCTAAAATATTTTCATTTTCTTCCATTCTCAAGCAATATTTTTGTTACATATAGAATTCTGGGTTGACAGTTTTTGATATCAGCATTTTAAAGCTGTATTTTATTATCTCTGGCTGCCATCATTTCTGATCAGAAGTTAGCCATTAATTGTTTTGTTATTCCCCTTCATGTAATTTTTAGTTTTTCTTTTGATGCTTTCAGGATTTGCTCTTCAACTTTTTTATTAATTTTTGATACAATGTACCAAGGCATGACTGTTTTCATGTGTATTTTGCTAAAGGGTCATTGCATATCTAGAATTAGCAAATTTGAGTGTTAAGTTGAATTTGGGACACATTCAGCCATTACTTTCTGAAATATTTTTCTTGTCTCATCCTATATCTCCTTTCTCTTGGGACTCTGATTGCATATATGTCAGTCTAATATTATCTAATAGGTCCTTGACATTTTATACATATGTATATATACTAATTCTCAATGCTGTTTGCATTGTGCAATTTCTATTGATGTATTAGTTTGGTGCAAAAGTAATTGCTGTTTTTGCCATTACTTTTGCACCAACCACAATTACTTTTGCACCAACCTAATAGCTAACATTAACTAAACATTTCCACTGTCATCTTCATTAACCTATTTTAAAAAGAAATTCTAATATGTTATTCTCAGTTCTAGAATTTTCACTTTTTTTTTTCTTTTTGAGACAGACTCTTGCTCTAGCACCCAGGCTAGAGTCCAATGGCACAACCATGGCTCATTGCAGCCTCTACTTCCTAGGTTCAAGTGACCCTCCTACCTCAGCCTCCCTAGTAGCTGGGACTATAGGCACAGGCTACCATGCCAGGCTATTTTTAAAAATTATTTTTTGTATAGATGAGGTCTCACTATGTTGCCAAAATTGGTCTTGAACTCCTGGACTCAAGCAATCCTCTTGTCTTAGCCTCTCAAAGTGTTGGGATTACAAATGAGCCACTGCACCCAGTCCTGGGTCTATTTTATTCTATCTATTTATCTGCCAATATTCCCTACATTTTTCATGTATTGCAACCCTATTTTCTTTAATTTCATTGAAAATAATTTTATTAACTACTTGTGTAAGCTTTCCTGCTCATTCCAACAATTCTGTAATTTTGGAGTTGATCTCAGTTTATCTTTTCTCTTGAGACTAAGTAATGAATTACATCTGAACTTTATGAATATTAAGTTGCTGAAATTTTGAATTCTGGTTTTGTTTTTTTTTTTTTATTTTAACAAGCACTTAAGCTGGTTGGACATAAACTGCTGTTTTTCAGGTGATATTTTCTTTTTCTTTTTCCTTTTTATTTGAGACAGAGTCTCACTCTGTCACCCAGACTGGAGGGCAGTGATGCAGTCTTGGCTAACTGCAAACTCCACCTCCTGGGTTCAAATGATTCTCATGCCTTAGCCTCACAAGTAGCTGGGATTACAGAAATGCTAATTTCTGTATTTTTAGTAGAGACAAGATTTCACCATATAGGCCAGACTAGTCTTGAACTCCTGACCTCCAGTGACCTGCACTCCTCAGCCTCCCAAAGTGCTGAGATTACAGATGTGGGCAACTGCGCCTGGCCCAGATATTTTCCATTTTAATTCAAATATTCTGTCTTTATCTGAGCTTCTTATTTATTTTTATTTATTTATTTATTTTGTAGAGATGGAGTTTCACCATGTAGCCCAGGCTGGTCTTGAACTCCTGGGCTCAAACAAACCACCTGCCTCAGCCTACCAATGTGCTGGGATTATAGGAGTGAGCCACCACACCTGGCGTTATCTGAGCTTCTTAGTATGTGCTCCATCCATGTATCATTCAGAGGTAAGCCAAAGATTGTCAAGCAGAATTTGGAAATCTCCTCCCTATTCTTTCCTTCAAGGGATTCTATGTCCCCACTCTCACTTCAGTAGCCAGTTTTTCAGCCTTGGTCCTCTGGTTACACAAGCAAGAAAACCTGTAATTATTTTTTATTGTTACCTCCAACACCTACACCATTTTGACTGTGCCTGCCTTCATACTAAGTGTGGTAACAACTACCCTCCTCTAAGTATGGATACCCCACCAGAAGCTATTTCTGTTCACTTTCAGTGCTTTCAGATAGCCTCCTTTTGTATTAATATATGTCCAAAGTTTATAGTATTATCTGAAGATGAATGGGTTCATTAGTATTTTACTGATCACTAAAAGCAGAAATCCTCTCTTTACATTATTAACCACAGGTTGAGCATCCCAAATCTAAAAAGCTCCAAAACCCAAAATTTTTGGACACTGACTGGACCCTCAAAGGAAATGGTCATTGAAGCATTTCAGATTTCAGATTCATAGATTTGGAATGCTCAACTAGTAAGTATAATGCAAATATTTCAAAATCTGAAAAAAAAAAGAAATCTAAAACACTTCTGGTCCCAGGCATTTTGGATAAGGGATATTCAACCTTTATTTCCTTTTAGTGGTTCCTATTAGCATTATAACATACATATTTTACTTTTCATGGCCTAATTAAAGTTTATACCGTACAATTTTGTGTAAACTGTAGAAACCTTATAACTATAGCAGCCTACTTATCATTCCTCAATTCTTAGTTCTATATTTGTTGCAGGTATGAAATCTATATACTTCATAATCCTTAGAAGGCAATGCTGTTTAGTAAAATATTATGAAAAAATATGTCTAATAATTTAATAAAATTATAACACAAAGTAGTCTTTTATATTTCCATAGAAATTTAGTTTTAGATTTGTTCCTATTATTTCCCTTGAGTCTGAAGAATGTTTTTTTCCTTTCCTTGTAAAGCAGCTATGCTTACAACAAATTTTCTCCTTAATTATCTGAAAATGCCTTTATTTCAAATTAATTCTTAAATAGTATTTTTGTTAGATATAGAGCTTAGGTAAACAGGTTTTTTTTTTATTTAGCACTTTAAAGAAAAAATACATTGACAATGAATTGTGTGATAGAAAATCTCAAGAAAGGAAAAAGAAACATTTTTTAAAAACCTAATAGAAATCCCAGAATTAAAAGAATATCTAAAGTAAAAAAATAAATCACTAGAAGGACTTATAAGCATAATGGAGATTAAATAAAAACAAGTCAGTGAAAATAAAAGGAGTACAGAAATTATTTAATCTAAGAAGAAAACAATTTATAGTATTGGAGGAGGGGGAAAACACAGTCTCAGTGACCTATGGGATACTATTAAAAAGTTAACATATTTTTTAACTGTAGTCTGAGAAGTCAAGAAAAAGAGAAGACAGAGAATGAAGCAGATGGCCAGAAGAGAGTTGCAGTAGCTACTTTAAAATTCTATTTTCTAATTCAAATTATGAATAATTAAGTGGTTGGTCCCAGTCATTTGTATTTTTACTTGAGACTGAGTCACATTTTCCTAGTTCTGTGCATCTCAATTAATTTGAAGTGCATTCCAACCGTTATACATATTATCTTGTATCAACTCTGGTTGGTGTTGTAGACTTTTTAAAAGTGTTGATGTTTTTGCTTTAGCAGCCAATTAAATGGGTTGAATTCAAATTCAAATTTTTGTGTTTGGGATAGCTATTCTAATCTTAGTTCAGATCATTTGCTTTTATCTGAGTTGCTGTGAATCAACTTCCTGCATGTATGGTTCAGAGGACAGCCAGAGATTTAGGAAGAGATTATATACCAAATTTAGAAGTTTTTCCTCTCTGGCTCTCTCTTTTCTGAATTTCCCCGTCAGTTTTCAGTTCTTAGCCAAAACTCTGGCTTCTGATTCTTTGGGCCAGAAAGACTCTGGTTGTCCATAGGTGTTTTAGCTGCCAATTGCAGCACTGTCTCTGGCCATCCCAACAGGATAAAACCTATAACAACAAGAAAATCACTCTACACTGGTTTCTCTTCAAAAATATGTTTTATCCTCAGAATCTGTTTGCTTTTTTTCTCTCCCCAGGATCACCAAATTGCTATTTTATTTATTTTTGTCAGAGTTTATATGTTTGTTTTCCCTGTGAAATTAGGGTCTGTACACAGCTGTATTTAGAACCTACCCCTTCTTTTTGATGGATTAGAAAATTTGTTTTGACAAAGTTGAAGTCCCTGGTTATATTATTTTCTTTGATGTCTAGCTATATTTCTAAAATTGGATTTTCTCGGAGATACACTTTTCTCCTCGTAATATATTTCCCTTTTAGTGTAAGATGGTTTACTCTGGATTTGATTACAACCAAGATTTTTAATAATACATAATGATTTTTTTTTAATTTTAAGAGTACATAGTAGGCATATATATTTATGGGATACATGAGATATTTTGATACAGGCATGTAATATATGTTAATCATATGGTAAATGTAAATCTGTCATCTTAAGCATTTATACTTTGTGTTATAAATAATCCAATTATACTCTTTTAGTTATTCTTAAAGTGTACAATAAAATTATTATAGACTATACTCACCCTGTTGTGCTATCAAATACTAGGTCTAATTCATTTTTTTTTTTTTTTTTTTTTGAGACAGAGTCTTGCTCTGTCATTCAGACTGGAGTGCAGTGGTGCAATCTTGGCTCACTACAACCTCCGTCTCCTGGGTTCAAGTGATTCTCCTGCCTCAGCCTCCCGAGTAGCTGGGACTACAGGTGCACGCCACCACGCCTGGCTAATTTTTATATTTTTAGTAGAGACGGGGTTTCACCATGTCGGCCAGGCTGGTCTCAAACTCCTGACTTCAGGTGATCCACCGGCCTCGGCCTCCCAAAGTGCTGGGATTACAGGCGTAAGCCACTGCTCCTGGCCCTAATCATTCTTTCTAACTACATTTGACCTCCTTAAGCATCCCTACTCCTCTTTCTACACCCCCTACTATCATTCCCAGCCTCTGATAACCATTCTTGTCTATCTCCACAAGTTCAATTGTTTTAATTTTTGTCTCCCACAAATAAGTGCGAACATGCAAAATTTGTCTTTCTGTGTCTGCCTTATTTCACTTAACATAATGACCTTCAGCTCTATCCATGTTGTTGCAAATGACAGGATCTAATTCTTTTTTTATGGCTGGATAGTACTCAATTATGTATATGTACCACATTTTCTTTATCTGTTTACCTGTTGATGGACACTTAAGTTGCTTCCAAATCTTGGCTGTTATGAATAGTGCTACAATAAACATGGGAGTGTAGATATCCATTCAATATATTGATTTCCTTTCTTTTGGGTATGTACCCAGCTGTACTAGTCCATTTTCGTACTGCTATAAAGAACTGCCTAAGACTGGGTAATTTATTAAAAAAAAAAAAAAAAAAAAAGAAAAGAGGTTTAATTGACTCACAGTTCTGTAGGCTGTACAGGAAGCATGGCTGGGAAGCCTCAGAAAACTTATAATCATGGCAGAAGGTGAAGGGAAAGCAAGCACATCTTTACCATGGCAGAGGGTTACATAGTGAAGGGGGAAGTGCCACACACTTTCAAACAACCAGATCTCTTGAGAAATCACTCACTATCAAGAGAACAAGGAGGAAGCCCATCCCCATGATTCAATCACTTCCCACTAGGCCCCTCCCTCAACATGTGGGGATTACAATTGGAGGTGAGATATGAGTGGGGACACAGAGCCAAACCTTATTACCAGCATTAGTAGCTCTATTTTTAGTTTTTCAAGGAACATCCAAACTGTTCTCCATAGTGTTGTACTAATTTACATTCCTACTAACAGTGTACTAGGGTTCCCTTTTCTCCACATCCTTGCCAGCATTTGTTATTTCCTGTCTTTTGGATATAGCCATTTTAACTGAAGTAGAAGGATATTTCATTGTAGTTTTAATTTGCATTTCTCTAATCATCAATTATGTTCAACACATTTTCATATATGCCTGTTTGCCATTTGTATGTCTTCTTTTGTAAAATGTCTATTCAGATCTTTTGCCCATTCTAAAATCAGATTGTTAGTTTTTTTTCCTATAGAATTGTTTGAGCTCCTTATATATTCTGATTATTAATTCCTTGTCAGATGGATAGTTTGATAATGTTTTCTCCCATTCTGTGTGTGTTATCTTCATTTTATTGATTGTTTCCTTTTCTGTACAGAAACCTTTTGACTTGATGTCAATTTTTGTTTTGGTTGCTTATTCTTGTAGGATATTACTCAATAAATTTTTTCCCAGACCAATGTCCTGTAGAGTTTCCCCTATGTTTTCTTGTAGTAGTTTCATAATTTTAGGTCTTAGATTTAAGTCTTTAGTCCATTTTGATTTAATTTTTATATAAGGCAAGAGATAGGGGTCTAGTTTTATTCTTCTGCATATGAATATCAGTTTTCCTAGTCATTTATTGAAGAGAATGACCTTTCCCCCAATTTCTGTTCTTGGCCCCTTCATCAAAAATGAGTCCACTGCAGATGTATAGATTTGTTTCTGGGTTCCCCATTCTGTTCCATTTGTCTATGTGTCTGTTTTTATGCCAATATCATGCTGCTTTGGTTACTATAGCTTAGTAGTATAATTTGAAGTCAGGTAATGTGATTCCTCCAGTTTTGTTATTTTTGCTCAGGATACCTTAGGCTATTCTGGGTCTTTTGCAGTTCTATATAAATTTTAGGATACTTTTCTTACTTCTGTGTCATCGGCATTTTGATAGGGATTGCATTGGATCTGTAGATTGCATTGAGTAATCTGGACATTTTAACAATATTGATTCTTTCAATCCATGAACATAAAATATCTTTCCATTTTTGTATGTATCCTCTTCAATTTCTTAAATTAGTGTTTTATAGTTTTCACTGTAAAGATTTTCACTTCTTTGGCTAAGTCCTAGATATTTAATTTTATTTGTGGCTATTGTAGATGGGATTACTGTTTTTCAGATTGTCCACCATTTACATATAGAAATGCTACGATTTTTGTATGTTAATCTTACATTCTGCCACTTTACTGAATTTGCTTATCAGTTCCAGTAGTTTTTTTGGTGGAGGCTTTAGGTTTTTCCAAATATAAGATTATATCATCTGCAAACAAGGATAATCTGATTTCTTCCTTTCCAATTTTGATGCCCTTTATTTCTTTCACTTGTCTAATTGCTCTTGCTAGGATTTCCAGTACTATGTTGAATAATAATGGTCAAAGTGGACATTCTTTTTATGTTCCAGTGAGGGCTTTCAGTTTTTCTCCATTCAGTATGATACTAGCTGTGGGTCTTTCAGATATGTCATTTGTTATGTTGAGGTATGTTCCTTCTATACCTAGTCTTTTGAGGGTTTTTATCATGAGGAAATTTTGAATTTTATAAATACATTTTCAGCATTAATTGAATTGATTATATGATTTTTGTGCTTCATTCTGTTGATATGATGTATCACAGTGATTGATTTGCATATGTTGTACCATTCTTGCATCCATGGGATAAATCTCACTTAGTCATGATGAATGATCTTTATAATGTGGTGTTGAATTCAGTTTGCCAGTATATTGTTGAGGATTTTTGCATCAGTGTTCACCAGGGATATTGGCCTGATGTTTTTTTTGTTTCGTTTTGTTTCTTTTTTTTTTTATATATATCTTTGCGTGGTTTTGGGTTCAGGGAAATACTGGCCTCATACAATGTCTTGGAAGTATCCCCTCCTCCTCTGTTTTTTCAGAATAGTTTGAGTAGGATTGGTATTAGTTCTTCTTGAAATGTTTGGTAGGATTCGGCAGTAAAACCATCAGGTCCTGGGCTTTTCTTTGCTGGGACACATTTATTATGGCTTCAACCTCACTACCTGTTCAGGTTTTGGATTTCTTCATGGCTCTATCTTAGTAGGTTGTATATATCTAGGAATGTATCCATTTCTTCTAGGTTTTCCAATTTATTGGCATATAGTTGCTCATAGTAGCACCTAATGATCCTTTGAATTTCTGCAGTATGGGTTGTAATATCTCCTTTTTCATCTCTGATTTTATTTATTTGAGTCTTCTCTCTTTTTATTTAGTTGTGCTAAAGGTTTTTTAAATTTTATTTATCTTTTCATTTTGTTTATCTTTTTAATGTTTTCTTCATTACAATTTCATTTGTGTCTGTTCTGATTTTTATTATTTCTTTTCTTTTACTAATTTTGGATTTGGTTTGCTCCTTCTTTTCTAGTTCTTTAGGATGCATCATTAGGTTACTTGTTTGAAGTTTTTCTTCTTTTTGATGTAGGCACTTACAGCTATAAACGTCCCTCTTAGTACTGCTTCCACCATATAACATAGGTTTTGGTATGTTGTCTTTCCATTATCATTTGTTTCAAGACATTTTATATTTTTCTTCTTAATTTCTTCATTTATTGATCCACTGGCCATTCAAATACATATTGTTTAATTTCCATGTGTTTGTATAGTTTTCAAAATTCCTCTTGTGATTAATTTCTACTTTTATTCCATTTTGGTCTGAAGATTCCTTATACTATTTCCATTTTTCTGAATGTTTTAAGACTTGTTTTGTGACCTAGCATATTGTCTATCCTTGAGAATAACTCATGTGCTAAGGAGAAGAATGGGTATTCTGAAGCTGGATAAAACATGCTGTAAATATCTGTTAAGCACATTTGGTCTGTAGTGCAGATTAAGTCCAATGTTTCCTTTTTGAGTTTTTGCCTAGATTTGTCCAGTGCGGGATGTGGATGTTGAGGTCTCTAGATTGTATTGAAGTCTTTCTCTCTTTATTATTAATAATATTTGCTTTATATATCATTGTATGTTATTTGTGCTCCAGTTTGGGGTGCATGTATACTTACATTTGTTATGTCCTCTTGTTGAATTGACCCATTTATCATTATATAATGACCTTCTTTGCCTCTTGTTACAGTTTTTGTCTTGAAATCTATTTTGTCTGATATAAGTATCCTTGTCCTACTCTCTTTGTGGTTTCCATTCACATAGAATATCTTTTTTATCCCCTTATTTTATGTGTATCTTTAAAGTTGAAGTGTGTTTCTTATAGGCAAGAGATCACTAGATCTTGTTTTGTTTTTGTTTTCTATTCAGACTTTCTATATCTTTTGATTGGAGAGTTTAGTCCATTTACATTCCATGTTATTATTGATAAGTAAAGACTAATTCCTGCCATTTTGTTTTGTTTTGTGGTTTTCTCTTCTTTCTTTCCTTCCTTCCTGTCTTCCATTTAGTGAACGTGATTTTTTTTTCTGGCAGTGTGATTTAATTTCTTGCTTTTTATTTTTTGTGTATCTGTTGTATGTTTTTCAATTTGAGGTTACCATGAGGCTTGCAAATACTATCTTTTAACCCACTATTTTAAACTGATGACAACTTCACATTAATTGCATAAACAAGCAAAGAGAAAACTAATGAAAATTCTACTCTTTAACTTTGTATTCCCACTTGATAACTTTTTGTTTTTACTCTTTATTTCTTATTGTACTGTCTATGTCTTGAAAAGTTGTTTTAGTTATTATTTTTGATTGGTTCATCATTTAGTCTTTCTACTTAAGAGTAGTTTACACTCCATAATTACAGTGTTATAATATTGTGTTTTTCTGTGTGCTTTTTATTGTCAATGAGTTTTGTCCCTTCAAATAATTTCTTAATGCTCACTAATGTCCTTTTCTTTCAGATTAAATAACTCTTTTTAGCATTTCTTGTATGACAGGTCTGGTGTTGATAAAGTCCTTCAGGTTTTGTTTGTCTGGGCAAATCTTTGTTTCCTCTTCCTGTTTGAAGGATATTTTCACCAGACATATAATTTTGGGGTAAAAGTTTTTCTCCTTCAGCACTTTAAATATGTTATGCCACTCTCTCCTGACCTGTAAGGTTTCCACTGGAAAATCTGCTGGCAGACATATTGGAGCTCCATTGTATGTTATTTGTTTCTTTTCTCTTGCTGCTGTTAGGAATATTTATTCTTGACCTTTGAGAGTTTGATTATTATATGCCTTGAGGTAGTCCTTCTTTGGGTTAAATATGCTTGCCATTCTATAACCTTCTTGTACTTGAATGTGGATACCTTTCTTTAGGTTTAGGAAGTTTTCTAATATTATCCCTTTGCATAAAGTTTCTACCCCATCTCTGTCTCTATCTACTCTTTATGGCCAATAACTATTAGATTTGCCCCTTTAAGGCTGTTTTCTAGATCTTGTAGGCATACTTTATTCTTTTTTATTCTTTTTTCTTTTATCTCTTCTGACTGTGTATTTTCAAATAATCTTTGAGCTTCCCTAATTCTTTCTTCTGCTTTATAAATTCTACTATTACAAGACTCTGATGCATTCTTTAGTATGTCGGTTGTATTTTTCAACTCTGGAATTTCTGCTTGATTCTTTTAATTTATTTCAATCTCTTACTACATGTATCTGATAGGATTCTGAATTCCTCCTCTGTGTTATCTTGAATTTCCTTTAATTTCCTCAACATGGCTATTTTGAATTCTCTGCCTGAAAGGTCACATATCTCTGTTTCTACAGGATTGGTCCTTGGTGTCTTATTTGGTTTGTTTAGTGAGGTCATGTTTTCCTGGATGGTCTTGATGCTTTGTGGACATTCATCAGTGTCTGGGCATTGTTGAGTTAGGCATTTATTGTAGGCTTTGCAGTCTGTGCTCATCTTTTTTGGGAAAGCTTTCCAAGTATTCTAAGGAACTCATGCCCCAAGCCCAATCATTCTGTGGTTTATGCTGACTCATAGAGATACCACCTTGGTGGTCTTGGATTCGATATAGAAGAATTCTCTGGATTACCAGGGAAAGCCTCTTGTTCTTTTCCCTCACCTTCTCCCAAAGAAATGAAGTCTCTCTTTCTGTGCTGAGCTGCCTGATTTTGGGGTGATGCAAGCACCCTTGTAGCCACCACCCCTGAGACTATGCTGAGTCAGATCTGAAGCCAGCACAGCACTTGGTCTCACCCAGGGCCCACTGTAACCACAACCTGGCTACTGCCTATGATCACTCAAGAGCTTAAGACTCTACGATCAGCTAGTGGGGAAACCAGAAAGGTTTGTGCCTTTCCTTCAGGGCATTCAGTTCCCTCAAACCCTGGGCAGGTCTGGAGATGCTGTCTGGGAGCCAGGTATTGGAGTCAAAAACCATAGACATTTACCTTGCGTGTTGTATTCTACTGTGGGTAAGCTGGCCCTCAAACCTGAGACCAAAATCCTTCTCACTCTTCTCTCTTCTTTTTACAGGCAGAGGAGTCTCTCCCAGTGGCCACCACAACCACTGGCCCACAGGGATTTCTGCCAGGCCACAATTAATGTTCACTGAAGGCCCAAGGGCTCTTCAGTCAGCTCAGTGAATTCTGCCAGGCCTGGGACTCACCCTTCAGGGTGGTGGGATCCCCTCTGGCCCAGGGCCAGTCTGTAAATGCTGTCTAATATCCTAAGCCTGGACTCAGTGACCCCAGGAATCTGCTTGGTGCTCTGCCCCATTGTAGCTGAGCTGGTACCTAGGGTGCAAGACAAAGTCCCCCTTTTTTTCCCCTCTGCTTTTCTCAAGCAGAAGGAATCCTTCACTGTAGCCACTATAGCTGGAAACGTGCTGGGTCTCATCTGATGCCAGCACATCTCTGAGTCTCACCCAAGGCCCACAGTGTATTACCTAGGTAATGCTGTTGGTTATTTAGGGCCCAAAGGCTCTTTAGTCAGCATGTGACTAATCCTGCCAAAACTGTATCCTCCCCTTCAAGGCAGCAGTTTACCTTCTGGACCAGGGTATGTCTAGAAATGTCATCTGGGAGCTAGGACCTGGAATGGGGCCTCACAAATCTGCCTGATGCCCCAACCTCTTGTTGCTGTGAACTATGCTGGCTGCGGTTCAGGGAGGGGTGGTACAAGCACTCCTTTGGCTGCCTCAGCTGGTGTCTCACTAGGTCCCATGCCACCTTTGTCCACTGGCTCTAAGGCCAGGCCAGCACTGGAAGTTGCCTAAGAATTGCAGTCCTTGTGTTCTAGATTGCCTTTCAAGTTTCCCTAGAACCTCAAAGCACTTTAGTCCATGGTGGTGAGGCTTGCCAAGAAATAGAAGTTCCAACCACTGGGATGAGTGATTCCCTTCTGGCTAGTGCTGGTCCAAATGCTCCCTCCATGGGTGGGCACCAGCTGAACCTAGTACAGCTTTGCTCTCACTGTGACTGGGCAGCATTGAGTTCAATGCTAAGTCTTCCAGATGGTATGGTCTCCCTCCCTCAAGGGCACAGATTCTCTTTTTCCCCTTGTGGCTGCTGCCATGGTATGGGGAAGGGGTGGAGTCAGCAATTCAAGACTGTTTTTTCCTACCCTCTTCACAGGTGCCAGCACGTCTAATCCTGCATAAGTAGAAGTTGTAACTAATAGAAGGTTACTACCAGTGGTGTGCTGGTAAATATTTATCAAATGGCTCCTTGCAGGAGAGAAATCAGATTGGTAGTGCTTCACAATTGCTGTGATATAAATACTCCCCACCATGGCTCATTTCTAGCTACCAACATGATATCACTAGATATGTAGGTAAGATGAGATGTGAACAATCAGCATTGATGAGCTGAACAGACTCTTGCTGCCATTGTTTACAACACAGCTTATGCTCAGAATTCCATTTTCCAAATTAATATAGACCACAGATTGACAAACTTTTTTCTGAGAAGGTGCTGATAGTCAATATTTTAGGCTTTGCATACCACATAATTTCTGTCTCAACTATTCAACTCTGTCATTGTAGTGCAAAATTTGTCATAAACAAATAGATAAGTGAATGGGTATAGATGAGCTTCAATGAAACGTTATTTACAAAGACAGAAGGCAGGCCAAATCTGGCCCATGAGCCATAGTCTGCTCACCCTCTATAGACCATAAATGCATATAGAACCAAAAGCGAATTCAAAGTCAGAAATTCAGAAGACTCTTCAAGATATCGCTATACTTCAGGTGTGTGGCTATGATCATCTGTTATTACTGCAGTGTCAGTGTGTAGAAATGTGGGTTAAAGGGGGGGACCTAAGCCAATAAAGTGCAGGCTAATAGTGTTTACTCAACTCTATTGTTTAGGAAATGCAGGTATGTTTCTATCAGATCTATTAATTCTATCACACTAGAAGATGTGAGAAGATTGTAGAAAATATAAAAGATGGCAAATTTTCTAGGAGTCTGGCTCACATTGAACCTATCGCAAACTTATTTACATGATATATTAATTATTTATCTTAAGACATATAGTTCTTAGTGAGTATGGGTATAGGTGTCTATCTCTTGCTAAAATTTTTCTAACTTAACAAAGATGCAGACTTCAGCACTAACTGATCGATATGCCTTACCAGGGGCTGTCTTGATAATCAGTTTTTACAAATAGCATTGGGTCAGAGGGGTTGTGGAATTGTAAGTCCTTTAGGGAATGCCATTCCAGCAAAAGCCAGGCACATAGGCAATTGATACAGTAGGGCTCTATTCACTTTCAACTCATCTTTCTTTCCCTTATAATCAATTATTTTGCAGTCTAGTTATAGCACTCCCAGGTGGAGAAGAAAAGTTTGAGTTCCATAGTGTTTTTCACCTCACTTTGATAGCATTTTTATTTACTAGGAACTTGGTAATAGACAAAGGGACCAAGATATAAAAGCTCTAATGTGCTTAATGACTGTTAAAAAGCACTTAACATTCCACTCTCACTATGTCAGTATTGAATGAACAACTGAGTCATTAATTCCATGCAGATTGCCTGCCCCTTTATTCTATACAATGCTTGCTTGGTAACAGTGAAGCCAGACAGATCAACAAGGAGGTTCAGCCTTTGCCCTTTCTTCAGTACACACAGCTGAACCTTAACTAATCCCCAAGAACCTTTTTGGGGGACAAATTCTTCTGTGAATCATGATAGGACTTGATATTCCTGTAACACCCTTTTATTAAGAAACTTGCATGTTACTGACACTTATCTTCTTAATCTCTGGAATCCTTGAGGGCAACCTGTATGGAGCCAATCCCCTTCAAATGTGAGAAAGCCGAGGCTCCAGAGAGGGAAAAAAAGATTGTCAAGACCTGTTATGTCATTCATTAGGAAAAAGGAGATTTGTATTTAGGTTGTTGTAAGAGTGATAGTCATAGCCACAGCTAGAAACATTTTCTCTGAAATGTTTCCTTGCGTCTTCAAAGACATTTAACCTCATAGGCCAAAACCCTGATAGTCTCATTACATTGATAACAATTCCCTTAGAGAGCTTCTTTATTTGTGCCTTGACCTGCAGACACAAGAGTGGGTGGTCATAAATCCTGTGAAAAAAAGTTTATCCAGTAGAGGGAGATTCCTCTCTTCCTTTTCCAGAGATAGAACAGAGCTGGGTCATGAAGAGGTCTCAGAGTGCTCTTAGGCACTCCCTAGGTAGAAAGTAAAAGTGTCCTAGAGTTTATCACTTGGCATTTTGGACATTTCTCAGTTGGGTTTAGAAAGGGCATCAAGGTTTGACTTGTGAAAAAGTTATTCAGGACACCAGAGCTGAATACAGGTGTGTCTCACTTTACATTATAAAATATGGCTGCCCAAAACTGCATGCAAATCAGTTTGATGCTGGTAAAATTATAGGCAGCCATCCCTTAGCATTAACAGCTCCATCAAGAACAGTAGAGTTAAGGGGTTTAAGTTTTTAGCCTCTACTTTCATCAGGCCAGCTTTACTTTTAAAATGTTAAGTGTTTGAACTTGGTGTAAAAGTTTGTTAGAATAAAGATTATTTTTAGCTAGAAGACCATTGATTTAATATACCCCTTTCCTATGAAAAAATAAAAAAAAACTGAAGAAGAGAAATGTGAAGTGACTTTCTCAAAGACCACCCAATAGTTACCAATATTCTGTTGTACTGAGAGCTTCTTCTATCACAGTATTCTTGGGGGGCAGGGTATTTACCTCCATTTCTAATGTGCTTTATAAATCCATAGACCCAAAGCTGAAAGGGAGCTCAAGAGATTATGATCTTCTTACTGCACTGTAAAGATTAGAGCCTTGAAACCTAACTATTCTGTGCACATTCACACAAATAATTAGTGACAGATTAGTGACAAAGAAGGTGACAAATGCTCAAGTTCAGAACTGTAGTAGAAGCTCTACTCCCTGCTCCCACCTGGGTCCTTCTTGTTGGACTCTTCATTGGTCAGTGGCACCTGACTATTTAGCTTCCAGTTTATCTGGCCTCTTATTCAGAGGCAAGGCTCTGGAAACTAATACTTAAGGCTTTGATATAAACAAGGTATGTTCCATTGAAGAAAGAGCCCTGAGGAAACTCTTCTTTTCTCACTGTGTTTCCCATGCAGGTAGATGTAGACACAAAATTTTGGTTTAGATTGTAGACATGTGTGGAAGATGTATTTGATCTCTTGAGAATGCTTTATCGTTAAATAAGGCAAAATAGTACTGGCCTTTTGGAAAAGTCAACTTTAAGAATGATTATAAAAACAATATTTTTTTCATTGCACTGTACTTGACCCATATCAGAGTTCCATTTGTATTTTGTAAACATGCCTTCATCATCATCGTAACAAGCTGATTGCTGTCTGCCTACTTTTTAAATAAACCCATATGATCATTTTAATTGACTGGCCCTTAGCTCTCCTGTTGCTTTAAGTACAATGACACTGATGTATACACATCAGGAAGTGATGGAGTGGTCACTTAATTTCTTGAATGAGGGTGATTGTTTATATGGGCATATAAACAACATAGCTATGGATTCTGTCAATCGAAGTTGCATTTGATAAAGGAGACAAATATTCAGACCTTTTCCCCCGGTCTATCCAAGGCATTTTTTTCTGGTGCTAGGGAAAGAGGGAATGAGAGATGATAACTGCTGCCTATGGTGAATTTGGCACTGCTATTTGAAAATATTCCTGTGGCCAGGTGCAGTGCCCTGCCTTGGCAGCAGCAATGATGCCAACACCAAGATGAGAAGCACATGTGGTTTATGATGTTTAGAAATATCCTTTATTTTTGTAACTCTTCACACTGTTGTGTGCAAAACCAGACTGAACTCCTACTATTTCTTCAACCTCCTTCCGTCTACCCAATACTCGATAACTGAAACTCCAACCAAACTGGCTTCTAGCTCCTCATCGACTCCTCCTAGCATGTCCTGCCTCAGGGATTGTCAATAGAGTTGGTTTGATCTAGAATCCTCTATTACTAGATCTTCCTCTGGCTGGCTTCTTCTCATTCAGGACTCTGTGAAAATGAGATCTCCTCCAAAAGGCCTTCCCTGACCCTCCTATCTAGAATAGCTACTTTTCATGTGATTATTTTGTTTTCTTTTTTTTCATCGCATCTAACACGAACCTATTTTATCTACGTGTTTATTTATCTGTCACTTGGTTTCTTTTTCCAGATTGCAACTTGCAGGAGAACTGAAGCACCCGAATTTGAAACAGTACCTACTACATTTAATAAATACATGTTTTTTTTTTTTTTTTTTGGTACATGATAGGGAAGTTTCTTTTTATTATTATTATTATTATACTTTAAGTTTTAGGGTACATGTGCACAATGTGCAGGTTAGTTACATATGTATACATGTGCCATGCTGGTGCGCTGCACCCACTAACTCATCATCTAGCATTAGGTATATCTCCCAATGCTATCCCTCCTCTCCTCACCCCACAACAGTCCCCAGAGTGTGATGTTCCCCTTCCTGTGTCCATGTGTTCTCATTGTTCAACTCCCACCTATGAGTGAGAATATGCAGTGTTTGGTTTTTTGTTCTTGCGATAGTTTACTGAGAATGATGATTTCCAATTTCATCCATGTCCCTACAAAGGACATGACTCATCATTTTTTATGGCTGCATAGTATTCCATGGTGTATATGTGCCACATTTTCTTAATCCAGTCTATCATTGTTGGACATTTGGGTTGGTTCCAAGTATTTGCTATTGTGAATAATGCCACAATAAACATACGTGTGCATGTGTCTTTATAGCAGCATGATTTATAGTCCTTTGGGTATATACCCAGTAATGGGATGGCTGGGTCAAATAGTATTTCTAGTTCTAGATCCCTGAGGAATCGCCACACTGACTTCCACAATGGTTGAACTAGTTTACAGTTCCACCAACAGTGTAAAAGTGTTCCTATTTCTCCACATCCTCTCCAGCACCTGTTGTTTCCTGACTTTTTAATGATTGCCATTCTAACTGGTGTGAGATGGTATCTCATTGTGGTTTTGATTTGCATTTCTCTGATGGCCAGTGATGGTGAGCATTTTTTCATGTGTTTTTTGGCTGCATAAATGTCTTCTTTTGAGAAGTGTCTGTTCATATCCTTTGCCCACTTTTTGATGGGGTTGTTTGTTTTTTTCTTGTAAATTTGTTTGAGTTCATTGTAGATTCTGGATATTAGCCCTTTGTCAGATGAGTAGGTTGTGAAAATTTTCTCCCATGTTGTAGGTTGCCTGTTCACTCTGATGGTAGTTTCTTTTGCTGTGCAGAAGCTCTTTAGTTTAGTTAGATCCCATTTGTCAATTTTGGCTTTGGTTGCCATTGCTTTTGGTGTTTTAGACATGAAGTCCTTGCCCATGCCTATGTCCTGAATGGTAATGCCTAGGTTTTCTTCTAGGGTTTTTATGGTTTTAGGTCTAACGTTTAAGTCTTTAATCCATCTTGAATTGATTTTTGTATAAGGTGTAAGGAAGGGATCCAGTTTCAGCTTTCTACATATGGTTAGCCAGTTTTCCCAGCACCATTTATTAAATAGGGAATCCTTTCCCCATTGCTTGTTTTTCTCAGGTTTGTCAAAGATCAGATAGTTGTAGATACGTGGCGTTATTTCTGAGGGCTCTGTTCTGTTCCATTGATCTATATCTCTGTTTTGGTACCAGTACCATGCTGTTTTGGTTACTGTAGCCTTGTAGTGTTGTTTGAAGTCAGGTAGTGTGATGCCTCCAGCTTTGTTCTTTTGGCTTAGGATTGACTTGGCGATGCGGGCTCTTTTTTGGTTCCATATGAACTTTAAAGTAGTTTTTTCCAATTCTGTGAAGGAAGTCATTGGTAGCTTGATGGGGATGGCATTGAATCTGTAAATTACCTTGGGCAGTATGGCCATTTTCAAGATATTGATTCTTCCTACCCATGAGCATGGAATGTTCTTCCATTTGTTTGTATCCTCTTTTATTTCCTTGAGCAGTGGTTTGTAGTTCTCCTTGAAGAGGTCCTTCACATCCCTTGTAAGTTGGATTCCTAGGTATTTTATTCTCTTTGAAGCAATTGTGAATGGGAGTTCACTCATGATTTGGCTCTCTGTCTGTTGTTGGTGTATAAGAATGCTTGTGATTTTTGTACATTGATTTTGTATCCTGAGACTTTGCTGAAGTTGCTTATCAGCTTAAGGAGATTTTGGGCTGAGACGATGGGGTTTTCTAGATATACAATCTTGTCGTCTGCAAACAGGGACAATTTGACTTCCTCTTTTCCTAATTGAATGCCCTTTATTTCCTTCTCCTGCCTGATTGCCCTGGCCAGAACTTCCAACACTATGTTGAATAGGAGTGGTGAGAGAGGGCATCCCTGTCTTATGCCAGTTTTCAAAGGGAATGCTTCCAGTTTTTGCCCATTCAGTATGATATTGGCTGTGGGTTTGTCATAGATAGCTCTTATTATATTGAGATACATCCATCAATACCTAATTTATTGCGAGTTTTTAGCATGAAGATTTGTTGAATTTTGTCAAAGGCCTTTTCTGTATCTACTGAGATAATAATGTGGTTTTTGTCTTTCGTTCTGTTTATATGCTGGATTACATTTATTGATTTGCATATGTTGAACCAGCCTTGCATCCCAGGGATGAAGCCCACTTGATCATGGTGGATAAGCTTTTTGATGTGCTGCTGGATTCAGTTTGCCAGCATTTTATTGAGGATTTTTGCATCAATGTTCATCAAGGATATTGGTCTAAAATTCTCTTTTTTGGTTGTGTATCTGCCTGACTTTGGTATCAGGATGATGCTGGCCTCATAAAATGAGTTAGGGAGGATTCCCTCTTTTTCTATAGATTGGAATAGTTTCAGAAGGAATGGTACCAGTTCCTCCTTGTACCTCTGGTAGAATTCAGCTGTGAATCCATCTGGTCCTGGACTCTTTTTGGTTGGTAAGCTATTGATTATTGCCACAATTTCAGCTCCTGTTATTGGTCTATTCAGAGATTCAACTTCTTCCTGGTTTAGTCTTGGGAGGGTGTATGTGTGCAGAAATTTATCCATTTCTTCTAGATTTTCTAGTTTATTTGCGTAGAGGTGTTTATAGTATTCTCTGATGGTAGTTTGTATTTCTGTGGGATCGGTGGTGATATCCCCTTTATCATTTTTTATTGCGTCTATTTGATTCTTCTCTCTTTTCTTCTTTATTAGTCTTGCTAGTGGTCTATCAATTTTGTTGATCCTTTCAAAAAACCAGCTCCTGGATTCATGGATTTTTTGAAGGGTTTTTTGTGTCTCTATTTCCTTCTGTTCTGCTCTGATCTTAGTTATTTCTTGCCTTCTGCTAGCTTTTGAATGTGTTTGCTCTTGCTTTTCTAGTTCTTTTAATTGTGATGTTAGGGTGTCAATTTTTGATCTTTCCTGCTTTCTCTTGTGGGCATTTAGTGCTATAAATTTCCCTCTACACACTGCTTTGAATGTGTCCCAGAGATTCTGGTATGTTGTGATGTTGTGTCTTTGTTCTTGTTGATTTCAAAGAACATCTTTATTTCTGCCTTCATTTCATTATGTACCCAGTAGTCACTCGGGAGCAGGTTGTTCAGTTTCCATGTAGTTGAGAAGTTTTGAGTGAGATTCTTAATCCTGAGTTCTAGTTTGATTGCACAGTGGTCTGAGAGACAGTTTGTTACTATTTCTGTTCTTTTACATTTGCTGAGGAGAGCTTTACTTCCAAGTATGTGGTCAGTTTTGGAATAGGTGTGGTGTAGTGCTGAAAAAAATGTATAATCTGTTGACTTGGGGTGGAGAGTTCTGTAGATGTCTATTAGATCCGCTTATGCAGAGCTGAGTTCAATTCCTGGGTATCCTTGTTGACTTTCTGTCTCGTTGACCTGTCTAATGTTGACAGTGGGGTGTTAAGGTCTCCCATTATTAATGTGTGGGAGTCTAAGTCTCTTTGTAGGTCACTCAGAACTTGCTTTATGAATCTGGGTGCTCCTGTATTGGGTGCATATATATTTAGGATAGTTAGCTCTTCTTGTTGAATTGATCCCTTTACCATTATGTAATGGCCTTCTTTGTCTCTTTTGATCTTTGTTGGTTTAAAGTGTGTTTTATCAGAGACTAGGATTGCAACCCCTGCCTTTTTTTGTTTTCCATTTGCTTGGTAGATCTTCCTCCATCCTTTTATTTTGAGCCTATGTGTGTCTCTGCACGTGAGATGGGTTTCCTGAATACAGCACACTGATGGGTCTTGACTCTTTATCCAATTTGCCAGTCTGTGTCTTTTAATTGGAGCATTTAGTCCATTTACATTTAAAGTCAATATTGTTATGTGTGAATTTGATCCTGTCATTATGATGTTAGCTGGTGATTTTGCTCGTTAGTTGATGCAGTTTCTTCCTAGTCTCGATGGTCTTTACATTTTGGCATGATTTTGCAGCGGCTGGTACCAGTTGTTCCTCTCCATGTTTAGTGCTTCCTTCAGGAGCTCTTTTAAGGGCAGGCCTGGTGGTGACAAAATCTCTCAGCATTTGCTTGTCTGTAAAGTATTTTATTTCTCCTTCACTTATGAAGCTTAGTTTGGCTGGATGTGAAATTCTGGGTTGAAAATTCTTTTCTTAAGGAGTGTTGAATATTGACCCCCACTCTCTTCTGGCTTGTAGAGTTTCTGCCGAGAGATCAGCTGTTAGTCTGATGGGCTTCCCTTTGTGGGTAACCCGACCTTTCTCTCTGGCTGCCCTTAACATTTTTTCCTTCATTTCAACTTTGGTGAATCTGACAATTATGTGTCTTGGAGTTGCTCTTCTTGAGGAGTATCTTTGTGGCATTCTCTGTATTTCCTGAATCTGAATGTTGGCCTGCCTTACTAGTTTGGGGAAATTCTCCTGGATAATATCCTGCAGCGTGTTTTCCAACTTGGTTCCATTCTCCCCGTCACTTTCAGGTACACCAGTCAGACGTAGATTTGGTCTTTTCACATAGTCCCATATTTCTTGAAGGCTTTGCTCGTTTCTCTTTATTCTTTTTTCTCTAAACTTCCCTTCTCACTTCATTTCATTCACTTCATCTTCCATCGCTGATACCCTTTCTTCCAGTTGATCTCATCGGCTCCTGAAGCTTCTGCATTCTTCCCATAGTTCTCGAGCCTTGGTTTTCAGCTCCATCAGCTCCTTTAAGCACTTCTCTGTATTGATTATTCTAGTTATACATTATTCTAAACTTTTTTCAAAGTTTTCAACTTCTTTGCCTTTGGTTTGAATTTCCTCCCGTAGCTCGGAGTAATTTGATCATCTGAAGCCTTCTTCTCTCAGCTCGTCAAAGTCATTCTCCGTCCAGCTTTGCTCCGTTGCTGGTGAGGAACTGTGTTCCTTTGGAGGAGGAGAGGCACTCTGCTTTTTAGAGTTTCCAGTTTTTCTGCTCTGTTTTTTCCCCATCTTTGTGGTTTTATCTACTTTTGGTCCTTGATGATGGTGATGTACAGATGGGTTTTTGGTGTGGTTGTCCTTTCTGTTTGTTAGTTTTCCTTCTAACAGACAGGACCCTCAGCTGCAGGTCTGTTGGAGTACCTGACCGCATGAGGTGTCAGTCTGCCCCTGCTGGGGGTTGCCTCCCAGTTAGGCTGCTCGGGGGTCAGGGATCAGGGACCCACTTGAGGAGGCAGTCTGCCCATTCTCAGATCTCCAGCTGTGTGCTGGGATAACCACTGCTCTCTTCAAAGCTGTCAGACAGGGACATTTAAGTCTGCAGAGGTTACTGCTGTCTTTTTGTTTGTCTGTGCCCTGCCCCCAGAGGTGGAGCCTACAGAGGCAGGCAGGCCTCCTTGAGCTGTGGTGGGCTCCACCCAGTTCGAGCTTCCCGGCTGCTTTGTTTACCTAAGCAAGCCTGGGCAATGGTGGGCGCCCCTCCCCCAGCCTCGCTGCCGCCTTGCAGTTTGATCTCAGACTGCTGTGCTAGCAATCAGTGAGATTCCGTGGGCGTAGGACCCTCCGAGCCAGGTGCGGGATATAATCTCCTGGTGCGCCGTTTTTTAAGCCCGTGGGAAAAGTGCGGTATTCGGGTGGGAGTGACCCGATTTTCCAGGTGCCATCTGTCACCCCTTTCTTTGACTCGGAAAGGGAACTCCCTGACCCCTTGCGCTTCCCAAGTGAGGCAATGCCTCGCCCTGCTTCGGCTCGTGCATGGTGTGTACACCCACTGACCTGCGCCCACTGTCTGGCACTCCCTAGTGAGATGAACCTGGTACCTCAGATGGAAATGCAGAAATCACCCCTCTTCTGTGTCGCTCATGCTGGGAGCTGTAGACCAGAGCTGTTCTATTCAGCCATCTTGGCTCAGGGGTAAATACATGTTTCTTATGTAAATAACTAAACTGATCACCTTTAAACCTTTTAAAAATGTCTGAGGCATAGAAAGTCATGTGACTAGAACAAAGTCAGATAGGTCAATAGTGAATAAGTGGATGAGTCTATATTTGTACCTTTGCTTTTGAGTAATCGGGATTATGTCCATTAAACCATATTGCTTTTTGCACAAAAAAAATAGTGGGTAATACTAGTCACTTTTTAATATTTTTATTCCACTTAATATTGGACAATAATATACCCCTTTTGTGCCTCAGTTTCTTCACCTAATTAGTATAATAAAAGTAACTATAGGATTATGGTTAGGATTAAGAACAATGATATATATATATATATATATATATATATATATATATATATTCTCACTTTGTAAAGATTAGAGCCTTGAAACCTAACTATTCTGTGCACCTTCACACGAATAATTAGTGACAAAGAAGGTGACAAATGCTCAAACACTGATATACATATATATACATATATACATATATATAGCACTGAGAATAGTGTCTGAGATATAATAAGCTATATTATTCCTGTAGAGTCCCTTTAAAGATGAAAATTTCCATTTGGCAACTTACCTCCCAATCATCTTTTCTCCAGGTTAAATATCCTCAGATCTTTAACAATAAAATGTTGTTTCTACACCTCCTGCCACTTTTTTTTTAATTTCCAACTTTTATTTTAAGTTCAGGGGTACATGTGCAGGATGTGTAGGTTTGTTAAATAGTCAAATGTGTGCCATGGTGATTAGCTGCACAGATCACCTACTGTACAAATTGTGTTCCAGCTTCTTCGTGCTCTTTTAAAAACAGGAGACTATAAAAATATTCATTACAATACTATTAAAATAGCTAAGAATTGGAAACAATTTGAATTCATAATAAAACAATTATATGAACTACAATATATCCATATGATGAATAATATTTGCTGGAAAAAGAATGAAAAATATCTCTATTTTCAATTAGTATGTATATTATGTATGAATCTAGGTATATAAGTATTGACTGATGGTTTTCATTATTTATTTTCATGCTCAAATTGTTCCAAATTTGGCTCTTTCATACTGACTTTAGGTCTTTTTCACTTTTCCCCAATCATTCTTTGATCACTATCTTGCTTTTTCACACAAGATATTCAGTTCTCACCTAATTCTTTTCCAGATCCAATCCTGAAATTAGTCATTCCCACTCCTCACACACATAAAAGAAAATCTCTAGCTCTTTTAAGCATGGTATTTAGAAACCAAGCACTTAGTGCTAGGTATGCTCATTGCTTTTGGTGTGTCACTACAACCAAGCTCTCTTAGTGGGTGAAGTTAGGAAATATATATGTAACTGGTTGAATAGTGTATCCACAAAGCTTAATATCTACCCATAACTCAGAATGTGCCTTTATTTGGAAAAAGAGCCTTTGCAAATATAACCAATTAAGATGAGGTCATATTTGATTAGAGTGGGCCCCACATCCAATGACTGGCATCTTTATAAGGGAAAATAAAGGAAGACATGGAGCCACAGAGCCACAGACACTCATTGAGAAGAGGGCCATGTGAGATAGAGGCAACGATGGGAGAGATGCAGCTACAAACTAAAGATCACCAAAGAATGTCAAGGAGTGCTTTCTACCACTAGAGGCGTGACCAGAGGCATGGGATCTTCTCCCTCAGGGAAGGCATCAACCCTGCCAATGACTTAATTTTGGATTTCTGGCCTCCAAACAGTGAGAAAATACATTTCTGTTGTTATAAACCACCAAATATGGGTAATTTGTACAGCAGCCCTAGGAAAATAACACAATATGTATCTATATGTTTGTGTATGTATATATTTATAGCCACAATTATATCTATATTTATTTGTAATATATATGATTATCTATCTATCTATCTATCTATCTATCTATCTATCTATCTATCTATCTATAATCTATCTATCTCTATGCATGCTCCTCAAGAATTTACCTCCAATTCTAATCTGGTACTATGGGAATTAATTCCAGTTTTCTTCCTTTCCATATTTGTAACTCCCTTCTCTTGTAGTGAGAAACTTAACTCCCATTATTTTGATTTTGATTTTACATATTTAAAGGTAAAGATCTCTATGATCATTAATGGATGTACTGGGGTAACTGGATTGGTTATTTTCTTTGGGAGTTTCCTTCTAGTGAAAGAATCTAAGCAGGATATCAAAGTAGAGGCAGGTAAGTTTATGGTGATCAAAGTTTAAGAACATTTGGTCTCCTTTGGGCCAAGATGGCCAACTAGAAGCAGTGGTGATTGGAAGCTCCCATCAAAAAGATCCAAAACAGCATGCGAACCCTGCACTGGCAACAGAGGTATCCAGGTTCTGTCATTAGGACTGACTAGGCAGCTGGCATGACCCATGAAGAGGAAGGAAAAGCAGTGTGGTGCGGCTGCTTACCATCTCCCTTGACTGGGGGTGGGGGCTCCCCTGCCACATGTAGCTATCAGGTGGCAGGGGAGCCCCCACCCCCAGCCAAGGGAGGTGGTGAGTGAGCATGTCACCCAGCCTGGGAAACCATGACGTTTCCATGAAACTGTGCAACCCATTGGAAGATCCTACTCATGAGCCCATGCCACCGGGGCCTTGGGTCCCAACCATGGAGTGGCAAAGAATCACAACAGCCACTTTGCTAGAATTGGCCTAAGCTTGCCAAGTTCTCCAGGGGAGGGGCGGCCATCACTACTGCTGTAGCTGCCTGCTGTCTAATAGTACTGAGTTCCTTAGGGGAGGGGCAGCAGCCTACACTGTGGCTGCATGGCCTCCCTGCAGGAACTACAATTCCATTCAGGGGCTCAGGGACAGAACTCTGATCCCCCTAAGCCTGAGCCCCTGGGCAGCCCAGACAAGTGGGTTTCACCCCACTGCAGCACACCCTCTCCACCAAGGGACACCAAAGTGCTTCATTAAACAGGTCCTGCTTCCCATGCCACCCAACTGGGTGAGAACCCCCACAACAGGGGCTGTCAGTTATGCTATACAGGAATGTTCCTACTGGCATCAAGTTGGTACCCCTCAAGGTCAGAGATCCCAGAGGAAGGAGCAGGCACCCATCTTTGCTGTTCTCCAGGCTCCTTGAATGACATCTCTAGGCACGGGAGCTAACCAGATGAATAGGCCTTGAAGTGAACTCCCAGCAAACCGCAGCAGCCCTAGAGAAGAGGGACCTGACTATTGAAAGAAAAACAAACAAACAGAAAGCAACAAATGACAGCATCAACAAAAAATGTCACCACAAAAACCTCATCCAAGGGTCAGCAGCCTCAAAGATTGAAACTGGACAAATGCATGAAGATGAGAAAGAATCAATGAAAAAAATGCTGAAAACCCAAAAGGCCAGAGTGCCTCTCCTCCTCCAAATGATTGCAACACCTCTCCAGCAAGGGCACAGAACTGGATGGAGAATGAGATGGACGAATTGAGAGAAGTAGGCCTCAGAACATGAGTAATAACAAACTTTGCTGAGGTAAAGGAGCATGTTCTAACCCAATGCAAAGAAGCTAGAACCATGACGAAAGGTTAGAGGAGCTGCTAACTAGAATATCCGGTTTAGAGAGGAACATAAATGACCTGATGGAGCTGAAAAAATGCAGCATGAGAACTTCATGAAGTATACACAAGTATCAATAACCAAATCAATCAAGCAGAAGAAAGAATATCATAGATGGAAGACTATCTTGCTGAAATAAGGCAGGCAGACAAAATTAAAGAAAAAAGAATCAAAAAGAATGAACAAAACCTCCAACAAATATGGAGTTATGTAAAAATACTGAACCTACAACTGATTGGAGTACCTGAAAGAGACAGGGAGAATGGAGTTAACACACTTTAGGATATTATCCAGGAGAACTTCCCCAACCTAGCAAGACAAGTCAACATTCAAATTGAGGAAATACGGAGAATGCCACTAAGATACTCCACGAGAAGACCCACCCAAACGCACATAATCGTCAGATTCTCCAAGGCTGAAATGAAGGGAAAAATGTTAAAAAAAAACATGTTAAAAATGTTAAGGGCCGCCAGAGAGAAAGACTCTGCAAAACACGTGAAAATATAAAGACCAATGACACTATGAAGAAAAGGCATCAACTAGTGTGCAAAATAACCAGCTAGCATCATGATGACAGGATCAAATTCACACATAATAATATTAACCTTAAATGTAAATGGGATAAATGCCCCAATTAAAAGACACAGACTGGCAAATTTGATAAAGAGTCAAGACCCATCTGTGTGCCATATTGAAGAGACTCACGTCACGTGCAAAGACACACATAGGCTCAAAATAAAGGGATGGAGGAAAATTTTCCAAGCAAATGGAAAGCAGAAAAAAGCAGGGGTTGCAATCCTAGTCTCTGACAAAACAGACTTTAAACCAACAAAGATCAAAAAAGACAAAGAAGGGCATTACATAATGGTAAAGGGATCAATTCAACAAGAAGAGCTAACTATCCTAAATATATTTGCACCTAAATATAGGAGCATCCAGATTCATAAAACAAGTTCTTAGAGACCTAAAAAGAGACTTAGACTCCCATAAAACATTAGTGGGAGACTTTAACACCTCACTGTCAATATTAGATAGATCAATGAGACAGAAAATTAACAAGGATATTCAGGACTTGAACTCAGCACTGGATCAAGTGGAACTAATAGATATCTATGAAACTCTCCACCCCAAATCAACAGAATATACATTCTTAGTGTCACATGGCACTTATTCTAAAACTGACCACTTAATTGGAAGTAAAACACTCCTCAGCAAATGCAAAAGAACAGAAATCATAACAAACAGTCTCACAGACCACAGTGCAATCAAATTAGAACTCAGGAATAAGAAACCCACTCAAAACCACACAGCTACATGGAAATTGAACAACCTGCTCCTGAATGACTCCTGGGTAAATAATGAAATTAAGGTGGAAATCAAGAAATTCTTTGAAACCAATGAAAACAAAGAGACAACATTCCATAATCTCTGGGATGCAGCTAAAGCAGTGTTAAGTGGGAAATTTATAGCAGTAACTGCCCACATCAGAAAGCTAGAAAGATCTCAAATTGATACCCTAACATCACAAAAGAACTAGAGAAGCAAGAGCAAACAAAGCCAAAAGCTAGCAGAAGACAAGAAATAACTAAGATCAGAGTGGAACTGAAGGAGACAGAGACATGAAAAACCCTTCAAAAAAATCAATGAATCCAGGAGCTGGTTTTTTGAAAAAATTAACAAAATAGATAGCCCACTGGCTGGACAAAGAAGAAAAGAGAGAAGAATCAAATAGACACAATAAAAAGTGATAAAGAGGATATCACCACTGACCCCACAGAAATACAAACTACCATCAGAGAATACTATAAACAGCTCTATGCAAATAAACTAGGAAATCTAGAAGAAATGGATGAACTCCTGGATGAATACACCCTCCTAACACTAAACCAGGAAGAAGTCGAATCCCTGAATAGACCAATAAAAAGTTCTGAAGTTGAGGCAGTAATAAAAAGCCTAGCAACCAAAAGAAGCACAGGACCAGGCAGGTTCACGGCCAAATTCTACCAGAGGTACAAAGAGGAGCTGGTACCATTACTTCAGAAATTATTCCAAACAATTGAAAAGGAGGGACTCCTTGCTAACTCATTTTATGAGGCTAGCATCATCCTGATACCAAAACCTGGCGGAGACACAACAACAAAAAAAAACTTCAGACCAGTACCCCTGATGAACATCAATGCAAAAATCCTCCATAAAATATTGGCAAATGGAATCTAGCAACACATCAAAAAGCTTACTCAGCATAATCAAATCAGCTTCATCTCTGGGATGTAAGGCTGGTTTAACATATGCAAATCAGTAAACGTAATACATCACATACACAGAACCAATGACAAAAACTACATGATTATCTCAATAGATACAGAAAAGGCCTTCAATAAAATTCGACATCCCTTCATGTTAAAAACTCTTAATAAACTAGGTATTGATGGAACATATATCAAAATTACAAGAGCTATTTATGACAAACCCACAGCCAATATCATACTGAATGGGCAAAAGCTGGAAGCATTTCCTTTGAAAACCAGCACAAGACAAGCATGCCCTCTCTCACCACTCCTATTCAACATAGTATTGAAAGTTCTGGCCAGAGAGATTAGGCAAGAGAAAGAAATATAGGGTATTCAAATAGGAAGAGAGGAAGTCAAATTGTCTCTGTTTGCAGACAACATGATTGTATATTTAGAAAACCCCATCTTCTCAGCCCCAAAACTCCTTAAGCTGATAAGCAACTTCAGCAGAGTCCAGGATACAAAATCAATGTGCAAAAATTACAAGCATTCCTATACACCACCAGTAGACAGAGAGCCAAATCATGAGTGAACTCCCATTCACAATTGCTATAAAGAGAACAAAATACCTAGAAATATAGCTAACAAAGGATGTGAAGGACCTCTTTAAGGTTAATTACAAATCGCTGCTCAAGGAAATAAGAGGATGCAAACAAATGGAAAAACATTCCATCCTCATAGATAGGAAGAATCAGTTATGAAAATGGCCATACTGCCCAAAGTAATTTATAGATTCAATGTTATTCCCATTAAACTACTATTGACATTCTTAACAGAATTCGAAGAAACTACTTTAAAATTTATATGGAACCAAAAAAAGAAAAAAGAAAAAAAGCCCACATAGCCAAGGCAGTCCTAAGCAAAAAGAACAAAGCTAGAGGCATTACACTACCTGACTTCAAACTATAGTCCAAGGTACAGTAACCAAAACAGCAAGGTACTAGTACCAAAACAGGCATATAGACCAATGGAACAGAATAGATACCTCAGAAATAAGACCACACATCTACAGCAATCTGATCTTTGACAAACTGGTCAAAAACAAGCAATGGGGAAAGGATTCCCTATTTAATAAATGGTGCTGGGTAAACTGGCTAGCCATATGCAGAAAACTGAAACTGGGCCCCTTCCTTACACCTTATACAAAAATTAACTCAAGATGGATTAAAGACTTAAATATAAAACCCCAAACCGTAAAAACCCTAGAAGAAAACCTAGGCAATACCATTCAGGACATAGGCATGGGCAAAGATTTTATGAAGAAATTTGCAAAAGCAATTGTAACAGAAGCTATAATTGATAAATGTGATCTAATTAAACTAAAGAGCTTCCACATGGCAAAAGAAACTATTATGAGAGTGAACAGGCAACCTACAGAATAGGAGAAAATTTTTGCAAACTACCCATCTGACAAAGGACTAATATTCAGAATTTACAAGGAACTTAAATTTACAAGAAAAAAACAACCCCATCAAAAAGTGGGCAAGGGATATGAACAGAGGGAGGTCATTCATTCTTAAAAGAAGACATTTGTGTGGCTGACAAACTATTAAAAAAGCTCAACATCACTGATCATTGGAGAAATGCAAATAAAACCACAATGAGATACCATCTCATGCTGGTCAGAATGGCAATTATGAAAAAGTCAAGAAACAACAGATGCTGATGAGGCTGTGGAGAAATAGGAACACTTTTACACTGTTAGTGGGAATGTAAATTAGTTCAACCATTGTGAAAGACAGTGTGGCAATTCTTCAAGCATCTAGAACCAGAAATACCACTTGACCCAGCAATCCCATCACTGAGTATATATGCAACAGAATATAGATAATTCTATTATAAAAATACATGCACATGTATGTTTATTGCAGCACTATTCACAGTAGCAAAGGCATGGAACCAACTCAAGTGCCCATCAATGATAGACTGGATAAGGAAAATGTGGTACATATATACCATGGAATACTATGCAGCCGTAAAAAGGAATGAGACCATGTTCTTTGCAGGGACATGGATGAAGCTGGAAGCCATCATCCTCAGCAAACTAACACAGGAACAGAAAGCCAAACATTGCATGTTCTCACTGATAAGTGGGAATTGAACAATGAGAACACATGGACACAGGGAGGGGAACAACACACACTGGGGCCTGTTGGGATGAGGACGAGGGGAAGGAGAGCATCAAGACAAATAGCTAATGCACAAGGGGCTTAAAACCCAGGTGACGGGTTAATAGGTGCAGCAAGCCACCATGGCACACTTATACCTATGTAACAAAACTGCACGTTCTACACGTGTATCCCGGAACTTAAAGTAAAAAAGTAATAAATTTTTTTTAAAAAGAACATTTGGACTGTTATTCTTACAGAATATTTTCAGTAAAAACTAGATGAAATTATTCCTCATTTTAACTATTTTTGTTTGCTGATATTAAATCATCTGCATGAGAACTCACTCTCTTCCACAGCATTGGATTAAATGTCTATTCATAATCTCCTGATTTTCTAGATTTCATGCCAACCAATCAGGAGGTAGGATAAAATTATCTCATATAGATTACAAACACAACTGAATTAAGACACAGCTTGCTTTACATAGTTTATTAGGTACTTTGTAAAATAAACTAGATTAAAACATTATTATCACGATTAACAGCACAGTGCAGTGAATATGGTATAGATTAATGCTTAACTCCTTGGGCTCTGGAAGTAAGGCGCCTGTGTCATACTTACTAACTTCATGGTACTGGACACATTACTTCCATATTTTAACATTAAGTTTCCTCACCTGTAAAATGGAGATTAAAATGTACTGAGTTATAGTGATAACTAAACGAGTTAATATATGTAAAGCATTTGAACAGTTTTGGCATACACTGAGTTCCCAATTAATGTTAGCTATTAGTTAAAGACCAGATTTTTGTGAGCAGAATATTATAATTGCAGTTGTTTTATGTCAGTTTTTCCTGAATTTATTTTCTCATCTTATTCAACAAATAATTTTTGAACTTCTAAATATGTGCCAGGCATGGATTCCACATGAAGCCCACTGTGTGTTGAGTGTATATATATATATATATGTATATACATATATGAGTATATACATATATATGAGTATATACATATATATATATGAATCTCTGTATTTTGAAGTTTAATGTATTCATGTTTAATATATTCACGTTGGCCTCACTGGAACCAAAGATGGTGTTGCTAAAGTGCACAGGGTTGTTGTTATAGTTTTGTCCTTACTACTAATTCACCAAGTCATTTGAGCACACGTCACTCTTCCTTTCTGACCCTCATTTTTCTCTTCAATAAAGTCAGAGAGGAAAATAGGGGTTGAACTGGATAGTTTCCAAGTTCTTTCCAACTTTAAAATCCCAGTGGTATATAAGCAATGTCCATCTCTGTTTCCTTGTACCTGTCTAGAGGATCTGACATGAAATGTTGCATATCGTAGGGCCGTTGTGTCATAGACTGGCTCAGTGATTGTATTAGTGTGTTCTCACATTGTCATAAGGAAATACCTGAGGTGAGGTCATTTATAAAGAAAAGAGGTTTAATTGGCTCACAGTTTCACAGTCTGTACATGAAGCATGATGCTGGCATCTGCTTGGTTTCTAGGGAGGCCTCAGGAAACCTACAATCATGGCGGAAGGCAAAGGGGGAGCGCACACTTCACATAGCTAGAGTAGGAGCAAGAGAGAGGGAGTGAAGTGGATGCCACATACTTTTAAACAACCATATCTTGCAAGGACTCATCCACTGTCATGAGAACAGCACCAATGGGATGGTGCTAGACCATTCATGAGAAATCCACCCCCATGATCCAACACCTGCCACCAGACCCCACCTCCAACACTGGGGACCACAATTCAATATGAGATTTAGTAGGGACACAGGTCCAAACAATGTCAATGGTCAAGCCTATTTCAAAATATCTATCTTTCATAAAACATGAATAGTACTCTAAAGTAGCGCCAATTCTCAAGGTGGTCACTTCAGCTTTTGACAACAGGAAAAAAATTAAAAAGGACAAGCAGGAAGAAAGAATAATGAGCTAGTAGTGTATTTTCAGTAGTGAGAGTACCTTCTCAAATGTAATTTGGTGCCCCCAAAATAAATGTGAGCTTCTGCCTCCTGAGCGTTTCAGAGTATGGGGAAGCACCCTTTAAAACTCTGCCCTGAAAAACCCTTCCCATTAGCCTGCTATCCTAAACATTGCCCTGCCTCCTTGATGAAGTAGTCTGACCCCTCTGACAAGAGTTCCCACACCATCTCTTCACGCCTTGTTGGTTTAGTTTCACATGATGGATGACATGACACGCAGTCAGCAGGGCTGCTGGTACCTGCTCTGTAAATGAAGCTGGTATCGTGCTGCCAAAGGCAGAGTGACCATCTCTCAATTCCGGCTGAGCATTTTGACTTCGGGTTTTCAAGTATGGAAGCTGGTGATTTATGAGACACAAAAAAGCATAAATGGCCTTCCATTTCTTCAACAAGGATAGACTCCCTCTATAACCCCCAACCCATGCTTCCTGTGCAGGGTAACACTGCTCTGGCAGGAACAGCATAGCACCCCTTGTCCACAAACCAAAACCACAAAAGCCAAAATGTGTTTTCTCAGTCTTTCCCTAGGTTCTTTGCTGGTGACTGACAAACGAAGTGCCCCTGTGAACCATCTCAGCTACAACACTTCACCTGTGTGGGCTTCTAAACAAGCTGATGATCAAAGATGTGTTGGGGGTAGGGTGACCAAATATTCTTGTTTTTTCCAGTATTGAGGGGTTTCCTGGGACAGGAGAATATGAACAATCCCAGGAGGCATATTACTTCCAATACTAAAACCTGGATGATTCGGTCACCTATTTGGAGGTGGGGCCTTGGGAGGAATGATGTGGGATGGAGTGAAGAGTAGCATTAAACTCCAGGTTGCAGTGGAAATGTCCAGGGCACATTACCTGGTAAGTAAATACTTTTCTGATGATAACATCACTGTCACTGAAGCCCTGTCAAAACAATGTGTACCTTTGTCTAGTACAGAATAGATGCTCAGGAATTATTTGAGTTTATTTTGAATTAGCAAATAGTGAAGCCAACTAGACTGACACAGCACCATGGATCTAGTAGCCTTTATGTGAACTTGCCATGGGTCAAATTGCTCCCTGAGGCTGGAATGGAGCTCCATCTAGAAGTGGGAAGTGAGTTATCCAGCATATCATATCAGAAGGAACTGCATCTTATGGGTAACCCTACAGTGTTTGGCCAGTAAATACAATAAATACAATTTTACAATTGCCGCTAAATACATCTTTGGTGATTGTCAAATGCATTGATCCTGTTATAAACCTGTTTTTTCTTACTCTAACTCTCACATACAAAGATGGGAGTGGTATGCACTTTTTTGAGTGACATTTTCTTATAGGAAAAAGGAGAAAAAATGACTTTGATTTTTGTAATCATTCATTATGGTTATTAGTGAATAGGAGTATGAAACCATTTAGAGTTTGAAAAATATTTCAGACACTTTTTCAGGCATAGAAGTCTTGCAAAACAAGGCAAACTCCAGGGAACTCTTCCTTTCCATTCTTATGGCAGCCTTCTTTTGAAGGTTATGTAATTGATACTTTCTTGATTCATTTAGCCTGAACTCATCTAAATGTGACTTTGTAAGACATATTAACTGCTTAAGCAGCAACTTGAGATTTAAAATAGGCTTTTAAAGGTCTTCTGGCCTTAAGAGCAGGAAATGACATATCGACCAAAACAACCACTTTAATTCTGTATGTTTGCTTTTTGTAAAATAAAGAAGAGGAAAGAAAGAAGAAAATAAATAAATTAAATAAATAAAGAGAAAGAGAAAGAAGGAAAGGAAGAAGAAAGAAAGAGGAAAGAAAAGAAAGAAAGGAAAAGAAAGAAAAAAGAAAGAAAGAAGAGAAAGAAAGAAAAGTGAGACATAAAGAAAAGACACAGATGCTGCATAACTAGATTCTAAAGTTTAAAAACCTATTCCCTGAGATTTAGACTGAGAGACTAAGGAGAGTCTACTCTGGTGATTTTTACTGATCCCTCTTGCATCCAAGTTAATAGAAATGTCCTCTGAATGGAAACAGATTTGAGATCCTGATTCCCTCATGCTCCTTAACAGACTCTGATATTTCAATGTCTATGTGAGTGGTCCTCAGACCTCTGGGAGGCTTTATGGTAGAGTGACACAGCAAATCTCTGGTATCCTGATGAGTTCAAACCCCAGATTTGCCACTAAACAGCTCTGAGGCTCAGGACAAGAAGCTTAATGATTTTCTGTTTCAGTTTTCTTGTCTGCAAAATGGGAATAATAAAAGTACTTTTCTCATAGAGTTGTTGAGAGGAATGAATGAGTTTATGTTTGTAAACGACCTAAAACAATGCCTGACAAAATATGTGACATGGAAGTATTACTTATTAGCGAGCATAAAAATCTTTTGAAGAGCCTAAACTCTTGAATTCATGAACTCTGAATCTCTAAATTAGTGTCTCCCCCATCCCGGTTGCATATTAAAATCATCTGGGATGCTTTAAAAAATTCCGCTGCCCAGATTGTTACCTCAAGCAAATTGAATTCAGATGTCTGGGGGTGGGGCCCAGAAATCTGTGTTTTTTAAAAGTTTAATATGTGATGATGATGCACAGAGAATGTTGAGAGCCACTGATCTAAGCTCAAGATTGAGAACCAGCGCTTTAGAAGGGCTTTGTACGTCATATGTCAAGCTGTTTGTATGTTTGATCCTACCAGAGCTTCATCATTCATTCATTATTTAGAAATATTTAAGTAAGACAACATTATTTTGTTTAAGGCTATAATTTTCCTGATGCTAGGGTGTCCCTCTGTTGCCATTCACACTCAAGTATCTAACATAGGACCAACATAGTAAAATTGCAATGGTGAAGGAGGCAGGGGTGAAAAAAAATGATTGTTGAATTTTACCATCTGTCTTCAAGATCATGAGTATATTTGAAGACGGCAGAATCAGAAGTGGTTCAACTCAGAGGAGTGCTGTACATTGATCCCTGACCATTCCAATCATGCAATCAGAGATTTTCTTTGTGAGGTTTTGCCCATTAGTCACAGGCCCATTTATTATCATCTGAAAGACAAAGGTCTTCTCTCCCTGGGCAGTGGCACCAAGGATGGCAAACCCTCAGGAGCTGCTGTGCTACCCCCAGAAGCAGGCCTTGAGGGCAGCGTCATGGGTGGCAGGAACAGCACCATCAGCTTGTTTAACAGGCTGGTAATCTTGGGATCCTGGGCTTCTTCATAGGACTTGACCAAGCAGAACAACTTAACACCTTCCCATCGCAGCTGAAGGCACAGGCTCTGCTAACCTCCTGCTCCATCTGCATAGAAACATGAATTGAAGCATCTTGCCCAGGTTATTCATTCTGCACATTGTCCCAGGCCCCATCCATGTGCTTAGAGTTCTTCCGGGATGAGAAAGCCTGGATCATCTCAGCTAGGACCACCTTGTCCAGGACTACTTTGGCCTGTTCGGCTCTCAGAGACACCATAAGATAACAAAAGCTGCACAGGCAAGGGAGCCAAACAGAAGTTTAGGAGGGATGAGCCACCTCCAAGAGCTGGCTGGTGGAAGGGGAGCAGCATTACCTATAGCCAGCAGCCTTTCTGCATGGTCTTACAGTTCCCACCCTGAGCTCCCAAGATAAGATTATTATCTGATGGGCAAGTTATTTGCTAGGGAGAAAATAAACAAGCCAAGAGACAAGCTATTTGCTAGGGAGCAAATAAATAAGCCAAGAGACTTCAGGAGCAATAATCTGGTGACCTGGGTAGTGTATGTTCTCTATGTAAATGGTGGAAACTCTGAATAATCCAGCAGTGCTGTTCTCAAAGGGACTATCAAAACCACAGCATTTTATCAAGAAAGAATTAAAAAGGCCAGACATTTCCAGCATTGCTGCTCTGCCTCATTTTCCTGGGAAGTTGCCTCAGTCAGCTTGACACAAGCGTACACAGATACTAGAAGAGATGTGGGTATAGAAGAAGAGAGAGGAACAGAGAGAGAAGAAAAAAAAAAAGAGAAAGCCCCAGAGCAACAAATCCATGCACCAGTCCTACAGTAACCTAGCAATCAAGGCATTAGCAGCCAAAAAGCTTTTCTTGTAGAGGGGGAGTTAATGGATTTATATTATTTGTGGTTATCTGGATTTCAGATTGACACCATAAATATTCAGACTCTGAACTCGGCTGGAAGCAGCCGCTACTGACTTTTCTGTGACCTAGCTGGAAACTTTAAATCAGCTGTCTCCTTGACTTTCAAGTGAATGACATATTCCAAATCCACTAGATAGCATCTCCTCAGTGTTTTATTGCCTCCAGAGGACCTCAGTTCAGTGGGGTCTGTAACTACAGCCTCTCTTTTGAATGCAAGTCCAGTTAAGACTGCTAAGTCATAAAGTAGTCGGTAATGGCATAGAGATGTCTTAGACTGTGGGTACGGACAGAGCTTATTCTACAAAATACGCATTTCATGCAAACCCTGCAACACATTATTCATTAACTGACATGGATCTCCATCCATGGCTCTCTCTGTTCAGTAGATCTTGCCTAGGTACTTTTGTTCTCATTTTCTTCTTGCTTTTATTTGTCTCTGAGAGTTTGATTGACAAGAGACTTCCACATAGGTACATGGGGACATTTCCTTCTCAGTGCATTGTGAGCTGCTTCCAGTTCCTATGATCAGCAGCTGGCAAAAGCGAGAGATCCTTCCTAAAAGGAGGTTAGAACCTCTCTCTGGTTCACTTCAGAGCTGACAGTATAACTTTAGTGATAGGAGAAGGAAGGGTGGGGACCTCCTCCTCCCGCTGTGTTGCTGGGGTTGGGGAACCTTCCACTGGCAACAGGCTCCCTTTTGCCCCATGACAAATTGTGCTGAAGGTTTGACAACGCCAAATCCATCATAAGGATCAGGCCAGCTCCTTCTCTCTGTCAGCTTAACAGATGTGGCAGCAGCCACAATGTCAATAAGGGTTATGTCCTGCTTCAGAGAAAAAGGGGCTAAAACACCATTTAAGTAATTGCTTGGGGATAAAAATCAAGCTATCCTTCTAGGTAGGCAATAGCGTTATCAAGAAGGGCTCCACACATGGGCTGCTTCTCCCTTCCTTTCTCTGATGAGTTGAAAGGTATTTTCAGGGGAAGATGTGTGGGTCTATTACCAGGAGAAAGGGCAAGGCATGAGCAATTGCAAGTTGTGACTTTCCAGGTCCCATCAACTTGACGATTGCAACTCCACCAAGGATTCTTATTCCATCATTTGACCCATACCATAATACACCCCAGATGTTATAAAACTTTTTTGGATATTTGATATAAAGGCAGGGGGTGGGGGTGAGGGGGAAAGCCGTCATTAAGGGCAAATCAGCACAATCCTGGACTTGCTTTTATAGTTTAATATTATATTCTGAATTTTACGTGGATAATCCTAATTTTTTTCCATGCTTAGGGGCTCTGAGTGCCTTAATTCTGGCCTAATAAAAAAAGCATACTAGTAAAAGAAGAGTATAAACAGGGAACTGCAAGAAGAGCAGAACAGCTGAAGTGAAAACTTAGGGGTGGGGAGTGGCAGGCCATGAAAGTGGAAAAGCAGGCAGGACCAACAACTGCAAGACAGAGCTGGTCTGTCATACTAAGTCTCCTGTAGTGATGAGACACTCTTGCACGAGTATTAATAGGAAAGCGACTGGATTGTATTTGCATTTCAGACAAATCACTCTGACAGCTGTGTGAAATATGGATTACAGGAGGAGAAGAATGGAGCCAGGAAGACCAGTTAAAAGGACATTACACTAGACTTGGTAAAATATAATGAGTGTCTTAGCCAGGTAATTAGTAGTAGAGATGAATAGAAGCAATGAAATGTGTATTTATATACTTATATCCTTAAGGGTTAAAATTGACTGGAATGGTGCCTGGTTAGACGCTGTGGCTGAGGGACTTGAGGAAGAAAGCTCCATCAATGAGAAAGCCCTCATGTGTTAGTTGTGTGACTGGTTATATTGTAACTAGCAAGTAAAATGAAGAATAGTGGAAGAGAAGCAGATTGGGGAGGGTGAATGGTAAGCTTAGCTCTAGACAGATTCAATTTGAAGTTCTGGTGAATAAGACCTGTTCTGTTTTCCCAACCTGCTTCCAAATAGCTGCCTCAGTTGCCAATCTGCAGACATTGCTTGACAGAAGTTTCCACTGCTGTAGTAGAGCCACATTTTTGGAGCAGGGTGTTAACACTCAGTCTCTAGCCCACATTTCAGAAGAGGGTGTGTGCTTGGGATTCATGAGACAGTACATTCCTGTCTATTCCTTCCATACTGGAAACCATTCCTAACCCAGTACTCCACTGTAGCCTCCTGTAGCTTAATGCAGCCTAGAATAAGATCCTGCTAGGAATAGTAGGAACGCTCTGGCAGAGGAGTCATTAGCACCAGGTAATAGAAGTGTGCAGAAACAGATCTCACTTGTAGATTAGTGGATTGATACCATACTAAGTCTGAATAGATTCTGGTTTTTGGAGAAATTCGAGTGTTGACTCTGCCAGCCATCTAAATTAGTTGGGACTTGGATGGAAGAGGCAAACACCTATTTAAAGTAACTGAGGCAGAAAGTGAAATATTTTGGCTCTGCAATCAAATGGTAGGGAGTGTACTGTACTGGCACAGCTGGGCCTGAGGGATGACCAGAACCAGGACTGTGAACTCCGCTAGAGAGCTCTCTCTCTATCTTTTTCTTTCATTTCTGTTTGTCTTTATGTCTTTACTTCTTTCTATCAGATGGACTTCCCTCAAGAGCTGGAAACATATCTTTTGGCAGACAGAGGCATGCATTAACATCTTTCTACTCAAGAGGGACTATTTTCCCATAGTTCCAATTAAAGAACTCTGGGACTTGGTAGGTAGGGTATTGTGATTGACTATCCTTAATATAATCACATATTTGAAGAAGAGGAGAACAATTGTTTCTCTCTCTAAAGGGGCTGCTATTCTCAGAAGAAAGGAGGTCCACCTACTGAATAAAGCAACAGATGCATGCTACACCGTCTTTATAAAAGCTCTGCAAAGCCTTGTGCCTACCATGCCATCCCAAAATTTTCTATAAGGGCAATGAGAATTTAATTATGCAAGCACCAAGCTCACCCTACTTCTGAAAACATAAAATCGGGCAGGGATCATTACCATATTCCTCACTCTGATTCATGACTCACTCTCTTGTGTTCTTATAACATGAAATCTAATATATGCATCTGATAAACCACTTAATACAACACCTTGTAATTACTATTTATGTGCTGTCTTCATCTCTAGACTGTGAGCTCTTTGAGATCGGTGACTGTGTCTTCATTGCTTTTGTATACCCAGAGCTTGGCCCAGAGCTTGGCACATTATTTTGGTGGCATTTTACCTCATGCTGGAAGAGAAAAAAAAAATTCTTGGTTTGAAACTCTCTCTCCAAGTCACAGAAGCATCAAAGTCTTTCCAGCAACAGTGTGAAATAATGAAAAAAAGCTTTCCGTTGCATTTCAGATAAATACTGTTGAAAACTAAGATTACTCCTGAAACTCACAGCACTCCTCCCATAGTGGCCATCAAGAGATATTGATTAATGGATTGACTGATTAATTAAAAAGATAGAACTAAAGAAAAGGAAGGAAATGGTAGTCTTTTATGCATTTACACATGCATAATAATATTATTGATATATATATGGATGATATTACTAAATTGCCATTTACACATTGTTGTGTTTGAGATTGTTTAGTGGTAATAGGAGTAGTAAAGAATGGGTGTTATACCATTCATACTCTTCCTTTTTATTGTCTTTTCCCCAACAGTATGAAATTGTGAATCTATTGATCATTGTTTGAGGTGCAGTTTGTAAGTGTGGAACATTTGCAAAGCTAATTTCAAAGTAGAACAAACACTTTTTTTTCTCACCAGCAGTATCCCATAACCAACACAGTTAATCAGCCACCAGAGACATAAAGAAACTGCTAAATTCCTGCAATCTTATAACTTTGAACTATTCTCTGCCATTACTGGTCCTTGTGTATATACCCTGAGAGAAGAGGGTTCTGGGAAAATGACAGGGCCTTAACTAGAAGATCTGCAATATCTCAAGTCTGCTAAAAGGACCACTCACCCTTTCCTCCTACCTCCAAAGAATTAGGATCTAGGAAAATAGTTTGAATTGATCAATGGACTGGCTTCGACCCTACCGAGGAGCTTGTCATATGCAAGAATAACGTTTGAGATGAAAAATCTAGCCATATGCAGATTCCTAGTTTTGTTCCTAAAATAACTCCTGGTGTTGTTGGCTTCTCTCCCTCATCTAGTTACCATCTGGGGTTTGTGTGTGTCTGTGTGTGTCTGTGTGTGCACGCGCGCAGGCAATAATACCTCCTCCCCACAATCTGCCAGGCACAGACACCCTCCTTCCACCTCTCCCACGCTTATGTACTCACTGAACCAGGGATGCGGAAAAGATTTCAGATTAACTGAAAAGGCCCAATTTCTGCTTTCCTGCCAAAGATTTTACACGTACTTTATGCCTCCCTAAAAAAAAAAAAAAAAAAAAAAAAAAAAAAAAGTTGCTCTATAAGCAGAGGCCAAGGAGACCAGTAGCAATAGGAATTAATTTGTGAAGGTCTAGGTTGTATGTGGCTCCTTGGTGCTTAAGCCAATGTGTAGAAGTTAATATATAATGGCTTGGGGGCTACAAACATTTTTGTCTAAACTTAACAACTCACTCAAATGCTGGCCTATTTCTTTTTTACTTCAGAAACTTATTTATTTCACATTTCTTCGGTTTAGAAATGACCTGGGCATTGAACTAATTAAAAAAATAATTTAATATATGGGGAATAAATCCTACCCAAGCTAAGACCTTGTCAGCCAATTTCAACCTGGAGTGCAACCTTAGAACAGAATAGTAAATCTCCTATAATAGGGGCTTCCAGATCCACTATATCACAGAATGCTTTGCATACTTGTCAGGGAGCACAATTCACCTCGCCAACTGCCCTCACAAACTTCCTGAAACATGAAGGGTTCAGTGTGTTAGTGGGGAAGTCAAGGGGCTGGGGAGAGGGAGGCTGGATTCAGGTATTGACAGTGGGGGAAATCAGGGCTCACCCACGGGAGTCAGAGGGAGCTGGGGAGTCAATGGAGGTGAAAAATAGACGTTAAGAAGGATGAAACCAGAGACCACTCTGCCTTTTCCCCTTCCTCCTGTGAAGCCGACAGACTCACACAGGAAGCAGCTATCCCAGTGTTGGTTCATTTATCCCAGAGAAGAGGTCAAAGAAAGGACAAAGCAGCCGTCGTGCAAATGGAAGAATTTAAGGAGAAGATCAGGAGAGGCTCGAGAGAACAAGGATTTGCTCATAAGCAGGGGAACCATGCTACTCTGAATGAAGGATATCAAATAGTGGGTTCCCTGCTAGCTGTGCTGGTGTGAAACAGACCATTTTTGCTTGGCTTTTTTTGTGCCTGTTGGAAGAGAACTCCGCAGTGGCTAACACTCATTAAGCATCCCTGCGGGATCACCCTGAGAATGTTGGTGGCCTAAGAGTAGTTGTAGTGGTTTGGGATTATGAACCAGGAGAAAGCCTCTGTGACCCTAAATTTTTATTTGCTAATGCTGAAAATACCTCATTAAAGATTCACTCTTTTTGGTTAAGATTTGTCCATGTTAAGGAAAGGATAAGGAGAAGAGTTGAGTAATTTGTGAATGAATTACTTTTTAAGACTTTTCCTCATTTAGAACCATAAGTTGTGGGAGACAGGGGAAAAGAACATGAAAGTATTGAGTATCTGAGGCAGAAGAAAGGGCATCCTCTACGGACCAGGTGAAATTAGAGATATTCAGCCTACTTCGCAGTTTTTCCTAGTAAAAAGTCTCTAGCTCCGGTGAAGAAAATGTGACAAGAGCAAATATTTCCTGAGTTCACTCTAGTCCTCTGATGATGCATGATATGTGAGGTTCTTCTCTGCATCGTGCCTCAGGCTCCCAGGAGGTAAGAAAGAATAGCACTCTCACTATTACTCACCTCAAAGGAAGTGACCAGAACCAGTTTTAATAGTTTACGACAATAGATTCTAATTATTTAAACTTCATTAACCTGCTGTAGAACTGTAATCAGGTTATAATCATGAGTACCTGAATTTTGTGTCAGGCCTTAAGAATGCAGAGGACTTTTCCGATTCTAGCAGGTTTGCAGGGGTTTTCAGTCATACCAGTCATCATGTGACTAGCAAACATTCAATTTCTGTGGAAGTCACTGAGATGAAATAGGTTTCTAAATCCACACCATCATTCATTAAAGTGTCATTTCTCCTTGGAAATTTCCAGTTCAAGGGAAAATGATGCATGGTCATAGGGTAGAGAAAGCAAAATCAGATACCAGTTGCCCCTCCAAGGAGTCCTGTAAATGACTTTCCTGTGTTTGGCTTATCAATAAGATTTCAAGTTCATGAGACAACAACAGTTTTTTGTTTGTTTGTTTGTTTGTTTGTTTGTTTGGTAGGGGGTGAGACCCCTCTTGAATATTAACAGAACAATAAATCCTACAACTCACACAGAGCACATGATTTATCTTTGATCATAACCAAGAAATCACAAACACAGAGATTTATTTGCCTCATGTTATGACCCTTTGATCAGAGTCTTAGATTGGATGGACAGAGACGGCCAGGCCCCATGCTCCACACAAGGAACAGAGTCAAACTGGATGTGGCTCTTCAGCCATGAGGACCTGCCATGCCTCTAAGTGGTATCTGCTATCTCATGTATTATTGTCCTGGGCTTTATGGTCCTCTCCTCACCCATTCTTTTCTTTTAATAATGCCAAAGAATGGGGCTTAGAGACACAAGATCAGAGGCTGCTCATTTAAAGATGACTGAAGAGGGGAGAGGGATTCTATACCAGGAGCAATGTATAAATTCCATGTTATTAAGATGATGCCATTTCTGGGATAGAATTTTAAGTCTCCGAAAGGGATTAGAAAAAGATAAAAGTTAGGGGAAAACATGAAGGAATAAATAACTCCTTTGAACACATATAATTAAAACTAAATTAATAATTTTGCCCCTATTATGTGCTGGGCACTGATTCAGGAACTGTAGAGACAGTAACACATTTATGATGAGTAATACACCCTCAGAGAAACTTGTCTTGTTGGGTAGAGAGACTTACAAACAATAGATAATATCCAACAATAATGGCTTTAAATAGCATTTTGAGATATGCTAATAGAGGATTTAAATAGCATTTCTAGACAACAGTAGCTATGCTATTAAAGGGCACCTATGATTAATTACTGAACAAATTTTACAGACAATAATTGCTAAAAGAATTCAGAGAAAGGAGAGATCCCTTTAGGCTGTGGCTGGCAAGGACATTGGTATGGAAAAAAAATATGCTTCAACTGACTTTTGTCAGGATAGGAAGTGATTTGGTAAGTAGAGTGATGTACTGTGTCTCTTGATTATCAAAGTAAATTGAAAGAAATGCCTACCTAGTGCCTACTACAGATGTAGTTCGATGCTATACACTTTTATCACAATAATCTCGTGAAATAAAGATTATTATTATTCTGAATTTATTAAAGAGAAAACTGAGGCTCACAGAGGTGAATAACTTTAAAAAAAAAGAAAAAAATAGCTATCATATAGCTATCAGAAAAAATATGTGGAGTTTCACATTCAGCCATAATATAGTAATATAACTCATGTTTACCTTTCCAGATTAAAAAGGAGAAAGCCAGACAAAATATATGAAACAGCAATTTTTATTCATTGGACAATAGACAATGCAGGACTGTGATCCCTAAGGAATAAAGAACAAATGATAGAAGCCCTATGTTGTCCCAGTTTACTACCTGGAGTTTCTAGGCCATAGGATAGAGTGGGAGAACCCCAAAAGAGCCTGTTGTTCTTGCTTAATTGAAGAAATAGAGATTGATGTACAGGGAAGCTAAGGTAGCTAGAATTCTTGGAACAGAGTTGAGAGAAGAAGGAATTTCATAGAGAAAACTCTGGAAATTTTCAGAGAGTCCCTTTGAGTCATTGATTGAGTAGCAATCTATGGACAAATAAAAATAATGTAATTGTGTACAGGCAAAAAGAGCTCTGGAAAATAGTATGCTGAGGAATTCTTAGAGCTCATAGACAACTGGGAATCATTTATATTTCTTAGAGCCAGAACGGAAAGACCTTGTAAAACATGGGTCATTTGGCAGAGTGCTCACAAAGGTATTGCCTTGTTAGTGGGAATAAATTAGCTCTAAACTGAAGATTGCCCTTGGTTTGCCCTAACGAGCATAAAAGCAAGACTCAAAGGATCAAACTAATAATAAGTAACTTAACTGCCTTATAGGACAAAGTCTAAAACTGTTTGAAGGAATGACAACAATAGCAAAAAATCCAGCACGAGCAACATAAAATTTAAAATGTCTGGCATTCAAACAAGAATTACCAGGCATGCATATAAGCAGGAAAATATACTCATACAAAGAGTTGGTTAATAAAGAGAAACAGACTCAAAAGTGAGAGAGAGAATGAAATTAGCACAAAAGATATTAAAACGGCTATTATAAATATATCTAGAGAGGTAACACAAAATATGAACATAAGAAGAAAATGAAAATGTATAAAAGTGATGCAAATAAAATCTTAGGGAATAAAAAATACCATATTGAAATTAAAAATACACTAGATATAATGGATAATCATCACAGTATTGCAGAAGAAAAGATAAGGTAAATGCATAGCAAAAGAAACTGTCCTAAATCAAGGCCAGAAACTTAAAAAAAATGAACAGACCCTAATTACTGTGTAGTGATATCAAGCATTCTATAACAGATGCAGTTGGTATCTTAGAAGTAGATGGGAAGAGATGAGGAAAAGAACTAACTGTGAATATATAATGGCCAAAAAATTCTACAGATTTGGTGAGAACTATAAATATATGCATCCAAAACCTCAACAAGCCATAAACAGCATAAATTTTAAAAATTCACATGAAACAAGTGGTTAAAAATCCAGGATGAAGAGAAAAATAAAATACTAATTTACACGTTAAAATAATATTCATAGAAGTCAGATAAAAATATACATATGCACAAAGTGGTACAGAATAACAGTGAGAGGAATTCTGAAATTATGCAAGCCAAGAGACAATGAGTTCAAATTTAAAAAATTGTAAGATTTAAAAAATCTAGAATTCTTTGCTGAACAAAATTATCTCTCAATAAAGAAAGCAAAATAAAGATGTTACAAAATAAAGATGTTATAATAAAAAAGATGAGGGAATCCATCATCAACAAATATGCACCTTAAGAAATGTTAAAGAAATTCTTCAGGCAGAAGGAAAATAATACAGGCTGGAATTCATATCTATACACAAAAATAAATAGCACTGGATGTGGTAAATATGTGAGTAAATATGGAAGAAATATTCTACTTATCTTAATCACTTTAAAAGATAACTACATTTTTAAAGCAAAAATTATAATAAATTTGGAGTTTCATAACTTGTGTCAAAGTAAAATCTATTAAAATGATGGATGAGAAGAAGGTAAATTAGAATATAATGGCCTTAGACTACATGTAAAATGGTGTTATATAATTCAAAGGTAGACTACAATAAGTTCAAGATGTATATTGTAAACCTGAGGACAGCCACACTCAAAAATAAAATGAAAGATATAACTAGCTAGTCAAAACTGGAGAAAAAATTTATAAAATATATTCAATCCTTCTAAAACAGATAGGAACAGAAGAAAAGAGGAACAAATAAAAGATTAGAAAAATAAAAAACAAATAGCAAAATGGAGGGTCTAAACCAATTTTATTGACAACTACATCAAATGTAAGTGACCTAAACACTTCAATTATAAAGAAAATGTCAGATTGGGTTTAAAAAATAACATCTAGGTAAATGTTGTCTATTTGAAACAAAATGTAAATATATAAAGACACAAACAGATGAACAGTAAAAGGATGAAAAATTAGTGTAAACACTAACCAAAGAAAACTAGAGTTGATATATTAATATCAGACAAGTAGACTTCATAACAAGGAATGTTGCCAGAAATAAAGAGGGGCATTTCATGTTAATAAATGGACAATATTCTCTGGGTAATTGATAGAACAAGCAGAATATGAATATATATGCATATGTATGATATAGAAGACTTGAACAACACTGTCAATTAACCTGACCTGATTGACATTTGTAGACACTACACTCAACTACAGGAGAATGTATATTATTTTCAAATGCATATAGAAGGTTTACCAAGATAGGTCAGAGTTCTGGGTAATGACAGTCTTTCAGAATTTTAAGGGATTTAAACCATACAAAGCATGTTCTCTGACAAGAAAATTAAAATAAAATAAAAATTTGAAAGACATCTGAAAAATTCACAAATTTTGAAAATTAAACACCCAATTTAAAATAATACATATGCAAAGGAAGGAAACACAAAGAAAATTAGAATGTATTTAAAAAATTGTTTAGCATCTTACTGGGGTTAATTGACACACACACACACACACACACACACACAAACCCTCTACATACTCAAAATGTACTAATGGATGAATTTGTTATATATAGACACTTGTGAAACCATCATCATAATTAATAAGTCGAATATTTCCACTATTCCCCAAAGTTTCTACATGCCCCTTTGTAATATCATTGCAAAAACAAAACAATTATCCAATTTCTTATGAAGTTTAACATACATAAACTTACCTTATCACCCAACAAACACTCCTAAGTGTTTTCTCAAATGAAATGAAAGATATATCTATACAGAGACTTCCATTTCAGGTGTTCACAGAAGCTACATTTATAATTACCCAAATTTCTATTTAGCTTAGAAGCTACTTGTTAATTACAGAAATATTTGCCATCTGGAATCAACTGGGAATTTTTAAAACCAAAAATTCCTGGCTCCTTTATGTTTATTTCCTTTTAACCTTATTTTTTATTTCTTGCATTGCACAATAGGCAAGTAGGATAAAAATACAAATGTATTTACACCAGACACATCACATTCAAAATATTGAAAGAGAAAAATAAAGATAAAACCTTGAAAGCAGAAAGAGAAAAATAACCCAAATAAGATTAACAGCTGACTTATCATTAGAAAAATGGAGGCCAGAAACAATAGGATGACATATTCAAAGTGCTGAAAGAAAGGGGAAAAAGTCAAAAAACTTATATCCAGAAAAAAATATTATATAAAAAGGTGACCTCATTAAAGAAAATACACAGATGGCAAATAAGCATAGAAAAAGATACTCAACATCCTATATTATTAGGGAATTTCACATTAAAACAACAATGAGATACTACTACACGCCTATTAGAGTGGCCAAAATCCAAAATACAACACAAAATCCTGGCAAGGATGTGGAGCACCAGAAACTCTGATTTATTACTGGTGGAAATACCAAATGATACAGCCATGTTGGAAGAGTGATGGTTTCTTACAAAAGTAAACATACTCTCACCATATGATCCAGCAATTGCACTGCTTGGTATTTACCCAAATGTGTTGAAAATTTACACCCACACAAAAACCTGCATACAAATGTTTATAGCAGCTTTATTTATATTTGTCAAAAGTTAGAAAGAAATAAGATGTCCTCCAGTAGGGTGATTGACATACAAACTATGGTACATCCATACAATGAAATATTATTTAGCAATAAAAATAAACTATTAAGCCATAAACAGACATGGAGGAGGCTTAAATGCATATTGCTAGGTGAAACAAGCTAATCGGAACAGACTGCATACTGCATGATTCCAACATTATGATATTCTGAAAAAGGCAAAAGTATGGAGGCAGTAAAAATATCAGTGGTAGCCAGAGGTTTGAGAGGAGAGAGAAAGAGAATACTCAGCAAAAGAGATTTCTAGGACAGTGAAACTATTATTCTGTATGTTAATGTAATAGTGAATACATGTTACACGTTTGTCAAAACCCACAGAATGTACAACACAGAGTAAATGCTAGTGTAAACCATGAACTGAAGTTAATAATAACGTACCAAAATTGGTTCGTCAAGTATAATAACGTACCACACTAATAGGAGAAGCTAAAAACAGGAGAAATTGGTGGAGGTGAGTAGCATATGAAGACTTAATACTTCTCACTCAATTTTTTTTTTTGAAAACTGAAACTGCTTAGAAAATAAGTCTATTTATTTGTTTTGTTTTGTTTTATTATTATGCTTTTAAGTTTTAGGGTACATGTGCACAACGTGCAGGTTAGTTACATATGTATACATGTGCCATGCTGGTGTGCTGCACCCACTAACTCGATAGTTTTTTTAAATGAAGGTGAAATAAAAACATTCCCTGATAAACAAAAACTGGAATAATTCATTGCTAACAGATCCACCTTACAAGACATACTAAAGAAAATTTTTGAACTGAAAGCAAGTAACACCAGACAGGAATGTGAATTCACACACAAAAAAATCAGAGATCCAGTAAAGGTAAATATGTAGGTGATAATAAAAGACAGTACAATTACATATTTCTTATTTTACCTTATTTTAAAAACAAATACATAAAACAATATGTGTATTACTGTTGGACTCAAAACATAGAAATTGAATAGGTTTGGCAATAACAGCACAAGGAAGGCATATGGGAGCAAAGCTAAATTTGAGAAAGGAAATGACACCAAATTGTAACTCAAATATTCAGGAAGAAATAAAGAGAGCCAGCAATGTAAAATGAGAAGATTATATAGCCAATTCTTTAACATGTTCATTTTTCTTCACTCAGCTTAAGATATAAAAGATATAAAATTACCTAAAGTAATAATTATAACAATGTATTGTTGGGTTTGTAACATATATAGATGTGATATGTAGAACAATAACACCATGAAAAATGATGAAAAGGGAATAGGGTAATAAAGAAGTAATATTTTTATATTCAATGGAATTAGATTCCTTAGTAGATTCTTATAAATTAAGATATATATGATAAACCCTAGAGTGACCCCCTAAGAAAATAACTAAAAGATGCAATTCAAAAATTATTGAAGAAATTGAGATGTTACATTTAAAAATATTTAACCAAAGAAAGTAAAGAACATACAATAAAAAAACAAAACCACAAAGTTTATAGAAAACAGAAACAGCCAACTAGTAGACCAAATCTGTTTCAGTAATGTAATGCACCATACTAATAAAGAAAAGAGCAAAAACCACATATTCAACTCAATAAATGCAGAATTGTTTTTGTTTTCTTTTTTTACTAAATCCAAAATCTTTTCATGATAAAAAAAAGACACCAGGAATAAATGGAAGCTTCTTTAACCTGAGAAACGGCAGCTGTAAAAAACTAACAGCTAATATCATGCTATTATGATCATTTGCAGATGATATGATTCCATATACTAAGAAATCTTAAAGAAGCCACTAGTTAATAAACTAGCTCAGGAAGTTTGCAAATACAGTATCAACATACAAAAGTATGTTGTACTTCTTTACCCTAGTAGTGAATAATCTGCAATTATAATTTGTAAAACAATTTCATTTACAATCACTCAAAATAATGAATTAGGAATACATTTAACAGAAGGAGTTAATAAACAATGTTTTCTAAATTTAAGAAAGGATGTGCAAAACTTATACTCAAACTACAAAACACTCCTAAAAGAATCAGAAATTTTTAGAAACTTTAGAAAATTATAATGTTTTAAATTAAATTATCAGTTAAATCCTAAAATTAAAGAAAATATAAATAAGTGGAAAAACATCTCATAGTCATGGATCATAAGTCTTAATTTGTTAAGATGGTGATATTTTCAAATAAATCCACATATTTAACTCAATTCCTATTAAAATCTCAGCTACCTTTTTTTCAGATATCAAATATGAATATGAATCCTGAATAGCCAAGACAACCTAGGTAAAGAAGAACAAAGTTGGAGAAGTCACACTTTCAAATTTGAAGATGTATTCCAAAGCTATAGTAATCAAAGCAGTTTGATATTAGCATATGAAGACACATAGGTTAACATAATAGAATTGTAAGTTCAAAAATAAACCCTTACTTTATGGCCAATTTATTTTCAACAAGAATGCCAAAAAAATTCAATGAGGAAAGAATGATCTTTTTCAACAAATGTTCCTAGAATCACTGGATATCCAAAATCAAATATCATGTGCCAAAAATTAAGCCAAAATAGATCACAGACCTAAATATCAGAGCTAAAATTATGAGATTTAGAAGAAAAAATAGGTATAAATCTTTGTTAGTTTCACTTAAAGATTTCTTAGATATGGCATACAAATACAAGTGATAAAAGAAAGAATAGATAATTTGGACTTGATATAAATTAAGAACTTTGTCTTATGAAAAATACCATCAAGGAAGTAAAAAAACAACCCACAGTTGGGAGAAAACACTTACAAACCATATATCTGATAAGAGGCTCATAAGCAGAATATATAAAAAATTCTTACAACTCAATAATAAAGAGATAAGCAACCCAATTAAAAACAGGCAGCAGACCCGAACAGACATTTCTCAGAAGAATGTATATAAAAAGCATAAGAAAAGATACCCAGCCTCATTAGTTATTAGTGGAATGCAAATCAAAGCCCAATAAGATACCACTTTTCACCTGCTAGGAATTATATAATCCAAAAAAAAAAAAAATCGAAGCATAATGAAACAAACAAAAAAACCCACCAGACAATAATGTTGTTTGTGTTGTTGAGGAATTGAAAAAATTAGTATCCTCACACATTGATGGTGGGAATGTAAAATGATGCAACTACTTTGAAAAACATTTCAGCAGTTCCTCAAAAAATTAAACATCATCGTATGTCCCAGAAAATCTACTCCTAGATATATACTCAAGAGAAATGAAAAAAACATTCATTTACACAAAAGCTCATACACAAATGTTTATAGCAGCATTATTATTAATATTTTTTAATTATTATTATACTTTAAGTTTTAGGGTACATGTGCACAATGTGCAGGTTTGTTACATATGTATACATGTGCCATGTTGGTGTGCTGCACCCATTAACTCGTCATTTAGCATTAGGTATATCTCCTAATGCTATCCCTCCCCCCTCCCCCCACCCCACAACAGTCCCCAGAGTGTGATGTTCCCCTTCCTGTGTCCATGTGTTCTCATTGTTCAATTCCCATCTATGAGTGAGAACATGCAGTGTTTGGTTTTTTATCCTTGCGATAGTTTGCTGAGAATGATGGTTTCCAGTGTCATCCATGTCCCTACAAAGGACATGAACTCTTCATTTTTTATGGCTGCATAGTATTCCATGGTGTATATGTGCCACATTTTCTTAATCCAGTCTATCGTTGTTGGACATTTGGGTTGGTTCCAAGTCTTTGCTATTGTGAATAGTGCCACAATAAACATACATGTGCATGTTTCTTTATAGCAGCATGATTTATAATCCTTTGGGTATATACCCAGTAATGGGATGGCTGGGTCAAATGGTATTTCTAGTTCTAGATCCCTGAGGAATCGCCACACTGACTTCCACAATGGTGGAACTAGTTTACAGTCCCACCAACAGTGTAAAAGTGTTACTATTTCTCCATATCCTCTCCAGCACCTGTTTTATTTAAATAACCTCAAGTGGAAACAACCCAAATGTCCATCAACTAATAAATGAATAAATAAAATGTGGTATATTCATCTAATAAAACCTTATTATGCCATAACAAGGAATGAATTACTGACACATGCTACAACATGGATGAACTTTGTATACCTATTCTAAGTAAATGAAACTATTTTCAAAAGACCACATATTGTGGTATTCCATTTATATGAAATGCCCAGAGTCAGCAAATCCACAGAGACATAATGATGTCTGTTGTCTGGGGCCTAGGGGAGAGGGCAAGTGGAGAAGGACTGCTAATGTGTATGAGGTGTCTTTTTCAAGTAGTGAAAATACTCTATGATTAGATTATGGCAATGGTTGCACAACTCTGCGAATATACTAAAAACCTTGAATTGTAAACATTACATAGGTGAATTGCATAATATGTAAGTTATATCTTAACAAAGCTGTTCAAAAAGAGTTCTTTGCTCCAGATAAGAGTGGGAGTGAAACTGTTTGCACTGAGTTCATTCCTTTGGGCTTTTGAATTCATTTCATGTATTCGCTAGTAAAAATAAAGTCATTAGAAATAAATAATCTAGTGTTATGTGACTGGCACTAGAGTATGCACTTGAGCCCACATCTGTGTGAATAGTTAGGAGATAATTAGGGGGGGTTTTCCTGATATGTATCCTTTGATGATTCTCTGTCTTTAAAAATTAAAGGGGAATCTTTGGTTTATAGAGTGGCATCAACTTGAATGGTGCTAAGAAAGCAATTCCCTGTGTTGGTTCCTTAGCAGATTACAAAAACTAGAGATGTTTCCCTTTTAACTGCAGTAAATCCTCTAAAAGAAAATTTTGTAACTAGCTTATCAGTCCTACATATGATATCCTACATAGACATATTTAATTATTCAAAGATGCTGTAAGTGCCAAAGAACCCTGAACTGGAAAGTAAGGTGCTAGGAGCTAGAGTTTTCCCATCAAGTAATTTGTTCTGTGCCTTCAGTAATTCTTCCAACCTTTTGATCCATAGCATCCTCATCTATATAGTATTTTTCTTTTCAATCTTACAGAGCTTTTGAGTATTAACCCAAGTCAGATAATAGCTATGAAAATAAGTTACAATGTAGAAAGCTTACACATGTCAGGTAATATTATTGTTATTTATTATAATATGAAATTAATAAAATTAAAATAATAATGAGCATAACAAGGTGGAGGTTTATGCAATCCATATTTGTTAATGGCTTTTGACCTTTAAAGTTGACCTTGCATATTCATAGTCTAAAGTTGACACTGTATATTCATAATCTATAGGGGGATATATATATATTCCAGTTTTCAAATTGCCAATGCAGAGAATTCTGGGTTTTTTAAGAGAAGATTTTATAAGAAAAATGGCATTATATGTTTTGCCACCAACTTGGTGAGTTGTTTTAAGATATTATAATATTAGAACTCATGGGAAGAAGAAAAATGATAACTCTAACTCAGGCTATTCACTCAGCATAGGTACTTACTTCTGAGGTGTGTGCAGAGTACAAAGCAAGTTTAGACTTTATGATGAAGAGTAGGTTTTGTTTATATACTTTATTTTAATTCTTTATATTAACTTTTTGTGTTTCCTTAAGTGATGAAGATTTTCTCACATCACTTACGGTGTACTTAATCCACCCTTCTACTGGCAAACTCCTATATATTCCTCAAGACCCTGCTTAAGGCAGAGTGGGTGGCATTCTTGAGATAGCTTCCTGATAAAATTGAAGATAATTGTCTCCTCCCTTTGGCCACCATAAGAGTACATTCCTCTGTTAATGTACATACTGCGCAATATGTTAATTGTTTATTTTCCTATATTTCTTTCTTAGTAGACTATAAGCTCATATGCACATGAGTAGAGATCAGAACTATCCAGCTTAAGTCATATAATTTTTATGATTAGTGTAAACTGACCATTTTTCAGCAACTTAGTCATATGGAAAATGACTGAAAAAATTAATAAAATATATAAACCAAGCTTTTGTACATGGTAATCTGGAAAGAATAGTGATTCAAAACACACAGGATACATAGCTATCCAGATTCAGGGCCTCTGGAGGGGCAGGGAAAGCTTAGATATTTGTTCAGTAGCAGATGTCCCAAGCAGATCTTGTTATGAAACAATAAAGCAAGAGCCTTTGCCTTATGGGAGGGACCATCCATAAATAATTCTACCTCCATACTGAAGGAATTTGGCCACACCAAGGTGATGTAGCTCATCCTGGTCATCTGGCTGTTACCCTTCACTATCCTAGATTTTATCTCTTTCTTCACACCTGCATTGACTGTGCTCTCCTCTCAGGCTCTTATAGCAATATGGCCACAGTTAGGTTTTAAGTGTGATTTTTCCACGGCCCCTCTTCATTTTGATCTCATCTGCTTCTCTTTTCTAAACCTATTTATGTCGCTAAAGGAGATTTTTCTACTTAGGTCTGTTGGCAAGCATCCAGACTTCCTTTGTCATCTCTCTACCTTTGGTCTCTCCTCCTCATCCATCTAAAGCAGACACTGGGACATTTTGAGTGTTTCCCCTCTATCTTCTTCTTTTCTTTTTTAGTATGGCTCAACATGGGCAGCCCTTAATTTTTTACTTTCAACATTCACTTCTTATACCCACCAGAAGGGGAGACTACATATTTTGTGAAGCCAAGTACAAAATAAAAATGCAGGATACTTTATTCAAAATTATTAACAACTCTAAGACAATAACAGCAGAACATTAAGACAAAGTAGAACCCTTCTAAGTACAGGGCCCTGTGCAACCACACAGGTCTCAGGTCCAGGATTCCTGCCTCGCTCAGTAGACTGGAAGCCACATGGAGACAGGGGCTGCACCTTTCTTGCACATTGATGTATCCTAGCAGCAAGCTTAGTGTCTTAATTAGCACAGAGATTATGTAAAAGGATAAAATAATATCTAGAACTTTGTGGTCCACACAGCATTTGCCCACACATCATCTCATTTCCAAACTTAGTCCTTTTAATTAAGGTAGGAATGGCAATCACTAATTTCCTCATATTATATATAAGCAAACTAAGGTTTACAGTTGCTGGGTGGTGTTGTTTGGGTCATTCTACAATTAACAGATAGCACAGAGAATCGATGTCACCCCTTCTAATTCCATTCTCTAAACCACCTTAACTCTCACCTGGGGGATAGGAGGTGAGTGAAGGCATGGAGGTGCAATCGTTTCATAATCCCTGCTGTCCCAGAATTCTGAAAGTACAGTGGGATGAGATAAGTAGTTTCTGCTTTTTTAAAAATTTTCTTGGCAATAATACTAATACTACTAGTAATAATGCTTTAAATATATTTAAAACTCTGCATTTTATAAAGGTCATTGCACATCCAGTTATCATCATGACTGAAACTAAGAAAGAGGCACCGAAGAAATGTTACTGATGTGGAAGATGATACTTACCTGGATTAACTGACTAATAACAGTCGCTACATCATTTCAAACAAATAACTGAAAACCAAAAATATCAGAACTGCCATTGGTCCTCAGGACATTATTATTTATTTTGAACTATAGGACATGACACAGCTACCATTTAGGTAGCTCCTGCAGCATCTAGCTGAAGGACAAAATATCTCAGGATACTTAGCAAGAGTCCTTCTGTGGTGAAGGTGCTGAAGGAGTCAGAGTGGGTGAAGAGACTTGGCTTTGTCTTTCTAGCAGTGGAGAGAGCTGGGTTGAATTTTTAACTTTCGCCATTTCTTCTTGGTTAACTATGTCACTGTTTTACATCCACAGTTATGTATTAGAATAGAGTTTAAGGGACTATTAATAGTATTTTTTAAATAAAAAGAATTCCATGGCCAAGTAAGTTCAGGAAACATGTAGCTGCTGAGTTGTATCATTGGGCTCCAGAAGCACCCTGTACTTATTCCTGGTACAAGACTTATCATGTTAAGTCACAATGCCTAGTGATTTGCCTGTGTCAATTTTAAGCTCCTAAAATCTTATCTTAACCTTCATGTCTACACACCTAGTAACAAGAAGGTGCTAAGTAAATACTGGATGGATGAATAATTATCTTCATTGAAACAGGAAGTAATCTCTTGATCCCAGCATTCGAGTCAGGATATTCATATTCAGTAGCCATCACGCTCTAAACACTCAGGTGCATGTGAACGCCATTCTCACATCCCTACTCAGCAGGCTCCCATTCTAAACCCTCAAAGTGCCAGTGGGCCCTTGGGTACTGCTGCTGATATGCTGCATACTTGAATATTAAAGCCCTCTACTCTCTCTCCAATTTAACCCTGGCTTCTCAGAGCTGGCCCTCTGGGACCCTCCAAGCCTTTCAAATGACATCCAGGCAAACCAGGCTGAATTATGAAATCATAGCATTACTAATATCAAATCCCAGGCCTCATATTTTAATATTGTATATGAAGTTCTGTCTAAAGACCGAGATTAATTTAATATGTAAAACAATAGATACCTCAAATTAATACAAAACATTGTAATACAAATGACTTTTATTCAGATCTGAATACTGCACACAAAGGCTGTAAGTAAATTAGTTTTATTGATCTATATTCATAGAATCATTTAAATGTACCCTCTGGTACTGAGAGCCAGGGGTTTTTCTGATGCTTGCCATTAATGCATTTTTCATTAGTGGCTAGTGCTGGGAAGCCCAAATTTCATTTGGCTGCAAGAGATTAATTTCCTCTTGACAACCATGGCCAGATTAAAAAAAAATGGGGGAGTTGAAACAGTGATCTACAGGACAGTTCTCAGAACTATGATTTAGAGGACCAGGAAAACACAGATTATATATATATATATATATATATATATATAGAGAGAGAGAGAGAGAGAGAGAGAGAGAGAGAGAGAGAGAGGGAGTGTGTCTTCTTGACTGTGTGCCTATTGTGGAGAAAACAGCCATTTTGAAGAGAAATAACTCAGTCTATGTTTCTTGACCTTGTCTCAGAATATGTGTATATGCCACAACCATTTATAATTGACAATTGACCTATTTTCAATCTCAGAAATATAAGTAAGAAGACATACAGGCAATTAATTTACAATTTTTTTTCCTTGTATCTATCATTTGCTTGTTGGTTTGTGTCTCCGAAAGTATTTCTCATCAACCTCACAAAGGGAGCATAATAATAATAGTAATAATATAATTAAAGCTAATTAAAGCCATTCAAATTGATTTTGTTTGGAGACATGTTGGAAAATTTGGAACTCCCACTGAGATAATTCATACACACTGGGGAGCTGGGGAGTCACAAAACTGAGCCCCTGAATTTGAGTGTTGCTTGGGTTTTGTGACAACCGAAATGGTTCACTGCTTCTGCTCCTTCCCTAGGGTGGTGCAGTCATTGTATCAGCTCTGTGGGGAGCCTCCTAGTTTTTTTAATCTAACTACCTCATCATTGAAGCCTATAACCACAACCTATTTAGATTATGACAGTTGAATAATACCGGTATGGACCATGAAGAAGAAAGTGGGAACTATTTCTACAAGTGAGTAGAGCAAACAGTCATTTTTATGATGTGACCTGTGAATCGTTAAACGCATCTTTGCTTATTATATCTCTCTCTCCCAGACTTGCCCCAGTGCCAGAACATCCTCCAGTTTAAGGGGAATTCCTTAGATATGAAAGTTTAATGTATTTTGGAGAGGCCTCTTTAGGATACAAGTTCTTCTGGAAGGGCTAACCCTATAAACCGCCATGGACTATTAGCACCAGGGCTTCAGTGAGTCCCACAGATTGCTTTTTAAAATTACAGCTTTCACAAACTGTGGTAGGCAGAAAGATAGCTCCCCAGAGATGTCCACATTCTAATCCTCAAATGTTACATGGTAACACAACAAAGGGAAATTAAGGCTATAGATGGAATTAAGATTGTTTTAAAATTTAATTTTAATTTAATTTAATTTAATTTTAAGATTTAAATTTAAGATTGAATTAAGATAGGGGGTTTATCCTGGATTACCCAGTGGACTCAATGGAATCACAAGAGCCCTTATAAGTAGACGAGGGAGGCAGAAGAGAAAGAGAAACACAGAGATATTAGTGTGAGAGGACTCATTACAACATTGCTGGAGGAAGGGGCCATAAACCAAGGATTTGGTCACCTTATAGAAGCTGAAAAGGGCAAGAAAACAGATTCTCCTCTAGAGCCCCTAGAAGGGAATATAACCCTATCAAAATCTTGGTTTTGGCCCAGTGCAACCCATTTTGGGTTCCTGACCTACAGAACTGTAAGATAATAAATTTATGTTGCTTTAAGGCAGTAAATTTGTGGTAATTTATTATAGCAGCAGTGGAAACTGTTATACAGAGGACTAGGCACTTGTCTGTTCTGGTAAGTGTATAAGCAAGTAAAGATTAAATGGGAAGGACTGGGGTAAGCACTTCAGAAAATAAACTACTATTGAGGAATACATTGTAGAGTGGGGGAGTTATTGGGCAGATGGATAACTCATGGCAGTATTAAACGGATGCACCAAGGGGGAAAGAGGGGATACATAAAAGGGAGACTGAAGAACACTGTATTCATGTTTTGTTGCTATATGATAAAATTACCACAGACTGAGTGGCTTAAAACAACACATTTATTTTTTATTTTATGTTATTTTGTTCAGACAGGGTCTCACTCCATCACCCATGCTGGAGTGCAGTGATGCAATCATAGCTCACTGCAGCTTTGACTTCCTGGGCTCAGATGAACAACCCACTTCAGCCTCCTGAACAACACATTTATTATCTCACAGTTTCTGTAGGTCAGGACACGAAACAGCTTAGCTGAATCCTCTGTTCATAGTCTCACAAATCTTCAATCAAGGTGTTGGTGAGGCTGTTCTCATCTGGAGGCTCAACTGGGGAAGAACTCACTTTCATGTTCATTTAGGTTGTTGGCAGGATTTATTTTCTTGTAACTATATGACTAAAGGCCTCCCCCCTTGTTTTGCTGGCTGTTAGCTGGAGACTACCCTCAGGTGCCAGAGGCCACTCCGGAGTTCCTTGGTATGTGTGCCTCCCCAACACAATGATTTAATTCATCAGGCCTACAGGGAGGTTCTCCAGCTCTAGTCTGCTAATACTGAGTCTTCTTATTCCTGGTACAGTACTTATGGTATAATGTAATTGTCGGGCTGGCATCCCAATACCTTTGCCATATACTATTTGTAAGGAGCAAGCCATAGATATCTCCTACACTCAAAAGGAAGGGATTACACAAAGCTGTAAACACCAGGAAGTGAGAATCACTGGGAGTCATCCTAAGCTCTGTCTGTCACTGGCATAATAGTCAAACTTAATCTATGTTACAATTTCACCTGGATCATGCATTTTACAGGAAACTCGTTACTCCTGCCAATGATTTGTCTGATAGTAAGATGATGGAATTGATTTTTCCTGATCCCAATTGACAACCATGGATCTCTAAACAGGACCTCTAAGTCTTTAGGAAAAGACAGCTACTTGATTGGTATTTGTTGGAGGTGATAAACCTCATACAATAGTGAACTGGGTGAAGTCTGATTCAATATTGCTCCCTGGTCTCATACTTCTCTCGCTCTCTTCTTTTAGTGTTTTCATTCCCTAGGGATGCCATAAACTTTCTACATCTTCCTCATAGCTAGTAGTTTTCTAGATAAATGACCTACTTTCTAGATAAGTAGTTTATGGTAAGCAAGTATCATAAACTCAAGTGCCTTAACCAGCTTCTTGGGGTGGGGTGGGAGAGTGGTCCAAGTCACTATGGTACACTGAAAAGCACAGAACCCATCTCACAGAGGCAGTCAATATGAGGCTGCAGTCATTGTTGCCAGATTTCTGGAGGTTTCTAAAAATACAAATGTTCTTGTTAATGTGAAATGGTCTAAGCCTACCATGTTAGAAACAGATTCCATTAAAACAATTTAAGTGAGCAAAGTAAAACAATTCTGTAAATAAGGTAAGCCAAGAGGGCGTCTGCAGTTTTTCTTCTGAATGGGTCCTCTGATTGTTGGTGAAAATCCCACAGCCTGGCAAGCCAGCCTGAAGACAGCTCTCAGTGAAAAGATAAGGTGCTCCATGGTATTTGTTGAATGAATGATTGAATAAAGGGTCCTTAACTTTTCTTATAGAGAGAACTTCTTAGGCTTTGCCAAATAAACTAAAATATTCTCTTAGTTTTTCCACACAGCTTCTGTAATTGATGTATTTTATATAATTTGAGATTAGGCAGGACTCCAATTTACCTGTAGAAACCATAGCAATTATATGGAAGGTGTTGGGGAGAGGAGAAAAATGTGGCTACACTGCAAGCAAACGAGATGATGATGGTGATGATGATGACCATGGTGTGTGTGTGTGTGTGTGTGTGTGTTTTATTAGAGACATGCCCAAGAATCCTAAGAAGTCTATAAATGAACTGTCAGTGAACCGAATGAAGAGATCCCCTTTAAGTCAGGCAAGAGTCAAATTTTATTCTATGGCTGGCGTGAGTGATTTAGGATAGCAAGAGTGGTTCTTGGTTAGGCAGTAAAGGGGCAGGGGATTGTGTTAAGATAAGGCAAGGCAATAAATGCAAGAATGATCAGTATGTTATAAATTTTACATAGTATTTGTAAACATTTTTGCAACCCTGTATCTTAAAAGGTGATTCTATACTGAGGCTACCTTACTGTGAAGATAATAGACCAGGAAAAGCACCATTTAAAATCGTGTATATCTTTGTATAACTATCTAAATTGTTTTTCATTTAAAATCAACTGAGCAATGGTTGCTTCAGAGTCAAGGGACAGAACTCTGCTAACCAAAGTTGTAGGAAATTTTCTGTGTGAAACTCTGACAAATCAGGTAACCGCTATCTTGATCACTTTTCTCTCTCTCCCCCTGAGCTAACCTGAGTATAGATCTAGAGTAAAGGCAGATACTATGACACAATCTGATCTGAATTTGGCCTCCAGGGGGAACAGCCAAGATGATTTAATAGATCTTCGTTCATTTCAAACTTTCACAGGTTCAGCATTCTCAGGCAGTCATTGATTGCTTTAAAGAAATAATATCTGCCCAGATCCTAATTATTATTACAATTAGTCTACTGCTGTCTAGCAGTCTAACAACTATACCTTATCAGCAAGGATTAAACATCACTGGCAGATGAATGTAGAATCCCAGAGTTCTATAAGTTTGGCACAATTGTCTAGATCTAACTTCCCATTCTCTTTTCCATATGACAAACCCCATTATAAGCACTTTACTATGCTGCAGACTAATTTTTACTGTGGCTTAAATCATTTGCTCTGAGGGCATAGTGAATGGTGAAATCCTCTTTATTCTTCACAACCTATATTAAAAATTGTATCCTTTAGGAAGCCTTTTCTGAGAACACATAGGTGGATTGACTCTTTGCTGTAAACAGCAAGATATTAACTTTAGTATTAACTCTTTAATTATAACATGGATCTCCTTATCTTAATAGTGGTATTTGTATCTTTTTTTTTCTTTTTGACTAAGGGTAATTTGACAGCAGGGATTGGGTGATCTCCAAATTCCCAGTGCCTAGTAGTGGAATTTTAGAGTAGTTCATTAAATATCTTCAAGAAATTTAAAAAGCAATGAATGGCTCACATGTTCTTCCAGACATGAAAATGTGTAGAAATGGGTAGATCATGATTTTTAAATCCCAGTAAAATTGTTTTACACTAGAGAAAATTAAAAGGAGCGCTGTACTATATCCTAAAAATTTCACATTGGGCCCTTTCCAGTCCTTCATTCAACGTTTATTACCTGAGCCCCTGCTATGTGATAAGCACTGATCTAGAGGCATTTGGGAAGTCTAAGGTGACTGAAACAAATGAAGGGTTACATTCATAAAGCTTGAAATAGAGTAGCAAATTTTTCAGTGTAATGTTTCTTTCTTTTTTTCTCCTTAAAATGGCGTCTTAACGAGAAGTCTATATGCATAACATATAGACTGTCACTCCACGCCACCCCCCTAGGCTGCCCCTGTGGTACCTCTTCAAAAAATCTGGGGCCCATGAAGACATAGTTTGAAGAAAGCAGCTGTAGTGCATTCAATAAAGTATTAGCTTTCTGAAGTAATTTCTATTTTTTTTACCACTAGCTATTTTCAAAAGAGTGATGTATCTATACTGAGTACTTCATATGGTCTATCTCATTTAAGATTTGACAACCATCCTAGGAGGTGGATAATAAATGACATAGTTAGCATTAGACATGCCACAAAAGGTAGGTGGAAATGGACTGAAATGGGAAGAGAGAAAGAAAGAAAAAAATTGGTAATTTTACACCTATGAAGTACCTACTGCTACTATTAAAGAAATTGAGATAAGCAAAAGAAGGTCTGGAAAGCTCCATATAGACTGAAGATAGTTCTAACTTTTGCATTGTGGGGGGTTTTCAGGTTTGTTTTTCTTTCTGACACATGATCCAGTGTTTGTTTCTATATTATTGGAAGAAATGTTTGATAACAGAAGCCATCTGTATGCATCCTTGCATTTTGTAGGGTTTCTTTTTCTCTGCACAGTAACATACAGGAGCTGAATACATAATGCCTTGAGTAAATATACTTAGTCTCCGATTATTCATAGCTAAAGTTGTTCAGAGCAGTTTTGTAAAAAGAGTCAAAGTACACAATAACCTTGATTCATAAGACTGACTAGTGAGAAAACACCAGGGAATGAGTCATTTGCAAATGGATTTGTTTTGCATTGTTAGTGTTTATTTCTTTAGAGGACTGCTGGATTTAGAAGTCACTGGCTGTAATATCAGTATGATGTGAAACTTTGCCTGTAAATTGGGCTCTGTGTTTTTCCCCACCTTCTTTTGTTCCTTTCCAAGTTGCCTCTGCCTGGATAGAGGGAGCAGCTGGAGGCAGCCAGCCCTCAGGCAAGTAGTGAATAAGTACACGTCTTGGTACAATCTCCTGTAAATACTGGTTTGTTCTGGAAAGGCCAACCCTGATTGGTAAGAAGGCTGGAAGAAACACCTGTGGCATGCAATGGGATGCTCTGAGGTTGATTTGCCTAACTCTCTCTTGGCTCTCAACAGACACCAGATAGCAAATCTTTAATGAACACTTCCTACATGCAAGGTACATGTGAAAAAAGAGAGATGAGAAACAAAGGGACACATTCACACAGGAATCTTGAATTTTGTAGATTATAGAGGGCTTAAGGAGACATAAAAGAAAGTGAATTTTGTGTGAAAATCTCTAGCAGTATTTGCCCACAGCCCTGCTCTACTGCTCCAGCCTGCGCCTGTACATTGTTTCTAACCCATAGCTTATAATATCCACAAAATGAGATTATAATACTTACTTTACAAAATTGTGGAATTAAATAAAAATGACATTATTAAACTGTCTGGGACAGTGCCTGGCATGTGATGAGTACCCATCAAATAATAGCTATTGTGATAGAAGCTGATTGTTTTCTATAGAACAGGGGTCCCCAAACCCAGGGCCATGGCCCAGTACTGGTCTGTGGCCTGTTAGGAACCAAGCCACACAGCAGTAGGTGAGTGAATGAAGCTTCATCTATATTTACAGCCATTCCCCCTTACTTACATTACCACCTGAGGTCTGGCTCCTGTCAGATCAACTGTGGCATTAGATTCTCATAGGAGCAGGAACCCTATAGTGAACTGCACATGCGAGGGATCTAGGTTGCATGCTCCTTGTGAGAATCTAATGCCTGATGATCTGTCGCTGTCTCCCATGACCCCCAGATGAGACTACCTAGTTGTAGGAAAACAAGCTCAGGGCTCCCACTGATTCTACATTATGGTGAGTTGTATACTATAATATAAATTATAATATATATAATTTCATTGTATATTATAATGTATTAATAATAGAAACTAAATGCACAATAAATATAATGCGCTTGAATCATCCCAATAGCATCCCCCCACCCCCCACACCTCCTGCCAGTCAATGGAAAAATTGTCTTCCACGAAACCTGTCCCTAGGTCAAAAAGTTTGGGGACTGCTGCTATAGAACATCTGTTCTCCCTTTCATTCTGAGTAACATAATTTTTGTTTATTGGCAACAATGTACCCAGATTGAGTGAATGAATGAATAATCAGTCAAGCCTATTTTTTCCTAACCTCTAAAACAGGTTGTGATGTGCATGAAGCCTTTAAAGGGGACTGACTCAGCTGATTCCACCAGTAGGTGTGGCCTTTTGCCCTTCTTCCTTCCTGTTCTTCAAATCTCTGTTAGTATGGCTGGAGCTACAGCAGTCATCTTGAACCATGTGATGACTTTGAGGATGAAAGACATGTGTTAAGGATGGTAGAACCAACTGATAGAAGGATTCTTGTTCCTGGTTACTTTGAAGCTGTCATCTTAGCTCTGTATTATTTACCTTTAGAATTATTTTATGTGAGAGAAAAATCAGCCTCTGTTTCATTGAAGTCACTGTTATATGGGTGTTCTAGTTGACGTACACCAACTCTCAATGATGTTTCCCACAGCGTTATTAGTGAGAGATAATTTACACAACTTTACAAGATACACACAACTTGAGTGAGCAGGCCATGTTAGTATCATCACCAAATTGGTGTATAACACATGCAAAAACACAGTGAGAAGTACAGACAGAGAAAGTTAGAGAAATCAATGGAAGCAGAGGTGTGGTTAATCACTACGAATCTACGAATCCCACAAGAAAAGTCAAGCAGATAAAATTCATTCCATCTCAAGTTTAAAATTCTGGATATTTCCATATTTTATGTATCATCCACATATTACATATTGAAGAAAAAATCAAACAGAAATGTGCAACTCTTTAAAGCACTTATTTAAATCCATCAATTTAATAATATCTGGGGTGTGACTGATACTCTTTTAGGGAGCCAACTGAACTGCTGGCTTTATCTATAGTTCTCCCAGTCTCAATAAATGGCTCATCCACTCCTCTGCCTCTTCCATCTAACACCTTCTTATCCTTCAAATCTCATCTTGATACTTGCTTTCTTAAGAATGCTTTTCCTCACCTCATTGCCAAATATCAAATACCATCATTGCATTTCAACTCTGTCTTCTCCCCTAGATTATAGGTTCTATGGTCATAGGGCCTATGCTTGTTATTTCCACAGCCATATTCCCAGAACCTAGCCCTGCGCCTGGTACTCAAATAATTCTTATTAGATAGTGAATGACGGAATAAGGAATGTTCTCTTGGCTTAACAATAGTCAAATATTAATGGTCAGCTGATGTGAGTAGTCAAGATTTCAGCCTAAACTATAGCATGACCAAGAAACTCGTAAGTGGTTCCATGATTGTGTCTGATGGATTTTTGTGTCAACATTAGCCACTTTTGACTTTTCTGCTCGAAGAAATAAAAGATCTCTTAATCGGTTTGCTTAGATGAAACAAAGGGAATTTCTGTGAACCTAGTGGATAGAGAATTTCCTGCCTTTTCATAAAGCAGACAGGTATTTCAAACCATTGACAAGGAGTGAGAAGTAATTTGTGCCTCCTGGCTGACAGCCCATTTTTCCAACAGCCCTCAGCCAAAGGGCAGTCGGCAAAGGAGCCAGTTGAATAGGATTGGCTATGCCTGTGAGAAGTGATCATCTGGTGAGCAAAAAAAAAAAAAAGTATTCAAATTGGCACCCGTTGAAATGGGGCCCAGCAAACAGAGTCAATTTATTATGGTCCTGATAATGCCCCTGCACTCAGCCCATTTAAATGGTTTGTTTCTCTTATATCTGATATTGCATAGAGAGGCTACAATGGGCAAAATGAGGCCACAAGCAACAAATGGTTTCACGGTAATGATCTAATTTCCTGTTAATCTACTGCTTATTAAGCATTTTTAGTGTTTTTTTCCTAAATTTTTAAACTCTCATCCCTAAACTGATGCAAATGAATTACATCTTTTTATTAGGCGAGATTAAGATAGGTCAGGCTAGAAGTAGGAATAAAATTATCTCCTATAATCACTACAGGAATTCCTCCTCCCAGGAAATTTCAACATGCCTTCTAACAAAGAAATTTTCTATTTTCTCAATTTATAATCAGGAACAAGTTCTCTTTACACCTCATAAGCCAAACGAAGACATCACATCATCACAGATCTCTCAATGTGCCCTCAGAATGATTGTAACATCACTATTTAATCACTTTGCTAAGTGTTGCTGATCTAAAATATGAAACATTCAGTCTCATGTGTTTTCTTTGTCAGTCTAATATTAGACTTTTTATTATAAAAATTTTCAAGTGTACAGAAAATCTTAGTGCAATCAATAACCATCACTATTTTGTTTGTTTTATCAGTGCTTCTTACCCATCCCCCATCTTTTTTACTCATTTATTTTTTTCTGGAGTAGTTTAAATCAAATACTTGACTTCATTTCACTTTCAAATGCTTTAATTTGCATTACAAAGATAACATTGTCTTACATGATCCAAATGCCATTGCTATACCTAACACATTTAACAATAATTCCTTAATACCTCTTAATACGCAGTCCATACTTAATTGCCCTGTTTGTCTAAAAAAATGATATTTTACAGTTGGTTTGTTCAATCAGAATTTAAACAAAGCCTGCTTATTGTATTTGGTTATTATATGTAAATATCTCTTAAATTTCCTTAAATTAAGAATTATCTCATCTCCCTCCCTTATTTATTTATTTCTTTTCCTCCTACGGACCTACTGATTGACTTATTGAAGAAACTAGGTCACAATATTCAGCATTTTGCATTTGTCTGCTTCTGGTATCTTTTCACTAGTTTCTCTCTTTATTATATTTCCTATGAACTAAAAGTTAGATCTAAAACTTTGATTGGATTAAATTTATTTTTTGAATACTTCATTGTTGGTATTTTGTTCTCTGTAATATCTCACATTTACATGCCACTAATGTTTGGTTATCTAACTTTTAGTGAGGATAAAACTGATCAGGGGTCCAGCACTCTGATGTTTTGACCCAGCAACTCCTTTTCATGGTGTGAAATGTTGCCCAGCTCTCTACTGCCCATCCTGCTGACTCAATACTGGTAGTGACTCAACAATGGGTTCCTAAAAGCAAATTGGAAAACACTACCTCAAGTCTTGCACCTGGCTCATATAAGTGGTTTACAGGGTGGCATATCATCATCTCTAAACGCATCTCCAGGGGCTTTATAGGACAAATTATTCTGATCACTGTAGAATTGAGCCTAACATCAGAAGACATTAGATAAATTGATATGGACTGATAAATCCACATGGAGCATATTCTCTACAGTTTCTGGGATAAAACACTGGACATATAAGTCTCCATATCTATAAATAAAGGATGAGAGTTGGACAAGATGGTATCTTAAGTCATTTTTAGTTATTAAAGTCTAGGGTTTTATACTGGCCTCAACCACACCCTGCATGCAGTGACCCTGGACAAGTTCTGTCTGTATGTGAGTACTGAGTATCACTCTGCATACTAAGAGGCAAAGCTTATGTCTAAAGGAGTGTTGGTTCAACATTAGAAATGCTTCTGCTCCTTAATAATGGAAGATTATATTCCAGATTCTGATGTGTGTTGTACATAGAAGTTCTTTTCTCATGACAACACTTTTAACTTTTGGTTACCCTATCAAAAGGGAATGGAAGAATCACAGAAAGGAAAAGGGGAACAAATAAGCACACACACACACACACACACACACAAATCCACAATCATTTAGTCTGATGAAGGCAGCAGGCTAAAAATGAGAAACACTTTTCTGCCCACCTGAACCCATACTAATACCTCTACTCTTACAGACGTACATTCCAAGCAAATGCCTGGCAAAAGAAAAACTGCGCCTCTCAGTCCTTCTCTCCCCCAACTCACTTCAAAGACTCTGGACTGCTGTCTGGCAGAAAAACCTGGGGTATAAAGATTGGAAAGAAGACTTGGGGAGACACAAGGGCTCTCTTCAGACACCTAAAAGTTTCTCATGTGGGAGACAAATTTGGATCATTCTGACTGGTTCCAAAGACAGCATAATAATGGTCAAATGACAAGAGGGACAGGAAGGTAGAATTCAACTCAAAATAGGGAAGTACCATCCACAAGTTTACAAGATAGTGTTAAGACCATAGTCTTGTAAGTCTTAAAAGATATATCTCACAGTAATAAGAATTTCTATATCCAAAACTTCAAGTTGAAGCAAAATGTCTGGCTATCAAAACTTTGTAGAGAATTCTGATTTGGGGCATGAAATTTAATTCTATGGTCAGCATAAGTTGCTGATTCCAACTCAAAAATTCAATATTTTCTTACTCATTTTTTATCTTCAGCGCTATTTTCTCCACAAATATTTCACTCAGAACTTCTATAAATAACAAGTTCTCCTTTATTTGAGTTCCCAGCACACCTATTGTTTGTTCCATGCATTACAATGCTTCAGATTAGCACTTTATTATATATGTATTTAGATTTTTCTCCACTGCCTTATATATATTTTTGCCATCTCTCCTCCTCTCTGCAAGATTGCACGCTTCTTTATATTGTGGGAACTGTGTAATATGTTCTTTTTTTATGTTCCCCACGGTGCTGTGTTCATGACTGAACACATGCTTTGTGCTCAATAAATACATGTTGAAATGGATTGAATTGATGTTCAGGGACCTCCATCCAAGAATGCAAAGCTGCATTGTGAAGGCTTCACTCTGGAGGGGAAAAATAAGAATCCAACTACATTCTCCATCATGGCTTTCCTCAATTCCTCCATAGTTGATCAAGGCCTTTCTGCGGGCCCCCTTCTTCCCCTTCTCTCCACCTCTTCTGGTTCCCTTCTTCCTGCAGTCCACTTCAGCCTGAGCAAAGTAGCCATCTTTGGCTTTAGTTTTAACTCTGTATCTGGTTAGTTCATCCATTTTTCGTGCGGCAAAGAACAAATTTTTGTATCATAAAACTTAATTGGGGTGGCTAAACCAAAGATATCTTTTCTATCATTTCTTATTGGGATAAAAGAAGTAAAGTGGAACAACACATCTCTCTCACACACACACACACAATATGTGCACATACAGACACACACAAATATATACGTATACAGACACATATACACAACACACACAAATATATGCATGTTCAGACACACACACAAATTTATGCATATTACACACACACACACACACACACATACACACACAAAGGGTTCTGAAATTATGATTCTATTCTTGTCCCCAAAATGTGCTAGTAGTGTGATCTTGCACAAGTTTTGCTGCCTCTCTGTCCCTCAGTTAATGCATCTATAAGTGGAGATGATAATACTTGCCCTACTGACCTCACAAGAATTCTGTGGCAATGAAATAAAAAAAACAGATGTGAAAATACTATGTAAATTATCAGCTACATGGATACGAAGCATTCTTCTCGTTTTTTATTATGGCGCTGAAAGCAAGCCAGCCTTGCCTTGCTTCTGAAAGATTTGCCATGTACAAATTAAAAGTAGGTAATCTGCAGATGATTGAGATGTGTTTCTCTCTCAGTGCCTTGTGGAAAGAGAGGAATCCCAGAGCAAAACTAAAATCAAATGATCTTCTCGTATATTTCAAATTTACAGAAAGCAGTAGCCACTGCATTGTTAAACATGTGGAATCCAGCACATGGAAACTGTGGAAGATCAATTAGTTTTGCTTGTTTGTTTCTGAAGAGCAGAATTTTCATTCAATATTCAAGTGTGCATGCTCTCATTCTCTGTTTTTATTCCTAATGCTTTCAAATTACAGTGCAAAGCCCCAAAGCTGATGAAGTAATATTTTTTAAAAAATTACTATTTTCTTCAATAACAATATAGAGAGTTGTTTTCTGAAAGATGAAGGATGGTGGTTGAAATGTTTAATGTTCCTGTATAATTTACTAATGTTTTCAGAAATAGAAATGTAATGTCAGTGGCAGATGCATCATACAAGTGAAAAAAATTAAATTACTTAAATGTGTTACTTCTTGTTAAGAGAGAAGTGAGATAATGCTTAATTTAGGTTTTCACTCTCTTTGGATTTATTGTAATATGTATAATAAATATTCTACTAATTTGAGAATATGTATTTTTTCAAATGTGTATAACCATATATAAAATCATTAAGATTCCTATTTATCATCTCATCTCCCCAAACTCTTCTGATGACAGCCATTGATGTTATTTTCAGGCTAGCTTGGGTTGTGAGGTGATCTTGACCAGAGTTGAACATACATTAACTGTCTACACCCCTCAGCCCTCAACTGATGGGATCTTGTCTTAACAGTATGGTTATAGAATGAGATTTTGTAGTAGATTAGTAAATCCATAGATTTTGTTCATCAACTTTCAGCCTTCTGAAATTAATCTGTAACCTCATTTTGTAACTATAACCATCAATTTGTCTTCTGCCTTGGTTTCCCCACTTAGCACTCTTGTATCCTACTGCACTACCACACTAAAGTTTGAACATAAAGCCCTGCCTGCTTGGATAAAGCCCTGGTAAACTACTATACCCCTGTGACAGCCCTTCACTGGAATCTTGGAGAGCGTTCTTCATTCTCCTCACAAACTATCTAAAGATCATGAGCCCTGCTACTATACCATAGCATCAAGAGCCATAGAACATAGCACCCTAAATCTTGCCCATCATACTACAGTGCACCTCCCCCAACCTGACATTTCAATGTTCAAGAGTAAAAGATGTGCAAATGTAATAAACACACACATTAACTCAGTTATGTTTTATGTTGATCACTGGCCCTCACAGTGGGAGACACTTCTCTTGCAGGTGTACTTATGACTGGACTCATATCATACTTCCTGATTTTCATGCAAAAATGTTGCCTACATCTCCATAGTTATATTCTACCAGCTAGCTTAGATATCCCTCCTCAGCCTGAAATTCTGTCCTTTTCCTCCCTACAGATGGGTTGGTGTCTTTAGCTCCATTCTTTATGTTTTTGGATTCTGCTCCTTTTCCCAAAGACTATAGCATGATCCTCCCTGTGTACTGTGCTCTACAATACTTCAAAAGAAAGAAAAAGATGAAAACTCCAAGCAGCTGAGTCTATAAATTTTATAAGAACTTTTTCTAGTATCACCTACAGCATTAATACATGATATGTCTTTTATATAATATGGCAAAATTAAATACAGCTCTTTGTTGGTTTCTTTAATAGGTTTTAGTTTGTACTTTGTAGAGGAGGTTAAAGGTATTTAAAGTCAGGTAAGAATCATCTTCAATTTATTTAATATCTTCTACACTCATTTGCATGTTCCTTGAACTAATTAAGTTCTTTACAAAGAATATATATTATACAATGAAAAGCAGGAAGGATGTCTTTAGTATTGAGACACTCTTATCATATCAATCCTGGCACTGTCTAGATGACTATGATAAGCCATTCATTTCTTTGAATTTCAGTTTTATCATCTGTAAAACAAATGGGGTAAACTAACTTATATACAAAGTGCCTTATATTCTAATGTTTCATGGTGGAATTTAAAAGCCAAACAGTTGTAGTAAAAAAAATTATCAATTAGAACATTTGGTTTATTCTGAATTAGGGTTAAAGGCTAATACAGATATTTCAATGTAGCTGAAGTCACTGCTATTGTATATTAATGCAGGCTTGCTTCAATAGCAGTGTGGTGGCTAACACAAGAACCAAAAGACAATTGTCTACTTATTTCTTATTCTTAGAGGTATAGCATCTATTGCTATGGTAGTAGAGATGTCACAAAAAAGGCCTTGGGCTGGGTAATTTGGGAATATCTGTATACTTTAGGCAAATTATGTTACTTATTCAAGATTCAGTGCCTTCAGCTGAGAAATGGACATAATTTTAACTATCTCACACATTTCATGGAGTTGTGAGAAGGCAATTTAACTTGTGAGAAGGCAATTTTACTTATGTGAAAGCAATTTGTAAATACTGCATGCTAATCAAATGTAAACTAACGTAAAAAATATAAAACAACTTCTAAACGAATCAAAGTATTGGCATTATTACCTAAAGCAGGGTGGCAAGCCTAATACCTATGGAGCTAGGTGTTGCCATCTGGAAAAGCGAATAGGTGGTACATGATGGCTGGCATCAGACACTGCACCTCCACTTTGCAAAAGTCCTATCAAGTTATGGGGACTGTGGCAAACTAGAAAACACATGCACTGTCTAAAGAACTAGCGACTACTGATCTCCAATTGATCATTGCCATGTGGAAAGGCAGACTCAGTGTGGGGAGAATTTTCAGTTTGTGTGTATGTATGGAGTCTGGAAATCCAGATTAGTAAGTACAATTTCTCAGTATTTAGATGTTGGTAACTGTTCAAATTTAAAACACTGTGTGAATCAACGTTAGATATGTCAAATAAAATATACTTGCAGGCCGAATTTGGTCTGAAGGCCACCAATTTCCAACTTCTGACCTAAGCCTTAACTATCCCTATAGCTCAAATCCTTGCTGAACGCACATGTGAGACTTCCCAGTCATTTTGAGGACAGCTTCTTCCACTTAGCAGTAATGATCACAAGGGATTTAATTTAAGACTTGGGTGAATGAAGCCAGAGACCCCTGGAGAAACATGGGATGACAGTTCTCAGGAACGGAAAATGCAAGATTGTTGAACAAATCAGCATCTTGCTTACCATCCGGAAAGGAGATTCCCTGGATGCCTATAAGGATGGTTACCAAAATAATAGCTGGCGACACACAGTTAGATTCTATTATGGTGCACAACAGCATATTCCATTTTCCGATTCCCAAGAAATCTTTTCTTTCATTGGTCCTATACTACAGATCATTTTTGAAACTCTCATGTTATTTTATCATAGAGCAGACTGCATGCTTCATGAACACTGAGTGTCTAATTCATCCTTGAATGTTCCATGGTGGTTAAGTGTATCTTATGTATAATGTCAATGAGTCTTGTTAAATACTGAACAAATCTGTGATTCCTATATATGCCAGAACGCAGCATATTTTCCGAAGACCATGTGGTATAGTTCAAAACAAAACCAAACAAAATAAAGGCAGAGAAAGAATGAGGGAAGAATCAACAAATTTGGTTATACTGGTTCTACTACAGGCTCTACAATTATGTAGCTGAGTGATCTTGAGCTCGTCACTTCAAATCTCCAGGACTCTATTTCATCACTGTAACATGAGAAGGTTCAATTAGATACAAATTTACCTTCTAATTCTATGCCTGAAATCAACAATGATGCTTACTGAATACAAATCCTTTGGGAAACACTAGGACTCTTCTTCACTTTTTGCTTTGTAAAGATCCTGAGTCAGACACCTTAAGCCATTTTTTTGATTCCCAGGTTCATTTTCTGATTTGGTTTCAGAGGAAAAATGGTTGCTCTGTCCTGCAGAACTGGTTTTTGTAAAGCTCCAAGGTATACATCCCTTTATTCCATTTATAGACATGTTAATTATCTAGTCAAATAACACCCAACCCAGGTCCAGCTACCCAAGAGGTCAAAGAAAGTACAATAAAACATTTTCCTAGTGGGAAATTCCAAGAAACAAAACCAGTCTCTGGAGCTGCTGAGATAACATTAATGTGGAAATGCATTTCCTGACTTCTGCTCAGAGATAGAACTACCCTGGAAGCCAGAAGACAGGTACCCCAGGAATTTCGATAGATGCCTGACAGGCCAGCATTCATCATTCAGTCCACCATGAGAAATGGTGCCTGGAGACTGATGTTATCAAACTGCTTAATCTCACTCTCATCACATAGCCTTTTCCTGAACCTTGCTACACATTGTTCCGGAAGAGAGACAGTCATACATTTGCCTCTGATGGCAGTTTCTGATCATCAGTAACCAAGGCCAGACCCAGGTCTACTTGTGCAGTAGAAAGGCATGTATTTAGTGTTTGTAGCCACTTTATTTTGGACATTTGCTTATTCACTTACTTCAACATTTATTTATTACATTCAACAAACATTCATTGACTACCTTCTGTGGCCAAGAACAGTTCTGTTCCTTGAGATCTAAATATGAATTGTATATTTGTTGAATGAATAATGTGTGAGTGAATGAGCAAGAGGCATAGTTCCTGCCCCCAGTGCACTCCTATTCCAGTGTGAAAGACCATTAAAGAGACCATTATAGTTTTTTTATGGTGAGTGCTATGGAAAAGATGGGTAGAATGTAATGAAGCCCATACAGGGCTACTGATGCTCTCTCAGAGGCTCATGTAAACTTTCTCAAGTGGAAGGAGCCCACGGCAGTTGAATAGAGCAGCCAGCCTCTCAGAATGATGGTCTGATGTAAAAGGTCTGAGGTTCTTAGCCAAGGTTTGAGGTCCTTAGCCAGTAGACAGCTAGTTCAACCTTGACATGAATGAGATCACTAGGAGGAAGGGACAGAGTGGGGAATGAAACAAGAGGCTAGAGATCAGGATCCTGGGGAAGGACAGTGTTTAAGGGCACAGTCTGAGCCTTCTCCTTGCATCAGTGTGGCCTGAATTACTAATTTGCAACATACCAGACACGCTGTGTTTTCCGCCTCCATGCCTGCAACCCTGATCAAATCTCTTCTCTAGGTGTTTCCCACATTTAGGTGAAACGGATGAACATTACTTAAATTATTAGTCTTCAGTGGCAAACTAGGGAAAGTTGTAGAATACCAATGATATTATATATACAATCAAGGCTGGAATTCTGATTGTGGAATTTCAAAAATGAAGCAAAAGGCAAAGGAGGATTTTCAAGCGAATAAGTTGTTTCTGCCGGCTGTGAAATCATACCTGTTGTGCCCTCTGCCTGTGAGTCAAGTCTAGTTCATCTACTGTATCTATAAATATTTCAGGTTTGTGTATTAAAAAGAAATCTAGTGTTGCCATAGTAAACATATTATGAGAATGAAAACACTAGGTTATTATTGATATTATTATTAATAAGAGTCCTATTAAATCAGGCATTATGACAAACGCTTTACATACATTGTCTCACCTAATTCTCAAAACCAAGATTTAGAGTAAAGAAGCAAGAAGCATGGCTGAAACGTTTAGTTGCCTTATATAGGAAAATATTTGAAAAATCCCACTTCAGGAATTTGAGGCTGTATTAGAACTATTAGGTAATTTTTTTAAATGATACTTAATATTTTATAGATTATTAGTTTATGTATTAATATAACTAAATGACACAAATTAATTTTATTAAAATAAACTGACATATTATTGGAGAGATTCAAGTACACAGCAAATAGTTGGCATTCTGCTATTAAGTCATGGTAATAATTCTGATGACTTTCTTATTATATTGCAAATAGTGGCTCTATGCCCCTAGGAAAAAAAAATTCTGCTCTAATGCCCATCCAAAATAATTATTGTCATCTTAAAGGGATGTGTGCTTCATTGGATAAATCAAATAAATGAATTTTCATTTGGAAGTCCATCTGGTGTGCTGGGGAAGAAACCAAGCAAAAATAAGGAGTTTCCTTGGCTTTCTGTGGGCACTCCCCTATGTGACCTTGTGCAAGTCACTTACTCTGCTTGCACAGCAGCACTTGCTGCAAATAGTTATTAGAGTGAAGGATGTTTCACAGAGAAAAGCATCACACATCTGAGTCCTCTGGAGAATGTTGGAAGATTGAGCTCTTATAAAGCCCAGAGAAGAGCAGCTGAAGACAAGGAAAAGAGCACATTACATTTACCATTCCTACTTTGCTCCTTTTCCTGCCCCCTAGTTAGCCATTCCTTCCCCTTCATTTATGTAGGGGGACTTTTCTGGCTGCAAGCACTCTTCCCCGATGAGTACAATAATCAAAATTTATAATCTTAATTTAATAATCTTAATTTATTGAGGCCTTAGTATGGCCCACAAATTATTCTAAATGATTTACATACACCAAGCCATTTAACCTCACAAAACCCTGTGAGTTGCATATATTATCACCTGCAATGTACAGAAAAAGAAACTGCACAAAATCATACTAATTCTAAAAAGCCAGGATGGGATGTAATCCTAGGCAGTCTGACTCCACATTTTACCTTTAATGTTACACACAAGTTGATTTCTTCCAAAGTGTACTTCTATGATAGTATTCAGAATCATTCATTGCACTTGTGTTCATTTTAGTGTTTCCATATTACGTTTTAAACCCCCTTAGGGAAAGGAATATATTTTACTTACCTGTTTACTCAGGACTTAGCAGTGTCTGATACATAAAAGGCCTTAGGATGGCTAAATGAGTGTACAACAATGTTCCCTAAGAGCATGATGTAACTTTGGAGACATTTATTAAAACATAAGTTTTAAATCCAAGACCCCCAGAGAATCAATGGATAGGTTTCAAAGAGTCCACAGCCCCCTCACTTCCAATAATTGTATGCAATACATTTTAAACAAACATTTTTTTCCTCTAGGGAGGGATTCTATGTACCCCTCAATGATATCTAAAGGGTACTTTCCCAAAAAAGTTTAAAGGGCAACTGGGAGCCTTGAAGCAATTGACCACTGGGAATCAGTTTCCCTACCTGATTTGACTAGAAGTAGGATTATGCTAATAATTATTACAGGAGTTAAATGGCTAAATTGTTTTGCCCTTAGCCATATGGAACTATAACAAAATGCCAAATTTAATTATACATAGAGAAAGTCAGTTTTTAAACAATATTTATTATTAAAATAGAGACATTTAAAAATAACAACAAATATTAAAGTAAGTAAAATTCAGTTAATAATGTTTAATTAGATGATTTTTTTTCAGAAATACTGTGTTTATGTTTTCATGTTGACCAATTTTTTGTGGATTTATTTTTGTTCATGTTAATTATTAATTACAAAGAAATTAACAAAATTGATCAGATAACAATGCACATTAGACTTTTAGTTGAATAAAAAACCAAAAATAACTCTGGGATTATTTTTTTCCCCCTGGATATAGCCTATGGTAATATGCAATCTATTTTGTGCTCCTCTAGTTTCCGTTGATACCACTTGATAGAGGTCTTTTTTTTTTTTTTTTTAAATGATATAGACTCTTTTTCTTTTGTTTGGATTGATTTCTCATTTGAAAAATGCTTGTTTTCTCAGATTGGAGGATTTCTTAAGTGCCTAAGAAGATGACGGGAGAAAGATTCAGAAGCAGCAATTAAATTAAATTCAACATGCATCCACTGAGCACTTCTTGTTTCCCTAGAACTCTACAGAGACCCCAAGAGATATTTACCAGGAAGGTAAACATAGTCTTTTCCTAACAAAAACCCTTATATCCAAGAAGGTAGTTTATGGGTGTTCTTAAATATCAAACTTGGTGCAAGCTTGTCCAACATGCAGCCTGCAGGCTGCATGCAGCTCAGGATGGCTTGGAATGCAGACCAACACAAATTCATAAACTGTTTTAAAACATTATGAGGGCCAGGTGAGGTGACTCACGCCTGTAATTCCAGCACTCTGGGGGGCTAAGGTGGGTGAATCACCTGAGATTAGGAGTTTGAGACCAGCCTGACCAACATGGTGAAACCCTGTATCTACTAAAAATACAAAATAAGCTGGGTGTGGTGGCGCATGCCTGTAATCCCAGCTACTTGGGAAGCTGAGGCAGGAGAATCTCTTGAACCCGGGAGGTGGAGGTTGCAGTGAGCTGAGATCGACCCATTGCACTCCAACCTGGGCAATAAGAGTGAAACTCTGTCTCCAAAAAAAAAAAAAAAAAAAAACTGTGAGATTTTTCTTTTTCCGATTTTATTTTTTAGCTCATCAGCTATCATTAGTGTCAGTGCATTTTATGTGTGGTCCAAGACAATTCTTCCAATGTGGCTCAGGGAAGTCAAAAGATTGGACACCTCTGGTTGCTGGTTTAGAATTGATGTATAGGCAAGAAATGCCTGCAGTAGATACTTGAGCAGGGAAGGATAATTATCAAAATGGAAATCTGACTCTGGCAGAGTTCTGAAAGCTGAATGAAAATGAGATGAAGCTGTATGAATGAAAGCTGTTGTAGAAGACTTTTGTGGTTACCTATCAGAACTCAGTATAAGTATGGGGTGGTTCTGTGTTTGCAGAAATGATAATGAAGGAATGAAAATAAGAGATATATGAGAAAGATTCTGAGATTTGGAAGACTATATTATTCTCGTCAGTCATGAAGCTGGCCAGACTCACAACCCCTTCTGGGGAAACTGTCTCATTCACGCACTTACTGAAGGAACAGCCTTGTGTTTATTACTACATGCCCCCCACCTTTCTGGACATAGTTAATTTATTCAATAATACACTTTGGCCATGAGGTCAGTCAATCTATATGTTCAGGCTATGAATTGACCTGGTGTGAAATAACAAGTCAATCAAAGTCTTTCTCTCTGAAATTTAAATTAACAAATGCCAGATGAGGACTGACATTTGGTTCTATGGTTAGAAATCATAGAAATTGAAATGGAAAAGATACACCAAGATAGAAATAAGTAGAATATGCATAATATTAGAATTGGAGTACATTCATTGGATATATTTTGGCCAAAATGATGATGGCATAAATAAGTTAAATGTTTGTTTCTAAATCTTATGTCAGACCAGGAATTAGCAGTCCAGAGCTGAGTAGGCTGATGGCCTACTCTGTGTTCTCCCAAATACATATCCATGATGGAAACTTATTTTCAGGGAGTTTATTTTGTTTATGATTTCAGAGAACGAGAATGAGGGACAAGGAAAGTGAGATAGTAAACGAGAATGAGGGACAAGGAAAGTGAGATAGTAAAGGAGAAAAAGCCATTATAGGGACACATTACTGAGCAGTAGGACCTCAATTCCACTGGCATCTTTCGAGAAAAATACAGAATGCCTACCAGAATGATTCAGTTGAAAAATGGGAGATGGGAGCATTTGTACACCAGCGTCCATTTCTTATCCTTTGAGCATTGTTCCTAGAGGTATTAACCCTCCAACATCTTAGAAGATAATGCATTCTGCCAAAGCAAGTTTCTGCCAGGGATCTACATGTGAGGGAAGCTCTAGGGCAGTAACAAAACCCACACAAACATTCTTGAAGGGAAGCCCTGCCAGCACAAAGTTGGTTGAACCCTATATGGAACTGTCCACTATTGTCGTGGCATGAAACACATGCATACTAAGATGATGTTGGTTGGGGCAGCAGAGATATCTGACACAGTCCACCCCTTACATTGTGCAAATTAGTTCATTCCTACATAAAGTTCGATCTGTTGATGAATCTTCAAGGCAATGGCTGGCTGCAACCTTTGCAAAAGATTTAATAAACAAGGGTTACTGAAAAAAGCTACGGTGTCATTGCTGCAATTAGTCCAGTGGCTTTAACTGATATTCAGAATCTCTTCCTTCCACCATACATTCTAGATTTCTCTTACTGTTGCCTGGAACTTCTGTTGATATAGGTTGTTTGCTTGGTGAGGTGACCAAAACCTTCATTTCTGAGTTATCTGAGTCTACAGTTTGCCTTGCTCTTATTATATTATGGTTGCTGAATTGTCTGTTCACCATTTCATCCAAGAGCAATGTTTGGTTGTATAAGGAATGGCCTAGAACCCTGTGGATGTGGGTTGTCTTCCTCAAAACAGACAACTTTATGAGTCACTCAAAAATTAGGTCAAAGCAACATTTGCAGTCATGGCATGTGTGACCTCCAAAATCCAAAGAAGCCTAAACTACAAAGTACATATAAGGGATATTCACTCACATTCCGATCTATTGAATCCCTAAACACTTAACTAAAGTGTCAAGTCCTTGAAATGTTGAAACTGCCTTAAATTTATCATTCACCCTTCTGGCATGTATGCGTCTTATTAGGATATCCAGAGTATTTGCTATTCTCTGTCCACTAGGTCCAATTAGAATTATCATTAGACATTGATATAGTGGACTAACATGATGTTTCTGAGGAATGTCAAGATGATTAAGGTCACTGCAGATTACAGTGTGGAAGAGAGCAAAAGAGTTAACCTAGTGCTTGGACAAGACAATAGATATGTTCAGCTGTTGTCTTTATGTAAACATGAACAGTTTCCGGTAGAAAAGAACACATTTGGCAGATTAATAGGGGCAATCAAGTGTCAATTTCAGTAAAGATACCACATTCAGCATAACAGCTGCTATTGGGGCTACTAATCGATTAAGCTTATGGTGATTCACAATTATTTACGTCTGATTATGATTCATTTGATTTTTCAGATATCCAACAGTGGGACTAAGTGGGAATATGATGAGACCACACTCCTGCAAACTTTAAGTCTTTGAGTACAACACCAATTTTTGCAATTCTTTCAAGGATGAATTATTACTTCTATTTTACTATAATGGCAAGAGAGTATGGAGGGATGTTTCAGAGGCTTCCATTAGCCCTATATAAAATAATTGCTTCTAAATTCCACAGGTTAGAAAACCAGTGTGAATATTTTGCTAGCTTTTAAGTATATACATCTCAATTACACATTTGGCAAATAACTACTGGGTTTGTGTAGCTATATATTTTGCCCCTCTCCCCAAGTCCTTAACTCCTCTAAGATCAACTCTCTGCTTGTACTTATTGGCCAAGTACTACAATTCTTTGGATTGAGTAAGCCATTTCCTTCTGAAACATGGACAATACTCCCTTACCTGGGTTATGATAAGCCCTGATCCTAGTTTTCAGTCAATAAAGATATGTAGGGACAGATTTTAAAGATAGGCATCATTTTTTGAAGCATTTGCCTTGGTTAATGTATTTGCATGGTTCCTCAATAAAGGGAAGCTGGTTTCCAGCTAGAGCTGGCGTGCTTCTGCAGGTCCAGATGATTTTGTTTTAGTTTTATTTTTCCACAAATTATTGGGGTGCAGGTGGTATCTGGTTACATGAGTAAGTTATTTAGTGGAGATTTGTGAGATCCTGGTGCACCCGTCACCCAAGCAGTATACCCTGCACCATATTTGTTGTCTTTTATCCCTTGCCCTCCCTCGCTCTTTCCCCAAGTCCCCAAAGTCTATTGTATCATTCTACCCCTTTGCATCCTCATAGCTTAGCTCCCACATATCAGTGAGAACATAAGACATTTGGTTTTCCATTCCTGAGTTACTTCACTTAGAATAATAGTCTCTAGTCTCATTCAGGTCATTGCAAATGCTGTTAATTCATTCCTTTTTATGGGTGAGTAGTACTCACCCATAAAAGGGTCTAGATCCTAGTCTAGAAGGGTTTTTCCAATGTTTTCTTCATGATTTTGCTATTGTGAATTGTGCTGCTCTAAACATGCATGTGCAAGTATCTTTTTCAAATAATGACTTCTTTTCCTCTGGGTATACTCAGTAGTGGGATTGCTGGGTCAAATGGTAGTTCTACTTTTGGTTCTTTAAGGAATCTCCACACTGTTTTCCATAGTGGCTGCACTAGTTTACATGCCCACCAGCAATGTAGAAGTGTTCCCTGATTGTTACATCCACTCCAACATCTACTTTTTTTTAATTCTTTGATTGTGACCATTCTTACTGGAGTAAGGTGGTATCACATTGTGGGTTTGATTTGCATTTCCCTGATCATTAGTGATGTTGAGCATTTTTTCATATGTTTGTTGGCCATTTGTATATCTTCTTTTGAGAATTGTCTATTCATGTCATTAGCCCACTTTTTGATGGGATTGATTTTTTTCTTACTTATTTGTTTGAGTTCATTGTAGATTTTGGATATTAGTCCTTTGTCAGATGTATACATTGTGAAGATTTTCTCCCACTCTGTGGGTTGTCTGTTTACTCTGCTGACTGTTCCTCTTGCCGTGCAAAAGCTCTTTAGTTTAATTAGGTCCCAACTATTTATCTTTGTTTTTATTGCATTTGCTTTTGAGTTTTTGGTCATGAAATCCTTGCCTAAGCCAATGTCTAGAAGGGTTTTTCCAATGTTTTCTTCTAGAATGTTTACAGTTTCAGGTCTTAGGTTTAAGTTCTTAATCCATCTTGAGTTCATTTTTGTATAAGGAGAGAGATGAGGATTCAGTTTCCTTCTCCTACATGTGGCTAGCCAGTTATCCCAGCATCATTTATTGAAAACGGTGTCCTATCACCACTTTATGTTTTTGTTTGCTTTGTCAAAGATTAGTTGGCTGTAAGTATTTGGGTTTATTTCTGGGTTTTTATTTCTGGGTTCTTTATTCTGTTCAATTGGTCTATGTGCCTATTTTTATACCAGTACCATGCTGTTTTGGTGACCATGGCCTTATAGTATAGTTTAAAATCAGGTAGTGTGATGCCTCCAGGTTTTTTTTTTGTTGTTGTTGTTGTTGTTGTTTTTGTTTTTCTTTTTTGCCTAGTTTTGCTTTGGCTATGCAGGCTCTTTTTTGGTTTCATATGAATTTTAGAATTGCTTTTTCTAACTCTACGAAGAATGGTGGTGGTATTTTGATGGGGAGGTGTTTTAAGGCAACATAAGACTCACAGCTCTCAGACCCGTTCATCCAAATATCTTCATCCTAGGTCTCAGGGTTTTTTCAGTTTTCCTGTCAGTTCCTATTATCTAAGAAAATAAACCTACTGTGGCTGCACATTCCATGTTCTTTGTATCCCTTGTAATTACACCTTTACAATTAAATTATGATTAGAATTTTGAGCACTCTTTGACCTGTGGCTGCAAAAGATAAGTATCACTTTAATCATTGCTATGGGTACTTTCTTGCTTTAACCCTATGACCTGACTTAGTAGTTATTTTTCTTTAGAGCATCCATAGAAGTTAATAAAATTTAAGGGCAATAGAGGCTAGATTTTGCAGGGATCTCATGAAACATGTTCAGATTGTCTCCCAGAATAGTGCATCCAAAAGGGTAAAGAAAGCAAGAACATTTATCCAAAGTTTCCCATTCCCAAATGGTTAATAGTTTTCTCCAAGGGCATGAGAACCCCTGCACTTCTTAGCTGCCCATATGTTCTAGATAAGTAAGTTGCTTCTGATATTCAAATTTTAGGAGAAGCCAAATAGCAGAAAGTAAAGATATGTGGAATACACCTTTGATGCAGGACAGTCAGTATGAAGTGAGTTAAAGCCCTCATGGGACTTTCCACTGCAACTGCAGATGAAGTCAGAGATAAGACCAAAGAGATGCAAGGTGGGGCATCAGAGGTGTCTGATGCCACAGGTAAAGCAGTTCCACAATTCAAGGACTAAGATCCTTTTGTCATCTTACTTTTCATCCTGAAAGTGATGCCCTCACTATAATGTTTAAAAAAAAAATTCTTCCACCACATTTTCATTTAAGCCAGAGGGAAAGGGAAAAAGAAGAAGAAGGAACATCTTTAAGAGCAAAATTAAAAAGTTGTGCTCACATCCATTGGCCAGAATTTAGTCACATGGTCATAGTTAGTTGCCATATAGGCTGGAAAATGCAGTCTAGTTATTCTGAGTTGCTGAATACCTGTTACAAAATCAAGGATTCTAGTTATATAGAACATTTATTTTCAACTTATTCCCTAGATGGAATTTTAGAAATGTATGGTGGTTTTTTATTTGACACAGTGACTGACTGGAAGGTTTCCTTGTGTTTTAATTAGCACGTTTAAGGAGGCTGGATGAACTACAATGTCAAGAATAACCCAGCAGAATAAAGAGTTGTCTTGTATCTACATTTTTAAAAATATCCTGAAGGACATTCAGTTAGGTGGGAAAAAAATGTTTATAATTTTCTGTGCCTAGAACTTAACTCCATTTCCCATATAAACATATAATCGTTTAATACACACTGAATTTCCTAGGAGTATACCTACTTCCAGGTCCTACTTTTTTTTAATTAAAAAAATTGTACTTCATTATGTATTATTTTTGTATCTTTAGAGTTGTTCACCATTTCAGCAAAAACCAAAACAAAACTTACAATCTCCAGCAATGCTGTCTGTGGTGTTTAAGTCACCAATATAAGGCACTGTGTCAGTCCACATTTGTGTCACATTCATCCTGGTTCATGTGTAGGTATAAGCATCTTACTACTTTATTTCATTTTCTATTGTAGGTACGCCTGAGCATTTACGTATTGCATTATATATTATTTAAACTTAATTAATTTAAATAAAACTTTTTTCTCTTTTTTATATTTAAGATAATTTTAAAGTACTTATAAAGTATTTGTATATTTATAAATTTCAGGATAGTAAAGAGAGCTTTGTAAAATATTCAGTGTAAAATGGAGTGCTTAGTCAAATAAGGTTAAAAACCTCTACTGTAGAAGAAAAAAAAAGAAACTGAGGGACAATGAATTACTTCTTCCAAAAGGAGCATGACAAGTCAAACTAGGGAGACAAAAATTATGGGTGAATTTAAAAATCATAAAATATGTACCAGTAGAAGCTAGGATACAGAAAAAGTATACAGTAAGTATACAAGAAGTCAGTTGTTTGTACAAAAATAATGAAGTTGATACATGGAAAGTAGTCCAGCCTTGTCCAAAGTGGAACACCACAGGGTACCCTCTTGAAGTCCTGCTGCTGTTGTCTATGAGGATGCCTGAATCCAAATTGATTCCCAGGTCCAGTTTTCCTATGGGCCAGCTATATTCGAATTCCCACTTTTCATAATAGCTAACCCTACAAATCTAATTTGTTTTCTGCTCCTACTGCCTGCTACTTCAGCTTTCCCTGGGTTCCTTTGGACCTGGGGTTACTCTAGGGTGTCTGCATGCAACCAGCAGAGCATAACATCAATGAAGACTAAAAAGGAGAAAGAGTGGGAAGGTCCTCCTGTTGGAGAGCCAGAGCCTAGACAGAGTGCTGAAGAAAATGATCAGAATGAAGAATGAGAGAAAGGAATGTGGTTTGAATTAGTGAGAAAGAAGATGCAATACTGATCTTTCATGCTATTTCTATCTCATTTAAATTTTAATTATTTATAGTTATTGATTTCTTAGCTCCTCACCCATCCCTCTAGTTTCCTCTACCTCTCTTCTTAGGGTTTACTTATGAAATTCCCCGTTATATTTTACTCCAAATGCCACACAATTTCAGAAGTGGAGCTTCTTCTCCTTTCTCTTCAGGCACCCGGGAGGGGTTAATTTAGTTAATTCTGATTACTTGAAACACTGTCTATGCCTGGATGTTCCAAAGATATGGAATCTGGATCATTTATTCTCTTATCAAATCTCTACTGTGTGCTAAAAAACTGTTTTGATAAGCAAAATAGAAAGAAGCATACATCTCAGTCCTTCACTTCAGATGGCTCATAGTGGAGAAGAGACAGATATTCTGATCAAGTTTTGCCATTAAAATACAAATTATATATTACAAGGTACTACAGGATCACAGGTAAAAGTGGTACTGCTAACTTTGCCTGGAAGAACTGGACAAAAAGAAAGCATTTGGAATAAATTTATATTATGAGCCACAGTTTACAAGATAAAGAGAAAATTTTAAAAAATGCATAGAACAAGAGACATGGAATAAAAATATTGTCTATACTTAGGTGTGGCAAATTAATAAATGAACTTAGAGTATCTGAGGGTAGATGGGAGAGGGCACCAGAATGGAAAGAATTGAGGGCATGAAAAGGAAGGTTGATATAAAGCTAGGGTAAGACAGTCACTATATTCTTGGCTAAGAAGTTTGAACTTCATACGTTTATTCATCCATTGTTTGTTAATAATGGTAACAGCAATGCATATCACTTAAAAGGGTCATTAAATGCTAGGCCCTTTGTTAAGTAATATTATAATTTTCCTAGTAATCTAAGCAATATACTCAAAACTGGTGAGTTTCAGGTGCCAATATGATATTTACATGGAAGTAACTATCTGGCAGTTGGAAGTATGAAGCTAGGGCAATGGAGTGAGATCAGAGCTAACTGTTGAGACTGGCAAGCTATTGGCATCTGGGTCCTGGTTGAAGTTATCGCAAGCCAAAAAGAAGGCAAAGGAAAATGCCAGTAGAGCATGAGTAGACGAAGAAGCCACCATGAAATAAATTAGAAGTAGTTGTAAAGAAAGAATCAGGATGAATGGGGTTCCAAAGCTAAAATACGAAAGATATTAAGAAGGAAGCCCTTACTAAGCCCATACTCTGCTGAGAAACTTAGTAAGTCGAGATTAAAATATATCCACTGCATATGGACACTTTACCCTTTCCTTCATCCAGAAATTAGCTGAAAATTTTAGGAGAAACTCAAATCCAGAAAGCCTATGGATACTAAGTCTAGCCTGAAAATATCTCTTTATAGAGATCAGGACCAATGCTCTGAAAATATTTCCAAATCCCATATTTAAAGAAAATTTTCCCCAAGTGTGGGTTGATGCACCCTAGGATTTGGAGGTGTCATAACAAAATTACTGCATTTTTGAATTTTGCACTAATAGAAAAAACTTGGATCAGAAAACAGCTTTATCACTGAAATGAGTAGAGTGGTCATTGGAAATTACTTGTCTTTCTGAGCCTCAGTTTCCTCACCCATAAAAGAGGGGAAAATATACCAATATCGTAAGGTTGTAGGTGAGGATGTAATGAGATAATTGGATGTAAAGCACTTAATCTGGTATGTAGTGGGGGCTCAATAAATAATAGCTACTATTATTATGCTGGGCTGCTATGTGATGAGAACCCTGCCATTGCCTGACTTTTCATTAACCATGCAACACTAGGGAGTTTTTGGCAGCAACCACAAAGCAGTTTGTTGGCACACAACCTTTCAATTATCTGCACTACTGATCCCCTCCATTAGCATGGATAAGAGAAAGTGTACAGCACAGATAAGCCAGAGGGAGGAAGGAAAAAAACAGTGCAGCCATATATCTATATAAATCCCTATTAGGATTTAGGAGCAGTTCCTCATGGCTACAGATTTATATCTTCAAAGAGAGGAATCCAAGTTCTTCTTTATATGAGTTCTTTAACTTGACCTTAATGAATGTTAGCTCTTCTTTGTTGTTGCTTTATTTTTACAAAACAAATATCCATTTAAGAAATTATACCAGGAGGTTTTTTTCTATGTGTTGTAATGTTTTATCTCTGATTCTTTTTCCAATGTTGTGCCTCTCCTTAGCCATGGTAAGAATGATTCAACTTATTTGTGAGTCAATGGAACAATAATAAAAGTCCCACCTTATCTATCACTGAACTCTTAGGTTTTGAAATACAGATACAACTTTTTTTTTTTTCTTCCACAAGGCTAAAGAGGTTTTACTTAAAGATGATATAAATTTATAGGTTTTATTTTTGGCCACTGGAGGGCTCTCATATTTTTCCACTAATGAAATAGAAGCATGACTAAAAACTGAAAATGTAAGATAAATGTTTAAAGTGAGTGATCTTATGGTTTGTGCCAAAAACTAGATGAGATGAAATTTAGGGACAAGCGACTCTGATGCTTTAGAGCAGTGATTTGGATACTTAGGGCAGTTGCTGAGTCACTACCAGTAACTTTCAATGGAGGTCCTGAGAAATGACAAGGATAACTAATCCTTTTTTGGAAGGCCTCCTTTTCGTCTTATTCCTAAACTCTATTTACCACCAGAATCTCTCCTTATCAATGACTTTCCCTAATCATTATACCATATTTGTGCCCCCTGGCCTCTCTTATGAACTCTAGCAGTAATCCTCCTACATAGCCTTTGGTGCTGATCTGTGTTTCTGGATCTGCTCGGGTCAATCATATAGTGCTGTATACTTGTGTTGTGATGTCAGACTTTCTAGAAATGGTCAGGTTTGTACACAAAGGAAGGCAGTCAGCAGTTTGGATTACAGTGACCACATGGATATAGTGATCTTAGGTCTGATCTCAACTGTTGTGGATACTCAACAAATAGGTAAGAATTGCTGCAGGTATTTTTGGAAATAGTAATATTCCATCGGAAAAGCAATATAATTGTCTATTTGACCTCCTATAGGAGGTCTACCTGGCCTGAAACAGTACTCCCAAGCAGCAGCTACAGGTGGGGACAAAGTCTGGCTCTTTGGTGAAACATGTGGGAAGACCCATGGCATCATCATTCAAGCAAGCTAGGGTGTCAGGGGAGGGTTGAACAAGTAAATCATGATGGAAAGGTTTAAGATATGCAAACATCTTGGGTGTTAGTGGAGAAAGCTTCAGCTTAGAAGATACACAAGTATCCAGAGATTCACCTGTGATGATCAAATACCCAGCCTGGAGCAACATGAGTAATTCCAGATCCCACCTGTGGGAACAAGCTACTGAATTCATTGTTAGTGTACTATAGGCCAAAGTCTACAGGAACTATTAGAAATTATAGGCCAAAAGTCTCCAAAACCAGCATTTGAGGAGAGTTGGCACAGGTAGTCTGAAAGTCCTCCCTGGTGACTAGGCTTTTTTTTTTTCTGTTTTTCTTTCTTTATTTCTTTTTTAAAGATATCGTGAATTCAATCTCTTGAGAGTCCTGCCTATTTTATTCTGTCTCACTGACTTTGAACTTTAGTGCATAAATAATACTCATATTGATCCTAGAGTTTCTTTCTGTATGTGATTTTGCTCTTGTTTTTCTTTGCCTATCAAAGACAAGATTGTTGAAATGTTCCATTCTTTATGTGTAAAGTTTAACTCTTTCATAACCCCTTCTACTTCACTTAAAAATAGACACTATGATCATTATCAGTCTCTAGAGTATATACTGAAGTAGGTTTTTTAAAATTTGTATTTTGTTTTTAATTGATACATAATAATTGTACATACTTACAGGGTACAGTATGATGTTTATAATACCTATATACATTGTATAATGATAAAATCAGTATCATTAGTATGTCTATCACTTCAAACATTAACAATTTATTCATGGTAAGAGTATTCAAAATCTTCTCTTCTAGCTATTTTGGATTATACAATGCATTATTGTTAACTATAGTCACCCTACTGTGCAAAAAACCATCAGAACATATTTCTCTTATGTAACTATAACTTCCTACCCATTGAGTAACCTCTTCTTATCATCCCCCCATTCCTCACCCTCCAACCTCTGGTAATCACTATTCTACTCTCTACTTCTATAAGATCAACTTTTTTAGATTTCACATAGGAGTGAGATCATGCAGTATCTACCCTAGAAGTGGTTTCTTTAAAGTTGCCTTTCATTAGTTAATAATAATAATGTATCAGTATTGGACTATTCATTGTGACAAACATATCATAGTAGTGTAAGATATGCAAGATGAAAATAATAGAGAAAACTGGTATGTGCAGGGGGAATGTATATGAACTCTCTGTAATATCTCCTCATTTTTTTTTTTGGTAAGTCGAAAATTTTCAAAATAGAAATAATTAAAGCAGAAAAAGCAGCTGGCTATTCACTTAATATAACCCCAGTCAGTTAGGGCTAAAGGGTGAATCATGTAGGAATCTTGTCAGGGCTGCAGAGATAAGCCCTTAGAGCTTCCTAAGTTCACAGAGGCTGTGTTGGGCAGCAGTCCTGGGACTAGAGGGATGAACTATTTGGGATATTTGAGATATTTCTATTATTTGGGATATTTCTATTATAAGCCTAGTAGATTCCCATTTGGATCACTAGCCTCTTCCTGCTGCTGCCTCCCCAAAGACATCATTCTCAGGAAGCACCATCCTGCCCTATTTCACTCCAGAGCCCTGAACTGAAATCAGTTCAAAGCAGCTTCCATTATCCTTGCTTTTTAAATTTCTCATGACTTTATCTCTTGATCCCAGACATGACCTTTTATTTTTACTGGCCTGTCTCTTTGCTGAATTTTCAACTCTGGCCCAGTTTCTGCTGCTTCATTTCATCCTAACCCTTCTTTGGGCAGAAATATCTACCCCCATATTCCTTTTAGACTGTTGGTTTTCTGCTTCTTCATTTCATTCTACCTACCCTTTGGCCAGAAATACCTACCCCAATACCCTCTCAAATTGTTAATTTTTGGCAAAAGATTACTTTTAGACTGTTGGTTTTTTGATGATGATGAATATCACAACACTGTTTAAAGACAAATGACTTTATACTTAAAAGTGGAAGAGTCAGAGCTGGTGCTGAGTTGTTTTTCTTTTGAGAAACCTCTATTTCTGACACCTCCTCCTCTACTAGGAGCTGAATGTTACCTTGTGTGTCTATGTATTCAGGAACCAATGATGTTGACCCATTAGATTTGCCTCCTAATTTGTACCTAACTCTTCCTCTCCACTTCACTATTGAAAATATTTTCAATTACAGCCTAATTTCTTTTTCTTTTGAATTTTTTCTTTGGTCAATGCCCTATGCATATTATTTTTAATTGATATCCAGTTATTCTGGGCACATGAGGGACTTATAATTTCCTACTTCCTTGAAGCTAGGCATGGCCAGGTAACTTGCTTCAGCCAATAAAATGTGAATAGAAGGGATACATGTCACTTTCTTGTAGGAACATTTATTTGCCAGTGTATGAGTCTTCTAGCTTCTCTTCTGCTGTGGTGATCATGGGAACATGTGTTGATATGGAGGTGCCATAAGATCAGAGCAGCCTAGAGTACTGACTCAACACGTGGAGGACAGCTGCCCTGGAGAGTTGCCCAGACATGCAAGGGAATTTGTATGAATGAGTAAGTTTTGTTGTGTTAAAAAATAATGAAGATTGTGGGAATGTTTTTACTACTGCATAGCCTAGAATATCTTGACTATTATTGTTGAAAAGTAATCTCAAGTGTATAATACATTGTGAGTAATTGATGATATCTGAGGGTATTACCTCTTCCAGAGTATTTCCATTGTGATAGGTGACCCCAGGGAATAAGATATCTTAACTGAGAGGAATGAACTACCTATGATGGAGTGGAAGACCCTTGGGCAAATTAGAGAAGATGACATTTTGAGATAAAGCAATCTTTCTTTGTTCTCTAATCATACCATGATGTTGTCTGGCCAGATTCTTTTTCAAATACACATTTTAGGAAGTATAATTTGTGACAAATGCAGAAGCTGTGAGATCTAGCCTCTTGTAATACGATGCCTCTTCTAACCCGTTCTGAATACGTGATGTTGTAGGTCACTCATTGGGTCCTCAAAGTACCTAGTGTCTAATTTTTACACAGCTTGGAATGTCCTCTTTTGTGATTAATAATAATAATTCCTTTCTATTTTTTTCTGGCTATGATCCAGGCTTTAATATATGTTTTTGCTATTCTGTTCAACTACCCTGTGAGGTATTACTTCCAAAGGTACATGGTTATGAAGTGATAGAAGCATGAATTGAACTCAGATCCTCTTGAGAGTATATGTTCATTTCACCATGAGGTCTTTCTTCTCTCTCCTTAGGTGGAACTCACATTTCTTCCAATTTAAGCTGCACCTCCTCAGTGATGTGGCCCCCCTAATAGTCCTCTACACAGTGACCCCTCCTCCTTTGGAATCGTTATTGTCATTTGGAACCATAGTAGCTTGTCTCCAAAGATGGCCTTCCAGTAACTCATGCTTCCTGATGATCAGGCCCTAAATAGGTTGTCCTTGTGACTTCCATCTTGACCCATAGAATGTGGTGGAAGTAGCATTGGATGACGTCCAAGGTTAGTTCATAAAAAGCCTTGTGGATTCTTCCTCAGCCTCTAGAAACACTTGCTCTTGGAGCGTATGCTTTGAGGAAATCCAAATGTCATATGAGATGCCTGAGACCACCTATCTCAGACTATTGTGGGAGAGACTACTGTGCTGTGAAGAAGTACAAAGTAGCCATGTGAAGATACCATACGGAGAAAGACAGATGCCTAGGTAGCCCCTAGCTGTGCCAGCCATCCCATCAGAATCACCACACATAAGAGTAAAGGAATCATTGTGGATGTCCAGCCTAGTCAAGCCTGTAGATGATTCCAGTTCCAGTTGCCATCTGTCAGTAACTGCCTGAGACCCAAGACAAGAACCACCCAGCTTAGCCCAGTAAATCCACAGAATCACGTGTTATCATGATAATAAATTGTTTTTTTAAGCAACTAAGATTTGGAGTTTATTTTATCACAATAGGTATAATAAGCAGAAAGTTGCTGTATACTGTCCTCCCTCCCTACCTCTGGTACACTGTAATATCTGTGGACTGCTATTGTATTTTTGAATAATTAATAATTTCTATAATTGATCCATTGGCATCATCTCAGTTGAAGGCTTTCTGGGAGCTTTTCTTATTCAAGATGAATCCTCTTACTTTCTAGCTTAGTACCTGGAATATGGTAGGACTTCAACAAATGTTTGTTAATTGATTAATAAGCTCCTTGAGGCCAGCAACTGTTATTTCTACCTTTATATTTCCTATAATGTCTAGCACAGAGTTTTATTGTAGACCTTCAAAGATGTTTGTTAGTAAGGCATATGTCAATCATCATGTTCCAACATACTCTAACAAATGATTGATTCCTTTCGTAACGTGTTTCACAAAAATCCCTTCCTTGCTCTATCTCCACACTCTAGGCTTTAGCCTTGTGTGGCCATACACCTTAATCCATTCATTTAATTGTGCTATTCCCTCTGCTTGGAATGTTCTCCCCACCTCCACCCTGCCCATTCTACTTTGTGAAAACCTATTCATTCTGCAAAATTCAGCTAAAAGATTGCCTTTCCTTTAAACCTTCCCTTCCCTATTACAACACAACAATAATCTCTTTTCTTGAATTAATGTTACCTGTTGAGTACTTACCCCATGGCATTTCACTTACCACTTGTCATTGTCTCTCTTAGCCAGTGAGCTTTTCAAGGATGGAGGCTGTAGCTTATTTAACTTTAGCTTACCAGCACAATAAATGGCACAAAGCAGATGGTCAATAACTGACTATTGGATGAATGAATACATTACAAGGAGAGAACACGCATGTGAGAGATAAGAAACAAACATAGTGTTGAGTGCTTTGTCACCGCAAAGTGCTATTAATATACAATTGGCATCAACTCCCCTTGCTGCACCTGCCTATCTCATGCCTTTAATCTTTCACCACAAAGCCAACCGCCCTTCTTTAATCAATGCTGTTGCCTTTCTCTGAACCCTCTCTAGTTTGTACATTTTTATTTTTTTGGTCCTGAGATGCCTGAAGCCTCTTCATATTCAGCCCAAAATAGCACTGACCTTTCAGCTGCTATATCACCTGGCAGCTCATATCTAATTTCCTTTTGCAAGAGCCTCACTCACTTGCTTTAGCATTTCTGCTTTCCAGGTTTCTCTCACTGCTTGCTGTGTTGTTGATTGTGTTTTTCCCTCAGAGAATCTGGTTTCCATTTTTCTCTGGTTTGAACTCTACCTGGCTATTTATTCCTTTTCCCTTAGGCATTCAGTGGTGCATAATGTGGGGAGGTTGGGAAATGGGAGCCACTACCCTTTGATGATTTGTCTTCTGTGGGGGAGCCCACCTAAGACCTAGAAAATAGTGCTGTCCTAGCTCATTCTGCCTGCTCCTCAACAAATTGTTGTCATTAGCTGCTTTTCCAGCCTTCCCATGGGGTCAGAGGAAGCATTTCATGGGATTGGGATTTTGTTTGTTTATTTTTATCTTTTTGCTTTATTTTGGTTTTCCTTCCTTCCTTCCTTCTTTCCCTCCCTCCCTCTTTCCTTCCTTCCTTCCTTCCTTCTTTCCCTCCTTCTTCATTTCCTCCTGCTCTCTCCCTCTCTGTTTCTCTTTTATGTCTTTCTTTATTTTTCTATTCGAATCATACACATTCCAGATTACACGAAAATGAACCTAGGTGACATACTAAGGAAATTATTTCTCAGCATTTCTTAGAGGTATCTTTTTCAAGGCCCAGCCCCAGACTCTAGCCTACATTATTTTCTACAAAATGGTTTTCCATAGAGAAAAATATGAAGGTACGAAGGGGAGAGATGTCACTATCTCCTCCTTACCTCCTGTGAACTGAAAAAGGCCTTTTCTAATATGGAACTCTGTGTATGTCTCAGGAACTGAAATTGTAACTCAAATTTAAACAAGCAAGGAAACTATAAAATTAAACAACATACGTAATTATAAAAATCACTGCTTAAAAAGTATATAGGTTCTAGAATATTCTCTATATTTTTATGCTATTACACTTACCTATACAGTTTCTTCAGTTTAGACTAACTTTGCTCATCTTCTTGCTTTATTGAAATTCTACTTATCCTTCAAAACATCATTCAGATGCCACTTCCTCCTTGAAAGATCACCTTATCCAACCCAGATGTGAATTCTCTCTCTCCTTCACGTTCCCTCTGCTTTTTGTTTATACTGGTTTTCTAGCTCTTAAGACAGTAAATCTTATATTTGAATTACTTATAGAGGCATTATTTTTTCCCTCTAAACTGTAAACTTCTAGGGGATAGGAAAGCCAACTTATTCATTCCTGTGAGTTCTACCAAGAAGAACATAAACCGTTTGACATCATGTCCTAGAATAGTTCATTGTATTTTGGCTTTCAGAATGAAAAAAATGTGCACAGATGTTAAGTCCTGCTGAGATTCTCTGAGGTTTAGGGTCCTCCTAGACCACTGCAGCTTGGAGGTTAGGAAAAGTCCCTCTAGATGCTCTCAAGGTGAACTTAATATGACAAAGTGTTTGCATGCGTGGTTGGGAGTGGTTCTGAGTAAGGCAAAGGTAGGGGTAGTGGGAGCACAGAAGAGGAGTTTGCTTTTTAATCAGGCAGTAGAATATTTTTCATTGATGGGACTTAGTTGTGATCCCTTCTAATAGCAGTATTATAAGTAATTATTTTAACACTTAACGTTTGAGAATTTTTAAATGCCAGGCACTGTGCTAAGTGCTTTACATAGAATATAAAATACTTAATTCTTATGACAACCCTGAGATAGGTGTTATCATTATTCCTCATCCAATGGATAAGAAAAGTGAGGCCAGAAAGGTTAAGTAATTTGCCCAAGGTCACACAGCTAGAAAATGGCAGTGGTTGAATTCAAGCCCACATCAGCTGGGGACAGGATCCCTGCTCTTGAGCAAGCTATGAGTTTGTCATTCTCTGAAGGTGAAAATTCCTTTATTTTCCTGGTGTAATAGTTTCTTTACTATGTTCATTAATGAATATCAAAGGTTTTTGAGCATGATGTCACATAATAAAAGGATTACAATTTACACTGCCAAATAGAATGGTGACTACTTACTACTATTTATAAATGACTCTTACACTACTTATAAATGACTCCTATGTGTCAGGAATCTCTGCACTTTCCACACAGTCATCTCTAATTTTTAATAACAACCCCATAAGGAGGGTATCATTATCTTCAATAAACAGAGAACAAAATTAAAGGTCATAAAGGTGAAGGAGCTTGCATGAAGCCCAAAAGACAGTAAGTGATAAAGCCAGCATTTACCTGCTGTGCTTGTCTTTGAGGAAATTCTGGACTACCTGCACAGCCCTAGAAAATAGGATGGGATTAAATTAGTGAATAATTTACTTGTTTCTCTCGCCTCATTGAAGGAAGATATTTATTATTGTTTATTATTACTATTATGGCATCTCAGAGCCTCTTCAAACTTAATGATGTACATGATAGATTTAAATTATTGCTTCAGTGCTCTCTGATCCTAATCCTGTATTTCCAGAATTTTCTGGGAAAATTTGTTGATACGTGTGTTGCACAATAAACTGAAATCTTCTCTTTCTCCTACTACACTGTAAATCACTGAAAGGCAGGACAATTTCTTATTCAGCAAAACCTCAATTCCTGGCAAATAGTAGATGGTAAATAAAAGTTGAACTGCATACCTGTTTTCCCCATCATTTTCCATGCTTTCAATTTATCTGTCTCCTTCTTCCTTTGTTATCATTTTATCACCTACCTTACTTTACATCCAGTCTTGGAACTGCAGTGATACCTACAGGCACTACCAACCCTAGTGGTAACATTTCAGGACTAAAGTGTGGCTGACCACTCCTGGGCAGTGGTCTGTGCCCAGAGCAGTCTTCCTGCTATGGGATCACAGCAGGCCTTTCTCTCTCTATTCTCATGAACACTGGTTTTCATATTCCTGTTTAGCAGGAGTAGTGTTTAAATACATTAATTAATAAAGATTAATCAATAATTAACCATTCTAAAGCCACCTAGAGGCCATTTCATGGTGCAGTGATGTATTTATTGCCTTATTCAGTGAAAGGACTTGGGAGCTGTCTGGCTCCACTCACAGGTTGCTTTATTACAGGATGCCTGATCGACAAACTTACATTCCAAGTACCATTCTTCTGGCCCTTTTCCCAGGTAGGGACCTCAGTGCAACCCCCTGGCACAACTGCTGTCTGCACTAGCCCAGACTTCTCTGTCCTTTGTAGATAGTGGGCTCGAGTCCCTTAGTTGATCTATGCTGGGCCTGGGATGGAGCCAGGCAGCTCAGAAAGAGTGTCCTCCGCGGTAGCATTGAATCCTGCTTGGTTTCTCTGGCAGCAGCTGGTACTTGTTGCTCACAGGATGCACTGCAAGTTCAAAGTTCTCTGTCCCAATGTTAGGGGAGGGTACCCCCATGGACCTTAAATAAATGCCAGTGGAAGGTCAGTGAGAATGTTGCCAACCACACATTCTGTCTCCAAGAAGGTGAGTGTTTCTTCTAAGTCAGGTTCAGTGCACCAGCAAATGGCATACACTACAGACTTGGTAGTGACCTGCTAATTGACTGGCACTTGGGGCTCTGATTCTGGCACAAATTACTGTGTGTAGTTCAATATATCCTATACTGTCCACACCTCTATTTTCCATTTCTTGCTAAATGTTAATCTCAGAGAAGAAACATTAGCCTATAGATCCAGGGCAGTATCAATCTATGGTGAAAATTGTGCACAAACTAAGAGATATTCAGCCTCAAGGCTCCTAAGACCCTCCTTTCTATATGTTTCCAGGGGAAAGGGAGGCTGCTTAGAACGGAGTCCTCATAAACTGTCTGGTTCTAGTAACACTCAGATACTTCATTCATATTCTTTAGAAGATCAATGACAGTTTAACCGAAGCCAGGTGGGACTTCTAAGCCCCTTCTATATAAAAAGATATGCCTGTGGTCTGGAATATTGAGTTTTTTTCCAAGAAAGCCCTATTTATTGTAGCTCTCATTAATAATGACCAAATTATTAAATATTAATTGCAATGACATAAAAATGGCCAGTGTTGATTGAGTACCTACTACATTCCAGTCTGTTGTGTTACACATTTCCCATTGAACAAGCACAGGAGCTCCAGTATGAGATAAAGAAATCATAGTGGAGGGAACAAGGGATTACAAGTGGAATTGAGCTGGTGCAAACACTTTCTATTCATTTTTCTTTTTTTTTCTCTTCATTCTCCTACTGCACACTTGGTGAGGTAGGTACAGAGAAGCCCCCTAATTAGAACTGCCCTCCCTCTTAGAAGGCCCTGTAAGACCACGATGGAGTACAGGGAGAGGAGGCACAGAAGAAATTGGATATTAGGGGAGCAGAGAAACAGAATTTCAGCCTATTCATACATGGATTTGAGGCAAAGCACCAATCAGCCATAAATAATATAATTAGACTGGAATAAATTTAATAGTTTATATCTTATTGACAGTGAAACAACATTTAGGAATTCAGGATTCTGATCATAGCCCTTTCTAAGTGGGAAGTGACAGACTTAAATATTATCATTTTCATTTGGTGACTGAAGAAATTGAAGCTCATGGAGATTGAATAACTTACCTCTGGTCACACAGCTGGTGAGTTGCTGAGTTGGAAGTTAGTTCAGTTTGACTCCAAAATTCTATCTATGGAACAGCTATATAAATATTATTTTCTTCTCATTATTAAAAGGGACATTCTTTCCTATTAAATATATTACATTTTTACAAAAGTCAGATCCCAAGAGGTTTCACATGATACTCACTGATTGTACATAAGTAAATAAAGCAATCACTTAAGATCTCAGTTTGTATTATTGAAGACCTAAATTGTTTAGGTTAACAGAAAACTGTTACCCCAAAGTATTCACCTTATTCTTTCATGCACAACCAACAAACATCCCGTGAATCTCTCATAGATGTTAAGCTATAATACAAACCAAGCCTTTTCTGTTGCCATGAAATTGAAAGTTATTAGAATCTGAAGTCTCAATACTATCAAAAAGAAGCCATATCCCCATCACCATTTTGAATAACTATTGTCAAACTATTGATATAGCTCTCTTTTTTTATTGATTGATATAGTTCTCTTTATTTGGAGGACCTATACCTGCCAGAGGAAGAAAAGTAAACAACCATATCTCCTGAGTTCCACAGAGGAAAATAGAGTGCCATAGGCTCAACCTCAGATTCCTTATTTTAAAAAATCATTTTCTAAAGGTTTTGTTTGCCCAACTAGGTTCCAAGATGGTCAGCAATTAGTAGTAGGAAGTTTCATTATGCTAAAATGTAGGAAGATAAAGGAAAAGAAGATCATACATGTATGTTTTTAAAAATCAACAAGAGAGGGTTTATCTTCTGTCTCTACCTCTCTGATACAAGTAGAGTCTCAAGGTGGGTAGGATAGAAACTTAGGGCATGCAGGACAGTGTATCTTAATACTAGATTTATTATAATGATAATGGAGTAATATTGCAGGTTACATATCAGGAAATTTCCCACTTAGAAACATGGCAGGCAACCAATCTAAAGACTGCATGCGGAGCAGTGAAGACTAAGTTCAGGTCGATGGAAGGGCAATGGAGAACTAGAAAGAGAAAGGAGATTCAGATAGAGGGTAAAACACTCATAAGAGAGGTTTCAATGACTTTTTATAAAATGCAACAATCTCAGATGCTAGAAGTGAGAGGGCAGTTAAAAGTATTCACTAAAAGGAGAGGGTTAACCATGCAGCAGTGTCTAGATGAGATGCTGCAGTTTTTCCATGCTGGAAATGTGACCAACCGCTACCTCTCTCAATTTCTCATTGCCCTTTATATAAAGCTTAGTATAATCATTTTACCTATTTTCTTCCTGTCTGAGAAGATAAAGCACATCTCTTCCTATTTAGAATAACCAATCTACCTATCACTTTATCCCATACTTCTCTCCTCTTTCAAGATATGTTCTATTTTTCCTGTGGCTTCTTTTATTTCTCTGTTGGATTTGTCTTTAACTTACAAGCATTCTGTCTTAGTTCATTTGTACTACTATAACAAAATACCTGAGACTGGGTACTTTATAAAGAACAGAAATTTATTTTCTCAGAGCTCTAGAGGCTGAGAAGTGCAAGATTAAGACCCTGGCAGGTTCATTGCCTGGTGAGGGATGCTCTTTGTTTCCAACATGGTGCCTTGTTGCTATATCCTCCTAAAGAGAGAAATGCTGTGTCCTCAACTGGTGAAAGAAGGAGCGCAAAAGGGCAAGCTAGCTTAACATTGTATGCAGCCTTTTTATAAGTACCCATTCACAAGGGAGGAGACCTAATGGTCTAATCACCTCCTAATGGCTTCACCTCTTATTACTATCATGTTGGCAACACCTGAATTTTGGTGGGGACATATTCAAACCATAGCATGTTCCAGCCACCTCTATTCATGACTTGACCCCAAGGCCTGTTATATTTATCCTCCAGCCTCATTTCTTTTCTCTCCATCTCTGCTCTTGGATCAGCTGCAGCCACTCTTTGCAGGTCCTCATTTCCCATTCATTCCTCAACCTACTTTCTGTTTCTACCGATTAATTGAAAATCTCTCAACAAAGTCCTAAGAAACTATGCTCTTTCTGAAAATCCTTTTCAATTCATACTTACTATTGTTCTTTCTTTCTTAACATTTATAGGAACTCTTATAGTCAAAGGTTCAGGAGTACAGATATATAACTTTCTTCTGGTGGTAGAAAATTAAAATGTACCAATTTATATAAATTTCTTTTTGTTTAAAACTGAATTTTGTTTAAATACATAATTAGTTTATTGTGTTCTCCTCCTCTCTATTTTCTTGTCTTTTCACCAGAGCTCATAGCATTAGGGGAAAAGATGTGGTGTGGAGATTCTTGAGGAGTCAGAACCTTTCCTCATTGCATCCCATGCAATTCCACCACGGCTAAGGTCCATGTTCTCCGAGTTTCTTTGTCCAAACTGGGAGACCCTTGCAGGAACCATCAGACTTGGCCAATTCTGTACTGCCCTGCGGGCCCTTTTCCTGCTTTGCCAACCTCATACTGGAGTCCAAAGCAGTCTTTGAGACCACCCATTCACTCACACAGCTCCCCCTTCACCCACACACCTCACCCTAGTTGTTGCAATTAGCCCATTCACACTGTATTAGAATCAGTGCTGTTTGAGATGCTTGATCTCTCCATGGCTACAATACTTTTACTGATTCCATTGCTAATGTTTGAAAAACCTGGAGTTACACATCATTTGACCTCAGAAAATCCCACAGTAGAGCTTGTGTCTTCCTGTTCCTCACACCCTCAATTCTTGCTTTATTTGGTTAAGTGCTTGACCACTGCTGAATTTGTCTCCTTCCACAATGATGCTAAAAGCAATTAAAGTAACAGAGCTGAAGGTATGATCCATAATTCCTCAATTTATCACCCTTTGCTTGACCTCCACACCACACTCCATCTCTCTTGGGATAAGTGCCAAAAAAGAGGTTGTTTTTAGGACTGAGACCCAATTAGATTTATCACTAAAAGGAACAAAATAACTCAGGCCTTTTAGTGCCGGTTATATAAAAGAGAAAGAATTTAACTCTTAATTGAATGAAAGTAGAAAATTAACATTCAGATCAAATAGATTGTCTCAAGTAGACATGTGCCATGGTGTGGTCTCAAGCAGATGATACAAACCCCCTAAATTCCCACTGATTCAGGACAGGTTTAGGCCTGAATAGCATCTCTGTATTTACAATAATAATGTATGGCAATCCCAGATAAGAGAAAGTTAAAGAAAGGGTCAGAGTTTTATCCTCTTCTTTGGATATAAACATTGGTAACCGTTGTCTCAGTAAAGATTCAGAGAGCAGAAACTAATAGGCTTTTACAGACATTTACACAAGCTAGAAAAATAGTTGAATTCTTTCATCAACCATGCTATTATCTATATATACCTGACAGTGCCCCAAATTCTGCATTCTTAGAGGTAAAATTAGGCCTTTGTCTAGTGAACTCAGATGCTCCTGAAGAAAAGCATAATGTTTATTTCCTTTCTCATCATGTCACAGTTGAGAGAGTCCCTCACATTTGGTATTTCTGGGCCTGACTGATCTCATTGTCTACCCCTGGGAAACACCTTAAGTCAAAGAGTCGCCTGGTGGATTCTTGTACCCCAAGGTGCTGAATCACCTTATCTCTGCCAGTAGATACAGTTGAGATTTCAGTTCCTCAGCCTCTGTCATCTTTGAGTCAGAAGTTAAAAATACAGAGGGAAAGAGAGGAATGTGTCAAGTTGCTTCACTAGCTTTATCACCATCAACAACATTGGGATTGATGCGAACAGGAGTTGATTACATGACTCCAGCACATGACACTGTGTTAAGTTCCAGTCCATGTAGGTCAGGTCCTCAGGCACCAGATAAAGAGCATTACTGCCAACAGGTCAGGTGAAATGCTCATGCCTAGTTCTGTGGCAGAACTAAAATTCACAAAAGCATGTCCAGGGCCTTGCCATTTTGGGCAGACTTCATCAATACTGATGAAGTTTTGATTGGTCAAAAGTACATAGACAAATGGACAATGACATCAGGAAGTCCCAGGCCAAGTTGGGCTTTTGCCTCAGGTGTGCCAGGGAATGCAATGAATCCCTGGTTCTCTGTGTTGATGTCAGCTTTCTCCAGGTCCAACCTATTTTCTTTTTCTCATGAAGCTACAGATCTTGGTTTAGAAAGGAAGGTATTTGTTTAATCTGGAGCAAGAGTACACCCAACATTTGTGTTTTCCGTGGCTGGATCAGACATCTTCGAAGGTTTCCATAGAACTTTTAAAAAGCAAATTAAAAAGTACTTTTATTTTTGCAGGTTATGAAGGTAATTTAAGTATTTTTTATTTTAAATAAACGTATCTTGCAGAACTTGGGACATATTATACTGTTGATGCATGTATTACTCATTACTATTATTAGTCTAAAGATAATATCAAACAGTAATGTCACATGAGAGAAAATGGGGTTACCTGACAAAATGCAGTGTTAAACATTATCCATCATTATATATAAAGAAGGGTGGGGAAAATAGACTCAGGAATTTTAATTTGCTGACAAGATCATATTTTAGAATTTAGGTGTAAATTCTTCAGGTTAGTGGATGGCAAAGAGTTGAGAGTATAGAAATTGAGTAAGACAAAGAGTTGGGGGTAGCAGAAGGCAAAGGCCAAGGTTGAAAAACTGCTGCAAAAGTTAAATTAGGCATCTTGATCCAAGCCTCAATATCAATGCCTCTACACCCAAATTCTAATTAAAATCTACTGTAAAATTTTATAAATATCATGCATGATGTCACAATGAGACATGATGCAAGAAAAAAGATAAATAACAACAGCAGTCTGAGTTATTTAATGTACTTAAAATCATGTTAGTAAAGCAGAGATCATGGGAAGCATCAGCAGTAGAATTTCTCTATAACCCAGAACCCTGATGCATAAGCTTTAGAAGAAATTGCCCCTTATTGCAAAAGGTCAAAAGTTCTACATTTTCTCTTGTCCGACAGTAGAAAAAGAAAGTAGATTATCTTGTGGATCTTAATTTCATGGAGATGGGAAGCTTGGCCTGTGGTTCATGCAGTGTTTTTGCTTTGAAAAGCTAGCAGAGGTCCTCAATCCCACTCCAGGATGGATGGCTCAGCACACACTGCACCTCCCCACCTCCAAGCCTGGTGTTTGTATGGAATAATGAGTCCCATAAGCTTGGGCCTGATAATGCTTTTATAATGTAAAGGAGGAAAGCCAAGTAAAGTGGATCTGTGCATCCCTCTAATGAAAAGTTGGCTTGTCTGTTTTTATCAGACTAATGAAGCCCCTACCCCATTCTCTTGCCCAGTGTAAGCCTCACAATGGGGACAGTGAGCTCTCTCCAACATAGCTCCTCCACAGATGCTATCTGCCAGCTATCTTCGCAGAAGAGTTCATTTTAAAGGGATCCTGGCTTGATTAAGGCTTTGTGAGCCTCCCAGCCTCATTACAAATCAATGGAGATGAACTGAGTGCTTAATACTCAAAAGCCAAGCTAACAAAAGCTGACTTATTACAAGCTAAGAGGTTGGGACTCTCCTGGGTGTTTCAGCTTTGTTTTGTTTTGTATTTCATCCCATTTTCCCCTCTCCTCCTCTTCCTGACCACCCCCAACCCAATCCATTTTTTGTGGCAATATTCAAGTCCATAGCCTGATTCTGTTCCTTCTCCCTTATTTCCGTCTACATAAAACTGCAGCTTTTAGAAGAATAATATTTCTGACTAGATATTATGCTCCACTGTAGCCAGATGACTTTTCTGAATGACAGGGAACGGCTCCCCTTCCCTAGGCCATTTAACTTCAGTTTTTCACACAGGACTTAACGATCCTAGTATCTTTTGGAAAACTTCCTGTTTACTGTTTCTCATCTACCGACTCTTCCCATCCATAACCCCAACAGACACACAAGTGCGGAATGGCAAAGGGCAATCAGAAACATTTGACCATCGTTAAAGAAAAGATATGAGTTAACATAAACCTGCTTCCAGATCCTTCAGCGGTTTCAGACACCTCTTCTCTTCCTGTCTCCCTCTTTCTCTCTCCTCTCAGAGAAAACTGCACTGAAAGTGTTTTCTGTTCCATATTCAGAGACAGGAAGGTGCCAGAACTGTAATGAGCTGATGAGAAGCCCCATATGGAAAGGAAAACACACACACACACACACACACACACACACATGGATGCACACACACACACACACACACCCCAAAGGAAGTTTCAAATATCACTATAAATCAAGTCTCATTGTCAAAAATTCAAGAGACTGGGGCTCCTCCTTCTCTAAGAAAGATTGGAAGGATCAATCTTACAGGATACCACCCCCTTGTCTTTCCTTGCAGAAATAATGACAGCAAACATTGGACATTTTATTCTGTCTCAATCAAAATGTTAAGCATTTTACATGCAGTATTTTATTTAACAATCACAATAATTCTGTGAAGAAGGTTCAATTAATATTTGCACTTTATAAATGTGGGACCAAGGGAAAAAATATGGTTTCCAAGCCACACATTTAGTAAGCAAAGAACGTATGAAAATCCAGATCTTTCTCTGACTCCAGAACTCCTGAACGAAACCACTACATTAATCTGCCTTCATATAGGTTTGGCAAAAATCCTTAAAAAATAAAGAAAATATTTTATTGGATTAAACCTTGTAAGGGTTTTGGGATTTAGCAACCACACAGTTTACAAATGGCCACTCCTTTTTTTTCTACCTGTCCCTCCCCATTGTGTTCTGAGTAGAACTCTGCTCTCCCCTACCCTGACTTGCAACTCTGTGTTCTAAACTTCCTCTAACAGGAAGAACCTGGGTTTAGAAGTCAACTGCACCAAATTTAAACCCCAGATTCTTTGGTTACCAGTTGGATGTTCTTGAGCAATTTGCCTAATGTTGGTGAGTTTCTTTTTCCCCATCTGAAAGCGGAAGCTGAGATCATGTAAAGATTAAATGTGAAAACATGTTAAATGCATGTAGGAGAGTCTACTTCCTTGCCTTTTCTTTCTCCAGACCTTTTACTCTTCTCCCCAGACCCTCCAAGAAAGGTCTGTTAAACTGATCTACACTAATGGCTTCTAAAGCTTAATATGCTACTTCTCTCAGGGGCAATTGCATTTTAACAGACTAGAATGCTTTAGGCCAAAAGGAATGAGTTTCTAATTATGGAATTAGATTATTGGAGAGGGGAGTTCCATACCTTTGAAATCTTTCCAAGCAATAGATGCCCTTCTTCATTTGTGGGTAGATAATAGACCCCACAATGAATGGCAAAACTTTGAAACCTTTTTTTCTTGTTATTAAACATATTGTAGCAATAACTATCACCTATGAAAGCCAAGAGGAAAAGTGTAGACACTTAGCAAATGGCCAACTGTGATTGCTTCAACTGGGAATCTGAAATTCATTCTATACACCCAGTCATTCGATTCTTTTCTTTTTGTCCTTGTACAAATAGAGATTCTGCCGTAGGCCATTTAAAAGAAAACTAACTTCAAAGTACAAGCTGTTTAGAAACTAATGGCAGTGCCAGAAATGATTATAAATTGTTTCAGAATTATTTTCTTCAGTAGCTTTTTTAACTGCAAAGATGTCAGAGGACTGGCCCACACAGTCTTTGACAGTTGTAAGTTCCAAAAGAATTTCTTCCTGAAATGATGTAGGTTGTCATTACCCTTCATCACATGCACGTATGCATAAAGCTGTGTTGTTCATGCCAAATCAAACTTCCAACAGTCAACTGGCCTTCTCCAATTGAAGACAAGAATAAAGCTCCTTGAAAAATTATTCCATTCTGATTCCAGAGTATGATTATTACCTCTGAACAAGATTTGCCACGGGCAGTTCAAGGACAAAGCAGATTTAGTTCCTAGTACATGCCCACATCCAGCAGTGAGTTTTAGCACTGAAGGCATTGGACATTGCTTGGGCGTTAGGCTTGGGTCAGGAATACAGCATCTGCAGACCAGGGCAGCAGAGCTCTTTGGACTCTGCGACCGCTACCAGCTCACTGCTTAATCTAATTTATTCATTCAACAATATTTATGGAGCAGCCACCATTATCCAAGTCTTTAGGGTGGGGTCAAATCAGAATTCTACTGAGTCTTGTTCTTACCAAGTGATCTGCCGCTGTCCAGAGAACTGGGTGTGCGGCCTAGTGCCCAAACAGCATCTGCAGTTGCCACATAGAGAAAAACTTGTAGAGTATTCTCAGCCAAGTGCCAAGGGGATCCTGATAAACTGTTTGTATGAATCCTCACCCCACTCAAGAGCCAAAGTCTTTGTCGTTTTAGAGAACTTGGTGTAAATAGAAAGGAGGAAGGAAAGCTAACCTTTACTTTTCTAGTCTGTTGTTGTTTTTGTTTGTTGCTTTGTTTTGTTTTGTTTGATCTTTGTTTTAATATAAGTGTCTCCAATGCCTATATTATTGATATACATAGAACTGACTGTCTACTTTTTTAATAATTAATTTCTGCCTTTGGAAAACGAGAGAAACAAATACAACCATTTAAATACAGGAGAAGAACATTGCCAAAGAAGAATAAAACACAGTGATGGTAGGCATCACAATTTGTCCTCTGGTTTGCACTGACCGCCTGACTTTTTAAATAAACGTTTTGTTTTTGAATAAGTTTGGATTTACAGAAAACTTTTAAAGATTTTATGAAGAGTTCCTAGATACACTTGCCTTATTCCCCCAACATTAACATCTCAAAACTAGAAAATGGGTATGGGCACATTGTTAGTAACTAAATTATAGACTTTGTTCATTTCACCAGTTTCTTCACTAATGTGCTAATTTTTTTCAAGATCCAACCCACAATATCATATTTCATTAAGTACATCACTTTCTTTTAAATTATAATTAATATTCTTAAATATTAAATTTCTATTTCTGAAATCCCCATGAGCTCTAAAATGTAAGCAACTCACTGTTAACTTCAACTGGAACTTTCTAACTAAAGTAGAGTAAAAAAGATAATAACTTATTTATTTATTTATTTTGTATTTTATTTATTTATGTATTTATTTTGACACAGAGTCTAGCTGGTCATCCAAGCTGGAGTGCAGTGGCCTGATCTCAGCTCACTGCAACCTCCACATTCAGAGTTCAAGCAATCCTCCTGCCTCAGACTCTTGTGTAGCTGGAACTACAGGTGCGCACCACTACACCCAGATAATTTTTGTACTTTTTAGTAGAGATGGGGTTTCATCATGTTGGCCAGGCTGGTCTCGAACTTCTGACCTCAAGTGATCCACCTGCCTCGGCCTCCAAAAGTGCTAGGATTACAGGCGTGAGCCACCACACCCCACCAACTTATTTGTTTTTTATCTGTTAACTATGAAAAGACTTGCTGGATTCTCTCCAATTTAGCTGAGAACACTAGATCTATTAATGAAGGAAAGAGAAGACACTGCATGTTACAGAGAACACTGAGTCTTTTAAGAACTGCAGGCCCTAATGATCATGCTTCTAAAACACAAATGGGCATGAAATCATATTTATGGTTAAGGGACACTTTGCAAAATCAACATGTAATTAATGATGAATGATGAAATTCAAACACAATTATGCTATTCTTCTTTCCTTTGTCATGGAAAAGTTAAACATTGCCTAATATAATCAATAACTGCTATGGAGGAAAATCTGCCTCTAAAATCTGCCACACAGGTAGCACATGCTTTGTTACTTTTACAAGAAATTAGAGCAATTAACCAAAAAGGCTACTACATATTTCAGGAAATATTTTAATGAAAAATAGTAATTTAAATAATGTCAGCCCCCAGATAAACTATCACCAGAGCAATGGCTACATCTAGATTTCTGTAAAACTAATTGAAGTATCTCAATGCCTAAACTCCTGTTGTCCCTTGATATTTGTGGGGAATTGGTTCCAGGACCTTCCACAGATACCAAAATCCACAGATGCTCAAATCTCTGATATAAAATGGTGTAGTATTTACATTTAATATATGTTTATCCTCCAATATACTTTGTATAATCTCTAGATTACATATAATAATATAATGAAAATGTTAAGTAAACACTTGTTATACAGTACTGTCTAGGGAATAATAAAAAGAAAAAAACTGTACATGTTCACTACAGATGCTATTATTTTTTTCAGTATTTTTGACCAGCAGTTTGTTGTTGAATCCACAAATGCGGATGCCACCGGTAAGGAGGGTAGACTATATTTTAAACAGATTATTTGTAAGACATTCTTTCTATTACTCAATAATCATAACACTTTATAAGATTTATTTAATGTTACCGCATTTAGTATCACTTATATGATTTCACTTATTGCCCTAAGGCCAATCCCATTCTTTACGATCCATTAACACCTCCTTTACCCTTGTTTTGTTTGGTTTATTTTTGGCTATATTTCCAAGGTAAAATCCTTTTTTCTTTCTGAACTTGGTGTTAGTGTTTTTTGTCTTCTCAGCTTGATTTTCCAATTTCTCTTAAGGACTTGGCTTAGAATCAACCTATTATCATTATTATTTTCTAGTTTGGGCTACCCAGGGTAGGAGACCTCGCATTACTGGGCACTAAAGTGCACATTCCCAATTCTTCCTCTCTCCTTGACTAAGTCTGACTAATGTTCCTTACTGGTATTTGATAACCCGTAGTATAGTGCTACCTGTAATAACACATTAATGCTCTATCACAGTGAGAGAATAATTACCAGAACTGGCAACATTTCTTACTGCAAAGTAAAATCCAACCCAACCACAGCAGTGCCATACAAATTATGTTTGTATGGGACCAAAGTTGTAGGGGAAAGGAGAGTATTCAAATGAGTATTCTATATCTGCTTGTGAACTTGAAGGAATACTCAAATGGCAACAGAATAGAAAAACAAAATGAGAGATACAGCAAAATTATGGGAAAAGAGAAAATAAGGGGTTAATAATTTATCCCTGAAGGGATTCTGTTATTTTGTGCCATTGCCACGGTGAAAATATAATTTTTGAAATATCGGCATGGTTATCTTTTCTTTTTGGCTCATGTGGGCTAAATCTCTTGCCCCATAATTAGCCAGAAGGTCTTCTCCTGGTCATAGGGGCCTCTGGTAATGCCAGCCTCCCCATCCCATGTAGACTAAGTGAGTTACTCACCGGATGTCATCAGCTTCTGAAAATTGGTAGTGGGGAACATTGTCTGGGCCTCTGGGCAGAGATGCTGCTTGTAAGGCTAATGTTTTGATCTCAGGGCTCAGACTCCAAGGGCAAGCCCAGAAATGGTAGTAGTGACTGATAATTCTTGAAAATAGTGCTATTATAGATTCATAACAAAGCACAAAAGCATGAGCTATTGTGGCTGCAATCTAAAAGTCCATGAATAAAAAATGTTTGGGGCCAAAGTGGAGGAGATGGTTACAAATGGTTTTGTAGTATAAACACAGCTGGAGACATTTTATTTAAACGAACTAAAAGGGCAGCTTTTAAAAGCAAAGCCCATCTTGATTCATAAAACTGCACCCATTGCAAAAGCTGTGGCCAGCAAGCACAGTAAAACATTCAGGACAGCTGGGGTCAAAGAGCCTTTCACAGATATATTAAGAAAGAAAGGCCTACTAGAGAGAGAGTAGTCTGCTAATAAATCAGAAAAGGAATGAAAATCATGATGGCTCAAAAATGACTGACTTACTGAACAGACGTATGGTCAAAAGAATAGATGTTAACAACAAAGCTAAGGAAAAGAAGTCTGGGTTATTAAAAAGCAATGAATGCTTTGTACATATAAAGTAGCTATTGATGGAAAGCACTATTAGAAAATATTTGAAAAATCTGAAGCATAAATCAGTAGTCTGGGAGGACATACTTCTCAGCTCAAGCCAAAGATGATCTGGTCCTTTGCCATGCAAGTGGTGCTAACTGCAATTCTTACTAAAATGAAGGGGGGGATACCTGTAACTGTCATAAAAAGAGCTATAGAATCAAAAGAAAAACAAAAAGCAATCATGAAGAAAAGAGAGTGGAAGGGAGGACATGGAAAACAATCTTTGGATGAAATTGTAAAAGTTTGATATAATGGAAATAAGATACATCTAATATATTGGAGAAAGAATTTTAAAGTTAGCTAGATGCCCGATAGAAAAAAAGGAATAGACCAATAATTTTGGACTATGCACTTCACCGTGTCAGTTCCTTTTTGCTTGAAGGTAAAACACATTGGAAATGCATTTACTATTGACAAATTATACATCAGGTTTATAAAGGATCTTGACCAAAACCCATATTGAAGCCAGGGATACCCTTCACAAGCAAATTACTTAACAACACATTTGATTATGAGTAACAGAAATCCTGACTCAGACTTAATAAAATGCCTCATATAAATGAAATTTCTGGAAATAGGGCTAGCTACCAGAGAGCTTGATATGGAGTCCTAGTGTTGTCCTAAGGCCCATTTACTTCCCATTTCTTTGCTCTACTTCACCTGCTGTGGGCTGCATTCTAAGCCTGACTTCATGGCTCCAAGAGAGCTGCTACAGTTCCAACAGCTAGATGCTTCCTCGTTCAGACCTGCCTTAGAAGAGAGAAGAGACCTTTGTCCCACCATCCTTAGAGCAAATTTTGAAATTCATTCTGATTGGACAAGCTTAAGTCGCATATCTATTTCTAAAATTATTACTCAGGCCAGGATGTGAGGAATCAGAGTGGAACATATTGACTAGCTTAGACTAGGTCACATAGTTCATTTCCACAGCCAGAGGTCCAGTCAGCCTCTCCAGAACTGTTTGGATTTGGATATCCAAATCAAATACAAGCTTGTTAGATGGAACAAGGGTGGTGAGGATGCAATTGCCATATACCCAAATGTCTACTAGAAGATTAAATAGAGAAAGGTGCATCCAGAGGTACAAAGAGCTAGGAACAGCTAGAATTCCTTTGTTCCCAGTGCTCTTAATGTCCAACAATCCTTCATTTATCCAAACGCGTCTCTTAGAAAGCAGATTGAATCTGGCTCTATTTAGTTGCCACATAAAAACCCATTTCCACTGGATTAGATCTGGATTATAAGATTTATACTAGGTATAGCTGGAAAGGAAAAGATATAAAGTGACAAACTTGAGGAAAGCCATGACAAAGTCATTGACAGAAGACAAGGTTTGAAATTTGGAGAGATTTTGTCTAAACAAGAAGCTCCTGGTGTCTGAGACAGAGTAGAAGTAGAAGTCAAAGATGGAGTCTGATGTCCTGAGCTGGGTGGAGGCAGTCCAACTAATCCACACACTCACGATGAGCTCACTGATCTACATAGACAAGCTATAAAAACACAAGGCTCAGATCAACTGCCTTGGGACCTGCTTTACTCATTCCCAGCATGCTTTCACATTAATCCTGTTGCCACTGAAGAAGAAACTATCTTCCAAGGGCTCTAAATGTCATTTTTATGTTTGCCTGGTCTGTCCTAGATTCTAGAAGAAAAGTCATCTGATAGCCACAGTGCTGTGGCTAATATAAGAGCAGATCTTTGGCAACAGTTAATGAGGTGTCTCCTAGACATCAGTGAATAGCCTGCAAGATTTGTCAACACCTTCCTCATATTGGTTCTTAATTTATGTTTCAAGAGAAAAGATTCCAGCAAATCTTTTCCTCAGAAAACCTATTTCTGTTAAACAGGAGGAAACCACTGATACAGCTAAAAGCCTGACTAAGCAAAGTAAATAATAATCTCACTTACAAATTTATTGATTATTTATACTCCCCCTTGCCCCTTGTTTTAGTTTGCCTTTGAATTTTCAGCAGTAAAAAGAAAAGCATCATAATATTAAATACAGAGAAACATTCCTAGAGATGTCATTTGTATTTACGGTTCTCAGATTGAAGCCCTTGTATCTTATACTTCATTTAGACATTTTTTTATGGAGACTTTTCCTTATGAGGTTATGTTGAAGTTTCACTATATGCAAATATGTGGATGTATATGGTGTATTTATTTTTTAAAATCCCTTTGGGAGTCTGTTGATTGCCTGTCCCTCTCTTTCTTTTTTACCTTTCTATTCATCTGTTGCTTGATTTTCTTTCTTCCTCCCTCCAGTATGTTTATGCATTCAGAGAACAGTCTTAAGGGAAAAGCCTGTGATTTATCATTACACTATAATGGGTGCCCTGCTTCCGCTGAAGGAGGTCAACCTCTCTTAGAGATACCACAGTCCCTCCTTATTAACGTTCTGTTCCCACTAATGGCTTGGGGTAGGGCAGCCAGGTCTTACAAGGAAGGCATTTAAGAAGAGCACTTTGTTTAATGGAAGCTGGGGGGTTTTACAGGGACACACATAGCACCAAGCTCTCTGGTAAGAGTGACACAATCACAGATAAAGAACACCCTCTCCTCACTAGACGCAAAAAGAGAATGGGCTTTTGAAAAAATCGGTATGCCCTTTCCCCTCACTCCCGTACTCAGTTGCTCCTGTGTATTTCTGATTGCTATTCCATGATACCTCTACAATTACTGCCCCTTTCTTACTCTCACTCTTCTTATTTCAGGCCCTCCATCATGTATTTTTCAGTCTTTAATAGCATTCTTTCTTTGGTCTACCCTACTGCCCATTCTCTTTCTAAGTCACTGGTTTTATCACTACCTTGTTAAAACCTTTTGCACTTATAAAATAAAGTTCAGATTCATTAGCTAAGGTCCTCTCCAGTCTCACTCTGGTTCCTACTTTCCTTAAGCTGCAGCTACACTCATCTACCTGCCACTTCTTGAAACCGGAACCCAGGAGATCAGAACGTAACTGGAAAGCGTGAAGTGGGACAATCTGAAAGCATCCAGATTCAATTGTGCGTGAAGGCAAAGAAAATAACAGCATGCCCTTTTAAAATATTGGTTTGAAGTGATATGGAGACACTACTTTGGAGCATTTTCCTCTTTGCATTTCCACTCTTGGCACAGTGCTTGGCCCATGGTGAGTATTTTTAAAAAGTAGCAAATAATAAAACAAAGTTGATAAAACTCTAAAAATAATTTTAAAAAGGAATGAGGCATGGGGACTTAATTTAAAAGTGTAGAGCCAAGGAATGAGAAGTGATTTTTAAATTTCGTCCTCTATGTAATGGTGCATGATGAGCTTCAGAGAATAGTACCAGTGCCATTTTCCATTTTGTGTATTTAAGTTCATCCTAATTATCTTCAATATCAATTATTCATTATGATGGCAAACTGGGCAATACTTCACATAGGCATGTTTGTGACATGATATGATTTATCATCACCCTCCAGAAGGAGGTGAAGAGGCAGACTGACCACAATCACAAAGTGACCATCCCAGTGTTCACAGAGAATAGAGACACAATTTTTTTTATTTATTTTTATTTTTCACTTTTTTTTTGAGACAGTCTCGCTCTGTCCCCCAGGCTGGAGTGCAATGGCGCAAACTTAGCTCAGCGCGATCTCGGGTTCTAGAGATTCTCCTGCCTCAGCCTCCTGAGTAGCTGGGATTACAGGTGCCTGCCACCACGTCTGGCTAATTTTTGTATTTTTGGTAGAGACGGGGTTTCACCATGTTGGTCAGGCTGGTCTCAAACTCCAATTTTTTAACTTCCCTTAATATCATCAACCTTAAATGTTGCAATAAATTGAGTCAGCTATGTTGCTGTCTTAATCTATTGCAAACCAAAGAACACTGATGCTCTTCTTTTCAGACTTGTGTTTATTGTCATATAGGTTTGACCTATTATTTAATGAATAGTCTCTGTACCAGCTTGCTCTTAATCCATGTTCTGAGTTGATTTTAAAATTCAACACGCCAGTATGATGAAAGGCTGTAAATATTGTAAGCATCCATCTTGTACAGATTAGTTAAATAAATAACTTCACCAATATAAAACAGAATATTATGTAACCATAAAAAAGAATGAAATGGTAAGTAGATCTATATGTCTTCACATAAAAATATACCCAAGCTATGTTTCAAGTTAAAGAAAAATCAAGTTCCAGAATATTATTTATTGACTCCCCCTCTTGTGTCAACTTGGTGCACCTTCTTTTACAGCCTCACTTATCCACCCCAAAACACACTTCTAAAAGGCTAGATAAAAAGTTGTTAATAATCTTTTAATAATCTGTGCCCAAGGGGAGTAGAACTGGTGGAGATGCATTGGTTAGGAAAGATCATTTTTATTTGAATGTCTTACCAAGAAAACATTTAATCTTATAGTAAGAATGTTAATTTTAGATATCAGGAGTCCAAGAGCAAAGTTTATTTATTCTAGGCCTACAAGATGTGAATTTTTTTTAACCTGTGTTTAGCAACCACAGTGATGGTGAGCATAGGTAGAGAGGTGGCTTTGTCATAAAACCAATACAATAATCCTAAGGAATAGTGATTGATTCATTGATCCACCCATCCATTCATCATGTCATGTCCCATCTATCTATTTTTGTCAGCTTGGGCTGCTATTAAAAAAATACCATAGACTTTGTGGCTTAAGAAACAAACGCATATTTCTCACCAGCATGAAGACTGAGAAGTACAAGATCAAGGCATTGACAGATCTGGTGTCTGATGACGACAATCTTCCAGGTTTTCATATGGCCATCTTCTTCTTCTATCTTCACATGGCAGAGGGAAAGAGAGCCCTGGTTTTTTCTTCTTCTTGTAAGAGCACTAATCCCAGTATGAGGGCTGCACCCCCATGATATCTTCTAAACCTAATTATCTACCAAAGGCTCCCATCAGCACATTGGGAAGTAGGACCCCAAAGTATGAACTTTGGGGGACCCAAACATTCAGTCCTTACCTCTTTTTCTCATTTATCTATACATCTACCTATATATACCTAGAGAGAGTTAAGTTTTATCATATGATTAGAATGTGCTCCTTCAGCACAGAATTTTTATTTTCCAATATTCCACTTCTAAAACTTCCTGCTTCTTCCTCCACCAATTTTTCTTTTCTTTCTTTTTTTTTTTTTTTTCGAGATGGAGTTTTGCTCTCGTTGCCCAGGTTGGAGTGCAATGGGGTGATCTCAGCTCACCGCAACCTCCACCTCCTGGGTTCAAGCAATTCTCCTGCCTCAGGCTCCCGAGTAGCTGGGATTACAGGCACGCGCCACCACGCCCAGCTAATTTTGTATTTTTAGTAGAGACAGGGTTTCTTTTATTTTTTTTTTAATTTTATTATTATTATACTTTAAGTTTTAGGGTACATGTGCACAATGTGCAGGTTTGTTACATATGTATACATGTGCCATGTTGGTGTGCTGCACCCATTAACTCGTCATTTAGCATTAGGTATATCTCCTAATGCTATCCCTCCCCCCTCCCCCCACCCCACAACAGTCCCCAGTGTGTGATGTTCCCCTTCCTTTGTCCATGTGTTCTCATTGTTCAGTTCCCACCTATGAGTGAGAACATGCGGTGTTTGGTTTTTAATCCTTGCGATAGTTTGCTGAGAATGATGGTTTCCAGCTTCATCCACATCCCTACAAAGGACATGATCTCATCATTTTTATGGCTGCATAGTATTCCACGGTGTATATGTGCCACATTTTTTTAATCCAGTCTATCATTGCTGGACATTTGGGTTGGTTCCAAGTCTTTGCTATTGTGAATAGTGTCACAATAAACATACGTGTGCATGTGTCTTTATAGCGCATGATTTATAATTCTTTGGGTATATAACCAGTAATGAGATGGGTGGGTCAAATGGTGTTTCTAGTTCCAGATCCCTGAGGAATCGCCACACTGACTTCCTCAATGGTTGAACTAGTTTACAGTCCCACAAACAGTGTAAAAGTGTTCCTATTTCTCTACATCCTCTCCAGCACCTGTTGTTTCCTGACTTTTTAATGATCGCCATTCTAACTGGTGTGAGATGGTATCTCATTGTGGTTTTGATTTGCATTTCTCTGATGGCCAGTGATGATGAGCATTTTTTCATGTGTTTTTTGGCTGCATAAATGTCTTCTGCTGAGAAGTGTCTGTTCATATCCTTTGCCCACTTTTTGATGGGGTTGTTTGTTTTTTTCTTGTAAATTTGTTTGAGTTCATTGTAAATTCTGGATATTAGCCCTTTGTCAGATGAGTAGGTTGCAAAAATTTTCTCCCATATTGTAGGTTGCCTGTTCACTCTGATGGTAGTTTCTTTTGCTGTGCAGAAGCTCTTTAGTTTAGTTAGATCCCATTTGTCAATTTTGGCTTTTGTTGACATTGCTTTTGGTGTTTTAGACATGAAGTCCTTGCCCATGCCTATGTCCTGAATGGTATTGCCTAAGTTTTCTTCTAGGGTTTTTATGGTTTTAGGTCTACCATTTAAGTCTTTAATCCATCTTGAATTAATTTTTGTATAAGGTGTAAGGAAGGGATCCAGTTTCAGCTTTCTACATATGGCCAGCCAGTTTTCCCAGCACCATTTATTAAATAGGGAATCCTTTCCCCATTGCTTGTTTTTCTCAGGTTTGTCAAAGATCAGATAGTTGTAGATATGCGGCATTATTTCTGAGGGCTCTGTTCTGTTCCATTGGTCTATATCTCTGTTTTGGTACCAGTACCATGCCGTTTTGGTTACTGTAGCCTTGTAGTATAATTTGAAGCCAGGTAGCATGATGCCTCCAGCTTTGTTCTTTTGGCTTAGGATTGACTTGGCAATGCAGGCTCTTTTTTGGTTCCATATGAACTTTAAAGTAGTCTTTTCCAATTCTGTGAAGAAAGTCATTGGTAGCTTGATGGGGATGGCACTGAATCTATAAATTACTTTGGGCAGTATGGCCATTTTCATGATATTGATTCTTCCTACCCATGAGCATGGAATGTTCTTCCATTTGTTTGTATCCTCTTTTATTTCCTTGAGCAGTGGTTTGTATTTCACCTTGAAGAGGTCCTTCACGTCCCTTGTAAGTTGGATTCCTAGGTGTTTTATTCTCTTTGAAGCAATTGTGAATGGGAGTTCACTCATGATTTGGCTCTCTGTTTGTCTGTTATTGGTGTATAAGAATGCTTGTGATTTTTGTACATTGATTTTGTATCCTGAGACTTTGCTGAAGTTGCTTATCAGCTTAAGGAGATTTTGGGCTGAGACGATGGGGTTTTCTAGATATACAATCATGTCATCTGCAAACAGGGACAATTTGACTTCCTCTTTTCCTAATTGAATGCCCTTTATTTCCTTCTCCTGCCTGATTGCCCTGGCCAGAACTTCCAACACTATGTTGAATAGGAGTGGTGAGAGAGGGCATCCCTGTCTTGTGCCAGTTTTCAAAGGGAATGCTTCCAGTTTTCATCCATTCAGTATGACATTGGCTGTGGGTTTGTCATAGAGAGCTCTTATGATTTTGAGATATGTCCCATCAATACCTAATTTATTGCGAGTTTTTAGCATGAAGTGTTGCTGAATTTTGTCAAAGGCCTTTTCTGCATCTATTGAGATAATTATGTGGTTTTTGTCTTTGGTTCTGTTTATATGTTGGATTATGTTTATTGATTTTCGTATGTTGAACCAGTCTTGCATCCCAGGGATGAAGCCCACTTGATCATGGTGGATAAGCTTTTTGATGTGCTGCTGGATTCGGTTTGCCAGTATTTTATTGAGGATTTTTGCATCAATGTTCATCGAGGATATGGGTCTAAAATTCTCTTTTTTTGTTGTGTCTCTGTCAGGCTTTGGTATCAGGATGATGCTGGCCTCATAAAATGAATTAGGGAGGATTCCCTCTTTTTCTATTGATTGGAATAGTTTCAGAAGGAATGGTACCAGCTCCTCCTTGTACCTCTGCTAGAATTCGGCTGTGAATCCATCTGGTCCTGGAATTTTTTTGGTTGGTAATTATTATTAATTATTGCCTCAATTTCAGAGCCTGTTATTGGTGTATTCAGAGATTCAATTTCTTCCTGGTTTAGTCTTGGGATGGTGTATGTGTGCAGAAATTTATCCATTTCTTCTAGATTTCCTAGTTTATTTGTGTAGAGGTGTTTATAGTATTCTCTGATGGTAGTTTGTATTTCTGTGGGATCGGTGGTGATATCCCCTTTATCATTTTTTATGGCGTCTATTTGATTCTTCTCTCTTTTCTTCTTTATTAGTCTTGCTAGTGGTCTATCAATTTTGCTGATCTTTTCAAAAAACCAGCTCCTGGATTCATGGATTTTTTGAAGGGTTTTTTTGTCTCTATCTCCTTCAGTTCTGCTCTGATCTTAGTTATTTCTTGCCTTCTGCTAGCTTTTGAATGTGTTTGCTCTTGCTTCTCTAGTTCTTTTAGTTGTGATGTTAGGGTGTCGATTTTAGATCTTTCCTGCTTTCTCATGTGGGCATTTAGTGCTGTAAATTTCCCTCTACACATTGCTTTTAATGTGTCCCAGAGATTCTGGTATGTTGTGTCTTTGTTCTCATCAGTTTCAAAGAACATCTTTATTTCTGCCTTCATTTCGTTATGTACCCAGTAGTCATTCAGGAGCAGGTTGTTCAGTTTCCATGTAGTTGAGCAGTTTTCAGTGAGTTTCTTAATCCTGAGTTCTAGTTTGATTGCACTGTGGTCTGAGAGACAGTTTGTTATAATTTCTGTTATTTTACCTTTGCTGAGGAGTGCTTTACTTCCAACTATGTGGTCGATTTTGGAATAGGTGTGGTGTGGTGCTGAAAACAATGTGTATTCTGTTGATTTGGGGTGGAGAGTTCTGTAGATGTCTATTAGGTCCGTTTGGCGCAGAGCTGAGTTCAATTCCCGGATATCCTTGTTAACTTTCTGTCTCATTGATCTGTCTAATGTTGACAGTGGGGTGTTAAAGTCTCCCATTATTATTGTGTGGGAGTCTAAGTCTGTTTGTAGGTCACTAAGGACTTGCTTTATGAATCTGGGTGCTCCTGTATTGGGTGCATATATATTTAGGTTAGCTCTTCTTGTTGAATTGATCCCTTTACCATTATGTAATGGCCTTCTTTGTCTCTTTTGATCTTTGTTGGTTTAAAGTCTGTTTAGGATTGCAACTCCTGCCTTTTTTTGTTTTCCATTTGCTTGGTAGATCTTCCTCCATCCCTTTATTTTGAGCCTATGCGTGTCTCTGCATGTGCGATCGGTTTCCTGAATACAGCACACTGATGGGTCTTGACTCTTTATCCAATTTGCCAGTCTGTACCTTTTAATTGGAGCATTTAGCCCATTTACATTTAAGGTTAATATTGTTATGTGTGAATTTGATCCTGTCATTATGATGTTAGCTGGTTATTTTGCTTGTTAGTTGATGCAGTTTCTTTCTAGCCTTGATGGTCTTTACTATTTGGCATGTTTTTGCAGTGGCTGGTACTGGTTTAGTGTTTCCTTCAGGAACTCTTGTAAGGCAGGCCTGGTGGTGACAAAATCTCTCAGCATTTGTTTGTCTGTAAAGGATTTTATTTCTACTTCACTTATGAAGTTTAGTTTGGCTGGATATGAAATTCTGGGTTGAAAATTCTTTTCTTTAATAATGTTGAATATTGGCCCCACTCTCTTCTGGCTTGTAGAGTTTCTGCCGAGAGATCAGCTGTTAGTCTGATGGGCTTACCTTTGTGGGTAACCCGACCTTTCTCTCTGGCTGCCCTTAACATTTTTTTCCTTCATTTCAACTTTGGTGAATCTGACAATTATGTGTCTTGGAGTTGCTCTTCTCGAGGAGTATCTTTGTGGTGTTCTCTGTATTTCCTGAATCTGAATGTTGGCCTGCCTTGCTAGATTGGGGAAGTTCTCCTGGATAATATCCTGCAGTGTTTTCCAACTTGGTTCCATTCTCCCCGTCACTTTCAGGTACACCAATCAGACGTAGATTTGGTCTTTTCACATAGTCCCATATTTCTTGGAGGCTTTGTTCATTTCTTTCTATTCTTTTTTCTCTAAACATCTCTTCTCGCTTTATTTCATTCATTTCATCTTCCATCGCTGATACCCTTTCTTCCAGTTGATCGCATAGGCTACTGAAGCTTGTGCATTCATCATGTAGTTCTTGTGCCATGGTTTTCAGCTTCATCAGGTCCTTTAAGGACTTCTCTGCATTGGTTAGTCTAGTTAGCCATTCGACTAATTTTTTTTTAAGGTTTTTAACTTCTTTGCCATTGGTTCAAACTTCCTCCTTTAGCTTGGAGTAGTTTGATCTTCTGAAGCCTTCTTCTCTCAACTTTTCAAAGTCATTCTCTGTCCAGCTTTGTTCCATTGCTCGTGAGGAGTTGCGTTCCTTTGGAGGAGGAGAGGTGCTCTGATTTTTAGAATTTCCAGTTTTTCTGCTTTGTTTTTTCCACATCTTTGTGTTTTTATCTACCTTTGGTCTTTGATGATGGTGACGTACAGATGGGTTTTTGGGGTGGATGTCCTTTCTGTTTTTTAGTTTTCCTTCTAACAGTCAGGACCCTCAGCTGCATGCAGGTCTGTTGGAGTTTGCTGGAGGTCCACTCCAGACCCTGTTTGCCTGGGTATAAGCAGCGGTGGCTGCAGAACAGTGGATATTGGTGAACCTCAAATGCTGCTGCCTGATCGTTCCTCTGGAACTTTTGTCTCAGAGGAGTACCCTGCTGTGTGAGGTGTCAGTCTGCCTGCTTCTAGGGGGTGCCTCCCAGTTAGGCTACTCGGGGTTCAGGGACCCACTTGAGGAGGCAATCTGCCCGTTTTCAGATCTCAAGCTGCATGCTGGGAGAACCATTACTCTCTTCAAAGCTGTCAGACAGGGACACTTAAGTCTGCAGCAGTTACTGCTGCCTTTTGTTTGTCTGTGCCCTGCCCCAGAGGTGGAACCTGCAGAGGCAGGCAGGCCTCCTTGAGCTGTGGTGGGCTCCACCCAGTTCGAGCTTCCCGGTGCTTTGTTTAGCTACTCAAGCCTCGGCAATGGTGGATGCCCCTCCCCCAGCCTTGCTGCCACCTTGCAGTTTGATCTCAGACTGCTGTGCTAGCAATGAGCAAGGCTCCGTGCGCGTGGGACCCTCCGAGCCAGGTGCAGGATATAATCTCCTGGTGTGCCATTTGTTAAGCCCTTTGGAAAAGTGCAGTATTAGGGTGGGAGTGACCCAATTTTCTAGGTGCCGTCTGTCACCCCTTTCTTTGACTAGGAAAGGGAATTCCCTGACCCCTTGCACTTCCAGGGTGAGGCAATGCCTCGCCCTGCTTCGGCTCACACATGGTGCGCTGCACCCACTGTCCTGCACCCACTGTCCAGCACTCCCAAGTGAGATGAACCTGGTACCTGAGTTAGAAATGCAGAAATCACCCATCTTCTGCATCGCTCACACTGGGAGCTGTAGACTGGAGCTGTTCCTATTCGGCCATCTTGGCTCCATCCCCCTAGAGATGGGGTTTCTCCATGTTGGCCAGGCTGGTCTCGAACTCCTGACCTCAAATGATCCGCCCGCCTCAGCCTCCCAAAGTGCTGGGATTACAGGCATGAGCCACTGCACCTGCCTCCATTTTTCTACCCTCTTTTCTAGGACGTTTCTGTCAGTTACTATGTGGGAAGCAGTACTTGCTGCTTCTGAGTAGAGAAGATTCTGTGGCAATTCTTGCTACAATTATCACCATAGTGTAGTTCATGAAACACTCACTTCTGCCTGAGGCTTCTTACCCCACACACATGCACAGATGCATGAGTCCCCTTGCAGTGCATTGGCAACACCAATGGGAGGTGCATTCCTGCACTGGAAGATGAAGCAACTAGATGAATTTTAAGAGCCATTCCAACTGTAGTGTTATGATTCTGTAAATATTCCTATTATCAAAGGTGGTATTGTTAGTGAAGAAAGCATAGAAAAAGAGAGAATTTACCCATGGAAATACCACTTTTGACAGAGCATATTTAAGGAGATTGTGTCTTAACCTGTCTTACTTTGTCATTGATTATTGATTATGAATCCTATTACTTAGAAGCCTTCTACAGGCTCACATAGGGCATTGTGTTACATTATATCATTTTCTTTTCTGCATCCTTATATAATGGGGAAGGCACCTGCTTCACTGCACAGAAAGGGGTAAAGCTGGCTTTATGTAATATCTTTTAACATTTTTTTAGAGAAACATGTTTAAAAATACAAACTTGCATTCTAGCATACTTTTGAAATGAAAAAGAAATTAATTTTAACATAATCTATTGATGTATAAGCATAAATATATGATTTATTCCTTTTCTTGATTTAATATGGATTTTTATTCCATGTAGTATTACTTACTGAGTGTGAAGACTAAATTCATCTGTTACTTTTCAATCAGTTATCACCTTATCATTGAATAGAACACAATTACATGCTATTAAATAATTTATTCAATATTGTAGTTGCCAAAAAACAATAAACTATTCAATTGTTCTTTGCAGGTATTTAATAACTATACACAGCATAAAATAATTTGACATTATTAAGCAATTACCATTTAATTATTATAGTTAGCAAAATCCATTTGGCATTCAATCAATTTTTCCACAAGTATGTTATTTAGTAAATTATATTTAATTCAGCCTTCAAATCAAGATAAATTTAAAAATCACAAACTTCTCAGCATAATTTTAAGAACATTAAAAAGTTCAAAATGTTAAAGATAGTTTTCAAAGATATGAACCTCAAAAGAAAGTACACTGACAAGTTTTGCAAAATTGCAACTTCTGATAGATCCATGTCACTTCACTTTTGGATCTCAAACTATATACCATGATAAAATTATTAAATCTTCTTTAAGATGGTAGTGTTCATACATTTAAAAAATTATTTACTTTAGCCAACTTCAATCAAGCTTTTCTAGTTTTGATTGCTTTCATCTCTGCTACCTACAGAGCTTGTCTTTTACTATAGATTTTGTCACCACATCGTATTTAATCTAGTGTTTTATTATATAATGTATTATTGCTCTATACTTTTTTATGTACACAAATTCTTCCCTCCATCAAAATGTTAACTTCCTTAAGAGCAGAGAAGAAAATGTGTGGGCGAGTGTGTGCACAAACGTGTTTTTCTCTCCAGCTATTTAACAGATTATTGTACATATGGTGGGAACTGAATTTAATGGAAACAAAACAAATTGGGTTGACTATTGAAATAGATCTTTGACCAAAGCTTGTGGAGTTCTTTCTGAAGAAGCTGTAAGATTTAAACAAATTTAATGATCCAATGACAAGGTTTTATAAAACCAACTATATCCAATTTTCTGGATTAATTGTTCAATCAGATTCCTGCATCCCAACTCTGTTTTATTTATTAAGACCAAAGTAATTAAAAATTCAAAGTAGTCAATACTGCCATTTTAGCCCTTTGAAAGACCATCTAAAATGGCTTAGAGTCAGCTATTATCAAAGCAACTCGGAAGAGAAAGTGATCAAGTTGTGCTTCCTTTGGCTGAGTGGAATGAACATGACATGTCTTTTATGTTACCCTTTTTAATTCTTCCAATGATTTTACTTTTCAACAGTGTTTTCAAAGTACTTCAGTTTATATTTTACCTCTCGTTGAGGTCCAACAGTCAAAATCTCACTTTCATTTAAAGGTCCAACTCAAATATTTTGTCTTTGTGAGGCCTTCACAGATCCTTCCTTCCTAACCTGCCTCCCCCATATTTTTTGTCTTCACCCTGGTGGATAACACTATGTGTCACTCTCCATTGAGGCATTTATCATTTGGAGGCGCAGCCAGTAAGGTATAGGCCTATATCTTCTTTTCCTTCCCAAATGCAAGCTCTTTCAGAACAGAGAGTTTTTTATATATGTGTGTTTACCCAGAACATGAATATAGCAAGCACTTGGTAATTACTGGATGAAAACAAATAACATTTCAAAGAAAAGTAGGAAGGGATTGAGAAATAGTAAATGCAGAGAAGCAACTACACCTAGGTGGAGCATGACGGAATCTCATCTCAACCTCTTAATTGGCTACTGTCCCATTCAAACATAATTGATAGTAGTGGGAGTTGGGATGGGGATGAGATCCAGGAAAGCAGAACAGAATATCCCAAATTTATCCACCTCTTACATCACTTTTTCCTGTGGTCCACCCTACTCGCTGCTTTGCTGAAACACAGTTTGTCACAGTTAATATACTCAGCTCTGTTCTGAGCTCAGCACCTCTGGAGTCTATCACCTCAGATTTCACAGCATCTCTGGCTTCTCCCAACACTCCGCCCACCCCAATTTGATGAAGTCAGGTACAGAAATTTTCCCACAGCTGTGCAGATCTAAATAGTGCCAGGGGTCCTGCCTGTTTCAATCTGAAAAGTTTTTTTTTTCTTTTTCAATACATGTGTTGACTTGTCAACATTGATGGAATTGGTTTGCTTCCTACTTTTCATTCAGCTAGTGAGGAGCCAAAAGTGAATTGTTAGCTGTATATTAGTTCCTCTTGCCATTTCTAAAACTGCTGTAATGTACTGTGGTTGCAAGTAGAGTCAAAACTCAGTGATTAGTTAAAAAAAAAAACAAAAAACTCTCTGCCTCCCTTAATTTTCCTTTCCAACTTGAAAGGAAAAGAGGCTTCAACCCATTTGCATTTTAAATTCAAAATATGTATTTAAGGCACTTAACAGGGTCCTCTGCATGTTGACAGCTTCCTTTTTAACTTATCCCAGACTGGGCTCTGTAATGTGTTGTGTCTTAATTTGCAGAATATGTGCACTAGCATAATGTTTAATTAGACTTTGGTGTCAACTTTAAATCTAAAACCATCAGCATCTAATGAAATATCAAAAGCATTTGGCTTCTGCATGACAGATCTCCTGCAAGAAATCAACTTCCTCTGATTAAATCATTTAAAAATAAATAAATAATAAAAACGAGCAGCCAATGAGAAGAAAGTGAACCCAGATGCACAGATGAGATGTTCCTCTGGCCATAGCTGCCAGACACAAGAAAATAGAGTGGAGGTGACTGTCAAGGGAAATCAGATACATCTTTCCTTATTTAATTAGTAGAATTCTGAACAGATGGCTGTAGATTAAGTTAATGCATATAAAATTATTTTCTCATTGGCTAACATCATGAAGGTGGGCTTCATTTTTATTTATATTTTAAGTTGAATTCAGGAACCATAATGAGAACTAAGTTGTAATCTCTGCCTTCAAGAAGACTACAACCTCATAGTTGGGATAAATCAGGTATGGAACAGTAAAACCAGGTAAATTATTAGTTGATGACCTTAAGAAAGACACTTAGCCTTTATTAACCTCAATTTTTTTCTATAAAATGATAATGATACTAATTTCAGTCTTCAAGTATTGTCAGGCAGATAAAATGATAATAGATGTAAAATATTCTTCTTAATTCAGTGCCTAACATATAGTAAGTACTGAATATTATTTCAGATATTATGAGTTACCCATTGACAATTTTTTGGAGAGTAAAAATTGATGAAACCAGTCTATATTAGTTTCTTATTGCTGCTTTGTGTTGCTTCAGTAATTCAGTGTCTACTGAAATGACTTGTGTCTCTAAAGCCTAGCTCTTTGACCTTTAGAGAACTCACAAGCCTAAGGATTATGAAGTTCAGTTTCTGTCTTTATCTTTGGTCTCCAACCAAAGTAGCTAGTATTCCCCTTCATTGAAAGTTGTTCTGATTTAGGAAAGTTACACATTCTTAAACAAAAGTGATTTCTCTGGATAGAAGTAGCTTTTCCCACCTGCCTCATGAGAGATACTCTCCTTATCCCACCAGAGAAGAGTCATTGTTGGGCTTCATATATAAAATGGTTTACCACTCTGTGTTCTATGAATAGGCTTCTGAGCTATAAAGACCTTCAAACTTCTGGGTGACAGAGAGAGACCTTTATTTCTCTGATTCTGGCAATAATCCAAAAAGGTAGTTATCATTAAGATCCCATTTCACAGATAAGAAAAGGATGCTCAAAGTTAAGGGATTTATACAAGTCTATATTATAAACATAGAATTAGAGCTTGAATCTACATCTTTCATTTTTTTACCTATACTTTACACATCTTATATATTTATGCATTCAAATGCCACGTAGCCATCAAGGCCATAAGGACTTAAGTTTTTGTTTGTTTGTTTATTTTGAGAGACCAAGAATCATGGTAAGAAATTTTAATTCTTATATATGTATGTATTTAGACATGCTGAGAGGAAACTAACAATCAACTTCAAATTGAGGAAGGAGTTGTATACTGACTAATGTACCTCCATCAGTTAGCGTGCAGCTTGGCTAACACCCAGAAACTAAAGGTGAAAGAGTTCAGCCACTGAAGTTTTAACTGTCTTAGTCCCTCGGGAGTCTCTGCAGCAAGAGTCAGGACTGGGCCACCTTTTGCCGATTGTTTTGGTGAATTTTATTTTGGGGGAACACACACACACACACACACACACTCTCTCACACATACACATACACACCCCACCTCTGTTCCATTTCTGCCAGGTTCTTAGTGCCTTCATTCATTGTGCTACAGGGCTCACTCTAAATGTTCAGGCCATCTGCTCAAGGAATGATGCCTTCACCACAATTATCTAATGATATTACAGCAAATATTAAATACAGCATAAATAACAAGGGTGACTCCACTCAAAGTAAAGAAAAACAGGAGGATTCAACACCAAATCTAGTGCCAAGTATATGTCTTAGGTATAAAATATGCATTTACATCTTTGAAAGGCAATGAAAGAAGAATTAAAAACCAATATGAACTGACCTGGCATACTGGTTTGACTTAGAGAACACTTGGCTCTTAACAAGCTGTTTAAAATGACCAGGTGTTTGGGGCAATAACTATGTATTTGCCATTGCCTCCTAGATTGTGTCAAATCATGGGTCGAAAATTGGTGACCCACTTGTATACCCACCTGCATATTCTGTTCAGTACAACCCAGTGTTCATGAAATTGAATTTGAATATCTTTAGAAAGGACATGGTCTTACTGTTCGTCCACAGCTAACCTTGCTCTATTATACCAATCTTTTCCTATATTTAAATTGCCTGCCTGGAACCTGAATACATGTGTTTGCAACTGTGGATCCAAACTGTACTGTATCTTTTGTTGGCCTATTATTTATAGACTCTAAGCTTTGATCGCTTCTATGAGTATTCCCAACTGTTTCTTCATAAAAGACACTCTCACATTTGCAAGGTATTTGTTCAATATGTCAAATAGGACTGAAACTACATTATTTGCAGGACTCAATGCAAAATGAAAACACGTGGTTTCTTATTAAAAAATTATTAAGAATTTTAAGATAGCGCCAGCAGAGCACTAAAACAAAGCTCTGGGTCCTTCTGAGCATGAGGAACTAGGCAACTGTCCAGTCTGGATATCCATGAAGCTAGCTCTGATGCCCAGGGCTGGGAGGACAACATTCTTAGTCTACATTCTTCAGTACATCAAGGGTTCTCCACCACATAGTCATCTAGCTCAAATGGAATGAGTATTTATAGAGTGAGAGAGACAGTTGGGGCTCTTATCTATATTAAACCTGCCAAGAAAGTTGAACCAATTTTGTTTGATGAGGGCTCACTTAGCAGAAAAAATAAGGAGCAACAGTCTTTTGCTCTCAATGATTTCTTGCAAACCTTCTGACTTATTGAGGCTGAAATCCTATATAGATCATCACTATCTTAAGTACCAAGGCAATATAATACATTATTTCTTTATTGCTACTTTATTATGTGGCAACATAAAATAATCCTTCCTTCCATGGATCTTATATTTTATATTTATTGTAATAATTGGAGTTGAAACAAGCCAGAAAGCAATGGATTTTGTTATGAAAAGGTATTTAGTATAGCAAGAGAGTTTGATACCTTTTTATACAAAGACTTGCAAGAGTAATCAGAAATCTTTGCCCTGGGAAAGAAATGAAGGGATCCCCAGTTAAAGCTGGAAAACGGATCATAAACTTTTATCTCTGCCCCCTCCTGAAATTCTACTATTATTGTATGGAATAATTTTAAATAATGTATAAATCAATAAACTCAAAAGAAGAGAGAAGAACATGGTACTAGATAAAAGGTAATACTTTTGAAAAGAGAAAGCAGATAGACTACTTGTAACTCACATAGCAGAGCAAAAATATCAAAACTCAAGCCTTTAGTTCAGGGGCCAAAAATAAGCCACTCAATTCAAGCTTCAGAACACTCAAAAGGCTTGGAAATTGGAGGAACCCCCTATCTCTGAGGGTGGAGATATAAAGGGACTGAAATGGGAAGATTGCCTGAAAGTTTGTTTGAAGTTCACTTGATCCCCCAAGGCCCTTTTTCACTTTCTCATATAGGTGATTACTTTCTCTCCATCCTAACAGGAATAAGCAGTTTTACTCTCTGAGGAAAATGAATCAGAGGGGTTCCAAGCAAAGGAATATACCAGGCATATTAGAGAAAGATCTGGTGCCTAAGGGGGAAGGATGTTAAGTAAAAGCGTTCAGTCCCAATTAAAAGATTCTCCAGTCTTACCACCCATTTTCCCTTTGTAATGTAGACAGCTTAGGTCTTCCAGGCAAGAGATTGGAGGCTAGCCCTCTCAGGAGAGCAACCTTCAAAGAGAAAAGACTTACAGAAACTGACATTTGGGGGAATTTGCAATGAAAGTATATGGTCCCTGCCTAATCACCACACAGTGAATGCCAGTAGTCATCAAGTCCTTTCCAAGCACATAGAGCTTCTAGTGGGCCTTTTAATAACTCTCTCAAAAATGGACTGTCAAAGGTCCATATTTGTAAAAAGCATCTAACATTAAAGAATTTCAAGATAGTGCCAGCAGAGCACTAAACAAAGCTCTGGGTTCTTCTGAGCATGGGAAATCAACAAGTATGAAAATCAACAAGTATGAAAAAAGAACTTCACAGGAAACAAAGACAATTTCAAAGAGAAGAAAGCTTTCATAACCCCATTGTAGTTACTATCTTCAGAGAGAGAAGAGATTATATTATACTAATAAACTTTGAGTAGGATATTTTAAAAATGAAAAGTCACAGAACAGAAAGAGCTTCAGAAAATTAAAAATATAGTAGTAAAAATAGAAAATTCAATGGAAGAGTTGGAAGATAACATTGAAAACATATCAGTAAACTGTAATTCCAAATCTCAACAAGCCAGGTTCTCACTTGATTATCTCACAGAAGTCCAGATTTGATTTTTCTCCAATGTTCCCTTCCAATAAAATATCTGAGAATTCTCACTTGTGCTTACAGGAGTAATCTATGTAGCTTCTTTTCACTTTCCAATTTTTCTATAGGTCCCCGTAACAAATGTCAGGACCTCAGCCTTCATCCTTCTTGGTTCTTTTTAGGATGTACCAAATGCAGTGGCAGAGGGAGAAGGGATATGGTTCATATATAATAAGAGTTTGTATGTCTCCAGTGTCTCTAAATTGGTGCTAAGGTCTCATTGTCTCTCTGATCTGTTGTCCTCCTCGCTCTGCTTATCTTTACTACTTAACAAAATCTGTGCTCTCCCTGGCCTAGAACACTCTGTACGAATTTAATTCGTAATTTAATTCGTAAACACTCCTTTACGAATTTAATTTATGTAGTAAACCATAACTGGCTGTCAATCAGAATATAATTTTAGCCATTTTCAATGAATGTAAGTCCCACAAGAGCAAAGACTTTTGCTTACATTTTATCCCTAGTGTCTAAAAGAGTGTGATACATAGTAGGCACTCTTTAAATATTCATTAAATCAATGAATTAATGTTCTGCTGAATAAGATCCTAGATTGAAGGAGAAAATGTTTTGCAAATGTAGATATTGGCCCCTATCTCACTGGGCACCTATAGTCATTATTTGCGTAGTTAAGTAGCTTGACATGGCACCAACGGGAGAGTAGACACAATCAGTAACATGGGCACTGAAATTGTATTAGTAATGATCCTACATAGAGTGATCATGCCCATGATTTAGTACTAGGGTGGCCATAGTTTATCATCCAAACTAGCACACTTTTGTGAGTGAAAGGGGGCGATGCAAAAATTGTCAGGTACTAATTGATCTAAAAGAGGCATAGGCAATGAAGGTTGCTTGCAATGAGGATGTCTGATAACCTTATTTGGGTTACTGATTATTTTTATATTGACATAAAAATGATAACATTTTGGTACCAGAGAACATTTAAATTATAAGTTAAATTATTATAAAGCCCATTCCATCAATAAAAGGAAAATTGAATGAGAAGCCAGCTCTAAGATTCTATTATCCTATGAGTGAAAACAGAAAAAAAAAGTATAAGCTTAGATCACAATTTTCAGAAAGAACATACTCAGCTATGATATGGTATTCACAGTAACATTTTCCTTAATGGATCTAGTGCTTTGTATAAATAATTCCATGTCTGCATCTGGATATCAGCATAAGGTCAAGACCTTTTGCCTTTTTTCTGGCCTTGATTCTCCATTATATAATTTTTCTTTTCTCACGATCTTTCTTCTTGTTTTAAAGGAGCAGTTTGCTCTCTCCCATCGAGACCACTTCCTGCAAAAAGCTGGGACCAAGAGGCTGCAGGAGGGCCAGCAGCTCTTAACAGGTTGAGTGAGGGGCTGCCAGGTGATGAATGGATGCATGTGGAGCAAGGTAATAAACCAGTACCCCAGTCATGTAATCTTCCATTAAAATGAAATGCATACCAGGCATGCGGTGCTTCTGCAGCTTGCACCCTCTCCCATAGACGATCATGAATAAAAGAGGAAAGTGTACTGCTGACAGATGCCAGCATGCATAAAGGACACTTCCTATAAAGGCAAAGCTCCGGCTAACAGATGGACTAAAGATGTGAGATGCAGAAAGATTTACCAATCTAAATAATTCAAGGGAATGTCGTATGGCAAGCTAGCACTTTTCAGAGGGAGCCAGCAGAAGGTGCAGATGGAAAGGCAGGCCAAGCCTTTCCCATAAACCCATTAAGAACAGTACTTGTCTGAGCGACAGTATGTCGCAGAAGGCCCAGAGAGAGGCCAGCAAATGAGAAATGTGCTTCTAGAGTTTGTCCCACAAGGTCAAGAGCATATTTAATAGAGAAGGTTGCAGCATTTAATGAGAATGAAAAAAAAGGTGTTATATGTTTCATTGCTCATCCTTCTGCCCTCATTCCTGAGTTCTTCATCTTGTAAGAACTGAAATCATGGAAGATGAGGCCATCCAGAACTTTTTGAGAGGTCTAACAGGCTCAGTCTTCTTGGTTATCTTGGACAGTCAGATGCTAATTCTGGGCCCGAAAGCCAAATTACATGGGTCAGCCCTGCTTCCTGTAAGTGTTTCTTGGAAACATGCAGCTATACACTCTTGCCAGGCCCTGTTGATACTCACTGTCTGTGCCTGCTCATGACATGTTCAATGCTATGTTATCACACATTGTTAGGTTTATTTTCATGTACTTAACCTGTCTTCCAGATCACATTATATACAACTTAAGTAAGGAGTCTCCTCCTAACCCATTGGGGCTTGCTCTGAGTAGGTACCCAATAAATACTTCTTGGTAATGAAACTCTTTCAACTGCAAGGATCCCTCCCTAAAGAGCCTACACATCCTGCACAGCTGTGCCAAAATGTTAGCGTCTCAGGCAAAAAGAATTGTAATAGGCGACATCTTAAAGTGCATTCAGTGGGAGAGCTGGCCAAAACCCCTTCCAGTCTCTGGTAAACTGAGCTATCCTAAGCAAGTCAAAGCCTTCACTCCTTAACTCTAAAACAAATAATTTAACAAAGTAATTTCTAAGCTTTTCTTTAGTGCTTAGTTATATCAGGAAAAAAAATAGAAGACTTTCAGGGAAACTCTTTAGACATTTCAGGCAATGTCTGCATCCATGGCTCACAGACCTTCCAATAACCATCGCTGCATCATGCAAAATGTTCACTAGCATGTTCTGAGATCAGAAACCTAAAGACCATGCATTAAGAATATACATACAAATAACCTATTTTAAGCTAACTTAAACGACTGCCTTTTATTTTGAGACTGTGGCCTTATTTTTGAGGTGATCTTATTGTTTCTTATGAAATAAAATAAATAGTAAAATAGTAGATTTTGTTTTGCTTAAAGCCTCTACTGTGAAAAAAAAAATAGCTGGTGACCCTATGTCTGCTCCCCCTACTCACACAAATGTTTTCTTGTTGCAGTTGTCTTAAGTTTATTGATTGTGAAATTTAAAAGTCTTTGAACTTCAGGCATAAGCCCAGAAAGACGACAGGGTTCCCCTAACTCCAAAAATTAGTGCTGATGCAACGCCGTGGATAGCTTTCAAGAAATAAACATTGGTTTTATAGGTTTCTGTGGATAAAGTTTGTCAATTACTGATAATCATATTCTTGAAAAGCCACACAAAAATCAAATTGTTTCAAATGAGTTCCCAGTTTTCCAGTTCCTTAAATTATCAACCCCAAGGCTTCCTTTTCTTTTTTAAATTGGTTTTCACCTGGAAGCAGCTGCCCCTTCTCCTCTTCCTTCTCAACCTAACTCTTAGACAATTGCTTCAGTTACTAATCTAAAAACCATAAAATAAAGGCTCAAGGGAAGCAACTCAGGCAAGGAACTCTGACATAGATCCTTCTGTAGAGAATCATTTTTAAATCATCTTTAATTTGTCCATTTTATTTATAAATATCAACTATCTTACAGAAAGCTCCATTATCTCATAGTCAAAATCAGTCATTAGTTTACTTGTTAAGTCTTGTGCTATTTATTTCTTGTTTCTTCTCTGTTAATATGTAAGTGTGCATGTATGTGTGTACACTGCGAGTGCACACGTGTGTGTATGTGTGTGTGTGCAGCAATGATCTAGGAAGACATTTTTCAGCTTTTCTTATGGTTTTCTTGAATCCTTGACCAATTTACAATATATTCCATTGGGGGAAAAGGCACATGGTTTTCAGCTCTGAAGTAATGGCCATAGGCACCCTCTCTGTTTCATTGGCACTGGAAATGGTGCAAATAATTTCATCTATCTTTGATTTGATGTATCACCTTATTAGAGACCAACAATGCAATGTTTCACTGTGTTGATATAAGTTAATATACACTGGCTGACCACATCCCACAAAAAAAGTTCTTGCTGGCAACAATGTTCCATGGTCAATTTTTTCCACATTCTGACAGCTCTTAGTATTATAGAAGGCTTTTATTCCAACATCACCAAATCCTTTACCAGCTCTCATTACCTGATACCTTAGTGAAGACAGAAATGGTAGATATCTATCTCAGGCCAGCTGTTAGGGGTGAGAAGTAAGTGCACTGTTCATATTTTTTTTCTATCAGAGCACTCTCTGTTTGAGGTCACAAGAGCAGTTCCATTTAATAAATTACTGGAATTAGAACTCTGAGTGGTCTTGACTTCCAGGGTCTGCAGAGTCTGAAAAAGATGTTGGATTTTTTTCATTTGGCTTTTCTCCTGCCAACAACACCCAACACCCAGGCACTAGGAAAGAGCTGGTATATGCAATTAAATGAGTTACATGAGTTACATGGCCTTGCCCCATGGAGGTCCCTACATTTCAGTTATTTTAAGAATCTCATCAGTATTGCTTCACATTAGCTCCCATGAATCAAATGAGAAAACCATGAAAAGCAAAGCCAACCAGTTATCTCATGTGGGAATCCAGCTGTTACCGCCTTATAAACAGTACTTTTTTGTTAAAAGTTTCTGTCATGAAGGTTTTGACAAGTTATAAATTTCCTTCCCCAGTTTTCCACTTGGGATGTTTTCCATCCAGATTTCAAAACTCAACTTTTAAAGGCCTGCTAGTTTCAAGTATGGTAATAACATTTAAACAACAACAGCAATAAAATATTTATAGACGTCAGTGTTTATTTTCAAGAATCATGTTAAAGGGAAATGAGAGTTCCTCTGAGGAAACTAAGGCAAGAGATGAGACATTTTGAGATGAGATATCCATTGTGAACATACCCAAAATGTCCCCACCCAATAACTTTTCTGTGAGGGCTAATAGTGTATCAGCTCTATCCACATGCAATCAGACTTTTAGCATCTAACTCAAATGTAAATGGATACCCCAGAATCACCAGACTTGGAGGCAAGGATTTAACATGAAAGTTAGAGACCAATACAGGAAAGACAGAAAGAAACTTAGAGAAAAACAGAGAAAATCACAGAGAATATTTTAAAATCCTATAGTTAATATACAAATAGATATTGGCTGCATGAATGAAACAAGATTAGATTCTAGGTATCAGGACTTTCAAAGAGTGAGAAGTTCCCAAGAAAACTATGAGAAGAAAGAAAAACAACATAAATGAAAATCTGAAAGAAATAATAAAATTGAAGTGTTAATGCATAGGATCACACACCTGAATAATATGAGTTCTAGAAAGAGAATAAAAAACAGAGAGAACATTACCAAATATTGACATATTTTCCAAAAGTCAAAGAGATAACATTAAAAGGGCCTGGTGAGAGCTCATCACAGTGGATGGAAACAAATTTCCATTAAGGCTCAATCATGGTGAAGCTGAGAACACCAGGAGTGACCCAGACACTTTTCAGAGAGAAAAAAAATGGGTCTTCTACAAAGGACTGGAACTCAAGGTGGCATTTTTCTTCATAGAAACACCAAACGCCAGAAGCCAATGAAAAAGATAGAAGACAAAAGAGAAATGCCTTTCAATTTCCACCTAGAATTGTTATTCAGCTGAACTAATTAGACAAGATGGTAGAACGAAGACACACCCAAGAATAGCAAACTCTTAACACTTCATTTTTTCATATGTACACTTTCTCAGAAGTTACTGGAGGATTTAAGGTATCCTCTAAAAGTAGGCTTGCACACAAGAGAGAAGTCAAGAAAGAAGATATGAGATCCAAGAAAATGGGGATCTAATATGTGGCAGAGCAATCATCTCAAGTTGATGCTGGTGTGACAGGTCTGAAGCACAACCCTTCTATGGGAGCCAAGGAGGATGTGGTCCAATGGAAATGTCCCCAAACATGCAAGATAAAACAGATAGGTTTCTTCTGTGTTTGACCATCTTGGAGGTAGCTTTGTAAATCTGTCAGAAAGTTTTACTACAATGTCATTTTAAAGTCATAGATAAAAGTCAAGACAGTGGTTATTAATTTGAGAAAAAAATATTTTACAAAGAGGAAGTGTAGTCACAATGAAATCCATGGCTAAGCAATATAGTCATGGGCAGCATAATGAGATTTCAGTCGATGACTGACTGCATTTATGATGGTGGTCCCATAAGATTATAATACTGTATTTTTACTGTACTTTTTCTATGTTTAGATACAAAAATACCTGTCATTATGTTACAATCACCTACATGATTCAGTTCAGTAATATGCTCCACAGGTTTGTCACCTAGAAGCAGTACGTTATACTCTATAGCCTGGGTGTGCAGTAGCCTATGTCATCTAGGTTTGTGTAAGCACACTCTATGATGTTCATACAATGACAAAATGGCCTAATGATGCATTTCTCAGAACACATCCTTGTCTTTAAGTGATGTCTGACTATAATTACATAATCAGCATAACTTAAACATTGTCCAAAGGCAATTCCTGTCAAAATGCCAATGATATTCTTCACAGAAATTTAAAAAAAAATCCTACAATTCATATAAAACCACAAAAGACCCTAATAGCCAAATCAATCTTGAGCAAAAAGAATAATCCCGGAGGCATCACACTACCTGACTTTGAAATATACTACAAAGCTGTAGTAACCCAAACAGCATGGTATTGGCATAAAAACAGACATGTAGACCAATGAAACAGAACAAAGAGCTTAAAAATGAATCCACACATTAACAGCCAGTTGATTATCAATAAAGACGCCTGGAAGACACTGTGAGGAAAGAACAGTGTTTTCAATAATTGGTGTTGAGAAAGCTGAATATCCACAAACAAAGTAATGAAATTAGACCTTTATCTCTTACCATATACAAAAATAAAGGCAAAATGGATTAAAGACTTAAATGTAAAACTGGGATCTGTGAAAATACTAGAAGAAAACATCAGGGAAAGTCTCCATGACATTGGTCTGGGCAACAATTTTTTGGCCATGACCTTAAAAGCACAGGCAACAAAAGCAAAAATAAACAACTGGGATTATACCAAACTAAAATGCTTCTGTGCAGCAAAGGAAACAATCTACAGAGCAAAGAGATAACCTAGGGAATAGGAGAAAATATTTGCAAACTATATTCTGTAAGGGGTAATATCCAAAATATATAAGGAACTTAAAACAACTCAATAGCAAGAAAACAACCCTATTAAAAAATGAGCAAAGTCAGGAGATGAAGACCATCCTGGCTAGCATGGTGAAACCCTATCTCTACTAAAAATACAGAAAATTAGCTGGGTGTGGTGGCAGGCGCCTGTAGTCCCAGCTGCTTGGGAGACTGAGGCAGGAGAACGGTGTGAACCCAGGAGGTGGAGCTTGCAGGGAGCCAAGATTGTGCCACTGCACTCCAGCCTGGGCAACAGAGGGAGACTCCGTCTCAAAAAAAAAAAAAAAAAAAAAAAATGAGCAAAAGACCTAAATAGACATTTCTCCAAGGAAGACACATAAATGACCAACAGGTATATGGAAAAATGTTCAATATCACTAATTATCAGAGTAATGTAAATCAAAACCACAACATATTACTTCACTCCTATCAGAATGGTTATTGTCAAAAAGACAGAAAATAACAAGGGTTGGTGAGGATATTGAAAAAGGAAAATCTTACACATTGTTGATGAGAATATAAATAGTATGGTCATGAAAAATAGTAAGAAGCTTCCTTAAGAGATTAAACATAGAACTGTCATATGTTCCAGCAACCCCACTACTGGGTATACATCCAAAAAAAATGAAATTAGTTCATTGAAGAAATATCTGCACTCCCATGCTTATTGCAGCATTATTCTCAGTAGCTAAAATATGGAATCAACCTAATTGTTTATAAACAGATAAATGGATAAATAAAATATGATACATATGCTCAATGTAATACTATTCAGCCATAAGAAGAAGGAAATCCTGTTGTTTGTGATAACATGGATAGACTTACAGGGCATTATGTTAAGTGAAATAAACCATGCATAGAAAGACAAATACAATGCTCTTCCTCATATGTGGAATCTAAAGAAGTTGATCTCATAATAATATAGAGTAGAATGGTGGTGTGTTAGGCCATTCTTTGTGTTGCTATAAAGAAATACCTAAGGCTGAGTAATTTATAAGAAAAGAAGTTTAATTGACTCACGGTTCTGCAGGCTGCACAAGCATGGCACCAGCATCTGCTTGGCTTCGGCGGATCTTTCACTCACAGTGGAAGGCCAGGTGGGATCAAGCAGGTCACATGGCAGAGTAGGGGCAAGACCAGAGTAGAGGGGAGGTGCCACACCTTGTAAACCATCAGATCTTGTAAGAACTCACTATCGTGAGGACAGCACCAAGCTATGAGAGATCCATCCCCTTGATCCAGTCACATCCCACCAGTCCCTACCTCCAACATTGGGAATTACATTTCAACAGGAGTTTAAGAGAGGATACATATCCAAACTATATCCAGTGATTACCAGAGGCTGGGCGTTTAGGCAGGAGAAGAGGCTGGGGGAATGTTGATAAAGGATGCATAATTACAATTAGATAGGAAGAATAAGTTTAGGAGATCTATTATGCAGCACAGTGACTACAATTCAGTGCCATATTTAATGGTGATGTATTACATTCCTGAAAAACGCAAAGAGAGTGAATGCTAAGTGTTCTCACCACAAAAATGATAACTATGTAAGGCAATGCATTTGTCAAGTAGATTTAACCATTACATAATGGTTCAAAACATATTTTGTACACAATAAATACATTCAATTTTATCTGTCAATGAAAAAACATTGGCTATAGATTTCACTTAATAATTGTGAAATGATTACATTGGGAAAGATGGGGAATGGCATTTCTGTGTGTGAATGTGTGTGCATAGGGGAATGAACTCAAGCCTCGTCTGCTAGGACATCAAAAAGTAATGTCTAAAAATGCAAAGCTAAAACATCAGGTTATAAGTAATATAAGCAGGTTATAATACAGCATGGAAATCAGTTTCAACAGAAATTGCTTAAAAAGGTTGACAATAACTGCTTTTTGAGTGTGGACCTTGGGGTGGGCTGCGGATGGTTGGGACAGGGTACTGTTATCTTTCAATGGATCTTATAGACATATTTGCCCAATTAAATAATATATATTTTATACATAAGGAGTATACTACCACCTATTATAACATCAGGTGTAGGTAAATAAATTTGTGAAAAACAAAGAAAATGTTAAGAAATAAGAAAATCTTACTTTTCAAATCTGTTGGAATTAAAACACAATGGTTCACTTTGTACTTTTCAGTAAAAGGCTATGGCAAATAATGTATCATGACCATGTAAACTTTAATTTCCTGAGAAAGAAGTGATAGAAGTGATAATATCAATTTATTTGAGGACACAATCATTAAAATGTGTCCATATGTTCCATTACACACAAATAGCCTCCTACACACACAAATGCCCCTAATTATATGTACTTAAGTAAAATGAAGCAGAGAACTGAAGTTGGTAAGTACCTTACATATTTTAACTATTCATTCACAAAATGGTTACTGAGCATGAACTCTGGGCTTGGCATTTTGCTACATGCTAGAAATTCCCAAATTAAAAAAAAAAAATCACAAAACTTTCCTAAATGTCTTGATATCAAGAAAAAATAAAGATGGGAGGAGGGTCTTTGGTGTTCAGTGCTTCAAATTTATTGCCAAACCTACCTGAAGAGCTGCTTTTTTCAGTCCGGTTTTCTAGAGCAAACGCTGGAAATGAGTGTTGTCTCTGGAAACAAGTATTTGTGTTTCTTTTTTTGTGGTCAGAGAAGGGGGTTGGAAAATTTAAAATCAATGTTTACTCTGAAAATTAGAACAATTTTTTTTCATGACTTAATTCAACTGGATTTTATTTATTTTTTTACTCATAATTTCTTTGGATGGGAGGGAACACAGTGAGAATTCCAAGCTGCTCTTAGGAGAAGTTCGGCTTTATGTGTAACTAACATAATTGGCACTGTCCCTGTAAATTCAAATTGGATATCCTCCCAAATTTTATTTAAGCAATTGGCCCATCTTTCCTAAGCCTAATGTCTAAATTTGTCCTGACAGAGGACAAGCAAGCTTTCTGACAGCATTTCCCTTGGAGAACTCAGTTGTTAGGCAACCTTATCCTGAACAGGCCTTCAGTCTAGCATGGGGCGCCCTTCCTAGACTCCAAGGAACCTTAATCTGCGCTCGAGGTTTTTACTATATGTATTAAAGATAGTAGATTTCCTTGTCCTTTTGACAGTGGATGACAAATTTTCAAGTCCGTCTTCCCCAAAGTGAGATTCTACTCAGTTACAATGAACACTGCATTAGGCTTAGTGCAAATAAACTTTTGTCGCTGTGTTAAATTTAATCTTTAATGAGAATTGTTAAAATTTACTGCATCCAGATATAGTTGGAACAGCGTTGGGAGGCTACAGACTATGATGTGTAATAAAGAATTATCTATGCTCCATGCACTCCAGGGTATGCAAATGTCATCTCTTACACCTTTCCTAATATTGAATTCTTTTCTGGTTGCAGAAAAGAATTTCTTTAGTGAGGAGTTTGGGGAAAGAGACGAAGGTGAACAAAACAAACTTTTGTAGGCATTTTCATGTACTTGTAACTCAATTTCATATTCGACACAATTTTATGATTTACAATTTCTCACCAGGCATATGAGAAAATTTACGCTAAGAAAACTTCGGTGACATTCCCGAGTTGTGTGAAATTCTGCTACACCTCAGTTTCTACCCACTCTCAGATTAATCCATTTTCTACCATGTTCATGTGACAGAGAGCAAGGCAGTGGTGTTAATGGCTTCAGTAGGGCCAGGTTCTGATGACAGAGGCAGAGATGGGAACACTCATTTCCAGTCTGTGGACTTTAGCCAGGGAAGTTTCTGGGTTAACTACAAACAGTTTATAAGAAAGATCTTGGTGGGTAGTTGAGAGTGGGAAAGAAACTATATCTTACACCAAGCTTTCTTCCCTTTTTGGTTCAAGTTCCCCTGATTTAAAAAAAGCCTCAAATACATGGCAGCAAGAGTAAAATGGTAATCTGTACCTTCCCCTCACAAAGTTACTCCCTCACTGTACTAACTTCAAATTCTATGTAGAATATTTAAATACAAACATTATTAAATACTGGCAGTTCCTTTGCTCCAGTCATACTTTCTTTTAAAACAAAAAACCACTAGGGAAATTATATGCAAAAAGCTATGTTAATAAAGCACTCAGGTACAAATTTATACTAAAAAAAAAATGTTAGGAGATACAAAGCCTGAGAGACTCTTAGTCACGTACAAGCAACCATATTTTTCATATTCTATATAAAGCTATTTTAACAGCTTAATGAGTAATCTCAAAAAATTATGTACAGGATAAGTGAATTAATGTTACTGGAAAAACGTTAAGCTTTGATATTTCCAAAGTTTTTCATGCTTCCATCCATTAGCTAAATGTGACAGCTCAGCTTTTTGAGACCATGTACATTACAGCAGTCACCTATCCATGGGCTTTAAGATCATATTTCCTCATCAAAGGCAAATGTTCTTCAATCTCCCTTCCAAGCTTATGCTCAAGGAAGACTCTCACCTGTGTTGAGACAATGTCTCCCACAGGGCTAGCTTTACATAAAGTGGAGTCAGCAGTATAGACAGGGTTGCTTGATGTGAGTTTGTAAGAAGTGAGCTCCCTCAAAAGCCTTGGGACTGTTGGATTGGTGTCTGCAAAGCCAGCCTTGGGTTTAGAGCCCTTTGTTTTAAGGACCTGATGGCATTTACAAAGCTTATACCTTATCTGTTTCAAGCCAGCTGATTGCTAATCAGTTAATTAAAAACCTTTACAGATGTTACCCCATGCATGAAAAGCCACATCTGTGTATAATGAAACAAATGGATTATAAAAGCAGAGGGGCCAACTTGACCATCCAACTTGAGTCAGTGCTTATGGATTGTTTGTTTTTTCCAATTTTCCTTTTGCCAGCAATTCTTTGTAATGCCTCTGGTTTTGTGATGTAATTCTAGTGAAATCAACCTTCAACAGCCCAAAGTTATATCATTAATGATGATCGATTTCAATTACAATTACTAATTGATCCCAGACTGCTAAGAGGACTCCTGGTGGCAGGCAGTCACACTGCACTTTGGGCAGGAGGAGGGAGGTTCTTACAGCTTGCTAATTTGTTTGGCTTGGCTAGTTAATTTTTTTTTAATCACTTGTAAATGAAGAATCTGAGAGAAGGGTAGATAGGGAGATACTCATTTGGTATGGTACAGAGAAGAGAGGGATCTATCAATAGATGTGTATGAAAAAAAGATTCTGGAGGACTAAGAAGCAGTTTACAGCTTTGTCATAGATGACTTTCTTGGATACATTACACTCATTGCTGATATTTGGTCAGTTTTGGTGGTAGCATTTTCTTTCTCTAAGAACCATCTTCAATTTCCTAAACTATTAATGCTAGGTCACAAATCTTACTTGAATTTATAAATATGGAAGGAACCACAAGCATGGAGACCAAGAAAGTCATTTTAGGGAAAAGGTCCTCAAAGTATGATTCCCAGGCCAACAGCATCAAGATCATTTGGAAGCTTATTAGAAAAGCAGATTTTCAGATCCCATTCTAGTCTTCATGAATCAGAAACTCTAGTGGTGGAAAGTAGCAGTCTGCATTTTTACAAATGTCCCCACTGGTTCTGATGCATGCTAACTGCGGAGAACCACCGATTTAGGGTATCACCACTATAAAGTGTAAAGCCAGGAATCAAACAAGAAAATCAGACTCCAGAGTTCTTGCTCTAGGCTGTAAAGACTCAAGGATTTCTGAGGGTATAATTTTTCGAAGGAGAATTACAGCAAACACAGCTTTCTAAAACCCAAATGGTTAAAAGGAAACACCATTTTAAAGTAAAAGAGAAGATTAACAAACTATAGCAAACATGGAGGAAGGAGTCACTTGAAGCCTTCAGGACTCGAGACAGGTGGCCATACACATCCTCTTTCTACTACTATGCTCTTTACATAAAACTGTATATATGTGGCTTTGTCTAATTCTGTTCATGTTCTTCAGTCAGCGGATGGCCACTTTCCTCTTCACTGCCCTTGTACATAAGGGTGTGATACGGAAAGCTGCAATTTAGCCTAATACTTTCAAATGTTGCCTGCTTGTACAAAGCCCTCAGGGTGTTCTCCCTTGGGGCTTCAGGCCTGGATAACAGGCTCAGTATGTAAGTAAGACAAAAGGTGCGTGATGCTGGAAAGAAAAGAGAAAATCAACATCAATTAAGATGGGCTGGGGTGGAAAGAAAATGATTGTGAAAGAAAGAAAAGGAGAGAGCGAGAGGAAACAAAATGACTTAGAAAAGGAAGAAAGAGAATGTGAAAGAAACAAGGAGGGAGGAACCTGAGACAAGAGTAGGGAGGGCGGAAGGGATGGGAACACCCGGCAGCTGTTTGGAATAGATTGCGTGCACCCTCCATTTCCAGTGGACTCTTTCCTGCGTTCGTCAGCCGTCTGCAATGTGGTGATTAATCATTCATGTCAAAATCCCTAATCCTATTCAATGAAAAACAAATGCCATGGCACCCAGCCCTTTGCTATCCCATGTACTTCACATGCTTGCCTGGGTGAGGTTGTCTGGGACCAAGATGGTTTTCTGGGGACCCTCAGTACAAATTCTGGGCAGCTCCACATGTTGGAGATGCCCTATGATCTCAAGGGTCTTGCCTTTTACCGGAAGAAAAAAAATCACTAGCAATAAAGGTCACGTTGTGCTAGTTAAGCAAACAATCAACATTCATTTAATTCTCTTTTAAAGAGAAAGTAGCCTCGGTTATTTATAAAGCTCCTTCCTCCAAGGAACAGGGCCCAGCTACACCACTTACTTCATCAGTCCTCCTAATGTAGCTTCGTGGCAGTGGTTAGCTATGTTGTCTCATTTTGCAAATTCTTCCTAAGTTTGTGCAATCTTTCCTCCTACCCGCTTCCCTCTTCTGGCTTCATTTTCTTTGTCATGTATTTTCTTCATCCATGTGAGATTTACACTGGAAAAAACAGTCTGGAAACATGATTTGCCCTAAATGACATTAATACAGACCGCCTCGGTAATTGCCATTTGCCCTGGGAAAACAGTATGATTGTCTAGCACAGAGGTTAGAATAGAGAGGTTTAACCCTTTCTATTCAGGCTCCAGAACTGGAAATGCTAGACTTCAAATCCCATTCTCTACCTGGGTGGCTGTATAACCCATGGCCCATAGCTCTATATGCATAAGCATGAGTTTTCTTATGTGCCAAGGCAGGAATATCAGTGAGGTCTAAATTGAATGATGCATGTAAACTGTGACACATAATTGGTGCTCAGTAAACATTGGCTTTTTTTATCTAGTAAGTCAGAGAACTGACATTTTTCACTGTTGCCATGTCACCCTTTTTGAGGGAGAGCCTAAGCATGCAGAACTGTTGTCTGGGGAAGGGCATCACTTTTTAGCACTCACCGCAAGGCAAAGTTTCCACCTGTCTATTAAGCAGGCTTAAGACCTTTAACAGCTGTAAGAACTAAAACAATGCTGCTGCTTCCGACCTCACACATCCCTGATTTAACATAAGATAACGGTGAGGAACTCCGTCAAAATTCTACTTTTTCTCACAATGACTACTATGCTTTTGAAATAGATACACTGTTTTTTTTTCTCAAAACTTTTGCTTTGTTGTTGTTAGTGTGCTTTCCTTCCTGGTGCTTGAAGAATGTGTATAGGCTGTCTACTGTGTGGCATCCTGTATTTGCAGCAAGAAGGATCCTGGCTCTGATTGGGCCCTAAAACACATTACTTATTGAAGATCTATTATGAGTCAGGTCCATGCATGGGCTTTACATTAATAGACTTATTTGAGCATCACTTGGACAGCAAACTTATGTGTTAAATGTGACTATCTCTACTTTATCAGGAAGAAAAAGGAGCCTCTGGAAGTAAAGTGGGTTACTCAAGGTCACATAGCTAGTAAGCCACAGGGTAAAATTGAAACCATATTGTCCCTAGTCTCCATGACCTATGCCATGGGAAGAAAATAGGGAAGAAAGTGATGATGTAAGTATAGAGGAAACTCAAGAAAATCCAATTATAGAAACTATGACTCCTTTTGGACCAATTTTATTAAAATCAGAAAGAGAAACACAGACAAGAAGCTAAAACAATGAGCCATTTAGCACACATACAAGAGTCAGGCATCCCTTGAAGTCTATGTTCCATATTCCTGAGAGTTCAGGACTGTGCAGTGAGGGATTCAGATAGAAAGAGAAAAGGAGCATTGGAGAGTACATAGTGACCTGGACAAGGCAGGTACTCAAAAAGTATTCATAAGATGTACGCATGGGCTGGGCGTGGTGGCTCATGCCTGTAATCCCAGCACTTCGGGAGGCCAAGGCAGGCGGATCACGAGGTCAGGAGATCGAGACCATCGTGGCTAACACAGTGAAACCCCGTCTCTACTAAAAATACAAAAAATTAGCGTGGTGGAGGCTGCCTGTAGTCCCAGCTACTCGGGAGACTGAGGCAGGAGAATGGCATGAACCCGGGAGGCAGAGCTTGCAGTGAGCTGAGATTGTGCCACTGCACTCCAGCCTGGGTGACAGAGCAAGAGTCTATCTCAAAAAAAAAAAAAAAAGAAAGATATATGCATGATGAAAAACAGCTGAGCATCCCATGGGCCTTTAGCAGGAAAATACTCTCCTGGGCCTGCACAACATCCAGGTTTGGGGGTTGCACCAAGGATGTCAAGAGAGAAATTGTGAAGGACCAGGAAAGGTTACAGGGGTGAGATTACAGCTTTTAAAAAATTTTAATATATGGAAGATATTCCTCTGGGTTTCCTCTTAATATGACACAAGAAATGCGAAGTCATGGGTAAACATTGGTTTTAATTAATATTCATATAGAATATGTTGTATTAAAGCCAATACATATTTAATGATAGAGTATGCAAAATCCAGATAAATTATAAAGTTAAATCACATATCACTTTCTGCAGACAACCCAAGATTTAAGGGACCTGTACTGTTGGTATACTTCCGGGGAAAATTTTGAGAAACATTGGCTCAAAATAAGAAGGACAAAGTGAAATGCAGGATAAAAACTAGCAATAAATCCACAATCAACTAACTGATAGTGATAAATTATATTCTACCTACTGAGGACAGGAGTTCATAATCTTAATTTTAATATTTTTTTTCCTCTAAAACCAAGGACTGCAATAAGAACCACTCCGTGAAACATAAAGGACTGAATGTAACAGCTGAGAAGTATACCTTCACAGAATCTCAATAAATATGTTCCAAGAAAGGAATGCAGTTAGCATAAGGCTAGTCCAGAGTTGAAATTCAAGAAACGTGAATTTTCCTCCTTCCCTTGGTGGGCCCTCCCTCAGCAGCCAGGGATGGGGATTGAAGAGACATCGGTCAAAGGACAAGAAATTTCAGTTAGATTGGAGAAATAAGTTCAAGATATCTATTGTAAAACATGTCGGCTATAGTTAATGGCAATGTATTGTATTTTTGAATATTACTAAGAGAGTAGATTTAAAGAGTTCTTATCACACACCCACAAAAATAAATAATCGAGCAATGTATGTTAATTAGTTTATAGCCATTGCACAATGTATATGTATTTTAAAACATGTTGTCATGATAAAAATACACAATTTTCATTTTTCAGTTTAGAAATAAACTAAAAAAAATTAAAAAGCAATGTGAGTCAAGTTCGTTGGGAAAAGAGGTGAAAAGAATATCACCGAGAGGTCGAGAATGGGGAAGCCATGGTGCTGCTTTGTATTTTTCAGCTCCTAACAGGATGCTATGGAAGACAATTTTCATTCTCCACCAGATAGTTTTTTTGTTTCATAACTCAGAGAGAATTCTGCATTGCATAGTGCAATGACCAGAGTGGCATTTCTTACATGTTCGTGGTGCTCTGAGTCCTGTGAAGAAACAGCAGAAATCTTGCTGTGACAGGACTGCCGGCTAGGCTGGACTGGAGGAGAGTAGGCTATTAGTGGCCATTTCCAGGGGTCCCTCCTATTCTTGGTCATCAAAACCTCTCCTATCAACAGAGCACAAGCTGAACAACTCTATGGACCAGGTGTTACAGAGGAGGTTCAAGTATCTGGTTCTCCTTGGATTAAAGAATCCATGGTCCCTTCCACACATACTTCTAAGAATGTTTGTCATTCTGTAGGATAAATTCCCAGAGAACTCTTTTTTGTGGTGTGATTTTAATTCTGCACTGTTGTTTAAAGTTAGAACTTCAGATATTTAAGTAAGGCCTTTTTTCTTGTTCTAATGGATTATTTGTAATATAACAGGAACAAGACACCATACTTGTTTGTTTGCCAGAGTAAGGTGAATTTTCCTCCTTTCCTCGGCCGGTCACTCCCTCAGCAGCCTAAAGGGAATGTAGGAGGTGAATTTATTCCTCTCAGAAGTACAGTTTATCATTGCTTGGTGCTCTCTAAATCCACTTTTAATTCACTCTTGTGTCTCAGAGGGCGTGGTTACATGCCTAGAAATGTCCTCTCACAGAAGAGTGAACAAAAGCAACATGCTCAACCTTGATGGTGCAGGGCTGCTTGGTCCTGATTGCCAGGCATCTTTAGGGTAGCAAAGGACCTGGAAACCAAAAGATATGAAAGTCCAAACCATTTTAATTTCCCTCCCATATTCCTGAAGGAATTTAATCTCAAAACATAGAAGCAGCAGAATCTCATGTCAATATTCTCTTAGGAGAAAATGTAATGGCTCTTGTGTGGTCACCTAAACTCTGGGAACATTTAAGAATGGCCTATTAGGGGGCTGAGTAAATATGTGAGATTAATAAAATATAGTAGATTTTTACCCTTCAATTCTGGCATTGAATTTATCCTGGCTTAGTTCCTGTGACCAGTATCTCACCAGCATTTTGATTCATTTTATTCTGTTGTCTGTTATGTTTGACACTCATGATGATAACTTCATATTTGCTTTATCAGTCATGTTCCTTCAAAGAGATAAATATTTCGATTAATTTTGACTAGCCCTCCTGTTTTTCTGCTTTTAGGCAGGACTGATGGAAACTACAGCATTCTACTTTTCTATTGGATTCTGCATGGACACCAGGATGAAAAATGAACAAATATTCTCTGCCATTATTTCTTGGTTTAGTGTTCACTCTGTGGGGAAACAAACGTGTATCAGTCACCATGTCTACCTCCAAGTTATTTGTAATATAATAATAGGGGATTTATTTTATAGTGACTCCAAAATTATTTATTGAGCATCTACTATGATCGAGGCATTTTGCTTGGAATAAAATGGTGAACGGCATTGGCATATTCCTTTTATTTGCAACAGTAACAGATTAGTGAGGATTTGAGGTAAGTAAATAGTATAGTGTTATGATAGCAGTGAAGCACAAGGCAGAAACATTTAACCCACTTCCAGAAGATCATTGAAGGTTTTCATATAAAAGTGTCATCTAAGCTGAACAGTGGGAAAGAAGGATGGTACCAAGAAAAGCAGGAGTATATTAGGAGAAGAAAATAGAAAGGGAGGAAGAAAGAGTGTTGCAGGCATAGAGACCACCATGAATCTGAAGCAGGAGAGAATATTTAGTCTGGCCAGATCAGAGAGGGCGAGGTGGAGAATGGCAAGATGTAAAACTGAATAAGTAATCAAATGACAAATCATGAATTATCCTTTACATCATATTAGGAAATTTTTGCCTTACCTTAATAACCTTATAGAACCACAGAGGTTTAAGCAGAGAAGTGATATGAGCAGATTTGCCTTTTAGAAACAATTATCTGGCCACAACATCGACATAGGATTGAAGGGCTGCGAGCTGGAGGAGTGAGGAGGCTCTTGCAATAATCTACATGAGAGATAAAAATGACCTAGGCTGGGAAGAGGTAATGGGGAAGAAGAAAAACGACCATATTCTAGAACTATCTAAGAGGTAGAATTGTGAAACTTCATAACTAAACACAGGTTTGAGGAAAAGAGGAGAATCAAGGATGCACCCACACTGCTGGTTTGGATACCTGGGTGTTGGCACTGAGACAGGGCACCCAGAAGATCAGACTTGGAGTCAGAAAATGGAGAAGATGATGAGATAAGAAAAGTATACAGAAAACATCAGTGCAATGTAGGTATGCTAAATGTTGGAAATATCCAAACCAAAAAAAAACACGAAGATTGAAAGGAGCAAATGCTCACCCCGGGTCTGGCCAATACTGGATGAATTTATAAAGGAGGGCGCATCTGAACCAAGCTTTAATGGACAGGTGTGAACTGAGAAGAGTATTCTAGGACACAGAGATAGGATAGAGTGGACGTTTTATTGCTACCTTTAAACAATAAAACTGTGGCTAGGAACCTAAGGATTATACTATGGCCTCCAACCATCTATTCTGAACATAAAAGCCATTTTTATTTTTTTAAACCTAAGTTGTATCGTGTCTCTCCTCTGCTCAGCATCCTCCAAAGTCTCCCAACTCCTGAGAAGTAAAACCCAAATCCTTACAATGACCTGCAAAGCCCTCCTGACCACATGTACCTAATTTCCTCCCACTCCTTTGACCTCACGTATTCCCCTTGCTCATCGTGCTCTGAGCATTTGGCCTCCTCCAGTAGTCCAGGTGTGCTTTCATCTTAGGACTCCAACACATGTTCTTCCTTCTCCGTGGAAATTTCTTCTTCCATTTATGGCTCACTCTTTACTTCAAGATTAATCTCAACTGTTACCTAACTATCATTATCATAGTAAATGCCTACTATTTGGAATCTCACCTATCTGCAATTCTCTCCATATCCCTTTCCTGATTTACTTTTCCCCATGACATTTATCACTTTCTAATATGCTATATAATTTAAGCATTTTATTTATTGTTTACCTGTACTTATTAGGATGTAAGTTTATGAAAGCCAGATATTTTTATTGTTTTTACATTAGTTCACTGATATACCTGAGTACTAATATAATGCCTGATGCATGGTAAGCCTCCAATAAGCATTTGTCAAATAAATAAATAAATGTATAAATTTACAACATATTTTATATAGGCAACAATTTCAAATCCCCTATGGAAATATTTTCATTAGAAAATGTTTTTAAAAGTGTGTTTCCAGGGAAGAAATACTGAAAATATCATGCAGTTAAGACCTGTAGGGCAAGTCTCCACCTTAGTTGCACAATGAATTACTTGAGGAGCTTTTTAAAAAAATACAAGTACTTGGATGTCTTTCCCTGAGATTTTGACTTAATTAGATGAAGTATAACTCAGGTATAAGAATTTTTAAAAGCCCTCCTCTTCTCTTCCAGGTGATTCTAAAGTACTGACACTGTTGAGAGAAACTGCTTTCAGGGGAAGGAAGAATCTGAAACTAGAACTGAAACACAGAGTTAGAAATTGGACGTCTTTGCCTATCAGGCCAAAAAGCCTGGAGATCACTCTGCAACAAATCTGTTCAAAATTCAGTCCACATTCTTCTCTACTAATCACTCTTTCCTTCTCTTCTACAGCAACAGGCTCTTTTATATTTTAGGCTTCGAAATCTTCTGCCAGTAGTACAACTCACAAATTCAAAACCTCTGAATCATCGTTGAGTCCCTTCTTGCTCCATATCCAATCAGCTACCAAATACCTCTAGTTTCCTCCTCACAATATTCACAATACACTCAAACAATTTTTTTTTTTTTTTTGAGATGGAGTCTTGATTTGTCACCCAGGCTGGAGTGCAGTGGCGCGATCTTGGCTCACTACAACCTCTGCCTCCCAGGTTAAAGCGATTCTCCTGCCTCAGCTTCCTTAGTAGCTAGGGTTACAGGCATGTGCCACCATGCCTGGCTAATTTTTATATTTTTGGTAGAGACAGGGTTTCCGCATGTTGGCCATACTGGTCTTGAACTCCTGATCCCAAGTGATCCACCTGCCTCGGCCTCCCAAAGTGCTGGGATTCTTCCATCTCAATTCTTCCATCACCAAGTTTCCCACCTGGATAATTACAAAAGCCTGCTAGCTAGGGTATCTCTCCTCTAAGATCTAACCATCCACTACTCCCCTTCCACTACTATCCAGTCTCGTTCTATATTCTTTCTAAAATGTCATTGAATCATGACACTTTCCTCATCAAATTTTTTTTTCTTTGCCTGATATTCATATCTTCTGTAATTACCCATAATCTACCTTTCCAGGGTATTCTTCCACTAATTACTTTTGAAAACAGTCACCTTCAGTTAAACTGGATCTACTCATTACCCACTTATGGTATGCTCATTCTTCCTGTGCACTTTTGACATGTTTCTCATGTCTAAGATTGTCTCGACTCTCTTCTTTTTAAAATTCCAACCCATTCATTAAAGTGAACTCACCTCCTCAACATAGCCTTCCCTAATCATTCCAAAGTATAATCTTCCCGTGAACTCATAGCAATTATTGTTTATACCACTCATTTTGTACTTAAGGTTAAATCCCTCTGTGAAATTTCTCTAAATTTATGCCGCAATTTGATGTCTCATTTTCCCAAATAGCTTATAAGCTGTCAGTACAAGGATGAAACACAGTTCCTATAAAGTTCCTTGAACATAATAAGTGTTCAAGTTTATTATTTAAAAGAATGAATTAAAGCATTAATAATGATCTGGTCTTAACATATCACAGTGACTACATGTCTTACTCTTGATACTGATGGAGAGACCTATCGTCATCACCTTATCCATGCAAGTGTTCCCTAGGCCTGTAATCTTTGAGGGGTGGCTGTGTTGCCCAGATGTGTTATTCAAGTGCAAACCAGAACTGATTGTGACATTCAAGTGCAAACCAGAACTGCAGAGGGTAATGCAGGAGAGTCCACTCCTTTTTGCTTACATTTGAATTTCAGTCCACACTGACTCTACTTGAGGTGTAAATTGGAGAATTCCTTCTCCACAGCCTTTGTTTTCTTCTCTTTCCCCCGCAAACTACTTCTCGTTTCTCCTCCCTTTTTCTTGTTTGAAAACCTCTGCCTTCTTCACACTCACTTCCCCAGGATCTGCTTTTTCCTTCTTTCAGCCTCTTGTTCTCCCAGTCAAGCAAACAGGAAGTGGGAGGTGAGGGAGCCTCAGATCCTGTGCAGGATATGGGGTGGGAGAGGTATTACAGAAAGGGCTTCTTTCAGAGTAGACTTCTGATGAAGCGGCACCTTACAGACAAGCCTTTCTATGGTAAACATGTGGTGTGTTATTGTGAACAAGGAATATCTGTCTCATTTCTCGGCCTTACAAAAATCTTGTTCAACTATCTTAGTCTGGTAAGAGTTGAGGTACTAGAAATGGTGGATGAGGATATGTGGCTGTACCCCCAGGTAAAACAAGGATGAGGAAGCTGTATGGGGAAAAACTGTCCCATCCTTTGGGAAAGTATCCTGTGCTACATGGGTCATCATCTTCTGTACAATGTGAAGCTCAACATCCTCTTCTTAATTGGCACAAAATGAAGTGTTTCTCAGGAAGGATGTCACAGCTTTTTCCAAATGTGACTCCATATTAATCTCAAAAACCATGTGGAACAACCTGCTGTGTAGACCCGTGCCAAGAATTATGAATGAGTCAGGAAAGCATCAGCCAGATCTCTAAGAGAGACCATGTATATGTTTTCTACAGCTCTAAATGGCGGACAGTAGGTAGAAACTCAGTGTAAGGGGAAGAAAACAAAAGAAAACGAAGACATGTAGCTTTATAAAATAGAACGGCCTCTCTCTGGATTGAGCAAGTTTTCCGGGCTGGAAGGATGTGTCAACATAGCTGTGATGTCCCCACAGTAAGGCTGTCCCAAAACAGTTTAAGCATTGGATGAGCAGTTCAACTTGGTAACCAACAAGGTCTCTTCCAACACAGGCATTCCACACATAGTGTAGCGGGTAGGAGCTGCTGAGTTGTGAAAGAGGGTGCCTAGGACTCAGCTTCAGAAGACTCAGCCTCTAGTCTCAGCCTAAATCACCTCCCCTGATTTTGCAGTGTTTAAGCCAAGAGAGTTCTAAGGGCCAGTCCACTGCTGATGTTCTACCTTTGCAACTTTCTTATTTACAGTAAATAACATCCAGAAGTGACTGTGTCATCAAATGCATAGCACCTCTGAAAATTGTCTGTTTCTTTCCACTTATTTTATAGACAAGAAAACTGAAGTCCAGAGAAGTTGGGTCTTACGTATCAATTTGGGTTCTCACTTAGCATGTCATAGCACTTAGTGTAACATAGGTGCTATACATATGCATATAATACTTCTCAAATGAAATTAAATCGGCAAAAGATGGGCCTTATTTTCATGAATACCAGGTGGTTGTTTGAAATCAGCCTGATACATTTGGTTCCCTACCTCCCGGATTTTGTCTTCATGTGTTCAGCCTGCCCCTGTGCCTCACTCATAGGGCAGCATCTGATTGAAGTCCACCGCTGGACTCAGCTGAGCACGGCTCCGTGATGACCGCAGCCACTCCTGCTGCACCTCCAGTTCCCAGGTTTCCTAGATAGCCGGGGGCAAGGCGATTGTCTGGGCCATCACCTCTCCACCTTGCCTTGCTATGGCCCATATTTTAAGGAGACCTGCAGGCATCCTATCACATCTCTACAAATCCTGCTCTCTGCCCCCTCACAAAAGGCCCCACATCCACAAGATAGGCTGTTGTATAAAACACTAGATTTGAAAGCAGAAAACTTACATGTCAGTCCTGGTTCAGTCAGCAGTGGTCTGGATGGCTGTGGGCAGGTGACAAACTCAGGATGATTCAAAGGAAAAAAATGAGGTAAAAGAATTGAAAATGCTTCTTATACTGAATGTCATATGTAAATACATATGCCTCTTCTCCTTGTTCTTTGGATATTCTGTTCTGCTACTTTTTGTTTGACAACTAAATACTTCTCTGTATGGTGAAGAGGAAATGGCCCTGGCCTTGTCAATTATTTAAGCTGCATGTCCTTTGACAAGCACTTGTTCTTTCTGAACATCAGTGTCCTCATTTTTAAGTGGGATATTACCTTCTTGCCCTGCTTACTTCAGAGTTACTTTGAAGAAGGAAGGAGATCTTTTAAGTAAAAATGCTTCATAACTTAAAATTAAAAAGTTCTATACATGTAAAATACGGCTACTATTATTACTCATTTATTTACCTTGCAAATCTTTCTACATTGTGTAACCTCAGCTCCATCTTCTGTGTCTTAACTCAGTCCCCTCATTAATATTCAAGATGCTTCTCATGCCAGTAAGGAACTTTCAGTCCTACATAAACATGTTCACAAATAAGTGAAGCAATCAATTAAAAAGTGTGAAAAAAAATCTATTAGTCTCCCCACAGCATATCTACACAATCCATGTTTCAGAAATGAACTTGCATTTACCAAATGCTACTTTATATATTTCTGTTGTAGCCTGTTATTTTCAGAATATTTTCCCATTCATGTTGTTATCTGAGTCTCACTACAAAGCAGAGAGGTAGATGGGGCATCTATAAACATACTGTGTTTATAGAAGACCAAAGTTCAAACAGCCAGCCTGGAAAGGTAAGAGAGCTTGAGGTACAGCGCACTGGATTTGAAGGCAAACAGATTTGTGTTCAAAGCCCTTCTTAATATACAATTATTAGCTATGTTAATTTGGGTAAACAGCTTCTTTGGATTGTTTTGGTTTTGTTTCTGTACCTAAACATGGGAATAAGAAAACCTACTTCATCGATTTCTCATAAGATGGAAATAAAAAAACAGGTTTGAGGTACTTATCACAGTGCTTTGCACATAGTAAAGGCTTAACCCCAGTAATTACTTTTATTAATAAAAACTGAGTGTTCCATTTTCAATACTTTTTTTCTATTCAATAAGGTCTTTAATTTTTTGCAACATAGGCACTCTTACCTCATACACTGAAAAATTGTCTCATATAACATTGAAACTGGACCCTTTTATATTAGGAGAGAATTGACTATTTTGAATGACTATACAACTTGCCAGCCAAGAGTTCTGCTTTAGCTGCATGGCTACCTCTGTCTAGAAAAGCATAGTGTAATTATTTGAACATTTCCTTGGTGATTTTCTTTTATTATTTTATGAAAATGAGTAGGAAACAGAAAAATGAATGTGTTCATACTGGTAGCAAGAAACACAGTTTCCATAAATTTACTGTAGTTGAGACAAAGATGGCAGTCCCTAGACCATCTAGAATTCATGAATCTTTGTTGAGGGCTTAAGCTGATCTGCTGGACATGTACTTGCAAAGGGGAAGAATAAAATAATGAATAGAAAACCTTGAAAATATACCTCTCATAATTATATCTAATTGATAAAAGTTTTTAAGGTATTGTTTTCAAGCTATTTACTTTTTCTGGGACCAGAAACTCCTTATAACCACCCTGAAGTTGACTGTTGAATTTCTTATATTTGACCTCCACGTGAGAAATGTTAAAACCACAGTATCTAAGAAGATGTGGAGCTGCTTCCAGAGAAGGCTGATGTGTAAAAACTACTGGTAGAAATAATGTTTTTCCCTGGGAGTATGTCTTTCCCAGTCTTCAGTTAAACAAACAGAAAATCTAAAATGGCAAGAAAACTTTCCTAAAAAAAGCAGTACAGGCATTGCTGCCTGGTGCAAAGAGAGGGCCTTAATACTGTGGCTATGGATCATTTCTGCTTGTATATTTACAATGAATTTCTAAGGATGGATATGATCCTTGTCTCTGCTACACTCGAGGAGGCAAAGTGTTGCTGGCTAGTGTCTGCCCTGACGATAGATAGAACTTGAGGTGCATTTCTTTGAGATGCTATAAGAACTGTTTATTGATACCTTTGTGTATTTCTGTCTGACCAAGTAAAAAAATTCTTTAATAGCCTTTACCTCATTTTTGAATAAAGATGTTTAAGGTAGGTCACTAGGGAAGCTTGAAATCCAGGCCATGTTCCTTTAAACAAAATGACATTTCTTAGTAAAGAGGTTCTCAGTGTCCCCTGCAGAAATATATCTGATTTCAGAAAAGGATTGATTCAAATAAAAATGTGTTTGTATAAGAAAAATTATTTTCTGCTGAGAAAACACATAGTTTGGGGTAAATTTATAGTTCTGGCCAGGTCATTAATATCTGGTTGTCAAAAAGTATTGGTTTGAACAAAAATATGTTGTAATAAAAATGCATTGTTTTGAAGAAATTTATTGGCCCCATGAAAACCTATTCGATTCAGAAAGATATGTTGATTTCAATGCAAAATCTATTTGTTTTAAGGGAGATAGTGCTGGGCGCTCAGCTTTTCTGTGGGAAATCTTCTCTGTGACATTGATGTTCACTTAGAAAAATGAAACATGGGCATAATTAGTGGAAAGACTGTGAAGAGAGAGCAGAAGTCCCATTTAATAAATAATGCTTAACACGAACATAACGAGCTTCAGTCTTCAGAGCACATTGACGAACATTTGCCAAAAATCTTTCCAAACAGCCAAAAGAAGGGTGTGGCTGGCCATAATTTTAGAGGATAGACACTCATGGAAGGAAAAGTTGGAGGAAAACAGAAAAAAAGCAGTGTCATCAGATGAACACCAGACACCACGGTCTCCAAGAAAACCATTGCTCTAAATAGGAAGCCCCTTTACACAGTGACCTTGGCCTGCTATCTAGCCCTTCTCTCTCCCTCCACTGCCTGTGGATCAGAGCCTTGAAACCGCGAAGCACCAGGTTTCCAGATCATATTTAGTGTCTTCTGAGTAATGTATACACTTCTGAAACAGGAAGGTAATAGCATGGCACTAGTGTTGGGATTGCTCAGTGTGGGCAAAGTGATCTGTATCTATCCAGACAAAAATCTGTCCCTGGAAACATTGGTAAAAAACACAGAATCTAAAAGCAATTCTGCTAACTTCAGCTATTGGCTTAAAATGGGGTTTGGAAAATTTCTCTGTAAGGGGCCAGATGATAAATACTTTAGGTTTTAAAAAGCCATACATTCCCTGTTACATACTCAACTCTGCCATTGTAGCATAAAAGCAGCCATTGATAATAAGTAAATTAACAAGCCTGACTATGACCAATAAAACTTTATGTACGAAAATAGGTGGTGGACCGCACATGGCCTATAGGACATAGTATGCTTAAAGAATTGACCTCACTGCACAGCTTGCACAAGTAAACAGAAATTGTGCAGAAATATGCCGTATAGAAAGTTAGCATGCGGGGAGCAGATAAGGATAAACTATGAAAAATAACACAGGCAGTCCCCAAGAGGTGCTGATTGGGGCATAGAGAATGCAAAGAGGATGTCGTGAAGGAGGAACATTCCATGTGGAATTTATTCATTGTAGCTTCAAGAAATCAAATCTAATTCCAGAATCCAGTATCTTTATTTCATACTAAGTAAAACTTTATTACATAACAGTATTTATCAAAATTAAACAGTAGGAATAAGTGTTTAGGTGTACACTTTCTTTCTGCAAAGCTCTAGAGATAAATATGAATAAAATATAAGCTTTTTATTCTAAAAGAGGGCTGCTGCTGGGTGACGTGGCCTGGTGCAAGAGCAGTGGAGCTCTTGCTCAGATGCCCGTAGCCACATCCCCTTTGCTTTAAAGTAGGTGTCTTGATACAGCCTGGTGTTATTTAGGATTCCATGATGGTGGATAAAACACTCTAGAGGTTCTTTGATAGTGGTTCTGTCTGAAGCCCTATTGGCAGGATTGAGCAAGTCCATATCCAGAATATGTATGGATTCAAGTCAAGATAAATTACACTAATCACTTCTCTGGTGAAAGGGATAAGATGTAATCAACTTGCTACCAGGTGGCTAGTTGTCCCCTTGAGAAAGGATGCTATATGAAGGGCTAAGCATAATTTCTGTTGCTGTTAAGTTCTGATACTGCTACTGGACAATCACTAGTAGCAGTACATAGAACAGCCTTGGTAATCGGGAGCCCATGCTCTTGTCCATGCATCCCCTCCAGCCTTGCCACCATGGCTGTTTTATTCACATAGCTTGTGTGCTACTTCTGGGCTGGCTGATGATAGAGGCTGACTAGGGTTGACTGCCTGAGTCATTCTGCCTACTTATTGTCCAGCGTCTCTTCTGTGGTGAATGTGTTCCAGCAGGTGTTCATATGTCATTCACAGATCTTTACACTACTTTGCTACTGCTATAGACTTTCCATAAATCCCACATGGCCTCTCTTCTCAGCACAGAGCCTTCTAATAGCATGGACTCTGGCAGATTTCTCTAACAGCAAGGCTGCTGGGCCTGCTATGAGATGTTTCTTGAGTTACTATTTTTTATTTACTCTCTTGATCTGGGATGAGGCAGTTTCAGAGGCTTCCAATTGGTCTGCCGCACTACTACAGCTCTGATCTTATAGCAAATCAACTAATAGGAGTGCTCTGGCGAATACCAAAAATACTCATTCCTATCACATATTCCAAAAAAAGGATGGGAGAGTGACTAGTGGTATGTCCATTGGATCTACTCCAATTCAGGCCTGGGCTGAGACTGCATTTATTACCTGGCCTTCATATGCCATAGTCTAAAAGCATGAGGTATAATAATGCTTCAAGTTCCTAGGTATCAGTGGGATCCTGGACCCTATGCCTACTAGTTCTCAAAATATTTGAATATTTTCTAAGTAAATGGCCATAGGGCCCTTGTTCTGCCATTAGCATCATAGGAAGAACTAAAGGAATCATTACCATATGTACCTACCATGATATGTATGGGGAACCTGGCTTCTCCTTCTGTCAGTGGATTCCTGATCTGAATATTATCTCAGATCTGGAATCTGGCCACAGATTATGGAATTTTATTAGGACAGCTTGCCTCAGACTCTTGATTATCCATTGTTATATCACTTTCTTTTACACATTTAACACTACTTTTCATCTATCTTGCCTCTAGGAGAGCTCTGTTCGGGCTCCTAATTGTAACCTTGTCATTCTTTATGCTCTTTCCACCCACCTTGCTTTTGATGGTTGAGAACTACCACATATCTTCACTTATTTTGAAATTTTACTATCTTCTTTTCTATCAAGCAACCATATTTTTAAATAATATCCTACTATCAGCTTTGGTTTGCAAAGGACACCTTCTCAATAATGCTGGTGCTTCTCTCACAAGGACATTCCTTATTGCTTTAATAACTAGTGTGTTTTCCAGGCTGTAAATGAACTGAGACTTGAAGAATAGATAGAAGTGAGACATGTAAAGGTTGTGGAGGACATTCTAAGCACAGAGGAGAGAAGCAAAAACAAAGGCTACATAATTGGGGGATTTCCTAGGTTTCAGCAGAGTTCAGAATACATGAAGGGGAGTGGGATTTCAAGGTGAAACCTTGTGTGATAATACAAGACCTATAACTTAGGCTTATGCATAAAGATTTGATCTGTTAGTAGTAGCCAAAAGAAGAGTAAGCCAAAACATTCCTTATTGCCTCTGGTAGATACAATATGAAAACCAGAGCAAGCTAATGGAAGCTGGAGAGTAGGGGAGGGGAAGGAGGCAGTGGCCCAAGCACTCCTGACATGTGTAAGGTAAAAGTTTAATGTGCCTTGGGCACATGGAGCTGCCAGCCTCATGACATGCAAATAAGCTGGTTCCACTCCAGCAGGTAACCATATTATCCACCAGCCGTGGGTGATACGGCTCTACCAGCAGTACCTCAAGCACAGTTCTGATCATTTTCTCCAGGAACCAAGTCTTTTTGTTTCTGTCAAAAAAATTTTCACAAGGACCGTTGGCACAAATGTACTTGCGAAGAGTTGTAGGCATTCTCCCTCCAGAATCCCTTACTGGATTGTGAAAAATGGTGAGTTGAACTTACCAGGAATTTTCATCTTTTGTTTCTCGTTTCTTTTTCTTCTTATCACATACTTGGTCCCGTATGGATACTTAAGACACATCAACAAGGCAGTGTTTGAGAATGGGGATATAGTCTAGAATTACAAAAGCAAAGTGCTTATGTGGACGATAAGGACTTGGTGAGGAAAATATGGTTCTGCTCTAACATATAGACATATGATAGGCCTCAGATTAGGATCTCAGTGTTGGAAGAGACCTTAAGATTCATAAGGTCTGATTGTACATCCATTGCTTAAATCTTTTCTGTGACAGCCTCTCCAAGTGGACATTTGAGTTATGCCTACGTGTACCTCCAGCACAGAAAAGTCACTCAATCCAAAGAGTACTCATTCTATTTTTGTACAGTTACATGTTTTTAAAGGGTTTTTTTGAATTGACCCTTTACCCATGTATGTTGCAAGAGAGAGATGGGGTCTTCAAAACTTAGGGAAGTATGGCGGAAAAACGGATTTTGCCTAGGAGAAAGTCAGGAGCCTATAGGACCAAGGCTAGAAGGACCAAGATATTACAAAGGAAACAATAGATGCAGGAGGAAGCAACTAAAATACACGAGACTGTCTGATTAGCCTCAGTAGTCTTGCTCAAAAAATGTTGTGAGGAGACGGAAACGAGGTACTTACTGCATGAATAGATTTTAGTTTCCAGGACTAGAAGGGCCTGTGTAAACATGCATTTTTTGTGACATTATTATGTTCACTCTTTCAAGTGAAACTCTGCAGCATCTGGCTGAATAATTCATATGTGAAAGTCTTTAGAAAACATTTGTAGAATAAATGAATGAATGAAATTCTAATTCTTAGGGTGAATAACAGATCCCACATCTCCTATTGAAGAAAATAATCTGATTTCAAGGCTGGGTGTTTTTTATTTTTATTTTGTAAATTCTTTCTAGTGCACTTGCATTTCAAAAGTACAATAGTTGAATCTGTAGGGGAGAAAAAGCAATACAGTAGTTTCCTTTTGTCTGTAGGAGATATGTTCCAAGACCCCAGTGAATGCCTGAAACTAAGAATTATACAAAACCTTATATATACGATGTTTTCTCCTACACATACATACCTATGATAAAGTTTAATTTATAAATTAGGCACAGTAAAAGATGAACAACAATAACCAATAATAAAATAGAACAATTATACCAATATGCTGTAATAAAAGTTATGTGAATGTGGTGTATCTCTCTTTCTCAGAATATCTTATTGTACTATACTGTGAGTGACTAAAACCACAGAAAGAAAAACCATGGATAAGCCGGGGGCCACTGTATCTTTTCCTCACCCATTGTAATGTTCATGGCTGAGACCCCTACAACAAAAGACAGATTAACAAGAGAAAAGCATAGAAATTTACCTAATCTAAGTTTTATGTAACAGGAGCCTTCAGAAATAAAGACTCAAAGAAATAGGGAAATCTGTGTATTCCTATGGATGGATAAGCAGAAGTATGATTAGAGGACAAAAGGGTATGATCTAGTGGTTAATAAACTGAGGAGAACTTAGAAAGTCCTGTTTGTTCAGATATTTCCTGGCATCTCTATGTGACATTCCTTCTCTCTGGGTATAGAGCAGGATACCTGTTACATGAAGTTCTTTAAGGGAGAAGAGAGAGGGAAGGTCGGACAGTGACCTTCCTGTGTTGTTTGGCCTGCTTCAGGGAAGAAGGGTGAGGGGAAGATGAGAATGACCTTATTGCTTCTGCTGTTGTCTCAATTTCCAGTGTGCTTTATTTTGTGGTATTTTGCTGAATTCTATCAAGTCTGATGCCTAAGATCACTAATGATCACACTGTATCTGTCCCTTGCATGCTTCATTTTAACTGTGAAACCGCAGAGTTTTCAGGAAGAGAAAGGACAACCCTGATTCTGATATGAAAGTCAAATAACTTTTTCTACTAACTTTTCTTCAACTCTTTTTTATAATAAAATCTTCTATGACTAATAATGCACAAATCTCCATGAATTAATTCTGGAATGAAGGATAGAAAGATTGGGCACACATCTTGTGATTCAGAATTACAACAGTCACAGCTTGGCCAACATGGTGAAACCTCATCTCTACTAAAAATACAAAAATTAGGCGGGCGTGGTGGCACGCACCTGTACTCCCAGCTACTCGAGAGCCTGAGGCAGGAGAATTGTTTGAACTGGGAGGCAGAGGTTGCAGTGAGCTGAGATCACACTGCTGCACTCCAGCCTGGGCGACAGAAAGACTGTGTCAAAAAAAAAAAGGAATTACAACAGACCCACTGGGAAATGGACTTTGAGAAATCATGAACTATGAATCTACTTTAAGATTCTTATCCCAAAAGAAGAGCCCTCTGTCCATCTGTGCAATAGATTTGGAAATAGAGAAATGGAGAAGACAAGTGTGAATTCTGTACCTGATACATTGAGCTTTTAGTCCTGAGGGTGGTCATGGAATCTTTTGATTTTTAGCTTCATCATGTGCAAGATGGGAATAATGAAGCCTGTCTCATATAGTTATTGGAAGACTCATAGTATATGTGAATGCACCTAGAGAAGAATAGACTTTATTTTTTGAGGTAGCTTTTCTTCTTTTCTTTGTAAAGACTAGTTTCAGAACTGAGGGTCTTTGTCAGTCAAGATTCAATCAGAAAAGCAGAAATGACTCTACATACTTCAGACAGAAGAAATTTAACATAGGAAATTGATTATACAGGTGATGAAAGAATTGAGAAGCCAAAAAGACAATGGAACAAGCAGGGAATCACTGCCACCCCTAGGAATAGAGGCTCATCTCTAGAAGGTAGTGTTACCAGGGCCCAAAATCCAGGGTCACCAGGTAAAGCTGGAACTGTGCTTACACATACCACAAGTTCCAGCTCGGGGTCTGGGAGACACAGCCTCAGCCGGAGATAGTATATGAAGTAGAGAGAGAGAAGACAAGAAACACTGGGTTCTCCTTCCACCCATCCTCCAATCTTTTACCTGTCATGCACATTGGCCAAACATACCTTGAAGCCAGAGGGCAAGAGAGTCTAGGAATTACAGTTTTCTGAAACTCAGAAAGGAAGAGGAAGAGGAAGAATGAATCTGAATGAAAAAAAGGTTGGTTCAGTGTTCAAGTATCCCATGATGTTCTCTTAACAGACAAAGGCCTTTCTTGTTTCCTCATTCTCCTTGAGCAAAAAGCAACTACAATCCTTCTGCCCAGCAAAGTATTTTTTAAATTTTTTTATTTTTGTAGGTACATAGTAGGTGTATATATTTATGGATTACATGAGATATTTTGATAGAGGCATGTAACGTATAATAATCACCTCAGGGTAAATGGGGTATTTATCATATCAGGCATTTATCTTTTGTGTTACAAACAATCCAACTATATTCTTTTGGTTATTTTAAAATGTACAATTAAATTATTTTTGACTATAGTTACCCTGTTGTCCAGCAAAGTTCTTGTTGTTCACATTCCCTGGGCAAGGGTCTTGCTCAGAGTAGTTTCATAAAATGACTAAAATATTATGTGATACTGCTCAAAGATTCTGGAAGAAGTCAGGCAGAGGGTAGGACCCAAGATTCCCCTCTCATGTAGGGAACCTGAGCTTCCTGGAGTAACAGGATCTAAAAACTCTTGTACACATTTAAAATGAATGGCCTGGTGGTTATGCTATCAATTTAATTCCAAGTTTTGAACTTGTATGAGCTAAAATGAATTTTGTTTTTTTACTGCCTCAATGTAATAGGTATATACTCTACAAAATTGAGTTAAATCTGTGATAAATCAAATAATATTTATTGCATTAAAAGTATTTGTAATTTCAAAGAATTTTATAGCAAATCATTTTGCTAAATTAAGAATCTTCTTGATGTAAACATAATCACTTCCTAGTGAATCTGTTTTATAAGTTCTGATTTTTCATATGTTGGCTTTTGTTTAAGCAGATGACAATTCTATTTATCAGTCCTCTGACACTAGCAATGTTATAAACCAGTCTGTTAAGTGCTGCAAAAGAGATACAAACAAAATATTACGAGACACAGATAAGAGGAGGAAAAAAAGGACAAATTCTAGTTAGAAGAATATGAGATAGATGCATGAAGGAAGCAGTATGTGGTTAACATTTTCAGAATTGGTAGATTTTTTATAAACAAAGAATGAGCAAAAGATGTATCAGTGGGAAAGTACAGGATGTGCTGAATAAATGATGTAGTAATGTTTGACTGGAAATTACCAAACTTTATGTAAAATATGTTTTACATAAAAACATTTAAAATGTTGAATTTGGTCAAATTATCAAGTATCTTGAATGAGTTGAGATATTTTCACTTTAATAGGCAGCATAGACTCATTAAAAGTGTTTTTGCTTTAATAGCAGAGTGATACAACTAGAATTTAACAAATTGAAACTTTTTTCTATGCCTAATATTTTTTGGATTATGTGTTAAAATTAAATTTTCTCTAGAAAAAGGTATTATGAGCTGTTTACATATAAAGTTATAGTATGAGAAGTATATATACATATATATAATATGTATAAAACTTAGAGTTTCTTATTTTTAAATTAAGTTATTTCAATTTGATTTTATAACTGTTATTATATTTGCTGTGTATTTTATTCATTCCTAGAGAATAAGAAGTGGGACACTTCAAGATATACCTAAATTTATCTTAAATATGTCATCCACTAATATCCAAAAAAAGAAATATAGAATCATGGTTTTCAAATACAATTACGAACTGAGTCCCACAATGACCTCTCCAAATCTTATTCAAAGAGAATTCTTAATTTCTCCAGAAAGTCAAAGGACACATATATTAACACACACAATCTTATATATATTTGAACCAAATGCTAAAAATAATCACTTTAAGCCAGTATTGGAATTGGTATTATCCCTAAACTAGTATGTTTTCACACAATCTGAAAAAATATTTATTTCTAGGGCTCTGTTTAGAAAATATAATCAATAGTCAATAAATAAGAAGCAAAGACTGAAAACTATCTTGTAGAACACAAATTACATTAGAAATAAAATTAAATCGCTCTATTGTTACAACTTTATAAAATTTTAGAGAAGAGATGTTCCATTAAAATCTCTGGCACTAGCATCTTCTCTTACCACTGAGGAAATTGAGAATGGAGAAGCAAACTGATCTAGGATCACACAACTAAGTCATGGTAGATCCAGACCTATTCAACCTTATCCTAGTTAGTTTAAATATTTTTCCACTAATTGGGTCACCATGGTATTTATTAACATTGCGGCCCTGGTTCTCCCAATTCTCATTTGAAGAGGTGATATATGTTGGGGGAAATAGGGTAAGAGGAAGGGAAGGATTTTAACTGTCTTTACAGGAAGATGAAATCTATTGGTCATTTAAAGATCAAATCCAGAAGCTAAATCTCCTTGACTTTTCTTGGAATTTATAGTGTGAGTAGTTGTATGTGGTTGACTCATGAGTTAAACCCCTCACAGTCTGAGGAGAATATGTTCAAACAAAGCAAACATCTCAAAGTAAATGCCAAGCCCGGTGAAGACGTCACAGTCTCGGTCTCAGCCCAAATCCAGTGGCAGCAGATACATTATGCATGACCAACAAGATTTCTTTTTGCTCTTCTATCTTGGCTGTTGCACAAGCATAAACCCCAATGGAACTAAGTAATCAAATACAGATTTGGAGTCATTAAATCTTCAAGGGGAAAGTTTTTTAAACATTTGGTTTGAGCAGTACTCACAAGTTGGAGAAGCAACAAGAGAAAAATCAATTAGAAATGGGAAGTTGGCTGGGATAATATGAGAAATTATTGTAAATTTTCATTACGACCTTCAATTTTACTCCTGCTATTCTGCAAATGGAACAATTGAGAAGGAGGATTTTCCTACTCATGCTCCTTCCTCTGTTTTCTCTAAAAAGCAAAACTGGAAAAAGGCAGAATGAACTTGTCTCTATCCCTACTTCCTAGTACGTAACTGCAGAAAAGTCTTTGAACTTCTGTGAATCTCCAGTCCTTTAACTGCAAAATGGGAATAATAATACAAATATCCCAGAGTTTTCATTAATACTAAATAATATTTTACAGAAACTGCTTCATAACTTTCAAGGAACAACATAAAGTTTTATTATTATTACATTCTAGGGCAGAGTCTTTTAAACTAGGGACAAGGTGTGTGCTCTAATGCTCTATCACCCCTGAGATACATTGTTTAGAAAACATTTTTGGCATTGTTCATTTTCTGAATAATGAGTCCATAGGAATGTGTTCAAAAGAAAGTGAAAGAAAAAAATAAAAATATAAACAACCAAAACTAGCTTAAGCATGTAACTCCCCTCCCTGGCAAAAAAAAAAAAAAAAAAAGATGATAAAGACAATTTATAGACTCACATAATTGGGATGTCAAGGGATGAAGCTGGTTGGGTTTATGGTTTTAATACCATTGACTCGACTCTGTCTCTCCCCATCTTTCTGTGTCTCTATATGTGATAGTCTTATCTTATCTTGCTAGAATAATGTCTTCTGTCTTTCCCACACCCTGGGAAGATTGAAGCAACACTGGGGCTACAGCCTACAAAAGGAGGAGGGAACAATCTTCTATCTTCAATTTATAAAATTATTTGGAAAGAGCATGATTGGTCTGCATGTGACCCATGTACACCCTTTGAACCAATCACTAGCTCCAGGGGAATGTGATATTATGATTAGCCTAGGCTGGGCCACATGCTTCCCTGTATCCCAATAGGACCACATAGATTAAGGAAAAAGATTCCCAAAGGAAAGAAAAATAGGCAAGGAAATAAATGGATTTCTATTATAGTAAGTTTTCTTAGATTGTCAAAGGAGCCCATGATTATAAACCAATTAAAACTGGTTCTATAAAATCACCAAGAAATGTATTTTATTAAGGGCTCATGGAATTAAAGAAACTAAAAGCTTAAAACCAATCTCAGACAGCATTGCCTCACTACTCTTATTCTAAAAATAGGAATACAGAGTCTAAGAAAGGCAAAATAGCTTGACAAAAGGGCACCATGAAAAGTAGAGCTAGGTTTTTAAACCTGATTCCTGGTGTAGGAGTCCTTCCATTTTAGTAACCTAACCTTCATCCTGATCAGAAACTATCAAGGACAACTGCAACATTTGGATAGCACAATGCCTGTAAAGTATATAGTGTAATTTCTGGAATATAAAATAAACAAAACACAATTTTTCATTCTTCTTTGCCCCAGTATATCACCGATTCTCTGACATAAGGGTTTTAAATCAGCAGTGTTCAAATTTTGTTGGGGGTTTATTTTTCCAGTTAGCTTTTTTCCTTTTGCCAGGTTTTCAGAGATAATCTTCGCTTATGCAGATTTTCTCTAATATTATGAGTGATTCTGCCATGCCCTCTTTGCCTAAGTTTCCTCCAGAAACATACAGAACAGGAAATAGGAAAGGGCTAGAGGAATGAAATGGCATAATTGAAAGGCAAAAATTAAGGCCAAGTTCAAGTGAAAAAATCCTGGGCATTGGCCCTAAAAAGTGCATTTGTCTGGTGTTTCTCTTCCATTGCACACCTGTCTGGTAGTGTGAATGTAGACCAGCCTGAGTTTAGAGCACAAGGTCAGGTAAGGAAACATGCTGGTTGTGTTTGGGCCAATGTTAAATGACATATCTCATTAACCAGTTCATGATGAGATTACTTTCAAGGTTCCTGACTTGCTGTAATAGGCAAACTTGAGGTAGAAACCCTCCAAATGAAAACCTCACCCTTTACCTTACTAATTCTGTAAATTGAAATCCTGGCACTTCTTAGCACACAGGGTACATTTTTTCATCTCTTTCAGACTTCCCACTTTACTTAAAGAAGCCTGAGAGGTTTTAGGACTTTAATGAGTTAATACAACTTTCCAAAGCAGAAATTATCCTCAGAGGCTTCCTTCCCTCAGCTTGTAATATTAATAACAATATTGTCGGATGCCAAAGAAGGCATGTGGTGCTTGGCTCATGGGCCAGCCAGCAGGGACTTGTTGAAAACCAGCTCCATTTTGTAAGCCAAATGAAAAACGACATGGCAGCCTCAGTTGGGATTAGGAGTGTAACTGCTGAGCTATCACCTGAAATCTACCCTCCTACACATTTGATTTAAAACAATCACCACGTATTTGCTATGGACTTTTCTTTCATTATATTCCAACCCTGATATTTAATCAGTCTCCGCTCTTTTCTGTTTGAAGAAGTTGATGCTAAACCATAATAAAAAAAAAGATCCAAGAAATGTCATCACTACCATATTATCCCCTCTCTGCGAACACATTCATAATGCATTATGGTTTCCATAGAAAGGTTGCTTATGATTAAAATTAATAAAGAATTAAAGCTGTATTTGTGGTGATGGCCTTCTTTAATTTGGCTTTCATCATTTGGACCAGAAAATTGGAAGTAGGGGAATGAGAAATAGACTGTGAATCAGGAATATATATTAGATTCATTAATCATTGCATGAGAGATTTCAGAGTGAATCTTTCCTTTAGCACCTCAGACTGAGAGAGCATCATATTTACTAAGAGAACGGGTTTATCTCCTTTATCAGGAGTATTTAGTTACAGAGAATGGAGTCCAGCAGAAAAAGTACCAATTGTATCTTCCAAGTGGTCAGGAACTTCCAAATCCGTTGTACTTAAATGATTGTTTATTCACCTTTTCCCAGCTACTGAATGTCATCACTATGCTGTAGCATCACTTCTAAGGAGTTCTTACTCCCATGTTTAATATGTTGCAAAGGGATGAAAATAAATACAGTAGGAAAAGTGATAATTGTGTTTGTGTGTGTGTGTGTGTGTGTGTGTGTGTATCTAGTGTATGACTATAATTTATGGGGTAATATTCAAAATGTTTAACAACCAATATGATATACACACCCCCCATATATTACAACCAACTAGAATATGTAGTGGCCAGAAAAAATTACTCAGCTAAACATCAGATCTCCCTGTGAAAGTGTGAAAAACCGTTCCAAATGCCAGCTGGTTGTGTGGTGGTTACGATAGTAGATTCTGCTAGAAATACACAAGCTACTAAAACTGACTCAAAAACAAGAAAACAAAAACAACCAAAAAACCTAAACAATCTGAATATATGTATAAAACAAGTGAAGAGATTGAATTAGTAAATCAAAAATAATACAAAGAAAAGCCTAGGATCAGATGACTTCATCACTGAATCCCACCAAAAAAGTTAATACCAATTCTTTACAAACTCTTTCAAAAATAGAATAAATATTTCCCATTTTATTTTCTGAGGCCGGTATTACCATGATACAAAAACCAAAATACATCACAAGAAAGAAAATTACAGGCCAATATCTCTCATTGATATGGATGAAAAATGTGAAAGACTGGATAATTCTCCCCTAATATCAGAAATAATACAGGAATGTCTGCTTTTACCACTTCCATTAATATTTAACCTTAGAGTGGAGATTCTAGCCATGACAGTTAAGCAAAAGAAAAAAATAAAAGGCAACTAGATTGGAAAGAAGTAAAACTATTTCTATTCATAGATAACATCATCTTATATAAAGAAATTCCTAAGGAATTCACTAAACAATTATTAGAACTAATGAAAGAGTTCAGCAAGGTTGCAGGACACAAGAACAATACACAAATCTATTGTGCTTCTATATACTTGCAATGAACAATCTAAAAGTAAAATTAAGAAAATAATACAATTTATAATATTATTATGAAGAATAACATATTAGGAATAAATTAAACATAGAAGCATAAAATTGTTATTCTGATGACTAAAAAAACTTGAAAGAAGTTAAAAAAATCAAAATAAATGAAAAATTTTCATGTTCATGGATTTAAAGACTTAACAATGTTAACATATCAACACTAACCAAACTTTTCTATAGCTTCAACATCCTGTCTGTCAGAATCCCAGCTGACTTCTTTGTAGAAATTGACAAAATGATTATAAAATTCATATGGAATTGGAAGGAACCCAGAATAGCCAAAACAGCCTTGAAACACAAACATAAAGCAGAAAGACTCACAGCTTCTTGATTTTCTGAAAATTTTATTTATTTTATTAACACAAAATTACATATATTAGAGGCACAAATGCTAATTCAACACATTCAAATAATTTGTAAAAATCAAATTAGTAAAATTGGGATATTAGTCACCTTAAATATTTGTCTATTTTTTAGGCTGGAAACATCCTCTTTATTCTCTTCTAGCTGTTTTAAAATATATAATATATTACTATAAACTATATTCACCCTACTGATCTATAAATCATTGGGTCTTATTCTTCTATCACAATGTGTATTTGTACCCATTAACCAACCTCTCTTTCTCCCCTCTTTTCCCTTGCCTACCTGGCTTCTAATAACCACCAATGTACTCTCCACCTTCATGAGATCCACTTTTTTAGCTCCCACATATGAATAAAAACATGCAATATTTGTTTTTCCGTGCTTGACTTCTTTCACTTAGCTCAATGACCTCCAGTTCCAACCATGTTGCTACAAATGGCAGGATTTCAATTTTTTATGGCTGAATAGTATTTTAGTGTGTGTGTGTGTGTGTGTGTGTGTGTGTGTGTGTGTGTAATTTTCTTTATCTATTTATCCACTGATGGGCACCTGAGTTGATTGCAGATTTTAGCTATTGTGAACAGTGCTGAAATAAACATAAGAATGCAGCTATCTCTTTGATATATTGATATTCTTTCTTTTAGCTATGTGCCCAGTAGTGGATGTTGATGGATCTTGATGGATCACACGGTAGTATTATTTTTCATTTTTTGAGGAACCTTGATATTGTCTTCCATAGTGTCTGTACTAATTTATATTCCTAATAGTAGTGTATGAGGGTGCCCCTTTCTCCACATCCTTGCCAACATCTGTATTTCTTGTCCTTTTTAAAATAAAAGCCACTTTAACTGGGGTGAAATGATATCTCATTGTGGTTTTCATTTGCATTCCCCTTATGATTAGTGACATTAAACATTTCTCATATACTTTTTGGCCATTTGTATGTCTTCTTTTGAGAAATGTCTGTTTAGATATTTTGCTCATTTATTAGTCAAAATATCTGTTTTCTTTTTTTTAATTATTGAGTTGTTTGAGTTCCTTATTTATTCTGGTTATTAATCTTTTGCCAGATGGATAGTTTGCAAATATTTCCAATTCTGTCTCTTCATTTTGTTGATTTACTTTGCTTAGCAGTTTTTTTTTTTTTTTTTTTTTTTTTTAGCTTGATGTAATCCCATTTGTCTGTTTTTGCTTTGGTTGTCTGTGCTTTTGAGGTCTTACACACACAAAATCTTTGCACAAATCAGTGTTTTAGAGCACTTTTCCAATGGTTTCTTCTAGGAGTTTTATAGTTTCAGGTCTTATATTAAAATCTTGAATCCAGTTCAGTTTGATTTTGCATATGGTGAGAGATAGAGATCTAGCTTCATTCTTCTACATATGGCTAGTTTTTCCAACACAATTTATTGAAGGGACTGTTCTTTTCACATTCTATGTTCTTGGCACCATTCAAAAATGAGTTGGCTTGGCGGGGCGCTGTAGCTCACGCCTGTAATCCCAGCACTTTGGGAGGCCGAGGCAGGCGGATCATGAGGTCAGGAGATCGAGACCATCTTGGCTAACACGGTGAAACCCCGTCTCTACTAAAAATACAAAAAATTAGCCGGGCGTGGTGGCAGGCGCCTATAGTCCCAGCTACTGGGGAGGCTGAGGCAGGACAATGGCGTGAACCCGGGAGGTGGAGCTTGCAGTGAGTCCAGATGGCGCCACTGCTCTCCAGCCTGGGCGACAGAGCGAGACTCCGTCTCAAAAGAAGAAAAAAAATAGTTGGCTGTAAATGCATGGATTTATGTGTCTGTGTTCGCTATTCTGTTCCACTAGCCTATGTATCTGTTTTTATGCCATTACCATGCTGATTTGGTAACTACAGCCTTGTGATATATTTTGAAGTCATGTAGTGTGATTCCCAACTTCGTTCTTTCTGCTCAGGATTGCTTTGGCTATCTGAGTTCTTTTGTGATTCCATATAAATTTTAGGGTTGTGTTCTCTATTTTTCTGAAAAACGTCATTGGTATTTTGATAGGGATTACATTGGCTATAAATTGCTTTGGGTAGTATTGTTATTTTAAGAATATTAATTCTTCCAATTCATGCACATGAAATATCTTTTCATTTTCTTGTGCCCTCTTCAATTTCTCTCATCAGTGTTTTATAGTTTTCCTTGAATAGATATTTCACTTCTTTGATTAAATCAATTCCTAGATATGTTATATTCTGTGTAGCTGTTACAAATGGGATTGCTTTCTTGATTTCTTTTTCAGACTATTCACTGTTTGCATATATAAATGCTACTGATTTTTGTGTGTTGAATTTGTATCTTGAAACACTATTGAATTCATTTATCAGTTCTAACAGTTTTTTGGGTGAAGCCTTTAGTTTTTCTAGGTATAAAATCATGTCTGAAAACAAGACTAATTTTACTACTTCCCTTCCAATTTTGATGCCCTTTTTAACTTTCTCTTGCCTAATTACTGGCCATAACTTCCAGTAAGTATTATGTTGAATAAATGTGGTGAAAGTGGACATCCTTGTTTTGTTCTAGATCTTAGAGGAAAGGCTTTCCATTTTTTACTTATTTAATACAATGTTAGCTGTGGGTTTGTCACATATGGTCTTTATTATTTTGAGGCATGTTCCTTCTATACCCAATTTGTTAATGGTTTTTATTATAAAGGGATATTGAGTTTTATTGAATGTTTTTTCAGCATCTATTGAAAAGATCATGTGGTTTTTGTTCTTGGTTCAGTTAATGTGATTTATCACATTTATTGATTTGTGAATGTTGAACGACCCTTACATCCCTGGGATAAATTCCACTTGATCATGGCGAATGATCTTTTTAATGCATTGTTGGATTCAGTTTGCTAGTATTTTGTTAAGGATTTTTGCATCTGTGTTTATTGGCCTGTAGTTTTATTTTTGTTGTTGTGTCCTTGTTTGGTTTTGTTATCAAGGTAATGCTGACCTCATAGATTTATTTTGAAAGTATTATCTCCTCTGCAGTTTTTTTGAAGCGTTTTAGTAGAGTTGGTATTAGTTCTTCTTCAAATGTTTGGTAGAATTTTGTAGTGAAGCCATCAGGTCCTAGGATTTTCTTTGATGGGAGACTTCTTATTACCGATTAGATCTCACTGCTCATTATTGGTCTGTTCAGATTTTTTATTTGTTTATGGTTCAATTTTGATAGGTTGTAGATGTCTAGAAATTTATACTTCTTTTTCTAGATTTTCCAAATTTGTTGGTATATAGTTGTTCATAACAGTCTTTAATTCTTTGTATTTCTGTGATCTCAGTTTTTTGTTTTTTGTTTTTGGTTTTGGTTTTGGTTTTGGTTTTTTTGAGACAGAGTCTCACTCTGTTGCCTAGGCTGGAGTGCAGTGGTGAGATCTCCTGTCACTGCAAACTCCACCTCCTGGGTTCAAATGATTCTCCTGCCTCAGCCTCCCAAGTAGCTGGGACTACAGGCACATGCCACCATGCCAAGCTAATTTTTGTGTTTTTAGTAGAGATGGGGTTTCACCACATTGGCCAGGATGGTCTCGACCTCTTGACCTCGTGTTTCACCTGCCTTGGCCTCCCAAAGTGCTGGGATTACAGGCATGAGCCACTGTGCCTGGCTGATCTCAGTTTTCATATCTTCTTTTCATTGCTGATTGTATTTATTTGGGTCCTTGCTCTTTTTCTTTTAGTTAGTCTAGCCAAAGGTTTGTCAATTTTATCTTCTCAAAAAATCAACTTGTCATCTGCATTTTTTAGTTTCTTTTATTTATTTATGCTGTGATCTTCATGATTTCTTTTCTTTTTGGCTTTGGTTTGTTGTTTTTCTAATTTATTGATGTACACTACCAGTTCATTTATTTGAAGTCTTTCTACTGTTTTGATATAGACATTTATTGCTATAAACTTCTCTGTTAGTATTGCTTTTGGTGCATCCCATAGATTTTGGTATGCTGTTTTTCCATTGTCATTTGTTTCAAAAAAGTTTTAAATTTTCTTTTTAATTTCTTCATTGACCCATTGATCACTCAGGAACATATTTAATTTCCATGTGTTTGTGTAGTTTCCAAGCTTCCTCACATTTTCATGATTTCTAGTTTTATTCCCTTGTGGGAATAACAGCAGAAAAGATGGTTGATATGATTTCTTCTCATTTGAATGTGTTAAGATTTGTTTTGTGGCCTATGATATGGTCTATATTGGAGAATGTTCCATGTGCTGATTAAAGAATGTATATTCTGTAGCAGATGGGTAAAATGCTCTGTAAATGTCAGTTGGACCAATTTGGTTCAGTGTAGGTTAATGTTTCTTTGTTGATTTTCTGTCTGGATGATCTGTCTCTTACTGAGAGTGGGGTGTTAAAGTCCCCTATACTATTAATTGTATTGCAGTTCATCTCTCCCTTTGTATTTATTAATGTTTGCTTTAATACTTGGGAGCTCTGGTGTTGGGTGCACAGATATTTATAATTGTTAAAACCTCTTACTGAATTGACTCCTTTATCATTATACAGTGATCTTCTTTGTCTCTTTTTACAGTCTTTGATTTGTAGTCTATTTCATCTGATATAAGTATATCTGCTCCTGCTCTTTTTTTTTGTTTCCATTACATGAAATATCATTTTAAATCTCTTCACTTTCAGATTATGTGAGTCTTTATAGGTGAAGTAGGTTTCTTATAGCCTGCATATAGTTGGGTCTTGTTTATTTATTGATTCAGCCGCTCTATGCCTTTAATTAGATAATTGAGTAAATTTACATTCAGTGTTATTGTTGATAAATAAGGATTTACTACTGCCATTTTGTTGTTTGTTTCTTCCTTTATTATCTTGTAACTCTTTCTTTCTTCCCTTCTTACTATCTTCCTTTGTGATTAAGTAATTTTCTCCGGTAGTATGTTTAACTTTGTTGCTTTTTATTTTTAGTGAACATATTTCACTAAAAATATATATTTTACATTGCGGTTACCACGAGGCTTACAAAAAATCTTCTAGATATAACAATTTTAAAGAGATGACAACTTATATCACAAAGAAAACAACAGAAACAAAGAAAAAAAATTTTAAAAGCATCTGCACAGCTGGGCACAGTGGCTCATGCCTGTAATCCCAGCACTTTGGGAGGCCGAGGCAGGAGGATCACCTGAGGTAAGGAGTTTGAGACCAGCCTGGCCAACATGGCGAAACCCCCTCTCTTCTAAAATACAGAAATTAGCTGGGCATGGTTGTGCATGCCTGCAATCCCAGCTACTCAGGAGGCTGAGGCAGGAGAATCACTTGAACCCGGGAGGTGGAGGTTGCAGTGAGCTGAGATAGTGCCATTGCACTCCAGTCTGGGCAACAAGTCTCTCAAAAAACAATTAAAAAAAAAAAAAGCGTCTACACTTTAACTCTATCCCTCCTTACATTTTGACTTTATGTTCTCTCAATTTACATATTTTAATATAGCCTATTTTTTTAACAGGTTGCTGTAGGCATTACTACTTTTGTTTTTCATAGATTTGCTTTTTGGATTTTATGCTAGAGCTATGATTGTATTGCACACCACAATTTTAGTGTTAGAGTTTTCTGGGTTTTTCCTTATACTTAATTTTGCTTGTTGGTTTTGGGCCTTCACACATATTTTCTTTTTGCATATTAGTGTTTTTTTCTTTCAGATTAAAGAACTCCCTTTATCATTTATTATAAGCTGGATTTGGTGGTGGTGGATTCTTTGAGCTTTTGTTTGTCTGGAAAAGACTTTATCTCTCCTTTATATCTGAAAGATATTTTTGCTGAATGTAGTATTCTTGAATAGCTTTATACACTTCAAAAATGTTGTTCACTCCCTTCTGGCATGTAAGGTTTTCACTGAGAAGTCTGTTGCCAGCTCCTTTATACGTTATGTGCTTCTTTCCTCTGACTGCTTTTAGGATCCTCTCTTTGTCCTTGACCTGTGAGAGTTTGATTGTTTTATGTTTTAGTGGTAGTCTTACTTGCATCAAATCTGGTTGGTGTTCTCTGACCTTCCTGTGCCTGGTTATAGCTTAAGTTTTGGAAAGTTTTCTGTTATTATTTATTTCAATGAACTTTCTATGTCTTAATCTTACTCAACTTCCTCTTGAACACAAATGATTCTTAGATTTGGTCTTTTGAGGTAATTTTCTGTATCTCATAGATGATCTTCATTTCTATGCATTCACTATTTTTTTCCTCTTCTGACTGTGTATCTTCAAATAGACTATCTTTAATCTTACCAGTTATTTCCTGTTTTATCCATTCTGCTGTTGAGAACCTTTAATGAGTTTTTCAGTTCTGCAAATGTATTTCTCAGGTCCAAGATTTCTATTTGATTCATTATTTCAATATCTTTGTTAAATTTCTCTAATAAACCTCTAAATTGCTTTGATATGTTATCTTATAGATCATAGTTTCCTTAAAACTGCAATTTTGATTTTTTGTGTAGAGAGTTCACATATCAACATCTCTTTAGGGTCAGTGACTGGTTTCTTGCTTTGTCTGTTGGAGAAGGTTATGATTCCCTGTATTCTGTTTCTTCTGGAGGTATATCTATGTCTTTGCATTGAAGGATTAGTTATTTATTCCAGTCTTTTCTGTCTTGTTTGTTTGTTTCTTTTTTTTGGATGTGTTTGTTTAAATGTTTTTGTAATTTACCTGTTGATTTTCTTTCTTCTCCCCCTCACCCAATGGGTTGCTGCCTTTTTTTTTTTTTTTTTTTTTTTGGCACCAGATGATGCCTCTAGCCCAGGTTTGTCTTGGTTCTAGTAAACAATCAGAATGCTTCTTATTCTGAGTAAGGGAGGTCCCAAATAGGATATCTTAGAGTATAGGAAGTCTGACTGGGAATTTGTGCCCAGGAGACCTGTAGAACAAACCTCTTACAGTACAGTGCTGCTGAGAAGCCGCTCTGATTCATGTCTCCTATGACCAAGTTTCAGAGCAGAGTTTCCAGTGCTGGAGATGATGGTCTCACCTCCTTCGTTTGTCTCTGGCTGTCCTTAAGAATATTTCTCCCTCTAGGCATCTCTGAGCTTCCCATAGGTTGAGGCAGAAACCAATCTTTCACCAGTGAACTCAAGATTGTAGGACAGCTGTTTGTCTACCTTGCTCGCCTTTTCCAATGTAGAAACTGTGAGTTGGAGAAGGAGGATTTTCAGCACACTTAATGCTGGATAGATTGGGAGGAAATAGTTTCATGGGTGTGGAAGTCTAATTCTCTTACCATCAGCTTGGATTTTTGTGGGATTTTTTTGTTTGTTTGTTTGTTTCATTTCTCTGTGGCCCTGAGAACTGTCTTATCTTCATGTTTTATTTCTGTGATATTGATGGAGACAATTTTGGCATTGTATATATTTATTTTTGATTTTCTGTTGGAAGAGTAAAGCCAGCTTGCTTCTATGCCATCATTTTGCAACCAGAAGTTACCATGCCTTCCTATTTGTAAAATGATTACAAAGCAACTATAATCAAGACACTCTACCACTGGAGAAAGAATAGGCATATAAATTAATGGAAATTAATGGGATAGAATAGAGATTCAAGAAATAAAGCCATTTACCTATAATCAGCTTATTTTAGTCAAGGATTCTAAACCATCCAATGAAGAAATAATAGTTCTTTTTTACAAAAAGTGCTGGGATAACTGCATAGCCACATGCAAACAGTGCTTACCTCACGCCACATATAGAAATGTATACAAAATTGATCAAAGACCTAAGTGTAAAAGTGAAAACTTTAAAACTCTTAGTAGAAAACAAAGAGGTAAACCTTCATGACCTTGGGTTTTGCAAAGGATTCTTAGGTATGACACTAAAAGCTTATGCAATGACAATAACAATAACAACAAAAAAATAGGAAATCAGACTTCACCAAAGTGGAAAACTTTTCTACTTCAAAGGACACCACAAAAAAGTGAAAAGACAACCAGAGAAATGAGATAAAATATTGGCACATCATGTATCTTGTATGTGACTTGTATCCAAAATATGTAAAGAATTCTTACTACTCAATAATAAAAAGACAACCAAATCAAACATGGGTAAATCAGATGAATAAATGTTTCTTCAAGAAGCTCAACAACATTAATCATCAGGAAAATACAAATTAAAACCACAATGAGGCTGGGCGTGGTGGCTCACACCTGTAATTCCAGCACTTTTGGAGGCCGAGGCGAGTGGGTCACTTGCAGTCAGGAGTTCGAGACCAGCATGGCCAACATGGTGAAACCACCTCTCTACTAAAACTACAAAAAATTAGCCAGGGTTGGGAGGCCGAGGCGGGCGGATCACGAGGTCAGGAGATTGAGACCACGGTGAAACCCCGTCTCTACTAAAAATACAAAAAATTAGCCAGGCGTGGTGGCAGGTGCCTGTAGTCCCAGCTACTCGGGAGGCTGAGGCAGGAGAATGGCGTGAACCTGGGAGGCAGAGCTTGCAGTGAGCCGAGATCGCGCCACTGTACTCCAGCCTGGGCGACAGAGCGAGACTCCGTCTCAAACAAAAAAAAAATTAGCCAGGCATGGTGGTGCACACCTGTAATCCCAGCTACTCAGGAGAGATGGGAGAATAGCTGGAACCCAGGAGGCAGAGGTTGCAGAGAGTGAAGATTGCACCACTGCACTCCAGACTGGGAGACACAGCAAGAGTCCATTTCAAAACAAACAAACAAACGAACAAACAAACACCACAACGAGATACCATTTCACACCCAGTAGGTGACTAGAATAAAAGGTGTTGGCAAGAATGTGGAGAAATTTGAATGCTTACACTCTACTGGTGAGAATGTAAAGTAGTACAGCTTCTTTGAAAAACAAGCTGACAGTTCCTCAAATGATTAAACATAGAGTTATCATATAACCCAGTAATTCTACACCTAGGCATATACCCACCAAAGGACATAGTCTACACAGAAACTTGTAAATGAGTATTTCATAAAAGCGTTATTCATCTTAAACCAAAAGGTGGAAACACCTATCAACTGATAAATAAACAAAATGTGATATATCCACATACTGAAATATTATTTAGCCATAAAAAGAAATGAAGTAATGATACATGCTGCAACTTGGACAAATCTTGAAAACATCATGCTAAATAAAAGAGCAAAGTCACAAAAGACTATCTATTATATAATTCCATTAACATGAAATGTTTAGAACCAGGACATTTATAGAGACATAAAGTAGATTAATAGTTGCCTAGGGCTGGGGGTGAGGGTGGGAGTCAGCTGAGGGGTGAAGGGTTTGTATGATAGGTAAAGCATGCTAGAATTTTGGGAGAGATGATGAAAATATTCTAAAATTTACTGTGGTGATATTTGCATATATCTATGAATATACTTCAAAAATCTAATTTTAAAAATCCAATCCCAAACATCACAATCCTTAATGTTGTAATTCCAGAAGATCAAAGTCCTGAAAATATAATTCTGGAAAAATTATTTCAAAATTTCTTAAAATATATTTATTTATATTTTTAAAATGGAAATTTATTTGAGAAACTTATAAAAACATGACAGAACACTTCATAGGGCACTCTAATCAATGAAATGGGCAACTATAACATACATATTTTTGCAAACACATACTCTCATGTATACTAATGCAGTCACATGGGTAAAACAGTTATGAGCAGACAAATAGTACTAATAAAGAAATAGTTTATATAACTACCATCATCTGAAATACCATGACCAACAACCTAAGCCATTTGATGAGACTGATCAAAAACCATAATTGGTCGCCACCACATATGCAGTCACCCAAAGAGCCAACATCTTGAGAAGTCTCATCCTTCACAAATGCAGATGTCCAAAAAGGACATCTCTTCATTTATTGAGGACATTTCAACATTTCTACACATATGCACAATGCTTACACACAAAGCCGGTGTGACAACACACCTTTGTGAAGTCAAATTTGCAAAAAGTGCATAAACAATTAGATCTCTAAAAGTCTTTACATAATTAATACTGCCAATATTAAAAATGATATGAAGATAAAATAAATAACATAGCAAATTGTAAAAAATTAATACTGACAATTTAAATAGGGGGGAAACAATTTTAAAAGGAAAAAAAAAACAACGACCAAAAACCTAAAAAGAAAACTTGATATATGAAAAAGTGTAAATCTGCTTTTTGTGGCAGTGTAGGGGAGGCATGGTTCTCCATGGAGAATATATTCACATTCATTTTCTACGTGATGGTGCTCTTTTTGCAATTCTTCTCTGAGTCAATATTCATGGATGTGAGCATTCCCTGTTACATTTTCTCATCTTCTGTGCTATGCTTCCATGTTGTTTTGAGCACACAGAAATCCATTCTACATGCATTCATATACTGACAACAAATTTGGCAGGAACAACACTGATGATTGAAAAGCAACACCACTATGTGTCTTTTTATCCTCCTGTGCACATAATTATTTTTGAACCACTTACTGGCTTCTCCGGGCAAATGCAGCTTTAATTTATTAAAAACTCCTGGAATGTCATCAGTTAGAAGGAATGCCAATGCAGGCAGATGACACATTTTTAAGCTGAAGTTTTCATTGTGGCCTTATCACGTGGCCAATCCACTCATCTAAATTTTCTGCCAGATGCATTGAGCTGAATAAGGAAAAAACTTTATTGATAACACCTTGAAATTCACTTTTAGGAGCCTTGATCACACTGAATTCCAAGTCTATGATTATGGTTTGGTGAGTCAATTAAAATCTATTTGCTGCTGAAAAGTTCACCAAAATTTCAAATAACCATTTATAAAGTGCTTCACTTTTTTTTCAGTCATTAATATACAAATGAGTGAATAAGTTGGATCCAAAAGTTGTATGAATTGTACATATTTCATTAAAAAACTGCAGGGACAATTTGAAAGTGCTATCCATTAGCCAAAGCAAACATGCACTAGTTTTTCTGTTAGATTTAGTGGTAAATAAAATAAGTCTATTTTCTTTGACAGTCAAATCTCTAATTAAGAATAGTTCACCATTTAATGTGTTTTGTACTACTGAAGAAACGTCAGTATCAGCAAATGTCTTTGGTTCCGAAAGTCATTGAATTTGTAGAATTATTTTTATTCTCTGACAAAGGGTGGTTTTTGAAGCCAAGCATGGTGCTATGTGAGAAGGAGCAGAAGTAGTACATGATTAAATAATTTGGCAAGAGTAGGAGAGAGTTCTTGTATTTTTTGCCTGAGTTTTCACTTCTGTGATTTTTTGAAACACTGGCTGCCCTTGTATTTGGAGAGTGATTGTGGTCTACAAATTTTGTAAAGATGTGCTGTCCATTTGAAACTCTGGTTATTGCTTGACCATTGCAATTAAGCAATTTTCTGCTTTCACATCATCAATAATAATTAGCTTTTAAACTTTTATCTTTCATTATTAGTAGCTTCATACACTTATCACAGCCTTTTTGTGAAAGAACAATTTCACAGATCTCTTCCCATTGTGTTGTAGAGAATAGAGTGAGAAGGAATGATATTTGGCTTCCCCAATGCTAAATCTGTGTTAGTTAGGGTTCTCCAGAGAGACAGACCGATAAGATGTGTATATAAATATATCAGGTGAGATTTATTAGGGGAATTGGCTCACATGATTATGGTGGCTGAGAAGTCCTACAACAGCCTGTCTGTAAGCTGGAGACCCTGAGATGCCAGTAGTATAGCTCAATTCAAGTTTGAAAGCCTCAGAACCAGGGAAGTCGATGGTGTAACCAAGGTCTATGCCTCAGGATCTTGGGGGCTGCTGTTCGAAGTCCTGAAGTCTTGGTGGGTTGTATATGTCCAGAAATTTAGCTATTTCTTCTCAAAATTTTTGGCATATGGTTGTTCATAGCAGTCTTTCATAATAATTTGTATTTCTGTGACAACAGTTGAAATGGTCCTTTTTTAATCTCTAATTTTATTTATTTGGGTCTTTTTTTTCTTAGTCTAGCTAAAACACTACCAATTTTGTTTATTTTTCAAAAACAACTCTTAAATTTGTTGATATTTTGAAACTTTTTTAGTCTCTAATTCATTTATTTCTGCTCTGGGCTTTATTATTTTATTCCTTCTGCCAAATTGGGGTTTAGTTTAGTTTTGTTTTTCTAGTTTCTTGGGGTACATGGTTAGGTTATTAGAAATCTTTTTTGATATAAGATTTTATTGTCATACACTTGCTTCTAGAGCCACTTTTGCTGTGTCTCATAGGCTTTGGTATGATGTGTTTTCATTCTTATTTTCCAAAAAAAATTTCAATTAGAAAATGTATTCATTGACCCATTAGTTATATACAAGACTGTTATTTAATTTCCATATATTAGTAAGGTTTTGTTGTTGATTTATCATTTTATACTACTGTGGCTTGAAAATGTAATCTTCATATTCTTAAATTTGTAAAGAATTGTTTTGTGGCCTCACATACCATCTATTCTGGAGAATATTCCATGTGCAGTTGATAAAAATATGTATTCTTTAGCTGTTAGATGGAATGTTCTGTAAATGTCTCTTACGTCCATTTGGTCTGCGGTATAGGTTAAGTCTGATGTTCCTTTTTTGATTTTCTGTCTCGATGATTTGTCCATTGCTGAATGTGGATTTTGATGCCCCACACTATTACTGTATTAGAGTCTCTCTTTCCCTTTATACCTAATAATATTTCCTTTAAATATTTGGGTGTTAGGCATAAAAATATTTATTATTGTTTTATCCTCTTGTTATATTGATTCCTCTCTCATTATATAATGACCTTCTTTATCTCTTTTTATAGTTTTTGATTTAAATTATATTTTTATGATACAAGTATGATTACTCTTGCTGGCTTTTGGTTTTTGTTTGTGTGAAATATTTTCATCTATCCTTTCACTTTTAGTCAGTAAGGGGAGCCTTTTTAGGCAGCATATAGTTGGGTCTTGTTTTGTTAGTCATTCAACCACTCTATATTTTTTCATTGAGGAATTTCATCATTTACATTTAAGATTGTTATTGATAAGTAAGGACTAACTACTGCCATATTGTTAATTGTTTCCTCATTGTTTTGTAGATCCTTATTTCTTTTCTTTCTTTCCATTATTTACTTCTGTGGTTTGGTGGTTTTCTGTGGTTCTAAGCTTTGTTTCATTTCTCTTTCTCATTGGTTTATCTGCTCTAATTTTTTCTTTGTGGTTACTATGGTTTTACCATAAAGAGACTTGTAGTTAAAACAGACTATTTTCAGCAGAAAACCACTTAAATTTGACCAAATAAAAATACTCTAGACTTTTCCCCCCACACAGGGTTTGTATTTTGGTTGCCTTAATATCATCTTTTGTGTGCCTTAGCCACTAATCATAGGTGTTGTTGTTTTTGACCATTTTTATTTTAAACCTTCATACTACAGGATTGAAAGATTTACATAACACTGTTTTGGCACCAAGATATGGTTACGGATTTTCCTATATTGATGACACTTATACTTTCACATGCTTTCATGACAGCAATTTTCTTCCTTTTGTTTCCAATTGTAGCACTTCTTAATCATTTCTTGGAAGGCTGGCCTAGTATTTATAGTACATTTTATTCTTGTCTTATAGTTTTTTTCTTTTAGCACTTTGAATACATTATCCCATTCTATACTGGTCTGGAAAATTTCATCTGAAAATTTTGCTAATAGTCTAATGAAGATTTCCTTATATGTGATGAAATATTTCTCTTGCAGCTTTTAGAATTCTTTTTGTCTTTGACTTTCAACAGTTTGATTATAACATGCCTCAGGGAAGGTTTTTTTTTTTTTTTTTTTTTTTTGGTTGAATTTCACCGGGGACTTTTGAGCTTCTTGTATCTGAATGTCCATATCTTTCCCTAAACTTGGAGAGTTTTTAGCTATTATTTTGTTAAACAGATTTTCTGTGCCTTTCTTTATTTCTTCTTCCTCTATACTCCTATAATGTAAACATTTGTTCACATAATGGCATCCCATAATTCCCATAGACTTTCTTCTCTTCTATTTCTCTGAATGGGTTATTTCAAAAGACTGTCTTCAAGTTCTGAAATTCATCTGGTCTGCTATAAAAGTTCTCAATTATATTTTTATTTTATTGAATGAATTATTTTACTTGAAGAATTCTGGTTTTTTCTTCTGATATCTATCTTTTTGTTGAATTTCTCAAATTATAAGTTATTTTCTGGATTTGAATGTTGTTTGTACATATTATCATATAGCTCACTGAGTTTCCTTAATATCATTACTTTGAATTCCTTTTCAATTATATTGTAAGAATCTTTTTGTTTGGGATCTGTTACCGGACACTCATTGTGTTCCTTTGAGGATGTCATATTTCCTTGCCTTTTATGTTTCTTGTGTCCCTGTATTGCTATATTCATTTCTAGTAGGCAGCCATTTTTTTTTAATTTTATGGAATAGTTTTTGAAGGAAAAGGCTTTTTCCTGTAGATGGGTTCTAGGGTGTCAGTTGGAAATGGTATGTTGACTTTGGTTCTGAGTGTGCTCAGTAGCATGGTCTATGAACAGATTCTTCAGCTGTAATCCTCATCTGCAATGTGTGCAAATGACTCAGGTACCTAGGCTACAGGGGTTTGTGATGGTGGTGGCATTATTTTTCTGGGGTAAAGAGCACTGGGTTGGTTTGAGGGCCAATTGCATGTGGGTGGGGTGGGCCAGCAAGTTGTGTGGCAGGCTGTCTGGGAGGTTGGGGCCACCACCAGACTGGTTGTCAGGCTAGGTGCAGCATGTATGGGCCAGGCAGCTGTGTGGGGTCCTCTCTGGGGATGATGGAGTCTCATTCATTCTGGATGTTATTCCAAGAGGGGGCGTGCACTAGCTAACTGGCTACATGGAGCTTCTCTACTGCGCAGGCCTGACTGTTTTCCTGAGGGATAGGGTGCCTCATGCATTCATACATTGGGGTCTTGGTCAGTCCTTCAGACATAAACTCCCAGCAACCTGTGTACTGGTGCTGTTGCAGGCATGCATGAGAATGTTGGTACAAGGATAGTGAGGCATCGGGGATAAAGGGAGTTGGTGGCTACTGGTCTCAAGGCAGGACACACTCTAGGTCTGGGTCTGGTTTCAAGATGGCACTGTAGCAGCTTAGGTTGCAGGGATCGGGGTTGCCAAGAGTGTTTCTGCTCTGTGATAATACAGCTGTGTGGACTCCTAGCAACTGTCCATACTGGATTTGGTGCCTATGAGAACTGGGGATCCTCTTGCAGCAATGGCTACTTGTATCTGGTGGTGATAGGGACTCCCAAGGGTCTCTAGTTTACCTTTTCCCCACAAGAAGACTCCCCTGGCTCTGAGCTGATCCCAGTTGGGGAGACAGAATGGCAGAGACAGGATGAGCTGCTTCACTCTCTATGGTGCTATCCTGAGTTTCCATGCTCCTCAGGAATTTCACTACTCCCCTGATGTTCTCCAGCATACTTCCTCAGTTACTCATGTCAAAATATAGTTGTTTATTTGTTATTTTGTTCCCTTCATTGGGGGTGGGGGGATGTGTATCAGACAACTCTTATTGGCCAAATTACATTCCAGTAACATTTGTATTTTTCTTTAGTCAATATTTTTACTCTTATATTTGATTATAAGTATTCTAGAAATTCTCAACACTCATTAGGGGTAAGTCAAGTGTCTTAAAGTATAACCCAAACTCCCTTCTCATATGCCTGCCTCCAGTAGTTTAGAAAAAAACAAGCTCTATCACCTAGAAGGACCTCCTGTTAACCAGCCTCTAACTAGCCATCGGTGCAAAAAAATTTAAATTCCTGCATGTCTCTCTGACTGCTCATTGACTGTCATTCTAATGGATATAGTTTATAGATATACAGAAGACAGAGGCTAGATTGCAGATCCTCTTCTTCACTCTGCCTTTTGAATGGCTCATAGGAAAGGCAAGAACGAAGCAGAAGGGTTTCACCCAAGAGGCACTTTAACAGATGTAAATATAGCCCTCAATTAGAAGATGTTTCAGAATGCACCCTGAGACAAAGTTTCAATTAATACAATGTCTACTAGACCAACTAACAGGCAGGGTAAAGTCCTGAGCATCCAAAACAGCCACAATGAACCAGTAGAGTCTTTTCCTCTACACTTAGCACAGTTTTCTCTTGGAGATTTAGCAAAGACAATTTTCATTTTTATATGCTTACTTTCTTTATGATTTATTAAACTATGCAAAGGCCCTCTTTGACAAACAGAAGGTTCCAAACTTTCTTTTTAGTAAGTGAACTATTTCCAGGCTAAACTGTAAGGTAGAAGTTCTTCAGAGATTTGTTTCTTTTCTCTTAGTACCTCTGGCTGCTCCTAATAACTTGATTTCTCTTTACCAGTGATTCCTGGTGTATTATTCTGGCTTAAGTTGTTTTATTTTCCTAAAGTATTTGTTGTGTACTTCAGTTAGTACAAGGACCAATTTTAAAGTACCTTTAATGTAAGATTTCTGCCTTGAACTTTGACAAAATAGCTTATAGGAGGCAACACTCCCACTGAAAGCACCTTTAAAAACTGAAAGAAATATAACATATGCATGTGTGAAAACATCAGAGAGCTTCTGATACAGTCAGGACTCAAGAGACCAGAATCCTTAGAGAAAGGAACACTCATTGAGGGAATCCAACATTTCATGAACTGGTTTTCTCCTTGAAGTATGTGATAATTAATTAGCTGTAGGTAGCAAGGCACTGAAGAGCTACACAATAAATTGAGCAGAGATCCAAGAAGAAAACAGTGGTTTAGCAGATCTTTTGGCAGCCTCATGGGGCTGCGAACACAAAATTTGGAATTTGGGCTTTTAAATGTACCAAGACTTGAGCATGCCAAGATTCCAGAGGAAGGCAGGCATAGACAACTGATCATGGAACTTTGAACAGATTTTCTCCTGGAGACATTAACTAATGCTTAAACTAAGAAACCAACAAAAAGGAGCTGAAAACCTGAGTTGAGATTTCAGCAATCTTACAGCACTAAGGTGACACTAATTAGCATTCTGAATTTGCCAATTAAAAAGGCTCTAAGAAACATGCTAGCTTTCAGTTGGGATCACTAGAGAACTATATCTCAGGAATAAAGGGGATGCAACAGAGGGAAGTTTACAAAAACTAAACTCTAACATGAAGTCAGCTCACTCCCTGATTGGAATACATGACCTGCCCCTACCCTTGCTGACATCCAGAGGATAGGGTGAAACCTTTCCTGAAAGCATGACATGACAAAGCACCTGTAGTTTTTTTCATACAGAATGTCTGGCATTTAATAAAAATTAGCAGGCATATAGTGAATTTGAATAATAACTCCAAATAGTTAAAGGGAAGATAAGTGAACTAGCGTACAGATTAGAAGCAAACATCCAAATTAAAAAAAAGAAAGGGGAGAAAACCATACAGTATAAAAAACATGGGAATTGGTAAAAAGACATGGCACAAATTTAATTGGAAATTCAGAAAGGATGAAGACAAAAAATAGAGTAGGTAAAATGTTAAAATATCTGAGAATTTTTCCAAACAAAAATATTAAGTCAGATTCTATAAGCACTACAATCTGTAAATCTATAAAACACAAAGAAAATCACATATAGGCACATCGTAATGAAACATCTGAACTCCAGAGACAAAGGGGAAATTTAAAAAGCAGAAGAGAAAAAAAAAATACATTAGATTCAAGTAGCAAAGAATAGATCCAGCTGCCTTCTCAACATAAATGATTGAAGCCAGAAAATAAGGCAATGATACCTTTAAAATATTGGAGGGGTTGGTTGGGAGGCGGTGACGGGGTTACAAACCTGTCAAACTAGAATGTTATATCAGTAAAAATATCATTTAAAAGTGAAGTCAAAGTAAAAGAATGTCCATTAAAGCAAAACTGAGAAAATTTTTCACGAGCAAATCTATACTGAAAAGCATAATGAAGAAAATTATTTGAACAGAAGAAAATTGATCCCAGAAAGAAATACAGGAAGAAGAAACAATAGAGTAAATGAAAAAATAAATATTTGGGCAAGTCTAAATAAAAATTAACTAAAACAATAATAATAATGTTTTAAATTAAATACATTTAAGGCTAAAATACTTGACAACAATAGCACAAAAGAGGGAAAGCTTAAATGTGATTAAAATGTTCAATGTGCTAGCCATGTCCAGGTGATAGCCTCATCATGGCAAGATTACTGACTTATAGTAGATAGTAATATGTCATGTGTATATTGTAATCTAAAGGATAGCTTCTAAAATAATGTATAATAACTGCCTAATAAAAGGGGAAATAAAATAATTGTATAATGTGCTAATTCTAAAAAAAATCAAATAAAAAGAAGCAGAACAAATGAAACAAATGGACAACAATACAAATTTTAAGATAATGGATAGAAATCTAAATATGGATGAACTGTTCTAGTTAAAAGACAAAACTAATAGAGGCAAAAATAGGATAATATAAAATAATTAATGTAAAGGAAATAACAAAGAACAAATGGTACAAAAAAAACCCCCACACAACCAAATGACAAAAGAGTAAACACATAATGTCAATGGACTAAACTATCCATTTATGAAACAATAATTTTTCAGATTGGAAAAGAAATAAAGCCACTATATTTTAATTAGAAGAACCACACCTTAATTTTGAAGATGCAGGACTAGAGCAAGTAAACTGTTTTTTAAAAAGTGCGTATCATGCACACTCTAAACAAAGGAAGCTGATTTTGCCAGTCTAACATCAGACAAAATAGCTTTTAATCAGGAAGCATTACAATATACAGAGCTATTTCATAATGATGAAAGGTATATTTCATAATGATAAAAGGTTCAGTCTATCAGGAAGATAGAGGATAAATTTGTATGTTCTCAATTATATAGCAAAAACTAATAGACTTAAAAGCAGATAGGCAAGTGCAAACTGGCAGAGGAAAACCTTAATCCAGCTGAAATTAATAATAGAATGAACACACAAAAAATAGAGAATAATTGAACAATATGATTAAAATGTTTGACCTAATAGATATATATAAAACATTGTATCCAACAACTGCAAAATACACATTGTCATTAAGTTCACATGAAGTAGTTACTACAATATACCATATCTATGCTGGTGTATAAAATGATATTTCAGAAGAGTAAATTCATTGAAAATGTAACTAATTACAGTGAAATAAAAATATATATCAATATTTCTGAGATTCAGCTAAGCAATGCCTAAAGAAATTTGTATAGCTAAAATTTATATATTTCAAAAACACAGACCAGCTGAAAAACAACAATATCTTTTTCATCCCAAGAAATTTAAAAATGAACAGCAAATTAAAGCCAAAGGAAGTAGTAGGGGAAAAAATAAAGATATAAGCAAAGATTAATAACCAAAAAAAGCAAAGCCAAAAGTTTATTTTTAAAAATATGAACAAAAAGAAAAAAGTACAAGCAACCATAAATCAGAGGAAAAAATACAGATTATTAATATCAGAAATTAAAAACATCACTAAAGATTTTATAGACATGAAAAACTTAAAGGACATAGTATAAAAATGTACAAATTTCTATTGAAAAACACCATGTTTTAGGACTGACAAAAGAAAGAGTAAACAATTTTAAAATTTTGGTTCTCATCAAATAAATTATACGTATAATTAAAATGTTTTTCAAAATGAAAGCTCTGGGCCCAAATGGCTTTCAATTGTGAATTCTTCAAACACTTGAGAAAGAAACAATGACAATCTTACTTTCGTATTCTGAGAGTATTCTACAAAATAGAGAATTTCCCATGATATATATTTTAAAAAATCCTAAGAATAGAAAAGTTGGAAAACCTCCCACATTTAAGAAATGAGGTCAGCATAACCTTACTACCAAAACCTAACAGACTTTACAAGAAAAAAAATTTACACTGATTTATCTCATGATTATATTTTTTAAAAAATACAAAACATAAATGTTCACTAATACTACTTTTATTTAACTTTGTCCTGCAGTCCCAGATAGTACATAAAGAAAAAAATAATAAAGTGGGTAAAAGTTAGAATGGAAGAAATGAAAGTATCATTAATTGTTGACAACTTGATTAGTTATAAATAAAAAAAACTTAGCTAAACTAATATAATTAGTTAACTGAGTTTAGCAAGGTTATTGAATATAATACCAACGTACAAGATTAACTGTAATTCAATATATCAACAAAAATTGGAAAGTAAAATTAAAATAATACCATTTATAGTGACTTTGAAAAACATAAAAAACTAGCAATCAATTTAACAAGAGACACACAAAACAACTGCACACAAAAAATACAAAGCATTTTTGACAGATATCAAAGAACATGTAATTAACTTGAGAGACATACCATGTTTGTTTATTAGAAAATCAATATTGTAAACATGGTAAACCTGCCCCATATTTGTCTATACACACATTCTGATCTCAATCAAAATTTCTGAATATATTTAGTAGATGACAAATGGAAATGTCCATTAATGGATGAATGGTTTCTTTAAATAAATATATATATATATCACATTTTATTTAACCATTATTTTATATATATATATATATAATGGAATATTGTTCAGCTTTTAAAAAAGGAAATTCTACCATATATGACAACATGAATGAACCTTAAGGACATTATGCTAAGCAAAATCAGCCAGTCACAGTATTACCAGCACCACACTCTGGGTTCTTGAAATCTCCCAGATAGAAATCAAGGGAGATCACCAGACATAGCAGCAGACAGAAAGTGAAAGTGTATTAAGGTTGTGCACAGGGGAGTCAGTACCACCAAAGGAAAAGGGTGGGCTGCTCCTCAAGAGAAGTATGGGAAAGAGTTTCATCAGTTATGTCCAGGAGGGGTTTCTCTAGCACTTGAACAGTGGCTTTACATGCTTCTTCATACCTAGCACATTACATTATCATTTTAAATCTCCACCCCTGGGCATAATTTTTAGCATTGAAATGAGGTCACTGTAAGGTGAAGTTTAAGTCTAACTGTGCAGGAAAGGCCCTGGGGAACTTGGCCAGGCAATTCCTCTGCCCATGACAGGAACTTGTGGTAAATAGTGCCTTGGTTCTTTTGCTGCTGATTGGCTTGAAGTTAGGTAAGCTATAGCTTGAGTACAGGGCTTTTGTTCTTTTTCTCTAAACTACATTAAATTAGGAAACCAGCCTGCCTGCCTGTCTCAACAGAAGAACAAACACTGCATGATTCCTTTTATATCAAATATCTAAAATAGTTAAGCTCACAGAAACTTAGAGCAGAATGGTGATTGTTGGAGAATGGATGGAGGGGCATATACGGCATTCAATGGTTATGAACTTTTAGTTATAAAATATGAATAAGTTATATAGATCTTCTGTACAACATTGTGCCTATAGTTAACTGTATTATGCATATCAAGTGTTCTTACTACAATAATAATAACAAAAATAAAGCACCATTATGAGCCAAGAGGCAAACTACCTGTTAGAAGAAGATATTTGTAATAAATATAGTCAACATAGGACTCATGACCTGTATATATAAGTAATTACTACGTATTAATAGAATAAATGCAGAAGAATTCCAATAGTGTATATCCAAAGACTATTCTTTCAGGGATCATTATGCGAGAAGTTTTTCTGAATGCCTAAAGAACCAGAAAACCATGAGGACAGACAGCAGCATTTTCTCCTGAGCTTGAAGCTGGCTCTTGGCACTGGTTTGCTGCAACTGCCGTTTGCCATTGCTGATCATTTTTCTCTTCCTTTGGGAGAGTGAGGGGAAGAGAATGCAATCTGAGTGATATTTCTTAAAAGAGGAAAAAAAGACCAATAATATATGAAAAGGTGCTCAATTCTATTAGACATCAATTAAAATCACAATAACTTAAATACACACCCACCAGAATTGCTTACCTGAAGAAACCAAACCACAACAAAACAAAACAAAGAAATCATCTGACAATACTAAAGTTGGTGGGAATGTGAAGCCATTAGACATTTTATACACCACCAGCAAGGGTAAAAACTTTTACCCTTAGATTGGTAGTATCTAATAAAGCTAAACAGACAAATGGCAACAATCCAGTTGATGTGGTTAAGCTTTGTGTCCCCACCCAACTCTCATCTTGAATTGTAATCCCCATAATCCCCACACGTCAAGGGAGAGACCAGATGGAGCAGGTGGAGGTAATTGAATCATGAGGGCAGTTTCCCCCATGCTGTTCGCATGATAGTCAGTTCTCACAAGATCTGATGATTATGTAAGGGGCTCTTCCCCCTTCTCTCAGCACTTCTCCTTCCTGCTGCCTTGTGAAGAAGGTGCCTTGCTCCCCTTCACCTTCCGCCATGATTGTAAGTTTCCTGAGGCCTCCGCAGCCATGCTGAACTGTGAGTCAATTAAACCTCTTTCCTTTATAAATTACCCAGCCTCAGGCAGTTCTTTATAGCAGTGTGCAAATGGACTAATACACCAGTAAATTCACTTCAAGGTACATGCCAAATAAAATTGTGTATTTATGTTCACCCAAAAGACACATCGAAAAATGTAGCCCAAACCCCAATCTATAATAGAAAAAATAAATTAATAGTGGTAAATTTTGGCAATGCAACATTATACAGTAATGAGAGAATGAACAAAATACTGCTGCAGATGAGAAGAATGAACCTCACAAGCATAAACTGGAGCAAAAGAAGCCAAACATAATGAGTGAGATACTATATGTTCCACTTACACAAACGTCAAAATCAGGTAAAAGTAAGTAAAAGATAGCTGTCCCAAGATAGGTACTGGGAGAATGCGAATAGTGAGCTATTTCTTGGTCTGGTGAGTAGTTACAAGAATGTGTTCAAGTTTGTAAAATTTCTTTCAGCTCTTCCTTTGTTATTTGTTCATATTTCAGTATGCACGTTGACTTTATTAAAAAGTTTAACTTCAAAATACTAAATGTATGATTATAAAAGTTAAAATATAAAATATATGGAAGAATATTAAAATCACTCATAAACTTACTATTGTTTCAGTGAGTTCCTTCCAGTGCTTTATAGTGTGTGTGTGTGTGTTTGTGTGCTTTACAAAAATATAGCTTTTTTCCCCTCTGTTTTTCCACTTAATTGTTTCTCTAGAGACTTTTCCAATACGGTAAATATTCACCAAAATACATCTTCCAAGAGTTATCTAGTATTCTTTTCTCTAGAGGAAACTGGCTTACTTAACAGATCCTGTGTTGTAAGACATTTGAGGTATTTTTATTTTCATTATTTTAAATACTTCTCTGAATTTTTTAACAAAAATCTGAGCTTGAATTGAACCTCTCTAAGAAGACAAATTGCTAACCTAACAAATTGTACAAAATTGACTCCCACGTGAGGCACGTGTGGCATAGAACTTTCTTTATACTCTTACTAACACTAATAATTATGCCATTAAAATTTGCCAAATTGACAAAAATTGTTTTATTGTAACTCATATTTCATTGATTTCTACTGTGTTAAATCATATCTGTACTTCTTTTTCTATTAATTAACTTTCCATCTTCCTTTCCTCCTTTTATTCTGTTGAGGTATCTGTGTTTTTCCTGATGTTTTATAAAACTTTTATAGTGAAGATATCTATGCTTTGCCATATATATTGCATTTTTCCCTATTTGACAATTAATATTTAAGTTTTTATGGTGTTTGGAGAGACAAAAAATATTGTATGTGTATGTGGTTGAAATAGTTTCTGAGTTTCCTTTCACTGAATTTATGCTTAGAAAGTCCATGGCCATTTCAAATGACTTTAATGTATGTGATGGTTACCTTCATGTGTCAGCTTGCCTGGCCATGGGGTGCCCAGGTATTTGGTTAAACATTATTTGGGGTGTACCTCTGAGTGTGTTTCTGAATGAGTTTAACATTTGAGTAAAGCAGATTATCCTTTCCAATGTTAGTGGGTCTCACCCAACCCTCTGAAAGCCTGAATAGAGAAGATGGTGGGGTAAGGAAGAAGTTGCACTTTCTACCTGATTGTCTTCAAACTGGAATATAGGTCTTCTCTTGCCTTCAGACTTAGACTGGAACTATACCATCAGCTCTCCTGGGTCTCCAGCTTGCTGACTGCAGATTTTGGGATTGCTCAGCATCCACAATTGCATGAGCCAATTCTTTAACATACATACATACATACATATCCTACTGGTTCTGTTTCTCTGGAGAACCCCAATTCAATGTACATTTGTATTTTCTTCTATTTTAGTTTTTCCTCTTTTTGTACATTTAATTTTAAATCTATCTGGGGGTTTTGGTGAAAAGAGAAAATCAAATATCTTCCCTTAATGTTCTTTTCCCCTGAATGACTGATACCTTCCTTCTGCGTCTGAAACCCAGTTCAAGTATTCCCTCCTCTGTGCCATGACTGTATTTGGCACTTACTTCTTTTTCTGTTTCTCTTCTCTAAAAACTAGACCCCGTCAGTTCATTCACAGCCATAGCTGATATTCTGATCTTCTTCTCGGAATAACTGTGTTTCCCTTTGCTATTATATAAGATCCAGTGATACCATTTTCACTGGGGGCATTCTTGCTGTCATGCTCTGCTCACAAACCAGATGGCTTGATTATGGATCTCATCTAAATCAGATCTATTTTCAACATGTTTTTTTTAGAAACATATAGTCCTGCCCTGCTGGTGAGATCTTCAATGTCAGATATTTGTTTAATTTCCTCATTATTCTTTGTCCCTCTGCCTCTGTCACTGTATTTCTTTTTCTCAGTCTGCTGAACAGTTTCAGACTTACATTAGTTGCAACAATACACATCACCCTGTATCTAGGGACTTAAGAGAATTTTGAAAAGTCAATTAAAAGGTTTGAATCTCAGCTTATTTATTTGAAAATTATTATAATTCTTAACCACAACAAGATTGTTGTGGACCTCAAGTGAAAACAATGGAGATAAGATAGGGTTGCCAGATAAAATATAGAACAACCAATGAAATCTGAATTTCAGATAAACAACAAATATATTTTAGTGTAGGTATGTTCCATGTAATATCTGAAAATCCTAACATGAAAGCACATTGTAACATGTTAAAGCATTATTTACCAAGAAAAAGAATTCATAAGATGAAGACAAAAAAGAAAAAGAACAGCTCATTCTACTGTTTGTGTTTTCTCCTCAGGTTTGATACCCTAAATAATATTTATCAAAATTAGAGTGAATCAGGATGAATAGTGAATGTTGTGGCTGGTAAAACAACTTTGTTTCTACGACTGCAAATAATGCATAGAGTCAGTTTACCAAGTGATGACACCTCTGTATTAGTCAGGGTTCTCCGGAGAAACAGAGCCAATAGGATAGATATAGATAAAGAGATTTGTTATGAGGATTGACTCACACAATTGTGGAGGCTGAAAGTCCCAAGATCTGCCATCTCCAAGCTAGTGGCCCAGGAAAGAAGGTGGTATAATTCTACCTCAAACCTGAAGTCTCGAGAACCAGTTGTGCCAATGTCTGAGGGCAGGCAAAGATAGATGTCCCAGCTTGAGCAGAAAGCAAGTTTGCTCACCTTTCACACTTTTATTCTATTCAGGTTCTCAAAGGATTAAATTATGCCCACACACATTGATGAGGCTGAACTTCCTTACACTGTCTGTTGACTCAAATGCTAATATCTTCCAGAAACCCCATCACAGACACACCCAGAATAATGTTTTACCAGCTATCTGGAAATCTCTTAGTACAGGTAAGTTGACACATTAAAATTAATCAAATCAAGCCCCTAATTTTCCACCCCTTACAAACATGATCCTTCTATAGGATTGGAAGGATGGGGACAATTGTCTTTTTCCATAGTTCTTTGCTGAATCTGATCTTGTGTTATTCTCTTGCTGATAGTGACAGCTGTGCTGCCCAAGGCGATGCTGATTTATTCTCAAATTAAAACAATAAAATTTACTAACAACTCTCCAAATCCTCCAGATAAGAGAACTATAAACTGTTTTCTCTTTCTGTCAACTCCCTGAAATTACTTCTCCATCTCTTCTTCCTTTTTTAAATACAGAATTTAAGTACCCTTTTAAAATCTTAAAACTCTATTTCTTCTCCCAGTTGGCTCTTAGCCTTGGTTTTGCTCAGCTTTTATTCCCTTTCCTGTTTTGAACTCCCTGGTTCCCTGGAGAGCAGAAATTGGAATCAGAGAGATACAGGCTCTGATATTTGCTCTTCTACTTACCAGTAGTGAGCTAGCTAGGGATCCTCTCACAGTTTCTATTTCCTCATTCATACAAATGGGCCTTATAATACTGTTGCAGAAATTTTCTGGCAACAGAGTTTACTGAACCACTTACAAACTGTTTCAGCCCTAGGATATGGTCCTCCACTTCTTTGAAATTCCCAAACAGGCCTGTCTCAAGAACAGAGGAGACATCTGCACTGTTTGATACTAGCATTATGGTCAGAGAGACAAATCAGAAAATCTAAGTGAAAGAAAATGAACAAAAGCCTGATGGCACAGAGCTTGGGAATACAGGTGCATAATATTTAGAGCAGTATTCCCTAGAATTGAAATTAATGGTGTATAGGGCTTTTGACTTATCCAGTGAGGGATTCTTCTTGAAGTTACCTTTTTGTATAATGAGACTTTCAAAAAAAATCTCTCCTAAGTTACCATGTATTTATATTAATTGGCTTTTTCAAAGAGCATTCACTTATATAGGCTTATTATATGCTCCCAGTTTCTTTATTCAGTAAGCAGGGTAAATATTTTTACTGTTGCCTAACAACTGAGGTGGCTGAAGTTGCAGGAAATCAATGTGAAAGAAAACACAATCAGGAAGTGGCAGATCTAAGAGTGGGCTATGTGTATTCAAATGCATAATAGATGCTGCAGCTAGAATTCTTGCTTGGGAGAAATTGTACAACATAGTCCCTAAGATGCTATGAGACTTTCTGTATTAATGTAGGGCTCTTTCTCTGTTTTGATGATGTTATCCTCTGGAGAAGTTACATATTTGATTTTATATTAGATAAATATTAAAAAATCTTTATTTCTTAGTAAAAATTTGAAGAGCAGCATTATGTAGTAGAAAAGTAACTATAGACTGATACCTAAACAACATGATTTTTAGTTTCAGTATTTCTATGATTGGTTTCGGACAAGTTTCCTGACTCCTCTAGATCTCATCTTTTTAATTTGAAAAAACACCCCCGGTTTCATTAATATAAATGGGGATACAAGTCAAACAGAACACCCTCAACAGTATTTACCTACACTTCAAAAAATATCTTTCATCTTCAAAATCTCCTTACCTCAAATATTAATATCAGTTTGTGGAATTTTTATACAATTTTACTGAGGTAGAGCTAGTAATAAATTTATAAATTATATGTCAGAAAACACAAAGAAAAATAAAATTTATAAGTGGGAAAATGCAAGTTAGGAATTGAACTTGTATTTTGAAACTTACTCATTAGCCTATTCTTCTTTCACATCTAAAATCATTCGGGATATATTCCTTAGACTTTATTTGGTGACAAGCACTAGAGATAAAACACAGGATCTACTTTTGAAACATCTCTCAGAATCACTTTGCACTTTCATGGAGTTTACATCTTACAAGGAAGGTAAACATTAAACAATATAAGATGATATCAAATGGTGCAGAAAGGTAAAGAAAAATGAAGACTGAAAACATTGTACGAAAAATTTCCTAAAGGGGATGATTATCTTGCCTTGAAAAAGAAGTAAAAGCCACATAGAACATATGTGTATTTAGATAATCTGACCTGACTGTAAAAGTGGTTGCTTTCCTAATTATCACTGAATTATATAACTGTAAGAATGATAAATTTGTTGAGTCAAAATTAGTAGGTTAGGTAATTATTACTAGAAATGATATTTTTCTGGCTTTCTTTGCAACTAGAGTGCAAGTATATGATCCAAGTGCCACCTACCAAAAGCACATGCTGGAGAATATTAATAAATGATATTATTCTTTCAACTTTTCTCTAGATTTGAAATTTTCTAAATAAAATGTTAAAGGGAGAGTAGAACATCTGCTGGAGATTCTGATTGAGAAGTGAGCCACATAACGGAATAAAACCATGAGGAATCTATGTTCTGGTGAAGGTAGTGGCAGAAGCGTTGAGCCATCGTTTTTCACAGTCAACTTTGTGATAGAGCAGTAGTGGACCTGCCAACCATAGCATCGGTGTTCAGGAGCTGCAGAACCAGTGTTTTCCTCATCAGACCGCTTCTGGAACATGACTGTGGGTGACATTTCTGAAACACAAGCTTAACCTTGGTTGGTCAGCCCTCCCACCTATTTCTTGAGCTCCCCCAATATCATTTTAATTTCTTCCTAGTCAACCACAGTTTGCTTCATTGCTAACAGCTTCAATTCTGACTTGTATAGAAGCCAATAACTCATGTAGAATAATGTCTATTGCTGATGTCATAGACTTTGAGAACTGGTAAAAAATAAAACTATTTCCTCCCTTTTATTTCCTTATTTTTGAAACAATTTCTGTTTCTGTTTCAAAAATAAGAAATAAAAGGGAGGAATACCATAAAAGAATGAATCCTTATTTGTTTCAGAATTGGTGTGGTTGGTACCTAAGTTCCCTTTGACAGCTGTCTGTGACCCAACCTAACTCTTTTTAACTGCAATAGACATAAACCTCTCCTTGGCCTGAAAAACTACAGGGTCAAGAAGGGAAAGCTAACATACCTTACCCATCAACTATATTCTTCCCAAGGAAAAATTTTACAGGCTATAGGAGTGTCTAGCCGTATGACTGGTGCCTGGAGTTGAAAGAACAATGTTGGATCCTGTGTGTGAAATTTGGAAGAACTGTTACATATCCTTTACATTAGTAGTTACCAAACTATAGTGTGCAAAAGAAAACACTATTTATAATTACTTTATAGTTAAAACACAATTCCTTGAGATTCCGCTTGCCGAGATTCTGATTTAGTAGGTCTGCTATGGGACCTGAAATTCTGCATTTCCAACAAGTTCGAGATGATGATGCCACCATTCTGAGAATCACATTGTGAGTGTCAAAACTCTAGACAACTTAAAAGATGCCTACAAAATGTACCCATTAGATTTAGCAACAAGCTTTCACTGATGACCTTGAGTAAAGCAGTTTCAGTGGAGTAATGGAAACAGAAGCCAGACTAGTAATCTCCCCAGTGGAATCGAAGTAGAAATAAAAGGAAAGTGGCCAGGCGCGGTGGCTCACACCTGTAATCCCAGAACTTTGGGAGGCCGAGGCGGGAGGATCACGAGGTCAGGAGATCACGAGGTCAGGAGATCATCCTGGCTAACACAGTGAAACCCCGTCTCTACTAAAAATACAAAAAATTAGCCGGGCGTGGTGGCGGGCGCCTGTAGTCCCAGCTACTCGGGAGGCTGAGGTGGGAGAATGGAGTGAACCCGGGAGGCGGAGCTTGCAGTGAGCCGAGATCGCGCCACTGCACTCCAGCCTGGGCGACAGAGCCAGACTTCGTCTCAAAAAAAAAAAAAAAAAGAAAAGAAATAAGAAGAAATTAAGGAAATGGGGACAGCAATAAATCCTATAGAAATGCAAGAGAGATGGAATATTAAAATGAGAGAAACACTTAAAGGATAATAGAAAAGAGCCAGCAGAAAAGGAAAGGTTGAAGCTACTGAAAATAGAGGCACTGAACAATGAATAAAATTCCTAAGGATGCTAGAGAGGATGGGACCCAGGGCACAGGTAAGCATTTGGCTTTGGCGAAAATGAGGCACTTCTTCTACCCTAACAAGAAGGAAAGAGAAAACAGAGTGGGAGAACGTGTACAGATTAGTAAATTTGGTGTCAGTAAGTATAGGGTTCCTGTATGCTAATGAGGAGGGGAGATTGTTGTTGAGGCTGAAATGTTTAAAGAGCAGGGAGAAAACTGGAAACAACCAAGCAGGTTTAGACCAGGTAAGAAAATTAATTAGGAAACTATACTAGAATTGTTGGACGTGGCTGAAGATACAGAAATGTTTTCAATTTGTAATGTAAGTCTTTTATTTGTTTTTTGTAGCAGCACTGAGCATCTTGGATACATACTCAAATAAGGTAAATAACTAATTTAAGTTAGGATCAGAGTTTTTCCATAATGCGTGCAATGAAAGGACAATGTAGCAGGAGAATTTATTTCTTGAAAGTCTGATTTTTGAATCTTGTTAAAGTAAAAAGTAGGAAGAGTTCTCTATTTTAATGTTATGTCCTCTATTGAGGAGAAACAGTAAAATTTTAATTGTCCACTTACAAACTGCTTAGATAATAATTGGGAAAGGCATTCATTAGCAGGGAAAAGCTACATAAATTGTCGCTTTTGTAGTGCATTAAGTGAAACTTCAGTCTGCATTTTAAATTCCTGTTATCGGGAACAACTATTGGAAGAATAATGAAATCAGTCATTTTCATATATTTATAGTGCATATTCGTTATTCTCAGTCTCTGAGAAAGAGCAACCTATACAAATGAATTTAAGTGCTTTTTCATTAGTGTAAATAAAACGTTAAGTAGTAGGAGGAATTGCTGTAAATACCGTAGGCTAAAGTACTTTCAGTAATCTTTTTCTTGAACGATGGTGGCAGTTAAAAGACTATCTCAATACTTGTTCTTGATAATGATAACATAAACCCAAAGAAGTAAAATCTCTTTTCTTGGAAAGCCCATGATATCCACAGTTGGAAGGTAGGATCATAAAATGGATTTCTCCCCCGCATTTGATGGCCACAAGGTCAATGAATTTTACGTGGAGAAAGGTGTTTCACATTTTTACAGCTCTCTCTACTCAGCTTGTGCTTCAGCTTTAGCCAACATTATGTAAAGGTCCTTTCTCTTTTTTTCCCCTTCAGGATTCTTTCTCCTTTGATGCTATTTCCACAGAGAGTTAATTCCAAAACCTTATCAAAACCTACAAGGCCCTTCATGACGTGGCCCCAAGCTTCTCACTTTCCCTCCCATTAACTCTGTTAAAACCACATGGACCTCCTTCTTCAAGAAAGCCACTGTGTCACAGTCATGAAGATAACAACATGGCCCTGTGGCATTCTTCAGTGACACAACGGAAGGAAACTAGGTCTATATTGGAGCAAGCTGTCCCCAAACCTAGAACACCCGCCTCAAATTATTAAGCAAGAAACAAACTTCTATCAAATTCTTTAAGTCACTGAGTTTGTATTGGATTTCTTTACTATAGCAGCTTAGCCTTACTCTAACTTTACTACATTTCTCCTCATAGCACTTATCACTCCTTCATATTATCTTTTTTTTTAAATTTGCTTATAGTTTTTTTCCCCCATAGAATGTTACTTCACGAGGGGAGAGACTTTGTGTTGTTTCTCCTTGTATCTTAACATGTTGAACAGTGTTTTCCATATAGTAGGTATGCAGAAACCTTTGAGGAATGAATGATTAGCACATGAATGAATGATGAATGAATTCTATCAACTGAAGCTCTGCTTCCAGATTTCCTTTTCCTGCTCCCTCTCTTCCTCCACCCTCCCACACATCCTCCACCGTGTGTGCATATTTGCTGTACAGATGCCTGGGCTCAGTAAACACAAAGTCTGGGCTTGGTTGCAGGGACCCAGGCAGCACAGCTGTTGATCCTAAGCAGCACTGTAGTCTCCTCCAGTGAGTGCAGCTGAGCTTTGCAGAAATGTAGTTCCATGATTTGGCTTTCAGGAGGTGTACACCTCTGTCAGGTACCTTTACGCTAACGGCCATTTCAGAAAGCAGACAGGTTGGCAAAGCAAAAGGAATTGAGCCCTGCAAAGAACTCATCTCCAAGATTAAATCTTTGAAGATCCTCAGATAGCCATTATTACCCTGGCTTCCTTCCAACTGAGAGTCAGCAAAATGATCAGTGTCTTATCTCCCAGGTAAAGGAGGATACTCAGAGCCCATTTCTTTTTGAGTGTATAAAATAAAAAATTTACTGAGTGGTTACTTCCTGTGTTTGGCAGTTTTAAGATAGACAGTACTTTTCTGAGACAGAGGGGAGCTGGCAATTGCAAGTTTCCATATGCTGGAAGAGTTGATGAGCTTCTTTTTGCATGATTGTTAAGTGGATTTAATTGCTGCATTTTTTATATAATTTATAGATGTATTGATTAAATATATGTTGTGTTTTACTTCCACGGCTAGCCCAAGGTTCCAGGTAATTTAAAACCAATGTTAGCTAATAGACTAGAAATGTTGAATACTTTTTTTTGCAATTTTATATTTTGACTAATTGATAAACTATTTCAGTACACACACAAATTAACTGTATTTGAACTTACATTAAGTCATGAAATAATACCTTTTTGAGTCAAGATTATAAATTGGTCTTCTGTTTACTTCATTAGTCTTTCCCCTCTTACTTTTGCTATGTAGATTATAAGTTCCTTGAAAGCAAGATTTGGGTTTAATAATTTATTTGTTGTGATAGAAAATTTAGCATAGTACTGTAAATGCAATATACTCTCAACAAACAGTTAAATAATTAGGATACAAAGTTAATTTGTTGTTGCAATATATGAAAACCTCTAAGAAGCTCTAAATTCTAACTATTCGGATTTTATTAAACCCGAAGTAATTAACACTAATCCACAGACTGAAGATTCAAATTGAATTAGGCTGTTCTAAAGGAATCATGCTGTGGGCACATTCATTTTCAATTTTCTTGAAAAGAAAGACTGGAAGTTCCACTAGAAATTTAAAATATATATTTTCCCATAGCAGTATACTTTACTTCTTTAGGATACTAATGAATTCTTCCATATCCTTAGACATAAACAAACAGAGTGCCTGCCCTAAACCCTGCACCTCAGGGACTTGATCTCTGGAGCGTTGACATGTCAACCTCAAAAATTTCTAAGTCTGGCCGGGAGCGGTGGCTCACACCTGTAATCTCAGCACTTTGGGAGGCCGAGGCAGATGGATCACAAGGTCAGGAGTTCAAGACCAGCCCGGCCAATATGGTGAAACCCCGTCTCTACTAAAAATACAAAAATTAGCCAAGCGTGGTGGTGTGTGCCTGTAATCCCAGCTACTCGGGAGGCTGAGGCAGGAGAATCACGTGAACCCGGGAGGCAGACGTTGCAGTGAGCCAAGATCGCGCCATTGCGCTCCAGCCTGGGCAACAAGAATGAAACTCTATCTCAAAAAAAAAAAAAAAGTTTCTAAGTCCACTTTCAGTGGCTGAGACCAACTAGGGCCATCAGTGCTCCCATGCGAGGTGCCCTAAATTCAGACTAGAAACTGAATGAATTCTGGACCACTTTTCTCCCATTTGGGGCACCCTCTAACCCTTTACTCCATATATTGTGTTGGCTGGATATCTCAAGAATCTCCAGGACTCATGTCTAGGGGATTGTATTAGGGTCTCCTGTTTGGAACTCATTTCAGGAGAATGGCCTGGGTCATTCTCTCTGGAAAATGAGTATTGTACAGTATTGTACAGGATTCGGTTTCTAGAATGGTGTTGACACACTGATTTTGGGTGGCGCACACTCACGTGGGAAACAAGATCAGTTCACTCACATGGGAAACAAGATGAGCTCAGGGATCTGGGCTACCAGTTGTTCATCTCTTGTTGATGGCTGTTGTGGGACCTCGGTTTTGGTTTTTTTAGTTTAAAAGAATTTAAACAAGAAACACAGAGCAAAGGAGATAGAGCATGAAGTAATTTATTGCAAAAGAAAAAGGATATTTTGAAAATTAGATGCAGAATAAAAAGTATGCCCTGAGAGAGAGAGAGTTCAGGGCGGGCTCCTTGTAAGGATGAGACAGCAAAGACTGGCACTAGGGAGGCTTTCTTTATGGGGAATCCCCTTTATGGGAGTCTTACATTATTCCTAAGGGGGTGGGAAGAGGTGTTACTAGTAAGCACGTTCTGGGGGGCCCTCTGGGTGCACATGCACAGTAGCTGTATATGCTTGTTCATACAGTGCATGTCTCATTAGCATCTTAAATCTCCACCCAGGGGTGTGTTTTTTACTATTTTAATGAGCAAAAGGTCAGTCTGAGGACAGGTAAAATCAAAATGTGCATGCATTCTATATGGGAAATTTCCTACTAGAGATAGCTTTTCTTGAATGAGCTGGACTGCAATGTGAATGCTGGGGCTTACTTTGGTCACCACAGTTGCCATGTTCCAAGGACAGGGTTTCTTCCTTGACTATGTGTCCTGCCTCACTCTGACCATTGAGCTTCAACTGCATATGAGGGCATTTGCATCAGCTCCGGCCCCTTTGTGTTCTGGCAGCAGGGCTGCCTCTAATCTCCACAGCTATAGGGAGAAGATGGTGGTAGACATCTTTTATTCTATGTGCCCCTTACCACTAGCACTACCCCTGCAGTGTTTTCGCTACGTATCAGGCAATACTCCATGGGTGGTTGTACATATGTTCTCCAAGAGATTTCAAGATGGTTGATCCATAATTCTAATGAGTCTTTCTAATCATTGTATTATCTTGCCTAAAATCAATGAAGTAATGATCTGTTCTCCTTGGTCTGTCTTAAGCCCATTGAAAGTATTGTCTACGACTGCTATAACAAGTTACCACAAACTTGACTGATGGCACGGAACAACAGAAATTTAATCTCTCACAGTTCTGGAGGCCAGAAGTCCAAAATCAGTTTCACTAGGCTGAAATCAAGGTCTCAGCAGGCCCACGCTGCCTACAGAAGCTCTAGGGGAGAATTTCTTCTTTCACTTCTGCAGCTACTGGTGGTGGTCAGAATTCCTTTGTTTGTGGCTACATCTTCCAGTCTTTCCCTCCATGGCCACACTGTCATCTCCTTTTTTGTGTCAAATCTCCCTCTGCCTCTTCTTGTGAGAACACTTGTGATTGCATTTAGGGCCTACCTTGATAAACCAGGATAATATCCTTATCTTGAAATTCATAACTTAATTATATCTGCCAAGTTTCTTTTGCCATGTAAGGTGCCACTGACAGGTTCCAGGGATTAGGATCTTGCTATATTTTGGGGTCATTATTCAGTATACCACAGTGGCAAGGAGTGGACATTTAATGAGCAAATATGCCACTTTTTTTTCTTCTCATCTGTTCTTCACATTGATGGTGATGGGTAGAAAGCAGAGGTACAGTCAATATTGAAAGAGAGTACATTCTAAGAATGCAGTGGTGTCTGCCTAAAGTGTGCAAGAGAAGACATGGTTGTTTATTTTTATTTTTTTAATTATACTTTAAGTTTTAGGGTACATGTGCACAATGTGCACGTTAGTCACATATGTATACATGTGCCATGCTGGTGCGCTGCACCCACTAACTCATCATCTAGCATTAGATATATCTCCCAATGCTATCCCTCCCCCCTACCCCCACCCCACAACAGTCCCCAGAGTGTGATGTTCCCCTTCCTGTGTCCACGTGTTCTCATTGTTCAATTCCCACCTATGAGTGAGAATATGCGGTGTTTGGTTTTTTGTTCTTGCGATAGTTTACTGAGAATGATGGTTTCCAATTTCATCCATGTCCCTACAAAGGACATGAACTCATCATTTTTTATGGCTGCATAGTATTCCATGGTGTATATGTGCCACATTTTCTTAATCCAGTCTATCATTGTTGGACATTTGGGTTGGTTCCAAGTCTTTGCTATTGTGAATAGAGCCGCAATAAACATACGTGTGCATGTGTCTTTATAGCAGCATGATTTATAGTCCTTTGGGCATATACCCAGTAATGGGATGGCTGGGTCAAATGGTATTTCTAGTTCTAGATCCCTGAGGAATCGCCACACTGACTTCCACAATGGTTGAACTAGTTTACAGTCCCACCAACAGTGTATAAGTGTTCCTATTTCTCCACATCCTCTCCAGCGTCTGTTGTTTCCTGACTTTTTAATGATTGCCATTCTAACTGGTGTGAGATGATATCTCATTGTGGTTTTGATTTGCATTTCTCTGATGGCCAGTGATGGGGAGCAATTTTTCATGTGTTTTTTGGCTGCATAAATGTCTCTTTGAGAAGTGTCTGTTCATGTCCTTTGCACACTTTTTAATGGGGTTGTTTGTTTTTTTCTTGTAAATTTGTTTGAGTTCATTGTGGATTCTGGATATTAACCCTTTGTCAGATGAGTAGGTTGCGAAAATTTTCTCCCATTTTGTGGGTTGCCTGTTCACTCTGATGGTAGTTTCTTTTGCTGTGCAGAAGCTCTTTAGTTTAATTAGATCCCATTTGTCAATTTTGGCTTTTGTTTTCATTGCTTTTGGTGTTTTAGACATGAAGTCCTTGCCCATGCCTATGTCCTGAATGGTAATGCCTAGGTTTTCTTCTAGGGTTTTTATGGTTTTAGGTCTAACGGTTGTAAGATATGTTTTATGTTATACAATTCTAAATAGTAAATTTTAAAAAATTATTATACACAATTTCCTCCATGTCCTGAACGAGGTTTGCATTTATGGTCGCCATCAATGAGAGAGAGTCACAGAAAGACAGTATTCACAGGTGGCACAACTGATGATGCAACGTCATGAATAATGAGGTCACCAGCATTAAACAAATGGCATTGGGAAGTGTACAGGCAAGAAGACCTATATTTTGTCAATAAAAAAAGCAAAGATTCATATTTCTCACTTTTTTCTCATGGTGAGAGATATGAAATTACTCAAAAATGGCACACTTGGCAATAAAGAATACAAAGAGATAGTCCTTAGACACAAACAGGAAAATATGGTACCTGGATTATACAGGTAATCTTCTCATGCATTCATTGGAAAATAAACATTTAATTACCTCTTTTCTGCTCATTATCCTAAAACTTCATTAATAAATCAGTGTACCTTGCATGGATACATACATTTTATAATACATTTTAAAATCAAATTATTTATATAGATTAGGACCCCATTTGGGCATCTGCAAATGCTGGAACCAGCTTTGAGCTTTTCTATATAATGTATACATGGGATGAGGGGAAGACTAAGAATAAAAATTTAGGTACAAAATTATTGTTCATGGAGCAGTTTACTTGGAAAAATGTTAATAGCAACTGCTGTTGGGTTTGGATTCATATTAGAATTTGTGAAATTTTAGGCCAGGTGTGGTGGCTGATGCCTTAAATCCAAGCACGAGGTGGGAGAAATGTTTAAAACTAGGAATTTGAAACCTGCCTGGGCAACAAAGCAAGACCACATCCCTGAAAAAATTAAAAAATAGCTGGGTGTGGTGGCATGCATCTGTACTCCCAGCTACTCTGGAGGCTGAGGTGGGAGGATCATTGGAACTCAGGAGTTTGAGGCTGCAGTGAGTTATGATTGTGTCCCTGTACTCCAGCGTGGGTGACAGAGTAAGACCCTGTGATATGGTTTGGATCTGTGTCCCCACCCAAATCTCACCTTGAATTGTAATCCCCATAATCTCCACATGTCAAGAGTGAGACAAGGTGGAGGTAATTGGATCATGGGAGTGGTTCCCGGCGTGCTGTTCTTGTGATAGTGAGTGAGTCTCATGAGATCTGATGGTTTTATAAGCGTCTGGCATTTCCCCTGCTTGCACTCATTCTCTCTCCTGCTACCCTGTGAAGAGGTGACTCCCACCATGATTGTAAGTTTCCTGAGGCTTCCCCAGCCATGTAGAACTGTGAGTCAATTAAACCTCTTTTACTTATAAATTATCCAGTCTCAGGTATTTCTTCATAGCAGCGTGCGAACAAACTAACACACCCTGTCTCTAAATTAAATAAATAAATAAAAACAGAAATTTAAAAAAATGTGGCATTTTTAGAGGAGCAGGAGATTTTTTTGTAAAAAAATACATTTTATGTCTACTTTATCTCCCCATGAGATAAACCCCATGAGACTTGGAAGCACCTGTTTTACTTCTTTAATCTTCTACAGCATCACAAACAAAGCAGTCTTCATAAATATTTGACAAGTCAATAAATAAATGGTTCCTTTCCTGAAAGTTTGTAAAAGGCCAATATTTCCATTCTTTAATTCAGATGTGGTACATTGTGGAATATAGAATAAAATGGCAGCTAAACTGAACTCTTCAAAGACCCAGTTTCCTTTGTTCATCACACCGTAAATTTGGCCATAATATTTAGCCCAGGTATGGAAATAATAACATATTTGATTCTCCAATTGCAAGCATTAAGTCTTTGATCAAATTTTTCAAAGAAAAAGTTTCTACTTCACAAATTCTCAAGTAGATTAGTTACAAATATCTCCACCAGTTGCCATTAACGAGATGATACTGATGATACTGCTTTCCAGAAGATGTTTTATAAATGTGTGGGAGCTTTTTTGGTTGACACAGTGAGTGTGGAGAATGACTGTCATGTAGTGAGTAGGGGCCTGAATCTGTGGCACAATAAAGAATGAGAGTTTTGTGTCCTACATTACATTCATGTAGGTGAAACTTCTGCTTTAAATAGCCTGAGTTTTAAACCTATGTTACGTGTAAAATATTATGTGTTTTTGTATGATTTTAGTATACACTGAGTTTTCTAGAGTGATAACTTCTATGTCAGTTGAGGAAAGAGTTTGCTTCATTTTGCTTGAAACTTTACATAATCATGGTAACCATTTTAGGAAATTACATCATTGTGGGAAAAACTGCTCATGGTGTTAAGTATTCCATACACCACCCATGTTATAGTTTGCGTCCGTAGCTGTCATATTCACAGTAAATCTACATACGGATGCAAGCTTCAATGACTTAATTATGATTTCTAGTTTAGCATTCCTAAGCATTTCTTTATCAAAGTACATAATGTGTTATTACACATTAATTTCCTTTGACTTCTCCTTTATATATTGCATTTAGGAAATTATACTGATTTTTTAAAAATCATGTTTGTGGGTAGGTAGCTTATATTATTTATGACAGAAAACTGGTGTTACAAATAGTTTTTGCAAACTAGTAGTGCAGAATATTTAAATGTAGTTTTCTCTTTGTAGAACTAGAATATATATTAGAAAGTTTGAGGACACAAGAAACAGGTGGTGTGCACTGGAAGAAGGAGAATGTGCATGAATCAATCTCGTGTGACATTCTATTTGTTCCTCTGATGTCACATGTAGCTAATAAATACCCAGGGAAAAGAGCAAGGCAATATTCTGGGAACGATGGGGAACCAATGGAAGAAACAACACTGCTTGGTAACCAAGACTCAAGCAGTCGCTTTATACAAATGAATTTATTTAGTAATGGACAAAAATGATACAGCCATTATAGAAACAATCTATTTTACTTGAGTTTATTTACACCATTATAAGAATGTCATACAGATTACATTTTGTTGGCAAAGTAAAGGACAGAGTTTGTGTTTTTCGAACACATTGTTTTTCTCTAGTTCCTAGACTAGTGTTTGAATACAGTTGCCTCTAAGTACAATTACTTATTTTATTTTGAATAAATGTATGAGGGAGAATCAACCTTGGACTTGGGGTCTTGACACTATTATATTATTATTAATAATTACTTTTGTTGAACTAGAACCTAAATCTAATACTAGGCTTCTACCTTATAATTGTTGCAAAATTTCAAAATATATATTTTTATAATTAAATGTAAGAGATTTTTGTGGATAGTGGAATTAGTCTTTCACCCTGAAATATGAACTGAAAAGCATAAAGACCTAGAAGGCTTCTTGAGATTCTGCCTTAGTAACATTGATGCCTACAAGAAAAGCTTCAGTAGCGAGAAGTTTGCCTCGGTTGGTTTTCACTGAAAGTTTATTTTAAAGCTATTCATTATTCACATGCAAAAAGAATTCAGCCAAGTCATGAATCACAATCATTAATTATTCACTGGGATTAAGGAATCGGTTATAACCATGTCTCCCTTTAATCCTGTTTTATTAATTTATATGCTTGGCAAACCCTTCTACTAAATGGATTCTAGCTTACCGTGGGGACCCAGAAAAAATAATGGAAGGCCCATGGGGTCAAAAAGCAGCATTTGCTTTAATTTGATAAAATAAATTAGCATGGGATTATGGGTGCTATTAGCATAAAATCCCCCACTGCTGCTGCTCTGGCCTTCAGGAGAATGTTGAGTGATTATGTTCACTCTTGCTTGATTTTCTATCATATTGGAGCTTCCTCAATAGCTATCCTAAAATATCAGGTAATGTGAGTGTGAGAAGTTGTTGCTCTTTGTCATTGTCTATGTGTGTATGTGTGTGTGTAGAGTATGTGTACATGCTGGCGTATAGAAAAAAAACCAAGGTTGACTTCAACCTCAGAAAACACTTCCCAGTGACTAGCGGTCCACCGAGCATTACTTTTCTACTCTGGTAGTGGAACAAAGAACAGAGTATTTCACCTGAGATATCATGTTCAAAGGTTAGGACTGTGCAGAGACTTTTCTAACTTGACTTTCACTTTTTCCTCTAGATTCTAACTATGAATTCTAGCACCTTAATGAACAATATCATTAAGTCTTAGGTTTCTCTCAATAAAAAGTACACTTTTGACATATACTCTTCTAAGTTCTACTTCTTCTTCATTTGTTTTAGAATGGACTTATCCAGAGGTTAACTAATGTTCCAAGTTTTCTGGTTTTTTATTGAACATGTACATTTTTCCTATGCATTTTCTCCATTGTTTTAGATTTCAATCCTTTTTGCTACTGGACCTCAAATTCTCGGCCAAAGACCCTACACAGAGTTGACCTTACCACAGAGTGGAGCCTATTTCTTATGCTGCATGGGATTCTAACAGCTATCCTCTTTGCATCTTGATTTACACTTTATATATGGAACACTAGTCTAGACCTCAGTCATTCTTCCAAGACAAAAGGTAGAAACACAGTTGCACCTTATTTTATGAAATGCCCTCCTCTGAATTTGCGAATTAATTGTGTTTTACAATTAATTGAATCTATTTTTAAAAATATTAATAATGAATTTTAGACTGTTTTTGTGTTGTGTAAAATAATCACTGCTTTTTCCTGGCCTATAAATTCTACTCTATACTTACTGATTTTGCTTTTTTAAAAAAACAAAATGTTGAAGTTTATATTCTCTTTCCAATTGTACCACTCATTACCAGATGCCCTGTATATCCTGGGAGATTCAAAAAGGACTTAGCCCTAGCCCGACCCTCACAGAGCTTGCAATCAGATGGAGGAGTAGGTGAAGGGCCTTGGAAGATACATTTATCCTACTACTGCTAGTTTGTTTTTTGAGCATGGCCTTTAGAATGCTGGCAGAACTGAGTTTGAGCTAATTTTCTTCTCTCTACTAGTTGGGTGGATTTGAGCAACAAAAGAATCAGACTCCTAGAACCTCTATTTTCTATGTTAACATAATTATAATCATATAGGTATCATACAGTTGATAGGGATTGCCTTAAACCCTGCATGTAAATTTTCCAGGCTGGGTGTGGTGACTCACACCTATAATCTCAGCACTTTGGGAGGGAGGCAGGAGGATCACTTGAGCTCAGGAGATCGAGACCAGCCTGGGCAACATAGGGAGATCCTGTCTTTACAAAATATTAAAAATTAGCTGGGTGTGGTGATGCACACCTGTAGTCCCAGTTACTGAGGAGGCTGAAGCTGGGAGGATCATTGAGCCTCAAGGTCCAGGCTGCAGTGAGCTGTGATCACCACTGTACTCCAGCCTGGGTGACACAGCAAGATCCTGTCTCAAAAAATATTTTTTTTCCAGCACAGGATTGGATTTATGAAAGACAATAAATGTAGTCATCATCCTCTCGGCCCCACCATCCTACTTGTGACCAGCCAATTTGTTCTTGGAACAAACTGAACTGCTATCCTTAAATTTTGATGGTAACAGAAAACTGTGTAGCTACAGTGGTCTAGGCCAGGGCTTCCAAGCCTTTCACAGATCATAAAGCACAGAGACAATGATAGTACCTATAAGACACACATGAGCCTGTAAGAAAATGGCTCGAATTCTCTGACTTCCCCTGCCATGCATGATAGCCACCTGGGGGCTGAGGGAATCAATAAATCAGCACATCATCTGCAAGGATCATGAGGAGTATGATAGAGGATTCTAGACATCTGAGGAGTACACTTTTTTCTACCAGCATCTTTAAAACAGACACGCAATTATTTAGAAAATGAAGTCACAGGAGTTTAACAAACAAGCAGATTGCTCACAATATGTGTTAAGTGGAACATCATTAAAAAGTATTTCATATCTAAAATCAGAGGGTAAAGAAGAGTTCCTTAGTACTATGAGAGGAAATCCTCTAAAAAGGAAAATACTGATTTTTAAATTGGAGGCACAACTCAGTCATTCTTTCTTAATTGGTACGCAAGTAAAATAAAGTTTTCATCTTGCTTAGGACAATATGGGTAACTCTTGCCCATCTGCATTTCCAAAACCCACACAGATGACATCACTAATAGAACCTCAAACATCAGAAGATGAATCCTCTCCTCTTTTCTGTTTGCTTTGTCTTTCCTCCTTTATCCCAATATAGGTAAGTACAAGTCCTTGAATATCCTTACACTCAGGCATGGGGCAAGATCTCCTTCCATCCACCAGCATCTAGTGACCAATATGCTAGGCAAGGACAGAAGCTCTCACCAATGTTTCAGTACCCTGGAGCTACTGCTACCAGTTAGCACATGAAAAATCCTAAGGTTTCTTTGCAAAATTTTCATTTTATAAAATTTGTATATGGGCTGTTCAAAGTTATTTGATATTAAAAATGTGAGAGGAAAAGAGGGAAACTCCACTGGGAGTTGCAGAACAGCAATAACATTTAAATAAATTACTAAGTGTGACATCTAAATAGTTTACTTTTCAACACCCCACCACTCTACATGATAGTTCTCAGCCACAACCATAATACTTTAGGTACCAGCCTTGTTTATCATGCCTCAGAAATGCTACCTTCTTTGCTTTTCTTCCAGTTCTAAGTGCTTCATCCTAAGAACGTACTGGAATCCCTGAACACATAAATAGAGACACAGGAAATGCTTCTGCACCAGTTTGCCTCTACTCAGCTCTGATTCTGAGGGATGCCACTGGTAAAATCCATTCAGCCAAGTTCTCTAAAGGAGGAAATGCTTTCAATGATCAGCTCTACAGCAAAGAAAATTCAATTCTTTTTTTTATTAGAAACATGGCTTCTCTGAGTGCTTATTGCATGAGAGTGGGCAGGCAATTGGTTTTCAGAACTACTCTTGCTGTCAACAATAGATATTGATTTCTCAAATTATTTGTCTGAGAAACCCAGAGTAAAATGGCCGCTGGTTCTGAATTTCAAAGTGAGTGTGATCTGAACCCAGCAGGTGTTGGTCCAGGGACTGCTGCTCACAAAGCCTTCTGTACTCCACAAGTCTATGGGAGAAAATCAGGCTGAAAATAAGGGCTCACTGTGCCTGTCCCACTCCATACCTGTTCATGTGGTAGGTGGGTGCCAGTAGAGGAGTTCAGAGCCCATCTTAGCATATGATGCCGATTCAGACCTGCCCCTCAGTCTCAAGATCAGGAAGCAGAGCAGAGCTGGGGAAGAATTCTGACATGAGAACACCAATCCCTATACTTTGGTCCTGACATCTGGTTGCTGTGTGGCTATTTTTGCTTTCCTGTGAAGGCTCCATTTCCTTATTTGTAGAATGAAACTATTAGACTAGACGGTGCATTCTCAGTGAAGGCTATATCACCCCCACGCAGACAGAAACTGGTTCTTGAGGGATTAAAAAAAGTTTATTACATTGATGACCCTTAAAAAGTCAACTCTGCCTAGTAAAATCATATTGTTTAGTATTAAATTTATCCTGTTGGGGGGATTTTAATATAACAATTTTTTCGTATGAGTGCAAAAATGGGAAAAGAAAAAAGTTTAAAATCACTGCACTCAATGAGCTCTAAGCTCGTTTAGTCCCTAGAATTTTAAAATTATGGAATTCAATGAAATAGAGAAATTCCTATGATGTGATGGAACCTACAGAATTTAATGGCACACTTCTCTGTAGTTGTATAGATTTAGGTTTGCAAAACAAAAACTTAAGGTTATCTCTTTATAAACCTGATGTTTATAAATTGTGTATCTGTTACAAGATTGACAAAGACACTCAACTATGTTAATGTTGCATTTTTTTCAGGCACAAATAGCAATGAAAAAAATGAAATATAGGACTCTTGGAAAACTACGGTTTCTCTCTAAAACAAATCATTTAAAAGTACCATAAATATTTGCTTATTACTAGTGGGAAGGTATATGCAACTTAGAGCAAGTATAAGAAAATAAGAAGTATTTTCTAGAGTTAGGTATCTATCCCCAACTATTAGCAAACACTACTTTATTTAACTTTTTCTTTGTCCTAATTCTTCAAAAATTAGCTAACCATTTCTTTCGCTCATTCCCAATTTCTAGTTTGCAAGGGAAAGTCTTTTCGTTTTGATATGACTCTAAGATGCTTACATTTCACAAAGCTGCCCCAATCATTTTAGGGTCAAAAGATCTTAACTGCCAATGTGCGGGTATATTAGTTACAAATATTGATTTTATATTCTTCAAAGTCTTAGTTAACTCTCTAAGTGTTCTCTGTAATCCTTTCTCCTCTGATTCTTGTTTACACAAGAGAAAAGCAATTTTCTTGAAAGAAACAAAAGAAGGACCAAAAGGGTGCTAGGAAAAGCATAGAGCTTTATGATAAGAGTATGAGCTTTAAACATGGGTTCAAATTTTTGACCTTGGAAAATTTTCACAATGCTATGAGTCTCGATTTCTTTGTAAAATATACATTTTAGAGATATTATAACAACTTCATGGGTGAGTATATAGAGAACCATTATAGGACCTGTACATAAGAGAGGCTTCTTTAACAATGCCTATTGGTATTATTAAGCATTGCATAGCTCCTTTGGCTTTACTGTGTTTGGCTTTAGCAGCAAGAGAAAAACTCTCTGGTTTAGTATCCATAACCATAACCTTCTCCTAGTCCTATGCTAATCAACAAAGATATTTCTCTCTTTCCTCATTTAGAATAAACATGTAGTTAGCATTATTTGAAAACTCTTCAGGGTTCATTATATTTCAAGCCACCTAAATTGGTAAATCATTTTTATGCCCCTCGTCTTTTATCAGGATATCTCAATAAGCATTATTCAAAGAAAAATATGTGATTAGTCTGCAATCCTCCTAAGAACTTTCCAAGTACTGTTCAAAATATAAGATAAAACCTACAGTAGTGAAAGAGCCCAGAAGGATAGAAATTGGCTGGTTCTTAGATTATCAGTCTCCCTTGTGAGTCAATACAGAAGTTCTCTCCACTTCTAGAACTCATCCTATGGTCTCCTGGGCATTGCTTCCCCTCATCTAAGGCAAAAATTCTAATCTTACTTGGAATTATTGCTTGTTTTCCATCAGTATTGTTTGGCCTCTTCTCTTCTCCTCACCTATTCTTTTAAGACAACTACACATCTGGCTGAAAGCTGTTACCATGTTTAATTCTCTATGAAAAATTAGGCATTTTATAGAACTAATTGCTACGTTGGGCAGCTGGTGGTCAGACACAATAACAGATTCGATCCATTAGCGGCATACCCAATCCTTAGGCAGAATGTATGTGTGTATTTGCACACTGAAGTCTGAATGTAGTGGTTTTCAATTGCTGTTCTGCACAGGTGAGCCTGCAGACCACTTTTTGAGCACAAGATGACAAATATGTTGGATCTCTTTGCAACAATATTGGTCCATACTGTCTGTACGAAATTCTGAATATTAAGTATTTGATGGTTTGTGAAGTAATAGATTGATTTTGTAAATATTCTTAAACTTTTGAAAAAGTAAATTTCTCAGTTTACTAGATGTAGTATTATTATTATCAGGCTTTAAGAAAAAGAGACCAGTCTGCTACTTCTGAAGACTACCAAATTAGTCAAATCATACGTTAACTATAAAAATGTTCTTTTTGCTTCTTTCTCTTTGATTTTGGAAGAATAACTGTTGACACAGAGGGATAGAGAAGCATGGGCTCCAGGTTGAGCATCCCTAATCCAAAACTATCTGAAATTCAAAAGCTCCAAAATCTGAAACTTTTTGAGCACGGACATGATGTCACAAGTGGAAAATTCTACACCTGATCTCATGTGATGGGTTGCAGTCAAACCACAGGAGTGCGACAAATAGTTTATTCAGAATCCCCAAGAGAAAAAAGACCCTCCCACTTCTGTGCTAATTCACTTATGTGTGAATAAGTATAAGAAAATAATTGCTTATTGATAGCAAATAAATTTAGAGTCAGGAATAATGATCATGTCAAACAATAACAGGTCATTCACATGGGTGACTGAGATCATGACATAGTGACGTCTTTGCTTTCTGATGGTTACATTTTCACAAACTTTGTTTCATGGATAGAATTATCTAAAATATTGTATACAATTATCTTCATGCTGTATATATAAGGTATATATAAAATATAAATAAATGTTGTGTTTATAGGTGGTTCTCATTCCCCCCAAAAAAAACAGTCCACAATCCAAAACACTTCTGGTTCCAAGCATTTTGGATAAGGCTACTCAGTCAATATTAGCAGTGGGAAAAACCTAAGAACTTACTTCTCTGGTCCAATTTTATTGCTTGACTGAGAAGAAAACGGAGACAGAAACATCCTGGCCACAGAGTGAGTGTGAATTATAGAGGCCAGGACTGGGGTGCTGACACCCAGGGCGGTGTTTTTTCCCATAGCTCTCTCTTCTAGACTAAATTAGAAAGTCACTGAGATGTGTAAGTGATACGTAGTCTTTACTGTATACATGAGTGAAGGATCCAAATCCTTTTGAAATATTGTTAATAAGCTGTAGGTGGATTTTGTACATAATGGCTGACTCTGTTTTATTTGTGCACAGAAAGGCACTTAATAAATGCCATTAGATTGAGTTTAAGTCAGGCATAGGTGCTTCGCACCAATCAAATTGATTTATCAGCTTGTAACCTGAATATCTGGAACCTGTAATTGTGTTCTATATTGACATGTAGAATGTCCTCCATTCATATGTATCATCATCACAAGCTCAAGAAAAATTTTCTTCTGAAGTGTGCATCTGAAGAAACAGAATGCATCTATAAATTAAAATTTAATAAAAAATATCATCTGGGATTAAAATTAGCATGAAAGATATTTTTAGAAATACACTTGAATTACTAAAGAAGTTGTCGCTAGCAGCCCACCAAAGATTTTTGCTCTTCCTTCCACAGTGGTATGGTTAGGCTTTGTGTCCCCACCCAAATCTCATCTTGAATTGTAATCCCCATAATTCCCATAATCCCCACATGTCAAGGGAAAGACCAGGTGGAGGTAATTGAATCATAGAGGTGGTTTCCCCCATGCTGCTCTCATGATAGTGAGTGAGTTATCACAAGATTTAGTGGTTTTATAAGGGTCTTCCCCCTTCACTCACCACTTCTCCTTCCTGCCATCTTGTGAAGAAGGTGTCTTGATTCCCCTTCACCTTCTGCCATGATGGTAAGTTTCCTGAGGCCTCTCTAGCCACCCTGAACTGTGAATTAATTAAACCTCTTTCCTTTATAAATTACCTAGTCATGGCAGTTCTTTATAACAGTATGAAAATGGACTAATACATAGTAATAAATTGTGAGTGAAATAAGGCTATCCTGAGACGATATTTGCTAGCTCCCCGTTTATCCAGCTGCCGAGGTCATGTGAGTAATTCTCATTAACATAAGGGGAAGTGATGTGCATCGCATGAGAGCAGAGCTGACTTTAAGAAGTAGTTTAGCCATCTCCACATTTTCTGTTCTGATTTCCTGACTGAATACAGAATCCTCCTAGTCTCTGGGGAGGGGCAGATCTGCAAGATGGAAGACACCTGAGTCCCTGAATCTTCTGCCACTTGCCAACTAGGGATATCATCATTGACTGTTACCTGAGTAGAAACACTATCTTATTGAGTTAAGCCTCTGATATTGAAGAGTCTGTATATTAGAGCAGCTCAAGTCATCTTAATACACAAGTCAAAGTAAAACTGACCAGGTTTGACCGTAACAAAATGCACTTAAAGGGAGAATACAGATTCTACAAAAGAGACATCCAATTGTACCAAGTGTTATAGGTAACAAAAAAAGAGTTGTGTATCTCATACTCCATCTCTGAGTTATATATACTTAGAGTCATGAACTGGGGATAGTAATTGAAAGGTCAGATTGATGAGACTAGCACCAGAGATAAGATTTCTATGACAGGTTGATGGATACTCCACTATCAAGGTGTACTTTTAATCATAACCTCGTTACTTTACTTCTGATGGTTAAGCTCACCTTGCAAGAAGAATTTGGTTCTGACAATGGTCGTCAGGTCCAGGGGGAAAGTGAGTGAATTAGCAGAGAAAAGGGACAGGAAGAGAGAGAGAGATTGAGAAAGAGAGAGAAATATGTGGGTGATGAAATTCAGCAAAGTATTGTTGGAGAAAGTGGAGAAGATGGAGAATTAGAAACTTAATACGGCATCTGCAGATGTCTCCATAGGACCAGGAGGAAATCATCCCAAGCCAATAAGCGTGTCATGGGGAGAAATGAGGATTTAAACTTAATAGCAAATAGATTCAGCAATGCAGCTTTGTAGAGCTGTGGGGGGAGTTTGGTTCTTAGCCCAGAGAGAGCTTAATAGAAGTCAATAATGAAATCATCAAGATGCAAGCATTAAAAGCTTAAATGTGCTGTCTTTGCCTTTGATTACAAAGGTTTTGTTTCTTTCCAAGCACAAACTCAAGTACACAATAGATTCTTCACTCAAAAAAAAGTATTCACTTTAAGCAACAAAAACAACAAAAAAAGTCATATTGTCTTAAATCAGTATCTCTTTCCTTTTACAGGAAAAATAAAAAACAAGGAAACAAAAATAGTTAAGGAATGGAGACAAGTGAAAACCTTTGAATGCAGACTGAAATGTGTGTTCAAGAAGCCTTTCCTTAATAGTGAACCAGTTATAAATATTGCTTTATACATGATTCTCCCCACCCCCAAATTCAACAGGAGTGATGACCAGTTCTATAGCACTTTGAATGCAAGGGACTCTAAGTGTGTTATCAATATGTATTTATTAAACAGCATCACACTCTAGATAGGAATTTTTAAATATTTTATTTACACAAAGGGTAATTTTTCAGTTTCAACACTCCTCATACTTGTAAAAGCATGAATAACAAATCTGGTATTAATTCTCTAGGAGGAATCATAGAGAAATTCTCCCTATAAAATTAGGAATACTAGCATCCTAACTTTAATGATATCAAAAATGACATTATAATTTTTGAGAAATACATATAAAACATCTTTTAAAGAATACATATCATTCATATATTTATTCATTCAACTAGTATATATTGAGAACTTTCTCTGAATTAGCTACTGTTCTTTGTGCAATGGTTATAGAGAAGAATGTGGCACAGTCCCTGCCACTAAGAGAGTCAAATAGAATTATTTCATTCTTTTCCAGAAAAAAAATTCTAAATAAAAAAGGGAGAAACCAAAGATGTAAGGATTACATGGAAAATGAAACTATGTTTGCCAGAATAGAAAATAACAGTATATTTGTTAGCGAACATTTTCTCCTTTTCTGGTATTTAAGTTTACATGAAGAGTAGAAAACAAGGTAAAGTGAGAGTTCTCACTTTTTACACTTTGGGAAAAAGGAACATTCCTTCTGATTCTGACAATAAATTTGAGGCCTTATCAAGTCCTTTTTCTGAGTCCCCTCTCTCATCCTCCTTCAAGCAGGAAGTACATCAGAGGAAAAGACAGATAACATTGTAAACTACATTCCAGATGGTAAATGTCAGAAATGGGAACTTTAAAACTCTACTGTTTCGCCTAATTCCACTTTTCTGGAGTCCTTAGACAAACATTCAAAAATGAATGTCAGGCTTACATAATTATGGCCACCTATAAGGTTCAAGAAATGGATATTCTGTTTCTATTAGTCAGGCAAAGGAGACAATAGTGAGTATGTACACCGCCTGTTGTGGACTTATTTATTCCATTTTCTGTGGGCCATAAGTTCTGACTTGAATGGGCAGCATTGAAAAAGGAATCCAGAATACCTATGAAGGTATCCTAATAGATATACCTGCCCCCAGTAGGTACCTATAAAAGTCTGAATTCATTTTTCTGGATTTCTGTTTCCAATAGATACCTATAAAGAAATACAAAGTTTAAAAAAACAAAAACTTTTTTATTGTGGCTGGCAAGATGGCCGAATACGAACAACTCTGGTCTGCAGCTCTTAGCGAGATCAACGTAGAAGGCAGGTGATTTCTGCATTTCCAACTGAGGTACCTGGCTCATCTCGTTGGGACATCTCATTGGGTTAGACAGTGGGTGCAGCCCATGGAGGGCGAGCCAAAACAAGGTAGGGCATTGTCTCATCTGGGAAGCTCAAGGGGTTGAAGAACTCCCTCCCCTAGCCAAGGAAAGCCTTGAGGGTCTGTGCCGTGAGGGATAGTGCGTTCCAGCCCAGCTACTATGCTTTTCCCACTGTTTTCGCAACCCACAGACCAGGAGGTTCCCTCGGGTGCCTACACCACCAGGGCCCTGGGTTTCAACCACAAAACTGGGCAACCATTTGGGCAGACACCAAGCTAGCTGCATGAGTTTTTTGTTTTGTTTTGTTTTGTTTTTATACCCCAGTGGTGCCTGAAACACCAGCGAGACAGAACCATTCAGTCCCCTGGAAAGGGGGCTGAAGCCAGGGAGCCAAGTGGTCTAGCTCAGCGGATCCCAACCCCATGGATCCCAGTAATCTAAGATAAACTGGCTTGAAATTCTCATTGCCAGCACAGCAGTCTGAGGTCGACCTGGGATGCTCAAGCTTGGTGGAGGGGAGGGGCGTCCACCATTACTGAGGCTTGAGTAGGTGGTTTTCCCCCTACAGTGTAAACAAAGCTGTGGGGAAGTTCAAACTGGGCAAAGCCCACCACAGCTCAGCAAAGCCTCTGTAGCCAGACTGCCTCTCTAGATTCCTCCTCTCTGGGCAGGACATCTCTGAAAGAAAGGCAGCAAGCTTATAGATAAAACTCCCATCTCCCTGGGACAGAGCACCTGGTGGGGAAGGGGTAGCTATGGGTGTAGTACAGCACATTTAAACATTCCTGCCTGCCGGCACTGAAGAGAGCAGCAGATCTCCCAGCACAGTGGGGGAGCTCTGCTGATGGACAGACTGCCTTCTCAAATGGGTCACTGACCCCCGTGCCTCCTGACTGGGAGACACCTCCCAGCAGGGGTCGACAGACACTTCATACAGGAGAGCTCTAGCTGGCATCTGGTGGGTGCCCCTCTGGGATGAAGCTTCCAGAGGAATGAACAGGGAGCAATCTTTGCTGTTCTGCAGACTCTGCTGGTGATAGCCAGGCAAACAGGGTCTGGAGTGGGCCTCCAGCAAACTCCAGCAGACCTGCAGCAGAGGGGCCTGACTGTTAGAAGGAAAACTTAGAAATAGCATCACACCAAGAAAAAGGACGTCCACTCAGAGACCCCATCCAAAAGTCACCAACATCAAAGACCAAAGGTAGATAAATCCCTGAAGATGAGGAAAAACCAGCACAAAAAGGCTGAAAATTCCAAAAACCTGAACGCCTCTTCTCCTCCAAAGGATCACAACTCCTCGCCAGCAAGGGAACAAAACTGGACGGAGAATGAGTTTGACCAAAAGCAGAAATAAATAAGTTATTTGAAACCAAAGAGAACAAAGACACAACATACCAGAATCTCTGGGACACAGCTAAAGCAGTGTTTAGAGGGAAATTTATAGCACTAAATGCCCACAGGAGAAAGTGGGAAAGACCTAAAATTGACACCCTAACATCACAATTAAAAGAACTACAGAAGCAAGAGCAAACACATTCAAAAGCTAGCAGAAGACAAGAAATAACTAAGATCAGAGCAGAACTAAAGCCCAGGACCAGATGGATTTACAGCCCAATTCTGCCAGAGGTACAAAGAGGAGCTGGTACCATAACTTCTGAAGCTATTCAAAATAATAGCTCAGGACCTGAGCTTTTCTTTGATGAAAAACTTTTTGTTACTAATTCAATCTTATTGCTCATTATTGATGTGTTCAGATTTTCTCTTTGTTTATTATTCAGTCTTGGTAGGTTGTTATGTTTCTGGGAATTTATCCAACTCTTCTAGGTTATCCCTTTTTTGGCTTATAATTGTTAATAATAGCCTCTAATGAGCCTAGTATTTCTGTGGTATACTTTGTAATGTCTCATTTTTAGTCTCTGATTTTATTCATTTAATACTTCTCACTCTTTTCTTTTTAGTTAGATGACTAAAGGTTTGTTTACTTTGTCTTTTTACAAAACCAACTCTTCATTTTATTAACCTTTATATTTTTGTCTTTATTTTTGTTCTGATCTTTCTTATTTTCTTTCTTCTATTAATTTTGAGTTTCTTAGGTACAATGTTATGTTGTTTATTTGAGATCTTTCTCTTTTTTTGATTTTGGCATTTATTGGTATAAACTTCTCTCTTAGAACTGCTTTTGCTATATCCCATAGGTTTTCGTATACTAGGTTTCCATTTTCATTTGCCTCAAGAAATATTTTAAATTTCCTTTATAATTTCTTCAAGAACCCATTGGTTGTTCAGGAGCATGTTGTTTTAACTTCCATATGTTGTTAATGTTTCCAATTTCCTCCTGTTATTAATTTCTAGTTTTATATCTTTATGGTGAGAAAAATTCTTGCTATGCTTGTAATCTTTTAGAATTTGTTAAGACTATTTTTGTGGTCTAACATATGATCTGTCCTGGAGAAAGTTCCATATCCAAATGAGAAATTGTATATTCTGAAGCTATTGGATGAAATGTTCTATAAATGTCTGTTAGGTCCATTTGGTGTAGAGTTTAGTTTAAATCTGATGTTTCTTTCACAATTTGCTGTCTGAATAATCTGTTCCTTACTGTAAAGTGGAATGTGGAAGTCCTCTACTATTATTGTATTGCAGTCAACTTATTTCTTTAGATCTATTAATATTTGCTGTATATATGTAGGTGCCTCAATATTGGGTGCATTTATATTTATGATTGTCACATCCTCTTGCTAAATGATCCCTTTTATCATTATATAATGACCTTTTTATCTTTTCTATGGTTTTTAATTTAAAGTTTATTTTACATAATACAAGTATAGCTACTCCTGCTCTCTTTTGGTTTCCATTTGCATGGAATATCTTTTCCCATCTCCTCACCTTCTATCTACATATGTCATTACTAGTGAAATGTACTTGTAGGCAGCACATCATTGACCCTGGTTTTTAATTCATTAAGCCACCCTTTGTCTTTTAATTAGAGTCTTTAATCCACTTATATTTAAGGTGATTATTGATAAGTAAAAACTTTTTACTGCCATTTTGTTAATTGTTTTTTAGTTGTTTTATAAATCCTCTATTCTTTTCTGTCTTCCTTTGTGACTAAGTTATTTTCTCTAGTAGTATTTTTTATTTCTAACTTTTAAATTTTGATTGTATATTATAGGTTTTTGATTTGTGGTTATCATGAGGCTTACCAAAAACATCTTATAGCTATAACAAGTTATTGTAAGCTCATAACAACTGAACTTTGTGATGATAAGACTCTACATTTTAACCACATTCTGTTTTCCACAGTTTGAATATTTAATGTCACAATTTCCAACTATTTATAGTGTATATCTCTTAACACATTGTTTTAATTTTTTAAATACTTGTGTCTCTTAACACTCATCCTAAAACTATAAGTGATTTACATACTAATTGTTATAGTATTAAAGTATTCTGAACTTGATGGTGGACTTATTTTTACCAATGAGTTTTATGCTTTCAAATATTTTTAGCTTATTTGTTAGTATCTTTTTCTTCAGATTGAAGAACTCGCTTTAGCATCTTTTTAAGACAGTCCTGGGAGTGATGAACTAATTTAGCTTTTGTTTGTCTGGGAAAATTTTATCTCTTCTTCATTACATAAGGATAGCTTTGCTTGATTAAGAATTCTTGGGGCCCAGCGTGGTGGCTCACGCCTGTAATCCCAGAACATTGGGAGGTTGAGGTATGTGGATTACCTGAGGTCAGGAGTTCAAAACCATCCTGGACAACATAATGAAACCTCATCTCTCCTAAAAATACAAAATTAGCCCAGCATGGTATTTCATATTTTGTATGGTTCTAGCCCAGCACAGTGGTGCATGCCTGTAATCCCAGCTACTTGGGAGGCTGAGGCAGGAGAATCGCTAGAACCTGGGAGGCAGAGGTTGCAGTGAGCTGAGATTGTGCCATTGCATTCCAGCCTGGGCAACAAGAGTGAAGCTCCGCCTAAAAAAAAGAAAAATAATTCTTGGTTGACAGGTTTTTTTTGTTTTGTTTTGTTTTTCCTTTGGTACTTTGAATATAGTCCCCTCTCTTCTGGCTTGCTGAGAATTTCACTGATAATCATATTGAAATTCCATTGTATGTGTTGTGTTTCTTACCTCTTGCTGCTTTCACATTTTCTTCTTTGTCTTTGCTTTTTAATAGTTTGATTATTATGTGTATTGGTATACTAATCTTTGAGTTGAATTTGATTGGAGACCTCTGTACTTCCTATAACTGGATGTTGACATCTATCCTTTAACTAGGCATGTTTTGTTTTCAGACATTATTTATTTTTTTAGATCCTTTTCATCTTTCTCCTTCTTCTGAAACTCTTTTTTTTTTTTTTTTTTTTTAACGGAGTTTCACTCTCGTTGCCCAGGCTGGAGCACAATGGCACCATCTCAGCTCACCACAACCTCTGCCTCCTGGGTTCAAGCAATTCTCCTGCCTCAGCCTCTTGAGTAGCTGTGATTACAGGCATGTGCCACCACACCTGGCTAATTTTGTGTTTTTAGTAGAGACAAGATTTCTCCATGTCGGTCAGGCTGGTCTCGAACTCCCGACCTCCCGTGATCTTCCCGCCTCGGCCTCCCACAGTGCTGGGATTACAGGCATGAGCCATCGCGCCCGGCCCTGAAACTCTTAATAACTAGAGCTTTGGTCTCTTAACTATCCCATAATTCCCATAGGCTTTTTATAGCTATAAGAAGTTTTTGGTAAGCCTTGTGATAACCACAAGTCAAAAATCTATAATAATCTAAAAATAATAAGTAATAAGTAAAAAAAAATACTTTACTTTTTTAACTTTTTTCTCTGACTGGATAATTTCGAATGTTCTGTCTTCCAGGTCACTGATTTTTTTTTTTTTTTTTCTGATAGATCAAGTCTCCTAATGAAGCTTTCTGTTGAATAATTTAGTTCCATTATTGTATTCATCTCCAGGACTTTTATATGGTTCTTTGTTGCAGGAAGTCAGGGACCCCAAACAGAGGGACCGGCTGAAACCATGGCAGAAGAACATGGATTGTGAACATTTTATGGACATTTATTAGTTCCCCAAATTAACACTTTTGTAATTTCTTATGCCTGTCTTTACTGCAATCTCTAAACATAAATTGTAAAGATTTCATAGACACTTATCACTTCCCCAATCAACACCCTTGTGATTTCCTATGCCTGTCTTTACTTTAATCTCTTAATCCTGTCAGGCAAGGAGGCTGTATGTCACCTCAGGGCTATGTGATAATTGCATTAACTACACAAATTGTACAGCATGTGTGTTTGTGCAATATGAAATCTGAGCACCTTGGAAAAAGGACAGGATAACAGCAATTGTTCAGGGAATAAGAGAGATAACCTTAAACTCTGACCGCCAGTGAGCCGGGCAGAACAGAGCCATATTTCTCTTCTTTCAAAAGCAAATGGGAGAAATATCGCTGAATTATTTTTCTCAGCATGGGATATCCCTGAGAAAGAGAATGTGCACCTAGGAGTAGGTCTCTGAACTGGCCCCCCCGGGGCGTACCTGTCTCTTATGGTTGAGACTGCAGGGGTGAAATAAACTCCAGTCTCCCATAGCACTCCCAGGCTTATTAGGAAGAGGAAATTCCCGCCTAATAAATTTTGGTCAGCCCGGTTGATCTCAAAACCCTGTCTCCTGATAAGATGTTATCAATGACAATGGTGCCCGAAACTTCATTAGCAATTTTAATTTTGCCTCGGTCCTGTGGTCCCGTGATCTCGCCCTGCCTCCACTTGCCTTGTGATAGTCTATTACCCTGTTAAGTACTTGATGTCTGTCACCCACACCTATTCGCACACTCCCTGCCCTTTTGAAAATCCCTAATAAAAACTTGCTGGTTTTTGTGGCTTGTGGGGCATCATGGATCCCCACGGAGACGTCACGTGGGATGTCTCCCTGGGACGTCCAGCTTCAAAATTTCTCTCTTTTGTACTCTGTCCCTTTATTTCTCAAGCCAGCTGATGCTTAGGAAAATAGAAAAGAACCTATGTGATTTTCGGGGCAGGTCCCCTGAAAGTTCTTCTTTTGCTGGTTTCTAAAATATCTTCATTAATCTCTTTGCTTTTTCCATGTACTGTTTTCTAAATTTTATTAAATTTTCTACTTGTATATTCTTGCAATTCATGGAACTTCTTTATGAGTATTATTCTGAATTCTTTTTCTGTTATTTTATAGATCTCCATTTTTGGACTTTTGTTACTGAACCTTTATTAATTTCTTCTGGAGGTGTTATGATGCCCTGATTCTTCGTAATTCCTGAGTTCTTACATTGTTGTCTGCACATTTGAAAAGAGAGCCCTTTCTTCTGGCCTTTACAAGTGTTCTTTGATGGGCATACAGCTTCACTATTCAGCCTAGCCTATATTTCTGGAAGCATCAGCTGGTGATGAGGCTGGGGTGACAAAACTGGTTGTGAGTTCCCTAGTTGGCTGGGCCACTGCTTTGGCTCTGATGTCAGATGGGGCTACTAGCTGGACTCCACTGACCAGTGAAACTATTGGTTAGGCTCTGCTTTTAGGCAGAACTGCAGGCTGGGTACTACAGTGGCTTCTGGTCTGGCTGGTCACAAGATGTATTTTCTAGCCAGGCAATTTTTCTATTTGGGATTCTGCAGATGGGCAAGGATGCAAGTTGATCTCTGAGGTTAGGTGAACTCCCTTTAAACATTTACAAATGTATGTATTCCACTATGAACAGGTGGAACTCAAGGCTATGCTCCTTAGAATGAATGACCCAGTTATTTCCTCCCTGTTAGAAGGAAGATGGTTGAGGGTGCCAGGGTGCCAGGGAGGGGGGCTAGCAGGGGGAGGCGACTTTAGGCTGGGTTGGGTGACTGACCTCCTAGATAAAACAGGTCTAGCCCTTACATTTTCTGAAATTTACAGAGGTAGGAGACTACCTGCCTGGGCTGGTCATTGGGTGGGTTTTTTGGCTGTGCAGAGTCACTGCTTGACATCCTCAACCAAGCCAGTGTAGCTCTTTTGCTTCTCTGAGATTCATGGCAGTGGGAGTTCCTCTGCCTGGTAGAGTCATTGAGGTGGGCTTTGAGGCTGGGTAGAGAGGCTAGCATTCTGGGGGCTCAAGCCAGATTGTGTTTACCACCATGCTTCTAAAAGTGACCAGCTCAGCTTTGCATGTGTGCTATGAGGTTGGCTAATATATCTGATAGAGTGCTGCAGCTGGTAGGAATGCAGAAGCATACCACCAAGATCTCTTGTCACTCTGTCACTTGCCACTCTCTTTGTTTCCACCTGACCCTAAGGCAGTCAAGCCACACTGTTACCCATAGTATTCCTCATGAAGTGAGACCAGAGTGGGCTTACTGGGAAGTGCTACAGAATGCTAAGGATGCTGGATAACTTCCTTCAATTCCCTTTTCCCCCTGCAGAAACTGTGCCAAGGGAAATCTTATTCCTCTGGCACTATGCCAACTTTGGGGAAAGAGATGGGGTGGTACAGCCAATGTGGCAACATTAACTTATCCTCTTATTTGGATTTTATTCAGATTGGTATACCTATGATGTCTCAGGCTTTTTTTCAGGTGTTGGGGTTTTCAGAAGAATGTCTGTCGATACTTGCTTGTTTAATTTTCTGTGGTGGGTCATGGGTACCAAGATTTATTATTCCACTGTCTTGCCAATATCATTCTCATTAAGGTTTTAATTCACATTTTCTTCATGACTAATGATGAGGACCATTTCACAGGTTTATTGGTTATTCCTTTATCCTCTTTTATGAAGTATATGTTCAAACCTTTTGCCAACTTTTAATGGAGGGTTTGTTTTTTAATTGTTGATTTATAGTAGCTTTTACATATTCTAGATATGTGCTGTTTGTTATGTATAAGTTTTGCAAATATTTTTGCCTAGTTTGTAGCTTGCTTATTTATTTTCTTAATTAGATGCTTTGATAGGTAGAATATTTTTATTTTAGTGAAGTGCAATCTTTGTTTTTTTTCTTTATTCACTCTGGCTTTTTATATCCTGCTTAAGAAATATTTGCCTACCCCAAGGTTCAAAAATATTCACTTATTTTTACTCTACAAATCTTATATGACCCATTTCAACTAATTTTTGTATGGTGTGAGGTAGAGGCCAAGGTTAAAGGGTAAAGAATTTTTCTTTGTTATCACTGTGGTCTGTCTTTAACTACTACATATATATATATATATATATAAAATGTGTGTTCTCACATGCATTATAAACATTTATAAATATAAAATGTCATAATATATTGATAACTTTAGATATATAGAGAAAAAACACATGAATTTATCTCCATTGATAACTTTTCAGGAGTACAGGTATGATCAGGCCATGGTTCCTTAATTCCAAGAAGTAGAAAATAACCAATCAGAGCTCACAAGTTGTTTGGTAAGTTTTCAGCATACTGGTAAAAAATGATATCTTTAAAACAATAAACTGAGAAATAAGATAAAAACCTCACCATATGAGAAGCTTTTGACCTCCCTAGAAATAAGGGGTTTGACTAACATCTCAGGAAGTACCCAATTTTTCTCCAGAAAGCCTTGGAAGGTATATAGAAAAATAAATTATTAAATTTTCTTTATTTATTTTGTATTATACTTCTAAGTTCTAGGGTACACAAGCACAATGTGCAGGTTTGTTACATATGTACACATATGCCATGTTGGTGTGCTGCACCCATTAACTCGTCATTTACATTAGGTATATCTCCTAATGCTATCCCTCCCCCCTTCCCCCACCCCCACAACAGGCCCCGGTGTGATGTTCCCCTTCCTGTGTCCAAGTGTTCTCATTGTTCAATTCCCACTTATGAGTGAGAACATGTGGTGTTTGGTTTTTTGTCCTTGCGATAGTTTGCTGAGAATGATGGTTTCCGGCTTCATCCATGTCCCTACAAAGGACATGAACTCATCGTTTTATAGCAGCATGATTTATAATCCTTTGGGTATATACCCAGTAATGGGATGGCTGGGTCAAATGGTATTTCTAGTTCTAGATCCTTGAGGAACCGCCACACTGTCTTCCACAATGGTTGAACTAGTTTACAGTCCCAACAGTGTAAAAGTGTTCCTATTTCGCCACATCCTCTCCAGCACCTGTTGTTTCCTGACTTTTTAATGATCGCCATTCTAACTGGTGTGAGATGGTATCTCATTGCGGTTTTGATTTGCATTTCTCTGATGGCCAGTGATGATGAGCATTTTTTCATGTGTCTGTTGGCTGTATAAATGTCTTCTTTAGAGAAGTGTCTGTTCATATCCCTCACCCACTTTTTGATGGGGTTTTTTGTTTTCATCTAGAGTTGGGGAAAACATAACATGCAATAATAATGTGAGATATATAAACTAAGAGATGATCTCAGATGTGGAAATGTAATCAGGGAAAGCCAACAAGGCATTAGCTCTGGGTTCATTATCCTAGACTGAGGTACAGAAATAATGTATGGGTATACCCAAAAGCATTTTACATAAACTTATTTTAAAATCAAGGATTACATGAAGGAAGGCAGAGAAAGTTGGCCAAACAGAAGCCTTTACCAATTGTCCTCCCAGCAGGAATATCAAATTGAACAACTCTTCACACAAAAAAGGACCTTCATAAGAACCAAAAATCAGGTGAGTAATCACAGTACCTGATTTTAACTTCATATCACTGAAAGAGGCACTGAATTGCTGATGCCACCCCTCCCTCATCTCCTGGGAGTGGCCACATAGTGTGGAGAGAATCTGTACACTTCAGAAAGGGACAGCACAGTTATTGTGGGATTTGTACTGGAACTCAGTGCTGCCCTGTCACAGAGGAAAGCAGTACTGGGCAGAACTCAGCCAGCATCCATGGAAGGAGTATTTAGACAAGTCCTAGCCAGAGGGGCTCACCCATCCCAGCAGTCAAAACCTAAATTCTGGCAAGCCTCACCACTGCAGGCTAAATAAACTGAAAGACAGTTTAGGCCACAAGGGTTGCAATTTATAGGCAAGTTTTGGTGCTGTGCTGGGCCCTGAGCCAGTGGACTTGGGTGGGCACACAACCTAGTGAGACACACACTGGAGCAGGCATAGAAGTTCTTGTACAACTCCTTCCTCAACTCCAGCTAGCACAGCTCACAGTTCTAGGAGAGAATCCTTCCTTCCACTTGAAGAGAGAAGAGGGAAGAGTAGAGGATTTTGTCTTGCAACTTGGATACCAGTTCACCCACAGTTGGATAGGGCAATGGTCAGAATCCTGAGGTCTCCATTCTAGGCCCTACCTCCCACATGACATTTCTAGACACACCCTGGGCCAGAAGGGAACCCACTGCCTTGAAAGGAAGGACCCAGTCCTGGCAGGATTCATCATCTGCCAACTAAAGAGTTCCTAGACTCTGAATAATCAGAAATGGTACCCAGTCAGTACTCACTGTGGGCCTTGAGAGAGACTCAGAGATTTCTTGGCTTCAGGTGTGACCTAGCACATTCCCAACTGTTCTGGCTATGGTGACATACTCCCTCTGCTTAAGAAAATGAGAGGGAAAAGTACAGGAGACTGAATCTTGAAGCTTAGGTACCAGCTTAGTCACAGTGAGGTAGAACATCAAGTGGGCTCTTGGGGGTTTCTGATTCCAGGTCTTGGCTCCTCAGTGACATTTCTGAACCTGCCCTGAACAAGAGGGGAGCCCATGGTCCTGAAGGGAGAGGCCCAGGTCTTTCAGTATTTATCATAAGCTGACTGAAGGGCCATTGGGCTGTGAGTGAATATCAGTGGTAGCCAGGCAGTACTCACAATGGGTCTGGGGTGGTGGTGGCCATAGGGAAAGGTTGCTCTGTTTGTAGAAAGAAAATAGAAGAGTAGGAAGAACTTTCTTTTGTGGCTGGTGTGCTAGCTTAGCCACAGTAGAATAGAACACTAAGCAGATTCTTAAGGTTCCTGACTCCAGGCCCTCGCTGCCAGATAGCATCTCTGGACCCAGTGGTGCTGGAAGGATCTTGCCACCCTGAAGGGAAAGACACAAGCCTGGCTGTGTTTGCCACTGCTGATTGTAGAACTCTAGGGCCTTGAGTGAACATAGGTAGTAGCCAAACAGTGGTTACCACAGGCCTTGGGGTAGACCCAGTGCTGTGCTGGTTTCAAGTCTGACTCAACAGAGTCCCAGTGGAGGTGGCCACAGGAGTGCTTCTGACACCCCTCCTCCTGCTCCAGGCAGCTCAGAGACACAGAGAGAGATTTCATTGGCTTGGGAAAAAGTAAGAGAAAAGAATAAGAGTCTCTGCTCTTGTTCCAGAAAATTCTTTCTGATATTATCCAAGACCACCAAGGCAGTACCTCTGTAAGTCTGCAAGAGCCATAGCATTACTGGGCCTGGGTTGCCTCTTAATGCAGGCATGGCTGCAGTAACCAAAAACTTAGGTCGCAACATCGGAGTTCCTTTGAATACCTGGACAGCCATCCCAAGAAACACAGGTACAAAGAAGCCCAGACTGTGAAGACTACAATAAATGCTTAATTCATCAATGCTCAGAAACTGACAAATATCCACAGCCACAAGACCATCCAAAAAAACATGATCTCAGACCAAAAAATTAAATAAGGCATTAGTGACAAATCCTGGAAAAACAGAGATATGTGACTTTTCAGAGAGAAGACTCAAAATAGCTGTTGTGATTATGAGGAAACTCAATGAAATACAAGATAAAACAGAGAAGGAATTTAGAATTCTATGAGATAAATTTAACAAAGAAATTGAAATGATTTTTTAAAAAGCAGAAATTCTGGAGTTGAAAAATACAACTGACATACTGAAAAATGCATCAGAGTCTCTTAACAGCAGAATTAATTAAGCAAAAGAAAGAATTAGTCAGCTGGAAGACAAGCTACTTGAAAATACAGTGTCAGACGAGACAAAAGAAAAAGAATAATAAAGAATGAAGCACACCTACAAGATCTAATCCAAAGAAGACTACTTCAAGACATTTAATAATCAAGCTCTGGAAAGTCAGGGATAAAGAAGAAATCCTAAAAGCTGCAAGAGAAAAGAAAATGATAACGTACTATGGAGCTCCAATACATCTGGCAGCAGACTTCTCAGTGGAAACTTTATAGGCCACAGGAGAATGGCATGACATATTTAAAATGTTGAAGGACAAAACAAACAAACAAACAAACAAAAACTTGTATCCTAGAATAGTATATCCAGCAACAATATTCTTCAAATATGAAGGAGAAATAAAGATTTTCCCAGACAAGCAAAAGCCGAGAGATTTTATCAACACCTGTCTCACAAGAAATGCTAAATGGAGTTCTTCAGTCTGAAATAAAGGGACGTTACTGAGCAATAAGAAATCATCTAAAGGTACAAAGATAGCTGGTAATAGTAAATATTAAAAAAGCAATATTATCACTGTAATTGTGGTGCATAAACTATTCATATCTTGAGTAGAAAGACTAAAAGATGAACTGATCAAAAATAATAACTACAACAACTTTTCAAGACATAGACAGTAAAATAAGACATAAATAGAAACAACAAGAAGTTAAAAAGCATAGGATAAAGGTAGAGGTTTTATTAGTTTCTTCTTTGATAGTTTTACTAGTTTTCTCTTTGTTTTTTGTTCAATCAGTGTTAAGTTGTCATCAGTTTAAAGTAATGAGTTATAAGATAGTCTTTGCAAATCTCATGGTAACCTCAAATCAAAAAACATACAATAGATACACAAAAAATAAAAAAGCAAGAAATTAAAACATACAAAGAAACTCACCTTGACTATAAGGAAGACAGGAAAGAAGGTAAGAAGGAAGAGAAGACCACAAAACAACTAGAAAACAACAAACTGGCAGGAGTAAGTTTTACTTACCAAGAATAATGTTAAATGTAAGTGGACTAAATTATCCAATTAAAGACATAGAAAGGTTGAATGAATAAAAAAAAAAAAGATTCAACCATTTGTTGCCTACAGGAAACACACTTTACCCATAAAGACACACATAGACTTAAAGGGATGGAAAAAGATATTCTATATCAGTGGAAATCAAGAAAAGAGCAGGAGTAGCTAAACTTATGTTAGACAAAATAGCATTCAAGCCAAAATTATACAAAGAGTCAAAGAATATTATTATATAATGATAAAGGGTTAATTCAACAAGTGGATATAACTATCGTAAATATATATGCACCCAACACTGGAACACCCAGGTATATAATGCAAATGTTATTAGAGCAAAGAGGGAGATAGACCCCCAATACAATAATAACTAGAGACATCAATACCCCACTTCCAGCATTGGACAGATCATCTGGACAAAAAGTCAACAAAGAAATATCAAATTTAATCTGCACTATAGAATAAATGGGCCTAATAGATACTTGCAGAACATTTTATCCAATGGCTGCAGAATGCATATTCCTCTCCCCAGCACATAGGTCATCCTCAAGGATAAACTATATGTTAGGTCACAAAAAAGTCTTAAACATTTCAAAAAAAAAAAACTGAAGTAATATCAAGAAGCTTCTCTGACCATGACGGAATGAAACTAGAAATCAATAAAAGGAAGAATTTTGGAAACTATACAAACATATGAAAATTAAGCAACATGCTCCTGAATGAACAATGGGTCAATGAAGAAATCAGTAAGAAAATTTAAAAAATTCTTGAAACAAATGATAATAGAAAGAAAATATACCAAAAGCTATGGGATACAGCAAAAGCAGTAATACTTAGAGGAAAGTTTATAGCTATAAATGCCTACATCAAACAAGTAGAAAAACATCAAATTAACATTTTAATTATGCATCTTAAGGACAAAGTGAAAGCGAAAGCAAAGCAAGAGCAAACCAAATCCAAAATTAGTAGAAGAAAAGGAATAATAAAGATCAAAGCAGATACAAATGAAATTGAAATAAAAAATATGTAAATGATAAATAAACCTAAAAACTGATATTTTGAAAAAATAAATTGATAAAACCTTAGTCAGACTAAGTAAAAAGGACGGAAAATACAAATAAATAAAATCAGAAGTGAAAAATATGTTATAACCAATACTGAAGAAACCCAAAGAATCATTAGAGTATACTATGAGCAACTATATGCCCAATAAATTGGAAAATCTAGAAGGAATAAATGTATTCCTAGACATTCCTAGACCTTGGTAGGTCCCTACAACCTACCAACATTGAACTATGAAGAAATCCAAAACCTAAACAATCTAATAACAAGTAATGAGATGAAAGCCATAATAAAAATCTCCCAGCAAAGAAAAGCCTGGGACTTGATGGCTTCAGTGCTGAGTTTTACCAAACATTTCAACAAGAACTACTACCAATCCTGCTCAAACTATTCTGAAAAATAGAGGAAGAGGAGATGCTTCCAAACAGAATCTATGAAGCCAGTGTTACCCTGACCAAAACCAGACAAAGACACATCAAAAAAAGAAAACTACAGACCAATATCCTTGATGAATATTGATGCAAAAATCTTCAACAAAATACCAGCAAACCAAATTCAACAATACATTAAAAAGATCATTTGTCCTGAACAAATGAGATTTAGCCTCGTGATGCAAGGCTGGTTCAACAAATCCAAATCAATCAATGTGATACATCGTATCAACAGAACAAAGAACAAAAACCATATGACCATTTCAGTTGATGCTGAAAAAGCATTCAATAACATTAAACATCCTTTCATAATAAAAATTCTCAAAAAACTAGGTATAGAAGAAACATACCTCAATATAATAAAAAGCCATATATGACTGATCCACAGCTAGTATCATCCTGAATAGAGAAATACTGAAAGCCTTTCCTCTAATATTCAGAACATCACAAGGATGTTCACTTTCACAACTGTTATTCAACGTAGTACTGGAAGTCCTAGCTAGAGCATTCAGACAAGAGAAAAAAACAAAAAGCACCGAAATTTTAAAGAAAGAAGTCAAATTATCCTTGTTTGCAGATTATATGATCTCGTATTTGGAAAACCCTAAAGACTTCACACCAAAACTACGAGAACTGGTAAACGAATTCAGTAAAGTTGCAAGACATGAAATCAACACACAAACATCAACAGCATTTGTTGGGAATGGGCCCCCAAATCTGGCCATAAACTGGCCACCAAACTGGCCATAAACAAAATCTCTGCAGCAGTACGACATGTTCGTGATGGCCGTGAAGCCCATGCTGGAAGCTTGTGGATTTACTGGAATGAGGGCAAGGAACACCTGGCCCACCCAGGGTGGAAAACCGCTTGAAGGCGTTCTTAAATCACAAAAAATAACCTGAGTGATCTGTGCCTTAGGGACATGCTCCTGCTGTAGATAACTAGCCACAGCCCATCCCTTTATTTTGGCCCATCCCTTTGTTTCCTGTAAGGAATGCTTTTAGTTAATCTATAATCTATAGAAACAATGTTTATCACTGGCTTGTTGTCAATAAATATGTGGGTAAATCTCTGTTCGAGGCTCTCAGCTCTGAAGGCTGTGAGACCCCTGATTTCCCACTTCCACCTCTATATTTCTGTGTGTGTGTCTTTAATTCCTCTAGTGCCGCTGGGTTAGGGTCTCCCCGACCAAGCTGGTCTCGGCAGCATTTTTATATTCCAGCAGCAAACAAGCTGAAAAAGAAATCAAGAGTGTAATCTCATTTACAATACCTAAAAATATAATAACATGCATAGGAGTTAACCAAAGTAGTGAAAGATCTCTACAACTAAAACTATGCAATATTGATGAAAGAAATTAAAGAGGAATCTGAAAATATGGAATATATTATGTTCACTGACTGTAAGAATCAATATTGTTAAAATGTCTATACTACTCAAAGCAGTCTATAGATTCAATGAAATCCCCATTAAAATATCAATGACATTCTTCACAGAAATAGATAAAATAATCTTAAAATTTATATGGAACCACAAAAGACTCAGAATACCCAAAGCTAACCTGAGCAAAAAGAACACAACTGGAAGAATCACATTATCTGACTTCAAATTATACTACAAAGCTAACATAACCAAAATAGCATGGTGCTGGCATGAAAACAGACACATAGAGCAGAACAGCATAGAGAACCCAGAAACAATCCACGCACATACAGTGAACTCATTTTCAACAAAGAGGCCAAGAACATACACTGAGGATGGGACAGCTTTTTCAATAAATGGTGCTGAGAAAACTGGATGTCCATATGCAGAAGAATTGAAACTAGACCCCTATCTTTCACCATATAGAAAATCAAATTAAATTTATTAAAAACTTAGATCTAAGACCTCTGACTATGAAACTATTAAAAGAAAACATTTGTGAAACTTTCCAGGATTGGACTGGGGAAAATGTTTTTGAGTGATAACGCACAAGAATAATCAACCTAAGCTAAAATGGACAGATGGAATTACGTCAAGTTAAAAAGCTTTGGCAAAGCAAACAAATAAAAAGTGAAGAGACAACCCACAGAATGGGAGAAAATATTTGCAAACTATGCATATGACAAGGGATTAATAACCAGAATATATATAAGTAGTCTAAACAATTCAATAGGAAAAAAACTAATAATCTGATTTAAAAATAGGCAAAGAATCCAAATAGATATTTCTCAAAAGAAGACATACAAATGGCAAACAGATATATGAAAAAATCCTTCACATTATTGATCATCAGAAAAATACAAGTCAAAACCACAGTGAAATATCTTCAGTTAAAATGGCTTGTATCCAAAAGACAGACAATAACAAATGCTTGTGAGGATGTGGAAAAATGAGAACCCTCGTGCACTTGGTTGGAATGTAAATTAGTAAAACCACTATGGAGATCAGTTTGGAGGTTCCTCACAAAACTAACAATAGAGCTACCATTTGATCCAGCAATCCTACTTCTATGTATATACTCAAAAGAAAGAAAATTAGTATATTAAAGAGATATCCTTACTTCCATTTTTATTGCAGCACTATTCATAATAGCCAGAATTAGAAGCAACCTAAGTGTTCATCAGTAGACAAATAGAAAAAGAAAATGTGGTACATATATGCAATGGAGTATTATTCAGCCATAAAAAAGAATGAGATTCTGTCATTAACAACAACATGGCTGGAAATAAAGGCCATTATGTTATGTGAAATAAGCCAGGCACAGGAAAACACACTTAACGTGTTCTTACTTATTTGTGGAAGCTAAAAATTAAAGCAACTAAACCCATAAAAATACAGAGTAGAAGGATGATTACCAGAGCCTGGGGAGGGTAGTGTGGGGTGGAGGAAGTGGGGATGGTTAATGGATATAAAATATAGTTAGATAGAATGAAGAAGATCTAATATTTGATAGCACAATATGGTAACTACTGTCAACAATAATTTATTGTCCATTTAAAAATAACTGAAAGAGAATAATTAGATTGTTTGTGATTATCACTCATTGTATGCCTATATATCAAAATATCTAACACCTAATGTTCATATATTGAATAAATATGTAAACCTACAACAGTTTTTCGAATATGAAAAAAATCAATAATTCTATATGAACATAAGTAGTTTGTACTTCATGTATTGGTTCACCTCACATTACTACAGTAATTGTATAAGACAATTCTGATCTTGTTTTCAAAAAGTTTTATTCTATAATCTATTAATTCCTGTAAAACCACCCCAGGAGGTATAGTTTCCTTATATATCATTACTAATTTTATCTATTCCAACTTTACCACTACCACTTGCCCTGTTTTTTTTCTCTTCATTTTCTTGGGGAAAAAATATTGAAAAAAAGTTTGTAGGATCTCCTCTAGTCTGCTAAGCCATCTTTATGAAATCATTTAAAATCATACAAAGAACTTGAATGATCTGAAAAGTTTCCCAAAATGGGATTCCAGTAATTGTCATTTGGCAGGATATTCATGCTTAAACACAGAGAAGTGGGTTTTGCTTTAGAGTGTCTCAGAAACGTCAACATGATAATATGTGTTATGAGTATAATATGTTATGTTTCTCAAATATACTTGACCATAGAGCATCTTATTAACACCTTCTGAAATAGCATCCCATTTACATTTTATCTAGCAGTGTTCTCTGGAACAGTTTGAGAAGTGGTGTTCTAGTCTAGACAAACCTGTTATGTGATCTATGAGCCACCAGCTCTTGCTATTCCTCATGTACACAGAAATCTAAACAATTTTCTGATATCCTTTTTAATCATCATACAACACTAACGAGGAAAGATCCAATAACAAAGAAATAAATTTGTGGTTTTTATAGTGAAGTTTGGTTGGCCTCACACTGGTGTACAAGAGACTTCTCTGCTCAAACCTCCTCCAGTAGCCCCTAGCCTAATAGCTTGTCAAATCACGATGTAATTCATTCCTTCCCCGCCCCCGCCCTCCTTGAACCTGCTGGAAGAGTTAGTATGTAAATTTCAACCTATTTTTAAGGGTTATTTTCACTCAAGTGAAATCTATCAAGGAAGGAGGGTTATTTTTACAGCATACAGCAACTGCTGATCACCATGGCAACCGGCCTGGTGAAATGCAATAAAGCATCCCTCTGTTATCGTAAACACAAAAGGGAAACACTGAAATCTAAAAGAAAGGCAATTATTGTAGGGGAAAGAAACAATATGCCAATGGAACATTTGCAATATTGTGTGACTTCACAGAGCTGGACAGTATTTCCAAAGCTAGCTCTGTCCAGCCTTTCAGCTCTACTAGTTATGACTAAACAAAGGTTGAGTTAAGAGTCCTTGGGAGAAGTTGTTTTTATTTCTAACTGACAAAATCATACATTATTTCAAACTAATATAAACTTTTTTCTTTTCTCATTTCTTAAATCATACAATGGGCTTAGAAAATATAGACATTAGGAAGTAGGAAAAAAATACCCATATCAGTCTGCTTTTCTTTTGGGGAATATTTTATTGTTGACAGTGGAATTATGGATAAAAAAAAGAGAACAGTCTGTATAGATCACAGAATTCTTTTATACATAGCTTCTTCTCCTCCCTTAACTGACTTTTACTGGGGTTATTGGTAAATTCCATGTAGACAAAAGCAGAGACATTGTCAACAACTGCTAAAATTTAGATAGAATAAGCTCTAAGATTTATGTCAAATTTAGGGAGTCCAGAGTACTTGGAAAACACACAAAAATAAACAAAAGTGAAAGGATATGAATTTTTGTGCCCATATTATAGATTAAGGAGCTGGGGTCCATAAGTGTTCACATTAAAAATAAGCTGAATACAGATGAGTGTCTTGGAATTACAGAAGGAGCAGTGGATCAAGAATTAAAAGACTAAGGAAACTTAACAAATCATTCTGTTTTTTGAGGGTTTCTTCACCTACCCATAGGTTGAGAATCAGTTTTTCCTTTTCCCATAAGGATCACCTCTAACTAGTATATTTATGACTTAGAGAGGACTGCCCTATGTCTGCTCCCAGGCTGTGACCTTGACCACTGCTCCAATGTGCTGGCTGGCCACCATTCACTTAGCTACAGCTCATGGCCTGTAGATCATAGCACACACTCTTCCTCTGATACAAGTCTGCCCCTGCTTCATGGGGCTCTGTGGAGGTGGGCAGGGTGTTTTCCTTCAGATAGCTACCATGCTGAGTTTGGGTTTATTGACTTTACTGTATTTGCGTAAAACTAAAGGGAATTACATCATATGAAACAAGACAGTAAAACTGGCAGGTCATATATAACAGTTATAGTCTAAGAAAGTACCCAGGGTTAAACATTTCATGTGTACAGTTCAGTTATAAAACTTGCCTTCTAGTCTGTAATTTTCTCTGGAAAACACCTTCCTCTTGTCTTCTTCTTCTAATTTTTACCACATACATTTCTAGACTCTTGAAAGAGCACTATCTCCTGCTCACAGAAATTGGGCTTATTCCAAGATCCATCCTCCTGCCTCCATCAATACATTTCATTATTCATTAAACAAATATTTATTAACTGCTTACTATGTGTCAAATAATGACCTATGCCTTGGTGATGTAGCAATGAAGGAAATAGATGAAAATTTGTGCTTCATAGAGTTTATGTTGTAGGAGAGGAGGTAGAAAATAAATGGATAAACCAAATATGCAATATATCAGATGAAAATAAGTTTTATGGAAAAGCAAGGAAGAAGCCTGATGAATACAGGATTTCAGGGGAGAATACAATTTTTAACAGGGAATGCTTAAGGAAGACCATATTGAGATGTTGACATTGGAGTCAAGAACCAAAGGAGATGAGAAAGTATAGCACATAAATAGAAGGAGAAATTAGTATTCCAAGTTACATGAGTAAAAATGCACTAGCACTGAGGCAGGAGAATTCCTGGCATGTTCTTGGAGGCTAGTCTAGCTATAGCACAGTGAGTAAAGGGAATAATAGTAGGTGATAAGATGGGGAGTTGCAGAGGAACAGTTCCTGTGGGTTTACATGTGCCATTGTACGGACTCTGGCATTAAACAGAGGAGTATCATGATCTGATCTATATTTTAATGACATAACTTTGGATTTTGTGTTGAGAATACACTGTAGGCAGACAAAGCAGAGAGCCTAATTAGGAGGCTATTGCAATAATCCAGGAGAGAAACAGATGGCAGCTGGGCAAAGATGATAGCTGAAGTGAAGAAAAGTAATCTTCTACATATATATTTCTATACACCTATGTATTTAAGACATAGACTAAAGGATTTTCTGATGGCTTTCTAAATCTAAGTTATGGTACCTAAAATAATGTTTCAGTGGCTCAGGCAGGATAGTCCATATTGAATTGTCTAAGTTCAAAAAATATTCCAGGTTGGGAGGTGGCACTCAAATCTAGCCACCTCTGAAGTTTTCTCATCAGTGAGAGTTACAAACACACCTTTTTATTCTTTTTATGATCCAACAGATATATGTTAGGTCTCTCTCTCTCTCTCATACACACACCAACCCACCACCACCATATACCATGCATACATGCTTGCACACAGATATACATAGATAAACACATATGCACACACAACTCACCAGGACAAACAATAATGCTTAAAGATATTTAATGTAAACTACTGCGTCACCAAGTGTGTCCACTGATCAATGATGGCCTCCAGAAAGTAGCCTGCAATTTGACAGATGCAGAAAAAATATAAACGATATCCTTTAATTACATTTCACAAACTTGAAATGTAAAATTATAATTTTTAAAGACATTTGGTAGGAGTCCTAAAAGACACACATTTTTAAAAAGTCTGAACATGCATCCAGGAATTGCATTGGTAAGTTCACCTTCAATGACATTCACTTAACAGGGTACAGTTCATTTCAGCCAATGTATTTTCATGTTATTTCCATTTATGTTAAACTTGCATCTCTCTTGTTGCATGCTGTATCTACAATTCTCAAAAACAGGGCAATGTCTCAAAAGTGGCTTTTGGAAACATAAAGAAGTGATAAAGTAATAACTATAAATACCAGAAGCCATAGTTAGATGAGCTGTGAACAGGACTTTGGTATATACTTCTACAAGTCCATCTGTGAGTGTGGGAATTATACCAAGTGGTTTCAAAATTAAAGAGAATATAAAAGTATAAAGATGAATTTCTGAACACTGGATCTTCCTGGACTGCAGATGCATTCACCTTCAGTCCTTACTGCCTTATATGTTATTATAAGTAGTGTAAAGTCACTGAAGTTTTGTGTCATTATAGAATGAAGCACAGTAAACTTTCCAGAGCATTAATTGTTTCCCCCGAATGAAATGAAAATAATGCCTTACAGTAAAAAAGAAATACATTTTTTATTATCAAAAACAAGGAAGAGAGAAAACTCTAGAGATGTTATTCAAAGTTACACTCTTTGGATTGGTGAACACCCCATATGGTGCTCAGGCTCTTACCATAAAACTTGTGCAACATTAATGACAAAGGGATTCCTTAGAGCTAACTCAGAATAAACCACTAGCAATTGTGGAGTTGAATGACACTATTTGGACATCAATGGCACAAAGTGAAAGAGCAAATCCTATTGTTTATATCTGGAGGCAGGTATTGAGTTTTATGTGAGGATGAAATGACAGGTGTGAAGAGTATGAAACAGCTCTTAACACGTATCTAGTACCAATATGAGGGAGAAATATTAGACGACAATTTTGTTAATCCAAAGGAGCCATGATATATAGACAATCTAATGTTTTTGATTACTTTATAAGACATGATATAAACTGAAAGTGATACATTGTGATCAATACTAACAGAAAAACAGGTATAGAATAAAAAAGAAGATACACTTGAAGGCCAATCCACACAACGTTATCACCAGAGACTATTTATTGGCCAACATGTGGCTTATTATCCCAATTCACTATTGAAAGAAATAGTGAATTGTGAAGATGATCAACTTTTACCCTTTTTTTCAACATGCCAGGACAGATCATTTCTAAGACAACGCTAGTGGTCTAGTCTTAGTGCATTTCTAGCTCTGCAGTAGTGGCTTGTTCCAGTGGTCGAACTGATGATAAATGGTGTGCCTACCACTTTGGGCCAAAATATTTAATTTTTTTTTAATGTCAGGGTTGTCTATGGTGCAAACATTTTAATCACCAAAATTTTACTTTTTGTCATTTCTTGACTTTTGTCACTTAACGAGATCAATAAGCCATTATTTGTAATATTTTAGAGCTATATAAAAATACTGCAGTAATAATGTAAAGAAATACTTTTCAGAGTTAATGAATTTCCATTTTTATTTTAGATTCAGGGGGTACATGTGCAGGTTTGTTACAAGGGTATATTGCATGATGCTGAGGTTTGGGCTTCTCTTAATCCTGTCACACAGACAGTGAACATAGTACCCAATAAGAAGTTTTTCCTGGCCCCCTCACTCCTTCTTCCTCCCACCTTTTGGAGTCCCCAGTCTCTATTATTTCCATATTTATGTCCATGTGTACCCAAGGTTTAGCTCCCACTTATAAATGAGAACATGCAATATTTGGTTTTCTGTTACTTGTGTTTTAATCTTTTACTATGACTTTAAAATTTGTTGAGTAGGAAAAACCTCTTCCTGACTCTGAGTTTTAAAAAACCAGGGAGTGGGAGGGCTAGCGCTGTGACTTTTTTTTTTTTATGCTTACTGTTTACTAATAGAGAACCCTTTGATTACTTTGGTTTACAGACACTACCTCAGTTCATAAATAAGTCATTGAATTCCAATATTGATTTCATGACAAATCCCCTCATCACAATAGGCATCCTGTACGCTGGCTGCTTACATAGCTAGGGGAGTTAGTTGGCCCTTCTTTTTCTTCCCTTACTTAGCATTTCTTCTCCTGTCCCTGTTAGATAATTGCTGTTTTAACCACTCTGGGGAGAGAAGACTGTAGCAAAAGATGCCAATCCTACTTGAGCAGTGCAGTTGTCTTCTAGTCTAGGGCTCCTTGTGAGCAGATGAACAAAGATGGAGTCTCTCTTAGATTTTTTTCATATCTGAATGAGCCCTTTCTGCTGTAACTCCGGTGACATCGACAGGACTTTCCTTGAAGTGGCCTTTCTCCCGTCATTCCATGGTTCAGTAGTGATCCACTCCACATCTAGAATCCCTCTGTTGAACCCTCATTGAGTTTCCAGGTTCTCTTCTTGAGCAGAACATAAAACGTCTCCCAGGTGATGTTTTTCCACCGTGGACTACCTCTGTCCCACTAAAAACATGCATACATTACAGCCACCTGTTTTGATAGTTTGCATTTTGTTCTGGCCTATCACTTTGGCTTACTGCATCTATTGCATCTAGATTTTTTGGCAAAACGTCACTTTTAACATGGCGTGCAATTTCAAACAACACCTTCCCTTTAATTCTTGACCACTAGCCCCAAGCAGGCTGTTCTGACTACTTGGCTCTACTTCTACATTTGTTTAGTCAGTTCACTATTCAGCCTTCTAAATTAATATTTTATACTTCCTTCACACTTCTCAAACCATCACAATTTCTATCTCATTGTCTGATAACATTCCTTTTTATCTCACTGAGAAAATAAAAGCAGTCAAATGAGAACTTCCACACTCCTACCACCAATTGTACCAAGCAATCTGCATATGTCCCTATGCAGTATTTTACCTCCCTACTCATTAAATGCATAAACTTTCCCAACACCTATCTAAAATGAATTTCTCCGCTTATTCTCTGGGTCTCAACATGACTGCATCTAAAATAGCACTACTCTTCCATCTTTTACCTTCTCTCCTTTGCCATCAAAATTTCTCACTCTATTTAGTCACTCACATGAGTATGCAAATATGCTACATACATCATTATACAGTGCCTTATTTTTTACCTTCCTTTACAGAAAAACTCCTTAAAAACAGATTTTTATGCTTTGTATCTCTATTTTTGCTCCTCCAATTCTTTCTTTCTTTTTTTTTTTTTTTTTTTTTTGAGACGGAGTCTTGCTCTGTCGGCCAGGCTGGAGTGCAGTGGTGCGATCTCAGCTCACTGCAAGCCCCGCCTCCCGGGTTCACGCCATTCTCCTGCCTCAGTCTCCGGAGTAGCTGGGACTACAGGTGCCCGCCACCACACCCGGCTAATTTTTTGTATTTTTAGTAGAGACTGGGTTTCACCATGTTAGCCAGGATGGTCTCGATCTCCTGACCTTGTGATCCGCCCGCCTCGGCCTCCCCAAGTGCTGGGATTACAGGCATGAGCCACCGCGTCCGGCCCCTCCAATTCTTTCTTGAATCGACTCCAGTTAGGCTTCTATCACCCTATGCTGATCTAAGGAATGTCACCAATGGCTATGCCTCTAATTTGCGTGAACTTGACCTAAGACACTTGACGCTAGATTTTTCTCTCCTTCACCCTCTTCCCTTGGCCCCATGATTGTAGTCTGTCTTGGCCCTCCTTCTTCACTGGATGCTCCTTCTGTCTCCTCTGTTGTTTTCCCCTATCTTGTTAATAGTGACTTTGTGCAAGTTACATTTTCTGAATCTCCTCATCTATAAAGTGGTGTTAATAACAGTATCTGACTCATAGGATTGTTTCGAGGGTTAACTGAATGAAAACACTTAATTACTTAAAACAAGTCCAGCACAAGGTAAGTGCTCTGTAGGTGTTGGCTTTTATCATCCTCCTCACGATCATTATCATCACCATCATCATTATTATACTGACCGAAGTGCCCCCAGGGCTCATTCTACACAGCCTCTCCTTTATTCTGTTTACTTCACTCCTTCAATGATTTCCTCAGTTTTATGACTAATTACCATAAAACACTTGATAATTCCCAAATTCCTGTGTCTAGTCCTATTTTTCTTATGAGCGCCAGACTCTAATATTTAACATCCTTCTCAACATTTTCACTTGATATTCGTCATTTTAAACTTGAAATGCCAAAATGAGCTCCTGATTTTCTCCCTAAACCTATAGCTCCCAGGATTTGTGCCTTTTCAGTAAATTGCAATTCTATTCCATTACTCAGGCCAAAACCTTAGTCTTCTAAGTAGCCTCTTCCTCTACCTATTTTGACATCTATAATTTACTTTAGAATGTTAAGTATGATCAGTAAGATAGTATAAATATTCCAGTAATATTAAGCTTACTCAGCTAACATACTATGAAAAATCCGCAGTCCTGGCATAGTCAGTCAGTATTTTATTAGTCAGAATGTCACTCCAGAAGTGGCCACTGCAAGCCCTTCTGTTATCTCTGTCTCATTGGGCAAACATTTGCTGATTAGCATACTGGATGTCAAATTTGATTTTTATTGGTTAAACTAGCAACCTATTAATTAGCATGATGGATGTTAGAAGTGAGCTGGGATGTGTGTGTGTGTGTAAAATTAAAGCTTTTAGGATTCAAGGATAGGCTTGAAAAGCTTACAGATTTTCCCCACTCTGTGTGCAAATATTCCTTCAATGCCTGTATTCTGCAGTTCTTAGGGATGAGTCTCATGAGGTTGGATCCCTAATCATTTATGTCCAGCCAGTAATTTAGAATTTCTAATTGCATGATTCTGACTATAGCACATAGAATCCTGGCTCCTGCCTTGGAAAAGTTGCCTGGTCTGCCTAGAGTTCATTTTTCTTACAGCATATGAGAGCTTGACTTCATTAAGTATGTGTAGGTGAGTCTATAAAATATTTTGTGCCTGTTGCCAAAAAAATATGTGGCCAGTAAATAACTCTGTGTGTCATGAAATTGGGTCTGAGATTTTGCTTATTATAATCAGACATTTTATTATGAAGTCGTGAGGAAATAGCTCTCCCTCACAACTTCAGACTTCTTTAGCAGTTATAATTAGCTACCGGGAATAACCTAAATATTGCACATGACCATATTGATTTAGATTAGTTTACAACACTCTTTCTCTCACACTCCTTACTTAGTCCATCAGTAAATACCCCACTGAGCTCCACAAACAGGAACTGTTTTGTCCACAACTATATCCTGTGCACTTAGGCCTGTGCTTGGCACAGAGTAGGCTCTTAATAAATACATTTTATTGGTAAATAAATACTTCTCATGCATACAAAATAAAATGTAATATCTATGTAACGTTTTAACTTTTAAATCATCTTGGATCAGTTTTTACATTATTATTTCTTATGTGTACCAAACCTTTATCAGACAGTTCTTAGAAATCCTTAGCTTCAGAAGCAATCACCTAATACTAAAGGTAGAAGAGAAATCTTTTCCAAAGTAACCTATGTATAAGGCTTTAGCTCTTACTGCCATACTTGTATTTTCCATTCCCAAGTAAAGCAACATTAATTTCATTCATTCATACCTCTCCGTGGAACACTGTGCCCCCTTGGGCCTGCCAGGGTGAGGAATAGACCTCTTTGCCGATCCATGTACCTCTTAATGGCTGTTCACCTAGCTACACAAAGAACCCACAGAAGCTTTGAAATTACTTCTTGTAAAGACCTGATTACTTTCTTGGACGAGGACTTTGTGTAGGTTGTAGGGAGAGGGAGAAAGAATGACCCGAAACTGAGAGATTGTTTTTTTTTCCTTTCGTTGTTCTAAGAGGAGGCTGCTGAAGTCTCTCTCAGATCCCCTCTAGCTCTCTGAGCCTCTCTTATCTCAAGCAGCAAAATGGTAAGAGCACAGACGCTTTGCTTAGTCAAATCTTGTGATTTACAAATTAGGTATTAGTGTGAAGTCAATGAAAGTGTAGTCCTGATTTCTTCCCATCCCCTACCCCAGTCAGGTGTGGGGTGCCAGGTAGGGTGGGGAGAACAGCTTGTGAAGGGAGTTAAAGGCATCTGTGCAGTCCTTGGCAGGTAGAAGACACAAGCCAAAGGTGTAAAAGAAGGAAAACAAGCAATAGATAAAAAGAGTGGGAGAAAAGAAAATTTTAAAAGTAGATTTCAGATAGAAGAGGAACCTGGTCAGGAATCTGGTCTATCTTTTGAACTATAACTAAACTGAGCAGGTTTTAACAACCAGGAAGTCTCCACTCTCATTCTCCTCTTCTTCTTACTTCCTTCTTTTTCAAATTTTTCTACTTTTCTTTCTTTCCTTCTGCCAAAATCTAAAATGGTGATTCCATGTCAGTGAGAAAGACAGGACTTTCATAAATCCTTGTGGTTTTTCACTTCAAGCTTTTCTTTTTTTTAAGAAACAATATATGATCAGGAATAATGCCATGTGGAGAATTGGGTCCTGTTACACAAGCAGGATAATTGAATAAGGGATGCATTCTTAGTGCTGATAGTTACCTTTCCCCTCCTTATATATTCAACTCTACCTAGTTTTTCTCTACTCCAAGAATTTAGTCCTAAATTCTAGAAAGAAAAGTTTACAGGACAAACTCTCAGAAGTATAATTTTTGGTTCTGGTCCCAGCTTCCCCTCCAGCTAGTTATGTGGCTTTGGTGTATGTCTCTTGCCTTAAGTCATAATTACTATTCTGTATTTTGTCCATTGATTTTTCTGCCTTCATCTTCCATTCTGGTTATTCTAACAGAATATTCAGTGTAAATGGATGATTATATGTGGCAGTTCACTTAAACGTGAATGCAGTTACCTCCTCACGATATTTTATGCAAATCATATATGATGATGTATATTGAGTACTTTGAAAACTGTAAAGCACTATACAAATATTATTCATTTATATCACTCCCTCCCTGCTTTTTGTACCCTTGTCCTTCTTGCATGGAAATGTACCAAAGGATATGAGTTCAATGATTACATGTAAGTTCCCCTCCAGAAATGCCATTGTAAGTGGTAGTTATAATGTCAAATTACAGCAGCTGGCTCTCCAACGCAGACTTGTTTAACTCAATTGTCATTCAGCTGGTAATCACCTTTCTTTCCTGGAAAAACCACAGGAGTGATGTTTCATCAGCAGCAAGATGGATAATAAAAGGGAACAACTCAGAGATGAAAGAGAGAGAGACAGACCTTGCACATTCATAGACAATGAAAGCAAATTTGGATAACCATAAAGTTGACTTTAGATAGTATTTTTCTTTCTCTTCCCTTTACTGAAGGAAGGGGTGTGTCCTAGAAACTCTAACCACCAGGTCAAGCAATATTTTACCTGGAGGATAGGTGACTTTTTAAAATAATTAGGTGACTAATTCAATCAGATTATGAAAGGAACTATTGGTTCTAAAATAATGGTATCTTCCCTGGTATTTAGAGAATCTATAGTTTCATTTGAAATGCACTCATATTCATTTTGATATACTAGAAAATCTGGGATAATGTTACATGTTAGAGAACCTGGAGGGACATCATAATTCCCTAATATCTAAGTGTAAATTATTCAAATCATAATCTTACAACAGTTTTGCCCAGCTCATTAAGTGAGTCAAATTCAAATGGCATTAGTTTTGCCTTTCCTACTCCACGTTTTGTAAGGAAATGTTAAATTGGCCCTATGGAAAGCATACATGGCCAGACATAGGTTTTTGGGGAAGACATTTTTCCTCAAAGCTTGAAATTTTATACTAAACACCTTAAAGAATTTCTGATTGTGTTGTATGCACAAAGATTCAGTCTGTTCAAAATATATCAGTAGAACTCAAAGCTTCTTCAACTGCTGCCCTGGAGAATAAAATGTCATATTTTCCTAGTACTTAATTTTAAAGAATATCTTTTGCTATTTGAATGTTCAAGTTCTATAACTTTTCCACATCTGACTCAATATTTCCAGTAGATCAGGTTAGGAAAGGAGTCATAACCCTTACTAGAAGGTTTTCTAATATGGCCTTAATATTTACATATTTATTAAGAATTCTATGTATATATTTGCATGTCTAGTTTCTGCAGCTAATATATCATCACTTGAGAACTGAGGGCATATTTTATTCATGTCTGTTCTTACCATGACACTTTACATTACAAAATTTGTGTGTGTATATTAATTCAACAGTCCTACGGTTACAATGTTTTCTTTAGATTGTATATATCAAGAGCCAGCACACTATTGCCCATGGCCAAATCTAGCCTACCACCTGTTTTTGCAAACTTTTATTGGATAACATCCAGACTCATTTGTTTACATATTGTCTATGGCTGCTTTCACTCTACAGCTGCAGATTTGAGTAGGTGCCACAGAGACTGCCCATCAAGCCTAAAATAATTAACTGACCCTTTACACAAAAAGTCTGCTGATCCTTGGTCTATATAAATAGTGACATCATCATACAAAAGAATTATTTTTGGTCTGAAGGCACGAGAGCTCAGTTGAACAGAATCCACTGAAAGGAGAATAGAGTCAATAACAAAAAAGTCCCCATTGCTTTATTCCTTAATCATCCATGAATCTTATTTGACATGCAATATCTGCCAGTCATTATTCTAGTGCTTGATGTATAGTAGGGAACACAGCAAAGTCTCAGTCCTCCTGGAGCTTTAATTTTTGTGGTGGCATCAGGAAATAAGCACATAGGCAAAGTAAGTTCAGAGTCATAAAAGCTAAGAAGAAAATAAACAGAATAATGGTGTAGACCAGTAATGTCCAATAGAAATATAGTACAAGCCACATATGTAATTTTGAATGTTCTAGTAACCCAATAAAAATTTTACGCTGGGCACAATGGTTCACACCTGTAAGCCTAGCACTTTCAGAGGCCAAGGCAGGACAATCACTTGAGTCCAGGAGTTTGAGGCCAGGCTGGGAAACAAATAACGTTTGCCATCTCTACAAAATACAGAAAAATTACCCAGGCATGATAGTGCGTGCCTGTAGTCCCAGCTACCTGGAGGCTGAGGTGGGAGGATGGCTTGACCCTAGGAAGTGGAGGCTACAGTGAACCATGATCATACCCCTGTACTCCAGCCTGGGCAACAGAGGGCAGACTTTATCTCTTAAAACAAAAGTTTAAAAAGTAAATTCAATTTTAAATTTTAAGATTATATTTTATTTAAATATCCCAATATCATAATTTCCACATTTAATATTGATGATATATTTTGTATTTATTTTTGTACTAGGTCTTTAAAATTCAGTCCATATTTTATGCTTACACTTGCAGCCCCTTTCAACTTAGACTAGTCACCTTTCACGTCCTTATAGCCACATGTGGCTGGTGACCACTGTATTGGGCAGTGCAGGTGTAGAGAATAAGCTTCTCTAAGAAGGTAGCATTTGCCTTACCACCTGAATCCTGAGAAGAAGGCAGCTAGACAGAGGAATCAGCTGATGTATGAGGACTGAGGAAGACTCAAGAAGCTCCAGGAGGTAGGATGGCTGAAGTTTGGGAATAAGAAGAGATTGAGAAGAGACGAGGAGGAAATGTGGGCAGGGACTAGAAGACTAAAAGCCTTGTGGCAAATGAAGAAGCCTGAATTTAATTCTACATGGGATGAAAATCCCCTGGGTGGTTTTGAGCAAAAGATTGGCGTAATTTGATTATTCTCTTTAAAAATTACTCTTCTTGATATGTCTTCTATACAGAGTATACTGGGACAAGAATGGAAATGGGGAGCTCAATTTGAAGGCCATTTTAGTGGTCCAATTGTAGGAAAACAGTGACTTGCATATTTATGCAACATTCTGTGGATTTCAGAATGCTTTTGTGTGTATATCTCCCAGTGTTGTTATGAAAGCAATTGTGTAAAATCACGTGGGAAGAGATCAGCACAGTGCCTGACATATAATCAGTGTTCAATAATGTTTGCATGATATTATTAAGAAATTTAAATCTGGAAGATCCTTCTGCCTAAACTAGAGCAGTATTTTGACAATAAGGCAAATGTGCAGCCAGGTAATTTTAGGTTGCTTTATTTAAGCAAGGAATACAGAGTTTTCAAATTCTTCTATTTATAAGGACTTATTATGAGGTAAACATACTATTGTAGGAAAGGTAGGAACCTCAGGGATCCTCAGAAACTCCTTACAGCTGTATTATTCCTTCAGTAGCAAGTGTTCCTTGTCCTTAACCCTTGGGCATTGACATTCTTGGGAGCTAGCTAATTTTTCTCTCTCTCTCTCTCTTTTCATTCCTTCTCACCTCCATCTGAGTAATTCTTCTCTTATTTTCTGGCCCAGATTCCTAGGAGAGAGACTCTAATCAATGTAGCTAATCACTTCCCCCTTGTTAGGTTACAGTTTTTTCATCCAGATCACTGAGCAGTCTATGGGCTGATTGCCCTTTTGTCATGTATCTGCTCTTGGTTCAATCATCTATGGTAAAGTCATACAAGGGTGAAACCACAGAGTTCTGTAGTACAGAACATGCAACTGCTGAAGGAAAAAAAAAGGTTTATCTTAGGAATGACTATGAATGATGCTTTGTCCATTGAAAGAGGATTGTGTGTATAGTAGGCACTGTGATTAATCTCTTCAACACCTTGTATTCATTCAAAAGGTATTGCTTACTATGTGCAGTCTGGTACTAGAGATAGGATATGACAATGAACAAAACATACAAATAATTCTGCCCTTCTGGATCATGCATTCTATAGGGAAGCCACAGACATTAAAAGGATAAACCCACAAAATATGTACATCGGATAGTAATAAGTATTCCAGGCAAAAACAAGGCAGGAAGAGTGATGAACAGCATTGTGGGGAAGAGTGCTTTGATTTTATAAATGGCAGTCAGGAAAGGCTTGAAGTAGGTGAGGTATTAGTGGTGTAGTTATCTAAGGAAGGGCTGAGGAAAAAACAATTCAAGCAAAAGTGAACAGCCAGTACAAAGGCCCTGAGGCAGGAGACTGGCTGGAATGTTTGAGGAGAACAGGGAGATCAGCATGGCAGGAGCAGAGAGAAGGAGGAAGAGAATAACAGAAAACGAAGTCAGAGCGGTAGTAGGGACTAAGCTACGTGAAGCCGTGCAGGTCATTATAAGGACTTTGGCATCTACTCAGAAGTAAATAGGAAGCCATTGGAGGATTCTGTGCAGTGAGTGACCTGAGCTGACTTCTAGTAACAACAACAAAAACAACAAAATCACTTTGTCATGAGGGACATACAAAGACATACGAAGGCAGAAGCTGTAAACCAAGTAAGAGGCTTCTGCAATATCCAGAGAGAAATGCTGGCAGCTTGAAAATGGTAAAAAGGGTCAGATACATCAGGGAAAGCTCTAGCTTGGAAAAAGCTTGGTCAGCCCCTCTAGGAGCACTCCTGAGTTAGAGGAAGTTGGCCTATCCACCTCCTTTGTTTACCTGTAATTCCCTGTGGCATTAGAAAACTCTACCACCTAAGGGGAATTTGGTAGCCCTCCAGATAACCTACTGGACAAGACATTGTAGTTCTTGATGGCTTATTTCTCAAGCTGGATATGGAATTGAGGAGAATTGTGTCTGAGGAAGAGGCCAAGCCCTTATGCAATGATAAGGGAAATGACCTGCATAGGAAGGGGCCAGTTATTTCAAGGTCAATGCCATAATATCATCTAAGTTTAGGGTCAATGTTGGAATTGGAACCACAGCAATTTTTGTTGGCTGCCTTTACCTCAGTGAGCCACCCATTTGGCTTCTGGTTACAGCCATCCTGACAGAGGGCACCTGTCCACCCATGGTGAGTGCAATCGGATGGAAGGTACGTTCCCCACCCAGCTGCCCAAGGCTCCTTCCAACCATCTGGAGTCACTAGAGCATGACTGCTCTAGCTGGGTTAGGTGAGGAAGTGCTCTGAAAAAGAGCTGGAAAGTTGAGGGATCCATGCAGTTTAATCGAGAGAACCAGGCTCCACTTTCAATCTGGTCCCTACTCTCTTACAGGGAATACAATAATATATGTAAACTCATTTCAATAAACATGTACTACCCATGTGTCAGGCACATACTACAGCCACAAATATAGATAACATACATCCATAACTTGAAGGAACTCATTCTATCAAAGGAAATAAACACATCAATGAATAACTTTAAAAAAGATGGCAAATATTATAAAATGTATGGACAAAATGTTGTGGGAACATAGATTAAGGTGGGACTAATTCTGGCCAGAGAAAGTGAATAATCTATGGTTTGAAGAAAAAACTGTTTGTAGACAAGAGAAACACATTGCAGGTTGAATATGCAGTTGCAAGAATACGCAGAAAGATATAAAAATGAATGGCATATTTGGCAAACGACGAATAAAAGATTTTAACCAGAACACAGTATGCAGGCAGAGTGACTGGAAATTTGGAAAAGTAGGTTGTTAACAGATTGTAAATACTACTTTATTGGATAGGAAATACAAGCTTATAAAACATTTCTTGTTTCTTCTTTTTATTAGGACTGTCACATGATGATTTTATAAAGCAGGACATAAATGTCTTCAAAAACTGAACTTGAATCTTACTCTTCTCTTGCCCACATCTTTTCACTTTGTTTTTTTCTTATTTCATTTCCAATTCTCCACACTGCCCCTGATTTTCCCTTTTATATCTCTCCACCATCTTCTTCCACCAAGATAGAAATAATGATATAATGTAGTTTCCTCCATCTTCTTCCACCAAGATAGAAATAATGATATAATGTACACCAATAAAACTGTTGCAATATCAAAAAGGAAAAACTAGAAAATATCTCTTCTGTATGTTTGATAAATATGCAGGAGTTAGGTCCTCACAAACATACAGAGTGACACTAAAATTCTTTTCTGACTTTAGATGCAATCCATAAGTCATGATTTGTTTTCATTTTAACCCAGTCACATGAAAATATCAGTTAATTTGCTTGAAAATTAAAGCCTTTGGAACTGTGCTTCTCCCTTCATAGACACAGAATCTATATACACCTATTGTTTTCCTTTTTTTTAATATCAAGATAATTCTGTGGGGTTTTTTTTGTTTTCTTTCAATTTCTACTATCAAAGGACTATGTACATCTAAATAATCAGTAATTTCTTAATTATCATAAAATGTCAGAGAAAAGTTTATTCAGATTCATTTGAATCCATTAAACAAGAAGACTTCTTCTATAGGTTTGACACCATGACATTCTGGGAGGAGCACTAGACCAGACATCAGGAGACCTGGCATGGCATCAGCTAGCTTTGTGACATTTGACAAAGTCCTTCAGTCTTCTGGACACTTCATTTTCACTGAAAATGAGGAATCTGGAGTTAGTCTGCCTAACCATTCTTGTAAGTTCAAATTTTAATGTCAATAAGCTTCAGTGGTGTTACTCTATTTGTAGAATTACTAGCCACAGAACTTTATGGAAACTGCCAGTTGGTTAAGCCAATTCCAAAAGCATGCCTGCCTATCTGACTTTCCAAGACATCTCGCTATTCACAAGTCTGCCCATGATAAGAGACTTAATTTTTGGATCATTTATCAAATTACATAAATCACCAAGCAAGAATTTCTATTCATCCAGTAATGGCTTTGAAAAGCTAATAAAGAGTAAAAAGGGACAGGGTGAGGAATGGAAAAATAGGTGATAGAGAATTTGAGATCCAAAAAAGGATAATTCTTGCTTTAGTACTGATGTTCACTTTTTCATAATTTTCCTTAATGGTTTATCCAAGCATTGTAGGGTCAGAGATTTTTATCTCTCAGTGAAGTGACACAGCCATCTATCACTCAGGCTAATGTAAATGCTTTGGACAACTCTAAAAGGGTTGGGGGGGATATTCTTTATCCTGGCCTTTTTTCTTCTTCTTCTTCTTTTCTGGTTAATAAGTTTTTGTGGAACAGAGAAATATATGTTAATGTTCATCTTGAATTCTAAGTAGTTCAAAAGGATTTCTAATGATCACTTTCATATTGAAATATTAGACGGCCAATTAACAGACACAGAGCCAATCTCCACCATCTCTTACTAGAGGGAAATGAACCATAACTGCTGTTCTGCAGGTAGATGAGATTCACTGAGTTAGAGCACTGAGTTAGAGTAGTGTGGTCTCTCACAATATTAGACTGAAAATTGTGTATTTTCATCCAATAATAGTTTCTATATGTTCCCAGGTAATTTCTTTAGCAGGACTTTCTCTTCCCCTTTCAAATAGTGTCCCTGTATGATCAAATCATCATGACTCCCAGATTAAAAGGGTTGTTGAACACTAGGTTCTCAATAATTTTTTACAAATCAGCCAGCCTTTTTCTTAAGAGAGTTTTCAAAGACATATGACCATCTTCAAACTACTTAAGTCAAACCCTCCTCATCGACTACATATCCTTTATCTTTTTCCTTTTCTATAACTCTTTTTAAAAAATAATACAGTTATACTAGGTTGTCCACATTGTCTTAAACCAACAGAAAAAAGAAAAGAGGGATGGAATATTTCTGTAGATGTGAGATGCCTGATCCTTTACATTTCTTCCCTTGGAAGGATCAGTGCTTTTTTTCACAACCGATTTTCTCTGTCCTCTGTCTAAGTAGCATAGACCTAACATTTAAGAATCATCACCTATACACCAGACTACCACTATGTGTCTTCTGAGCATCTAATTTTGGATTACATCACAACTAAGGAAATTACATACCTCACCTGCATGCCATAATAATGCCTAAATAATAACAGCACTAATCATAATAATAATAGCTGCTGTTTAGCAAATGTTTTCTATGATGTACCAGGACTGTGCTAAGAATTTCAAAGATACTATGTTAGTTAATCCTTAGAACTACCCTTTGAAATAAGTGCTATCATATCAATTTTATAGATAAGGAGACTGAGACTCAGAAAGTGTAAATAACCTGCCAGGAAAAATTAGAAGACTTGGTAAATTAACTCAGGTCTTTTTGACTTCAATTCATCTATTATTTTTACTACACAAGAGCTTTTCAACACTGGGTTTGTGACTTACATGTTTTTGCTATTTTCTTTTTTTGAGGTAGGTCTCACTTTGTGGCCCGGCTGGAGTGCAGCAGTGTGATCACAACTCAGTTCAGCCTAGATCTCCAGGGTTCAAGTGATCCTCCCACCTCAACCTCCCGAGTAGCTGAGACCACAGGTGTGCATCACTGCACCCAGCTAATTTTCATTTATTTTTTGACAGATGGGTCTCACTATGTTGCCCAGGCTGGTCTTGAGCTCCTGGGCTCAAGTGATCCTCATGCCTCAGCCTCCCAAAGTGCTGGGATTACAGGTGTGAGCCATCTCACCTTGTCATTACTTATTTTTGACTCATAAAATTACCAAAAAATATCTAAGTATCACACTTAATAACAGTCATCATTGTCTTCTGAAACTTTTACTGTAGTCTTCATACATGTGTATGTGTGTGTGTGTGTCCGTGTGTGTGTGCATGTACTGAAATTTGTTGTAAACTGTATTACTCACAGTAAAAAGACTTTGAAAGCTTCAGTATTATATTATGGTTTTTCTACATCATATTAACTCCTTGTGGGTAGGGACTCTGTTTTGCTCCCTATTGTAACCCAAGTACATAGTTGAAGTTAACAAATATTTTTTCTAGATATGAATATGGTGGCTATTTTATAATCAAAGTATCATTCTATTATTAAATCAGTGGGTAGGGGCAGGGTTTCACTTGAATGGTGAAGTGGCAGATACGAAATATATCTTCCAACTAGGAGGTGAAAGTGGAGAAAAAGCCCAGGAGTGCAGTGCACTAAGGTTTACTTCTCATGGTACTGATCTTGAAGAAACTGAAGGTTTCACAGCGAGGTCCTGAACTGGGGAATTCACTTGCCTGCATCCTTCATTTGGAGGCAGGCTTCTGGCTAAGCAGTATAAAATCAAGGTAGGGAAATGTAAAGAGCTGCTGGCCGTATGGGGATAGAACATAAATATTGCCAGACAGTAGCAAACAAGGCAGGTCTTGACAGTCCTGAGAGCAAAACTCCTATACTTTATTAACTGATTTATATTTCTGTAATTCTTCTATTTTCCATGCTCATTGTTATTTTTCTATTGCACTTTGTCCATCGTTGGAAATTTCCAGTATTTCAATTCTGTCCTAGCAGGCAAAGGAAGGGAAGGAAGAAATTGTTGTTCCCATTGTTAGTTGGTTCTCAAAATAGCATTAATTGTTTCTTTTTCTATTTGTTAACCATGTTCTTTGTAAAAAATTTAGTAAATTTGGAAAAATATGAAGAAGAAATAAAAATTACTTGAATCTCCACAGCCAGACAACACTACTGTTAACATGTTGGCATATATATTTCTATTTTATTTTTATGAACTTGTGTGAAAATATTTTTTAGTGTGGTCATACTCTACATATAGTTTATATCACATTTTTTTCTTTTAATTTTGACTTTCAAGCATTTTCCTTTGACTTTAAACAGTCTTTTAAAAATATTTTTATAGAGGTGGCTGGCAAGATGGCCGAATAGGAACAGTTCCTGTCTGCAGCTCCGAGCGAGATCAACACAGAAGGCGGGTGATTTCTGCATTTCCAACTGAGGTACTCAACTCATCTCACTGGGACTGGTTAGACAATGGGTGCAGCCCACAGAGGGCGAGCAGAAGCAGGGTGGGGAATCACCTCACCCGGGAAGCACAAGGAGTCAGGGAACTCCCTCCCCTAGCTAAGGAAAGCCCTGAGGGATGGTGCCATGAGGAATGGTGCATTCTGGCCCAGATACTATGCTTTCCCCATGGTCTTCACAACCCATAGACCAGGAGATTCCCTTGGGTGCCTACACCACCAGGGCCTTGGGTTTCAACCACAAAACTGGGAGACTGTTTGGGCAGACACTGAGCTAGCTGCAGGAATTATTTTTCATACCCCAGTCGCACCTGGAATGCCGGCAAGACATAACCTTTCAATCTCCTGGAAAGGGGGCTGAAGCCAGGGAGCCAAGTGGCCTAGCTCAGCAGATCCCACCCCCATGGAGCTCAGCAAGCTAAGATCCACTGACTTGAAATTCTTGCTGACAGCACAGCAGTCTGAAGTCGACCTGGGACTCTCGAGCTTGGTAGGGGGAGGGATGTCCACCATTACTGAGGCTTGAGTAGGCAGTTTTCCCCTCACAGTGTAAACAAAGCCTCCTGGAAGTTCACACTGGGCAGAGCCCACCGCAGCTTGGCAAAGCCACTGTAGTCAGACTGCCTCTCTAGATTCCTCCTCTCTGGGTAGGGCATCTCTGAAAGAAAGGCAGCAGTGGATCTCCCAGCACAGTGCTACAGTTCTGCTAAGGGACAGACTGCCTCGTCTCCTGATTGGGAGACATCTCACACGAGGGGTCGACAGACACCTCACATAGGAGGGTTCTGGCTGGCATCTGGTGGGTGCCCCTGTGGGACAAAGCTTCCAGAGGAAGGAGCAGGGAGCAATCTTTGCTGTTCTGCAGCCTCCAGTGGTGATACTCAGGCAAACAGGGTCAGAAGAGGACCTCCAGCAATCTCCAGCAGACCTGCAGCAGAGGGGCCTGACTGTTAGAAGGAAAACTAACAAACAGAAAGGAATAGCATCAACATCAAGTAAAAGGACATCCACACAAAAAACACATTTGAAGGTCACCAACATCAAAGACCAAAGGTAGATAAATCCACAAAGATGAGGAAAAACCAGCATAAAAAGGCTGAAAATTCCAAAAACCTGAACACCTCTTCTCCTTCAAAGGATCACAACTCCTCGCCAGCAAGGGAATAAAACTGGACGGAGAATGAATTTGACGAAATCACAGAAGTAGACTTCAGAAGGTGGGTAATAATAAACTTTCCGAGCTAAAGGAGCATGTTCTAACCCAATGCAAGGAAGCTAAGAACCTTGAAACAAAGTTAGAGGAATTGCTAACTAGAATAACCAGTGTGGAGAAGAAGAATATAAATGACTTGATGGAGCTGAAAAACACGGCATGAAAACTTCGTGAAGCATACACAAGTATCCATAGCTGAATTGATCAAGCAGAATAATGGATATCAGAGATTGAAGATCAACTTAATGAAATAAAGTGTGAAGACCAGATTAGAGAAAAAAGAATGAAAAAGAATGAACAAAGCCTCCAAGAAATATGGGACTATGTGAAAAGACCAAACCTACATTTGATTGGTGTACCTGAAAGTGACCGGGAGAATGGAACCCAGTTGGAAAACACTCTTCAGCATATTATCCAGGAGAACTTCCCCAACCTAGCAAGACAGGCCAATATTCAAATTCAAGAAATACAGAGAACACCATAAAGATACTCCTTGAGAAGATCAGCCTCAAGACACAATCGTCAGATTCACCAAGGTTAAAATGAAGGAAAAAAATGTTAAGGGAAGCCAGCGAGAAAGGTCAGGTTACCCATAAAGGGAAGCCCATCAAACTAACAGTGGATCTCTCTGCAGAAACCCCACAATCCAGAAGGCAGTAGGAGCTAATATTCAACATTCTTAAAGAGAAGAATTTTCAACCCAGAATTTCATATTGAGTCAAACTAAACATCATAAGCAAAGGAGAAATAAAATCCTTTACAGACAAGCAAATGCTGAGAGAATTTCTCACGACCAGGCCTGCCTTACAAGAGCTCTGAAGGAAGCACTACATATGGAAAGGAAAAACTGGTACCAGCCACTGCAAAAACATACCTAATTGTAAAGAACATAGACACGATGAAGAAACTGCATTAACTAATGGGCAAAATAACCAGCTAGCATCATTATTTCAGGATCAAATTCACACATAACAATATTAACCACATCTCATTTATTCTAAAATTCACCATGTAATTGGAAGTAAAACACACCTCAGCAACTGCAGGAAAAAAAAAAAACAGAAATCATAACAAACAGTCTTTCAGACCACAGTGCGGTCAAATTAGAACTCAGGATTAAGAAACTCACTCAAAACTGCACAACTACATGAAAACTGAACAACCTGCTCCTGAACAACTACTGGGTAAATAACAAAATTAGGGCAGAAATAAGTAAGTTCTTTGAAATCAATGAGAACAAAGACACAACATACCAAAATCTCTGGGACACAGCTAAAGCAGTGTTTAGAGGGAAATTTATAGCACCAAATGCCCACAGGAGAAAGCAGGAAATCTAAAATCAGCACTCTAACCTCACAATTAAAATAACTAGAGAAGCAAGAGCAAACAAATTTAAGAGCTAGCAGAAGACAAAAAATAACTAAGATTAGTGCAGGAGATAGAGACAACCTTGAAAAAAATCAATGAATCCAAGAGTGTTTCTTTGAAAAGACTAACAAAAGACACAGACTGCTAGCCAGACTAATAAAGCAGAAAAAAGAGAAGAATCAGAAAGACATAATAAAAAATGATAAAGGAGATATCATTACTGATCCCACAGAAATACAAACTATCATCAGAGAATACTATAAAAACCTCTATGCAAATAAACTAAAAAATCTAGAAGAAATTGATGAATTCCTGGACACCTAGACCCTCCGAAGTCTAAACCAAGAAGAAGTCGCATCCCTGAATAGACCAATAACAAGTTCTGAAACTGAGGCAGTAATTAATAGCCTACCAGACTAAAAAAAAAAAAAAAAAAAAAAAAAAAAAAACAACCCAGGACCAGAGGATTCACACCAAAATTCTAACAGAGGTGCAAAGAGGAGCTGGTACCATTCCTTCTGAAATTATTCCAAAAACTAGAAAAAGAGGGACTCCTCCCTAACTTATTGTATGAGGCCAGCATCATCCTGATACCAAAACCTGGCAGAGACACAATAAAAAAGAAAATTTTAGGCTAATATGAACATCAATGCAAAATCCTCAATAAAATACTGACAAACCAAATCCAGCAGCACATCAAAAAGCTTATCCACCACGATCAAGTCAGCTTCAACCCTGGGATGCAAAGCTGGTTCAACATCCGCAAATCAATAAACATAATCCATCACATAAACAGAACCAATGACAAAAACCACATGATTATCTCAATAGATGCAGAAAAGGCCTTTGATAAAATTCAACAGCCCTTCATTCTAAAAACTCTCAATAAACTAGGTATTGATAGAACATATCCCAAAATAATAAGAGCTATTTATGACAAACCCACAGCCAATAACATACTGAATGTGCAAAAGCTAGAAGCATTCCCTTTGAAAACCGGCACAAGACAAGGATGCCCTTTCTCACCACTCCTATTCAACATAGTATTGGAAGTTCTGGCCAGGGTAATCAGGCGAGAGAAAGAAATAAAGGGTATTCAGTTAGGAAGAGAGGAAGTCAAATTGTCTCTTTTTGCAGATGACACGATTGTATATTTAGAAAACCCCATCGTCTCAGTCCAAAATCCCCTTAAGTTGATAAGCAACTTCAGCAAAGTCTCAGGATACAAAATCAATGCACAAAAATCACAAGCATTCCTATACAGCAATAATAGACAGAGAGCCAAATCATGACTGAAATCCCATTCACAATTGCTACAAAGAGAATAAAATATCTAGGAATACAACTCACAAGGGATGTGAAGGACCTCTTCAAGGAGAACTACAAACCACTGCTCAAGGAAATAAGAGAGGACACAAACAAATAGCAAAACATTCTATGCTCACGAATAGCAAGAATCAATATTGTGAAAACGGCCATACTGCCCAAAGTAATTTATAGATTTGATGTTATTTCCATCAAGCTACCGTTGACTTTCTTCTTGGAATTAGAAAAAAACTACTTTAAATTTCATATGGAACCAAAAAAGAGCTCGTATACCCAAGACAATCCTAAGCAAAAAGGGCAAAGCTGGAGGCATCATGCTACCTGACTTCAAACTATACTACAAGGCTACAGTAACCAAAACAGCATGATACTGGTACCAAAACAGATATATAGACCAATGGAACAGAACAGAGGCCTCAGAAATAATGCCACACATATACAACCATCTGATCTTTGACAAACCTGATAAAAGCAAGCAATAGGGAAAGGATTCCCTATTTAATAAACGGTGCTGGGGAAAATGGCTAGCCATATGCAGAAAACTGAAACTGGACCCGTTCCTTACATCTTATACAAAAATTAACTCAAGATGGATGAAAGACTTAAACATAAGACCTAAAACCATAAAAACTCTGGAAGAAAACCTAGGCAATACCATTCAGGACATAGGTATGGGCAAAGACTTCATGACTAAAATGCCAAAAGCAATGGCAACAAAAGCCAAAATTGACAAATGGGATGTAATTAAACTAAAGAGCTTCTGCACAGCAAAAGAAACTATCATCAGAGTGAACAGGTAACCTACAGAAAGGGAAAAAAAATTTGCATTTTATCCATCTGACAAAGGACTAATATCCACAATCTACAAAGAACTTAAACAAATTTACAAGAAAAAAACAAACAACCCCATCAAAAAGTGGGCAAAGGACATGAACAGGCACTTCTCAAAATAAGACATTTATGTGGCCAACAAACATGAAAAAAAGCTCATCATCACTGGTCACTAGAGAAATGCAAATCAAAACCACAATGAGATACCATCTCATGCCAGTTAGAATGACAATCATTAAAAAGTCAGGAAACAACAGATGCTAGAGAGGATGTGGAGAAATAAGAATGTTTTTACACTGTTGGCGGGAGTGTAAATTAGTTCAACCATTATGGAAGACAGTGTGGTGATTCCTCAAAGATCTAGAACCCAAAATACCATTTGACCCAGTAATCCCATTACTGCGTATATACCCAAAGGATTATACATCATTCTACTATAAAGACACAAGTACATGCATGTTTACTGCAGCACTATTCACAATAGCAAAAACTTGGAACCAACCCAAATGCCCATCAATGATAGACTGCATAAAGAATACGTGGCACATATACACCATGGAATACTATGCAGCCATAAAAAAGATGAGTTCATGTCCTTTGCAGGGACATGGATGAAGCTGGAAACCACCATTCTCAGCAAACTAACACAGGAACAGAAAACCAAACATCGCATGTTCTCACTCATAAGCAGGAGTTGAACAATGAGAACACAGGGAGAGGAACAAGGAGAACACAGAGAATGGACACAGGGAGCAGAACATCACACCGGGGGACCTGTCAGGGGGTTAGGAGTGGGGCTAGGGGAGGGATAGCATTAGGAGAAGTACCTGACGTAGATGACAGGTTGATGGGTGCAGCAAACTACCATGGCACGTGTGTGCCTATGTAACAAACCTGCAAGTTCTGCACATGTATCCCAGAACTTAAAGTATATAAAAAATTATTTTAATAATTTGTCTACTGTTCTATTATATGGTTGTATGACTTTTTTTCAATAAATTTTCTTATGTTTAACACATATTGCTTTTGACTGTAAGGGAGAGGATTTTATCAATCTTTATTCTATTCACTCTTACAATTTTCCAGATGGATACTTCATACTTCTTCTCTCTCCTGAAACCTCAACCTGTCCATCATCCTCATTCTCAGCTGATGACTTTGCTTCATATTTCATCAAAAATATAGACATTATCAGAAAAGAATTTCTACAATATGTATTCATTTCTTTATTGGCATCTATCTGCTTTTTGCCTGTTAATATAGAACTTTGTTCTTACTTGTTCAGACTCATCCCTCTACTTGTGCACAAGATCGCATCCTCTCTTGCCTACTCCAGGTTATCACTGTGGCAATTCTCCACTGACTTTTCCACAGTGTACATTTTTTTCCCTCTCTCCTGAATCATTTACATCTTGCTTAATTAGAAAAAAATCTGTGAAATGTAATTATTTATATTTTACAGACATGTAAGTGAAGACTAAGTGAATGCTAGATTGTAACCTCATCCTGACTTTATTACTATCTCTTTCTCCCTTGCATCTGTCAGCTTTTGCTGCATAATAAGCATTTCCACAATTTAGAGACTTGAAACAACATTCATTTATGCAGTTCATGATTCTGTGGAATTCACTGAGCATGTCTCCTCTCTAGGTGAGCTCAGCTGTTTTCTTATAGGCTCCATGCTACATCTGCTGTCATTAGCAGGCCAGATGGTAAGTGTATAATTCAAAATGACACCACATGTGTGTTTGCCTGCCCTTTGGTTCTTCTTTACAAGCTTCCTTCTCCCCAGCAGGCTAGCTTGGGCTTTTTCATATGGTGATGGTCTCAGGGTTCTAAGCATAGCAAGAAAAGGCAAGCTCCAATACACAAGGGCTTTTCATACCTCTGCTTGTTCATATTGCCTAATGTACTATTGACCAAAATAAGCCACATTTTAAGAAGTCTGTTGTATGGAGAAACATAACTAAAAATAGGTGAAGGAAAGGGAGAGGAAAAGACTCTGACGCCTTCTACATTTACAAAACTTCAAATTTAGCAGCATCATTACTTTGGTAATACCCTCACAGATGTTACAAAATGTTTTAATATGTACTAGTTATGTTGAATATTAATTTTTTTATCCTCCTGAACTGTAGGGCTGAATGGAAATAAGCATTTGACTACAGATGCATAAATGAACCCAGTAGAAAACAACCAAGGTCTCAATAGGAGCTATGACCTATTATTGTTAATATCAGCATAGGAAGGTATCTAGAACATCAATCATAATATCATCTACTGAACTTAGGAAGAATAGCCTCACAAGTACTGGTGACAACTGGTTTCCCAGAACAGGAGTTAAGAATTGATGATATAGAATTTTAAAAATAAATGTAATTGACTATATAACATCAGCATTATGGGAGTAGGTAATATATCTCAATCCTACTTCAAGTTAGGTTTTGTTCAAGGCTCATATAAACAAAAATCTTCCTTCTCCTAATTAGTCAATTACGTAAAGCCTCCTTACTAATTTAGTGGAGAATGAAGTTTAGGCAAGGAAAGAGGCAGTAGAGCTTATCTCCAGTGATACTGTTTAATAAAAAAGTAAAAAAATAAAAATAAAAAAAGAAAAAAAAAGCCTGTAACAGTACATAATCTTGGATATTAAAAAAGAGTTGGTGGGGGGAAACAGATGGTAAAGAATTTGTAAGGGGGTGAGGAGTTTGGGAGCTAGAATTAGGGCTCAACGTACGAAAACAGACAGCATTAAAAGGTAAGGGCAAAGAGTGGCATTATCTGAACGGTAGATTCAAGCTAGGGTGGGAAACTTATGTCAGAAGAGGGACAGGGTAGAAGTTTATTACTTATAATCCTTCAACTAGGGCAGAAAACTGGAGAGAGCTAGGGCTTTAGGATAATATTCAAATTCTTGCTTACATAATTCATTTTCTTCTGCCCCATTATGAATATCTAACCAGCCAGGGGCCTTCATATCATTTCATGAAAGTCACCCAGACTCTGAAGTGAGAGGTGCTGAATAATACACTGAAAAGTGCTTGGATTTTAAAGTCAGATGGGCCTGGGTTTGAATCTACTTTCTACCACTTACATTTGTGTGACCTTGGGGAATGAATGCTTCTCTGAGCCTATTCCCTTTTCTGTAAAATAGAAATAGTGATACACACTTAGCTGGATGTTTCTGAGAATTAAAGAAGAATATATAGGCTGGGCACGGTGGCTCACACCTGTAATCCCAGCACTTTGGGAGGCCGAGGCGGGCGGATCACAAGGTCAGGCGATCGAGACCATCCTGGCAAACAGGGTGAAACCCCAACTCTACTAAAAATACAAAAAAATTAGCCTGGCATGGTGGCGGGCGCCTGTAGTCCCAGCTACTCGGCAGGCTGAGGCAGGAGAATGGCATGAACCCAGGAGGCAGAGATTGCAGTGAGCTGAGATTGCGCCACTGCACTCCAGCCTGGGCGACAGAGCGAGACTTGTCTCAAAAAAAAAAAAAAAAAAAAAAAGAATATATATATGGTGGAAGACACATGAAGTGTTCAGTAATTAATATTGCCAGATAATGTGGGTCCAACTACTGTCTTAGTTACCTATGTTGTAACTTGGATAAGTTACTAATGTCCTTGGACCTCAGTTTCCTTTTCTGCAAAATAAGAATATTCTTAATTTGTGAGGTTCAGAGAGTCCCCAAAATCTTATTAAATTGTCTGTAAATATTCTAAGTAGGGTCTACAGCACATATTTTTCCTGTGCCCTTGAGGAAGCTGGAAGTCAGTTATTACTACGTCTGTCCTTTCCTTAGATAGTGGTGAATAATTCTACTTGAAGCTAACTGTGGCTTTTGAACTGTGGGTGAAGAAGGTGAGATGTGTACAGCTGAAATATATTCCTCATGTACAGTACCTGCCCCTTGTGGAAAGTCTAGCATATTTTGCACAGATGTCTCTTTGTTTCTGAACAGAAAACTAATTGCTTTTCTTGTTTCAGTCTGAGAAGTTTTCCTATATTGCTTCACAAATAACAGGAGACATTTCTCAAACTTTACAAAGCTCTTCCCCAATGGGCCTCTCTAATCAGATGCCCCTCGAGTGCCCCACATCACAGGAGGCAACCTTCATCTTGTAAGCTGAAAAATCACCTTTTTACAGTTATTTTATGATTATTATTACTAATTATTTTCACTCGCACACAAATCTGACTGTGAGAGGAGGCATGATTAAGGAGAAAATGCTTTTCAGCCTTCTTGCTAAAATTAGAAATCTTTGTTGTTGCTCATAAATGATGAGTCCAGGGATGGTAAAATGTGCTAAACTGAGAGCCCAGGAGTCAGAATACACTTCCCATAGGACATGTACCTCAAAAGCAGCAGCTACCTGCCAGGCCTAGCTTCCCTGGTGCCCCTGCTATTGTTTCCCTAGTAACCAGGCAGAGTGTGGAATATCCCTGAAAGTCCTGCACAGTTACTACGGAAACTCCAGGGCTTTCCTAATTAGATCCAACTTGAGCTGTAGCTGGTGGGGATGGGCAGACTTGCTTCCTATGGGAAAACCCTCCTTGAAAGGCAAACCAGAGCACCCTTTATCCATTCACATTTTGCCTCTTACCCTGGTGAATTTATGCACACTTGATTTGCCTCATTCTGTGGATGAACAGCACTGGGCCTTGGGGCATTGAAACAGTCTTCAAAACCCTTGGTGTAAAACAGAGTCTCATAGATGGAGGCTGTGTAGCTTCCCAGATGTTCTGGGACAGGCTTGGTTTCAAATAGTCTGTCCCTTGTCTCCATGGGCATAGATATATTTGACAGTTTATTGTGAGGCCAGATTTTCATTTGTTATTAGAAATGGCAACAATATGGTGATTTTTAGAGAGCTAGTTGGCTGGTGGGAGATAAAGTTTGGTTGGAAACTATTTGCTCATGCCCTCCAATTACAACCAGAGGTGGGTGAAAACTTGTTCTTTGTAAGAGGTCAACCACCTCTTTACGATAGAACCTATTCATCAACACCATAGAGACTCAGCTTTCTTAAGTGATCAACTTAGACTGAATGTGTGATCAATGGAACCACTTTCTCGCTAATACCTTCAACTCTTTTGTGCCAATTTTCTTCCTTTGTCCCAACTCAGAAAACACCAAACTCCCATCCATCATGTAAACTCTGCCCCTTTAATTTGATAAGCAACACTGCAACAAACAAACAGAAAACAAAAAACAAAAAAATACAATCGTGTTGTTTGGGGCCACAAACAACCCACAATCTCCAAGCTTACACCTGGCCTTTGCTCACTCGTCTTTGATCATTCTTTATCCCCATTTTCCTAGTGACTGTTCCTAGGCTTTATCTATTTCCTCCAAAAGTCTCTTTCCTCCCTGCTCATTTATTACTCTCCCTACTTTCAGCAGATGAACTCTTTTTTTTTTTTAATTTATTTTTTATTTTTTAGATGGAGTCTTGCTCTGTTACCCAGGCTGGAGCACAGTGGCACAATCTCGGCTCACTGCAAGCTCCGCCTCCTGGGTTCACGCCATTCTCCTGCCTCAGCCTCCCGAGTAGCTGGGACTGCAGGCACCTGCTACCATGCCCAGCTAATTTTTTGTATTTTTAGTAGAGACGGGGTTTTACCATGTTAGTCAGGATGGTCTCGATCTCCTGACCTCGTGAACTGCCCGCCTCGGTCGCCAGAAGTGCTGGGATTACAAGTGTGATGCCCAGCAGATGAACTCTTATACAACTTCACCACAGTAAACCAACCCCAAAGTTAGACTACAAAAAGAACCAAAATCAGAGCTGAACTGAAGAAAATTGAAATGTGAAAATCCACTCAAAAGATCAAGGAAACCAAAAGTTGGTTATATGAAAGATTAAATACAATTAATAAACTACTAGCTAGATGAAAAAAGAAAAAACAGAAGATCCAAATAATCAGAAACAACAAAGGTGACATTACAACCGACCCCACAGAAATAAAAAAATCCTCACAGACTATTATGAATACCTCTATGCACACAAACTAAAAAACCTAGAAAAATTTGATAAATCCTGGGAACACACAGCCCCCCAGGACTGAACCAGGAAGAAATTAAAATCCTGAACAGGCTAATAACGAGTTCCAGAATTGAATTAGTAATAAAAAACCTACCAACCAAAAAAAGCCCTGGACCAAATGGATTCACAGCTGAGTTCTACCAGATGTACAAAACAAAGCTAGTACCAATCCTACTGAAATTATTCCAAAAAATTGAGGAGAGACTCCTCCCTTACTCATTCTCCAAGACCAGCATCTTTCTGATAACAAAGCCTGGCAGAGACATGACAAAAAAAGGAAACTTCAGGCCAACAACTCTGATTAACATAGATGCAAATATCTTCAACAAAATACTAGCAAACCAAATCCAGCAGCACATCAAAAAGCTAATCTACCATGATCAGGTAGGCTTTATTCTTGGGATGAAAGGTTTGCTTAACATATGAAAATCAATAAATGTGATTCACCACATAAACAGAATTAACAACACAAACCACATGATCATCTCAAAAGACACAGAAAAGGCCTCTGATAAAATTCAATGCCCTTTCATAGTAAAAACTCTCTACAAATCAGGCATCAAAGGAACATACCTCAAAATAATAAGAGCCATTTATGACAAACCCACAGCCAACATCATATTGAATGGACAAAAGCTGGAAACATTTCTCTTGAGAACTGGAACAAGACAAGGATGCTAACTCTCATCACTCCTACTGAACATAGTACTGGAAGTCTTAGCCAGAGTAATCAGGCAAGAGAAAAATATAAAAAGCATCCAAATAGGAAGAGAGGAAGCCAAACTATCTCTCTTTGCAGACAATATGATTTTATACCTAGAAAACTCCATAGACACCATTAGAAGGCTTCTACAACTGATAACTTCAGTAAAGTTTCAGTACACAAAATCAATGTACAAAAATCAGTAGCATTTCTGTATATGAATAACATCCAAGCTCAGAGCCAAATCAAGAATGCAATCCTATTTACAATAGCCACAATAATAATAAAACACCTAGGAACACAGCCTACCAAGGAGGCAAATGATCTCTACAACAAGAATTATAAGACAATGCTGAAGGAAAACAAAGATGACACAAACAAATGCAGAAATATTTTATGCTCATTAATGGGAAGAATTAATATTGTTAAAATGGCCACACTACCCAAAGCAATTTACAGATTCAATGCTATTCTTATCAAACTATCAACATCATTTTTCACAGAATTAGAAAATACTATTCTAAAGTTCATATGGAATAAATAACCTGAATTGCCAGAAAAAAAAATCTACTCAAAAAGAATCAAGCCAGAGGTATCACACTACCTAACTTCAAACTATACTACAAGGCTATAGTAACCAAAACAGCATGGTACTGGCACAAAAACAGACACATAGACCAATGGAACGGATAGAGGACCCAGAAATAAAGTCACACACTTACAACCACCTTATCTTTGACAAAGTTGACAATAAAAAATAATGAAGGAAGCACTCCCTATTCAATAAACGGTGCTGGGAAAATGGCTAGACATCTGCAGAAGATTGAAACTGGACTGCTTCTTTTCACCATATACAAAAATTAACTCAAAATGGATTAAAGACTTGAAACAATAAAAACTCTAGAAGAAAACCTAGGAAATACTATTCCAGACATTGGCCTTGGCAAAGAATTTATGACTGAGTCCTCAAAAGCAATGCAACAAAAACAAAAATTGGTAAGTAGGACCTAATTAAACTCACGAGCTTCTGCACAGCAAAACAACAACAACAACAAAAACAAACAAACAAACAAAAAACTATCAACAGAGTAAACTGACAACCTACAGAATGGGAGAAAATATTTACAAACTATGCATCTGACACAGGTCTGATATCCAGAATCCATAAGGAACTTAAATCAGCAAGCAGAAAGCAAATAAACTTATTATAAAATGAGCTAAGGACATGAACAGACACTTCTCAAAATAAGACATACGTGTGGCCAACAAATATATGAAATATACTCAGAATCACAAATCATTAGAGAAATGCAAACCAAAACCACAAAATAAGATACCACATCACACCAGTCAGAATGGCTATTATTGAAAAGTCAAAAAGCAACAGATGCTGGTGAGGTTGCGGAGAAAAGGGAACACTTATACATTGTTGATGGGAATGTACATTATTTCAGCCACTGTGGAAAGCACTGTGGAGATTTCTCAAAGAACTTAAAACAGATCTACTATTTGACCTGGCAGTCCCACTATTGGGTATATATCCAAAGGAAAATAAATCATTCTACCAAAAAGACACATGCACTTACATGTTCATTGCAGCACTATTCACAATAGCATAGACATAGAATCAACAAAGATGCCCATCACCAGTGGACTAGATAAAGAACATATGGTACATATATATCATAGTATGCTACACAGCTATAAAAAGAATGGAATCATGCCCTTTTCAGCAACGTGGATGTAGTGGGAGGCCATCATTCTAAGCCCATTAATGCAGGAACACAAAACCAAATACCACATGTTCTCACTTATAAGTGAGAGCTAAACATTGAGTACACATGGACACAAAGAAGAGGACAATAGAAACTGGGGACTGCCTGGGAGAGAGGGTTTGAAGGGAAGACGTTTTAAGACACCTGAAATGAACATCTTTGACTTCTGAACAGCTCCTTAAAAATTATCTAAATAAGAATTCCTACTTACTCCCTCCATTCTTATCTGCATTTTAAAACAAGGTGTTCCAATCTTATAAAGCTCTTCCTCTACCTACATATGGACATGATTATTGCCCACTATGTCATATCTTCAACCGGTCCTTTGATACTGGCTCTATTACTTCAGAATATTAACATGTTCAGAAACAATGTTAATATAAAACAAAACCTCACATATCTTAGCTACCACATTATTTATCTCCTTTCTCTTGGTCTAGAATCTTAAAAGAATAATATATTTATTAATACATTTATGAAATCCCTACTCTGTACTATTCTGGGTACTAGATTATACGGGTGAATAAAACAAAAAAATTCCACTCTTCATGGTGGTTGCATTTTAGTAAAAGAGCATAGATAATAACAAAATACTGGCAAACCGAATACAGCAGCACATCAAAAAGCTTGTCCACCATGATCAGGTGGGCTTCATCCCTGGGATGCAAGGCTGGTTCAACATACAAAAATCAATAAATGTAATCCAGCATATAAACAGAACCAAAGACAAAAACCACATGATTATCTCAATAGATGCAGAAAAGGCCTTTGACAAAATTCAACAACGCTTCATGCTAAAAACTCTCAATAAATTAGGTATTGATGGGACGTATTTCAAAATAATAAGAGCTATCTATGACAAACCCACAGCCAATATCATACTGAATGGGCAAAAACTGGAAGCATTCCCTTTGAAAACTGGCACAAGACAGGGATGCCCTCTCTCACCACTCCTATTCAATATAGTGTTGGAAGTTCTGGCCAGGGCAATTAGGCAGGAGAAGGAAATAAAGGGCATTCAATTAGGAAAAGAGGAAGTCAAATTGTCCCTGTTTGCAGACGACATGATTGTATATCCAGAAAAACCCATCATCTCAGCCCAAAATCTCCTTAAGCTGATAAGCAACTTCAGCAAAGTCTCAGGATACAAAATCAATGTGCAAAAATCACAAGCATCCTTATACACCAATAAGAGACAAACAGAGAGCCAAATCATGAGTGAACTCCCATTCACAATTGCTTCAAAGAGAATAAAATACCTAGGAATCCAACTTACAAGGGACGTGAAGGACCTCTTCAAGGAGAACTACAAACCACTGCTCAAGGAAATAAAAGAGGAGACAAACAAATGGAAGAACATTCCGTGCTCATGGGTAGGAAGAATCAATATCATGAAAATGGCCATACTGCCCAAGGTAATTTATAGATTCAATGCCATCCCCATCAAGCTACCAATGACTTTCTTCACAGAATTGGAAAAAACTAAAGTTCATATGGAACCAAAAAAGAGTCCGCATCACCAAGTCAATCCTAAGCCAAAAGAACAAAGCTGGAGGCATCACGCTACCTGACTTCAGACTATACTACAAGGCTACAGTAACCAAAACAGCATGGTACTGGTACCAAAACAGAGATATAGATCAATGGAACAGAACAGAGCCCTCAGAAATAACGCCGCATGTCTACAACTATCTGATCTTTGACAAACCTGAGAAAAACAAGCAATGGGGAAAGGATTCCCTATTTAATAAATGGTGCTGGGAAAACTGGCTAGCCATATGTAGAAAGCTGAAACTGGATCCCTTCCTTACACCTTATACAAAAATTAATTCAAGATGGATTAAAGACTTAAATGTTAGACCTAAAACCATAAAAACCCTAGAAGAAAACCTAGGCATTACCATTCAGGACATAGGCATGGGCAAGGACTTCATGTCTAAAACATCAAAAGCCATGGCAACAAAAGCCAAAATTGACAAATGGGATCTAATTAAACTAAAGAGCTTCTGTACAGCAAAAGAAACTACCATCAGAGTGAACAGGCAACCTACAAAATGGGAGAAAATTTTCGCAACCTACTCATCTGACAAAGGGCTAATATCCAGAATCTACAATGAACTCAAAGAAATTTACAAGAAAAAAACAAACAACCCCATCAAAAAGTGGGCGAAGGATATGAACAGACACTTCTCAACAGAAGACATTTATGCAGCCAAAAAACACATGAAAAAATGCTCACCATCACTGGCCATCAGAGAAATGCAAATCAAAACCGCAATGAGATATCATCTCACACCAGTTAGAATGGCAATCATTAAAAAGCCAGGAAACAACAGGTGCTGGAGAGGATGTGGAGAAATCAGAACACTTTTACACTGTTGGTGGGACTGTAAACTAGTTCAACCATTGTGGAGGTCAGTGTGGCGATTCCTCAGGGATCTAGAACTAGAAATACCATTTGACCCAGCCATCCCATTACTGGGTATATACCCAAAGGACTATAAATCATGCTGCTATAAAGACACATGCACATGTATATTTATTGTGGGACTATTCACAATAGCAAAGACTTGGAACCAACCCAAATGTCCAACAATGATAGACTGGTTTAAGAAAATGTGGCACATATACACCATGGAATACTATGCAGCCATAAAAAATGATGAGTTCTTGTCCTTTGTAGGGACATGGATGAAGTTGGAAATCATCATTCTCAGTAAACTATCGCAAGAACAAAAAACCAAACACCGCATATTCTCACTCATAGGTGGGAATTGAACAATGAGAACATGTGGACACAGGAAGGGGAACATCACACTCTGGGGACCGTTGTGGGGTGGGGGGAGGGGAGAGGGATAGCTTTAGGATATATACCTAATGCTAAATGTCGAGTTAATGGGTGCAGCACACCAGCATGGCACATGTATACATATGTAACTAACCTGCACATTGTGCACATGTACCCTAAAACTTAAAGTATAATAATAATAAAATAAAATAAAATTAATAATAAAATTAAAAAAAAGAAATTAGAGGTAAAAAGAAAAAATAATAATAAATAAATAAATAATATGGTGTGTTACAGCATGGTAAGTGCTATGGTGAAAATGTAAAGCCAGAGAAGAAATCATAAAAAGTAAAATTTAAAAAGAAAAACATACAATTTACAATGATAACAAAAATATTAAACGCTTAGAAATAATTATAATAGGATATGCAAGACCCCTACAGGGAAAACTATAAAATATTACTAAGAAAAATAAATAAATGTATACACCAAGTTCATGTATTAAAAATTTCCATAGTATCAAGACATATTTCACTACGCAGCCATAAAAAAGAATGAGATCATGTCCTTTGCTAGAACATGGACAGAGGTGGAGGCCATTATCCTTAGCAAACTAACACAAGAACAGAAAACCAAATACCACGTGTTCTCCCTTATAAGTGGGAGCTAAGTGAAGAAAACACGTGGACACATAGAGGGGAACAACACACACTGGGGCCTATCATAGGGTGGAGAGTGAGAAGAGGGAGAGAATCGGGAAAAATAACTAATGGGTACTAGGCTTAACACCTGGGTGATGAAATAAGCTGTACAACAAACCCCTATGACTCAAGTTTAGGCAAGTAACAAACCTGCACATGGACCCCTGAACTTAAAAGTTAAGATAAAAAGATGTCGTTCCTCTTTAAGTTTATACATTCAGTGCCATCTTAATCAATTTCTAATTTAAAATAGATACGACCTCAAATAGACAAGACAATCACGAAAAGGAACGAAGTGTGAGAATTTGTAGTAATAAAGACAGTGTGGTATTGTCAAAAGGATAAACAAATAAACCAATGAAACTGAGAGTCCAGATACATATTCATACATACTCATTTTATTTATAAGAAAAATTTCACTGCATAGTATTGGGGAAGCCTGAGTGTTTCAATCACCGTTGCAAGGCCAACTTGTTTTATAGTTTTATATCTATATAAATATATAAACACATATTAATATACATTTTTAGATTTTATATACATATATACACATGCAACATGTATATGTACGCATATAATATACATAGATAATATTTTTACCTATGCATGTTTGTGTATACATATAGATGGAAAGAGGGAGCGAGAAAGAGAAACCTTGACCTAACTCACCTAACTTCACCACACTGAAGATATTAGAAAAAAAGATTTCTTTAATAACACAATTAGCACTTACAACAAAGAAAAATATTTATAAATTGGACTATTTTAAAACTGGAAATTTCTGTTAATTCAAGAACAAGAGAGTAAAAGGGAACTAAGTACTCATATCTACAATAATAAACATAACTCTTAATGTGAATAAGAAAGACAGATAATTTTTAAATAGTCAAAAAACTTGAACAGCCCTTCATGAAATATGGTATCTGAATGACCATTAAATATATTTAAAAGTTTCTAACATAATTAGTAATTAAAGAAATGTATAGTGAAGTACCATTACACATCCATCAAAAAGACTGCTGATACCAAGTGTTGGTGAGAATCTGAAACAATTATATTATTCATACAGAAGTTGCTAGGAGTGTAGATTCTTCTCTGTAAACTGGCAGAATCTACTAAACTTGCACTTAAAAGTACCCTACGATATGAAACTATATATAAGTGAACTTGTATATGTATATATATTCAAATTTCATTTGAGACTATATACAACTAAACTGTATGGTAATGCATACCAAAAACTTGCATAAGAATATTTCTGGCAACATTATTCATAATAGCCAGACCCAGAAACAATCCAAATATCTATCAACAATAGAGCAGATCAATATTGTGGTGCATTCATGCCCTGGAATACTATACAGCCAAAGCACGGTGGGAAGAGCTTGTCTGGAGTGCTGAGAAGCAAACCGACTAGAGAAGAGGGAGCAGTGAAGGGAGACAAATGGAAATAAACTTAAGGAGGCCCTGAGGGTGGTATGGAGGCAGGTAGGCTGCCATGCAAGCCACTGAAAGGCCTTGGTATTTATACCAAAAATAATAGGAAAGTGGAGGATTGTGAGCAAAGTTGAGTTGGTTTTACTCCTTTTTTAATGGTATTACTCTTGAGATTGTACTGAGGGTAGAATGTAAAAAGGCAAGTGTGGAAGTGAGAAGGTGACTTTGTAATGGAGACAGTGCAAATGATTACATTTTAGTGGAGATGTACCTAATGAGATTTGCAGATTCATTTTTTAAGTTTGAGAGAAAGGGAGATTCAAAGATGAGGCCAAGATTTTTGGTCTAAGCAACTGAAAGAGTTGGATTAATGTAAACGTGGATGACTGAAGGAGGAACCAGTTTAAAGGGCATCATTAAGAGTGCTGGTTAGGGCATGTTAAGTTTGAGATGAATATTAGACACAGAGCCTCTATTTGTATTTCTTATTTTCCATTCATTTCCCTATGATCATAATCTAAGAAAAGTCAGTATATAAGAAAAGTCAGTAGATTGGTCATGAATGGCCTCCATATTGTCAAACGTTCATCAAGCATTTTTCAGGCTTTTTCAGACTGGATCTTTCTGCAATATCTGGTAGTATTGGCAGCTTGCTCATTCCAAAACATCCTATTTATTTGTTGTTAGTGACGACATTGCCTTATAGTTTTCCACCCACTCTTCTCATCTGTCCTTTTCAACCTCTTTTATATCCTTCTCTGTGGCCTCCCCTTTAAAAGTGGCTCCTTAAAAGTCTAAGTTTAGCCCTCTGTTCTTCTGCATATATTCTAGTGATGACCTCCTCAATTTATCTGGTTTAATTACAACTATGTTTATCATTACCAAACATGTATTTTTGCTAGACAGCTACTCAAATTTCAAAATTATACATTTTATTTCCTCTTGAATGTGTCACTGGATGTCCTTCTAAGCACTACACACATACCAATTCAAAACTAAACATTTTTTTCCATTCCACACTGACTTTCAAGTCCTCCTATATTCTGTGTCTTGGTGGACCATTAGTTAATACAGAAATCAAGAAGTCATCTGAGATTTCTCCTTATCCATTACCCACTCATCCCTAATGACTAACTGCTGCTAGTTTTACCTCTTAAATACTTCCCAAGTTCAGCCCCTTCATCTCCAGCTTTACTTGTGCTTCCCTGGCAAGTATATCATGTTATTTATGTTGAACTAATGAAATTATTTTATTGGTCCTTCTGTCTATGTCTTACCATCTTAGAATTCAACCTTCATACTGTAACTGAATGCTGGTCTAAAATTTGTAAACTTGTCATTTATCTGAGTAAAATCTTTCAATGGCTCTTTACCACTTATAGAATAAAGCACAAGAATTTTAGCTTGCCACTTAAGACCCTCTATAATTTTGTGCCTATTTATTCCCCAATAGCCTTTGAATTTTAAATTATTTCAAACTTCTTGGAGCTCTTTGTGAACTGCTTTTTTACTACCTTCTTTTATAAATGCAGGTTTGAAAATATTTTTGTCCTTTTTAATGCACTATTCACTGAATAATTTCTTTTTACTATTCTTTAGGACTCCAATTCTAGATTTTCAAGTCGAAATTCTTGAATTTGAAACAAGAGTCTGGATGTCGGCAAAATGGCAAGTGCCAGCCTTCATTCTCTCCACAGAAACACTAATTTAACAATTACATCCAAACTAAAATACTTCTATGAGAGGCCCAGAATCTAATTAAAAAGTGTCAGTACCCCAGATGAGCACAAAATTGAGAACAGACTCAATGAAATGAGGAAGAAGAGCAATTTCACTTAGTCTGTGTCAGTACCTCCCTCAAGCTGACATGGCTCAGCATTAAGAGAGATAGCTTCAGCCCACAATTTCTCTTTTGAGGAAAAGAGAGTAAATTATGCATTCAATGTCTCAGATCTTTCAGTGTGCTACCTCAGGGACCAGTTACTGTTTTGTCCCACCTGAAGCACTGAAGTAAATGGAAGAGGTTGGATGACTAAGGAAGCTACTCACAAAGAAAAAGGGCAGGCAGCCTTCTTCTGCTGGCATGACTCTGCAAGAATGAGAGAAGGCATACAATGCCAAGGCTTTTGGCTCCAGAGAAAGAGATAGAGCAATGGACTTGCCTCCAACATGCTAACCTTTTGATTCTCTGCCTGAGGTTTCTATCTCACCTCACCCAGAATGCTAATGGAACTGGCATAGTTTTGTGAGGGCTAAAAATAAAGGAAATGGAGTAGGTAACATACTAAACCCTATACAGATTTGCAACAATGGAAAAGATGCAGAATACAAGGATTCCATAGGCATGGAAGAAGAATAGTGCAGTATATCTCCAAAATATTAACCTGTGATACAGCAGACACCAGAGAGAGCAAGATAATATAGGCTCCTGAAAAATATTCAAGCAGTATTCCTCTATTTATAAATTCACACACACAAATCCAAAGAAGTCACATCCGTAGAAAAGGTTTGAGAGATTTTCATAATCTCTAACTAGGCTGAGTGAAGATCTTTCCCTGTCAAAGCTAGACCATAAAGATTTTAGAGGTGGCTGTTGCATTCAAATGCACAAGCGCCAATGCAAAGCTACAAAAAACACAAAGAAACAGGACAATATAAAACAATTAAGAAACAAAATAATTCCTGAAGTAACCAACTATAGAGAAATGAAGATTTATGAATTCTCAAAGCATTCAAAATAATTATCTTAAAGTTCAGTGAGATACACGAAAACATAGTTAAATAAAACAATATATGACTAGAATAAATATCACCAGAGATTAAAACTATGAAAGAAGAACCAAACAGAAAGAAAGACTAGAATAACTAAACTGAAAAAAAAAAAAAAACAACCTACAGAAACATTCAACAGCAAACTTGATCAAATGAAAGAATCGATGATCTTGAAGGTAGGTCACTTGAAATTATCCAATTATAGAAGTAAAAAGAAAAAAGAACTTAAAAAGAGTAAAGAAAGCCTAAGAGACTTATGGGACATCAAATGCACCAATATGTTCATTATGGGAGTCACAAAAGGAAATGAGACTAAAGGGCAGAGAATCTATTTTTTTAAATAATGCCTAAAATCTTCCCAAAATTCAAAGGGAAACAGACATTCAAATTCATGAATAAAGTTCAAAGAGTATAAAATAGAATAAACCCAAAGAAGTCTACACTGAGATGCATATTAATCAAATTGTCAAAAGTGAAAGAATTTTGAAAGTAAAAGAAAAGTAACCTCCATAAAAAAAAAAATCAACAGATTTCTCAAAAGAAATTTTATAGGTTAGAAGGGGGTAGGATGATATAGTCAAAGTGCTGAAAGAAAAAAAAAAGAAATCTGCCAATCAGGAATACTATATTCAGCAATGTGTCCTTCAGAAATGATGGTGAGATAAGGACTTTTCCAGACAAACAAAAGCTTTTGAAAAATTCTTGTCATTTCTCTTTAGCATAATACTAGAAGTCCTAACTAGAGCAATTAGACAAGAAAAATAAAATTAAAATCATGAAAATGGAAAAATGTGTCTCTTTACAAATAAAATAATTTTATATATAGAAAATCCAAAATGCCCCACATAAAGATGAAACTATTTGAATTAATAAAAGGAATTCGTAAAGTTGCAGGATATGAAAACAATATACAAAAATCAGTTGTATTTTCTTGTTTTTGTTTTTGGTTTTGGTTTTGGTTTTTTTTTTTTTTTTTTTTTTTTTGACAGTCTCTCACTCTTTTGCCCAGGGTGGAGTGAAGTGGCACACTTTTGGCTCACTGTAATCTCTGCTCCCTGGGTTCAGGCGATTCTCCTGCCTCAGCCTCCCAAGGAGTTGGAGTTGGGATTACAGGCACCAACCACCTGAAAAAAATGTGTATTTTTGGTAGAGACAAGGTTTTGCCATTTGGCCAGGCTGGTCTCAAACTCCTGACCTCAGGTGATGCACCCACCTTGGCCTCCCAAAGTGTGAGATTACAGGTGTGAGCCACCACGCCCGGCCAACGAGTTGTATTTTCAGTGGGTACACAGTGAAATACAGAGTGTAATAATAGACATAGAAGACCCAAAAAAGTGAAAGGGCAGGATGGGGGTGAGGATTGAAAAATTACCTATTTGGTATAATGTTTGCTATTTGAGTGATAGGTATACTAAAAGCCCAGGCTTTACCACTACACAATATATCCATGTAACAAAACCACACTTACACCCTCTAAATCTGTTTTTAAAAAATTAAAAGGAAAATCACTTGAATTTAGGTACACTGACAATAAACTATTCAGAAAAGAAATTAAAAAAGCAATATCATTTACAATTGCATTAGAAAAAATAAAATGAGGAAAAGATAGTCTCTTCACAAATGGTGATGGGAAAATTATACATTCACATGCAAAAGAATGAAATTGAAACTTTAACTTATGCCATACACAAAAATTAATTCAAAATAGATTTAATGTAAGAATTGAAGCTGGAAAACTACTAGGAGAAAACAGAGAAGAAAAGCTCCAAGTTACTGTCCGGGTCATGATTTTTTTTATATCACCTCAAAATAACCAACAATAAAAGCAAAAATAGACAAATGCGATTACATAAAATTAAAAAGCTTCTGCACAGGAAAAAAAAATCAACAGAGTTAAAGAAATAGGGTTAGAAAATAAACAGAAAATAAACTTGAAAAAATTAGAAAAGATTTGGAAATCATATCTCTGATTAAAGGCTGATATGCAAAATATGTAAGAAATTAACCCTTACAACAATAGAATACTATAGCAAAGAACCTGATTTTATGATGGACAAAATATTTGAATAGACATTTCTGCCAAAAAGACATACAAATGACAAATAGGTTTACAAAGTATGCTCAGTGTCATTAATCATCAGAGGAATGCAAATCATAACCACAGTGAGAATATCAACTCATACCTGTTAGAATGGCTATTATCAAAAAACAAAAACAAAAAAGATAACAAGTGTCAATGAGGATGTGGAGAAAGTGTCAGTGGAGATGTAAAATGGTGCTACTACTATGGAAAACAGTATAGAGGTTCCTCAAAAAATTAAAAATAGAGTTACCATATAACTCAGAAATCCCCTTTCTGGGTATATATCTAAAATAGTTAGAATCAGGATCTCAAAAAAAAAAAAAAAATCTGTGCTGCCATGTTCATTGCAGTATTATTCACAGTAGCCAAGATATAGAAACAACCTAAATGTCAATATGCAGATAAATGGAAAAGAAACTGTAGTATACACACACAATGAAATATTATTCAGCTTTTAAAAAGAAGGAAATTCTGCCATATTCAACAATGTAAATAAACCTTGAAGACATTATGCCAAGTGAAAGAAGCCAGTCACAGAAGGACAAATACTGTGTGATTCCATGTATATAAGCTATCTAAAATGCCAAATTCAGAAACAGAGTAGAAAGTTTGTTGTCAGGATCTGGGTGAAGAAGGAATGGGGATTGTTTTTCAGTGAGTATAAAGTTTCAATGATGCAAGATGAATAAATTCTAGAAAACCACTGTACAGCATAGTGTTTATATTTAATAATACTGCATTGTGCACTTAAAATATGAGAGCATATGTTATATAAAATGTTCATATTACAATAAATGAAGGAAGGAAGAAAGGAAGGGAGAGAGGGAGATAAATTAGATGATTCCATTTACTAGATATGTAATTTTTTATGTCTCTATATCTTCATTTGTAAATCATTGAAATAATATACCTACTTTTGAGTGTTCAGAGCTAACTTAATGGTAAATATTATTGCTTCTGTTTTTACTATTGGTTTCTTGAAAGAGGGCTTCTTTGATCTACCAACTCAGATATTCTCACTCCCACACTGTATGTACACTTAAAGTGCTCAGCACATGACACATTTAACATTGATAAATATTATTTTATTTTACTACTAAACTATAAATTTATAAAAGATATGGCAGATACTGCTAGATATCCTCCAGTATCTATTCTTCTTTCTTTACTAACCAAATTCCTTATATTTACCTGGGTTTACTGCTTCCCAGAAGTTCCCTTCTCCTATTGCTTCAGAAAATCATGCAAAAACATAGGGGCTTAAAACAATAACAAGAATTTTATTATCCCTCACATTTTGTAGGGTAAGTAATTCAGAACAGGCTTGACAGAGAGGGTTGGCTTAGTTTTCTCTTGTGGTTTCAGCCAGATGGAGATAGAGCTATAACAATAGGGGGGTGGGTGCTGCATATTAAAGAACTGGCTGAGAATGTCTCCCATGTAGCCTCAAGGCCTCTCCATGTGTCTCTTCATGATCACAACACAGTGGCCTTAGGACAGTCTGACTGATTATATAATAGCTATGGGGCCCAAAATCATGGTCCTAAGAGAACAATATGGGGACTGTACTGCCTCTTATTATCCAGCATTTTAAGTAATATAATGTCATTTCTGCCATGCTCAGAAGCTAATCAAGATTCCAGGGAATGGAACATAAACCCCATCTTTTGATGGGAGAAGTGTCAGCATCATATTGTTAAAAAAAATATAAAAAGTAAAACAGAAGCTATAATTGCAGTCATATTTGGAAAAAACAACATGACATATGATAAGTTTGGACCAAGGGAATATGAATAAAAGTGATGTGTGGAAGTTAAAGATTAATATTCCTCATGAAAATATAAAAATACTTAGCAAAATATTAGCAAATCTAGCAATATATAAAAAGGATATGACACTATGACAAGTAGAATTTATCCAGAGTAAAAAGCTGGCTTAATATCAGAAAATCAGTCCCTGTCATTCAGAATTTAATTATGTCAATAGATGCAAAAAAAGTAATAAAATTCAATGCTTGTTCATTATAAAATCTCTTGGCAAACTAACTGCTATGGTGTAAATGTATAGCCTCTAATATTCATGTTGAAACCTAATTTCTATTTGGAGGTACTAAAATTTGGGACCTTTGGGGATGTGATTAGGTCATTAGGGCTGTACCCTCATGAATGGATTAGTACCTTATTAAAATACTGGAGTTAAATAGCTTAGGTCCTTTTTTGTCCTCCCCACTTCTGCCATGTAAGGACCCAACAAGAGAGCCCTCGCCAGACACTGAACCTGCCAGCATCTTGATCTTGGATTTTCCAGCCTTCAGAGCTGTGAAAAATAGATTTGTGTGCTTTATAAATTATCCAATCTGTGGTATTTTTATAGTTGTACAAACAGAGTAAGACACTAACATAAAGGAAAATGTCCTCAGACTGATAAAGGGCATCTAAAAATAAACCTCCACATCATACTTAATTGTGAAATATTAAACACTTCCTTCAAAGACCGTTCCTGGAGGTGCTAACCAGTGTAATAGGACAAGGAAAATAATTGAAAGGTATAAAGATTGGAAATGAAAAAATATAAGTCTCTTCAGAGACAGCATGATTGTATACATAGAAGGTCCAAAGGAAAGTACAGAGAAAAACAGAATAACAAAAACAAATGAAAAAAACACTAGAACTGATATGTAAATTTAGCAGTCATAGGATTCAAGGTCAGTATCTTAAAAAGTAATTGTATTTCTATGTATTAGCAACAAACAATTGATACATGAAATTAAAACAAAAAAAAAAACAAGAACAAAAAAACCCTGCCGTAAATAATAAAATAAAAAATATGCAAATATTTATAATAAAAGATGTGGAAAACCTGTACACTGTATAGCTACAAAACATTGCTGAGAGGAATTAAGAAAATCTAAATGAATAGCAAAACATGCTATAGTAATGAATTGGACAATTAATATTTTAAGGTGCAATTTTTTCTCAAAATCATCTCTAGATCCAAATAAAAATTCAAGCAGACACCCAGAGCCTAGATGTTGGTTTCTAAAGTTATTTTCAAATAAAAGAAGTCAGGGTTCTTTTGATAAATGTTTGATGTTATAACTAAGACAGGAAATATACAAGATAAGCCTGGAACATTCTGTAATGTCAGAAAGTAAATAAATGCTCAAACAGTAAACATTGGGATATGTCAGAGAGATACAGGAGTCAACCAAGTGAGACCAAATAAAGTAGTACTGGATTATCATCCAAAGGATAAAATAAATATCCATGAGCTCACACTGATATAAATAAATAAATGGGGAAAATAAGCAAATTTCCTATGCAAAAAAATTCTTAATAATGTATGTAGATGTGCTGCTTCAAGCAGGTAAAATATAAATTCTCACTCCTAAAGTGTGGGCTGTGCATAGTAACTGCCAAAGGTTATGTTATGAAAAGGGGAAAAATCAATTTTGTGAAGAAAACTAACAAATATTTCCTCAGCCAGATGATCAAGGTTGGCATTAGCAGTAGAAAATAATGCTGATAGTATATGCCATTCATATGATATGATAAGAATGGCACATTACCTCTGTGATCATCTTCTCAAAAACCTATCTACTCATGACCAAAACATCGTAAAAATCCCAAATGGAGAATATTCTACAAAATACCTCTCCAGTAGTCCACAAAACCAGGGAAATCCTGAAAAACTGACATTGCCAAGAGGAGCCTAAGGAAACATGACTAGATGTAATGTGATATAAAAAGGACATCAAGTAAAATCTAAGAAAATATAAATAAATGATGAACTTTAGTTTAAAATGATTTATCAGTATTGGTTCATGAATTGTGACAAATGCACCAAACTAATGTAAGATGTTTAAAAGGAAAATTTGACATGGAAATTCTCTGTATTATCTTTGTAACTTTTCTGCAAAACTAAACCATTTCTAAAATAAGCAGTTTATTTTAAAAGTTTTAAGATATCCAAAAAGGGTTTGTGTGAATTTTTCAGCTGATTCTCAAATTTATATGAATATACAATTCCTAAAATAGTGCAACAATCTAACTAAAAATAAAACTCCAGTGTTAGGCCATCATCCTCAGCCCCAACCTCCAAGCCCACCTGAGTGTCAGGCTAGCCTCTGAAGTCCAGGCTTCAGGCCTACCCCAGCACCAGGTCAGCACCCACAGAAACAGATTTCAGGCCTGTTCAGCACCAGGTCTGCCTCTGCAGACCCAGGCTCCAGGATGACACCTATTGACTCAGGCTCCAGGCCCACCCCAGGCCTCAGACTGGCCCAGTGCCAGATTAACTCAGCCCCAGGCTTCAGGCCTATTCTAGCACCAGGTGCTCTGGAGTCCAGGCCAGCAGCTACACACTCAGTCTCTAGTCCTACTCCAGTGCCAGGTTGATACTTGGAGACTCCGGCTCTAAGCCAGCCCTCATAGTCTCAGGTACTGGGCCAACACCCATGGACCCAGTGTTTCAGGAAGTTCCCTACTGACAGAGGATCCAGGCCTACCCAGTGCCAAGTTAGTGCTTGTGGTCTCAGACTTTAGATTTGCCCCCATAGATCCAGGTTCCAAGTCAGCCTTCACAGACCAAGGCACCAGGGCCACCCTCATGGAACCAGTCACAGGTCCTCCACAATGAATACTGGTGTGAGGCCTGACTCAGTGGACTGAGTTTCCACACTTAACCCTGCAGATTAATGCACTAGGCCTACCCACTTAGTCCCTCAGGTACCAGGCCAGCCTTCTCAAGGACCTCAGCAGCAAGCCCACCATGGACCGTACCAGGCAGCCTGTCCAGAATATCTAGATTGGCAGACTACTGAAGATTGCTGGCTTTCCTGCCAAAGCCAGTCTATAAAGACTGAAATAAGGGCCTACTGCTTCAAATTCATATAGTCCAATGCTTTGCCACAAGGATGACAAACAATCAGGGAAACATGACACCAATAAGGACACAAAATAAAGCACTGGTAGCCAACATTTTAAAAATGAAGACTTAAGAACTGCCTGACAAATAATTCTACATGATCATCTTGAAGAAGCTCAGTGAGCTGTAAGAGAACGAACACACACACACACACACACTCTCACACACAGACACATATATATCCAAATGAAATCAAGAAAGGAATACATGAACAAAATGATAAGTTCAACAAAGAGATAGCAACATAAAAACAAACCAAACAGAAATACTGAAGCTGACAAACACAATGACTGAACTAAAAATTTTAGAGAGAGCTTCAACGATGGACTAATTCAAGCAGAAGAAAAAATAAGTGAGCTCAAAGACAGATCATTTGAAATCACAACATCAGAACAACAGCAACAACAAAAAAAGCATAATAAAAAAGTGGGAAAAAGCCTATAAGATGTATGGAATACCATCAAGTGAACCAATATACAAATTATGGAAGTCTCAGAAGGAACAGAGGAAAAAAAGGAGGTGGGGGCAGAAAAAAAAATAACAGAAAACTTTCCAAATTTGGAGAGGTAAATGAACATCCAGATGCTTGAAGGCCAAAAAGCACCAGGTAGATTAAGCAGATGTTACTCAAGGCACAAAATAAAGCTCTCAAAAGTCAAAGACAAACAGATAATTGTGAAAGCAGCAAGAAAAAAAGCCACTTGTCACATAGAAGGGAACTCCTTCAGACAGCACATTTCTTAGTAGAAATCTTTCAGGCGTGGCTTACAAGAAACCCTAAAGGGATTTCTACAAAAATTGAAAGAAAGGCAAAGACAATAATTTGCAGCATGAAAACATGAAAGTATAAAACTCATTGGAAAAGTAAATAGTTAAATTCAGAATACAATAATAGTATTATCATGGTGCATAAATCACTCATCTTTAGTATAAAGACAAAGCTATTAATAATAGCTACAATAATTTGTCAAGGAATGCAAATAAAAAAGAAAGGAATTATGACACTGAAAACATAAAATGAAGGGTAGGCAGAGTAAAAGTATAGAGGTTTTTTTTTTTTTTTTACGTGATTGAAGTTAAGCTGTTATCAGCTTAAAATATCCTGTTATAACTATAAGATGTTTGAGGTAAGCTTCATGGTAACCACAAATCCAAAACCTATGGTAGACACAAAAAGCTGAAAAAGTAAAGAATCAAAGCATACCACTAGGAAAAATTACCTAGTTACAAAAGAAGACATCAAGAGAGGGAAAAAAAAGGAACAAAAGATCTACAAAACAACCAGAAAACAATGGACAAAATGGTAGTAATACATCTTTACCTATAAATAATTACCTTAAATGTAAACAGATTAAATTATTGAATCAAAAAAAAGAGTAGGTACAAGATACTCGGTTTACTTTTAAGGACACATGTATTGAAAGTACATGGATGGAAACAGATATTCCATGCAAGCAAAAACCAATGAGAGCAGAGGTGGCTGTACTCATATCAGGCATTAATAGACATTCAGTCAAAAACTGTAAAAAGAGACAAGGTTATTATGTGATAATAAAGGGATGAATTCATCAAGAGGATATAATAATAGTAAAAGATTTCAATATTGCCCTGCCAACAATAGAGAGCTCATCTGGATAAAACTCAATAAGGAAACATTGGATTTGAACCACACTTTAGATCAAATAGACCAAACAGATAGATATAGAATATGCCATCAATTGTAGCAGAATACACATTTTTATCCATTGACATAGAACATTCATCAGTATAAACCATATGTTAGGACAAAAAACAAGTTTTAAACATTTGAGAAGATTGAAATTATATCAAGTATCTTTTCTAACCACAATGATATAAAACTAAAAATCTGTAACAGGAAGAATTTTTTTAATTAGCAAATATGTGGAAACTATACAGCATGCTCCTGAACAAACAATGGGTCAAAAAATAATTTAAAACTGAAATTTAAAAATATTTTGAGACAAATGCAAATGGAAACACAGCATATCAAAACTTACCAGATGTAGCCGAAGCAATTCTAAGAGGAAACTTTGTAGCAATAAATGCCTACATCAAACAAGAAGAAAGATCTCAAATAAACAATCAAAGAAAGATCTCAAATAAACAATCTATTGTTATAACTCAAAGAATGAGGGGGAGGCGGGTGGAAAACTAACCCCAGAGTCAGTAGAAGAAAAAAAATAAAAGATCAGAGCAGAAGTAAATGAAATAGAATGTAGAAGAGCAATAGAAGATCAACAAAACCAAGAGCTGTTGTTCTGAAAAAATAAAATCAATACATCTTTAACTAAACTAACAAAAAATAGAGATGAGTCACAAGTAAATAAAAGTATAAATGAAAGAAGAGACATTATTATTGATACCACCAAAATAGAAAGGATCATGAGAAACTACTAGGAACAATTATATGGCAACAAGTTGGATAACCTAGGAGAAATGGATACATTTCTAGACACAGCCAGCCTAGCAAGACTGAATAATGAATAAGTAGAAAATCTGAATAGACCAACAATGAGTAACAAGATTGAATCCATGATAAAAAGTCATCAAAGAAAAGTGCAGGCCCTGAGAGCTTAAATACTAATTCTACCAAACATTTTAAGACAAACTAACCAATCTTTCTCAAACTCTTCTTTAAGAGAGGGGCAGGCGTGGTGGCTCATGCCCGTAATCCCAGCCCTTTGGGAGGCCAAGAGAGGCGGGATCACCTGGGGTCAGGAGTTCGAGACCAGCCTGACCAACATGGAGAAACCCCATCTCTACTAAAAATACAAAATTAGCCGGGAGTGGTGGCTCATGCCTGTATTCCCAGCAACACAGTAGGCTGAGGCAGGAGAATTGCCTGAACACAGGAGGCAGAGGTTACAGTAAGCTGAGATTGTGCCATTGCACTCCAGCCTGGGCAACAAGAATGAAACTCAGTCTATAAAAGAAAAGAAAAGAAAAGAAAAGAAGGAATATTTTAAAATTCATTTTAAAAGGCAAGCATTAATTACCCTGATATCACAGCCAGACAAAATCACTATAAGACAAGAAAATTACAAGCCAATATCTATGATGAACATAGATGCAAATATCCTCAACAAAATATTTCCAAGCTGAATTCAACAGCACATTGAAAAGATCATTCACCGTAATGAAATGGACAGTGAGCCGAAATCATGCCATTGCATTCCAACCTGGGCAACAACAACAACAACAACAACAACAACAACAACAAAGAAATCTCAATACAAAAAAAAAAAGGTAAAAGAATCTATGTCTCCAAAATCTCAAACTGTCATAGTAGCCCTGGACTTCTTACCCTTTTACATGACAGAAAAATACCAACTATGGCAGCAGCACAGATCATGTGTTAATCATCCTGTTTCCCTAATGCCTAATATTAGAAGAGATAAGGCAAATATTTGTTAAACTAAATTGAATGTTTATGTAGAGAAGACCTCTACAGTATTTCCAGAATTCAATAACTCCATGGGTTCAACTCATTCAAAGGTCCAAATGCCCTGCTCTGAGACATTACTGAGATTACTTAAGAATAAGCCTTTTAGGCAATACACATAATCTGGTATTGGTTAAAGGAGAATGTTGAGTCCCTTTCATTATGATTTATTTTGTATACTTCCAGTTTTGTTTCTATTTTTTCTCTGAGGGAGGGGGAAAAATTAGGAGAGGACATTTTCCCCTTCCAAGGAAATGTGGAAATATCCTGAATATGCCATCAGGAAGAAAAGCTTTCAAAGCATGATGTATTATACATTGTTGAATTTTGGAAAATTCCTAAGTAAACCTCACCAGGTTATTTCTGTACAATTACAAAATTTCCAGTCAGTTTCCCTGGAGTGTGTGCTACAGTGAAACTGACTAAACTTCCAGTTGTGTTTAATTCTTACACATAGCTGAAGGTGTGGGCCTATACTCACTTTGAATCGTAACTTTTTCTAAAAATGAATAATGCTAATTAAGCTAAGCAGGAGATCTGAAGAGAAAGATCACATACAATCAGCAAGAGCTAACTTCTCCTGAAGAAAAATAATAATCCTGTTTGCCTTTTCTCCCTGCTGGTAAGACCATCCTAAACTGTCCAAATCTTACTCCAGGCAGAAGTTATTTAATAAGTGCTAACCACATGTTTTGGATCTAGTGCTCTTCAGTCCAGTCCATCTCTCATAAGTTCCTGTATCTACCTCAGCTACATATGTCTTGGCCTCATCATCAAATGCCTATTCGTTACTCCAGGCCTCAACCCATTTCTAAAGCTTATCTCACCCTGTATACCTCTCTGTTTTTTCCTGTATTCCCTTATTATTTGATTTTGCATTCTATTTATAATTTAAACCTGACATGGAAATTGCTATCATGGTCCATATTTGGTCTTCTGGAAAATCAATAATAAATTTCCAGTTTAACTTTATTGTCTCTGGTTACTGGGATGACACATCAGACAGCATGAAATTACCTTTGTTGATCATCTTAATTTGGGCTCATTCAAAGGACTGAGAAATCGCATAATGCAGTGGTTAAGAGTCCCTAGAGACAGATGCCTGGATGGGAATTCCTTGACTTGTTCATGTTTAACCTCTCTCTGCCTCAGTTTTCGCATCTATAAAATAGTATGATAATAAAACTCAATTCTAGAGATGCAATAGGAAGTACATAAAATAAAGTATGTATCACAAAGAACTATATCCAGCATGTATTAAATAATCAATAAACATGCACTGGTACCATTATTAATGTATCAGTGCCATTATTGACCATCATTATTATAACTAGATACCTACCTTAGTACAGAGACCCACTGCTCATCTTGGATGCAGTATAGTTAACTGGATCCTAGTCTTGTTTCCCTGTGGCTGAGATCTTGTCTTGATAAACTTCTTACTTCCCAGATAAGTTCAGGTCTTTACCTTGTTTTTACTTTTTCTCTCTCTGATACCATTTGTTGTTATATGCTGGATCTCCAGTCAAGTATCCAATGTCCTGCCAACTGCCATAGACATGACTGGTTTGACTTCACAAATTCTCTCTTCCCCTGGGTCCCCCCCATTTCTTCGAACTGGATCCCATAGATACACCCTGTTAAGCCAACTGAATCTTTCTCATGCCAATAATTCCATAGGAGTGCCACCTGTTACTTATTGCCATTGTCTTTGACAAGACTTCCTTCTAGCTCCTACAGCTGGATCTGTTCCCCCAAGCGTCTGCTGCACTTTACTTCCGATTACAAAATCTGACCCATTTGAAATGATTTCATTGCACTTAAAAAGAACCTGCTTTTCCATTTTTAAAATAGATGGCATACAAAATAGAATTTGATATTTAAGTTTGGATGCTTACATATTAATTTAGCTCATGGATAAAGATTAAATTTCTCAAGATCTTTCTTAAAAAATATTTCATTACTTAGTTTTAGACTTTCTATTCATCTGAAATATATATTTGACATTTTTCATCTTATAAAATAATATTAACTTTTAGCTATAGAATATTTTAATTTAGAAGTCAATTCTTTAGCTCATTTGATCTTTATAACTACTCTTTAAAAATTTTGGTAGAGCAATTGGGACCAAAATTCAGCAAGTTTCTGCAACTTGTTTCAAAATATAGAGTAGGAGCCAGAATTTGAAAGTAGGAATTAAAGTCTCTTGAATTTAGGGCAGGTTCTTTTTCACTGAAATCAGATTTTCTACCTGGTGCTAAATGGCAATGGACATGGAAATAAATATAAAAATTTTATTCTTTGTCATTCGGTCAAAAAAAGTAAAAAGACATTTTATGTTCATTTATGAGTTTCCCATATGTGACCCTCAGATAGGCAGTGGAGGGCTAGGGCTTCACTCTTGCAATTGGGTCTTAATTAAATCAGCCAGGTGTTTTTTTTTCCTCAGAAGAAGACCCACCTTTTTAGGGTCTCATGCCTTGGCAAAAATGATGATGGCTATTCTTCTGACTCATAAGAGGTCATTTCCCTTCAGACAATTTGCTAATTAAAACTGTTTATTAATGAAGCCAAATAGCAATGAAGTTGTAGTGTACACCTCCTGAGCAAGACATTGAATGAGAATTCTCTTTGTGCCTAATATGGTTGTTCTTAGCACCTGTGAGGAAGTCACAATGATATGACACTTAGTTTTCTAAGCAATTCCTGTCATCACCAGGCCACTGTGATTGGATGCAGCACGAGTCAGAAGGTGTCAGAAGGAGAGAAAGTTAGAAAGATGTAAGTGTTTTGTCATATTATTGTAACAATAGGATCATCTGAGAAGTGTATATGATAGATCACACATTCTGAAAATTGAGAGTGTAGCCATTAAAAGTCACACACAGAAAATTAGATTTGGCCAAATGATCTGAAGAAAGGTGTCTTGGTTCAGGCTGCTGTAACAGAGTATCTTTGACTAGGTGCCTTAAGCAATACACATTTGTTGCTTACAGTTTTAGGCTAGGAAGTTCAAGCTCAAGGCACCAGCAGATCCAGTGTCTAGTCAAGGGCCTCTTCCTGGTTTGCAGGCAGCTGTCTTCTTAGGGTATCGTCATATGGCAGGCAGAGAGAGCAATGAAGCGAGAGAGAAAGATTTCATAATTTCTTTATAAGGGCACTAATGCCATTCATTAGGGCTCTACCTTTATGGCCTAATTATCATCCAAAAGCCGCATCTCCTAATACCATCACATTAGAGTTGAGATTTCAACATGTGAATCTGGGGAGGACACATTCAGTTTACGGCACAAGGGTATATAAGAAGAATATTATATATACCTCCCTAAGGAGTTTGCTAGCTAGAACATTTTCCGAGTAACCTTTTAAGCACTGAATCCTATGCTGTGGCTGTGTCTGGAGTTGGTTTCTTCTGGTGGATTCATGGTCTTGCTGACTTCAAGAATGAAGCGGTGGACCTTCACAGTCTTAAAGCTCTTAAGGATGGTACAGACCCAAAGAGTGAGCTTGCAGCAAGATTTATTGTGAAGAGCAAAAGAACAAAGCTTCCACAGCATGAAAGGGAACCTGAGCAGGTGGTCACTGCTGGCTCTGGTGGCCAGCTTTTATTCTCTTATTTATCCCCTCCCATGTTCCATTTCTGTCCTATCAGAGTGCCCTTTTTTCAATCCTCCTGGCAACTGGTTACTTTTAGAATCCTGCTGATTGGTCCATTTTACAGAGCACTGATTGGTCCATTTTACAGACTGCTGATTGGTGCATTTTATAAACCTCTTGGAGCTACATTTTATAAACCTCTTGGCGCACTGATTGGTACATTTTACAATCCCCTTGTAAGACAGAAAAGTTCTCCAAGTCCCCACTCCACCCAGGAAGTCCAGCTGGCTTCACCTTTTGTAACTACTTAGGACACATTCAACAGAAATCAAAGTAGTAGCACTGACTTTCAATTTATATTATGAAAACATATATCAAAATTATATAATTATAGAAGAGGAAATACATCAACAACATAGTACGTATTGAATGCATACATGTTGAAAGAAATATTTAAAGTTGAGAAATGATCAAAATTGAATAGAAGGTAATCAGGGAAGCTTTCTAGAGAAACATGTTTCAAATTGGGCCTGAAAATATTAGTAGAGGGCAAAGGAGAGTGATTTCCAGTTGGGGTGAATTGAATCAGGAAAAATATACACAGTTTAAATATGACAAATAGTGAAGAAATAAGTTTGGTTCCTGTAGAAGGACTGGATTGATCAAAAAATGAGAAATAATATTGGCATATAATGATGGCATTTTAAAATGTAAGAATGATGTGTATGTAAACTAAAAATCCTACCATATCAAAATCAATCTTATAGCACTGTTTGGATCACATTACTCTCCTGCCCAAAGCCTTCATTAACTCTCATTATTCATTAGGCAGAAGAGTGACATCATCAGAGTGAGATCCATAGGCAGACATCTGGCTGCATCCTGTATTTCCAGTTTACTTCCTCACTACTAGGCCCCTGCACCTCCTCCCACACATGCTCTTTCTTATCATTTGCTCCAGCCAAATCAACAGCTTGTCGTTCTTTAAAATTGTCTTATACATGCATCAACCTATTTTCTTTTTAAAGCACCATTTAGAAATAATTCACACTGCACAAAATTTATTCATCCAAAATATACAATGCAATAATAAATAATATTAGCATATTAAGACAGTTGTGAAACCATCACCATAATCTGTTTAGAATATTTTTATCACCCCAAAAATAAACTCCTATGCAATAGCAGTTACTCCCCATTCTACCCCTCTCTATTTCTTCCTTAGAAAACCACTAATGTACTTTCAATTCCTATAGATTTGCCTACTCTGAACTTTTCATATAAATAAAATAACGAAATATGGCGTTTTGTGACTGGCTTTCTTCATGCAACATAATGTTCGAGGTTTATAAAAGTGCAAGCTTGTATCTGTGTTTCATTCCTTATTATTGCTGAATAATATTCCATTGTATAGATGTACTACATGTTTTTATTCATTTACCAGTTGATGTACATTTAGATTGGGTCCACCTTTTGGCTATTATGAATGATAATGCCATAAACATTGGTGTACAAGTCTTTATGTAGACATATGTTTTCAATTTTCCTGGGTTTATGTTTAGGAGAGAAAATGCTGAATCATATGGTGTATTAGTCCAGGTCCTCCAGAGAAATAGAACGAATAGGATACACACAGATACACACACACACACACACACATCCATAAAAAAATAAGAAATACTAATGACACTTGCAGTTCTTATTTCTATAACTGGTCACATGGTTATAGCTGGTATTTATAACTACCATCTTCTGCTATCCATTCTGTGTTCTCTGCCTTCAGCAAGCACCTCTGCTGGCTGTGGTTATTTACCTGGTGAGTTGACTCAAACCTTCCTTCCTGAGGGATCTGGTCAATTATTAGGCCTGCATGTATTAGATTGTTGTAGTTTCCCACTGACCTTAATCACAGGGCATGGTAATACAAGAGACACCGTAAGAGATCTCCTGTATTCCAAACATACTCCTCCTTACCTCCATTGTATATTGGCACTCCTTCTTGGTAGTCACGGTCACTCATCTCACCCACCACAGTAACTGCCTTCTTATCCTGTTGATCCTGTTGATTCAGAGTCATGAGGAGTCTTACAAAGAGGCCAGGTGGCCATCTTAACTTCCAATTCAATGGAATAATTATTATTCCTGGTGGAAATATTCCTCCCTCTGGAACTAAGACCTCTAGTGCAGCAGAGTATGAGATCACCAGAACAGAAAATAAAAAATTTTCTAGTGGATCACTAGGCATAATAGTGAGTGGTACAATTCACATTTCCATCCCTTGATTCCTGGCCCCAAAAAGCTTGGCTATGGGAGAAACAGCACCATATATTGGACACTGATTCAGAGCGTATATGGTCTTCTGGAGAACCTTGCCCCAGGCCTACAAGGCATTGCTGCCCAGCTGACAATGTAACTTTGTCTTCAAAAGGCCATTCCACACTTCCCTCAAGCCAGTTGTCTCAGAATGCTGCAGAATATGGTGAAACCAGTTAATACCATAAATGTGGGCCCACTGAAGCACTTTTATGTTGTGTTTCTTGACAGAAGCAATGTTGTGTGCAATACCATAACATGATGGATAAGGCATTCTATAAGTCCATGAATGGTAGTTTTGACAAAAGCACTGCATGCCGGGAAGGCAAATCTATATTAAGAGGAAGTGTTCATTTCAGTAAGAAAAAATTGCTGCCCCTTTCATGATAGAAGCATGCATATTTGGACTATTTCTTTCTGTAATTCACTTGACCCTTCAGTGGCTGCTCTGGCCAGATCACGTATATATCACTGTCATTTGATGATTGAATACTACTGTTCATGCCCAACTTTATGGCTTGATGGGTCACATAATACCCAGTTCATGATGGCAGCTTAGGTTGCATGGTAACTTGGTGACCCATTCAGTCTGTACTAAAGCCCAGTAGCAGACCAAGAGCTGTTTCTCAAAAGGAGAGCAGTTATCTGTGGAGGAGGGCAGGGCTTTGCTCTAAAATCCTAAGGGTGTGCCTTGTGATTCACCTACAGGGGACTGCCAAAGCCTCAAAATAGCATATTTGTCTGCGACTGACACTTGAGGCATGATTGGATTTGCTGGACCAAATAGCCCTAGCAGCAGAGCAACTTGGACAGCAAACTAGACCTCTTGTCAAGCCTTCTCTTGGTCCGGACCTCACTCAAAAATAGCAGCTTTTCAGGTGTTTCAGTAAATGAACCAGAGTATCACACCCAAATGTGAATATGTTGGCTATGAAGTCCAAAGCAGCACACTAGGCATTGTGCCTCTTTTCTGGTTGTAGGAGAGGCCAGATGCAACAACTTATCCCTTTCCTTGAAGAAATATCTCGACATGCCCCATACAACTGGACACCTAGAAATTTCACTGAGACAGAAGACACCTGAATTTTAGTCAGTTAGTTCTCATCCTCTTACACATGAATTGCTTATGAATTAGTCTAGAGTAGCTGCCACTTCTTGCTCACTATGTCCAATGAGGATAATATCATCAATGTAATGAATCAGTGTGGTAACTTGTGGAAAGAGAAAGTGATCAAGATACCCACAAAGTAATTTATGACCCAGGGGTAGAGAGCTGATACACCCCTGAGGTAGGAGAGTGAAGGTGTATTGCTAGCCTTGCCATCTGAGAGCAAACTTCAGCTGGCAGTCTTTACTAACAAGTAACTAGAAAAAAGCATTTGCCAGCTCAATAACTGCATATCAGGTATCAGTGGATATGTTAATTTACTCAAGCAAGGAAACCACATCTAGTACAGCGCTGCAATTGGAGTCATAACCTGGTTAAGCTTATGATAATCCACTGTCATTCTATAAGATCCATCTTTCTTCTGCACGAGCCAAATAGTCAAGTTGAATAGGCATGTGGTGAAAATACCACTCCTGCATCCTCCTAGTCCTTAATAGTGGCACTGATCTCTACAATCCATCCAGGAATGCATTATTGGTTTTGGTTTATTATTTCCTAGGTAGAGAGAGTTCTAATGGCTTTCACTTGGCTTCTCCCAGTGTAATAGTCCTCACTCCATGAGTCAGAAACAATGTGAGGTTCCTGCCATCTGCTTAGTATGTCTATTCCAATTGTGTGTTCTTGAACTGGGGAACTAATAAGCACACAGTGAAACAGACCTGAGCTAAAACTCCATTTATTACCAGATCTTCATAAGCCACTACTCTGACTAGAAGGCCAAAGTGACAATAGGATCTCCTGGAATAGTATCAGTTCAAAGTTGGTGTACAGTCATCCCCCAAAGCTCTCATTATTTCCTTTTCCTCAATGCATAGTTATCCTGGTAAAAGGTTGTAGGTTTCTTTGGGAAATGCTGAGAGAAAGATAAACCATATAATTTATAGGTAGTGTAGTGTGGGTTTTCCTTGAGCAGACTTGGCCTCCTTTTTATTCAAGGGGTTCTGGATTTGTAAACTGGTTCAAGTCTAGGAATTGCTTGAATGGCCATGACTCCCTGTTTTTTACTTAGGTTAGATTTTTATTTCACTTGGCCTAGAAATTTTCTGCTTGTATAGATCAAGTAAGAATTCAGTAGGCTTCCCATCTATTCACTTTTAAAAACACCATGCTCAACTAGCCAACACATTACATCTATCATACGATTCTGATTGCTACTTTGACTCTGTCATCCATCACAGTAACAACACCCACCTTGTCTTTGGTCTTTAAGTGCCTCTACTTGGTCTCTGCCAGTGAAAACCAATTACTTTCATTGTATTTAGGTTTGCCAATTCAGCGGCTGCAGTTCCCACTGTAAATATAGCCTACAACAAGGAGCTATCAGGGATCTCTTCAGGGATGCCAGGGCTCCCCTCACAAATTTATTTATCACAGTATTTGTGAAAGGTATGTCTTCTGGACCCTCACAGTATGGTGAGGAGGTGTTTTCTTTCCACATCCCTGAGATTTTTTTATTTATACATTTGCAGTTTATTTACAGTTCTAAATGTGGTGTGATCAGAGAATAATTTTCTACAACTTCCAATTTTTGGAATGTTATAATTTTTCTTTCTACTCACCATGTGATTAAACACTGTATGTTTTCTATGGCTACAATAAGAAGATATACAGAAACTCTGCAGTGTTTAAATTTATTAATATATGTTTTTCAATGTTCTATACACATATGACTTCTATAATTGAGTTACATACATATACTATAGCCTACTTTACTTTTAAATTTAATTTAATTTTACTCTTTTAGATTGAGGGGTGTATGCATTTGTTTGCTACATGAATATTATATGTGTAATGCTGAGGGTTGGGCTTCTAGTGTACCCATCACCCAAATATTAGACATTGAACCCAGCAGGTAATTTTTCAACTCTCAATGCCCTCCCACCTTCTCCCCTTTGGAGTACCCAGAGTCTATTTTCCCCATTTTTATGTCCATGTGCATTCTTTTTTTAGTTCCCTCTTATAAGTGACAACATGTGATATTTGAATTTCTGCTTCTGTGTTAGTTTACTTAGGAGAATGGCCTCCAGCTCCACCCATATTGCTGCAAAGGACATAATTTCATTCTTTTTGATAGCCACGTAGTATTCCATAGTGTATGTGTACCATATTTCCTTTATCCAATCAACTGTTGGTTCACACTTAGGTTGGTTCCATGACTTTGCTATTGTAAATAGTGCTGCAATAAACGTACAAATACAAGTGTCTTTTTGGTAAAATGATTTATTTTCCTTTGGGTAGATAGATACTCAGTGGGATTGCTGGGTCAAATAGTAGTTATATTTTTATTTCTTTGTGATATCTCCATACTGTTTTCCATACAGGTGAACTAATTTACATTCCTACCAATAGTGTATGAGCACTCCCTTTTCTCCACAACCTTGCCAAAATCTGTTGTTTTTTTACTTTTTAATAAAAACCATTCTGACTGGTGTAAGATGGTATCTTATTTTGGTTTTAATTTGCATTTCTCTAATGATTAATGATAGTGAGCTTTTTAAAATGTGTTTGTTAACTATTTGTATTTCTTCTTTTGAGAAATGTCTGTTCATGTCCTTTACCCAGTTTTTAATGGGATTGTTTGTTTTCTGTTGATAAATTTTTTGAATTTATTGTGAATTCTGGATATAAATTCTTTGTTGGAGGCATAATTTGTAAATATTTTCTTCCATTCTATGGGTTGTCAGAGTATTCTGTTGATTACTCCTTTTGCTGTGCAGAAGCTTTTTGGTTTAAGTCAACAAATCCACTCTAACACTTACATCTCCCTAAGCATTTAAATTCTTTCTTCTACGTTAAACCACAGCAGATCTAGCATCTTCAATTCATTCACTGAGGACCACGTTTTTGTTCATGTTTCAGCCAGTCAACTGATCTTTCTAACTCCCTATGTTGTAACATTAAATGCAGAATCTCTGCTTAGTGAGCCCATATCGATAAATTCAGCCTGATACTACTCTATAATTTCTTCTATCATTACCCCTAATCCTTAGTACTCATTCCTTCACATTTCCCTTGGATTTATGTTTGTATAAATTAGAAAATTCAAGTAGTTATTTTGTAGTTTAACACATCTTCTCATGGGTCACACTTTGTACGACACATGTACCAGCCTGCTGGAACTTGAATCAGACACAAAGAGGGGTTGCTGGGATGGGTCCTGGAAGAAACAGCATTTTCTTGCATGACGACTGCCTCAGAGGAGGCCATTACAATTTCCTCAGGCAATGCAGAATTAAGCCTCTCAGATGGAGGTGAAAAGATCCATAACACTGAGTGGGGAGGTCACTTCTACTGAGAATGGTGAGGCTGCTTCTGCTGGTGCTTCCACTTTTGTTGGAGTTGGGGAGACCACTTTCATTGACAAGGAAGACTCATCAGAGTTTAAGGGCTTAATGACCCCAGATTTATCAGGATCTTTCCACACATCCCCATTCCAACTTATAAGATCCCATTCTTTCCCAATCCATGTTCTTCCTAACAGTAGGCACCCTATAAGCCTAGAAGTTTAAATTGCATTGTAATTGAGCCAATTTCAGATGAGATTCTGTATTTGATTTCCAGCAATCACACTCCTGCAACTACAGGATATGAAGATCTCCTTCAAGACATAAGTAGATACCTTCAGATTATTTATATGGCTCTTGAACAGGGAATTTGTGTCTCTAAGCTCATTCTTTTCTCTTACCAGTTTCTCCAGTGATGTTAGGAGCAACCAGCCAACCTCATTATATTCTTCAGTTTTCTGAAAATGTTCAAAGCATCATATACACAGGCACCTAACTCCTTGATTTTTATAAATGGTTGGTTTGTTATCTCCCTCAGTCCAGGAATTGATATAAGCAAATATCCCACTCTCAGTACCAAAATATGTATTATTTATGATTCTCCAGAGAAATATAACCATAGGAGATACAGATAGATAGATGATAGATTTTGAAGTGTGTCTTCTAAAGGCAGCAAATAGGTGTTTCTTGTTAGATGGTAATGTTGGTGCTGTAAAACGAGTTTGGAACTATTTTCTCCTCTTTAATTTTTTTTGAATAATTTGAGAAGGATTGATGTTATTTTTTCTTTAATGCTTGGTAGAATTGATCCATGAAGTCATCTGGTTCTGGGCTTTTTTTTTTTTTTTTTTTGAAAGGAGGTTTTTTTTATTACTGATGCAATCTTGTTCCCCTTATAGGTATGTTCAGATATCCTATTTATTTCCTCACTGTTTATTCTTAGTAGGTTATATGTATTCTTTCTTCTAGGTTGTCCAATTTGTTGGCATATAATTGTTCATAGTAGTCCTCATATCTTTTATATTTCTGTGGCATTAGGATAATATTTACCTTTTATTTCTGTTTCTATTTATTTGAGTCTTCCCTCTTTTTTAGTCTAGCTAAATGTTGTCAATTTTGTTTACCTTTTTTTAAAAAACACTCCTACTTTAAAAATCTTTGTTACTGTTTTCTTTTCTCTATTTCATTGATTTCTCCTGTTATCTTTATTATTTTCTTCCTTCTGCTAACTTTGGCCTTAGTTTGTTCTTCTTTTACTGGTTTCTTGATATGTAATGTTAGGTTGTTTATTTGAGGTATTTTTGTTTTTTTTTTTTCCAAAAGAGGCATTTGTAAATATAAATAAACTCTCTCGTAGGATTGCATTTGCTATATCCCTTAAATTTTGGTATTTTATGGTTCTAATTTTATTTCTCTCAAAATACTTTTATTTCCCTTTTCATTTCTTCTTTGATTTATTGGTAGTTCCAGAGTGTGTTAGTTAATTCCCACATATAATGAAATTTAAAAAATTTCTTCTGTTATTGATTTCTATTCTCATGCCACTGTGGTTGGAAAAGATATACTTGATATGATACTAATCTTCTTAAGTTTGAAGACTTGTTTTGTAAACCAACATATGATCTAGCCTAGAGAATATCCCATGTTTTCTTGAAAATAAAGTGTATTCTGCGGTTGTGGTTGTAATGTTCTGTTTATGTCTGTTAGGTACTCTTAGCATATAGTGTTATTCCAGTTTTCTCTTTCCTTATTGATTGTGTGTCAGAATGATATATCAATTACATTATCTTGTATAATTAATTACTTAATCACTTTACCAACACTATATTTGGGGGAATGTATTTGAATTGCTGTTTGGTGTCACTTGCTTTTAGCCTAAAGATCTCTTTACTTTTAAGGCAGGTCTGTGAAGTACAAATTCTCTTAGTTTTTAATTATCTAAGAATGTCTTTTTTTCTGCCTTAATTTTTTAAAACTAATTTTTCTGGATATAAGATTCTTGGTTGATATTTTTCTCTTTGAACATTTCAACTACATCATCCCATTGCCTGTGGCTTCTATTTTTTCTTATAAAAAGTCTGCTGTTAATCTTATCTGGGTTCCCTTGTTCTTGATGAGTCATTTTTCTCTTGCTGTTTTTCAGATTTCTTCTTTGTCTCTTGCTTTCAACATTTTGAATGTGATGTGCCTGGGTGTGGATCTCTATACATTTATCTAATTTGCAGTTTGTCGTACTTTTTGGATGTGTAAATCTGATGAAAAACATCAGATTTGGGAAGCTTTCAATCACTATTTATTTGCATATACTTTCCCCTTTGTCTCTTTTCTCTATTCTTCTTTCTTTTTCCTCTTTCTACTCACATTATGTGGCTGCTGGTGCACTAAATAGTGTCCCATATTTAGTCAGTTGTACTTTTCAAATCCAGAATTTTTTTTTTTTTGAGATGGAGTCTTGCTCTGTTGCCCAAGCTGGAGTGCAGTGGTGAGATCTCAGCTCACTGCAACCTCTGCCTCCCAGGTTCAAGTGATTCTCCTGCCTCAGCCTCCCAAATAGTTAGGATTACAGGTGCCTGCCACCATGCCTGGCTAATTTTTTTTGTATTTTTAGTAGAGACAGGGTTTCACCATGTTGGCCAGGCTGGTTTTGAACTCCTGACCTCTAGTGATCCACCTGCCTTGGCCTCCCAAAGTGCTAGGATTACAGGTGTGAGCCACTGTGCCCAGCCCAGAATTTCTATCTGGTTCTTTTTTAAAAAAATAATTTCTATCTTTATATAGATTATTTGTTAATGAGATATTATTACCATACTTCCCTTCCATTCTTTAGACAGCATGACTTGCAGTTCTTTGACTATATTTATAATGGCTACTTTGAAGTCTTTATCTGCTGAGTTCAACCACTGGCCCTCTTCAAAGCAGTTTATATTGCCTGCTTTTTTTTTTTTCCTGTGTATGATCACAGTTTTGTGTTTCTTGGTGTCTTGGATTTTGTTGCCATTGTTGTTGTTGAAAACTGGGCATTTTTGATAACATATTGTAGTAACTTGGGAATCTAATGCTTCCATCCCACCCCAGGGCTGATGATGTTGTTGTTAGCTTAGTCATTTATTTATTTGTTTAGTGACTTGGCTTAACTGACTCTGTAAAATATATTTTCACCACTGTATGCAGCTTCAGATGTCTCTGCTCTGACTGGTTTATTTCTTGCTTTTATCTTTTAGTTTTGCAACTGAGGGGCTGCTCCTGAATTAGCATAAATCACTTATTGTTCAAAGTTTATACTTAATCCTTCTTCACCAGTTAGATTTTTACCTTTTTACCATCGAATGTGTGTATGGCTTTTAGACGTCTTTCACAGTTTAAGTTTATCATTTTTTCTATGATTAGCCAGGGACTAGTAGCTTGGATTTTCTTTCTATGAACACTCAGAAAGGGCACATTCTTGGGCATGCACAGAATCTTTCAGACTGTTAGGAATGTGTGTGATTTTCATTTTTAGTCTGGCTTTCTAGGAGTTTCCCCCTCATTCTGTGTAGCTTATTATTCAAATAGAGGTTGAGCAGAGAACGCACTTAATCACCTAGGGCAGTGAGGTTTCTGCCTGCTTGTGATTGTTCAATGTGCATCTTGAGAATGTGTTTAAGTCCTTTCCTTGCCCTTCTCTGACTGTTCCTTAATGGGTGCACACCATGCTCTAATTGTTTCTAGTATTTGTGCACATCCTTCCTGACCCCCAGGGTTTACTGTGATCCCAGGAGGCCACTTTGTGGCTGTCTCTTTTTCAGGTAGTCGCTAGTTAACTTTTGATTGCTCTGATGTTTTTATTGTTGCTACCTTTATTATAGAGCTATAAGCCCCTCCATTGTTTTCAGTAATACCTTTGACATGGAATTCTCTAGGATTTGCTCCAGATAAAATCTGTTCCCTCAGGCAGAGCTGTGGAGCTCTTCATCATTAAGGCCTTCTTTGCAGCCTGCCTCTCAGCCTGGGCAGAATCTCTGTGCCACCGCACAAGAGCTAGGGGCAGGGACAATATCCCACTTTTTCTGGATTGGCACCCCTGTTCTATAAGCAGGTACTGGGGGTGTGGTGGCACTTGTGTTCTTGTGTTCCTGACATGGAAGCTGTACCCTATGAGTAAGCTGGGGCATGAGTGATCAGGGAATAGTGTTCTCAGCCTTCTGTATCTGGGTTAGCATTTCTGCCCTACAGATGAAGACAGGGTAGAGGAAGAGAGCTCAATTATCTTGACTGTGACTGCCTAGAATGGAGCTTCTCTAACCCAGGGCTGAGAGAAACAAGAGACACTAGTGGTCTGCCCTTACTGGGGTTAAATTGTATTACCAGATTTGGCACTAGGAAAAGAGGAATCCCCATTTTCTTCATCACACCCAACTGGATTAGAGTTCTCCTAGTAGTTTCTATTAGAAATAGCTTGGTATAGGGGGATGTCGGTCATGGCTCAAACGCCAGTCTCTTGCTATTCTTATGGAGATTTTATGGATTTTCTTGAATAAATATTTTTCTATTTACTGTGTGCCCTTAAAACAATTTCCAGAGACTTTATTTGATTGTGTTTGTGTGTGGGTGTTTAGTTAATATTCCCAGTTAAATGGTTATTTGTTGAGGAGACAGTCTACTTCACTCCTCACTTCTCCAATCTCAATTCTAGAAGATATCTGAGTGTTTTTCCTTTATAATCACCTATCCCTTCACTCTAATGATTCCTAAACTGCCAATTTACTCATGACTCTCTGTCCCCAAGCTGCCCATACACATCAAGTGAATTTAGACTTACATACTTGGGAGTCTTTCTGATGTTTCTTTCTGGATATCTATTTTCCTGTCAAGCGTAATATCATAAAGATTAACCTCTTTGTCTTGCCACTGTAAATCATTTTTGAATTCTCCTTTCCTAGTGTTTTATTTTAATCCTATTAATCTCTCTATTTTTCCAAAATATAGCTTTGGTATAGAAATCAGTGCAAAAAGAATATTTTTAATGCTTATATGTTCCACTGTGGTAGGTATTTTGGTATCAAAGTTAAGTAAGATATGTTCACCACTGCATGCCTGTAGACCCAGCCACTCGGGAGGCTGAGGTACAAGAATCACTTGGATCCAGGAGGCGGAGGTTACAGTGAGCTGAGATCACACCACTGCACTCCAGCCTGGGTGACAGAGCGAGGCTCCATCTCAAAAAAATAAATAAATAAATAAAAGATATGTTCACCACCTTTGATAAACTCACAATAGAATTTAGATGTTAGTTTTGTGAAGAGATCATTGTAATTAAATGTATTCAGTTTCATAAGACGTCATAAGAATATTAACAGAGAAGAATGTATTCATTTACAGCGTCTTTATTTAAAACAACAACAATAAATTATTTCTAAACCACACTACTCTCTTTAGCTATCTTTGTCCTTCCCTTCACAAACTTCGTATAAGACTTTCTTTAGAATAATTTACACTTATTGACTACATCTCTTTCTTCAATTCACTTTTCAATCTAAGCAATCTGACTTCTGCCTTCATCACTCCACTGATGTTACGTTTCACAAATTCATCAATGATCTCACATTTCTATATCAAAAAGACACTCTTCCATTCTTATCTGAATTGACACTTCCCAGCCTTTGACACTGCCAATGACTACCGCCCTCTTGAAGTGTTATCTTTCCCTGGATCCTATAGCACTACTTATGGTACCACTTCTGTCTTTCTAGATGTTTCTTGTTCTCTTTTATTATTCCTTCTTTTCCGCCTCCTTTAAAGGGTGATGCTCTTCAAAACTCTTATTTGTTGAGCTCAACACTCTCTTGTATACCACTGCCATCAACTAACCAAATCTTTTATTTCTTACTCATCTCACTTCCTTGACTTCTAGATGCATACTGAAAATGTTCTTGGCTATCTTATAGACTTTAGTCCTTTCCTAAAAACACTGCATATAAGGAATGATTATAAAGCCACATGCTCTGGCAAGATGACTCTTCCCCATTCCTCCTGCAAATACCCAAGATAATTTGAAGCTCATGTAATCAAGTTATATCCCCCCATCTTTGCCTGTGATCCTGGTGACTCCTCTTTTGTTGACTGATGACTTTAGCATCTGACACACTTTATTCTCTACTCCTGCTCCCATCACAATGCTTGGTAATGCCAACTTAATTGAATATCCACCAATATCCTGGCTTCTTTTTTTTTTTAATCTCGTTTCTATTGACCAAGTTCTTCACCCATCTCACTTACCCAATTCTATGTCATGGCCAATTGTACTTTCTCTGAAATCTCAATTTCAAGTCTTTTGGTCTCTCACCCTCTCTCTGTCTCTTTCTCTCTCATACCTCCTCTCTTTGTATTTTTCTCTAATAACACCAGTCCAATAATTTCCCCCTCATTTAAAGGCTGCCTATCCCTTTTCCATTTTTCACTATCCATCTGTCCTTCATGCACATTCTATGATACAATATTATAATCATGTTCTTGCAAACGTTATTGATTTCTTTATCTTCAACTCCCTAATACTGTCAACAAAATTCCAAATCTGGGTAAATCCAACTATATATTTACTTTTCACTTGCACTCAAGTAACAAAATATTGCTCCTGTCCTCTTTTCACAAATCTCCAAAAATTCTTTCTCACCTCTTATCTTCAATCAATACTTTTCCTCATAGTCCTTTGAGAAAATAATAGGAATAAGAACAAAACAGCCTCATCTAATCACCATCATATTTACCAATCTACTTGCATCTATAATTACATCTTTACTTGGCATCCTGCTTTCTTATGCCTTTAAAATCAAACTATTTTCTACACAGAAGTCAATTAAAAGTCCCACCCTGTTATTGCCTACCGAAAATCTTTCATTATCTTCTCATCTGTAAGAAAAATATTAAAACTCTTTACCAGAACCTACAAGTTTCTACGTGTTGGGGTCCCTGATTAATTGTGTGGTATCATGACCTACCACTCCCTTCACACACCTGCTCACTACCTTTAATCATACAGCTCTTAGTTCAATGCCACCTTAAAGTTTCTGCACTTGCTGGTTCTTCTACCTGGGATGCTGTGTTCCCAGATCTTTACAAGGCAACTTCCTACTCATCAATGCTGAATGTCCCATAGAACAACTTCTTAGAGAAATCTTCCTTGATCGTCTGTTTGTTATGTTCTCTATCATATCTTGTTCTTTCCTTTCTTGTTAGCCTTCTTAGCACTTCCCACTATGATGCCAATATCTCACCACTGTAAGATTGGCATATTTACATATTTGGGAGTTTGTTTCCTTTTGCTTTCTCAACCTGAATGTGAGTTACTTACATCAAAATATTTGTCCTGCTTGCTTTTCACTATGTCTCATGCCTAGAAAGACATGACCCAGGGCTGCTACTCAGTAAATCTTTTTCCATGGTCTGCTTTGTTTCTGATGTTTTTCTACCTCAAAGGATTATCTTAATACCACACCACCTGCCTATGTCAGAAACCTCAGCTTATACCTTAGCTTCTCTCACTCACTGCCCATACCCAAAAGCTAATTGTGTTAAATTTTCTTTCAAATTCGATCTCAAATTTGTTTACTTCTCTGCATCTCCATTGCTGCTACTGTAGCTTAAGCCACCAGCATCTCACCACTGGATTTCAGTAACAGCTCCTCGTAAGTCTCTACTTCCAGCTATCCCACTTCTAATCCAGGTTCCATAAAAAATATGAATTCTTTGTCAAATGAACCAAATTCTTTCTACTGTAAAATACTTATATAATTCTCTGTTAGCCTCTTGATGAAGAAAATACCTTTAACATGCCCTGCAAGATCCTGCATCATTTGCTCTTTCCTCTTCTTACTAGCATTGTCTCCACTACTTTCTCTGTGTCACTCACACCTGACACTTCATGTCACATACCTGGCATTCAGTCAATGTGTGTTTAATGACTAAATTAAGCTATGCATTCACAAATGGCACAAATAACAGTTAATAATGTTAAGATAGTTGATAATAAATGATATACTTTTTTGATATTATGCCTAGGCAGTTGATACTAATAACTTGCTCTTTAATAAATCATTCTGAATTATAATGATAAAACATGCAAAAAAACCCAAGAAAGCTTGATAACTCTGCTAAGGCCATTATCCTTATGTTGTTCCTCTCTTGAACCATTTTAATTTCTGTGACACAGAAGTCTTTCTTTCCTTCATTTTCCAAGAACAATTGACTCTGCCTGCCTGGCCTGAGGAAGGCTCCTGGGCATCATTGCTCTGGCAGGTGGTTTTCATTTGCTGTCTAGAGATGCTGGCACTCCTGCAAATTCAGTTCCCATCTCACTCCCAGCCAGGTCCCCAACACTGCCTGCATCTGATACAATGGCTTGTTACCGCCTGGAATATGTAGTTCTAACAGTAACACAGCCCTCTTTTTCTTCAGCAACCATCAGAAAAAAGGATTTCTTGGACCATTACATTTCAAAATATATTTTTACATTTCAAATAAATATACTACCTTAAAAATATTTCTTCTGAAATAAAATATATTGTCCATTTAACCTCTGACAAAGAAGCTGAATTGGAGTGGGACTTCATTGTAAAGCCCTGGCAGCTGCTGCCTAGGTTCAGTTTCCTAAGCAACCTGGAAACTTAATTAGACCCAAACAACAAGGATGAGTATTTAGAGAAATAAGATTTAGTGGAATCACTATCATCAAGGATCTAAGAACCGAGATTATTGAGGGAAAGAAATGTAAAAATGAGGTAAAGCAATCTGATGATTAGAGAAATTAGCTACAGAGCTTTTAAAATAATATTTTTAAAGAACTTTAATATTTTAAATCATTAGCCTTCAGGTTTTCAGTGGCAGATGAGATTACAAGTATTTAAACAATCAGCTTGAATTGCATTGCTTGAGACAATGTTTGCACCAATTAGCTCCTGAAAGTTAAAGAGATATTCCTTTAAGGAATGATCCTTGAATTAGACCTTGGAAAATGGGTAGAATTTGAATATGCAGGTTTATGTATATTTATGATCACAGTTAGTCTGTTTATTCAATTCAAATTCCACATGTATTGTCATCACTGTTTGCTGTTATAACTTCTTATGTCTCCTCCTGCACCATTCCATTTCCCCACAACCCTTGTAAACACTGGTTCCAGGCAAGGTTAAGGAGTTGTGAAGAATCTAGGTACTCCTATAATTGTTGTTAATTTTTCTAATGCAATCTCGCACCATTGCTTATATTACATTGGAAGTCTTAAAATTAAAAGACTTGTAGAGATCAGATTCCAGCACAAACTTCTAATTAATTTACCAATCCTACTATTAGCATCTATACAGATATTCAAAGAGATTCTATAACACATCCCATTGAAGAAATTTTCCCAATTCATGCAATAGCCTATTTTGGTATTGAAAAATTCTAATGTAAAGTCTTCGTAATATGAAACCAAAGTTTGCCTCCCTGTGTATTCTTTTTCGTCCCAGTTATACCCTTGAGTCAAAACGAACCCATTTCTCTTTTACTGAGCTTTTAATATTTGAAGTCGATGATGTTTCTTATTTTTGTTCTCTTCCCAGACTAATTACAGGATCTCCACTTCTTCCAATCAATCTTAAAGTCTAAAAAATAAAAGATTTGGAAATCAGAGGTGCATTTCCTTCATCATCAGGTATAAGTATTTTCCTATCATAATTGTTTATTCTTCTCTCAATTTGCTTCCTAATATTGATTAAAACTGCTTACTATTTTTTATTTGACATAATCTTAAGGTGAAAAACTCCACACTCTTGATGGCCATTTTAATCAATTCACTTCACTGCTCTGAAAAAAAAATCCAGTAGATGACTTTTTAGGCTTAACCAACCTGGAGAGCACCCAAGCACTTTCCATTGGTGTGGCACAAACTGCACTGATGCACACTTTACTGAACAGATTCGAGTCTCTGGAATAGCAGATATGTACTATCCACATATAATTTGCTTACTGTAGAGAATAGAAGAGAATGATTGTTCAGTAAAATGTTTGCTTATATAATCTGTGTGACCAAAATAATTTGCTGTTGGTCCCCATGTATATCTTGCCAATTACCACATCGTATATTTTCCATTTCCCAGTTTTCATTTCTGGAATTTATTTCCTATTTTATTGTGTGGCAAATTATCTTTAGTTTCTCAATGACGATTCCTAGAGTCATACAACGTTATAGTCACACATTTGCTCCAGAAATGCCCTCCGACACTTTGTTTGCTGTCTCTGTTCTTCCGTCTCTCTCCTCATCCTCCCATCTTTCAGTTCCTTTCCTCTGTCTAGAGCATGCTAAAAATAGTTCATCTCAAAATTGTTTAAGAAAATAAGAAGCAGGTTATAAGGTTATTGAGGCATGTGGCCATGAGTCAAAAAAGTCCCACTCGGGTGACAAATATAATGATCTCTAAATATAATTATTACTGAGAGTAATGTCTTCTCTGTGTATATTATCACATAAGAGTGCCTTGGTTTAAGGCTGTCAAGTGCTCAAGCACCCAAGTTCTCTGAGCTTTGAACTGTCAGAATTTAAGATTGGAAAATACATTAGAGATTATTTGTTACAAGCCCACCTTAGTTACTTTCAGAAAACAAGATGGATCCAAATGAATCCATAGCTCAATGTATTCAATTTAGCAACTTTTTTACTATACCACATTGCCTTGCTGATGCAAAACAATTGCAGAACCTCCAACTATGTCCATCTTTCTGTCTGCCTATCTCTCTTTTCATTTCTCTCTCATTTCCATTTCCAGTGAATCTGGCATGTATGATTAAAATAATAGGCTCTGGGTTCAAATCTTGTCTCCATCATTTATTAACCTCAGGAATGTCAATGCAATTCTTCAAGCTTCAGTTTCCTAATTTATGAAGTAGAGATAATATCCAAATTATAGAGGTGTGGTGGACTATTAAACAAGATGACTCATAATGATTTTAGCACAGTATCTATCAGATAAGTGCTTCTCAAATGTTAGACATTTTTATTATTAATATAAATAATGCACACTTACTATAAAAAATGTGGAAAGGCTAGGAAAAATAAGGTTAAACTATCAAAATGGCTAGTAATCACTCGATTTAAAGATAATCACTGTTAATATACATACACATGTATACATAGAGAATATCACATGTACTATGTTCAAACATATTTGTGTATTATAATTTTCTATAGTTGATTTCACAGAATAGAATGAAACTAACATAATTTGCTAAACATAAATTTCTTTCAAGTAGTTTTGTTAGTTCCTAATATTATCTTCATCCTGAAAAATCTAAAAATGAATCAGGGAAACCTGAACTTGATGATTTTGTTATCAGCTTCAGGCTGAATATTGAGAACGGGAAATAATAAAGTGAGGAATAAACATTTACCTTTAAATTGTACTTCTTATAAAGATTTTCAAGCCTTTTATAATTACGACGTCTCATTAACCTTTTAAAGAAACTGGTGTTATGGTGTGGCACATCTTTAGTGTAGTGTAAAGTTAGACTAATCCAGAAAGAACCACTGAGATCCTGTGTATCTACCTAGAAAACCATACTACATAAGGCAGTGATGAGTTTTGAGAAGTTGTGTGGTTTAAAATTTCTTAGACCCTTCCCTGACCACATCGTGTGTTTGGTTCCTTAGATACTGACTTCGTTTTCTTAATCTTTGCCCTACTCATTCACGCATTCATTTATTTACTTATTCTATGTTTGCTGAGTATCTACTATGCACTCAATATTATGCTAAAGAGACTGAGGCTAAAAATATTAATAAGAGAACTTCACTGTGATAAGAAGTTGTAGTTCAGCCAAGGCGATGAAATGAAGAGAAAGTTTTCGTGCACTGTGATAAGCACAATGAAAGGAAGCAAAGGAGACCATAGCAACCTGCAGATAGAGATCTATGTTCGACATGGAAGTCGTCAAAAAGGGTCCATGAAGGACATGACATCAAAGTTAAGTTTAGTCTTAAACAATGTTTAGAAGCCATGCCCTTATTCATGGTCTGTGTGACCTGGAATACTTATGCTTAATACAGAAGATCTCTTAGCCTCAATTGCTGCATAAATTTGTTGTAGGAGTTAATGTAGCATCTGTAAATAGTAGATATTCAATAAAAGTTAGTTCTCTTTTTACTATTATTATGTTTCTTTCTCACTTTATTTTGTGTCCATAAATATTATTTGTTCTCTACCTAATTGTCAAGTAATGTTCTTCTATGAAAATATTTTATAACTTTGGAGATAGGACACAAATTTAATATCTGTGAAAAGGATTGTGTTTATTTGAGGGTAGCAGAAGACTTGTAAACACCCAGGAATATTGACAAGGAAGTAAAAAATAAGTCTAGCACGTCACTCAATCCAGATGTTCCACTGGCAGTTGTGTAGTCATCTGTCACTTTCCTTAGCCATAACTTGCTCCTAATTTAAGAGACAATGTTATTCAGTGTTATGTTTTTAAAGGTATCTTTCTCTTAAACATCCCTTAAGTCACTCATGTTTTGAGAGTGATGTATCTACCTTAATAAAAATAAAACTCTAATGGGTAAAAAAAAAAAAAAGTGAGTTGAGAAAGCTATCAACATTTCAGAACAACATGATTCATGGTACTCAAAAATAGAAGAAACTTATAAATGAGTGTAAGGAAAGTAATTACTTGATATTCAATTTGATCTCCCATCTTTGCAAATGGCTGTTCCAAGTTCTGTTCCAAAATGGTGTCAGGGCTTCGCTGCTGTCATCAATTGCCATCAGCACTGCCTTTAACTGACATAATCACTGATTGTTACAATTAGTGCCCATTAGTAGAGAGTAAAATTAGAGTCTCAGTCATATAGAATTGCCCATTATGTCCATAGAATACACAAAGTTCATCACTTATGATTAACATTACCAGAGAGAATTCAAAGGAAATTATGAAAGACCTGTCACTTTATAATGCTGCCAGATGTGAATATCAGAGATGATATACCAACTGTCAAAACTCAATGTTCTGCTATAGAACACCCAGATTTTTAGATTTTTAGGTACAAAAATATGAAGAATTAGAAAAACAATGTGTTTAGTGGACGGGAACTTTGAGGGGACCAATAGACAAGGTACATTGTTGAATAACAGAAAAATATATAGAATACATTTGATATAGTTAGGTCCCTTTATAAAATTATTTGCTTTTTTATCGGTTTTAATTTATAAGCCAAAAGAAGTGTCAAACCAATTGTGAAAAAGGCCAAAGTGAACATAGTTTTTAACCCGACATTTTAATTATAAAAGAAATTAGCCAGTTGTACCATTCTTATTACAATGATTGTTAACACTCCACTCTAAATAAATACATTTTAGATAGAAGGCAGAGAAGTTAAGACAAAATATGTGATGCCTGGAGCTCCAGCCTCCATCTTAGGTCATGCGGTGACCTTGAGGCTGTAATCTGCTCGGATGGTAGAGCAGAAAGGCAGAAGCAGCCCAAGTCCTCATTTACTGTGGAGCTACCATTCCAGCAGTCTGTTCATCAAATGCAAATTATATGACTAACCACTGGGAATATTAAGATAATAAGAGAAAAAATTTCCACTGTGTAGACATCAATACCTATGGAATACCATATATGTTTCAACAAGGTGACATCAACTCAATATATATTTCAAACATTTTTATGAGATATTTGTTATAAAAATTATAAGCCTGAATATATAGTATAAAGATTTCCATCCTGTTCCTAGAAGTACCTACTTTTAAGTTACATGTCTATCTTTTCTGGCATTTTCTATGCACATAAAAGCATTTATATATTTTATTTCTTTATTTATAATATATATTTAATTGCACATAACAATGATACTTATTTATGGGGTATAGTGTGATATTTTGATACACATATACAATGTGTGACAATCGAACTAGGAGAATTAGCACATCCATCACTTGAAATATTTTATCATCTATTTGTGTTGGTAACATTCAAAATCTGCTCTTCTAGCTATTTGAAAAAATACAACAAATTATTGTTTAACATAGTCACCTGACAATGCTATAGAATACTATACCATTGCTCCTATCTAGCTGTAATTTTATATTAGTTAACCAATCTCTTCCTGTATCCCACCTCCTTATATCTTTCCCAGCCTCTAGTAACCACTCTTCTACTTTCTGTTTCCATGAGGTCAAGTTTTTTAGCTTGCACACAGGAGCGAGATCATGCAGCATTTTTCTTTCTGTGCCTGACATTTCACTTAACATAATGTTCTCCAGTTCCATCCATGTTGCTGCAAATTACAAGATTTCAGTCTTTTTTATGTCTGAATAATATTCCATTGTGTACATATATCACACTTTTTTATCCATTCATCTGTTGATGAACACTTAGGCTAATTCCGTATCTTGGCTATTGTGAATAGTGCTACAATGAAAAAATAGGAGTTCTGATATCCCTTCAACATATTGACTTCCTTTCTTCTGGATATATAACCAGTAGTGGAATTTCTGGGATATAGAGTAGTTCTATTTTTAGCTTTCTGCAGAATCTCCACACTGTTTTCCATAATCACTGTACTAACTTACATTCCCACTACCAGTGTATAAATGTTCCCTTTTCTCTGCATCTTCACCAGCATTTATAATGTTTTTGTCTTTTTGATAATAGCCATGCTTACTGGGATGAGATGGTGGCTCATTGTGAATTTGATTTTCATTTCCCTGATGAGCAGTGATATTGAGCACTTTTTTCATATATTTGTTGGCCATTTTTATGTCTTCTTTTGAGAAATGTCTATTCTAAAACTGGGTTATTTGTTTCTTTACTGTTGTTTGAGCCTTTTGTATATTCTGTACATTAATGTCTTATTGAATTCTCTTTATTTTTCAATAGATGTTGTATCGTAATATTTTACTGCCACTTACCTTTCTCATCACTTTTGTATCCTATTTTACATCACTAGTATTGATATTCTTTCATATATCATGGCACATGGTATATTTAATTTTACAAACATATGAATTTAAACTATAATCTACTTATGAAAATAAATGTTTATGAAACATGATAAGTGAAAGAATATCAATAAACTACATTTCACCATTAAACTACATTTTTTCATTACACCAGAGAGTGATGCATTAAATATTCTTATATGTTTATCTGTTTGTAGATATTTAGAATAAGGTTCTAGAAATAAGATTCCTAGGTTACATTTTCAAATGTTGAAGTTAGTATACATTTATATCTACATCTACATCTTATCTATTCAAATTGCCTTCCAAAATGTTTGCTTTTATTAACATTCCCAACACCACGCAACGGAGCATTACCAAACTTTTAAATCCTCACCATGGATATAAATGTCCATGGATGAACATTTAGATCTTTTCCACTTTAAGGTTATTATAAATAATGTTGCTGCAAACATTTGTGTATGAGTTTTTGTGTGGACATATGTTTTAGAAATCAGTGGATTTTATATATTGATCCTGTATCCTACAACCTTGATGAGCTCATTTATTGAACTTTAATAGATTGCTTCTCTGTGGAATTCTTATGCTTATCCATGTACAAGATCATGCCATCTGTGAATAGAGATAAGAGATAATTGATTTTTTCTTTTCTGATATTGTTGCCATCTCTTATCTTTCTTTCTTTCTTCCCCCCGCCCCAACCCCAACCCCACCCCCTGGCTTTTTCACTTATGCCATAGAAGTTCAATATTGGGCAGAAGTTTCAAAACAGACATCCTTGTTGGTCCTTGCCTTAGTTCAGGTTGCTATGACAGAACACCATAGACTGGATAGCTTAAACAGCAAACATTTATTTCTCACAATTCTGAGAGCTTGGAAGTTCAAGGTCAGGGTGCTAGCAGATTTGGTATCTGCTGGGAGCCTTCTTTGTGTTTTGCAGACAGCCATCTTCTCACGGCTTCATACAGTGGAGAGAGAGCAGAGAGAAAGCCAGCTCTTTCATGCTTCATCTTATAAAGACACTGATCTAATTGTGAGGGCCCATCTCCAACACCATTACATTGGGCATTAGGGTTTTAATATATAAATTTTGGAATGGAAAAAACACTAATTTCATAGAAGTCCTTACTTAAGTTGGAAAGCATTCAATTATTCCCCATTAATTATGTTAGTTGTGGGGATTTGGTATATGCCCCTTACTGGGTTGAGAAAGTTTCCTACCATTCCTATTTTGTTGAGTGTGTTTAGCATGAAAGTTTATTGGATTTTGACAAAAGCATCTATTGAGATGACTGTGTGAAGTTTGATTTTTATTTGATTAATATTAATATATTCTTACATTAATTTTTTTTTTTTTTTTTTTTTTTTTTTTTTTTTTTGAGACGGAGTCTCGCTCTGTCGCCCAGGCCGGACTGCGGACTGCAGTGGCGCAATCTCGGCTCACTGCAAGCTCCGCTTCCCGGGTTCACGCCATTCTCCTGCCTCAGCCTCCCGAGTAGCTGGGACTACAGGCGCCTGCCACCACGCCCGGCTAATTTTTTGTATTTTTAGTAGAGACGGGGTTTCACCTTGTTAGCCAGGATGGTCTCGATCTCCTGACCTCATGATCCACCCGCCTCGGCCTCCCAAAGTGCTGGGATTACAGGCGTGAGCCACCGCGCCCGGCCTTCTTACATTAATTTTTAGATGATAAAACAATCTCACATTCCTGAGATACATTCTACTTGGTCACAGTGTACATTCCAACACATTTTATGTGTTGGCCGTATTCATTTTGTCAATACTTTGTTAAAGACTGTGTTTATCTATTTGCAAAGAGTAATAATGTATAGCGTTCTTTTATATTAATGTTTTTCTCTGCTTTTGTTATCTCAGTAATCTTAATCGCATGAAATGAATTGAAAAGCGTTCCATCCTCTTATAATTTTTGGTAGAGTTTGTAAACAGTTAATATTGATTCATCTTTAAATTTTTTGTTAGAAATCATGATTAAAGTCACCTTAGCTTGGGCTCTTGTTTGTTGGAGGTTTTAAATTATTAATTTAAGCTCTTTACTTGTTTATGTCTGATAAAATAATCAATTTTTTCTTAAGTCAATTCTGGTGGTTTCTATCTTTCTAGCAAAGTGTACATTCCACCTACGTTATCTAATTGGTTGGCATACCATTGTTCATAATAATCTCTTATCCTTTTTTACTTCCATAAATGAGGACTGTGCTCATTTGTATGCTCCACATGTTTGAAATTCTGAGACTGTAACCCTTTTTGCTTCTTTCTTTATAACAACACTAAATCAATGCTGCTAATTATACAGATTTTATTGAAGAATTGTGGTGAACTGTAGGCAATTAGAGTTCAGGCATAAAATAACTTCAATTTGAATTTCAGATAGACTTCCTATAAATTCTATGAATCAGAATATCAGAGTTTAAAAACTGGTTTTATCCCTTATTTGCTGAGGAGTTTTAAATAATAATGATGGTGAGCACTCTTCTTGTGTCCTTATTCTGAATGTGATTGCTTCTATTATGTCACCATTAAATATGGTGTTACATTTCTATTTGAAACATTATCAAGTTTTTTTCAATTTTTTTGTGATCTAATTCTTCTGGTTTGATGTTAATAGTTTTCTTTCTTGGCTCTTGAATCTTGGAGTTCAGTAACTTCTCACACCGTGTTAACTCGTCCTTTTGATGTAGAGTTTCAGTTCTTTCTTGACTCTAAGAAAGCCAATTATATAAATACTGCATCTCCACTTTATCTCTCCTACTTATATAATTTTGTGCTTTTTGCTCTTATCTATTTTGGTTTATATCATTTTACCAAGTCATATTTTATGACTTCTACTCTTTTAGGCAACATCTATTCTAATTCTGAATACTTCTAATGTGATTTTCATTTTCATAACTAAATACATACACACACACACACACACACACACACACACACATATATACACACACACACACATTTTTTCCCTTTTCTCTTTCTTTCTTTCTTTCTTTCTTTTACTTGGCCAAAGTATTTTTAACAAATTCTGTTGCCTTATTTTTCTACTTGAGTGCTTACATTTCTTCTTTGCCTGAGACAATGCACTTTATAATTTATTTTTATATAAGAAATGTGTATATTTCTTATGCAATTCTTGTCATAAATTGTGTCTTCAAGTCACTTTTTTATTGTTTAAAATAATTGCTTTGCATAGACTAACATTGGATACTTTTGCATATTAATTCTCTTTAGAAAGGAAAATGATATTTAAGCTGACCAGTGGAGATGAGTTGAAAAAAAAAATGAGCTGGGAAGGTCATCTGTTCAATTCAAGTAAAATCCTATATATATATATGTATATATATATATATATATAAAATCTCTTATATATTTCAATCTTGGTGAACAACTCTTCCAAGCTTGCCAAGCTTACTTCTTGAGATTAATAAGCTATCCTGGTAAAATGACTGCATAATATACTCAGAATTTTTTTGTTTGTTTTATCAGTTTGTATTTATCTCTGTTCAGCTGACTTTTGCCAACAAGTGTTATTTACTGTGCTCTCTTTATAAATGTTTTACCATTATGTGTTTTGTTTGTTTGGTTTTCTTCTTTTTGATGGGGAAGATGGCGGTGCATAGAAACACAGAAAAATTATTCCATTAATTTCCTTCCATCTTGCTTTTTTCCGGGTGGGAGAGTGTTTTGCTAGGAAGACTTCTCTTTTGCCCACCTTTGATACCTATGCATACACATATTTCTCATCTTGCCAAGGAAACTATCATTATTTGCATCTTTCAAGGCTTTCAAACTTATGAAGAAGGCTGCACCAGGACTGAGTAGTATGAGTTGGTTGACAGGGTGCCTTCATTTTAGTCTTCATCCTATTTGGCAGATATGTTTACTTTTTTTCTAGAAAATAAATTCTTCTTCTTTTTTCAATCTTTTTTGTTTTTTATGGAGTAAGTTTCAGGGCATGGTGTGGAATAAACATTTTGCTCCACTGTCATTTATCACCAGTCTTAAAAATAGGACATTTTCCTTTGCAGGGGACGTGGATGAAGCTGGAAACCATCATCCTCAGCAAACTAACACAGGAACAGAAAACCAAACACCGCATGTTCTCACTCATAAGTGGGAGTTGAACCATAAGAACACATGGACACAGGGAGGAGAACATCACACATCGGGGCCTGTTGCGAGGCGGAGGGAAAGGGAAGGAAAGCATTAGGACAAATACCTAATGCATGTGGGGCTTAAAACATAGATGATGGGTTGACAGGTGCAGCAAACCACCATGGCACATGTATACCTATGTAATAAACCTGCACGTTCAGCACATGGATCCCAGAACTTAAAGTAAAATTTTAAAAAAGGACATTTTAATACAATATTACACAGAAATAAAATCATTCATCTATTACCTAGATTGTCAAGCAAAAATTGTGATATATTTGGATATATTGTATCAAAATAACAAATTTTTAGTCCTGAGTTTCATATAAGAGAAGAAATATTTCAAAGGATAACCCTTAGTGGAAAAGATCTTTCTTTTCCCCTGCCGTTGAAAACATAGTGCTTGAAAGCTATAGTGTATCTCATCTTATAACATGGCTATGATGAGAAGTTTAAGGTAATTATAATACACATACATGTCAGGTTGTCTTTGACCCCCAGGTTTCAACTTTATTAAAACGGAAACCCAGATATTTTCTGAGAAAAAAATCTGCCTTGTAATTTGATGAATCGACCATTGTGTGGGTTAATAAATATTCTAGGCTTGATTTGTGATAAGTCTTCTTCATTTTTTGACTTCTGTGAGGTTTGGCCACCACTAAATCTCACTAGGTTTCTTCTGGGGGAAGTTAGGCCTGCCTTCCTCAGAACCTTCTGCTCTTGTCAGCGAGTCTTCTTCATTCAGTATTCATCCATGACATTGTTTAGGAAGGGTCAGTAGTCTGAGACTTTATCTGTTTGACCCAAGCAAGAGATTGTCAGATCAGAAAAAACAGCCACAGCCCCTTGTCACTGCTCTGGTCATAAGTTTATAGTTCAGGCTTCTCTTTGCAAAGGATCATCAACATCAACATGTTGTTTCCAGGGTCATAAATTTGCAATGTGATGAGACATAACCAGATGTTGCCAAACGTGAATTGACTCATAAAGCAGCCTCTCTCCTGCTCTGTCTTTCTTCCCAACTCAGAGAAGCTGGTGGTCCATTTAATTCTTCATATCTAGCTTGGGGGGCTTGATGGTCCAGAATGAAGTCAATCATTTTCAGTACCAATTATATTTTTCAAGCTGAATACTGGTGTGGTCATTAGCACCTACCCCACAGATATTTTCTGTGACTTGAACTCCTGAATAGAATTTACTGCCATTCTTGGACAGACTTTTGTTTTATCTTTTAGTTGTTGCAATGGTGGCTGTTGTTATGCTGGTGTTCTTTGTATACAGCGATGGGAGAAAATGACATGTCAATCTACAGTCCTTGCTCCCACCCAACATGTATGGCTTGATTTTACATGATTCCAATTATTTCAAATGTGTTAGGACTTGTTTTAATGCCCTAAGATACAGTAAATTTCAATCAATGTTCCAGAAAGTTGTTCTAGATACAGCAAATTTTTGAAGTTGTTTGGGTTTTTGCACATTCCCCAGCATTTCAAAGATTTTAAAAAGTTGAAGCAACTTAGGCCATGGAAGTTAAGCAAATCATACAAGCTCAGACCATTTGTTACTCAAATCCAAGGCTCCAGACTTCTGCTTGGGTGTGTCATTGCACTTCTTTAGGAAACCAATAGTTTATAACCTGGACATAGTAAAAATGTGTAATTGTAATCCTAGCCCTGTAGATATAAAGCTAGGTTAAATTTAAAGCAAAGTTCATTCGAAGTAAAAATAGACTTTAAAAGTCAGGTGTTCTAAGCCTTCATGGTAGATTATTGTTTTTCTAAATTCTAGTTTTCTATTTTATAAAACTAGAATCATAGTAACAATATATCACTGTATCATAATATTATTTGTAAAGCACATCGATTAGGAGTCCTCATAAAAAGTCCTTTGAATTATCTATGAAAAAGGTCTATAATGTTATCTAACTTATAATTTTATGTCAGAATTTTTTTTTATTCTTTTCTGTTCGTTCTTACTCTTGGTGGCATGATTAGGGTTGTTTCAGTAGCAATTGGCTATTCTTTTATGACCAGCAGAGTTAGGAAAGAGTACAAGAGAAAAATAGCTGACATAAGAATCAAGCATCTTTAAGTAAAGTAAGAATTCTACGCCACTTCAATTTTTCAGAAAAAAAAATGCTAACAAGTGATTTATATATTCTGCATTGGTAATTGTTATTGTTTTATTTTATATTATTTATGTTTTTCTTAATTTAAGACTCTTTTACTTCTGCAGGTATGTTTTCTTTAAATAAAGCATCGATTTTGGGAGTTCTTGTTTTCTTCAGATTAAAATCTAAAAATGGTCTTTATTCTGTAATTTTAGTTTTTCTCAGTACCTGAAAAAATTAAATCCAAATTTTATATTTCAGCAATCATTCTTACCTGCAGTTTACAATAAAGTGTGAATACTCTTTATTTGTTTGTTTGTGTTAGTTATTAGACACAACCTTAAAAATCATACGGGAGATTGGCTTTCAGTATTTACATTCAACTAATTTTGAAGAATACAGGAATCCATGCCCATCCCTATAGATTGTGATTTAATTTATTTCTATCCAGGCATAGGTACTTTACAAAAGCTCACAAGTCATTGCAATGTGTAGCTAGGAATGAGAACCATTAATGCAGTACAAACCTTCATTAATGAAATAAGACGAAGAAATTCAAGTTTACTGACATTTTGTACTTTCTCAAAGCAGTCAGCTAGTGCCAGGACCCAGCCCTCCAGTCACTTATTCTATGTTCCTATCTCCCCAAAACAGAATGCAGGAGGAGCCTGTGACTTATTTCTCAAGCATTTCCCAGTAACTTGAACAATATCAGGCACATCAAAAGTACTCAGTAAAACACTTGCTAAATGTTGAAGGAATAAATAATTAAATGAATGTCAGATGGCTCCCCATGTCTCATTTATTCTGTAACTTCATTGAAATAATACTTGTTGCTGAGTGTTGAGACAAGAGTGTCAAGCTTGGTAGAAGCCCAACATCCGCTCATAGATACTAGTAATGTTGTCACATTTTTAAGTAATAGAAGAATTTCCAATTAGCTAAGGAAGTAGAAAAAGAGTGGAAATTTACAATGAAAGGAGGTCAGTATAACATTGAAGGTAGTGCTGAAAGGAGAGGAGTGAGTTTTCTGAACATTTTGGATCCCAGAAAAGATGCTGTAACAGTTTCCATGACCAAATATATAAATGGAATAAATTTATCAATCTGAGTATCAAGAATTCAAAAAGGAAGGCACTCAAGGCTCTCAGGGACCAAGGCCTGTCTATTGTGACTGCTAATCCAAGTGAGTTTGGGTTAAAAGGGGTTAACAGCCCTCTGCTGTAACACATGATTGGTCTTTATGAGGTTGAAGCTCTTGTCTGTTTGAGGCCTACAGATGATGCTAAAGAGCCAATAATGACAGCAATTCAAAGCAATCTAATTATGCAAACGGGAGGCTAAACAATTTCATCATCCTTAAATTAGATTGTCCTAATGAGATAAAGACACCAATTAATCCTGAATTAATTTCAATAGCCTATTTCAGGCAAACACTTTAATATGCAAATGTAAATGAGAAACAAAGCCTACTGTAGAATGCCAGAGTTCAGAACCTCTCTCTTCGCAGCTGCAGCGGGTGTAAATAGTGCCTAATGAGTTTGCATGGAAAGACACAACCAGCCGAAAATTTTAGACTTCATAAAGCACAGCCGGTGCCTCAGGTATACTGGATGTGGTCTGGAGCCAGACATGAAAGGAGGGGGGATTTTGCAGGAGAATGTTATGGTAAGGTAGGTGCACTTTGCTGGAGTCATACATACCATTCTCTAAGCAAAAACAAGGCAGTCCATCCAGCTCAGCGCTCAACTGTGCGATGTGTGCATGTGTGTGTTTGCATGCGTGTAATTGTGTGTGTATATATGTGTGGTGAAGGGGAGATGGAGAAGAGAAATAGTGAAGTGAGGGGAGGTAAGAGGGACGGTGTGAACACACTTTTTAATGAGTTGATATTTAGAGAGCCAAGTTGTCATAACATACATCTGGACAGAAGTCTCTTCTGGACATAAAGTTGGTTTTTAATTAGTGACAACTTAATCATTTTAAATTAGCCATTCCCGACCCATTTAATATTTCTAAATAATTAATTTCCTAAATAAGACATGGGAACTGATTCAAAATCTTAGGAGCTTATGCTGAATTCAAAGGTCTGTGATTTTAATGATATCTGGTTGGGGGACTCTTGAATGGGCTAATTCCTTTTCTAACTACCAAAATATCCCCACAGGTAATAAGCTGGATAATAGTCTCGTCCTTCTAGAAAAGAAAGTGATAGCCGATATTGGGAGTGAATCCAAATCGAAATAAAAAGAAAGAGAATAGTACCCTTCAAGGCTGTCAACATTAACCTAAACAGTCTGGGTTCAGTTTAAGTGAATAAGAAAAATTGGTGATCAATTTCCTTATTATTATGACACTAAGGGTACAAAATAATGCCTGGAATTGCCGTATAAAATATAGAATACTGATGCAATATTTTGGACATACTTATGCTAAAATATAGTTGTTGTTTATCTGAAATTTAAATTTAGCTGGGTGTCCTGTATTTTTATTTGCTAAATCGAGCAATTCTAATAATGCCAGATGCATAACAGGTGTTCAATAAATATTCATTGAACAAATCAAATGAACCTGAAATCAGAGATTTGGAATGCCATTTGCAAAAAGAAAAAGGTGTATAATATATTTTGGGACGTGAGTCCCCATTTTAGGGAGTGGATCAGGACTCAGAACAAGATCCTCTTATTAAAGACAATGTACTCTCAGCCGGGATGTTCATAAAACATGACCACCTCTCTTGAGGTGCCCATCTCATTCAATCTTGACAAGGCAGAGATTGTCCTTCAAAGATTCAGAACTGGGCCTGAGGAACTAGAATTATAAGTTTCCAGTACTTTGAGCTCTAATGTGTAAATTTGGTATTCGAAGGACAGCAGCTACTACCAGGTAGAAGGAATGAAGGAATGTGCTATTATGGTTAATAGTGTTAGTCCTGGAGTCAAACAGGCCCCTTTTCAAAATTTTGCTCTATAATTTAGTCTGGAAAAATTCCTTAGCCTCTCTGAGCCTTAATTGCTTCATCTGTAAAATGGGAGCATTTCATAAGCTTTTCGTGGGCATTAAATTAGCTACCATGTAAATGAAGCACAAAGCAGGTGTGCTCAATAACTGCTAGTAATGAGGGGAGTTTGAGTATTACAGAGTCTACAAACAGAAAAGAAGGAAACTGACTTGCAGGTGAAGCCAAAACAAAAAATGGAAAGAATGTTTCTCATATTCCTTATTATTTCTCCAATTCCATCCATATTACTGGCTTTGCGTTTCTTGACACCTTTATTCCTCTAGCCTCCAGCTTCACTCCAATAATGGCCCCACGCTTGCCCTTTTCTTCTTGGGTTTGATTGATTCTGACTAAAGGAAAGATATTTAAAATGTCATTAGCCTTAGTGGAAATGTAGGCTAATTGTCCAAGCTAGAAGATGCCTTTCAGAAGTAAACTCCCAAGTTTTCTAAGTCTCTGTGACTAAAAGGATAATTAGAAATATCCCATCATTGCCCAGCTTTTTTCTGAACTGCCAAAACATTTTCCTCTTTATCGTTTCTTTCACACTCCTCAGACATAAAATCTGAAAATCCTATCATCATTTTTTAAATTTCTGAGTCATTGTTAGATGGAGTGACTATATTTTACACTGCAAAAATTGTAACATGTGGTCTGACAGCATGAGTATACTTGGGGGACAACAAGGCCAGCTATTTGATATTAAAACTGTTCTGGAAAATCTGAGATATATGGGTTCTTACCTCTAGATATTTTGCTAACCTCTTTGTACGTCTGCTTAACTCTAAGCTATACTCTGGATGTCAGGTGATGAGGGTAGCACTCCCCTAGCATATCCCAGTCCTTTGCAGATCAAAGTATAGTGGTTCTCTGAATAAATCCTGTCTACAATCCTGTCTTCAGTTTATTTCCTTTATCTGTTCAAAGGTAGAGAATTACGGATTACTTGATTTACAGATTTTTTTCCTTGCAAAACCCACACGGGATTTAGTGGGTGTTGGTAAGAGTATTTCTCACAATCTCTTTGGTGCCTAATTTCTGTTGTATTGGTGTCTGGGGAAGTGTTGAGTTAGGGATTCCATCTTAATTAACATTCTATCACGTTCAACAAAACTTGTTAAGGCTACATCTGAGAGCTCCTTTGTCACCAGACTAGGTATCCATAATTCAAAGATAAAGGTAAAACTCATCAAGAGTTTCAGAGTCTAGTAGAGGAGAAATCCTGTTTACAATTTCCTGCAGAACAGTGTGATGCATGTGATAATGCAGTTATGTAGGCAGGTCAAATTTAGCACAACGAAGGGCATAAGAAACTGCCTAAGAGGTATACAGAAGGCTTCTTTAGGAAAACAGTACAGTTTGTCAAGCTAGACAAAACATTTTATGACTCCCAGGTACAAGGAGTGAGGTGATATGATACATGATTATAATTTGCATCAGAAGACAAATGTCATCAATGAATAGATAAACCTAATTACCAATTGATATTTCTGCACTTTTACAAAATCCCATGAAAAATAAGTACCTAGAGAAAAGAGATTAGTAAAGTACTCCTGGTCTCCTCCTCCTCTTCCTCTTTTTCCCTTTGCTCCTCCTCCCCCTCCTCCTCCTTTTCCTTCTCCTCCTCCTCCTTCCTCTTTCTTCTCATTCATCCAGTGGAAAAACTGCTTTAATTTGGCATTTGATAAAGTTGAAAGTGTGGTTATGGGTAGAGGTTGTGAATGGCATCTATAAACAGACATTCTGTATATTTAAGAACAATACTTTTTGCATTAGAAAATAGAGCATTTGTATGAAAAATGTGCTTTGGGTTGCTGAGGGTTATACTCCTGAGTATAACATTGCGCTGTGATCGCACCATAGCCATCCTCATGTTAGTGACTTAATTGACGAACACTGTGTAGTTCTCCTATCCGTAAAAGGAGTTAATACTGGCACAAAAAGTAGTTAAAACTTAAGCTATTGGTAAAGTCAAATAAAATGAAAAACATAAAAGCAGTTTGTAAAATATAAAATGCTACCAAAAAAATGCCAGTAATTTCTTTTCCTGCATAATTATAACAAGCAAATGTAATAGTTATTTCCTTAGAAAGGTGTCAAGGCCCCAGAGCTTAATTTTATTACTCCTAAAATGAAATCATACCAGAATCTATTTCCTTTTACGTGTACGACTCACTACCCTTGCCCCTATTGTACTTTGAACGGACTCTTGTAGAGCTTTAATGAAATGCCAGTCATATTTTAACCATGAATGTGAGATGTTATTCACAGATAACTGTTGTGAGATAAAGTGGGATAGAGTTATGATAACATTTCAGCACATCCTGGCCAGCAGACCAGATAGACTGCTGTTTGATAAACCTAATAAAACAGTAGAGCTTATTGATATGGCTGCTCTACTCGGTTGAAGCTGCCTGAGATTGTCTGTCCTCTGGCATGGAAGCTGAAGCCAAGGTGGAATGGAGTGAAAGCCTAGGGAAGCCAGCTGTCTCAGCAGCTTACGGGGCTCTGATTACTTGATTTGACAGTGCCAGAAATTTGCTATATTTTGGTATTTATTCTGAAGATAAGAATAGCTTCTTGATAAACGCCCTGTGTTAATAGGGGCAATTGGTGTCTTTGATTGAGCTCTGAACACTTGTTGTGATGGTCTCGGCAGGACATTACAGAAAGGGTCGCTGAGACTCTAGTCTACTCAAAACACATGTCGTATTTGTGACAGTTGGAAACATCACATAAAGATGTCTTGGCTAGCTTATTTTTATTCCTTTTTCTTCTACATAAAAGTCTTATGAATTAATTTTATATAGCCACACTAAGAAAGTATGTTAGGTTGTATTAGCACCATAGAATTAATAATAATATATGCTAAATTGTTCATTAACACATTTGTCACCCATGAAAAGCAAATATCATCCGAACAAAGTTCAAATTACATAAACTTAATGATTTATCACCAAAAATCAATGTTTATTTTTCTAACATTCAAACCTGGTTCTTTTCTTCTCTATATCACTAAATAGCATCATTGTCTAACTGGTCTCTCAAGCCCAAGACCCAAGTGTAACCTTTGATTCCAATTCCTTGAATTTATATAACAAATTCATTCAAGTCCTATCTACTTCCAAAATAACACCTATAACCTATTGAGATAGTAAGAAAAATTTTGGGGTCCCAATGGATAGAAGTCCATTTTTACCATTATTTCTTAACTGAACTGAAATGGACTCTTAACTTGGTCATGCATGCTATCCTTTGTTTGTTTGTAATAGCAGCAAGGTAATTTCATTAAAACAGAAAGAGATGATCAGAAGATGTTAAAGTCCTCCAAAGGTATGCCATTAGAATAAAGTCAAAACTACTTACTTTCTCTCCCAATATAAGAAGGTGACTTAGCTTTGATAGTGATTTAGGAGAAGCACTTGACATTCTTTTATTTACGTTACTAGATAATTTCAATGAATGGAGAAGTAGACTTGACCCATTTGATAGGAGCACTTTAAAATCAAGACTTCAAAACAGCCTTATTTTTTAAAACATCTCCATCACATGATATATACTCTTAAAGTGGTTGTGCCAAAGAATCTTGAGTTTAAAAGTCCTATTTCCTCTGTACATAGCTTCATATATTTATCCTTTCATGTTTACTAACTATATTTTTAACTTAAGTAACTTATTATTTTTAGCCATATTAACATAAGTGTTGCTTATAATTACTTGTTATTGAAAAGAAAATTCCAAAGCAGAAATTGTTCTACTTTGGGTATTATTGAAGGATAATCTTATATAGATATTTGTCTGGCCTATTTAAACCAATGAGATTTTCTAGGTTGAAACTACATTAACGCATTGAAGCATTCTATATCTTATTGATATAGTAATAGAAACATTTGGGTCTGAATACATGAGAAGATCATTTACCTCAGTAAACATATTTAACATCTAAAATAATTCTACCATTATGCCGAAAAAAATGAAAGCATGACATAGAACAACTCAAGAAGATAAAGGTTCAATAGCATATCACACCATATGAATTAATTTGGAAACAATACAATTCCCAAGGAGTTGCTCTCTCTTGAAGTCAGTTGTTATTTAAAAAAGAAAAGAAAAGAAAGGAATTGGCAGGAGAAAACCACACAGCGAGTACTGAAATTATTATTAATATTTTTTTTTGTTTTACCCTTCTCTTAGCTCATCCCTAAGGGACTGAAATTATTAAGTGTTTAGTTTGTACCAGGCAGTTTTAAGAACCTTGTAATAATTCTATTATATAGGTGCTCTGATTTTTTCTAATTGTAGACTAAACAACAACAAATGAACTGAGATATTAAGTGTTTTCTCCAAGGTCACAAAGCCACACCAGATGGTCTAGCTCTAGAGCCCTCATTCTTAACCACTGTCCCATATGGCCTGATTATGCAAAAGACTGACAGAGAAAGTAGGAGAATAAAAGAAAGGTGTTAAAATAATGAACTGACCCTATGAAAAATGGAAAGGGCTACAAAAGGGGCATCATCCCTAAGCTAAATAAAAATGTTTTGACACATTATCAGTGACTGATTGGTCCATATTATATTGTACATTTTTGTGTATTTTTATTCTGATATAATTTCAAACTTGAAGAAAAATAGCAAAGTAGCAAGATGAGTATAAGGAATTTCTGTACACTCTTTAAAAAGATTCACAAATTATTTACATTATGGACAATTTGACTTATTATAATGTCTCTCTCTGTCTCTCTCTCTTTCTCATCTGTATCTATTATCTTTCTTCCTGAACCATTTAAAAATACATTAGAAGTTAAGATCACCAACCAGACACAGCCAGGAGAAATATCTGTCACCAAGAGACCAGGACATTGGGAAGACTGACACACTCTGGGCATATCTTCAGAGGAAAGGCATTGAGAGTGGACAGAGGGAGGATCCAGACACTGGGCTGAAGGGGGTGGGAGCTGGGAACCCTACAAAGGGCTACTGAGCACTGAGACTTGTTCCTGTTCCCCAGCGACTCCTAGGGAAGGGGTGAATTGAACAGGTAAGGAGTGGCCAGCTCTCACCATGAACTTTGGCAATCCAGGCAGCAGGAGACTCCACGACCCCCAAGGACACTGGAGCTGGCAGGGAGAGCTGCTTAGAGAAGTGGTAAGAGCAGAACTCCAGCCTGTATGAAGCCCATAGTGTTTGGTACAGAAATGTCTGCAGTGAGGCATGGTTAGCGATGCCCAAGGCACGGTTAGTGAACACCAAGGCTCACCATGCTCCTTTAGGAGACTTTAGCCACAGGGTGACTGTTGGACCTGGACAAACCAGGGCAGTCTTGCCCATGAGAGAGGGCCAGTCCAATCTGAGCACCCCTCAGTCTACTGGTCTCTCTTGGGGTCCCAGCCTGGCCACACTGGCTGGAGGCCCTCAGATGTCCAATCATGGTGCTTCCTGGAGACCCTCAGTATGGCTGCTTTGCTGGCAGACCATGCCTGACTCGGAGAGCTCTAGCAGAGCAGCCCCCACCAACATGCACCACCCCACCTGGACCCTCCCCGAACCACAGCCTCCCTGTGCTACTTTGTTAGCATGCACTCGCCCACAGCCCACCCCACCATTTTGCCAGGGCACACATGGGAAGACTTTGCCTCCCCTTTCCCACTGACACAGGTGCACACATACCCTGCCATGCCACTGCTGCCAGTGTGAGCCTAACCCACCTCCCCCACACACACCCCCCACTGCCACCACTGCTGGTGCAAATGAGCACATGGATGCAAGCAGCCCCACCCCCAACATGCTAACACCACCACTAGTACAAACACGTGTATGACACTTCTAGGTAGATATTTCATAGAAACTTCAATTTCCACAGGTACACAACTTAATTCATCATCTTTCCTCCAAAACCTGTTCCTCTTCTTCTATGCCTTATCTCAGTGAAAAAATAACTACACGTCCAATCATGAAAATAAAAAACCTGGAATTCATCTTAGGTTTCTCTCCTTCTCCCACTCATTCAACCCCTAAATCAAATTACTCACCAGCACCTGTAATTCTGCCAGGTAAATGCCTCTCAAATCGGTCATTACCTCTACACTTTACTATCAAAACCTGAATTCAATCTCCCAACATATTTTTCCTTGATTGTTATTGTATTCTCCTAATAATTTTCTCTACCTTTAGTTTTACCGGTTTCCAGCACTTTCTCCACATTTTGACAAAATTGCCTTTCTAAAATGCTTATCTAGGGGAGCCATGTCACTCCTCTGCTTAAAAGTATACAGTGGTTCCCTCACAGTTTTCAGGATAGTGTTCAAATTCCTTAGCACACCACCCAAACATGAGGTCCTTCACAGTTTAGTTCAAGCCTTCCTCTTTGCACTTATCTCCTGTGAATTTTCAACAAATGGTTTTGCTTTTATAGCAATTGTGGCCATATGTTTTATGTCTCAAGGGTCCTGCATATGCTGTAGCCTTCACAAAGAATTCCTTTGTATCGCTTACTCCCTTTAATTGTGCTAAATCCTAATAATTTTTCAAACTCAGCTCCAATGGGTTCTTATCTAGAAAGGATTTCTTACCCTTCTGCTACCCTACTTATTTAATGACACACACTCGACTTGTCTGGTCTCACATATCACCCCAGACATACTTTGATTTCCATCAAATTGTACTCAATTTATTAATTTATTTGACTATTCTATGAGACTGAAGATTGTTGAGAATAGGACTATTACATTTTCTGGATTTGTATCCCCAGTGACTAATATGATACCTGGCAAGAAATAGGTAGGAAATGAATTCTGATAAGTTAGTGAGTGAATGCATAGATATTTAAATATTAATGAACACTAAAAAGATGAAATTAAAGTATTGGAAATATAGCTGGTGTTGTAGATTAATAATATTCAAAGTATTGCACGAGGAAAGGATGCCTCAGAAAAATAATCCTAAGGTTGTGCCTAGTATCCTAGCATTATGACTTGTTACAACTGAGTTTTAGAAAATGTTAGGAAAACTAAAACACACTATCTATGTTCTATCCAAGTAGAACTAGAGAGCCTGGCAAACAGTGAGTTTCAGAATATTTGAACTCGTGTTGATTATTCAAAAAATACATAAAAACACGGATTACGCCTAAATACAGCTGGACAGATAGATTCATCATTAGCCAAAGAATTTTACCTAATGAAGAGCCAATCCAAAGCAGGAACAAATATGTGCCTCCCTTTCTACAGTTGTGGTGCTACTAACACACAGAGAGAAAGTCCGAATGGTAGCAAATCCACCAATGAGTATTATCAGCTAAGTTTGGCTGGTGATATCTTGAATTTGACATTCTAATGTGATATCAAGAAAAACATTAGAAAATTTAGAATTAGCATTCAGGGAAGAAACCACAGCTGATGGCTTAGGTTTGATATTTTTTAATATATTTTTATATACCTTTATGTGTGTGTGTGTGTATATATATATTATATATAATATATATATTATATATATATTTTATATATATATATATATAATAGCCAACAAATCATGTTGCTCCAATATTGTAAAGTCTTGCCATTTCCTGGCTCTATAGATATACTTGAACTTTAAATTTTAGCTTTTCCAACATTTCCTAGAAGTCAGTTGTGGCTAACCAAGCCTAAGAGTCAGAAATTATAGCACAAATGACACAAGTGAGTGTTTACTCAAATAAATAAAATCACTATGTGAATCACTACAGAAAGAGAAGAGAAAACTACTGACTAAATCTTGGAATAATCCCAATTTTGCTGGAAAAAGCACAAAAAGGAGATAGCAAAAAGAAGTGTTGGAATATTTTATTTAAGATAAAGAGTACATTATCATGAAACATAAAAGAATAGGAACTTCATGTAGAATGACCAAGTTTAGTTTCAGAAACTAAGGAAGTGTAGAAATTATAAACACTGAAGAAAGGTCATAGATTTCTATAATCAGAAGATTAGTGATGACCTTCAAAAGAGCATCTTGTTCTCCTCAATTTGGCAATTGAGTTTGATTGCTAGCCAACTCAGGTGGTCATAAAAGATTTGTATGTGACCTGAAGTATCACTAAGATCAGTTGGAAAAAAGTGTTGTCAAACAGTATTACCACAAAAGGTCAATTCCTCAATGCCCTTATGCATTTTATTGTCAAGACGAAATACAGTAACTGTTGCTAATGGGCATTTGGTTTGAGCCTCCATTTCTGAATGCATTAATTTGTGACTTTTAGCTTCTTTCTCAAAGTAGCCTTTTTTAAAATTAAAGCAGATATTTTATTTTGATAAATCATTTATGCAAATAACTTTGTTGTGATATAAGAGTTGTATGGATATCAATGTTTTTAGTGCTACAGATTTGATCACTTGTTTTTGTGAGCTGAATGTAAATAAGCACTTTGTCCAAATCAACAAGTCAACATTCAGATTTTCTACTCAGTTTCAAGGGGCACTGCATATCTCTCTGTTTCTCTACAGACAGTTACATATGTGTATCTGCATAGATGATGACGTGTGTGTGTGTACACATTAGGACTTTTACTTCAGTATGTGTTATGAGTCATCGTTTCATCTACAACAGTTGCACAGCTTTAAGGATTTTCTGGAGCTCAAACATTCTGTGTGTGTGGTAAGTGCCAATGTTTGGTTACAAACATCTAAATCCTAAAACCTAACTGAAGTCAATAAGTATATGGTTTTGGTTTTATTTTTTAAAAAATGCTACATACTTTAACTTTGTAAAAATGACCCTTGGGAAACAGGAAATGACCCGGGAACATTTTCTTCCTCATTCCATCCCAGACGTCTCTCTAAAGTAGATTTGTAAGGCCAACTTTTTGAAACCCAGTCATATATAGAATGCTGGAAAAAATGCATTTTCCCCTTTGAAAATGTCACAGGGCATCCAGGCAATCTCTTTTACTTTTATCTTGGCAAACAAATGTCCACTGATCAATATAAATGAGGAAAAGGCACATAAACATCAATAGAAAATGACTTTTGTGAAGTACATTTTGATTCATGGCACGGAGTGGCCCTTACCAAGTTGTGTTCTATTATCAGCTTAAAAGAAGAAGATATCATAAAAGCGGCCTCCAGATGACTGTCATTTTCAAGTAGGGTGTTCTTAAGTTTTAGACTTCTGCCACCTCAGAGATAAATGACTGGCTGCCCTTGACTGACCCTGTCTTTAAAGAAGGAAATGCTGTCTTTACAGACACAGGAATGTATCCTGAAAAACTCTGAAAGACATAGCATTTAGAGACAATTTTATTTCTTTATCAACTGATAGTTCTCTATTTCACTTCTCAGGTTTTTATCACTTGCTGGCATATGTGTTGAAATGAGATCATGAGGTCTCAGCACTCTTTTTCCTTGGCCTCTTAAAGACTTACTCTATTGAAAGTGCAATCTCGTACTTAGCGGAGGTAGCAAACATTATGATGTCGCACCCCCAAGGGCAATACCTGACATTGTGCTTGATCAGCAGTCTGGCATTATTATTTAACAATAACATCCTATTTTCCTCACCATATTTTTAATGATAAGAGAGTGAATAGCAGTTCTGTGATATGCAACCACTGATGGGATTGTTTAGAATTTTGCCATGTAATGACAAATATTTCATGAAAATCTAGCTAAGAAAGTTGAAAAAAGTATTACCCGTTTCAGTGGCTGTCATGGGACCAAAATAACCTTAGTTATTTTAATTAGTTTTGAGAGTCAGAATAAAGAATAGTTGATATCTTGACCTGGAAAGCCAGAGTGGTTGGGTTAAACTCCTCAGTTTAACCCTAACTAGTTATGTGAACTTGGGTGAGCTCTTTAACTCTTGTGTGCCTCAGTAACCTCAAACGCAAAATGAAGATAACGAGAGGACCTATTGATAATGTTGTTGTGAGAGGACCTAGTTATAAGCAGTCTGAATAGTGCTTTTAACATTTTCAGTGTTCAGTATCTGTTAGCTGTTGCATTCTTCATCCTTATTATTATTATTATTATAGAAAGTTCAAGCACATTTTATTTTCAAGTAGAACTTCCCTAAAAAGTAATTAAGCTAAACCCTAAGTTCCAAATGTTGAAAATTACCTATGTCCTAAGAGCATTTTTACAATTCAAGAGTTTTATGTCCAATATCTATGATCAGAGCTTGACAATTGCTAAAGAAACTGCTTCTAAATCCTGCCAACATCTGCTTCATTCCTATTTTCCATTCAGCTTTAGTAAACCCTATCTTTGGAATGAATGATACGAGGTTTACATGCTTCTTTTTGTCATTGTTTTAAAACACAAAACTTCATGTTGGTGGTATGGTGTAGGGAAGTTTTTTAAAAAAGATGTCTTCACACTTGGCCCATAATAAGGATGATATTTTAAATCATGATCTAGCACACACATATGTGTGTGCAGAGACACTGCTAACTTATGTGATAATTTCTGAATATTCAATGAAGTTGTTCCCTCTGGATGGGCAAATTAGAAAAAAGATGCCATTTCTTGCAGACATAGGCCCTCTGGACCATGACACTGCACATGGGAAGATGGCTGTATTTGTTTCCCATGACCCATAGCTGGGTGCCTCTGTGGAGTACCCAAACTGCATAACCATATTGAAACTATGTATGTGTATACATTTCTCTAACAAATGTTTCACTCAAAAAATAATCATCCTTACTTTGTGGAATGCCTTTAACAGTTTCTGGCTTTTTTATTTTAGTATTTCTTTTTAATTTTTACAGGTACATAGTAGGTATATATATTTATGTGGTACAGGAGATGCTTTGATACAAACATGCAATGTGAAATAAGCACATTATGGAGAAAGGGGTATCCATCCCTTTGAGCATTTATCCTTTGAGTTAAAACAATTCAATTGCACTCCTCAAGTTATTTTAAAATGTACAATTAAGTTATTATTGACTATAGCCACACTATTGTGCCATCAAATAGTAGGTCTTATTCATTCTTTCTGTTTTTTTTGTACCCATTAACCATACCCACCTCCCCGCTATACCCCCACTACCCTTCCCAGCCTCTATCTGCTACTACTATCATTCTACTCTCTATGTCCATGAGTTCAATTGTTTTGATTTTTAGATCCCACAAATAAGTGAGAACATGTGATGTTTGTCTTTCTTTGCCTGGTATATTTTACTTAAAATAATGACCTCCATGATGTTGCAAATGACTGGAGCTCATCTTTTTTATGGCAGAATGGTACTCCATTGAGTATATGTACCATATTTTCTTTATCCATTCACCTGTTGATGGACACTGAGGTTGCTTCCAAATCTTAGCTATTGTAAACACTGCTACAACAAACGCAGGAGTGTGGATATCTCTTTGAAATCTGATTTCCTTTCTTTGGGATATATACACAGCAGTGGGATTGCTGGATCATATGGTAACTCTATTCTTAATTTTCTGAGGAACCTCCAAACTGTTCTCCATGGTGTTTGTATTAATTTACATTCCTACCAACAGCATAAGAGGGTTCTCTTTTCTGTATATCCTCACTAGCTTTTATTATTGCTTGTCTTTTAAACATAAGCCATTTTAACTAGAGCAATATGATTATTTCATTGTAGTTTTAATTTGCATTTCTGATGATCAATGGTGTTGAGCAGCTTTTCACATGCCTATTTGCCATTTGTGTGCCTTCTTTTAAGAAATGAGGCTCACACCTGTAATCCTAGCACTTTGGGAGGCCAAGGCAGGCAGATCACCTGAGGTCAGGCATTCGAGAACAGCCTGGCCAACATGGCCAAAACCCATCTCTACTAAAAATACAAAAATTAGCTGGTTGTAGTGTTGCATGCCTGTAATCTCAGCTACTCAGGAGGCTAAGGCAGGATCATCGCTTGAACCCAGGAGGCAGAGGTTGCAGTGAGCTGAGGTTGCACCACTGCACTCCAGCCTGGGTGACAGAGCGAGACTCTGTCTAAAAAAAGGAAGAGAAATGTCTGTGCAGATCTTTTGCCCATTTTTTATTAGATTGTGAGATTTTTCCCTTTAGAGATATTTGAACTCCGTATATATTCTGGTTATTAATCCCTTGTCAGAGAAGTAGTTTGCAAATATTTTCTCCCATTCTGTGAGTAGTCTCTTCATTTTGTTGATTGTTTCCTTTGCTGTGCAGAAACTTTTTTAACTTGATGTGATCTCATTTGTTTATTTTTGCTTTGGTTACCTGTGCTTGTGGTGTACTGCTCAAGAAATCTTTGCACAGACCAATGACCTGGATAGTTTCCTTGATGTTTTATAGTATTATTTTCATAGTTTGAGGTCTTAAATGTAAATGTTTAATCAATTTTGATTTGATTTTTGTATATGGTGAGAGGGATCTAGTTTTATTCGTCTGCATATGAATATCTAGTTTTCCCAGTCCCATTTATTGAAGAGACTGTCTTTTCCCCAATGTATGTTCTTGGCATCTTTGTCAAAAATGAGTTCACTATAGGTGTGTGGATTTGTTTCTGGGTTCTGAATTCTGTTCTATTGGGCTGTGTGTCTATTTTTATGCCAGTACCATGCTGTTTTGGTCACTATAGCTCTGTAGTAGAATTTGAAGTCAGGTAATGTGATTTCTCCAGTTTTCTTTGGAAGGGAAGAGGGGGGGTGTTGTTTTTTAGTTAGTTTGTTTGTTGTTCTTGTTTTTCTGCTCAGGATAGCTTTGGCTATTCCAGATCTTTTGTGGCTCCATATACATTTTAGGATTTTTTGTTGTTGTTTGTTTTTCTTGTTTTTTTACTCAGGATATCTTTGGCTATTCTGGATCTTTTGTGGTTCCACATACATTTTAGGATTTTTTTTTCTATTTCTGTAAAGAATGTCATTGGTATTTTGATAGGGGTTGCATTAAATCTATAGCTTTCTTAGGTAGCATAGACATTTTAACAATATTAATTTTTTCAACCCATGAACATGGAATGTTTCTGGGTTGAAAGAATAACAATTATACCAATGACATTTCTTGATGTCCTCCAATTATTTTCATCAAGGTTTTGTGGTTTTCACTACAGAGATCTTTTGTTTTTTTAGTTAGGTGAATTCCTAGGTATTAAATTTTATATGTGGCTATTATTAACGGGTAAATGGGATTCCTTATTTTTTTATTTCTTTTTCACATTGTTCTCTGTTGGCATATAGAAATGCTACTGACTGTTGTATGCTGATTTTGTATCCTGCAATTTTACTGAATTTGTTTATCAGTTCTAATAGATTTATTTCTTGTGGAGTCTAAGTTTTTTCCAAATATAAAATCATATCATATGTAAACAAGGAAAATTTGACTTTTTCTTTTCCAATTTCAGTGCCCTTTATATCTTTCTCTTCTCTGATTGCTCTAGCTAGGACTTCCAGTACTATGCTGAATAACAGAGGTGACAGTGTGTATCCTTGTCATGTTTCAGATATTAGAGGAAAGGCTTTACGTTTTTCTGCATTCAGTATGATACGAAATATGGGTATGTCATAGATGGCTTTTATTATGTTGAGGTATGGTCCCTCTATCCCCAGTATTTGTTAGGGTTTTTATCATGAAGGATAACATTTATCTGATGCTTTAAAATTTATCTGATGCCTTTTCAGCATTAATTGAAATGATCATATGCTTTTTTTCCATTCTGTTGATATAATGTATCACATTGACTGATTTGCATATGTTGAACCATCCTTGCATCCCAGGGATAAATCCCACTTGGTCATGATGAATTATCTTTCTAAAGTATTGTTGAACTCAGTTTGCTAATATTTTGTTAAGAATTTTTTGCATCAATATTCGTCAGAGATATTGGCCTATAGTTTTTTTTGTTTGTTTTTAATGTGTCTTTGTCTGGTTTTTGTATTCAGGGTAATACTGGCCTTATAGAAAAGTTTGAAAGTATTATCTCCTCCTCTGTTTTTTGAAATAGTTTGAGTAGAACTGGTATTTGTTCTTCTTTAAATATTTGGTAGAATTCAACAGTGAAGCCATCAGGTCTCCAGGCTTTTCTTTCCTGGGAGACATTTTGCTATGGCTTTGATCTCATTAATTGTTATTGGTCTCTTCAGGTTTTAGATTTCCTCACAGATAACTCTTGGTAGGCTGTATGTTGGTAGAAATGTTTCAATTTCTTCTAGATTTTCCAATTTATTGGCATATAGCTGCTCATAGTACTAATGATTATTTGAATCTCAGCAGTGTCAGTTGTAATGTTTCCTTTTTCATTTCTGATTTTATTTATTTGGATATTCTCTCTTTTTTCTTAGTCTGGCTAAAGGTTTGTCAATTTTGTTTAAGTTTTCAAAAAAGTAACTTTTTGTTTCATTGATCTTGTATAATTTTTTTGTTTCAATTTCATTGATTTCTGCTCTGAACCTCACATTTATTTTCTTCTACCAATTTTGGGTTTGGTTTGCTCTTGCTTCTTTAGTTTTTTTTAAGATGCATCAGTAGATTTTTCAATTATAGCTATAGTTTATAGCTGTAAGTGCCTATATCAAAAAAGAGGAAAGATAATATTTTCCTCTTAGTACTGTTTGTGCTGTATCCCTTAGGTTTCAGTATGTTGCATTTCCATTATCACTTATTTCAAGAAATTTTTCAATATTCTTCTTAATTTCTCACTGACCCACTGATCATTCAGGAGCATATTGCTTAATTTTCATATATTTTTACAGTTTCCAAAATTCCTCTTGTTATTAATTTCTAGTTTTATTCTATTGTGGTCAGAGAAGATGCTTGATATTATTTCAACTTTTTTGAATGTTTTACAACTTGTTTTGTGACCTAATATATGGTCTATCCTTGAGAATAATCCATGTGCTGAGGCAAAGAATGTGCGTTCTGCAGCTCTTGGATGAAATGTTCTGTAAATATTTCTTAGATCCATTTGATGTATAGTGCAGATTAAGTCTGATGTTTCTTTGTTGATTTTCTGTCTGGAAGAGATCTTCCATGTCTAATGCTGAAAGTGGGATATTCAAGTCTCCATCTACTATTGTATTGGGGCCTCTCTCTTTACCTCTAATAATATTTGCTTTATCTATCTGGGTGCTCCAGTGTTGGGTGCACAAATATTTCAAATTGTTATGTCATCTTGCTAAATTGACACCTTTATTATTACCTAGTGGCCTTCTTTGTCTCTTCTTATAGTGCTTGTTTTGAAATCTGTTTTGTCTGATATAAGTATAGTGACTCCTGCTTCTTTTTGGTTTCCACTGGCATGAAATTTCTTTATTTTCTTCACTTCTTTATTTTCAGTCTGTGTGTGTCTTTAAGGTGAAGTGTGTTCTTGTAGGCAACAGATCAATTGCTCTTGTTTTTTCATCCATTCAGTTAGTCTGTGTTTTTTGATTGGACAGTTTAGTCCATTTACATTTAATGTTATTATTGATAAGTAAGAATGTACTCCTGCCATTTTGTTGTTTTCATGTCTTCTATTCCTTCTTATTTTTCTTCTCGTCTTCCCCTAATGAAGGTGATTTTTCTCTGGTGATGTGATTTAGTTTTTTGCTTTTAATTTTTTGTGTATCCGTTGTATGTTTTTTGGTTTGAGGTTACCATAAGACTTGCAAATATCATCTTATAAGCCATCTTTTCAACCTGATAACAACTTAACACTATTTGCATAAACAAACAAGCAAAAATAAAACTAATAAAACTCTATGCCTTAAGTCTTTCCTCCCACTTTTTAACTTTATGTTGTTTCTATTTGTACCTTATTGAACTGACTATGTCTTGAAAACTTGTGGTTATCATTCTTGACTGGTTCATTGTCTAGTCTCTCTACTTAGGATAAGTGTAATTTATACACCACAGTGACAGTGTTATAGTATTCTGTGTTTTTCTGTGTAATTAGTATTACCAGTGACTTTTTTTTTACCTTCGAGTGATTAATTATTGATTATTAATGTCTTTCTGACTGAAGTACTTTCTTTAACATTGCTTGTTAAGACAGGTCTGGTGTTGGCAAAATCTCTCAGCTTTTGTTTGTCTAGAAAGGTCTTTATTTCTCCTTCATGCTTAAAGGATATTTTCACTAGATATAGTATTCTGGGGTAAAAGGTTTTTTTCCTTCAACACTTCAAATTTTTCATGCCACTCTCCTGGCCTATGGAGTTTCCACTGAAAAGTCTTCTGCCAGACTTATTAGAGATCCACTGTATGCTATTTGTTTCTTTTCTCTTATTGCTTTTAGAATCCTTTCTTTATCCTTGACCTTTGGGAGTTTGATTATTAAATGCCTTGAGGTAGTCTTCCTTGGGTTCAGTCTGCTTGGTGTTCTATAACCTTCTTGTACTTGGATATCGATATCTTTCTCTAGGTTTGGAATGTTCTCTGTTATTATTCCTTTGAATAAACTTTCTACCCCCATCTCTTTTTCTACCTCCTCTTTAAAGCCAGTAACTCTTAGATTTACCCCTTTGAGGCTATTTTCTAGATCCTGTAGGTATGCTTCTTTTTTTTAAGTTTCTTTTATCTCCTCTGACTGTATATTTTCAAATAGCTTGTTTTCAAGTTTATTAAATCTTTTTTCAGCTTGATTAATTCTGGTTCTAAAGGACTCTGATGCATTATTCAGTATGCCAATTGCGTTTTTCAACTCCAGAATTTCTGCTTGATTCTTTTTAATTATTTAAATCTCTTTGTTAAATTTATCTGATAGGATTCTGAATTCCTTCTCTGTTATCTCAAATTTCTTTGAGTTTCCTCAATACAACTATTTTGAATTCTTTTTCTGAAAGTTCACATATCTCTTTCTCCAGGTTGGTCCCTAGTGCCTTATTTAGTTCATTTGGTGAGGTCATGTTTTCCTGGATGGTGTTGAAGCTAGTTGATGTTCTTTGGTATCTGAGGATTGAAGAGTTAAGTATTTTTTGCAGTCTTCATTGTCTGGGCTTATTTGTAGCCATCCTTCTTGGGAAGGCTTTCCATATATTTGAAAGGTCTTGGCTGCTGTGATCTAAGCTGTATCTGCTGTAGGGGACACCCCAAGCTCGATAATGTTTTGGTTTTATGGTTCTTGTAAATTCATAAAGGTACTGCCTTTATGACCTTGGACAAGATCCGAAGAATTATTTGGATTACTAGACAGAGACTCTTGTTCTTACCAAACATACAGGGTCTCTCTCTCTCTCTCTCTCTCTCTGTTCTGAGCCACTTAAAGCTAGGGGTGAACTGACACAGGCATCCCTGTGGCCACCACCACTATTACTGCATTGAGTAAGACCTGAAGCCAGCATAGCACTGGGTCTCACCCAAGGCCTGCTGTGACCATTTCTTAGCTACTGCTACATTCAGCAGTGGGACTGTACAATCAGCAGGTGGCAAAGCCAACCAGACCTGTGTCCTTCTCTTCAGGTCCCCCAGGTCCTGGATGGGTCCAGCAGTGCCATTCAGGAGTTAGGGACTAGAGTCAAAAACCTTTGAAGTCTACCTGGTATTCTACTGAACTGCACTCAAACAAGATGCACTCCTTCCCACTCTTCCCTCCCCTTTTCAAAGGCAGAGCAGACTCACCCCCTAGCCACTGCCAACCCAGGCCACAAGGAGAACTGTCAGACTACTGCAGATGTTTTCTTTGTGGCAAGGTTTGTGGGCACTCAATTTCAGACATCTGGGATCAGCAATTCCCCTCTGGCTAAGGCTAGTTTAAATGCTGCCTTTACTTTCTGTTCTTTTTTTCTTTTTTTTAGACAGAGTCTCGCTCTGTCACCAGGCTGGAGTGCAGTCGAGCGATCTCAGCTCACTGTCACCTCTGCCTCCCAGGTTCAAGTGATTCTCCTGCCTCAGCCTCCTGAGTAGCTGGGACTACAGGTACACACCACCACACCCAGCTAATTTTTATATTTTTTGTAGAGACGGGCTTTCACCACGTTGGCCAGGAAGCTCTCAATCTCTTGACTTAATGATGTGCCTGCCTCGGCCTCCCAAAGTGCTGGGATTACAGGCATGAGCCACCACGCCCGGCCTTACTTTCTGTTCTAACAGGACAACACTGAGTTGAGTGCCTCACAGTTGCTGTGTTCTCCCTCAACCAGCACCCAGAGATACTCTCCATACCAGGCTGCCACTGCCTGGGGTGGGAAAGTTGTGGCATCCACAATTCAGGACTGTTTTTTTCTATCTCTTCAGTCCCTTTTTCAGCAATATGAAGTTAAAACCAGGTACTATGAGTTCTCACCTAATTTTTGGTTTTTAGGAAGGTGTTTTTTTCTGTGTAAATAATTGTTAACTTGATGTCCTTGCTGGGGTAACAATCGAGGGTGCTTTTTATTCTGCCATGTTGCTCCATCTCCCTTCTCTGCCATTTTAAATATGGGGTGGAACCCCTGAACTTATTTTGCAACTCACTGCAGAGTCACTATTTGAAATTTGGGAAACATTGTAACAGGGATAAAGAAAAGAGGGCTCTACAACCAGAAAACATTGAAAAGACTCCAATTCTATAGTTTATTAGCTGTGCCCTTGGGCAAGTTTCTTAGCCTTCCTTGGCCTCAGTTCCCCTCTCCATAAAAAAATGGACATATAAGAGTATGGCCTTTATAAGGCTGATGAGAAAGTAAATGAGTTAATATATTTAAGACACTTAGAAGGAGGTCTGTCACATAGCAGCTATGTTAGCTACTTTCCTAATAATAATTGACAATTATATGTTCATTGAACTCCCTCTTCAAAACCAATTCTTTCTGTAATACTGCATTGCTGAGTGGTACGAAGGAAAGTAGAGCATGGGGATGTGGGAATGGAATAGCAGCAGTAGCCACCCAATGTTCCCAAAAGTTTGGAAGAAACTACACTGTCACAGGAAAACTTTGCTGTAAAATATCCTGTTTCTCCTCAAAAGGAAACTTACCAAAACTTATGAGATTTGCCTCATGAACTCATATGACTTTGTATATGACAGTGTGCTATAAACTGTAGAGTGCTATGCAAATATTTACAATGACTATTCAACAAGCATTTATGAAACAATTGCTTGGGTAAAGCATTGTGCACTCTGCTGGGGATGAAGAGGCTGTATTCTTGAGAAACTAGACTTGTAAATAATTATAACACTAAAATGGCTGAAATTTAAAGGCATAAATGAGGCCCTATAGACACTAGAGATAGGCCCTATGTCTATTATATATAATAGATATTAGCCCTATTTCCATAATAAATGTTGCAAGTGTGTTCTCCTAGTTTGTAATTTGCCTTCTGACATTACTTATAGTGTTGTCTGCCATGCAAAAGATGTTCAGTTTTTATAGTCAAATTTATTAATCTTTTCTTGAGTTGCACCTGAACTCTAAGTCCTAATTAGAATGCCCTCTCTATGCTCAAGTCATAAAGAAATTCAACCATGTTAACTTTTAGCATATTTATAGTTTCATTTAAGTTAAAGTTTCTAATCCTTTAAGAGCTGATTTCTGTGTATATATAGTGTGATAAATAGTTGTTTATTTCTTTATCATGTCTTTCAAATGACTATTAAATTGTCCCAAAACATTTATGAAGAAGTTTCAACTTTGCCCTAGTGATTTGGAATGCTGCCTTTATCACTTGAGTCTATTTATGAACTCTCTCTCTATTCTATTTTATTAATTACTTATTGAGGTACCAGTAGTACTATACTGTTTAAATTAGGACTTTGTATAATGTTTTAATATCTGATCATTCCTCCTTTCCAGGTTTTCCCCAGATATCCCTGTGTATTTATTTTTCATATAAACTTTAATTCAGTTTTCTAGCATCATAAAAACTTGTGGTGTTTCATATTGAGATCACCTTAGACTTATAAATTAACTTAAAGAGAACTGACCTCCTGATAATGCTGAGATAGTCTGTCGAAGAATAAGGGATATTTCTCCATTTGTGTATATAGGAGTGTTTTAAATTTTCTTAATAAAGGTTTTGAACATTTTTTGTTAAGTGCATATTTAAGCATTTCAACTTTTCTTGTTGATGCTACTATAAATGAGGTTTTTTTCCTTCCAATATATTTTCTTATTAGCTATTGATTTTACATGTAAATTTATATCTTTATATTTTGCTCAGTTCTTTTTTTTTGCTATTTGTTTGGATTAGCTTTGCCACTGATTCTCAAGGTCTAGTTTTGTGTTTCCTCTACCCCCACTCCCCAGTAATGTCAAGTCATCTGCAAATAGAGGCAGCCCTCTTTCTTTTGCAGTTCTTATGCCTCTAGTGTTCTCTCTTTTCCACTTGCATTGGCTAATCCCCTCAATATACTCTTAAATAATAATAAGGTTAGTGGACATCCTTGCCTTTTTCCTGGCCTAAGTGGGAATGCTTCTAATTTTTCCCATATGTACAATGTTGGCTTTGGGATTTAAAAGGTATCTATCCATTTCTATGTTCACAGTGTTTTTATAATAAATATATTGAATTATTCTAAGGCTTTTTCAGCATCTACAGAAGATAATTTTGATTTTTTGTTTACTTTAGCTGTATTAAGATGATATGTTATAGAGTACGTTTCCTTATGATGAACCATGTTTGCATTTTTTATTTAAATTTCACTTAGCTATAGTATATTATTTTTTACAATTTGGTGTTGGAGTTTGCTGGCTAATACATTATTTAAATTTTTTCATCAATTTCATAAGTTGTATAATTCTGGAATTTTATTTATTTAGCTATATTTATCCAGTTTAAGTATATAAATGTTACAGTTGCTTCATAAATGAATATAAGAGTTTCTTGTTTAATTTTCTACGCTTTGAAATAATTTATTTAACACTGGAGTAATCTGGTCTCTAAAGGCTTGACAGAATTTCCCCTGAAATAACCTGAGCCTGGTGATTTTGTTTATGTCTTGTTTTGTTTTCTTTTTGGTGGCCTAACTCTTGATAATGTTTTCAATTTCTTCTGTGGCAAAAGGAGTTTTAAGTTTTCTGACTCTAATATAGTCAATTTTGTTTGATATATTTTCCTAGGAAATTATCTATGCTATTTTGGTATTCAAATTTATTTGTATACAATTGTATAAAACTAACTGATAATGTTTTTTACCAATTTCCTTTGTACCAATAGTTATTTCTCTTTTATCATTTCTTGTTGTCTCTATTTGTGTATTCTCCCTTGTATCTTGACTACATGGACTAGTGGTTTGTCTATTTTGTCCATTTTTTCAAAGAAACAAGATTTTGATTTATTGATTTGTTCTTCCGTTGTCCTGTTTTCTACTTCACCAGTTTGTTTCATTACTTTTTTGGTACTTTCTCTTAATTTACTATGTTGTTCTAGACTTTCTAGATTCATGAGTTGGAAATTTAATTTTTTATTTGTATTGTTTTATTTGCATTTATATAGGTGCTTAAGTCTGTGAATTTTCCTCTAATCACAGCTTTAAATTTATAAATTCTGTTTTGTAATATTTTCATCATTATTTTAACAATATTTTGTAATTTGTAATTTGTATTTTCCTTTTAATCTAGTTTTTAATTAACTTTAACTTACCATATAAAGCTCTTCTTCTTAAACTTAATATTTTTGATTTCTTTTCTTGCTATATTGTGATTAGACATTGTCATTTGCAATGTTTTTATTTTATGAAAATTAATGATTTTCATGATCAATTTTTGTCACTGTTTTATATACAACTGAGAAGGTGTATGATATGTTCCCTGTTTTTACAGTGTTTTACACACACACACACACACAAACACATACACATACACACATCCTCAATGTTAGTCTAGATTGATTATATCATTTGTATCTTCAGTATCCTTAGGGATTTTTTATTTTATCCATTTGACCTGTCATAGACTGACAGTGGTGTTCAAGTCCCCTTTTATTAATATGTTTCCATTGATTTCTCCTTAAGTAGTGTGGAGTTTCTGCTTTAGGTCATTGGCATTTTATTGGTGCAGAAATATTCATAAGTATAATATCTTCACTGAAAATCATTATTTTTAGCATTTAGAATGTTCTACTTTATTTCAATTTGTGCTTTTTGACCTGTAGTCTGTTTTGTCTGATAACAGTGTCATGAAATCTGCTTTCATTTTTCCCCATTTGTCTGACATATCTTTGCACATCCCTTTAATTTTTGTCATTATGAATCACTTTATTTCAGGGCTGCCTCTATACAATATAAATTTGGTTTTTCTCTACTTGTCAGTTTTTAAACCTTTTTGTTTTTATTATGACAGTAAAGTCCATTTAGTTTTATTAATGATGTTAATACATTTGTTCTCAAATCTTGCCATTATTTTATATTTTAATTACTGTGTATATTATACTACATTTACTATGTTTCTAAGTGGTATGTTTTCTCTGCTGTCTTTCTATCTCTCTCTTTTTTGGGTATTGAAGGTTTATGTTTTAATTCTAGTGTTTATAATTATATCTGTACATTTTCTAGTGGCTCTAGTCCACCTCCTTTTTTTTTCTTATTCAGTATTTTACTAACTGTTTTTTCATATATAGTATTCTTTGACTCCTGTCCATCAACTTTATAATAAGTTATTTTATTCTATTTTATCCTTTATTTCCCTTCTACTCATATTTTTAGTTATATTTCTATTTTGTCATAACATGTAATATTTATATATTATGATTTTAAACCTGTCTTCACCTTTGTTTTAATTTTGAATCCATAGTTACAGATGACAAATGCTCATCATTTCACATTCTTGCTTTCATCCCTTGGTAAATGAATCTCATCCTTTAGTATCTTGGTTGTATGAAGTGTTCCTGAATATAGTATTCTCTGAGTTGTTCTATGCTTAAAATTGTTTATCCATATCATTGAGTTCTAAAGAATAAATTAGCTGCATATAAAATTGTGGTTCATATTTTCTTTCCTTGAGATTCTTGAAAATGTTTACCACAGTTGCCTTATATTAAGTGCTGCTCTTGTTTCAAGATTCTGGTGCTAATCAAATTGTCTTTTTTCATCTAATGGTTTACTAAAATATGTCCTAGAGTTGACTATTCTGTGTCAATTTTCTCTGATACTTAATGGGCTCTTGTTAATATGTGCATTGTGATTTTTGCCTTATTTCAATATTTTCCTGAATTATAATAAATATTTGTTTTCTTTTATTGTATTATTTTTCCTCTGCCAAATCCAAGTGAGAATATATCTGCTTTTTCTGTTTTGTTTTTATTTGTTTGAGTTTGATCAACTCTCATTGCACCTCACCCTGTTTTTGTTAATATTTCTTAGTTTTTGAAGTTCTGAATCTAGACACATTAGTTTTCCACTACTGCATAACAAATTACCTTAATCCTATTCTCCTAATATCCATTCCCACAAGAATTCAGAAACATTTCAGCTCAGTAAAACTTCTAATGGTCCAATTATAGGGACCATGTCAAAATATTTCTTCCAGGGTGATTGATTAATTGGTACATCTGGCTCCTCTTGCAGTGGGCCTCTTTGGATTTGGGGTACATCCCATTCGGATGTACCATTGTGACCCATTTACTAAGAGACTTGAGAGGTACTAGTTTTGAAGAGGGCCCAGAACAACAGAAGACTATTCAACAGGCCTAGCCTGCCATGCAAGTGACGCTGACACTTGAGACATATGATCCAGGAGATATAATGGTGCTTGAAGTGTCACTGGCAAATAGCAATGCTGTTTGGACGGTTGGCACCCCTATATAAGTGAATTATGACACTGACCTTTAGGATTTTGGAGCAAAGCCATGTCATGTGTGAATAGCTACTCTTCTTTTCAAGAAATAGCTTTTGGCCTGTTACTGGCCCTTAGTGGAAACTGAACAGTTAACCATGGACCACTAAGTTATCATGCAACTTTGGCTTCCCATCATGAACTGGGTATTGTCTGACCCACCAAATCATATGACTGGGTGTGCACATCCAAATTCCATTGTCAAATGAAACTGGTATAGATGACAGAGAACTGGAGCAGACCCTAAATGCACAAGTAAATTTCATGAGGAAATGGCCCAAATGTCAATGCCCGAATCCCACTACACAAGACTTTCTCTCTGTCAGCCTGCACCTGTGCTGTAATGGGCAGTCCTGTATAACAAGCTTACTAAGGAGGAAAATAACTTAGGCCTGGTTTACTGGTAGTTCTGTATGATATGCAAGCACTTAGCTGAAAGTAGACAATCCTAGCCCCTGTCTAGGCTATACCGAAGGACAATGAGAAAGGAAATCCTCCCACTGGGCAGCACTTCATGCAGTGCACATGATTGTTTATCTGTCTTAGGAGAAGAAATCACCTGTTATTAATCTATACAATTTCATGGACTGTGGCCAGTGATTTTGCTGGTTGATCAGGCCCTTGCCAGGATCATGATTAAAAAATCGATGATGGCTGGGTGGGGTGGCTCACGCCTGTAATCCCAGCACTTTGGGAGGCCAAGGTGGGCGGATCACAAGGTCAAGAGTTGGAGACCAGCCTGACCAAGATGGTGAAACCCCATCTCTACTAAAAGTACAAAAATTAGTCAGGTGTGGTGATGCATGGCTGTAATCCCAGCTACTCGGGAGGCTGAGGCAGGACAATCGCTTGAACCCAGGAGGCAGAGGTTGCAGTCAGCTGAGATCACGCCATTACACTCCAGCCTGGGTGACAGAGACAGATTCTGTCTCAAAAACAAACAACAACAACAACAAAATTGATGACAAGGGATACATAGCTCTGGGAAAGAGCTATGTAGACAGACCTCTCTGAGTAGGCAAATAATGTAAAGATTTTCGTGTTTTATGTGAATGCTCACTTAAGAGTGACATAGCAGAGAAGGATTTTAATAATCAACTGGATAGAATGGCTCATTCTATGAATCATAAGCAGCATCTTTTCCCAGGCACTCCTGTCCTCGTCCAAAGTGCTCATAAAGAAAGTGGACATGGTAGCAGCAATGAAGGTTATACATGGGCTCAGTAATATGGACCCTCATTTACCAAGCCACCTGGCTACAGCCACTGCTGAGTGTCCAATCTACCAGCATCGGAGACCACACTGAGTTCCTGATATGGCATCATTTCCTAGGGTGTTCAGCGAGCTACCTGATGGAGAATTGATTGCATTGGACCACTTCCATCATGGAAGGGGTAGCACTTTGCTCTTACTAGAACTTGCTCTAGATAGATATTTGCCTACTCTACCCACAATGCATCAGCCAAAACTATTACCTGTGGACTTACAGACTGCCTTTCCACCATTATGGTGTTCCACACAGCACTGCTTCTAACCAGTAAATTTATTTTATAGCAAATAAAGTGTGGCAATAGACTCGTGGTCATAAAATTCACTCTTCTTACCATGTTCCTCATCATCCTGAAGAAGTTGGTATGAGAGTATGGTAGAATGGCCTTTTGAAGACTCAGCTATGGTGCCTAGTAGAGGGCAATACTTTGCAGGACTGGGGCAGTGTCATCTCAGATGAAATATATACTACAAATTGTCATCCAATATATGATGCATTTTCTCCCATATCCACAATTTACAGGTTCAAAAGTCAATTTATGGAATTTGGAGTGGCTCCTCTCACTATTACCTCTAGTGATCTACCAGCAAATTTGTGTTTCCAGTTCTTGTGACCTTCATCTTTGCTGGTGTAGAGGTCTTAGCTCCAAATGAAAGAATGCATCTATCTAGGGACGACACAATGAGTCTATGAAATTGAGACTGCCATCTGAAAACTTTGGGCTTCTCCTATCTCTGAATCAATAAGCAACGAAGGTTACTTTTGGGGGTGATCGATTTTAACTATCAAGGAGAAATTGTGTTGTTATTACAGAATGGGATAAAGGAGGAGTATGTCTTGAATACAGCAAATCCCTTAGAATGCCTCTTAGTATTTCTATGTCCTGTAATTAAGGTCAATGAAAAATCACAACCCAATTCAGGCAGGATTGCTAATAGCCAGGCCCCTCAGGAATAAAAATTTGGATCACCCCACCAGAGAACAAATCCTGAACCTCTGAGGTTCTTTGCCTCAGCAAAGAAGGTAGTTATAAATACAAGCTGCAACTGCATTGCAAAATGAGGACAGTAACAGTTATGCATATTTTCTCTTCTCATATGAATTATGTTTGCACATATATTAACCAAATATTTTCAGCATTTTCCCTTTTTTAACAAACATAAAATGTTTTAATAGTAGTTTTTTTTTCAGTATTTAAGTTACAGCATCTTAAAGAAGAGCCAGTGTTACTCAAGGACTTGATATCTTTTTCTAAGGAAAAGGTTAGTGAGTTTTGAATTGCATGCAAGATACTCGCGTTATATTAAGAAGATGCGTAATTTTGTTGCTACCTTTATTTGGACATTAAGTATGGTTAAAGAGAGGTGTTCTGTGGGTGCCAATTTGACAAGGGGAGGACTATGATGGCTTTTTGATGTGTTATCTTGTTGAGGCTATAGTTGCGGATTAGTCAATCAATCTACTTACTCCTGTAAAGAGATTTTGGAGAAGTGATGAAAATTCCTAATTGGTGGACTTTGAGATTCTCCCAAGTGAAGCTGACTTAATCATTTGGAAGCCCTTAAAAGTAGAGAACGAACCATGAGATTGAGGCTTTTCCAAGAGATAAGAAATCCTCACTGTTAGACAAAAATTTTAGCCTGTGTCCCCGAAATTCTAATCTGCTTCTGCTCTTCATTTCCTGATGGACCGTTCTATAGGCTTGAGTCTCGCTTAGCCAGCCACTGCAATTGCTTAAGCCAATTCCTTGTTTTATATGTACATATTCTGCTTCTCTGGTTTAACTCTGGTACAGTAGGCATGTTTTCTTATTTCCTACAACGGTTGCTTGAGGATATACTCAAACTGGATGTTATTCCAAATTGGATATATCCAATATATCCAGTTAGGATAATATCTCAAAGTTCTCTTCTGTTACATGGTTGGTTTTTAGGGGAAGTTTCATCAGTTGAAATATTTTTATTCTCTCTTTTTTTTTTTCCTTATAGCAATTCTCTGTGGTTAGTCTGATTGTTCCTATTCCTAAGCACTTGTATGCTGAGGTTCCTAGTTCATGAGCAGCTTCCCTGTCAATACAGTGAAATGTAATTTCTTTAATTGCTGGCTTCTTGTTGTTGTTGGAGAGACAGTGTGTTAGCATATCTAATAAATCATGTTTCTATAAATAGGGTTGCCAGGTAAAACACAAATATTTCATCAAAGTATATTAATACTAAAACTTACTGTTTATCAAAAATTCAAAATTAACTGGATGCTTTGCATTTTTATTTGCTAAATTTGACAACTCTACCATGAACATTCTTGGACCTTGATCCTAATGCACATGTGATATAGTTTCTTGTAGGCTTTCTCAACTGGAATTCCTCATATGCACCACAGAACACAGAAAATGATGGAAATTGTTATTTTTCCAATTTCCCCAATGATGGTACATAACTAGTATCATTCTAAATGCATAGAAAAATTAATTGGTTATGTTTGCTGGTGCCTTAAGGAATGTAGGCTTAATTCTTAGGAGAATCTTCATGTTAAAACATTGTTGCAGAATGAAATTTCCAAGACATAGACTATGAGGATGTTCATTAGAATGGAACCTACATGAAGGCATATTTTTTTTCCTATTTTTTTAATTTATATTCACAAGTAACTAGAATAGTACCTAATATAAGATAGAGGTTCAATTATTATTTTAAAATAAATTTTAAAGATAATACAAATAGTTTCCTGATATATGTTAAATGATTTGTACTATCATCCAAAGTGTATAAGAATTCTCACTTGTCCACATTCTTGTCTTCACGTGGCAATCTACTGAAAAGATGGTCCTTTCTTGACTGTTACAAAGCACTAATTTTGTCATAAGTCAACTTTGATATGTGTGTTGTTTTATATCTGGGCTTTTCCAGTTACATTGGTCTATTTGTCAAAATCTTATTAATATAATATAAATGATGACTTTTTCTGCCTGCTTGATTTTGGTAAATTTAGAAGTCCACTGTTAATTTTATGTACTCATTTTATATCCAGCCAGCTTAATAAACTCTTTTATTGATTCCCACAATTTATTTGTAGATTATTTTAAACTTGCTGTGGCATATCATTTGTAAAGACTAAAACTTTAGTTTTTATTAAAAGCTTACTAAAAACTTTAATCTTTACTAAAACTTTCCTCTTTATTTCAAATGTTTATATGTTTTATGTGTTAATTCTTGTCTTATTTTGCTGGCTAGAAACTCTAGTAAAATATTGACCTATATTTGATTTCTGAAATTTTAGAGTAGACTTCTAATGCTCCAACCTTAAAAATGAAGTCATTTTTATTGAGTTTTTTAAAAACACCCTTTACTAGGTTAAGAAAGTTTACTTCTACACCTAGGATGTTATGTCTTTTACTTTGTTCTAATTTTTTTCATAAATGTTTGCTAGATTTTTAAATTGCCACCTTTGGTCTTTTAATCAATTAATTCGGTGAAGTATATTTTTAGACATTCTCATTTAATATTGTTCCTAGGGTAAGCACACTGAATAATGTGGATTTGTCTTCTTTATTTTTATACACTTCTGAATTGAATGTAATCATATTTTGTTTAAGATTTTCAGATCTATTTTCCAAGTATTCAGTTTTGCACCTATTTTCATGATAAGACTGACCCTATAATTTTCCAATCTTTTGCTTTTTTAACTGGTTTTTATTTCAGGGTTATCTGGTCTCATGAAATGACTTTTGGTGTGTTCTCTTTTTTTTTTTTCAGCCTCTGAAGATAATTTTTGCATAAATCAGAAATTACCCACTCCTTGACAATTTGGTGAAACTCTTGTAGAAATAGTTTTCATTAATCACTAATGCCAGAGGTTTATATTATGATTTGTTTCCATCTGTATTATGTATGTTTTTTATTTCATTGATTTCTGAACTTAACTTTATTGTATCCTTTATTCTATTTTCATTGGCTATATTCTGCATTATTTTCCTAACCTCTTAAGACTGAGCACATTCATTTTCTGCCATCTTTCTTCGTAAGTATTGAAGTTTACATATGTAATTTGAAGTGCCACTTCTATTTTATTCTATAATTTTTGCATATGTAGTGTTTTTATTATTTAGTTTTTGTAATTTAATTTATAATATGATTTATTCTTTGACCTAAAAGTTAATTAGAAATGTTTTGCAATTTCCAAACATAGGAGCGTTTAACTTGCCTTTTTTGTTATTCATTTCTAACTTAATTGCGTTGTTGTCAGAGACTGTGATTCTTACGGCTAATTCTTTTATATTTGTCAAAATTTGCCTTACGGCCTAATACCTAGTTAACTATTTTACATATTTCGTACGCGTTTAAGGAGACTATGTCTTTTGCATCTATTACATGTGAGATTTTAGATATGCCCATGAAATCAAGTTTACTAATGTTATTGTCTAAATATTCAATTATGCTATATTTAAATATTCAACTATTCTTATCTGATTTATCTCACTGTCATTAAAAAGCAGTGTATTAAAAGCTCCAACACTGATTGTGAACTAGTCAACTTCTCCTTATTGTTTCATCAATTTTTTACCTTACGTATTTTGAGGTTATTTTATTAAATACGTTCAAGTTAGGTGTATTTTCAGGTGAGCTGAATCTTTTATTTAATGTAATGTAGCAACTGTCTTTATTTTTAATAACTCTATTCATCTTGTATATTGTTAATACACCCTCCAAATTATTTTTGGTTTGTATTTAATTGGCATATATTTTTCTATTATTTTATTTTATTTATTGTTTCTTATGTTTTAAATGTATATCTAGAAAGAAGACTATATCTAGACTTTCTCTTAAATCAGTTTTGAAATGCTCTGTCTTAAATGCAATTTTGATTATTTGTACATAACATGATTATGAAAATATTTTGTCCTTATTCAATTATTTTACTTTATTTCTTATTTATCACATATTTCTTCTCCCATCTTATCTGTTTTGAAGTAAACTTGATACCCTGAATAAAGCATCCCTAGAAACAATTAAAATGCTTAGTAATATGCAAATTATGTCTTTTTAAAAAATGCATCACTTTCTAACTCAATATAATTTTTTTAAATGCATCACTGAATTAATAATGAAGTTAAAAAAAAAAAAATTACTAGAGGTAAAAAATAAAATAGAATCCAGAGAAGAAAACAGAGAAACAAACTGTCTTTTACATTGAGAAAATTTATCAAATTGGATGGACTTCAATTTTAGTTATCAGGCCATGGAAGCACACACAAGGGCTACACAGAACCCCAACTGAGCATCTACCCCATTTGGGAAGTCTAAAAGGAACTTGAACTTTCCACACCACATAAAACTAAGACTCTAATGTTCTATGCCCTCAGTATAAGTTAAACAATAAACAAACCTACCCAGGAGACTATTTATAAAATTGTCCATCTTGAACTTGAGCCCTGAACAAAGGAAACAAAATATTCTCTGAATATTGGTAACCACAAGCTAGCCTTCATGCAGATATGAAGCTTGAATTTCTACTCCCTAAGTATTTTGAAAAATCTCAAACTTACAATCTAGTTTAAAATTTCACACAGGATTATTCTAGTGCTTGCTCTTTGTCACTGCTCATAGCTCATTGTAGTTTTAACTCACTGTGTTTCAAAACAACTATGCTTGTTTTGGCCTTTAGGGGTTACATTTATTTGCATTAGCCTCAAGAAATGCATCAAAAAGTCTTTTTGTTGTAATATATTTAGGATTGAGATGCAATGTCATTGGAGGGCCCTTAAATGTACCATACCAAAATGTTCTGAACCCTTCTCTGAAGTGGTTGCCTTTTCTTTCATTTCCCAAACAGCAATAATCTGAGAACTCATACCATGTGGCTGCAAGAAGTCCAGTCCTTTACTGTTTTTCTTTCCCTGATATCTCTGGGCATCTGTGAGGAAGAATTTCATGTTACACAGACTCAGTCTGATTTTCATCCATAACCTCATAGGACAGATTGGCACCTAACTGGTGCTCAGCTCCTGCAATCACAGCCTCTCATTGCATAATGAGTTGCTGTTGCTCTTCACATTCTGTTTTACCCAAAATGATAACATAATTCTGCTTTCTAACTTCCCAAAGTTTTTTAACATCTATAAAAAGTAAAAACTTGACTGAAGCTTAGGGCAACAGAGGAATTAAAGTTCAGAAAAACAAAAACAAAAACAATGAAAATACAATAACAAAAAACTTAATCTGAAATACGACTGTAAATATGGTCCCCTATAAGGAAATCTATTCTTGATACCCAACAGAAAGGAAAAATCTCAATCTTCTTCTTACTCCAATCAAGGGCTAGGCTTCCCACCAGGATATTTTGCAGGAATGCAGCTCCACCTACAGTGAAGATAATTGTCCACCATTTATGAGAAAGTTTTAGCCCAGATCCTTACCATTCTGGAATAGTATCACAGTTTCACCTTTGCATATCCAAATCACATAAAGACATTATTAACACTTATCAAAACACAAGAGAATAATTACTTTCAGAGAAGTCAAATCTCTCCCCTACAAAAATGGAAGAATTGCCACCAACTTTGAAATTCAAGTTTATTCTTTCTAGCCAAAAGCTTTCAAAAAAATGGCAAGCTCCTGTCCTAACTAGACAACTCATTATTTTGTTACAATGTTTGTCTCCCCCAAACAAAACCCTTCAACTTCTTCAAAGGCAAAAATATTGTGTTATTTCCCTTTTTGTTTCTAGTAACAGACAAAATGCCTAGTACACGTTCATGCTCAATAACCCTTTGTTAAGTGCATGAATCAGCGAATGACTACGTAAACCCCTTTCCATTAAATATTTGGAGAGGTTCAGTATAAGAAACAATATTTCATTTTTACAAAACGTCTTCCAGGAAGTGAGGAGAGAGAGAGAGAGAGAAAGGAAATTCGTGAATGTATGTATGTCCTCCTTATGGGAACAACAGGTTTGAATACTGATGAAGTGGAACCTCAGAGCCACTGTGTGCATTGAACTGGAGTGAGACAGAAAAATACAGCAGACTCGTAACCAAACAGAAAGTGCCCCATCCTGTTGATGCAGCATATATTCTGAGCCCAACCAGTAAGTAGCAGACATTGACATGAATGAATATGGTTAAAAGCAAATGAACAGTCATCATAGATGTTTCTCTCCCTGACTCGGTGACTGCAGGCTTTCAGATGCACCCAGCAACAAGGGAAGGGGGCATCTGCATAAAATATTCTGAGCAGAGCATGGGGAGCTGGTTCCAGACTAGATAAACAATTTGACAAACACCCAGGAAGAATGTCTCTAACCTTCATAAAACTGAAAGGACAGGCAAGAAATGAGATGGACGACACTGTCATGGAAATTACAGTCTCAGCGATTTGGAGACAGTTCATTCTGCAGAGGAGCTGGCACACTGGAGGAGGGATAAACAGGAAGTTTAAAATCTGTCTGAAATGGCACGGCATATTTTTCTTGGGGTATGGTATCAAATGAGACTAAAGTTCTCTCCAGAAAATAATATCACCTAAAGTTCAACTCATCTTTTGAACAACTTAGACTATTGACAGGAATTATTTAAGCAATTGCAAATGTCACTTCTTAAAAATCATGAGACTAAATAGAGTATAGGGAAAGAAATTGCTCAGAGGAGAAGAAACATTGGTCTATTAGTAAACTGGAAAATATATAAATCATGACAGAGTACATCTACATGTGAAGTCCTTTTGTACTTAGAGCCCTATCCTAGGCACTCTGAATAAAGGAAAACTAAGCGGCTTATTCTTACCCTTGAAGGGTCTAGTTAGGAGACAGACACATGGGTATACATGAATCAACAAATGCATACTGATTTCTTATGAGCTGAATGCACAGTTCAGGAGTGATCTAAATATATAAGTGTTAAGCAAGAAGAGCTTCCCAAAAAGTGCAAGTTGTATAGTATGATTTGAGGGGAATTTTTGAAAAGTATATTAAGCAATTGATATTTTAATCTTGAGAAATAAATTTGACTATATATTATACACATACACGGACACCCCGTATATATGATGAAATTTCTACCTCAAGGCAAGTTTTTAACTTTCTGTTTAAAGGCAATTTTCTCACGTCATAGAATTACATTGTGATGGTTAATTTTATGTGTCAAATTGACTGGGCCTCAGTATGCCCAGATAAGTGGTTAAACATTATTTCTGGGTGTGTCTGTGAGGGTGTTTCCAGAAGAAATTAACATGTAAATTGGTGGATTGACTAAAGTTAATGAGGTGGGCTCTATCCAATTCTTTGAGGGCTTAAATAAAACAAAAAGGCAGAGGAAGGTTGAATTAATTCTGCCTTTTGAGCTGGGACATCCATTTTCTCCTGCCCTAGGTACTCCTGGTTCTCAGGCCTTCAGACCCAGACTGGAGTCTATGCCACTGACTCTCCAGCTCTCAGGCCTTGGAACTATACCACTGGGTCTCCAGCTTACAGATGGCAGATCATGGGAACCTCTCAACCTCCGTAATGATGTAAGCCAATACATTGGTTCTATTGGTTCTGTTTCTCTGAAGAACTCCGACTAATCCATAACATATTATTTAAGCCTTAGAAACCAGGTAGGTCTAGCATTTCCTAAAGTGTTCAATGAAACTCTGTTAAAAGATGGTCAAAAATAAATAAATAAATAAAACTATAATCCAGATTTTGTGAAACGTTTTTTATTCTGTTTCCTTCCAGGACTTCTAAAAGCACATCAGCTTATTAAAGGTTTTGAGAACTCTTTCAGCAAAGAAATCTATTTAATTTGTTTAACCCAGAATTTCTAATCTTATTTTACAGAGCACTTTTTAGTTTTTAGGAAGTCTGTAAACATCTTAAAAAATCCAATAAACAATTTTGGAACCATGAATCTAGTTCAGCTTCTCAATTTACACGAAAAAGAAGTGGAGCTAAGCTACTTGCCCATGGTTACCAGCTGGTTAATGCCAAAGTAAAGCCCAGCATGCTGTTGTCCAATAGAACTGATAAGTCCTACTCATGACTTCTGCGTTATAATTGTATTGAAATTCAAACACTTGAGTTTACATTTTTGTTAAAATTAATGGCCTTAAGCCTGACCATGGGGTCTTCATAAAGGGTAAAAACTAAAAGAAAGTGATACCTGGCTCAATAGAATAACGAATTTTCAAAGGGAGCTTGCTAGAAAACAGTGTCTCCTTAGATAGTCAATTTTCCTTCCCCAGAGGTCTTTAAGAGGAGATAGGATAATGACTTGTGCGCAGGATTGAAGGGGAAATTTGCAAATCAGTTAAGAGGTGATAAACTCTAAAGTGCTTTTTGCTTTGAGTTTGTTATTCTGTTAATAGCTTGATATGGTTAGGTTAATTATAGTAGGACTGGGCAGCAAGGAATCTGGGGTCTGAAACCACCACAACCCAGTTGGTCAGACAAGTGCCATGGAAAAAGACCTAGTTGCAAGTGCTTGAAGGAAACATAGCCTCAAAGCAGGTCATGATGGTCACAGAACTGGGCATGAGACTGCAGGCATTAGTTCAGGCATGCACTTACATGGCAGGTGGGCAGATGAAGCCAGGGACTCAGACAGCAGGCAAATACTTAGCATCAGAAAGTATCTCAGCAGATGGTAGAATCACTAACATAGGGATGGGGTCCATAGGCAGCCCTCTATTAATAATGTTATGCAATGCATTCTATGCAGATCAGCTGGTTCTGAGTAGATGGTTTTTTATTTCCTATCCTAGAATCGGATAGTCTAGGAAAGGTGGAATGAGTTTGGTATAATCCCTTATATATTTAGGGAAAAGCCACAGTATGCTTATCAAATAAAAAAAATAGGAATATGGTAGGAGCTTAGTTGATAAAACTAGACCAAGAAATCTGCAACAGAATGACAATAAGAGTGGTATGTTACTGAGTCAGTTTCCCTCTGCCCATTCCAAAAAGTGGTTCTAAAGACCATGTTGGGGCTGAGCCTACAGGTAGAAGTCAAGTGCCTTCAGCTCCAGGAAGAAGAAAACTGCAGAAGCTGAGCTCAATAGCTGCTTCCCTCCCCAAAATGCATCTCATCAAAAAAATATATATATATATTGGAAGCAACGTCCTTAATTACTTTAGTATCTTTCTGTCAACAACTTATGAGGCAGACACAGCGAACTTAGAAAGTAATAAGATTATGTTCAAGGGGATGTGTTATGTTAGCCTGAGGGTTGATAGTCTTAATTTTCATGTAGTGAAGAAAGGATATGGGAGAGGAGATGAGAAGGTGGCCAAAAGCAGTAGAGAAATATTTCTGTGACCCATCATTACAGCATTGTGTCATCCTGAGAGAGACAGTGTTGCTTTCTTTAAAATATTAAGAGTCAGACCTAGGAAATCATGCTATAATTGAGAAAGAGTATAGTATATTGGCTAAGAACACAAATTCTGCACTAAGTACTCCTCTTTCACATCTTGGATTTATCATTTACCAACATGTGGCTTTAGGTAAGTTACTTGACCTCTCTGTAATTCACATCCTTCATCTATAAAACTGAGGATGATAATAGCAGGTATTAATAAAGTTGTATGATATATGTATTTATATGGATATGCTTATTTGTCCAACAAGGTAAAATTCATGATATCAGGCAACTCTACACAAAATCATCTAAAAAATTAAAGAGAGAGGATACATCCCCAGCATTACCCTGATACCAAAACAACTTGAAGACATTACAAAATAGAACAATAGATCAATATCCCTCAAGAACATAGATGCAAGCATTTTAAATACAATTTTAGCAAATCAACCCCAACAATATGAAGATAATACATCATCACCAAATGAGATTTGGTGATGATGTTTCTTATCATGTTTATTAGTCTGTTTTCATGCTGCTAATAAAGCCATAACCAAGACTGGGTAATTTACAAAGGAAAGAAGTTTAATGGACTCACAGTTCCACATGGCTAGTGAGGCCTCACGATTATGGCAGAAGACAGAGAGAGAGTAAAGGGATGTCTTGCATGGCAGCAGGCAAGAGAGCTTGTATAGGGGAGCTCCCATATATAAAACCATCGAATCTCATAAGACTTATTTGCTACCATAAGAACAGTATGGGGGAAACTGCCCCCATGATTCAGTTATCTCCACCTGGCCCTGCCCTTGAAATGTAGGGATTATTACAATTCAAGGTGAGATTTGGGTGAGGACACAGCCAAACCATATAATTTTTCCTTTGTCCTCTCTCAAATCTCATGTCCTCACATTTCAAAACAATCATGCCTTCTCAGCAGTCCCCCAAAGTCTTATTTCAGCACCAACTCAAAAATCTACAGTCTAAAGTGTCATCTGAGACAAGGCAAGTTCCTTCCACCTATGAGCCTGTAAAATCAAAAGCAAGTTAGTTATTTCCTAGATACAATGAGGGTATAGGTATTGGGTAAACACACCCATTCCAAATGGGAGAAATTGGCCAAAATGAAAGGCTAAGGTGCCATGCAAGTCTGAAATTCAGAAAGGCAGCCAAATCTTAAAGCTTTAAAATGATCTCCTTTGACTCCATGTCTCACATCCAGGTCATGCTGATGCAAGAAGTGGGTTCCCATAGTCTTGGGCAACTCTGCCCCTGTTGCTTTGCAGGGTACAGCCTCCCTCCCAGTTGCTTTCACAGGCTGGCATTGAATGTCTGCAGATTTTCCAGGCACATGGTGCAAACCGTCAGTGGATCTACCATTCTGGGGTCTGGAGAATGGTAGCCTTCTTCTCACAGCTCCACTAGGTGGCGCCACAGTAGGGACTCTGTGTGGAGGCCTCAACCACACATTTTCCTTCTGCACTGCCCTAGCAGAGGTTCTCCATGAGGTCTCCACTCCTGCAGCAGACTTTTGCCTGGACATCCAGGCATGTGCATACATTCCTAAAATCTAGGTGGAGATTCCAGAAACCTCAATTCTTGACTTCTGTGCATCCACAGACCCCACACCAGATGGAAGCTGCCAAGGCTTGGGACTTGAACCCTCTGAAGCAACGGGCTGAGCTCTACATTGGCCCCTTTTAGCCATAGCTGGGACACAGGGCACCAAGTCCTGAGACTGCATAAAGCAGCAAGACCCAGGGCCCAGACCGTGAAAACATTTTTTCCTCCCAGGCCTCTGGGCTTGTCACAGAAGGGGCTGCTGTAAAGGCTTCTGAAGTGTTCTGGAGACATGTTTCCCATTGTCTTGGCAATTAACATTTGGCTCCTCATTACTTATGCAAAATTTCTGCAGCCAGCTTGAATTTCTCCCTAGAAAATGGATTTTTCTTTTCTATCACATTGTCAGCTGCAAATTTTCCAAACTTTTATGCTTTGCTCCCTCTTGAATGCTTTGCTGCTTAGAAATTTCTTCCTCTAGATACCCTAAATCATCTGTCTCAAGTTCAAAGTTCCACAGATCTCTAGGGCAGAGACGAAATGCCACCAGTCTCTTTGCATAGCAAGAGTGACCTTTAGTCCAGTTCCCAAGAGGTTTCTCATCTCCATCTGAGACCACCTCAGCCTGGACTTTATTGTCCATATCACTATCAGCATTTTGGTCAAAGCCACTCAACAAGTCTCTAGGAAATTCCAAACTTTCCCACGTTTTGCTATCTTCTTTAGAGATCTATAAACTGTCCCAACCTCTGCTTGTTACTCAGTTCCAGAGATGCTCCCACATTTTCAGGTATCTTTACAGCAGCACCCCACTCCTGATACCAGCTTACTGTATTGGTCTGTTCTCATGTTGATAGTAAAGCCATACACAAGACTGAGTAATTTATAGTGGAAAGAAATTTAACGGACTCACAATTCCACATGGCTGGGGAAGCCTTACAGTCATGGTGGAAGATGAGGGAAGAGCAAAGGGATGTCTTACATAGCAGCAGGCAAGAGAGCTTGTGCAGGGGAACTCCCATGTATAAAACTATCAGATCTCATAAGACTTATTCACTACCATGAGAACAATATGGGAGAAACTGCCCCATGATTTAATGATCTCCACCTGACCTCCCTTGACACATAAAGATTATTACAATTGAAGGTGACCTTTGGGTGGGTTTATGCCAGGAAAGCAAATTAATATTAAAAAAATCAAACAATGTAATTCATCATATTAACACAGTTGAAAATAAAAACCAAATTATCTTCTTAATAAATACAGAAAAAGCATTTGACAAAATTCAACAACTTTCCCTGATAAAATATTGTAGTGAACTAGGAAAAGAAATAAACTTCCTCAACCTGATAAAAAGTATTTACAAAAACCCTACAGTTAACTAAGTACAGTTAACATACTTAATGGTGAAAGACTGAGTGCTTTCTCCACAAACCTAAGTGTGGGTCAGTTGTAAGAATATCTGCTCTCACCATGTCTGTTCAACATTATACTTTAGATTCTAGCCAGTGCAATAAGGCAAGGAAAAAAATACAAATAAAAAGGATTCATAGTGGGAAAAAAGTAAGCCTTTATTCTTAGGCAACATGAGTCTATTTGTAGAAAACCCAATGGAATCTACAAATAAGTTACTAGATCTAATAAACAAGATAGGTAAGCTTGCAATTTTTTAAGATCAACATAAAAAAATCAATTGTATTTCTAAATACTAGCAAGGAACCATCAGAAATTAAGCTGTGAAATGATAATTTCAAAATTAGCAAAGACTTGGAACCTACCCAAATGCCCATCAATGATAGACTGGATAAAGAAAATGTGGCCCATATACACCACAGAATACTATGTGGCCATAAAAAAGAATGAGTTCATGTCCTTTGCAGGGACATGGATGAAGCTGGAAACCATATCATTCTCAGAAAAATAACACGAGAACAGAAAAACAAACACCGCGTGTTCTCACTGATAAGTGGGAGTTGAACAATGAGAACACGTGGACACAGGGCAGGGAACATCACACACCGGGGGCTATTGGGGGATGGGGGGCTAGGGAAGGGATAGCATTAGGAGAAATATCTAATGTAGATGACAGGTTGATGGGTGTAGCAAACCACCATGGCACGTGTATACCTATGTAACAAACCTGCAGGTTCTGCACATGTATTGCGGAACTTAAAGTATTATTAAAAAAAAAAAAAGTATCAAGACTTAGAGGAAGAAATCTGATAAAAGCTGCACAAGACCTGTATGCTAAAAGATACTGTTAAGAAAAATTAAGGAAGACCTACATAAATGGAGACATATACAAGATACCTGGATTAGAAGACTCAATATTATTGCAATTTCAGTTTTCCCTAAAGCAATCTATAGATCCAAAAATCAATCAAAATGAAACACATGCTTAGATGTAAAACCACAAATTATAAACATTTTAGAAAATAACCTACAAGAAAATCTGGAAACACTGAGTAGGCAAATATTTTATTGACATGACACCTAAGGAACATCCATAATCTGACAAATTGATTAACTTAATTTCATCAAAATGCAAAATTTCTCCTCTTTGGCAGACATTGTTAAGAGGAAAAGACAAGCTGCAATCTGGAAGAAATTATTTGCAAATTCTAAAACTGATAAAGGATTTATATGTAGAATATATAAAGAACTTTCAAAACTCAATAATAAGAATTTTTTTAATAATAGAAAAATGGGCAAAAGATGTGAAAGACACTTTGCCAAAGAAGACATACACAAGACAGCTAAGCATAAAAGAAGATGTTCAGCATCAGCTGGGCCCGGTGGCTCATATCTGTAATCACAGCACTTTGGGAGGCCGAAGGCAGGAGTTTGAGACCAGCCTGAACAACATGATGAAACTCCCTCCCTACTAAAAATATAAAAATTAGCTGGGCATGGTCTTGCATGCTTGTAGTCCCAGCTATTCTGGAGGCTGAGGCAGGAGAATCGCTTAAACCCAGGAGGCGAAGATTGCAGTGAGCCAAGATCATTCCACTGCCTTCCAGGCTGGGCAACAGAGCGAGAATCCGTCTTAAAAAATAAATAAATAAATAAAAATAAAAAGAGATGTTCAGCATCATTAGTCATTAGGTAAACACAAACAGAAACCACAGTGAGATACCACTGCACATGTATCAGAATGGCTAAAACTAATAAGACCAACCATACCAATGTTGACAAGAATGTGGGGGAACTAGAACTCTCACGCACTGATGTTGAAAATGTAGAATTGCTGAACTACAACTTTAAAAACAGTTTGGCATGTTTTTAGTTTTTTTTAGTTTTAAATTAAGCCAATATCTACCATATTATCTAATTATTCTGCTCTTGGGTATTTTCCCTATAGGAAATAAAGCATATGTCCATAAGAATATTTATACTAGTATTCATAAAAACTTTTTTTAACAGCCAGAAACTGCAAAATCCCAAATGTCTATCAACAACAAGTGAATGAATAAACACATTGTGGTATAGCTAAACAGTAGCCTATGACTTGGCAATAAAAAGAAGTGGACTATTGAAACACACAACAATATGGACGAATCTCAAAATCATCGCTCACAGCCAGACAACATAGAGTACATACTGCTTGATTCCATTTATAAACAATTCTGATATATGCAAATTAATCTATAATGACTGAAAGCAAATCAGTGGTTACCTGAGGATGGGAAGGAACAAAGCAGGAAGGAGAAGAGATTTAACAAGGGCAGGAGGAAAGTTTTGGGGGTGATGGATATGTTCATTCATATAATTCCAGTAATGGTTTTATGAAAGTTTACATATCTCGAAACTTATCAAATTGTACATTTTAAACATGTGTAGTTTATTATAGATTAATTATGCCTCAATAAAGCTGTTTAAAAACAAATTACTATTTTTTAGAAGAAGATTCTTTTGGAGTTAGAATCACCAGATCTCTGTGACTGTATTTGGTTGATGAGGAAAAATGGAAAGCATGCATCTGACACTTTGGATTGAGCACAGGATGATGATAATGCCATTCACTAAGAGAGCTAAAAGAGGCTAAGTACAAAAATCAGTTCTAAGCCTGCTCATCCACCTGTGTTTTTCATTTTAGTTACAGTTCTAAGCCTGCTCATCCACCTGGGTTTTTCATTCTAGTTAAAGACAACAAGATCTATTCACTGACTTAAAACTAAAAACTGGGGCTCATTCTCAAAACTTTGCCCTTCTTTCTAAATTTAATCAGTCAGAATAAAGATACTTTTGAATGGATAAATAAATGATTACTCAGATTAATGAATTAAATGGCAAAAGACATTCTGGAATTATTCTAAATATAATGTCTTGATAAAATTTCAAGAAAATTTATTTAATTGGTATAATCTTTATATATAAGGATTCACATAGATTCTACATACTCTCATACAATTATAATATTATAGCACTTTATCAGTTCTCAGACTGAATGTATGCTTGAGAATATTCAGAAATACTGGCAATAACATCTCCATAATAAAATTTCCTAGCTGGAGACCGCTCCAATTTCATGATGTTTTTTAAAGTTTACTTGTATGAAAGCAAACAAAGTGACATGGAGGTATATTTTATTTGCTGAATGCTTTTCAGCACATAGTACAAACTCAGAAAATAATGCATCAATAGATTGGTGGTCGAGAATCCCTAAGGCTCTGGCATTAAAAACAAGTTACAAATACCATCTTCTCAATACGGAGCATAATCCACATCCATGAATTTTCAAAATGGCAATATTGTATTTTATTTATCAGGAAAAAATTATTAATAAAAGTAAAACAAGCATGAATTGCTCTAATTCCACATTCTTTGGATTAAAATTTCTTAAAAATTAGATGGGTTCAAGTTTTCCCATTCCTCACAAATGCTGATGAAAAGTCAGAGACAGATTTTGTAAGTGAGCATTTCCTGTATGCTGCAGCACTCTTGCCTTGTCTTGTATTTTTGTGCATCCAATCACCAGTGGAAATGACTAAATCTCCAGGTATCATTCTATCTGAGGGAAATGAAATCACTGGAACAGAAGATGTTCTAAAGATTATCTGTCTATTTATCCAACCAAAAGTTTATGTGTTACTTGTCATTTGGTTGCTACTTCAACAGAGAGGTGGGCTGGACTGAATAAGGGAAATATAGGTTCTCAGAGGTAGTGAGAGACACAAGTGTTCCTCTGGTGAGTTCATTGACATGCATGAGAGAAACATTACAATTTTCACAGGTTTTCTGAAGCCTGCCAGAGACTCCCTGAGATCCCTGAAGTCAGAAGTTTCTCATAGTACCCTTAAAAACAAAAGTCAAGCAGGCAGTTTGGGGAGTAGTGATGGCAAGCATAACAATTGCACAGTACCCCCTTGTCTTTTGTTCCCATTTTTTTCCAACTTCATTAAAGTATAATTGACAAATGGAAATTGTATATATTTAATGTGTGCAACCTGATTTTTTAAATATATATATATACACACACTATAAAATGATTACCACTATCAAGCTAATTAACATATCCATCACCTCACATAATTTCCTTTTTATTTTTTGTGGTGAGAACATTAAAGATTTATTCTGTTAGCAAATTTCAAGTATACAACACGGTATTATTAAGTATAGTCCCCATGCTGTGTATTAGATCTCCAGAGCTTACTCATCCTGAATAACCAAAAGTTTGTATCCCCTTTGATCAACATCTACTTATCCCCTTTGATCAACATCTACATCCCACTACCTTCTAGCCCATAGTAATGACCATTTTACTTATTTCTATGAGATTGACTTTTTTACACTCCACATATAAGTAAGATCATGCAGTATTTGTCTTTTGGTGCCTGGCTTATTTCACTTAGCATTATATCCTCCAGGTTCACCATGTTTTTGCAAATGAAATGATGTTCTTTTTTAAAAGGTTGAATAATATTTTATTTTATATAGACATATATTAAACCTTACATTTTCTTTCTTTATTCATCCTTCGATGGGCACTTAGGTTGATTCCATATTTTGGCTATTGTAATAATGCTGCAATGAACATGGGGGTACAGATGTCTCTTTGAAATTCTTATTTCAATACTTTTGGATATATATACACAGAAGTACAATTGTTGGATCATATGGTAAATCTATTTTTAACTTTTTGATGAATCTCCTTATTGTTTTGTTATGATGGCTAGACTATTTTACATTCCCACCAATAGTGTGCAAGGGTTCCAATTTCTCCACATCCTTGCCAATACTTGTTAATTTTTGTCTTCTTGACAGTAGTCATTCTAGCAGGTATGAAGTCACATCTTGTGGTTTTGATTTGCATTTTCCTGATGATTAGTAAGGTTGATCATTTTTTATATACCTCTTGACTATTTGTCTTCTTTTAAAAAAATCTGTCCAAGGTCCTTTGCCCATCTTTAAATAGAGTTATTTGTTTTATTGCTATTGAATTGTTAAGTTCCTTATGTATTTTGGAAATTAGCCCCTTATTTGTTGTATGGTTTGAAAATATTTTCTTCCACCCTGAGGTTTCCTTTACTCTCTTCATTGTATCTTTTATCTATGAAAACTTTTTAATTTGATGTAATCCCAAACATATGATCTATCACAGAGAACGTTCTATGTGCACTTGAGAAGAACGTGTATTCTGCTGCTATTGGATGGAATGTTCTGTGCTTTTCTCTTAGGTTCATTTGATTTATACAGTTGTTCAAGTCCTCTGCTTCTCGGTTGATTTTTCTATCTGAATGATATATCCACTGTTGAAAATGATATATAGAAGTCCCCTAAAATTATCATATTTCTGTTTATTTTTAACTTCAGTTCTATAAATATTTATAATATATATTTAGGTACTAGGATGTTGAATGCATTGATATTTATAATTTTTTTATATTCTTCTTCAGTTGACCACTTTATCATTATATAATGACCCTCTTTATCTTCTTTTATAGTTTTTGACTTAACATCTATTTTATCTAAATGTAGACACCCTTGTTCCCTTTGGGTTACTATTTGCGTGGAATATTTTTTTTCCATATTTTCACTTTCAATCTGTGTGTCCTTAAATCTTAAGTGAGTCTCTTGTAGGTAGCATGTAATTCTACTTTTTAAACGCATTCTGCCACTGTCTTTTGATTGGAGAATGTAATCCATTTACAAGTTAAGACTTACTATTGCTATTTTGTTAATTATTTTCTAACTGTTTTGTAGTTCCTTTTTTTCTTTTCTTCCACTCTACTGCTTTCCTTCATGACTAGATTTTTCTGAAGGAGAGTTTGCCAGCTATAGCATTCTTGGTTGGCAGATATTTTTAACACTTCGAATATATTATCCTACCCTTTCTTAGCCTACTGTCTTCCACTATTGCTGTCTTCCTTTGTGGCTCGATTTTTATAATGGTGTATTTTCATTCCTTTCTCTTTATCTTTAGTGTATCTACTACAGATTTTTTATCCTTTGTGGTTACCATGGGGCCTATATAAAAATTCACTTAGCATTGTAGTTTTTAACAGTCTAATTTGATAACAGCTTAACTTGATATTGTAGTTGTTAACAGTCTATTTTAATTTGACAATAGCTTAACTTCAAACACATACAAAAATTTGACACTTTAACTCTACTTCCCCTCACATTTCATGTTATTGTCTTCATGATTTACATCTTTTATATTGTGTATTTAACACATTATATTGGTTATATATTATATATAATTTTCAACAGTGGATATATCATTTAGATAGAAAATCAACAAAAACAAGAGAACTTGAACAATCGTATAGATCAAATAAACCTAAGAGAAATACAAAGAACATCCCATCTATCTAACAGCAGACCACACATTCTTCTCAAGTGCACATAGAACATTGTCCAGGATAGATCACATGTTTAGGATTACATCAAACTAAAACTTTTTCAAAGAAAAAGGAAAAAAATGAAGAGAGTAAAGAGAACTTACAATGGGAGAAAATATTTTCAAACCAAATACTTAATAAGAGATTAATTTCCAACATACATAAGGTATCTGCTATAATATTTTCTGATAGTTTTATGGGGATTTCCTCTATGTAACTAATTACTCTTGCTGCTTTCAAAAAAAAAGTTTCTCATTTCTTTCACTTGTGAAAATTTGATTGTAATGTGTCTTGGTAAAGGTCTCTTTATATTTAATAGATTTGGGGTCCCTTGGAGTTCATGGGTCTGCATGTTAATTTGTCTCTTCAGATTTGGAAAGAAGTTTGTCATTATTTCTTTAAATAATTTTTCTTTCTCTTTCCTTGCTTCTTCTGAGACTTATATAATTTATATATTGGTTCACTTGATGGTGTCCCATAATTCTTATAGATTTCTTTACTGTTTTTCATTTTAATTTTTTGCCCCCTGACTATAATTTTAAATAGTCTTTAAGCTCATTGATTCTTTTTTTTGCTTGCTCATGTCTGCTGTTGGAGCTCTCTATAAAAATTTTTAATTAAGTAATTGTATTTTTTGGTTCCAAAATTTCTTTGTTTTTGTTTTTGTGATTTCTCTCTCTTTCTTGAAATCCCTATTTTCCCATATATTGTTTTCCTAATTTTGTTTTATTTATATTTGTTCTCTTGTAGCTCACTGAGCTTCTCCAAGATGATTATTTTGAATTCTTTGTCAGGCAGATTGTACATCTCCATTTTAAAAAGTTGGTTACTTGTATTTTATTTTGTTTCTTTGGTGGTGTCATGTTTTCCAGATTGTTTGTGAGCCTTATACTGTAGGCTGGTGTCTGTAGATTTGAAGAAGGAGGTACCAATTCCAGTCTTTATAAACTAGCTTTGGCAGGAATAGCTCCACACCAGTCAGTCTGCCCAGAGATTCTGAGTGGGCCATCTGGCAGGGCCCATGGGCAAGAATACCGCTAGATTTCTCAGGTCAGCCTGAATCAGAAGGTGAGTGAAACCGTTAACTTGGTACATGGGGGCAGCCTGCAGCCTGGGTTTACAGGATCTGATCTGGCACTGGGTTGAGCCTTGAGCTTGAGTCTGCAGGAGCTTGCCTAGCCCTGGGGTGGCACTGGAGCACCATACAGAAGTGTGCCTCAGTCATGTGTCCCCAGGAGCTGGCTTAGAGCCTGGGGCTAAGGGGGCTGTTCTGGTGCTTGAATAAGCCTAGAGCCTGAGGCCATGGGGGGCCAGGCTGCACCTGGGTCTGAAAGGGCTAGCTTGGTGCTGGGGCAGACTTGGACCTTAGGATAATAGGGGCCAGGCTAGTACCAGAGTGGGCCCAATACTCTTGTCTGACAGCAGCTTGACTAAAACACTGGCTGTAGATATGCTCCAGTTTTCTGCACTTCATTTTTTCTCTGGCTCTCAACTACATTGGGGTAATGTAAACTATTCTGTCTTTATTGCCTCTCTCTAGATACAGGTCTGACTACTCATCTTTGCTCTTTGATTCCACCATAATATCTAAATTATTTCTTCAGTGGTCCTCAAATTCCCTATTGTTAGCCTTCAACCACAGTCCACTCCTAGTTCTTCAACTGCTTTGGTTGGTTCTTCTTACTGTTATGCGTCAATCTCTGAGTGATCCAATATGAGTGATGGCCTCATCATTGATAATAGACCTCTATTCAACATTTAACCCATCATAGTTCCTCTCCTCTTTCCTGTCGCTGTTGATTCACTGTTTAATGTTCTTTACTTTTTATAAAATAATTTGTTTAACTAATACCACTTTTGTGATAGTATGAACTAGTATGACTTATTGACTCAATTTTTTTTGGAGAAGCATGGAAGTAACCCATGGTGCATAATCAAAAATTTTTGGTAATATAAACAGAGAAATGTCAAAGGAACAGTAAAAAGAGAGAAGCAATTGCAAAAGCATTTGATTGTTTAGTAATATGTATAAAGGCATATTTTATTAATTATAACATACACCCACATGTACACATAAATGTTGCATGTGTTTGATCAAAGTTCCTAATAATTTATGAGATGTTTTGGCTAATTAGGAGTGTGGGCAAATTGGGATAAAATTCTAACCCTCTTTTTTGTAACATATGATTTTCCACAATTTAAACTTTCTTTCCAACCTCAGATTTCTCATTTGTAAAATGGCTCTAATAAAACATTTTTCCTCAGGTTATTGTGAATATTCATTAAGATAGTCCACATAAAAGCACTTAACATAATCCCTAAGGCTTAGTACTTTGGTAGTATTGTAACCAAACACCTCTCAGATAACTGTTAGTTATCTTTATTTATTAAAATAACTTTCATTCTATTTACCATTGAATTATACTTACATTTACTATTACTATTACATTGTAGTCTATTTATAAGTGATCCCTCAGGTTTTCTTCTAGACTGTAAAACTTCAATTTCTGTAGCTTTCACTCATATGCCTTCTATATGTCTTTTTAAAATTCTTTGGGGACATCATTGACTCTTACATAACTAATACGGAGAGAGAAAGCCTGGGTATGGCACCATAAGATTTTATGATAATTTTATCACAAAACATAGCATATACATATGGTAGAGTTTTTGTTAAAGTGCTGTGACTTGATTGACTTATTCCCTGTCTTGAGAGTTTCTAGTTTACAAGAAACAATAGTTACCATGCATAAAAGAAACACAAATAACTGACCCCATACAAAAAAGATTTTAAACAATTTATTTCTTAAGCTGAGTAGTAAATATGGAGGTATTAATTATGTAATTATCTGTACTTTTGTGGTTACCTAAAATATTTCATATCAAATAAACTACTGTTAAGTATTCAGAAATGTAGAGGCAGACTTGAGGACAGGTGAATTAATTTATAACGTTTGTTTTTATAGACTGCAAAACTGTGCTTAATTTATTTTACATTAAAATTTGTTTATGTACTATAATTTGAGGAGACTTTATGCTTTGTTTAACATAGGTAAGATTTGTTTTATATTTATTTATTTTGTGATCCACACTAAGTGCTGACTTACAGATACGTCTAATCTGAGAAATATATGTAATTCTCTATATTTTGTTATATATCTTATCTTTCCATAAGTGTATTTTCTCTTATTAAATATTCTGTATTTCTTACATCTTTGAAGCATGCTCTAGTTGTACTGAATTTTAATACTCATTCCACTAACTAGTATCATTTGCACACCTAATGAAGATGGTCATTCAGGTTATTGATTGAACTATTAAATCCCATTAAATGCAGGAATAATTGTGATAAAAAATCAATTGATATGTCATTCTAGGTTAACATAACCCATTGATATCAATTATTTGCATATTCACTAGTGATAGCTACCCACCTTAATATGTATATATGGTCTATTATGCCTACTCAGGTAATGAATACATATATATCATTCAAAACAGAATCAAAAGCCTAACTATGATGTAAGAGATTAGATCCACAACATTTCCTTTGTATAAAATCAGCCATCAGTTCACCATAGAATTTAAGCAGTCTAGTAAAATTATTTCTCAAAAAAAAAAAAAAATCAAACAGTCCTCTGAGATAAGACTCAATAATCTCACTTATTATCAACATTTTTAGGTGAAATAACTATGGTCCTGAGAGCATAATATGGTTTCATCATACGGTTTTCATTTTTTGTGGCTTTCCAATACAAATACACTTAAAAATATTTTGGGTTAGTTTCTCATCTTACATTGTCTTTTTAATTTTAGGTGGTAATTAATTGGTTTGTCCATTACCTTTTGTTAACATTGTCCCAGAAATAGAAATTAATGGATAAAAATTTTTCATCAATCTTCCAATAATATTGAAATATGAAAATAATAGGCACATAACATTTTAGATGAGTTGTAAAGTATTCCAAATGTCAATAACTTATTTTTGTTTCCTTAGAAAGTTTTAATAAAAATATTAATTGTGTCATTCTGATTGATAAGATAGAGCCACAGTATTGATAGCCCAAATATTCCAGTCATGGAAACATTAATGAGGATCTGATGCTATCATTAGAATGACCAATGAACACAGCCAGTGAAGAAATCAGTCTTGTAGCCATCAACATGACCATTGATTGCATGGAGACTTAGCATGTGTTTGTCTTTCTTTTCTCATTAATACCTATATTTTCTAAATTAGTCACAAGTTTGTTTAAAAGACACAAAAGATGCAAAGCAGGCAGGATATTACCTCACACATGTTATAAAACTTAGATGTTCTGAAAGATCCTAAAGCCAGAATTGTTTTTGAGATTCTCAATCCCACAGTTAAATGTGTTAAAACTAATATTAAAAATATTTCAAAAAAATGAATTAATGAAAAGAAGCAGGCTTGGAAAATTTGAATAACTAGAAAGATGTTTTTAGACCTAAAAAGTCATTTTTGAATCCTAATTTGCTCTAGGAAATGACAAATCTCCAATAAACCAGAAAACTATCCAACTGGATCTTGCTGAATTAACTCTGAGGTAATTCAAATCTTTCTAGAAAAAAATAGTTTTTTTATTTAAACAAACATATTTTGAAGAAACTCCAAAATAATACTGAACAATATAAAAGAAGACTTGGATTATGGAGCTATATTATGTTCCTGGATGGACAGATAATATTGTAAACACATCAGTCTAAACTCAATATTTTTTAAGTTTCTTGCAATACCAATCAAAATATCAATGGGGATTTTGAAGGAAACTGGGAGAAAAAACCAAAATGATGTTAGAATCAATTTGGAATAACAAGCAAGACAGAATCAACATTTTCATAAAAATCAAAGTTATCATGAATGGGAAGACTTATCCTGAGAGATAAAAATTCTTTTTGTTTCTTTTTTTGTTTTTTTGTTTTGTTGTTGTTGTTGTTTTTGTTTTTGGAGATGGACTGTCATTCTGTCTCCCAGGCTAAAGTGCAGTGGTACAATCTTGGCTCACTGCAACTTCCATCTCCTGGATTCAAGCAATTCTCCTGCCTCAGCCTCCCAAGGAGCTGGGACTACAGGCTTGCGCCACCACGCCCAGCTAAGGGAAAGCATATTCTTAATGTATTGTTATGAAAGCCTTTTGCTCCTGGCACCAAAAATACAGAGAGCTCAAAAACCAAAATAGGCCAAGAACAGCTTCTGATGTATAAGCTAGTCAACAAATAATAAATTAAGCATTGTAAATTAATGAGAATGAGTGATAGTAAATAAACAGTGTGGCAAAAATTTATTAGCTACATGGCAAAAGGTAAGTGTCATCTTTACCTTACCCAATGTATATATGTGGGCCTACATATATCCAGATTTTTGAAGGGCATAAGTTATCACAATTCTGAGTCTCTCTTTAAGAAAAAGAATACACTGTTACAAATACAAAATGAGTTAAGAAAATGAATTTTAACTTAGGAAGAGAAAAATCACAAACTTCAAAAAAGCTAATAAATTGCACAAATACCATAAAATCTGGAAAAAAATGTATTTTAATTAAATACTTGTTTGGCAGTTCTATGATACTTTTCCCTGTACATGTTTTGGCTACATACTCTGATTACTTTTTCATAAAAACAGCAATTGTATTTTTTAATATTGATAATTTAAAGAAGTTTCTTTCAGATTCTCAAATCATTATTAATATTGCCATGTAAATTTTTAGAACTATTGTCGATTTTGGGTAAACCTCTATCAAGTTTCTTTCATATGTGATCTGTAAGATCTGGAGAATTTCCCACAGACTAACTTCTGGCTTTATACATTTCAAGCCTTGATGCTCCCCCACTAATTACACACTTTCAGTGCTGAGTATCAGGGAACATATTCATAGTGCATTAGAAACTCTACCCATCCATCTTAGTGTCAGAACACAAGGAGTTTGGCACAATGGAAACTATTCCTCCACTAGCAGGGCTAGCTATACATGAAGGTGGTAGTGAGCCATATAAAAGTATTCCACTAAACCCAAACTAAATGTATCACCAACTCAGTTTCTTCTTAGCTGAAACCCCAAATGCCTGCAGCTACCACAATGCTCCCTGCCATAAGGGGATATGTTATTGAGGGAATATGTGGTGGAGGAGAAGAGAAATAAAGGGGAAATTGCAATGGAAAGAGAGAGTTATGTTAACTGAATGTGGTTAATATGACTTATTTCTGCAAATTAAAAAAAAAAAAAAGCATAACCATGTGAATCCAATTCTAAGGTCCTTTATTATATTCATGGCAAATCTACCTCTGATTGTCTCCACTTTGTAATTTAGGAAATAGAAGCTTGAAAAGTACAGTAACTTATCCATGATCTCACAGTTTATAAATTGCAGAACTAAGCTAGGAAGTCAAGGTTGAATGATTCCAAAGATAGTGCTCTAAAACATGAAGCTATACTTCTAATAAAAGTGAAAAGGAGTTAATATTCTTAGTATATGAAATGCTATTTTGAATCAGTACAAGATCACAATATTTCAATCCAAAAATGGACAATTTACTACGAAGAAACAAATGGCTAATAAATTATTTTTAAAAATCGCACAACTTTAGAATGAATATATATTTTTATCAAATTTGAAAATAATCTTTAAATGATAATACACAGCACTGATGGACAAAGGCATGTACAGTACTTCTGAGAATATACATTTGTACAAATTTCAGAAAATTAATTTATCAATTTGGCAAAGTGTATTGATAGCCTAAAAAAATGCTCATCCCATTTCATGCAGTCATTCTATTTCCAGGAAAATAAAATGAAATAAATACAGACAAAGTTTTATACACAAAGATATTACACTATTTATAAAGGAAGAAAAGAAACAACATAAAGGGAATGGTTAAGTGAATTATGGGGTTATGATATAGAAAATGAAATATAGTACGTGCCATTAAATTATATTATTTCCATAATATGCAGAAATACAGAATGGCAAGTGAAGAAAGTAATTTTTTGTATAATGTATAATACAATATCAACCACATAAACACACACACACACACACACATATAGACATGTAAGCGTAGATTTAGAGCTACTTATACAGATTAGGAGCTATAACTTCAGAAATGACATTATACCATTTTTACTTAAATTTAAAATGCAATGTTTCAAACAATTATTTTATTTCACAATCTACAAAACAGAGCATTTGTACCTACTTCTCTCCTTCTTGTCAGCAAGTTCAAGAATTGATGAGGGTGTGTCTATATTGTGGTGCTGAAACCATATATTGTTATCAAAGCATTCAATTTAATGCAATTTAGAATAGGCATCTGATATCCTCAGCTTCATGCACGCCTCCCCCACTGTCGTTACAGTCTGCACAGCTGTAGTTGTCTGCCTGGTGGTCTCCCAGAGGTGACTGTGTTTCATTGCAAGGCTGTATTAGTGAAGCCCCTGGGCTCTTATGAGAGGAAAGGCACTATATAAATGCAAAATAGTCTATTTTATTCATGCTGTCATATAAATAGAGATCTACTTTATGCTAGCAGTTTTTCAAGGTAACTGGTTATTCTTAGTATCCAGCTTCTCATTCTCAGGGCCTCTATAATCTATTGGGCAAAAATTATTTTCCATCCCAGAACAACAGGTGCCTTTCTGGGTGTAGAAGAGTCATTGGAAATGTCACCTTAAGCCAGTACTAGTTCACACAGAGGATGAGATTATTATCTAGATGGTTCAAACAATAGCTGCTTCCAGCTGGCCCTGGCTTAGTTGTCTGGCTGCAAGGACATAAAGAGCCCACTCTTTTCTACTGGTCTCGGCAATGGTCACCTTTCATACTTCCACCTTTCACACTTCACTAACATAATGAAACAGACAGGCTGTGTAGTTGGGCTGACCTGGGTTTAAATCCTGGCTATGCATTTAAGAGCTCTGTGTTTTTGAGTCTAGCTCTTCATTTTCAAAATGAACGCATCTACCCGTTAGTGATGTTATACGATGATTAAATGAGGTATGGGTGAAAGTCATTTAGCACAATTCCAGGCACACAGTAGTTTGATACATGTTATCTATTATAGTCAGTGGTTCTGTTTCTCTAAGTCAGCACCAACCTGAGAAATGTGTTTAGGACATTATACTATGAGTAGGGGATAAGGGAGCAGCTGGAGGACAGGAGTTATAGGGCATTGTATCTGCCTCTTAAAGAATTTACAAGCTCTAAACATAGAAAAGTTAGTGCTAGAAGCAACCTTAGAAACTATTTGTTCCACTCTTCTCATTTTTCAAATAAGGAAAGCTTATTAAAACAAAGCTAATAGTGCAGCATGGTTCTGTCTGACATGCTGTGAGCTTCAAAATGAATCAAATATACTTGACACATTTGGTCAAGAGATTATTTGGGTTATACGCCTCCCTTTTCTGTTTTTTCCTTCCCCCTTTAAAATGCTACAATAAAATTGCACTGTGGTGAGACCCACATTCTTTTCATAATGTGCTACCTTTTGGTCTCCACTCGTCATCATTGCATAATCTCACCTGTTATCTTGATCAGCCTCCTCTTGTACCTTTAGCATTAAATCTCAAGCAAGTAACCTGTTTTCCTGAGGTGTTTAGTAGAATCACGTTTAGTTTTTTCTCACCTTGCCTTTCTAAATGTTGATCCTCTTAAGAATAAAGATGTGTTTAGAGAAAGGATTTTAAGCATACATGCCAAATGGCAAAGAAAGAGGGTGGCTTTTCCATTTCTATTATACTCTGCTGTGGCATTGACTCCAACCCTCCCCAAATCGAATTGAAATTGGGCATCAATATCCCTGCCTGCTCGCCCTCAGTATTCTTTTTATTTATTTACTTATTTTTTTTTTGAGACAGAGTCCCGCTCTGTCACCCAGGCTGGACTGCAGTGGCGCGATCTCGGCTCACTGCAAGCTTCACCTCCCGGGTTCACTCCATTCTCCTGCCTCAGCCTCCCAAGTAGCTGGGACTACAGGCGCCCGCCACCACGTCCAGCTAATTTCTTTTTGTGTCTTTAGTAGAGACGGGGATTCACTGTGTTAGCCAGGATGGCTCGATCTCCTGACCTCGTGATCCTCCCGCCTCGGCCTCCCAAAGTGCTGGGATTACAGGCATGAGCCACCGCGCCCGGCCCTCCCTCAGTATTCTTTTATTCTATAGACCTATAATTCAAACTCTAAGAGAAAGAAGTTCTTTCCCTCTGTCTCAGCTCTGCAGGGAGGAAATTAACCCCTCCCTCTCATGCCTCCATGTCCACTCATCCCTATCCTAGCTCCTTTTATAAAAAATGAGAAGTTAAGAATATGGCTGCACAGATCTTAGGACATTCTTTAGTCCTGGTGTTTCTAGTAAGATCATCTTCTGTTAGCCCAGGCATCTTAATTTTTTATACCACATACTCCTTTGACAGGCTGAGGAAGCCTGTAGAGTCCTTTGCTGCATAGTGCTTTGAAATGCAAGACATAAAATTCATAAATTACAAAGAAAACTAATTATATTGAAGTAGTTAGCAAATTATGAAAAAATTGTGATGTAGGACCATATGTGCCTTTATTAACATATTAAATAAGATCTAGTGGTGGGTCTAATAACCACCATAATCTCAAAGCAGCGATGAGCACAAATGTTATTCCTAGACAGCTGCAACAACTGTAATGTGGTATGAAAATGTCTATGATTTCTATTGATGACAGCTGTAAGCTGTGATTTCTTTCCTACATTCATAATGGAAGAAAATGCTAAATTCTAGTTAGTAGTGAGAAAAAATGAAGATGTAATCGTTTCCCATTTACATTCAGGAACCCAGTGAATTCTGTCCAAGAATCTCTTTGCCCAGCTTAAGAACTCCAGCTGAGCTTCCTACCACAGACCTCAGTAGGCCTGACCCAGGTTAGACATTCCATCCTGCACCTCCTCTTCTTTTCCTGAAGGCAGAACTAAGGAGCAAATTTTGGGCTACTCTTGGTGATGGGCTATTTCTTCTCTCCATGTCTTGCTTCGAGAACATCTAGATAAGAAGGTCTAAAGTTTTTAATTTAGGTCGGGGTAAAGTACAAATGTACTTTACCAGTTAGGAAACATTTTCTATAGTAGCAAGTTCTCTCTTCTACTACCCAAAGTCTTCACTTCAGATATTTACATAATGATGTGTTTAATGATTTAATGTAATCTGATTCTAATTCTCTCTATAAATAGATACATAGATAGAGTGATAGATATAGATAAATAGAAAGGACAGAGATATAGTGCGTGTATATATAAATACAGATATACATACATATATTTTGTATTTTTTATCCTTTAAAATTTGGAGATGACCCTAGGGCTTTTTCCATAAAAAGAAATTTACTAGAAGAAAAACTCCATGAGGGCAGGGACTATGTTTTGTTCTCTGCTGCTTCTACAGCAATTAGGAGTGTCTGGTCCTACTTAAATATTTATTGAGTATATAGCTGAAAGGTATTCTGTAAGTACAAGTGGGCTTCTGAGGGTTTTGGGGTTTACATGAAACCAGTGTTAAAAGAGAAAGCCAAGTATCCCAGAAATAGTCTTAATAAAATCAATACCAAGCCTTAAGAAAATAAATACACACATATGTGCATACATGCATGCATAATTAATAACAACCAAGCCATGGTGTCATGAAATAGCAAAAGATTTTGTTTTACTTTTAAGTCAAAATAAAAGGTTTGTATTGCTATAGTAATGATCTAGAAGACATGAAACAAAAGTTATAACTAAGGAAGTAGAAGTAAAGCTAACTATGTTTGTATACCAGTACAGAGGAAATTGAACAAAGTAAATGGAAATTGTTTACTGAACTCTGTGAACACTGGTAGAGTGGCTGTACCACCATGGGTGACTGGTACAGATGTGTTGAATAAATGAATGAATGAGCTAACAATTCTATACTAGGTAACTTCTTCCTCACCTCAACCTTCCAACACTGCACAGAGATGCTAGAATTTATACAAGTTGAGTAAAATAATCTAAGATGTGAATATTTCACTGGGAGAAGGATTGTAGAGAATAAGGGAGGAATTGGTGGTCATACAATGTGACTTCTGGTCAACCACAAAAAACTAGGTGATGCCAGCACTAGCTCAGGTTCTGATATGATAAGATGGAGAAAGATGCACAGGAGTGAGAAGTCCGTAAGGGATGTAGAGGGGCTCTGCTCATGCATGTTGCCCAATTGTAGCATTGAAGTCTTAGAGTCCCTGAATTCATTTAGCTGCTATGTAGTATATTTCATATTCTAACAGAAGATTTCTCAAGCATGCCTGGCAAATGCTCATACAATCTCCCTTAGAATGTCTCCAGTGATAAAGATCATACAACTTTTTAAACTGGGCAGCTCAATTATTAACAGACATAATTTTGTAAAGCTTCATCTTTATAATGCTTGAAATGTACCACCTTACAATTGCACCCAATACTGAGCACAATGCCTATACAGAAAAACCACTCACTAATTTTTTTGTTGTTGAATTAACAGTCTCATTTTTACCCCTGTGTGGGAGGACTCCACTCACTTGCAGATGATGGACTTTTTTCTCAAAAGAAGAGGGTAATTAGGAGCAGTGCCATAGCAGACAAGAGTTCAACATTTCATGATGACAGTTCAGTTCCATTTATTTATTTAGCAGATATGTTTTTCAGCTTTTTAAGACAATACCTTCTTGATAATACTAGGTGAGAAAAGAGGATGTATGAAAGCAATACAACTCTTTAAATAATAATACCCACTTCCAGGTACATCACTCTCAAAACATTCCCTTCCCCAGGTAAAATTTTACAAAATCTATCAATAATCATAGTTTGCCCAATCATCAGGCTTTACCATGGGTGCTGAGGTTTATCAGTTTTACCCTTGGTACTACAACCTAGACCAAAACACTCAGGAGGTGTGATGTAATCTCATCAGAATACAATGAATCCATCATAATATTGGATATAAACTAGGAGTTCTATTGACACATTAACTGAAACATTTTTCTCAGCAATTTCATCACACACTGAGTTTGCAATTGTATAAAAGCAGAGTTTCATATTTAATCTGTGTCTATTTTTCAGCCAGGTCTTTCCTATAAATTTACCCTTTTTACTCTAAATGCAGAACTTAGCAACTACTCCTATTAAAAATTTTATTTTGTTGGTTTCAGTGTAATAGTTCAACATTTTAAGAGCTTCTATATTTTCATTCTCCTTCCATTTTTCTTTATCTAGCTCAGATGTTAAAATATCTCTACACTCTGAATTTTGATTCCCTCCTTCTTTCGCCAGCATTGCACCTGCCTTTCTCAAACCTCCCTTAACTCTCTTTTAAATTTGATCTTTTGCATTTCTACATTGCTTTCACTGAAATTGGTTCAATGATAATCACTTAATTTTCAAATCAAAAGTATTTTAAGTCTTTATCCTATTGGATCTTTTCTTAGTATTTAGTGATGTTGATCATCTTTTATTTGTAGAAATCTCTCTTTCCCTAAATTTTATTACATTATTTGCTTATGGTTCACCTTGTACCAAAATATCTTTGATCTTCTTTTCTCTTTAAATATCATTGTACCTCATGCTTTCCCATTTATTCTCAGTTACTTCCATGTCTCCAAAGGTATGTCACCACTCTTAGTCTAGATTTCTTTCCTTAGCTACCAGACATATATTTTCCACTGACTGCTGGAAAATTAAATCTCTACACCCTTAAACACCCTAAACTCAATATTTTCAAAATTTTTAATTTTAGAGAGCAAGATTCTCTGCCTTTTTTTCTATGAAATTCATCCTCTACTTCACTGTCCAACAGATACCAAGCACAGACATTATCAGCTCAATTATATTATTACAGAATACATTCTACATTCCTTTAGCTTAATCTGTAAGACTCTTCACAATACAGTGTATATATTGAATTCACTATATGCAGACTCAACTCTAAGTGTTTTATTTATATTAACTCATTAAATTCACAACCTATAAAATAGGAACTATTACCACCATTTTAGAAATGAGGAAATGTGTACAACAAAGAAATGACTTGCTAAAAATCAATAGCTATAAGTGTGGGAGCCAGGGCCCCAACCCAAGGGGTCTGGCTCCAGGATCTATTATTTTGACTACCACACGATATTGCTTTTCACAATGTGGCCTCCTAAGGTTTTCAGATTTAGCTTGCCATAATTCTGCACCACACTTATTGTTTTTCAGAAACAAAATTTCTTGCTGTTTCTCCCAAACTCTGTGTCTTTCCAGGACTCTGTGCCTCAATTTTTAGTGTTACTGGGGCCAGAATGCCTTTCTATCTCCCTTGATTCTTGTTATCTTTGGTGTCTTATGAACAGAATAGGGAAAGGTAAGAAGCTAACCAAGGTTGTGTCTTCAGGTGAGGTGTAGTCTCAATTCCTCGGGGAGGTCTGGATTACCTCACTTTGAGGAGAGCAGAGTTTTACACCTCTGCACCTGTCAGTTATTGCCTATATACATGGGATAAGGTGATGGGGACTGTTGTAACTCCCAGGCGTCTCCAGCTAAGACAACTTCAATCATCCAAGGGCAATCAATTGTCTAATTGCCCCTGCTAATAAACATTGAAATTGATCTAAGCCGACTTAGTTTTACTTAGAACAAAATAGAATAGAAACTATTAATAAGTTGATCATTTGTTCATGCTTCCATATCAAGATAAAAATTGTAGATATCTTTTGAATTCAGGGTTTTACATAAATAACAACAACAAAACAACACAATTAGCTAATCAAGTCAGATTCTAGCACAATACCTCTCACTTAATAGGTGTGTAATAAATAGGTGACAGAGAAATAAATGACAAGTGAAGCTGTATTTACTGTATATTACACTTTTTGGGTTCCAATTTAATATTTTTCCTAATCCCAAAAAGCAATACATACTTTATGCAATTTCAAAAGCAAAACGTTGAAAACCGTTAAGACCTATACAGAAGGCAGAATGTATTTTTAATCTAAAAATTGAGGTATGTCTATGTTCACAATTTGATATATGTCCATATACTATACTACAGTTGGTCTTACCCAAAAGGCAGAGAAACAATGTCCATATAATATATATGCACACATACATAGATTGTTACATAAATAGAAATACTTTATAAATAATTTTCTAGTTTTTTTTCTCTAACAGCATAGTGGTAAGAATACTTTCATATACTATTCACCCCTACCCCCAACAGATCTAGTAGTGGTGCATAAACTATTTATTTAAAAATTTATCACTTTTACTAATGACTTGAAATACCACTGTTATTGTATATTAACTGCCCATTTGTATTTGGATTTATTTCTGCATCCTTTATCTTATTCTCCTAATTTACCCATTTATACACCAGTGCTAAACAAGTTTTAGTAACAATGATTTTTTTTTCATTGCCCAGATATAGACTGGAGAACATAACTTTTGACAGATTGTAGGTTTAGTCCATACCTCCATTCTCTTCTTTTTTAGAAATATCTCATACAAATTTCTCATCTATCCACAAATGAGAATCTTAAAGATATTTCTATTCAAATTGCAATAAATTTCAGATTACTGAAGAGAGAAGAGACAACTGACATATTTACGATAATATGTATTTCTATTTTAAAAGTTTATCTTTTTTATTGTACTTTAAGTTCTGGGATACATGTGCTGGATGTGCAGGTTTGTTACATAGGTATACATGCGCCATGGTGGTTAGCTGCACCTATCAACCCATCATCTAGGTTTTAAGCCCTGCATGCATGAGGTATTTCTCCTAATGCACTCCCTCTCCTTGACACCCCTGCCTTGACAGGCCCCGGTGTGTGCTGTTCCCCTCCCTGTGTCCATGTGTTATCATTGTTCAACTCCCACCTATGAGTGAGAACATGCGGTGTTTGGTTTTCTGTTCCTGTGTTAGTTTGCTGAGAATGATGGCTTCCAGCTTCATCCATGTTTCTGCAAAGGATATAAACTCATTCTTTTTAATGTCTGCATAGTATTCCATGGTGTATATGTGTCACATTTTCTTTATCTAGTCTACCATTGATGGGCATTTGGGTCAGTTCCAAGTAAAAGTGTATCTTTTTTAAAAAAACAAGGGATCGATTTCTGTTCCCAGATCGGGAGGAGGAGGGTTACAGTTTTTTTAATATGGGTCCTAATTGTCCCTTAACAGGCCCAACCTTCAGTGTTTTATCATTTGTGCTTTTATTGAAAATGATATCTTTTCTTCTACATGATTGTTATTAGCATTCAAGAAAGTTCTTTAATTTTGAGTATTAATTTTGTATTCTATCATTTGTTTGAACTCTCTTATAAATTCTACTATTTTTTTCTTTTGAAGCTTTCACAAATACAATCTTAAGTCTACACCATTTTGTCTCCTTAAATTTTATATCTTTTCTTTCTTTTGTCTAATTTATTGACAAGTACATCTAATTTTTGAACATTGTTTAAAAATATAATAGTAAATATGGTAATATAGTTGTCTTATGTATGGTTAATTTTAAGGAACATGGTACTGGCATTCTTTTTTTTTTTATTATACTTTAAGTTCTAGGGTACATGTGCACAATGTGCAGGTTTGTTACATATGTATATATCTCCTGTGTTGGTGTGCTGCACCCGTTAACTCGTCATTTACATTAGGTATATCTCCTAATGCTATCCCTCCTCCCTCCCCACACCCCATGACAAGCCCCAGTGTGTGATGTTCTCCACCCTGTGTCCAAGTGTTCTCATTGTTCAATTCCCACCTATGAGTGAGAACATGCAGTGTTTGGTTTTCCGTCCTTGCGATAGTTTGCTCAGAATAATGGTTTCCAGCTTCATGCATGTCCCTACAAAGGACATGAACTCATCCATTTTTATGGCTGCATAGTACTCCATGGTGTATATGTGCCACATTTTCTTAATCCAGTCTATCATCAATAGATATTTAGGTTGGTTCCAAGTCTTTGCTATTGTGAATAGTGCTGCAATAAACATACGTTTGCATGTTTATAGCAGCATGATTTATAATTATTTGGGTATATGTCCGGTAATGGGATGGCTGGGTCAAATGGTATTTCTAGTTCTAGATCCTTGAGGAATCGCCACACTGTCTTCCACAATAGTTGAACTAGTTTACAGTCCCACCAACAGTGTAAAAGCGTTCCTATTTCTCCACATCCTCTCCAGCACATGTAGTTTCCTGACTTTTTTTAATTAATTTTTTTAATGATACTTAAAGTTTTAGGGTACATGTGCACAATGTGCAGGTTAATTACATATGTATACATGTGCCATGTTGGTGTGCTGCACCCATTAACTCGTCATTTAACCTTAGGTATATCTCCTAATGCTATCCCTCCCCTCTCCTCCCACCCCACAACAGGCCGCAGTGTGTGATGTTCCCCTTCCTGTGTCCATGTGTTCTCATTCTTCAATTCCCACCTATGAGTGAGAACATGTGGTGTTTGGTTTTTTGTCCTTGTGATAGTTTGCTGAGAATGATGGTTTCCAGCTTCATCCATGTCCCTACAAAGGACATGAACTCATCATTTTTTATGGCTGCATAGTATTCCATGGTGTATATGTGCCACATTTTCTTAATCCAGTCTATCATTGTTGGACATTTGGGTTGGTTCCAAGTCCTTGCTATTGTGAATAGTGCCACAATAAACATACGTGTGCATGTGTCTTTATGGCAGCATGATTTATAATCCTTTGGGTAAATACCCAGTAATGGGATGGCTGGGTCAAATGGTATTTCTAGTTCTAGATCCCTAAGGAACTGCCATACTGACTTCCACAATGGTTGAAACAGTTTACAGACCCACCAACAGTGTAAAAGTGTTGCTATTTCTCCACATCCTCTCCAGCACCTGTTGTTTCCTGACTTTTTAATGATTGCCATTCTAACTGGTGTGAGATGGTATCTCACTGTGGTTTTGATTTGCATTTCTCTGATGGCCAGTGATGATGAGCATTTTTTCATGTGTCTTTTGGCTGCATAAATGTCTTCTTTTGAGAAGTGTTTGTTCATATCTTTCACCCACTTTTTGATGGGGTTTTTAATTATTTTTTCTTATAAATTTGTTTGAGTTCATTGTAGATTCTGGATATTAGCCCTTTGTCAGATGAGTAGATTGCAAAAATTTTCACCCATTCTGTAGGTTGCCTGTTCACTCTGATGGTAGTTTCCTTTGCTGGGAAGAAGCTCTTTAGTTTAATTAGATCCCATTTGTCAATTTTGGCTTTTGTTGCCCTTGCTTTTAGTGTTTTAGACATGAAGTCCTTGCCCATCCCTACGTCCTGAATGCTACTGCCTATGTTTTCTTCTAGGGTTTTTATGGTTTTAGGTCTATTTGTGTACCTGAAAGTGATGGGGAGAACCAAGTTGGAAAACACTCTGCAGGATATCATCCAGGAGAACTTCCCCAATCTAGCAAGGCAGGCCAACATTCAAATTCAGGAAATACAGAAAAGGCCACAAAGATACTCATCAAGAAGAGCAACTCCAAGACACATAATTATCAGATTCACCAAAGTTGAAATGAAGGAAAAAATGTTAAGGGCAGCCAGAGAGAAAGGTCGGGTTGCCCACAAAGGGAAGCCCATCAGACTAACAGCGGATCTCTTGGCAGAAACTCTACAAGCCAGAAGAGAGTGGGGGCCAATAATCAACATTCTTAAAGAAAATAATTTTCAACCCAGAATTTCATATCCAGTCAAACTAAGCTTCATAAGTGAAAGAGAAATAAAATACTTTGCAGACAAGCAAATGCTGAGAGATTTTGTCACCACCAGGCCTGCCCTAAAAGAGCTCCTGAAGGAAGCACTAAACATGGAAAGGAACAACCAGTACCAGCCACTGCAAAAACATGCCAAATTGTAAAGACCATCGATACTAGGAAGAAACTGCATCACCTAACGAACAAAATAACCAGCTAACATCATAATGAGAGGATCAAATTCAAACATAACAATATTTACCTTAAATGTAAATGGGCTAAATGCTCCAATTAAAAGGCACAGACTGGCAAATTGGCTGAAGAGTCAAGACCCATCAGTGTGCTGTGTTCAGGAAACCCATCTCATGTGCAGACACACACATAGGCTCAAAATAAAGGGATGGAGGAAGATCTCCCAAGCAAATGGAAAACAAAAAAAAGGTAGGGGTTGCAATCCTAGTCCCTGATAAAACAGACTTTAAACCCACAAAGATCAAAAGAGAAAAAGAAGGCCATTGCATAATGGTAAAGGAATCAATTCAACAAGAAGAGCTAACTATCCTAAACACATATGCACCCAATACAGGAGGATGTAGATTCATAAAGCAAGTCCTTAGAGACCTGCAAAGAGACTTAGACTCCCACACAATAATAATGGGAAACTTTAACACCCCACTGTCAACATTATACAGATCAATGAGACAGAAAGTTAACGAGGATATCCAGGAATTGAACTCAGCTCTGCAGCAAGAGGACCTAATAGACATCTAAAGAACTCTCCACCCCAAATCAACAGAATATACATTCTTTTCAGCACCACACCACACCTACTCCAAAATTGACCACATAGTTGGAAGTAAAGCACTCCTCAGCAAATGTAAAAGAACAGAAATTATAACAAACTATCTCTCAGAGCACAATGCAATCAAACTAGAACTCAGGATTAAGAAACTCACTCAAAACCACTCAACTACATGGAAACTGAACAACCTGCTCCTGAATGACTACTGGGTACATAATGAAATGAAGGCAGAAATAAAGATGTTCTTTGAAACCAACGAGAACAAAGAAACAACATACCAGAATCTCTGGGAGACATTCAAAGCAGTGTGTAGAGGGAAATTTATAGCACTAAATGCCCACAAGAGAAAGCAGAAAAGATCTAAAATTGACACCCTGACATCACAATGAAAAGAACTAGGGAAGCAAGAGCAAACACATTCAAAAGCTAGCAGAAGGCAAGAAATAACTAAGATCAGAGCAGAACTGAAGGAAACAGAGACACAAAAAACCCTTCAAAAATTCAACGAATCCAGGAACTGGTTTTTTGAAAAGATCAACAAAATTGATGGACCAATAGCAAGACTAATAAAGAAGAGACAGAAGAATCAAATAGATGCAATAAAAAATGATAAAGGAGATATCACCACTGATCCCACAGAAATACAAACTACCATCAGAGAATACTATAAACACCTCTACGCAAATAAACTAGAAAATCTAGAAGAAATGGATAAATTCCTTGATACATACACCCTCCCAAGACTAAACCAGGAAGAAGTTGAATCCCTGAATAGACCAATAACAGGCTCTGAAATTGAGGCAATAATTAATAGCTTACCAACCAAAAAAAGTCCAGGACCAGATGGATTCACAGCTAAATTCTACCAGAGGTACAAGGAGGAATTGGTACCATTCCTTCTGAAACTATTCCAATAAATAGAAAAAGAGGGAATCCTCCCTAATTCATTTTATGAGGCCAGCATCATCCTGATACCAAAGCCTGGCAGATACACAACAAAAAAAGAGAATTTTAGACCAATATCCCTGATGAACATCAATGCAGAAATCCTCAATAAAACACTGGCAAACCAAATCCAGCAGCACATCAAAAAGCTTATCCACCATGATCAAGTGGGCTTCATCCCTGGGATGCAAGGCTGGTTCAACATACACAAATCAATAAATGTAATCCAGCATATAAACAGAACCAGCAACAAAAAACACATAATTATCTCAATAGATGCAGAAAAGGCCTTTGACAAAATTCAACAACACTTCATGCTAAAAACTCTCAATAAATTAGGTATTAATGGGATGTATCTCAAAATAATAAGAGCTATTTATGACAAACCCACAGCCAATATCATACTTAATGGGCAAAAACTGGAGGCATTCCCTTTGAAAACTGGCACAAGACAGGGATGCCCTCTCTCACCACTCCTATTCAATGTAGTGTTGGAAGTTCTGGCCAGGGCAATCAGGCAGGAGAAGGAAATAAAGGGTATTCAATTAAGAAAAGAGGAAGTCAAATTGTCCCTCTTTGCAGACGACATGATTGTATATCTAGAAAACCCCATCGTCTCAGCCCAAAATCTCCTTAAGCTTATAGGCAAGTTCAGCAAAGTCTCATACAAAATCAATGTGCAAAAATCACAAGCATTCTTATACACCAATAACAGACAGAGAGCCAAATCATGATTGAACTCCCATTCACAATTGCTTCAGAGAGAATAAAATAGCTAGGAATCCAACTTACAAGGGACGTGAAGGACCTCTTCAAGGAGAACTACAAACCACTGCTCAAGGAAATAAAAGAGGATACAAATGAATGGAAGAACATTCCATGCTCATTGGTAGGAAGAACCAATATCGTGAAAATGTCGATACTGCCCAAGGTAATTTATAGATTCAATGCCATCCCCATCAAGCTACCAATAACTTTCTTCCCAGAATTGGAAAAAACTACTTTAAAGTTCATATGGAACCAAAAAAGAGCCCACATTGCCGAGTCAATCCTAAGCCAAAAGAACAAAGCTGGAGACATCCCACTACCTGACTTCAAACTATACTACAAAGCTGCAGTAACCAAAACAGCTTGGTACTTGCACCAAAACAGAGATATAGACCAATGGAAGAGAACAGAGCCCTCAGAAATACTGCCACATATCTACAACCATCTGATCTTTGACAAACCTGACAAAAACAAGAAATGGGGAAAGGATTTCCTATTTAATAAATGGTGCTGGGAAAACTGGCTAGCCATATGTAGAAAGCTGAAACTGGAACCCTTCCTTACACCTTATGGAAAAATTAATTCAAGATGGATTAAAGTTTCCTGACTTTTTAATGATCATCATTCTAACTGGTGTGAGATGGTATCTCATTGTGGTTTTGATTTGCATTTCTCTGATGGCCAGTGATGATGAGCATTTTTTCATGTGTCTGTTGGCTGCATAAATGTCTTCTTTTGAGAAGTGTCTGTTCATATCCTTTGCCCACTTTTTGATGGGGTTGTTTGATTTTTTTCTTGTAAATTTGTTGAAGTTCTTTGTAGATTCTGGATGTTAGCCCTTTGCCAGATGGGTAGATTGCAAAAATTTTCTCCCATTCTGTAGGTGGCCTGTTCACTCTGATGGTAGTTTCTTTTGCTATGCAGAAGCTCTTGAGTTTAATTAGATCCCATTTGTCAACTTTGGCTTTTGTTGACATTGCTTTTGGTGTTTTAGTCATGAAGTCCTTGCCCATGCCTATGGCCTGAATGGTATTGCCTAGGTTTTCTTCTAGGATTTTTACGGTTTTAGGTCTAACATTTAAGTCTTTAATCCATCTTGAATTAATTTTTGTATAAGGTGTAAGGAAGGGATCCAGTTTCAGCTTTCTACATATGGCTAGCCAGTTTTCCCAGCACCATTTATTAAATAGGGAATCCTTTCCCCATTTCTTGTTTTTGTCAGGGTTTGTCAAAGATCAGATGGTTGTAGATGTGTGGTATTATTTCCGTGGGCTCTATTCTGTTCCATTGGTCTATATCTCTGTTTTATTACCAGTACCATGCTGTTTTGGTTACTGTAGCCTTGTAGTGTAGTTTGAAGTCAGGTAGTGTGATGCCTCCAGCTTTGTTCTTTTTGCTTAGGATTGTCTTGGCAACGTGGGCTCTTTTGGTTCCATATGAACATTGAAGCAGTTTTTTCCAATTCTGGGAAGCAAGTCATTGGTAGCTTGATGGGGATGGCATTGAATCTATAATATGGCTATTTTCACAATGTTGATTCTTTGTATCCATGAGCATGGAATGTTCTTCCATTTGTTTGTGTCCCCTTTTATTTTGTTGAGCAGTGATTTGTAGTTCTCCTTGAAGAGGTCCTTCACGTCCCTTGTAAGTTGGATTCCTAGGTATTTTATTTTCTTTGAAGCAATTGTGAATGGGAGTTCACTCATGATTTGGCTCTCTGTTTGTCTGTTGTTATTGGTGTATAGGAATGCTTGTGATTTCTGCATGTTAATGTTGTATCCTGAGACTTTGCTGAAGTTGCTTATCAGCTTAAGGAGATTTTGGGCTGAGACTATGGGGTTTTCTAAATATACAATCATATCATCTGCAAACAGGGACAATTTGACTTCCTCTTTTCCTAATTGAATACGCTTTTTTTCTTTCTCTTGCCTGATTGCCCTGGCCAGAACTTCCAACGCTACGTTGAATAGGAGTGGTGAGAGAGGGCATCCCTGTCTTGTGCCAGTTTTCAAAGGGAATGCCTCCAGTTTTTGCCCATTAAGTATGATATTGGCTGTGGGTTTGTCATAAATAGCTCTTATTATTTTGATATACATCCCATCAATACCTAGTTTATTGACAGTTTTTAGAATGAAGGGCTGTTGAATTTTCTTGAAGGCCTATTGAGATAATCATGTGGTTTTTGTCTTTGGTTCTTTTTATATGATGCATTACATTTATTGATTTCTGTTTGTTGAACCAGCCTTGCATCCCAGAGATGAAGCCCACTTGATCATGGTGGATAAGCTTTTTGATGTGCTGCTGGATTCAGTTTGCCAGTATTTTATTGAGGATTTTTGCATCGATGTTCATTAGGGATATTGGTCTAAAATTCTCTTTTTTTGTTGCTTCTCTGCCAGGCTTTGGTATACAGATGATGTTGGCCTCATAAAATGAATTAGGGAGGATTCTCTCTTTTTCCATTGATTGGAATAGTTTCAGAAGGAATGGTACCAGCTCCTCTTTGTACCTCTCATAGAATACGGCTGTGAATCTGTGTGGTCCTGGACTTTTTTGGTTGGTAGGCTACTAATTATTGCCTCAATTTCCAAACCTGTTATTGGTCTATTCAGGGATTGAACTTCTTCCTGGTTTAGTCTTGGGAGGGTGTATGTGTCCAGAAATGTATGCATTTCTTCTATATTTTCTAGTTTATTTGCATAGAGGTGTGTATAGTATTCTCTGATGGTAGTTTGTATTTCTGTGGGATCAGTAGTGATATCCCCTTTATCATTTTTTATTACATCTGTTTGATTCTTCTCTCTTTTCTTCTTTATTAGTCTTGCTATCAGTCTATCAATTTTGTTGATCTTTTCAAAAAACCAGTTCCTGGATTCATTGATTTTTTGAAGGGTTTTTTGTGTCTCTATCTCCTTCAATTCTGCTCTGATCTTAGTTATTTCTTGCCTTCTGCTAGCTTTTGAATGTGTTTGCTCTTGCTTCTCTGGTTTTTTTAATTGTGACGTTAGGGTGTCAGTTTTAGATCTTTCCTGCTTTCTCTTGTGGGCATTTAGTGCTATAAATTTCCCTCTACACACTGCTTTAAATGTGTCCCCTATATTCTGGTATGTTGTATCTTTGTTCTCATTGGTTTCAAAGAACATCTTCATTTCTGCCTTCATTTTGTTATGTATCCAGTAGTCATTCAGGAGCGGGTTAGTCAGTTTCCATGTAGTTGAGTGGTTTTGAGTAAGTTTCTTAATCCTGAGTTCTAGTTTGTTTTCACTGTAGTCTGAGAGACAGTTTGTTATAATTTCTGTTCTACATTTGCCAAGGAGTGCTTTACTTCCAACTATGTGGGCTATTGTGGAATAAGTGTGATGTGGGCTGAGAAGAATGTGTATTCTGTTGATTTGGGTGGAGAGTTCTGTAGATGTCTATTAGATCCACTTGGTGCAGAGCTGAGTTCAATTCCTGGATATCCTTGCTAACTTTCTGTCTCGTTGATCTGTCTAATGTTGACAGTGGGGTGTTAAAGTCTCCTATTATTATCGTGTGGGAGTCTAAGTCTCTTTGTAGATCTCTAAGGACTTGCTTTATGAATCTGCATCCTTCTGTATTGGGTGCATATATATTTAGGATAGTTAGCTCTTCTTGTTGAATTGATCCCTTCACCATTATGTAATGACCTTCTTTGTCTCTTTTGATCTTTGTTGGTTTAAAGTCTGTTTTATCAGAGACTAAGGTTGTAACCCCTGCCTTTTTGTTTGTTTGTTTTCCATTTGCTTGGTAAATCTTCCTCCATCCCTCTATTTTGAGCCTATGTGTGTCTCTGCACATGATATGGGTCTCCTGAATACAGCACACTGATGGGTCTTGACTCTTTATCCAATTTGCCAGTCTGCATCTTTTAATTGGAGCATTTAGCCCATTTACATTTAAGGTAAATATTGTTATGTTTGAATTTGATCCTCTCATTATGATGTTAGCTGGTTATTTTGCTTGTTAGTTGATGCAGTTTCTTCCTAGCCTCGATGGTCTTTACAATTTGGCATGTTTTTGCAGTGGCTGGTACTGGTTGTTCCTTTCCATGTTTAGTGCTTCCTTCAGGAGCTCTTGTAAGGCAGGCCTGGTGGTGACAAAATCTCTCAGCATTTGTTTGTCTGTAAAGTATTTTATTTCTCCTTCACTTATGAAGCTTAGTTTGGCTGGATATGAAATTCTGGGTTGAAAATTATTTTCTTTAAGAATGTTGATTATTGGCCCCCACTCTCTTCTGGCTTGTAGAGTTTCTGCTGAGAGGTCTGCTGTTAGTCTGATGGGCTTCCCTTTGTGGGTAACCTGACCTTTCTCTCTGGCTGCCCTTAACATTTTTTCCTTCATTTCAACTTTGGTGAATCTGACAATTATGTGTCTTGGAGTTGCTCTTCTCGAGGAGTATCTTTGTGGCATTCTCTGTATTTCCTGAATTTGAAGTTGGCCTGCCTTGCTAGGTTGGGGAAGTTCTCCTGGATAATATCCTGCAGAGTGTTTTCCAACTTGGTTCCATTCTCCCCGTCACTTTCAGGTACAGCAATCAGATGCAGATTTGGTCTTTTCACATAGTCCCATATTTATTGGAGGCTTTGTTCATTTCTTTTTACTCTTGTTTCTCTAAACTTCTCTTCTCACTTCATTTCATTCATTTGATCTTCAACCACTGATACCCTTTCTTCCACTTGATCAAATTGGCTACTGAAGCTTGTGCATGCATCACATAGTTCTCGTGCCATGGTTTTCAGTTCCATCAGGTCATTTAAGGACTTCTCTACACTGTTTATTCCAGTTAGCCATTCATCTAATCTTTTCTCAGGGTTTTTAGCTTCTTTGCAATGGGTTTGAACATCCTCCTTTTGCTTGGAGAAGTTTGTTATTACCGATTGTCTGAAGAATTCTTCTCTCAACTCATCAAAGTCATTCTCTGTCCAGCTTTGTTCCATTGCTGGTGAGGAGTTGTGTTTCTTTGGAGGAGAAGAGGCACTCTGGTTTTTAGAATTTTCAGATTTTCTGCTCTGGTTTCTCCCCATCTTTGTGGTTTTATCTACCTTTGGTCTTTGATGGTGGTGATGTACAGATTTGGTTTTGGTGTGGATGTCCTTTCTGTTTGTTAGTTTTCCTTCTAACAGTCAGGACCCTCAGCTACAGGTCTATTGGAGTTTGCTGGAGGTCCACTCCAGACCCTGTTTGCCTGGGTATCACCACTGGAGGCTGCAGAACAGCAAATATTGCAGAACGGCAAATGTTGCTGTCTAATCTTTCTTCTGGAAGCTTCGTCTCAGAGGGGCACCTGGCTGTATGAGGTGTCAGTCGGCCCCTACTGGGAGGTGTCTCCCATTAGGCTACTTGGGGGGTCAGGGACCCACTTGAGGAGGCAGTCTGTCCATGCTCAGATTTCAAACTCCATGCTGGGAGAGGCACTACTCTCTTCAAACCTGTCAGACAGGGACGTTTAAGTCTGCACAAGTTTCTGCTGCCTTTCGTTCAGCTATGCCCTGCCCCCAGAGGTGGAGTCTACAGAGGCAGGCAGGCCTCCTTGAGCTGCAGTGGGCTCCACCCAGTTCGAGCTTCCCAGCCACTTTGTTTACCTACTCAAGCCTCAGCAACGGCAGACGCCCCTCCCACAGCCTCGCTGCCACCTTGCAGTTTGATCTCAGACTGCTGTGCTAGCAGTGAGCGAGGATCCATGGGCATCAGACCCTCCGAGCCAGGCACAGGATATAATCTCCTGGTGTGCTGTTTGCTAAGGCTGTTGGAAAAGTGCAGTATTAGGGTGGGAGTGTACCAATTTTCCAGGTACCATCTGTCATGGCTTCCCTTTGCTAGGAAAGGGAATTCCCTGACCCCTTGCGCTTCCCAGGTGAGGCGATGCCCCGCCCTGTTCCGTGGGCTGCACCCAATGTCTGACAAGCCCCAGTGAGATGAACCTAATACCTCAGTTGGAAATGCAGAAATCACCCGTCTTCTGCACCGCTCACGCTGGGAGCTGCAGACTGGAGCTGTTCCTATTCAGCCATCTTGGAACCTCCACTGGCATTCTTTATTAAACCTAATACTAGATCCTAATTAAAATATATGAATATATGCATGTATGAAGAAAGAGATAAAGGAGAAGGAGGAAGAGAAAATGAGAGGTGTGATTTTTTAAAAATTATTAAGCTTTCATAGCATTCAATGACATATTTCACCAACTGCTTTTATTGTCATCTATGAGAATAATTGTATGTGGCTTTATAGTATATACCTTTATTGTTAGATTTACTAACATTGAACAAAGCATATATGCTCCTATGATTAGTCTAACTTGATTAAGATCACTGCTTTAGATGAGTCTCTCTTACCCTTCATACAGGTGGGCTTTCCTTTTTATTAATCTCTAAAGTAATTTTTAATATGTACGCCCAATTAACATTTATACATTTATATGACAGAGAGGTTTGGTCTCACTCTGCCATTGTGTTTTTAGATTTTAAAGTCCTGCTCTTATTTCTCTACAACATGCTATGAATTTGCTGTGATTTGTATGTTTATGATTTTACTTTGGGTAATTTGGAGGCCTGTTGTCTTTTTATTTATTGTAGATATGAGTTCTACAACTTGAGATAATATCCTCAAACCTCTATTGCTTGAGATATAATCTTTAAACAATTAGAAGACAAGGTATTTGTACACTGATAGTTCCATTTCTCATTCACATTCCCCCCTCCACCACTCAATTCTCAGTTCTTCTAATGGTCATCCTTATTCATTACAGTAATGTACTTAAACAGTGATTATTTGATTCATCCACTTTTAGCGGTGTATGTTAGCACTCCTTCTCTGAAAATGAAAACATTTACTTATTTCTACAATTTTCAACTCTCTTTCCACTATAACAAAATTTGGCATACTTACTTATATTTTTATTTATTTATCATTATACTTTCAGTGGTTTAGCCTTAGTCCCATATTAATTTTAACATCTTAACTATTTCCAAGATTTCTCTATTGATTGTTCATGTGTCTTAAATTTTCTTATGATCATTTTAAAGTGCTCATGACTACTAATTTCCAGGCTTTTTTCATACTTAAAATAACCATTTCTTGCCTTAGTTGAGATGCCTTCTGGCTTTTTCTTTCTCTTAAAATTCTATAGACTTTATTCCACTGACTTCTAGTGCTAAATTTTGCTGTGGTTAAGTCTGATGCTAGTCTGATTCTTAATAAGTGGTAATTTGGGCAGAGGGCTGAGACAGTGCCTATATCAATAGTACCCCCTCTATCATGGATATATAATAACTTTACCAGGCTGTGTCTTGATGTTTATAACTGTATGCCTTAAGACACTGTAAGTCCAGTATTTCAACTATTTCATATTTTTTTCTATTATAACTTTGAATTTTTATAGTTTCATTTGTCCTGTTAGCTTTCTAAGTTAACACCAATGATGAACCTATTAGATCTTTATATGAATCTCATGTCTATTATTTTTCTCTTACTTATTTCCATTTATGTGTTTGCTTTTCTCAATGCTATTTTCCCTGTTCTTTACTGTTGTTTCAGGAGTATCTATTTCCTTTTTTTTTTTTTTTTTTTTTGCTGCTACTAATACGACTTTCATTTATAAAATGTTTCCATTTTTATTTGATTCCTCAATTTTTGTCATATACTGTTGCCTTATTATTTCTTCTTTAAGCTCTTGTATCCTTTTTTTAAAAAGCTCTTGGGCCAAGAGGTCATTTTCTCTTTGTTTCTTAGTTTCCTAGGGTGTGTTAACCTATAGCTGTCATGTGCTTCATAATATTATATGTATACCTTATATTCTGCATTATAGTGAAGATTTTTTTTTACCTTTGTTTCTTGTAGTGTCTGGCTAGGACTATGCCTGTTGTTTTCTTGTTATTAGTTTGAATGGGGACCATTTGCTCATATGGTAAACTATTTATTGATGTATCATGTAATAGAGGAGAACAGAACTGAGTTGCGTTAAGAGACAGCTTTGATGTTAGTCTGCAATCTCTTCCTTACCAATCGACCAAATGTCTTAGTTTAACTGCTATAACAAAGTACCATACGATGGGTGGCTTATAAGAAACAGAAATTTATTTCTCACAATTCTGGAGGATAAGTCTGAGATTAGGTGCCAGCATGGTTGGGTTCTGGTGAGGACCCTCTTCTGGTTGCACCACCAATTTTTTGTGTAACTTCATATGGCAGAAAGATGGCAAAAGAGCTCTCTGGGGTCCCTTTAAAATGACACTAATTCCATTTATGAGGGTTTAACCCTCATGACCTCATTATCTCCCAAAGCTCCCACCTCCAAGTACCATCACACTGGGGATGAGGATTTCAAAATATGAATTTGGGGGGACATAACCATTCAGTCTACTGCACCAATACTCTATAAATGTGCCTTTGCTCTGGGCTAGCAGGATGCTCTGGATTTGAAATCAGAACATACAGCTCTGAATTCTGGTGTCAGCTCTTCTTAGCTCTATAACTTTGGTAGGTTACTTTAACTCTCTGAGCCTCATGAACTGAATTTTAAAAATTTGTGTAATAATAACACCCACTTCACAAGGTTCTATTGAGGATTACAGATAATTCATGTAAAGTATTAGTACAGTGTATGCTACATAGCAGGTGCCTAATAGTATTTATTATTAGAGCAAAACCCCATTTAGTCTTTGGTATAAATATTTAGTAATTTAACATTACAATCAACCTAGTAATCCCATTACTGGGTATATACGGAGCCAAAGGAACATAAATTATTCTATCATGAAGATACATGCACATGTGTTTATTGCAGCACTATTTACAATAGCAAAGAAATTTGAATCAACCTAAATGCCCATCAGTGGTAGACTGGATAAAGAAAATGTGGTACATATACTCTACGGCATACTATGCAGCCATAAAAAAGAATGAGATCATGTCTTTTCAGGAACATGGATGGAGCTGGAGGCCATTATCCTTAGCAAACAAATGCAGAAATAGAAAACCAAATACCACATGCTCTCACTATGGTTGCTGAATGATGAGAACACACGGACACATAGAAGGGAACAACAGACACTGGGGCCTACTTGAGGGTGGAAGGTGGGAGGATCCAGAAAAATAACTATTAGGTACCAGGCTTAATACCTGGGTGACAAAATAATCTATACGACAAACCCCCATGACATTACTTTACCATTATAACAAACCTGCACATGTAATTCTGAACTTAAAAGTTAAAAATAAAATAAAATAAGCTTAGCATCTGCAAGACTGATTGCCATCCACTGTTTCTCCTTCACTCTGTCACAGCATGTGTCAGTTTCCTATTGATGCTGTGTCAAATTACTACAAATTTAGTTGCTTAAACAAACATATATTTATTAACTTACAGTTCAGGAGGTTGGAAGTCCAAAACAGGTCTCACTGGGCTAAAATCAAGGTGTCGACAGGACTGCGTTCCTTTTTAGGGGATGTAGGGGAGGATCCATTTCCTTGTATTTCTAGCTTCTGTAATTCACCTGCATTCCTTGGCTGTGGTACCTTCCATCTTCAAAGCCAGCAAGGGACAATAGAGTCTTTTTCTTAATGCTTTCTGGTTCTGACTCTTTTGCCTCCCTCCTTCCCATATAAGGACCCATGTGATTACAGTGGGCCTGCCTTCATAATCCGGAATAATCTCCCTGTCTCAAGGTCAGTTGGTTAGCAACTTTAATTCCATCTGTAATCTTAATTCCCCCTCGCCATATAACCTCGCATGTCCACAGGTTCCGAGGATTAGGACATGAGCATCTTTTCAGGGCCATGGCCACATAACAATAGCCTGCTTTCTGCAAAAATGATGTATATTTTTAAATCAAGCCCTTCTCTTTTTTTCTATCTGTAGTGTCAGACAAGGTTGTCTGAGAAGCCTTACATATACCTAGGCTTGCAACTCAAGCTAAGAGCCATATATTTTTGCCCTTTAGTATGTCTAACCTTATTTTGGAGAAGTTTGCACAGAGCTCAAATTCTCTAGGGAATGAATCTGTTCTCGGTTTCCACCTTTGACTAGGTCTGTTTTTCACAGGCCCCAGATATTCTTTTTCATAGCCTTGAGGAGTGATTGCTCTCTAGAATGACTGAATATAGAGTTTTCTGCTTTAATTATTCTATTTTTAGTTTATTTTAGGAAGGCAAGCAAAGGTGCTTTTACTTTGCCATCTTCACCAGACATAACCATCTACTTTTTATGTCATGTGTATTAGAAATTCCTTGAAGGGTCTGTATGTACAATGTCCTTTCCTATCTTCCAACTCAAATGCAGGTTTTTCTCTAACATTATATTGCCTTGGTCATTTCAAGAGGTTCAATATCATATTCAAGAGATTACATATCCAAGTTCAAAGTACCACATTACCTGAACACTCACCCACTTGATTACATATTTTATAAACTGTTATCACATTTCTTCTCTGCCTGTATATATATATAAACGTGTGTGTGTGTTTGTGTGTGTGTGTGTGTGCATGCATGTGTGTTTGTTTCTTTCTGTTTTTACTTTCTGGAAAGAAGGAGTGACAGTTTAATCTAATCTTATGTGGACACACTGTGATCCTATAAATAATTGTAACCCCGTTTTGAACTGAATGGTGGGCTAATTGCTAAGAAATTTAGATACTGGAGCTTGGAAAGATTTCGGAAATTGTCTTCAGCTTCTCTGATCATTTATTGCATTCACAGATCTGGTAACAGTAATTGCTTAATATTAAATATTTTGTGCTCAATAGCTTACAAGAATCCAAAGCAAAATTGTGTTTGGGAAGTAAATTATCCCCTAAATAGGTGACCCTGAAGCCTCATGAACTAACTGTACCTTCCTCACTTATTAATAAGCACCATTTCCAGGCAACCAAGATGTATTGAGTTGGGAGTCCCTAAGTGCGAGAGGGTCCAGAAATAGCTTTGACTTTTCCTTTTTTTAATTTACCTTGTGGGGCTATGGGGAATGAGCAATCCTTTAGTCTGTCAATATCACCAGCAACAGCACCACATGAAGTGAGGATGGGGAGGGGAGGAGTGAAGTGATGGGGGAGGCTCAGCTGAGAAGATGGAATATCTATTTGACACAGAAGAGGGTCCTCAGCACTCTGCAGAGCTGAAATGTCAAAAGCAGCCACTGAAAAAGAACTGAGTCATCAGAATTTTGACACCAACAGTGCTACACTACATATATATGTGTGAATTCTAATACCACTAACTGCTATTTCCATAGACTAGGAATATTCTGTTTCTGTCTTTAGTCTTCAGTAAGTCTAATTATTTTATATTTATTTAATTCTTCTACTTCTCTTTTCTATTTTTTTTATTTCTTTCACTCTACATATACTGGTATGCATTACGTTCCTAAAACTGTATATTTAAATATCCTTATAAAGTAATTTTTTCTTACCTAACTTAGAGGGCTATTCAGGAGATCAAATAAAATTATGTATCAAAAGTACTACAAAAAGTAGAAAATAATACGAATACATGTTATTTATCTTAACCAAATTTACAAAATTGACGCAATCTAACATATTGAAGATACTACTACAGTATCACTTAATTATAATTTTACAACAAAGCAAAGGTATAATTTGCACAAAATGTAGAAACACATTTTCTTTCTGGAGTTTTCCTTTAATTTCTTCAAACATTATAATTCTTAACTGACAAAACTAGATGCCACTGTTTTCATGCCCTCATCTTATTTAGCAGTTTTTGGGCAGAATTCAACCTTGGGCAAAGTTGTTGCTAAACCAAGCATGAACTTCTGAATGGGAAGAAAATTCTCATGGTTTCATTAAAAATATGATGTTAGAAAAACAACACAGTATGGTGCTGTGGAAATACTGCTAGGGTCAAGTATATATCCAGCACTAAAGACCTATGTATCTTTGTCAGCCTCTGTGTCCTAAGTCTGTTAACTCATTTCTAAAATATAGCAAATAACAGCTGCCAGTAAGGTGGATTTGAGGCTCAAAAATAAATTATTTATGGAAAAATGCTGTGTATTGATGTAATTATACACAGAATATGCATATATGTGTGTATGTATGTATATATACATATGTATATACACACACACACATGCACACATATATATAATCTTATTGGCTTGGGGAAAAAGGAGGAAAATTAGGGGCCTTCTAGACCTGCACTATCCAAAATGGTACCTGCTATCGATATGCTTAAAATGGCCACTTAGCCCCAGTAATGTGGCCAATGCTTCTGAGGAAATAAATAGTCAATGTAAAAAAAAAATTGATTTAAATTTAAAAACCTAAAGTAGTGTGAAATATTTTCCCATCAAATACCACTTTATTGATAAGGTAAGACTACATCTTATTTAATCCATTAAAAACATAACATTCAAATTAAGATGTGCTATGAATAGAGAATATATGCTAGATTTCAAAGACTTACTTAAAAAATGGAAAATATTTTATTAATAATTTTCTTATTAATGTGCTGTGGTCCGAATAATGTCCAGCCAATGATATCAGGTTCTAAACTCGAGTTTGTAAATGTAACCTGATTTGGAAAGAAGGTCTTTACATATGTGCTTAAATTAAGGATTTTGAGATGAGGAGATTATCCAGAATTACCTGGATGGATCCTAAATGCAATCACATTTCCTTATAAGTGGAAGCTGAGGAAGCTTGGACAACTACAGAGCAGGAGATGGCAATGTCACCATGGAGGCAAATATTGGAGTGATGCAGCCATAACCCAAGAAATGCAGGTAGACACCAGAAGCTGAAAGATGCAAGGAACAGATTCTCCCTTAGAGCCTCCAGAGGGAGCATGGCTCTGCTAATACTTCAATTTTTGCTCAGTGACACTGATTCAGACTTGGGCCTCCAAATCTCTCTATTCTCCAGAGAGACTCATTTTCTGTTGTTTTAATTCACCAAGCTTGGGCTAATTTGCTATAACAGCTCCAGCAAACTAATACATTCATTGAAATGTTATTTTGGTCATATCGAGTTAAATCTAATGTTTATCTCCCTTTATGAAATAAAGATATAGGTGATATGGTTTGGCTGTGTCCCCACCCAAATCTCATCTTGAATGGTAGCTCCCATAATTCCCACGTGTTGTGGGAGAGAGCCAGTGGGAGATAATTGAATCATGGGGGTGGTTCCCCCATACTGTTCTTATGGTAGTGAGGAAGTCTCATGAGAGCTGATGGTTTTATAAGGGGTTTCCCTTTTCACTTGGCTCTCATTCTCTCTTGTCTGCCATCATGTAAGACGTGACTTTCACCTTCCACCTTCCACCGTGATTGTGAGGCCTCCCCAGCCACATGGAACTGTGAGTCCATTAAACTTCTTTTTCTTTATAAATTACCCAGTCTCAGGTATGTCTTTATCAGCAGCATAAAAACAGACTAATACAATAGGCCAGTATATATTCAAAACTAAGTTTACCCCATAGTTTATCCATTCTCTCCATTATTTTGAATAAGATTTTCCTTGTAAATATAAGCATCATAAATAAGGAGATTTTTCTCTATCAAAATCTTCTTTTAAGGACAGAACACAAATAGTGTACAGAAAAGGTCATTTGTTGTTTGGCTTGTCTAACAATCTCTATTTAATAAAAGATAAGAAAACTAGAATCCTGGACATCCATATTGCTTTCAATGGTAGAAAAACCAAATCTACACACAAAAGAAACTAATATATCCCAAAAGACCTTATTAATGTTTATACATTCACATACTCCATATGTAGAGATTATTTTACTAAGTGCTTAAAATGTATTATCATTTACACATTACCTTCTTCTTTAAAGTGGTTTGCAAATATGAACTTTTTGTTTTGCTGTCCTTATTAAATATCGTATAATACTGAGATGGGGGACCAAGTGAGGGTTGGAGAGGAATAATTCTTGTTATGTGGTTTTTTGTTTCCTGGCCTTACCATTATGTATGTCAGCCAACAGAATAACAGTAATTATAGGCAACACACTGTAATGAGATAATTTGTTACAAACAATCTCCACTGTTACTCCATCAGTGTGATCCTACAGAGACTCTACAGATAGCAAAATTCTGATTTGCTGGGGTTTGTACATTTATATGCACATTATAGACAGATGGGGGCTCATCTCTTCTTGCTTTGCTTGAGCTCCTCATAGAAAGGAGCATGCGTGCATGCATTAGCTGAACCATTCCTGTCCTCTTGTTTGATGCCCTCATTCTTTAGAAGAGGAAACAGGACTAGAGCAGGGCAGCACCACTCCTCCTTCCTGGAAAAACACTGCTTTATGGCAAATTATCCTCCTTGTTTTTGGAAGAGATTGCAGACCTTTTCTAAAACATTATCAATCAGAGTTGAACTCACCTTCCTGCTGTGTGGCTCCTCCCATGTGTTTACTGTCTCCTCTAATAACAGTGCCATTTTCATGACATAATTATGTCCCCTTCAAATCATCTCTGTTCTCAACCTCACTTCTAATTCTTACTTTAATCTGTTCACTGAACCTATGTAGTGCCTCTTTTAAAGTTTCCTCTTCTTTCCATTTCCAGAGCTGCTCACTTAGTGGCCCCAATTGCCTTTTATTAAACCACTCTTTATTAAACTACTTTATTGAAGTATGATTGACATGTAAAAAGCTATATGTATCTAATGTATATAATTCTATAAGTTTGAGGATAAGTATACATCATGAAACCATCACTGCCAACAGGGCCATAGACATATCCATCACTTCCCTAAGCTTCCTCTCACTGCCTTTATTATTATTATTATCATTCTTATTGTGTGTATGGTAAGAACACAACATAAGTTCTACCCTCTTAGCAAATTTTAAGTACAGTATTATTAGGTATAGACACCATGCTTTATAGTAGACTGTAAGTATTTATCCTAAGAAATTGAAACCAGGATCTCAAGGAGATACCTGCACTCCTGTGTTCTTCGCAGCGTTAATCACAATAGCCAAGATATGGAAACAACCTAAATGTCCATTACCAGCTAAATGGATAAAGAAGATATGGTATGTACATATCTTAGAATATTATTCGACCTTAAAAAAAGGAAATCCTGCCGTTTTTAACAGTATGAATGGGACTGTAGGACATTATGCTAAGTGGAATAAGGCAGACACAGAGAGAGTAATACTGCGCAGTCTCAGTTATATATAGGATCTAAAATAAACTCATAGAAGCAGAGAGTAGAATGGCAGTTGTCAGGGCTGTGGGGAGGGAGAAATAGGGAGATGATGGTCAAAGACTATAAAGTTTCAATTTATTCAATTACCTTTCAACTTGATATTACCATGGACTTTTTACAAACCATTCAGCCTCAAATCTTTTTCCCTTCTCTTCTTCCCTCCTAATCCATGCTTCGTAGTGTCACCATATTATTCTTCATAAAAACAGTCTGGGTGTGGTGGCTTACGCCTGTAATCGCAGCACTTTGGGAGGCTGAAGAGGGCGGATCACCTGAGGTCAGGAGCTCGAGACCAGCCTGGCCAACATGGCGAAACCCTGTCTCTACTAAAACTACAAAAATTAGCCGGCGTGATGGCGGGTGCTACTTGGGAGAATGAGGCAGGGAGAATTGCTTGAACCCGGGAGGCAGAGGTTGCAGTGAGCTGAGATTGCACCACTGCACTCCAGCCTGGGCAACAGAGTGAGACTCCGTCTCAAAAACAAAACAAAACAAAACAACAACAACAAAAAAAAAACTTCATAAAGTCTATCCCTAATCATGTTTCTCCACACAGCCGCTTTCTAATTACATTAGAAATAAAGTTCACACACCTTATTTTGGCATTCACGGCCCTCCAAAGTTTGACTTCATTCCACCTTTCAACATCTCTGACAGGTCCCCCTCATGTACCAGACATGCCAAATAACCATGACTTCTTGTTCTTTTCCAAGCTTCCTCTTCAATTTTATGCCGCTATAAAGTTGTTCATGTGATTCCTTCTGTTTGTTTTTCATGTCCTCTTTCCATTATCTTTACCTTAGCAACAGTTTTTACTCATCTTTTGATGCCCAGCGTAAATTTTTCTTTCTCCATGGAGCCATCTATGATTCCTGTTATTGAAACTGACCTCTGTCACCTCTGTGCTTTCTTAGCTTTCTAAGGAACTCACTATATTCTGCCTTATATTGTCTTGTGAGCATTTTTTATCCCCCTTTCAGAGTAGGAAATTATACAATTGGAGACCATGTCTTTTTCACCTTTCATTCTTGGTGGTGCCTAGAAGATGTCAATTGTTCATTGAGGATGCATAAAATGAAATGCAATGAGTCCAAGCCACATTGGGTTTACAAGTAAAAGCAATATACATAGTCACATTGAACTGAAACTTCTTTGGGGGTGAAAGTAGAAATGCGAGAGACAAGGGACACCAAAACATAGTTTCTGGAGTTGGAGCCAGGCCAGAGCAATGGGGTTAACAGCAGTGCTCTTAGGCAAAGTACTTGACCACATAGAATCATTAAAGCTCCTTTGCTCCCTTCCTGCTGGGAAACCCCTACAAGAGGGACTTGCTTTGAGAGAACGAGGCCTGCACACATGATTATTCTTTCTCTCTAAACCCCAGGGGTAGGATGCTGGTAATTACTTTTGGATCTATTCAGTGTAATTACACAACAATCCACAGCCACCTATAAATACTATGTCATTACATGGCATTGTCCTGGTAAACTCTACTATGTTTCCTTGTAGGGTAATTATTGCTGTGCCACAGGGCAAAGATTAGTGGCACTAAGGACTTCTAGCATTACACTCACATATCAGCTGCAGCACACTTTCCATTTGTAGAAACATAAACTGCAAAGAGGCAGCAGGTTGTGAAGTCTGAGGTGAAGAAAGAGCTTTTTCTCCCTACCGCAAGGGGTTAGGGGAAAGATATCAGAATACTTGACCTTCATTTTCTCACAAATCAAGGTAGAAAGAATTAAAGTAAGGAAATGAGTAGTAGATACCTATGCTGGTTTCTCTAAAAAATAAAATAGAGAGTACCTATAAAATATGTCAAAGCAATAACTCATCTTGACAAAAAAATAAGAAGCAAAGAACCAAGTAGGTGGTCTGCATGTCTGCCTTTTTCACTATATTATATAAACCTTTAAAAAGCATTTAAATTTTTTTTCTCATCTTTATACCTTCCTCACTCCCAAATGCCTAAAATGTGGTCTTTTTGCATGAGAGACTCAATACATAATTAATAAAGAAATGAAGGATGAACAAAGGGAATAAAAGTAGAAAATAAAGTAACAGAGGAAAGAGGAAGGAAAGAATGAAGAGGAAAGAAAGTAATAAATATACCCATCAAGTCCAAATAAATTTTCTTTTGCCCCTTTTTCAAGTATGTGGTCAGAACACTTAACATGAGATCTACTCTCTTAATGAAATTGTAAGGATGCAGTAGCTTGTTAACTATAGTCTGTGATAACTTATTGTTAGCTATAGTCTGTGTTGTACAGCAGATCTCTGAAATATACTCATCTTATATAACTGTAACTTATGCCTCGGGAACAACACCCTATATTCCTCTCCCCCCATTTTCTGGCAACCACCATTCTATTGTCTGCTACTATACATTTGACAAAACTGGAGTCATCACACTTCCTGACTTCAAAATATAGTATAAAGCTATATTATATAGTATACATCAAAACAGTATGGTACTGCCATCAAAATAGACATATAGACAACAAAACAGAGAACTCAGAAGTAGGCCCACGCATATATAGCTAATTGATCTTCAACACAGTTGCCAAGAATATGCAATGGGGAAAGAATCTCTCCACCAATTTGTTTTTAGAGGCTGTCTGGAGTACCACCGCGCTGAAAAAGACTACATGAAAATGATTTTTGTGAGTGCACAGCAGTTACTGGAAGGCATACATCATGAAGCTCAGGCATGGACTCTCTGCATCCTGAGAGTCTGAGCCCTTTATCCAGTTATCCCAGGCCACAGGTAAGCTGCAGAGCTCAGAAGATCACTGAGCCCTGGGGCCTACATTGAACACCTGGGGCCATCGGATCTTTTTCCAAGGATGACTATGGTGGAGTTGGTATTGCAGAGACATGGAGGAGTTTTCTGGCCAAATGCACTGACCAATTTCGTATTAGTTAGTTAACCAGCCAGCTAATCTAAGCAGCCAGGAAAATAGGAGAACAAGGAAATGATGTAGAGATAAAATATAAATGCTTATTGACAAAAAATATTGTCTGGAATTTTATAAAGATGGTTCTACCCATGTACTTCATCCACTGTTCTTTGTAATCCCAAACTATTGTTGGTTTTAACCTTATTTCCTATGAATGTTAAAATTAATCTGTTAAATTATTTCACCATATCATGACCACTTATAAACTCAGCAGCATCCAGTCCAACTCCTTCAGTTTCAAGATGAGGAAATGAAGTCTTTGAAGGAAAAGGGGCAGGTGGCTGGTTCTAGATAAAAACTCTCACTTGCCAGTTTCTATGCCATTATTTTGTTTCGTGTTTCTAACTGAAGGATATTGATCATTACGAACTACATTTTGAATCTTAAAGATGTTACTGCCTTGTCAAATAATAAGTCTGTAGATATATATTTAATAGTTGTCTCTAGGAAGGGAAATTAAGATCAGTTTCATTTTACTTTTTCATGTAGTGCTTACACTTTTACAATGAGTAGATAATATTTTATAGTTATATATTTTTTCTTTTTATATAAAGCTATCCTAACATGCTGTTAGTGGTGAAACTGGTAATGAATACACGGGAGTTTATTACATGATTCTCTGTACTTTATAAAATTTTCATCAGTAAAAATCTTAAAGGCTATGATGATTCTAGACTAGCACAATGTTAGAATTGAAAGACATTTCAGAATTGCTTTAAGTGCCTCATTTTATGGGTAATATAATTAAGATCAAGACAGCAGGTGATTTGCCTCATTAAAACCTATAAATACATGAAACAAAAATATAGGCATTCTGCAATCTGAAAATGCTTGCAGAGTCTTTTTAATTCTGTGTAGAGCCTATATAGTCTATTATTCCAACTGTATGACATCCTGGAAAAGGCAAAACTATGGAGATAATAAAAACATCATATGGACTTTCTGCATCCTGAAAGTGAAAGATCAGTCATTGCCAGGGGTTAGAGGGAAGGCAGGGATAAATAGTCAGAGCAGAGAGGGTTTGTAGGGCAGTGACAATATTCTGTGCGTTACTATAATGATGGATACATATCATTTTACATTCGTCCACACCCATGGAATATACAACACCAAGAATGAACCCTAATGTAAACTATGGACTTCTGGAGTCATAATCATGTGCCAACATAAGTTCATCCACTTTAACATATGTACCACTCTAGTGAGAGGTGTTAATAATGAGGGAGGGAATGCATGTGTGGGAGCAGGGGACATATAGAAATCTCTGTACCTTCCTCTCAATTTTGCTTTGAACCTAAAACTGCTCTAAAAATGTTTCTCTTATATATGTATGTGTATATATATGTACATATATATATATGTATGCATTCTGTATCATAAAAGGGAGAATGTGCTTGAAAATTTATGTTGCTTCTATTTTTTTCTGGTATAAATGAAGCAAGAACTATATTCTTTTAGAAGGAAAACTAACTTTTGTTGACCAACTTTTACATGGCAGGCACATACACAAACTTAATCTAATTTCTTTACAATAATCTTACGAAGTTTTACTGTTTACAATTTAGGAAACCAATGCTCAAAGTGTTTAAAATACAAAAGAGTTCAGACCACAAATTATTTTCTTTCCATTGTAATTATACAATGTATAATTATTCCAATGTAATTATATAATTATTTCCTTCCTTTACTCCACTCGTTTTGAGATGAGTTGGAGTTTGCATTCCCTACAGAAGGGATTCATAAAGGTCTTCTGTATTCTTGTAAAATTAACCAATATATATTAAAGTAGGGGTAGTCTGCTAATTGCCTCTGTCTCCTATTACCTGCTTGTACTGGGCCAAGACCAGGCATTTCTTGTTAAAAGGAAGGTTACTTTTTGATACATGTAGAGACTCCTTTAAGACTCTGAAGTCTAGAGATAGGACCAATACATGACCTATAAGATAACCATGCCGTAAAAATCATATTACTTTACATTTCTAACTCATTTTACATTATTCAATGGCTTTCATCAGGTAGATGAGAAAACAATAGGATCGCCAACAATCTGATTTGCCCAGCGCTGAGGAGTTTCCCAGGACTGGGTAGTTTCAGTGCTAAAACCAGGACAGTCCAGGGTCAACGGGAATAAGTTGATCACCTTAGGAAACAGAGACAGAGGAAGGTTAAGTATTTCATCCAAGGTCACACAACAAGTTAGTTTATAGAACTAGACTAGAACCCAGAGCTCCAAATAACTAGTTCTGGGCCCCTCCAACTAACCTATAATGATTGCTTGTTAGATTTCTGCAGCATAGAATTTGACCCATCCCATGATCTCACACGCTTAAGTCAAATAGATGGTATATTGGCAATTAAAACAATGACAACATGCAATTCTATTTTGTTCCAGTATCTCCATCCTGACTTTCTCATTTAAGTGAAGCTAACTCTAACCCTGAGCTGTGACAAGTGGCTGCTGGAAGTTCTCCAGCATGTCTTTATCTTCCCCTCTCTAGCTGCTGCATAGGTAAACAACACAGGCCCACGCGAGTTCACACACAAAAGATTCTGCAATAGTAACATTTATCTTGTACGTGTTCCATTTATCTTTGGCAAAAAGCTTCAGACCCAAACTATCTTAAGTGATCTCAAAAAGACAGTGATAACTACCTTCCCCGTCATTATTGCTCCATTTTATCACAGTGGTGATAGCAATAATGGTGGTTGTAACCCCCATCAAGTCCATTTAACATGGCTCATTTTCAAAAGCCACTCAATGTCTTGTGACAGTCTGGCCAGGCGGTATGAAAAGATCACTTAACCCCGATGATCTGAGGAAGACTCTGAGTGGAGAAAGAAGGCCCTACAGTCAGAGGCGAGACGCTGAAAGAAGAGAAGGGATAAAAAAGACCATTGATTTTATGACAAGGGGCAGAGCCACTGTCAAAACTGAGCAGCGCAAATTGAAGGAATGTTTCAATTAGCTGTTTGCAAGAGAAATTCCTCAGAAGTTGGGTTGCGCTCGCTTTTGGTTATTGTTGGTTACGTTTATTCTTTGCTTTTACATATGTGCATATGTGTTTATTTTTGACACTAACAGAGGAATCTAAAATTAGAATCTCTATTGCCAATTAGGGTAATTAAAGAAGACCCATGATAATTTTAATAAGAATGTGTTTTATGATGCTACAGGGACCAGGATAACAACCCCAAGGTGAAAGGGCGTAGGTGGAGCCTATGCAAGCAGACTGCCACTCACACACCAACACAGGGAGCCTAAACTGCCTCCTTTTCTGCAATCCCTGCATCACACTGGTTCATACACAACCTTCCCATGATTTCCTTAGCAGGTGTTGAAATTCTTACGAAAGCACACTGGTTTCTGGAGGCAACAGATGTGGATGAGTGTCAGGGATGGGTAGATAACCACTGAAATAAATAAATCAATAGTGCTCCATGTTTTGCAACTCTCTTTCTCATACATGATTAGGAGTTGGTGTCGCCAACAGCTGTCACTGAAAATGCAGAAATATTCACAGTTATAACACAGCTATTAAGTCAGTAAAATGGGAATGACAGACCCTATTTCATAAGGCTGTTGTGAAATTTAAATAAAATAGTTCATACTAGAGTGTTCAGCAAAGTACCCAGTATATAGTAAGCTCTATATAAAGGTGATTATGATTATGATGGATCCATATAACATATATTTTTGAGTTGAATTTTCTGAGCATAGTTCTTAATAAAATTCTCTCCTTATCCATCTAAAATGTAAGTCTTGTCATAAAACTGATTGAAGGGCACTAAAGTTTAAAAAAAAAAATAGAACCCTTGATTCTGTATTTGAGTTCAGACTTCATTACCTATAGGCCTCAAAATCTTGATAAATTACGGTCACCATATTTAACATCAAGAATACTATTACATGATGCTTAAAAGTTCAAGGTGAGAGACATATTAACCTGGTTTTGAATATTCATTTCACCACTTTCTAATGATGTGATATTTATATACTCATAGCTCCAACACTGTGCTACCCATCCTTCAGATTTTAATTTTAGTAGCATTTCTTCTAGAGTATTTTATTACAGATTCTTTTAATATATATCCTTTTTTATATATTCTCATTGTTCCTTGTGCTTATCCCTTATGACATTTGTTAGAATTATTATGGACTAATTGTGTAATTATTATCCATCTTTCTTGATATACTGCAAGCTCCAGGAAGGCAAGAAACTTGTTTATTTTGTACACGCTAGTATCCCTCTGGCCGGCACATGGTAGGTAATAACTACTAAATGAATAAGGGGCTTTGAGCTGAAGAGTGATTTGACTTTAATTTCAAGGGTATCACACTTGCTGCTGATTTTAAAAGACCTTTTAGGAAGACAAGGATGAAAGTGGAAAAATGTGTTTGGAAACTTGCAGTAATTTAGGTGAGATGTTACTGGCTTGAACCAAGATGATAGTAATGGAAATGGTGAGAAGTGATTTAACCCTAGATATATTTTCAAGGTCTAACTCAAAGGCTTTGCTAATGAATTTGATGTAGGGTAGAAAACAAAGAGTTAGGGATAATGCCATGGCTTTTGGCCTGGGCAATTGGATAGCTAAACTGCCATTACCTTAAACAGGGGAACTGACAAATAGACAGACTTGCCGTGGAAGTTCATTTTTGAAATACGTTAAGTCACAATGCCTGTGAGACATCCAAGCAGACTTATCAAACCAGCTTTTGCATGCTCATGTCTGTGGTTTAAAGGGGAGACGTCTGAGCTGGAGATAAAGAATTCATATTTAAAACTATGAGACTAGATGAGATCACCAAAGAAAGAGAAGAGGGCCAAGGAATAAGTCCTAGAGCACAATATTAGAAGTCAGGGGGTGATGAAGAACCATCATAGGATTTTGAGAAGGAGCTGTCAGTGAGGGAAGATGAGTAGATGCTAGAAGCTTTCAAAGAAACTAGAGTGATATGGTAAGTCATGTAAAATACTAAGAAAACTGGCCGGGCATGGTGGCTCATACCTGTAATCCTAGCACTTTGGGAGGCCAAGGTGGGTGGATCACCTGAGGTCAGGAGTCCAAGATCAGCCTGGCCAACATGGTGAGACACTGTCTCTACAAAAAAAAAGTAGAAAAATTAGCTGGGCGTGATGGGGGTCACCTGTAGTCCCAGCTACTCGGGAGGCTAAGGCAGGAGAATCGCTTGAACCTGAGAGGCAGAGGTTGCAGTGAGCCGAGATCATGCCATTGCACTCCAGCCTGGGCAACAAGAGCGAAACTCTGTCTCAAAAATAATAATAATAATAATAATAATAATAATAATAATAATGATAGAACGAAGAACTTATCATTCAATTTGCCAATATGATGATTATTGCAAACCTTGACAAGAACTATTTTAGAATGAAGAGTTGGGAGCAAAAAGCCTGATTCAAAAGTGAATTTAAAAGAGATTGAGAAGTCATCAGGGAATATTTATGAGATATTCCAATGAAATACCATTCATACTCTCTAGAGTAGCTAAAATTAAAGAAACTACCCACACTAAATGTTGGCAAGGATGTGGAACAAATGGAACTCATACATTTCTGGCAGAAATGTGAAGTGTTAGAACCATTTTGAAGAATTCTGTGACAATGTCATTAAAATTTAACATTCACTCACTATAATACCCAACACATCCACCCCTAGATAAATGGAAATATTTACACACTCAAAGGCTTGCACACTAATACTCAAAGCAGCCTTCTACGAATAGTCAAAAACTTGAAAACAACTAAAATACTTATCAGCAATAGAATGGATATTCAACCTATAGAATGTTTATACAATGGAATACTACTCAGCAATAAAAAATAATGAACCACTTACTGATATACCCAAGAAAATGAATAAATCTCAAAAGGCACTATGTTGCAGAAAGGAAACCAGATGCAAACTAGTAATTACTGAATCCATTAAGACATAAAGTCCAAAAACAAACTACAGAGATAGAAAATCTTGTGGGGAAAGCATTAATTGACTAGAAAAGGACATGAGGTAAATTTCTGGTGCAGTCAAAATGTCTTTATCCTGTTTGGGGTGCTAGTTACATGCGTGTCAATGCTTGTCAAAGCTAATTGAGCTGTGCACTTGAGATCTGTGTGCTTATTCAATGTTAAATAGACTTCAATTTTTAAAAAAGAAAGAGTGGATCACAGGAGAGAACATGGAGAGACTACAAGTTTTCGACAACTTTTTAAATAGAAAGAATATCTAGAAAGAGGATGAAAGGAACTAGGCAATAATTGGAGAGATAATTGGAGTTAAGAAGGTTTCTTTGTTTTTTTTTTTAAGATGAGAGGGATAATGTATTTTCATGGTGATGTGAAAGAAACAGTAGAGATAAACAATAAATAATGATGTGCATGATTGTAGTATCTACCTTTCAGAGTGATTGGGTAAAATTAGATGAGTGTGAAGCAGTTAACACTACACTTGACATGTTATGGTAAGGGCTCAATACAACCTAGCTGATATTATTATTCTTGCTATATAGTAACAATGTCAAGGGATACTGAATGCAAAGAACTCTCTGTCTCCACACTATAATGCAGCACATACAAATCCTTTTGCTTGTTGTGACTTTTGCTTTATGCTTTTTCCAATCGTACCTCACTATCATCAGGCTGTCACCTCAACTACTCCACAGGTACTGTTCATATCAAGGTCACCTGCCATTCCGTCAGTAAATCTGAAACTCACAATGCCCTCTTATCCTTAAAATTTGCTGTTTATAATCCCAAGAGGAAGCAGAGTTCAGATTAATAAAGCACTAGAACTGAATCTACCATGAGGTAAATAGGCTCAGAGGAAGTTCATTTAACTCAGCAATTTTAACTGATCTTTCTTCCCAACACGCTCTTCCTGGTCATTTCCTACTTGTTCTTCAAGTGCCTACTTAGATTTTATTTCCCCTGAGAATCTAACTTTGCTCCTAAACAATAGACTGCCTGCCTCTATAAGTCAAGAGTTTTCTAGCTATAAGTGATGGACACCCAATTAAATGTAGGTATTAAAGGATATGGTATGGGTAGATGTTGATTCACATCATTGAAACACTCCAGAGGAGAATCTGGACAGGTGTAGCTGCCTCCGAGATGTAACAAATCTGTGCCTCTCTGCCCTCTCCCTCTTTCACACAGTCTCTGCACTCTACTTTCCTCTGTGTGCTTCATTCTCAGTCTCTTCCAAAGTGTTAATAAACATGACCAGGTATTCATAAGACCTGGCAAATCAAATTTTTAAAAAACATCCTTTTCCTCACAATAGTTCTAGAATAGATCCCAGGGGTGACCTATTTGCTTGCTTTGGATCAATTGTCCATCAAATGTCCTTTGAAGGATAGGCTATTCTGAATGACTGTATGCCTGCATGTAGAGTAGAAAGGCGTAGTGAGCCACAGATGAAAGTCACGAACCAGGAATTAGAAACTCATTCTAGGCAGGTTAAAACATAGCTTCTCCATATTGTCCCTCCAATAGAATACCAACACACTTGATATGAACCTTGTATTAATACTTACAGGTAATTGTTGTTATTACTATGTGTTAAATATTATGCTGGAATATAACAAACAGTATTTTGATTAATCTTCATGAAAACACTATGAGGAAGGTGTTAGATCTGTTTTACAAAAGAGAAAACTAAAGCTCAGAACAGGTGTAACACATTCATGGTCAGGCAATTTGTGAAATGTGGACCAGTGGAGGGAAAGTACAATTCCGAACCTGTTGGTCATTCTGGGACTCTTCTCACTATGCATTTTTAATGGTCTAGGTAGGTGGTCTGTCCTTTGGGGCTTTCTATGGAAACATAATTATTTGATATTTATTTAAATTTTTATAGCATATTCATTCCATCATATTCTCTTCCTGGAAACTTTTATTTCTTTCTCCACAGTACAAGGTGGCAAATCTGGTATTTCATCTCTGTTTACTGTGGGCCATGACTTTTCCAATGCTTCTAGGAGCCACATCAATAGCAAGTTTACACTACTTCCTTGGGGTGTTAGATCTTATATGTAAAGAAAGAGCTTTCAGGTCAATACATCCTTTCCTATGCCAGTTTTGTTTTGGAATCCTGGATCCAGCACCCTTAGAATCTAGTCCCAGGCATACATTCCTGGCTCTTGCTGGTTTACATTGGCTCAGTTTTGCAGCCCATTTGAGGCAGAGTCCCTTTTTCTCCACTTATCAGGTCAGGCACATCTCCAGCTAGGTTGCAAGTCCTATCTAAAAGGAAGATCTGGGCGGTGCATTTTTGTGTCCCTCACACTTCATGGATCACTTAGTCTGCATCTTTTATCACATGGAGAACAGCTAGGAACCAGGAAATAAATGTTAAATTCATGGAGCAGTTGAGAAAAAAATGTCACAAAACTATAAACTAAAGGGGTTGATCTTTATTCTAGGTATTTCATTTATTGAAGGCCTACTAAGTAAGTACCAGAGAATTTACTAAGTGCTGAGGATGCAATGATGAATATGGCAAAGTGCCTGACCACACATTACCTTCAACCTAGTGCTGAAGGCAAGCAAGTAAAGGGCCAAGTACAACGTAGAGTAAGGGATATAACATAACCATGAAAGACACTAGGCACCCCACAACAACAGAGGCCAGGTGCAACACTTAACTGACAGATTCCAGAAAATCTCAACTAATACAAACTGGCAATTTCTGAGTGGCTGATAAGGAGTCCTGACCCACAGAGAGATAGGAAGATGGTTAATACTGTGCCACAGGGAGAAGGCAGGCAAAAATAGATGGGCAGGTGACAAGAGTAATAGCTTGAACCAGCAAAAGAAATCAAAGATGGATGATCGTGAAGTTAAGGCCAAGCAACCCCAATACAAAGCCATGACCCTTTGCTTAGTTTCCAGACTTGAGCCAGTTTTCCAACCAAGAACCTGTTAACCAAACAGATGGTTGAGTCTCCAGAAGGAAGAATCATGCAACTCTGACCAGTATATACACCATAATAATTCCACTCACCATTGCCCAAAAGGAACTATGGCCATGTATAGTGAGGAAGAAAAAATCCCAGATATTTTGAAGACTGTTGAACACAGAGTCAAGTTGACATTGATACCTGGAGTCCTGAAGGATCATCAGGACCCCCTATTAGAGTAGAATTTTATAGTGATCAGGTAACAAATGGAGTCTTGGCAAAGGCCCGGCATTGGGTCTACTAGGCCTGTGGACTCACCAGTAGTCATATCCTCTGTTCCTGCATGCATAAACTGGATTGGCATACTTAGCATTGGTGTAAGCCAAACATAGGGTACTTGACCAGTAGGTAACAGCTGCTATAGTGGAGAAGGCCAAATGGAATATTGTATCTTCCTCTGGTCAAAATAGTAAATCAAAAGCAATATGTCATCCTTGGGGGGATAGTGGAGATAAGAGCCACTATTAAAGCATGTGGGGGCATTGTTTTTTTATCATATCCCCATTTAATTCATCAACTAGGCTCTGCAGAAACTGAACAGATCCTGAGGAATGACTGTACACTACTGCAAGCTTAACTATGTAGCAGCTCCAATTAATCACAACCACCATGCCAACAGCAGATTATTACAAACTCAGGTATGTTGCATGGGGCCATTAACTTGGTGAATACATCCCTATTCTGTTTAGAATAGAATTTCTGTTTAGAGTGAAAGCAATTTGTATTCATATGGAATGGATAACATTATACACTTAGAGTTTGTTCCCAAGATATGTTAACTCCCATTCTTTCTATCATAATTCAGTCCAAAGATGACTGGAACATTGTGATGTTCCACAGAAAATCACATTGATCCACATTGATGACATTATGTTGATTGGGCCTGATGAGCAAGTGGTTACTAACACATTTGTGGCTTTAGGAAAGCACATGTACTCTAGAATTCGGGAGAGGAGCACTAAAAAGATTCAGGGGCCAAACATATCTGTAAAATCTGTATTGATTTAGTAGAGCTGCACCAAGCCATTCTCTTCAAAGTGAAGACAAATTATTGCATCTTGCACTTTCTACCAGGATGAATGAAGAATATTTCAGGTCCTCGTGGCTGCATATTCAACACCTAGAAACATGGCTTTGGACTAGATACAGAGTGGTGCAAAAGTCTACCAGCTTTGAGTGAGGGCCCAGAATAGGAGAGGGCTCTTCAGCAGGCCCAGGCTGTGGTATGAACCATCTTGCCACCTCATTCTCCTATGACATTAGAAGTATCAGTGCTGGGAAAAGATGCCATGCAGGGTTTGCAGGAAAATCCCTTTGCAGCCTCTGGGATTCTAAAGCAGAATCTTGCCCTCTGCTGAAGAGAATTACACACCTTTTGAAAAGCAACTCTTGTTATGTTACTCTACCCTGGTGAAACAGAGGCCTGACTATGATTATGCAGCTGGAACTTCCCATCATGAGCTGGATCCTGTTAGACCCACCATGTCCTAAGGTTCATGGGCCCAGCAGCAATCCACTGTGGGATGGACTTGGCATCTCTGAAATTGAGCTCAAGCAGAGCCAGAGGGCATGAGTAAACTGCATACTCCCCATGGTATCCACCACTCTTGTACGAGTACCCCTTCCTCAGCTTTCATCTATGGCTCTTTGGAGATTCTAAAAGGGGGAGGAAAAAGCCCAAGCTTGGTTTATGTAAGAATGAGTTTTGTAACCAGGAGCAAGCTGAAAATGGACAGCAGCCTCATGCAGCCTCATTAGGAGTGGTTTCAAAAAGCAATGGCAGGAGGAAATCTTCTCAACAGGTGACTGTTCTAACAATGCACCTGTTCATGCACTTTGCGTGGAAGAAGTGGCCTGACATTTGAATATAAATGAACTCCTAAGCAGTAGTAAATAACTTAGCCAGATGATCAGGGTCCTGAAAGGAAACAGACTGGAATATTGGGTACAAATAAATCTTAGATGGAGACACATGAAAGAAGATAAGTGTGAATATCTTCAAATTAATATCCACCAAAGAGCATCCACTACCGAAGAGGCACTAAATACCTATAATATACTGATAGAGTATATTAAATTATTCAGCACATAATGGGCACTGGAGCAAAGTGGCATGGTTACAGAGATGAAAGCCTGAGCTCAAAACCATGCATTCCCAATTACAAAGGCTGATCTAGCTACTACTGTGACTGAACAGTCAAAGTGACAGTGAAAGAGACCAATACTGAACACTCAATTTGTCACTATTTCTCCAAAATACCATCTATGCATTTGATGACAAGTAGACTACATTGAGGCCCATGTCTCAAAGGGCCAGCAGTCCACCTTCACAAGAACTCTTAATCCACATATGCATTTGCCTTTCTTGTTCACAGAGCCTCAGCCAGCACCACTATCTGGTGTACCTAATAGGAAGAATATATAGTTATAAGAACCAAAGGGTTGGGTAATGAGTAGTCTTATCATCACATCCAGTAACTTCATACTTTGTGTCCCTAAAACTCTGCACAGTTACAGCTCTGGGTCCTCAAAAATGGCACACTTTTCAGGGGAACACAATGAGAGTCCCACTGAATTACAAGCTACAGTGTCACAGTATAAAAGAGTGGGTCTGGTTGGGAGTAGAATGTGGTAGACAGAAAGAAGTATAATCCAGATAACCCTGCAAAAAAGGAACTGCTGCTCCACTGAGCAGAATGCAGTAAAAATCCCCTTCCAGTTCTGCCTCAACTGTAGAAAGTGGGATTACCCAAAGTCATGTCCTTCACAAAACAACCTACATCCAGTCACTGAGAAAAGTAAGGTTATAAAGGCTGGCCATTTTGTCTGATGTCTCCAGTGGTCTGCTGAAGTCAGCTAGTACCATCTTGAAAAGTGAAGTATGTCCATTTCTTCCTGATTCTCTGCTTAGTGACATCAAGTTGGTGCCCTGAACTTGGCCATGGTAAGAGTATTTACACCATGGAATACAAATTCTCCCCCAGAATGCCAGTTGTTAAACATTTATCAGTGTAGCACTGGGGAGGGGAGCTTTATTAGGCAATAGTAACTCCATAGCTCAGTGCCAGGTTGGCAGAGGCTTTACTGAGACTGCATCACAGTTCTCCTTCCTCCTCTCCCCAATATTTCTTCTCTCTCATTTCTTTCCAAGATATTGACCCCCTACTAAACACTCTGTGCCCCAAATTCCATCTTAGTATCTGCTTCTGGAGAATCCAGCCTGAAATATTACATTCTGTAGTATAAATCTTATCATACAGCACTTTTTAAAAATGGTGCACTTATTTCAATGAATTATATACAATAATACTTTGAGACAGACTTTTGTACACCTCAGTGATGGAATTTTAATTCTCTACACCCTAAAGAAACCTAAATGATAAGCAAAAACCACCTACGTTAAAAATACAAACTTTTGTTAGTTTTGATAGGCACATCCACATGAAAATAGGGGTACTAGATCCAAATATCACAGAGAAGATGATTCAATTACAATGAAAGGTTCATGATAAAAATTTCCATTTGAAATATGTGAAGAAAATCCATCCAGTACTAGTTACACAATCACCTCCACATACAAAGCCAGCCCCAACAAGGCTTTCTTAACCGTACTTTAAGATCTTAAACCATATAAACACTTAGTAGACACACAAAATATTCAATTAAAAATTGGATTAAAATCCCAAAATACTCTTAGGCCTGGAAAATACCTTTAAAGAATAGACTAATTTTTTATGACTTTGGAGAAAACAGGAATATCGATTTATCAGTGCCAAGAGGAGTCAGCTCCAATGCAGAAATGGCTTGGCAAATTAAAGGCAAGAACAGAGGGCCAAGACCTTTGGTCCAAGACATGGGGAAGGTGTTTCCTAGGAAGGTGTTTCCTAGGTCTTATATTAATGTTATCCACTGCAACACACTACTACAACACACCCACGCCCACCCACACTGCCACACCCCCCAAAACCATTGCCTCAAGTATCCTTCCAGACTCTTCTTCCAGAATACATATGATTACTTTGTGTGCTTTCTTTGGCTTCCCCATTTTGAGGCAATTTATTAAAGATAAAGACAGATCCCATACATGATGTTTTGGCTTGTCTCTGGCTTCCTAGACTGTCCCTGCCCTGGTGAAGTGAACACCACTTTCTCTTTGAAGCCTATCCCAGAACTATGAATCTGCCCTAACCTCGCTCAGGATTTGGACTTTAGCTTTGGGAAGCAGATCTAGGCTAGCTCCATCCGCTTGTGGGCCTAGCTCCTGAGGCCACAGCTAGGGAGCATGTTGTAGCTCTCTTCTCCATCCTAGGTATCCGAAATGAAAGATCAGACTGACCCTTTTTCACTCTGTCGCCCAAGCTCGAGTGCAATGGCACCATCATAGCTCACTGCAGTCTTGACCTCTCGGGCTCAGATGATTCTCCCATCTCAGCCTACTGAGTAGCTGGGACTACAGGCAGGGGTGCACCACCACACCGGGCTAATTTTTAATATTTTTGTAAGGACGGGGTTTTGCCATGTTGCCCAGGCTGGTCTTGAACTCCTGGTGCATCAAGTGATCCTACCAAAGAGCTAGGATTACAGGCATGAGCCACTGCATCCATCTGAGACTCACTAACTTTTGATGGCTTTGGGGAACAGGAATGATGGCAACATTCCTAGAACATGAAAGTTCTATTTTTAGCAGGTTGTGGAATTTTATTCACCAGAGTTCCAGTAAGGCCGATTCTTGGGGTAAAAGCCATGATAGTGAAGATGTGACCACATTTTCCAAAGGGGTCTCCCCAACAGGGAGGCCATGTGTCACAGCATAGCATTTGAAGTTGAAGCTTAGAGTTAAAAGCAGTGGACCGAAAAGCACAATGATGATGAGACAGTGGGAATGGAGGTAGGGAATAAGGAAAGCAGGAAGAGAAAGTTTTGAAAAAAGGAGTTATGTTTAAAGATGAATTTAAGGCCGGGTGCAGTGGCTCACGCCTGTAATCTCAGCACTTTGGGAGGCCGAGGCGGGCGGATCACGAGGTCAGGAGATCAAGACCATCCTGGCTAACAAGGTGAAACCCCGTCTCTACTAAAAATACAAAAAAATTAGCCAGGCGTTAGTGGCGGGCGCCTGTAATCCCAGCTACGCGGGAGGCTGAGGCAGGAGAATGGGGTGAACCCGGGAGGCGGAGCTTGCAGTGAGCCGAGATTGCGCCACTGCACTCCAGCCTGGGCTACAGAGCCAGACTCCGTCTCAAAAAAAAAAAAAGATGAATTTAAAAGAATATTTCATTTTTTATATTGTGGGACATCCTGCACAACACTTCTACAGAGACCTTAAGTATAGACCTATGTTATTCTTCAAGGTTTCTGGAGGCAATTCACTATTTCTTTAAATGTTTTTGCCATGAAGCCCAATAAAGTTTTATTTATTTTTCTCCTCCCATATCTCTCTAATGTCTCTTCAAACATCAGATAATGGAATTTAAGTTTCTTCAACAAACAACTCAAGAAAATATCTTTATTGGAGAAACTGGAAATTATGCAGAAAAATAGAACAAAAAGTTAAGATCTTAGTCCTGAAGCATTAACCACTAACTGGCCTCCAGCACTTCCAGCATCATGAGGGATCAGTGTGTCCCAGGACCCAAAAACCCATTCTGCCAATCCTTGGAGATACATTTAAGATCACCCTCAATTTCTCTTTAGTGATCTCAGTCTTTTCTGTATTTCCTTTTTTTATGTTCCAATTTTTCTTCTCTAGCTTTTTCAGGCACCCAACACCACCACTCCTACTTTTTGGGAAAGTGAGGGAATTATTCTTATTCCTTTATATCTTAATATAGGAGTGACAAATGGTTATCATCCTACTTGCTAACTAGTCAATTCATGCAGTGGCTGCCTGAAGGCTGCCTCGGAAACCTTCTCAACACAGTATGGGGGAGCGTGTAAGGGGGAGTGTGCTGTGATTAGTCAATTCATTCTTGATGTATGTGATGGGTAGGAGAATGAGTGGTGTCACTGTACAGCTTATTTATGAAATCTGCCTTTGTGTAAACTTTGTCAACATTTTACCCTGATCCCAATTCCATCAGAACACTTGTACTTTTCAAAAACTTTGATTATTAAATGCTTTAGTTATCTAAAAATGTAAAGACAATAGAGTAATGCACCTGTTTTATCCACTATCCACATCCAACAAGTATTATCAATAAATGGACAGTCTTCTTTCAGCTATACATCTAACCACCATCTCCTCACCTCAGGATTATATTGAAACAAATGCCAGAAATCAAATTGTTTCAACTGAAAATATTTCAGTATATATCTCTAAGGACAAAAGAACACTTTTAATATGTGCATTGTCCATTTCCTCCTAATAAATGAATGAAAGACTTTCCCACAGCAGGAGTTTTTAGAAGATAGGTGCCCTCCTCTGGACTGCTGAACTCACATAATACAGCACTTTGCTGCCTGTTTCAAGGATGGTCATTTAAGAATTGCAGATAACTGCATTCAGCTAGAATGGAAACTTTTGCCTGATTTTTCTGAAGGGCAGAATCTATCAGCAAATGCAAAGGTAGAGAGTGCAGATAAATGAGAAGTGAGTAGTAGGTAATGAGACATAATGTGAGTAAGGCTCTTCCATGCACGCTTGAGACAAAGCAACCAACATTCCTCTGATTTCATTAAGATAACAACCAAATTGACCAGTGGCCAACAAAAATGATACAGCTCAGGGAGATGGGCAGATGTATTTTGATAAAACAATGGTTTATTATCAGATAAACTATTCAATAAAGAGTTTTAGTAGATTTTGGTTCCTAATTCTAAACAGTATCAATAAAGGTTTAAGAAGATTAGGAAAACTAGCCTCATATCCCATTTCCTAAAAGGAAGTAAGCCCGGAAGGTGAATTTTAGTCACGAGAGACTGGAATCAGCTCTATGCGTAACTAACTAATCTGCCTATTCTTGGCGAAGCCATGATAAGTAAGCAAATGCCAAATAATCGACCATATGACCTTGATGATCTAAAAGGGCCATTTAAACTAGCCAACTCTTTCTTCAACCCACTGCTTCTTTGTCTCCTAATAACCACAGCCTAAATTGTAATCTCAGTTCCTAAAAAAAAAAATGCTTTTCCTATGCAATGTCTGTGCTTGCTCTCTGCATCCACTTTTTATTGACACACTAATACAAGCTCCAGAACAACACTAGCCATTCTGCGCTGTTCACCCTGGCTCGTGGGAGACTCCATTGCCGTATCCAGGGCCTCCTCATTTCCAGTGTATTCCAATTTACTCAAGCTGCTCCTTTGGGCTGTTTCATTTCCTCTCACCCAGATGTATGCCCTTCCAGGAAATGTCCATGAATAATACTCAGGCTTCATAAAGCACATTAAGTAAACCCCTGCATGAGTTTGCATCACTTAATCCCCCTTCCTTAGAAAGCGGATTACTCAAAGCAAGCTGTCTGACTGTTAACAAATGTTGAGCAAACAGCAAGCAGCATCATGTCCATTGTTCAGCTTGAGCCCCTCCACCTTACACAGAGCAAAGCCAGCTCATCTCAGTGAAGGAATCCATCTGTTTGGTGATCTCTCATATGCACATCTTGACTGTGCTTTACCATATGCTTTATGCTTAATGCATACAGTCTTCTGGAGTGTTTTGAGATGAAAGGCACAAGAAAAATGTAAGTTCTCACTACTACTCGCAGTATAGCTTTGCCACAATCTACTTTACTAGAGCAAGCATAAAATTACACATTTTCCCAATCATCAGGTAAAATATAGAATATTCTTTTCTATGCACAAAGCAAACCCATATGAGATTTAATAATAACTTGGACAAATATTATTTTATTGTTATTTTATAGTATGCTGCTGTACTTTCTTTTTATGCATCATTCTCTTCACAAAATGCAAAGAATTGTCCCTCAGTGATTGTTTGGTGTCTGACTACTGCAAATAAAAGGGAAACTCCTTCAATCATCTCTTCCCTCTTACGGAAGGAGCAATTGCCTAACAGAGTAAGAGACAGAGTGGAAGGGGACCATCATGGTGAAAATTTCAAAACCACATTGGGAAGAAGAAAATGGTAGGGGTGTTTCAACCCACTGGCCGTAGGGCTTCATGTGGCTCCTTAGAGCTTCCTATGCAGAGCTTGAGGCATCTGCAGAAAAACTACAATTTAGTTACAGTAACAGTTTCTAGAAATAGGGAGTTAAAACATAAAAGACTATTGAGTATAAATCAACTATGTATTTAAATTTCAAATTTTCCCTAAAAAAACCACATCATTGGCCCAGTAGATTTACAGCAGAGGACACTGTGACCATCAGAGCTGCCTTATGATGTGCTGGAAGGATGGCCTCACAAAGTGGTGAGAACTCCAGCATTGAACATGTTTAGTTAAAACCAGATGATAATGTGCCAGGGACACTGAAGAGAAGATTCCTCAGGTGAAAAATTTCTGGAAGGTATCCTTCCTCTCTTTCCCTCACATCACTTCCGACTCTGCTTATACAAATCCTATTTGTCTACAACCAAAATATTTCAGTCCACTTTATTTTCACTGCTCCACCCTAGGCAAAGTCATGATTATCTCATGCCTAAACACTATGATTGGCACCTCTCCAGTCTCCTCTTCTTAACCAGACTCCATTTTCACCCAGAAAATTGTAAGACAAATTATGTCACTCTTCTGCTTAAAATACCTAGCACTTAGAATGAAACCCCAAATCTCTGCTTTGGTCTAGAAGGTCGTGCAGGATTTAGATCTCCTGTCTTTCCGGACTCACCTCTTTCTCTCTCCCCTTCTCTTACTACTTTCTGGCTATAGTAATCCCCTTTCTATGCCTTAAGCAGTTCAAACTCTCACTTCAGAGGCTTTTCACTGTTCTTCCCTCTTTCTCAACATTCTTTCTTTTGACTCTTTTTATAATCAGTATCTTTTTGTCTCTGAAATCTCAGCTTGAGTGTCATCATCTCTAAGAGACATCGTCATCCGGGTATGCATTGCACTCTCAGTTACTCTCTATCAGTGCTCCTGCTTCTCTGGATGACCCTCTGAAATATTGTCATATATGTTTATGTACTTCAACTTATCTTTTCCCCAAGAACATTATCTTCATGAGGACAGAGACAGTTCCTATGTGTCTTTGCTACAAAAGAGCAAAGACTGACACGAATACCCACCCTGTTCTCCAGAGGCACACTATTTTTTATCTCTGTTAAAGTCCCTACCATAGACTACCTTTTTTAAAATATTAAGTTTGTCCTCCACAAACAAAATGTAACCTCTGCAGTCAAGAACATGGATCGGATTCATTCCTTTGTTCCCACAGCACCTACAAACTGTGCTTTCATAGATTTGCTCAATAAATATTAGTTGAGGAAAATGCTGCCCTTTTAAAGTCCTCTTAACATTCTACCTTTGAAACTATGTAGCTCATTATACAACAGTTATCTATTAGAGATAGGAGACATATAGGAGCTGAGAGAGAATTTTCAGAATAACCCTCTGCAACTAATTGCTTGCTATTGTATCTCCCAGATCCATGTGTGTCTTTTCTGTTATGCTTCATACCCCTAGAAGGATGGCCTCTGATGACAACATTCTCCATGCTTCCTTTCCCAGCTGGCAATGGGAAACATTCACTGGAGAATGGAAGGCAGAAGAAGAAAGATCAGGGTATTTCTTCATTATTCACTCACCTCTCTAAATGCAGCTCCACATCCATGGTTCTGGAAATCCCTTTTGGTTTTACACCTTCATTAAAAAGTCATCTCTTCAGTAAAGTTTTTTTATTTGAACCTCCTGGGGTGAGTTCTGTTTTGCTGTGACCCTGACTTCTATATTCCTGTACATCATGAGTAGCTAAGACAGTCAAATTTTTCCAAGATATAAAGTTTTAAGACAAAATTTCTCAAGAGACCTGGAAGAGTTCAAGAAAAAGAGCTATCATTAGAATCAAATCAAAGATAGAACATGTAAGAATGAGGTGAAAATCTTGAAATAAATCTATGAGTTAAGAGAACAGCATTAAAAAGTAAATGAAAAGAGCCCCTGGAGCTAGAAATAATGTTAGAGAATTAAGGAGATGGAGGTTTGGGGAAGGAGCTACACCACTGATAAAAGTAACAGAAAGATATATGTTAGCATGCTTAATAGAATAGACACTTCATGGTTTTATAGTCAATGGCATGCCTATAATTTTAACCAAGTATGGAATTCAGGGGTTTGAAAGAAAGGTGACATTATTTTATTCAACTTTTAAAGTGTGTTTGTTTGGGTTGACTCCTACATTTGATTGTGTGAAAGCCTTGGGTCAGCAGACATGCGGAAGTCTCTCTGGAAAATCTGTATTACTAGAAAGCCGTTAATATAATGTACAATGAAATTTACATGTGGCAGGGACAGCACCTATTCATGTGAGCAAATTGTTACATTTGGCTTTACCTCGCCAAAAAGAATTTTGAATTTGGTCTCCCTCTCTCTCACTGTCTCCTTCTTTGTCATATAATTTACATACAACAAACTGCACATATTAAAAACTGTATAATTTGATGAGTTTTGACATATGTGTATAACCATGAAACCATCATTAAGTCAAGACAGTGAATACATCCATCACACCAAAAGTTTCCTCATGCCATTTGGAAACCCTCCTGTCTACTTCTTTCTACCATTCCTTCTTTCTCATCCACCAGGAAACTCTTTATCTGCTTTCTACCAGAGAATATCTTTAGTTCTCTAGAATTGTATACAAATGTAATTATAGAGTATGTCCTTTTTGAGTTTGGCTTCTTTAACTCAGAATAATTATTCTGATATTCATCCATGTTGTACAATGTGACAATAGTTCATTGTTTTTACTGCTAAGTAATATTCCATTGCATGGATATACCACAGTACTCACCTGTTGATGGCCAACTGGGATGTTTACAGTTTGAGGCTAATATAAGATTGCTATGAAAATCTGTACAAGTCTTTTATAGACATAAGCTTTCATTTCTTCGGGGTAAATGCATAGGAATAAAACAGCTAGGATATATGGTAAATTTTTGCTTAACTTTCCTAATGTTTTTCCAAAGTGATTGTACCATTTTGGATTTCAACCAGCAGTGCATGAGAATTCCAGTTGCTCTACAGCCTTGCCAACATGTGATATGGTCATTCTTTTTAATTATAGCCATTCTATTAGGGAAGTAGTAGTAATTCAGGGTGGTTACTTTTGAATTGACTGTTTTTAGTTTATTTTGTCTCTTTTGTTGGATTTTTAGTTATAAATTTCTACCATGTTATTTTAAAAGGTGCTTTAGAGTTTGTAAGGTACATCTTATTTTTATTTTTATATTTATTTATTTATTTATTTATTTATTTATTTATTTATTTATTTGTGACAGAGTTTCACTCTTGTTGCCCAGGCTGGAGGGAAATGTTGGGATATCAGCTCACCGCAACCTCCGCCTCCCAGGTTCAAGCGATTATCCTGCCTCAGCCTCCTGAGTAGCTGGGATTACAGGGATGCGCCACCGCTCCCAGCTAATTTTTTTTATTTTTAGTAGAGACGGGCTTCCTCCATGTTGGTCAGGCTGATCTCAAACTCCCGACCTTGGGTGATCCACCCACCTCAGCCTCCCAAAGTGCTGGGATTACAGGCATGAGCCACCGTGCCCGGCCTGTAATGTACAACTTTAAGTTACTGTAGTATACCTACAAGTGATAGTATACGGCTTCACATATAATGTATGAACTTTATAGTAGTATACTTACATTTTTCTCTTTTTGTCCTTTAGGCTATTATTGTCATACGTTTTGCTTTTACATATGTTATAAACCCCACACTACATTAATATTATTTTTGTTTAAATGTTAATTTAGGGTCACAGATTTAAATGTAAGAAAAAGCTCTTATATATTTACCCATGTTGTAGTTGTTTCTAGCCTTCATTTCTTTGTTATGGTTGAAATTGTCATCTGGTGTCATTTTCCTTTTTCCTAAAAACTTCCTTTAATATCTCTTGTACAGTGAATGTGCTGACGATAAATACTTTCAACTACTGTGTGTATGAAAAAAGTATTTTGCCTTCAAATGTGAAATACATTTTCACTGAATATAGGATTCTGGAGTGACATCTTTTTTTTTCTTTCAGTATTTTAAAGACATTTGTCTACTGTGTTCTGGCTTCCATTGTTTCTGACAAAAAAAAAATCTTCTGCTACATTAATCTTTCATGCTTTAAATGTAATATGGTGTTAGCAAATTGATTATGTTGGGCCTTGGTGTAATTTTCTTCATGTCTCTTATGCTTGGGGTCACTATGCTTCTTTGATATGTGATTATAGGTTTTATTAAGTTTCACAAATTTTTGGCTATTATTTTTTCAAATATTTTTTCCAAACCCCCTCTCCTCCAACAGTTACACTTACATGTATATTAGGTTTCTTAACAGCTTTTCCACAGCTCTCTAGTGTTCTTTTAATGGTATTTTTGTTTTTCCTTCCTGTGTTTAATTTTGAAAAGTTTCTATTACGATATTGTTATGTTCACTAATCTTTTCTTCTCTCTAATATATTGTTAAGACCTTCAGTGTATGTATGTGTATGTTTGTGTGTGTATATACATGTATATGTATATATACATGTATGTTACACATACATATAAAACTTCAGACATTATAGTTTTAGCTCTAAAATTTTGATTTGGTTATTTTTATATCTTCCATGTCTTTATTTCAGATTGTGTATATCTAAATGCAGTAATAATAATCATTTTAATATACTTGTCTGCTAATTTTAACATCTATGTCAGCTCTGCACTGATTTTGACAGATTTAGTCTTTTTTCTAAAAGTAGTACTTTTTTTCTAAAGTACATAGTACTTTCTTCCCTCTTCATATGTCTAATTAATATATTTGGGCTGATGTAGCAAAATACCATAAACTGGATAGCTTATAAATAACAGCAATTTATTCCTCACAGTTCTAGAGGCTGGTAAGTCCAAAATCAAGGTGACAGCAAATTTGGTATCTGGTGAGGTCCCACTTTCTCATACATGGTGCCTTCTCACTATGTCTTCTTCACATAGTGGAAGAGGCAATGCAGCTCTCTTAACTCCTTTTACAAAAACACCAATTCCATTTTTGAGGGCTCTGCCATCATGACCTAATTACCTCCCAAATGGTCCCACATCCTAATACCATCACCTTGGGGGTTAAGATTTCAACATTTGAATTTTGGGAAGACATAAATATTCAGGCTATAGCACTAGTAATTTTTTATTGAATGTCATCCATCATGTATTTTACCCTCTTGTGTTCAGATGTTTTTTGTTTTCTTATGAATATTCTTGAGCTTTGTTCTGTGATTTAGCTTAGTTACTTGGAAGCAATTGAATCTTTTGTGCCTTGCTTCTAAGATTTGATAAGGAGTACCAGGATTGTATTTAATCTAGGAATAATTATTTTTGCACTATTGAGGCAATATTGTTCTGTGTATTCTACCCAATCCTTCATAATCATAAGGTATACTAGTCTCACTGGAGCAAAGCATGTTTCCCAGATCTGGGTGAATGTCAGGCATGTTACCTTTAATTCTTTCAGGTTGCTCTTTCCCTAATATTTGATAGTTTTCTCACATACATATGTTGGTCAGTACTCAGCTGAATACTGAATGGTAACCCCTTGCAGATCTCCTGAGCTCTCTCTGTGCAGCTCTCTCTTCTCTGGTACTCCGCTCTATAAACTTGAGCCACTTTCACCTTCCTAATTTCTCAACTTTATATCCTCAACTCAAGGGGTGTATAAATGTAGAGTTTGGAGAATAACTAGTTTAAATACAGTTAGCTGAAAGAATGAAGGTTAAAAAATGTTAACAAGGATAAGGGGTGACGAGGCAGGAAGTAGGAGATTGGATCAGGGAAGAAGATCTCAGTTGCCAGGAGTTCATACATTAAGGAAAGGAAGGTACATGTAAGACCTATAATGATTAACTTCACTTAGTTTGGTTTATGTGAAAAATTTCAGGATATGCAATTAAATTTGAATTATTTTTAAATCACTTTTGGTTGTCAAATTCTTTTGTTTTGGTTTATTTTGAATATTGTACCACGCACAAACTGGAACACTGGTTTTTATGTGGATTATACTCTCATGCACTTTCAAAAGCCTACAGTTTTCCATGTGCTTTTTCTTGTATTTGAAAAGGTATATTTTAGATACCTTGACTTCATTAAATTCTTTGCATCCTTTTGTATCCAACAAAAGTGTCATTTTCTCCATGAAGTCTTCCACCTCTGCCTCCTGCTGAGCCCGTTTTTGTCCCTTCTCTGTTCCGTAGTTCTTTGTTTCTACAACAAATCTTACATACGCTATATTGTATACTACTTACTTGTTTATCTGCTATTTTTCTCAGCAGACTGAGAGCATATGAAAGGCAGGAACCACATCTCAATCACTTTTGATTGAGCTTCTCAGTACCTCTGTAAGATAATATATCTCCTCATTCTCGTATAGACTGAAATATTCTGTATCTGACAGACATGTGATTTAGACCTCACTTTTTGTCCCAAATTTAATCCTTCAAAAAGCTAGAGTTATCATAAGACTATTAAAGTAATGAATTGCCTTTACCAGTTTGGCATTACTTGAACCATGTGCTTTATTTCTGGTTCCAAATCTGGCTGTGCATCAGAATTTCCCATCCCTGACCTGCAAATCAAAATTTCAGAAGAGTGATTCCCAGGGATATGTATTTCAAAATAGGCATCAGGGTGAGTCTAGTCATTGACAGATGCCTTAGTTTGTTCATAGTTAAATGTGCTAATGTTGAGGATTGCCTTTCTGAACTGAGGCATTTTAGAAGAGTTGGTTGCCCAGGTCAAATCTGAAGATTTACAATAGAACCAAGATGGTAATAAGACAAAAGATTTATATGAAGATATAAGAATTAATATGGACACACACACTCTTCTATTTCCTATGTAGGGTGGTAAGTATAGTTAGGAAATATGTATGTATTTATTAAAGGATATAAACTGAATGATAGGTACCCTTACCATTTGAATGTCTTAATTTTTAAAAAATAAATTATGCCTGGTCACCTTATTCTTTTTTTTTTTGTCCCTCTTTTACCATTTTCTAGGAATTGCATCCCATAATTTGGTTGTAATAAAATGTGACTGCTGGGGAAATGTTCACAGAGTTGGCATTCATTTGCACGCTACTGCCATTTCAGCCCAGGGCATTCTCTCTTTCTTCCTGGTTCTCCTGCCTCCCTCCACCAGCCCCTCCCCAGCAGAGCACTGATGAGATGTGACAACAGAAAACACAAGTGCATTTCCTGGAGATTTACCAACATCCAGAAGGAAAGCTCAAAGGAAAAGGAACAATAGAAAAGGGGAATTGTGGAGGGAAGAAAGTTTCTAAGCCTATCATTTGCAAATGTCAGCTCCATTCTCAGAGAACTCTAGAGACTGTTAAGCAAACCTGTTTCTAATGAATACAACAAGAGCCATTTGAATCCTCTACACTTGAGCCAGTCACATTTAACAGATCACCCAGTCTATCTTCCATTATTCTCAGAGGCATCCTGGGCCTCACAGCATCTTTTCAATTTCAGCTTCAAATGACCCAAGCTCTGTGTTGTCTTAGGCTTCAATAGGATTCAATAGGAAAACAATGTCAGAAGGTTAACATATTTTTCCCATTATACTATATAATTGCTATGTACTTTACTCATCCCAATCCCTTAGCACTTTGGATTTCAATATTCAACTAGTCTTCACTATTTATCAATAGAATCAGGAAAGGCACATAGAAACGTGTAAAGCCAGTAGACCTAGATTTTCTTCTCCACTTCACACTCATCACTTACTTGTCTCTGAGTAAGACACTTATCTTCTTCAGGTCTCAGTTTCTGCATCTATAAAAAGGACATAGAATGTCCTCTTACCTAAAATGTTTGCTTAAAGAATGGTAGTATTTATTTGAAAAGTATAAAGTAATATAAAAATATGTTAGAATAAGTATCAGGCCTAACAGTTGCCAAATATCTGAAGTTGACTTTCTACTTTGTTTATTTGTGTTCTTTGTTTATTTGCATTTTATAAAGCAGAGAATATTCTACTCTTCATCATGACTTGAGTGAGCATGCTCATCATTCCTTTAGTTAGCTGCTTCAATTCACAAATCATTCTCTTTATTCTGAATTCTCTCCTCTTTGCTACTCAATATCTGATCCTCAGGGGTCCATTGAGCAAGAATATTAAGTAGGTACAATGCTGGTAAGATTCTCCATGACTTTCTTCCAAGGACATTACTTCTATTGGAACTAGTTCACATATACTTTTCCTTCTATGCAATCATTAGTTCCACTACGATCTTTCCTGAATATAGAAATTCTAACCATTCCTCAGAACCAAAATATTAGTAAAGAAATGATTTATTGGGCAAAACATTTGCCCTAAGAAGGAATTTGTGCCTTTGTGCATGCATGAAATTATTTACTTGTATTAATGAGAACACTCATTGTCTTATGCTGAATAAGAATTAGATGAATAGTTCGCCAAGGCCACTGTGTGCTGTTTCTGACAAATATATGTGCTAGATGCACCACCCCATCATTTGGGATTTCTGGCAGAACCACATGACTTCCAATGGTCATGTTGCCTGAGTGTTACCTAGTGGACTCTGAGATGATGATCTTCCTGTTTTATACCTATGAAGTATAGAAAAAAGGCAATAGAAATCAAGGAAAAAAAGAAGGGGGGGAGTGGAGGAGACTAAGAAGAATAAAAATAAGGAAAAGAAAGAGAAAAAAATAAGAGAAGGGGTAATTGAAGGAATAAGAGAAGCTGTAAAGTATAAAAGGGAAAAAATAATTGTAGATAGAATGTCGGTATATTTTTAGAAGAATATTCATAACAATATATATTAAAAGCAGCAAGATTTTCTCACTCTTTTCCTTTTCTCACCTCCCATTAGCAATGACTGAAGTTGTGAATTATGAACAAGTGTCAGAGATTGCAAATTTAACAGCAAATAGTGGGGGATGAAGAAAAGAAGATGAGGAAATTATTTTACAAGATGAATACAAAGGCCTTGTGATAAATGAATTAGAATGATGTTTTATGCTGAAAAATCACTTTTCCATTTTAAAGTATCTCCATATTTCAATTTATCTAATGAAGATTGTCAGTAGAATCATATTTAGTATTTTTCTTGAGAAGTAGTTAGTACCCCTTCTTAATCTTGGCCCAACTGAACTGTGTCAAATTTATTTCTGCACAATGCAAGTTCAACCCCATTCAGACCAATTGTGCTCTTTCATCAGATCGTCAGAACTCACAAGTTTTCTGTGGTAGGAAGGGGAACATAGAGAAGGACCAGGACCTGCAATTAAGACACAATACTCGCTGGGAAATAGCAGATATGTAGGTGGGTGGGAGTTATCCATGATGAAAAAACATGTACACTGATACATAGCAGAAACAGAATCTAGAATGATGTCATTGGTTATGGTTCTGACCAGCCATTTTTATTAGGAAGTTGAACCAGGGATGGGAGGTTGCCCCATCCAGCCAATGACTCCATAGCAACACTACAAACTGTTAGGTAATAGCTCCCTGCTCTCTACCAAGATCTGGGTTTCAGGTACCACCACAACAAAGGGAACATGGTGAGAAGAGACTAGCCTGGCTAGATATGAAAAGTGACAGACATTGAAGATTTATTCTCTTTCTTTTTTTTTTTTTTTTTTTGAGTTGGAGTCTCACTCTGTTGCCCAGGCTGGAGTGCAGTGGTGCAATTTCTGCTCACTGAAAGCTCCACCCACGGGGTTCACACCATTCTCTTGCCTCAGCCTCCCGACTAGCTGGGACTACAGGCACCCTCCACCATGCCCAGCCAATTTTTTTGTATTTTTAGTACAGATGGGGTTTCACAGTGTTCGCCAGGATGGTCTCGATCTCCTGACCTCGTGATCCACCTGCCTCGGCCTCCCAAAGTGCTGGGATTACAGGCATGAGCCACCATGCCTGGCCGAGGACTTATTCTCAATTTAAAAAAAAAAAAGAGTCCAGGTTTCTAGGATTACGGTGCATTCTTGAACCAGAGCAGCAGATTTGGCTTGATGCTGGGTTACATGGAGTTCAAACAAAGATTTCATAAATCCCTTCCAAGGACAGGAAGAGTTGGCCTAGAAACTGGGACAAGATAAGTTTACAGATAGAGAAAAATGGGGTTAGGGATGGTGATGGGATTAAGGCATTGCTACCTTATTCCAGTGTAAACCTAGGGCTCTCAGATCATCCTATTCTTCCAGTCAAATTATGATACCTAAATTTTGAGTGAAATCACTGTGTTGGAACTGATTGAAAACTTTATGAAACACTGTACAGGCCGAGAGCAGTGTTTCTCCCAGCACGACGTTTGAGCTCTGAGAACAGACAGGCTGCCTCCTCAAATGGGTCCCTGAGCCCGGTGTAGCCTAACTGGGAGACACTTCCCACTAGGGGTCGACAGACACCACATACACAGGTGCCCTTCTGGGACAAAGCTTCCAGAGGAAGGATCAGGAAGCAATATTTGCTGTTCTGCAATATTTGCTGTTCTGCAGCCTCAGCTGGTGATACCCAGGCAAACGGGGTCTGGAGTGGACCTCCAGCAAACTCCAACATACCTGCAGCTGAGGGTCCTGACTGTTAGAAGGAAAACTAACAAAGAGAAAGGAATAGCATCAACATCACCAAAAACGACATCTACACCAAAACCCCATCTGTAGGTCACCAAAGACCAAAGGTAGACAAAACCACAAAGATGGCGAGAAGCCAGAGCAGAAAAGCTGAAAATTCTAAAAAACAGAGTGCCTCTTCTCCTCCAAAGGATCGCAGCTCCTCACCAGCAATGGAACAAAGCCAGATGGAGAATGGTGAGTTGACAGAAGTAGGCTTCAGAAGGTTGGTAATAACAAACTTCTCCGAGCTAGAGGAGCATGTTCTAACCTACTGCAAGGAAGCTAAAAGCCTTGGAAAAAGGTTAGGCAAATGGCTAACTAGAATTAACAGTGTAGAGAAGACTTTAAATGACCTGATGGTGCTGAAAACCATGGCACAAGGACTATGTGACACATGTACAAGCTTCGGTAGCCGATTTGATCAACTGGCAGAAAGGATATCAGAGATTGAAGATCAGATTAATGAAATAAAGTGAGAAGACAAGTCTAAAGAAAAAAGAGTAAAAAGAAATGAACAAAGCCTCCAATAAATATGGGACTATGTGAAAAGACCAAATCTACGTTTGATTCATGTGCCTGAAAGAGATGAGGAGAATGGAACCAAGTTGGAAAACACTATTCAGGATATTATCCAGGAGAACTTCCCCAACCTAGCAAGGCAGGCCAACATTCAAATTCAGGAAATACATAGACCACCACAAAGATACTCCTCGAGAACAGCGACACCGAGACACATAAATGTCAGATTCACCAAGGCTGAAATGAAGGAAAAAATATTAAGGGCAGCCAGAGAGAAAGGTCAGGTTACCCACAAAGGGAAGTGCCTCAAACTAACAGTGGATCTCTCGGCAGAAACCCTACAAACCAGAAGAGAGTGGGGGGCAATATTCAACATTCTTAAAGAAAAGAATTTTCAACCCAGAATATCATATCCAGCCAAAATAAGCTTCATAAGTGAAGGAGAAATAAAATACTTTACAGACAAGCAAATGCTGAGAGATGTTGTCACCACCAGGCCTGCCTTACAAGAGCTCCTGAAGGAAGCACTAAACATGGAAAGGAACAACCGGTACCAGCCACTGCAAAAACATGCTAAATTGTAAAGACCATCAATGCTATGAAGAAACTGAATCAATTAACGGGCAAAATAACCAGCTAGCATCATAATGACAGGATCAAATTCACACAGAACAATATTAACCTTAAATATAAATGGACTAAATGCCCCAGTTAAAAGACACAGACTAGCAAATTAGATAAAGGGTCAAGACCCATCACTGTGCTGTATCCAGGAGACCCATCTCATGTGCAGAGACACACACAGACTCAAAATAAAAGGTTGGAGGAAGATCTACCAAGCAAATGAAAAGCAAAAAAAAAAAAAAAAAAGCAGGAGTTGCAATCCTAGTCTCTGATAAAACAGACCTTAAACCAACAAAGATCAAAAGAGACAAAGAAGGCCATTACATAATGGCAAAGGGATCAATTCAACAAGAAGAGCTAACTATTCTAAATATATATGCACCCAATACAGGAGCACCCACATTCATAAAGCAAGTCCTGAGTGACCTACAAAGAGACTTAGACTCCGACACAATAATAATGGGAGACTTTAACACCCCATGTCAACATTAGACAGATCAATGAGACAGAAAGTTAACAAGGATATCCAGGAATTGAACTCAGCTCTGCACCAAGAGGACCTAATAGACATCTACAGAACTCTCCACCCCAAATCAACAGAATACACATTCTTCTCAGCACCACATCACACTTATTCTAAAACTGACCACATAATTGGAAGTAAAGCACTCCTCAGCAAACGTAAAAGAACAGAAATCACAAAAAACTGTCGTTCAGACCACAGTGCAATCAAACTAGAACTCAGGATAAAGAAACTCACTCAAAACTGCACAACTACATGGAAACTGAACAACCTGCTCCTGAATGACTCCTGGGTAAATAATGAGATGAAGGCAGAAATAAAGATGTTCTTTGAAACCAATGAGAACAAAGACACAATGTACCAGAATCTCTGAGACACATTTAAATCAGTGTGTAGAGGGAAATTTATAGCACTAAATGCCCACAAGAGAAAGCAGGAGAGATGTAAAATCGACACCCTAACATCAAAATTAAAAGAACTAGAGAAGCAAGAGCAAACACATGGAAAAGCTAGCAGAAGGCATTAAATAACTAAGATCAGAGCAGAACTGAAGGAGATAGAGATGAAAAAACCCTTCAAAACATTAATGAATCCGGGAGCTGGTTTTTTGAAAAGATTAACTAAATTGATAGACCGCTAGCAAGACTAATAAGACAAGAGAGAAGAATCAAATATTCGTAATAACAAATGATAAAGGGGATATCACCAACGATCCCACAGAAAAACAAACTACCATCAGGGAATACTATGAACACCTCTATGCAAATAAACTAGAAAATCTAGAATAAATGAATAAATCCCTCGACACCTACATGCTTCCAAGACTAAACCAGGAAGAAGTTGAATCTCTGAATAGAAAAATAACAGGCTCTGAAATTGAGGCAATAATTAATAGCCTAACAACCAAAAAAGTCCAGGACAAGACAAATTCACAGGCAAATTCTACCAGAGGTACAAAGAGGAACTGGTACCATTCCTTCTGAAATTATTCCAATCAATAGAAAAAGAGAGAATCCTCCCTGACTCATTTTATGAGGCCAGCATCATCCTGATACCAAAGCCTTACAGAGAAACAACAAAAAAAGAGAATTTTAGACCAATATCCCTGATGAATATCGATGCAAAAATCCTCAATAAAATACTGGCAAGCCAAATCCAGCAGCACATCAAAAAGCTTATCCACCATGATCAAGTGGGCTTCAATCCTGTGATGCAAGGCTGGTTTAACATACACAAATCAATAAATGTCATCCATCACATAAACAGAACCAACAACAAAAACCAGATGATTACCTCAATAGATGCAGAAAAGGCCTTCGACAAAATTCAACAGCGCTTCATGCTAAAAGCTCTCAATAAACTAGGTATTGATGGAACGTATCTCAAAATAATAAGAGCTATTTATGACAAACCCACAGCCAATATCATATTGAATGGGCAAAAACTGGAGGCATTCCCTCTGAAAACTGGCACAAGACAAGGTTGCTCTCTCTCACCACTCCTATTCAACATAGTGTTGGATGTTCTGGCCAGGGCAATCAGGCAAGAGAAACAAATAAAGGGTATTCAATTAGGAAAAGAGGAAGCCAAATTATCCCTGTTTGCAGATGACATGATTGTATATTCAGAAAAACCCATCATCTCAGCCCAAAATCTCCTTAAGTTGATAAAGGAACTTCAGCAAAGTCTCAGGATACAAAATCAATGTGCGAAAATCACAAGTATTCCTATACACCAATAACAGACAAACAGAGAGCCAAAACATGAGTGAAGTCCCATTCACAATTGCTACAAAGAGAATAAAATACCTAGGAATCCAACTTACAAGGGACATGAAGGACCTCTTCAAGGAGAACTACAAATCACTGCTCAACGGAATAAATGAGGACACAAACAAATAGAAGAACATTCCATGCTCATGTATAGGAAGAATCAGTATCATGAAAATGGCCATACTGCCCAAGGTAATTTATAGATTCAATGCCATCCCCATCAAGCTACCAATGACTTTCTTCACAGAATTGGAAAAAACTACTTTAAAGTTAATATGGAACCAAAAAAGAGCCTGCATTGCCAAGACAATCCTAAGCCAAAAGAACAAAGCTGGAGGCATCACACTACCTGACTTCAAACTATACTACAAGGCTACAGTAACCAAAACAGCATGGTACTGGTACCAAAACAGAGATATAGACCAATGGAACAGAACAGAGACCTCACAAATTAACACCACACATCCACAACCATCTGATCTTTGACAAACCTGACAAAAACAAGAAATGGGGAAAGGATTCCCTATTTAATAAATGGTGCTGGGAAAACTGGCTAGCCGTATGTAGAAAGCTGAAACTAGATCTCTTCCTTACACCTTATACAAAAATTAATTCAAGATGGATTAAAGACTTAGATGTTAGACCTAAAACCATAAAAACCCTAGAAGAAAACCCAGGCAATACCATTCAGGCCATAGGCATGGGCAAGGACTTCATGACTAAAATACCAAAAGCAATGGCAACAAAAACCAAAATAGACAAATGGGATCTAATTAAACTCAAGAGCTTCTGCACAGCAAAAGAAACTACCTTTAGAGTGAACAGGCAACCTACAGAATGGGAGAACATTTTTGCAATCTACCCATCTGACAAAGGGCTAATATCCAGAATCTACAAAGAACTTAAAAAAACAGACAACCCCATCAAAAAGTGGGCAAAGGATATGAACAGACAGTTCTCAAAAGAAGACATTTATACAGCCAACAGACACATTAAAAAATGCTCATCATCACTGGCCATCAGAGAAATGCAAATCAAAACTGCAATGAGATACCATCTCACACCAGTTAGAATGGCGATCATTAAAAAGTCAGGAAATGACATGCTGGAGAGGATGTGGAGAAATAGGAACACTTTTACACTGTTGGTGGGAGTGTAAATTAGTTCAACCATTGTGGAAGACAGTGTGGTGATTCCTCAAGGATCTAGAACTAGAAATACCATTTGAGCCAGCAATTCCATTACTGGGTATATACCCAAAGGATTATAAATCATGCTACTATAAAGACACATGCACACGTATGTTTATTGCAGCACTATTCACAATAGAAATACTTGGAACCAACCCAAATGTCCACAAATGATAGACTGGATTAAGAAAATGTGGCACATATACACCATGGAATACTATGCAGCCATAAAAAAGGATGAGTTCATGTCCTTTGCAGGAACATAGATGAAGCTGGAAACCATCATTCTGAGCAAACTACCACAAGGACAGAAAACCAAACACCGCATGTTCTCACTCATAGGTGGGAATTGAACAATGAGAACACTTGGACACAGGGCAGGGAACATCACACACCAGGGCCTGTTGGGGGACAGGGGCTGGGGGAGGGATAGCATTAGGAGAAATGCCTAATGTAAATGACGAGTTGATGGGTGCAGCAAACCAACATGGCACATGTATACCTATGAAACAAACCTGCACGTTGTGCACATGTACCCTAGAACTTAAAGTATAATAAAAAAAAAAAAGAAAAAAAAAAAAAGAAACACTGTACAGGCCAAACAAAACATTTCTGGAGATTGTCAGTTTGAAATTTCTGTTCACAACCATGTAATTTAGCCATTATTTATATTTGGTCCTATAAAGTTCTCTACTTTTTACTGTATGTTATTCTTTTCTTGCCAATTACATTTTAAGCCAGAAGTGTCTTCTCATCATCAATTGTAGTTTTCCCAGTATCAATCCTGTGCCTAATAAATATTGGAGGATTAATTGATTGTATATGATAGTACATGGAATATAAATCAAAATAGGAAAGAAAAATATTTACATATGGCGTAAGTCAATAGAAAAATAACTTTGCCCTAACATCACTTAGGGATTGAGAAAACATGCCAGCAGGAAAAAGTCTCTGTATCCAAAAAATACAGGAGTATGAAAATTCATTGTTTTAGAAAAATAAAATGTGTTAAAACAAAATCTGGTGAAAAAAACTACTTGACAATAACCCTGCCATGATATTGGAGAAACATCTGTAGATAACTGGGAATAGGAAGAGAGAAAGGGAGGGAGGGGGGGAGAGAGAGAGAGAAAGAAAGAGAAGAAAAAGAAGAAAAAAGTCAATAAGTATGTTGAAATAGAGGTTAAAAGAAAAATAAAAGTTTGAAAGAAGTTTTTAGAGCATGTGACATGGTCTCAAACAAGAAAAGGGGGATACGTTTTAATCTGTTCGTATTGCTACAAAGGCATACTCAAGGTGAGTCCATTATAAAGAAAAGAGGTTTATTTGGCTCATAGTTCTGCAAGCTGTACAAGAAGCATGGTGCCAATATCTGCTTCTGGTGAGGGCTTCAGGCTACTTTCAATCACGACAGATGGTGACGGGGAGCTGTGTATGCAGATCACATTGTAAGAGAGAAAACGGTAGGGAGGGGATGCCAGGATTTAACAACTAGCTCTCCAGGGAAATAATAGGGTGAGAACTTACTACCTCAAGGGTGGCACCAAGCCATTCATGAGGGATCCTCCCCATGACCCAAACACCTCCCATTAGGCCCCACCTGTAGCACTGTGGATGAGATTTCAGCATGAGATTTGGAGGGCCCAAGAAAATCAAACTACAGCAGAGTGTGATGGAGCAGAGCTGGCTCACACTGGCTGTTAAGAGCTGATTTTTCCCATCTCTTCCCAACTCTCTGTTCAATGACTTCACACTCATAGCCTGAAATGAGCTATGGTAAGAAAATTTACACCACAGAAATCAGCAAAAGCCACAAATAAGAGCTTCCTTTACTCATACCTACAAACTTCTTCCCAGCAGCCTGTTAAACACTTACCAGCATGTCACCGCATCATAAAGAAATCCATGACTTTCTATTGCTCAGAAATAACAGTTGGAAATTTTGGGGTGTTGACAGTCAAAAGGCAGTAAAAACGCATCCTGAGCAACCCTTAGCCCCTGTTCTGGGAAAAAGTCAGTTGCCCTCCCACTGGGGGCTCTCCTGCTGACTCCCTGACTTCACAGAAGCTGAACTTTGTTCCCTGTTTAGAATGACACTACTTACCAGCCTCTGGCCGCAGTAGCCAGAATAGGACTGGACTGCCTAGATATGTGGTATGTTGTAGGTCAATTCTTGAACCTGCCCTTCCCTATCCAGGCCCAATCCATTACTATTCAGGTACCAGGGTGATAAAAAGGGAGACTGACAAGCCTAGACTGAAGGAATTGCCTCTCTTTAGAAAGTTCTGCTGGCCTGTGAAATAATATCTTTTCATTCAACTGGAATCAATGTGTATGTGGCTCATTAAACAAAACCCCATATAAGAAAAGGTAAATTTGGTAACAAGTATTTATTTTAATAAAGAATTCACCATAGGGTAACTTTAAATAACTAGCTTCCCAAGTGCACTCATATAAAATCTTTTTAAGAGTACTGCCATTATAGAAAGTGAGCTAATATTTAAGCTGAATATACAACGACTCTTCAGGGGAAAGAGTGCTTAACTACTGAGAATAATTGTGGGCCTGCTTTAAACTTTAGGAACTCACTGGTTTGTACAGCTCCACTCTAATAATTTCTCTGTTCTGCACTTTGGCTGGCTCATCAGTAAGGGTATAACTAAAATAGAAGATAGCATCTTCAAGGGATATAAGGGACTGCAAAAATGGACGTAAGTTCAGCTTCCATTACCTTGTCAACATGAATGGCATATCATTTGTGTATCCAGAAATAGTCACTGAACACATTTGCTACAACTCAGCAATCTTTTCATTTCCAGAAAACATTGAAACTGGAATTCTATCAATGTATGGTCATTAAAAATGTTAATGTTAGATAATGGGATTATAAATCCTGTCAAGTGCTACCCATGAAATTTACTTAAGCATGTTAGCTTTTATATTATTGTTTGAAATTTAGCCAGGTACAACTGAACGACTGATTTTTTTTCCATTGCAGAAGAACTGCTACAGTAGGAGAAGCTAGGGAATAAGAAGAAGAAGGAGAAAAAACTTAAAGAGGACTTACTCTATGGCAAATTGCAGTAGTCAATATTACACAATTTTACTCATTTCATTCACCAAAAAAATAAACTTAAAGACATTTTACTACATCTATTTTACAGATGCACCAACAAATTCAGAGAGGTTAAATATCTTGTGAAAACTCACAGAGATGGCTTTTCAGAGGCAGAGTTGGTATTTTGAGTCTATTTGACTCAAAAGCCTGGTATTTGGTTAGATGTTGATGTCCCCAAAATAGTAACATGTTTATTTTACAAAATTAGAAAAAAGCAGAAACATTTTTAAATTAAATAAAAATATACATTAAGCATTCAACCTAGAGATGCTCATAGTTTATATAGTTGTTGTCCTTCAGTCTTTTTACATTTTTTTTTGTTCTATTAATATGCTCCATTTTTTCTTCCTGTTGGAAGAATACATCTTCATTGTGGAAAATGCAGAAAAGTATAGAGAAGGAAAAAGTCATCTTTTATTTGACCTTGTTTCTAGGTCTTACACACAATATGTCATCACTAAATGATATATTTTCTCATTTTTTGTTTCTAAAATTAGAATTATACTATGCATGTACAGAATTGTGTATCCATTTAATAGATCATGAGTATGCTGTATAAAAGACTGCATGATTTTCCATCATTGAATTTACCCTAATGTATGCAACTATTCCTCTTTCGTTATTCGTTTTGAGTTGTTTGTTACTTTAAATAATGCTGCAATGAATATACAGGCTTATAAGTTTTTAGTCCCATTTCAAGTCATTTTCTTAGGATAAATTTCTACAATTGAATCACTACGTCAAAGCATCTGAAAAATTTTTTAAGGTTCTTAATACATATGGGCTGAATTGCTCTCCAAAGTTATTGTACCAATTTAAAAACCCACCTGCAGAGTCCAAGACTGATTTTATTTATAATGTGGTTTTTATGTTAATCAAAATTTGTTTCCTCTTGTTATTATTTCGAAGACCTCTGTTCTTTCCTTCCTAGGATTTAACAAAATTTGTAAGTCCTTTTGCTTATTTGTTTAATAAAGGCCTCTCTTATTAACTATAACTCTGGTGGAAACTGGAAACATGCCTATATATTTCACCCTAAACAACTATTACTTAATATAGGGCCTAACCCAGAAAAAGTCGTATCTATGTTTGTTGAACAAATGGAGAAATTTTTCCTTACAGAATTATTTTTCTGAGTATACACAAGTATCTAAACAAGATAACTCCAAAAGGATGTTTTATTTTCTGTTTTATTGTTTGTTTGTTTTTACTTTAAGTTCTGGAATACATGTGCAGAACGTGCAGGCTTGTTACATAGGTATTAATGTGCGATGGTGGTTTGCTGCACCTATCAACCCATCATCTAGGTTTTAAGCCCCACATGCATTAGGTATTTGTCCTAATGCTGTCTCTCCCCTTGCCCCCGACCCCCCAACAGGACCCAGTGTGTGATGTTCCCCTCCCTGTGTCCATGTGTTCTTATTGTTCAATTCCCACTTATGAGTGAAAACATGTGGTGTTTGGTTTTCTGTCCCTGTGTTAGTTTGCTGAGAATGATGGCTTCCAGCTTCATCCATGTCCCTTCAAAAGACATGAACTCATTCTTTTTTATGGCTGCATAGTATTCCATGGTATATATGTGCCACGTTTTCTTTATCCAGTTTATCATTGATGGGCATTTGGGTTGGTTCCAAGTCTTCACTATTGTAAGTAGTGCTGCAATAAACATATGTGTGCTTGTGTCTTTATAGTAGAATATTTATAATCCTTTGGGTATATACCCAGTAATGGGATTGCTGGGTCAAATGGTATTTCTGGTTCTAGATCCTTGAGGAATTGCCACACTGTCTTCCACAATGGTTGAACTAAGTTACACTCCCACCACCAGTGTATAAGCATTCCTTTTCTCCACAGCCTCACCACCATCTGTTTTCTGACTTTTTAATAATCTCCATTCTAACTAGTATGAGATGGTATCTCATTGTGGTTTTGATTTGCATTTATCTAATGATCAGTGATGATAAGCTTTTTTTCATATGTTCCTTGGCCACATAAATGTCTTCTTTTGAGAAGTGTCTGTTCATATCCTTTGCCCACTTTTTGATGAGGTTGTTTGTTTTTTTCTTGTAAATTTGTTTAAGTTTTTCGTAGATTCTGGATATTAGACCTTTGTCAGATGGATAGATGGCAAAAATTTTCTCCCATTCTGTAGGTTGCTGTTCACTCTGATGCTAGTTTCTTTTGCTGTGCGGATGCTCTTTTGTTTAATTAGATCCCATTTGTCAATTTTGGTTTTTGTTGCAATTGCTCTTGGTGTTTTAGTCATGAAGTCTTTGCCCATGCCTATGTCCTGAATGATATTCCTAGGTTTTCTTCTAGGGTTTTTATGATTTTAGATTTTTACATTTAAGCCTTTAATCCATCTTGAGTTAATTTTTGTATAAGTCATAAGGAAGGGATCCAGTTTCAGTTTTCTGCATATGGCTAGCCAGTTTTCCCAGCACCATTTATTAAATAGGGAATTCCGAAAGGATTTTTTTAATGGTCACTCACGTTTTGAAAAATTATTCCAATAGTTGAAAAAGGATTTGCTCTGGTATTCAGCACATGGTCTGGTCCCAGGCTCTGGAGAATTAGATAATGATGTCTCAACAACCCAACCCATGTCTGATGCACAAGGTGTTGCAGATTGCAATGGGCTTCTACTGTGTTCTCATGGCAGGGAAAGAGGCAGGGTTGACAAGGCATGGGGTGTGGTCTCATTATTTACATATGAGTTGCAATATTTCCATTAGGTATTTAAGCACACAGAGCAAGGCCTGTGTGCTCTTTTTGAAGCCAATGTCCTCAGTGTCAGTTGAAAAGAAACAACTTTCCGAAATCATTAAAGAATAACAATTGCTTTTGCAACCAAAGCAAAAGACCAAACACAACACAACTAGTGGGATGGTCCCATATTTTAGCTTTATTCCTTTCTCCCACAGCCCTTTTCATATGTATCCAACAGAAGAAATTTATTTTCTGCCTTGTGTGAAAACATTGGCTGGTCCATGAATTTTCTGGTCTTCTGTGATATTACTGATAGTGACTTAAACTGAATATTAGTAACACAGTCAATTTAAGTCCTGTGGCCACTTTAAATTGTCACACTCAGTGTTGATTCAGAAATTAGAATGCCCGGTCAATATGTGACACAGCACACAGTTCAGTTCTCCTAGCCTTAGCTATGACCTGTTCAAGGCCAGTCTTCAAGGAGGGGAGTGAGGCTTGTTTATTTTCTCTCCCTCAAAAATCTCTTTGCAAACTTTTTAGGTCTTGTATTTGACCTGTAAGTGTTGGGGCATGAGCACAGAAGAGGAAAGAGGAGAGCAAACATTTTTTGCCTGGCAATAGCTGTGGTCATATGGCTTTGAGTTTTCTGGGTCCTGGCAGGTATGTGAAGCAGTCTACTTCTCTTGAAGCCACTTGGAGTTTTTCTCTGAGCCTGCTCTGGTGGGTCTTTCCAACTGAACTAGCTCTGAGAAATAAGCAAAGCACTGTAGTAGTCCAAGCACCTGCTGTTCCACTCCACAAGGACTCTCTCCAGGTTCCAATAACTTTCCAGGCAGTTTCTTGGGCCAGTATTAAATGGCTTAAGCCAGTTCTCCTTGTCCATGACACACATCTGATTTATGAAAAACACTCATAAATCCTTTGCTCCCACCCATGGGCCATACTGCAGCAGCAACTCTCCTTTCTTTCCACCAACACAGCATGGATGCCGGCTCCCCTGGCTGCACCCTGAAGGAGTTGGTGCCAGGGCTTGTTTTCAGTAATCTTGGAGAGGATTACAAAGATGGGCAGATTCTGCTTTTCCACCCATTCTATTCCCCTAGGGACCCATATTTCCTTCACTTTCCTTTGACTAGAGATACCGAAAAGTCCAACATTACCAGGTACAGAAAGAGCATGAAAAGTACCCACAAATTTTGAGCCATAAAGGGTAAGAGTGAACGGTTGCTATGGAAGAGAGATAAAGAGCTTGTGTGATACACTTCAGAGACCATAGTGAACAGAAATGAAGAGGTGTGAGTGTCCAGTGCAGTGTCACGTGCTGCAGAGAAGTTAGTCTGAGGACTGAGCAATGGCCACTTGATGGAAAAATTAGAAAAACATTGTCCTTTGAGAGAACTGTTTAGTAAAGGGATAGGGGCCAAAGTGAAAATGCATGTAGGTACTTCTTTATTTATTGCTGCCTCCAGATTCAGACTTGATATAATGTTTAGGCAAAATGCATAGTCACAATTGTCTAAAATGTCTTTATTCAGTGTATTTTAAGCCTTTTTCCCCCAAAGGCATGTTCCCAGGATGTAAATCTGGCTTTCTTTTCAATATTCATTCATTCACTGGCCCACTTATTTGCCCATTTAGACATACAGGTCTCTTTTAAGTCTACAACATTATCATCTTACTTTACTTGCCAGGCCAAAAATGAAATTGCAAATATGTATAGAATGACAATCTTCTTCATGTCCCTTTATAATGTCTTCACGTGCCTCAACTTTCATTTGCCTCTATAATGTCTACCTTGACCACCTCAGAGTAAAATTATTCCTTCATCATCTGGGCTCTTTTTATGTGTTCTCTTATGTTGGTTTTCATTTTGAATGCTTATTTCTTTTCTCCTGAAATCGAGTTAAGAACTATACATGTGACGGATGGACTGTGTCTTATGCATTGTCACCACACCAAGCTGTTCTGCCTTAATTTTAAACCTTCCATTTTTTTCCCTATTTCTACAAGGCAAGAGCTCTGAGCATACCATACAACTACATTATGTTATAACTAGTTGTAACATAATTGGAGTTTCATGCTTCAAAGCTTTGCACATGCACAGATGGTAGGCAAGCTCCTTGAATTCCCCCAGTAACCATGATTTAAGCTTAGTTGTTCAACACTAAAATATTAAATATTAATTGTGTACCATACACTAGACACAAAAGAGCTACCTTTAAGGAGCTTGCACTGGGCTGCTTATATTAGTTTTCTATTGCTGCTCTAACAAATCATCACAAACACAAAGTAACACAAATTTATTATCTTAGAGTTCTGGAGATCAGATGTCTGAACGGGGTCTCACCAGGTTAAAATCAAGGTGTTGGCTGGGTTGTATCTCTTCTGGAAAGTGCAAGGTAGAATTCATGTCCTTCCCTCTTCCAGATCCTCAAGGCTGCCTGCATTCCCAGGCTCACGGCCCCCTTTCATTTTCAAAGCCAGCAAGGGTGTATTTAGTCCTCCCATTGTATCACTCTAGTCTTGCTCCCTTTGTTACATCTGCTTCTCTGACTCTAACTTTTCTACCTTCTTTCTCTACTTTTAGGACCCTTGTGATTGCATTGGGTTCACTTGGCTAATCCAGGATCATCTTATTTTAAGGTCAGCTGATTAGCATACTTACTACCTCAATGACATGTAACCAAACATAGTCAAAGGTTCCAGGGGTGAGTATGTGAACATCTTTGGGGAGCCATGATTCTGCCCACCATATTGGTAGATACAGTATGTCATAAATGGGTAAAAGAAGATATTTTTATGATGTCAGAAAAGTATACTTAGAGGGAAATGGAGGAGAGAAAGACACAAAGGATTCTGTGATTATTTCTGCCTTGTAGAGAGGCAGATATGGCTCTAAAAGCAAGGGTCATTGGAATTAAAGTCCTAAAAATGCTATAATGTCTCACCAGGCTAATCGATGACATGATGGTGGAAAAAAGTAATTCTGAGTAAAGAGGACAGCAGGAGCAAAAATGCTTATTCACGACACAGAATGACAAGGTAATGCAAATTGAAAGCGTTTTAAAGACTGTGCAAAAGTGCAGCATACCAAAATACAAAATTAGAGAAGAAAGCAGAGGCCATTTTAGGAAAAGCTTTGCATAACATATTGAGGATGTGGGACTTTATCTTGAAAATAGTGAATTACACTTAAGGGATTTTTAGCAACCAATTAGTATGATAAAGTTTGTGTTTAAGAACAATTAACTTTTAACAACAGTGGAGCAGGATTAGAAGTAAAAATTCAGTTGTGTTTTCATCAGCAAATGATGACAGCCTAAACTGAGGGAGTCGCAGAGAGGATGGAAAAAATAAACTCAAGAAAACGTGATGAGAAGAATTTTTGAGACTTGATGAGTGATTGGATTTAGAAGGTGAAAGGGGATAAAAGTTTCCAGGGTGATTCACAGGATTTGTTGTGAGTGATAGGTACTATCCAGGGAAAAGAGATCATAATAAGAAGAACATGTTTAGAGATAAAGATAGAGATGAGATCTATTTGAGGTACCTTTATTTTAAGATACTTGCAAGAAATCCAGGTGAAGATTTCCAGGAGGTTGTTATTTGTACTGGCCTGGAAATAAGACAAGTGTGTACTATAAATGCAGATATGACACATCATTATGTAATGGTAGTTGAGACTATAAAAATGACTAAGTATAAAGTGCAAAGAAAAGCTGAGCCAGGGCAGAACTCTGAAGATCACTGATACAGAATGGGTGCAAGAAGGGAATCCAACTCAGGAAACTAAGAAATAATGAGGAATAGGAGAAGAACACTGAGAGACAAAAAGGTTGTAGAAATCAAAGGAGGAGAGATTTTCAAGGAGGAAATAATATTGTCAACTATCAGAGGAAGGCCAAATCAGATGATGATTAAAAACTCATTCAACTTGGGGATTAGGAGGACTTTGCTGGCCTTTGCTAGTATCATTGAAGAGAAGGAACAGAAACCTAACTAGTGAATTAAAGAATAAACTGGTGGTAAGACTATACTTTCAATGTTATTAGGTTTGAAGGAAAGAGTCAGCAATAATTGGAATCCAAGGAGGTTTGTTTTGTTTTGTTTTTCAGATAAAGACATAAAGATTTCAAATCTTCATTCCTCCATGAAATTCTTTATATCTGTTTCAAAAAGAACTGAGTGCTTCTTTCTCCAAACTCCCATAAAATGGCACATATTATAGTGAATGTCTCAATAACACAGACAATATCTTAGCCCTCTTTGTGTCTGGCACATGGAAGGAGGTCAATAAATAGTTTTTAAATGAATGAAAAAATGAACAGATAGATTAATGAAAATATGTTCATCAAATTTTGGATTGTAAAATGCTCACATACACTGATTGAAAGACAGATTTCAACTATGTCATTTGGTCACTGGATACCAAGAAATATGATGTTTAGCAGTATTCAATATATTTCTTTATAACCAACAAACAATAACTGGCAGAACATTTCTCCCCTCAGGGATTTAATTTTCATTAGAGCGCTCTCTTTATTGCTGACACTACCCTCTAATAAGTAACCTGAAGTAAAAGAGTCCTGGAGACATGATTCTTTGGAGAGAGTGTCAGTTTGCCATACAATTCCTGCTGCCCTACCCCACCAGCCTTGGGGGATGAGTGGAGATACTTTTCTCCTACATTAAGCCTAGTAAGAAAAGAAAATTCATGGGTATCCCTTGGAGAATTTGATATGTTTCCTCTGAAATCTGGGGTGTCTAATTTTCACCTACCTAGGATTAAAGGTGAAAGCGATGTCTGCTTAGAGATAGAGATAAGAGAGGTGGCTGCACCAGAAGCCAGGTGCACTTCTATCAACAATGAGGTGAGAATGTCTACTTTCTGGGTATAAGATGTGTAGACCCTTTCGTAAAGAGCTGGTCTGAATCAACTTAAGAAAGAGTCCTGCTAAAAAGGACTCCTGGAGAAGGGCCCTCAACAGAAAAGAGTCAGTGAGGGGTAGTCCACAACTCGGGGCCTGGGGCAGAGGGATTGGAGGATATGGCAAATGGTGAGCCAGGAAGGAGGCACCTCCCATGCCAATGAAGATCAGGAGTGGTCTAGATCAATAGTGTAGGTGGGAGGTTATGAGTGTATGAAGACAATAGCAGTAGATTGTGGAGAAAACAATGGATTTAGGAAGCATTTTAAAAGTAGTATAAGGCTGAGCACAGTGGCTCATGCCTATAATCCGAGCACTTTGGGAGGCCAAGGAGGGAGGATTGCTTGAGCCCATGAGTTTGAGACCAGCCTGTCACATAGGGAGACTTTGTCTCTACAAAAAATTCAAAAATTGTTCAGGAATGGTGGCACATGCCATTGTTCCAGTTACTCTGGAGGCTGAGGTGGGAGAACTGCTTGAGCTCGGGAGGTCAAGGCTGCAGTGAGTTACAATTACACCACTGCACTCCAGCCAGCCTGGGCCACAGAGTAAGACCTTGTCTCAATAGAAAGAAAAAAATAAACAAACAAAAACTACAGAATAAGCGGAACTTGGTGACCAATCAGCTGGGTGACATAAGTGAGAAGGAGAGCAAAGTATGACTCTCAGATAAAATGTGATGTCATCCAGGCAGATTTCCAGCAAGAGAAGGATTCAGAAGAGAGAAAAGAAAAATAAGCTCATTTTTAGATCAGTTCCCATCTTTGATGTAGACTTAGTCAACAGCAGTTTGTACACCAACATGGTGCAGCCAAACCTATATTAAAGCCCCCAGATTTGTCAGGCATAGTGGCTTACATTTGTAATCCCAGCTATTCAAGAGGCTGAGGCAGGAAGATCCTTTGAGCCCAGTAGTTGAAGACTGCAGTGAGCTATAATCAAGTCACTGAACTCCAACCTGTGCAACAGTGAGATCTCATCTCTAAAAAATAAAAATAAAGTAATTTTGTAAAAATTCTAAAATTTAAGTCCAGGAAAACATCTAGGTAGGAGTTACCTATATAAGGGAGAGCTAGGTGTTATAATTTCCTGGGTTTCCTTCTCTCTTGGTTTAATTTATCTCTGGGGGTAAGATAACCTCAAAGAGACTGGCGCCCAGGATTTCTTAGAGCTCCTGGGTTATTAAAGTCATGGAAGTCTAATGGCCTGTGGGGAAAACTGAATCTGAACCTAATTTTGGACCAAGAAGGAATTTTGGTGGCAAAGAGACTAGATGAAGTTCCTTGCAAATAATTAGATTTCTTTCCCTGTTTGAGCTTTCTGTTTCTTGCTTCTTGTTTTAATGTTTAAGAAAAATCTCAGTTATACATAAAATAACTAGTGGTGATTCATCAGTGTCTCATCACTTTTAATAAATCTTAATAATTTTCCATATTTCCTACAGGCCAATTTTAATAAATAAAATCCTGAAGAAAAGTCACCAATGCACCCTTCCTAACAGCATTCCTTCTCTTCCTCTATATAAACACTACCCTAAATTTGGTGTTTATCATTTTTGTGCATGATTTTATACTTTTACCATATATGTACATGTGTCCATGTTGGTACCTGTGGTTCAGGATTACCTTCTTTCATTTCATAATGGACTAAAATTTCTTTATCCATTCTCCAACAGTGGATATGTAAGAAGTCTCCAGTTCCCCCATTACAGACAATGAAGCAGGCAATAAATCTTACCTATATTTCCTTGTACACGTATGCTTTAGTTTCTCCAGGATATTTATCTGAATATGTGCACATTCAGAATTATGCGAATGTGCTTGTTTTAATAGGATTCTTCTGGAAATAGAATCCAAACAGAGATTCGTGTGCAGAGTCTATTTGTGAATTGATACCAGGAAACACCAATAATGGAATTGGAGGAGAGACAGGGTAGTGGAGGTAGTGAATAAAGGATACATGATCAAACAAGTTACTGGGTAACTGGAGTTTAATCCCACTGAAGGACTCTGAGAGCCAGTGGGGAACACAAACTTCAAAGTTATTCCACCAAGGAGAAAAGGGAACTGGGATAATTATACATCAACTTTATCAGTCATTGGTTGAGGAATGCTCCTGGGGATGTTAATTTCCTGGCACTCCCAGGGCCAAGCAGATTTCAGTAGCCAAAGAAAGCCCTCAGGTAAAGGCATGCAAGTGTTGGCAGCTGAGTCAGGCAGGTGTGTGCTGAAATATAAGGTGAAGGGTTATAAGGAAGGCATGGAGAGCATGTGCTATAGGGCTACCTTGTTCTCTAAGGTGATTACCAATTTACACTCCCCTAAGTGGTGTGTGAGGAGGCTGGTTTCTCCCGAGTGAGTTCATCTTTTTCTCTTCTACTATTACTTGCCTGAAATCCTGTAATCGAAACATATTATTGTAGCTATACCAGCTTTCTTTTCCATAGTATTTTCTCACATATCTTATCCTATCCCTTTATTTTCAATCTTTCTGTGTGATTTTTTTCATATCTCATATAAGGAGCATATTTTTTATCCAAACTTTTAAAGCATGCTTTAATAGTTGACTTTAGTCCATTTACATTTAATATTACTACGGATACAATTGGACTCATTTCTAGCATCTTTGTCATTTCTGTTCAATATCCATTGTCTTGGCTTCTTTATTCATCTCTTTTTCTTACTTCTCTTACTCTTCAATGTTTCTGTGAAGTTCACTTATGTTGTTGCATTTTGCCATAGTTCCTTCTTTTTTATTGCTGTGTAGTATTTTGTATGAAGATATCACAGTTTATTCATTCTACTGTTGATGGATATTTGGGTTGTTTCTGCTTTTTAGCGAGTTATGAATAAAGTTGCAAAAAAACCTTCCTGTGAACGTCTTTTAGCATACATATGTACTCATTTATCTTGGGTATATAGAACTGGTTTAGGCATATATTTGTAGGTTAGGCATATATTTATATTTATTGTATATTGCCAAAAACTTTTCAAGGTTGAATGTACTGATTTATAAACCTTGCAGCAATGTGGTTTGTTTTCTCCATAACACTTGTAACCATAACACTTGTAAATATCACACCGTAACACTTGTAAATATCAGACTACTTAATTTTAGGAATTCTGATTCTGTGCTGTTGTATCTCATTATGGTTTTAATTTACATTTATCTGATGAGTACAAATATTGAGAACTTTTTCATATGCTTATTGGCCATTTGGATATCCTCTTTGGTAAAATGCCTATTTAAGTCTTTTGCCCATTTTCTTCTTAGGTAGTTTAACTTTTTCTTATCAATGTATTGCAGTTCTTCATTCTGGTATATACATACTTTGTCTCTCTCTCTCTCTCAATATGTATATATTGCAAATATCTTCTCATATTTTCAAATATTGGTTCAACAACATTCTTTCATTTTCTTCTCCTTCAACTTGCCTTGAAGGATTAAATGGAAATAGCTCTCTCTATTTATCCTACATGACTTTCAATTGCTCTTGTATTTTTTACTTTTTTTCTCTGTAATGCAGTTCCAGCACAGTTTTTCAATACATAAATTCTCTCTTTGCATCTTGACTAGAGTTTCCTGCCTATAGAATTTTTATCTAAATAAATGCAATTGATAATTGATATTTTAATCATATAACTTTCAATTGGTTATTTTTCTATTAAACAACACGGTTTAATAAACTCTTGTTTAATATATTCTTTCTCTTTTTAATGGATGTGTTTTCATTCATCTATTTGAGTACTACAACATTTATTTAAAAGTTTTATTCCAACAATCTTATGAAATTTGTTTCATTGGGTATTCTGAGCTACCTTAGAATTTGACTTCTTACTGTGTTTTATAATTTTGGTTTAGAATTTCTCTTATTGCTTTCTTGAAATTTCTTCCTCTTGCATTCTTAAAATCCCTTCCCTCTTGGCTCAATGACTTTGCCTGCCACTCATAATTTTCTCTCTCTAGAATCCACAGGCGTCCAGTCCATCCAGGTCTTAAAATGTCAACTCAGTGCTCCTGTCTAATGATGTTTTGTGGGGCATCATAGATTCAGTACAAAATATACAAATAACATGATTCAGTCATGGTCCTAAGGGTGTCTGTTATTCATATCCTTTTTAGACCTATAGCTTCTTATAAGCTAAAGACTCAGCCAGGAGGATTACTTTAAAAAAAAATTAGCAGGCTGGGTGCTGTGGCTCATGCATGTAACTCCAACAGTTTAGGACACTGAGGCAGGAATATCACTTGAAGCCAGGAACTTGAGCCTGGGCAACACCATGAGACCTCATCTCTACAAAAAAAAATTTTTTTTAATTAGCCATGCATGGTGGTGCATGCCTGTAGTCCCAGCTACTCAGGAGGCTGAGGCAAGAGGATCTCTTGAGCCCAGAAATTTGAGGCTGTAGTGAGCCATGATTGTACCACTGCATTCCAGCCTGGGCAACAAAGTGAGACTTTCCCCAAATAAAAATTTTAAAATTAGGTAATTTTTACTAATGGTGCCCCTTCCATTTCCCTGCTCCCAAGTAGTGAGCCTGGCCCTAGTTCTTCTCTCTGCATAGCATATTTTTTAATACTTTGCCTCACAGATATCAAATTTCTGACTACAATACTTGCTTCCAGACCCACAGCCTAGCAGTCATGTGGCTTCAGACTCATTTTCTTGTCTGCATTTCTGGTCCATTGCTGATTTACTGAGTGGCTGGTCTTGTTTTTAAGGTTATCTATATCTAATTGTTTACGTTATACTTCCTTAATCATTGCTACTAGTGTTGTTTATAGAGGAGTCTATCAAAGTATAAACAACCGCACTATCATGAAAGTTGGAGAGGAATTTAGATATCATCCTAAAATAGCTTTGGGGGCGGGAAGGAAAAGGGGTTCTTGGCATCATCGTCTCTCCTCTATGGCTTCCAATGAGATGTAACTCATATCTCCTTTCCTCATGTGTATGCTCAGGCTCCCAGGATCACATAACACGATTCTCTGTTCCTGAATGTCAAGATCCTTTTGGGCGTACAGGCCCACTCTCAGATTTCCCAAGCTCTCTCTGTGGACTTAAGAACTTTATCTATGCTGCCTTCCTCATACCATACTGTGGTAGTTACCTTATAAGCCTATCTAATTGCCCATCTCGTAGACACTTCTCAGCCTATTTTGCTTTTCCTCTCTGGCAATATGGTGGCCTCAGACTTCTATACCGGGTATGAAGCCTCCCCAGGCCACACACAGGGAAGTGAAGCACAGTTTTCTTCTGCTTTGAGACCCCCTTCACACTGACTTGAGTTTATATTTTCTACCTATCCAGGCCCAGAGCTTCAATGCTGACAGGAGACACAGTGCAGGATCCACATGACTAACAGCCCTCCTGGTGATCTGATCTGCTCTCCCTTCTCCAGGGGAGACAAGAACTGTTTGGTCCATCTTAGGAAGAGTTTATATCCCCTCCTCCTGGAGGAATTGGGACAGGAGACTAATCAGGAATTTATACCCACTATTATGCCAAAACTATTACTCTTAATATTGAAAAAATCTTTTTCATTGAGCTATTGTGCCTACCACAATATCTATGCTAGGCTATTTGGAGGAACCCAGAAGCCAGTATTTGCCTTTCTCTCCATATTGCCCTTAATTTGAGAAAGATAATAGAACAGCACCACTGCCTAAATTGTGGGGAGAGGAGATGTTATGGAAGAGCCTTGAGTTAAAATCTCAGAATTTTGTCTGAGGTCATAGGAGCATATAGCATCCCCCACTTTGATGGCGTGGCAACAGAAATTATGGCAAATCTGGCTCAGACTTCAATCTTGCACTTGAAGGTTTCTCATAAAAAGATCACATTTTCAAATTTCCTCACTCCTGGGCAGTTAAGTGAGAATCCACTGCCTTAGGAGAGATTTTAGAATGTCAGTAATTGAGTAACCAGGGACCACAGTGCCCCTGGGCTGGAACTGAATATGAAATCGCCCAAGGTCATTCATTGGGTTTTAGGGATACTGGGTGGACATCATTCCCTATTACTTCCTTCCCTGCCGTCCTATACTTGTGAGTCCCTTTAAAATATTTTAAACACTTTTTTTTTAATTGAATGGGGAAGATGTTTATGCTGTTTTCTTTTTAAAAGCAAAATCAGCCTCGCTGTGTGGTGCTGAGGCTGTCAAGTCTCTACTTAAAGGATGCTACAGGAAGATTGAGTCCCTCTTTCACTGTCTCTTTTCCCTCCCTCCCTCTCCCATTCAGTGTCAGGGAAATTCTCTGTGCCTCTCTCCAAAGGCACCTCAACAGCTGTGAACTCATGACCTAATTGTTCTAATGGCATTCCCAAGCTCCCCTGCTCAAGGCCAGAGAAATCTCAGGCCTTTGGACCTCTAGCCAGTAATTCATGGTACTTAGTCAAACTCCTTCCCCTCCCTGCAGGCCCCCTCCTGCTCCCCTCCCATTCCCTCCTCCTGTCCTCTGCTCTCACTCTCTGCTCTCTCCTCACACCAGTATGAAGCAGCTTGATCACCTGCCAACCGGTATTGATTTTTGCTTCCCAATCGCCAGGCTGGATGGAAGGAAAAGATTAAAAACAGTTTGTCAGTTTGAAGTTGAATAAGAATTCGGCACAAGGGACGTCTTAGAAATGTGAGGAAGTGGCAGGGGAGGTTGGGAGTGTGGGCAGTCAAGGCCAAAGCAAGTCTTAAGGGAGTTTAACCCTTTATTGCAATCAGCCCCAGAATTTTTGAAGAGGATATGCTGTAATCCTGCATACTCCCCTTTTCTTGTGCCTCATGTACTCACATCCTCTCATGGTTTTCTTTTTGTCCACAGCATCAAACATGGGTTTTACTTGAACTGTCCGAGGCCCTAGGATGCCACCCCTTTTGGCTCACTGACACCCATGTTAAGTTTGCATTGCTCATATCCCTGCTACATCCTGCTAGGTCACTCAGGCCTTACCAGGAGATAGTGTCTAAATTCCTATGGCTCTTCAGTTGTAGGGAGCCCCTGACCCTGAGCATCTGAGCTCTGCCAACAGCCCTGTTAGTATTCATGGAGCAGGTCTATCCGCTGCTGTCCTTGTCAAGAAAGAGTGGGGAGACCAGGGAAATTTGCCGTTCAAAAAAATGAGTATTGTTGACTCATGAAGCATCCTTTTGGCTTGTCAGCTATAGAGCTGACAAATGATTTACACACTTCTGTAGAAAACCTGAAGGGCTACAGCACAAAGACTCAGCATGTGTGATGGAGTCAAATCTAGGGTACTAAGATGTTACTCACTCAAGGGCCAGGTGACTAGTCTTCCAAGAGCTCAGGGGCTGAGCTGAAACAGGAGGGCCACCTTTCCCTTTCTTACAAGCTGAGTGTCGAGAACCAGGTCATACTAACTTGTGGCCACAGAAACAGGATGGGAGATTTCTGCACAATAATGAGGATTTTGCCAGTTACACAAAAAAATAGTTCGCTGACATCTAATTACCTCCTTTCCCCATTTTTCCTACCCAATTTAGTATTAATGATTTGTGTAATATGTGACTGTCTCAGTTTGTTTTCTATTGCTTATAATAGAATACCAGAAACTGCATAATATATAAAGAAAATGAATTTATTCTCACCTATGTGGAGACTGGGAAGTCCAAGGTTGAGGGCTGCATCTGGTGAGGGCCTTCTTGCTGATGGAGACTCTCTTCAGAGTCCCAAACAGCACAAAGCATTACATGATGAGGGAGCTAAGCATGCTAATGTGCTAGCTCAGGTCTCTCATCCTCTTCTTATAAAGCCACCAATTTCTCTCCCATGATAATCCATTCATCTGTTAACCCATTAATCCATTAATAGATTAATCCATTCATGAAGACAGAGCCCTCATTATCGAGTCACCTCTTAAAGGCCCACCTCTCAATACTGCCACATTGGAAATGAAATTTTAACGTGAGTTTGGGGAGGTATAAATATTCAAACAGTAGCAGTAGCATAACAGGACAGAAATCAATTTTGTTAACATGAAAATCTGGATGATGTGCTGTTCTGATTGTTTTGCCCACTCTGTGCACTCATATTTTGTCACTAATTATCAATTATATTCTACTTAGTCCAAGTAGTTTATGTATGAAAAACATAATATCTAAAAGTATTCTATAAATCAGAATTTCATGAAGAAAATAAAAAGACGTTAAAGAATGGTTAAAACTGTGCTAAAAGGAATTTTGCTTCATTTATTAGAAGTTTTTAAGCACCATAAATAAGTAGGAATTTTGAGTTCTTTCCCAACACTCTTACTAAGGAAGGAAGCCTGGTCCATTCTTGATACCTTCCTGGTTTTCTTATACATTTTTCATCTCATGCCATAAGCTTTGTTATGTCAGCTTCTTTTTCCATGATTTTTTAATACTTGGTCTCAAGCCTATCTTTTGTATATGCTCTAACTCAAAGTGTTGTCTTGACTTTTTCTCTGAGAAACTTTCTCCAATACAATCTTCAAAATACTACTTATAATTACATGATGATATAATCTCATACCTCTCAAAGCCTGGTGTTCTGTCTGTTTCCATTTTGATCATGATTTTATATTACTTCTATAATTAACAGTATATTCCATGGCAAAAATGGGATTAAAATCTCATTGCAGAAAAAAATGCCATTTGGAACTGGGAATAACTGCCTACATAAAAGTGATCTGAAAATATTCATAGCATTGGGTACATAAATAAATGCCATGATATTGTTTATATTACATCCCTAAATATTTATCAACCCTGCTCTCAAAGAGAAATTTATTGGCCTTAAAGAGGAGATGGAGAAAGAGATAGGGGTAGAACGTGTATTTGAAGGGAAAATATCAGAGAAGTTCTCAAACCTAGAGAAAGATTTCAATATTCAAGTACAAAAAGGTTATAGAACACCACACAGATTTAATTCAAAGAAGTCTACCTCAAGATATTTAATAATCAAACACCCAAAGGTCAAGGATAAGGAAAGGATCCTAAAAGCAATAAGAGAAACAAAGAGCATACAAGGGAGCTCCAATATGTCTGGCAACAGACCTTTCAGTGGAAACTTTACAGGCCAGGAGAGAGTGGCATGACATATTTAAAATGTTGAAGGAAATAAATAAATAAATAAATAAATAAATAAATAAATAAATAAAACCTTTTACCCTAGACTATAATATCCAGCAAAAATATCATTTAAACATGAAGGAGAAATAAAGACCTGCCCAGACAAACAAAGCTGAGGGATTTTATCAGCACCAGGCCTGTCTTACAAGAAATGCTAAAGGAAGCTCTTTGATCTGAAAGAAAAGGATGTTTGTGAGCAAAAAGAAATCACCTGAAGGTATAAAACTCACAGGTAATAGTAAATGCAGAGAAAAATACATAATAGACTAACACTGTAATTATAGTATATAAACTTCTCTTGACTTAAGTAGCAAGACTAAATAATGAACCAATCAAAAATAATAACTACAACAACTTTTCAAGACACAGGGAGTACAATAAAACTTAAAGAGAAACAACAAAGAGTTTAAAAGTAGGGGATGAAGTTAGAGTGTAGAGTTTTTGTTACTTTTCTTTTTGCATATTTGTTTGTTGGTTTATGCAATCAGTGTTAAGTTGTCATAAGTTTAAAATAATGAGTTATAGGATAGTACTTGCAAACCTCATGGTACCTGCAAATCAAAAAACATGCAGTAAATACACAAAAAATAAAAAGGAAGCTACTAAACCATGCCACAAGAGAAAATCTTCACTAAAGGGAAAACAGAAGGAAGGAAAGAAAGAAAAAAATTATAAACAACCAGAAAACAAATAATAGAATGGCAAGAGTAAGTCCTCACTTATCAATAATAACATTGAATGTAGATGGACTAAACTCTCCAATCAAAAGACATAGAGTGTCTGAATAGATGAAAAAATAAGAGTCAATGATGTGTTGCCTACAAGAAACACGCTGCACCTATAAAGATGCACATAGACTGAAAATAAAAGAATGAAAAAAGATATTCCATGCCAATGGAAACCAAAAAAGAGCAGGAGTCACTATACTTATATCAGTCAAAATAGATTTCAAGACAAAAACTGTAGGAAGAGGCAGAGGAGATCACTATGTAATGATAAAGGGGTCATTCCAGCAACAGGACATACAATGATAAATATATGTGTACCCAACACTGGAACACCCAATTATATAGAGCAAATATTATTAGAACTAGAGAGAGAGATAGACCCCAATACACAACAGCTGGAGATTTTTAACACCCTACTTTCTGCATTAGACAGATCTCCCAGACAAAAAATCTGCAAAGAAACATTGGACTTAATCTGCACTACAGAACAAATGAACCCAGTACATATTTCCAGAACATTTCATCCAAAGGCTGCAGAATACACATTCGTCTCCTCAGCACATAAATCATTCTCAACAATAGACCATATGGCATGTCACAAAATGAGTCTTAAGTATTCAAAAAATGGAAATAATATCAAGCATTTTCTCTGACCACAATGGAATAAAACTAGATATCAACAACAAGAGAAATTTTGGAAACTAAACGATATGCTCCTGAATGACCAGTGGGTCAATGAAGAAATTAAGAAAAAAACTGAAAAATGTCCTGAAACAAATGATAATGGAGACACAACATACCAAAACCTATATGATACATTGAAAGCAGTATTAGGAGAGAAATTTACAGCTAAAAGTGCCTACATGAAAAAAAAGAAAACTTCAAATAAATAACCTAACAAAGCATTTTAAGGAACTAGAAAAGCAAGAGCAAACTGAACCCAATATTAGCAGAGAAAAGAAATAGTAAAGGTCAGAGCAGAAATAAATGAACTTGAAACAAAGAAAACAAGAAAAAAGATCAACTAAATAAAAAGTTAGTTTTTCAAAAAGTTAAACAAAATTGACAAACCTTTAGCCAGACTAAGAAAGAAAAAAAAGGGAGAAGGCCCAAATAAATGAAATCAGAAATGGAAAAGGAGACACTGCGATTTATACTGCAGAAATTCAAAGGATCATTAGTGGCTACTATGAGAAACTACATGCCAATAAATTGGAAAATCTAGAGGAAATGGATAAACACATAGATACATAAAACCTACCAAGATTGAACCATGAAGAAATCCAGAACCTGAAAAAACCAATAACAAATAGTGAGATGAAAGCCGTAATAAAATGTCTCCCACTAAAGAAATGCCTAAGACCTGATGGCTTCACTGCTGAACTCTAAGAATCATCAACAAAATGCTAGCAAACTGAGTTCAGCAATACATTTAAATGATCATTCATCAAGTGAGATTTACCCCAGGGATGCAAGGATGGTTGAACATACACAGATCAATCAATGTGATACATCATATTAAAAGAATAAAGGACAAAAACCATATGATCATTTTAACTGAAGTTGAAAACCATTCGATAAAATTCAACATCCCTTCATGATAAAAACCCTCAAAAAATGGGGCATAATGGGAATATACCTCAAATTAATAAAAGCCATAAATGACAGACCCACAACTAGTATCATACTGAATGAGAAAAATCTGAAAGCCTCTCCTTTAAGATCTGGAACAAACAAGGATAACCACTTTCCCCATGGTTATTCAACATAGTACTGAAAATCCTAGCCGGAGCAATAAGACAAGAAAGATATAAAAGGCATCCAAATTGTAAGGGAGGAAGTCAAATTATCCTTGTTTGCAGACGATATGATCTCATATTTGTAAAACCTTGAAGACTCCACCAAAAACCTATTGGAACAGATAAACAAATTCAGTAAAGTTGCAGAACACAAAATCAATACACAAAAATTAGTAGCATTTCTATATGTAAACAGTGAACAATCTGAAAAAGAAACAAAAAAGTAATATCATTTACAATACTCACAAATAACATTAAATGCCTAGGAATTAACCAAAGAAGTAAAAGATCTCTACAATGAAAACTATAAAACGCTGTTGAAAGAAATTGAAGCATACATAAAAAAATGGAAAAATACTTTATGTTCATGGATTGGAAGAATCAATATTGTTAAAATGTCCATATTACCCAAAGCCATCTACAGATTCAATGCAAGCCCTATCAAAATACTAATGACATTCTTCACAGAAATAGAAAAAAAAATACTAAAATTTATATGGAACCACAGAAGACCTAGAATAGTCAAAGCTATTTTGAGCAAAAAGAACAAAGCTGAAGGAATCCCAGTCCTGACTTGATCTCCTTATATATTGTGGTTATTAATCCCTTATCAAATGGGTAGCTTGCAAATATTTTCTCCCATTCTCTGAGTTGTTTTTTCACTTTGTTGATTATTTCCTTTGCTGTGCAGAAGCTTTTTAACTTGATGTGATCCCATTTGTCCATTTTTGCTTTGATTGCCTGTACTTGTGGGGTATTACCCAAGAAATTTTGCCCAGACCAATGTCCTGGAGAGTTTCTAAATTTTACTACAAAGCTGTAGTAACCAAAACAGCATAATACTGGCATAAAAAGAGACACATAGACCAATGCAACAAAATAGAGAACGCAGACACAAATCTACATACCTACAGTGAACTCATTTTTAACAAAGGTGTCAAGAACATACACCAAGGGAAAGACAGTCTCTTCAATAAATGGTACTGGGAAAAATAGATATCCATATGCAGAAGAATGAAACTAAACCCCTATCTATCATCATATACAATAATAAAATCAAAATAAATTAAAGACTTAAATATAAGACCTCAAACTATGAAACTACTACAAGGAAACTCTCCATGACATTCATCTCAGCAAAATTTCCTGAGTAATACCCTACAAGCACAGGCAATCAAAGCAAAAATGGACAAATGGGATCACATCAAGTTAAAAAGCTTCAGCACAACAAGGAAATAATCAACAAAGTGAAAAGACAACTCACAGAATGGGAGAAAATATTTGCAAACTACCCATCAGACAAGAGATTAGTAATCAGAATATATAAGGAACTCAAACAACTCTATAGAGAAAAAAATCTCATAATCCAATAAAAAAATGGGCAAACGAGGATGGGTGGCTGGCAAGATGGCTGAATGGGAACAGCTCCAGTCTGCAGCTCCCAGCGAGATCAATGCAGAAGGCAGGTGATTTCTGCATTTCCAACTGAGCTACCCGTCCATCTCACTGGAACTGATTGGACAGTGGGTGCAGCCCATGGAGGTTGAGCTGAAGCGGGGTGGGGTGTCGCCTCACCCAGGAAGCACAAGGGGTCAGGGGATTTCCCTTTCCTAGCCAAGGGAAGCCATGAGAGACTGTACCAGGAGGAACGATGCATTCCAGCCCAGATACTGAGTTTTTCCCATAGTCTTCACAACTGGCCAACCAGGAGATTTTCTCTGGTGCCTGACTCAGCAGGTCCCACCCCCATGTAGCCCAGCAAGCTAAGATCCACTGGCTTGAAATTCTCGCTGCTAGCACAGCAGTCTGAGGTCGACCTGGGAGGCTCAAGTTTGGTGGGGGGAGGAGTGTCTGCCATTGCTGAGGCTTGAGTAGGCAGTTTTACCCTCACAGTGTAAACAAAGACTCTGGGAAGTTTGAACCAGGTGGAGCCCACTGCAGCTCAGCAAGGCCATTGTGGCCATCATGCCTCCCTAGATTCCTCCTCTCTGGGCAGGGCATCTCTGAAAAAAAGGCAGCAGCCCCAGTCAGGGACTTATAGATTAAAACCCCCTTCTCCCTGAGACAGAGCATCTGGGGGAAGGGGCAGCTGTGGGTGCAACTTCAGCTGACTTAAACGTCCCTGCCTGACAGCTCTGAAGAGGACAGCGGATCTCCCAGCACAGCGCTCAAGCTCTGCTAAGGGACAGACTGCCTCCTCAAGTGGGTCCCTGACCCCTTGTATCCTGACTGGGAGATACCTTCCAGTAGGCCCACCAGATACCTCATACAGGAGAGCTCTGGCTGTCATCTGGCGGGCGCCCCACTGGCACAAAGCTTCCAGAGGAAGGAACAGGCAGCAATCTTTGCTATTCTGCAGCCTCCGCTGGTGATACCCAGGCAAACAGAGTCTGGACTGGACCTCCAGCCAGCTCCAGCAAACCTGCGGCAGAGAAGCCTGACTGTTAGAAGGAAAACAGACAAACAGAAAGGAATAACATCAACATCAACAAAAAAGACAGACTGCCTCCTTAAGGAAAACTAACAAACAGAAAGGAATAGTATCAACATCAACAAAAAGGACGTCCACTCAGAGACCCCATCTAAAAGTCACCAACATCAAGGACCAAAGGTAGATAAATCCATGAAGATGGGGAGAAATCAGCGCTAAAAGGCTGAAAATTCCAAAAACCAGAATGCCTTTTCTCCTCCAAAGGATCACAACTCCTCACCAGCAAGGGAACAAAACTGGACTAAGAATGAGTTTGATGAATTGATAGAAGTAGGCTTCAGAAGGTGGGTAATAACAAACTCCTCCAGCTAAATGAGCTTGTTCTAACCCAATGAAAGGAAACTAAGAACCTTGAAAAAATGTAAGACAAATTGCTAACTAGAATAATCAGTTTAGAGAAGAACATAAATGACCTGATGGAGCTGAAAAACACAGCGCAAGAACTTTATGAAGCATACGTAAGTATCAATAGCTGAATCAATCAAGCATAAGAAAGGATATCAGAGATTGAGGATCAACTTAATGAAATAAAGTGTAAAGACCAGATTAGAGAGAAAAGAATGAAAAGGAATGAACAAAGCCTCCAAGAAATATGGGACTATGTGAAAAGACCAAACAATAATAATGGGAGACTTTAACACCCCACTGTCAATATTAGACAGATCAACGAGACAGAAAATTAACAAGGATATCCAGGACTTGAACTCAGCTCTGGACCAAGCAGACCTAATGGATATCTACAGAACTCTCCACCCCAAATCAACAGAGTATACATTCTTCTCAGCACCACATCACATTTATTCTAAAATTGACTGTATAATGGGAAGTAAAACACTCCTCAGCAAATGCAAAAGAATGGAAATCATGACAAACAGTTTATCGGACCACCGTGCAATCAAATTAAACTCAGGATTAAGAAACTCATTCAAAACCACACAAGTACATGGAAACTGAACAACATGCTGCTGAATGACTACTAGGTAAATAACGAAATTAAGGCAGAAATACAGATGTTCTTTGAAACCAGTGAGAACAAAGACACAATGTACCAGAACACCGGGGACACATTTAAAGCAGTGTGTAGAGGGAAATTTATAGCAATAAATACTCACAAGAGAAAGCAGAAAAGAACTAAAATCAACACCCTAACATCAAAATTAAAAGAACTAAAGAAGCAAGAGCAAACACATTCAAAAGCTAATAGAAAAGAAGAAATAACTAAGATCAGAGCAGAACTGAAAGAGATGGAGACACAAAAAACCCTCCAAAAAATCAATGAATCCAGGAGCTGGTTTTTTGAAAAGATCAACAAAATTGATAGTCTGCTAGCCAGACTAATAAAGAAGAAAAGAGAGAAGAATCAAATAGATGCAATAAAAAATGATAAAGGGGATATCACCACTGATCCCACAGAAATACAAACTACCATCAGAGAATACTATAAACACCTCTATGCAAATAAACTAGAAAATCCGGAAGAAATGGATAAACTCCTGGACACATACATGCTTCCAAGACTAAACCAGGAAGAAGTCAAATCCAAAATAGACCAATAACAAGTTCTGAAACCGAGGCAGTAATTAAAAGCCTACCAACCAAAACAAGTCCAGGACAAGACAAATTCACAGCCAGATTCTACCAGACATACAAAGAGGAGATGGTACCATTCCTTCTGAAACTATTCCAAACAGTATAAAAAGAGGGAACCCTCCCTAACTCATTTTATAAGGCCAGCATCATCCTGATACCAAAAGTTGGCAGAGACACAACAAAAAAAGAAAATTTTAGACCAATATCCCTGATGTAAATCAATGTGAAAATCCTCAATAATATACTGACAAGTCGAATCCAGCAGCACATCAAAAAGCTTATCCACCATGATCAAGTTGGCTTCATCCCTGGGATGCAAGGCTGGTCCATGTACAAATCAAAAAATGTAGCCCATCACATGAACAGAACCAATGACAGAAACCAGATGATTATCTCTATAGATGCAGAAAAGGCCTTCAACAAAATTCAACAGCTCTTCATGCTAAAAACTGTCAATAAACTAGGTATTGATGGGACGTATCTCAAAATAATAAGAGCTATTTATGACAAACCCACAGCCAATATCATACTGAATAGTCAAAAACTGGAGGCATTCCCTTTGAAAACTGGCACAAGAAAAGGATGCCCTCTCTCACCACTCCTATTCAAAATAGTATTGGAAGTTTTGGCCAGAGGAATCAGGCAAGAGAAACAAATAAAGGGTATTCAATTAGGAAAAGAGGAAGTCAAATTACCTCTGTTTGCAGATGACATGATTGTATATTTAGAAAACGCCATCGTCTCAGCCCAAAATCTCCTTAAGCTGATAAGCTACTTCTACAAAGTCTCAGGATACATAATCAATGTGTAAAAATCACAAGCATTCCTATACGCCAATAACAGACAGAGAGCCAAATCATGAGTGAACTCCCATTCACAATTGCTACAAAGAGAATAAAATATCTAGGAATCCAACTTACAAGGGATGCGAAGGACCTCTTCAACTAGAACTACAAACCACTGCTCGAGGAAATAAGAGAGGACATAAACAAATGGAAAAACATTCCATACTCATGGATAGGAAGAATCAATATTGTGAAAATGGCCATATTGCCCAAAGTAATTTATAGATTCAATGCTATCCCCATCAAGCTACCATTGACTTTCTTCTCAGAATTGGAAAAATCTACTTTAAAGTTCACATGGAACCAAAAAAGAGCATAGCCAAGACAATCTTAAGCAAAAAGACCAAAGCTGAAGGCATCACACTACCTGACTTCAAACTATACTGCAGTTCTACGGTAACAAAAACAGGATGGTACTGGTACCAAAACAGATATATAGACCAATGGAATAGGACAGAGGCCTCAGAAATAACACCACACATCTAAAACCATCCAATCTTTGACAAACCTGACAAAAACAAGCAATGGGGAAAGGATTCCCTATTTAATAAATGGTGTTGGGAAAACTTGCTAGCCATAAGCAGAAAGCTGAAATTGGATCCCTTCCTTACACCTTAGACAAAAATTAACTCAAGATGGATTAAAGACTTAAACGTAAGATCTAAAACCATAAATACCCTAGAAAAAACTTAAGCAATACCATTCAGGACATAGGCGTGGGCAAAGACTTCCTGATTAAAACATCAAAAGCAATGGCAACAAAACCCAAAATAGACAAATGGGATCTAATTAAAGAGCTTCTGCACAGCAAAAGAAACTAGCCTCAGAGCGAACAGGCAACCTACAGAATGGTAGAAAATTTTTGCAATCTATCCGTGTGACAAAGGTCTAATATCCAGAATCTACAAAGAACTACTTAAACAAATTTACAAGAAAAAAACAAACAACCCCATCAAAAAGAGGGCAAAGGATATGAACAGACACTTCTCAAAAGAAGACATTTATGTGGCCAACAAACGTATTTTAAAAAGCTCACCATCAGTGGTCATTAGAGAAATGCAAATCAAAACCACAATGAGATACCACCTCACGCCAGTTAGAATGGCAATCATTAAAAAGTCAGGAAACAACAGATTCTGAGAGGATGTGGAGAAATAGGAACACTTTCACACTGTTGGTGGGAAGGTAAATTAGTTCAATGATTGTGGAAGACAGTGTGGCAATTCCTCAAGGATCTAGAACTAGAAATACCATTTGACCCAGTGATCCCATTACTGGGTATATACCCAAAGGATTATAAATCATGCTACTATAAAGACACATGCACATGTATGTTTATTGTGGCACTATTCACAATAGCAAAGACTTGGAACCAACCCAAATGCCCATTAATGATAGACTGGATAAAGAAAATGTGGCACATATACACCATATATGCATGGAATACTGTGCAGCCATAAAAAAGCATGAGTTCATGTCATTTGCAGGGATATGAATGAAGCTGGAAACCATCATTCTCAGAAAGCTAACACAAGAACAGAAAACCAAACTCTACATATTCACACTCATAAGTGGGAGTTAACAATGAGAATCATGTGGACACAGGGAGGGGAATATCACACACCAGGCCTATCAGGAGGTAGGGGCTAGGGCAGGGATAGTATTAGGAGAAATATCTAATGTAGATGATGGGCTGATGGGTGCAGCAAACCACCATGGCACATGTATACCTATGTAACAAACCTGCACGTTCTGGACATGTACCCCAGAAATTAAAGTATATATATATATATATATATACTTTACTTAAGTTATAGTTACTTAAAAGTATGTATGTGTGTGTGTGTGTGTGTGTGTATATATATAATATATATACACACTTAAGTAGGTGTATATATACACTTTATATATATACACATATATAAATATTAAAAGTAGGTATATTTATATATGTGTATAGATACATAGTTTTTATTTTTTTATATTTTATACATACTTTTTATATTTTGTGTATATATATACACATATATTTATATATATATAAAAAGTACGTGTATATATATAAAGTGTATATATATATACACTTAAGTTATAGTTACTTAAAAGTATGTGTAGATATAGGTTTATATACTTTAAGTGTATATATATACTTTATATAAATGTCTGTATATATATATATATGAACATTTTTTGGCCAGGCACGGTGGCTCACACCTGTAATCCCAACACTTTTGGAGTCCAAGGCTGGTGGATCACTTGAGCCCATAAGTTTGAGACCAGCCTGGGCAACATAGTGAAACCCTATCTCTAATAAAAATACAAAAAATTAGCCAGGCATTGTGGTCCACATCTGTAATCCCAGCTATTCAGGAGGCTGAGACACGAGAATCGTTTGAACCTGGGAGGCAGAGATTGCAGTGAGCTGTGATCACAGCACTGCACTCCAGTCTGGGCAACAGAGTGAGACTCTGTCTCAAAAAAAAAAAAAAAAAAAGAAAGAAAGAAAGATTGATTGATTGATTGACTTAAAGATGGGGTCTTGGCCGGGCACATTGGCTCATGCCTGTAATCCCAGCACTTTGGGAGGCCAAGGAGGGCAGATCATCTGAGGTCAGGAATTCAAGACCAGCCTGACCACCATGGTGAAACCCCATATCTACTAAAAATACAAAAATTAGCCGGGCATGGTGGCACATTACTGTAATCCCAGCTACTTGGGAGGCTGAGGCAGGAGAATCGCTTGGACCCAGGAGGTGGAGGTTGCAGCGAGCTGAGATCGCACCACTGCACTCCAGCCTGGGCAACAAGAGTGAAACTCTGTCTAAAAATAAAATAAAATAAAATAAAATAGGATCTGGCTATGTTGCCCAGGATAAAGAAAAAAAATGGGCAAAAGATTTGAAAAGACGTTTCTCAAAAGAGGACATACAACTGACAAACAGGCTTATGAAAAGGTGCTCAACATCACTGTTCATCAGAGAAATGCAAATCAAAACTGCAATGAGATATCATCTCACTCAAGTTAAATGGCTTATATCCAAAAGACAGGCAATAACAAATGCTAATGAGGATGTGGAGAAATGAAAACCCTCTGATGTTGTTGGTGGGAATGTAAATTATTACAACCAGTATGGAGAACAGTTTGGAGGTTCCTCAAAAAAACAAAAAATAGAACTGCCATATGACCCAGTGATCCCACTGCTGGGCATATACCCCAAAGAAAGTAAGTCACTCACATGTTTGTTGCAGCACTGTTCACAACAGCCAAGATTTGGAAGCAACCTAAGTGTTCAACAGATGAATGGATAAAGAAAATGTGATAATTATACACAATGGAGTACTATTTAGCCATAAAAAAAATGAAAGCCTGTCATTTGCAACAACATGGATGGAAGTAGAGGTCATTATATTAAGTAAAATAAGCCAGGCACAGAAAGTCAAACATCATATGTCCTCACTTATGTGTGGGATCTAAAAGTCAAAACAATTTAACTCATGGTGACAGAGAACAGAAGGATGGTTACCAGAGGCTGGGAAGTATATTGGGGGTGTAGGAGGTAGGTGAGGATGGTTAATGGGCTAAAAAAACAAAAGTTAGAAAAAATGAGTAAGACCTAGTATTTGATAGCACAACAAGGGGACTATAGTCAATAGTAATTTAATTGTATATTTTGGAATAACTAAAAGACTATAATTGGATTATTTGTAGCACAAAGGCTAAATGCTTTAGAAATAGATAACCCATTTTCCATGATGTGATTATTATGCTTTGCATGCCCATATCAAAACCACTCATGTACCCTACAAATATATACACCTACTATCTACCTACAAAAATTAAAAATAATTAAAAATTGTTTAAAAATATGAACACAAATATGAATATTACAGACAAACATACACAAACTACAAAGAGCCAAACAATTAAAATATAGTCAACCTCATTATATGTAAAGATAAAAAAATGTACAACTTTTTTAAATTTTTATTTTATTTTCAGAGGTACAGGTGCAGGTTTGTTATATAGGTAAATTGCATCTAGTGGGTGTTTGGTGTACAGATTATTTCATTACTCAGGTAATAAGCATTGTACCTCATAGGTAGTTATTCAATCCTCACCCTCCAAAAATGTATAAATGTTTAAAGAACAAGAAATAATATTTTATTTATCAAATTGGTAATGTTTTTTGAGTGATATTCCCGATGTTTGAGTAGATTTAGGGGCGATAGTTACTTATATATTAGTCAAATTATGCATTAATACACATTTTTAAGACTAATTTAACATTTCATGACAAAAAAACTCAAAATTCTAAATAATCTTTGGCACAGCAATTTAATATTTAATAATGCAGCCTGGTAAAATATATAAGCACATGTAAAACAACTAAAATACAAAAATGTTCATTTCAGCTGAAAAGATGTCAAAAATTTATAAGCAACTACAGTGTCCAAGAATAGAAGTGTGGTTAATTATATTACACTACATTTTGTATGTTACCACCAAAAGTCCTGTTTTAGAAAAATGAGAAAATTAAAACATATTGACAATACAGTTGACCCTTGAACAACACAGATTTGAGCAACCTAGGTCCACCCACAGGCAGATTTTCTTCTGCCCCTGCCACCCAAGAGGAAGCAAGACCAACCTCTCCTTTTCCTTCTCCTCAGCCCACTCAATATAAAAATGGCAAGGTGGAAGACCTTTATAATGGCCACTTCCACTTAGAAAATAACACAAAGGATAAACGCTTTAGAGGATGGATACCCCATTTTCCGTGATGTGATTTTCTCTTCCTTGCGGTTTTCTAACTATCATTTTCCTCTCTAGCATACTTTATTGTAAGAATACAGTATATAATACAATAGCAACAAAAAAGTTTTGTTATCAGTAATGCTTCTTGCCAGAAAATAGGCTACTAGCCGTTAAGTTTTAGGGGAATCAAAGTTATATACAGATTTTTAACTCTGGGGCAGAGATGAGGAGTAACAGGACGGGGTGTCAGCATCTCAACACCTGCATCAAAACCTACATATTGTTGAATTCAATCCGGTTATAAAATAATCCTATAGTATTATAATACTATCCCAGTTTCCAGAACGTGCATGTGTGTGTGTGTCTGTGTGTGTGTGTGTGAGAGAGAGAGAGAAAGAGAGAGGCTATTAACAAAAATGCTAACAACAGCTATTGCTTTTACTAAGGAAGGTTTTCAACTTTGTTCTATTATCTATATTTTCTGCATATAAAGTATAACTTTTATAATAAGAGGAAAAAATATATTTAATTCTCACTTATTCAGTCCAAAGGGCTTTAGAAATAACTGTTTATACTTCCCAAATTTGAAGGGAAGAAAATCTATGTTTCCAAGAAATACAGTTTTATTACTTTAAAAAATGCTTAAATCTCTTTTATTTACTTAAAGACACAATTTTTTCCCACTGTTTATTTCGACATGCTTCCTTAAAAATACGACCAATATTTCTAGGACTGAAGTATGAGCTTTGCATACTCAAGCATGACATCTAGGTATGATTTTAAAGAAACCAATTATGGGGAAGAGTTTTCAAATTATGATAGATTCCAAATAATTGGATAATGAGCAGATAAATATTTCCTGTGTCACCAAATATCAAGGTATAACACAATAGATAAAAACTTGTACAAAGTTTTGTTTTGAATACTTAAGTTCAAATGAAGAATCCGATATTACTGTTTGTAAAATCATACAGGTTGTTCATAATCTCTCTGCACTTTGGTTTTCTCATCTGGCAAACGGATTAATAATAATACCTCACAAAACTGTTGGAATAATCCAGTGCGATTATTCATGTGAAATCATATTATTCAGATGTAAAACATCATAGAGAACATTCATCATTAGTGAGAAATACACATCCATTTAATTCTTTCACTAAATATTATTGACTACCTACAATGTACCTAGAACTATTCTAGATTGTTTAGATATATTATTGAATAAAGTAAGGCAGTTTCTGCTCTCATAAAACTTGTATTTCGGTGGGAGGAGACAAATATGAAACAAATATGAATTTGAATTGGGATGGTGATAAAAAGTACGATGAGAAATATAGTTCAATATTAATGAACACAGAAATGCAGAACAATCTTACCTAAGAGGAAAAAAAAGCTGAACAAAATAATCTTAAAAAGGGCTTGATGAAATTGAAGAACCAGTAAGATATTGTATTTGATACCACTTTTTAAAATGAGGGCTTTAGTCAATTCCAGTGGAATGCTAAGAGACTGAGCTGTGTTTTTGAAAGCCACACAGGACTACAGGACATGAGTTACAGTCTGGGACCTACCAAGCCAGAGGAATATGCTCTGGTAACTACCTCTTACTTTTTGAGTTGGTATCTGAAGGGCACGCCTAAGACTGAGAATAAACTGACAGAAGACCACCTTTCAGGGGACTGTGCCTCAGCTTTTAGGGGACTCAGTCTCTGAATTTAGATTAAGATGATGTTGAATTGCTAATATATCCAGACCCTGGATGAAATAAACATAAATTTCCTTTAAAAAAATGTAAAAATATCTGACCTCAGATCGTTACTACCAACAATTTTGTAAATACAGTGTTCATGATAAAATCAAAAGTAACCACAGGAAGAAATCAATATTCTAAATAAAAGTGAACAGAAATAACAGACAAGAGAAACAAGCCAACAGGACATGCCAATATTGGAGTTATCAGATACTGACTTTTAAATAAATATGCTTATCATTTTCACAAAAATTAAAATTAATCATTTTAGCATAATCCCAGCACTTTGGGAGGCCAAGGCAGGTGGATCACCTGAGGTCAAGAGTTCAGGACCAGCCTGGCCAACATGGTGAAACCCCATCTCTACTAAAAGTACAAAAATTAGCCAGGCGTGACGGTGAGCTCCTGTAATCCCAGCTACTCAGGAGCTGAGGCAGGAGAATCACTTGAACTCAGTAGGCGGAGGTTGCAGTGAGCTGAGATCACACCTCTGCACTCTAGCCTGGGCGAGAAGAGTGAAACTCCATCTCAAAAAATAAAAATGGTTTGAGAGCAGATTAGGCATAGCTAAAGAAAAAAAAAACAATGTGAACTGTAAGACAGGTCAAGAGAAAAATAATTCTAAACTTATACACATCTAAAAAAAGAATAAAAATATAGAGAGCAAAAATAAGAATATAAAGACTCAAAAGGAGCAAAATTACTTGCTTCAGTGAAAATTTGTAAGATATCTCTCTCAGTAATTAGTAGAAATAGGAAATAAAAGTATCAGCAGAATATAGAATAGTTTATTTTATGTTAACAGAGATTTTTTAGTGTCATATATATATCACATAAAATTACTAGTGTGATGGTTATTTGTCAATTTAATTGGAACAAGAGATACCAGAAATTTGGTTAAATATTACCTTGGGTGTGTCTGTGAGGGTGTTTCTGGATGTGGTTCACATCTGAATCCATAGACTAAATAAAGCAGATTAGGTTCCCCAATGTGGGTGGGCCACATCCAATCCCTTGGAGATCTTAGTAGAACAAAAGGTGGGGTAAAGGACAATTCACCCATTCTATGTGACTGTTTTTGGAGCTGGAACATAAGTCTTCTCCTTATTCAGACTGGATCTTACACCATTGTTTTTTGGGGGGTTTTCAGGCCTTCAGACCTTCAGATTTGTACTGAAACTACACCACTGACTTTCCTGGATCTCCAACTTGCAGACAGCAGAACATGGGACTTCTCAGCCTAAATTATTAAGTTAGCTAGTTCCTTATAATATATCTCTTCTGATTCTGTTTCTCTAGAAAATCAAGGGTTTTCTGACAAATATATATTTTGGTACTGAGACTAGTTCTGGAGGGACAGAATTTTAAGGATGAGTTTTCTGAATTGGTTCTGAGTTTTCTGAAATTGGCTCTCAGACCTGATTCAATTAAAGTAAGCTAATGGCTCTGTCTAGTTGACAAGAGAGCACTGACAGTGCATGGAGTAAATTTGTAGGTAATAGACATACATAAATATTCCTAATCAACCACAAAGAACTGAATAAATGTGTATCGAACACTTTCAAACATTTTTGGAAAACTAACAAAAATAAGACTGGCTGATTGCTCCTAATGGCCACATTCAATGTGGTGAAAGAAAAGGATGAGATCAGGGATCTGAATTTCCTGATTAAAGGTGGCATAAATGTCCTAAAGATTTCCATGTACGCCTTGAAGGAGACCCTTATTTCCTATAGCCAAGGGCTGAGAGTGACCTCTTCACTCCAAGTAGTATCACCCTGTCCACCACAGTCTTAAATGCATTAATCATGCATTTCTTGGAAATACTGTAATGAACTTGCCTGAGGCCGTTGCCGTGTAAGACAATGTTAATTCTACTCAGAACTCAGCTCCATTACCTGTCTTTGCTGCTAAACCTGTAACTAGATTCAAGTCCCAGTGGACTCCTAAAGGTGAGGTATAAATGTGAACCATGAGAAAATACACTACATTCCAAAGAAACTGCTGGATTTTTTTAATTTATGCAGATAGAAATCGGGAGCATGTGTGAGAATGGTTACTAAGGGTGTGTGATAATGATGGAATGAACCTAAAGTTGGATCAGGCCAAAGTTATCGACATGGGCCCACTAAACAGAGAATCTACATTTAATATTGAAGCTTGGGGGAGTTACAAAGGCCTTTATTTGTTTGGTTAGTCGGCTAAAATATGGACCAAAACAAGGCCCACAGTGAATGAATTGAAAATGCTGGACCTGCCTTAGTTTAATGTACAAGAGTAGTTTGAAGGATTAGGGATATTGGAAGGTTGAAATGGATTTGTTATTTAAAACCTACTGAGCCACCTGGGTGTTGTGGCAGGGAGTCCAGAATAAATACCTTTTACCACTACTATGAGAAGTAAATTTGTGAGGAAAGCCCCAGCATCCCTGAAGAGCAACGTGATTGGTCTTCTTCATAGGCCAGACCTTACAGTGGGAAACATAGCCACTGAATTGGGAAACCTAAGTACAATGAGATTACTTGGATCTTAGGTGGCAGGGGCCAAGTGGTGTCACACAATCACTAAAGGCAAGGTGGGCATGGTAACCATGATAGGCAGCAGAGTCAAAGCAACAATCAAAATAGACTCACACAGACCTATGACCATTGGCTAATGAATGGTGTTCCTAGAAATGAAACATTTTTACTGATTTGTATAAACAGAAAAGTTATAAGTCAAATGAGCAAAAGTCTAACCTGAATTATAAAAACAGAGAGTCATGCATCCTCAGTCAATTCTCAGACTTGAACCAGCTTACCAATCTAGGACCCTTGAATGAAGCAGAGACTAGGTCCCCTTGAGGAAGGAAACTAGTAAGAATTTATACTGTTAATCTTTCTCCCAGCCTTTCCCAAAAGGATTTATGCCCTTTTACCACGGCAACTGGGCACTACAGAGAAAGAAACAGCCAGATATTTGGGGAAGTACTATAGACTGTTTCTGACCTGATGCTAATTTCCAAAGATTCAAAATGTACTATGGCCCATTAGTCAGAGTGAGGACTTATGGAGAAGCTAAGGTGATTCATGGAGTTTTGGCTTAGGTACATCTTCTTGTGGGCCTGGGCCCAGTGGTTCCTCAATTCATCTTGTGATTATTTCCCAGTTCTGGAATTTATAATCAGAATATATTTACCCAGAAGCTGGCAGAATCTATACATTGATTTCCTGACTTGTGGAGTGAGGGCTATTATGGTAGAAAGTGCCAAGTGGAAGCCATTAGGAAATAGTAAACCAAACCAATGCTGCATTCCTGGAAGAATTACAGAAATTAGTGTAATTATTAATGACTTGAAGATTGCAAGGGTGGTCATTTCCACCAGCTCCCCATTCAACTCACTTATTTAGCCTATGCAGAAGATAAATGGAACCTGGAGAATAACTGTGGATTAGTATAAGTTTAACAAGGTGGTGACTACAATTCCAGCTTCTGTATCCAGTGTGGTTTCTTTCCTTAAGCAAATTAACACTCAAGTACTAACTGTAACACATCTATTGATCTGACAAATGCGTTTGTCTCCATTTCTATCCATAAGGCTGACCAGAAGCAGTTACCTTTCAACTGGTAAGGCCAGCATACACCTTCACTGTCCTACCTCAGAGGTATATCAACTTTCCAATGCTGTGTCATAATTTAGTTCTCAGGGATCTTGATTACCTTTCCCTTTCACAAGATAGCACACCGGTCTATTACATCATGGCATCATGCCAATTGGACCTAGTGAACAAGAAGTAGCAAGTACTCTAGACTTATTGGTAAAACAGTTGCATATCAGATGGTGATAAATACATCTGACTAAACTTCAGTGGCCTTATACCTCTGTCAAATTTCCAGGTATCCAATCATGTGGGACATATTAAGGTATCCCTTCCAAGGTGAAGGATAATTTATTGCATCTGGCCTCTTCCACAAAACAAAAGAGTCAAAATACTTAGTAGACTTTATTTTGGATTTTGGCGGCAACATATTACTCATGTGGGTTTTTTACCCTGGCCCATTTACTGACTAATCTGAAAAGATGCTCGCTTTGAGTGGGGCTCAGAACAAAAGAAGGCTCTGCCATAAGTCCAGTTTGCTATGTGATCTGCCCTATCACTTGGGCATATGATCCAGCAGATCCACTGGTGTTTGAAGTATCAAAGGCAGATAAGGATGACATATGAATTCTTTGGCAGATCTCTATAGTTGAATTGCAGCACAGACCACTAGAATTTTGAAGCAAAGCCCAACCATCCTCCACAGATACTCTCCTTTTGAAAAACAGTATTTGCCTAACACTAGGTCTTAGTAGAGACTGAGTACTTAACCATGGGCCACCAAGTTACCATGGGACTGGAGCTGCCCATCATGACCTGTGTGTTTTTTGACCCATGAAGTCATAAATTTGGGCAATCACAGAAGCACTCCATCATCAAATGGAAGGGGTATATATATGACTGGGCCCAAGCAGGCCCTAACGACACAAATGAATTCCATGAAGAAGTGGTCCAAATGTCCACGTTTCTCATTCCTGCTACCCTGAGTTTTCTCTCTAAGCCTGCACCTATGGCTTTATGGGGCATTCCCTTAGATCAGACCTGCTTTATAGATATTTCTGCATGATATGCAGGCACTGCTTAAAAGTGGACAGCTGCAGCACTAGAGCCCTTTTCTGACACATCCCTGAAGGATGAAGGTGAAAAATCTTCCCAGTGGCCAGAACTTTGAGCGGTGCACCTGATTGATCATTTTGTTTGAAAGGAGGAATGGCCAGATGTGCAATTCTCTGCCTATTCCTGGTTGCCAGTAGATTGGCTGGATGATAAGGACTTTGAAAGAACATGATTAGAAAATTCGTGAAAAGGAAATTTGGGGAAGAGGTAAGGTGATAGACATTTGTGTTCCATGTGAATGTTCACCAAAGGATGACCTCAGCAGAAGAGAATTTTAATAATCTAGTGGACAGAATGACCTATTCTGTGAATACCAATCAGCCTCTTTCCCCATCCACTCCTGTCATTGCCTGATAGGCTTATGACCAAAATAGCAATGGTGGCAAGAATGGAAGTCATTCATGGGCTCAGCAACATCAACTTTCACTCACTAAGGCAAACTTGGCTACAGCCACTGCTGATTGCCCAATCTTCTAGCAGCAGAGACCAAAACTGAATCTTTGACACGATTCCATTTCCCAGAGTTGCCAGCCAGCTACCTGGTGGCAAGTTGATTACACTGGACCACTTCCATCATGGAAAAAGGGCAGTATCTTGTTCTTACTAGAATAGATACTTATGCTGAATAAGAATTTGCCTTCTTTGCATGCAAAACTTCTGCCAAAACTACCATATCTGGACTTACGGAATGCCTTGTCCACTGGCATGATATTCCATACGACATTGCTTCTAATCAAGAAACTCACTTCACAGCAAAAGAAGTATAGCAATGGGCCTATGCTCATGAAATTCACACTCCCACCATGTTCCCTAGCATCCTGAAGTAGCTGGTTTGACAAAATCATGGAATGGCCTTTTGAAGTCTCAATTACAGCACCAGCTAGGTGGCAACAATACTTCGTAGGACTGGGGAAGGGTTCTTCAGAAGCCTCTATGTGCTCCAAATCAGTGTTCAAAATATGGTGCTGTTTTTCCCATTGCTAGGATTCATGGGTCCAAAAATCAAGGGGTGAAAATGAGAGTGACATCACTATTTCCCCTAGTAACCCAGTAGCAATATTTTTGCCTCATGTTTCCGTGTCCTCATGCTTTATTGGCCTAAAAATCTTAGTGCCAACAGCAAGAAAACTTCCACCAGGAAAAACAACAATAATTCATTGAACTAAAAGTTAAGACTAATGCTTGGACACTGGACTTCTCATGCTTCTGAATCAACAGGCATAAAAAAGAGTTACTATGCTGGCTGGGGTCATTCATCCTAACTATCCTAACTACCAAGGGGAAATTGGACAGGTACTCCACAGTGCAAGTAAGAAGAGTATGTCTGGAATACAGAAGACCCCTTTTGGCTAGATTACTATTGCCATACCCTCGGTTAAGGTCAATGAAAAACTACAACTTAATTGCCATTAGTAGACCAAGCAGGACTGGTACAATTATCAAACTTTGAATATTATTTGTAGAACACCATTCCAAATAACTGCAACATAAACATTTTCTGAAGCAAACAATATTTATAAAAGTTGATCATTTGCTGGACCATGACCTAAGTCTCTATGAATTTTAAAGATTGAAATCATATAGAGTATATTCTCTGACCATAGTGAAATAAGTTAGAAGTTCTTAAAAAATAGAAAAAAAGTTTCCAAATATATGGAATTTATGAAACATGCTTGAAAATAACCTATGTGTCAGAAAGAAAATAACAAGAAAATTAAAAAATACTTTAACTTAATGGTAACATAAATCATACAAGTTGAATATTTTGAGATGCAAATAAAATCATCTTACAGGAAATTTCTCTTTCTATAAATTTATGTTAGAAAAAAGAGACTAAAAATTAAGAAATTATGTATCTATCTCAAGACATAGAAAATTAACAGCAGAATGACCAAAATAAAATAGAGGGAACAAGAAAATAGAAATTAAAATAAATATATGATAGAGAAGATTAACAAAACAAAACTTATTTTTTTGAAAAAATAAATACAATTGACAAACTCTTGATAAGACTGATCAAAGAAGAGGAGATACACATGATCAATAATGGAATAAAAGTTTTTAAAAATACAAGTTAGTATGAAAAGAAGCAAATACATTTGAAGTTTAGATAAAATGAAAATATTTATTGTTAAAAAGTAAAATTTACAAAACTTACCTAAAAACAGAAACTCTGAATAATCCTGAAGCTACTAATGAAATTAAATTCATCATATAAAACCTTTGCCAAAGAAACCTATAATCCAAATGATTTCACTGGTAAATTCTTAAAAACATTTGAGCAACAAATAACATCAGTGTTACTCAAACTCTTTCAGGGAATGAAATAAAAAGTGCTCCTGAATTTATTTTATAAAACCAAAATAACTTTCATATCAAAACCTTATAAAACCTTTATAAGAATTACAAAGTTACAGGCTAATATTATTCAAGTACAAGAAAAAAATTAATCAAAAAATTAGTGAAAATTATTCAGTGATAAAAAGTCTATTACACAAATTGGTTTATTTCAAGAAAGCAAGATAAATGAAAATTTGAAAATTATGAATTGTATTTTATATTATCCAAATAAGAAAATTAATAAGTCATCTCAGTAAATGAAAATCATTTGATAAAATTTAATACATATTCATGGTTACAAGAAATCTAGAAATAGAAGAAAAATATCTTAGTCTAATAAAATATAACTGCAAAATAACATAAAGTATTATATTCAATTATGAAATTTGAAGCTTTCCTTTTGAATAAGACCTAATCAAGACTGCCTTTTAGATTCAATTCTATTTATTTTTGTATTGGAGGTTTTAGCCAGTTTAGTAAGAAAAGAAAAATAAAATAAAAAAATAAGGACTAAAAGCACAAAAACAAAACTGTTATTTGCAGATTAGATAATTCCATACAGAGAAAATTTAAAAAAAATTACAGGTGAATAATGGCAGCAGTGTGTTTAGCAAAGTTGCTGAATATAGAGACAAATTACAAAAATTAGGCACATTTCTATATATCAACATACCAGCTAAAAAGTATTTTTTCAATTGATGCCATTTTGTTGTATCAAAAAGCATCAAGTTCTTTTGATTAATTATATCAAAATTACATAAGACACAAGCAAACAAAACCATAAAATATTGAAAGAAACCAAATAGCTAACTGAATGGACAATAAAATATTTTCATAAATTGAAAGATACAATATAGTATTAGTATAGTAAAGATATCAGTACCCTCCAAATTGATCTATGGATTTTAAACAATTATAATCAAAAACCAAAAAGGTAAGAGTGTATGTGTATATGCATCGAATGAAACTTGCTAAAATAATTCTTAAATTGATATGGAAATGCAAATGACAATTTATCATCCAAATCTTCAGAAAGAGGTTAGAGGATATGTTCTACCAGACACCATGACTTACTATAGATCTATAACAATTGAAGCCATCTGAAAATGGACCTTTAATTTTATGCTGCAAATCAAATAGGAAATAATAAGCTCTGTTGGGTCAATTGAAATATTCATGTAAAAAAAAGATTGTCAACACCTACTTCAAATAATACCAAAAATATACAAATCAATTCCAGTTAAACTATCAATTAAAATGCAAAATTTTAATCAATAAAGCTTCTAGACTATAATATAGAAGATAGTCATGAACTTGTGGTAGGGAGAGAGGACCTACACAGGACAAAAGACACACAAACAATAAACAAAAAGATTGATAGGCCAGGCACAGTGGCTCATGCCTGTAATCCCAGCACTTTGGGAGGCCAAGGCAGGCTGATCACCTGAGGTCAGGAGTTCAAGACCAGCCTGGCCAACATGGTGAAACCCTGTCTGTACTAAAAGTACAAAAATGAGCCAGCCGTGCTGGCGGACACCTGTAATCCCAGCTACTCAGGAGACTGAGGCTGGAGAATTGCTTGAACCCAGGAGGCGGAGGTTGCAGTGAGCCAAGATGGCACCACTGCACTCCAGCCTGGGTTATAAGAGCAAGACTTCATCTCAAAAAAAAAAAAAAAAGATTGATAACTCTAGTATGTTAAAATTACACACTCTTTTCATCTAAAAGCACTATAAGAGAGTGAAAAGGAAAGACATGGAGTGGGGAAAGAAATTTTCAACACATACAATGAGAAAGGAATAATACAGACTATGTAATGAGCCCCTATAAATTAATTAGAATACACCAACAACTAAGAAACAAATACAAATGTGAGCAACATTTGAGGAGGTATTTTAAAAAAATAAATATTCAAATAGATAATAAATATTTTTAAATGGTGCTCAATGTAATTACCAATACAGGAAATTAAAATTAAAATCACAATGCAATGCTACTACACACTTACAAGGTCAGTTAATTTAAAAATAAATAAATAGGCCGGGCACAGTGGCTCATGCCTGTAATCCCGCACTTTGGGAGACTGAGATGGAAGGATTGCTTGAGGCCAGGAGTAAGAGACCAGCCTGGTCAACATGGCAAGAACCCCATCTCTAAAAATAAATAAATAAATAAAACAATATTGATTATTGTCAGGGATGTGAAATAATTAGCACTCTCGTGCCCTGCTGGTGAGAGGGTAAACTGGCACAGCCGCTTTAAAAACATTTTGGAATTATCAACTAAAATTTAACATTCCCATACCCCATGACTCAGAAATTCCGTTCCAAGGTTTATATCCAGCAGAAATCCATGCACATATGCATGAAGACTTCTATATATAAATGCTCATGGCAGCATTATTCATAATACTTCAAATTAGGAACAATTCAAATCTGCACCAAGAGTAGAATGAAAAAAATAAACTACAAATAATCACAGAATTAAATATACATTGCAGTGAAAATAAAGGAATTAGAGCTACATGCAATAAAATGAATGAAGTTCACAACATAATGTTAAGCAAAAGGAGCCAGGTGAGAAAAAAAATTATATACAGTGTGATTACATTTAATCTGAAACTCAAACAGCAGGCACATTTAACTATATTGTTCAAAATTGCATGCTCAGTTGGTAAAGATTTAAGAAAAACAAAGAAATAATTAACATAAAATTCAAAATACTGGCTACCTTTATAAAGAAGGAAGGCATTGGCTATTAAAAGCAGGTTATAAGTGCTCTTCAACACTGGGATGCTGACAACGTTTAATTTCTTAACCTGGGTGGTAGTGAAACAGATGTTTGCTTTGTGATAAATTAATGAATTCTATACCTTTGCAGTGCACTTTTCTATACTATGTTATAAATTGTAATTTAAAAGTTTTTTGGAAAATAGTACAGGGAAATAAATATTTATCAGAAATTGTTTTGGAATTAGAAACTATTTTTAAATATTTTACTTTTATACATACAAATGTATGTGTGTATAAAATATTTTGCATATTATTATCAAGGAAGCCCTCTCTGATAACGTGAAATTTGAGCAGAGACTAGAAGAAAGTAAAGAGTAGAGTTACGTAGGTGGCTGAGGGAAAGGCTTGACAAGTATAGAGAATAGGACATGCAAAGACACTGAGGTGTGGAATATGCTTAGCTTGTTGGCAGAACAGCAAGCAGAATAGTGTGGCCAGAATATGATGAGTGAGAAACATAAAGGTAGGAGACAAGATCAGAGAGTTTTCAGTGCATCAGATCAAGTACAGCCTTGTAGGTCATTGTAAAGTGTTTTAACTTTATTCTGAGTTAGATGGAAAATCACTGAAAGGCTTTGAGCTGAGGAGTGACACGAACAAAATTGTATTTTAAGGTTGTCATTCTGCCTGCTGTGTGACAAATAGACCAGTCAGAAGAGAGACTAGCTGGGAGGCTATTGCAACAGTCCAGGTAGTAAATGATGGTAGCATAGGCTAGGTAGTAGTAGTGGAATGGGTGAGAAATAGCTAAACTCTAGATATAATTTCATGGTAGAGCTGACGAGTTGGAGAAAGAAGGATGTCAAGAAAGACACGAAGATTTTTGTTCTGAGAAACTAGATAAAAAGTATTCGCAGGGGCTGGCAGCCAAGATGGCCGAATAGGAAGAGCTCCAGTCTACAGCTCCCAGCATGAGCGACGCAGAAGACAGGTGATTTCTGCGTTTCCATCTGAGGTACCAGGTTCATCTCACTAGGGAGTGCCAGACAGTGGGCGCACGACAGTGGGTGCAGCGCAACGTGTGCCAGCCGAAGCAGGGCAAGGCATTGCCTCACTCGGGAAGCGCAAGGGGTCAGGGAGCTCCCTTTCCTAGTCAAAGAAAGGGGTGACAGACGGCACCTGGAAAATCGGGTCACTCCCTACCTAATACTGCACTTTTCTGATGGGCTTTAAAAACGGCGCACCAGTAGATTATATCCCGCACATGGCTCGGGCGGTCCTACACCCACAGAGTCTCGCCGATTGCTACCACAGTAGTCTGAGATCAAACTGCAAGGTGGCAGCGAGGCTGGGGGAGGGGCACCTGCCATTGCCCAGGCTTGCATAGGTAAACAAAGCAGCCAGGAAGCTCGAACTGGGTGGAGCCCACCACAGCTCAAGGAGGCCTGCCTGCCTCTGTAGGCTCCACCTCTGGGGGCAGGGCACAGACAAATAAAAAGACAGCAGAAACCTCTGCAGACTTAAATGTCCCTGTCTGACAGCTTTGAAGAGAGCAGTGGTTCTCCCCGCATGCAGCTGGAGATCTGAAAACGGGCAGACTGCCTCCTCAAGTGGGTCCCTGACCCCTGACCCATGAGCAGCCTAACTGGGAAGCAGCCCCCGGTAGGGGCAGACTGACACCTCACATGGCCGGGTACTCCTCTGAGACAAAACTTCCAGAGGAATGATCAGACAGCAGCATTCGCGGTTCACAAAAATCCGCTGTTCTGCAGCCACCGCTGCTGATACCCAGGCAAACAGGGTCTGGAGTGGACCTCTAGCAAACTCCAACAGACCTGCAGCTGAGGGTCCTGTCTGTTAGAAGGAAAACTAACAAACAGAAAGGACATTCACACCAAAAACCCATGATGATGTACATCAACATCATCAAAGACCAAAAGTAGATAAAACCACAAAGATGGGGAAAAGACAGAGCAGAAAAACTGGAAACTCTAAAAAGCAGAGTGCCTCTCCTCCTCCAAAGGAACACAGTTCCTCACCAGCAACGGAACAAAGCTGGATGGAGAATGACTTTGACAGGTTGAGAGAAGAAGGCTTCAGATGATCAAACTACTCCGAGCTACAGGAGGAAATTCAAACCAAAGGCAAAGAAGTTCAAAACTTTGAAAACAATTTTCACGAATGTATAACTAGAATAACCAATACAGAGAAGTGCTTAAAGGAGCTGATGTAGCTGAAAGCCAAGGCTCGAGGACTACATGAAGAATGCAGAAGCCTCAGGAGCTGATGCGATCAACTGGAAGAAAGGGTATCAGTGATGGAAGATGAAATGAATGAAATGAAGCAAGAAGGGAAGTTTAGAGAAAAAAGCATAAAAAGAAATGAACAAAGCCTCCAAGAAATATGGGACTATATGAAAAGACCAAATCTACGTCTGACTGGTGTACCTGAAAGTGACGGGGAGAATGGAACCAAGTTGGAAAACACGCTGCAGGATATTATCCAGGAGAACTTCCCCAATCTAGCAAGGCAGGCCAACAGTGAGATTCAGGAAATACAGAGAACACCACAAAGATACTCCTCGAGAAGAGCAACTCCAAGACACATAATTGTCAGATTCACCAAAGTTGAAATGAAGGAAAAAATGTTAAGGGCAGCCAGAGAGAAAGGTCAGGTTACCCACAAAGGGAAGCCCATCAGACTAACAGTGGATCTCTTGGCAGAAACTCTACAAGCCAGGAGAGTGTGGGGGCCAATATTCAACATTCCTAAAGAAAAGAATTTTCAACCCACAATTTCATATCCAGACAAACTAAGCTTCATAAGTGAAGGAGAAATAAAATACTTTACAGACAAGCAAATGCCGAGAGATTTTGTCACCACCAGGCCTGCCCTAAAAGAGCTCCTGAAGGAAGCACTAAACATGGAAAGGAACAACCGGTACCAGCTGCTGCAAAATCATGCCAAATTGTAAAGACCATCGAGGCTAGGAAGCAACTGCATCAACTAATGAGCAAAATAACCAGCTAACATCATAATGACAGGTTCAAATTCACACATAACAGTATTAACTTTAAAGGTAAATGGACTAAATGCTCCAATTAAAAGACACGGACTGGCAAATTGGATAAAGAGTCAAGATTCATCAGTGCGCTGTATTCAGGAAACCCATCTCACATGCAGAGACACACATAGGCTCAAAATAAAAGGATGGAGGAAGATCTACCAAGCAAATGGAAAACAAAAAAAGGCAGGGGTTGCAATCCTAGTCTCTGATAAAACAGACTTTAAACCAACAAAGATCAAAAGAGACAAAGAAGACCATTACATAATGGTAAAGGGATCAATTCAACAAGAAGAGCTAACTATCCTAAATATATATGCACCCAATACAGGAGCAACCAGATTTATAAAGCAAGTCCTGAGTGACCTACGAAAGGACTTAGACTCCCACACAATAATAATGAGAGACTTTAACACCTCACTGTCAACATTAGACAGATCAACAAGAAAGAAAGTTAACAAGGATACCCAAGAATTGAACTCAGCTCTGCACCAAGTGGATCTAATAGACATCTACAGAACTCTCCACCCCAAATCAACAGAATATACATTTTTTTCAGCACCACACCACAACTATTCCAAAATTGACCACATAGTTGGAAGTAAAGCTCTCCTCAGCAAATGTAAAAGAACAGAAATTATAACAAACTGTCTCTCAGACCACAGTGCAATCAAACTAGAACTCAGGATTAAGAAACTCACTCAAAACCACTCAACTACATGGAAGCTGAACAACCTGCTCCTGAATGACTACTGGGTACATAATGAAATGAAGGCATAAATAAAGATGTTCTTTGAAACTGATGAGAACAAAGACACAACATACCAGAATCTCTGGGACACATCCAAAGCAGTGTGCAGAGGGAAATTTATAGCACTAAATGCCCACAGGAGAAAGCAGGAAATATCTAAAATTGACACGCTAACATCACAATTAAAAGAACTAGAAAAGCAAGAGCAAACACATTCAAAAGCTAGCAGAAGGCAAGAAATAACTAAAATCAGAGCAGAACTGAAGGAAATAGAGACACAAAAAACCCTTCAAAAAATTAATGAATTCAGGAGCTGGTTTTTTGAAAGGATCAACAAAATTGATAGACCGCTAGCAAGACTAATAAAGAAGAAAAGAGAGAAGAACCAAATAGAGGCAATAAAAAATGATAAAGGGGATATCACCACCGATCCCACAGAAATACAAACTACCATCAGAGAATACTACAAACACCTCCACACAAATAAACTAGAAAATCTAGAAGAAATGGATAAATTCCTCGACACATACACCCTCCCAAGACTAAACCAGGAAGAAGTTGAATCTCTGAATAGACCAATAACAGGCTCTGAAATTGTGGCAATAATCAATAGCTTACCAACCAAAAAGAGTCCAGGACCAGATGGATTCACAGCGGAATTCTACCAGAGGTACATGGAGGAACTGGTACCATTCCTTCTGAAACTATTCCAATCAATAGAAAAAGAGGGAATCCTCCCTAACTCATTTTATGAGGCCAGCATCATCCTGATACCAAAGCCGGGCAGAGACACAACCAATAAAGAGAATTTTAGACCAATATCCTTGATGAACATTGATGCAAAAATCCTCAATAAAATACTGGCAAACCGATTCCAGCAGCACATCAAAAAGCTTATCCACCATGATCAAGTGGGCTTCATCCCTGGGATGCAAGGCTGGTTCAATATATGCAAATCAATAAATGTAATCCAGCATATAAACAGAACCAAAGACAAAAACCACATGATTATCTCAATAGATGTAGAAAAGGCCTTTGACAAAATTCAACAACCCTTCATGCTAAAAACTCTCAATAAATTAGGTATTGATGGGACGTATTTCAAAATAATAAGAGCTATCTATGACAAACCCACAGCCAATATCATACTGAATGGGCAAAAACTGGAAGCATTCTCTTTGAAAACTGGCACAAGACAGGGATGCCCTCTCTCACCACTCCTATTCAATGTAGTGTTGGAAGTTCTGGCCAGGGCAATTAGGCAGGAGAAGGAAATAAAGGGTATTCAATTAGGAAAAGAGGAAGTCAAATTGTCCCTGTTTACAGATGACATGACTGTATATCTAGAAAACCCCATCGTCTCAGCCCAAAATCTCCTTAAGCTGATAAGCAAATTCAGCAAAGTCTCAGGATACAAAATCAATGTACAAAAATCACAGGCATTCTTATACACCAATAACAGACAAACAGAGAGCCAAATCATGAGTGAACTCCCATTCACAATTGCTTCAAATAGAATAAAATAGCTAGGAATCCAACTTACAAGGGACGTGAAGGACCTCTTCAAGGAGAACTACAAACCACTGCTCAAGGAAATAAAAGAGGATACAAACAAATGGGAGGACATTCCATGCTCATGGGTAGGAAGAATCAATATCGTGAAAATGGCCATACTGCCCAAGGTAATTTACAGATTCAATGCCATCCCCATCAAGTGACCAATGACTTTCTTCACAGAATTGGAAAAAACTACTTTAAAGTTCATGTGGAACCAAAAAAGAGCCCGCATCGCCAAGTCAATCCTAAGCCAAAAGAACAAAGCTGGAGGCATCATGCTACCTGACTTCAAACTATACTACAAGGCTACAGTAACCAAAACAGCATGGTACTGGTACCAAAACAGAGATATAGATCAATGGAACAGAACAGAGCCCTCAGAAATAACGCCGCATATCTACAACTATCTGATCTTTGACAAACCTGAGAAAAACAAGCAATGGGGAAAGGATTCCCTATTTAATAAATGGTGCTGGGAAAACTGGCTAGCCACATGTAGAAAGCTGAAACTGGATCCCTTCCTTATGCCTTATACAAAAATCAATTCAAGATGGATTAAAGACTTAAACGTTGACCTAAAACCATAAAAACCCTAGAAGAAAACCTAGGCATTACCATTCAGGACATAGGCATGGGCAAGGACTTCATGTCTAAAACACCAAAAGCAATGGCAACAAAAGACAAAATTGACAAATGGGATCTCATTAAACTAAAGAGCTTCTGCACAGCAAAAGAAACTACCATCAGAGTGAAGAAGCAACCTACAAAATGGGAGAAAATTTTCACAACCTACTCCTCTGACAAAGGGCTAATATCCAGAATCTACAATGAACTCAGACAAATTTACAAGAAAAAAACAAACAACCCCATCAAAAAGTGGGCAAAGGACATGAACAGACACTTCTCAAAAGAAGACATTTATGCAGCCAACAAACACATGAAAAAATGCTCACCATCACTGGCCATCAGAGAAATGCAAATCAAAACCACAATGAGATACCATCTCACACGAGTTAGAATGGCAATCATTAAAAAGTCAGGAAACAACAGGTGCTGGAGAGGATGTGGAGAAATAGGAACACTTTTACACTGTTGGTGGGACTGTAAACTAGTTCAACCATTGTGGAAGTCAGTGTGGCGATTCCTCAGGGATCTAGAACTAGAAATACCATTTGACCCAGCCATCCCATTACTGGGTATTTACCCAAAGGATTATAAATCATGCTGCTATAAAGACACATGCACATGTATGTTTATTGTGGCACTATTCACAATAGCAAAGACTTGGAACCAACCCAAATGTCCAACAACGATAGACTGGATTAAGAAAATGTGGCACATATACACCAGGGAATACTATGCAACCATAAAAAAGGATGAGTTCATGTCCTTTGTAGGGACATGGATGAAACTGGAAATCCGTCATTCTCAGTAAACTATCGCAAGGACAAAAAACCAAACACCACATGTTCTCACTCATAGGTGGGAATTGAACAATGAGAACACCTGGACACAGGAAGGGGAACATCACACTCTGGGGACTATTGTGGGGTGGAGGGAGGGGGTAGGAATAGCATTAGGAGATATACCTAATGCTAAATGATGAGTTAATGGGTGCAGCACACCAGCATGGCACATGTATACATATGTAACTAACCTGCACATTGTGCACATGTACCCTAAAACTTAAAGTATAATAATAATAAAATAAAATTTAAAAAAAAGGATTCGCATTTACTGAGATGGGGAAATGGAGGAAATATGATCATTCTCTGCTAGGATGTAATATAATATAAAGCCATCTAAATGGAATTTTTTTCTTATGAAAAAATTAGGGCCGCCTTGCTGTGGTTCGAATTTGTTCCCCCTAAAATTTATGTATTGAAACTTAATTTCCATGGTGGTGGTATTGAGAGGTAGGGCCTTTTGGAAAGTAAGTCTCGAGAACTCTGCTGCCATGAATGAATTAGCGCCTTATATAAAGAGAGTTGGAGGAAACTAGTTTAGCCCATTTTTCCCTCTCTTCTCTTTTACTATACAAGGACTCAGCGTTCATCCCCTCCAGAGAATGCAGCCACAAGGTGCCACTTTGAAATGAAAACCGAGTCCTCACCAGACACCAAACCTGCCAGCACCTTGATCCTGGACTTTCCAGCCTCCAGAACTGTAAGAAATAAATCTCTGTTGTTTATAAATTACTTAGCCTGGAAGTCCTAGCCAGAACAATCAGACAAGAGAAAGAAATATAAAGGGCATCCAAATTGGAAAACAGGAAGTCAAACTGTCACTATTCTTTGATGATAGGATTGTATACCTACACAACCCTAAAGACTCACCCAAAAAGCTCCTAGAGCTGATAAATGAATTCACCAAAGTTTCAGGATATAAAATCAATGTACACAAATCAGTAGCACTGTTATACACCAACAACATCAAGCTGAGAATCAAGTTAAGAGTGCAATCCCTATTACAACAGCTGCAAAAAATAAAATAAAATAAACTAATATACTTAACCAAGGAGGTGAAAGATCTGTACAAGGAAAACTACAAAACACTGCTGAAAAAAAATCATAGATGGGATGATGCAAACAAATGGAAACACATCCCATGCAGGTGGATAGGTAGAATTAATATTGTGAAAATGACCATACTGCCAAAAGCAAACTGCAGATTCAATGTAATACCCATTGAAATACCATCATCATTCTTCACAGAACTAGAAAAAAAAAATTCTAAAGTTCATATGGAACCAAAAAAGAACCCACACAACCAAAGCAATACTAAGCAACAGGAACAAATCTGGAGGCATCAGATTACTCAACTTCAAATTATACTACAAGGCTTAAAAAAATAGGCACTTAGACAAATAGAAAAGAATAAAGAACCCAAAAGTGAAGCCAAATACTTACAGCCAACTTATCTTTGACAAAGCATACAAAACCTTAAAGTGGGGAAAGGAGACCCTATTCAATAAATGGTGCTGGGATAACTGCCAAGCCACATATAGAAGAATGAAACTAGATCCTCATCTCTCACCTTATACAAAAATCAACTCAAGATGAATCAAAGGCTTAAATTTAAGACCTGAAACCATAAAAATCCTAGAAGATAACATCATAAAAACTCTTCTAGACATTGGCTTTGGCAAAGAATTCAGGACTAAGAACCCAAAAGCAAATAAAACAAAAATAAATAAATGGACCTAATTAAACTAAAAATCTTCTGCACAGCAAAAGAAATAATTAGCTGAGTAAACAGGCAACTCAGAGAGGGGAGAAAATCTACACAAACTGTGCATCCAACAAAGGACTAATATTCAGAATCTACAAGGAACTCAAACAAATCAGCAAGATAAAAACAAATAATCCCATTGAAAAGTGGGCAAAAGACATGAATAGTCAATTCTCAAAAGAAGATATACAAACAACCGACACACATAGGGAAAAAAATGTTCATCTTCAGTAGTTTTCAGAGAAATGCAAATTAGAAACACAATGAGATACCACCTTACTCCTACAAGAATGGCCATAATTAAAAAATCAAAAAATAATAGATGTTGGCATAAATCGGGTGAAAGGGGAACTCTTTACACTGCTGGTAGGAATGTAAACTAGTACAACCACTATGGAAAACAGTAGAGAGATTCTTTAATGAACTAAAAAAAGAACTACCATTTGATCCTGCAATTCCAGGGTATCTACCCATAGGAAAAGAAGTCATTATATGAAAAAGACACATGCACACATGTTTATAGAAGAACAATTCACAATGGCAAGGATATGGAACAAACCTAAGTGCCTATCAACCAACAAATGAGTAAAGAAAATGTGGTATATATACACCATAGTACATATACACCATGGAATACTACTCAGCCATAAAACAGAATGAAATAATGGCCTTTGCAGCAACTTGGATGAACTTGGAGGCCATTATTCCAAGTGAGGTAACTCAGGAATGGAAAATCAAATATTGTATGTTTTCACTTATAAGTGGGAGCTAAGCTATGAGGATACAAAGGCATAAGAATGATATAATGAACTTTGGGGACTCAGGGGGAAGGGCAGGAGGAAGGTGAGGGATAAAAGACTGCACATTGGGTACAGCACACACTGCTCGGGGGACAAGCACACCAAAATCTCAGAAATCAATCACCACTAAAGAACTTATCGATGTAGCCAATATCACTTGTTCCACCCCAAAAATTATTAAATAAAATTTTAAAAATTACCCGGACTGTATTTTGTCATAACACACAAACTGATGCTCTTGTAAAAGACTATATTAAAATCATATAGTCAGTGACGAGTTAAATGTGCCCCATTCACCGAAATTTCTAAACGTATAAAGGTTCTGCAGTGTTCAGAAGGTTTGATTAGTATGTTATCTGATTTCTTATAATCTGTAACATACAATCCTTTATTTCATCGACTTCACTAATATATATTTTTTTATTTTTGAAACTAAAAGTAAAGTGAGTTAAATATTAACCAAACTTTAGGCCAAATCTCAAAACATATTTTCCCCACCCACAGAGATAGTTGTTCCTTTATTTTTCTTACATTTTCTCAAACTCAGATGACTGTTCAGGAATCTTGGATTTGGAGATAAATAATTCACCTTGAGGCATTATCATTATATTGTCTTATCATGGTTGACTATAAAGTTTTATTGCCTAGGGTCCCTAAGAACAAAGTTCTAATAAGCGCAAGGTATGAGGTTCAGCCCATAAATGAACTGGCAAACTTAATACATAGAAAAAACTAAACTAATAATTTATGGTACCTGAGCCCTGGAGTTAGGTAGTCATAAGCTCAAATCTCAGTTCTGCCACTTAATGGCAGTATGACCTTGAGCAACTTACTTAACCACTTCATGCCACAGACTCCCCATCTGAAAAATCGAGTTAATAATAGGGCCTTTCTTGGATAATTGCTTTGTATATTAGATAAAATGATCTACATAAAGAACTTGCAGAGTTCCTAGCATATAATTAGATATCCTCAGTAAACATTATGTAGATATGTTTACCAGAAAACAGAGGTAAGGTCCAGCTGGCTCAGTTCGGGGTAACCAGCCCATAGTGGGCAGGCAGTCTCGCTCTTTTTTGTTGTTGTTGTTGTTGTTTTGAGACAGAATCTCACTCTGTTGCCCAGGTTGGAGTGCAGTGGCACAATCTTGGCTCACTGCAACCTCCGACCCCTGGGTTCAAGCAATTCTTCTGCCTCGGCCTCCCGAGTAGCTGGGATTACAGGAGCCCACCACCACACCCAGCTAATTTTTGTATTTTTAGTAGAGATGGGGTTTTACCATGTTGGCCAGGCTGGTCTCGAACTCCTGATCTCAGGTGATCCACCAGCCTCGGCATCCCAAAGTGCTGGGATTACAGGCATAAGCCACTGTACCCGGCCATCTTTTTAATACAATTTAACTAAAAATATCTCCATTGCTAGAAATGTATGGCCTACAGAAACTATATTTTTCATAGGTAGATCAGCCTACTTATTTGAAGACATTATTTTGTATGATTAGAAGGAAGAAAGAAGATAATCTTGAATAAAGATTACACTCCATGGGTCTGAAAAATCAGTTTTTGCCACTGCTTCACCTAACACTGGAACCTACTTCCCTGAATAAAGTTATTTTCATTTAAGCCGCATTTGATTCTCCACTCTTACAACAGGGAGTCCCTGCAGGTGATTGAAGCCTGGTATAAAAGATGTATCTCACACCTTTGCTTGAAAATTATTATGTCAGCACCATGCCCGAATGCCAGTTGAATTGATATGTATGATTTCCTTAAGAACATGTGTTGACAGTTACTTTCCTCATTGGTCTTTCCTCTTGGTTCCAAGAGCCCATAAAATCTTACAACCACACAAACCAAAATTATACAGGAGACATTTAGTTATGTTTGGCACAGACTCGATATTGTGTAAATGGAACCTAACTTCTTTCTTCCAGGGACTTGCTAAACTCTACTCCTGGACTCTGTTTCAACCTTTCCTCTGGTTCAGCTGTTATTTTTCAAGAAGCCTTATCCATTCCTCCTATTACACACCTTCTGATCCGGGAAATATTGTTGGCCTCTCTCACTTGTTAGGGTGAATAGACAGGCTCATGTTCTTACTTAACAATTCCTGCGACATATCACTGAAATAAACTTAAGCTATGGATTATAAAGCTTTCTGGCACTTCAGTGATATTCAAGGCCACTCAAGGAGCTTTGCTAATACAAGGAGGTATTTAACAGAGAGGTCTCACTCAATTCAATGTCTCCAGCTGCACAGGCCTACCTGTCCCTTGAAAGAAAGACTTTGCTGTCTACGCTGCAGAGCCATTATCTCTTTCTTTTTGTACAGTGACACGAACCAAATCTGATCCCCTCCATAGCACTTTCCGCAAACATTATTTAATGTGTGTTAGGTTAGATAGAAATGGCAAGTATTTAGGTATGCGTGGTAAAAAGTTATGCATATGACCTGCTAAGCTCTCTGGGCAGAAACAAAGGACTCATCATGTCACTTTCTGTATTAAAAGCTTTCAATGGCTTCAGGATAAATTAAAAGTGCCATAGATTGGACCACAAACCCCTTCCTGACCTGATCCTTCTCTCCTCTACAGCCTTACTGCATCCATCTCTCTCCACCCCCAGCGCCTAGAACATTTGCATCTTCTTATTCTACTGGGAGTCAGCCTGGAATGCTCTCGCCTCTTTCTCTACCTGTTGAATTCTTCCCTGTCCTTCGTGATTCTGCTTGATTGTCATATCTTTTGGGAAACCTTCCTTGACATACATAGTGATCCTAGAGGCTGGTACTCTACTGTGCTTCTCGGCATCTTGATAGAGTTGAAATTCTAAATAGTCTGGTTCTAAACAATCTTTACTCTTTATGCACTCTTCAATATCCCAAATGCACTCCTAAGAATTTATGCATAAACAGAATTTCTACAAATCAATTATTTGAAATACACATAGGCAGTGTCAAAGTGAAGAAACTAAATTATGCATCTCATTCTTAAGAAAAAAATTTAAAATTTATTTATATCAATTATTATATATGTTTACCATGATATATATAACATATATAGCTATATATAGTTGTCAATATACAGCATATGTATATATCATAGTATATAATATGTATTATGATATATTGTTATGCGGTATTTTTTCATGTGTTTTTTCACTGTTAAAATCTAGATTAAAGCACATCAAAAATATCTGGTATGCTCTAATAGATGCACATCTATTACGGTTGATACACACAAAACAAATGTATTATCTTGTTTAAGATAATTCCCAACGTAACTACTGGCAATGCTGCTAACATTTAGCAAACTGATCCTTTAATAATATTCTTCTAATGGTTAATAATGTCTGAGAAGTGTGTCTTTAGGAACTACACTTGCATGATAAAGGAGATAGTAAACCTAGAGAGAAAAGACTTGAAATTCAGAATGGGGGTTGGGAAGGTATCTTCACTTAAAATCTGCCAGGATCCATTGGAAGACCTAAGAAACATCGCTTTTCCTCTACGTGCACAGAGATCACCTCTGTAAAACAGACTCTGTCTCCCAAAGCATAAGAAATTAATCTTTTAATGCACACAGAGAAGAGAAATTTAAAGCTAAAGTTGAATAATCAACTTAGAAAATCAAGAAAAAAAACTTCAACCTACATGGGCAGTGGCTTATGGGAAGATGACCTCTGATTAAATAATTCCTGGAACTCCCAAGCCAACCCACCCTCATAGCCACTGAAGTCTGTGGTCACTCTGAACATCCACAGGGATACATTTCCTAACTGGGCCAAATTCCTTTAATTTTAGTGTTTTGTAAGCCAGAATAGCTCCCAGGCAACTTTTCCTAATGAAAACATGCTTATTATAGAGATCTGAATTTTTGGTAGATAACCACAGCACCCCTTTTCTATTTTCTTAAAATTAGTAACTCTAAATTCCTGAATGTTCTAACTTGTTGAAAATAAGCTCTTTCACCTTAGAGGTTTAATGCAAGTCATGCAGAGTTTACAAAAATGGCAGATAATCTTTTAGTTTCATTGTTTTCTGCTGTCTTTATAGACAGTTGCAAATCAGGTCTTTCAATTTCTGAAGGAGGTAAGATGCTGGAAATCTATTTCCTTTACAATAAAAATGGGACACTTTTTTTTGTATTTTCTTAAGGTCAAAAATATATAGAATCCCAACCACACGCAGGATAGAGATGGAAAATATGATATTGTAAAGGAGCCCAACAGGCCTATTATTTAAATGCCTCCGAGTGTAGGTCATAATAAAAAAGCTATAACATTTGAGGAAGATATGCCCTGTGGTAAATCCACCATATTTTATGATAACTCCTGCATCTAATAAAAGCATCATAGATTTGTCCAGTTCACACACATGGATCTGAAAAACATCAAGAACCAGCTGAGTAGAGTAGACATACCCTCAGTGATTCCCCTCTACACCTCAATTATTCCATATCAGTGGAGGTAAAAGGCTTCTCTGTGATTTGTCTGATTTGTTTCATTTGGTGGGCTCCAGCTCCTCAACCCTCTGTTGCATCTGACAGAGGGAACACTGGGCAGGTACATGTTTGCTCAGAGGCACTCTCGCCCTTCTGCCTCCACCCATAAATCACAGTCTTTGAGGAGGCAGCCACCTCTGGGCAGAACACAGCAAGTGTTGAACTGTGAGTAATAATTTATACCGCAGAGTAATTTCAGACCGAGAGTGAAAAAGATTTCTCGACCCTCCCAATGCTGAAAGGGGACGTAAGTCATATAATTTTATGCCAGCAACACATGTATCATATGAAGAGGGAAATATTCTTTCGATGACCTGAGTGTTGTCATTAAAATATGTTTAGCCAAGGCTGTGGCTCAATTTGAAGCCCATTTGAGGGTATGTGTCATACTTGGTTTCAAGCAGGACTTGAAGCCAATTTAGAGAGTGTGTGTTATGAGAAGTCTTCATGTTAGAGGTGTGAAATTTACAGTCAATAGAAAGTAACTTTCTGATTGGAACTTGGCCCAAACATTGCAATGAATGCAGTGGGAATGCCATGGGACCTGTAATATTCATCAGTGACAGATTCTGGGGTTTAAATGCTCTCTCCAACCAGAGCCAGGGCAGGCAGGATGCAGAACTGAACAAAAACCATAAGGAAAGTGTGTAAATTAATTAAGTTCTTCCCGACACTATTATTTAAAATTTATTTTCAAAGTTGCCAGTAAACTTTTGTTCATTATAACATTGACAAGTAGATCTCCTAATATGATCCATTTTCTTTATCCTTCTCTCCTGCTTCCAATCTTCGCAATTTGGTAACTTTTGCAGTCTCATTTAGAACATCCATATCTCTAGGTGTTCTAAGATTTTTGGCATGGAAGTTATTTCAGTATCCAGGCATTAACCAAAGTCATCATGACCATTTTCAGAACTTCCACATTTACAGACTAGAGAGTCAGAAGATTTTCTCAGAATCTTGGAAATCTATCTCACCACACTTATTCTTTACACCTTGATGTACAGCAGCATAAAGCCCCTGAACAATCTATCAATCTAACATATGCCTGTAGCCATACTAGACCACTCACTGGTGCCTGGATATTCCAAACATCTTAATGTTTGCGCTCCATCCAAAGACAGTTTAATGGGAAACTCTAGATAGAACAACATTGGGCATTACTTTTTTGCAAAACTCCCAGATGTTTCTAATGTGTAGACAAAACGAGAACCATCACCCAAGCCATAATTGTAACCCACACTCTAATGTACATATAAGTCACCTGAGGATCTTTTTTAAATGAAGATTTTGATCCAATAGTCTAGAAGAAACCACAAATTCTGCATTGCTAACAAGCTCCTACAGTGAGGCTGATGCTATTTACTGGTGTGTGGATCATGTTTTATGCATCAAGGTTCTAACCTATTCTTTCAAAACTTAGCTCAAATAAGATATCTTTTGTAAACACTCTCCTTATGTTCTTAGTCAGAAGTAAGCATCATGCTTTTTCTTTCATGTTCCCATACCTTGGTTATTGTCTTACGAATGTCCTTTAATTATTCATTTACTTGTCTGCCTTCCCTCACACAGTCATATATGACCAATATACTGTAAGCACCTTAAGGACAAAGCAATGGCTTACTTATTTCTATTGTCATTTCCTATCACAGGTTATTGATAAATTTTATAAAGGGAAAGAAAGAAAAAGGAAGAGAAGAATTTAAGAGCATCCTTGTCTCTCTTAATCACTTCTAAGTATTTACCACAAAGTAAAGACAGGTTCACAATAGCTTAATTTCACACTGTAATAATTCTGCTGAATCTATTACTGATTTTGTGTGTTCATCAGTTAAAGGGACTTCTGAAAGAATTTTTCAGCCTTGGAGAAGTGTTTCAATTAGCTACTGCTATGTAACGAATCACTACAAAATTCAGCAGCTGAAAAATAAATAAATATTTATTATTGCTTACAAAGAATGGTTCAGCTGGTTGGCAGTAGGATTTAATAAAGAGTTTAATAAGTACCCCTTTCTCTCATAAGAGTATAGCACTTCAATGCAAATTTAAACCACAATGAGATATCATGTCACCTCGATTAGAATGGCTATTATTGAAAAGACAAAAAATAACAGATACTGGCATGGATGTGGCAAAATGGGAACACTTATAGGCTGTCAGTGGGAATGTAAATTACATTTACAGCCATGATGGAAAAACTGTATGGAGATTTCTCAAAAAACTAAAAGTAGAACTACCATATGATCCCAGAATAATCTCACTACTGGGTATTTATCCAAAGGAAGTGAAAGCACTATGTTGAAGAGTTATCTGCATGTTCATGTTTATTGCAGCACTATTCACAATAGCCAAGATGTGGAATCAATACAAATGTCCATCAGCAAATGAATGGATAAAGAAAATGTGGTTTATATACACAATGGAATACTATTCAGCCTTAAAAAAGAATAAAATTCTGTCATTTGCAGTAACATAGATGAACCCAGAGGACATTATGTTAAGTAAAATTAGCAGGCACAGAAAGATAAATACTGCATGATATCACTCATGGAATCTAAAAGAAAAAAAAACTGATTTCATGGAAGTAGAGTAGAATAGTGGTTACTAGAGGCTGGTAAGGGGAGGGTGGTGGGGGTTGGGGGGCAACAGGGAGAGACTGGTCAATGGCTATAAAATTATAGTTAGATAAGAGGAATAAATTCTGGTATTCTATTGCATAGTACAGTGACTGTAGTTAACATTATATTGCATATTTCAAAATAACTGGAAGAGAGGATTTTTTAATGTTCCTACCACAGAGGAATGATAAACGCTTGAGGTGATAGATATGCTAATTACCTTGATTTGATCTTTATATGATGTCTACAAATATTGAAGCATCATCCTGTACCCCAAAAATGTGTACAATTGTCACGTGTCCATTAAAAATAAAATAAAAAAGAGCATTGTGCTTCAGTTACAATTCTTTATCAATTACTGAGTTGATACAAATTCCATTCTGCATGGTGATTAACCTACTACTTTATACATGCATCACGTATTGGGCAAGTTAAGTTTGTTTTTTGAAGAATACTGTTGAATAAGTTTTATTATTTTATCTATGTAAATGAAATAGAACAGACACTATGTATCAAACTGATCCCAATAATACCAAAATTAACGAACTTATCTCTCTCTCTCTCTCTCTCTCTCTCTCTCTTTCAAGAAGACATTCAGATTCAGTTACTAGATGTTTTTATATAACCAAACATAAATCTTTCTCTTGGAAAAACTTCTGTATTTAAAAATATTTCTGTCTAATCCTGTCAGAATATCTAAAATTCCAAGCAAGATATCTAAAATTCCTTTGTGTATTAAAATGCAAATATTACTTGAGAAGATTAATGTGTGGTTTAATTACTACCCACTAATGGCTTAATTTGAGTTTTTAAATTTTACACATGTGGATGGAATCTTGAAGGAAAGGAATCTATAACATATAGATACCTTTAGATTAGAGTGGAACATCCTCCACAAACACCCCCTAAGAAGAAAGGCCAGAAAAAAAAATTCCGTTGAGAAGTAATTCAGAATCTCAAAGAAACTGAGGATCACAGTGAGGCTACCGGGTTGCACAGAAGCAGACGGTGGAGCTGAATGGTGCTCAAGAAAAATAAGAGGTGAATAAAGTGGGCAAAGGTAAAGTAATGCAGAGAAATCAGCCTCCTGTTACACAGTCCCAGCATTTAAGTAACAATTTCCTAGGCTTTATACATTACAGGAATGATTATTTTTCACCGGAAATCTATTGGTTTTGTAATTATCAGCCACCAAGACAGCATTTTCTGATATTTTCAGCTTGGAGACCTAGAATTTATATTTACTATAGAGACAAATTTATCTTATTTTATCCTCCTTCACCTTCTTTTTTTATCTTATTATAGTATTGCACTACCTCTTTCTCATATGTTGTCTTTTTCATTCTTCCTACCCCTTCCTTGCCCCTTCTATTAGTCTCTCACAGTTATAAAAGCAAGGTGATCTCTGGGGGAAAGGAGAAAAATGACAGAACAAGTGAAGCACAAACAGCTCCCTTAGAAAGGTCATAAGGACTTTTAAGTAGAAATGTCATTATTACTTTGCCACAAAAATAATAAACCTAAACTGTCTGCCCTAGAGGTGAAGTCTACCCTTCTGGGGTTGGAAGAAAGGCTCCTTTTATGGTTTGACTTTTAATCTAGGATTGTGTTTGGAAAATGTCTTAATCTATTATTCTCCCCAGACACTGCTTCAGAAATGCAGTGTCTCACTTGGCTTTGCCTTCATTAGTTAATTATCCCCAGGATGAGACAAATGCAGGAGGCAGCCAGAGTTCTTTCATTTTCCCTTCCCTAGGCCATTCAAATCTCTGGTTGACTCCACCTAACAATTCTGATTGGCGAAGTAGCCAGCGTCCAGAAAAACATTAGATAAGTATGCTGGTTTCCGGCATCCCCTCCCTTGCCCCCACATCCCCCCACCAGGCTTAACATTTTGCAGGCTTGTGATCCATTAGCATCTCTTTCTTTTTGTCTCTCTCATAGCAGAGACCAAAAAAGAAAAAAAAAGCTGATGAGTAGAAGACAAGAACCTAGTAAGATGAAGCAGTAAAGGAGAACAGATCTTTATCTTTACATGTTATATGTACATTAGTGCCTTCTCCTATAACCTCGGTCTATTATTTTTTCGTAATCTTGGTTAAGAATTAATGGTGGACAGAAAGGATGATACTTTTCGGTCCTCTTTCTCAAAAATAGCAAAGAACTATCCTCCCTGACTTGTTGTCTGGAAGAAAATGGTCAACATTAACCCAAACACCCAGAGACAAAATCAGGGGAAAGCTGATAAGGTCTAAAACAGGAGGATCCCACGTTTAAAAGCACTAGTCAAACTGTGGTCAGTTTGGCAATAAATGTCTCATTTGAGGACAGACATCCAAGCTTTCATACGGTGCTGCCACTTAATACCAATGCTGCCATACTGTGTGAGTTTGGACCAGTTAGGGATTCCTTCTTTCCTTAGCTTTCACATCTATAAAATGAGTATAATACTTCATTGGGATATTATGAATATTAAAGAGATAATGACTATAAGTGTCTGCCACATGGTAAGCACTCAGTAAATGGCATTTATTATTACTTTTATTATTATCCTTATAACTACTTCTGTATTCCTTGGAGTATAGGCTAGAACTAACCAATAAATCCAAAAACATGGTGGATGTAAGAGAAGTTGATTTATCTCTCTCCAAGCAATGGAGAGAGGAGTAGTCCAGGGTAAGGGGTGTAGCTCTGCTCCCAGAGGTCATCCAGGGTCTCAGGTTTCTTCTAGCATGTGTGTCAGTCATTTTCTAAGATCTGGTTATTTCAAGTGCAGAGTCCTGGACTATCAACAACAGCATCACCAGGGAACTTGTTAAAAATGTGAAAGCTCAAGACTCACCCAGATTTTCTGAATTAGAATCCATATTTTAAGATTCTTTGGTAAACAAATTAATGTTCGAGAAGTACTGCTTTAGGACATTAACCTCACCTGCTTGATTAGAGTTGGCCCCATCAGGAGCACATCCAAGAAAAGCAGAGAGACTAAGCAATTTCCTTTTAAGAGGATGTCTTGGAGAACAAACATATCACTTCCAGTCACACTGACCATGCCTAGCTGCAAGGGAGGCTGAGTGATATAGTCTATTGCTGGATAGCAACATGCCAAGCTCCAACTTATCTGAGGGAAGAGAGAAAGGGAGAAGACAAGAATAAAGGAGGACCACTCACAGTCTTTGCCAAAATTGTTATAATTGTTTTGCTGTAGTTATTATTAAAATGAAGGATGGGATAATATGGTCATAGAACAGATTTAACTTTCCCACAATAGAAAAAACATATACAGCACTACTTTAGCCTGTATACTGCTAAGCTATTCAGACACAAACTTACCAAAAAAATAATAGAAAAAAAGTTTTCAAACTACCACCAATGTGCTGTCTTTTTAAAGTCACGAATAGGCAAATTTTAATACAAAAATATGCATTTAGCAGGAACCAAGATACTTTGTTTTTTAAGGTGTATAAAATTCACAAAGAACATTTTGATACAATTTTTAAAAGTGGCACTTCTCTTTGGATAGTGGAAAGTTCTTATGGAAAACTCTACATCTGATCACTAGGAAGACATATATATCAATGGGCCCCTAAACGATACACAGAGAACCAAAGAAAAAGAGGCAAAGGGGACTGATAATAATGATTGTAAGAATGAGTAGCTAATGCCAACTGCCCATCCAACAAGCCCCAAAATCTGAATGGCTTTAGCATAGCAAAGGTTTATTTCTTGCTCGTGAACGTTCCATGTGGGATAGGTAGTCTTACACCATCTAGTAGAAATGTTTTCTAGTAGATAGCTTCTAAGGTTGTCACAACAAGAGAAGAGAAAAAGGAAGGAGGCATATTGCCATGTAACTGCCTTGGCCTAGACTGTCTCTAACAGTAAGTACAATGATGTATAATTTGCGAGCATACAGAAGAGAAAGTAGAATTAAGTAAAACAATTATCCCTTATGTTACACCTAACATAAATTACCTCACACTAGTCTTTTCTTTTACACCTAGATTTCCCTACACTTAAAATTCCCATTGAGTTGGAGACTTCTAGAAGTAATTTAAGTCGGCAAACATTCCTTTTGTTAGGAATGCACCCTCACTTCCAAATCAGAGAATACCTCACTTAAAATCCCAACAAATATTTGAAACTTTAGTCAGAAAACACAGTGGTTCATGTCTGGTTTTGTTTTGGAAATTTAATTTTTTTTTTTTGACATTTCTGTGAAGTTACTTTTTATAAAGGGAACTCATTTTAGAGGCAAGGGCCTAGGCTAAGAGTGGGAACCCAGGCTCTTTCTTTATTAGCTGGGAGTGGCTGGCTACACTCTGATGAGTCTGTTTCCTAATACAGTAAACAAGACAGAAGGACAGATGATCCACTACAACACTTAAATTTCAAGAATTTTGCATTAATAAAAGACAGATGGAAAATTAACCCCTGGGTAATCTCAAGTTCAATTTTTTTTTTTTTTTTTTGAGATGGAGTCTCGCTCTGTTGCCTAGGCTGGAGTGCAGTGGTGTGATCTCAGCTCACTGCAAGCTCTGCCTCCCGGGTTCACACCATTCTCCTGCCTCAGCCTCCCAAGTAGCTGGGACTACCAGAGCCGCCACCACAGCCGGCTAATTTTTGTAGTTTTAGTAGAGATAGGGTTTCACCTTGTCAACCAGGATGGTCTCGATCTCTTGACCTCGTGATCTGCCCACCTTGGTCTCCCAAAGTGCTGGGATTACAGGTGTGAGCCACCGCACCCAGCCTCAAGTTCAATTCTTATATCTGCCTTCTAGAAAAAAATCTATAATATTCAAATTGAGGAACTTTTTTTCCTACCTTATTTTAAAAGTTCTATACAGGTCAGGAAAGAAAAATCAACCATATAAGAGCAGTAACCCACAATTTTGATAGTTATGCATTATACAATAGTCGTGAGCTATTGCCTAACATTTTTTTGAAAAGGATTAATTTTAAATTAAGCACAACCCACAAACTAGAATTGGACAGCCAATGATTGCAACTCAAAATCATTGCTAGTATCATTGAACAGCAAACAGCCAGCTTATCACAAACAGCTATGCCTCATATTATAGACTAGATAGATATATTCTTAAAAAGCAAGCTTTAAAGAAAATTTAAGTAAATCAAATTTGATTTTTCGCATTGATTTCCATTTAGTTATAAAAGCCAGAATGAATAAATATCTTCTACTTGAGTATTGGTCACAACTAACTTCCCTCTCGATGTTTTTCAGATGTTTCATTCAACAAATATATGTTCCTGACACTATTTTATGTACCATAAATTTTAGTTTCATGTCTGCATTTGCGGGAAGACAAAAGTAAGAAGTCCTCATCTCAGGCACTTTCTATTTTTTATTTCTCATCACTGCCTGTTTTGTTTTTATTGTTGTTCTTGTTTTTTTGTTTTGTTGGGAGTGAGGGTGGTCTCTTTTTTATAATTGTATATCACAGCTTTCTAAGGGTTCCTCATGGAATATTTATATATATATATGTATGTTATATATGTATACATATATGTATTTCTTGTAAAATAAGCCTTTCTTACCCTCAGCTTACAATATCTTCAAGACAACATGATTATATCCAATAATTATTGACATCCTTTCCAACTTTTGTACCCAAGACCTTAATCTGTCAATATAGGTTTATTTAAATACAAGACTGAGCCCCATAGCCACAGCCTAGGTACTGCTTCACCAAAATATGTTCCTAAAAGGATGCTTAGAAAACCCATCCAGTAATGACAGTTTATTTCTAATGCTACGTCAATTTATTTTTCCAAACAGGTTCTCATACTCTGTGGTACCCTCACAGTAGCTCCGGGAGGTTGGGCAGGTCTGTTTAACCACGTTTGGAAGACAAGGAAGAAACCTGAGATAAAAGGGAGCGAGATAAATGTCCTCGTGTCATATAGTAAGCTGACTTGAAGAAAAGATCATGGAAACACCTTGTCCAGTGGCTGGTGTCAGCAGAAGGTCAGTAAGCATTAGCTGAATCTTCACAGCTGCCTTAGCACCTCACTTTATGTCCCCATGACACCTTTGGAGTTACGTGTATATGTCTGTGAGTGAGTGTGTGTATAGAGCGCTGATGTGTTTTTTCTTATCAAAAAGCCAAAGTGATATTTATGATCAGACCATGATTTAGAAAAGATACATTTGACCCATATCCAGTTCCAGAACTGAAGTAATTTCTTTGATCATCTACCTTTAATTACTACATTTTCATATCACCTCAACTCTCACAGTGGCATTGACAGGGAACGCTGGAGTTGCATTCCTGGTTGCCATCGGAGACAAGCCACCCTGTCTGGAGGATGCCTCTCATAACGTTATTTTTTACTCCATCTCATAAAGCCTGTTCTGTATAAATATATTTTAATTAATTAATAAACAGGATGTAATGAATTCTGGCAGGGTGACATTTGAGCACAAAGTGAGGGGCTTAGGCAGATCCTGACATGTGTTAGCCAGGAAAACACCCCACACACATATATACACACACATACACACTCTCTCACACACACTCATGCTCAAAAAGAGTCTTTTTATTCATTGGAGATACTATGTAATAAGGAGTTTCAGAAGGTTAATTTGACATTTGAGAGGAACTAGGCAAGAAATACAGAGGTACAGCAGAGGCAAATGTTCCGCAAGAGTTGGTTATGCTCAATAGTGGTGCATCTATATTTTAGAACTAAAAACACTAGACAACACTAGAACTGATTGTTTCTAGTAAACCTAAAATGGCTCATAAATAAATCCACTTTTTGAGAAAAGAGTTTTATTGTTTCTTACCAGAGTGTTCTCTAGTAAACCCTATCTTGGTATTCAGTGATAGGAATATGGGGACTTACTTGGCACATTGGTGTATTCAATAAATATTAGTTGCATCTTCATAGAATCAACATTTCCTAAAGCACATCAATCTTGATTTTGAAGATCTTGAATGTCCCCACTGTAGCAATTCTTGTCCTCAAGGTGTGCATATGTGAAATGTTCTGGATACATAGTTGGTAATTCAGCTCAATATTGGTAAACTATTTGGTATAAAATCTAGATAAGAAAAATTGCTTTTATTGTTGGAGAACCTTCCTTATTACTTCTCTATGTACTTTAAAAGTTTATTTTTTCCATAAGAAAAACTCTTTCATATTTTAAATTTCAATTTAGATATTCCTCTACTTCAGCTTGTAATACTACATACTGTAATTACACTTCCTTCCTCCCTAGCTATACTCTGAGCTCCTCTATGGAAGAGTCTGTCTTACTCATTTTGTTTCCTTATTGTCTGAATATCAAATGTTCCTGACATGTTTATCAAATGAATGAAAATTTAATCTCAATTGTATTTTTCAGGTCAGCATTATTACTTGAACTCTTGCATTCAAATTTCCTCCTGTTATTTAAGAAGGCTTTAGAAATATTGTCAGCCTTAAGCAAAATTAAAAAACGAGTGATGTATCTTGAGTCCCTTCCATCAACCTTTCTATTCCTCACCCAAGGCCTGTTATCTAACCTGGTTTCTCATCACTTAGTTTTCTAAAGTGCTTAGGATGCTGCCCTTTAGCCATAAAAATGCTCCTCCGAACTCCGTGCTGTATTACTTCCCAAACATTAACACCACTGGCACCAAAAGTGATGCAGGGGTGTGACTGAGGGCAGATCACTTCCTCTGTGAACCTCAGTTCTCTCCTCTGCAAAAGGTAAGTAACAACTCTGTTGCCAAGAGTTCCATTCTTTTGAGTTGAACCAAACATTTACATTCCTGGATTGTCCTGGCAGAACAAGTTTAGGCCATTAACCTAACCATGGTCTGCTTTCAGCTTTTTGCATATGGAAAATCATACATATTAAAAAAAAGCCTATATATATATATACACACACACACACACACACACACACACATATATATATAATTAATGATTATCCTGCAGCCAACTTTACTTACATAGAATTTCAAGACCGTAATCTGCTATCTTTTCCAAAGTCCTTGTTTCCAACAGATTTGTTAAATGCTTAAAAGAATGGCCATCTGGCCATCACATATTAAGCGCCACAAAAGTATTGACTAAATACAATTGACTTCAAAACTTTGAATAGCCTATATTCAGATACATATGATACATATGAGAATTAATATTTATAATAAAAGTTACCTAATCATAATACAGAAAATTTGGAAACCAGAAAAAGAAGGAAAATCATTGAATTTCATCACTATTAATATTTTATATTATTCCTTAATATTTTTCTGAAATATTATAGACAGAGAAAACAAGATTATCATGATCTTCACTGCCACCATGTAGAGCACAATGTAAGTGCTTCACTGTGATTATTTCATATAATTCTCACAATCTACTTATGAAGTAGATACTATTAAATTTCCCATTTCATCCTTAGTCTGATTTCAGAGCCTGGGTATTTGACCACTGTAATAATTGTGGCAGAGACAAAGTATTTTCCCCCATAAAAATCTGTGTTTGCCTTCCTTAATGTAGCATTATTGTTGCAAAGCAGCCTTCCAGCGAGCAAAGCCACATTCTCCAATGCACTTGTCCAGGTGGGATCGTGTAGCTAGTTCTTGCCCATAGAATTTGATTAGGAGGGGGTTGTGTCACTTCAGGCCTGAGGTGAGCAGTAGGTGTCGCTTTCGGTCTTGCCTTTCATTTCATTGAGGTGAAACTAATGAACCCCATGGTCCTGGAGGAGATGGTGGAGTTATGGAATAGAAGGAGCTTGAATCCCTGAATCACCTAGAAGGTTCTCCTCCAAGCACCAGCATTGAACTACTGTGAACTTGTATGAGTGAGAAATGACCTTTTATTATAAAACCACTGAAATGTCAGAGTTTGTCTATTATTTTCATTAATACCTTAAATAATACACTAATACTATATACTGACATACACTTCCAAGAAGGTACATTTGTAAACATACTGATATCCAAGCTTTCAAATTACTTTCTAAATTTTACATCATTTATGAGCATTAGACCCATAATATTGTATGATTTCTATTTCTATTAATTTAAATATTTGAAAAATAGCAAAGCATGCCACACAGTTGTATTGTAATTTCTTATTGGTAGACTTCTGTGTTATTTAGTTTTTGTCAATAACTATGAAACCATGGTCTGTTTGACATCCTCTTTTATATATTGTTTTCTATGTAAGAATTAAGTAATTACAAATATTCCTACAAGTGAGATTACTGTCCCAAAGTTTGTGAACATTAGTGTATACAAATTTATTTCAAAATATTTTTTACCAATTTTTTTTTGCAAATAACAATGCACTAGATTGTGTGTCTTATAACTTACCAGGACTGAATAATATTTTAAAAAACTATTTTCAAGCTTAATAAAGAAAAATGACAAATTGATGTTTTGATTTGACTTAATATGCTTACTAGTGGGTTTATTTTCTTACTCCTCATATGTCCTACTAGTGACAGGGTGAATATATTTAGTATCTGTCATTTCCTTTGATCCTTAGCTAGACAGATATGTATATGTTGATAAACTTGATTAAATGTAGAGGACTCAAACAACAACAAAAAATTAACCCTATAGCCGTGTGTTTGGAGGATATCACACAATGTATAAGCAGAAAATTAAAAGTCTCAGTTTGGCATTACTGAAGGAGAAAGAGAGATGTAAGTGGAAATAGCCTATATAAATATGGAAGAGTCCATCTCTGTGGAGCTAGATCCCCCATTGTAGGAACTGAAGTTATCTTTCAGGATTTACACAAGAGGATAACCAATACTCAATATATTGGCCATTTCACATTGCCACTATCTAGAATGCCAGCTGTTACATTCAATGAGCCCACTATCTTTTAAGGGACTAGAACAGAAAGCAGAAAGCAAAGAAATGAAGACATTAGAAATACCAAATGTATCTCCCATTACCTAGATAATTTTAATGACAGTTCCATTTTGGCCACATTTATTCCAATAACTGTCATATTTTCCCACTTCATTTGGCTCTATAGACATAATCATAGATATAAAGATGCATTTTTAAAGTGGGGGTGGGAGGAGGGAAACACCACTGTATTCCATGTATAAAAGAACTTATCCTTACTGTCCATTAGAAGACACTACAATGCTGATTTAAATTAAACTTAGGTCAACTGGTTGCCTAGTAGTAAGAACTAACCTCATATCCATCTAAATATAAATCTTAGTTGGTATTTATTTCAAAGGTTTGTTAGTTTATTTCAGGGGTGTTTAGTGGCTTTGGCATTCCTTTCAATAAGGCATACAGAAATTGTTCTTTATGTTATCAACTGCATTTATTCTTTCTCAAATATTAAAGCTAAATATTCTAGAAAATCCAAATTTCTTTATTCAGCCCAGTGATATGGTTTGGCTCTGTGTCCCTACACAAATCTCTTGTTGAATTGTGATTCCTAGTGTTGGAGGAAGGACCTGGTGGGAAGTGATTGAATAATGTGGGCATATGTCCCCCTTGCTGCTCTTGTGATAGAGTTCTCAAGAGATCTGGTTGTTTGAGGGTGTGTGGAACCTTCCCCTTCTCTCTCTCTCTCTCTCTTTCTCCCTCTCTCTCTCCTGCCAGCCATGTGAAGACATGCTTGCTTCCCCTTCACCTTCCACCATGACTGTAAGTTTTCTGAGGCCTCCCCAGTCATGCCTCTTGTACAACCTGTGGATCTGCATATCAATTAAACCTCTTTTCTTTATAAATTACCCAGTCCCAGGTACTTATTTATAGCAGTGTGAGAACAGACTAATTTATCCAGCATAATTGTTAAAGCAAAGAAGCTCTGATAGTTTATTTTCTGTTAAACGGAATTACGTAAAGGAGACAATGCAAGTCTCTACATGCTGAAACTGAATATGATTAGAATTATGGTTAAAATTCTGTCAATTAATTACAAATAATTCAAGAATTTTAACCCAAATCACATTACTCACAACTCGATATTTATACTAATTCTACTAGGTATCATTTGAATCATTTGCAAAACAGTAAAGGAAGAAAATAACTGAATGACTTGTACTTATTAGAGATTGTTCACATAAATATAAATGACCAGTTGACAAATCATTGATTTTTCACCCTTGTTCATGTTGCCCAAGACAATTAACATAAAAGCAGATGAACCCGTACTACAGTAATTCTAACTTATTAAATGTCATTAGAACGTCATTTATCAGGAAAAAAAAACAATACTCCCAAATCATTTTTGCTGGATTTCATTTTAGAGATTTTTAAAAAGCATTTATCATAATTTCAAAATGCAGGAGATCCATTAAGGCAGGGATACTATCATTCTTCCTGTCTACTGGAATATAGGGACCTGCATGTTCTTTGGCTTGTGGCATGTGTGTAGTAATTATTTGCTGGATTTTTAAATATTGCTGATATTCGATCTCTCATTTTAGTTCTAAGTAGAACCACAAAACTTCAGAGCTCAGAAGGCTGAATTTTATCTTATACTCGAAATTTTAGAACACATTTCAAAACTACATAACACCTCACCAACTCCAATACAATGAACCTATTTCTTTGCACGTCATTAGGAAAATGTCACATCTCAAAGCTTCAAAGGACTTTGTGTAATAAATTTATTTCCTGAGCATGCTTTTGTGTTTTTTAAAGATTCAAGCTCAAGTTAAAGATTTGACTTATTATAATTAAAAGAAAAAGGAATATATGTTATTTCAATGCAAAGATCTAGAGAAAAATCTGTGCATCCAAATCAGCCATAATAAAAGAATGAAATCATGTTTTTCACAGAAGCATAATAAATGGAACTGGAGGCCATCGTCTTAAATGAAATAACTCAGAAATACAAATAGCATATATTCTCACTTATAGGTGGGAGCTACATAACGTGTACACATAGACATAAAGTGAGGAATAATAGACACGGAAGACTCTGAAGGGTAGGAGAATGGGAGGAGGGTGAGGGATGAGAAATTACTTAAGGTAAACAGTGTATACTTTTTGGGTGATGGTTACACTAAAAGCCCAGACTTTACCACTACACAATATATCCATGTATCTGCACTCGTACCTCTAAATTTGTTCAAATTTTTAAAATATAATAAATATTTACCTATTGTAAAAGATAATAACATTTTTTTGTGTGGTGGACTTTAGAAATAAGATTACACTTTCAGGTGGAACTGAAGCTGAAACCCAGCTCTTCTGCTTATTTCAAGTTCTCTACCCTTTTGAAAACCCATTTTCTTCATCTACAAAGTGATACACTAATCCCTACTTCACATGGTTGTGATAATTAAATGAAATAATGCATGTAAGACACTAGCACAGTGTTTGGCAAGTAGAACAACCTCTACCGTTATGAACTGAATTTTTGTGTTTCCCCCAAAATCATATGTTGAAATCTTAATCCCCAATGTGATGCTATTTGGAGACGGGGCTTTGGGAGGTAATTAGGGTTAGGTTAGGCCATGAGGGTGGGACCCTCATGATGAAATTAGTGGTCTTTCAAGAAGAGGAAGAAAGTGTTCTCTCTCTCTCTCTCTCGCCCCCCCCCTCCTACCCCCTATCTTCACCAAGGAATAGTCATGTGAGGACCAGAGAGAAGGCAGCCATCTTCAAGCCAGGAAGAGAGACCTCATCAGAGCTCAACAATGGCAGTGCCTTGACTTTGGACTTCCAGCCTCCAGAACTGTGAGAAGATAAATTTCTCTTGTTTCAGCCACCCAGTCTATGGCATTTTACTGTGGTAGCCCAAGATGACTAGGACACCTACCATTCAACACTCTTTAAATGCTCAGGGGCAGTTCTTCATGAAGGCAGGTAACTCAATAAACTCTAAAGTCTGCTCCAAGCCATAGACTTTTGATTGTCTACTGTGAACTGTCCAGTTGAATTCCCACAGGGTGACTTGATCAACTTTCCAATCATGCTTATCCTGTCAGCTTTGAACTGACCCATGACATTTCAGATTGGAAGTAAAAAGTCTAGATCTTAAAGTATATTCTTTATATTAACCACTTCTTTTGAATAAATCTAAATACTACCGAAAATTTTATACATGTAACATAAAATAATCATGACAAATATAACATAAAATCGTTTTAAAGTTTAATTTTAAGGTAATTCTTCACTGGGAAAATTCAAGCTATTTTGATGTTTTAGGAACTATGTCAAGATAATCAGAAACCCATTATTTGGATGAAACAAACAGGAGAGTATTATTAGCTACAAGGGATCTATACAAAATAACTCTGCTTTTAGTTCCATCACTGTGGAATTTGGAGAACTTTTATAGCATTCTGTGGGATGTTGTCAATTGTTTTGATAGTTTACAGAAAGAATACTGATGCATGCAGGTGTGTGTATACCAGATACAGAGGTGTTGGCAGCCAGACTATTTTACTGTGGAATAACTCTGTGATCACTTCTTGGTCTGCTACAGAACAAACCAAAATAAGAGTTCTCTCCTCACTTCTTCATGCTTGTGTAACCGTCCAGAAAGAGCGTGACCATGTAGGATGTCATTAGGCCCAGTTTTCATCCCTGTTAAATTGCAGGCCGCAGTTCTCTGTAGCTTCAGGAGGGTCAGGCTGCTGTAATGTTTAAGGGACATTAAGTAAGGACAGTTGGGAATGCCAGCTCTGCCAGTCAAGCATTAGGAAGGGTCAGAGTGTAGTCACCTGCCTATTCCCTCTTCCCCTTATCCACATCACAGATTGTGACACTAATCTCTGAAGCCAGTCTCAATTTACTATAAAGAAATGTCTCCTATGTTTTCTTAGCCAGTGTAATTCTCAGGCTGAAGTTCCAACTGCTTCCAGGGCTAGCACAGTTGTTAATAAGTGGGCTGGATTTTTTTTTTTTACCCTTGATTTAGTTTTCTGCTGATCTTCAGCATGGCGGAGAGTGATGCGGTAACAATTTAAGCCCTTGCACAAGATGAGTGAAATGAAGAAGATGCAAAATCTAGCTAATTCTAGTCTTTCTTTCTTTGAGATGGCTGATATTTCCTGTCTGCCTCTTGAGTGATTAATAATGCAGTGGCTGATTCTTCTTTACCCAGAGGGTTATTGTCATCCTTGGTAGAGTTTGACATTTTACACTTTAAGTAAGCACACCCTTAGGCGAGGAGACACCAAGAGACGAATTTCCTTATTAAAAGATGTCACCAAAAGAGCAAGTCAACAAATATGCCACTGCCAAGAAACAACCAACAGACTAAATAGAAGGAGAAAATGAAACAGAGTAACTTGGGAGAGGAGGGGAGGACAAAGAAAAGAGGAGGAAAGAAAGATGAAGAGTAGAGAAAAGAGGTTGTGTATCACAGCACAGTAGGAATAGAGGGAAGTGATAAGCTATTCTCAGTGGGAAGGGCACAGTTCAGGATACTCAATTATCTCTTGCCACTGTTAAGTATGAACACAGGGCTCAATATCTGTATCATTTATGGGTGAGTGTTGGTGGGCCTCAATTGGGCTGTCATGGCTAATTTAAAAGGAAAAGATTGTGTATATTTTATTTGATATTTTGAGGAAGTTAATAGAGAAACAATGGCACATCATAAGCTCACGTCCACGGCATGGATAGCAATTTACAACACTAAAGTAGAATGGCTGGAAGATTTGATGCAGGTGTCTCAGAAGCAGGAGTCAGAAGGGAGGGAGTGAGGGCTCCACAGGAATGATTCACATTGATCTTCTCTGCTAATCCTTTCACTGAAAGGAATTTCTCATGTGGCCACGTTAGATATTAGGCTATAAAGAAAGACTAAAATGAGCTAGATTTTGCAACTTCTTCATTTCATTCATCTTGTGCAAGGGCCTAAATTTTTACTGCATCACTCTCCACCATTCTGAAGATCAGCAGAAAACTAAATCAAGGGTAAAAAAAAAAAATCCAGCCCACTTATTAACAACTGTGCTGGCCCTGGAAGCAGCTGGAACTTCAGTTTGAGAATTACACTGGCTAAGAAAATATAGGAGATATTTCTTTGTAGTAAATTGAGACTGGCTTCAGAGATTAGTGTCACAATCCATGATGCAGACGAGGGGAAGAGGGAATATTAGATCAGGGCCCCAGACCTCAGTCATATATGAACTGAGATGTATAATTACACTAATTTTGCCACTATGGTTTATTTATTCATATATCTAATATTTATTGAGCATCTGCTCTATGGCTAGCACTGTTCTTAGGACTGGAGATAAAGCAGTAAAACAACAACAACAAACACCAAGAAAATTCTTTGCTCCACTAAGCTTAAACTCTTGCAGAGAAGAAAGAAATTCAATGAGATAAATAAGTAAAATATATTATGTAATATTAGACATTGATTAACACTTAGATAAACAAAACAGTGACATGGGGCTAGAAAATGTTGAGAGTAATGGTAAAAAGATCTGAAAATATCAAGCAAGCTGCGTGGATTCCTGGTTCACGAGAAAATGAGAAAAGTGACATTGAAGACAGTGAGCTATACAACTCTTCATAGTTATATCTCAACAAGAAGGATAAAAGATTGGAGTGGTATACGGAAGGTGGGTAACAAGGGTAATGGTTTGCTTTTGTTTTGCTTTGTTCTACTTAAAAATTATATATGTATAAATTTTATATATTTTTATATATATTTTGCAATTTAAACAGCTAGAGGAGAACACACAATTAGGCTTATTGGTCTCATTTAAAAATCGTTATTGCTAACCTCAAATGATTGCTCAATAGCATATATGTTCAAGGCTATCCCCTTTTCTGTCCATCTTGTCTGAGGCTATATCTATAGATATATAGATAGATATAGATATAGATGTAGATATATGCAGTTCAGAGGAGTGAGGGTCCATAGGTACTAGTGCTTATAAGGATGCAAGTATGTTAGTAATTGCTCAAGGAAGTTTTTTGGCAGTGAAATAGAAAACAAAGTCATCAACTAAGAGTGAGGAGAGTAAGAAGCCGTTAGACATTCCAGGAGAGAGGAGAAGGCATAAATAATTTTTTAAGAGATCTATAAGTGAACAGATACAAAAAATATAGTACTATTGCCAGATAGCATTAGGAGCCCATTTGAGGTTAGCAATAATGATTTTAAAATGGGACCAATCAGCACAGTTGTGTGTTCTCCTCAAGCCATTTCAGTTGCAAGTGAGCAGGTGCAATATATACTGAGAGTTAAAATACTCAAGAGTTGTGGTTTAGCCAAAGAAGTACAATAAAGAATACTAAGTGCAAGGGAGCTGAAGGCATTTTCAAAGGAATAATTGTAATTTTTAACTGAGAATTTAAGCCAGGTGAGAAGGTAAGTAAGACTACAAGTGTGAGGACAGAATATGAAAATGTATTAGCATCAACTGATATATATGTGTATACATATACATATACTATAAATTATATATATATATACACATACACACACACACCAATTATACTTAATCCTTAAAAGACATAGGGAGTCAGAGTGTGAGCACTAGGAAGGTAGAGAGTAATCGTCAAAGAATAGAATACATCAAACTGAGATGCTGAGATGTTATAATCACTGATAATGCCAAGATCTAAGGCATGAACATGGAAGTAGATGACTTATTTAAGACAAAGGATAAGATCATTGAAAGAGAGAGGGACATAGAACTAAAATGCCACAGGGTATTTGAAAAGACATCAAAATGGACATTGAAATCACCAAGAAGGATGAAAAAGTAGTGCTTTAGTGAATGATAATAAACCAGGAGCAAAAACTCATCAAGGAGTAAGTATTTATTTTAAAAAATGAGACAAAGTAAATATTGACAATGGGGCTAGGACCTTTTTCATGCAGGATACAGACATCAAGAGTTCAAATCTAATTGTTCTCTCTTTGGGGAAATTCATTTTCATGCATGATACTATCATTTTGTCCACACCAAATATATATATTGTATGCAAAATATATAGTCTCTAATAGACTAATAGATTATTAGAAAAGACCTTTTCTTCTCTTTAGATGTTCTCCGAACCTGTCAGTGGTTTTAGGCCAGAGCTTCTCAAATGCCTCTATTGGAATTTCCCGGGGCAGAAAATTACAAACATGTACCCAGTTCTTAAGACGGAGCCCAAAGCAGCAAACCTGAGGTACAAGTTGAGGTTAACTGTTTTACTTTTAAAATCAATTAAAACCAGTGTTTGTCTTTATATGTACTAGTCAGGTAAGTAACAAGTGATATGAGCTACTAAACAAACAACTCTCAAATCTCAGTGTATTCGTTTATTTCTTGCTCATATGACAGTACAATGCAGGTTGTCTTCTCAGTGGTTCTACCATCTGGGAGGGGCTTATAATCCTCCACTGGATGGTCTGCCTATGCCTGAGGAAAAAGAAAAAACATTGAGGAACTTGTGGAAGTTACAATTCATGCACAGAAGTGGTAGAATTACTTCCACCCACATTCCCTTGTCCAGGACTCAGTCACATGGTCCCACCTCACTGCAGGGAGGCTGGAAATGTAATAGAGTATATAACAAAATAGATTCAGGTATACTTAATGTAGCTTGTTTTATATATAATATGTGAATATACAGTATTCAATGTGCAATACAAGTAATATTTTAAATTATTCTCTCAAGCAAAATGGAAGTTAGAGAAAGATAAGAAGTGCCATGTTTATCCTGTGGCTTCTCAAACCTCCTTTACAAAGTCAGCAGGAGGATCACAGAGTGAGAAACAAGAGTATGCTAAACAATGACGTGGGGAAAATGTTCCCCTCCCTAAATTTTCTGGGCAATCATGGCAAATCATATTGATACAGACAGAACACACGGAAATACCGGGCAGAAGAGGGCAGTTCCCTGGCAAAGGCCTCACCCTCAAGTCTGGAAACCCACACCCTAAATGGTAACAGGCATTTGTTTTCATGCCCAAAAGTTGCCTTTTGGCCGGCCATGCCCCCTTATCCTGAACCCATATAAACTCCAAACCCCAGGCTCCAAGAGCAGATGAACAGAAGAGTGACAGAGCAGCAGAATGGCATGGCAGAGAAGGAGAGAAGAGAAGGAATGTCTGAACATCGAGAGGAGTTCGGCTGGGGACGGTAGGAGAGGAGTTTGGCCGCTGCACAGCCAGACCCCAGGGGAAGATCATCTTCCCACTCCAGCCCCTTTCCAGCTCCCCATCCATCCTGCTGAGAGTCATTTCCACCACTTGATAAAACCCCTACATTCACCATCCTTCAAGTCCACGCATGACCCGATTCTTCCTGGATGCCAGACAAGAAACCGAGTACTAAGAGGGCACTGAGCTGGTTAACCCTTAAGCCATCTGCAAATGGTAGCGCTAAAGGAGCACTGTAGCACACCCACTGGGGCCTTGGGAGTCACAGGCACCCATCCCTAGATGCCACTGTGGGGCCGGAGCCCAAAAGTGCTCGTCCCAGCTCCTGCACCTGCCCAACTGTGTGCTCTCCCTCCCGTAAGGGGTTTGAGCACATGGTGGCCCGAACAGATGAGCCACACCCCTGTCATACATCCTGCAAGAAGTGCCAGGGAACTCTCCCATTTCGCTATTATGATTCACTTTGCTTCTCTAGGTAAATAGGAGTAATAACTGAGAATACCATCCTATATCCCTGAGAAGTAAAAATCCATTTCTGTGACAATATACAAAGTCCCTACAGAGTAGTACCATGCTAAACAAATGGCTTACTCATTGCATTGATATTCCAAATAACTTTTGTTCTTTCTTCTCCAGAAGTGAATTTTCAATGATTGCATCTGAAATTAGTAACTTTCCTTTGTATATTAATCTGCCTTTTTTCAGATTATTGACTATTGCTGGTAACATTTCATTTCCAGGGAGCTGCAAGATTTGTTTTCATTCACAAGGTCTGCTCATTAGGAATTTAATCTAAATCTGATGGTGTTTCACAAAATATTTCTCTTTATTACTGATCCATTGTACTTGTATTACTGTACATTGAATAGTTAAGTCAGCAATATTTAAGATTCAATCATTACAATGAATTGATGTTGATATACTCAAAATGAAAAAGTAGCTTAAGGAAAATAATCCTCAAAATATCTGAATTATGGGGGTGAGATTTATATGAGAAAATATAGGAAATTTGCTTATTATAAACTTAATTTAAACCAATATTTATAAAACTTGGAATTTAAACAAATATTGGAAATAATTTTCATTTCACCCTCTGTCAATTGTCACAATTATAGATGTTAAAGTGCTAAATTATAGAGAGTTTTAGACTCCTGAAAACCTCCCTCTACTGTCTATCCTCTCTTCAATTCTTACTGCATCAAAATATTCATTTTTCCTTTTCTCTTCTATTCCCTGCCCTTTCTTCGAAAGGAAGAAGGAGGACAGAGGACTGAGACTGCGGTGGGTCAAAAAGGCAACAGTAGAGGACAGTGCTGAAGGGGCAAGAAGATGAAGGAAGGGTTGGTGAAGCTAAGGGTTACAGAGATAGCCAAAATGACTGAGAGATTAATCATTGGAGGAGTCTGTTCTCATGCTGCTAATAAAGACAGACCTGAGACTGGATAATTTACAAAGGAAAAAGGTTTGACTCACAAATTCCGTATGGCTGGGGAGGCCTCACAGTCACTGTGGAAAGAATGAGGAGCAAAGTCACATCTTACATGGCAGCAGGCAAGAGAGTGTGTGCAGGGGAAGTCTTCTTTATAAAACCATCAGATGTTGTGAGACTTATTCACTATCATGAGAACAGCATGGGAAAGAACCACCCCCATGATTCAATTATCTCCCACCAGGTTCCTCCCACAACACATGGGAATTATGGGAGCTACAATTCAAGATGAGATTTGGGTGGGGACACAGCCAAACCATATCAGTCATCTGCAGGAGATGGATCAAATACATCAACGTTTCACATAGTGGGAGTCAAGTTTCACTGTCCCAAAAAAACCTTACAAATATGAAAAGGGGGAAAACTAGAAATACCTCTGAGATATTGAAATAGACAATGGAGGTAAGGTGTCAATTCGTGATTTTAAAAATACATAGGTATAGAAAGATTTAGAAATATAGATACATATCTGTGTGTATATATGCATATATGTGTGTATAAATACATATTTTCCTAGTGATATCTTCTGTGAGTGCAAATAAGCAATGACACCTGAGTAGCAATGAACACACTTAGCATAAGATCTTTGTTTCCAAGTACCAGAACCAGGGTTTCCTGGGGAAATGGCTAATTCAAGGGCTGGGATAAGGAAAGCATAAAATGATCCTCAAGTACCTTGTTCTAGAAATGAATGAAGTGCTCAAAGAATGATGTAGGCATATTAAAAGGACATAGAAATATCTTGAATGGGAACTTGGCAATTCTGGGACAGTTTGAGTGTCAAATAAATGATGACAGAGATATACTAAATAAACTGAATAAAATAAGAATCAGGATTCATACAAATATATACCAAGAAGGAAGAAAGGAGGAAAGAAATAGAAAGAAAATTGATAAGATGATTTACAGCAGAATACTAACTAATAAAGAAAGAATGATGAAAATTAAAATGATGGAAATGGGAAATGACTCTGAAAGAAGATACACACAGCTGCTCATATTGGTGGATGGATGTTGAGTGAGAAAAAGGATATTCACATAATGCCAGGGTATTTTTTTTTTACAATGTACATACCAAATTACAAAGGTAAAAATGGTGAATTTATGGTGGACAAACATAGCACCATCACCAAGATCAAACACCTGTAATTTTTAAAGACTTTCAAGGTCATAAAATATATAGAAAACACCCTGAGGTATGATTTTAAATTGAAGGACAAACACAATGTCTGAAAGCAAAATGTTGTCTTGGAAAAAACCTGGACCAGAAGAGAAAAAGGGACTTTACTGGGTCTTGTAACCCAATGGACACAGTCTTGCATCCATGTCTATTTCTTCATTTGGAAGGTTGTATTGCCATTAAGATAAGGTCCTTGCTTGGGGAAAATACATTGGACTACTTAGGTATGATGGAGGTAATATGTCTATAACTTGATTTCAAATGGCCAAGAAAAAGAATAAAAATAATGGATCAGGTTATTAATTTATTATCTCTCAACTCTAAATTTGACTTTTATTGCCTGCTCTGCAAAAGTGAATCTGGGCCTTTAATTTTTTCTTTGCCAGCTGGCGAAAAGACTTATCAATAAAGGGAAATAGAGAGGTGCTACAGGAGAAAGGAGCTTTGTTTCCTGATTCCAGTGTGCACACTTCGCAGGCCTCTGCAGAGCAGATGGCTTCTCCAAAGCCTGGTTTCTGCAGCACACATAGTTTTCCCAGCATCCAGCACCCAGCTCTCACAGCACAAGCAGCTTCCCCAGGGCTCAGCTCTTAAAGCATGCACAACTTCTCCAGCACCTGATTTATGCAGTGCATGGTGGCTAAAAGCACCAGAAACCAACAGGTTCCACCTGCAACCCCTTCCAGTGGTTTTATAGTAGAGGGCCTCCAGGGATACAGGTCCCTGTGAACAATTTTCCCTGGCACAGCAGTGGGCAAATTTTCAGCAAGTTAATGAGCCATGGCCATGTCCTTTTCAACAACTTCTGGATCTCAGCCCTAGAGGGGTTCTTCCTTGAGCACTTTAGCTCAGTCCTAAGTAGTAGCTCCTTTTATATCTATTATTCCTATATTATTTAAAATTCTCCTGACTTTTTACTAGCCAGTTCCTCATTTCTACAATCCCTTGTTATAGTGATTCTTTACATTAAACTTTTCCTCTTCAAATTGCTATATAAATAGATCTTTAATAGCAATAAATTTGGATATATAAAGAGAGGTATACATAGATATAGAGAACATGGGGATTGTAATGGATGTGATATTATATGATAAATATGATAAAACATTGATTGAGGAATCTGTATAAAGAGAATATGAATATTCCTTGCACAGTCCTTACAATTTTTAGAAATAAGTATTTTTCTTATTTAACCCTTGGTGTTCTGAAATTTCATGATACTGTCCCTTGATGCTGTTTGAATGATTTTTGGTATAAAATGAAACAAAATTTCTTTTATGTTTATTCAACAGAAAATCATTTACAAAAATTCATGTTTTTCATAAGACTGTGTTTTAATCAAATGAGTAATTTGATACATAAAAATAGAATCTTAGTGTCATATTTTAGTATCACCTGCTTCTATACTGATTTAAAAGAAAGTGTATTTTTTTATAAATGTCCAGAATCCACCCTATGCTATGTCAGCCTCCAGCATCTTTCACAGAATTAGAGGCCAAGCTCTAAGAAGCAATGTAGATATTTTACTACAGATGGCTGGTTTGTGAGGGCAAAAGCCTATATCCATGACATTTGGCTCTAAATCCAAATGTGGGCTTCAAAAAGCCTCTCCTAGAAAATCCACTTTGATGATACCTCCACACCATCCCACAGTGGGTTTGTTATGAACCACTCAGGACCAGGTCTCCAAGACACCCTTCCTCAGAACACTAAGTGCTCTCCCTTCCAACTGCTTGTGTGTTTTTCTGTCTTTGCTACTAGAGTGGGAACTACTTGAAAGCAGCTGTGTCTTTCATCTCAGTGTCACCAGACCCTACTCTGATGTCTCAGAAATAATAGATACTAAATAAATGTTTATTAAATTAACATTTATTTGCAGCAGTAGTGCATACTGTTGGGTAAATAACTCCTATAAGAATTCTTACTGAGAAAATATACCTATCTTTCTCTTGTATTACTTCCTTGCTAGAAACGAAACATGACTCCTGAGTGACATCATAATATTAATCACTTGAGAATTTAAAAATTAAAGTAATATACAGATATACTGATTCAACTGTTTCTGCTTTGATATGGTTTGGCTCTGTGTCTCCACCCAAACTTCATGCTGAACTATAATTCCCAACATTGGTGGAGAGAACTGGTGGGAGGTGACAGGATCATGAGGGAAGATTTCCCCCTTGCTGTTCTTTGATAGTGAGTGAGTGCTCACAAGATCTGATGGTTTAAAAGTGTGTGGCACTTTAACCCCCAACTCTCTCTCCTGCTCCACCATGTAAAGAAGGTGCTTGCTACCCCTTTGCCCTTCCACTATGATTGTAAGTTTCCTGAGGACTCCCCAATTATACTTCCTTTACAGCCTGTAGAATTGCGAGTCAATTAAACATCTTTTCTTCATAAAATACCCAGTCTCAGGTAGTTTTTTACAGCAATGTGAGAATGGACTACTACAGGAAATTGGTACCAGAGAAGTGGGGCATTGCTATAAAGATACCTGAAAGTGTGAAAGTGACTTTGGAACTGGCTAACAGGCAGAGGTTGGAACAGTTTGAGGGGCTCAGAAGAAGAAAGGAAGATGAGGGAAAGTTTAGAACTTCCTAGAGACTTGTTGAATCATTGTGACCAAAATGCTGATAGTGATACGGACAGTGAAGTCCAGGCTGAGGTGGTCTCAGATGGCGATTAGGTACATACTGGGAACCGGATTAAAGGTCACTCTTGCTAATGCTTTAGCAAAGAGGGGTGGCACTGTGCTTCTGCTCTAGAGACCTGTGGAACTTTAAACTTGAGAGAGATGATTTAGGGTATCTGGCAGAAGAAATTTCTAAGTAGCAAAGTGTTCAAGATGTGGCCTGGCTGCTTCTAATTGTTTGTCCTCATTTCCATATGCAAAGAGATAGTCTGAAATTGGAACTTATATTTAAAGAGAAAGCAAAGCATAAAGTTTTGGAAAATTTGCAGCCTGACCATGTGGTAGAAAAGAAAAACCCATTTTCTGGGGAGGAATTCAAGCCAGCTGCAGAAATTTGCATAAGTAAAGGGGAGCTGAACATTAATGGCCAAGACAATGAGGAAAATGCCTCCAGGGCATTTCAGAGACCTTTGAGGCAGCCCCTCCCATCACAAGCCTGGAGGCCTAAGAAGAAAAAACGGTTTCATGAGCCAGGTCCAGGGCCCTGCTGCTCTGTGCATCTTCAGGACACAGCACCATGTGTCCCAGCCACTCCAGCTCCAGTCATGGCTAAAAGGAGCCAAGGTATAGCTTGGACCATTGCTTCAGAGGGTGCAAGTGCCAAGCTTTGGTGGCTTCCATGTGGTGTGGGCCTGCAGGTGCACAGAAGACAAGAATTGAAGCTTGGGAGCCTTTATCTAGATTGCTTGGGATGTACGGAAATATCTGGATGTTCAAGCAGAAGGCTGTTGCAGGGGCAGAGCCCTCATGGAGAACCTCTACTAGGACAGGGCAAAGAGAAAATGTGGGGTGGGGCCCCAGAACAGCAGATCCACTAACAGCTTGCACCATGCACCTGGAAAAGCCAGAGGCACTCAATGCCAGGCCTTGAGAGCAGCCAACGGAACTGAGCCCTGCAGAGTCACAGGGGCAGAGCTGCCCAAGGCCTTGGGAGCCCACCCCTTGCATCAGTGTGGCCTGGATATGAGACATGAAGTCAAAGGAGATTATTTTGGTGCTTTAAAATTTAATGACTGCCCTGCTAGGTTTTGGACTTGGATGGTGCCTATAGCTCCTTTGTTTTGGAAAATTTCCCCCTTTTGGAATGGGGGCATTTACCCAATGCCTATATCCCTACTGTATCTTGGAAGTAACTAACGTATTTTTGATTTTACAGGTTCATAGGTGACTTGTCTCAGATGAGACTTTGAACTTGGACTTTTGAGTTAATGCTGGAATGAGTTTAGACTTTAGAGGACTATTGAGAAGGCATGATTGGTTTTGAAATATAAGAAGGACATGAGATTTGGAAGGGGCCAAGGGCAGAATGAAATGGTTTGACTCTGTGTCCCTCCCCAAATCTCATGGTGAATTGTAATCTCCAACATTGAGGGAGGGACCTGGTGAGAGTTGATTCGATCATAGGGCAGATATCCCCCTTGCTGTTCTTGTGATAGTGAGTGAGTTCCCTTGAGGTCTGGTTGTTTCAAAGTGTGTAGCACTTCCCCCTTTGCCCTCTCTCCTGCTCCATCCACGTAAGACTTGCTTACTTCTCCTTTACCTTGTGTCATGATGGTAAGCTTTCTATGGCCTCCCAGCCATGTTTCTTGTACAGCCTGCAGAACCTGTTGGTCAACTAAACTTCTTCATAAATTTCACAGTCAGGTATTCTTTATAGCAGTGTGAGAACAGACTAATACATGCTTCGATTTTTTTCTTGAAACTGGAAGGTTTTGATTAATCTACATAACCTATTGAAATTAATAGAGAGTTGATCTCATTTATTTAAAGACATCACAGAGCAGACTTTCTGTTCCATATTGAGATTTTCATCAGGTGGATTTGGCCAGAGAGCATTAGAAGCTGGTAGAGAGATTCCTGCAGACAATGGTTCTGTTTTGTGTGGGATGAATGCCTCTGGCCATGTCTATTTTCCCTTCATTGCTGACAAAGGTATTTTGCTCCACTTTATGGAGTATAAGTATCATACACTTAATAGAAGTTAGTGATGTCAGTGCTCTTTGGTATAGTAAATCTCTAGTGTAAGATAATCTTACTTAATGATCAGCATAAAGCAGAGAGAGGTCATTTTTTTTAACGTTGCCATAAAGCCTGCGTTTACTATGATAGAGTTGGAAGGAGGCAATCCCATTAACCTTTGTATTGTATTGATAAAATTATATACCCTCCTGAATATCAAGGGTGGCAATGCTACTGCAGTTCTCCAGTAATCCTGACTGGCACATTGACATAGGATTTGGCCTCAAGCCATTTAGGGTTGTGCCCAATCTTGTCCTTTATCTAGGAATATGACCTTGGGCAAGTCTTAACCTCTTAAAGGCTCAGATTTTTCAACTATATTTTCCTTCTTTCTAAATGCAGTGTATGAGGGTTTCTGTGTGTTTTACACATTTTTTACAGTTATTTATTATGACTTTTATTTAAAGAAAAAAAGCACTTCTTACAGCATTTAAAAATGCTTTAAAGACATTGTTTTTTAAAAAAAGCACCTATTTATATTTTATATAAAGAAGAAAAGGCATTTCTATTTGAGTAAATCGGTTCTAATAATCCTCTATTTTCTTACTTGCTTCATAAACTGGTAAATGAATTGAATGAGAAAAAGAACATCAAAAAGTTTCACAAATGTGAGTTAGTATTATTATCACTCTACACACAAGAACTGAAGGGCTGTTCCTTGAACTCTTCAAGTCATTGTGTATGGATATTATAGGGCAAAATGAGAGGTAACATGGAGGGGTAGAACTGCTCTCTTTTACTTTCTGTAGACTAATTCACGATGACATGGAGTAATGGCGAAGAAGTTTTCCCAGGGCATATGAAGACATGTAAAGGAAGTGGCAGCTTGGATCCCCCTGCAAGGTACACTGCACAACGGGCAATGCCATTTGGCTGTCACCTAGGAAACAAGAGGCGGCTGCTCTGTTGACTTATAAAAAGGTTCTGTGGGTTGGGTAGTTCATTTCTGGATCACAACATATGGGAGAGGTTCCTAGTCTGAGTCCTTAGGCTCATCTTCATTCTCAGGCTATGAAAATTTTCAAATGGTGAAAAGAAGATTAATACAAAGTTATAGTTCAAAAACTTTAAAGGTTATGATGCCTAAGGAAAAAAAAAGTGGAAAGGATAAATGAGGTCACTTAGCAGAAATCCCACTACTTAAGTGGCATGCCTATAAATTGTCTGAAAGGTGGCCATGCATTCGAAATGCCTTTATAGTATAGGTTAATTCTTCCTCTTTGTAATTAAAGAGAATCGTGACAATAGTGCTGTATCCTAGGTCACATTCCCCAGCATCAGAATTAATTAATTCTGTGAATTAATTAATGTGGGGGTCATTTTACCTATATCTCACTCATCTTTAAAGACTCATTCCAAGCTCTATCATTTCAGCAAAGGCTTTTCTGACTATTCCAGCTCTTATGGATAACCTGCTTCTTTCTTACAGTTCTTAGGCTCTGAAACACAAAATTTAGCATTTATTCTAAACTTCCTCTTATTATTTCTTCTCTCCCTAATTAGAGCATGACTTCTCTGCAGGCATAGGTTCTATTTTACACTTCTTTCATTATCCTACCACAGCCCCAAGCACAATTCTGAAAATAGTGCTAAATAAATACTTGTTGATTAATGAATACTTTTCAATTTGCCTTTAAGGCACCATTTCCACTTTGTTTCACCTTAGGGTGAGGACAGATTTTCTGCCTCAGGGAAACATGCTAAGGTCCTCTAACTCTCTTTACCTTTATCTGTTTATACGTTCTTAAATCTGTGAAAGAATATCTTGCAGAGAAGTGCGGCTCTGATAAGGGGGCAACATTCAAGAATGCCAATTTCTTTCTCCAGAGAAATTTTTCTTAATTATTAGGCATGCAGGTAATCTTATAGAATTATCATCAAGACTCAGTGGTTCCTTCACTTATTAACTCAACTCCAGCTTCCTTACTCAGAGCAGAGATTCATATCTCTGCTTTGAATCCGAATTAACCAGAGCATCTGCCCAAACTGAGAAAAGAAGGTTGCTCAGTGTGTTCTGTGTCAGTGGCCCTTTACAATGACATTATCCTTCAGACCTCCCAGTCCTCCCATCCTTAACTTTGTAATATACACTGGAGGAAAGAAAAAAATTAAAACAACTGGATACTTACAAGGGCTGTCTCTGCATGCTCTTAGCAGCAGCTAGCAAGTTTTACCCAAATGATATCCTTCTGGTACTACTGGTTATATTCAGATCAGATCTGAGATCAAAGACTAAGATGCTTCACATCCAAGGTCAAAAAGTGGAGGGCACAGAAAACTAGGCCATATGAAAGCCCAAGAATAAATGAATAAGGAGAGAAGTCATCACGTGGTTTCCTGTTGCTCTAGCAAGAGGACTCCCAGATAGTCAAATGGTCAACCAAAAGAGAGCTGGCTACTGTGAAAAGGAACCCGTCTCCAGAATCTAAGTTGTTAATTTTTTTAATTTAGAAATGGCCAACCTGGACATCAGACAAATACAAATTCAGAAGGCTAACAGGATTAAATAGAGGTGCCAAAGAGAAAACTGAAAACGTAACTTCTGATTTTAGTGTAAAGGACTGCTTAAAGGAAGTAGAGTACAAAGAAGGAGAGGGTAGTTCTGTAAAATAATATGTCTATGAAAGAAAGAAGGGTGTTCACATTTGATACTTTGGTAGACTTAAAGATTCTACACTGTACCTCAGATCAACTTGCTTTGCAGATGATGGAAAAGAAAGAAAGAAAAGATCTTCTCTACACAAAGACATTAAAAATGAAAAAAAAAAGATGGTGGATCAGAAGCCTCCCACATGTATATCCAAAGCTTTCTTTATCTATCAAAATTTCCCATAGAGGTAACAATGTGAAGTGAATTGGCATCTAGGGCATTCTCACAAACATTTACTCTAAATAATTAATCTACTGGTCACCTGGCAGGCAGAAGACTGGGGTTAGATTTTGGCAGATATGCAAAATAAAATACGTCTTTTAGACACAGACACTAGGAATAAGCTCAGGGTTTCCACATTTGGACAAAGGCATGATCCACATCCAAATATGAATTTTCTTCTCCTAGTTATCATTATACTACTTTTCTTCCCTCTGAAAAAGATACCACAGTTTTACTGTTACACTATTTTCCTTTGTGCTGGATTCTATTGTAACATCAATGACAAAATAACTACAGATACTCTAAGTCTTTCTAATGACTGATGTGATTAACCAAAAGTAACAAATGAGGATTCTCATGCTCCATGGGAGTTTGAGTGTTGCTCACCTGAACTCTCTCAAGGACACCAAAAGCATATGGTCACAGAGATAGGCATGTCATTGCACAATCAGATCTTGGCAATGAAGAGGCTCTTGAAATTATGCGCATGTCACTGCGCGCAGAGCCCTGGCCACACTCAGGTTTTATATATGTTCTAGAGTCTCCCTTTCAGCAAAAGAAACACACTAGTTACATTTAAGAAGAAGGTAAACACGGTGCTGATGAAGTTGGTGAACACAGTGTGGCATTGATTGATGACATCTCAGTATACACTCAAACATGGGAAGACTACGTGGAGCATGTAAAACAAGGATTTGGGTAGCTTTTACAAACAAACCTGACAGTGGGGCCAAGGCATGTCAGCCTGGCATGCTGAGGTGACACATTTAGGACACAAAGAGGGGAAGCAGACAGCCACCACTCTGTGATGGTGGCCTGCTCTGTTTCTCAACGGGCCATTTCATGAGGAGATGTTAGGCAAAGATTACTGGACATTACAGACTGATTGCTAGGGGTGTACAATTACTTAATTTAAATGCCATTTTACTGACTCATGAAGACCACCCAAGAAGGTGACAGGACAGAAAAATTTAAGTTGATTTTTCTTAATCTCAAAATATATTTTTTCTGGAGTTAGGGGATTGACAAGTACTTCACAATTATATTATCCTGCTTCCAAGATTACCTGCTATGCATGTTTAAGTTTCCAACAAAGATTCAGGAGGATGAGGATATAGTCAAAACAAGTACGCTATTTGATCAACAGAACCCTGTAGTGAATAACAGAGCAGATATACTTTCTACTGTCTTACTAATAGGCTGTTTTTCATAAAAAGTCTAACTTTAGAGCCAGAATGGGGTCAGCAACCCAGCAGCCCAGAAATCATCTCCAGTTCAAATAAAATTAGCCAGTTCCATGAAGATTTTTCTGGCATAGTGTGTACTGCAAGTCTCTGTTCTCCTAGGGGGAAAGGATGACCTCACATCTTCTCATTATTCTTTCCTACCCTGAAGGTATTTCTTGTCATCTATTATCATATAAGCCCTGTGCTGTTAGTTACCCTTGATGTGCACATCTTATTGCCCCAACTGCATTATACAGTCCTTGAGGGCAAAGCCTGATTCTCCTGCTTCTTGGAACCTGCTATAGCATAGAGCTTTGTGTCATGCACAGCATACATATCAATAAGGGTTTGTTCATTTATTGCACCATGGACAGCTGTATTCAGTTCTTCTGTTAAGCATTTGTCTTTCTATATATTCTATCTTAGTGGGTCAAGTAGTATTACAAGTAGCTGTGACTGCCAGAACCTCTCAGTCATACAAGATGCAGGATGATGTACTAGTTAAGAGAATTCATGGGCTTTAGATAAAAAGGCACTTGAATTTAAATTTCAGCTCTGCCACTTCCTAGATGTGTGATCTGAGTTTCTCTGAACCTTAATCTACTCACTTATGACATGTATATAGCCAAAGGATAATCATAAGGAAATTAAATAACTATGAACTATGTTTGGCACATAGTAGACACCTAGTAAATGGCAGTTAGGATTATGTGGCTTTGCATTACTCACTTTTACTCTTATACTCTTTGTTCAGATATTATTCAAGTTAGTAGACTCATTGTTTTGGTCATTTACTTTAGCACGGTATTATGATATCTACAGTTATGCAACAGTGATTTTATAGGGCCTAATTCTTCCTTTGTGCAAAAGGCAAATGAGATCAGTTACATAGACTTGTGTGGGGGCAAAGGTGATGTAAACAGGATACAAGTGGTGATTTGCGAATGGTTATGACACCTTGCCTCAGGCAAATCCTCCAAGCTGAATTTGCAGGCTTTTTGCTCAATGGGAAAAATATACTACAGGTGACAACTCAATTAAAACTCAGCCATCTCTGAGAAAATAACCTCATGGCATATGCAACGCACAGAAATAAAAATTTGAACCATAAAGCTTAATTTTGACCTTGTTCAATGTGCTTACAATCTCGGAATTTACTCTTACAGCCTCGGTTCATGGGCTATGATTTCTGACTCTTCATCAACTTCTTAATTAGGAGACATTCATGACTTCAAGCTCAACATATTTCTATTTCGTGAAAGGCTAGACTGATATCTAGGCCCTGAAGGTTGATGTGCATCAATTTCTAAGATATAAAAGCTTTAAAAGCTTAAATCTGGGCAGATTGTGTTTTTATTTCCCACTTCTGTAGTATTCTCATATTACTGAGAATCAAAGCAGCACACACTTAATTATCTAATGAAACCCAAGATCTTGCAGTCCATCCCCCAGCCTGTGGGTAAGCCACTGAGCTAACTGCCCTAAAAAGATCCACAAGGAAAGAAAGTGGCTACTAGATAAGGAGGAAAGAATGGTGGACTAGGAGGCAGGGAACTTGGTATCAGCTCCCTGGTCTGTGCATAATAATTAGTTGTCTTTGGAATATCATCAGGCATTCAGGCCTCAGCTTCTTCTACAAAATGAGAAGATTGGATAAAATGCTCCCTGAAGTCCTATGAGCTCCAAAATTCTATGCCCCGACAACAGTCTTCATGCTATATTCCAATATTGGAAATAATTCTGTGTACTTCATTCACAGCCTTCTTCTTCATTTCACCCACAGCCACTCCTACCAGCTTCCTTGACACTGCAGTGGGAAGTAGGTAACTGTGTCATGGACAAAAGACATTCCTCTTTATGATCTTTACCAGGACTCTTTTCTACAACCTGACAGCAAGAAGCACTCCAAGTTGCACAGCTGTGTTTAGCAGTACCTATAACCAAAAATTGTATGTATGTTTCAACATTGTTACAGCTCTTGATAAAACTACAAATATGGATAGGGCTCTTGTGCTTAAAATAGTATTTTCTGGGGATTGTGAGGCTTATTTGGGGTTTATTGATAATGGGTTTTGAGATTTAAGAAAGAGAGACCCATTCAAGCTGCCTCCAGAAATTATTGGTTTGGGCTTTTTTTTAATGCAAAGGTACAGGAACCTCACAGAAATCCAGGATTTTGCCATACAGCCTCATGGGAAGAAACCACAACGGGAAGCTGGGAAGCCTTCTGAGGCAAGGAGGTGCATTCTCTGGCACCGCAGAGTCTCTCCAGCTCATGGTGTCTTTCCTTGCCCATCTACCTTGTTCTTCTCTTCCCATGTCTCTACTGACTGGTTTTGTTATGCTTACTCTTAGTGTATGCTGTCTTCCAAGTTTGCTTTAAACATGTTCTCAGTTTGTTTAGTCGCAATTCTATTTCATGTCTTCTCTTAATGCTTCTATTCATCCTCTGGTCCCACCACTAACTACTTTTTCCTTTCAGTTTTCTAATTGAAAATGCTTGAGAGAGAAAGGTTATTGGGCTGCCAAATCTTTCGTAAAGCTAGGTCAAACAGGAAATATATGACTCACCAAATCATGACCAGACAACCCAGTACCTAGTGCCCTCTCTTGGGCCAATTTAATTGGGCCAAATTTTAAAAATACCTACTGCCCATCAGAATGACTGTGCATGAGGTAGTCTTCCTCAAATTGGGGTATAGGCAGGCATGCAAGCGAAGTTGCCCAGTTAGTCTCTATTTTGCATCTGTATTCCCCAGAATTTTTGCGGAATATACTTTTCTGAAAGATAGTTCTGTGAGTCCAGAACCAAGGATTTGTATACAGTTGACCCTTAAACAACGTAGGGGTTGGGGTGATAACATTTGGCACAGTCAAAAATCTACATATAACTTTTGATTCTCCAAAAACTTGACTATTTAATAGCCTATTGTTGACCAGAAGCTTTACTGCTAACATAAACCGTCGATTAATACATATTTTGCATATGTATTATAGACTATATTTTACCATAAAATAAGCTAGAGAAAAATGTTATTAAAATCATAAGGAAGGGAAAATATATTTACTATTCATTAAGTGAAACTGAATCATCATAAAGGGCTTCATCCTCGTTGTTTTTAAGTTGAGTGAGATGATGAAGAAGAAGAGGAGAATCTGGTCTTGCCGTCTTAGGGGTAGCAGAGGTGGAAGAAAATCCATCTATAAGTGAGCCCGCACAGCCCAAACCCATGTAATTCAAAGGCCAACTCTCCTTACTTTTAATTTCATATCTTTTCTTATTTAAAAAAAGGACAACAACGCTGCACTGACATACAATCTAACAGTCATTTCTTGGGTACCCTATGTGTGTGGTCCAGCCAATACATATATTAATACAACACCTGGTTACTGTTTGCCTCTAAAATCATTTAGTTTACTATTCTTCTTTTATTATTTGAAAATGTGTCCTAATAATCTACCTCTGAAGACTATTTTGAAGGACACTTACCACAGTATTGTAAAGCTATCTAATAAATGCTGCCATGTATTAACAGAGTAGCATTTTCTTATTAATGCTACAAATAATAATTCTTTGAAACTCCTTACACTTCTTTTTTTCATGTCCAAGGAGTCTTAGTTGAGAAATTGACACCTAATTTCTGAGAAATGTGATCTTTTTACACCACAGTAGGGTTTTCATAAATCCTCTGCTACAACTTTATAATTTGTTTTACACCATCAACTCCCACATCATTCCTATATTATTACAAAATTCAAGCAGCTACATTATAAATTTTAAGACATGGACTTTGAAGCCCTCAACTTTCTAGTCATCAGGGCTTTATGTACTTTAAGAAAACAATCAGAGCTTGGAGGAAAGCAAAAGGAAAGTAAAAGAGAATTTGGGTGTTTATACATAGAGAGAGAGAAAAGGAAAAAGACATTATTTCCAGAAAGACTGCATGAGGATGACAGACAAATAAAGACAGAGGGGATATTTGTGATTTAATTCTGCAAATCCTCCCAAATATTTATTAGTTAAATCTTATCCTAAATATCAAAATTTAAAGTCCATATAGTTTTATAAGATGTTGTTAGAAAAGTTTAAAATTTCTCAGACTCACAAAAATCTAAAGATATCTTTTGCCAAAATACTCTGAAATAGTAAAACCCTTCAGACTCACTTGCATTGAAGGAGATGTTTCAGTAAAACAGTCTTCTCTAGCTCTCCCAATTCCTGGAAGTTTGTCTGGCAGGAGCTGTTGAGGGTTTCGTCATGGAGGGACAGCTCAGGATTGGCCAGGCCATCATGAGACTGTTTTAAGGAATCCTGGGTTAAACATTAGAGTCATGTCAAAGTTTGCCCCAGCATTTCTGATTTTTTTCTTTGTTTTATTTTGTCTTGTTTTCGTTTGAAGCATTTATTTTAAAAATCCTGATAAATTAAAATAAAATATTTTATTACTGCTTTTAAGAAAAAAATTATCATGATAGTATCAGCTATTGTGTCTGTTAAAGATGCCAAAACTCCCAAGCCATTTTTGAAAACTCTACGCAATCTACTCCATCCTCTGAAAATTAGCTGCTTACAATTATTTCATAACTAATTGATGCTCAGAATTATCTCACTGAGAAATTTGCATGTCCTCAGAAATTCAAGAAAGATGTAATTGGACTTGCTATACACTTCAAATTAAAGCAAGGGCACCTTTTATTACCATGTTATTAGTTTGAGTTTTATGAGCTCTCAAGAGGCTTCAAGTCTGGTTCTGAACACCCAGTGTTGCTCATTACACAGGCTACTTATTCGATAGATAAATTAGTCAACTTTTCAACCCAGTTTTCCTCTTTTTCTAGTGAGAAGAAAAAAATTATACACACACGCACAGAGGTAAAAGGCTTGTACACTGAAAACTATGAAACAATGCTGAAATAAATTTCAAAAGACCTAAATAAATAGAAAAACTTCCTGTGTTCATGGATAATAAAACCTAATATTGGTAAGATGTTAATGCTACCCAAAGTAATCTACAGATTCAGTGTAATCTTTATCAAAATTCTAACAGCCATTTTTGCATATATGAAAAAGTCAATCCTTAAATTCATAAGGAACTGAAAGGTGCTCTGAATAGTCAAAACAATATTGAAAAAAGAAAACAAAGTTGGGGATCTCATCCTTCCCAATTTCGCAACTTACTCCAAAGCTACAGTACATAAGCCAGTGTAGTACTGACATTAAGAAAGATATATAGACCAATGGAAGGAAATTGAGAGTTATATATGGAATATAAACCAATGTATCTATAACTAATTGATTTTTGACAAAAGTGATGAGTTCATTCAATGGGGAAAGAAGAGTCTCTTCAACAAAGGTACTGGGACAAATGGATTTTCATCACATGAAAACAGAGTTGAATCCTTAGTTCACAGCATATACAAAAAAATTAATTCAAAGATGGATCAACGGCTGAAATATAAGAGCTAAAACCACAACATGATTAAAAGAAAACCAAAGTAAATCTTCATTACCTTAGATTTGGTAATGAAGACTTAGATATAACACCAAAAGCATGAGCAATGAAAGGAAAAATATATAAATTGAACTTCATCAAAATTAAGAACTTTTATGCATCAAAGGACACTATCAAGAAAGTGAAAAGATAGCCTTTAGAAAGGGAGAAAGTATTTGCAAATAATATATGTTAAGGGTTTAATATCCGGAATATATAAAGAACTCCTACAACTCAACAACACAAGACAAAAAAAAATTTAAATAGGTAAAGGACTTAAATAGACATTTCTCCCAAGAAGATATACAAATAGCCAATAAGCACATGAAAAGATGTTCAACATCATCAATCATTAAAGGAATGCAAATAAAAGCCATAATGAGTTACCGTTTCACATTTATTAGAAGACCATAATAATTAAAACGAAACAAAAACAGAAAATAGCAAGTGTTGCCAAGTAAGTAAAGAAGTTGGAACCCTAATACATTGCTGGTGGGAAAGTAAATTGTTGTAGTCACTGTGAAAAACTGTAAGGCAATTCCTCAAAATAGTAAACATATAATTATCATATGACCCAGTAATTCCACTCCTTGGCACATACCCAAAAGGATTAAAACAGGGGGTTAAACAGACATTCATAATTGAATATTCATTGCAACGTTATTCACAATAATCAAAAGGTAAAAACAATGTAAGTGCCCAACAACAGTTGAATGGGTAAAGAAAATGTGGTGTATACGTACAATGGACTATTACTCAGCAATAAAAAGAAATGAAGTTGTGATACAAGCTACAACATGGATAAAACTTGAAAATATGCTGTGTGAAATAAGCCAGACACACAATAAACAAGTACTATATGATCCTACTTACATGAAATACCTAAAATAGGCAAATACGTAGAGCCAGAAAATAGATTAAAAGTTACTAAGGGCAAGTGTATGGGAGATTGAGAAGTTATTGCTTAAAGGCTAGAAAGTTTCTGTTTGTGGTGATAAAAATCTTTTAGAGATAGCGATGATGGTTGCATGGCATTATGAATGTAATTAATGCCACTGAATTGTATACTTAAAATGGCTTAAAATGTCAGATTTTGTGTTACATATATTTTACAACAACAAAAAAGTGAAAAAAGTGTTAATGCTACTACAAAGCAAGTTAACCAAGAAAGGCAATTCCTCAGTATAATTTTGCTCTTTTTGAATTAGTCTTCAAAAGTTATCGATCTCTATTTAATCTAACCTTGCTTTGTACACAATGTTGAAAGGGTCACTTTTTACCACTCACCTGGAATTTTTATATTGTGTCAGAATTCCTCCTAACACTGTTCTACGATTTCAGTCCAGATTGAGGTTAAGTGACCTCCTAGTAGCTTGTACTCAACTTTCAGCTGGCTTTTGTTTCCTCAATTATTTGTAGGCTGTTTTGATGTACGTCAGCCACCAACTAGTCCCCATTCATGTAATAAAGTTAAATAAATGTATGAGCACCTGTCCACTCTTTTTGACTTTTCTGCTCCTGTCTTTCTTATTTTTCCAGCCACCAAAAGAAGCAGAAAGCGCAAAATAACTAGGAAGTAAATTCTCTTGTCATTGGAGCCCTATGTGATTAACGGTTTGGCAGTCATAAGGTTTCTCTCCTGTTTCACATCAGGATTTAACATCTCCATTCCAGCAAGAATTGCAAGCTGTTAGATGGTGCTTTAATTTGCTAATAATTTAAATACATAAATACTCACCACTTTCATGCAGAGAAACTCTGCTTCTAATTACAGCATAAGTACAAAAACTTTACTACATAAATATCAAGCAATATCTAAACATAACCTAGCAAAGATACTTAAATAACCTTTACTTTTTTGTTATACAATAGATTTTTAAAATATAGAAAATAGAAAATACCAGAAGGTATAAGGAAGAAAATTAAAACTATCAAAAACCTCACCATTCACAAGGCATCAAAATTATCTTTGCATATTTATTTATAGTTCTCTTCATGTTAAATGTGTATGTGTATACATACATAAGTAGGGTTATCAAGGGTATTATCTTATTATAAAAAGTATATATTCATTATAGAACATTTAGAAGACATAATAATTTTTTTAAATGATTGTTACTTTATCATTATTTGGATGCAATAATTTTTATGTTTTTGCTACATATGCTTCCAAATTGTTTCTGTGTCAGTTAATGACTATTCCTGATTATAGAAGACATAAATGTTAATTAGCTAAACTTGGAAAATGGGGCAACTTATTAAGAAAATCAATGACTGGGATATATCCTTCCTGAAATATAAATATAGCTTCAGTGACAGATAAAATTATTTTAAGGCAATTCTACATGTCACTCAACAATTGAACATCACTATTTTCTCAGTCATCAAATATACTACTAAAGCCTAAATTTTAATATTTATACAGAATTTTTCAGTCTGTACCTATCATGGTTTAACTATTCTATCTTCTGTTGTCTATCTTATCTTCTGCTCAGCTTATGAGGGTACAAATTTCTTTGCACTCTCACCAAAATCAATAATTATCATATTTTTAAATCTTCACTGATTTATTAGGTGAAAAAGTATCTTACTTGAATTTTTAATTTACCCTGGTTTGATTATTAGTGACATTAAACCTTTCCTACATATATGTTGATTACTTGTTTTATTTCTTTTGTGAATTGCTGTTATGTATCTCATGTATTTTTGCTTATGTTTTCTATTTTTTATAATAATCCTTTGTCTATGAAGTTAGAAATATTTCTTCTTTCATAAAAATTATACAAATTATACAAGTTATTTGTTTTAAATTTATAGCTATTCTTACATAGATGGTTTCTTTAAAAATTAAATTAAGATCTATCGTTTTTTTCCATTTAGTTTTATTTTATAATTATTCTTAGGCAGGCATTCCCTGCTTTCCAATATTTAATATTTTAGCTATTTTTTTATACTTTTTGTTTACATTTAATTCTGAATACTACTAAAATTTAATTGTATTACATCATTTGATGTAGACAATTGAAATTCCTAATTTTTTTCAATTACTTAGTATCGTTAATTGGAATGTCTACATTTATTTGAAATGCTAGCTTTATTACATGCTAAGTGTTCTATATATGAATGGGTCTCTTTCTAGGCTTTGTATGCTATTGCATTGATAGGTTTATCAGCACAGAATTACTAAAATTATTGTAAAAATATAAACACTCTAATGTCTCTCAGTCTGAGTGACCTCTTTTGTTCTTCTAATTATTTTTGTAAACATTATTATTATGAAGTTTTCAAAAAACTTGAAACTTATTTAACCTTAGAAGTAGTGAAGTGACTATTACAATTTAGAAAATCTTCCTCCCCACCCTAAAAATTATAAAACTTTTCGCAATTGTAATGACCTTGGACAAGATACCTAAAGCTTAACTTTCATCATAATGATCATTGAGGCATTTTTTTCTGCAATATTCTTTAGAGCTATACAAAAAGTAATGACCATTGTCCAGAAAGTAGCTCTAACATCAGTCATAAGAGCATCCTACTTAATTATGTGCTTACTGATTATACACGAATGAACAATGATGCTTCTGACTGTGATCTCTATCAACACGTGGATAACATTGAATAGATCAGTAAGTAGTGGTGCTTTTAAGATCCTCACTGGCAGTTTCTTGCTTTTGGTCGAACAATGTAATATTGTATCCGTAAAAGGTCACAGCATTTCTGGTGGCAGTAGATAGGTTAGTGGCTTTGAGTTCTCTGAAATTTGAAGTTTTGTTTCAGGGTTAATTTAGAGTTTTTATGGAAGGTTACCCTGCAAATTTCTTTAGGAAACCTGCTGCCATATATCCTTTGCAAGCACTGACTAGAAGAACCAGGCTTTATAAAGAATTGTTTAGATTAATCCAATAAGAAGCCTGAGGAATAGAAACAAATAAGAAAATTGCACCATTGTCACTTAAACAGGGTTTTCTTATGAATTATATATGAGTTATTTATGTTGCCCTTTGATTCTTTTATGTTTCCTTTTCAAAAAGGAACAAGTATTTTGGCAGTTACATTCAATAATTAGAAATTCATATTAAGCTGCTAGATTTGTATCTACCAACTTTTCTCCCAGGCCAAACTTATTATATGCCAACTAAGTTTTTCTTAGTTGACTTCTTGAAAGTAAGTTTGTTTTTCTACATGAATAGTTGATTTCTGAATAATCAATTCAATTTACAAATTTTCAGAAGTGGATAATAGGAGTAATAATGCTTTAGGGATGTAGAGAAAAAATTCACTTAGAATTCATTAAACACTGTGTGTCCACAACCCCAATCTCCCTCTTCCCTCCTTGGATACAGGAAAAAAAGTCATTTCATGTTTTGAGGTCTTTTGTGTTCTGTCTGTGTACAAAGAAAAGGAGGTTCCTCTCCAAGGCCTACTTAGAAACTAAAACTTTGACCCATTCATTTATGTGCCCGTTAATCAATATTTGTTGAACATCTGCATTTTACTAGGTATTTCGATATTATACTAGGCATGAATTGTAACTTCTGTGATAATCTTTGATTTAGGACACTGGAGTACCCTAATGTGAGGGCTACAATTAATTAGAATCTAAAGACAAAAGCAGAGAAATGAAAATAGATTTTAATATATTTCCTGTGATCATTAATAACAAGCTTGCTCAAAAATTATTTTCAGCCTTTAACTATTGACCTTCACCATTTGTCTAAATTTTAAAAAGTGAAACTGTATTTACTATTGGATTAAGCAAGTCTATTTTTTTTATTGATAAGCTCTGTAGCATATATCTTCTGAAGCTTACCTTCTCAATTCAATGCCTTATCCCTTGGCCTATTCTCCATTTCCAGAAACATATCTGATTCAAGATATAAGATAACATATTAAAATAACTAGCTAACATATGCTTCCTAGACCTATGCTGAAATAAGTTCTTTAGAGCAGAAGAAAAACACATCAGATGGGAACTTGGATTTAAAAAGTGAGGAAAAAAAAGAAAGAGAAGGAAAAAGAGAGAGAAGGAAGGAAACAGGAAGGAGGGAAGGAAGGAAAGAAGGGATGGAGGGAGGGAGAGAGAGAGAGAAAGAAAGAGAAAGGAAAGAAAGAAAGGAAGGAAGAGAGAGAGAAAGAAAGAAAGAAAAAAAGCAAGAAAAGAAAGAAGAACGGAGGAGAAAGGACGAAAGGAGGAAGAAAGGAAGGAAGGAAGAAGGAAGGAAGGAAAAGAAAAAGGAAGAAGAGAAAGAAAAGAGAGAGAAAGAAAGAAAGAAAAGAAAGAGAAAGAAAGAAGAAAAGAAAGAAAGAAAGAAAGAGAGAAAGAAAGGAAGAAAGATGCAGAATCTCTTCTTAGTGAGCCTATATCAATAACTTTGACCTGTTTCAACTTTATGTTTCTTTCACTATTGTTCAATACCCTTAGACTGCATTCCCACAACAGTTCCCTGGATTTCTGTCTGTATAAATTAGAAAACACAACTAGTTATTTTGAAGGACAGAACATTTCCTCATTAGTCACACTTTGTACCTCTCCTTCAGGAGCCTGCTTAAATGTAAATCTAATTATAGGTATAGGACTAAAGTGGTGTTGTGGGAGTGAGTTATGAGGATAATCAGGATTGTCTTGCATGGCAACTGCCTCAGGGGAGGACATTACAGTTTCCTCAGGCAATGCAGAGTTAATCTCCTCAGACAGGGAGAGAAAGGCCACTACCCCTGTGGTTGTAAGGGCTGCTACCACTGGAATTAGGAAGGCTGATTCCCAGCAGGTGGGGAAACCTCTTCTATTGGCAAAGACTTATCAGAATTTAAGGGCTCAACATTTCAGCTTCATGAGGGTCTTCCCATATATCCCCATTCCAACTTATAGGATCCCACTCTTTCCTAATCAATGCATTCACTTTAGCAGCAGGCACCTTGAAAGGCTGGAAGTTCACCTTGATATTGTAATTCATCCAGTCACAGGATAATATTCTGTGTTTGATTTTCAGCAATTTCAGCTTTGTAGCTATAAGAGATAAGAATCTCTTTCAGGGCAGACCTAGAAGTGTTCTGGTCATTCATGTGGTACTTCAGCTAGGAATTCAAATCCTTGAGTTTATTCTTTTCTTTCACCAGTTTTTCCAGTGGCATTAGGAGCAATCAGATAACCTCATTATATTTATTAGTTTTTTCAGAAGTGTTTGAAATTACAGTAGTCCCCACTTTTCTGTGACTTCATTTTCCACAGTTTCAGTTACCCAGGGTCAATCAACTGTGGCCCAAAAATGTTAAATTGAAAAATTTAGAAATAAACAATTTGTAGGTTGCATACCATTCTGAGTACCATCATGAAATATCATGCCATCCTACTCTGTCCCACCCAGGAGAGAAACCATCCCTTTGTCCGCAGTATCTATACTGTATATACCACCCTTCCACTAGTTACTTAGTAGCCATTTCTATTAGATTGGCTGTCATGGTATCATAGTAATTGAGTCCAAGTAATTCTTATTTTACTTAATAATAGCTCCAAAGCAGAAAAGTAATGATGCTGGCAATTTGGATATGTCAAATAGAAGTTGCCAAGTTCTACCTTTAAGTGAAAATGTAAAACTTCTTGAATTGGTAAGGAAAGGAAAAAAATATATACCAAGGATGCTAAGATCTATGCTAAGAATGATTCTTCTATCCATGAAACTGTGAATTAGAAAAAGGAAATTTGTGCTAGTTTTGCTGTTGTACCTCAAATTGCAAAGTTACAGCCACAGTACATGATAAGGCTTCGGATGGAAATCACATTAAATTTTTGGGCAAGAGACATGATCAGAAACACATTCTTACTGAAGGCAATTGAGTTCAGTTCTACACTGAAATTCAGTTATCCACTAGGGGGTCTTGGAATGTATCCCTCATGAATCAAGGGGAACTATTAGATTGTAAACACAATCACCCAGCTTCTTGCTTCTTATCAATGGTTGATTAGGAATATTGAATACAGGTCCTTTTCATATCTCTATTGCCAAATCACACCATGGGCTATCAGTCCTCTCCTGGAAATTGAGTCATTCAGATTATAGAGCCAATTCCAAAAATCCTAGAACCAATTTAGTAAACTCATCCTTAAAATTCTATTTATCTGATATTGAATGTTACCAACACAAATAAATGATAAATGTTTGAGATGATGGATGTGCTAATTACCCTTATCTGATCATTATACATTATAAAAACTGTTTCTTTAGAACAATTCACGGTACCAAAATCTCTATTGATGTTTAAAGAGCTATCTGGAGGTTCCATGGCCCAGTCAAGTTGACATATAAAATTAACCGTAACATCTTCCTTGTTTATTTTCCAAAACTTCGTGGGTGACTATTAGCAAATGTTTTTAAATGGACATTTTCCTGTCTGAAGAATAAAGAAAACAATCACATTTATAATTGCAACAAAAACAATTAAATACTTAGGAATAAATTAACCGAGGAGGTAAAAGATTTTACATTAAAAACTATAAAACACTGATGAAAGAAATAAAGACACAAATAAATGGAAAGATATCTGTGATAATGAGTCAGAATTCATATTGTTTAAGTATTCATACTACCCAAAGTAGTCTATAGATTCCATGCAATCCCTCTCAAAATTTAAATGGCATTTTTCACAAATAGAGAAAAAAGTTCTAAAATTCATGTAAAACTACAAAAGACTCCAAAATAGCCAAAGTAATCTTGAGTTAAAAACAAAAAAAAAAAGCTGGCGGCATCACATTACTTAATTTAAAATGATATTACAAAGACTACAAATTGGGTTCAGTGTATATTGCTCGAGTGATGGGTGCACCAAAATCTCACAACTCACCACTGAAGAACTTACTGATGTAACCAAATACCACCTGTTCCCCAAAAACATATAGAAATTTAAAAAAAGTTTTAATTATATTACAAAGCTATAGTAGTAATCAAAACAGCATAGTGCCAGCCTAAAAACTGATATACTGACCAATGGAGCAGAATAGAGAGTCCAGAAATAAACTCACACAAACAAAATTAACTAATATCTGACCAGGGTGCCAAGAATACACAATGGTGAAAGAATAGTCTCTTCACTAAATGGTGTTGGGAAAACTGAATAACCACTTGCAAAACAATAAAATTGGATCCCTTATACCATTCAAAAAAATAATTTGAAATGGTTTAAGGACCAAGAATTTAAGACCTAAAGCCATAAAACTCTTAGAAAAAAAAAAAAAAAACACATAGAAGCTCATTAACATTTGTCTTAGCAGTGATTTTTTTGGGGGTATAACACCAAAGTACAAGCAACCAAAAATAAACTGAGACTACATCAAACTAAAAAGATTCTGCACTAACAAAGGAAATAATCAACAAAATGAAAAGTCAACCTACAGAAGGGGAGAAAATATTCTCAAATCATACATCTAATAAAGGGTTAATACTCAAACTATAAAGGAACTCCTATAACTCAATAGCAAACAAATAAGTAATTTGTTTAAAAAAGGATCTGAATAGACAATTTTCCCAGGAAGACATACAAATGAACCACAGGTACATTAAAAGGTGCTCAACGTCACTAATTATCAGAGAAATACAAATTAAAACCACGATGAGATACCACTTGATACCTAATAGGATGAATATTATTAAAAAGACAAGAGATAAGTGTTGGTGAGGTTGTGGAGAAAAGGGGACTTTCATGCACTGTTGGTAGGGATGTAAACTGATGCAGTCATCATGGAAAAGAGTATGGAGCTTTCTCAAAAAACAAAAAATAAAGCTACCAAATGATCAAGCAATCTCACATCTGGTTATATATCTAAAGGAAACACAATCAAGATCTTAGAGAGATATCTGTCCTCTCATGTTCATTAGAGCATTATTCACAATAGCCAAGACATGGAAACAACCTCAGTGTCCACTGATGGATGAAAGGATTTAAAAATGTGGTATGTGTATACAATAGAATATTATTTATCCATAAAAACAAGGAACTCCTGCCATTTGCAGCAACATGTTTGAACCTCGAGGGCATTATACTAAGTGAAATAAATCAGACAAAAAAAAATACTATCTGATCTCACTTATATATGGAATCTAAAAAGGATGAACTTATAGAAGCACAGAATGGAATGGTGATTGTGAGAGGCTGGGTGGGAGAATAGAGAGATGGTGGTCACAATGTATAAATTTTCAGTTAATATGAATGAGTTCTGGGATTTCAATGTACAGAATAGTGACTATCATTAATACTACTGTATTGTATACTTGAAATTTACTAGTAGAGTAGGTCTTAAATGCTCTCACACATACACACACACACACAAATACTATATGAGCTGATGGATGTGTTAACTAACTTGATTGTGCTAATCTTTTCACTATATATCTATGTATACCAAATTATCATATTTTATGCCTTAAATTTATACAATTTTATTTGTCAATTATATCTCAATAAAGCTGGGAGATGGAAATAAGTGAACTTTGTAAAAGTCAGCATTGTTCAAACTACAGGCTAAAACTCCTTAAGTTCCTGAAATCAAATTAGTTGATCACAATGAGTTTTGTTAAAAGTGAAACTGAGTGCAATAGCAAATATCAGAATGCGTCTCATGTAATAAGGACAAATTTTGTTTTGTGGCACTCTATTTTCAGTTACATGTGTGTAAATGTGTGCATTGTAATAGAAATTGTATTTCTTAGTATGACAGCAAAGAAGAGATAGAAAGGAAGAAAGAAAAAGAAAAGGAAGGAAGGAAGGAAAAAAGAAGAAAGAAAAGAAAGAAAGAAAAAGAAAGAAAGAAAGAAAGAAAAGGAAGGAAGGAAGGAAGGAAGGAAGGAAGGAAGGAAGGAAGGAAGAAAGAAAGAAAGAAAGAAAGAAAGAAAGAAAGAAAGAAAGAAAGAAAAGAAAGAAAAGAAAGAGAAAGGAAGAAAGAAAGAGAAAGAAAAAAGAGAGAGAGGAAGGGAAGGAGTGAGGGAGGGAAGAAAGAAAGAAAGAGAGAAAGAAGAGGAAGGAGGGAGAGAAGGGAAAAGAAAAGAAAAAGAAAGGAAAGAGAAAGAAAGAAAAATTCTGGAAACGGCAAATATGTGTTGCACATAAAAAGATTGGTTTTTTTAGGGAGGTCGTTTTTCAGTTTTCTTAAGGGATTAGTGATAGGTAAAATAATGTATTAAGGGGTTTGTAACATATGTAAAAGTAAAATAAATAAAATAATATAAAGAATGAGAGGGGAGAAATAGATATACACTGTAGTAAAGCTTATATATTATAAATAAGAAGAGATAGGACAAATAGAAAACAAATACCAAAATGATCTAGTTAAATGTGTCAACATTAAAATAAGCTAAATTACAATTAATTACATTAATTGTAAACAATCTGAACAAAGAGTTGGCAAACTTTTTCTTAATAAGACAGATAATAAATATTTTAGGCTTAGAGGTCACAGAGTCTGAGTCACAACTATTTAACTATACTGCTATCGCTTGAAAGCAGCCATTGAAAATGCATATACAAATGAGCATTGCTGTGTTTCAATAGTATTTTCTTTATAAAAACTGTGGGACTGCAGCTTGTTGACCCTTGCCATATGAGAAAGTGTAAACTAAAAATAGAATATGGTATTAAAAACATGATATCAGTCTTCAAATAATGTTATTCCCTGATTGGATGGGTATCAAAAAAGAAACCACTAGAAAAATTAGAAAATACTTGGAGATGAATGAAAACAAAAACACAACATACCAACACTTTTGGGATGCAGTGAAAATAGTGTTTAGATGGAAATTTGTAGTTATAAATGCCCACATTAAAGGGGATGGAAGATATCAAATCAACAACCAAAAATCACACCATAAACAACTACAAGAAGAAAAGTAAACTAAACCCAAAGACAGCAGTAAGAAATTTAAAAAAAAAAAAAGAAAGAAAAAAATAGAATTTACAAAACTAAATTTAGTTCTTTAAAAAAAACACCAAAACTGACAAACCTTTAGCTAGACTAAAAAAAAAAAAAATCTTAAAGAGAATGAGAGAGAGAGATGATGCAAAAATTAGAAATAAAGTAACATTATTACAAACTTACAATAATTGAGTTACAGGAGAATACTGTGAACAATTGTACAGCTAAAAGTAATAATCTAAATTAAATGTACACATTCCTAGAAACACACAAATCACAAAAACTGACTCAAGGAGAAATAGAATATCTCAACAGACCTATAACAACTAAAGATATGGAATCAGTAACCAAAAGCCTTCCAACAAAGAAAAGCCCAGGAATAGATGATCTTCACTGATGGATTCTACCAAACATTTAAGAAAGAATTAACACTAATTCTACTCAAACTCTTCCACAAAAAATAAGAGAAGAGTAGAGAAAACTTTCTAAAATATCTTATGAGGGCAGCATTACCGTGATACCAAATCCAAAGACAACTCAAGAAAAAACTACAGACTAAAGTTTTATGAACATAGATGCATAAATTCTTGATGGAATATGGCCAAAATGAATCCAACAGCACATTAAAAGGTTTATACACATTGACCAAGTAGAATTTATCTCAGGAATGCAAGAGTGATTTAATATAAGACAAACAACTAATAAAATCAAACACAGTCTAAGTGACTCTTTATACAGAAGAGCTCATCAATAAGATTAACATCAGACTTCTCATTGGAAACATTGAAGACCAAAGAAGAAAATTTTGAAAATTTCCAGAAGAAAAAAACGTGTAATTTATCACCAGAAGATTTTATGTACCAAAAAAATGCTGAAGGGAGTTCTTCAGGCAGAATAAAAGGACAGTAGACAGTAACTTAGATCCACCTAAAGAAATAAAAAGCACCACTAAAGGTAACTAAACAGCAAAATGAAAAAAAAAAAAGTATGAATGCATTTTTGTTTATAACTCTTTTATTCTCTTGTCAGATTAAAAGACAACCAAATAAAGCAATGATTATAAAACTGTGTCAATGTGCTATTAAAGATGTAATTTATATATCTCTTAGCTGATGACATGACTCTATACTTAGAAAATCCTAAAGACTACCAAAAGACTCCTAGCCTGATACAATAATTCACTTCAGTAAAGTTTCAGGATACAAAATCAATGCATAAATATCAGTAGCATTTATGTATACCAATAGCACTCAAGCTGAGAACCAAGTCAACAGCACAATCCCATTTACAATAGCCACACACACACGAAAAGTACCCCAGAACATATATAATCAAAGAGGTGAAAGATCTCTACAAGGAGAACTAAAAATCACTGCTGAAACAAATCATAGATAACACAGACAAATGGAAAAACATTTCATGCTCATGGATTGGAAGAATCAATATTGTTAAAATTTCCATACTGCTCAAAGGAATCTACAGATTCAATGCAATCCTTATCAAATTACCAACATCATTCTTCATAAAATTGGAAAACAAATTCTAAAATTCATATGGAACCAAAAGAGCTCGACTAGCCAAAGCTATCCTAAGCAAAAGAACAAATATGGAGGCATCACATTACTCAACTTCAAGCTACACTACAAAGCTACAGTTACCAAAACAGCATGGTACTTGTGCAAAAAATAAATGCAGAGACCAATGGAACAGAATAAGGAACTCAGAAAATAAGCCACACATCTACGAACAGCTTATCTTTGCCAAAGCTGACAAAAGTAAACAATGGGGAAAGCCAACTCTATTCACTAAATGTTGCTAGAAAAACTGGCTAACCATGTGCAGAAGAATGAAACTGAACCCCTACCTCTAACCATATACAAAAATTAACTCAAGATGGATTAAAGACTTAAATTTAAGACCTCAAATTCTAAAAATCTTACAAGAAAACAGGAAATACTCTTCTGGACATTGGCCTAGGCAAAGAATTTATGACTAAGTCCTCATAGCAAATGTAACAATAAAACTGACAAATGGGATCTAATTAAGCCAAAGAGCTTCTGCACAGCAAAAGAAACTATCAGCAGAGTAAACAACCTACAGAAAGGGAGAAAATATTTGCAAACTATGGATCTGACAAAGGCCTAATACCCAGACTCTACAGGAACTTAAATCAACCAACAACCCCAATAAAAAGAGGGCAAAGTACGTGAACAGAAACTTCTCAAAAAAAAGACATACAAGTGGCCAAAAAACATGAAAAATGGTCATCAACACTAATCACCAGAGAAAGGCAAATCAAAACCACCAGGAGATGCCATCCCACACAAGTCAGAATGGCCACTATTAAAAAATCAATAAATAGCAGATATTGATGAGGTTTCAGAGAAAAGGCAATGTTGGTGGGACTGTAAATTCACTCAGCCCCGTGGAAGGCAGTTTGGAGATTTCTCAAAGAACTCAAAATAGAGTTACTATTTGACCTAGCAATAGCATTACTGGGTATATACCCAAAGGAAAAGAAATCATTCTTCCAAAAAGACACATGCACCCACGTGGTTATCACAGCACTATTTCCAATAGCAAAGTCATGAAATCAACCTAGGTGCCCATTAACAGTGATTAAATAAAGAAAATGTGGTACGTATACACCATGGAATACTATGTAGCCATAAAAAAGAACAAAATCATGTCTTTTGTAGCAACATAGATGCAGCTAGAGGTCATTATTCTAAGTGAATTAGTGCAGAAGCAGAAAACCATATACTACATATTCTCACTTATAAGTGGGAGCTAATCATTGGATACACATGAACATAAAGATGGGCACAATAAACACTGGGGACTCCAAATGAAGGGAGGGAGGGAGGCAAGGGGTGAAAAAGTACCTATCAGGTGCTGTGTTCATTATTTTGGTGATGAATTCAGTTGACGCTCAAACCTCAGCATTATGCAATATATTCAAGTAACAAATCTGCACATGTACCACCTGAATCTAAAATGAGATTTTTTAAAAGATGGAATTTGTACAACAATGATACTACAAATGAAGGGAAAGTAAATGAAGCTATATTGGACTAAAGTTTTGTATGTTATTAAAATCGATTTGGTATTAATCTAAACTATGTCGCTTTAAATTAATATTTTAATTGCACTACTCAGGAGAATTCTAAGAAAATAACTCTAAAAGCATAGTAAAACAACAAAGGGATAGAAATAGTGTCCTAGAAAATATCTATTTAATATCAATGAAAGCAGTAATCAATGAATGCAGAGATAAAAAAAAAACCACAAAAGGTAAACAAAAAACAGTTTCCAAAACAGCAGACATAAATTCTACCTTAGCAGTAATTATATTAAATTTAGATAGACCAAGCACTCCAAACAAAAGCCAAAGATTGGCAAAATAGATTTTGAAAACATTATTCTGGTTTTCACTCTGGCACATAAGAAGCTGGATGTCACCAGCTTCCACTTCAACAAGTAAAAAGCTGAACAAACTGAAAAATTAACAATTCTTCTTAAATCCATTTGAGAGGGGGGCCACAGGGCAAACCACTTCCCCCTGAATTGGAAAGACTGACAAGCAAATGCAGCACAAATCTTTGCAGGAACCAGAGTCAAGGTATGGAAACCTGAACGGAAATTGACAAATTGATAGAAACTCAGTGTGGACAAATCTAAGAGATAAAAACCCAGTCGTAGACCACATTTTTGTGAGTTTTGCCTCCAGGAACTCAACACACTTCTCCTAGTGAGTACTGGAGAAAAATCTTCTCATGTTTCCAACAGGGAGAGAAGTTAGGGGTGGGAACTGTTTTCAAATATGCCAGAACATTCTGTTCATCTAAAAAGGATCTGCCCTCAGGAGAAACTCTAACCAGAGCCTAACCTACCACGGTACTATCAGAGCCAAACTGACCTGGGGAAAGAAAAATACTCAATTGTAGCCAGCTCTATTCCTCCACATAAAGATGCTATGGTTTAAATGTCTTCTCTAAAACTCATGTTGATGTTTAACTGCCATCATAACAGTGCTCAGAGGTGGGATCTTTAAGAGGGGTTTAGGTCATGGGGGTACCCCTATTATTGCAGGTGGGGGTTAGTTATTGTGGAAGTGGGTTCCTGATTTTAAAAATGAGTTTGGCTCAATTTTCTCTCTCTGTCATGCACACTTGCTTGCCCTTTTGCCTTCCACCAGAGGATAATGCAGCACAGAAGCCTTTTCCCGACGCCAGTGCCATTCTCTTGGACCTCCCAGCCTGTAGAACTGTGAAACAAATAAACTTCTGCTCATTATAAATTATCCAGTCTCAGGCATTTGTGATAGCAGCAGAAAGCATGCTAAGAAAGAAGGCAAATATTTAACTCCAGCCTCCTCTAACCTTCCACATTAAAGAAGAAAACTACCCAACACACCTGCCCACTCTAGTTATCTTGACCCACTGAAGGTGGGCAGGGCAGGACTAAGAAGCACATGTGATGTCCACAGTCAAAGATACAGGCTCACCAAGACACTGACACCTAATCATAGGTTTCTCCTTCCTCCAAATCTTACCATCACATTACCAATGGTCTATTTACAGCAGTTTCTTTTACCCAGTACATCATGTCCAGTCATCAAGAAAAAATTGTAAGACACATTAAAAGGCAAATAAATGAATAAATAAATAAAACCCAAACAAACACATACACACTTTGAAGAGACAAAGCAAGCATAAGGACCAGACTCAGATATGCAGCGCTATTGGAATTATGAGACTGAGAATTTAAAACAACTATGATTAAAATGGTAAGGGCTCTAACAGAAAAAGTAAACAGCATACAAGAACACATGGACAATGTAAGAAATGGAAATTTTAATAAGAAACCAAAAAGAAAAGCTAGAGATAAAAAAAGAAAAGAAACTGTGAAAAAAAAAAAGGAATGCCTTTGATGAGTGTATTGGCAGACTGGACAGAGCTAAGAAAAGAATCTCTGAGTTTAAAGACATTTGCATAGAAACCACCAAAACTCAAAAATAAAGATAAAAAGATTGGAAAAAAAAAAAAAAAAAAAAAAAACCAGAACAGAGTATCTGAGAACTGTGGGACAACTACAAAAGGTACAACATACATGTATTTTTTTCAAATATTTGTCCCATGCCTTTCCTCTCTTTTTTTCCCCTTGGGAAAAAAAGAGAGGAAAGGCATGGGACAAATATTTGGGGGAAAAAAAAAGTGACAGAGTTTCCCCAAATTGGAGTCAGACAGCAAATCACAAATCCAGAAACTCGGAGAACATCAAACACGATAATGCTAAAAACTACACCTAAGCATATCATTTTCAAATGACAGAAAATCAAAGAAAAAATCCTGAATGAAGCCAGAAGTGAGAAAAATTTCTGAAGCCAGAAGTGAGAAAAATCTATAGAGGAGGAAAGATAAGAATTATATGTAACTTCTCAGAAACCATACAAGGAAGACAGTGGAATAAAATATTTAAAGAGTTGAGGGGGGAAAAAAGCCCTCTGGGATTTGGTACCCTGTGAAATTATCCTTCAAAAGTGGAGGAGAATTACTTTCTCAAACAAAAATTTGTTGCCAGTAGATCTGCCTTGCACTAAATGTTAAAAGAAGTTCTTTATAGAAAGAAGAAAAATAACATAGATCAGAATCTCAGGTTTGCATAAAAAAAGGAAGAGCTTCAAAGAAAGAATAGATAAAAATAAAATTAAAACCTTTACTTATCTTATTTTGAATTGTCCCAACATGTAGTTTGTTCAATATAATAATAGCAACAATGTATTTGACTATGTATGCTTATGTATATATCATATATATGCATATGTATGCTTCTATGTAAGCAAAATAAATGGCAGCGAAGATACAAAGAACAGGAGTAAAGAGCTAAGATTATTTTCTTATTATAAGCTACTCACACTACCTGTAGAGTGGTATAATGTTATTTGAATGTAGGCTTGGATTAGTTGTGAATGTATATTGTTAAAATCTACAGCAACTAAAAAAGATAAAACAGCTAAGAAAGGAGAGAAAATGAAACTACGAAATGTTCAATTAAAACTACAAAGGGCAGAAAAAGAATGGAAGACAAAAATAAGAACAAAGAAAGGGGACAACAAATAGAAAAAAAGTAGCAAGTATTATAGATATTAATCAAACTATATCAATAATCACTTTGAATGTCAATGGTCTAAATGCACCTATTAAAAGATGGAGATTGTGAGAATGGATCAAGAAACAAAACTCAACTGCATGTTCTCTACAAGAAACCCACTTTAAATATAAATATACATATAGATTAAAAGTGAATTGGTGGGCAAAATATACTATATTAACACTAATCAAAAGAAAGTAGTAGTACCAATATTAATTTCAGACAGAACAAGCTTCAGATCAAGGAAAGTTATCAGAAATCAAGAAGGGCATCACACAATGAAAAAGTGGTGAATTATCCAAGAAGACATAACAATCCTTAAAATGTATGCACCTAATAGGCATCAAAATGCATGAGGCAAAAACTGATAGAAATGCAAGTAGAAATAGATGAACCACTATTATAATTGGAGACTTCACTGCTATTCTATCAGAAATAGAAAAACGCAGCAGGCAGAAAATGAGTAAGTACATAGTTGAACTCAACAACACCATCAATCAATTAGGTGTAACGGACACCTATAGACTACTTCATCCAACAAGAGCAGAATATACATTCTTCTCAAACTCATATCAAACATTCACTAAGAGAGACCACATTCTGGCTCATAAAACATACTTTAACAAATTTAAATGAACAGAAATCATACAATATCTGCTTTCAGACCACAATGGAATTAAACTAAAAACTAATAACGGAAAAATAGGTGAAAAATTCTAAAATACATGGAGATTAAGTAACACACTTTTAAGTAATACATTGGTCAAAGAAGAAGTCTTAAGAGAAATTTAAAATATTTTGAATTAAGTGAAAATAAAAACATAACTTACGAAAATGAGTGGGATGTAATCAAAGCAATGTTCAGAGAAAAATTTATAGAATTGAATGCATGTATTAGGAAAGATGTAAAATCCATCATCTAAACATCATCCTTTGCTGAAACTGACATGTGAAGAAATAGAGAATCTGAATAGGTGCATACCAGTAAACAAATTGAACAAATAATTAATAAACTTCAAAAATAGAAAGCACGAGGCCCAGATGGGTTCGCTGATGAATTCTACCAAATATTTAAGGAGAAAAATTATACCAATATTCTACAATCTCTTTTTTTTTTTTGAGACGGAATCTTGCTCTGTTGCTCAGGCTGGAGTGCAGTGGTGCCATCTCGACTCACTGCAAGCTCTGCCTCCCAGGTTCATGCCATTCTCCTACCTCAGCCTCCCAAGTAGCTGGGACTACAGGCACCCGCCACCACACCCAGCTAATTTTTTGTATTTTTAGTAGAGATGGGGTTTCACCGTGTTAGCCAGGGTGGTCTCAATCTCCTGACCTCGTGATCCACCCACCTCAGCCTCCCAAAGTGCTGGGATTACAGGTGTGAGCCACCATGCCCAGCCTACAATCTCTCTTAACAGACAGAAACAGAGGGAATACTTCCTAACTCATTCTACGAGGCTAGCATTACCCTAATACCAAAATTAAAGACATTACAAGAAAAGAAAACTACAGGCCAGCATATCTCATTAGTATAGATGCAAAAATCTTCAACAATATATTAGCAAATTAAATCCAACAATGTATAAAATGAATTATACACCACAGCCAAATGAGATTTATCCCAGGTATGCAAGGTTGATTCAGCACTAGAAAATCAATTAATTTAATTCATCACATTAACATGCTAAAGAAAATTCACATGATCACATTAATAGAGGTAGAAAAAGCATTTGATAAAACCCAAAACCCATTCACAATAAAAAATTTTCAGTAAACTATAAAAAGAGGGAGAACTTCCTTGACTTGATAACAATATCTACAAAAAAAAAAAAAAAAAAAAAAAAACAAATCCTACAGCTAACACAAACTTAATGGTGAAGAACGCAAAGCTTTCCCCTTAAGGTCAGGAAGAAGGCAAGGATGTCTCCCTTCACCATTGATTTTCAACATTGTACTGGAGTCCTAACTATTGCAATAAGACCAGAAAAAGAAATAAAATATTTACAGCTATGAAGAAGAAATAAAACTGTCTTTGTTCACAGATGACAGGATCATCTATGTAGAAAAATATTAAAAAGGACAAAAATATTCTGTAATTAATAAGTGACTATAGCAGTGTTTTAGGATAAAAGGTTAATACATAAAAATCAGTCATTTTCCTACATACCAGCAATGCACGAGAAGCACTTGAAATTAAAAACACAATATCATTTACATTAAGAACCCCAAAAATGAAATACTTAGGTGTAAATCTAACAAAATATGTATAAGATCTATACAAGGAAAACTATGGAAATTGGATGAAAAAAATCAAAGAATAACTAGATAAATTGAGACATTCAATGTTCATGGAAAATAATATTCCATATTGTCAAGATGACAGTTATTTCCAACATAATATATAGATTCAATGCAATACCAATCAAAATCCCAGCAAATTGTTTTGTGAACATTGAAAAAGTGATTCTAACGCTTATATAAAGAGGCAAAAGATGCAGAATAACTAACATAGTATTGAAGGAGCACAAAGTTGAAAGACTGACATTAGCTGACTTCAAGATTTACTATACAGCCATAGTAATTAAGACAGTGTGGTACTGGTAAAAGAACAGACAAATAGATACATGGAACAGAACAGAGAGTCAAGAAATAAACCCACATAAATATAGTCAACTGATGTTTGACAAAGGAGCAATAAAATTGATAAAAGATAGTCTTTCAACAAATAGTGCTGGAACAATTCGAATTAGACATTCACATGAAAAAAAAAATTGAAGGTGACTTCTTGGGTAGGCGTGGGATTCCTTTCTGGGTGACGAAAATGTACTGGATTTAGATTGCGATGATGGTTGCACAATTTTTTAATATATTAAAAGATCACTGAATTTTGCACTTTAAAAGGTGAATTTTATACAATGTGAATTATATGTCAATGAAGTTATTAAAAAGAAACATGCAGATAATATAGGTATTGTAGTAAACATAGAGCATAAAAAGCTATTATTAATATTTATTCCCATTCTATTTCCCACAAGGCCTCTGACAATAATCAATCCAGTTTCCTTTCTTATGGGTTTGCCTATTAGTGACATCTTACATAAATAGAATAATACAATATATGGCCTTTTGTGACTTGCTTCTTTCACTTGGCGTAATGTTTTTAAGGTTCATTCATGTATTAGCATGTATCATATTTTTATTCCTTTTTATGGTTACATAATATTCCATTGTATGAATATACCATGTTTTATTTGTACATTCATCAGTTGATGAATGTTTTAGATTGTTTCCACTTTGGAGGTATTGCAAATCATACTGCTATGAATATTCATATACAAATTTCCATGTAAATATATTTTCATTTTTCTTGGGCATATACCTAGGAGTGAAATTACTGGGTCATATGGTAACTCTATGTTACCCCACAGAAGGAAACAATAAAGATAAAACTAGAATTAATGAGGCAGATAATCGAAAAGAACAGATCTAACTGAAAATCAAAATCCTGAGCTTTTTATCTTTTTTTCTTTTTTTTTTTCTTTTTATTTTTATTATTATACTTTAAGTTTTAGGGTACATGGGCACAATGTGCAGGTTAGTTACATATGTATACATGTGACATGCTGGTGTGCTGCACCCACTAACTCGTCATCTAGCATTAGGTATATCTCCCAATGCTATCCCTCCCCCACCCCACAACAGTCCCCAGAGTGTGATGTTCCCCTTCCTGTGTCCATGTGTTCTCATTGTTCAATTCCCACCTATGAGTGAGAATATGCAGTGTTCGGTTTTTTGTTCTTGCGATAGTTTACTGAGAATGATGATTTCCAATTTCATCCATGTCCCTACAAAGGACATTAACTCATCATTTTCTATGGCTGCATAGTATTCCATGGTGTATATGTGCCACATTTTCTTAATCCAGTCTATCAATGTTGGACATTTGGGTTGGTTCCAAGTCTTTCTATTGTGAATAGTGCTGCAATAAACATACGTGTGCATGTGTCTTTATAGCAGCATGATTTATAGCCCTTTGGGTATATACCCAGTAATGGCATGGCTGGGTCAAATGGTGTTTCTAGTTCTAGATCCCTGAGGAATCACCACACTGACTTCCACAATGGTTGAACTAGTTTACAGTCCCACCAACAGTGTCAAAGTATTCCTATTTCTCCACATCCTCTCCAGCACCTGTTGTTTCCTGACTTTTTAATGATTGCCATTCTAACTGGTGTGAGATGATATCTCATTGTGGTTTTGATTTGCATTTCTCTGATGGCCAGTGATGGTGAGCATGTTTTCATGTTTTTTGCTGCACAAATGTCTTCTTTTGAGAAGTGTCTGTTCATGTCCTTCGCCCACTTTTTGATGGGGTTGTTTGTTTTTTTCTTGTAAATTTGTTTGAGTTCATTGTAGATTCTGGATATTAGCCCTTTGTCAGATGAGTAGGTTGCGAAAATTGTCTCCCATTTTGTGGGTTGCCTGTTCACTCTGATGGTAGTTTCCTTTGCTGTGCAGAAGCTCTTTAGCTTAATTAGATCCCATTTGTCAATTTTGGCTTTGTTGGCATTGCTTTTGGTGTTTTAGACATGAAGTCCTTGCCCATGCCTATGTCCTGAATGGTAATGCCTAGGTTTTCTTCAAGGGCTTTTATGATTTTAGGTCTAACGTTTAAGTCTTTAATCCATCTTGAATTGATTTTTGTATGAGGTGTAAGGAAGGGATCCAGTTTCAGCTTTCTACATATGGCTAGCCAGTTTTCCCAGCACCATTTATTAAATAGGGAATCCTTTCCCCATTGCTTGTTTTTCTCAGGTTTGTCAAAGATCAGATAGCTGTAGATACGCGGCATTATTTCTGAGGGCTCTGTTCTGTTCCATTGATCTATATCTCTGTTTTGGTACCAGTGCCATGCTCTTTTGGTTACTGTAGCCTTGTAGTATAGTTTGAAGTCAGGTAGCATGATGCCTCCAGCTTTGTTCTTTTGGCTTAGGATTGACTTGGCAATGCGGGCTCCTTTTTGGTTCCATATGAACTTTCAAGTAGTTTTTTCCAATTCTGTGAAGAAAGTCATTGGTAGCTTGATGGGGATGGCATTGAATCTATAAATTACCTTGGGCAGTATGGCCATTTTCACGATATTGATTCTTCCTACCCATGAGCATGGAATGTTCTTCCATTTGTTTGTGGCCTCTTTTATTTCATTGAGCAGTGGTTTGTAGTTCTCCTTGAAGAGGTCCTTCACATCCCTTGTAAGGTGGATTCCTAGGTATTTTATTCTCTTTGAAGCAATTGTGAATGGGAGTTCACTCGTGGTTTGGCTGTTTGTCTGTTATTGGTGTATAAGAATGCTTGTGATTTTTGTACATTGATTTTGTATCCTGAGACTTTGCTGAAGTTGCTTATCAGCTTAAGGAGATTTTGGGCTGAGATGATGGGGTTTTCTAGATATACAATCATGTCGTCTGCAAACAGGGACAATTTGACTTCCTCTTTTCCTAATTGAATACCCTTTATTTCCTTCTCCTGCCTAATTGCCCTGGCCAGAACCTCCAACACTATGTTGAATAGGAGTGGTGAGAGAGGGCATCCCTGTCTTGTGCCCATTTTCAAAGGGAATGCTTCCAGTTATTGCCCATTCAGTATGATATTGGCTGTGGGCTTGTCATAGATAGCTCTTATTATTTTGAGAAACGTCCTATCAATACCTAATTTATTGAGAGTTTTTAGCATGAAGGGTTGTTGAATTTTGTCTTGAAATGAAGGAAAAATGTTAAGGGCAGCCAGAGAGAAAGGTCAGGTTACCCACAAAGGGAAGCCCATCAGACTAACAGCTGATCTCTCGGCAGAAATTCTACAAGCCAGAAGAGAGTGGGGGCCAATATTCAACATTCTTAAAGAAAAGAATTTTCAACCCAGAATTTCATATCCAGCCAAACTAAGCTTCATAAGTGAAGGAGAAATAAAATACTTTACAGACAAGCAAATGCTGAGAGATTTTGTCACCACTAGGCCTGCCCTAAAAGAGCTCCTGAAGGAAGCACTAAATATGGAAAGGAACAACCTGTACCAGCTGCTGCAAAATCATGCCAAAATGTATAGACCATCGAGACTAGGAAGAAACTGCATCAACTAATGAGCAAAATAACCAGCTAACATCATAATGACAGGTTCAAATTCACACATAACAATATCAACTTTAAATGTAAATGGACTAAATGCTCCAATTAAAAGACACAGACTGGCAAATTGGATAAAGAATCAAGATCCATCAGTGTGATGTATTCAGAAAACCCATCTCACATGCAGAGACACACATAGGCTCAAAATAAAAGGATGGAGGAAAATCTACCAAGCAAATGGAAAACAAAAAAAGGCAGGGGTTGCAATCCTAGTCTCTGATAAAACAGACTTTAAACCAACAAAGATCAAAAGAGACAAAGAAGGCCATTATGTAATGGTAAAGGGATCAATTCAACAAGAAGAGCTAACTATCCCAAATATATATGCACCCAATACAGGAGCACCCAGATTCATAAAGCAAGTCCTGAGTGACCTACAAAGAGACTTAGACTCCCACACATTAATAATGGGAGACTTTAACACCCCACTGTCAACATTAGACAGATCAACGAGACAGAAAGTCAACAAGGATACCCAGGAATTGAACTCAGCTCTGCACCAAGCGGACCTAATAGACATCTACAGAACTCTCCACCCCAAATCAACAGAATATACATTTTTTTCAGCACCACACCACACCTATTCCAAAACTGACCACATAGTTGGAAGTAAAGCTCTCCTCAGCAAATGTAAAAGAACAGAAATTATAAAAAACTATCTCTCAGACCACAGTGCAATCAAACTAGAACTCAGGATTAAGAATCTCACTCAAAACTGCTCAACTACATGGAAACTGAACAACCTGCTCCTGAATAACTACTGGGTACATAACGAAATGAAGGCAGAAATAAAGATGTTCTTTGAAACCAACGAGAACAAAGACACAACATACCAGAATCTCTGGGACACATTCAAAGCAGTGTGTAGAGGGAAATTTATAGCACTAAATGCCCACAAGAGAAAGCAGGAAAGATCCAAAATTGACACCCTAACATCACAATTAAAAGAACTAGAAAAGCAAGAGCAAACACATTCAAAAGCTAGCAGAAGGCAAGAAATAACTAAAATCAGAGCAGAACTGAAGGAAATAGAGACACAAAAAACCCTTCAAAAAATTAATGAATTCAGGAGCTGGTTTTTTGAAAGGATCAACAAAATTGATAGACTGCTAGCAAGACTAATAAAGAAAAAAAGAGAGAAGAATCAAATAGATGCAATAAAAAATGATAAAGGGGATATCACCACTGATCCCACAGAAATACAAACTACTATCAGAGAGTTTTTTTATCTTAACAAAATAGACAAATAATTATCTAATGTAATCAAAACAGAAATATTATATACCATGAGAAATTATGTGAAGAAAATTACCATAGAAAAAGGCCCCCAAAAGACACAAATATAAGAAAAACTAAATATACAATTATAGCTAAAGATTGCAATCACCTTTTTAGTAGCTGATTTAAAATGCAGACCAAAACCAGGAGACAATTAAAAGATCTGAAAACACCAGTAATAAACTTCACCTAACTGATACTAATAGAATCCTGTATCTAACACCTGCATGAAACACATTGTTTTCAAGTGCAAACTGAACATTTACCAAAATTGATTATATGCTGGGCTATAAAGCAAGTCTCAAAACGTTTCTCAGCACTGGAATCATACATAGTGTGTTCTCTGTTGACAGTGGGATTAAACTAGAAATAAAAACCAAAACATAACTGGAAAGTTTTCAAATGTTTGTAAATTAGGTAATTTAGTCCTACTTAACCTATGGGTCAAAATAGTAATCTTAAAGGAATAAAAAAATTTTTGAACCGAATGAAAATAAAGACATAACAAGTCAAGTTTTATGGGATGAAGTTAGAGCTAAGCTTAGAAAAAAAAAATTTAAGTTCTTAAGTACATATGTAAGAAAAAAAATCCCTGATACGAGTATCAATCTCAAAAAGGTAGGAGATAGAGAAGCAAATTCAATGAAAATCTGTAAAGAAAGAAAGAGCATAAATAAATCAAATAGAAAAAAAAGAACAATGGTGAAAAATCCAAAGGATAAAAAGTTTTTAAAAAATGCTAACCAAATTCATAAACGCTTAGCAAGATCAATTAAGAAAATGAAATGCAAGAAAAAGCACAAATATTAGTACAATTAATGAAATGGTTGATATAACTACAGGTCCTATATGTTTTACAGACATTTAAAAATAAAAGAATATTATGAAAAACTTTATGCCAATAAATTTAAAACTTTAGATGAAATATATAAAATTATTGAAAAAGGCAACTTTGTACTCATAAAGAAAACTTCAGACTCTCATGACTTTGCTGGTAAATTTTTCCAAGCATTAAAGAGAAACAATGCTAATTTGATTATATGTTTCAAACAATAGGTTCAGAAGAAAAGAAAAAATGAAATACTTCTCAATTTATTCTATGGTTTATTGATACGAAGACTAGACAAAAACCTCGTAGGAAAGGAAAATTTCAATTACAAGGTAGCTCAATATTTCTTATGAAAATAGACATTAAATATCCTATATAAAAATAACAATAAATCCCAAAACATACAAAAGAAAAATGCATCTTGACCAAGCTTCATTTATTCTATGACTATAAAATTGACTAAATTTTGGAAAAAATCAGTATAATTCACCATTTCATCAGAATAAAGAATTATATGATTTTCTTAGCTGTTGGAGAATATACATTTAATAATATACAATATCCATACATAAGTTTTTTAAAACTTTGGGGCAATCTTGAAATGGCAGGAAACTTTCATAATCTGATAATATGTATGCACAAAAAGCTGATAGCAAATATCTACTTGATGATAAAATATTGAAAGCATTTTAAGAGAATGCCCAGGGCTTCTGTTTATCATGGTCTTAGAATCTACAGAAAAATATCTATAATTAATAAGTCAATTTGGCACATTCTCCCTCTATAGGGTCAATATACAAATATTAATTTTATTTCTATATCATAGAAACAAAAAAATAGAAAAGAAAAAATATTTTTAACTTTTAGGTTCAGGGAACGTGCAGGTTTGTTACATAGGTAAACTCATGTCACAGGGTTTGTTGTAGATTATTTCATCACCCAAGTACTAAGCCTGGTACCCATTAGTTATTTTTCCTGATCCTCTCCCTCCTCCCACCCTCCACCTTCTCAAAGGTGCCAGTGTGTGTTAGCCCCCTCTATGTGTCTACGAGTTTTCATCACTTCTCTCCCACTTATAAGTGAGAACATGTGGTATTTGGTTTTCTATTCCTGCATTAGTTTGTTAAGGATAATGACCTCCAGCTCCATCCATGTTCCTGCAAAGGACATGATCTGATTCTTTTTTATAGCTGTATAGTATTCCATGGTGTATATGTACCCCGTTTTCTTTATCCATTCTACCATTGATGGGTTATTAGGTTGATTCCCTGTCTTTGCCACTGTGAACAGTGCTGCAATGAACATTTGCGGGTATGTTTCTTTACAGTAGAATGATTTATATTCCCTTGGGTATGTATCCAATAATGGTGTTGCTGGGTCAAACGATATTTCTGCTTTCAGCTCTTTGAGGAATCATCACACTGCTTTCCATAATGGCTGCACTAATTTACACTCCCACCAATTGTGTATATGTTCCCTTTTCTTTGCAACCTCACCAGCATCTGTTATTTTTTTACTTTTTAGTAATAGCCATTCTAAGTTTTGTGAGCTGATATCTCATTGTGGTTTTGATTTGCATTTCTCTAATGATCAGGAATGTTGAGCTTTTCTTCATATACTTGTTGACCACAGGTATGTCTTCTTTTGAAAAGTATCTATTCATGTCCTTTGCCCACTTTTTAATGTTTTCATTCCTGTAAATTTGTTCAAGTTCCTTATACTAGGCCTTTGTCAGATGCAACAGACTTAAACAGATTCTTCATAAAAGAAGCATATCAAAGGGCAAAGAAGTATGTGAAAAGGTTCTAACCCTTGTTAATCATCAGAGAAACACAAATTAAAAACATAATAGGATTCCACTACTTACCCACTAGAATGACTATAATCTTACAAGATGAGACTACCAAGTTCATACCAAGCCAGGATGTGGACCATCTAGAAATTTCATATACTATATTAGTTGTATGTTTATATGTCCAAAATATTTATAATTACATATGTATGTATACAAATTATGTATTCATATGTATATATGTATATACAGACTTAAATAAATAAACAGGATCTCATGGACCAAATGATGGGTACAGCACCTTTCCAAAGAGTATTTATGCTTTATATGATAAAATTAATAACCCATAAGGTTGTCAAATGTAACCTAGCCCTTACTTATGACAGATATTGTTAAACAATATTATTAGTCTTTTCTAACAATCTTTTAGGCAAACAATCTTAAAGATGCAGTCACTACCAACATTAGAAAGTGGAATAAAATCTGTTGTCATCCCTGGCTGAAGCATAAAAATAAATCATTAACACCAGGATTTCAAACTTTGTGGTATTACTTGTTTGATGGAGAGAGCTCTGGGTTGTAAGACTTCTGTATGCCTTTGATCACACCACTAAGCAGGCACCTATTCTGCCACAGACTAAGGCTGACTTTGCCCTGAAGCCATAGCAGCTTGACAGGACTGACACACCTAAACCTCAAACAGAATCCAGGTCAACCATTTTTGATAAAAGATCCCATGAGAATGACCTTACAATATTAGTAACTACTAAAGTTTTGATTGTTTATTAGGAAATAAAATGTTCTCTTGAAACTCTCCCTAGAGGAGAATCAGAACTTTTAACATTTGAGAAAGACCCTAAAATTGAAAAAGTATCCTCTTTATGTTAGATGATCATTTCAGAATACTCTTTAAATTTACATAGCACACATCTCAGTAGTAAATATTTTCTGAAAATTCTTATTTGATGTATTAAGCTATCTTTCAGTTATTACTTAATATTGTGACTATACATTGGAGATTCACATTTTCTTTTGGTAAATTGTATTCTTAGACACAAAATAAGCATGTGTTTATATATTGTGTCCAATAATATTTATCTTATATAAAATATAGTTCTTAATGTTTCATAAAATGGCTTCCTGAAACAATGTCTACTTTCTCTTATACTTTTAATACCTATGAATCACCTATTATAATTAATTACAAACTAATCATTTTCACTTTTTTATAATCATGTGAGGTTGGAAGCAAGTAATTTATCCAATGTTTCAAGAAATAGGTCACAGCAATTTGTATAAAGTCATAAATTTTTGTTATATTTTGAAACCAAAAAAATGCATATTTGACTTATTCTCTAATGTACCACAGCAAACGAAAACCTGGTTTTTGATTAAGTATTCACGACAATGTCATCTTTTCTCTATGTTGATTGACTTACGAGATGAAGGATCATGGCCTGGAATATTATCAATACCCAGAACACAGGCTAATGCTCAAAAAATACTTGCTGAATATTCTAAATGGAAAACTGTTTTCTAAATTAATAAATCGATGATTTCATGGAAGTATCTTTCCCTAGAAACTTACCTAAATGGCAATCATAGAAATTCTTTTCCATATTCTGCAGAAAACAGCAGATGATCTCTCATGGCATAGTGAAGATGATGCACTTCCTCTTCAAATCCTAATAAGTTAATTTCCTATAGCAAGTGTTTGGCTGTTGCTTCAAATAAAACTCATCCTCAAGGTTCACATATTATTTGTACTGCACCCTCTTCTGGTACCTGGAATCTCCTAACCAGGTATTGAAATCTTTTTACATGCAACTGTATTTAATAGCTCTAATAGTCACATAAGTGCTTGCTTAAGAAGGTCAGAGGGACCTTGAGGCTCGTACCCAGTAAGGTAACAAAAGACCTATAAGATGGTTAGTGAAAAATCGAATGAAATAGAGAAATCTTAGTGTCTGATAGGCAGAGGTTCCGGCTCAGTGTTCTGTGTGAATTAATTCTTTTATCGGGAATGGTTTTTACGAGCATTTTCTTTCTATGCATACCAATTCCAGAGGAGCGGCTATATCAGACTGAAAGGCATCAGAGTTCAGCCAACTCAGAGCCATTTATTTATTGAAAAGTTTATCTCTGTATTAAATTCTTACTGAAGAGGGTTTCATTAGGCCCACAAGACCAGTATAAACAGGGAGCTGCTGAGTTATTAGGAAAACGAATCGGGAGCTAACTTCTCAGTCTGTTTTTTGTTCCCATTGCTCACACACCAAGGCTGCCAATGGCGCCAAGAGAGATGCTTGTATTCAACTTGGAATTTTTTTTTATTTCCTGCATTTGAGCAGGCCACAATTTATATCACTCAGGTCTCCTTAAATTAGTCCAAGAGGATTTCATTTTACAGGCCTGCTTGACTGGGATCCTTTTGGCACGATGGGTTCAGCTTTGTATACAACTGAGATTCATATTTTATGTGTGTGTAAAAACCCCAGCCATGAATCTAGCATCTCAAAGCTTCACCTTCATTCTTTACAGCTCAGTTCAGAGCCCGGCACATTGCCATAGGCTGAGTCTCAGGGCAGCTCCTGGCTGAGCTGAAAGGACAAAAGCTAAAAATAGATTAACGAACTCAGGGGCGTAAGAAGAGAAAACAGGACTCTTTCAGTTCTTCTTTACATCACACTTCCCGAATTAATATGATGCGGACCTAATGCCTCCCACTCACACGTTTAAATTGAAACAGCACTTTTGGCCAGGCATTGTTTTCTGCTTTTAAGTAAAAGAGGTCTTAGAATTGTCAGAGGTTTCTGAAATCCTGTCACTACCATGGACCTACTTGGCTAGGCTGCCAAGCTTCAACCTCCTGTTTTCGCTCCTTTTCACCAGATACTCTCTAGCTGCAGTTGCATCTCTGTTTTGTGGTCTTGCTTTTCTTCTAACTCCATTGGTCTACAAACTTAAAACGGCTGCCATAGCAGGGCTGATAAAGCAAAGTGCAAAAGAGAGCTGGGAAGTTTTGATTTGTTACTATTACTATAATTTTGTAGGATTTTCAGAAATCCTGCTCTATATCAATCCACAATGATATATCTTCGAGTATAATGTTGTTCAGTGCTGAATAGAAGCAGTGTCCATAAATGGCACTGTAAGAATGCATGTATGTTATAGATAATAGAGCAATGCCCAGAGGAGTGAACAGATCGATGAGAGTTCTGTTTCCGTTTCTATTGTTTGTCTCTAATCATTTGCTTATTTGAACTAAAGTTGATTGCCTTCCTTGGCATTATTAATGTCTGTAATGAACTATAAAGTCCATAGGTCTATGGAGTTGTTAATATTTTAACACAATAAAAGTTGTAATCCCAATATTACATCTTTCTTAAAATAACAAATCTTGTCTTTAGAACCACGATTCATGAATTTCCTAATGAGTTCTTTCTCTATTATAAAATATTGCCTTCTACTTAATTTTCATCAACTTGTAAATTTGTTAAAGTTTTATGTAATTGTGATAGATAGAAACTGTGACCTCTGGGGCTTAACACCTAGATGACAGGTTGATAGGTACAGCAAACCACGATGGCACCTGTATACCTATGCAACAAACTTGCACATTCTGCACATGTATCCCAGAACTTAAAGTAAAAATCTAAAATAATAATAATAATGGAAAACGACTGGGTATCCAGCACCTATCTAATGCCAGAGAATTCTATGAATAAAAACAATGCACCCTCTCCATCCCCAAGAAGCTGACAATCTAGATACATAAACTATATGCATAGAAATAATGAGAATATCAAGCAATATATGACTAATTGGCAAAATAACTAGGATGGGCAGAATGTATTGTGAGATTATGAAGAAGGAAAAGATCAAAATGTATTTCAATCATCTAGAAAGACATCATAAAGTAGATAGGATTTGACTTGGGCATTAAAGGAAAGATAGAATTAGTGTAAAGCAAAAAAGAGAGGGAGAAAATATTTTTCCAGAAAAATGAAGAAAGGAGTGAAAGCGCCCAGAAGGAATAAGGGCTCAAAAGCCAGAAAAGCATATTCTTGGAATGGTGTCCACAATGCTGGTCTCCAGTAAACAGAAAGTGTTTGTCTGTCACATGGTTGATATCTCTGTGAGCCACACGACAGAACATGTACAGGATCTGGAACATGTATCTACAGTTGAGACTGGAACAACTAAGTAATTGTTTTTTCATATCAAAGTGACTTATCTAAATATCAGTCCTCCTCCTTTCACTCCTTCCTTTATTCTGTTCTTTTTTTCCTCCCTTTTATTCTTTTTCTCTCCTTTTCATATCTTCTCTTTCCTTCCTTTATTTTATTATTTCCATCCAGGTAAAAATCCAAAGCTTGTATTAAAATGTGTGGGGATGAAACAAAGACCTAGTACAATAACATGTTAGTTTACATTTTAAAAATACCAGCTACTGTAACAAAGAACCCCACTCTTAGTAATTTAACACAATAAAGATTTGCTTCTTTCTACTGTTGCAGTGCAATGCAGATTGATGGAGGTGAGAGAGTTCACTTAGAGACCCAGCCTCCTCTTATTTAATGGCACTGCTATCCTAATTGTTCTCAGAACCTTCCCCGGTGTCTACATCTGACTGGAAGATGAGGGAAGAGAACACATGGAAGATAGCACTGGGGATTTTGTGGGTGGACCTGGAAGTGGCACACACATCACTTCTGTCTGCAGTTGCATTAACTGGAACTCAACTGCAAGGGAGGCCAACAAAGTAGTCTAGGTATGGCCCCAGCAGGAAGAGGGAATCCGTTTGATTCACACCTATCCAGTTCTCCCTGCAACTGCTATGAGCTTGGGTTTCACATGTTTGAAACCAAAAACTTTAGTGTCATTCTTTACCCTCAGAAAAAGCACATGGCCTGAGAAAATATTAGAACTTTTAACTTGTGCGAGTACTTGGAAAACAGAACTCCATAGGAAGATTCAGATGGGTAACTTTGTCCTCTATCCAACAAGTGATGAATCAATGCTGGATTCAATGATAACGAACACCAGTGGCTGGTGCTGTAGAATTAGTTACCGTATACATAGTGCCTACAGAGAATGGGCAGTACCTTTGAAGAAGGAGGCAGGAAATCACTAATCAATGATATTGACAACCACCCATGTGAGGTTGGAGTGTCAGAGTAGCAGTGGCACGTCCAATTCCTTCAAGTATGTCTGAAGTGCAACACTCCATTTCTCACTCCTCTATCCTCCAATCACCACTTTACCAAAAATAGGATAGAAGGTCAGAGCATCTTACTGAGGTAGAGTTGGGGTAAAGAAGATGGGAAGAGACTGCTCTCTTCTACCAGGAAGCAGCTACAGCAGGAAGAGACTTTTATTTTGGCAAAGAAGGTGGCAGGCAGGTCTTCTATGAACTGATGGCCTAGCTAGAGTGGAAGGGGTTTACAGACACACGTAGCCCAGCTCAGCTGGTGCACCCAACAGAGTCACAGAGCCCCAAAAGATCAACGGTGATCTTTAGCAGCATGCCATAATGAGAGAGAACCAGCAAGTTCTTCAGTGGGACTAACAGTCTTGCACAGATGGCCCGAAACACTTATCTTTCAGCCACAGAGGCAGATACCATCAGCTACATAAAAGCCCCCACACCCAAGACTCCAGCACTTGGTGGAGGGCACCTCTCAGGGAGGGCAATCTGTGGCAGAGGGAGGGAACAGTAAGAGAGTGATGGTGTAGGAGAACCAAAAGCAGATAGTGCCAACAGAGAGACCAAATACCAAAGTTGGAAGAGGCATCAAATTACAGGGTAGCATAATATAATGGATGATCATATCAAAGTTTAAGTCCCAGCTCAGAGAGTTTCTTGCCATGTGAATGTGGGCATCAATCCTAGTGAGTTATTGTAAGGTTTAAATTTGATATTGCATAGAAAGAGTTGAATATAATGCTTGACACATAGTAAGTACTCAAGAAATGTTAGCTAGTTGTAAGGTTGTCATCGTAGTAAGAAGTAGTAGTAGTGATGGCGGTTAAAAGTAGTGATAGTCATGGTAGTAGCGGTAGTGGTGGTCTAGTAATTACTATATTAATTTATGAGTTGGCTTTCTGTAAGTACTGTTGAGGTTACAAAAAAAAAAAAGACATATCAGTACCAGTTGACCATTTGGGAAAAAACAGACCCATAGTTAAGAAAAGTGGTTGGCTGGAGCTTTTAGGCTAGAGTAAAGAAAATTTATACATACACACACACACTCTCTCTCCCTCTTAGTTTTCTAAAGACTTTTGTTTGAAGAATAGTAATCAAGAAAGGTGTGTTTAAAGGCCTAATGCTTAATTCTTCCTGCAATGCAGCTAAGAGCAGGAAGTATGGGGGCTATTCTATTCAGGAAATATATTAAAAACATAGCACTGAGCTGTATAGAAGCACGCAAAAGATCTTTTAAAAAAATTAAGTTGCAAGAGGGAGGGAGCATCCCATTACTCTTCTCTTCCCAATTCACCCATTTTTCTACCTCAAATTCAGGTTACATATATTATTCCCTTCATTTACCTGCATTATTTTTCCCTGCAGTATATGAAACAACGGATTAGCTGCCATTCTTTCCCAAGCACCCTGAATATCATCTTTCTTGCTTTATGCTCCAAGAATTTCTTTCAACTAAATGAGGGTCAAACCATCTGATCTATTCAAGTCAAGCCAAGAGACCATCTTTACAAAATAGCACTGTTTCTAACAAGAAAAAGAAACAAGCAAAGTGATATAACTTTTTATTTCTGTTTATACGTACAGAAATAAAACATGTCCTTCCTCAAGATAAAGTAATCCCTGCATAACTAGCCTTTCTTCTTCTGTGTTTGAGGTGTTTTCAAAGCGTCCTTTAATGTTTCACTCTCTTTGAGCCAATCACTCAAAGCCTTCAGAGCCTCTCTGCTCCAGGTCTCAGCTTCCCTTGGCCTTTCTGCCATTTGCTTTTATCTCTTCCTTCTGAACAGCTGCTCCCTGATTACTGTTTTAACTTTTGGTGAGATTTTATTTATTTCCCTTTCTCTCATCCTATGAAGTAGGCAGGTTTTAGTTTTGTGAACCATATATTCAATTGTTATTACATCTTTCCACTTTTTCTTTCTTGTTATAATGTCCTATGACGATAGAAAGGAATTGAGAAAGATCGTTGCCTTGAGAGTTAATGGAATTTGCAGTGGAAAGAGCAAAACTGCTACAACCTAAATATTTGTTCAAATTCCACAGAGAAGTGTCCACTGACCACAGAAACATTGCTCTTTACCTTGTCAATTAAATAAAAACAAAGGGAATGTGTAGGCATTTTTTAAAACAATAAAAGAAATAATCATTTGGATTTCTGTTATCCTGTCAAACTGAAGATCTCAAGGCACTTTCAGTAAATTATATTCAAGCATAGTTATCAACCACTGTTTCAGCTTGTAGGTAATAATTTTAATGCAGCCATAGCCACATGTAAGAATATTAAGCTATACTTATATGAAATGACAATTATACTCACTCATTAAAAATTGTATCATTGAATGAGAAATTTAAATAACTGGCTTACCTTTTAGTTGAAAAATACATCAGTTTAATAAGGGGCCCATAAATGGACTATAGAGAGAGTTGTCACTTAAAGGCTGCCTGAGGTTCCTCTAAACAGGAGATAAAGGTAGAAACTCATCTTAAAGCAAATCTTATTGTTCCATGACATGTATGAATTTCCTGTCATCATTATGTAAATGTAAGTTAATTTGGCTACCACTATTGTGCTGAAGGATTTAAAGGGAACCATTTGTGTCTTCAGAAACAACTGCCAGTGGAGGTACAGATCCCTGTCTAGGGAGAATGTGGTTATGTTTCATGTAGGGATTCGGGAGCCAAGTGGAAGGAAAAAGCTAGGGAACCTGGCCACTTCCATTTTGAAGTCTGATATTATTAGACCTCTTCTCATGGACTGAGATTGCTCTGACCAAGACACATTGGAATTAGAGATCAGTGGTGCCTAAATTGAATCCATCATGATGGGAGGAGGATCTGTCAGGGGTTCCAGGCTCAACATTACAGCGTAGCCAGTTGTGAAAGGGAGAGTTGGTTCTGACACATGTGGCTGCTGCTCAAAGCTCCTTCTAATTCAGCCACCTTGACATTGGAGAACTGTACTTTGAGAACAATGGCTTAGTATGAGAATATAAGCTAAAAACTACCCTTAGCCAAGAAGATGGACTCATATCTACCTCCCTTGAAGAAACCATGTTGTCCGCAGCAGCGTAAGTTTTCACCATAGCAGTCGACACCTAAATAAGGCTCACATTCAATTATGAGGACCTACTTTCAAAAGCTACCCTGTAATAGCAGCAAAGGCAATGGAATTTAAGTTAAGGGATTGACAAGATCAGATTTGGCAATTATTATCATTTGGCAATGATATCATTTGGCAATTCTTATCATTTGGTAGAGAATTTGGCAATTCTTATCAGATCTTGTCATTAAAATAGAAGAAGCTGCACACTGATGGGGACATCTAAAAGGACATATCTTCCCGATTGCATTTACCCACTTCCAACCATGTCTATTGTCAACAAGGCATGGACACTCAAGAAAGAATAATAAAGGTGCCCCTTCTAAACTAATGCAAGGAATGGTTGCAGAGTCGCCTGTCAGACATTGCTTGCTGATAGAGATTATGCGGGTTGCATCCGTGTTTGAAATCTAGCCTAGGAGATTCCAATTCTGGTATGACTAGATTGAAATCAATCTGTGATGAAACTTTCACCAGTTTACACTGCAGGAGAAAAAGAAAATATATTTTTTTCATATTTTTTTTCAGATACATTATATTATACCAGATAGCTTATATCTTTCCTAATAAGTTGGTACTAAAGTGGTTTTTGTTTTATGCAATAATGGTGTAAGCATAGGGTCATTTTTTTATAATGGCAATATTTTGAAAATAAAATTTGTCAGTCACTATATTGCTGGTTCTCAGGTGCTCTCTCTCTATTTCTCTCTCGCAGTAGGCTAAATACAAAAGAATAGAAAGAATGATGTAGCAAACACGCCTAAAGAGTATTTCAATTTCTGCCCTTTTCCCAAAAACGTATGCCTTTTTTCCAAAAACGTACACTCTTTCCCAAAATATTTAGAAGATCCAAGAAATGGAATCATCAAAGCCAGTCAAATTACCCAAGTGTTTATTATGGATAATCTATGGTATTGTAACATTTTGAACATGCTAATAAACTCATGAAACTACTAAGGGGAGAAAACAGGAAAGAGTTTCATACTAAAAAATAGAGCTGGCAGGGCCGTGTGTTCAGCTGTTAAAGGATTCACCTCTACTACAAGACATCATGAAAAATTACATTTCTCTATTTACATATCTTATCTACAAACTATAAGCTTATTGTGCATACAGTTTTCCTTGATTTACTTTTCTATTTCTAGCCCCTAACATAGTACCTTTCACAGAGTAGGTCAATAAGTGTTTGCTGACTAAATCAATAAGTGTTAGTTTTCTGTTAGATAATAAAATCTTTCAAATGACTGATACATTGAGAGAGAAAAATAAAAGAAATGGGAAACTACTATAGTAATAAAGATGGTTAATTACTTAAGTAAGAATTTGCTTTTTCTTTTAAGACCCAATCAATCCAAGAACTTAGTTTTGAATACGCTAGCTTAGTATACAATGATTGCCTAGATGTCAATATACAAATATGGAGATTTTCTTTCTATAGACCAGGATTTGCAAACTATGGCCCGTGAGCCAATCCAACCTGATACCTGTTTTGCAAATAAAGTTTTATTGACACACTCCCATAAGTTATGTATTATCTATGGCTACTTTCACACCACAATGGCAGAGTTGAGTAGTTGTTATAGACATCTGTGGCCTGGTTCATAAACATAAAGCCAAGTTTATTATCTGGCACTTTGCAGAAAAAAGTTTGGAGATCAAAAGTAGCTATAGATCATCACTCTCCTATATATCCTAAGCCTAGTTAAATGGCAAGTTTGATTATATGTCTCATAACTAAATGAATTTACTAGTCTCTTGATTGTGCCCTTAATAAATCTTTAAGTGGACCATTCATCCAATTGGTCAATAAAACGTCACAACATATCAATCCCTATCCTAACACACTGATGGCCAAACCAGTACATCCTGGTGGTAGGGGTATGCCACTTTTTCTGGATGCCATCTCTTAAGCACATTCCAGGATCACATTTTACCATTCCATCTCCCATAGAATATGATGCAAGCTGAGGAGAACTAACTATGCATCCAGAGAAAAGTGGCTTTCCAAAATAGTCATGCATGACAATATCAAAGCATGAATGGAAAGGCTGTGTTTTAATGGTACCCGGGATTTGTTTCAATCAGGTACAGACACAGAAATGGTTGTCATAAAGGAAGAAGTTTTTATATTACTCACAGTCCCCTAGAGACAAGAGGCATAGCATACCATGCAGAGCCACATGGGGAAGCACCAAGGTGAGATGAGCAAGCAGAAAGAGAGAGAGAGAGGAGCTGTGAATGGGAACCTTTACTGGGTTTCTCATGGGAAGAAACAGGTGAGGCAGGGTAAGCAGCCTTGAGATTGGACAGTTTGAATAATTTTGGTAGGCTCTGGCTCTAGGGGTGGTCCCTAGTTGTCTAGTACCTGGCCTTGAGGTGATTAGGACAGGGTGATAGTGTCCTAGAGTGGACGGAGGCAGATAGGTTATGTTTTCTTTGTATATCGAAGGTATGCTTGTAGGTTTACTATCTCTAAGAAACAGCTAACCTAGTGGGGTAGGGGAGGAGACCCTCCTAAGTCAGTAAGACCCCATGTGTCAGAGCATCGAGAATACAGCACATTTAAAAATACAGTTGCTACAGGTAGCAATGTTTAATGTTGGCTAGATCCAGAACTACCATGTCTCTAGTTCATTCTTAGAATCTGGATTGCAGTGCAGGACTTTACATTTTGTTCTGGCGCTGGGCATGGGCTTCTTATTAGCTTTCCTGGGTGGGGGACTCCAATCTGCTGTTTGTGACTACTTTACTTCCCAGGACAGGCTTAAGCCACAGAAAGGCACAACATTTGGGAGACAAAGGCAGACTGAGTTCTGGGGAAAAGTTTAGTGAGATTTCAGGACAAGCGATGGGCCAAAGAGGAGTCAAGAATTGTCAATCAAGAACACATTAATTGAGACAGTAGCAACTCCATTCCAGTTCTGAGAAGGCATTCATATCCAGGAAAGCATCCCAGCTCAGAGAGTAGAAGAGCATTCACTCTCACCCCTGTCCTTTAAGTCCATGAGACTCCCACACACCACTCAAATCAGCCAGTTAGGCAAGTACAGCACATCTCTCAATTGTCTACAAAAATCACCCAGAATCATTTGTACGCTGTCCGCTCTTCCTCTGAACTTGCATCTGTCAAATGGTAAGCTCCCAATTCTATATGTTAACCTTGATTCTGCCTTTGCCCTTTGTACCTGGTGTCTGTAACCAGCATTTGATTTCAACTTTCTTTAAAGAGACTTAGTGTTGGCTGGCCCCCTGGGTCTTCACCTTTAACCCACAGTTTCACAGTTTCCCTCCTCTCCTCATAGGCTGTTTGGCTGTACCATATGTTCACCTCCACTCACCTTATACCTTACAATTATTGAGAAGGGAAGTGGGCATGCCAGGGTAAGATCTCAAGACTTTCGAGTAGAGGCAGAACACAGGTATCCAGAGAAATCTATCTAATACGCATTGAAGAAGACCAGAGTCAGGCCCAGTCTAGAAAAACAATGCCAACAGTGCCCAAATGTCCAGCTAGGTAAGAGAGTTCTTCTCTACCAGGAATGGCAGTTATCAAATAGAAAAACTCCAAATGTCTTGCCAACCCAGACCAGAGATGGAGAGATAGTCAGATGGGGGTCTTACAAAGAATGGAATCAAGCAGCCATTCTTCAGTACTGCCACTGAAAAACGAAGAGATAAGTTCATCACCCTCCAAAGGCCCATAGATATAACATAGTAGAATATAATCACATTAGTTAATATTTCTTGAATACTTGCTATATGCTAGGAGTTTAAATTTTTCAAAACTTTTTCAGATGAAAAGGGTAAGGATTAAAGAGGGTGTGATCTGCCTGGGGTGCCGCATATATAAGGGTGGCTAGGACCCTTTGAGAGTAAAAGCTGAGCTATCGGTAATTATGCTAACCAAATAGAAAAAGCCTGGATTGCCTGGAGAAAATCAGGGATATGACCATCCTGCATATAATAAGTATTGGAGCTGGTATTCAAACCCAGGCAAATCCTCTTCGGCCCCTCTCCTTACTGAGGCAAGGGTGTGAATATTATGTCCAGCTACAGCCATAGGTAGAATGTGCCACAGGAGAATGTGCCTGGCAGCCCGCAGGAAGCAGAGTGTTACTTCATGATGAGACCTGAACCAGAGATTGACAGTTTGAAAATAGTGAATTGCAAAAGAGAGATTTTTAAAAATTGCAATATCCCAATAACATATGCCAAGATGTTTAATAAGAATGTATTTCTTATAATTATAGGAGCTGAAACAAAAACAGAGGTTGCAGGGAATTAGACAAAATTCAGGCAGTTCAATGATTAGAATGGTTCCACATACGCTGAGGAGTTGCAGAATTGTGACACCCTGGCATCAAATTAGACTTCTACACACCTGCCATATTTTTGCCTCAAAACAGATAATTAAAATATACCTCGATAACATCTTTATTGTTATAGTGTGTTGAGACCCAATTAATCCAAGCAATAAAAATAGTGATAATGCCTCAGATTTATATGACATCTATTTTTTTTTCAGTCAAAGCTCAAATTGCTTACCTGGTAATTATTATCTCATGTATGTATGTAGTCATGGAATCATCTGTAGAAAGAAAGGTAGAATATAACTCTCCCTAGTTCTTTGCCTGCTCCCTCTATTTTATAGTTGGAGGAACTTGATTCTAGCATGCACAAATGGCTTTGCTGTGACCCAGGAGGGAAGACAGAAGAGAAATCTCATTATGTGCATCTGTTGATGATACAACCTCATGTCATTAGTCAATAACAGAGTAATCGGCCCCACATTGAACTTCAGTGAGAGCCAGGACAGAAGTGGCTGCATAATGGTCCCTAGCCCCAATTCTACCACTGTTCTAAAAATTCCCTGATATCTATTTCTCCTTCTGTGGAATGGGAGAAAAAGGTATCTATCTCTTTTTAAATGAAATAAGGTACTTTATACAACTCTAAGTGTTATAAATATACAACCAGACATCGTAAGAGTGTCTGTGTAACAGGAAGAGAAACAAAGCCAATTCAGGACAACATTCCTGGACCAAGGAGTTGACGTGTCCTAAAGAGAGGAAGGAATACACTCTCTGAGGACTCCTTGCCCTCATTCCCCCATTAACATTTTCACAGCCCTTCAGAAAAGGGTTCCAAGCTGGATTTCAGACCCTGCTGTTCTCCTCTCCAGTTTTTGCATAGCTCCTTGTTACATTTATCCTAATGCTGGTCTTCAAGGACTGTCTGCATGATTTCTAGTTCTTCTTCCCTTTGGAAATGAATGAAACATTCTATTCGAAAGAGCCCCATGGCCACAAAAAAAAGAAAAAATTATAGGGCACTGGTACACTTCACATTTTGAGCCAAATAAGTTCAGATGCCCCCAGGATTTTTCTTTTTTCTCATAAAGTAATGGGAATTGTTAAGTGTTTTTCGAACTGCGGTTCAGAAGATGCTATGGTCCAATCCCGCAAAGGGCCCGAGGTCTCTCCCAGGAAGCAGTGAATGCAGCTCTCATGGAGCTCCTGATTGCAGAAATACTGCTCCCTTGTGTTTCTGTTATTGTTGGTGTGTGAAAGTCAAGAGGGATAGAGTTTTGTAGGTTTGTGCGTAGAAGCCTAAAACTCTTATGCCAAGTCTCCACAGTGATGGCATGGCTGGGACTTTTGCCTGCTTTGCTACCATATTAGTTGTATGCATTCCAAATCTATGCATATTTCTGGAACAAAGAGATACAAATATTGTAATCACTTTCAGGGTACTCCTGTTAGCATCTCTGCTGAATTTTCTACTCTTATTTCACTTTATGACGCAATTTCTATGAAGCCAAAATTAAGGACTGTCTTTAGTCCGTAAACTCTCCCACTCCTCTATTCAGTATTTCCAGATCCTGAACACATGCCCAAGAGAAGTAAATTTTACCAAAATATGGACAACCATTCTGAAAAACTGAGGACCCATAAATTATTTACACATGCTAGACATTATCTAAAACTCTATAATATTCTGCATTTTCATAAGAGTTGAATATATTTTGATTGATGAGAAGTATTATCTGGATGTTATCACTGTAAGAAATGACCTCATGAGTATAGACTCTACATGATGTTACAAATACAAGTATTCCAGAAAAGTTGGCACAAGGTGACTGTTATGTGGTTTTGCTGAAATTCAAATCAATTCAAGAAACATTTGTTGAATGTGTACTATATGCCAGCCTGGCCACTACTGCATGTTAGTATTACAACAGGGATGAGGAAAAGGGGAAAGGATGAATATTTTCTGGAGCATCTGTTTTGTGTCAATCACCATGCTTGGTATTTTAAGTGCTTCAATTCACATGATCATTGAAATAAATATGAATGGTTAATTTTAATTTTCTCTGCTTTATAGATGGGAAAACTGAAGCTTTGATGGATTAAACAACTTTGGTCTTACAACTATGAAATGACTAGACAGGGTTTCAAACCTAGGTCTAATCCAAATTGAATGCCTCTTTCCATTTTTTCTGAAAAGGCTTCCTTGACCCTCCATATTCTGGGACTGACATTCCTCCTATGTACTCCTATTGCTTCCTGTTCTTCTCCTGTCCATGTACTTGTCATATTTCATTATAATTGCTTAGTTTATAACCACCCAATAAATTTTTTATCAGGAAAGATTTTGGGAGTCTTGTTTGCCTTGGATATTAGTACAGTGACTGGCACATAGTAAGGCCCTAATAACCAACATTGACTAAATATATCATATAGCGTTTCCTCAAAATAAAAATTATACGAGCCATAAAGTTTTCTTTTTGACATGTAAGGAGAAAGCTCTGCAGTGTCCTCTGCTTCCTGTGGGTCCACATGATCCTACTGAATTGAGGTAAACTAGGCCCTCTATGCAGCAGAGTCACTCTGGCATCACCCTGTTGGCATCTGGTCTTGTCTATTCTAAGTGACTACCACCTCTCTACTACCTTTAGTCTGATATAAATGCTTTGAATGTAACCATTTAAGAAGAATTTTTTTTACCATTTTGATTGTACCAGACACTATCCTAGGACAAAGAGCACGTGTCCCACATGTAAGAATCTGAGCCTCCCGGACAGGCGCCTTGACTCACACCTGTAATCCCAACACTTTGGGAGACCAAGGCAGGCAGATTACTTGAGGTCAGGAGTACAAGACCAGCCTGGCCAACATGGAGAAACCCCATCTCTACTAAAAATATAAAAATTACCTGGGCATGGTGGCACATGCCTGAAATCCCAGTTACTGGAGAGGCTGAGGCAGGATTATCACTTGAACTTGGGAGGCAGAGGTTGCAGCAAGCCGAGATTGTGCCACTGCACTCCAGCCTGGGTGACAAGAGTGAGACTCCTTCTCAAAAAAAAAAAAAAAAAAAAAAAAGAATTTGAGCCTCCTTGTAGTCCAACCCAGGGAGCTGGAGAGCCTTTGGCCAAAGAGGTTCTTGAAACATGTGACATCACCTGGGTGATATTTGTGAGAATGCTCAGTGGTCAATACATTGGATTAACAGATAAAAATGGATGGGGGACACCTACAGCTTCTATAAGTAAAGTCTCCATACTTCAAAATGTGAAGCTGGACCAGAGAATTGTTCAATTCCATTTGACTAATATTCTAAGCTTTGATCCTGAGCTGGCTAGCCACAGAGGGATAATTCCATAGTCATCTAGCAAATTAAAATAACTGTTCATTTGTAGAATGAAAATAATACCTACACATAACCTTTAGTTTAAATCAGAGCTGAGATTTTCCACTTTTTGTGGTCACACTACCTAGGTTCAAACTATGAAGTGTATATAAACTGGAGGCTGCAATTGAATTCACTAAGAAAGCAATAACTATTCCTATCCAAGGTAAAGTAGTCTGAAAAAGTAAATTAAAACTTTTGGGTATAATATTGATATTTAGTTGGTATTTCTTTGTAGCCACTACCAGGAAGATCACAAGAGAAATGTCCTATGGAAAGTGCACTATGAAATAGCACCAAAATCTCAAGACACAATCGAAAGGAAAAGATCTCAACTAGAGAGAAGAGAAAGCTTGAATTTCTTGGTGCTCAATTTATCCCTCTGAAGAATCAGGGCTGCTCTTGAACTAATTTGTAAAATAAAAAGCACATGTAAATTTAATGGATTTTATTACATCACAGTGGCAGTATTAACTGCTCATTTAAGGTGGAAAAATAGAATTTCAACTATTTCTGGCAGGAAAAGGACCTCAGATATTTGCCTAAGAATATTTAGTAGGTTAGTCATGAACTGCATACTGTTAGGAAGACATAGAGTACGGTTCAAAAGTGGGTGATTCAAGAGCCTTGTTTATCTAACAGCGTGTATTTGAATTATCATTATTAAATTGAATTGCATTGAATGAATAATGAGCCATTTGATAACAATGTTAACTCAGTGAATCAGTATCTGCCTCGACCCAATCAGATAAATTTTTCACTCATTGAAAGATTTCTGGCCATTTAAGATAAATTATCTAGATCAACCAAAATTTTCAGGCATCCAGATTTCCAATTATGTTGACTTATTATCTTAGAACTTCAGCATATTAATTAGCAGTTTTATCTCTTCTTTCTGTATTTCTTGTTGTTTTTCCAGAGCTTTGTGTTGGGGTTAAATGCTGAGATACTTATGTAAATGAATTAGCAAACCCAGTATTCAAAGCTACTGGAATACAAAGCTGATAGAGATAGGAACTCATTCTTGGAGGCTGTGAATAAAACAAACTCTCTCCTAAGTTCTTTGGTTCACAGAGATACCCTTGGATTCCCAAGTCCATGTAAGAGTCTTCCTTCTGTCATCAAGAGAAATTCAGCCTTGAAAAAGGATACTGGAGCCTCATGGAACACTTCACAACTTAAGAAAAAAAAAAGCCAAACGAGGAATTTGGGGCTTCCAGATTGGGACCTTTTCTCGTGGTAACTTTTCCATATGCAAAAGTCCTCTCATGGCACAAAGGGTAGAGTTAATTACATCCAGCCAATGCAGTAGGTGATTTTGTGATGTTTGGGAAACAAAGCAAATTTTAGAGCCAAAACATCGCTTAAAGATCTTCTAGTATATCTTTCTAATTTTAGAGTCAAACATTAAAGCCAAGTTTGATTAAATAACTAGTTCAAGATCAAATTCAGTGGCAGAATTAAGAATAGGACCCAGACGTGCTAATTTCCTGATACCCACTATTTTACATCACCATTCCTGTTTTTCCTACTTAACACACACACCTTTTATTTTATTTTTTTTAATGAGAAAGAGCACATTTATCCTACCTACCTCTCTTTTGAAAACGTAACATTTTTACCCTCTTGTCAACTCCATCCCCATCACTTGCCTTCTCTTTCTTTCACCCCTAAGCTATTTATGTAGTTAGAAAAAAATGTCTGAAAGCCTCAAGGAAACCAATATTTCTTGCGACATTCAAGCCCTCTCCTGTTCTGATGGCCAGGAATTCCACAGTCAGCATTTTTCTGCTGTTTCTATTGAAACCAGAAAGTAAGTGTAGGAGAAAGTTATCTGAAAATTTAAGAGCAGCAAGAAAAATAAAAAAGTTTAGTTTAAATTTCGTTCTGGAAGCTATGAACTTTTCTATAACAGAAGGTCTTTCATTACGGTAGTGATAGGCAGCAGCAAGCTGGACTCACCGGACTAATTGTTGAATAGACAAATATTAATCAACATCACTCGACAATAAGGCTATCACCTCACTGTGCCATGTGGAGGTCAGCCACCTATCCACTCTATTGGTCAGCTTCCAGTCTGGGGAGAGCATTACTGTTCTATTTCCTGGAGCTCTGTAAAGCAATAAAAGTCTGCTATGCCCTGGAGAAGAGAGCTATGTAAATATCAGTCAGCGTCTTGATGATAATATTTTGGATTTATACAACTTCCCTACTCCAAGGAGCCATGCATCCATAGGATCACTTATCTTGACAGCCTCTCTGCAAACAGAGATGGCAAGTACCATTAACTCCATTTCACAGACGGGAAAGGCGAGATCGAATCTCTACGTTGCTGGGGTCACCCAACCAACTTAGGAGTCATAAGTGATGGTGACACTTTTTTAAACAACGTGTTTTAGGCATTTTAAAACACAAAGAATACTTTTTATTTAACATGGATTTGTCCATAGGAGTCATTGATTTTAATTTGTCATCATTGATTCCTTAGGGACTTTAATATTTTATTTTTCTGGCACCTTCTGGCACTAAAGCTGAGTATAAATATTGTGAACTTTACTTAGATGTTGACTCTCTTTCATTTACTCTCAGGGAGTGAAATAAGCTAAGAATCTCAACTAAAATTTTCCAGGTTTCTTGCACTGGACAGCAAATTATATATGATACATTGGATGCATGATAGATTATAAAGCACATAGAATTTGGAGCCAGGAATTTAGGTTCAAGTTCTGGCTATGGCCATTATAGGTTATAGATTTATTGTTTATCTCATAAAGTTTTATTTTTAAATTTATGATAAATGTATGTGAAAACATTTGATAAATGGTAAAATAATTCAAATATTTGTCAGTTCTTATAATTTAGATGCCATCATTTAAAAACTATATACTATACAGACAAACTGCTAACCTGTCTTTTGAACAGTGCAGTAGAAAATCAAAACCACCACACAAAAGACGTTCCTGCAGGCCATCTTGTAAAGGTTCTGTGGAGAATTACTGAGGGAAAAAAACACTCTGGTTTGTGTGACAGGAAATTCCAAAGTTACAAAATTTGAAAGTTCAGGTTGAGATTAGTCTCAAACACTTCACAGCTTTTTCAGTATTATATGGTAAATTGAATAGTTTTCTTGTATTACATGTTATATCATCTTCAGAAAATCACTTGGTCCTCAGCAAGTGACTTACTCTAAATCACACTCTTAGTAAAATGGCCCAAATTTAGTACATTATCTCTCTCATATGGGCACTTAAAATGTTTTTCCAGGATTTTTTACATTTTCGATACGTATATAAGGGAAGATTCTAAGCTGTTCTATTCAAAGATTTACCATATTTCCATAATATGATGGTAGCTAGGAATTTCCTTTATTGTCTCTCTGTCCTATTGTTTATGTTTCTTCCAATAACTTGCTTTTCATCATTAGAAACTGATCCCCCTTTTGAAAATATTTTACTCTATGTCTAGTGACAACACTGTTTTTTATCTTTGACCACAAAGCAGATAACAATCGTGAATGTCATATGGACTACCAAATACAATCAAATAATTCTGAACCAAGTAATTCTCCAGTCTACAGTCTTTCTAAATAGTGTACCCTAATTATATTAATAGATACATTCCTAACAATTTCTGATTTTTTATGTCTGTTAGTTACCCCCCATCACATGGCAGTAATACATTTTAGTCTCTTTTCACATTGCCCATAGGTCCTAGATTTTTCAATAGACCCATAAAATCTCCATTGATTATTTTATATGTGGTATTTACATTTAATATTTTGTGAATTAGAATAACCACATTCCTACCAATAAGGAGCGTAAAATCTGAGTACCAGCCCCATTTTATAGACAGGAAGATGCAGCTAATATTGCTCAGGAAATCATATTTTGGCTACACAACTAAAGTCAGATGAACAAATTGGTTTTATGCCACATGTCATTCCCAGTGAATGGAGGCAGCACAGTGTAAAGAAGTATTTTGTGGTCAGTTGCTGGGATAGGATTGGAAAACAATGTCTGCCACACCTTGGAAATGAGATGGGGGGGGAAGGGCACACCCTTCAAAAATTCTTGCCCAACTAACTAGAACAAGTGGTAGATGTCACTGTCGGTTCATAAATTAGAGATTGTGTGAAAGTCATTTAAAAATTTAAGGTCAACCCTGGAAGCTTGTGTGGATTTGTTATTATGTGCTGCCTCACTGCATAATATTGAAACAATCCTCTTCTAAGGAGTTTAAATAAATTCCATTTTCCTTGGCCTGACTTTCAGCACTTTTCACTGTCTGACCCAAACTTGCCTTTTCAGTATTATCTCTAACAACTCACTTTATCAAAACTCCAGTAGAATAAATGATTTATTCATTATTATCCAAATGCACTTTACATTTTCTTGATTCAAAATCTCCCCCATATCTCCCTAAAGGCTTTTTCCCTTTCCTTTTTATATATTCAGATTATACATTCTTGCAGAGGTGGCCAAAATGGCTCTCTTCCTTATCCAGTTGTTCTCCCATATCTACGGTCTTACAGCATTTATAGTATTATTCATTTGGCAATTAATCAGGTGCTCATACTTTTAGTGTATATGTTATTGGCTTGTTTATATCTGGCATTATTATTTAACTCAGCATTTTTCTGACATTCAGCAGTAACTAATGTGGACTTTCCTTGACACAGAAAGAAAGAATATCATATTTCTCTTTGCATCTCAATGAAAAAATAATTTTGTTATGTGCTCTTCAAAGTCCCAGGTTCTAGAAGGGGGGGAAAAAAAAAAAGGAGGCACAGTTAGCAGTACTCCAGGCCTCCATTCCAAATCTAGAGAGATCAATGCCAAGTTTACTTAATCCATATTTTGGGGTTCGTACTCCTTGAATGTCTTAACCACCATTGTATACTTCTTTCTGCCATAGCACTGACTTAGTGCTTTTTAAGCGAAAACAGAGGTAGCAGGGTAGTACTAGAAATAGACCTGAAGTAAGCATAATGAGACATGAAATCTTGACCCAAATTCTACCAATAAACACTTGGGTAATTATGTACATGTAACTCAGCCTCTCAGAGCCTCAGATTGCTTATTTGGGAAATAAAGGATTTGGATTAGATTACCCTGAAGATATCTACGTTCTCTTCTCTCCTCACACTCATCTCGCCAAGCCACTCTAACCTGAGAATACAGAAAGTGCTCAGTAAATGTCAAAAGGATAAATCCTGCTAACCTTGGCACAGTTGTCCACCTTAAAAAAAAATAGTGTATACACACACACACACCATACACACATATATACGTGTATATGATTTTTGTACTTTGATTTTTCTACTTGGAGTCTAGTTTATGTTTAAAATCATTTACTTCAGTAAATTCAAGATATACCAGTCAGACCAGGAAATAAAGAAAACAAAGTATTCAAAGTACTTATCACCAATTTTTCATAAATCATAGCTAGTTATCAAGGGAATGGGCAATGGCACCACTAAGATTCTTCCCGTCTGGGCTGAACCAGGAGGAATGCCAACCAGATCAGTAATAACAGCCTCCTGAGTGGGGAAAAATGAAGGCTGTTGAATTTTGTATTCTGCTCATTTCTATTTTAGAAGAAAACAGTTGACACTGTCTCATTGAAAAGAAAATGCACTCAGATTTCATCATCAAATAGTATTTATTATTAATCCCAGGAGGGTGCACGGGGCTGTGCTAAGCATGCCAATTTGCCTGCCACCTGCTAGTGGCATTTTTATGTGTAAGAACCTGGTCTTCTTGCTGTTGACGCTAAAGGTGAGAAAGGGCAGTGACAAAAAGATTAAAGGGATGAAAAATAGACTTTGGAGGAAAGGTCACAAGAATTGCAAAAGGTTAGTCAGAAAGGAGAAAGCAAAGGGTTGCTTGGTTACTGTTTTTCAGCCTAGGGATGGTTTTCAGATGGCGCATTATCTATGAACAGGTAACCTCTACCACTGCAGAATACCAAACAAGAGGGAATGCATTTAGATTAAGCAAGGGAAATGTTCATTCGCCAAAAGAAATGGACTACTTAGAGAGACTGTAGAAGTTCTGTTTGTGGAGATGTTTAAGGAAGAATGGTGATTCACATCTCCTGAGGGAGGGACACAATGGACCAAGTCTGTCTGAAGGCAGGACTGCGAGCTCTTAGGTCATGATTTGCAGTTATTCTAAAATGATTGCCTTGATTTCCAGGTTCAAGGATCTCCTTGATGTGGAGCCATCACTCTAGCAATACAAAATCAGGAAAGATTTCACAGTGAAATAAACATCTGAACTGAGCCCGAGTGAGATTTGACAAGTGGAAATACAGAGAAAGGCAATTCTAGGCAAATGAACAAAGGCATTGAGACATTGTGTATATGGGATAAGTGATACTATGCCTTGTAATCAATGATTCAGACTTTGAAGTTAAGAAATTTATTATTTGAATCTTAGCTATACTGCGTATTAGTCACATAGCCTAGGATAAGTCCTTGATTTCTAAACCTCAATGTACTCATATATAGAACAGAAAAAAAAAAAAAAAAAAAAAAAAAACCTTACTTTTACAAAGCTATTGTCAGGATTAATGAGAAGTGTATAGAAGGCATAGCACAGTGCCTGGCACTCAGTAGATGCCTAATAAATGGTATAGTGATAACACTAATGACAGTTATTATTACTATAAAAATGAAAGCAATTCAATTTAAGTGGGAAATTGAATGTATATGAAAGAATAATGGAAAAATAAGGTTAATACGGGCCTTTACACACCTCCATATGTTGCATGTGCCTTACAATGAAATACTCCTATTTCTCTGCATCAATCAAAAAGAAATTCCATGAATCCCCCACACGAAGTTAGTTGCTTCATCCTCTGCTCCCAGAGCATGGTGAACATGGCTCTGTTAAAGAACTTAGCACAGAGAATTATGTATTTTTGCATGACTGCCAGCTACATGAGGGCAGGAATGAATCTTGTTGAGTTTTCTAGCCTCATATCCTAGCACAATACTCAGAAAATGTTTGTTAAGTGAATGACCCTGCTCTTCACTTCCAACTTCCTTTAGTGCTTCCTTTATATAAGGAGGCAAAAGAAATGTCATCATTTGACTTTCTGCAGCACCACTCAGGAGGCCTGGAAGGAAGAAGGTCTTGCACTGGCCTGGGCTGGCTTGTGCTTGCCATGAATTCTTATGCTCCTGGTGTCCTTGATGTTCATAGTGGCCTTGGGCTCATGGAGTTACAACTATATGCTAAGCCTGGGGCCATATCTGCTTAGTAAACTACTGAGCTACATTTAATGAATTCTAAATGGAAAGGGGACCTATGGAATGAAGTGACCCCATTTTATCTTTTCACTGCCTCTGCATTACCCAGCATGAGCTAGTGCCAAATACCATTGCTACTTGAGTGCATTACATAGTAAGCCAAGCTGATTGCTCTAGTAACATGAAAGAGCCAACCCCAGCATAAAAAGGTTTTCTATCATTTTAGAAATTTGATTCAAAGCATACCTATGATATAGTAGAAAGAACTCTAGACTGAAACAACCTGGATTTGAATTTGGCTCTGTCTCATGTTAGTTCTTTGGCCATTCTAAGCCGTTCATCTCTCAGATTGTCCTTAGCAGTGAAAGAATAATCATGCCTACCTTACAGGGCTGTCATGGAGATGAAGACTTTTGTTTATCTGTGTGGTTTTCACTCATTTATTCATTCATTTTCTGTCTGATTCATGAAGAAAAAGTAGCAATGTTTTTGTGATAGTTTGAAAATTATAAGATGTAAATGTAAGATACTATATTCAAGATTCTTAAAAGTCTTTCTATAAAAGTAATTATCACCCATTTTTATTAATAAAGCCTGAAGCAAGTGAGATTGTTTTAAAAAAATCCAACACTCAATAAGTAACCAGCTTACTGAATCACAATGATAGGGTATAATTCCCTGTCCTCACACAATTTAAAAGTAAACTACATCTTAAAAGAATAAATATATAAATCACTGTATCTATTATGATCTTATCCTCTTTCAATACGATCAAGGATTTCACATTGTTGTCGGCTTTTTTTCTATACAGCAGTCAATAACAACACTTGACTGAGAGAAGTGACAGTCTTCGTATGACTATTTCTTAGCCACCTAAATATTATCCAGAAATAAAATAGAAGAAAACTTCTGAAAAAAAAAGATTTTGAGAGGCAGATACAAATCAATCAGCATACTGGAATGTGGATCGCCAAAACTCGAGAGCAGCAATTTTCAACCATTGGTGAATTAATAGTAATCAATTCTACTATTGTGTGATATACATGAATACTTCTTTGCATACACATACTGCAGAGTGCAGCATAATTTAGTGAAAAGGTAATAGCACGTGGAGTAAGGGAAAAAAATCAATTCCTCCTTTTCTATTTGTGGGCCAAATGATTTCATTTAAGTCACTTAATTCTGACACTCAGTTTCCTGTAAACTGTAAACTCTAAAATGCAGATTACAATACTCATCTTGTCTACCCAGGTTATTGTGAAAATCAAATGAATTAATATACGTAAAAAATATTGGAATATTCACTTTCTATATCTTTATAATAGCTATTTAAACATTCAAATCTAGATGATATGAAACTGTGGGGGTTTTTTTGGGGTGTTTTTGTTTTTTGAGACAGAGTCTCACACTGTCACCCACGCTGGAGTGCAGTGGCTCCATCTCAGCTCACGGCAAGCTCTGCCTCCTGGGTTCACGCCATTCTCCTGCCTCAGCCTCCCGAGTAGCTGGGACTACAAGTGCCCACCACCACGCCCGGCTAATTTTTTGTATTTTTGGTAGAGATGGGGTTTCACCATGTTAGCCAGGATAGTCTCGATCTCCTGACCTCATGATCCACCCACCTCGGCCTCCCAAAGTGCTGGGATTACAAACGTGAGCCACCACGCCTGGCCCGTTTTTTTGTTTTTTTGTTTGTTTTTTGTTTGAGACGGAGTTTCACTCTTTCGCCCTGGCTGGAGTGAAGTGGCATGACCTCAGCTCACTTCAATCTCTGCCCCCCGGGTTCAAGAGATTCTCCTGCCTCAGCCTCCTGAGTAGCTGGGATTATACACGCCCACCACCACGCCTGGCTAATTTTTGTATTTTTAGTAGAAACAGGGTTTTGCCATTTTTGCCAGGCTGGTCTCGAACACCTGACCTCAAGTGATCTACCAGCCTTGGCCTCCCAAAGTGCTGGGATTACAGGCGTAAGCCACCATGCCTGGCCTGAAACTGTGTTTTGAGGTCACTGGTAGACAGTATTAGCAGAATGATATTTTTTATCTATGTGGAAAAAGTGCAGATGAGGAAACGAATGATAAAGCAACCATAACAATTTATGTAAGAATTTCTAGAATCTTGATGCTGACCATCAAACTTCTTCCCGTCCTACCATTAATGACTTGCTTTGGACCTTTTAGTATAGATGGCTCTTCCATTTATCATAGTAATCAAGCTAGGATTTCAACAAAATTAAAGCTAGAAGGCATCTCTCTGAGATATTTGAGTATTATACTCTGTCTTCCTATCTAGTGCAGTTTTCCATACTTGATTAAACATGGTTATTAGAAAGCGCTGCTAATTTTTTGCCTTGTTTTAATTCCTATGACTCGAATAATCTAAGTATCATATCCAAAATGGTATATATTTACTTATTTTATATATGTATCATATATATGCACATATATATGATACATATATTTCTCCTCTAAGCTTATACGATCTCACATTGTTGCTTGAAGAGTCCACCTACATACATTTACCCAAATACAAGGTTGGTACCTTTATGGCCTGTGTTCTCAGAGACTACTGGGAGTTAAGGCAGCAGATGTTCCATGATATACATCAGATGTACAACTCTGGGACCTAAGTTTGTCCTATAAAATTGCACAACAAAGCCATCACCTTGTGGAGGGATGGGAAGGAGTAGGAACAACAGATGGGCAGAATAGAACAAATCAGGGTTAGAGACCAGACCCTTGAGCAAAAACCTCAGGATCTCCTGGCACCCCTACCATTTTCTTGTGGTGGCTTTGGCAGATCTCCTTCCTTCCTTCCAGGTTGAGGAGGGAGGAGAGGAGAGAGTTCTGCATTTAAGGTGGGGGATTTGGGAGTCATTGACTGCTGCACTCAGATTAATTTTCCTCCAACTCTGTGGATCTTAGGCGGCAGAACCAGGACATTGAAAGTTGCCTGCTATGACTGGATTCTCTACCAAATGCAAAAACAAAAACCCCTCTGTTATCAAGAAGTCACTTTTTTCAATAGTATTTCTCTAATGATCACATATTGTTTCCCAGAAAGTGCTCCTAAATTATTTAGGAGGAACAGCCTGTCACCCCATGCATTAAGATTTGCCAATGCAGGTACAATTCCTAAGTTATATGCGATCTCATCCCTTTGGCTTTGGGAGGGAAACCGACAACAAAGGGATTTTTTTTTTGTCTGTTTGTTTGGAAGGGTTGCTTTTATTTTTGTGTGAAGAGAAAATGATGAGGATTGTTTCCTAAGGTGGAATTACAAATTACAGAAATCGGCTATTTCCTCTAACCTAGACTTGAGCTATTATCATAATATGATCAGTGCTAAGCAAACACAGGAATAAAGAAAACATTTCATAATAATTAGTTGTGGACATTTTTAAAAGTGAAATAATGCTCTGGCCTTTAATCAGGGCAATAGCCTGCGGGTGAATGAAAAGAATAGCAAAAGAAAAAAAAAAATAGAAGAAGGTGACATTTCAGAGAGCCAGAATAGTGAAGAGGGGAACGGAATGTAGGGAAGGATCATGAGACAAGAATATGAGGGGAAACAGAAGATAGAATGGAATAGAAGGGAGGGGAAAAGGAAAATATGGGAGGTAAAGGAGGGGGTAAGGAGAGAGGCAAACAGGGAAGAGATTGCAGGTAAAAATAAAACAGAAAAAGCCCAGGTGGAATTCATGCAAACTGTTCTCATCAACACTGCTACTCCCTCCTGTCACTGGAACTGTCAAACAGGCTCCGCTCGTAATGAAAGGAAAAATATTTTATTCAGATTTATTAATTTGAAAATGAAGCCCGCCTGTCGAGAGGGGGACAGTTCTTCTCAATCTGTCATCGTTGAACCACACGCTCCTGACACCGGGATTCATTTGTCTTGTCGGCTCTGACAGTTGGATTCTCCCAGAGCTCTTCCTAGTGGATCGCCCTGGGATTTTAAACCGGATGAAACACATTCCGACAAGGAACAGCCTCTTTATTAATGCAAATTACATGAGGAGGAGAGAAAAAAAGAGAGAAAGAAGAGAGACGCCAGCAGCCGCTGTGGTGTTCTTATCCCTGTATCAGTCATTTGTTATTTACATTTATACACATTTTTCAGTTTTAATAAAAGGAGACCCGGATTTTCAGTGACATTTATGGACAGTTTGTTTCAAAAAAAATGATGCCATCACTATAATTGTATGCAAAAAAAACTGCGCCGTGTTCCCCTCTGTTGTGTGCGCCGCGTCCGGGGAGCCTGGGCCGTGCCTCCCTGGCGTATGCAGGTCGCCGGCGCAGCCGCCAGCTCCGGGGGCCGCGCTTCCAGCCACCCGCAGCCGGCGGGGCCCGCCGGGCAGCACGGGAATCGCGGAGCGCGGCAGCTCCCCTGCGCGCCGCCGCCGCCCTGCTCCTGGCCTCTGCAGGCGCCTGGGCTGCTCCACCTGAGAGCTGCGCAGGGCGGTCTGGCGGTGGCTGCTGCCCACATAATCCGACCCAAAGGCCCTTGGCTTCAATGCAAATCCCGGAGCTGAATCGCCAACAACCCAGGGCCCACTTCCCATTACGCACCAGTGGCACCGTGCCTGGGGCCTTCGGTACTTGGAGGAGCCCACGAAAATGTTTCCGTTTTAATTTATGTTAAAATCAGAAGAAATAACAGTAGGTAGAAAATAATGAAGCCAGCTTGGACTGCATGTGTTTTTCTGCCAAGGCAGTCATAAAAGGTCATGTTTATTACTTTGTTTTTATCTATTTATTTTTTCTTTTGAGACGGAGTTTCACTCTCGCCCAGACTGGAGTGCAGTGGCGCAATCTTGGCTCACTGCAACCTCCGCCTCTTGGGTTCATGCGATTCTCCTGCCTCAGTCTCCCGGGTAGCTGGGATTACAGGCGCCCGCTACCACGCCCAGCTAATTTTTTGTATTTTTAGTGGAGACAGAGCTTTGCCATGTTGCCCAGGCTGTTCTCAAACTCCTGAGCTCAGGCGATCCACCCGCCCCGGCCTCTTGTGCAAGACGTTGGGACCAACTGACAAAATGGTGACCATTATCGCCCACTTTCAAGAAGACTTCAAGGAGATCCATAGCCTGGATTTACATTTCAAAACCTAGAAGGTACACCATGTATGGGAGCTCTCCAGGCCGCCTTACAGCCTTCTTGGGCCTTTTGCCTTCATGGACCTCTTCTTCCATGGGAGGCCAGGGCGGGTGGATCACGAGGTCAGGAGTTCAAGACCAGCGTAGGCCGGGCAGGGTGGCTCACGCCTGTAATCCCAGCACTTTGGGAGACTGAGGCGGGCAGATCACCTGAGGTCAGGAGTTCGAGACCAGCCTGGCCAACATGGTGAAACCCCATCTCTACTAAAAATACAGAAATTAGCCTGACCATGGTTGTCTCATCTGGTGAGATGAGGGGCAGAGAGAGCCCACTCTGGGATTCTGGAGAGCCAGATTTTTATTCCAGCTCAGTCGCTGGCTAGTGATGCAGCCCTGGACATGTCACATCCAAAGCTTGGTTATTGCCATGCAAGAGAGCAGTAAGGCTGGGGAATCCCTTAGATGGCCTCCCACTCTTCCACTGAATGGTTCTCGGATTCCTCAGTAGAATGACTAAACCTGATAGAGTAACACGGTTCTGATCTTCCTATAATATCTCTAAAATTCTCCACGGCAAAGTGGGAAAAGCATGGTGTAGGGCCCAGAGACTTAAGTTACAGTGGAGAATTAGCTGTTAGCTAAGGGGTAACCTTAGGAAAATTGTAGTAACTTCTCCAAGTCTGTTTCCTGATCTGTAAAAAGTAAGGGTTACACTGGATCAGTGATACTCAAACTGTGGTCCCAAACCAGCAGCATCTGCATCACCTGGAAACTTGTTAGAAATACAAGTTCTTGAGCCTCTACTCAGTCCTACTGAGTCAGAAACTCTGGGGGTGGGGGGTGACAAACTGTACCTTAACAAGGATGTTTTGACATCAATAAAGTTTGAGAACCACTGCACTAAATGCTAAGGCCCTTTGCAGCTCTGTGGTTGTGATTCCAAATATGGTGCAGTTATCCCTTCACATCTATGGTATTTAAATTACATTCCTATTTTAGGAATAAACTGAATAGGTAAGCTTTGCTAGTTTCTATGGGTTAGAATTTTACTTATTTCCTAATATTTAGGATCTTTATTAAAGAGTCTTGAGGAGAAGTTGGAAAGGGGTATTAAACTGGCAAAGGTCATGCAGTGCTTGAATTTCTCTAAATTCTTAAATCTAGATCACTATCTAAACGTGAAACGTTTTTATCCATGCATGACAGCCTTAAAACAGGTAACTCCCTTCATTCTCCCTAAAAAATGTCCTTCCAATTAAATGAAAGGCAAAGACAAGACAAATAACCAAAAAGGCAATGAGAATTTCAGTGATGTGTAAGCATACAATTAATGGAAGTAGGGGGAAAATTGTCTTCTGCCTGGTAAAGCAACACAAAAGACTACACCTAGCCAACAACCACATGTAAAACAAATGCTTGGACCAGTGCACATTCAGCATCAGGGTGTATATGTTTGTTTAATGATGTCTCCACGGTCTGTAGAATTAATATTTAATAGCACTTGTCAGCAAGATTCTATACAAGGGTTTGTTCTGCCTTTTTTTAACGCTTGTTAGTGATTGTGTCTTCCTGGGTTGTTCTTCTTTAATATTAGAATTACTCTTTGCATTGGCAGCAATTTTTTACTACTTTCAATTTTGCATTATTTGGCGGGTGTGGGAGATAAGGCATAGGCAACAGAATTTTAAAGACCTTTAGTGCTGCTTCTCTTCTCAGTCATAATACACTGGGCGAAAGCAAGGTTTTTTGTTTCTTGTTGTTTTTACTAGTAGCACAGGACCTATCATATAGTATGCACTCAAAAATGTTTATTGTTTCATTACTACTATTATCACAGCTATCAACATTAGCAAAGAATTGGGCTTCTAATAGTAGGCAGATGGTCAAGTTACATATATCACAAAGATATGATTTTGGTTTGACTCTTCTATCTCAAAGTTATTTGTCCTAATTCTAAATGGAATATCATACTGTGATATTAAAGAAAACACAATTAGCAAATTATGTAGTCTAAATCCCATGTCCATGATCAGGAATGCTTTGAGATTTTGTTTTTTTCCAGGGTATCCTGAAGTGGCAAGTACCCTGGACTAGAAGTCAGCAATTCTGGGTTTATAATATGAAAACTGGAGCAGGTCATTTTAACTCCCTGTCCTCTTAGCCTGTTTCAGTTTAGTCATAGCATATTTTACTATCAGATATTATAGATTCTTGCTTGCTTGCTCATCCTTGTGCCTATTTGCTTGGTTACTTGCTTGTCTTCCTTTCCATTGGAGTGTAAGCTCCAACAAGTCAAGAACTTTGTGTTGTCCAATAGGTGTGCAATGTCTTTCTCTCCCTCTCTTTGATGCTTTGAGTACACTCGCAGGTATATGTGAAACTCTTATAGATATTAGATGAATGACTGAACAGATGAATATACATATATGTGTATATACATGTATGTGAGTATATATATATATATTTCCTGTGCCTGTGACACTAGCACTTATATATACCTATATATAGGTATATTCATATTCATAGATATATATATATAAATATATATATTCATGTGTGCTAGTGCCGCAGGCACAGGAAAAAATATGAGGGCTTTGGACCCAGGCCAACCTGGTATAGAACTTGATTCCCCCAATAAACAGCTGTGTGACCTTGGACAGGATGACACAGGCAACAACATCTACCATGGAGGGCTGTTGTAAAGACCAGAGACAGGGGCTAACAGTGTTTATCACTGTGCCTGACCGATAGTAGGTGCTCGATAAATGTTAACTATTGTTTCATTTATGGTTTCAAATAAGTTGTGCACTTCATTACACAGTCAGGTCTTCTACTTCTTTATGTATCTTAGAGTCTCTGGCACATCAAAGGACAAATAGTAGAAGCTTAAATACACGCTTGACTGTTTGATACATTCAAGCTCTAAGCACAATGAAAAAAGTTTGTTGGCCGGGCGCGGTGGCTCACGCCTGTAATCCCAGCACTTTGGGAGGCCTGAGGCGGGCGGATCACTAGGTCAAGAGATCAAGACCATCCTGGCTAACACGGTGAAACCCCGTCTCTACTAAAAAAAATACAAAAAACTAGCCGGGCTTGGTGGTGGGCACCTGTAGTCCCAACTACTCGGGAGGCTGAGGCAGGAGAATGGTGTGAACCCGGGAGGCGGAGCTTGCAGTAAGCCGAGATCCTACCATTGCACTCCAGGCTGGGTGACAGAGTGAGACTCCGTCTCAAACAAACAAACAAAACAAAACAAAACAAAAAAGTTTGTTATATTCACAACCCAAATCCACAGATATTTACCAAGTAAAGAGTATGATCAAGGAATTGTGCTATGGTTGTGTTAGTCAGACATTGGTAAAGAATTAAAAACAAAAATTCCCTAAAACTCTAAGAAATGAAAATACTGCTTGTTGAGCCCAACCTCAATATTGAAAGCTTGGCTCCTGGGTACAGTGTCTATAATTCAAGTTCAGGCTTATACTCAGGAATTTACCAAAACACTGTTAGTCTTAGCAACTGTCAGAAAATAAAGGTACCTTCTGCTCCATTCCTATGTATAATTTGCACATACTGATTATTTATCTGCTCAAGACTGCCTGTGTTGTGTCTTTTCATCAGCCCAGCACCACACTCCATTCCACCCCATCCTAGACCTTTTCTATCTTTTACAGACTTAACTGTGATCTGTTTTAAGAAAAGAAAATAAATTAGTTTCCCAGGAAATCTACATGAGCATTTTCTCCACAGAGGGTACCCCACTGAGAGCTACACAAGCCTTAGCCATTGTTTTGTTAAATAGTAATAATAACTTAAAATATGATGACAGCAGCTGATGCCTAACTGCAGGGTAAAGACCAGCCTTGTTAGCGTTGCCTGGCAACCTACGGGTGACATCTTGGAGAATGTGAAGGGGTCCAGTGAGTCGGGAGAGGTCATGGCATCAGAATCGAGGGAACGGAAGGGTCACTGACGATCCACAATGGTCTCAACTGATCTTACATTAATTGTTTCAAATGGACCTGATCCTCATCTGTGAGCTGCAATTGAAGGATCTGTAGGTCCACACATTTCTATGTGCTCTTCTCACCTTTCTATGTTTATTTTTAAGTTTAAGAGTTATAAGTACTTTGAGGAATACACAGACAATTTCAAGAACTGGTCAGGCAAGAGTTTTAGACATGATGAAGCCAAAATAATTTCCCAAAATAAATGAATCCACCTGAATACTAATGTTCAAACATTGAAATATCAGTGTGCTAGACAAAATTTAGTTTGGCTTAGCCTAGTCAACCTATATTTGTGCAACATGAATAAAATACTAAAATTTGTTCAATTTTCTGTAAATTATATTGGACAACTGCAATATGCCATACACTGTATTGCAGGCTAGAGATAGATGGAGGGGGCATTATATCTGCTCTCAAAGGGTTATTATAGTCCCAAGGGGAGTAAGAGATAAATATATATTTGCATACATTTGCAATTACTGTCCCAAATCAAAGTATATCATCTGACAAGGTTTCTGGCCATAGTATTGTCAATTAATACACCAACCATCCACCTGAAACTTTTACATTGTCCTTGGCCCTTCTCTCTCTTTCTCCTCATAGCTAGACAATCACAGGTCCTCTCGTATCTCAGCCTTGTCCATTCCTGTCCATCTCCTCTGCTAACTTCTCAGACCGGTCCATACTAACTCTTGCTTAGACTTGAGGAATAGCTTCCCCACTGGCCTGTTTCTTCTCTTACTACACCTTCAAAACAATAGAGAAAGGCAATCTTAAGCAGAAAGAACAAAGCTGGAGGCATCACATTACCTGACTTCAAACTATACTACATGGGTACAGTAACCAAAACAGCATGGTACTGGTACAAAAACAGACACATAGATCAATGGAACAGAATAGCCAGCTCAGAAATAAAAACCACACATCTACTGCCATCTGATCTTCAACAAAGTCGACAAAAACAAGCACTGGGGAAAGGACTCCCTATTCAATAAATGGTACTGGGATAACTGGTTAGCCATATGCAGAAGATTAAAGTTGAACCCTTTCCTTATACCATATACAAAAATCAACTCAAGGTGGATTAAAGACTTGAATGTAAAACTGTAAACCCTGGAAGATAACCTAGGAAATACCGTTCTGGACGTAGAAACTAGCAACAATCTCATGACGAAGATGCCAAAAGCAATTGCAACAAAAACAAAAATTGACCAGTGGGACCTAACTAAACTGAAGAGCTTCTGCACAGCAAAAGATACTATAAACAGAGTAAAGTGACAATCTACTGAATGGGAAAAACTATTTGCAAACTATGCATTCAACAAAGGTCTAATATCCAGTAACTATAAGGAACTTCAACAAATCTACAAAAAAAAAAAAAAACATTAAAAAGTGGGCAAACGACATGAACAGACACTGTTCAAAAAAAGACATACATATGGCCAAAAAGCATATGAAAAAATGCTCAACATCACTAATCATTAGAGAAATGCAAATCAAAACCACAATGAGATACCATCTCACACCAATCAGAATGGCTATTATTAAAAAGTCAAAAAATAACAGATGCTGGTGAGGTTGCAAAGAAAAGGAAATATGTATACACTTCTAGTGGGCGGTAAATTAGTTTAGCCACTGTGGAAAGCAGTGTGGCAATTTTTTATAGAACTTAAAACAGAAGTAACATTTGACCCAGCAATCTCATTAGTGGGTAAATACCCAAAGGAATATAAATCATTCTACCATAAAGACACTAGCATGCATATATTTTTCACAGCACTATTCACAATAGCAAATACTTGGAATCCACTCAAATGCCCATCAACAGTAGACTGGATAAAGAAAATTTGGAATATATACACCATGGAATACTACACAGCCATAAAAAAGAATGAGATCATGACATTTGTAGCAATGTGGATGTAACTAGAGTCCATTATCCTAAGCAAACTAACACTGGAACAGAAGACCAAATACCACATGTTCTCACTTATAAGTGGGAGTTAAACGTTGAGTACACATGAACACAAAGAAGCGAACAGCAGACACTGGGGCCTATTTGAAGGGTGGGAGGAGGGCGAGGATTGAAAAAGTACCTATCAAGTACTAGGCTTATTATCTTGGCGACGAAATAATCTGTATACCAAACCCCATGACATGCAATTTACCTATATAACAGACTTGCACATGTACCCCTGAACCTAAAATAAAAGTTAAAAATAAATAAATGAAACAATTGAGAAGTCACACTCTATGTTCAAGTCCCAGGTCTGACTTTCCCAGCTGCATGACATTAGGTGATTAACATCTCTGTAACTTACTTTTGTCATCAGTAAGATGAGGATAATAATAATATCTAATAGCATTGTTTTGAAGATTGTACCATCCTTAGAACAACACTTGGCACATGGTAAGTGCTCAATAAGAGTTAGCTATTTTTGGCTGGGCACAGTGACTCATGCCTGAATCCCAGCAATTTGGGAGGCCGAGGTAGGCAGATCACATGAGGAGAGAAGTTCAAGACCAGCCTGGCCAACATGGTGAAACCACATCTTTACTGAAAATACAAAAATTAGCCAGGCATAGTGGCACATGCCTGTAGTCCCAGCTACTTGGGAGGCTGAGGCAAGAGAATGGCTTGAACCTGGGAGGCAGAGGTTGCAGTGAGCCAAGATTGCACCATTGCACTCCAGCCTGGGCGACAGAGTGAGACTCTGTCTCAAAAAAAAAAAAAAAAAAAAAAAAAGTTAGCTATTTTTACCATCACCTTCTTTCCTTCCTTAAAATAGTGCCCATTGTACATACAATAAAATCAAGCTCATAAGGCATACAAGGTCCTTCCTGATCTGCCCCCTGACAGTATGTGCCTTCATCTTAAACCAGTAATTACCATGCCCCCTTGAATCTGATTTCAGTGACACTAGTCTTCTTATACTGCCTCAAAAAAGCCAAGTTCAGGGCCTTTATATATGCTAGTCTGTTCTTTGAAGTGTTGCCTGGTTAACTCCTTTTATTTTACCAGGACCTAAAAACCTGGTCATCTCTTCAGAGAGGCCCCTCCAGAGCCCCCTGTATGAAGTACATCCCACTCCTGTTATTCTATCCTGCATTTTGTTTGCTTCCCATCCAGCTTTTGCTGCAGTGGAGTTTAACTCTTCCACTAGAACAGGAGTTTACAAACTTTCTGTAAAGGACCAGATAGTAGATATTTTAGGCCTTGTGGGCCATACAGTCTTTGTTGAGCTACTCTACTTGGCCATTATAAGGTGAAAGCAGCTGTTAAAAATACAAAAATGAATGATCATATCTGTGTTCCAATAAAACTTTACTTATGGACACTGAAATTTGAATGCCATGTAGTTTATGTGCATCAAAAAATAATTTTCCAGTTCTTTTTAAACAATTATAAAAACGTGAAAACCATAGCTAGCCGGCTGGCCATACAAAAAGAGATGAATTAGGCCCTGCACCAGAAAAGAAGCTTCATGAGGGAAGAGATACATTTGTCATGGTCATTGTTATCTCCAGCATTCAATCCAGGGCTGGGTATATAATGGTACTTATTAATTAGCTTTTTAGTGAATGAATGACTCTTGCTTTAAGTTGTCACAATCATAGTTTGATCTACAAGCCCAAAGCATAATGGGAATTTGAATAGAAATTAGTAAAACTTGATTTTTATCCTATGCTTTATAATTTACAAAGTATTACTGTATACATTATCTCAGTTGATCTACCAAAATCTTTGAGATAAGAAAGATGATAATTATTATAATTGTGAGTTTAAGAAACTAAATGATTTCCTAAGATAATACAGCTAATAAATGTTGGTTTGGCTGCATCCCCACCCAAATCTCATCTTGAATTGTAGCTCCTCTACTTCCCATGTGTTGTGGGAGGAACCAGGTAGGAGATAATTGAATCATGGAGGCAGTTTCCCCCATGCTGTTCTCCTGGTAGTGAATAAGTTTCAGGAGATCTGATGATTTTATAAGGGGGTTTTGCTTGGCTATCATTTATCTCTTGCCTGCCCCCATGTAAGACAGGCCTTTTGCCTTCCACTGTGAGGCCTCCCAGCCACGTGCAACTGTGAGTCCATTAAACCTCTTTTTCTTTATAAATTACCCAGTCTTTGGTATGTCTTTATCAGCAGTGTGAGAACAGATTAATACAGGATCAGAAAAAGAACCTCGTGCCATTTCCACTAGTCAGTGGCTTTGAAAGCATAGTCCCCTGATCAGCAATGCAAGCATCCCCTGGAGTCTATTAGAAATAAAAATTCTTAAGCCCCAAACCAGACCTACTGAATCAAAAACCACAGAAATGGGGCCCAGCAAACTCAATTTTAACAAGGCTTGCAGATGATTCTGATGAATGCTAATGTTTGTGGACCACTGCTATAGGCCACAAGCTCTTAGCACTGGCCTCCTCTTAGAATTTACCTGGAAAGTTTATAAAAATCATCAATGCCTGGGCCATGATTCAATTCATCTGGGGTTGAGTGGGGGGCATCAGTATTTTTAAAAGCTCTCTAGGTGACACTGAAGCATATCTAGAGTCAAAAACTACTGCAGTAATGGCCATGCTTCCTCTTATAACAGGAAAGAAATGCTGCCCAAATAAGTTAGGATCACCTGCCATAGATCCAAGCCAATATTAGGTCCTGAACTTATTCTCTTCATGGAACACCTAAAGATGGATTTCCCACAGCCTCAGACAATTTAATATAGTTTCGCAGACACCACAGGTCCACAGACTAAGACCTGTCCCAATAATTGCTTATGTTCCCATTTCTCTTCAGGCCTTTATTTCCATTGCCACAACTCCCTCCTTCCTTGCTTTCATCAGCTAATTGCACAGATTCCATTAGAACTAAGGGCAGGTGCAGCCTGGAATGAAGGAAGAACTCATCTGTTCCTTCACGTTCTCACTCCTGATGTTTGCTAGTTTGTATGATTAATTTTATCAATTTTCCTGACCTGCTTTGCCACTGAAATAAATATGACAGCTGCTCTGCTGCCTCAATTCTTCCTCTTGCCAAGTGAGATGCCGATGTGTTTTCTTGTTGATGGCAGACTTGGGTAAATATCAAGTAAACAGACAAAACAGGATTCATCCTGGTCATATTGACAAGGCAGGTGTGGAAACAAACATAAATGCTTCAATTGGATATAAAAAGTAGAAAGCTAATTTCCCACCTCCTACTTTTCCCAGGTACTCATTCAAGAAAACAACATCACATCCCCCATTTCCAAGTCTGCCTTACCCACTGGTTCTATGTTTTATTCTTTTAGAATAAACTACTTGATAGGTAACAATACAAAAATACTTAGTCTGTGACTACCTCTGATATTTACTTGTTTAGAGGGGTGGGCTGACAGAGTAAAAATATCTGGGCTGGGTGCGGTGGCCCATGCCTGTAATCCCAGCACTTTGGGAGGCCGAGGCGGTGGATCACGAGGTTAGGAGTTCGAGACCAGCCTTGCCAATATGGTGAAACCCCGTCTGTACTAAAAATACAAAAAATTTAGCTGGGCATGGTGGTGTGCACCTGTAGTCCCAGCTACTCACAAGGCTGAAGCAGAAGAGTTGTTTGAACCCGGGAGATAGAGGTTGCAGTGAGCTGAGATTGCACCACTGCACTCCAGCCTGGGCAACAGAGCAAGACTCCATCTCAAAAAAAATAAAAATATCTGAAAGCGTGTTGCAAAATATAACCTGTCCCAGAAATACTAGCTGTTAGTATCAGAAGAAGTACAATTTTATCATTGTCCAAAAGAAGGGAAATCATTTGTGCTGCGTACCTACTATTTGGCAGGTGCTTTACTTCATTATCAACTACCATCAATTTTAAGGAAGTTATACTAATCCCTATATTACAGAGAATATTGAGGCTCAAGTGGTTGGGTGCCTGTTCCTAGTTACACCACTTGTGAGCTCAAGATTAGGAGGCATCCCCATCTTACCACACCACACCTGCTACTCCGCAGTGAGCAGACACTTGCCGGACTGCTTCTTCTGCTCTTAGCAAAGTGGCGCCTGATTAAGCCTTGTGGGAAAATGAAAATAACCTACCTTCATGTAGTTTAATTTGAAGAAAAATCAAAAGGCACTTTAATCCAAAATCCATGCCTGTGTTTTGTTGGATAAATTACACTCTCTTCATAATTCAGTTTCCTAATGTGTAAAATACAAAGAATAAGAACCTCAAGTTTTCATTTTGAGTGCTAAAGTAGCTTTAAGAGATAGTGTATGCAAAAAGATGCCTAGAACCATTCCTAATAAATATTAGGTGCTTAAGAAGTGAATTTGAATAGGAATCATATTCCCTTCATAAGAGGAGAACTGAAATACTACTATAAGCAGTTTTTTGACTTAAAATATTGTCAGGGTACTAGATCTCAATTAAAATGTGCATGTGTGTGTGGAAAGGTAACAAAATAAACTGGTTATTTGTGAGTAGCACCTGCTCACTTTTCAATCTTGATAACTAGCTGAGGGCTGCACAGATATATTCATAAGAGAAAGTAGACACCAGTCTGAAGCTTTATTCTGCAAATGAGGGTAATGATGTCAAATTTGTTTTTAAAAAAATGAAAAGATCGTCTGGGTGCTGTGGCTCATGCCTATAATCTCAGCACTTTGGGAGGCCGAGGTGGGCAGATCACCTGAGGTCAGGAGTTCGAGACCAGCCTGGCCAGCATGGTGAAATCCTGTCTCTACTAAAAATACAAAAATTAGCTGGCCATGGTGGTGTGCACCTGTAATCCCAGCTACTCAAGAGGCTGAGGCAGGAAAACTACTTGAACTCAGGAGGCAGAGGTTGCAGTGAGCAGAGATGACACCACTGCACTCCAGCTTGGGTGACAGAGTGAGACTCTGTCTCAAAAAAAAAAAAAAAAAGAAAGAAAGAAAAAGAAAAGATGGTACAAAAGCTTATTTTCCTAAATCCTTAAACTGGAAGGAGTTTCCAGAGGTCATTGCCTCGTCTTCAGGAAGTAAATACTGTTGTTTCCTTCAGATGAAACCAAAATAATGAACAGAACACTTTGCCAGTGAGCAGATCAGAGAAGACCACAAAGCAAGTCTTCTACATCTATCCCTGGCAACGTTAGGAAGGTTCAATGGGCTTTTCCAGCCTCTCTTTTATTCACAAAACTTTGCCCTGGATCTGGTTCTGGAGCAATCCATCCACCATGGTTGCAAGAACTGGGTAGGGGATGGGGATGGAGGTAAGAATGAAAGGCAGCAGAGCCCTTTCAATGGTGGTCTAGGCCAGTCTCACTCTCCCTCATTCCCTTTTCTTACTATTTCCTACATTTGACTTGCCCTTCAAAATAAATAAAGTCATCTAAGGATGACTCTCTAAAAATTGCATGGGGGACGTGGTATGACATCATCTGATTAAAGAGGCTAATGCATTTAGAGGAGGGAGTCAAAGACATCCGCTGTAGCTGGGTGTCCTAATGCTCTCTCATTGCTCTGCAACTATGATAACGGCAATAAATTGTTATCAGCATTAGCTTAAACTTGACTTGGTGATGGCTTGAGGAAAATAAACTGCCAGCCCATTCTCGAGTACACCGTGGTACCCTTGGCCAATGGATCATTTCCCTCCCTATATAAAACCTCCTCAGTGCAGCTATCTTGTTGCCTCTCCCTGCTGGAGGAAGGGTGGAAGTGAGTAGAATGGAAACATCTTTTGTAGTAGTCCCCTTGGCCTGTTGAATATTGAGGTATGAGACTGCTTAGCTCTTTCTCCACCATCTCATTCATAAAAGGAAAAAGAAAGGGTGGAACAGAGGAAAGATTTTCCTGTTACTTTCTTTTGCATTGATCACTGCACACATCATCATCCCAATCATTGCAGTGGAGAGTTGGTGGAGACCCAAGTCGGGGACCTGCCTTTGTGAGCGGAAGAATCAGGCATGAGATACAATGTCTAATTTCCAGCCTCCCAATTGCCTAGGCAGACCTCATCCTCTGAATTCAGCTCTTCCTAAATGAGAGGGGCAGGGAGGGAGTTCTCCTGCTGGCAGAGTGTTGAAACACGATCCATGACATAGGCCTAGGAGGAAGATTTTGCTTGGGAAATGTAAGAGCTTCAGTATTTTGCACACCAAGCTTGTCTTCTAATGACAGCCTTGGGAGCCAGACATTTCTAAGTGCTAATTAGAGGTGTTGATTATCGTGGTAGCCCTATGGGGGCTCAACCCAAGCCCGAGAGCAAAAGGCACAGATAAAATAAAGATTGTTACAGTAGCTCCCAGTGTCACATGAACATCAATACTGGATTGTCAATGCTCAGACACAATCCAATCTGGGACTCCAGCTACTGCAATGGAGTCCCAGGGTGATACACGGGGCTGTCACACTATTCACAATATGCAGTTCTGATCAAGTCACAGATACTCCATCCTAATCAATCAGGAAAAACTTACCAGAACTTGGATATAGAGATTGACTCACGACAGGATTTCACTAAAACATGATCAAAAGCCATGGAGATGGGACATACAAAGAACCTTGACCTCTCAGTTCTAAAATAAATGAACTGTTTAAGACACAGTGTGCTGGGTTTCCATTTATGACCTTACGCATGCACATATTTTGACATGCACACACGTGATTTCTCTCATACAGAAGGTACTTGGGTTATTGATTTACTCTCACTTTACATCCATATCTTTTGACAGTTTATGACTATATTGGAAAGAGAGTGTGAATCAGAAACAGAAGTCTTAAGGATGAATCTTAATTTGGGAGGCAGGCAGGCAGTGGGTGACAATTGAAGCTCTAGAATCTGAAGAAGCCTGAAGCTTTTGAAACATCACTTTCCTCTTCTGTAAAATGTGTGTTAAGATCATTGAGGATTAAACAGTAACTGCCAAATTGTTAGCATTGTATCTAGCATTGATGATGATCACATCTCTTAGTGCTTTTCTGTCCCTATATTCCTTCTTCGAAATAAACAGAAAATAATAAAATTCTACCTTTAGAATGTTCAAGGATGACATGGGAGGATATTATTTATGAATCATTATGAATTTACAAATGATAGTCATGATTATAATAAACGCAACCTAAGTCATCCTCTGTTTTGAGACTGGATGTCTAGCCCAAGCTTAGATAGGGATCTTTTTCATTGAGCCTTTGACTTGCTGTGTGACCTTGGGTAAGTGGGAATCTCTTCTATTTTTATTTTAATCTTCAAGCTAATTTAATAAAACTGATCAGAATTCAAATGAAATAACTCATGTGGAACTTTTTGCCTCCTGTAAAGCACTGTACATGCATCTATCTTACAGTGTAGTGCACTTTGGAATCGGGCAGAACCAGATTCAATTCCATTCTTACCATTCACTAGTTTCATAACCTACAGTAAGTTACTTATGTTAACCCTGGTTCTAAAATGAGAAAAATAATACCTGCCCCAAAATTCAATGTATAAAATGCTAGCACCTTACCTGGGCCATGGAATATAATAAATGTCTGTTCTCTCCCACACCTGCTCACTCGGTAATACTGATTAGGATAATGGGGATACCTCTTCCTCTGCAAAAAGGGAGACAAAGTCAGTTTAAACAAGTATTAATATGACATCTACTCTTGGGTGTGAGGGTGTGCAGTGAGAGGCACATGAAAGTGCAAAAAGGGAGAAGAAATCACTCTTAACCCTGCAAACAGGCAGCCCAGCTCTGGGCATAGTGCTCTATCCCTGATCTAAATAGACCCAGGGGGAACATGGCAGGGATGGAGAAGGGCAGAACCATATAGTCATTTTTTTCTGCTGAGATATTCCCTGGCTGCTTAAACCCTCCCTTATCCCCAGAGCTTACATTTCTCAACACCAACAATCCGTACATTGAAGTCACTTTACTCTGTTGGGAGGCATAAATCTGGCCTCCTCAGAGTCCACTGAAGCAAATTGCTAGCAACTTCTCAGACACAAAGGAGAAAATCAAGGTTGACTGCAAAATTCTTCTAGTTGCTTTGAGAAAGTCATCCTACTTGAACTCAATGGAAAGCATTCTTCAAGGTATGCTCCTACAGAACGCTATTTCTAAGAAATATTTTTTTTTGAAAAAAGACTACTTTATGGTCAAAAGTTGGCTAAACATTACATGTTGTATCCCCCCTTCTTGAGATTGACGGTTAAGATAAGCTTATTATTGGAGAGGGATTCTGGTAAAACCACTTCTATATTTTGATTAGTGTGTCCCAAACTAACTTGACAATAGAAACCATTTTCCACAAAATACCTATAAAATTCTGTAAGACTGGCTTCAAGGAAAGCACTTTTGGCAACCCTGCAAATAGTCTTTGTTCTCCCAATTATTCAAAACTCTAAGTTTTAATGGGTCCTTGATAGATAGAAGATGTTCAATAAGAACTTGCTAAATGAATGGATCCCACAGTGATGAGCAATTTGGCAAACAATAGACTTAGTCTATCTTGGCTAATGTGATAACACATACAGCAAATCAGCTAATCTATCAATCCACAAATATTTATTCAACACATACACACTTTGCTATGAAGTGAATAATTTCATGCCAGAGAATGTGTTATTATAGTGCCAAGAATCCAAAGCACTGAGCCTCAGCCTTGACTTGGTCCAACTCTGGAGACATTTGTCAGTGTGTTTACTTCTAGGTCACTTTTCCCTATGGCCTCATAGGAGGACAGTTAGCCTCCATTAAACATTTTTTGGAATTGTCCTGATTTTTATATATTGTCTCCCATTTGTCTCATAAACCACTGAAATGTGCACAAAAATCTAATATCTCAGCACCCAAACTACATTTCTCAGATTTCTCCATTCACCTGCTATTATCACAACTATTCTTTATCACACATCATTTTCACATGTTTTTATGAGGAATTTATAAAGTATAGCCACAGTATTCACAAGCAACATGATAGAAATTTTCCATGCCAAATGAGGTGAGAGAAATCTGATCTCTATCTCCAAGTGTGACAACAAGGAAAGATGTAATGTCTTTTTTGTCATTGTTTTTGTTTTTTAAAATACTATTTTGTTGGTTATATGTAGTTCTCTGTGTATGAGTTTATGCATTCCGTAAAAGATAGCCTTAGTCTGAAGGGAAATGAACACCACAGGGTTCTCATATCAATTCAAGCATCTTCCTTCCAAGGTCTTAGGAGAGCCAGCAATGGCAGTGGCTGTGATGATTTACATTCCACAGGAAGGGTTAACCTCATCTCATGCCACTGTTGTCTCAGGACAACTTGTCAGCCCACAAGAACATCCCATAATGGATTTGAAGTGGATTGTGCAGCCCCTTGCAAGGTGGATGCTGTATTTATTGAATAGACATTAAAAAGAACATTTCTCAATTTCTCAGCACTGAACTCAGGGTCAATGGATCTTCTTGGCAGTGACATGCTGAGTCAACTCCTAGCTCAAAGCTTTTAAAGGGACTGGGGTTAGATTAAAGGATTAGACTCCGTCTTGAATGTTTCCCTGGCAAAATCGTTGGGTCTTAAATCATTTATGTTGCCTTGTAGTGCTTTACTTGGCCTTTCACTGCTGGCTTTGAAAGACACACACACACACACACACACACACACATACACACAGACAACACACAAAGAGCATAACAACTCTTTTGCAGATTTGACTAGCGATTTTTTGCCTCTGAGAGAAGACTATCCCAAGCTTATCATATAGAACAATTGCTGTGCCTTTAGAAATAATTTTAAGATAGTAGGCCATGCCTATATACTCTGATTGAATCCACTACCCTCCAAATGGAAACCAAGCCTCCAAGTGCTGTGCCCTCATATCCTGCCACGCTGTTATCCTTAATGTAGACCCAATTGACTAACTGACTTTGGTCAAGGACAGCCACATTCCCTCTCACATACCTTCTGCATGCATCATTCCCATTTCAGCATTCATTGGAATACCCACCCACATAGTCAATCACTGTCACCTGTCACCCTGCTGGAAGTTTGTGTACACACAATGCCATTCACTCATTGATGACTTCTTACAAAAGAAAACAAGGCTTTATACTCTTGTACAGTTAAATGAAGGTCAAACAAACACATATTCCTTATGGTTTTGTATATTCTAATGTAGAAAATACCTGGCATGGTGCTTGGAGCACCCAAGAGCTCAGTACATGGTGCATATATATATATGTGTATATATATATATATATATATATATATATATATATCTGTATATATATATCCAACCAAGAGGGGTTCAAGCAGGGGTGGAATGGATATTTAGAGGGTCAGCATATATTGGATGGAATACAGGATTTAGAAAAGGCCGCTTGGGTTCAAATCTTGAACTCTTATCAGCTTATTAGTTGTACTACAAACCAAACAAAGCAAACACTTTTTTGTCGCACTAAAATTAAGAAATTTTAAAAATACCTCCAAGAATCAATACACCGAAACGTTAGCTATTTATTTCCTAAAACCTCCTTATCCCATATAATTCCTAGTTGAAGTCAAAATGAATAGAACAACAACAGAAAAGTAGCTGTGATGGGATAAACATCAAACTGTAATAGAAGAGTCAAAAATAATGGTTTAAATTAAGAATATGAACTGTCTTCCTTTTGGCTTAAGCTATACTACTGTCCTACAAAAACCTTCCATGCCAATCACAGTGGCATCTTCACTGGAGTGTCAACACACCTACCCCTCCACACTCTTTTCTAATGCCTTCCCTCTCACTACATATGTTCTCTCTCCTCTTCTCTACCTACCCAAATCCTACATTTCCAATTGAGTCGAGTTTCAAATACATCTCTCTTGTTAGTGCTTCTCTGAACACCATAGTCCCAGTGACCTTGACCTTCTTTTCACTTATTCTATCACAATGTTTATTATTTTTTATGTGAATGTTTGTTATGACTTATTTTCTCAACCAGATTTAGAGCTAAACAAAAGCTGTGCCAAGTTTTATATGTCTTATTTTTTGCATCTTATCCCTCACCTCCCAGGCAAACACACACATGCACACAAACACATAAACGTACATGCATATACACACACACATGCACATACACACATTTACATACCTGATTTTTTCAATGACTAGTTCTTTGTGTATAGTGGGTGCCCATCAATTATTTGTTTCCCATTTGATTATGGTTCTTGTATAAACTGTTCTGAACTGTCTAGCAATCTCCACCATACATTGCTGGGAATACCTCTGTCCAATTATACCCCAGGTCTTGGAATCTATTCTATTCCACAGGAAGACTTAATGAACTTTAGTAAGTAATGAATTTGTAATTGAAATTATTATGCTGGTTTTGGTATCTAGAATACTGTGATTTTTGTGAAAACATTTCTGCTTTTCAAAAACTTGAGTTTGAAAAGAAAAAGAAAAAGTATCCCGTATCCAAGCTTTGAACTTCCATAATTTCACTGTGGCTGAAACCCTACTCCAGCATCCTATTTCCCTCATTTACTCCAAAAAAAAACTATACATAGATCCCAGAAATTCTCTTCAAAAATTGAAGCCCTACCTCTGAAGACAGAACCCAAGGTTGAGGCAATAATATCTGCTCACCAACTACTCTTCGTCCGCTGCCCTCAAATTCCTTGATCTTTAATCCAGCTGCCAGCAGGACAATGGTGGAATGACTCCTACTCTCCCTGGATGTTAAATGTAAGTTTCTCATGCTCCACTCCATTTTTCTTATTTTGCTCTTACTGAACCTTCTCCCTCAAACTCTGAACTCCTACTTCCATATCCCAACTGAGCTTTTCCTCTTGCTTTTAAGACCTGGTAATCTTTCTGACTTCCTCAGCATTCATACACCCATTGTTCTGCATTCTCAGTCTCAGACAATGACACTCAACACCCCATAAAGATAGTACCAGGTGCCTCTGTACTCCCAATAGGATGGGCAAGGTTCAGAAATAATCTATCACTGTGCTTTTTGGACACCAAGATTTACTTGCCTGGTTGTTTTTTCTACCATTAGTAGTTGAGTCCAGCTTCAAATACCTGCCCCAAATTTTCATATCCAGATTCTTTCCATTTAGCTCCGATAATTTCAGTTTTGGGGTATATCATGGACTAGGTCTGTAGCAGCCATATTGACTTGAGCTCAATGTTATTTATTGAGCAAGAGAATAGTCTATAGGCATCAGTTAATGATGTGTTTTTTTTGTTTGTTTGTTTGTTTGTTTGTTTTTTGCTTTGCTAAATTTTCTGGTAGTCTCATAGACAAAAAGCCCAATGAATTGCTCAGATAAATTTAATGCTTGGTGCCACTCAGACAGTGCCTGTGAACTCAGTGAACCACAAAAAAAAAAGGCTCAGAGTTTTTAATGCAAAGCAACAGGGTCATGAGTTTGTCATAGAGGCTATGAAAAGGAAAACAAAATATAATTAGCAAACAGGAAGAATAAATATACAAGATGGTTCCATAGTGACAACAGCTTTCATTCTTCCACTGAGCCTTGTCTAATTCCCATTTCTCAAGGCTCCCATGAGCTAGCCAAAGGGTCTTGCTCATAAACCTAGACACAGAGATGACAATAATCTTAATTCTGTGTGTGCCAAACCACTGTCATATCTCACAACACAGGGAAATTATAAGTCATTATTGGAACCAAAGTGCAAGTGACTCAGTAAAAGAAATCCATTGCTAGGCCTGATGCAGAGGCTCATGCCTGTAATCCCAGTACTTTGGGAGGCCGAGGCAGGTGGATCACCTGAGATCAAGAGTTCGAGACCAGCCTGGCCAACATGGTGAAACCTTGTCTCTACTAAAAATACAAAAATTAGCTGGGTGCAGTGGCGGGCACCTGTAATCCCAGCTACTGAGGAGGCTGAGTCAGGAGAATCACTCGATCCCAGGAGATGGAGTTTGCACTGAGCTGAGATCACACCATTGCACTCCAGCCTGGGCAACAGAGCAAAAACTCCATCTCAAAAAACAAAAAGAAAAAGAAAAAGAAAAAGAAAAGAAAAGAAATCCATTGCTAGGAAAGAGGTAGGCCTAGAAGGTTTCATGCTTAATATTTTATTATACAGCTCAAGTAATAGTGGGCCTTGATGACCATTAAACTGAGTTTCCCCACCTTATTTCTGATGTTTAAGTATGCACCCCCTGCTTCCATTCTAGAATTTCAGATCATTTTGAAAGTAGCAAGAAGAAAGTGACTCATTTATACACAAGGAAACCTCCAAAGGCTATCAGCAGATTTCACAGCAGAAACCTGGTAGGCTAGGAGAGCTTGGGATGATATATTTAAAGTGATGGCTAGCGGGTGGGGGAGGGACTTTGTCAACCAAGAATACTATACTCGGTGAAACTATCTTTTAGCAATGAAAGAGAGATAAAGACTTTTCTAGACCAACAAAAACTGTGGGAGTTCATTACCACTAGAACTCCCTTAAAAGAAATGTTAAAGAAAGTTTTTCAACTTGAAACAAAAGGACACTAACAACATAAAAACACATGAAAGTACAAAATTCATTGTAAGCAAAGGAGGAGAGTCAAGATGGCTGATTAGATGCAGCCAGGAAGAGTATCTCCCACTGAAAAACCAGGCAGGCCATCAAGAAGACAGCACAGCCCAAGCAGATCTTTAGAAGGTAGGCATTGAGAGTGGATGAAGGGAGGATGCAGAAATTAGGCTGAAGGGGGAGGAAGTTGAGAACTCTCAATTAGGTTGTCAAGCACCAGGACTCATTCCTGGCCCCCAGTGGCTCCTGGGGAAGGGATTATTTAAGTAGGCATGGAGTGGCCTACTCTCACCATGGACCCCAGAATGCTAGCTGCAGGAGATCCCATGACCCCCACAAACATTTGAGCTGGCAGAGAGAGCTGCTTGTAGAGTTGACAGGGGCAGGATTCCAACCTGTGTGGAGCCCAGAAACGTTCGCATAGGAATGGCTGCAGTGGAGCATGACCAGGAGTGCCAATCCCCCAAGGCCTGCCACATTCCTCAAGAAGGTTTGGCCTTTGTTGACTGTTGGAGCTGGACAGAGCAGGGCTCTCTTGCCCAGAAGACAGGGCCACTCTGATCTGAGTGCCACCCTGTCTGCCAATCTCTCTCGAGGTCCCTGCCTGGCTGTGCCCACTTGCCTGCACTGTGCCACTGGCAGTGCAGCCTCGGATGCCCAACCAGGGTGCATCGCAGTGGCCACTGCCATAGCCTTTTTGCTGGCAGACCCCGCCTATCTGTAGAAGAGCTTCTTCAGACTGGCCCCTGTCAGTATGCACCCAAGTGAACCCTCCTCCCACTGCTTTGCCAGCATGCATGGGTGGACTTTACCATCCCACTGCCACCAGTGCACATGCACAAACTGCTCTGCCACTACTCCAGTGAAGTGATTTTGCCAGCACCTCCCATTGGAGTGTTGTTGCCAGCAAACCAGGAACACCTCAGCCCCTCTGGCACACCAGGTATTTAACCTTGACAGGCCACAGAACAAAGCTGTGGGCCTTGTTCCAGCCCCCAGGGTTAGAGCACATGGCTCAGGAGTGCTGAGCTGAGCCTTGTCCCCCTGAAATCATCCAGAAATGAAGCCAGTCAACTGAACCCAAATTATACCACGGGCAAATTCTCAAGGGCATCAAAGAAAATAAAAGCAAAAGGCCCCATCCAAAGAATAGCAACTGTAAAGATTGAGGAAACATTTTCTCCCTTGACTGAGCCTACCACAGCCTTTCTAAGGTTTTTTTCCTAGTGAGGCTGAGAGGGTCTTTAAGGAAAACCCTGCATCTGGACATGCCTTGAGGGAAGGCGTCAAATCCAGAAGCATGGAAAAGACAAGGGAGGCATTACAGTTTTCTAATGAAATCAACAACTTCAACTTCTTACCATGGAAAATTCAGAGAAGTCTGAAGTGGTTCTCCTTGCTTGTGGTTCTTTTAATCCTATCACCAACATGCACCTCAGGTTGTTTGAGCTGGCCAAGGACTACAAGTGGAACAGGAAGATACAGAGTTGTCAAAGACATAATCTCTCCTGTTGGCAATACCAGGAGAATGGACTCATTCCTGCCCGTCACTGGGTCATCAGGTCAAAACTTCCCACCAAGAATGCCAAATGGGTGGAAGTTGATACATAAAAAGTCTTCAAAAGGAGCAGATAGAAACTGTTAAGGTGCTTATACACCATCAGGAGAAACTGGAGGCTAGTAACTGTGATAACCAGCAGAACTTGCGTACGCTAGAAAGGCCTGGACAAAAGAGGAAGTGGACTGAACAAAGACAGGATTCTAGTTGAAAGAAATCCCTGGAGTCCAAAACAAAAGGTACAACAAAGGTCAAGCTGTTGTGTGGGACAGATTATTGGAGTCCTTTGGTATTCCCAATTTGTGGAAGGCAGAAGACATCACCCAGATTGTGGCAGACTATGAGTTCACATGTATACTCAGGCTGGAAATGATGCTCAGAAATTCATCCATAATCTGACGTGCTGTGAAAACACTGGAGCATCATTCACATAGTGAATGAATGGATCACTAATGATATCTCATCTACAACAATCTGGAGAGCCCTCAGAAGGGGACAGAGCATTCGCTACTTGTTATGAGAACTTGTCCAAGAATAAATCAAAAAGCATAATTTGTAATTATCGAAAAGCATAATCTGTCTTCTGAGGGTGAAGACAGGAATGCTGGGATCATTCTGGCCCCTTTGAGAGAAACACTGCAGAAGCTAAGGCAAAGGAATCTACGGCATGATGATTTGGACTTCCCTGTTGGGGATTTGAAACAATCTGGGTGTGAGTAACTGGGGAAATAAATTGTGATCCTGTTGCATAAACTAAAGCTTAAAAGTTTAGTAAAAATCAGTGGTAAGTTAGAAACAGGGTTTTCTTTTCTTTTTATCAGAAATTGCTAAGATTAATGTTTTCCTTATGTTCTTCTTTTTTTAAGAATGTACAAATCTCTTTATCTTTAAAACAAGAGATTTAGCAGCACACTAAAACCAGAAGAATTTTCAGTGAAACTAGTTACAAATAAGAAGTCAAAAAGTACATCCTAGCTCTACCACATAAAAGAAGCAAAGTGTGAAAAGCAAACATTCACTTAAAATTCTAACTTTGGTTATGAAGGGAATTGACATTTTATCCATGATTGTTGCTGGGTAATCTGCAGCCAGGGTAGACAAAGGAAGGAATTCTTACAGTGGTGATCTTATAAAATGAACCATTGACAAATCATCTTCACTTATGCCAAATAAAGGTTGTGCACATGCATGGCAGAAACATTGCACCAATAGTTAGTTCTCTGTGGTACACATCAGAATTGCTGACTAAACTTTGGCAAGACCTACCTGCCTGGAGCTCCACCTTTGGAGGTAGGGAGTGAGGTCCAAGCCCTCACATGTTTAGAAAGATGCAGGTACCAGCTACTCGGGAGGCTGGGGCAGGAGAATCGTTTGAACCTGGGAGGCGGAAGTTGCAGTGAGCTAAGATTGCGCCAGTGCACACTAGCCTGGCGACAGAGCAACACTCTATCTCAGAAAAAAAAAAAAAGAGAGAGAGAGACAAAGAAAGATTCAGGTATTTCTGATGCCCCCCAGAGATAGCTGCTGCCTTACACTTTATAACCATTCACTTAGCCTTGTTATGGATCATGCTCTAGCCCTGGCCATCCACCCTCTCTTTATCTTCAGGAACAACTTGAGAGATGACACCATGCTACCTTGAATCGAGAGAACCACAGGGAACGAGGGGTCTCATGCAAGGATTTTATAAGTCTGAATGCTCTTAGCCTTTATTGGTAGCTTAATCAAAAGACCTGAGTGAGGCATAGTGGCGCATGCTCTGTAATCCCATCTGCTTTGGAGGCAGGAACAGGAGGAAAGCTTGAGCCTAGGAGTTTGAAACCAGCCTGGGCAAAATAGTGAGAACATGTCTTTAAAAATCCTGGAGTTTCTGAAGAGCCCTGCTGTTTCTGTTCCAGCCCACTGTGAATCTGCCATTTGTGAGTTTAAGCAGAAAAAGGGTCTGTTTTCCTATACTTTTTCTCTTCTTTTTTTTTTTTGTATGACGTTTAACCAAAGTAGTATTCTCAAATAGTCATAGCTTTATGTTAAAACACAAGCTTGTTACATGGTTTGCTACTGATTAAAATTTTGTGGAAGTTTTACCAGTTGGTAAGGAAGAAGATCAGTAAAAGCTTTTTGTAGATTAGTTTTAGGGTTTGTGAAAATAATCCTACGATAGAAACCGGACTAAAGTTAAATTTCTAATGAAGATAGGATATTTGCCTTTTTGCAATTTCTATTTTATACTTACACCATCCTAGATGAAGAGTTTGTAACTGCTGAAGAAAAAAATACTTAGAAATGTACAATTGTATAGTCAGAGCTGAATCTATAGTTTAAAAAAGGGAAATGTTAAATAAAGTTAAGTAAATGTATGTGTTACAGTTCCCAACTTACTCCTGCTAAAGCCATCAGCCAACTCTCAAAGAGAGGGAGGGTGCAAAGCCTGACATGTAGCAGGTTTCAGTATCCATCCACCAAGTGAATGAAAGGTTGGAATGTCAAATCCTATGGATGAGAGTCATTTTTCTCTTCCTTAGCTTTCTGGAGTTTATGAGTTGAAGCAAGGGGCCAGGCTCAGTGGCTCACACCTGTAATCCCAGCACTTTGGCAGGCCAAGGCAGGCAGATCACTTGAGGTGAGGAGTTCAAGACCAGCCTGGCCAAGATAGTGAAATCCCCTCTCTACCAAAAAGTGCAAAAAAAAAAAAAAAAATATATATATATATATAGCCAGGTGTGGTGGCAGGGGCCTGTAGTCCTAGCTACTTGGGAGGCTGAGGCTGGAAAATTGCTTAAACCTGAGAGGCAGAGGTTGCAGTGAGGTCTGATTGTGCCACTGCACTCTAATCTGGGTGATAGTCAGAACTTGTCTCAAAAAACAAAAAAAGAGTTGAAGGAGCCCTGAAAAATTAGAACAATGAACTTCACAGGGAAATAAATATTAATGACTGATGTGACTTTCTTTAAGGAAGAAGCAAATGTGCCATTGTTTATTCCCTACCACATCATTTCCATAATTTGCTTTTGTACTGTGAATTTAGAGGAAATGTGTGATGCTGGTGTTTTGTTTCACTTGTTTGTTTGATGCTGGGGATTTTGTGTATTGTACACTTTACTCCTTACATTGTATAATTTGAATGCAACAAACAAACCTGCAGTGAAAGTCCTTCTTTGGCATCTTCATTCAGATGAATGGAGAGCCTTTGTGGTAGTGTTTATCTATGTGAACAGCAGAACTTTTAGATAAGAGAAGTGGGTTCTCTTTGGTGATGAAGTTGTAGAGATTGAGCCATGGGGATAATTTAGGTTAAAGAATGAAGAATGCTTTTTTTTTTTTTTGCCATCTGTAGGGTCTAACCACAGAGTAGAAGGAAGCATCCCCTAGGTCAGCATGCAGGGTGGTGGGAGGGCTTTTATCTTCCTTACCCCAGCCTCTTTTTTCACTGTTCTGAAAGTCCAGAAGTTACTATATTATAAAATAGGTTCCTTTAACATTTATTTCTGGATGCCACAGAAATAAATAAATAAAGTCCATTCCTCTGCTATTCTCATCATTTTTCCCAAAGGCCTCTTGATTTAAAAATTTCACCATGGCATCACCTCAGCTGTGAAGATGTATAAACAGTGTCCACCTCTGATATCTGCACTTAGTTTACCAGTGGTGCTGTTTGAACTTCATAGTGCCAAAACTTACTGAGCACTTACTGTGTGCTGGGCATGTGCTACTGAGTGCCTTATATCATAAGGAAACTGAGCAAAATCAGGGGACTGGTGTAAATGGTGAAACTGGGCTTGAATCTAAGCTTTGTCTTGGGAGCCAGTACCCTTAACTTCTCCTTGTGTAAAATAATACTTTTCAAAGAGTGAAGTTTTCCCCAAGTCATAAAATTTTCATTTACCCTAAGTGTGTACAAATAAAGCTTTCAACAGAAAAAAAAAAATTAGAGGAACATCAGCCCACCCAGATGAGAAAATATCAGTACAAGAACTCTGGCAACTCAAACAGCCAGACTCTCTTCTTACCTCTGAATAACTGCACTAGCTCCCTAGCAATGGCTTTTAACCAGGCTAAAAGAGCTGAAATGACAGACATGGAATTCAAAATCTGAATGGCAATGAAGATCATCCAGATTCAGGAGAAAGTTGAAACCTAATTCAAAGAATCTAAGGCATCCAGTAAAAGGATACAGGAGTGAAAGACAAAATAGCCCTTTAAGAAAGAACCAAGCTGATCTTCTGAGCTGAAAAACTCACTCAAGGATTTTCACAATACAATCAGAAGTATTAAAAGCAGAATAGACCAAGCTAAGAAAAGAATTTCAGAGCTTGAAGACCATTTTGAATCAATTCAGTCAGTCAAAAACAAACAAACAAAAAGAATAAAAAAGAATGAACAAAAACTTTGAGAAAGATGGGATTATGTAAAGAAACAAAACCTACTACTCATTGGTATGTCTGAAAGAGAGGGAGAGAGAGCAACAACTTGGAAAACATATTTGAGGATATTGTTCACAAAAATTTCCCCAACCTCACTAGAAAGGTTGACATTCAAATTCAGAGAATTCAGAGAACCTCTGCAGGATACTATATAAGACAACCATCCCCAAGACACATAGTTATCAGGTTGTCCAAGATCAAAATGAAAGAAAAAAATATTAAAGACTGCTACACTGAAGGGGAATGTCACCCAAAATGGAAACACCATCAGGCTAACAATAGACCTTTCAGAAGAAACCCTACAACCCAAAAGAAATTGGGGACCTATATTCAGCATCCTTAAAGAAAAGAAATTTCAACCAAGAATGTTATATCCAGCCAAACTAAACTTCATAAACAAAGGAGAAATAAAATTCCTTTTAGACAAGCAAATGTTAAGGGAATTTATTACCATCTGAACTGCCTTACAAGAGATCATTAAAGGAATGCTAAACATGGAAACTAAAGACTGTTACCAGCAACCACAAAAACAGACATAAGTGCACAGATCATTAACATTGTAAAGCAACTACACAATCAAGTCTACATAACAACCAGCTAAAAACATAAAAACATGATTACAGGGTCAAATCTGCATACATGAATACTAATCTTGAATGTAAATATGCTAAATGGCCCATTTAAAAGGCACAGGGTGGCAAATTGGACAAAGAAACAAGACCCAACTATATAATGTCTTGAAGAAACCCGTCTCGCATTCAATGACACCCTTAGGCTCAAAGTAAAGGGACAGAGAAAATCTACCAAGCAAATAGAAAACTAAAAAGAGCCGGGGTTGCTATTTCATTTCACAAAAAACAGACTTTAAACCAATAATGATCAAACAGGTCAAAGAAGGGCATTTCATAATGGGAAAGGGTTCAATTCGAAAAGAAGACTTAACTATCCTAATATATAAGCACCCAACACCAGAGCACCCAGATTCATAAAACAAGTTATTAGAGACCTAGAAAGAGACTTAGATAACCACACGATAATGATGGGAGACTTCAACACCCCACTGACAGTATTAGACAGATAATTGAGACAGAAAACTAACAATGACATTTGGTACCTAAACTCAACATTTGACCAAATCAACCTAACAGACATCTACAGAACACACTACCCAACAACAGCAGAATATACATTCTTCTCATCTGCACATGGCACATACTCTAAAATTGACCATATGCTCAGCCATAAAGCAATTCTCAACAAATTTTTTAAAAATCAAAATCATGCCAATCACACCCTTGGACCACAGCACAATAAAAATAGAAGTTAATATAAGAAAATCTCTCAAAACCATACAATTACATGGAAATTTAACAACCTGCTCCTGAATGACTTTTGGGTAAACAATGAAATTAAGGCAGAAATCAAGAAATTTCTTGAAACTAATGAAAAGAAAGGTACAACATACCAGAATCTCTAGGATACAACTAAAGTAGCATTCAGATAAAAGTTTATGTGCTAAACATCCATATCAAAAGCTACAAAGATCTCAAATTAACAACCTAACATCACTCCTAGAGGAATTAGAAAAAGAAGAAACCAACCTCAAAACTAACAGAAGAAAAGGAATAACCAACACCAGAGCTGAACTGAATGAAACTGAGACCACAAAAAAAAACATACAAAAGATCAATAAAAGCAAAATTTGTTTTTTGAAAGAATAAATAAGATTGATAGACCTCTATCTAGACTAATAAAGGAAAAGAGAAGATTCAAAAAAATGCAGTCAGGAATGACAAAAAGGACACTATCACCAATCCCACAGAAATTTTTTAAATCTTCATAAACTATTGTAAGCACCTCTGAGCACACAAACTAGAAAATCTAGAAGAAATTGATAAATTCCTTGAAACATACAACCTCGTAAGATTGAACCAGGAAAAAAGATGGGAACCCTGAACAGATTAATAATGAATTCTGACATTAAATAGAAATAAAAAGCTTACCAACCAAAAAAAGTTCAGGACCAGACAGATGCATAACTGAATTCTAGCAGATGTACAAAAAAGAGCTGATACCAATCCTACTGAAACTATTCCAAAAAATTGAGGCAGAGGGACTCCTGCCTAACTCATTCTATGAGGCCAGCATCATTCTGATACCAAAACCTGGCAAAGACACAACAAAATAGAAAACTTTAAGTCAATATCCTTAATGAACATACATGCTAAAATCCTCAACAAAATACTAGCAAATCAAATCCAGCAACATATCAAAAACACACCATGATCAAGTAAGCTTTAGCCCTGGAATGCAAGGTTGGTTCAACATATGCAAATCAATACATGTGATTCATCACATAAATAGAACTAAAGACAAAAACCACATGATTATCTCAATAGACCCAGAAAGGCTTTCAATAAAATTCAACATCCCTTCATGTTAAAAACCCTCAAAAATTAGGCTACAAAGGAATATACTTCAAAATAATAGGAATCATCTATGAAAACCCACAACCAATGTCATACTGAGCAGGCAAAAGGTGGGAGCAGTCCCCTTGAAAACCAGAACAAGACAAGGATACCTACTCTCACCACTCCCATTCAACATAGTACTGGAAGTTCTAGCCAGAACAATCAGGCAAGAGAAAGAAATAAAAAACATCAAAATAGGAAGAGAGGAATTCAAATTATCTCTCTTCACAGATGTATGATTCTATACTTAGGAAACCCCGTGTTGTCTGTCCAAAAGCTAATAGATCTGATAAACAACTTCAACAAACTTGCAGGATATAAAATCAGTACAAAAATCAGTAGCATTTCTATACACCAATAATGTTCAAGCTTAGAGCAAAATAAAGAACACAATCCTATTCATATTAGCCACAAAAGGAAAAAAAATACCTAGAAATACAGCTAACCAGGGAGATGAAAGATTTTTACAACAAGAATTGCAAAACACTGATGAAAGAAATCAGAGATAACACAAACAAATGGAAAAACATTCCATGCTCATGGATAGAAGAATCAATATTGTTAATATGGTCATAATGTCCAAAGCAACTTATAGATCCAATGCTATTCCTATAACACTAACCAATGTTATTTTTCACAGCATTAGGAAAAAACTACTCTAAAATATATACAGAACCTAAAAAGAGATCAAATACTCAAAACAAACCTTAGGGGAGAGAAAAGCCAGAGGCATCACACTACCCAACTTCAAACTATACTACAAGGCTGTAGTAACCAAAACATCATGGTACTGGTACAAAAACAGACACATAGACCAATGGAATAGGTCAGAGAGCCCTGAAATAAAATTGCACAACTACAACCATCTGATTCCACAAAAACAAGCAATGGGGAAAGGATTCCCTATTCAATACATGATCCTGGAATAACATATGCAGAAGATTAAAACTGGACCCCTTTATTTCACTATGTATAAAAAATCAACTCAAGATGGATTAAAGAATAAAATATAAAACTTAAACTATAAAATCCCTAGAAGAAAGCATAGGAAATACCATTCTGGACATAAGAACTGGCAAAGATTTCATAACAAGGACACCAAAAGTCATTGCAACAAAAACAAAAATTGACAGGTGAGACCTAATTAAACTTAAGTGCTTCTGCATGGCATAAGAAACTATCATTATGGTTTCTCTTCAGAATGAATAAATCTTTTGCCTTTTATTAAAGATTTCCATGAAGAGGAACAGATGGGAGTTAGTAAGAAATGTTTTGAAGTCCTGCTTGAGCAGGGCCAAGTAAATTAAAAAAAAAAAAACTATTAACAGAGTAAACAGACAACATAAAGAATGAGAGAAAATATTTGCAAACTGTGCATCTGAGAAGGGTCTAATATCTAGAATCTATAAGTAACTTAAACAAATCAACAAACAACCCCAATAAAAAGTGGGCAAAGGACATGAACACAAACACACACTTCTCAAAAGAAGACATAAGCACAGCCAACAAGACATATAAAAAATGCTCAACATCAGTAATAATTAAAGAAATGCAAATCAAAACCACAATGAGATAGTTTCTCATACCAGTCAGAATGGCTATTATTAAAAAGTCAAAAAGCAACAGATTCTGGTAAGTTTGCAAAGAAAAGTATCTGTGCACAAAATCCCCACGAAATGTAAATTATTCATGTAACAAAAATGCACATGTACCCACTAAACCTAAAATAAAATTTGGACATAAATAAATAAAATAAAACTCATTGTAAAGTTAAGAATATAATCATATTAAGAATGTTCTAATTCTGTATTGGACATGTGTAATTATTTTTAACACTAGTATAAAAGTTAAACAACAAAAGTGTTAAGGAGAAGTATAGTTACAATAATTTGTTAATGGATACAAAATATAAAAAGATATAAATTATGATATCAATGACATGAAACATTGGGAGAAGAAAAATAAAGTGTAGAGTTTTCAAATGCAGTTAAAGTTATCAGCGTAAAATAGACTATAATAACTACAAAATATTTTATGTAAACCCCACAGCAACTACAAAAAGAAAACCTGTAGAAAACACACTGAAAGAAAAAGGAATCAAAGCATACAATTACAAAAATAAAAAGTTAAATCACAAAAAGATGCCAATAAAGGAAGAAAGAAACAGAGGAATGGCTGTCAGAAAACAATTAACAAGACAGCAATAGTAAGTCCTTAACCATCAATAATTACTTTAAATGTAAATGGATTATTTCTCCAATCAAAAGGCATAGACTGATTGAACAGATGAAAAAGCAGTATTCAACTATGTATGTTGCCTACAAGAAACACTTTAGCTTTAAGAGTACACACAAGCTGAAAGTGAAGGGATGGGAAAAGACATCTCATTCAAATAGTAACTAACAGAGAGCAAGTGTGTGAATATACTTAGATAAAATAGACTTTAAATCAAAAACATTCACTTGATACAAAGGAGGTCATTATATAATGATAAAAGAGTCACTTTATCAAGAGGATATAACAGTTGTAAATATGCATGCACCCAATATTGTAGCACCTAAATATAAATATATTGTAGCACCTAAATATAAGCAAATATTAGCAGAATGTAAAGGGAAAGTAGATAGCAATATAATAATAGTAGGGAACTTTAGTACCCACCATCAATATCAGATAAATCATCCAGAGAAAAAAATCAATAAGGAAACAGAGGATTTGAACAAAACTATAGACCAAATCGACCTAACAGACATATACGGAGTATTCCTTTAAACAATGGTAGACTACGCATTTTTTCCAGACCTTTTGTTAGGCCACAAAACCAGTCTGAACTAATTTTTTAAAATGAAAATCATATCAAATACGTTTTCTGACCACAATAATGTGAACTAAAATTCAGCGATGGGAGAAAAATTGGAACATTCACAAATCTTTGAATATGTGGAAATTAAACAACACACTCATAAATGACTCATAAAGATTTCAACGTAAGACATGAAACTATAATATTCCTTGAAAATTCAAAGAGGAAATCAAGAAGGCAATCAAAAAATATTTTGGGACAAATAAAATTGGAAAGACACCATAAACTTTAGTGGATGCAGTAAAAGCAGTTTAAAGAGGAAAGTTTACAGAAATAGTGCCTGCAATAAGGAAAAAGAAGTTCTCAAATAAGAAAACCTAAAATTACATTTCACAGAATGAAAAAGAACAAACTAAGCCTAGAGTTATTAGGAAAAAAAAGAAAATAATGAAGATCAAACAGAAATAAATAAGAAAATAGAAAAACAATGGAAATGAAATTAAGAATTGTTTTCTTGAAAAAGTAAACAAAAATGACAAATGTTTAGCAAGATTAAGAAAAAAGAGGTAAGACTCAAATAAATAAAATTATAAATGAAAGAGAAGACATTGCAACTGATGCCACATAAATACGAAGGATACAAGAGACTACTATGAACAATTATATACCACCAAATTGGATAACCGAGAGAAATGGATAGATTCCTTGAAACATAAAACCTACCAAGGCTGAATCATGAGGAAATATATAATCTAAACTAATCAATAATGAGTGAGAATATTGAATCAGTAGTTTAAAACCTCCCCCCCAAAAAAATTCAGTAACTGAGCCTGTCATTAATGAATTCTACCAAGCATTTAAAGAACAATTAATGCCAATCTTTCTCAAACTCTTCCAAAAAATTAAAGCAAAGGAATTCTTCCATACTCATTTTACAAGCCCAGCATTACCCTGATACCAAAGGACATTATAATAAAAGAAAATTACAGGCCAATAACTTTGATGAAAATAGATACAAAAATGGTCAACAAAATACTACCAAACTGAAATTATCAGCACATTTAAGTGTTCATACACCATGACTGAGTGGGATTTATTCCTGAGATGTAAGGATAGTTCAACATACACAAATATAAATGTGATACACCACGCTAACAGAAGGAAGAATAAAAATGATATGATCATTTCAACAGATGCAGAGAAAGCATTTGATAAAATTCAACATCCTTCCATGATAAGAACTCTCAACAAATTAAGTATACCAGGAAAGCACTTTGACATAATAAAAACTATATGTAACAAGCCCATAAACTACGTGTGACAAGCCCACAGCCAACAATCATACTCAATGGTGAAAAGCTAAATTTTTTCTCTCTAAGATCAGAAACAAGACAAGGATATGTATTCTGACCACTTTTATTCAATATAGTACTGGAAGTCCTAGCTAGAACAGTCAGGAGAGGAGAGGAGAGGGGACGGAAGGGGAGGGGAAGGGAGGGGAGGAGAGGGGAAGAGAAGGGAGGGGAGAGCAGGGGAGGGGAGGGGAGGAGAGGGGAGGCATCCAATTGGAAAAGAAGTAAAATTATCTCTGTGCACAGATGACCAGATTTTATAAATAGAAAACCCTAAACACCCCACTAAAAAAAGTTATAACTTATAAACAAATTCAGTAAAGGTGCAGGATACAAAATCAACGTGCAAAAACCAGTAGCATTTCTATATACTCACAATGAACTGTCCCAGAAAAGAAATTAAGAAAATAATCCATTTACAATAGCATCAAAAAGAGTAAAATATTTAGGTATAAATTTCATCAAGAAGGTGAAAACTGTAAGACACTGATGAAAGAAAATAATGAAGACACAAATAAATGAAAAAAGTCCATATTTATAGACAGGAACCATTAATAGTATTAAAATATTCATAATATACAAAGTGATTTAATACAACCCCTATTAAAGTTTAAAATGGCATTTTTTACAGAAATAGAAAAAATAATAATCTTAAAATTCATATGAAACCACAAAAAAAAACTGTTATAGCCAAAGCAATCTTGAGTAAAAAGAACACAGCTGGAGGCATTACACTAATTTCAAAATATAGTACAAAGCTATAGTAATCAGAACACTATGCGACTGACATAAAAATAGACATATACACCAATGGAACAGAATAGAGAGCCCAGAAGTAAATCCACATATTTACAGACAATTGACCTTCATAAAAAGGTGCCAAGATTACACAATACAGAAAGGACGGTCTCCTAAATAAATGTTGTTGTGAAAACTAGATATACACATACAGAAGAATGAAAGTAAACACTTATACCATGTACAAAAATTAACTCAAAATACATTAACGGTTTCAATGTAAGACATAAAACTATAATATTCCCTGAAAAAAACATAGAAGAAAAGTTTCTTGATATTGACCTGGGAAATGATTTTTTAAAAATATATAACCCTAAAAGCACAGGAGACAAAAGCAAAATTATACAAATATGATTGCATCAAATTTAGAAGCTTCTTCACAGGAAAGAAAAAAAACAGATTAAAGAGACAACCTATGGAAGGGGGAAATGATATTTTCAAACCATAAATTTGATAAAGAGTTAATATCCAAAATATATTAGGAACTCAACTCAATAGCAAAAAGACAAATAACCTAATTAAAGAATGAGCAAAGGACCTGATAGACATTTCTCAAAAGAAGACATATAAATGGTCATTTATGGGTATATGAAAAAATGTTTCATATCACTACTCAACAGGGAAATGCAAATCAAAAGTGCAACCTCACATCTGTTAGAATGGCTATTATCAAAAAAACAAGAAGTAGGTGTTGGCCAGGATGTGGAGAAAGGGAAACTCTTATACACTGTTGGTGGGAATGTATAATAAATTGGTGCAACCATTTTGAAAAACAGTTCAGAGGTTCTTCAAAAAACTAAAAATAAAACTACACTATGATCCACCAATCCTACTTCTGGGTATATATTCAAAGGAAATAAAATCAGTACCTTCAAGAAATAGCCACACAATCTTGTTCATTGTAGCATTATTCACAATACCCAAAATATAGAATCAACTTGAATGTTTATCGATGGATGAATGAATAAAGAAAATGTGGCAAATACACACACATACACACACGCACACACACACATATACACACACATAAATATGTAGCAGAAAACTATTCAGCTTTAACAAAGAAGAAAATCTGTCAGTTGTGATAACATGGATGAACCTGGAGGATATTATGCTAAACAAAATAATCCAGGCACAAAGACAAATACTACGTGATCATACTTCTGTATGGAATCTAAAAATGTCAAATCACAGAAGCAAAGAATAATATGGTGGTTGCCAGGGACTTGGAGTAGGGAAAATGGGGAGATATTGATCAAAAGGAACAAAGTTTCAGGTATGCAGAATGACTAAGTTCTAGAAATCTAATGTACAGCATAGAGATTATAGTTAATAATACTGTATTATAAAATTAAAATTTCCTAGGACAGTAAATCTTAAATAGGTAAGAAAAGAAAAGCCATCCAATTGAGAAAGGAAGCAGTATTCTCATCACAAAAATAAAAAAGTAACTATGGGAGGAGAGAGATATGTTAATTAGTCTGATTGTGGCAATCATTTCACAATGTATATGTATGTCAAAACATCATGTTGTACGTCTTCAATACATTTGCTGAAACATTTTTATCGAGGTAAAATATACTTATAAAATTTTACCATCTTAACCATTTATTTATATCAATTGAGGCGGCTCTCGTGGAGGCAGCTAGCGCGAGGCTGGGGAGCGCTGAGCCGTGCGTCGTGCCCTGCTGCTGCCCAGACTAGCGAACAATACAGTCAGGATGGCTAAAGGTGACCCCAAGAAACCAAAGGGCAAGATGTCTGCTTATGCCTTCTTTGTGCAGACAAGTAGAGAAGAACATAAGAAGAAAAACCCAGAGGTCCCTGTCAATTTTGTGGAATTTTCCAAGAAGTGCTCTGAGAGGTGGAAGACATGTCCGGGAAACAGAAATCTAAATTTGATGAAATGGCAAAGGCAGATAAAGTGCGCTATGATCGGGAAATGAAGGATTATGGACCAGCTAAGGGAGGCAAGAAGAAGAAGGATCCCAATGCTCCCAAAAGGCCACCGTCTGGATTCTTCCTGTTCTGTTCAGAATTCCACCCCAAAATCAAATCCACAAACCCCGGCATCTCTATTGGAGACGTGGCAAAAAACCTGAGTGAGATGTGGAATAATTTAAATGACAGTGAAAAGCAGCCTTACATCACTAAGGCTGCAAAGCTGAAGGAGAAGTATGAGAAGGATGTTGCTGACTATAAGTCGAAAGGAAAGTTTGATGGTGCAAAGGTCCTGCTAAAGTTGCCCGGAAAAAGGTGGAAGAGGAAGAGGAAGAGAAGGAGGAAGAAGAGGAGGAGGAGGAGGATGAGGAGAAGGAGGAATAAAGAAACTGTTTATCGTCTCCTTGTGAATACTTAGAGCAGGGGAGCGCCGTAATTGACACATCTCTTATTTGAGAAGTGTCTGTTGCCCTCATTAGGTTTAATTACAAAATTTGATCACGGTCACATTGTAGTCTCTCAAAGTGCTCTAGAAATTGTCAGTGGTTTACATGAAGTGGCCACGGGTGTCTGGAGCACCCTGAAACTGTATCAAAGTTGCACATATTTCCAAACATTTTTTAAATGAAAAGGCACTCTTCGTGTTCTCCTCACTCTGTGCACTTTGCCGTTGGTGTGACAAGGCATTTAAAGATGTTTCCTGCATTTTCTTTTTTTTATTATTTGTAAGGTGGTGTTAACTATGGTTATTGGCTAGAAATTCTGAGTTTTCAACTGTATATATATCTATAGTTTGTAAAAAGAACAAAACAACCAAGACAAACTCTTGATGCTCCTTGCTCGGCGTTGAGGCTGTGGGGAAGATGCCTTTTGGAGAGACTGTAGCTCAGGGCGTGCAATGTGAGGCTGGACCTGTTGACCCTGCAGGGGGCATACATTTAGCTTCAGGTTGTCTTGTTTCTGTATATAGTGACATAGCATTCTGCTGCCATCTTAGCTGTGGACAAAGGTGGGTCAGCTGGCATGAGAATATTTTTTTTTTAAGTGTGGTAGTTTTTAGACTGTTTTTAAACAAACTGTAGAACTCTTCATTGTCAGCAAAGCAAAGAGCCACTGCATCAATGAAAGTTCAAGAACCTCCTGTACTTAAAAATGATTTGCAATGTTCTGTTATTTTTTTTGTATGTTTAGAATGCTGAAATGTTTTTGAAGTTAAATAAACAGTATTACATTTAAAAAAATAAATAAATATATGCAATTATGTGTCAACTATACCTCAGTAAAGCTGAAATAAATAAATAAATAAATAAATAAGGTTTTAAGCTTGTGATTTTCTTTCTCTAAATTCTGTAGTTCAGGAAGAACCAGTCATCACATCCACACCACTCTTTATGCACCATAAAGTTCTATTAGTACAAGAACTTGGTGATTTCAAGCCTCACCTTCTGTAGACACTTGACTTCAGGTAGGGGAAGGAGATAATTTAAGCAACTATTTCGTCATTGCATGACATGGTCAATCATGATCGAAAGCTAATCAGATCAAATAACTAATTGGAGATTCCCACTTTAAATGTTCTGTTCCCTTGGGGATGCTTCTAGTACAGAAATCTGTTTCAATCAGACTTCCATCAGAAAAACAGAAGCCATTTAAAGTACCTGGGATATAAAAAGTTTAGTAGCAGAATTATGAGTTTGTGTGATCTTTGGAAAAGCTGCAGGAGCAAAGGTCAGGGAGCCAGCACTAATGATATTAGACTCAAGCATCAATGTGGGTGACTCTTAAAACTTGCCAGGAAACTGCTAAGAAGTTTGCACTGTCAGCCTGCAGCAGTGATGAGAATGATTCTTAAGAGCTCACTGGAAAGCCACTTTGAATCTCACCTTTGCCCTTGCATCTGGCACAATTGTGTCCTGAGAATAACGGCTTCTCCTTTTTCACCTTCTAAATGACATGTGAGTTATTCTTATTGGAAAAAAAAATCTAACCTAGAACTACAAAGGGAAGGGATTCTGGGACCTGTAACTTCTAGTTGTTTCTGCAATGCACGTAAAGCTTAGAAGAGCATGCTGATAATGTCTAATTGACAACAGATAATGTGTAGCAATTATCAAAAGGAATAAATCATTAATGATAGTATTTCAGGCGTTGGTTTGCAGATTATAAGTATCATACTCGGGGATAGAATTTCTTTTTTTTTTTTTTTTTTTTTTTTTTTTTTGAGACGGAGTCTCGCTCTGTCGCCCAGGCCGGACTGTGGACTGCAGTGGCGCAATCTCGGCTCACTGCAAGCTCCGCCTCCCGGGTTCACGCCATTCTCCTGCCTCAGCCTCCCGAGTAGCTGGGACTACAGGCGCCCGCCACCGCGCCCGGCTAATTTTTTGTATTTTTAGTAGAGACGGGGTTTCACCTTGTTAGCCAGAATGGTCTCGATCTCCTGACCTCATGATCCACCCGCCTCGGCCTCCCAAAGTGCTGGGATTACAGGCGTGAGCCACCGCGCCCGGCCTAGAATTTCTTTAGGAATGTCTAACTTACAACATGTAGACAAATGATTATCCTGCCTTGTCCAACACCTATTCTGGTTCTGCCTTATGAGAAATTAAATAAAACAATTCACTATATAAACTTCTGCAGATTTTCTGAGGTAGCTCTTCAATACGTCCATATCTTTTCATCTCTACTGCAACAACTCTAAGCTAGGTAGCTGTCATTTCTCCCTAGAAAATTGTTTTACCTTTTTTCAGTTATTTGTGTCCAATCTTATCTTTGCAAAATAAAATTAGATAATGACGCTTCCCTCCTTAAAATCTTCCACCTGCTCCTGCACCCTACATAGTAAACTTCCTTCAGTTTTTTAGTTGTGCCATATTTTGCCTTCTCAAACTACCTTTTGTTCAGTATACCCTTTCCTCTTCTCCACTGTTTACCCAAGTTTCTTCTGTTCTTCCTTTGGACAAGTTTGAACTTAAATGACATTTGCGGGGGTAGCCTCTCCCAGTCTTCACTATGCTCTGCTATTCTTTGTTCCTTTAGCTGAAGGCTTATTCTAGAGCCTGAGCAAATGACTGCTCTTAGTCCAGCCCTTTACACTGCTTACCTTATTTATATTAACACTGAAATAATGGAAGCAGAAAATGAGCTAGAATAACAACAACAACAAACAAACAACAAACAGCCCTCCCTAAGGGCTTAGGCCAAGCTAGCGATAGTTAACAAGGCTTCACCTCAGCTTTTGATTGGGGCATGAGATACTTTCAAGACATCTCACTGAACATCTTCATGGGAGGAAAACCAAGATGAGAGAGAAATTTAGACTGACCAAAAAGAAGTTTGAGGACAATAACCCTTTAAAAAATTGTTCTCTTCCTCTTGATAGTGTGCCTAATTTCATGTCCACCACCTGGTAGAAACAGTGAAATCAGCACAGTATCTCACATACTGTAGGCCATCAAAAACACCTGTTGAATATATGAATAAATGAGGAAATGGATGAATAATTGAATGAGGAAAGAACCTTTTCCTCTTGAATTCCTGTTAGAGTTTACATTGTTTGGCTAGCAGCCACCTGCCGAAATGATCACTGTCTGCTGATGTCTCATGAGATTCATACCCTGGGTGGGTTGTGTGTGTGTATGTGTGTGTGTCAGGCTTCATACTTGTAGCACATCCCTTTTATGGTACCTTTTCTATAACCATTGGAACACATATTTCTATTAAGCTTCTTAAGATCAGTACTTTGTCTCTAGTGCTTTACAGAGAGGTACATGTAAGTATTCATAAAGCCTTGTTGAATAAAAGATAATTATTATAAAAAGATACAATATTTTTACATATTCTCTATGAAATATGTAATTTGTGTGTACAGAAGTATAAACCCCAAGAATTTTTACAATATTCCAAACAAAAGAATTAGTGGCAATATAATTTCAGGTGTATCTATTTATAAAACGGCTTATTTTATCATTGTTTTTTATTACTGTAATGGGAAAGTCTGTATCAAATCAACCTTTTTAAAAAAATGGTTTTCACAGGTAGAAATAATATTTATATAGTTCCCTTTGCTTTGTTTCAGAAAAAAGAGTTGCTAAATGTAATGTCTAGAGCTAGCCATAGGCCTAATGAAACATTCCTATGCCACAACAGAGAACTCCTTTACAGTGAAGAGAAAGTTGATGTCTTTCATGGTGTGTTTTTCTCCCTTTACACAATCCCAGGCAAATGTTGCCAATTTCTGGCTCTGGGATTCTGTGTTTATGCTTTAAGTTTGGTTGCTGTCTTTTGTTTTTCCAGATTGACTGCAATAAAATGGATTAGGCCTTCCCTTACCAACTATAATTACATGCAGCCCTGCCTCCCTTAAATGATTCCTGGGAGACTTGATTGGAATCTGGGGCACCCCAAATGTTACTATCACATATTTTCTGACAATTTTAGGTTTATAACCATGGATGACTAATCTCATTCATGATGTGTGTTTTGGATATCTAAGGGTAAATGAAATTTCCTGGTTCACAGATTCTTAGTGAGCATGGTGCTTACAGTGTGCCACAGGCATGGCCAACATCCTTTAATAGAAGCACGTGCACAGCTATTATGTAGGCATACAATCTCCATTTAGAAGATTGCAAAGGGAGAATCTCCCTGTTTACTTTTAGAATGGCAAAACAAAGACAGATATTTCTTGGAAGTGCAGAATGTAAAGTAGCAAACCCAACACAATGATATTTTATTATCCAAAGCATTTTGATTCTCACTCTACCTCAAATTAGCAGCATAGCAGATAGTAGCAAAATGTAATCTTTGGGGTGTTAGGCATTTCTTGTCACCCAAGATAAAGGGTCACAACAGATACAGGCTATTTGGCCTTTTAGTAAAAACTGACTATAAGCAGACTGCTTAGTAGGGCTAAACTGTTTGCCTCCATTTTTATACCTTCTCTGAAACTCTTGATAGCTATGAATGAGTCAATTGGGCATGATCCAGGATCCCCCCAACAATAATTTTAGACTGTCAAGGCAGATCATATTTGGGAAGAGTTAAACACAGCTCTCTGCAACATTAATTCCATTTGAGAAGCAAATGTTCCCAAGGGCACATGAGGACATGTCCTGCAGAATCTGGCTGTCAGTGGCGTCACAGGGCACAGCTCTGTCTTAGCATGTGGGGCCCAACACACTCCTGCAGAAGCAGTGAGAGGCAGCGACCTCAGGAAGATCTGAAGAGCAGAAGTGGTAAAAACATTGAACATTACAGCTGTGTGTCTTGTGACAATATTGTCTCTTATGGTAAATATAGAAACAAACTTTGTAATTGGGAAATTGAACTTTGAAATGATTCTTCTATTAATTATTCTTCTAGCTTATATGTGAGTTTTTAAGTAATCAATGGGCACTTAAGCATAAAGTCATTATTTTTAATAGGACCATTAGTGTATTTTTTTAACAAAATGGTGCTTATTGAATCTATTGCCTATGAATAAAAATGTCGGATTTCATTACGACTATTCTCTAGTAAAGTTTAATGAGTACATTGTATTCCACAGTGTGTGTAGCAATGTTATTTTGTAAATCATGCCATTATTTCTCTCTCATTTTTATATATTTATTTCATGTATTGTTTTCATATATATGGTTAACACATTTTTCAATTATTTCTGATTCAATGAGCATTAAACTTATCTCTCAATTTTTTCACACTACTTAGCCTCTCAAACCATACGTTACTTTTTTACATTTAATGTTGAAAATATTAGCCTCATAATACATTAACTCTGACTTTATCCTTTTAATCTATATTCTACTCACCTCAATTGATTTTTTTGAAGATACACAACAAAAAAAGGCACTTCTTTTTGCAAGCAACTCATTACAAGATGCTGGGGATATAGTGATGTTCTGCTTCTGAAAATAGCACAAATAAAGACCAACTACAAACTACAAACACACCAAATGTGATACTAATGAATTCCAAATACGTACAGATCACTACATGTGAATGGTAACCACCTAACACAAAGCCAGTGTTATAAGAGTCCCACAAGGTAACTTGGAGTGACACAAAGAAGTTACAGCAAAGAATTTATTGGTCTACTTTGCAGATTTTCTCATTTCTTCCATTAAAAAAGATATTATGCTCTTCTTATCCCATTGGATAAAAGGCAAAACCTGAAGACAAAAGGCTTGATTAGCTTGTCACCAACTAAAAGAGTTACAAAGGTGGAGGAGGGAGGTTGACAGAGTTTCACTTTGTGTCTAAACTATGTTCACTCTGGAATTCGTGCATATCGTGGCCTCTTTATAGGATTGAGTATTTCTAGAATTTGTATGCAGTGCATGAGCTCCCAAAAAATCAACTGGGAAAAACCTTCCCCAAAGGAGGGAGTAAGGTACATAAATTTGGGACAATTATGATATCCAGGTATACCTAAGAGGACATGATTTTCTGACCAACATGATACCTGTCAGCTAGTTTGTCCTTCAGCCTGGGCCTATGGAATCATGCGAGTCACAGAAAAAGACAGCTGAAATTGCAACATTCTTCATGAGAACTGTACCAAATTATGCAGCATCACAAGACAGCACTGCTTTAGCACCCTTGTCATGTAATTTGTTTTAAAGCACAAAGGTAGGTAGAATTTTCCCTTTCATCAGTGGGCATGTTTAAAGGACACCGTCTCTTTATTCATGTCAGAAGTACTTTTAAACTTAAACACGGTGTTTGGCCACATTAGAACTCAATATGTCATTGATACAGTACAACTTTGACATCAGTGGCAGTCATCCGAGCTGTAAAGTACCCTTGTTAGGTATTACAGATACAAAAGGAGGTGAAAAACAGCAAAAAGTCAAAGCAATGGAAAAGAACAATCATAGGCACACGATGGCTGAAGGTATGGTGTTTCTAGCACATGTGAAATAACAATCTTGTACCCTCTCTTTTGGAAGATTCTAAAAAGAAAAAAAAAACTGCCAAGAATTCACCATGCATTAAAGTCACCACTCCCAAAAGACAACACCTAGGAGTATTTACTTTACAGTTGTTGTGACCATATTTATTACTCCTAACCTGTTATGGTAGGAGAATTGTAGATACACAAAAGAGGTAATACACAAAAGAGGCAGATCATAGGCATGTGCACAGATCACATGTAATGAGGTTGGCGCTACCTCCAAAAGCCAACTAGGCAAACTTCCAGGAAGCCAGAGCTCAAGCCAAATTTTCCAGTATAAACCACATACCAAAAGAGAAGCCTGATTAGGGCTGAGTGGCTCCACCAGGACAAAATAGTCAATGAGCCAAAAAAAAAGACTAAAAAAGTGTTTAATGGACAGTACCTGCTCACAGAGTCACAGTCTCCTACCAGAAAGAGAGGAGAGGATCTGAGCATAGCTGCACCAAAAACAGACAATAAATAGTACCTAGGGTGAGGAATGTTTCCCAAGGATGGAAAAGCTAAGTTAGGAACATAGTGAAGCAAGAAAAAAGAGCAGAAATCGTCAATAATTGAAGTAATTGAAGCTAGATGAGATTGAGACAAAAAATTTAAGTCAATAAATTAATAAAAGTTTACTCAGTACCTTAGCACTCAACATGAAGTCAGAAGCTATTGATATGTAATCAATGCAGGCAACTAAGGTACTGCAACCAAGGGGGCATCATAGCTTAGTGTCAAGATGGAATTTTGGAAGTAGACATATATATTTGAATCCCTTTTCCACTATCCATAATCTGTGTGATTGCTGGTCTGTCATCTCCATAAAGACAAGAAGTCTGCATGAGGCATTTTCACCACATATCCTATTCTCCCAACCCAACATTTAGATATTATTCAATAATAGCATTCTGGTAGGGGAGAGCTACTACTACATTAAATCTATAGTGAAATTTGTTGCAATTTTAAAAAATGTTTAAATGGGCATCTTAGCATTAAAAATACGTAGTATTAAGCCTTCAAAATTATGTTTGAATAAATATATGAACTCACCTTTTTGAGTCCTAGATTTTTTTATCTGCACAATGATGAAAATAATACTGTTATTATTATCAGTACAATACTGGTAATATTACCAGTTATTATAATACTGTCATTATAAAAATAAAATAAGGGGTGTGTGTGTGTGTGTGTGTGTGTCTGCTTGTGTGTGAGGTGCTCAGCACAATGCCCAGGACATTTGAAATAGTTTTCCTGTACTCTCCTTGCCCTATTTGGAGAGAACATGAAATGGTTTGTCAATTTTAAAATAAATGATGTAAGGGGTTACTATGGGGAGAGGTTAAGTTGTGCTGAAGGATATCAGAAAGGTAAAGACAGAATGAATAGTTCAAAATGTTAAAAATCCAAAGGGGGGGCAGGTGCAGTGGCTCACACCTGTAATCCCAGCACTTTGGGAGGCCGAGGCGGGCGGATCACGAGGTCAGGAGATCGAGACCACCCTGGCTAACATGGTGAAAGCCCGTCTCTACTAAAAATACAAATATATATATATTAGCCAGGCATGGTGGCAGGTGCCTGTAGTCCCAGCTACTTGAGAGGCTGAGGCAGGAGAATGGCGTGAACCCGGGAGGTGGAGCTTGCAGTGAGCCAAGATCACGCCACTGCACTCCAGCCTGGGTGACAGAGCGAGATTCCATCTCAAAAAAAAAAAAAAAAAAAGCTCCAAAGGGAGCCTTCTGAAGTCTTAGGACAGGGCAGGAGAATCAAGTGAAAGTCTCCAGGGACTCCTGACCTCACATGGAATATGGGCAGCAGCTACTGTAGAAGAGCTGGGAAAGGGAGAGAAGAGCATACAGAGCCTACTCAGGCCTGAGAGCAAAGCAATTCCTCTAAAATCTCTGGGCCTTACACTGAATGTGAAGTAGCAGCCACTTGTAGCTGGAGGAGAGACAGAATTGCTGAAAGAGCTCCCTCATCCCTACCCTAGAGTCACAAGTGTATTAAGGCAGAGCAGGACAATGGAGACAAGACTTGAAGGAACTCAGATCACATTCTCTGCTAAAGGAAAGATTCTGTTCCAGCCCTCAAATTATTTGATGTTTGTGGTGAAATGAATCTAACTAAAGCCACCACAAAGTGCATACTCAGGTCAACCACATACTAGAGGGACTAACTCCCACCCGACCCCTACAAGCCTGACAAAGGTGCATGCCCTTTCTAAGGTAAAATGTTATTTACCTTAGTTTCTGTGGTTCTTTCACTCATAATGTCTAGCATTTAATCATAAATTGCTAGACATGTAAAGATTTCTGTGGTTCTTTCACTCATAATGTCTAGCATTTAATCATAAATTGCTAGACATGTAAAGAAACAAGAAAGTGTGGCAAATTGTTAAGGATAGAACCAGACCATAAGACTGGTCAATAGAACTAGACCCAGAAATTGACAGATGTTAGAAGTATCAGACACAAATTTTAATATAGCTATGCTAAATGTTTTAAAGAATCTAGTGGAAAAAGTTGCATGAACAGATGAAGAATTTCAGTAGAAAGATATCAATTATGAAAGTAGTCAAAAATATTCTAGAAATACACAAAATCTTATCCAAAAAAAAAATTTTTTTTTTTTGAGACGGAGTCTTGCTCTGTTGCCCAGGCTGGAGTACAATGGTGTGATCTCGGCTCACTGCAATCTCTGCCTTCTGGGTTCAAGTGATTCTCCCACCTCAGCCTCCCAAGTAACTAGGATTACAGGCATGTGCCACCATGCCTGGCTAATTTTTGTATTTTTAGTAGAGACGGGGTTTCTCCATGTTGGCCTGGCTCAAACTCCTGACCTCAGGTGATCCACTTGCCTTGGCCTCCAAAAGTGCTGGGATTACAGGAGTAAGCTATGGAGCCCAGCCAAAATTTGTTTAAAATCATTTCAGTGTGCTCATTAGCAGGATAGACACAGCAGAGGACACTCAAGGGAGGTTCAATGAATATCTAAAGTAAGGCAAAAACAAAATAAATCAAAATTAAATGAGAGAAATCAGTTTCTATTGAGCAGCCAGTTGAGACCATGCATTGACTGGATTACTCCAACATCTCAATTAATTTTACCTAAAATTGTAGCCATAATCCTGCAACTTAGGGGCCCTTTATTATAACTCCCACCCATGAAGAGAAATCACAACTTGTTGGGATGAGAAGGAGGAAGTAAGGAAGAAAAAAGGCTTCAAACAAAAGAATTTGAATTGAGTATTCAAAATAAACATAATATGGTGGGCCTTTTGGGTGACGAGAAGAGCATAACAGATAAAGACAAGAAAAGTAAATACAGAATATGTTTACAAAATGGCAAAAGGGTTATGAACGTCATACTGAGAAAACATACACACAAGTGACACTGCCCTACTTAAGAGAGTTTATACTATCAACTTCTGATATTTTCTTCTTAATCTGCTCACAATAATTAATACTGTGCTGTATGGAAAGTAGGTACTAAATAAATATTTATTTTAAATGAAACATGTGAGTGAGGGAATGAATGAATGAATAATGAAAGCAGTTGTCAGCACATTTTGAAGAGCTGGTAACAGTGGTGTCTTAATCTACACAATAACATAAAATACTCTGGGATATCTTAGATCAGGAGTTCTAGCTACAGAAAGAGAGATATGCAAGGAGAAATTAAAAATAAAATAGGGATAGTTTAAGTCAGAGCCTTAAGACATCACAACAAGAGAATTAACCAAGAGCAAAATGGCACCCCCCTTTCCCTTGCCTTCTGAAGCAGTAACTCTGCCCCTCATCAAACATGGAAATGACTGCCCAGTAGAGCCATGGACATCACACATGACCCTGTCCTTGAATTTTTTCAACAACCACCATTTCAGATTCATGAATTCCTACATATGTCAGGCATAGAGCTAAGTACCACTGTATATACTTGTAAATGGGACAAGCCTTGATTCTGCCTCCGGGAAGTTTACAGAATAAAGGAGGTTTTAAATGCTGTGCAATGCAGATCGAAGTTTGCATTGATTCTGAGATTCAGTGATTTAGTCTTCAGTACTCTCAAGGGCTCTACTAACTGGCCTTAGTTTTTAGAACCTTAACCTATATATATCTCTCTCCTCACTGACAAGCTATAGAGCTTATTTATCAAATAGAAAATAATTTGAGTCACAAGTGTGAGTTATATATATGTAATTTTTAACTATCTGGTAGTCACATTTTTTAAACAATTTTTTTCTTTTACTTTTTTTTTTTTTTTTTTTTTTGAGACGGAGTCTCGCTCTGTCGCCCAGGCTGGAGTGCAGTGGCACAATCTCGGCTCACTGCAAGCTCCGCCTCCCGGGTTCACGTCATTCTCCTGCCTCAGCCTCTCGAGTAGCTGGGACTACAGGGGCCTGCCACCACGCCTGACTAACTTTTTTGTGTTTTCAGTAGAGATGGGGTTTCACTGTGTTAGCCAGGATGGTCTTGATCTCCTGGCCTCGTGATCCGCCTGCTTCAATCTCCCAAAGTGCTGGGATTACAGGCATGAGCCACCGTGCCCGGCTTTTCTTTTCTTTTACTTTTAAGTTCATGGGTACAAGTGCAGGTTTGTTACATAGGTAAGCTTGTGTCATGGGGATTCGTTGTACAGATTATTTCATCACCAGGTATTAAGCCCAGTAACCATTAGTTATTTTTCCTAATCCTCTCCCTTCTTCCACCCTCCACCCTCTGATAGGCCCCAGTGTGGACTGTTCCCTTCTATGTGTCTGTGTGTTCGCATCATTTAGCTCCCACTTATAAGTAAGAAGATGTGGTATTTGGTTTTCTGTTCCTTGTTAGTATGCAAAGGATAATGGCCTCCAGCTCCATCCATGTCCCTGTAAAGGATATGATCTCATTCTTTTTTGTAGCTGCGTAGTATTCCATAGTGTATATGTACCACTTTTCTTTATCCATTCTATCATTGATGGGCATTTAGATTGATTACATGTCTTTGCTATACATGTCTTTGCTATTGTGAATAGTGCTGCAATTAACATATGCACGCGTGTGTCTTTATGACAGAATGATTTCTATTCCTTTGGGTATATACCCAGTAATGGGATTGATGGGTTGAATGGTATTTCTGTTGGTGGGAGTGTAAATTAGTTCAGCCATTGTGGAAGACAGTGTGGTGACTCCTCAAAGACTTAAATATGATAGACGCATTTTAAAAAGTAAAGTGAAACAGTTCAAATTAATTTAAATAATAAATTTAGCCCAATATATCCAAAACGTTATTATTTCCACATGTAATCAACATAAAAATGATTGCAATATTTTATAGCTAGCCTTTGAAATCCAAGGTATGTTACATTTAATGCTCATCTCAATTCCCATTGGCCCCACTTAAATGTCCAGCAGCCACATGTGGCTAAACTATGGAGTCTGTCCTGTTTCATAAGTAGGAATGTATACCTTGTGACAGAGTGCATACTGTGGGAGAAGCTTTGAAAAACAGAAATAAAAACAGAGAGAAAACAAGCCCTAAAAATATAAAAAACAATGACTGACAAAGAATTGAATCTCTCCAAAATCTGTAGGAAAGAAGACACTGGGAGATTTGAAACTCCAGCCAGTGAACATTGCTCAGGATCAAATGTTGCCTAACACAGGATTTTGTGTTGGAGATTCTGAGTTTTATTCCTGTTTTACCACCTTCCCACAACTGGCCCTCAAGAAAATAATTTGCCCTGATTGTGCCTCAACTTTTTTACTTAAAAATGAAAATAATAATGTGAACTGAGTTCACACAGGTCTTAACAGATGAATAAATATTGAAAAAAAAAATCATATGCATAGGAACAATGCAAATTGTTCTGATTCTTAACTCCTCCTCAAACGCAGGACCTTTCTATTCTGGTGTATTTCATCCCCCACAAAATATTTTTAAGAGTCTCCAAGAGACGCCTTTAAATGTACTTGGAAAGAAGTCCAAGCTGCCGGGTGCTGGGACTTGTCTGCCAGGCAACTGCTACCTCCTGTAGGACACTACTCCACTCAGACTGAATTCCATGGATTATTTAAAAAGGTGCACTTCTCCTTGCTGAAAAATAGAAGTAAGTCAGATAAAGTGTAGTAAGTTAGCTCTCAAAGCAGTATGAACCAAATTAATGGAGTGTTTTAAGTTCTGTGTAAAATAAACATACGACTAGTGATACAACTGTGGTCACCCCAGGAATGAGGTTGCTCTTTTCCATGAAGGCCTAATATAACTGAAAATGGGTGAAACCCTGCTGGGATGAAGTCAGAGGTCAGATAGCTAAATATAAGCACATTTTTCTAAAACCTACTGTGAAAGGCAGTAGAGCAGTCTAACATGAATATGGTTTTGGCATTTTTATTTCAAGCTGTGACCTCTTCAAAAAAAAAAAGTTACTGGGATTTATTATTATTTAGATGATAAAAGCTGGTCAAGAACCCAGAATGAAGACTAAATAAGTTAGTTCAAGGTCCTGCCTTGGTTAAAAAGTGTAAGAAAAATCTTTCAATGCAAAAGTACCGTATCAGGGGTCGCTAATATCTAAAAATGCATATGAGGAGGCAGTCCTTTGATTATAGATTTTTTTTCACCATTAAACTGCAAGTATTCTGAGCAATGTAACATCAAAACACTGTGAGATATTTATGCCTCAGGCAGAATAAATATTAAATCTTGTTTTACTTAGCATGTGTTTCCCCAAATACCAAAACTGAGAAAAAGGCTGACACAGAGGTAATTTATTTGGGAAGTGATGCCTTGGAGAGAAAATAAGTTACAGAGGGAGTAAAAGAGAGAGAGAGAGAGGAAAAGCCAATACAACAAATTAATTTGGCCATAGGTATGGGTAACTGGGATTCAATCTCATGGGACTTTCTGAAGGGTTTTATGAAGTGAGTCACAAAGCTGTACACTTTGGGTATGGTTGGGAGACAAATTCACCCATTGTCTCTTGCCCCTTGCCAAGACTGGCCTCAGGGGCATATATGTCAAGTCAGCTTCAGCAAGTGTCCCAGATTGTAGCATCAGCAAAACCTTAAGAAAGGAATCAAGAGGTATTCAGTGTAGTCCCAACTAGAAGGGTTGTCAGGCTTCACCAGTGTAAAGCTAGTCAAAGATTATATGGAACATGCTGCCACAGCAAAGGCTAAAATGACAGATGGAACTAAGAGGGTTTGAACAGCACACAAAAGGTGTCCAATACAGTCCACTCCTTTTATTACTTCGATCTTTATTAAGTCCAAACTTTTAGTCCTATTTAGGGTTGTGAATGGCCACAATCTCTGCATGTAATTAATGCAAGAGAGTTAGTGGAACAGGTCTTAAAGTAAAAATTGACGTTCATTATCTCCCACCAGCATGACCAATCCCATATTTTCCTCACCATCAGATGGCACTTCAGCTGATCTAGGTTGCTTGCCTACTAGGGTAAACCAGACCTTCATCTGTAAAGGATATGCATTCCTCAGTGTCTTGCCCTTGTCAGGCTTTGCTTGTTAATAGTTACTTGTTCATCATTATCAGTGGACAGAGAAAAACCAGTGAATGCCATAGTGACTCCTTACATTCCAGATATGCTCCTTTCTGACTTGTTTCATCAATTGTAACTCCTCCTGATAATCAAGATCAATCATCCCACCAATATCATCCATGTTTTCTTTGCCTATTGGTACTCTGGCATGAAGTTTCCAAAAATAACAGGTTGTAACTGTAGCTTTAAGTTTAAAATTGTAGCTTTAAAGTGGAACTAGTATGTCGCCTGGTGGGACATCATCCCCACCCCAGGAACCAAGATCTCTAATGTGGTACAACCTTAAGCTGTTGGGACAGGAGATGTAAATTCCACAAGTGAGTTCTCACCACAGTGATGGTGAGAGAACTCATCCTACTTCCACCTTTTGGTTCAGAGACTCACATGTTGCATCTACAGGGGGAATATATTAGTTGCCTAGGGATGGGGTAACAAAACTGGGTGACTTAAGATAACAGAGATCTTGTTTTACAGTTCGGTGGCTAGAAGTTTAAAATCTCAAAAGACTCAAGTGATGAACCATTCCTTGCCTCTTCCTAGCTTCTGATGGTTGCTGTCGATCTTCAATGGTCCTTGGGTCACAGCTGTATCACTCTAATCTCTGCTTCCTTCATCACATGGTTTTATTCCCTACGTCTCTCTGAAAGCCTGTGTTCAAATTTTCCTCTTCTTATAAGGAGACCAAGTCATTAGATTTAAGGCCTACCCTAATCTAGTATGACCTCATCTTAAGTTGATTATATCTGCAAAGACCCTATTTTCAAATAAGGTCACATTTACGGGTTCCAGTTGGATAGGAATGAATGAGGGGGAGGGAAGCATTTCAATACAATATAGGGACACAGAATGTATATCAGCACAGATATGGCACCCCAGAGGACAGTACTGCCATCGCTCAGGATTGTTCACAAGCTAGTGCTTTATCTGAGCCTATAGCAGGCCTTTCCAACAGTCCATTATCTATTCTGTGCAAATATAAGAAATATGACCCAAAGATGTTAAATTCTAGTTCACACAGCTAGAATGGATCACAGATTTTGGAGTCATGCCCCAGTCTACCATCTCTAAGTTAAGTACAGTCTCCTTTACAGAATATTTCCTCTAATTATTGTTTTCCCAAATGTTTTTTCAGCTCAGAAAATTTTGTGCCATTATTTCTAGACAACTGGCCTAGTTGAAAAAGCTACTGGGTGTTCTTTCCCACCATCTTTAGAGTTAGGGAAAACTGGTTTGGGATCCTAATTCAATCAATTCCTGCTTTTGGATCGTGTAGCCTTTCCAGCCTCAAATGACCAATGCATAAAGTGGGGGCAGTAGTATCCATCTCACATAGTGAATGGGTAGAGTATATAAGATGGTATTTGTAAAGCATTAAGCACAATTCTTGGCACATAGTGCTACATGATGCTTGTCACTGTGCCAAGTGCTCTGGAAGAACCACACTCATCTTGGGGGCTTTTAGAATAGCCATTTTTGTCCATTCCTCTTACTTTTTCCTCCTTCCAGGAATGCTGAATTGATGGCTGGAAATGTGATAGTCATCTTGAATAATAAGGCAATGTTGAGGGTGGAAGTCACATACTAAGGATGGTAGAGCAAAAGAAAGCAAGGAATCTGAGTCCTTGAAGACAGGGGAGCTGTCATACCACCCAAAAACTGCAAGCTCCAGGTTCCTTTTACATTAGTGAGTAATAAGCCACTACTCTGTTAATCCAACTTATTTAGCTTTATCGTTTTATACTGCAAAGCCTAATGCTAACTCAAACAAGTAAAACTGAGATACCGTTCTCCCAAAGTTATCATTGTCCTGAGGAGACAAGGGAAATGCATATATTCAAAGAGAAAAAAAGGAGAGAGAGAGAGAGGTTACATTCTAAACTGTGATTCTGCCAAGAAGCACAAGAGAGTATCAGAGAAGGCAAAAATCTGTGCAGATTGAATCAGCCAAAGGTTTTCAGCAGAAGAGTAAACCAAACTAGGCCTTGAAAGAAGCAGAGAATTCGGAGAGGGGATGAGGAGAGGTGGAACTCTCAACATGTCAACCAAATAACAGCTAAAGAAAAGACTCAAAACGAAAGAAGGAAACAATTAGGAAAGCAAATTCAAGAACACATATGAAAGCTTTTCCTGTAAAGAGAAAAAAGTGTGGGTTTTCAAGTATGACAAAAGAACCAGCTCTCCAGTTAATGTGACGAAAAGAATAACAAAGAATGAGAGGAAATTTATGGTTCTTTTAAGAAATGTTTAGTCTGGTCACAGCAGTAGAAATGGTTAATCTTTCATGTATTCAAATTCCTGATAATTATTAATAACTTGTCGAGATGGGAGAGGAATGCTATGGAAAAAAAGTGACAAAATCTCAAAAATATGGACAAAATAAGCATAAGAAAAGAGAATGTAAACAGAATAGTTTTTATGGACATTTGAAAAACATATTTGTATGAAAGGAATTAGTTATGGATTAGTTATGGTCATAAGGGGCTTTATTTCCATTCGTGTTCAATTTTTTCTTTTCTTTTTTTTTTTTTAACTCTTGCAGCATTTTAGTTCCTCCTCCAAAATAAAAACCAAATCTAAAAAGGCAATTCTTAGCTGAGATTGACTTATATAGATGACTTGATTTTAGTTAACTTGCTTCTTCGAATGTCAAACTCACAGAAATTATATGTTTATTGATTAAAGGTTTTTTAGTTGCAAGTAATAAAATTCAATTCAAGTTAACTTAAGCAAGAAAGGTGAATTGACTAAATGAATCCAGCTCATTCATGCAATTTAAAGGAAGGATTAGAGCAGGGACTTACGGAAGGCAGTGGAACAAAGAAGCTAAAAGCAATCAGGGTTTTTTCTCCCTATCTGCCTCACCTCAGCTTCTTTCTACACATCTGCTTCTTCTCTTTCTCTTTGAACTTTCCCTGCTTCTCATTTCATGGAACAGGTAGATTAACCCTTCCCTTCCCACCCCTACTCCAGCTCCCCAGTTAGTATTCCTACCTCTCAAGAGATCATTCTAAACTGAAATATCTTCCGCTATTCCCTATTCCAAATTCCCAGAGTATAAAATATGAATGTTCAAATGGGTCCCAGAGCCAACAAGGCCCACAATGTCCCAGACAAGTAGCCCTTTTTATTTCTCTAACTTTGTGTTGTACCACTCTCCCATTTGTTCACTGGACTCCTGACACACTGGCCTTTTGCAGTTCTTAGAAGATGGCAGGCTTTCTCCCTTCAGAGACTTTGCACTCACTGTCCCCTTTAACAAAATCCTTCCTCCTCCAGATGTGGCTAAAATGGGCTCATCTTCTCAGCTGCATCTCCCCTTAGGTGCCATTGCCTCCAAGAAGGCTGCCTTGAGCATTCTATCTTAAGTGGAAATTCCTTGCCCATCCACCCCATTTATTCTGTATCAGAGAATCTTGTTTAAAATCTATGTTAATACTCACTGGAATTGGATTGATTCCTTTCCTGTGTGTGTATTTACTTGGGTAATATCCATCTTTCCTAATTGATTATAAGGAGCATACTATAACACTAGAGGTTTTCTACCCATCTATTTCCATCTGGCTTACTAATAATTTTCTATTTTTTTCAGGTATCTAGCAGTCCCCCAAATTACACTGTGCCTCATTAGAAGCTAAAAGAAAAATAAGTTATCTTTCACCTCTGAGTATAATTCTGGCTTGTTACAATGCTTGTAACTACAGCAGCCATCTTTGTTTATAGTTGAAGGATGGAGTCAATCTGAGTGAAGATGGCAAAGCAGACAGATAGAAAAAAATCTGAGACCTTGATGACACTTTCGAACCTCGGAATTAGTCAACTCTGAAGTCTGCATACCATAGAATCCCAGCTACATGGGATTACAGATATCTTTAGTTGTGAACTACTTTGAGATAACATTTCAGTGGCTTAGACCTAACCAAGCCACTCTGGGGGTAGGAACCATGACTCTGTTGCTTTCCATTGTGTTTTTAGGGACTAGCACAGTGCCTGGTTCAGAATAGAGGTCTGGGATTATTAGCAAAATGAATGAATTTGTTCTATCATCAGAAGCCATAAAGATGAAATCATGTATACAAACATGATTGCCAGAGGCACCAAATAAATTCACTGGAGAAAGAAAAGACATTTTAATAAATGGTGCTGAACCACTGGATATCCATCAGGGAAAAAATAAAATAAATCTCAACCCCATCTCACTGCATAAACACAAATTGATTTGAGATGGAAAACAAATATGAATGTAAAAGATAGAACAATAAAGTTTTTAGATGAAAGTACATTTTCATGATCATTGAGTAAGCAAATATTTCATAGATAGCACATAAAACAATGCTGGTGGAGCACTTCTAATCTGAAAATCCAAAATCTGAAATGCTCTAAAACCAAAAATTTTTGAGTGCCAACATGATGCCACAAGTGGAAAATTCCCCATGACCTCATGTGACAAGTCACAGTGAAAATGCAGGCACACAACCTATGGTTTATTTAGCATCCCCAAAGAAAAAAATGATTTTTCTCAGAAAAACACAAACAAATGTTTTTTTGTCAGCATACCTACCTTAATCTCAAAAACAAGCTGCACAAAGCACCAAGGTAGCTGGAAACAAATAATACATTCGAAATGGTTCAATCCACAAATGGCTGAGATAATGACACTTGCTTTCTGATAGTTCAGTGTATGCAAACTTTGTTTCATGCACAAAATTATTAAAAGTATTATACAAAATTACCTTCAGCCTATGGGTATATAGTCTATATAAGACACAAGTGATATTTTTGTGTTTAGACTTGGGTCTTATCCCTGTAATATATCATGTATACACAAACATCCCCAAGGCTGAAAATATCCTAAATCCAAAACACTTTTGGTCCCATGCATTTCAGATAAGGAATACTCAACCTGTATCATAAGAGGAAACATTGGTAAACTAGATTTCATTGAAATTGAAATTTCTCTTCATCAAAATATACCATTAAGGAAATGAATAGGCAAGCCACAGCCTGGGAGGAAATATTTATGGTGCATAATCTGTCAAAGAGTTTTTTTCTAGAATATAGAAAGAACACCTATAAATCTACAGTCAAAACAGCAACAACCCAATAAAACTGGGCAAAAGGCATAAACAGACACTTCACAGAAGAAAACATAGGAGTAATCAATAAGCACATGAGAAGGTCCTCAATGTCCATTATTAAGAAAATGCAAACAAAAATAACAATGTCATGTCACTTCATATTTACTAAAATGGCCAAAATTTAAAAGAATGATGATGAAAATGCTAGCAAATATGTAAAAAAATTGGGACTTTCATACATTGTTGGTGAAGTGTAAAATGATAAAAACTACTTTGAAAAACTGTTTGGTAAAGATACAGCTAACCTATGAGCCAGTAATTCCACTCTTAAATATTTATCTAAAGGAAATGGCCAACAAACACTCATTCAAGAATGTCCATGGCAATCTTAGTCATAAAACCCAAACTCTTTAAAAAATCCAAATGTTCTTCAACAGGATAATAATTAAACAAAATGTGATGTATTCCTAAAATGGAATATTATTTAACAATACAAAGAAACAAAACAACTGATACATGTGACAATATGGCTTAATCTCAAAACAAGCTGCACAAAGCACCAAGGTAGCTAGAAACAAAGAATACATTTGAAATGGTTCAATTTATAAGAAGGACAAAAATCGGTGCAACAAATCTGTGGTGATAGAAATCAGAAAGCAGTTGCCTCATTTTGGAGTGTGGGCAGGATTAGATAGGGGCATGTGGAAATTTCCTGGGTCGATGACAATATTTTGTACATTTTGTGATGGGGGTGTATACAATTAGCAAACCTCATTGAATGGTACACTTAATATCTGTGCATTTTGTCATGTATATTATTAAATTAAAATGTGTGTGCATGTGCGTGTGTGTGTAGAAAATGACTGCTGCCAAGAAGAGTCAACTCTTGTGGATGAAGAGAGCCATATAAATACAGCCCTTGTGAAAAGCTACATCAAAGAGTACTTATACTAATAGGGCATATATTCATATTACATTTCCTAAAGCCTAGAATTAATAGTATTCGCAAGCTAAACCGCATAATGAAATTGATTGGAGAGCTCTTCCTTATGACACTGAGTTGAAATACAGATACCTATGTTAAAGGAGGAGGAAAGCAGCATGTTGTGGATTAAAAGTAGACATTTAAGAGACTGCTAATTATGAACAATTTTCCAAAATGTGCTTCACAAAAAACTAATGTCCCTCAAGAAATTAATCTATGTTAAATGAAAAAAGTATCACCTGATCAAATAAGCACAGGAAATGTATATTATGTCCCCTTTTTCAATATTCACAGTATATATAACCATATTAAAACTCTCAGAAATTGTAATATAAAGAATCACTGATTTTATTTAACTCAGAATTTCCCCAAAGCATGCCAATACAATTTTCAAAAACAGCAGACATAACTATTATTTAAATTCTAAGTTTTACATTCCTCCTATAATTTGTCATAATAGAAGAGGAATGTATTTAAGAGTAAGTAAGCCTGTTACATAATTAATTTGTGATAACATATTTCTCATTGAATAATAGAACTCAAAGGTATAATGTAATATTCTAAACAGATATCTGCTTTCTAGACATCTTTACCCCAAACATACCTATGCTATAAGTGAAAAAATGTATTCTGCCAATATTATTGTAATTGCCTCCTAGCTAGTCTACTTACTTCCACCCTTGTCCTCTACAATAAAGTGACCGGTTACCATACTTCCCACAAGTTACTTTACTTTTCAATGTTTCATTTTCTCTATATATAAAATGAGTATAGTTGAATATTTCTTTAAATTGATTGGGGTTTAAATATCTTAGCATTTTTATGAAACATTTGCACCATATAGGCAAAAATTATATTATCTATTCATTATTTGTGGCTTGAAATATAATTATTTTCTGAATTTCATGAATATTAGTTGAGCATCTACTACATGCAGCAGAACCTACTGAATTAATGTAGGACATTTCGGAATGTAGTTCTTTCATTTATTTAAAGAGTTCCTTAAAGCAATTTCCAGAAGAATAGAAAGAGATTAAAATTAGGCCCGTATTTATTTATCCATCCATTCATCCATCCATCTTTTCCTTCTTTCATTTAAACATGCCAGATTCAAGATATATTTCACATATTAACAGTGTTTGCTAATGGAAAGAATTTGTGGTGAGAGCAAAAGATGAAGGAAGAATCTCTTCTGGTCTTTAGCCCAAGCAGCCGCAAGGAAAATTGTATCATTTATTAATATGGGAAAAAGTAAGTAGGGGGCATAGAGTTAGAGTTAAAAATTAAAATCTGTCTTTTCTATATATTAGGTTTGAAATGCCTTTTAGAAATCTAGTAAATAAGTAGGATAGACAAACATCGATCCCAGGGCTGCAGCCATAGACTTCAGAGGTGTCAAGATATATAGATAATATCTAAAGCCATGGGAATAGAAAATAAGGGAGAGGACAGAAAATATCTTAAATAAAAGCCCTGGGATACCACAACATTTAGATGGTAGGAAAAGGGAAAGGATGCAGCAATGGAAACTGATTTGACACAGCCAGTGATATAGGTAGTAAACCTAAAAAATATGTATTTCAAAAGCTAACACTGAAAAGCTGGGGGAGTGGGGGTACAGAGGGATGGTCAATTGAGTCAACTGTTGCTGACACATAAAGTAAGATAGGAATCAAAGACTAACCACCATTGGATATAGGAATATAGGACATGTCAATGACCCCAACCAGTTGAGATTCATATCAGGAAGGGCCCTGTAGGCCACTGTCAGGATTTGGGACTCTAATCTGAGCAAGGTGAAAGCCATTGGATGGTATTAGGAAAATGACTGAGATGATCTGATATCCACTTAAAGAGGCCACTCCAGCCATTCTGTTAGGCTAGATGGTGAGTAGACAAAGGGAGAAGCAAGGAGGTCTGTTAGGAAATGACTACAATAATTTAGAAAAGAGAATGTGATGGTTTGGACCAGGGAGATAGCAATCAAGGTGATAAGAAACCAGATTTTATATACATTTTAAGGATAGAACAAGCATGATTCACAGATGGATTAGATGTATAAAATGAAAGAAACAAAGGAATCACAAGTAACTCCAAAACACTTGGCCTCAAAATCTGGGAAGATAAAGTTATTGTGTTAGTTAATGGCACTCCTAAGCATGTGAGGAAATGAGGAGGTACACGTAAAGGGACCAAGGAATGACCAACGAGGCTGGAGAAAATTCAAGAGCCATAGAAGTAAAGTGAAGAAGAAAGTGTTCCCGGGAATAGAAATGGTCAACTGTACCAAATGCTGCTGGTAAGGTCAGTTAAGTTAAGGACTATAAAACAGCTACTAGATTTAGTAACACAGAGATCACTGATGACCATGACAAGAGTTGCTTTGATGCCATGATAGGGTTAAAAGCTTGATCACAGTGAGTTTTTGAAAAAATTGAAATGGAAATTAAAAAAAGAAAGAAAGAAAGAAAAAATGGAAGAAAAAAACCATGGCACAGTAAGGACAAGACAAAAATTTAATTGAATTTTTCAGACAAGAAGTAGGCCACCAGCTGAGGGAGAAATTGAGTGAAAGACAGTTTTTGTTTTTAGATAAGACAAATAAAAGCAAATTCATGTTGAGAAAGGTCCAATAGAGAGACAAAATTTGTTATTGCATAAGAAAGGGGAGACTTACTGGGAATCAATGAGAAGGGATGGAAGTTTATGCTCAAGGGGAGGGATGACCACTGACACAGTGAAGAATGTATCTACAAAGCAAAAAAGAGGTCGGGTCTATGAGGACAGGAACAGGTAGAAGCATAGATGCAGTGGTGGGGGCTTGTGGAAGTTGTCTTCTGAGTGCTTCAGTTTCCCCAGTGGAATAGGAAGGTGGTCATTAGCTGAAGGTGCTATTGGAGAGGAGATATTGAATTTTTGAGAAGAGAAGGAAAGTATACAACTGTCGTGGAGAAAAGCAGAAAGGTGAATGTACTGGGATTGCTGTCAGCCTAGTACTTGCTTGCACTAAAGTCAAGCTGCAAGATTTTGTGCTATCCCCCAGAGGTTCAGCTGTGTGAATGCAGCAGGGTGGGTAGAGGGTTGGATTTAACCAGGGATATGTTTCTGCCTCAACAAATAATTGTAGCAATTAAAGTTTCAGAGCTCAGCTGTGCCAAGGGGTATGACACCTGTGGATAAGGAAAGAATGACATGGCAAATGGAAAATAATCTTTACTGGATGGAGTTCTACTCGATGTTTTAGGAACTTTAAATTTCATGTGATTCTCACAACAGCCTTGTGAAGTATATATTTTCTACACATTACATATGAAGAAAGTGAGGCTAAGAGAGATTAATTTTTTTTTCCAAAATAATACAGCTAGAAAGCAGAGGAATATGGAGAAGAAAGAGCACACATTTTTCTGAGACCCTCGTAGGTTGGACTGGAGAGAAGATTTGGTGCAGTCTTCTGGGGAATATCATTGGCTCAGAGTCCGGGCTGTGGCTGAGTCAGCTGGGCAGACACCAGAACACAGCTTCCTGCCATCAAAACCCCAGGTGGCAGAAACAGTCACCAGTTTGGCCAGGAATACATGGCGCCACCACTCACAAAACCACTCATTTTTTCCTATAAAACAATCATCACCTAGCAGGATGCCAAGAAAATCAATCATGACTAAACTCCCAATTTGGTTTGATTCACTGACCACATGTAGACATGATCATAACGTTTGGTTATCATTCTTCATAATAATCATCTGTGGGTCTGCAGTAACTGTAGGCCTGAACAAACCAGTGATTTTTCAGGTGAATCTGCCTTGAAACAAATTTCCATCTTAGGAATCAGTTGTTTAGTTCATGGGTGACTCCTGAGTCCAATAGAGGGTCTGCTAGTCTCTTAAAGCTGGAAGGGATTTTAGAGATAATAGTTTCTATCCTCCTCATTTTATAGTCCTAGGATGACTATTATATTAAAATGTAGGCTTGTTATTCTATCTTGAATACTAGCTTTGTAATGGGACACACAGGGGAGAAATTCTTCTTAAGTCTAAATGTATACTTTTTTAAACGTGTACATCTTCTGAATCACTAGTTCCTCTTGTCCCAGTATTTGGACACTGTGCTTTGCAAATAACATGTGCTTGATAAATGTAGATTAAATATTAAACAGTCTGGTCAACGGGAAGGAAACCATGGCACCTAGAAAAATTGTCAGGAGAATTTCACATCCCTGGCAGTCTTTCTCCCAGACCAGGGCTTCATGTCCCTAAATTGGGACAGGGTGAAGGAAAATGAGGACAGGTGGTAAATTTCATGAAAAAGTAAAAAGCTTGTCAAGGTCATTCTAGCTGTGAGACAGTCTTACTGAATCCCAAACCCCATGTCAGCTGCAGTACCTGCAGCGCCGATTCTGACTGTTAAAAGGCTATTGTTGGATGGCTAAGTCAGAGACATGCAAGGGAAGCCCAGTTCTAAACAGCAGGGGAATAAGGTCAGAAAAACTTATCCTAATCTACCTAAATATTTTAGAACAATCCTCCAAATAAGGAGAGAAATGGATATTAAAATGGAACATCAAGGATGGTTTAAGGACAGAAAATTGTATTTTCTTCATTTAAAAACTTTACGATCTTTTACCTGCTTGTCTTATATTATTTTCAAGGTTCATGATAAATATAAATTAGATATGTTCCTTCATAGGTTTAGAATCAAGTAGGAAACAGAAAAGATTTATACAAATTATCCTGCCACAGGTGGTGTATGGTGAATGTCACACCTAGAAGTAGGCGAACCAAATGGCAAAAGAACTCAGAAGCTCTATCACAGTTTAAGCTAATTTTTAAGGTGGCTCCTCAAGATAGTATTATGATCCCTATTACACAGATAAGGATACCGGGGATCAAAAGGTTTAAATGACTTGCCTAATATCCTACGACTAGAATAGATGCTGGGTCTGACAGAGTGAAGGACTGGCTCTGCAGCGACAGTCTGTGACATAGAAGGGAAAAGCCATGTGAGGCAAGGGAGAATTCCAATTGCAAAGACTCTGGTAAGAAGAGAATTCTGAGTGACGACACGGCAGGCCTGCAGGGAGACCTGCTGATGGATGTTTCAAGTGGAGTGATGATGCTATTCCTGGCGATAAGAGGCTTAGAAACTGTGAGGCGAGGCTGTCAAGTGGGTCTTCAACATGGACAGTGAAAGTGACTAGGGCATGAGGTAGACCCTTCTGTCATGATGAAAAGTAAAAATGCACTACGGCAATCAGCAGACAGTGAAAAGGTTGTAGAGAAATCTAACTCACCAGGATTGTCATCTGCATCCTAAAGTCTGATTATCCCTGTGGCACAATCAACTTTAGCTGCTGTGACCATTAGTGGTTCCTTAAAATCATCCCATCACGCTGACTTACTGGATTCTCAATGCACTAGGAATTAGGGAACAATTCTAGAGGATCTGATTTGGTGGGGGTTCTACTGTCCTGGTTTGAGCTTTCCCTCTCTGATAGCATAGAGCTTCATAATGGTGAGAGACTCATCAGGCAGTAGTGTGGAGCCCTGCAGTCTCTCAGCTTCCTGTCCTTTGCCATTATCACATTGCTATTGGTTTAATTGTCTGTCCTCTCTCCTAGACTGTTGCTTTTTGTGACCAGAAACTGTCTTTCTACTTATTGTTTTCCCTCAACATTAGCAGAGTTTCTAGAATATAGTCAGTGGTCAATAAATGGTGTTGAATAAATCAAGTAGTATTTGAGTTGAGTCATTGAACATAAATAAATATGTATCAAGTAGCCTGGGGAAGTGGAGTAAAAGGAGGCAGGAACCATTTCACCCAGAGTGATCTGGGCAAAATTGGAAAAAGTAACATATGACAGAGATCAGAAGCACTGCATAACATATTGGGTGGGAACATTGACTTTGGAGGCAGAGGCCTGGGTTCAAATCACAGCTCTGTTTCTTAACAGTTAAATGATCTTGGGCTACAGTTCAGAAGAAAAATAAAATAAAATAAAAACTACTGGAGCATCACTCCTAGGGAAGGAGGCAAAGCGAAGAAACCAAGAGTGTCTGTATTTTCCATTCCATATTCCCAATCCCTCCATGAGAGAGGTGAGACTGACATATTTGCTTACTGAGAGGTATTTTATTTCCTAAAACATATTTGTTGCCACTCATTTGAGAACTACATTTTATTTGGTATTGAACAGAGACAGGTAGGCTTCTAAAATAATCTAACATTATACCACAAGAATCAGCAATTTCTCAATGAATCCTAAAAATATTTATAAAACTTTTAATGTAGAACAAAATTTGGTTATATGACACCAGGAGATGCAAATTAAATCATATGCATAAAAGTAATTTGTAAACTGTTACCTGCTCTATAAAAATCATTTGAGAGACCCAATGGCATAGTGGAAAACTTACATAAAGTTAGAAGACTTGGGCAAAATTGCCAACTCTTTCACTTACTAGCTATGTTGCCTACAGAAAGTTATAAGAACTCTGTGAGCTTCACTTTTAGGGTTGGCAATAATACTTATCTTGTGTGCTTTTGGTGACAATCAATAGAAACAATGACCATGAAAGTAATTTTTTATTATGATTCTATAAATAGTTTGGCAAAAAGAAATTTTTTTATTTCCCTGACAAAAAGAGGAGTGAGGAAATACTAATAGTGTCCAGAAAGTGCTAAAAAGGTGATAGAAATTTGTGTGGTTAGAGAGTCAACATGATATTGAGACAGTCCTATATCTGGATCTTGATTCAGCTAGTTACAAGTTACGTGATTTGGTGTTAGTTTCTTATACCTCAGAGCCTCAGGTCCTCCATCTGAAAAATAGAAATCACAGAACTCACTTTGCAGGGTTTTGCGAAAAGGACAGAAAATTAATGTACAGTATCTGGCACAAAAGAAAGCTTCAATAAAGATAGCTGCTATCATCATTATGTTTTCTGCATCATCATCATTATCATCATGTTTACATTTTTCCCTTCTGAAAATTTCAACCAGATCAGTGGTAGGGAAAGAGACCTGTTCTCAACTGGTAGCATTGGTGGAGGCTTTTGAGTTTCTCGTAAAGCTCTTGTTTTCTTTTTCTTTTTTTTTTTCTGTTTTTGAGACAAGGTCTCACTCTGTCACCCAGGCTGGTGTTCAGTGGTGCAAACATGGCTCACTGAAGCCTTGACTTCTTGGGTTTAACCTATGTTCCTGCCTCAGCCCCTGGAGTAGCTGGGACTACAGGTGCGTGCCACCACTCCTGGCTAATTTTTGTATTTTTGTTGTAGAGATGGAGTCTTGCCATGTTGCCCAGGCAAGTCTCAAACTCCTGGGCTCAAGCAATCCCTCTGCCTCACCCTCCCAAAGTGCTGGAAATACACGCATGAGTCATCACACTCGACTCTTACAGAGCTCTTGATCTACTAAGAGGAAGACACACATTCGAATATAGTAGATTTGTCCATTTCTTCACTCTGCTATTAAAATCTTCATAGTATCTATAAATTCAATTTCTTTGTCTTAAAAATGGAAGCCAATAAAAACCAAAATTTTGTCAATGCAGAGGTGACCTCACTCAATACCATAAGCAGAGTGCAATAATCAATACAGAAATTCATTCCGAGATCTCAAGGTCAGTGTTTATTTCTATAAAATATTCAACATTTGAGTTACTTATTTGAGGTCACTGCATAGAAGGTGCTACATAAATAGGAACTATCATTCTGGCAGCCTTAACGATTGCTACTTAAATGTTTGAACACTGAATGATATTTAGAGAGTAAAGTGATTTAATAAACTAGCAATTGCTCATGCAAGGGCAATCACCCCCATTTCAGTTTAATTATTAAGATGAAATTTTTAAAATATTCCCAACTTTAGCAAGCAATCTTGCAATGAAAAAGAAATTATAAAATGTTACATGATATTATGATATAAAATGCTCATTTTATCAACTATTATGAGCACCTAGGAAGATTCAGCTGATACCATATCTTGAGGTCCTAAAATTCTCTGTCTTTATCCAAAGGGAAGACCAGAGTTGGAAAAGTCAAGTTAATACAAGCAGAGTTAAGTTACCTTAAGAGGCACCAGAGGCTCTATGACCACATATGTCTTTTCAGATACTTTGTATGAATTTTGGGTTTTTTTTCTTTCCCAATAAGCTTTTTGCACTCTTAGCTTTGTATGATTTTTAAAGTTCCATTGTTAAAGGGAATTTGTGCAAGAAAGAAAACATTCCTAAACCACAGAGTGTTACATGAGAGGGTGAAGCCTGAAGAAGTTCAGTTGTCGGAAACTAGAAAGAGCAATATCTGTAGGTTGGAGTGTGAGGTGGGAAACAGACCAAAAGGCCAAGGAGAAAACCTTAAACTTTAATATTAGTTTTTTATTATTATACTTTAAGTTCTGGGTTGCATGTGCAGAATGTGCAGTTTTGTTACATGGGTATACACGTGCCATAGTGGTTTGCTGCACTCATCAACCCATCACCTACATTAGGTATTTCTCCTCCCCTAACCCCCCACCCCCTGCAGGCCCTGGTGTGTGATGTTCCCCTCCCTGTGTCCATGTGTTCTCATTGTTCAACTCCCACTTATGAATGAGAACATATGGTGTTTGGTTTTCTGATTTTGTGATAGTTTGCTGAGAATGATGGTTTCCAGCTCCATCCATGCCCCTGAAAAGGACATGAACTCAGGCTTTTTTATGGCTGCATAGTATTCCATGGTATATATGTGCCACATTTTCTAATCCAGTCTATCATTGATGGACATTTGGGTTGGTTCCAAGTCTTTGCTATTGTGAATAGTGCCTCAATAAACATACATGTGCATGTGTCTTTATCATAGAATAATTTATAATCCTTTGGGTAAATGCCCAGTAATGGGATGGCTGGGTCAAATGGTATTTCTAGTTCTAGATCCTTGAGGAATCACCACACTGTCTTCCACAATGGTTAAACTAATTTACACTCCCACCAACAGTGTAAAAGCATTCCTATTTTTCCACAACCTCTCCAGCATCTGTTGTTTCCTGATTTTTTAATGATCGCCATTCTAACTGGCATGAGATGGTATCTCATTTTGGTTATGATTTGCATTTCTCTAATGATCAGAGATGACGAGCATTTTTTCATATGTCTGTTGGCTGCATAAATGTCTTCTTTTGAGAAGTGTCTGTTCATATCATTTGCCCATTTTTTTGATGGGGTTGTTTGCTTTTTTCTTGTAAATTTGTTTAGGCATCCTTAATAATAGGCTAAGGTGGGAAGAAGCATCTGCCCCGGACACCACTACAGCATCAGGGAAAGCATTCAGGACCACAGTACCAGAACTAGTCTCCCACCAAGACTACCCCAGAAAGCCTCCCATTTCTGATGACCTCAGTCATAACCAGAAATCCAAACCCCCTAGCTATTCTTCACCTTAACTACTCCAAATCACATATTCTTTGCATATCTGCTTTTTTTTTTTTCTTTGATGGAGTCTCACTCTGTCACCCAGGCTGGAGTGCGGTGGTGCCATCTCAGCTCACTACAACTTCAAGTGATTCTCTTGGCTTCAAGTGATTCTCCTGTCTCAGTCTCCCAAGTAGCTGGGATTATAGGCATGTGCCACCACACCTGGCTAATTTTTGTATTTTTAGTAGAGACAGGGTTTCACCATGTTGACCAGGCTGGTCTGGAACTCCTGACCTCAGGTGATCCACCTGCCTCGGCCTCCCAAAGTGCTGGGATTACAGGCATGAGCCACCACACCAGGCCCACAATTCCTGTCTCCTGAATTTTTCTTTACTGTCTTCTGGAACTCCCAGTCTGCAATCAACCAACTCTTTCACATAATCCAATATCACTTCACATTATCTTCATAAAATTGCATTTACTGAAAAATAATTATAGTCCAAAGTTCCTGCTTCCCCTACAATCTATTCCAATGTAAGCTTACATGTCTTGCACTGGCAGACTAAGAGGTAGAATTAGTTATTCTTATTCCTTGTAACCAACTTTGTTTCTGTTTCTCTTATAAAAATTTCTCCTCAAAGCTGGGCACAATACTTCATGCCTGTAATCCCAGTTACTTGTAAAACTGAGACAGGAGATTTGCTAGAGCCCAGGAGTTCAAGCCTAGCCTGGGCAACATACCAAGACTGTCTCTAAAGAAAAGAAAAATTTCTCCTCCTCTAAGAAATCCTCTTATTTTACTTTTTATTTGTACCAATACCCTGTTTATGTGCACTCATTCACTGAAGTCTTGAACTCCTGGCTCACAGTATTCCTTTCCAACCTAATCCCAATCATTGTATTTGTCTGTTTCAATATTAATGTGGATGACCCTGGCCTCTTGAAATCTTGGCCTCTCAGGTCCTTGAGCTCTTCATCTCCAAAGATAATTTCCTCTACTCCACATCAGCCATTCTATCTCTATTATTCATTTTTTGCTTATGCAATAGTAACAAACCACCCCAATATTTCAGTGCCTTATAACAATAAAGACTTATATTTTGCTCATGTAAAATGTCAGCTGCTGGTTATCTATAGTTCTGCCTGTCATGAAAGATGCAGAACTATTTTTTATCATAAGTCTAGAATCTAGGCTAAAGGAGCAGCCTCTATCTGCAACAAGTTGGCAATACAACACAGCAAGAAAATGATGGAGGTCAAGGTGGAGATGGAAGGGGTAATGACAGAGCCACGCGATGGTTCTTAAAGCTGCTTCTCAGTAATGGCTAGTGTCACTTCTGTTCACATTCTATTGACTAAACCAAGCCACATGGCCAAGCCTGACTCAATAAAGCAGAAAAGTATGTTTCTTTCACAGGGAAGCACTGCTAGGCACACATAAGAGAAAGTAATGTATAACACTGGTACAGGGAAGACATTACATAATTAAGAACAATAGTACAATCTGCCACACTATCCCTCTTTCAAAACATATTTTATCATCAGAAAAATTATCTTCACCCCTGAAATCATGAATGGTAATCTCCAGCTCTCATACAACAGTTTCTTGTCCCATCACCTTTTTTGTTCTATTACTATTACTATAACAATTTGACATTTTCATTACCTACATACCATTATTCCACTACTCTCTCACTATCCATCAGCCCTCTTTCAAATTTATTTCCTTTCTTGTTCTGCTCAGAAGCCATTGCCCATAATAAAAACAACATTAAGAAAGTAGTAAGAAGAAACATATACTGAGCATTTACATGGGCTAAGCGCTAGTCCAAGCATTTTATACATATTCATACATTTAATACTTATAACAACCACAAAATTTAGAAACTCTTATTATCTTCATGGTCCTGATGAGGGGACTGAGGTACACACATGTTATTGACATCTACTAAAAGGCAGATACCACACTTTCAGGACAGAAACATGACAGCAGATACCACACTTCCAGATGCTATGCAATTTTGTACAAACACTTCCTTGCATAAATACTCAACTCGTTTGTTCCCAGTGGGGACATCAAAGAGTGGCTTGGAGGAAAGCTGAAGAATTTTCATTTACTAACCTCCTAGCTACCCAAATAAGTAAATGAAAACATGCAGATGAGGCCTCAAAATATTTTCCATGGCCCCAACCCACTTGTAATATCCATATCCCCATTCCATTCTTCCAATCTATAATGCCACTTCTAAGTCTCTTTTATGTAAACATTTTGGAGTTGCCACTACTTGCCCCTCTCCCCTGTCATATCTCTTTTAAAAACAAATAGGCCAGGCATGGTGGCTCACGCCTGCAATCTCAACACTTTGGGAAGCCAAGGCTGGCAGATCACCTGAGGTCAGGAGTTTGAGACCAGCCTGACCAACATTGAGAAACCTCGTCTCTACTAAAAATACAAAACTAGCCGGGCATGGTGGCACATGCTTGTAATCCCAGCTACTCAGGAGGCTGAGGCAGGAGAATACCTTTAACCCAGGAGGCGGGGATTGCGGTGAGCCGAGATCGCGCCATTGCACTCCAGCCTGGGCAACAAGAGCGAAACTCCATCTCAAAAAAAAAAATAATAAGTCAATCTTGTGTTAACTCAAATATCTATGTGATTTTTACTATACATAAGAAACTTAACTCTGATAGAGAAAATTTATACAAGTAGGCTAAAACATTTTATGTTAAATTATGATCTTAAATATAGTTATACTCTCAACACTGCCTGGGGAATCTACTAGTGTTTTCTGGATCACTAAGAAAATGATTTCTTACCCTTCTCCTCTCTCCTCTCTTCTCTATGAAAGAGAAGTCATACTTCTCTTTTCTCCTTGAGAATGAGAATACCCCTAATTCTCCTATGAGTTGAAGCCAATGACTTCAACTCATACTATATTCAGATATTTTAAATTGTCATTCAGATCCTAATGGCTCATCTCACTGCATCTACAAAGCCACCTGCATCTACACTTCTTTTTCTTTCTACCTTCCAGTTACAGTGGAATTTTTTTTCCTTTTCATAGGCTTGTCCTTCTACATGGGTCCTGATCCCTTCCTCTCCTATTTTCCCAAGGATTCTGTTCCTTTACTCACCCTCTCTTTTTCTGCATCATAAAATTTTCTCTCTTTAGTGGAATAGTTCAGCATATAGAAGTGCTCCATTTTCTGTCATCCTAAAATATAACTCTCCCTTGATATATCTCTTGTCTGCTCCTCTTCACAAAGTGCTCTCTGGAGTTTTATATATTCTTTCTCTACTACCTCACCACCCATTAAGTCCTCAAATAACTCATATCTAGCTTCTGTCTCTTTCATGACACAGAAACTGTGGTTGCAAAGCTTACCAAAGGCTGAAACAGATGGTAACTCTTCCTTCCTTGTCGTGTTTCCTTTCTTTATAAAATGTTCTCTTGGTGTTGGGTTAATCTCACTCCTAGAGCTTTCTTCCTACCTCTACAGTTGCTCCTATTCAGTGTCTTTTGAAAGCAGCTTCTCCTTTGTTTGACCTCTAAAATCATAATAGGTTATGAGCCCTAGATCCTGAGCATTGCAGCCTTCTCATTTCTTTCTACATGATCTAGCTGAGAGTATTCATTCACATAGTTTTAAATAACATCTGTGTGAACAATTCCTCATTTATGTTCTCAGCCAATAATGTTCCTCTGCTATTTCTTTTAAAACCAATGGTTTATCTGACATCTTCACTTGGAGATCTCATGGTTACCTAAAACTCAACATATTCCAATTTGAATTCTTCAGTCTCCTCCTCCTTCACCCAAGTCTGTTTCTCTCTCAATCTTTCTCATCTCGCTATATATCACAACCAACTATCCAGTTGCTCAAAATAGAAACTTGCTTTCATCCTTGATTTAACTTCCACTATCATCCCAGACTCCAATCTATCACTAAGCCCTGTAGTTTCTCTTTTCAAATATACCCGAAATCTGCCCACTTTTCTCCATCTTGATGGACTTAGAGTAAGCTATTGAAATCTCCTACTTAGATTACTAAAATAATTTCTTTGTGACTCTTGTAGCTTTCCCTATTGTCTTCCTAAATACAACATCTCATGCAGTAGATAAACTAAAAAAAATATAACTTGTATTTCCACTTTCCAAATAATTTACCAAGCTCTTTTCTACTTGCAAACCCTGCATGATGAGGTTCCTACCCAACTCTCCATCCTCATTTGAGGTAACTCTCTCCATTATTCAATATTCTTTACCATCTTTGTTTCTTTTTGCTTCTTTGAACACATAAAGTTCTTTCCTATATCAAGGACTATAATACCCTCTGCCTGAAATCGTTTTCCCTACTCTTCATGCATGGTTAGCTCCCTAGACTCCTTCAGATGTCTGTTTAAATATCCCTTACATGTAAAACACAATCTTCCACCTTACCCACCTAAGTTCCCATGTTTCTTTCAAGGTCCCCACCAGGGTTGTTCCATGGCTTCTTTATGTCTTTCACAACTCTTTTTACAATATATACATGTATATTTCCTTTTATACTTTCTTGTTTACTATCAGTCTTCTCTCCAAACCAAAACCCTCACAAGATAAGATGCATACTTCTTTGGCTTATCAATGTATAATAGCTACCTTCAAAAGACCAAAACGTAGTAGATGTTCAGTAAATATAATGCTCATTGAATACATGTATGAATTTGTTTTCAAGTTCAAGTTCCGTAAATTGTCAGAATCTCCATTTCCTCATATTTAGATGGGAAAAAATGTTACTTACAACATGATAATAATGGCTCAAGTGAGATAATGCCTGGTAAGGTCATTACACACTAAATATGATGTTCCTCCTTGTATTCACATAGTTTCTTGTAGGATATATTTTCCAGGTTAAGGCACAAAGAGGAGGACCTAAAGTTTAAAATAATGATCTTAATGAACTTAAAAGACAGAAAGTAGATATCAAAGACCCTGAAAAAGCTAGAATTTGTGGACAGAACATTTGAGAAGAGGGAGCTACACTTTGTAAACACACACACGCAGATCCTGTGATCTCCTTAAAGATCACTTTGAGTCTGCCTGAATACTAAACTGGGTATGGATAGAGTGAAACTCCATAAAATTAAGCAAAGAACAACTACAGCATAGCTATAAGTTGCAAAATTTCCAAAGCTTGCACGAGGTTGGAAGGTTTTTGCATTCCAATCAGATAAAGTAGACAGATTTCATTACATATATGAAATATTTAGAAAAGATCTCTGAAGAATTATGCCTCAGCTTTAGGTCTACTTTAGTCCTAAGTAAAGACTACCCTAGACCCACTCAGCAAAGGCAGAAAAAAGCTTCAAAAACATCAAGCTGCACTGCAAATAACTTCACTACCTAGCAAAGTAAAAGTCAATAGACTCTAATGGAAAATATCAAAATCTCAACACTAAACATTATAACATGACAATATCCAGAATTTTTTTAACTACCTAGATGTACAAACAAGTAGAAAATGTGACTCATAATCAGAAGAAACCTTAGTCAATGGGAACAGAAACCAAAACGACAGACATGAACTTTAAAACAGCTATCAAAGATATGCTCAAAAATTTGTGGGAAAACATGAACATAATAAAAAAGCTAAAAGCTATTTTTTTAAATGTAATTGTAAAACTGAAAAAGAAAGGTTTTTTGGTCCAAAATACAAAAAAAAAAGTATAAGTCTAATACCAAATTAGAAACTCTAGAAATAAATATCAGTGAAACTTAAAGCACAGCAATATAAAGTATCTAAGCTGAAGCACAGAAAGAATAAACTATACAAAGATGACTGGAGTCCATCATCCAAAAGCTCCTAGATCTGATACACAAATCCATTATAGTCTCAAAATACAAAATCAGCATACACAAATTAGTAGCACTGCTGTACACCAACAACGACCAAGCTGAGAATCAAATCAAGAACTCATTTCCTTTTACAACAGCTGCAAAAAAATAAAATACTAAGGAATATACTTAACCAAGGAAGTGAAAGACCCCCACAAGAAAAACTACAAAACACTGCTGAAAGAAGTCACAGATGACACAAACAAATGGAACCACATCCTATATTCATATATGGGAAGAATCAATATTGTGTAAATGACCATATTTCTCAAAGCAATCTACAGATTCAATTCAATTTCCATGAAAATACCATCACCATTCTTCACGGAACTAGAAAAAACAATGCTAAAATTCATATCGAATCAAAAAAGAGCCCATATAGCCTAAGCAATACTAAGCCAAAAGAACAAGCCCAGAGGCATCACATTACCTGACTTCAAATTATACTACAAGGCTATAGTTACCAAAACAACATGGTACTGGTATAAAAATAGGCACATAGTCCAATGGAACAAAATAAAGAACCCAAAAATAAAGCCAAATGCTTACAGCCAACTGATATTCAAAAAAAAAAATACATTGGAGAAAGGACAACCTATTCAATAAATGGTGCTGGGAAAACTGGCAAGCCACATGTAGAAGAATGGAACTGGATCTCCATCTCTCACCTTAAACAAAAATCAACTCAAGATGTATCAAAGACTTAAATAAGACCTGAAACTATAAAAATTCTAGAAAACATTGGAAAAACTCTTCTGGATATTGGCTTGGACAAAGAATTCATGACTAAGACCTCAAAAACAAATGCAGCAAAACCAAAAATAAATAGGGCCTAATTAAACTAAAATGCTTTTGTACAGCAAAAGAAATAACCAGTTGAGTAAACAGGCAATCCACAGAGTGGGAGAAAATATTTGCAAACTATGTGTCTGGCAAAAGACTAATATCCAGAAACTACAAGAAACTCAAATTAGTAAGAAAAAATAATAATAATCTTATCAAAAATGGGCAAAGTTCATTAATAGACAAATCTCAAAAAAAGATGTATAAGCAACCAACAAACATATGAAAAAATGCTCAACATCACTAATCATCAAATTAAAACCACATTGATATACCACCTTACTCCTGCAAGAATGATCATAATTAAAAAGTCAAAAAAAAAATAGAAGTTGACATGGATGTGGTGAAAAGGGAACACTTTTACACTGCTTGTGGGAATATAAATTAGTACAACCACTATGGAAAACAGTATGGAGATTCCTTAAAGAACTCAAAGTAGAACTACCATTTGATCCAGCAATCCCACTCTTGGATATCTACCAAAACAAAAAGAAGTCATTACACAAAAAAGACACATGCACATGCATGTTTGTAGCAGCGCAATTCACAATTGCAAAGATGTGGAACCAGTCTAAGTGCCCATCAACTAAAGGATGGATAAAGAAAATGTGGTATATATACACCATCAAATACTACCCAGCCATAAAAAAAGAATGAAATAATGTCTTTTGCAGCAATTTGCATGGAACTGGAGGCCATTATTCTAAGTGAAGTAACTCAGAATGGAAAACTAGATATTGTTTATTCTCATTTATAAGTGAGAGCTAAGCTATGAGGGCACAAAGGCATAAGAGTGATATGATGGACTTTGGGGACTTGAGGGGAAGGTTGGGAGGAGGGTGAGAGACAAGAGACTATGTGTTGGGTACAGTGCACCCTGCTCAGGTGATGGATGCACTAAAATCTCAGAATTTACCACTAAAGAACTCATCCATGTAACCAGAAAATCACCTGTACCTCAAAACCTGTTTCAATTTAAAACAAACAAACAAACACAAAAACAAACAAAAAAAGAAAACTGGAGTCTATATAATTCTAGGACATAATTAAGCCATTTACAACACACGTAATTAGAATCTCAGAAGAAGAAGGTTCCCGGAAAAAGAAAATACTTAAAGAAATAATAACAAAAAAAAAAATCCAAATGTGAAGCAAACCATAAACCCATACATACATGAGACTTAGTAAAAATTAAACAAAATAAACACAAACAAAATCACATCAAGCAACAACAGAATCAAATTCTTGAAAACCAGTGATAAAGAGAAAAATTTTAAAACAGATCAAAAAAAGAGTACATTATGTGCAGGATGACAAAAGTAAGAATTACTACTGGCCAGGAGCAGTGACTTATGCCTGCAATCCCAGCACTTTGGGAAGCTGAGGCAAGCAGATCTCCTCAAGTCAGGAGTTTGAGGCCAGCCTGGCCAACCTGGTGAAACCCTGTCTCTATGAAAAATACAAAAATTAGCTGGTCATTGTGGTGGGTGCCTGTAATCCCAGCTACCTGGAAGGCTGAGGCAGGAGAATAGCTTGAACCTGAGAGGTGGAGGTTGCAGTGACCCAAGATTGCACCACTGCATTCCCTCCTGGGGTAACAGAGTGAGACTCCAAAAAAAAAAAAAAGAAAAAGAAAAAAGAATTATTACTAACGTTCCATTAGAAAAACAAGCAAGCCAGAAATCAATAGAATATATTTAAAGTGCTAAAGCCACCACCCAATAAATAAATATATGCCAAAAAGCCTGTCAACCTGAAGTTTTATGCCCAGTGAGAATAACCTTCAAAAATGAAAGTAAAATAAAGACATTTTCAGGCAAACAAATCAGAAGGAATTCTTCACATCAGACCAGCAATACAAGAGTGATAAAGAAAGTGCTTCAGACTGAAAAAAAAAAAAAAAAAAGATCCCAGATGTAAATTCTTATCTAAAAAATCAAAAGGAAGAGTAGCAGGAATAATAATTGCTTATTTAAGAAAAAGACTCTATAGTTTAAAACATATGCAGAAGTAACAAGTATAAATTCATAACAAAAAGTGAGGGAAAATGAGGTGTTGTGGTAATTCTTTTTTACATTTATATATTACCTGATGTAATATTTGAAGATTGAGTGTGATAAGTTAAAGAAGTAAAATTAATAAGGTAATAATCAAAATAAAATGAAATCATATGAATATGCAATTAAGTCAAACAAAGAAGAAAATGAGTAAAAGAGATATAAAAAAGACATGAAATTTAAAATGACATAAGGCCCAACAATATCAACAATTACATTAAGTTTAAATGATTTAAACACAGCAATTACATCTAGGAATATATTATCTGATTGAAGCAAGATCCAACCATAAACATTCTATAAGAAATGAAGTTTGACTATAAGGACAAATGTAAGTTAAAAGAAGAGTATGGAGAAAGTTATGTCATGTAAGAATTAACAATAGGGACCAATGGGTCAAAGAGGAAATCAGAAGAAAAATTAGAAAATATTTTGAGATGAATGAAAATGAAAACAGGTTATATAAAAAACTTATGAGAAATAGCTTAAATTGTACTTACAAGAACATTTATAGCTATAAATGCATGTATTAAAAAAGAAGAGCAATCTCTAATCAGTATCCTAACCTTTCACCTTAAGACACTAAAAAAGTGGAGCAAAGTAAAAGAAGCAGAAAGAAGGTAATACTAAGAATTAGAGTAGAAATTAGTGAAATAGAAGAACAATAGAGAAACCAAAACCTGATTCTTTGAAAAGCTCAACAAATTTTGATAAACCTTTAGGCAGATTAATCAAGAAAAAAAGAAGGAAGACTCAAATTACAAGAAAGAAAAATAAGAGTGGGGCATTACTACTGATTCTATAGAAATAAAAAGTATTACAAAGAAATACTGTGAATAACAGTATGCCAACAAATTACATATTTTGGATGAAATGGACAAATTCCTAGAAAGAAACAAGCTACCAAACTGATTTAAGAAGAAATAAACAATCTGAATAAATCTATAAACAAGTAAAGAGACTGAATTTGTAACCATAAAACTACTTTCTTCCAAAACAAAGCCCAGGCCCAGATGACTTCAATGGGGAATTTACCAAACATTTAAAGAAGAATTAATACCAATTCATCACAAACTCTTCCAAGAAAAGATAAAGGAAAGAATACTTCCTAACTCATTCGAAGGGAACAGTATTTTTCTAATACCAAAACCAGACAAAGACATCATAAGCAAAGAGAACCATAGACTAATATCTCTTATAAATATAAATGCAAAAATCCTCAACAAAACACTAGCAAACCTAATCTAGCAACATATTTTTTAAAATATAAACTATGCTTGGTTGGAATTTATCTCAAAAATGTAGGCAGGCTTAACATCAAAACAATTAATGTAATATATCATATCTATAGAATAAACGACAAAAACCACGATTATCTCAATAGAGAAAAAGTATTTGACAAAATTGAACACACTTCTATAAAAACACTCAACAAATTAGAAATAGAGGGGAACTTCCTCAACCTTATAAAAAGGATTTAAGAAAAACTCAGAGCTCACATCATACTTAATGGAAAAAGACTAGATACTTTCCTCCTAGAATCAGGAGCAAGACAAGGATGCTCATTCTCAACACCTCTATTCAAGACTGTATTAGAGGTTCTAGGCAGGTCAATTAGGCAATCAATCAATCCATCAATGGCATTTGCATTGGAAAGAAAGAAGTAAAACTATATTTCTTTGAAGATGACATGGTCTTGGAGATAGAAAATCTTAATAAGTCTGCTAAAAACTATTAGAACTAATAAAGAAGTTCAAAAAAATTACAATATACAAAATAAATATATAAAAATAAATTGCATTTCTATACACTTGCAATGAGCAATTCCTAAATAAAATTAAGACAATACCACTTACAGAAGCATCAAAAGGAGTAAAATGCTTAGGAATATATTTAATAAAAGAAGCATGAAACTTATGCTCTGAAAATTACAAAATACTAATGAAATAAATTAAAGAATGTCTAAATAAACAGGAAAGCATCTCATGTTCATAGAATAAATGACTTAATGTTGCTAAGATGGCAACACTACCCAAGAGATTGAATACAATTCCTGCTGGAATTCCAGCTCACTTCTTTATAGAAATTGACCAATTGTTTCTAAAATTCATATGGAATTGCAAGGGACAAAAAGTAGCCAAAATAATCTCAAAAAGGAACAAAGTTGGAGACTCGCACTCCTTGGTATCAAAACTTACTACAAGGCAGTAGTAATCAATGTGGAACTGTCAAAGCTGGACATATAAATGAATAGAATTGAATTAAGAGTTCAGAAGTAAAACTGCGTGTCCGTGTCTTATGTTCCCAAAGAGTGCCAAGACAAGTCAATGGTAAAATATTAGTAATACTCTTTCCAACAAATAGTGTGGAGACGACTGAATAGCCACATGCAAAAGAATGAAATTTGATCCCTATTCACATGATATAAAAAGTTAACTCAAAATAGTTGAAAGACCTATATGTATGAGCTAAAACTATAAAACTCTTGGGAAAAAAAAAAAAAAAAAAACATGTGCCATTGCATTCCAGCCTGGGTGACAGAGTAAAAACCAAACCTCATCTCAAAAAAAAAAAGTGAGAAGGATTTTAAAAAGTAACTAGAAGGAAAATCATAGTTTTTGAAGCTTGTATTGGAAAAGAAAGATTCAAATCAATGATCTGGGTTTTCACCTTAAGAAGTTAATAAAAAGAAAGAACAAATTAAACCAAGAATAACTAGAAAGAAAAATAAATACAATTACCTGAATGTTTTGTCCCCCAAAAAATTTATATGTTGAAATACTAACCCTCAAGGTGATTAGGTCATGTGGGTGGAGCCCCTCATGATTGGGATTAGTGTTCTTACAAAAGACACCCCAGAGCACTAGCTCATCCTTTCCACTATGTGAAAATACAGCAAAATAGTGCTATTCACAATAGCAAAGACAGGGAATCAATGCACGTGCCCATCAGCGGTGGATTGGAGAAAGGAAATGTGGTACATGTATACCATCAAATAATAAGAAGCATGAAAAAGAATGAAATCACTTCCCTTGAAGCAACATGGATGCATCGGGAAGCTGTTATCTTAAGTGAATTAACACAGGGACAGAAAACCAAATACCACATGTTCTCACTTATAAGTGAGAGCTAAACATTGAGTACACATGGACATAAAGATGGCAACAATAGACACTGGGGAGTACTATATGGGGGAAAGAGAGTTGAGGCAAGGGTTGACAATTGCCTATTGGATACTATGCTCACTACTTGGGTGACAGGATCATTTGTACCCCAAACCTCAGCATTACACAATACACCTAGGTAACAAACCTGCACATGTGCCCCTGAATCTAAAATAAAAGTCAAAATTATTAGAAAATAAGTTGTCAAAAGACTTGAACAACTCACAATAAAAGATACACAAATCGCCAAAAAATACATGAAAAGATATTTGACATAAATCCTCAAGAAAATGAAAATTAAAATCCTGATGGAATACCATTATATTTTCACTAGAATGGCAAAAGTTATAAATACTGACCATATAAAATGTTGGTAAGAATGCAGAGCAACTGGAACCTTCATACGTTGCTGTTGAGAGTACAAAATGGTACAGCCACTTTAGAAAGCAGGTTGGCAGTTTCACATAAAGTTAAACCTATGTCTACTCTATCACTCAGCAATTCTACTCATAGGTGTTTACTCAAGAGAAATGAAAACACATGTCCACAAAAGACTACCAGAATATGATAGCCACTTTGTTCATAATTACCAAGACTGGAAAAAAACCAAATGTCCAACAATAAATAAATCAGTAAACAAACTGATACATTCATATAACAGAATACCACGTAGCAATTAAAAGAAATGAATTATTGGTGTATACAACAACTTGGATGAATCTCCAAGATTTTTCTAAGCAAAATCCCAGACACAAAGGAGTACCTATTTGATGTTTCCATTTGTATAAAACTCTAGGACAGGGAAAACTAATCTATAGTGACAAAAAGTAGTTCAGTGATTGTGGACAAAGATGTGTAGATTGACACCTAAGTGACAAAAAACATCTATTTGGGTTGATGGAAATATTTTCTATCTTGATTAGGATGGTGATTTTAAAGGCATATATATTGTTAAAACTCAAGGAATAATGTATACATTTTAAATTTGTTGATTTTATGTAAACTACACTTCAGTATAGTTAATTTATACAATAAAATTATATATGTTGTCTCATTGATCCATGCCAGACATTTCTGTAATGTCCATCTAAAGAAGAGTTTCCCTTGTGGTTTGCTTGGCTGCCTATGTCTGCCTTTAGATTCAAGGCTCCCAACACTGAGATTTCTCTAGTTAGAGGTTAGCTAAGGATCTCATTACCTTTGAAACAGAGTCACTCCTATTCATAAATAAATAACTTTGCTGACAGAAGCTGCTATTTGCTAGTTTAGGATCATCACATGGAAAGAACATGGTTCTTATCTTAATCATACCAGAGTTCTAAACCTGCTTTCATCACTTTGTAGCTTTTTCGCTTTAAACATGTTTAACCACTCCATGTCTCATTTTCTGTATGTAATAGGGATAGCAGTGCTCAACTCGATATGTTATAAAAATTAAGGGTTAAAATAAGTGAAGAAGCTGAGAATAGTTGGGGTCAATAAAAGTTAGTCTACCATTCCATGTCTCATCACTCACTTATTTTCTATATTTGTTTCCTTTCTTGAATATAAGCATAGACCTGTTGCCTAAGTTAGCCCTAAACCTTTTGGCCTTTGGAGGACTGCCCATCCATGTAAGGTAAAATCCAGTTTTCTCAGGCCTTAGAAATACCTTAGTTATGCTTTCACTTAGAATTTTAAATCTATAAACTAGATGTTCTTCAAATCTGACTCTAACAGCATCAAAAAATACAATCAATACTGAGTTAGAGTTTATATTCTTTTGCAGCATGTCCTTTGGTGTGACCCAGACTCATCTTCTTACTCTTAACTAAGTAGGAAACAGACCTTTGGGCTTACAATAAGTTTCAAATAAGCCTACAGATTGCATCTAAATCCCTTAGTTGTTTATGTGAATAAAACACAGCAAGCTGGTTAGCTTTTATCTATTGAGAAAAGAAATTCGGCCAGGCACGGTAGCTCACGCCTGTAATCCTAGCACTTTGGGAGGCGGGCAGATCCACTTGAGGTCCAGAGTTTGAGACCAGCCTGGCCAACATGGTGAAACCCCATCTCTACTAAAAATACAAAAATTTAGCCGAGCATGGTTGCAGGTGCCAGTAGTCCCAGCTGCTTGGGAGGCTGAGGCAGGAGAATCGCTTGAACCTGGGAGGTGGAGGTTGCAGTGAGCTGAGATCGCACCACTGCACTCCAGCCTGGGTGACAGAGTGAGACTTCGTCTCAAAAAAGAGAAAAGAAATTAAAAGATAGAGGCCTACCAAAGGTACAAGTGACTAAAGGAAAAATAGGTAAATTCGATATGAAGTCCGATTATGTTTCGATGAACAAAACTAGAAACTTTTATGCTTCAAAGGATATCATCAAGAAAGTGAAAAGACAACCCAGGGTATGGGAGACAATACTTGCAAACATATATCAGATAAGAGATTTATATCCAGAATATATAAAGAATCCCTATAACTCAACAATATTAAGACAAACAACTGGCCAGGCACGGTGACTCATGCCTGTAATCCCAGCGCTTTGGGAGGCCGAGGTGTGTGGATCACTTGAGGTCAGGAGTTCGAGACCAGCCTGACCAATATGGTGAAACTCTGTCTCTACTAAAAATACAAAAATTAGCCAGGTATGGTGGCTCATGCCTGTAGTCCCAGCTACTCAGGAGGCTGAGACAGGAGAATTGCTTGAACCCAGGAGGTGGAGGTTGTGGTGAGCCGAGATCATGCCACTGCACTCCAGCCTGGGCAAAAGAGAGAGACTCTGTCTCAAAAAAAAAAAAAAAAAAAAAAAAAGACAAACAACCTCACTAAAATATGAGCAAAAGATTTAAACAGATACTTCTCCAAAGGAGATAAACAAATACCACATAGGCACATGAAAAGATGCTTAATAGCATTAGTCATTAGGAAAATCAGATCAAAACCACAATGAGATACTACTTCTCACCTACTAGGATGACTAAATTTAAAAAGACAGACACTCATAAGTATCTTGTAGAATAAGAGACAGTTTTCGGAACCCTGGTACAAACTGCCAGTAGGATGAAAAATGGAGTGGCTACTTTAGAAAACAGTTTAGCAGTTCCTCAGATTGTTAAACATTGAAAACATATGTCCATGCAAACACTTGCACATGAATGTTTATAGCAGCATTACTCATGACAACCAAAAGTGAAAATAACCCCAATAGTCCATCAACCGATGAATAAATCAAAAAAATGTTCTATATTCATACAATGGAATATTATTCAGCCATAAAATGGAACGAAATACTGATACATGCTACAACAAGGATGAAGCTTAAAGGCAGTACACTAAGTGAATGACCACGATCACCAAAGACCACATATTATATCATTCTATTCATATGAATTCATCAGATTATGCAAATCCACAGTGACAGAAAGTAGATTCCTGGTTGCCTTCCTGGTGGTGGGGATGGGGGGTGGGGAGGAGTGAATGGAGTGTGACTCCTAAGGTTACAGGAGTTTCTTTCTGAATTGATAAAAATGTTCTAAAATTAAACAGTAGTGATGGTTTCACAACTCTGTGAATACTAAAAACCACTCAATTATAAACTATAAAAGGACGAGTTTTATGGTATGTGCATTATATATCAATAAAACTGTTATTAATATACATATGGGGGTCTTTAGCAAGTAAGAGTTGAGCATACCTGGCAGAAGTACCTGAAATAGGAAGAGAACAAGCTAAAAATGACCTTGGCTTATTAAGCGAAAATCTGAACTCTAAGCCAGCTTGTTATTTGTATCCTCTGCTCATACATCTAGTCATGTATGATGCAGGGTGTTAAAGAAATTCAGCCCCGGGAAATGGAATAGAGAGGAGAGCTAACTGGATCACAGGAAAGGATTGCTAACAAACAGTCCCCTTTATTTTTAAAATAGTGCCTCACTGATTAGTAGGCATAGTGAAAAACATAGGTGCCCTATAGGAATAAATCTGGGTGTTTTGTTTCCATCTGAGAAGATAAATTACAGAACAGTGATTCAAAGAGAGGAGAACAACCTCATTTTGCCTTTAAGGGGAAAAAACTTTCTAGCTATTCATTGCTGGATCTTGGAAGGCCATGGTAGAGGGGTGGGAGTAGGAACGTAGCTAGGCGCTGGAGTTAGTCTTAGGTTTAAATCTTGGCTCCATCACTTATTTGCTGTGTCTTTCAGGACAAGTTGCCCTTTCTGAACATCAGCGTTTTCATTTGCAAATGTAAAGAGCAGGATCTATTTCACGGAATTGTTAGATAAATTAAATGAAATAATGGATGAGGATTTTCACATATAAGGTTTACACAGTAAGACATCTATATCCTGTGCACTCTGTTTCCCCATTGTTTATTTCCCAAATACTTATTGGACTTCTACTATGTGGAAGGCATTATGAAATATAGCAACATTCAGGATCCTGGGAAATATTTCAGGTAGAATTAACAGGACACACATTGTTATGGTGAAGCTGTACTGCAGAGAGAGAATGCGCTTGATTCACTTTTTACCCTCCAGATCTAGCAGAGTGCCTGGTGTAGAATTGGCATCAATAGATATTTGATGAATAATTGAATTAATTAATTTAAAGAAAATGTGGCAATTTTCCTATCGCTTAAAAACTTGAACTTATGGCCAGGCATGGTGGCTCACGCCTGTAATCCCAACACTTTGGGATGCCAAGATGGGTGGATCACTTGAGGTCAAGACTTCAAGACCAGCCTGGCCAACCTGGTGAAACCCTGTCTCTACTAAAAATTAGCCGCACATGGTGTGGGTGCCTGTAATCCCAACTATTTGGGAGGCTGAGGCAGGAGGATCACTTGAACCTGGGAGGCAGAGGTTGCAGTGAGCCAATATGGCACTACTGCACTCCAACAGCAAGACTCCATCTCAAAAAAAAACAAAAACAAAAACCAAAACCAAAACCAAAAACACTGGAACTTTTTCTTCCAGTTCAGAGCTAACTTGGAAGAAGCTATTCCATATACCTCAGATTCTCAGCAAATTTTTAATGGGTGATAATATGAGAAATCAAGTGATCCTGAGATTCAAATTGCTCTACACAAGCTAGCCAAACCAAAAAGATTGCGGTCCAACTGACACAAATATTGTAAAATTAAGGGAGAGCAGAGGACTTAAAAACAAAATAGAGTTTTGGCTCCATTGTTGACTGGCTATGGCAACATTTACTTACCACCCTCAGACTCAGTTTTTTCATCTTAACAATAGGAATAAGAATATATAATTCAGGAAGCTGGCAATAGTATTGAAGAAATATGTGATTAGTGTTTCATGTGCCAAAAAGAAAAAATCCATGTAAATTGAGGTTTAATTTTCAATTGTGGTTTTACTGTCCAGAAGAATTTGTCTCTGTTAAGAAAGCCGTAAGGATAGCTTTAGAACTATGAATACATATGTACATCAAAAAATGCTACCATGTACTAATAAAACATTAAATTTTTAAACAATTGCTCATCATTATACAATAAGTTTTTTAAAAGTTAATTTTATATAAAATGTTTATCTAAACAGTAATAGCATCTTCAGTATGCTAATTTAAAAATGAGGGGAAAATTTGTTTTGTTCTACTTTGAGTAAGTCTAGGTTTCTGTAACAAGGCGAAAAAATAAAAATGCAGGGAGAAATTTATGTTTTTTACACAACCATGAAAGTGAGCAGCTACATTCCATATACCTGTTGATAGATACCAGGCTGCTTATATTCTATTGCTCCAGTGTGTTGCCCCCCTCTAACTAATTGGAGTAAGTTCAAAATGGTGAGCTAGAGAGAGAGAACACAGAGGAAGAACTCTTAGGCCTAGACCCGGAAGTGTCATAGTATACAGATTTCTTAAGAATCTGTTGGTTCTACAATAGCAATGCCTGTGCAACAATTCTAAGGAATAAACAGGTTACACAAATATATACATACCATAGTAATAACAAGTGTTGCCTTTTATTCAATGCCAAATGCTTCCTCACAACAGTCCTGAGACATATTATCCTCATTTTACAGGTAAAGAAACAAGATCAGAGTGGCCCTAACTTCCCCAAGGTCATGCAAATAGGAAGTGACAGAGCCACAGTCACACGGATCTTCCTGGTCCAGAGCTCAGGCGCTCTCTCCTTCACTTTTCTGCTTCTCATTAGCCACAAACATTTAGGAGACTGCTATGTAATACAGACCTTCAAAAACCATCTTTTCACCCAGATATGCAACAAGACCGTGTCGCTCTTGTCACCCAGGCTGGAGTGCAATGGTGCAACCTTGGCTCACTGCAACAGCACAATCTCGGCTCACTGCAACCTCCGCCTCCCAGGTTTAAGCTATTCTCCTGCCTCAGCCTCCCAAGTAGTTGATATTACAGGTGCGTGCTACCCCACCACACCCAGCTAATTTTTGTATTTTTAGTAGAGATGGGGTTTCACCATGTTGGCCAGGCTGGTCTCGAATCCTGACCTCAGGTGATCCACCCACCTCGGCCTCCCAAAGTGCTGGGATTACAGGCATGAGCCACCATGCCCAGCCAAGAACTTTATTATACTAAGTGGGAAACTTTCCTTTCTATAGCTTCTTAGAGTTTACAAATTGTTTCATACTCGACCTTATTTGTTATTCATAACTCAGCATAGGCATGATTATCTTTATTTCTGAGATGAGGTAAGGGAAGGTAAAAGTGTTTCAATAACTTGCTCAAAGAAGGAAAAAGCTCCCTGCCCCGCAACTCCAAGTCCTGACTCAAAATCAGTCCAATAGTTTTAAGTGGCATGTAACAGTATGTTATGCTGATACTGGCTACAGTGAACTTGTTTGATCATCGTAAGATCAATATGATAATGAAACCTGTAGAGGACTTGGGGGCAGACACAGGGTAGAACAGCCAGATAATTCAAGAATTAAGAGTAATATTTAAAATATTAACTATCTTTTAGGAAGCAAAACCAAGGGTGACCGAAACTGGCTTCACGTATCAAGATAGAACAAGAGAAATTGATTTTAAATTGCAGCAGAAAGAAAGAAAGAAAGAAAGAAAGCTGTTAAATATTGGAAAGTACTTTTGCACCAAAGATCAAAAAAAGAAAAACAAAAAGTTAACAAGATTCTGAGTCGTTTCCCCGAAAATTTCTGTAATGAGATTGATGAGATAACACCCATGTTGGATGGAGTTGGTTGTGGTCTTGCCCAGAGCCTAGGAGCTAAAGCAGAGACTCCTATTGTGCACTCTGCTATGAATTAGAAAAATTTGCAGTAAAGTGTGGGTTCTGGTCATGATTATGCCCCATACAAGCCAAGTGACATAAATCAGGGCACTGGATCCTACTGAATCTATTTCCTCAATTGGAAAATTTTGATGGCAATCCCTGCCATATTTCTCCCACAGAATTGTCATAAACCACCTGCATGAGGTGACTTTATGAACTATACATGTCTTTACAATCACATTCTCATTTTGTGTGTTGACTTCTTCAAATTTAACCAAAAATTGGTCCATTTTGTGTTTTACATATGTAATTGTCTTCATTACTCTATCTCATTTTATTCTTTTCATTTAAAATAAATGCTTTCATGTTATTTTACATATGTTTGTTTAGCAAATCAAGATATTTTCTTCAAAAAATCAATATTTAAAGGAACTTGGTGAGGGCATTGAACAGACTCAATAATTTTATCCTGTCCTCCATTGTCAGAGATAGTTAAAACATACTCACAGCCTGTCCATTTCCTAGGGCTATGGATTACGCTAGTCTTCTGTGAACTGCCAGTTCATCATTAACCCCGGTTGCCAAATGGTTTTTGGCTCTGCTCTGTCGCATTACCTCTTTCCCTATTCATGTGTCTCTCTGAATTGAGGAGGTACAGGTCTCCCTTCTTCGTGCTAAATGGTCCCTATACAAATTGAGTTTTCCATGAAAATATTCCAGACAGTGTGAAAAATCAAGGCAGAATTAAGACTAAGGTGGCCGGACTGGCTCATGCCTGTAATCCCAGCACTTTGGGAGGCCAAGACGGGCAGATCACCTGATCACCTGAGGTCAGGAGTTCGAGACCAACCTAGCCAACATGGTGAAACCCCATCTCTACTAAAAATACAAAAATTAGCCGGGCGTGGTAGCAGGCAACTGTAGTCCCAGCTACTTGGGAGGTTGAGGCAGGAGAAACACTTGAACCCGGGAAGCGGAGGTTGCAGTGAGCCAAGATTTTGTCATTGCATTCCAGCCTGGGTGACAGAGCAAGATTCTGTCTCAAAAAAAAAAAAAAAAAAAAAAAGACTAAAGCATTACTGCAGAATTTGGTCTTCTGAGGTAGCTTTAAAAGGTGAGAAAACAGGAAAAAGTCTGTAGGACCTTAATCAACTCTAGGGCTGTCTCAAGCAGATTCTGTCAATGTGTTCAGAGGTATGCATAGAAAATAGTTCAGATACTGAGATGTCACTACCCATGGCTAGTCATGCAAAGTATCTAGCTTTTATGCATCATAATGTTGTATTTTAGAATTATAATTGCATTGGTATTTTGGAATTATAATTCAGATCATCGTTTGGTGTCTAGTAATTAAAATCAAGAAATGACTTAAAAGTATAACACGACTGTTCAATAATTCACAACATAAACAGAGTTTAACTCGAAGAAGGTACAGTTTTCACTGAAAGACAGAGGATATAGAATTGGAGAAATGAGAAGAGGAAAAAACACAATAATTTCTCTTTTTCTTAGTAGTACTCATTAATTTTTATTTCATTGTTTTCTTTTCTTTATTGTGGTAAAATACAAATAACATAAAATTTACCATCTGAGCCATTTTTAAGTGTATAGTTCAGTGATCTTAAGTACATTCAGAATATTGTGCAACCATCACCACCATCCATCCCCATAACTTTTCGTCTTGTAAAACTGAAACTATACCAACTAAATAGTAACTCCTTGTTCTCCCCTACCCCAGTGCCTGGCAACCACCATTCTACTTCTCATCTCTACAATTCCGACTGCTCTAAGTACCTCATATAAGTGAAATCATTCAATATTTGTCTTTTGTGACTGCCTTATTTCATTTAGCATAATGTTCTCATGATTCATTCATGTTGTGGTGTAATGTCAGAATTTCCTTCCTTCTTAAAGCTTAATAATATTCTATTGTATGTACATACCACATTTTGCTTATCTATTCACCTGTCAATGAACATTTGAATTGCATCTACATTTTAGCTACTGTAAATAATGCTGCCATAAACATGGATGTACAAATATCTCTTTGAGACCCTGCTTACAATTCTTTTGGATATATACCCAGAAGCAGAAATACTGAATCATATGGTAATTCTATTTTAATTTTACAAGGAACTGCCATACTGTTTTCCACAGAGGCTGTACCATTTTACATTCCCACCAACTGTGTCCAAACGTTCCAGTTTCTTCATATTCCCGAGAATACTTGTTATTTTCTCTTCTTTTGATCATCACCATCCTAGTGGTGTGAAGTCGTATCTCACTATAGTTTTGAATTACATTTCTCTACTGATTAGTGATCTAAGCATTCTTTGATGAGCCCATTGGTTATTTGTAGATCTTTAGAGAAATCTCTGGTCAAGTGTTTCAACCATATTTTAATTGGGTTGTTTGTTTTGTTGTTGTTGTTGTTGTTGGATTTTAGGAGTTCTTTATATATTCTGGATATCATTCTTTTATCGTATATATGATTTTCCAGCTATTTTCTCACATTCTATGGATTGCCTTTTTACTCTATTGATATTGTGTTTTGATGCACAAATTTTTTCAATTTTCACACAGTCTAATATGTCTATTTTTTTTGTTGTTGTTGCCTGTACCTTTGGTGCCATCTTCAAGAAATCAATTCCAAATCCAATGTTGTAAAGTTTTTGTCCTATGTTTCTTCTAGGAGTTTTATAATTTTAGGTATTACATTAAGGTCTTTGATACATTTTGAATTCTTTTTATATATGGTATTAGATAAAGGTCCAATTTTATTCTTATGTATGTGGATATCCAGTTTTGCCAGTACCATTTTGTGAAAAGTCTGTCCTTCCCCATTTAATGCTTGGCACCTTTATCAAAAATCATTTGATCACGTATGTAAGGGTTTGTTTTTGGTCTCCCCACACTATTCCATCTGTCTATTTGTGTCTAATGTCTATGCTAGCATGACACTTTTTTCATTACAGCTTTGGAGTAAGTTTTGAAATTAAGAAGTGTGAGTTGGCCAGGCGCGGTGGCTCACGCCTGTAATCCCAGCACTTTGGGAGGCCAAGGCGGGTGGATCACGAGGTCAGGAGATCGAGACCATCCTAGCTAACATGGTGAAACCCTGTCTCTACTAAAAATATAAAAAAAAATTAGCCGGGCGTGGTGACAGGTGCCTGTAGTCCCAGCTACTCAGGAGGCTGAGGCTGGGGAATCGCTTGAACCCAGAAGGCGGAGCTTGCAGTGAGCCAAGATCGTGCCACTGCACTCCAGCCTGGGCAACTGAGCGAGACTCTGACTCAAAAAAAAAAAAAAGTGTGAGTTATCCAGCCAGCTTTGTTGTTTTCTGAGATTGTTTGGCTATTCAGTTTTTCTTGAGATTCCATATAACTGTTAGCATGGATTTTTTATTTCTGAAAAAAAGTCTTTGGGATTTTGACAGTGATTGCAGTGAATCTTTAGACTACTTTGAGTAGTATTGATATAAACTTTCTAATTCATGAACATGAGGTGTGTTTCCATGTATCTATGTCATCTTTAATTTCTTTCAGCAATGTTTTATAATTTTTACTGTGTAAGTCTTTCACCTCCTTGGTTAATTCCTAAGTATTTTATTTTTTTGATGCTATAATAAATGGAATATTTGTAATTTCCTTTTGAAATTGTTCATTGTTAGTAATTGACTTTAGTGTGTTGACTTTGAGTACTGCTATGCCACTGAATTCATTTATTAGTTCTAACAGTTTCATGTAGATTCTTCCAGGTTTTCTACATAGAAGATCATATCATTATCTGTGAACAGAGGTAATTTTACTTCTTTCTTTCCAATTTGGCTGCCTTCTTTTTTTTCCTTTTTTTAATTTTACCTAATTCCTCTGCCTAGATCTTCCAGTACTATATTGAAGAGAAGTGGAAAAAGCAGGCATTTTTGCTTTGTTCCTGATCTTAGAGAAAAGGTTTTTAGGTTTTCACCATTGAGTATGATGTTTACTACAGGTTTTTCATAAATGTCTTTTATACTGAGATAGTTTCCTTCTATTCCTAGTTTGTTTAATATTTTTATTATGAAACAGGTTTGAATTTGACCAAATGTTTTTCCTACATCAATTTAGATAACCATGTGGGGTTTTTTCTTACATTCTGTTAAATTGTATATTACATTGATTAAATTTTGTAAGTTGATCCATCCTTGCATTTCAGGAATAAATATGGCCTGGTCACAGTGGATAATTCTTTTAATATGCTCCTGAATTTAGTTTGCAAGTATTTTGTTGACAGTTTTTGCATCAATGTTCATAAGGGATATTGTCTGTAGTTTTCTTTTCTTGTAATGTCATTGTCTGGTTTTGGTATCAGGATAATACCAGCCTCGTGTAATGGGTTAAGAAGTATTCCCTCCCTTTCAACCTTTTTGGAAAAGTTTAATAAGGATTAGTATTAGGGCTGGACATGGTGGCTTATGCCCATAATCCCAGCACTTTTGGAGGCCAAGGCGGGTGGACCACCTGAGGTCAGAAGTTCGAGACCAGCCTAGCCAACATGGCGAAACCCCATCTCTACAAAAAATACAAAAATAACCAGGCGTGGTGGCAGATGCCTGTAGTCCCAGCTACTTGGGAGGCTGAGGCAGGAGAATCACTGGAACCGGCAGGAGAATCACTGGAACCGGGGAGGTAGAGGTTGCAGTGAGCAGCGATCACTCAACTGCACTCCAGCCTATGGGACAGAGAGAGACTCTGTCTCAAAAAAAAAAAAAAAAAAGGGGGGGATTAGTGTTAGTTCTTTAAATGTGTGGTAGAGTTCACTGGCGAAGCCATCAGGTCCAGGGCTTTTCTTTGCCAGGAAATTGTCGATTATTAATTCCAAATTCCTGACTAGTTATAGGTCTATTCAGATTTTCTATTTCTTTGGGATTTTATGTTGGTCGGTTTTGTCTTTGTTGAAATCTGTCCATTTCATCTAGGTTACCCAATTTTTTGGAGTACATTGTTTGTTCATAGCATTCTCCTATAATCCTTTTTATTTCTGTAGAATAAGTAGTAATGTTCCCACTTTATTTCTGCTTTCAGTAATATCAGTATTTTCTTTTCTTGGTCCATCTACTTAAAGGTTTGTCAGTTTTGTTGATCTTCTCAAATAACTAATTTTTGTTTACATTGCTTTTGTGTATTGCTTTTCTATTCTTTATTTTCTATATCTCTGCTCTAGTCTTTATTATTTCATTCCTTCTGCAGCCTTGAGTTTAGTTTGTTCTTCTCTTTCGAGTTCCTTAATTTGTACAGTTAGGTTGTTTATTTGAGATCTATCTTGTTTTTTAATGTATCTATAGCTATGAATTTCCCACATACCACTGCTTTTACTGCATCCCATTAGTTTGGAACTGGATAATGGGCAAAGGCTGGAAGAGTCTGGTGGAACAGGCTAGAAAAAGCCTATGTTGCTGCGAGCGGATCATAAAGGGTGATTCTGGTGAAAGTTCAAAAGAATTGGAAAGCTATAGAGAAAGCCTCAGTTGTCTTAGAGATTATTTTAGTGGTTGTGATCAGAATGTTGGTAGTATATGGACGGTATGGTAAAGACCTCCTGATAAGGTCTCAGATAAAATAAGGAACATGTTATTGGAAACTGGATGAAAGGCCATCCTTGTTATAAAATAACAAAGAACTTTCCCGAATTACGTTTGTGCCCTAGTGTTTTGTGAAAGGAGAAACTTATGAGCAATGAAATGAAATATTTGGAGCTGGGTGCAGTGGCTCATGCCTATAATCCCAGCACTTTGGGAGGCCAAGGCAGGCTCATCACTTGAGGTCAGGAATTCAAGATCAGCCTGGCCAACATAGTGAAACCCCATCTCTACTAAAAATACAAAAAATTAGCCGGGCATGGTGGCACGTATCTGTAATCCCAGCCACTCGGGAGGCTGAGGCAGGAGAATCGTTTTAACCCGGGAGGCAGAGGTTGCAGTGAGCCAAGATTGCACCACTGCACTCCAGCCTGGGTGACAGAATGAGACTCCATCTCAAAAAAAATAAAAAATAAAATTTAAAAATCTAAAAAAAAGTAAATATTTGGCAGAAGAAATATCTAAGCAAAACTGTGAAGGCGCTGCATCACTTCTCTTTACTGCTTACAGTAAAACGCAAGAAGAGAGAAGCAAACTAAAAACAAAAATTATAAACAAAAGAAATGCAGAGCTTACAGATATAGAAAATTCTCAACCTGACCATGTGAAAAGAATGAAAAAGCATTTTAAGAAAAGAATATCAAGAGTATTGCCAAGCAACAATGTGATAAGAAGACTACTATGGGTAGAAGGCAGCCAGTTGCTATTCATCAAGACAATGAAGTATGACCTGGAAGGCATTTCAGAGATCTGGTCTCCCCACCAATCATAGCCTCCAGAGTGCTAGGGCCTTGAGAGCAGAACAATTTCAAAAGAAAGGGCTGAGGCTCCTCAAGTCTCCGCTTTCTGCATTCCAGCGCAGTGCTCCTCAGCCATCCCAAGTGCAGCTCTACTGGGCCCAAGCATGCAGTGAGCCACAGTGGCCATCCCTCCAGAGGGCACAGGTGGCAAACCTTGGTGGCATTCATGTGGTGTTCACTCTGAAGGCACACAGAGTATGGGAGCATGGTTGCCTCCACCTAGATTTCAAAGGATGCCCCAGGGACCCTTGGGATCTAGGCAAAGAGAACTGCCTCAGTGGCAGAGCTATTGCAGAGAGCCCCTACCAGGGGGCAAAGTCTAACAGAGCCATGGGGTTGGGCTGTTGCAGATCGCCTTAACTAGGGCATCACCCAGCAGAACTGTAGGAATGGGGCCAATGGAGAGACCCTCAACTAAGGCAATACCCGGTGGGACTTCGGGAGTGGGCCACTGAAGAGAGTTCCCACTAAGGCAATAACCAGTGGAGCTGTGGGGGCTGGGCTGCCCCTGAGATCCCAGGCTGGTAGAGCCACCAGAGTGCAATTCCAGTCCAGAAAAGCCACAGGCCCAAGACTGCAACACATGAGAGCTGTAGCTTGGGCTACACACAGCAGAGCCATGGGGGCCAGGCTACCTGGAACCTTTGGGGCTAAACTCCTGCCTCAGTGTGTCCAGAATAAAGAACTTGGAGTCAAAGACAATTCTCAAACCTTAAGATTTAAGGTTGTTTTCTTTGTCGGGTTTTGGACTTACTTAAAACCTGTTGCTCCTTTCTTCTTTCCTATTTTCCCCTTTTGGAATGAGAATGTCTATTCTATATCTGTCCTACCATTGTATTTTGGAAGCACATAATTTGATTTTACAAGTTTACAGCTGATTAAGAATTTGCCTCAGGATGAAACATACTTTGAAATTCACCTATATATATGATTTAGATGATATTTAGATGAGACAGTGGACTTTAGACTTTTGAGTTGATGATGAAACAAGCTAAAACCTGGAGATTTTGGGGTTTGAATAAATGCATTTTACATGTGAGAAGGACTTGAAATTTAAGGGGCTGTGGTGAAATGCTATGGTCTAAATATTAGTGTGCCCCTGAAATATATGTTAAAACTCAATCTTTAACGTAATGGAATTAAGAGGTGAGGACTTTAGGAAGGTGATTAGGTCATGAAGGCTTCGCTCTCATGAATGGGATTAGCACCCTTATAAAAGAGATTGAAGGGAGCTGCCCTCCCCTTCTACCTTGTGAGGATGCAGCACCCTTGCTTTGCACCCATCAAAGAAGAGAGAGAAGGCCCTCCTAAGACACGAAGTCTGCTGGCACCTTGAACTTGGACCTCCCAGCTTTGATAACTGTGAAATAAATTTCTGTTGCTTATAAATTACCCAGTCTAAGGTATTTTGTTATAGCAGCAGGAATGAACTGAAACAGTTCACTACATCAGCCATTGTTCCCACTAAATGTGTGCAGAATTCTTCTTTCTTTCTCTTCTCCTTAAAATCCATTGCAAAGCTAGGCAGATATTCTTTGCAACTGTGGTCTTTCCAGTAATACCTCAGTTATCAATTCACATTTTATGGATGGTAGGTATCAACCAAAATAGTGTAATGATATGGATCTCCTGTCATTTCTCTTTCTTTTCCTATTTACCTACAAATTAACTTCTGTGTCTCTTTCAAAATTTGGCCTGAAATTCGCACTAAAATTTTTTTCTACAGTTCTGTTATACCTTTTTACATTTCTCAACTGTTTTGATTTTTACATTTTAGGGGGAAAATGCTCCAGCTTTTCTCTCAATCTTCTATGCTCATTATGACTCTTACTTTTGATCTTATCTTCTCTGCCTTCTCTCAAGGTTCCATAGAAAGGATAGGGTGTCTCCTCCAGGAAGGAGAGCAACTTGAGTTAACATTGTGATCCTCTCACTCCGGATCTCTCCATCACCAGCATGATTATCAGAGAAATGGTTATTCAGCATGGGGAGTGCCTGCCAGTCCAAGAGCAGGAAAGTAACAATATAAAAATACAAAGCAAGTTCCACTGTCTCTTGCTCTATATCCCTCAATATCAACCTGGCCTGCAGTGAAATGAGCTTTTCTTTATTTTCTGATACTAAGCGGTTAGCTCTCAGTGGCTGGATCTCATTCCTGTGGTGTGGGCCTGCTCATCTCCAATTTCTCTGCCTATGATCTGGGTGGGTGCATTCATTTGTACCAAAAACAGAAGGTTCTGTCACATTCACCAATCCAGCCTAATCAATTAAAAAGCTAATATTACAATCTCTACTTGGCTCCTTGTCTGCTCTTAATTGCCTAGAAGCCAAAACAGAGACTGGTGAGTGATTAGCATTCCCCAAATACCAACATTTCCTCTTCTGCTCTTTTTCTGTCTCTTTGTCACTTGATCTTAATTAATTCTGTGAAGCATAATATGTCCTGACCTTCTTTATATGGAAGAAGATACTCAATGCTAAATCATGGTCATACTGAAAAATGCAAAGTAGCTCCCTAATGAGAATGTTCTGACCTTTTTCCTGTTCATACATGAAATAAATAGAGAGCATATTGTGAGTCTAACACAATGCCTAGCACATAGTGAGTATAAAATAATTATTTGTTGAAATAATACCAACTACGGTGATTTTTTTACCAATACAATCAAGATTCCACACAGAGCAGCATATGAGATTTATGGATTTTCCATCTAAGAGTAGCACATTTTCTGATTTTTAAAGACTATTTTTTAGATATTTTAAGTATCGATCATATGAATCTTACAGGTGAATAGAAAAAAAAGTCTATGTTTTAACCACCTGACCAGAAATCTTATTGCTAATCAGCCTCCCATCAAAATGGTGCATATTCAACCAAACTGATGCAATAATGTTACACATTAGGGAGACATTTTTCTAAGTCATCCTTCATTCAGTAACAGACATTTTATTGGATTTCTAATATAAGTAAGACACTGACTTGGAAATAACAAGAGGAACGAGACATTTTCTGCCCTCAGGAGCTTACAATCTAATAGAAGAAATAATTCACATGTATAAATTGTTTTAATATAAGGAGCTATTTGGTGATACATGAGATGTACTTTAGGAGAGTAGAAAGGCAGAAGTTTGGAGAGATGAGAAAATTCATTTACAGCAACAGTAGCTAAATCTGAGTTAGGAATTAAAAAGTTTTAGGGTCGAGCTGGGGAGGAGGGAAGTTCAATAAGAGGGAATACCATCAGTAATAGCACAGACATGCATGTTAATATCAGCACAACTCACAGTGGCCAAAAACTCCAAACAACCCAAATGTCTATCATCAGAAAAACTGATATACTGAATTGGCATATTCATATAATACCATTCTGTAATGAACAACCAGTAAATGCAACAACGTGGATGAATCTCACATGTATAACTTTGAGCAAAAGAAACCAGACATAAAAGCAAATATGTCATGTCATACACAATATATGTAACCATTTACATTACCTTCCAAAAGGCAAGATTTATAGTGCTATAATCAAGACAGTGGCTATGGTTACCTTTGGGGGAAGAAGAGTTAAAGACTGGGAGAGGGGCACTGGAAGAAGCTCCTGGGGATGCTTGTTGTGTTCTATTTCTTGATCTGTGTCAGTGTTCACATGGGGGTGTTTGCTTTGTGAAAATTCACTAAGCTGTATATTAACGAGCTATGCATATATATATATATACACACACACACACATATACATATAATACTGCAATAGAAATAGAGAAAATAGCAAGCAAAGCGATGAAAAACTCAATGTATGTAAAGAGACTGGTAGGTCCACCAGGACAGGAGGTTTAAGGTAAATGTAGGGGAACTAATTTGTGAAGATGGCAAGCATCTTGGTAGTAAAATGATAGGTTAAAAAAAAAAAGTGCCACACAGTTATTATACATGCTCACCCTCTCTTCTCCTCCAACAGCCCACTCCAACTCCTAAATAATTTGTAATCATTTTTCTGTACTTTGTAAGTTTAGAAAAAGGAGCTTTGGACAAGATGTTTGGGAAGAGTAAGGAGTGTTTAAGTTTGCTTTATACATTGTGAAAGAGTGAGGAATTGAAATACAGCTTGGCAATGATACAATTTACCTTATTTTAGCAATTCTCTCCTAATCTCAGTCAAAAAAGCAGACTGCACATGATTATTCTGTATAGAGGGGCTGGAGGATTCACCGAGGAGAGACAGGTAGAGGGTTTGTTGACTATTCCTGAGTTGTGTCAACTATAATACAGGATGAGAAAATGAAATGAAAATAAGCTTGCTCTGAATGTCAGGCAATTGTTAAGTCCCTTCTTCAGAGTTTTCTCCATTTAACAACCATTTATTAAGCACCTACTATGTGCCAGGCTCCATTGCGTTGTGTTCTGGCAATATAAAGCCAAGAAAGACATTCCGTAGTCCAAATGGACATTTCTCAGATTTGTTTCTCAGATTCAGCCAGTCTCACTGAGAAATGTGATTGTCAGAAAGATAGAAAATACCCTAGACACTATAAAAGCTCAGTTAGTTTTGGGAGAGCTTTTCTAGCAGAGTTTCAAACATTGCTGCTTTGGACTACAGTTGACTTGGCAATAGAATATTTCATAGAACATTGTTAATAGGATTGTGCCTATAATAGTACAGAAACGATTTGCCAAGCAAATTTCCAGTGGAAACAAGGGAAGTGTTAGCCTAGTTAAGAATGAGGAGCTTTAGATAGAGCATTTGCATTCAGACAAAGAATATGCTAATTATAACTGAATCTTATCCACTTGTTAAAGCAGTTACAAGAATTTCCAACAGAGATATTTCTACTCCACCTTTCCCTGTTAGCAGTGTTACTGTAAGTACTTCAGATTAATAAGATTACATATATATTTCAAATCTTTAGCTCTAGTCTTCGTGACTCCTCTAAAATTCTAGACATTACAAACCAAGGAGACATTCCATGGGGACTCCACAGCTTCTCTTTAGAATCTGTTCCTGCTCCAGCCCTGCCAGTCCCAATCACTAACCACTCAGTCTCCTAAATTGGAAACCTGAGAACCTTCCTAGACTCTTTCTTCCCTCACACCAAGTAATCAAGCAATCCAATCCACTATTTTCCAATTATCTCTGGAATTAGCTTCCTCTTCTCCATTCCAAATGCTGTATTTTCTAGCCCTTAGTATCTCTCATTAAACATTTAATATGAATTGTATTCTTCTCCTTTGTGTTCTTATCTCCTGTCTCTCCTGGCTTCAACCCACTCTCCTCAAGACCCCGGCTAAAGAGACCTTTCTAAAATGTAAATATGATCACTTCAAAGACTCTCTATTGCCATGGAAGGAGAATAATGTTCAAATCAAAATGCTTAACAATAAAAAAGTAATAATATAATAATAAGAGAAATGCATATTAAAGCTACTTGGATTCCCCTGTCAGATTGACAAAAAACAAAACAAGTTTCATAGCAACCTCTACCAGGGAGCTGTAAGGAACCAGCACTTTTATACATTGTCAGTGGAAGTGTAAATTGGAAAAATCCTGTGAAGAGCAATGTGGCAATATCTCTCAAAATCATAACACATAAACCTACAGTCACATTTCTAAAAATGTATTCTATACACATGCACTCACATTTGAGAAATTATTTATATACAAAGTTGTTGATTACAGCATTTTTTGTAATAGCAAAAGATTAGAAACAAATTTTAATAGGAAGCTGATTAAATAACCTGTTATACACCCACATAATGAAATTCTATGAAGCTGCTTTTAAAAAGCAAAAAAAAAAAAAAAAAGAAAAACGAAAATAGAAAAGTTTACCAAACTCATTTATATTAAAGATGGGAAACACACATACACATAAATGTACATGCATGTATTTGTTTTGCTTAGATACGTTAAAATGAACTCTGGCAGTTTAGCTAAGAAACAAAAAGAAGTTGTCACCTATGCTGTGTGTGTACTTCTCACTGTATTTATTTTTACACTTTTTTATTATTAGACCACATGAATATATTATATATCCAAATAATTAAATACATTTATTTTAAAAACATGCTTTAGCATGACATAAATGTTTCTTCTTCATTTATGCCCTGTCTACCTCTTTAGCTCACGTCCTATCATTCTACACCAACCACCACTGTATTAGTCCATTGAAGAAATAGCCTAGAGTGGATCATTTATAAAGAAAACAGGTTTAATTGACTCACAGTTCCACATGGCTGGGGAGGCCTCAGGAAACTTACAATCACAGCAGAATGGGAAGCAGGCACCCTCTTCACAAGGCAACAGGAGAGAGAATGAGAGCACGCACAGGAAAAACTGCCAGTTTTAAAACCATTAGATCTTGTGCGATTCATCACTATCATGAGAACAGTATGGGGAAACTGACCCCATAATCCAATCACTTCCCTCCCTGGACACGGGCAGATTACAATTCATGATGAAATTTGTGTGGGGACACAGAGCCAAACCATGTCAACCACTCACACAAAGCCTATAGGTGGTGGAGAGCTGAACCTCTCATTAGTGTCTTTTCTTCTCTTACTGTGTATGAGCAGGTTTTTTTTTTTCTATTCAGAATACCTCCTGATTCTCCTCTCTATCACTCCACCACCCCAGCACAGCCTGCATGGCCTCCTTAAAGATTTGCTTCCAGTAAAGGGCGCATGCCAGCATATGCTCAGTATCCCCTGAATTTGCTCTAGCACCACACTTTTTATATGTACTAATTTTCATCAGCCTCAGTCAACTCCTAAGTTGTGTCTTACACAGTTCGGGGGTGCTCCAAGTAATGCTTACCTGCCTGTCACTTATAGGGTCCTTTTCTCACTTCCCATAATACTCCTCAAAGCTGTAGCCTTTAATTGTATTGTTTTCTAACTTTTTGTATCTAGTTTCTTTAATAAAATACTAAATCTTTAAGGGGAGTCTTTTTCTCTTAATTGTAGTAATAATAATAATTGTTAAAATTTATTTACTTAACATCTTCTACGCTCTAAGACAGCACTATCCGAACATAATTTTTTGCAACGATGGAAATATTCTATATCTATAGATGGTGATACTAGCGCTTGCTGTGAGACTAACTGAATCATCAATTTTACCTTATTTTAATTAATTTGAATTTAAATAGTCACATGTAGTCAGCTACAATATTGGACAGTGTAGCTGTAGGCTCTGTGATAAACTTTTTATACATATTATGTCATTTAATCCTCACGAGAACCCCACAAGGCATTATTACTATTTTCATCTTACAGATAAGAAAACTGAGCCCTAAAAAGTATAAATGATTTTTCTACAACTGCATAGCTAAAAACGGTTAATTTGGGGTTTGAACTGATGTGATTTAATGCCAGAATCTGTGTTCTTAAAACTTGGCAAAAAGGGGAAAGAGAAAATAGTAGCAGAGTCAAAAATTTATTCAAATTACATTCAGGTATCTAAGCAAAATATAGATTTTTTTTTATTATTGTTAAATTAAATTTGGTTTGAGACTGCCTCCATAGGTAGCAAACTGCAATCTAACTTAGTATGTTAAAAAAAAAAAAAAAAAAAAAAAAAAAAAAAAAAAACCTGCAACCTAACATGAGTATATTCTTGTAAGGAATAGCTGAATTCCAGCCAATCACACAGGCCGAGCTTCAGCCAATCCCAGGCTGCCAACTGATCAGACCATGTTTATAGAAGGCAAATGCTGAGCTGTAATCAATCAAGCTGTTTTTGTAAGTCACTTTATTTTTCTGTCTATAAATATTGCCTGTCCATGTTGCTGTGGGGAGCTCTCTGAACCTCTTCAGCCTGGTTCAAGGTGCTTGATTCATGAATTGTTAATTGCACAAATAAAGTCTGCTACTCGTAATTTCTTTGATGTTTTTCTCTTAACTTTTTTTTAAATATGTGTATTGAGGCAAAATGCATATATAGTATAGCTCATAAGCTTATAGTATAGCTCATAAGTTTTATAGCTCAATGAGTTTTGATAAACGTACAAACTCAAGTCATCTGCACCCCATTCAAATAAGAAATTTCACCACCCCAGGGTTTTCTCTTATTCTTTCCCAGTCAATCCCCACAAAGCCTCTGCCATCAGAGGGAATAGCTCTTCAAATTTCCTCTGCCATAGATTATTTTTATGCCTATTCTAAAATTTTGTATAAATGAAGTTATTGAGTATGCACTTTTTTGTATCTGGCTTCTATTGGTCATAGTGTTTTTGAATGCCATCTATGTCATTGTATTCGTAGTCTGTGCCTTTTTATTATTGACTAGTATCCCATTGGATGAAAGTATCCTCATTACCTATTCTCCTGTTGATGAACATTGAGCTTCCTTCCAGTTTGGAACTATCATATGCAAAACTACTATAATCATTCTTATACAACTCTTTTTGTAGATTATATTTTCATCTCTTTTACTAACTGTCTAGAAGCGAAATTTCTGGGTCACAGGGTAGGCATATATTTAACATCATACAAAACTTTCAACCTGATTTCCAAAGTAGTTGTAGTGTTTTACATTCCAAAAACAATGCATTTGAATTCCAGTTGTTCCACATACTTGTCATCATTTGATTTGGTTAGTCTTTGCAATTTTAGCTATTTGGGTGCATGTATAATGGTATCTGATTGTGGTTTTAATTTGAGTTTCCCTAATGGCTAAAAATGTTGAGTATATTTCCATGTACTTTTTAGTCACCTATATATCTTGTTTTGTAGAGTGTCTGTTTATGTCTTTTGCCCATTTTTCATTGAGGTGTCTTTTTTGTTTTCCAGGAATTATTTGTATATTTTAGATAAAGTCCTTTGTCATAGGTACACATACTGAGAATATTTCCTCTCAGTTTGTTGCTTCCATATTGATTTGTTTGTACTATATTGTATTGAATTGAATTTATTCAATTACGTGAATAGTGTTTTCTGATTAGAAGTTTAAATTTTGATGATTTCTAATTTTTCAGTTTTTCCTTTAGAGTGGCTGCTTTCTGCATCTTGTCTAAGAAATATTTGCTCACTCCAGTTTTGCAAAGGTATTCTTCCATGGTTTTTTCCTGGAAGTTTTAAGGTTTTTAGTGGTTTACTTTGTACAGAAGGCATATCATTCAGTTTTACAAAATTGTGTGATCAATAAAGTGTTGAGGTACAGGAGTGTGTGGGATTGTTCGACTGCCAACTTGTTTACACTGGGAGCCACACGTCTCAACACACTCTTCCCTTTATGGTCCTGAGTGTGAGTTGGCCTAAACTAAAGTTGCATGAGTTTGGCAAGTGAAAGTGAAGCAGCAGCCATTACTTTCTAGAGATGTTTACTGGTAAGAGGTGGTGAGAAAACAGAGGCAAAAGTGCTGACAGTTTCCAGTTTTCCCTCTTTCTTCTCTGTTCCGTTTCCAACTCTTCTTCCTCTTGTTTGTTCTTGTAACCAACATTCACTCTAATCTCACAAGACACTTTACTATGAACTCACAGAGGCAGTAGCCAATAAAAGCCAACAACATTTTACAGATTCTATGCTAGCGCCTTTTGTGGTCCTACTGTGGCAGCTAGATGAGCCAAGCTTCAGATTTCTCTGTAAGCTCTGACTTGCTCAGCTGGACTAGGGCTGGTTAGCAACCTTCCTCTGATCCTCTATTCCCCTCACTGGACTTTTACTTCCCCAGTCGTTCCCACATTTGTGTAAGGACTAATTCCTATGACAAATTTCCTATTCTATTATGCTCATATTAGTCCAACTCCCCCAAATGAATGTTTACTGATATCATGAGTGATATGGTTTGGATGTTTGTCCCCTCCAAATCTCATGCTGAAATGTGATTCCCAGTGTTGGAGGTGGGGCCTAGTGGGAGATGTTTGGGTTATGGGGTTGATCCCTCATGAATGCCTTGGTGACATTCCCAAAGTATTAAGTTCACATGAGACTTGGTTGCTAAAAAGAGCCTGGTATCCTTCTTGCTCCCTCTCTCTTGCTGTTTCTCTTTTCATGTGACACACCTGCTCCCCATTCACCTTTTGCTATGAATGGATGCTTCCTAATGCTTTCACCAGAAGCCATGCTGGTGCCATGCTTGCACAGCCTGCAGAACTGTGAACAAAATAACCTACTTTCTTCATAAATTACCCTCTCGTAGGTATTACTTCATAGCAATGCAAAACAGACCAACCCAGTGAGGAAGGGTGGAAAGAATGGAAAGAAAAAGGTAGGAAAGATTCAAAAGCTCAGTGTTGCAGAAACTAATATAAGGGTTGCTTGGAAGCCTTTAGTTGCTTCCTATAGCTGCAATGATGTCATGTCATGATTATATTGTGTAGAGAAAAAAGCAGTTTCATTCCTATTTTCGCCATTCATTATCACCTTGGATAAGTCATTTTAGCCTTTATCTTCAGTTTCACCACCTTTTTTGTAGCTTGCTTTCTTTACACAGGTCGTTTTAAGGATACCATGGAATAAAGCCTTTCAGTGCTCCCTATAAATGTAAATGTGTTTCGACGTGTAAACATTACTATCCTCAGCATTACTATTATCATTCTTATGATTGTCTGTTTGCATCTCCATTAGGTAAGATAATCTGTCACTTTGGCTACTTTTTTTGCAGATCCAGGTGAAAATTTAGAAGAGAAGAAAGAAACTAGAGACGCCAAGTTGCTGTGAGGGTTTGAATTCTCTGTGGATTTCTATTATCTCTCTCATACCAATTCCCCTTTACCACATAGTCAAGAGCTGGTTGAACCACTCTTGCCCATGGGAGAATTAATGCATATGCAAGTTAGGAAATCATGTCTGGGTTTTTCAAAGCATCCTGTCCAATAAGCTCTCAGCCACACCACAGGTTATCCCACTCAGGGTGATGGTATGCTAGAGGCATACCAAGAGAGTACTTCTGACAGCAGAAGTTTAGTCACATGGTCTCCCCTTTTTACGTTAATTGATGTTACAGTCTGCTGCCTTTCCTTTGCCATATTGAAGGGGAATGGGAGTGTGAGGGATCTGAAACAACCACAGAAATAATAATGAGGTGAAAACATGATGTTGTTGAAAAAGCATTGTTCATTCAGGAGACCTAAGTTCCAGTCTTGGCTTGGGAAATAACCATGGGGAGCTCCAGTAAAGTTCCGGACTTCATTTATAAAATTAGGAGGTTGTACTGGCAAGATTGTTTCCAAACTGCTTTCCATTGAGACCTGGTGCTCTGTGTTAGGGACAGGGCTCTGTCCTGGCCACTGGTGTAGTCAAGGGGACAGGATGATGGGCTGTGTATCTCCTTTTCACCTAGGTCACTTTTACATCCCTCTGACTCATATTTTATAAAGTTCAAAGTAACATTTAATTAAAATCAGAACTCTTTTGCATAAAAGAAAGCTTAAAAACATATTCTACTGGATGTTTTTATGATTATTTACAGCTTTAAATGCTATAAAATCTAAGTTATTTACAGGAAATTCTCCTTATCCTAATAAAGGCCATACATGTCAAACCTTATTTATTCACTAATTTGTACATTAATTAACATTATACATTAATTAACATTATTGAATACAGATATAGAATTTAGAGCTAAGGGAAGAAAAATGATTTTAAAACCTCTCTTTACCATTGGCTCTCAAAGGCCTAAGGGGGTCAGACAAGCAAATGAAAAACTATAATAAAATGTGATAAATGTTATAATAGAAGTTGGTAAAAATTGCTATAGGAATATAAAGGAATCCATTCATTCTGCTGGAGGGCTTTGAAAATGTATCAAATGATAGTTTTTTATTTCTGCAACAGATTGACCTGCAGACTTGCATTTGTTTGGGTTCATATTCAAATGATTTCTTCATTTTTCTGAGCAGGAAGAAACAGTCCTGGGATGAATTCCTAGGCCATCAAAGTTGGAAAACGTGCCACAGATAATTCACAAATGGGAAAATCCACATATGGGCAATTCAAAGATGGCTATATATTGCTTTACTGTCAAGTCGAAGAAAATAAAAAAGACTGTCCAAATATATCCTTTCAAGTACACAATCAGTACATTACTTTAATATAAAAAATAAGTGTAATGGAGAAAGAGCTCTGTTTCCCAGGTGCCTAAATCATTGCATCGTGTTCTTCTCTAACTATGAAAAAGGTTTGCATTTACTCTCAACACATATTTCATTTGGCTTGTTGACAGTTTATGAAGGGCAAGAAGAATTTCTCCCCTCATGTCTGATCAAATGCACAGAGAAGTGCCAGCAATTAACTTAAAACTCTGGCAGTCGTAGTGTCCCATGCCTCATTTCACAATAGGTCTGTAACTCTGACCCCGTAATGACGTCTTTCCTCAGTAACTTATTCCCTCAGTTATCCACTGCTTACTTGTCATAGGTTTATAGCCTTGAACCCTTTTTGCCTCTATAAATTTCCAAAAGCACAGATCTTCATGCAATTTATGAAATTGTGAAACAAAGCATGCATGCATGGGAAACTTTACTTCTTTGTCTACATTGAACCACATTAAAAAAAGTCATAAAACACGGGGATTTGGGGTTTTTATTCCAAACAATCTTTGCATAATTCAAAATGTATATGTCTATAGATATGATTAATTTTTTTAAGTTAATATTGATGGTAACTCTGCTAGTAGCTACTGAATGTAAAAGTATTTGATATAGCTCTAATAGTATTCAAAGTGTTTTATTTTTATCCACTGTGAGAATTCCTCATAATTTTCCAGCTTGGGATATAAGTTTAGTGAAATTAAAACTGCATGACCCAAATTTATGTAATACATTATATTCAGTGCCAATTATCAGGTTTCCATGATTATATTTTAAGTCTGATTCATCCTTTAATGCTCAATCCTCTACGATGCCAGTCATCATCTCAACTCACACAGGTTCTCCCTTCTGTGAACAAACAGCACCCGGACATAAACCACGTCTTGGAGTAAATTAGCTCTAATAATTTTATGTGTGGTTTTCTTTTTCACACAACTAAAATGTAAGTACTGCATTCCCCCAAGTACAGAGCAATTATGTCTTGCTTTCTTTCCTATTACACACACCAATAGCCTCTCATTGATTTACTCAATGGTGCATCCACTTGACAAATTTGATGAGCCACTTACATATGTCAAACACAGTACTGGGCACCAGGATTATAAGTCAGTAACCCACCCTCAAGGAACATAGTTTTATGAAGAAACAAACAGGTATGTATGTGCTTACAGTGCGGTGATAAGAGTAAGCACTGGGGCCGGGTATGGTGGCTCATGTCTATAATCCCAGAACTTTGGGAGGCCGAGGCCAATGGATCACTTGAGCTCAGGAGTCCGAGACCAGCCTGGGCAACATGGCGAGACACCCACTTCTTCAAAAAACATGCAAAAATATTAGCCAGTCATGTTGGCACACAGCTGTAGTCCTAGCTACTCAGGCAGCAGAGGCACAAGAATCGCTTAAACCTGGGAGGCAGAGGTTGTAGTGAGCCGAGATCATGCCACTGCACTCCAGCCTGGGCAACAAAATGAGAGCCTGTCTCAAAAATAAATAAATAAATAAATAAATAAAAGGGTAAGCACTGGTAATTACGGAAGTACATAGAAAAGACCCCTAAACTGGAATTGAGTCATTGTAGAAGACTTTTGGGATAAGGAATGTAGGGAATTTATTCCAAATAAAAGAAAGATCATAACGAAACCCTGGAGAAGACATAAAAAGCACAGTAGTATATACATACAGGGCATATCAAAATTATATGTTAGTTGAAATGGAATGAGCAGAGAAGGAATAAGAAAATAAAGGAGAAGGGAGATAATTGTTTTAATCAATTTTTCCTCATTTTTAATACAACATATTAAAAGGTATGTGCAATGTTAAAGTTCTTTGTTGGAAGTCTTCTGTGGCAAAACTACTCTATAAATAACACAAATAAACTAATTACTAAATATTGGATTCACTTTTAAGAAGAGTAAATAAAACTCTCATTGGAAAAAAACATGTTAAGCTACCTGAGGCGGCTTGCCTTATACAGGAACTAAATCTCTTTATTTCTAAGAATGAGTATATTTTACTCACTAAGATGAGACTTGATTATACCTTTCCTTTCTAGAATCCCTGAGGGCCAGGTAATTCTATGGTGGTGGTATCCTTCTTGAGTTAAATAACTGTGTATAAATTGTGGGGACAGGGCAGAAAAGAGAAGTCAAATAAGAGACTAAGAACTACACTCAATTGAATCATTTCATTTATTGTATAGGGGCCAGAGATTCTCAGCAATAGGATTTTCTAAAATGAACCAACAAAATAAATCGTGTTACTCCTTTACCATAGCTCAAATCTATCAGGAAACAATAATGATAATGATATTTATCAGTTATTGAGAATTTATTTTGTATCTGAAAATGTGCTAGGGACTCTGTATATTTTTTCATTATCATACAACCCTAAGTTAGGCATTATTATTTTCATTCATAAGTACTCATTAAATGTTTTTTAAATTCGTGACTAAATACTCCACCTAGCTAACTGCTCAAGAAACAGTTCAATTCACCCATCCAACAATAAAAATTCAGCAAATTCCATGTGTCATGCACCTAGCAAATCTTCCAGCTTCCTTGGAATCTGAACCTAGTTGGCACTTACAGAGAAATAAACAGCCATGCCATGCAAATACAACTCATTCATGGTACTTGTCACATATTAAATATTTACTGAATAATTGCATGAATAAATGAATGAATGAAAAACAAAAGTGCTCCAAAGCCAGTGTATTGAGGAACTTCTTAAAAGACCAAAGAGGTAATCCACATTGCTTCATTCTGAAACAGACTGCCAAAATGAGCATCTTTCCATCAATGTGTGGGAGTAACTTTCATTCTCCTCTTCTTGCCTTTCCCATACTGCTTCATAGCACCTTAAAGCCAAATGGAAGAAAGAAAGTAGCAAGGAGCGAAAAACTGAACATCACTATCCTTTGTCTTAACAATAAAAGATTTGGGACAAATTCGATGGATTTGATCAATGGATCTAACAAAATAATTTGAGACTTTATGACTTATTGATCAAGGAACTATGCCTGAGAGGTGCCCATCCATCAACTTTGAGGCCAGAGAACTCCCGGAGAAAACACTGCTCCTGCTGCAAATCACAGTCACCTTTCTGAATTCAAAAGTTCAATGGCTCTGTAGACCAGAAAAACCTCGGCAAGGCCTATCAAGACATTATTCTTTCTGGAGGAGAGAAGAGGAGAAGAAAGAACGGCTAGTAGACACAATCAACTAGAAACTGGGTATGCACTATGGACATGATCCTCGCCATGACCTTGTCAGATAAGTGATGAGATTCTTATTCGACAGATACAGAAAGTGGGGCTCAGAACAGTTCAGCAGCCCACCAGACAAACATCTAGTCCATGAGTTTGCACCAAATCTCTATCTCACTCTTCCTCTCCAGCCAACTCACTGGACTCCACAGGGATATATTTCCTATGGGATTTGTGAGTCAGAATAGCACAAAGAGTGAATTACATGTCCAGATAAAAACAGCTTATTCTAATCCTTATAGAATTCATTTTTCAAGAAAAAAAATCGAGCAACTGCAAGGTGTCAACATTTTTCTAAGCACTGGAATACAACAGTGACCAAAGGTAAACAAAGGTCTTCCCCTCGAGGAGTTTACCTTCTGATTTAAGAGACAGAAAATACATAATAAATGTGTGTGTGTGTGTGTGTGTGTGTGTGTGTGTGTGTGTGTGTGTAGTAAATTTGCTTAATCTATGAGGCAAAATCTTTAAAGCATCACTAACCTTTTTTTTAATATGCTACTTTGAAGCTTTCTTCCTAATTTCTGGAGGAAATCTAGAAATTATATATTATAGCTTTTCTCACCATTTCCAGATATTTATTATTCAATAGTCTTATTTTCAGAAATTTAAATTCTAATCCAACTTAATATCAAAATATCACTGTCTCATCAATTTTTAGATTTTAGCTTATCCTCCAGCTTGGGCTAAGAAATCTGCAACAGGAAAGGGATAGAAAATAGGGTTAGATTCCTGTTTTCTAGTCTTATTCATACCTCATTTTGTTGCCTTTAATTCTTCCAGGGCTGGGGGATAGGGAGGAGGGAGGAGAGGAAGGACAGTTAAGGGGCAGGAGAGGTCTTAGTTCAGTAAACTGCAGTCTAGCCCTTTCTTTTATGGAGAACTTTATAGGTCTTTTGGTGGTCTTCTCTCACAGGAGGCCTCTCTTAGAAGCATTTGTTGACAAAATTCTTGCCTTCCAATCAAGTCATGTATGACCCACCCACCCATCTACTCACCCTCCTAACCTGCAGCCCTACTGCAACAGTCCGCACGCCACCTCTAGCCTTTCTGCCGAGTGCCTTCCACTGGCAGGAAACTCTCTTGGGTAAGGTCTTCTTCAGGGAAATTAAAGGCTGGGCACTTGTTCAGGTCTACCTTGTCCTCTGAAAAACATGGTCATCTTTGTGTTATCATCAGTGAATGTAGCTTGCTCTCGCTGTGCCCCTATCCACTCACTCTACCTTCAGAGAGGAGCTCCCGAGGCAGAAATCCGACATCCGTCCCTGTGTCTGCCAACCTTCCACCCCATCCCAAATCTAGACATACAAGTCACATTTGCTGAGCAGTTTTCTTGTAAATGATTTACTTGGCTTATGCGAAAGGGGAAGTTTCCCTCCCCTCAAGGGGAGAGAGTCAATAAACAATGTAGCATTGGCATCTCTCTTCAGAAAGATACTTGCTCTCCAATCTTCCTCTTATCAATCATCTCACATCTGCTTACATACCCTTGAGATGAAGGGCTAAGAGCCACTGGAGAATTTTTTAAACCTCTTCTCACAGATATACATAGAAGTTATGGCACTTTTCTTTATTAAGTGCAAGCAATTAACACCTTTTGCTTTCACCTTTGCTGCCTCAGATAAATCTAGGAAAACAGAAAAACTTTTATCATGTGACCTGTTATATACATAATATAACTTCACTTAGAAGTGAGTGTTATGAAAAACAGTAAAGCAGAGAAAAGGACAGAGTGTCAAAACGGTGAGTTGTAGGGACAAATCCAGGTAGGATGATAAGAGAAGGCTACTCAGAGAAAAAACAGATGCCTGAATGAAGCAAGGAGGTGAGATGCAAAAACCAAGGGAAAAGGCATTAAGGCAAAGGAAACAGCAAATGCACAAGCCCTAAAATGGGAATAAGCTAGGTGTATTCAAGAAGTAAGAAGGTCAATGTAGAGTTGAATGAAGACAAGAAGTGGCAGAATTTAATATAAGAGAGGTGGATAGGGACTAAATCACATAGGCCCTTTTAGGGCATAAGCAGGCATTTGGATTTGACTCAGAGTGATGGAAGTCACTGGAGGGTTTTGAGCAGGATGGTATCATGAGTCTGGTTTCTGTGTTTCAGGGACCACTTTGGCTGGTATGTGAATAATATATGATGGAGTTAAAATCATCCATATGTGCAATCTACACTGAGAATCTAGTGAGAGCATTGTGCTTGACGTGCATGTTCAGTTAGTTCTAAAACTTACACAAACAGAGCAATAAAGAGCAACAGAAGATGCTGTGTAAAACCCTTCTGGGAATCCTTTAGACATTATCTAGTTAAAGGTGTGAAATGTGAGGCTAGAAGTGAGAAGGGATGTATTCAAGATTACAGATATAGTTTAATGCAATGTAGGAAGTAAAGTTAATATGTGTTAAATATATTCAAGAGAAAAGCCTTTGAAAAACAAGTTTGGACTCTCTTGCTGCATAGCAAATCACCCCAAACTTGGTAACCTAAAACAAAAACCATCATTTTATAATATAATTAAGAGTATAAGTAAAAATACTGAAATAGGATAGAGAAAAATATTTTTGACAATCAGGAGTATTTAAGGGTAAATTAAAAAAAATTGGGGGATAGGACCAAGACACATACTGTGCAAAACACAGAGGGCAAAATGATATCTGCCTATATCAGATGGCTACACAAGTGTAGATCTGTGCATGCACACTCATACACAACTATAGCCCCAGAAACCTGTAACCCAAAGCTGTGATAGCATCCACTCTGATCAGTACTCTTTCTCCATAGTTATTATGGCAACTGGCAACTATGCTCCACTACTTCTGTAAACATTTATGTATCCTTGGAGAGCTTCCTCTGACCTACTGGCGAAGGTTTGTTGATGGTCACCTTCTGAGCTCAGGACAAAGTAATTTCTTTGGAATCCTGTTGTCATCCATCCTCCTCTCATGAACAGCCTGGAGAAGTAGAGTTGCAAAGTGCATGGCTTTGGTGCCAGTGGATTGGACGGGCTCCAGCTTCTTACTCTTAGCGACCTTGTTCTGCCATTTGATGTTAAATATAGAATGTAAGGGGCAGGGTGAGAACTCCAGAGTCCCAGACAAATTCGAATTCTTCCTGTCTCTTCATCTATCAACATCTGTTTATCTCTCTATTTTATGGTGCTTACTATCAAAGAGCTCAGTTACTCCCAGTTTTTTTTATTCTGCTACAAGCGAATCCACCCTTTTTTTTTTTTGAGACAATTTCGCTCTTTCACCCAGTCTGGAGTGCAGTGGTGCAATCTCAGCTCACTGCAACCTCCGCCTTCTGGTTTCAAGCGATTCTCCTGCCTCAGCCTCCCAAGTAGCTAGGATTACAGGCACCCGCCCCCACGCCTGGCTAATTTTTGTATTTTTAGTAGAGATGGGGTTTCACCTTGTTGGCCAGGTTGATCTCAAACTCCTGACCTCATGACCCACTCACCTTGGCCTCCCAAAGTGCTGGGATTACAGGCCTGATCCACTGTGCCAGGCCAAATCCACCCATTTATAATGGGACGCTATGCTTAATCATGTCACTACTACAAATGATACAATGAAATATCAACTAGCCAGAACTCATTTTGCTACAAGTATCAGTAAACCACAGATTAAAGTAGAAAACATCACACTATAGGAAACACTTTATATAAGAGTTGCCCAAAAGAGAAAATTTCTGGCATTTGTGAAGAACATGTACATTCTGCCCAATCTCCTGTGTTTTTTATATTTTTAGCTACCCTACAACAATATAATTTTCAAAAAATTTGACAAGTAAGTGCCATGGTATAGTAAGAAACACTATATTAAGTCTTAGATATCCTAGATAGAAAGAAATCTCTTATATCACCCTGTTTAGTGCAAGGCCACTGAAATCTTACCCCATAATCTTTGACAGTCACACTAGCCTCAGTTTTCTGATCTGTTAAATAAAAAAGTGAAGTGAGTGATTTCTCTGTTTCTTTTTAGGTTTATGATTTGAAGATTTAAAATACTGTGAATGATATATCTCAGTTAAATAGAATATTCAGTTAACTAGAACTTTCACTCCCCTACATTCTGTTTAAACTTCTACTATAATAGCAACAATAGTCATATCTTTTATCTGTATATCATTAAACTTCATAAACATTTTTGCACACATCTCTCCTTTTAATTTCAAAATGTCATTCAAAACTAACAGATGATCCATATTTCTGTGCCCTAGCAAATATATGATATTGAAGAGATGGATGTATTTACATGACAGGCAAAAACATTCTATTTGGTGCAGTTTGTACTATTTATTTTCTTGAGTAAAAGAAATACTTTAAGATCTTTCAAGAAGTGAATGAATGGTGAAAACTAAAACTATAGAAACATAAGTCATTCAATATGTTCTGGTATCAGAGCATTATAATAATCTTTCAAGGACATGTGAAAAAAAGATCCAAGCTCAACTATGGGTCCAAGTAAAAGCTAAGTTGAATCAACTATCTAAAATAATGCTTCATATCTTTGAATACTTTTTAACTTAGAAAACAGTTTCACACACATTATTTCATTTAAATTTCACAACGCCCCGAGTCATTTTTTATTAAAGCAGAATTGTTCATGTCATTTTATAGATGAATCAACCGAGGCTGGAAGAAGATAAGCAACTTGTCCAAAATCACAAAAGTAATTAGGGAGGAAATCAGGACCTAATTGAATCAAAGAATTCCAAGTTTCTTGGGATCTTAAAGTCATCTCATGTGAGGCTTCAATCCTGTGGTGTTGATGGCCAATTGTTCATTCAAAACTGGAGTTTTCTTTCCATATTACAGATTTTTAATTAGGATGTGGCTTCCCAACTAGGGACCACATCTGCCAGTCTCTCTTGTATCTAAGTGAAATCATATAACCACCTTATCACCAATAGAACGTGAACAGAAGTGATGTATGTCATTTCTGGGCCACGATAGCTAAGGAGCAGCTCTTCTTATTCCTTCCTAACTTTCTGTTTTCCTGGCTCAGAGGACACTAAAGCCAAAGGAGATGGTAGAGCCAAAGATGGAAGGAGCCTGGTGCCCTGAGTCACCACAAGGGAGAAAGTCACCTGCCAACAGGAAATCTCACTGTTCATTACATAAACAAGAATTAATCTTAAACTGTGCTACGACATTGACATTGGAGATTTACTTTTTTCTATTATTAGCATTACCCCAACAAATAAAAATCCCCCTGCAACTCCCTACCTCCATCTAAACACAGTAACAAGGGCTTGCTCCTACCAAAAGCAGACCATTCCATATTTGAATAGCTGCTGACTATTACAAAGCTTTTCATTACATTGAGCAGAATTTTTTTTCTATTATCTCAGTTTGATCATAGTGTGCTTTTTGAACTCTCACAGAACTGATGGAAACCTCTTCCATGTGACTTATGTCTGCCACAATCCCTTATCATGGTTACAGACTAATGACACTTTACAGAAACAAGGTTTCCACAACAAGACCGTAAGTCTCCCCTTCTTTGGAAGTGTTGATATAATTCTGGACAAAGAATGGGGGTTGATGAATACTGAGTGTCTTGTGCAAGCTTGATTGATTTTGGAGTTAAGTTGTCATCTACTTTGGAAGCATTTCCAAATTCATCCAGAGCAAGTTATTTTCTTTCTCCACTGTATTCCTACAACATCCCACATGTTTTTTCTATTATAACACTTTCTACATCATATTATAATTGTAACCTTCCCTTAGAACTATAAAGGCATCTGAGCTCATTCTATCACCAGCAAGAAGTCCATTTAACATGGGTTCAGAGCCACAGCTCACACTACTCCAGGGGACATCATTGACATTATAGTCTAAGGCCATGCTATAAAGTGACCTCAATCACGAAACCTCTTGGAGTCCAGAAAGTGATGTAAGTGATGTAAATATTTACTTACATACTGTTTCCCTTAGGTTACCCCTCAGTCTGCTTTGTAGGTCCCTGGAGGTTTCACGTGATTCCCTTGCCCCCTCCTTTTCTATTATTCTCACTCTGCCCAAAAAAACCTAAGCTTTATCCTACACACCCTTCATGCCTTGCATTCAAGCAAAGCAAACATAAGGTATTCAGAATGGGGCAGCAAGATGACAACGAATTTCAAACTTGCTAATATTGATAGCTGTAACAGCATAGCTTAAGAAATCATTATGTTAAAAGACACTTCTTTCCATGAGGGGGATGTTTGAAGTGAGGGAGGAGACTGAACAGCTGGATGAGGAGACAAAGAGAGTGAAAGAAGCCTAAAGCCCATCATTCCCCATGAATTCCTGATTTGTTTGTATGTCTTCTCCTCTAACTCATTATATATTTATTTCTCACTTATTTAAAACTTCTATAACACTTACTAAGTGTAGGCATTGTTCTAAGTATTTTGCAAAAGTGAATTCACTTAACCCTATAACTGGGCCATACATAGGATGTATTGCTATCAGCATTTTACAGATGAAGAAACTGGAGACAGAGGTTTTATAACTTGCCTGAGGTCACCATCGTGGAGGTCACCTGTGTTGCCTCCTTGCCTTATTCTCATCCACAAGTTGGAAAGGATTTCTGGTTTGCTGTTTTAGAGATAAGGAAAATAAAGCTTGGCTCACAGAGTTTAACTGATATGCCCAACTTCACGTGGCTGGCTGCTAAACTAAAAGGTGGATCAATAGTTTGAATGGAAATCCTTTGCTTTTCATATTTGCAAATGCTATTTGTGGAAATTTATTTGAGATAAATTTTACGCTGGGCCTCCAGGTAGGTTTAATCTATTGCTTGCTTTTTGCTTCTTGGAACTACACTAAATAAAGGTCCTACTACCTTGGTGGAAAGTCTCATCCTGAACCTGAGGCAAACATTTTCCTCTTGTTTATCAAATCTTCCATGTACTAACAGGAGGGACAGAGGGCCAAGAGTTCCAACTCTTCCACCAAACACCTGTGATTTTGAATGAGTTATTTAACCTCCCTGGTCTTATGTTTTGTATTTTTGCACATAAAACAAAGAGATTGGATTAAATATGTGTTAGGTCCAGTGTGAGTTGACATAGAAAGTGTAGGTGAGCTTCATTGCAAGCAAGTACTATGAAAACTAAAACAATTAGGTAGAATTTATCCAAACCTTAACTGTAGACAAGGAGCTGTGAACTCTTAGTTGTCACCTAAGAAATGGATTTGAGAATTTATTATAGACTGCTAAGAACATCAGCCCAATGTGCTGTAGCCTCAAAGGTCAATAAAATGATATTATCCAAAAAGGTAAAACATAAATAAAAAGGTAAAACATACAATAAAAAAAAGAACATATTTAGCATTTACCCCAAAAACAGAACCAGTATGTTCCTATTTGAAATGCAATGCTCTCCAAGTTGCTACATCTCTTGAAACAGACTGAGGAATTAGAACAAATCTAGAAGGAGAAAATTTTAATGGCTTTGAGCCTGGAAAGTGGTAATCATTGAAGGACAGCCTAAAAAGATTTAAATTACACTACGATTATAAAAAAGCAATTATCTGCCGTTAGTATCCCATATAATATTTAATAACATTTCCTAATTTAGTTATACATACATATTTAAAGTCTCAGATTAAATAAAGTAAAATGTTATTTTAGATATAATGCTTCTTCTAACTTTCACATTTCATGAAACAATTGTACTCAAACTTTTCAGGTGCACCTGTAGTATAAATAACTTTATCGTCATTAAAGTCACATTTTGGATCAACTAACACAGTTTTACAAAGTACATCCTTTTCACTGCCATCGATGTCATTTAAGATGCAATACTTTTGAAATCATGTATCATATTTCACCAGAAATTGTATTTCACCCCATGAGTACCCATTCACATATCATTTGGACAATGGGTCATTTCATTCACTCAACAATTGTAATTAAGATAATTTTAACACTACAATTTATTTAATGTTCTTTCCACAATTTAACCAGTTAACAATACTGCCTTTTTAAGTTGTTCACAATGACATCAAAAACTTGCAGTTGTGAGATCGTACCCCTAGAAATAATGACTCAATTACCAATATTTTTGCCTTCTTTATTTTAATAATTTCACCAGATGATTTTTCTAAGCAACAAAAAAGAGCTTTAATTGAAATGATTTAAGGATAATTTGCCTTCATTTAAAAAGTACTTTGTTGTTTAAAAAAATTGAGGAATTCTGTCGTAATATGAGAAAGTATAGGCTCAAACATTAGGCCATTTCTTCTTTTCCAAGAGATAACTAGAAAATCGTTCACCTTATATTTGTGCATATAGGGGATGCTAATTATGAATTTTTAAATATCATAAGGGCTAAAATTTAGTTATTTTTTGAAATAGTATTTCCTAGGACATTGATTATTAAAGGGGTTGGGAAAAATTCCATATATTACGTGTGTGTATATAACATTTCATATATATTATATATGAAATATGTGTATAAAATTCCATACATTTCCAAGAGATAACTAGAAGATAGCTCACCTTATGTTCATGCATATAGAAGATGCTAACTATGAATTTTTGAATATAATAAAGGCAGCTGGGCGTGGTGGCTTATGGCTGTAATCCCAGCACATTGGGAGGCCGAGGCGGGTGGATCACTTGAGGCCAGGAGTTCAAGACCAGCCTGGGAAACATGGTGAAACCCCGTGTCTACTAAAAATACAAAAATTAGCTGGATGTGGTGGCATGCACTTATAGTCCCAGCTACTCGGGAGGCTGAGGCATGAGAATCGCTTGAACTCAGGAGGTGGAGATTGTAGTGAGCCAAGATTGCACTACTGCACTCCAGCCTGAGCAACAGAGTGAGACTCTGTCTCAAAAATAATAATAAGTAAATAAATATAATAAAGTCTAAACTTTGGTTATTTTTAGGATATTATTTCCTAAAACATTGATTGTTAAAGGGGTTGGGGAAAATTCCATATATTATATATATATATATATATATATATATATATATATATATATATATGCATATATACACACACATACACACAATACCTATTTCATATATATATATACTATGCATATATATATACTATGCATATATATATATATATATATATATATATATATATAAAAAAAATAAGGAATTGGCTTAAGAAATGATGGAGGATGAGAATTCCCCTGACCTGAAATCAGCAAGCTGAGATCCCAGAAAAGTCAGTGGTATAGTTCCAGTCTGCATCCAGAGGCCTAAGAAAAAGGAGTGCCAATGGTGTAATTTCAGTCTGAGGGCAGGAGAAGACCAATGCTCAGCTCAAGCAGTCAGGCAGAGAGAGAAAGCAAATTCTCTCTTCTTCTACCTTTTTATTCTATTAAGGCCCTCAACCGATTGGATGAGGCCCACCCACATTGGAGAAGTCAACCTGCTTTATTCAGTCTAATGATTTAAATGTTAATCTCCTCCAGAAACACCCTCATACACACACACACATTAGAAATCGTATTTGGCCAAATATTGGACACCCATGACCCAGTCACAGTGACACAAAATTAACCAACACAATTGGTTAAGTCGATTTAGGTATTAACTTGACTGAATGAAGAAATACCTAGAGAACTGGTAAGGATTATTTCTGGGTGTGGCTGTGAGGGAGTGACTCTGAGGGTGTTTCCAGAGAAAATTGACATGTGAGTTGGTGGGGACTCAGTGGGAAGACCCACCCTCAATGTGTGTAGGCACCATCTAATCAGCTGAGGTCCTGGATAGAACAAAAAAGCAGGGGAAAGGCAAATTCATTCCATCTGCTGAAGCTAGGACAACCATCTTCTAAAGTTGGACATCGGAACTCCAGTTTCTCTGGCATTTGGACTGTGGGACTTGCACCAGCAAACATGTGGGTTCTCAAGCATTCAGCCTTGAATGGATAATTATACCATTGGCTTCCCTGGCTCTGAGACTTTGAAACTTGGGCTGAGCCACACTACCAGCATCCCAGGGTCTCCAGCTTGCTGATATCCTGTCATGGGACTTCTCAGCCTCCATAATCACACAAGCCAATTTCCCTAATAAATTATGTCTATCTATCTATCTATCTATCTCTCTATCTCCCTCCTATTGATTCTGTCTCTCTGGAGATTCCTGACTAATATATTGAGTATGTAATTCTAATTTGGAAATTAGCGCCTCAGAGTTTTTAGCACAGTGTCTTCTAGCACCCAACGTTTCTCTAGAGATATTACACATCATTCACATTTCTGCTTTTTGATATGTAAACTGGTTTCTCTCTCTTCATGTTTGCTCTCAGAGTCTCTCTCGACTTTTAGAATCTTTCCTTCTGTTTTGAAATTTTGTGCTGAGATTTCCTGTTGTGAAATTTTATGTTTCTGGGTGTATTTTCACATTGTACTAAACATTTTGTAAGCCTGTTCAATTTAGAAGTACATATCCTGCTTTTAGACATGTTTTTATATTATTTATTTGATAATACATACTTCCATTGTCTCTATTTGTTTCTAGAAATACTATTTGTTTCTAGAAATACTATTACACTATTGAAACAATCCTCTAATTTTCTTACCTTTTTCTCTCTAGTTTTTCATTACTTTGACTCATTCTACTTTCTAGTGGACCTCCTAAAATATTTTCTCCAACCATAATATTAAATGTTTTATTTCTACTATTTTTTCTAAATGTTTTCTTGAGTATTCAACTACAGTAACATTCCTTTGTTTCTCTTATTTCTGTAAGGATATTAATTATAATTTTTGAAGATGTATTTTTCCCTACCTGCAATGTTTCTGTTCTGAGTTTTCTTTTTTCCCTTTGTTTTAGTTATTCTCTTTCATATTTGAGGCTTTCCCATCTTGACAATCCTTGGCTTTGCCCTTGAGCTGGGCGCGGTGGCTCATGCCTGTAATCCTAGCACTTTGGGAGGCTGAGGAGGTCAGATCACCTGAGGTTGGGAGTTCAAGACCAGCCTAACCAACATGGAGAAACCCTGTCTCTCCTAAAAATACAAAATTAGCCATGCATGGTGGTACATGCCTGTAGTCCCAGCTACTCAGGAGGCTGAGGCAGGAGAAATTCTTGAACCCAGGAGGCGGAGGTTGCGGTAAGCCAAGATCATGCCATTGCACTCCAGCCTGGGCAACAAAAGCAAAACTCTGTCTCAAAACAAAAAAAAATAAAAATAAATAAATAAAAAACAAAACTGTGTTACATTCATCCTGTGAAATACTACTCAGTAATAAAAAGGAAGAATCTATTTTTTAAAAATGAGCATGGTTCTTACGTGCAAAGGTAGAACTTTCCCTCAAAAGTTTCTTTGCAAGATAATTTTAAAAAGTAAGGTTGTCATTCAAGGGAGCCAGAAATTTCAAAGTCTGAATGTCCTTTCTCCAGAAACCAATCTTCTGTCCTACTGTGAAGATGTGGTAGATATGAGAAAGCAACAGGATGAATGTTTCTGGCTCTCAGCATTCTAGAAGCTGATCATGGGAAAAGGGTGAAGATGTTTTATAATTTGCTATGCAGATATTCATTTAATCCCTTTGTTTTCAGTCCCATCTCTCAGCCTTGCACATCAATATATCCACTGTTGTCCCAGAGACTGATATATATTTGTTACATAATTTTTCCACAGTATAAACCTCTGTTCTAACAGGAGAGAAAGGAGGATACCACTTTGTGGACAGGGAAGGGTACCTGTGGACTCAGTGACTCTGTAAGCAGACTTTCACTTAACCCCACTTTCACTCCAGTGCCTCATCCTTGTCTTCCACATATGCCTCCAAATGCTGAACCTCTCAGGGCTTTGCAGAGGGGATTGATTCATTTCACATCAGTGTCTACAGCTACAGGCACTTAGTTACAACTTCTTCTAGTCTGCGAAGATAATTAACACTTGTCTCTCTACTTCCTTCTTTTAAAAATGTGTTGAATTCTCCCATCTACTGTCATCTCCTTTTCTGTTTTCTGTCCTGGTAGATTAACTTTTTTTACTCCTTTACTTTTTTTTTTTTTTAGTAGAGTTGTGTGTCTGTTTTTGTGTGTGTGTGTGTGTGTGTGTGTGTGTTTGCTCAATTTTTTGGTTTGTTTATTGATTTTAGCCTATGTCAGAATTTTAATGCCAGAAAATTCTGGTCCAAAGAAAATGTTCAAATGCTGTAATAATATTGTTTTATCAGTTAGTTGCATACATATATAAAGAAAGAAAATAGGAGGAAGGAAAGAGGGAAAATGGAAGGAAAGGAAGGAGAGGAGAGGAGAGGAGGGAGGAGGGGAGGGAAGGGGAGGAGAGAAGAGAGGAGAGGAGAGGAGGGAGGGAGGGAGGAAGGAAGGAAGGAAGGAAGGGGTAGTTTAGACTTAAGAAAGAAGATGGTTCAAGAATATTATGATGCAGACATTTAACGTAAAAACAACTCTAAGTTGTTATAAACTCTGACATTTCCACCAAAAAAAAAAAAAATCACTATGCTTTGCCCCAGAAATATACCTCCTGGCAGACAGTGTGGGAGCACTGGCTTCCTCCAACTGTCATATATTCTTTCTTCTACCAGGCATTTTTTGGTATGAAAAGAATTTTGAGAGGGGAGTGAGAAAGAGAAGGGAGAGTGTGAAAGTATCCAACTACCCTCTGTGCCCAGCAGGGCAGTAACTAAGCTCTCTGGCCAGCAGAGGGAAACTAGCACCCATAGAGAGCCCCCAACAGTGCTGCACTGAACAGAGAGTTGGACACAGTCCCTAACTTGGTGACCTTTTGAAAGAGATGTGCTCCCAAACTGCTGGCAGGCAATACCAGGCTGGCTGCAAGGAGCCTTTACTGATTTCCTAGGTTTCTCCCAGACACACTTAAAGAAGGTTATGTGTGGTGTGTGCTGAGATGGTAATAAATTAAATTATAGCGCTGGACTAGTTATCTACCATATAATGGCAGATTATTTCACTCTCTGAAGAAACAAAGACTCTGTCCTTTCTCAGCTGCCTTTGATTTTCTGAGTTGTTGTCCTAGAAATTTTTTAAGAGCATGTTTTGTTATCATCCGAAAATCTGCCATCTTGTAAACATAGCATTTCTAATAGTTGAAAACTGTTTCTTACCTTTGGTGTGCTATTTACCTTTAAATTAAAGTGTCAGGTGATAGCAGATAGAACTTCTTTCTTCCCAAGTGTCCTTGTCACTGTCCTAGTTCAAGTTCTCATCACTGCCAGTTTTCTGCAACAGCCTTCTCTCTGCCCTCAACTTTGACCTTTCTGATTCAAATCTTGGTCTATCTGACTTCAAGCTTATGCTGCTTTCATTTCACAACCTTCCCACTGACTTTTCTAGCCTGCTCATCTGATGTAATATGGGAAGGACGGCACCTCAGAATTAAACGATTTGCCATCAGTTCATGCTGTCTCTTCTCTCCCTTCTCTCTCTCTCTCGCTCTCTGTCCCTCTCTCCCAGAATTCTTCTTTCCTCCCCTGTGATATTCATGCTGATCACAGACCCTAAAAGTCAACATTCTTTATGTTTCCATGCTTAGAACCTAGTACAGTGTCTGGCACATAGTAAATGTTCCATTAAAATGTGTTAAAGCCATGAACTATTAATTCATAGAAGCCATAATTTATATAAAGTGTGCGGTTTTCTTGAATAGCTGTAGTGCCCAAAGTTTAAGAGAAAAAGTAATAATAATAACTGGGTTGACGGGATTGAGCCAGCATCTTTTTGTGCTAGGAGGATGTGTTGAAAAGATGAAGAGGAAGAGAGCTAACAGTATTGGCAAAAGATGGGTAGGTGAAATGATGGATTGTGTGATCTAGCGCAGATCTGAAAGAAAGCGAAGACTTGACATGACTCATAGATTTGAGGATGGACCAGGAGACAGAGTAAATATGGTGGGAGTGAGAGAAACTTGGAGAGAAAAGAGGCTGTAATCAGAAATATGATGTTGGAGTAAGAGGTAGAGAAGTAACAGACTAATGCAAGAAGTAAGGAATGGCCACAGATGAGGACTGAGGATTATATGAAAGGGCAAACAATTGTGAGGCATCAGAATCACAAGGTAATACTGCCAGAGTTTAGCAAAACATCCATGCTAGAAGTCACATGCCTTTGGTGACACAGCTGGTACTATTGCCAGGTGGCACATACCTTGAGCAATGAGAAGCTTTTACATGAAGGTGAAGGAGTAATAATTTGTCTCTTTACTGACAAATGGGAACTAAGCCAGGCAAAAGCAGGCAAGATTTAAACACATGATAGGACTAGAAAATGCAAAGTGCTGTAATGTAGTACAAATTATACTAAAATACTTGAAGGAACACACACACAAAAAAAATATTCAGTACAGACTGATAGATATTAGGGGCCCTTGTAAGACAGGGAACATTAAAGGGCACAAATGATCTGCTATTTTCTGTTCACTTCTTACTACCTATTAATTCAGAATGTACATATGCTTTGGGTTCTTGAAAACAGCCTTGCATGTTAGCAAAGTTAAGCTTGTGCCTCAGTAGTCTAATTTTAGAGTTGTAGAGAGGTTCACTGTCCCTTGCTGGTCTGAAATGCCTTAAGGGGCCCAACTTTGGATTAAGAAAGTCCTATTAGTGTAATTTCTGCTAAGGAGTAACATTTTAAACTCTCCTTGAGAAATGATGTACACTGGGGAATGAAGGCAGCATGTTGAGAAGCAAAAAATTAGGTTACAGGACACTTTCTGGGAGATGAAAAAATCAGATGAGGTGTGGAGAAAGAGTACAGAAGAGAGTAGGTGGAGGATTCCAAAGGCAACCCTCACTTGCCACTCAATGTCACTAAGGAACTAAGTTGCTTGTTCTTGCCTCAAGGACTTGTGCACCAAGCATGCAAGCTCAACTCCCCACTGTGAATGAAAAACTATACTTTTTCTTTGACTTGACTGTTGACTCCACTGAAATCACAGCAAAAAATATTAAACAGAAAGCAAAACAAAACTGTCTAAAGAAGTTACGTAAGGTACTTGCTGCATAGCTTGGAACATAACCTCAGAATCCTGCATTATAAAGTTCACTGTTAATTTTGAGTTTGTCCACCTTATATCCTTGCTGGGAAATGTAGCAAATAAAATGCTCTCACTCTCCACCTATCCCTTTCTTACTGTCTCCATCTCTTATGTGTCCCTGTCTCCAGTTCTTTTTCTGACTCATAATCATTCTCTCTCTCTCTCTTTCTCTCTCTCTGTCTCCCTTTCTCAAACACTTGAAATTTTAAATAAACTTCATTCAGGTAGAATTTATGTACAAAAAGATACATTCTGCTGAGTCTTTACGAATGTATACCCTTGTGTACCCCCACCGCATACAACATTTTGATCACCCCCAGAAAGTTTCATCTGCCTTCTTAGGCAATCCCCCTACCTCTGACTCCAAGTAACCACTGATATGCTGTCACTACAGATTAGATTTGTCTTTTCTATATTTTCCCATAAATGGAATCATTGAGAATGTACCCATTTGCATCTGCCATCTTACAATCAGCATAATGCATTTAAGATCCATACATGTTGTTGCATGTATTCGATTCAATTCTTTTTTGCTGAATAGTATTTCATCATATAAATATCTGGGTCATGTGGTAAGTGTATGTCTAACTTTGTAAGAAATGCCCAAACTGTTTTGCAATGATTCCACCACATTCTATTCTCACCAGCAGTATGTGAGAGTCCCATTTGTTTTACACCCTTGCCAACTCTCCACATTGTCAGTCCTTTTTAGTTTAGCCATTCTAATGGATGTGACTGGTATACCTCTAATTTTATTTACCTGATAAGTAATTATCAGGGGATATTACCAGTGCTCATTGACCACTCATTTATCTTCTTTTGTGAAGCATGTGCTCAAATTACTTGCCCATATTTATCAGATTGATTGTTGTCTTATTACAGAATTGTAAGAATTCTTTATAATAGATACAAATCCTTTTGGTTTTGATTAAATTAACAAACTTTAAAAATAACATGATTAGTATAGAACTATAAAAAAAGTAAAGTAAATATATCTAAATAAACATTGGCTTTAGAACAAAAATCCCCCATATTTTTAGCATCAATGTTTTTCTCTTACACTCCCACTGTTAAAATTTTTTATAAAAATGTGTTTAATTGAACAGCTTTACCCTAGTGCGTTTGACTTTGCAATACTGAGAGTGTAAATGTTGGTTTGGAATATGAGTTTGTTTTATCAGAAAACAAACTACAAGGCAATTTTTTTGTTTTAATTCCCTGAAGTATATGGGTTGGTAAACTTTCCCTGTAAAGGGCCAGAGAGCAAATATTTTAGGCATTAAGAGTCACAAGATATCTGTTGCAACTCCCTGACTCTGCCTTTACATGGTAGAGCTGCACTGTCTAAGTCTCTATTGCATAGACAATATCTAAATGAATGAGTATGGCTGTGCTCCAAAAAAAAAACCTTTTTCTAAAAAATGTGATAGGTTAGATTTGGCTTCCCAACTCATACTGTAGTAGTATACACACACACACACACACACACACACACACACACACGCACACAGAGTATGCCACAAATAATGATCATATAGAATAAAGTTTATTTTTAACTTAAAAATTATGTCCCTGACAGCTATCTCTGGACTGCAGCAAAACTGGTCAGACTCTATTGCTATTGAGGCAAATTTTCAGGTTCAACCTCGGTGTCATCCAGTTAAATTTATAGAGGAAAAAAATCTGTTGTAAGGTCACAAACTGCGGTTAACTCTGATCAGATATGACATAAATCTTAGCTGGCCATCACAAGGGAAACTGGGTGGATCAATTCAAACTTACCAGTCCCATCAGAAAAGTAATTCTAAATGCACGTGAGGCTGAAAGAGCAAAAGCAACACCTCTGTATCTAAATCAGGACCCAGAATCTATAAAAATACTATATTGAAAATAAGAAGTGTATATTATTTGGAAGGAGCCTATAAATTTGCAGACAAATTACTCTGACCTGTTCATTTTCTTTTAGGACCCAATAATTTCCCTTTGATACATGTTTATATGCCATAACACTTAGAGACACTTAATGGGTTCACACTAATTATTGGATGAATTTATATGTTCTCTAATATCACTTGTGCACAAAACTCACTGAGCATGTGACTCGGTTGGTATAATATTAATTCCATTTTACCATCCAAAACTGGTTCCTCCTCCCAAGTCTCTTAGTTCTGTTAGCTCTACCATGATTGCTTCAATCACCTAGCCAAAATCCTGCCCTTGTCCAGAGGACACAACAATAAATAAAAGTTAGAGCTTATCTGGGACAGCCTTAATAATTCCCTCGTCTGGAGAACCCAAGATTATTGGAGACATTTCATTCCATTGTTAGCTTTTAACCACTGTTTTAGGCCCGATGCCTATTTTCCTTCTTATAATAAGCATTTATGATGTCCCAAGTACTATGATAGTATATTTTATAAGATTTATCTCCTTTGATCCTTACAATATAAAATAGCTATTATTATTTCCATTTCAAATAAGGCAACCAAGGCTCAGAGAAGTTAAGCAAGTTGTCTAAGTCTACACAGGTGATTAGAGGCAAGGTTTTGATTCAGTAAAATAGTCCTAAGACCTGAGGGACTTGCAGTCTAGTAGAAAAACAAAGGCACATGCAAAAACTAAACAATAAAGGAAAATATGTGCTATCAATGAGGTACCCACAGAGGACAGGCACAAAGGAGCAGTAGAGCCTGCAGAGCTAGACTAAAGTTGTATTTATTTTTTCTTTAAATCAGCGTGACTTCCAGGGCAACATTCAGCTCAGCTTTTACCCTGACGTGTTATATATTGAGCAATCTGGTACTTGGAATGTGCATCAAGAAGAAAAGATTAAATGATAAATGAGGTGGAGGTCTAGAAGCAATACAAAAAGGAGATGGGCCAGTTGAGGTTGGCACAGGGAGGCAGGAGTAGAACAGGCCTTCCGTGGTCTTGAAATTGTGTCTCTGATGTTATAGTCCATGTTATTACTCTCTTCCAATGAGCTCATACAGTCGCCATTATACAGAAAGAGTGAAAATCAAAATTATGTCATGGAAGGCCTACCTATCCAATGTGTCTTAGTTTTATGTTTCCACCAACATTGGTTAAAACTGGAGCATGCAAGTAAGATTGAACTATCAATAAGAAGGAGCACTGTGATTCTCAAAGACCAGGACCTAAGGTGGGAATTTTGTGCTGATGCTGTCAGTCTCATGTTAGCCTGTTCCCTCCAGATCCTCTGAGAATCTCCTCAAGAAGCCTCTTCAACCTGCAGTGGCACCTTCTGTCAAATACTTCACACGTTTGTCACCAAAATGTTTTGGCAGAAGCATCATCTTTAGATTTTGACATAATTCCGAAGAAAGACTTTTTCAATTATTACTAATGGAACATTATGCTCCTCTTTGAGAACCTCTGCATGAATAAAAAGGGTCATTAATGACATCTACTTTCAGCCCGGAAATCATGAGTCAGTGCTCGGCGCAGGTTTTTTGGTTGTTTTTGTCTTCTTAAGCACCTGGTAATTTCTCACTCCCTTACCACCTCTCCAACTAAAAGAGCAAGTTATTGAGTTGAATATGATAAAGTCACTGATATCAATCCCCTGCAGGTAAATGCCATCTATACTCCATTGTTTTGTTTCTCATACTATATAATAATATCTCACGTTCTTATAGCTGTTTTCATTCTGAAGCACTTTACCAGTTCTGATACTTTCTGACACTCACTGGAAGGAACTGCTTTTGTAGTAGTTCCTGTGTTCCTTTTCATGTGTGAAATACTGACTCGGGCTATTAAAATGTATGCTCAGAGGGCCAACCTAGCCAATGTGTCTTGTAGGACAATTGTTAAATAATACTTATGCCTACCTTACCTAGTGACAAATTCAACATCCAAGCCCAGTCAAGTAAAAGGGCAATAATTTTAAAGTGTGCCTAAATGTATACATACATTAAGCCAACACCAACTTAGCTCTAAAACTTCAGCTAACAATCTTGTAAGGTAGACAACAATGGTTGATTAGTTAGACCAATGACTCTTAACTCCTTTGTCCTAATATGTTCAAATATGCAAGACAGACGAAATAGAATATGGGTTAAATATTTTCCTGGCGATTGTAGATGTACCCATTCCTCCCAAATTCATACATATATATAGGAATACAGATGATCAGAGTGATTATAATAGGATAACACTGGATCTACTCTAATTTATATTTTTAAAAAGTCAACAACAAACTTTGGCTCTTTATTAGTAGGAAAAGCTTTCATTTGATATATGTCACAATACCCCAATAACAAAACATATTGCCAAATAATTATATGAAAGATGATAGGCATGTTAATTCAGTGTCTATAAAATTCATTGATCCCTTCTTTCCCCACCGTCTCTAATAATATTTTCATATAGAAAAACAATAAAAGTTGGATTGTCTGTAAGTGTAACAATTTAGGCAAATGAAAGTTATTGTCATAACTTTAAATTGCATTTTAAACAAAAAACTTATAAAGAAAAGAGGTTTAGGCTAACTGTGGTGGTTCACACCTGTAATCCCAGCACTTTGGGAGGCCAAGGTGACTAGATCACCTGAGGTCAGGAGTTTGAGACCAATCTGGCCAACACTGTGAAACCTCGCCTCTACTAAAAATACAAAAATTAGACAGGTGTCGTGGCAGGCACCTGTACTCCCAGCTACTTGGGAAGCTGAGGCCAGAGAATCACTTGAACCTGGGAGGCAGAGGTTGCAGTGAGCCAAGATCATGCCATTGCACTCCAGCCTGGGCTGCAAGAGTGAAACTCTGTCAAAAAAAAAAAAAAAAAAAAAAAAGGAAAGAGGTTTATTTGGCTTATGGCTCTGTAGGCTATACATGAAGCATGGTGCCAGCATATGTTTCTGGTGATGGCCTCAGGAAGTTTCCAATCATGGTGGAAGGTGAACGGGAGCAGTGTGTCACATGACAAAAGAGAAGCAAGAGAGAGAGGAGGAGGTGCCAGGCTCCTTTAAACAACCAGCTCTCACATGAACTAATAGAGTGAGAACTCACTCATTACCATGAGGATAGCACCAAGTCATTTATGAGGGATCTGCCCCCAGGACCCAAACAGCTCCCATTAGGCCCCAGCTCCAACATTGGAGGTCACATTATAACATAAGATTTGGAAGGGATAAATATTCAAACCACATTATTCTTTCCCTGGACCGCCAAATCTCAAGTACTTCTCACACTGAAAAAAAAAAAAAAAAAATTATGCCTTCCCAATAATCCCCAAAAGTCTTAACTCATTCCAGCATCAACTCAATCAAAAGTCCAAAGTCTAAAGTCTCATCTGAGACTCAAGGCAAGTTCCCCTATATGGTTGCAAGATCAAAAACAAGTTATTTAATTTCAAAATACAATGGCAGTATAAGCATTGGGTAAATTTTTCCATTTCAAAAGGAAGAAATCAACCAAAAGAAAATAGTGACAGGCCTCACAGAAGTCTGAAACCCAGCAGGGCAGACATTAAACCTTAAAGCTCCAAAATAATCTTCTTTGACTTCATGTCCTGCATCCTGGGAACACTGGTACAAGGGGTGGACACCTAAGGCCTTGGGCAACTCCATCTCTGTGGCTTTGCAGGGTGCAGCCCCTGTGGCTGCTTTCACGGATTGGAGTTGAGTGTCTGCAGTTTTTCTAGGCTCAGGGTGCAAGCTGCCAATGGCTCTACCATTCTCAGGTCTGAAGAGTGCTGGCCCCCTTCCCATAGCTCCACTAGGCAGTGCCCCAGTGGGGAGTCTGTGTAAGGGCTACAACCCCACATTTCCCTTTGGCACTCACCTAGTAGTCTCTGTTTATCTCTGCTCAGGGGCTCTGCTCCCACAGCAGTCTTCTGACTAGATACCCAGGCTTTCCCATACATCCTCTGAAATTTAGATGGAAGCTGCCAACCCTCCCTCACGCTTGTGTTCTGTGAGCCTACAGACTTAACCCCATATGGAGGATGCCAAAACTTATGGCTTACACCCTCTGGAGAGGTAGTCTGAGCTGTATCTAGGGCCCTTTGAGCCACAGCTGGAGCTGGAGCATGCAGCATGTGAGGAGCAGTATCTCCAGACTGAGCAGGGCAGTAGGGCCCCAGGCTTGGCCCCTGGAATCATTCTTTCCTTCTAGGCCTCTTGGCCTATAATGGGAGGTGCTGTCTAGAAGATCTCTGAAATGCCTTCAAGACCTTTATCCGTTATCCCATTGTCTTGAATATCAGCACTTCCATTTTAGTCATGCTAATCTCTTTGGCAAGGGGTTGCTCTGCAGCTTTCTTGAAAATATTCTCCTGAAAATACCCTTTCCTTCTTTATCACATGGCTAGGCTGCAAATTTTCCAAATTGTTAGGCTCTGCTTCCCTTTTAATTGTGAGTTCCAGCTTTAAGTCATTCTGTTGCTCCCATACTTGATTGTAGCCTGAATGATTTGCTGCTTAAAAATTTCTTCTACCCGATACTATAGGCCATCAATCTTAAGTTCAACATTCCACAAATATTTAGCACATGGACACAATGCAGCAAAGTTTTATGCTAGAGTATAACACATATGACCTTTACTCCAGTTCCCAATAACTTTCTCATTGCCATCTGAGATCTTGTCAGCCTGGCCTTCACTGTCCATATTTCTATCAGCATATTTATATCAGCATTTTGGTCACAACCACTTAACAAGTGTCTAAGAAGTTCCAAAATTTCCCTAATCTTCCTGTCTTCTGAGCTCTCCAAACTCTTCCAACTGCTGCCCATTACTCAGTTCCAAAGCTACTTCCACATCTTCAGGTATTTTTATAGCAACACCCCACTCCTCAGTACCAATTTTTTGTTAGTCTGTTTTTGCATTGCTCTAAAGAGATATCTGCAACTGGGTAATTTATAAAGAAAAGAGGTTTATTTGACTCACAGTTCTGCGGCAGGCTGTACATGAAGCATGGTGCCAGCATCTGCTTCAGATGAGGGCCTCAGGAAGTTTACACTCATGCTGGAAGATGAAGAGGAATGAGCATGTCACATAGCAAGAGAGGGAACAATGGCCAGGCGCAGCAGCTCACACCTGTAATCCCAACACTTTGGGATGCCGAGGCAAGTGGATCACTTGAGGTCAGGAGTTTATGACCAGCCTGGCCAACATGGTGAAACCCCCATCTCTACTAAAAATACAAAAAAAAAAAAAAAAAAAAGGGAGCAAGAACTAAATTGCTTTCTTAAATAAATATTCACATAAAATAAGGAATGTATTTTCAGCAATAAGAGCTCCAAGGCTAAAAGAAGACTCACATTTAGAAGACATGTTATGGTATATCTAGTTGATAAGAACACAAACTCTGAGGCACATTGCCAAGGTTTGAAAACTCATTCCACCAATTATGAGCTGTGTGATCTTGGACAATATATTTAATCTTCTCTGCCCCCCTGTCCTTATCTGTAACATGAGGAGTATAATAGCACACATCTTACAAAGTTGTTGTACGGATTCCATGTAAAGCTCCTGACAGCCTAGGTAACCAGAAAGACCCCTCCTCTACAAAAATAAAAATAAAAACTAGCCAGGTATAATGACACGCACTTGTAGTCCTTGCTACTCAGGAAGCTGAAGCAGGAGGATTGCTTGAGCCCAGGAGGTCAAGGCTGCAGTGAGCTATGATCACACCACTATACCCCAGCCTGGGTGAGACAGCAAGACCCTATCAAAAAAAAAAAGGCTCTTGGAACACTGCTTCATGCATAATAAGCACTCAATAAACGTGGACTACTTTTACTACATACCATGATTGAAGTCAACTTTGAAAGAATAGGTGATGTTGATGGGATTTCATATAAAATGAAGTTTCACATGAAGATCTCAAGCACCTGTAAATGTTGACTTCAACAAAATGGAACCATGAAAAAATGAAGGCTGGAGATCACATTTTTCTTTCTTGAATATATTCTCCATTTAATTATCAAAAACAACTCAATGATTAAATACAAATTATGTAAGTGTGTTGAAGAGACAGGTTGAAACAAGGTGGTTAAATATATATATAGTTCATTTACTAATTTTCCACCATTTCTAGATGCACTTTTATGCACTATGAGAAAAATAGTGTCCTGAAAGTTGCAATTTCCATGCCAAATAAGTGGAATGTGACAGTCACAACATATGTACATTATGTACATGTAGCACATAAGTAGAACTTAATACTTCAAAATGTAAAATAGATGACATATCAGTTAGGAAAGACTTTAAACCTACTACGGGCAGAGACTAGAAATAAGTGTGGTTTAAACAAGATAAAAGTGTATTCCCTATCTATCTATCTGTCCATCTAATCCAATATATAGGTGTTAAGCTCTGGAGTCATCATCATAAGAAACCAAGGTTTCTTCTACCTTTCTGCTGCCTCGTCTTTACTATGTAATATGTAGCTTTCATTGTCAAGTACACCTCCTAGACAAAAGTTTCTTCTAGAGCTACAACCATTATTCCAACATTCAAAGCAAGAAACACAGAAAAGACAGAAAAAGCAAAAAAAAAAATTAATACAATTGTTTATTCCCCATTTAAGGAGATATCTGAAAAGACCAACTCAATATCATTCACTTATACCTCATCGGTCAGAACTTCATTATGTGATCGGGCCACAACTGACTGAAAGAGAAGCTGGGAAATGTGATCTCTTTTTAATTGAGCACAATATAATCCTAAGTAAATTTGAATTCTGTTACTAAAAAAAGAAGAACACACGGTATTGAATATACAATTTACAACCTCTGTCATAGGTTGCTAAGAAGTTGTTTAGAATATGAATTTTTGTTAATCAAATTTTGTGTTTAAAATTTCTGGGTTATGATTTTATATATTCCAACTATATCAATAGGTAGGTGATAGTTTCTGGCAAAATACATTTAATAAATATTAATTAAGCACCCAATATACGTACTACATTATGGTAAACACTGGAAATAGAAAGGTAAATAAAATAGTAGGCTCCCTCAATTTTCTTAAAATGTAGAGAGGTATGTGGATAAATCAACTGCCAATTATAATAAAAATTATTAAGAAAAACTTGAGACTGCCGGGTGCGGTGGCTCATGCCTGTAATCTCAGCACTTTGGGAGGCCAAGGCAGGTGGATCACCTGAGGTCAGGAGTTCGAGACCAGCCTTTGCCAACATGGTGAAACCCCGTCTCTACTGAAAATACAAAAATTAGCCAGGCTCAGTGGTGTGCATCTGCAATCCCAGCTACTTGGGAGGCTGAGGCAGGAGAATTGCTTGAACCTGGGATGTGGAGGTTGCAGTGAGCTGAGATCACGCCACTACACTCCAGCCTGGGCAATAGAGTGAGATTCCATCTCAAAAAAAAAAAAAAGTTGAGACTTTCACCTCTGCCAAAACAGCATTATGAGCTTCATGGGTATAAAACTGGGGGAAATTATTTTTTAATACATTTTAACTATCTGAAAATGGTCCTGAGATCATACAGCAAATAACAATATTTATTCAAGAAAATAGACTAAAATTTGGTAAGAACAGAGTCTGTGATATGTGAACAAAGGCCTGCTTTCTCCATTTCCCCTCCCAACTTATTGAGATGTAAACTCTGACACAGATTGATACAGCCAAGAAGATAGGGTTTCCTCTCCACCCAGCCCACAGTTGGAGGGCTATCTTCTCAGGAAGGGTAGGACATCAGCATTTGTCATCCTGTCTTCGGCTATCTGTTACTGAGGCTAAGTTCCAGGTGATTTCAGTCAAAAGGTGAAGAACACTTCTCCTACTAACCCTCACTCATTGCATGGAGGCTCTATCTTGGGGTGGTCTGCTGAGAACACTGGGGCCCCAATTATCCTTGCTTGTGTGGAGAGGATTTCATGCAGGGAGAGGCAAGCTGAGGCTACTGCTCCTACCATGACTACCAAGTGCTTAGCTCCAAAAGCATGAGAGTCACTCAGAGAGATGTACGTAATCATCCTCACTCCCAGCTCTAGAGCCATAGCTCAGAAAATTTGCCTGAGGGAAAAAGCTATATGGCCATAAAACAGCTCTTAATATCTTCTCAGAGGAGCAGACTTTATTTCCAGCAGAGTTTGGAGAAGTTCCAAGCCCAAAGACACTCTCAAAAACAATAGAGGTTGTGGGAAAAAGCAACTAGGAGAATATTGGTAGATCCATTTGAACTATAGGCTAAACTGTAAGCCAGCTGAGTTACTGGACAGAACTAGGAAAAGAGAGAGCTGGAAGGAGCCTTCCTGGAGTCAGAACAAATTTCAAACACTAACCTCAGGAACTATCTGTTCAAAGGAGCCCAAATTTGGTGATCTTGGGTATTGCTGAAAACAATAGAGCAATCAGCTAGCAATTATTGGGGCTTAACAGCTAGTATAGTCAGAGACAGAGATAGCCAAAGAGAGCCCAGCAAAAACTACTGTCATACCAGAGTGACTATGAAAACACCCAAGGATATAACCCCCAAAAAGGAGTAACAGAGGCTTCACCCTGTGGAGGGAAAATAGACTTCAGTTAGTCACTAAACAAATAAAAAGACAATGAAAATAACAAGCTCCAGAGAGACAGAGACAATCAGAGTTGTTCATATATTATCTGAAATATCCAGTTTCCACAAAAATAAATGAGACATGTAAAGAAACAAAAAAACATGACCTGTCAACCGAAAATAAAGCAGACAATCAAAACTGTCTATGAGAGCAACCAAATATTGGATTTAACATACAAAGACCTCAAAGTAGCCATGATAAATATGTTCAAAGAACTAAAGAAAACCATAAAGAAGAAGGAAAGTTTGATGACAATGTCACAGCAATAGATAGTATTAATAAAGAGATAGAAATTATAGGCCAGGCCCAGTGGTTTTGAGAGGCCAAGACAGGAGGACTGCCTGAGCCCAGTGGTTCAAGACCAGCCTGGTCAACACAGCAAGAGAAAGAAGAAAAGAAAAGAAGAGAAGAGAAAAGAGGAGAGGAGAGGAGAAGAGAAGAGAAAAGAGGAGAGGAGAGGAGAAGAGAAGAGAAAAGAAGAGAGAGAGAGAGGGAGGGAGAGAGGGAGGGAGGGAGAGAGAGAGGGAGGACAGGAAGGAAGGAAGGGAAGGGAAGGGCAGGGAAGGGAAGGGAAGGGAAGGGAAGGGAAGGGAAGGGAGAAAAGAGGAAAGGAAGGGAGAGGAAAGGAAAGGAAGAAAGAGAGAGAAAGAAAAAGAAAAGAAAGAGGGGGAAGGGAAGGGAAGAAGGGAAGGGAAGAGAAAAAAGAGAGAGAGAAGATTTTTTTTACATATAAAGGGATCCAAAGGAAATTCTGGAGTTGAAAAGTGCAATAACTTAAAGCTAAAATCCACCAAAGGTGCTCAATAGTAGATTTAAACTGCCAAAAGAAAGAGTTAGTGAACTGGAAGATAGATTGATAGAATTTATATAATCTGGAAAATGAAAAAAATAAGAAGAAAAATGAACAGAAACTCAGAGAAAAGTAGGACACTATTAAATACATCAATATATGCATAATAGGATTACCAGAATGAGAGGAAAGAGAGAAAAGAGCTAGAAAAAAATGTTCAAAGAAATAATGACAAATCTTCTCAAATGTACTGAAAAACATTAATCTGCACATCTGGAAAGCTCAAGGACTCCAAGTAGGATAAACAGAGAGATTTACAAATATAGACATCATAGTAAAAATGCTAAATTGCAAAGGAGAAATTCACAAAAGCAGGAAGAGAAAAATGACTCATCAATTACATGGAAACCCAAATAAGATTAGGATAAATTCCAATCAGAAACAATGGAGAGCAGAAGCAGTAGGATAACATATTCAAAGTACTCGAAGAAATGAACCAAGAATCCTATACCCAGCAAGGCTATCTTTCCTAATTAAAGGTGAAATAAAGACATTTGGCCAGGCGTGGTGGTTCACGCCTGTATTCCCAGCACTTTGGGAGGCTGAGGCAGGCGTATCACCTGAGGTCAGGAGTTTGAGACCAACCTGGCCAACATGGCAAAGCCCCATCTCTACTAAAAATGCAAAAAATTAGCCAGGCATGGTGGTGCATGCCTCCCAGCTACTTAGGAGGCTGAAACAGGAGAATTGCTTGAACCTGAGAGGCGGAGGTTGCAGTGAGCTGAGATGGCACCACTGCACTCCAGCCTGAGTGACAGAGGGAGACTCTATCCCTCCCCCGCAAAAAAAAGGAAATAAAGACATCTTTACATAAACGAAAACTGACAATTTGTTTTGATATATTTTGACCCACATTATAAAAAATACTAAAGGAAGTTATTCAGGCTGAAAGCAAGTAACTCCAGAGAGGAATTCAAAGCTACATGATAAAACAAAGAGTATCAGTAAAGGTCATTGTTGTTATCAAAGATAGTGCAAATACAGATTTCTTTACCTCTATTCTCTTAACTGATTTCAAAAGCAATTGGAAACAACAGTACATATAAAATATTTTGTTGGGTCTACAACATACAAAAATGTAATATATATGCCAATAACAATACAAAGAACGTGGGTGGGAGCTAAGTCATATTGTTAAGTTACCATAGATAACTTCATCCATAGGAACAAATGCAAAGAATCAGAAAATAACTAAGGACAATATTTTTAAAAGCATAAATGTATACTTGCTTTCCTTTCTTCTCTCATTTTATCTAAAAGTCATAAAATTATATAAAGTAATAATTATAGCAATGTCTTATTGAGTTTATAACACTTTTTTAAATTACAGATATAAATCCAGTTATATGAAAAATAACATTAAATGTGAGTGGATTAAAAAACCTAATGAAAAGACAGGTTGTCAAACTGAAAAATAAAAAAAAACCCAGCTACATGCTATCTCTAGGAGATACACTTTAGAATCAAAGATGCCATAGATTGGAAAGAAAACCATGGAAAAGACATATTATGCAAATGGCAACCACAAGAAAGCTGGAGTGCTCATAATAAAATCAGACAAAATATACTTTAAAATAAAAAAAGCTACTAGAGACTAAAAAGGACATTTTAAAAATCGTAAAATAATCAATTGATCATTATCCCACTATTATTACATGCATATATATTTTTAATATAAAAACTGTAAGCATATGTTCACATAAGAGAGTACCAAAATACAGAAGAGAAAAACAGACAGGAAACAGGAAGAAATAACAAATCAACAATAATAATGGAGACTTCCATACTCCCCTTTCAATAATGTATATAACTACAGAAAAGATCAACAAAGAGACCTAACAGAGATCTATAGAACACTACACCCCAAATAGGAGAATAGATATTGTTCTCAAATGCATGTGAAACATTCTCCAGAACACAAGACATGCTGGGCCAAAAAAAACAATAAGTTTACATGGATAGAAATATTACAAATTATGTTCTCCAACCACAGAATTTAGGGGTTAATAAGAGAAAGAAATGTGAGAAACTCAGCTATGTGGAAAGTAAACAGTATACACCTAAGTAACCAATGAATCAAAGAAGAAATAAAAATGGAAATTAGAAAATACTTTATGTAACATGAAAATGAAGACTCAATATACCAAAATATGGGATATACCTAACAAATATCTTAAAACAAAATTTGTAGACATAAATGCCTACATTTAAAAAGAGTCTGGGTGTGGTGGCTCAAACCTCTAATCCCAGCACTTTGGGAGAAGCCAAGGTGGGAGGATTGCATGAGGCCAGGAGTCTGAGGTTACACTGAGCTATGATCTCATCACTGCACTCCAGCTTGAGCGACAGAGCAAGACCTTGTCTCTAAAAATGATAATTTTAAGAGAAAAGAAATAACATCTAAAATCAATAAACTTTCACCTAAATACACAGGGGAAAAAAGCTAAACAAAACCTAAAGCAGAAGCAAACAGAAAAAAGAAAATAATGAATATTAGACCAGAAATCAAAGAAATATAGAAAAAACAATAGAGAAAAATCAATAAACAAAAGCTGATTCTCCGAAAAGATCAAAGAAATTGACAAACCTTTGGCTGAATTGACCAAGAAATAAAGACAAAACTCAAATTATTAGAATCAGAAATGAAAAAAGAACACATTATTATCAACCTTTCAGAAACAAAAAATACAAAAGAATAAGATGGAATTGTACACCGACAGACTTCAGTAAAGTTTCAGGATACAAAACCAATGTACAAAAATCAGTAGCATTTCTATACACCAGAAATGTTCAATCTGGGAGCCAAGTCAAGACAGCCATAAAAATAAATGAGATCCTGTCATTGGCAACAACATGGATAGAACCGGAGGTCATTATGCTAAGTGAAATAAGCCAGGCACAGAAAGACAAACTTCACATGCTCTCACTTATTTGTGAGATCTAAAAATCAAAACAATTGAACTTATGGAGATAGAGAGTAGAAGGATGGTTACCAGACCTGAGAAGGGTAGTAGGAGGATGGGAGGAAGGAGGGGATGGTTAATGGGTACCAAAAAAAAACCAGAAAGAATAAATAAGACCTTGTATTTGATAGCACAACTGGGTAACTGCAGTCAATAATAATTTAATTGTACATTTTAAACAACTAAAAGAGCATAACTGGCTTGTTTGTAACGAAAAGGATAAATGCTTGAGGGGATGAATGCCCCATTTTACATGATGTAATTTTTACACATTGCATGCTTGTATCAAAACATCTCATGTACCCCATAAATATATACACCTACTATCTACCCACAAAAATTAAAAATTTTAAAAAGAGTCAACCTAAATAAATCTATGACAAATAAAGGCATTGAATTAGTAACCAAAAAACTATTCACAAAAGCCTAGATTCAGAAGATTTCATAGGTGATTTATACCAAATATTTTTAAAAGAATTCATATCAATTCTTTCAAAAAATAAGAGAGGGAATACTAACCAACTCATTATGTGAGACCAACACTGGCTGATACTAAAGCCAGACAAAGTATCACAGGAAGAGAAAACTACAGACCAATATCTCATGAAAATAGATGCAAAAATTCTCAATGAAGTACAAGCACGACCAAATTCTGCAATAAATAAAAAGCATTATATACCATAACCAAGTGGGATTTATCCTAGGAATGTAAGTTTGTTTTAACATCTGAAAATCTATTCATGTAATACACCACATCAATAGAATTTTTTTAAACCCACATGATCATCTCAATAGACATGAAAAAAAGCTATTTCCCAAATCCAGTATCCTTTCATGATAAAAACACTCAACAAACTAAAAATATAAGAGAGAATCCTTGGCCAGGTTGTGGTGGCTCACGCCTGTAATCCCAGCACTTTGGGAGGCCAAGGCAAGCAGATCACCTAAGGTCGGGAGTTCAAGAGCAGCCTGGCCAACATGGTGAAACTCTGTCTCTACTAAAAATACATAAATTACCCAGGCATGGTGGCATGTATCTGTAGCCTCAGCTACTCGGGAGGCTGAGGCAGGAGAATCACTTGAACCCGGGAGGCAGGGGTTGCAGTGAGCCAAGATCGCACCACTGCACTCCAGCCTGGGTGACAGAGTAAGACTCTGTCTCAAAAAAATAAAAAGTAAAAATAAAACCCTTTTGTGCTGCAAAATACACTATAGGCCGGGCGCGGTGACTCACGCCTGTAATCCCAGCACTTTGGGAGGCCGAGGCGGGCGGATCACGAGGTCAGGAGATCGAGACCATCCCGGCTAAAACGGTGAAATCCCGTCTCTACTAAAAATACAAAAAATTAGCCGGGCGTAGTGGCGGGCGCCTGTAGTCCCAGCTACTTGGGAGGCTGAGGCAGGAGAACGGCGTGAACCCGGGAGGCAGAGCTTGCAGTGAGCCGAGATCCCGCCACTGCACTCCAGCCTGGGTGACAGAGCGAGACTCCGTCTCAAAAAAAAAAAAAAAAAAAAAAATACACTATAAAGAAAGCGAAAAGACAGCCTACAGAATAAGAGAAAACATTTCCAAATCATATTTCTGAAAAGGAACTTGTATCTAAAATATTTAAAGAACACTTGGCTGGGTGCGGTGGCTCAAGCCTGTAATCCCAACACTTTGGGAGGCTGAGATGGGTGGATCACTTGAGGTCAGGAGTTGAAGATCACTCTGGGCAACATGGTGAAACCCCATTTCTACTAAAAATACAAAAAAATTAGATGGGCATGGTGGCAGGAGCCTGTAGTCCCACCTACTTGGGAGGCTGAGGCTGCAGAATCACTTGAACCCGGGAGGCAGAGGTTGCAGTGAGCCAAGATTGTGCCATTGTGCTCCAGGATGGGTGACAGTGAGACTCCGTCTCAAAAAAAAATTTTTTTTTAAAAGGAACACTTATAACTCAATAATAAAAAGATAAATAACCCAATTGTAAAATGGACACAGGATCTGAAGAGATAGTTCTCTAAAGAAGACACACGAATGTCCAATAACCACATTGAAATATGGTCAGCATCATTAGAAAAATGCAAATCAGAATCACAAGTTACCACTTGGGCAGGGAGGAGCCAAGATGGCCGAATAGGAACAGCTCCAGTCTACAGCTACCAGCCTGAGCGAGGCAGAAGACAGGTGATTTCTGCATTTCCATCTGAGGTACCGGGTTCATCTCACTAGGGAGTGCCAGACAGTGGGCGCAGGTCAGTGTGTGTGCACACCGTGCGCGAGCCGAAGCAGGGCGAGGCATTGCCTCACTTGGGAAGCGCAAGTGGTCAGGGAGTTCCCTTTCCGAGTCAAAGAAAGGGGTGACGGACAGCACCTGGAAAATCGGGTCACTCCCGCCGGAATACTGCGCTTTTCCGACGGGCTTAAAAAACGGCGCACCGCGAGATTATATCCCGCACCTGGCTCGGAGTGTCCTATGCCCACGGAGTCTCGCTGATTGCTAGCACAGCAGTCTGAGATCAAACTGCAAGGCGGCAGCGAGGCTGGGGGAGGGGCGCCCGCCATTGCCCAGGCTTGATTAGGTAAACAAAGCAGCCGGGAAGCTCGAACTGGGTGGAGCACACCACAGCTCAAGGAGGCCTGCCTGCCTCTGTAGGCTCCACCTTTGGGGGCAGGGCACAGACAAACAAAAAGACAGCAGTAACCTCTGCAGACTTAAATGTCCCTGTCTGACAGCTTTGAAGAGAGCAGTGGTTCTCCCAGCATGCAGCTGGAGATCTGAGAACAGGCAGACTGCCTCCTCAAGTGGGTCCCTGACCCCTGACCCCCAAGCAGCCTAACTGGGAGGCACCCCCCAGCAGGGGCACACCGACATCTCACACAGCAAGGTATTCCAACAGACCTGCAGCTGAGGGTCCTGTCTGTTAGAAGGAAAACTAACAAACAGAAAGGACATCCACACCAAAAACCCATCTGTACATCACCATCATCAAAGACCAAAAGTAGATAAAACCACAAAGATGGGGAAAAAACAGAATAGAAAAACTGGAAACTCTAAAAAGCAGAGCGCCTCTCCTCCTCCAAAGGAACGCAGTTCCTCACTAGCAACGGAACAAAGCTGGATGGAGAATGACTTTGACAAGCTGAGAGAAGAAGGCTTCAGACGATCAAATTACTCTGAGCTACGGGAGGACATTCAAACCAAAGGCAAAGAAGTTGAAAACTTTGAAAAAAATTTAGAAGAATGTATAACTAGAATAACCAATACAGAGAAGTGCTTAAAGGAGCTGATGGAGCTGAAAACCAAGACTTGAGAACTACGTGAAGAATGCAGAAGCCTCAGGAGCCGATGCGATCAACTGGAAGAAAGGGTATCAGCAATGGAAGATGAAATGAATGAAATGAAGCGAGAAGGGAAGTTTAGAGAAAAAATAATAAAAAGAAATGAGCAAAGCCTCCAAGAAATATGGGACTATGTGAAAAGACCAAATCTACGTCTGATTGGTGTACCTGAAAGTGATGGGGAGAATGGAACCAAGTTGGAAAACACGCTGCAGGATATTATCCATGAGAACTTCCCCAATCTAGCAAGGCAGGCCAACATTCAGATTCAGGAAATACAGAGAACGCCACAGAGATGCTCCTCGAGAGGAGAAACTCCAAGACACATAATTGTCAGATTCACCAAAGTTGAAATGAAGGAAAAAATGTTAAGGGCAGCCACAGAGAAAGGTTGGGTTACCCTCAAAGGGAAGCCCATCAGACTAACAGCAGATCTCTCGGCAGAAACCCTACAAGCCAGAAGAGAGTGGGGGCCAATATTCAACATTCTTAAAGAAAAGAATTTTCAACCCAGAATTTCATATCCAGCCAAACTAAGCTTCATAAGTGAAGGAGAAATAAAATACTTTACAGACAAGCAAATGCTGAGAGATTTTGTCACCACCAGGCCTGCCCTAAAAGAGCTCCTGAAGGAAGCGCTAAATATGGAAAGGAACAACCAGTACCAGCTGCTGCAAAATCATGCCAAAATGTAAAGACCATCGAGACTAGGAAGAAACTGCATCAACTAACTAGCAAAATAACCAGCTAACATCATAATGACAGGATCAAATTCACACATAACAATATTAACTTTAAATGTAAATGGACTAAATGCTCCAATTAAAAGACACAGACTGGCAAATTGGATAAAAAGTCAAGACCCATCAGTGTGCTGTATTCAGGAAACCCATCTCACGTGCAGAGACACACATAGGCTCAAAATAAAAGGATGGAGGAAGATCTACCAAAATGGAAACAAAATGGAAAACAAAATGGAAAACAAAAAAAGGCAGGGGATGCAATCCTAGTCTCTGATAAAACAGACTTTAAATCAACAAAGATCAAAAGAGACAAAGAAGGCCATTACATAATGGTAAAGGGATCAATTCAACAAGAAGAGCTAACTATCCTAAATATATATGCACCCAATACAGGAGCACCCAGATTCATAAAGCAAGTCCTGAGTGACCTACAAAGAGACTTAGACTCCCACACATTAATAATGGGAGATTTTAACACCCCACTGTCAACATTAGACAGATCAACGAGACAGAAAGTCAACAAGGATACCCAGGAATTGAACTGAGCTCTGCACCAAGCGGACCTAATAGATATCTACAGAACTCTCCACCCCAAATCAACAGAATATACATTTTTTTCAGCACCACACCACACCTACTCCAAAATTGACCACATACTGGGAAGTAAAGCTCTCCTCAGCAAATGTAAAAGAACAGAAATTATAACAAACTATCTCTCAGACCACAGTGCAATCAAACTAGAAATCAGGATTAAGAATCTCACTCAAAACCACTTAACTACATGGAAACTGAACAACCTGCTCCTGAATGACTACTGGGTACATAACGAAATGAAGGCAGAAATAAAGATGTTCTTTGAAACCAATGAGAACAAAGACACAACATACCAGAATCTCTGGGACACATTCAAAGCAGTGTGTAGAGGGAAATTTGTAGCACTAAATGCCCACAAGAGAAAGTAGGAAAGATCCAAAATTGACACCCTAACATCACAATTAAAAGAACTAGAAAAGCAAGAGCAAACACATTCAAAAGCTAGCAGAAGGCAAGAAATAACTAAAATCAGAGCAGAACTGAAGGAAATAGAGACACAAAAAACCCTTCAAAAAATTAATGAATTCAGGAGCTGGTTTTTTGAAAGGATCAACAAAATTGATAGACTGCTAGCAAGACTAATAAAGAAGAAAGAGAGAAGAATCAAATAGATGCAATAAAAAATGATAAAGGGGATATCACCACCGATCCCACAGAAATACAAACTACCATCAGAGAATACTACAAACACCTCTACACAAATAAACTAGAAAATCTAGAAGAAATGGATAAATTCCTCGACACATACACCCTCCCAAGACTAAACCAGGAAGAAGTTGAATCTCTCAATAGACCAATAACAGGCTCTGAAATTGTGGCAATAATCAATAGCTTGCCAACCAAAAAGAGTCCAGGACCAGATGGATTCACAGCCGAATTCTACCAGAGGTACAAGGAGGAACTGGTACCATTCCTTCTGAAACTATTCCGATCAATAGAAAAAGAGGGAATCCTCCCTAACTCATTTTATGAGGCCAGCATCATGCTGATACCAAAGCCAGGCAGAGACACAACAAAAAAAGAGAATTTTAGACCAATATCCTTGATGAACATTGATGCAAAAATCCTCAATAAAATACTGGCAAACCAAATCCAGCAGCACATCAAAAAGCTTATCCACCATGATCAAGTGGGCTTCATCCCTGGGATGCAAGGCTGGTTCAATATACGCAAATCAATAAATGTAATCTAGCATATAAACAGAGCCAAAGACAAAAACCACATGATTATCTCAATAGATGCAGAAAAAGCCTTTGACAAAATTCAACAACCCTTCATGCTAAAAACTCTCAATAAATTAGGTATTGATAGGACGTATTTCAAAATAATAAGAGCTATCTATGACAAACCCACAGCCAATATCATACTGAATGGGCAAAAACTGGAAGCATTCACTTTGAAAACTGGCACAAGACAGGGATGCCCTCTCTCACCACTCCTATTCAACATAGTGTTGGAAGTTCTGGCCAGGGCAATTAAGCAGGAGAAGGAAATAAAGGGTATTCAATTAGGAAAAGAGGAAGTCAAATTGTCCCTGTTTGCAGACGACATGATTGTATATCTAGAAAACCCCATCGTCTCAGCCCAAAATCTCCTTAAGCTGATAAGCAACTTCAGCAAAGTCTCAGGATACAAAATCAATGTACAAAAATCACAAGCATTCTTATACACCAACAACAGACAAACAGAGAGCCAAATCATGAGTGAACTCCCATTCACAATTGCTTCAAAGAGAATAAAATACCTAGGAATCCAACTTACAAGGGATGTGAAGGACCTCTTCAAGGAGAACTACAAACCACTGCTCAAGGAAATAAAAGAGGATACAAACAAATGGAAGAACATTCCATGCTCATGGGTAGGAAGAATCAATATCGTGAAAATGGCCATACTGCCCAAGGTAATTTACAGACTCAATGCCATCCCCATCAAGCTACCAATGACTTTCTTCACAGAATTGGAAAAAACTACTTTAAAGTTCATATGGAACCAAAAAAGAGCCCGCATCGCCAAGTCAATCCTAAGCCAAAAGAACAAAGCTGGAGGCATCACACTACCTGACTTCAAACTATACTACAAGGCTACAGTAACCAAAACAGCATGGTACTGGTACCAAAACAGAGATATAGATCAATGGAACAGAACAGAGCCCTCAGAAATAACGCCACATATCTACAACTATCTGATCTTTGACAAACCTGAGAAAAACAAGCAATGGGGAAAGGATTCCCTATTTAATAAATGGTGCTGGGAAAACTGGCTAGCCATATGTAGAAAGCTGAAACTGGATCCCTTCCTTACACCTTATACAAAAATCAATTCAAGATGGATTAAAGACTTAAATGTTAGACCTAAAACCATAAAAACCCTTGAAGAAAACCTAGGCATTACCATTCAGGACATAGGCATGGGCAAGGACTTCATGTCTAAAACACCAAAAGCAATGGCAACAAAAGACAAAATTGACAAATGGGATCTAATTAAACTAAAGAGCTTCTGCACAGCAAAAGAAACTACCATCAGAGTGAACAGGCAACCTACAGAATGGGAGAAAATTTTTGCAACCTACTCATCTGACAAAGGGCTAATATCCAGAATCTACAATGAACTCAAACAAATTTACAAGAAAAAAACAAACAACCCCATCAAAAAGTGGGCAAAGGACATGAACAGACACTTCTCAAAAGAAGACATTTATGCAGCCAAAAAACACATGAAAAAATGCTCATCATCACTGGCCATCAGAGAAATGCAAATCAAAACCACAATGAGATACCATCTCACACCAGTTAGAATGGCAATCATTAAAAAGTCAGGAAACAACAGGTGCTGGAGAGGATGTGGAGAAATAGGAACACTTTTACACTGTTGGTGGGACTGTAAACTAGTTCAACCATTGTGGAAGTCAGTGTGGCGATTCCTCAGGGATCTAGAACTGGAAATACTATTTGACCCAGCCATCCCATTACTGGGTATATACCCAAAGGACTATAAATCATGCTGCTATAAAGACACATGCACACGTATGTTTATTGTGGCATTATTCACAATAGCAAAGACTTGGAACCAACCCAAATGTCCAACAATGATAGACTGGATTAAGAAAATGTGGCACATATACACCATGGAATACTATGCAGCCATAAAAAATGATGAGTTCATGTCCTTTGTAGGGACATGGGTGAAATTGGAAATCATCATTCTCAGTAAACTATCGCAAGAACAAAAAACCAGACACCGCATATTCTCACTCATAGGTGGGAATTGAACAACGAGATCACATGGACACAGGAAGGGGAATATCACACTCTGGGGACTGTTGTGGCGTGGGGGTAGGGGGGAGGGATAGCATTGGGAGATATACCTAATGCTAGATGACGAGTTAGTGGGTGCAGCGCACCAGCATGGCACATGTATACATATGTAACTAACCTGCACAATATGCACATGTACCCTAAAACTTAAAGTATAATAATAAAAAAAAAAAGTTACTACTATACATCCCTTAGTTTTGCTATTGTAAACAATAAATAAATAAATTGCGAATAACAAGTATTGTCAAGGATGTGGAGAAATCAGAACACTCATATATTGCTGATGAGAATGTGAAATGATGCAGGCACTTAGATCTGGTCAGAAGTTCCACAAAGGGTGATAGAGTTTCTATATGACCCATTGATTCTACTCCTAAGTATCTAACTTAGAGAAATAAAACAATATGTCCACAAAAAAGTTGCACACAAATGCTTATAGTAGCATCATTTATAATAGCCAAAAGATGGAAACAACTAAAATGTCCATCAACTGATGAATGAATAAACACTTTTGGTTGTCCATATAATGGGTTATTCTTCAGCCATAAAAAAGAATGAAGTACATCCTACAACATAGATGACCTTGATAATGTTCTGCTCTGTGAAAGAAGTCAGGCACAAAAGACCACATATTATATGATTCCGCTCATATCAAATATTCAGATTAGGCAAATACCAAATACAGAGAGTATATTAGCAGTTGCTTACGGTTGTGGAGATGGAGGGACAGAGGAAGGAATAGGTGGTGATAGCTAGAATTGCAGGGTTTCTTTTCGAGATGATGAAAATCAGCAGCCTGGTCTTTGTGATGGTGGGTCTTGGAGCCACCAGTGTTGTCATTTTCTCCTTCCTCCTCTATTCTCAATTCCTCATCTTTAACCATCACCTCTGCAGGTCTTGGCTTATCTAAGGATGTGACTCAAAACTTTATTCCTCAGGAGTCTGAGCCATTGGTAATCATATCCTTCCCTGGCCAGCATACAGTTTGTGTCTACTTAGAACTACAAATGAGAATCGCGGGAATCAAATTACAAAGGCAAATCGAGAAGCACACAAGTGGATCACTGTGTTTCATACCAAAAGTTCCCCTCCCTCCTCCTGTTACTCAAGGTCAATTATTCCTTCAAAGATGCTGACGCTTGTTGCCTGCTGGTTCATGACACAAACAATTCAAAATGCCTAGGGTGCAGTCATATTTTATAGTTTAATAGGACTCCTTACTGTGCTCCCAAGAAAGACTGAATCTGCTTTGGAAGTGAGAAGTAAGTGGTTCGGGACAAATTATACTGGGTCAAAAGACTTAATGGTCTCTGCTACTCAATGTGTGGGTACAAGCAAAAAATGAACAACTATCATAGCCACACTCAGAAGTGGCTTTTGAAGTTTGAGCGTTTGGAGGCAGCAATACCTACATTGGCCTTGTTAAGTTGGAATTCATATAGCGGAGCCCATACCTAGTCTCCATCTCTGCCACCGTGTGCCTGCCCACTGTTTATTTGCCTATTCAGTCAGTCCCAAGACGGCCAATGATGAAGGCTGACTAATGTCTACTGGCTGAGTCATTGTAATCATTTGGTGATTTAGTGTCTCTTCTGTGATGGATGTTTTCACGGTGTTAACATGTGGGACAAAAAAGCTTCACACTTTATGCTCACTCACATTTGTGCAACACATCATCTTCCCCAGGCCTTCTTGTCTTTGAGTTTCCAGTCCTTTTCATTTCAAGTCTCTGCCCAGTGGTCCATTGACCACCACCCAGGATTCTATATATATATATATATATATTCTCACCTTAATTCACTTTTTCTTACAAATAAAGTGAATGACCAGGTGCAACATTAGAAATCCCATCCACTGGGAAAATTTTTCTCTCCATGTCTTTCAAAGCCACCCCTGAAAGTGGCTGTAAGGTCGTTACTGTTATTTCTTGGTGTGTACCCACACACTGAGCTGGCCTATTTGTAAACTAACATTAGCTTTTTCCTTCTCTTTCAGCTGGTTGTATGGGGCACTATATACAGCCATAAGTGCAAGTCTGGGGAGGCATATTGGTATAAACATGGTAGTGGTATGGGCATCTGGACTACTTGTTTATGTAAGTTTGGTCCTGCTTAGGCACAATACTCAGTGCACCAATTCTGCTTTGTGACAAACTACTGCTAGATATATCTGTCTTAATGATTTCATCTCAAAATGAACAATTCTAGACATATTGTCACTTGACGCTCCATGGTCAAGTCTTCTATCTCTACCAAGGCCCACTGACACACCAGGAACTGTTTTTCAAAAGATGCAAAATTATCCAATGCAAATGGCACTGTTTTGCTCCAGAACCCCAGGACAATGATTTCTTCCACTAGGGCTTGCTATAAGTTTTATATCTCCAACAACATAGCATCTGTCACTGCTTCCTACATGATCCTTACACTAATAGACTGGCCCTTTCCTAAGCCAAACCCCACCCTAATCTGTCAGAGATATAGAATCTTCTATATCACAAGATATATGGGCCAGAACAGTATTTCTGGGTATGCAGTATGTTGCCTCTATAATCCAGAATGTCCTACAAGGTGCTATACTTCCTACTTTAAGATAAAGATGCGGCCAGGCACGGTGGCTCATGCCTGTAATCCCAGCACTTTGGGAGACTGAGGCAGGCACCTGTAGTCCGAGCTACTCAGGGGGCTGAGGCAGGAGAATCTCTTGAACCCAGGAAGCAGAGGTTACAGTGAGCTGAGATCACACCACAGCACTCCAGCATGGGTGACAGAGCGAGACTCCGTCTATAAACTTTGCCAAAGTGGAAGACCTTTGAATCTTCACAGGATTTATCTCCCATAGTCTGGAATACTTGTGTCTAAGCAATTTCTCCAATGTACCAAGTACCTCTTGTTTATCCTGTCCAAACAGCATGATATAATTGATAAAATGAATCAATGTTACATTCTGTGGGATGTCCAGACACTCCAGATCTCTCTGGGCTACAACAAAGGGCAAGAGAGTTAACATAGTCTTGGGGTAAAACTGTAAATGATTTTTTTTGTTCATTCCACATGACTGCACACTGTTTCTGATCCTCCCTTCTGATTGGAATAGAAAAGAAAGCATTCATCAAATCAATAGCCTCCTACCATGCACTGAGGCCTTTATTAATCTTCTCTACCAAAGATACCACACTTGAAATAGCAGCTATAATTAGGGCTACTACTCTGTTGAACTTGTGGTGATCTACAGTGATTTTCCAGGATGCATCCAATTTCTTCAGGGGCCAGACTAACAAATAAAATAGAGATATAACAGAACTCATCACTTTCACATTCATCCTTTAGATATTTAATGCAACACAAACCTCCACCAACCCCCTACCACCAATGGAAATGATATTACTTTTTTACTATTTTGGCTTGGGAGAATAGGAGAGAAGCAGTGTCTGAACCTTCTACTTAGTCTTTCCCACATGATAGCTCTTGCCCCACAGGTCAAGAACCCACTTGGAGAATTACACCAATCACTAAGTATGTCAATTCCAATCACAAACTCAGGGACTGTGAGGATGACCTCTAGGAGGATCTGTGGACATTGTAGGCCTGCTGTAAGAAGGACTTTTTTTAGGACTCCATTTATGACCTGGCTACCATAAGCCTACACTCTAATAGAAGGTCATGATTATACTTTGGGTTCCTGGATACCAATGTCAACACAAATCCTATATTTAATAGTCCTTGAAATGTCTCGTATTTCTCTTTCCCCAGTGTACAGTCATCTGAGTAAATGGCCACAGGTCCCTTTGGGGAAAGGCAGAGGCAATTAGTACACCATATATTTGTTTTGGCATTACAGAGCCCCTTACCCTAGGGACCAAGCCATCACTTCTTTCAGTGGGTCCTAGATCTGAAAATTCACTTTGACCCAGAAACTGAAAAAGGGATCATGCCTTTTTATTGGGGTATCCACTCTTATCTTCCTGCTCCTCCATTCTTGCTTTCTTCTCATTGTAGATGTTGTTCAGTAGTAAACTTACTGGCTTCCCATCTGTTTTGCCCCAAGGTATGGTATGCTCTGTTAACCATCTTCACAACTCCCTGCAGATTAAGACTCTTTGCCTCTTCAACCTTACCAGTCATTGTAGTGCTTGTAGCTCTGATTTTCTAGCAGTTTAGTACCTCCACGTTACCTCTATTACTATGGCACCTATGGCATCTCCATGGTTATTAATGAGTCTAGGTGCATGCCCATCTTCCCTAATATCATCTCTGGTCACCACTGAACTTCTTAGTGATTTTGGTGCCATTCTCACCAGCTCAGTTCTGATGACATTGGAGAATGGTATGGCACTCTCATGGAACATAATCCTCTGATGGGTTTCCTAGCCTCACATAATACATCCATTCTGGTATCCCTACTTTCCTCAGCCTCTTCTTTCTTCCTTTACTGTCCACTAGGGCAACTCAGGCATTTCCACTTTGCTTTGTATGTCTCATTGCTCTCTCCAGGCTTACAAAGAGCCACTTCAGCAGCAAGTTTGCCCCAAGTGTTAAATCCCATGTCCTGTGAGAGTGCCCCAAGTCAATAAATTCTTGCTTATCCAATCTTATGTTCTATCTCCTTTGATCAAAACCCCTCAAAATTCAATTTCAAGATATTCCCCCAGCTCCTGCCAGTGCATGTTGAGTAATTCTCACAGCTCCTTTTGGTTGCAATCTCTTTCCTCACTTATTAGGCCCAGCTAGGTCATGCTGGCAGTTAACCCTGGTTATTGGCATGGCAGCCAAGAGAGGAGATGTAGTTAGCTCCTAAGGGGGCCACCTATTGCCTTGTAGTAGAGCAGCCTCTGCAGTAGCTTCTCACATGGTGAAAGTGTTACCTCTTACTGAAGAGGATTGGGCCACCTCTGTTATAGCCAAAATCCTCAGAGATAACCCACCAAGATGTCCTCATTCCATGCCTTAGTGTCCTGGGCTTTTCCAACCAAGGCCCTGACTTCAACATAACAGACCTACTTTGGCTAAGCCTTGAAATAAATACCTCTGGAGCTCTGTGACCTGAACTGTCAGATCCTGAGCTCAATCCTCCTACTGTGTGAGATAAGGACCTCTTCATAAGCTAAGCATAGACTTTAATAGCCCACACTTTCTCATCACTTTTCAAGGTATCAGTACAATTTAGTAACAACCAGCCAGATCCACTGTCCTTGTATGCGTTGCACACTGTAGCTTTCAAATGAGTATGTTTCTCTCCACTAGGACTTTTTCTTAGAAAACACAGGTGAAATGCGTGGCAATGGGACTGCCACCTTGCTCTGAGACTATCCTTTTCCCACTCAGGATGGGAGACTTCTTGCCAGATGAGCAATGAGTGGACCTGTCTTTAATCCCTTCTTACTGCTTATTCTCTAGAGCACTCCCAGCACCACTTTCATCAGTTAGGAATCTCCAAGAAGCAGATGCCAAATTGAAATCTGACATGTCAAATATTTACTGGGGAAATGCCTATGAAGAGTAAAGGGGGAGGGGGCACATAAACATGATGAAGAACTGTCACCTCTGAGTGGAGAGAGAAGGAAGAATTGGGTAAGAAGAACTTCAGATGGTAGAGAAGTTCTCAGACGATCATGATAGGAAATCACCAACCAAAGTTGTTTACTAGAGGAATCCTATGTTAGGAAGGAATGGCCTGGTTCCAATATCACTGCCTTGCTCAGGCATTGGCTGGGAAGCATGGGTGCAGAGGGAATACCCTAGTGGATCCAAAAACCAGCAACTGGAGCAAATCAATCAACTATAATTCTCTCTTTAAAGAGAGATCTGAGCAGGGCATTTTCAAGGCTGCCACAAGACTATACCTTTTTTCCTTGTAAATCCACTACAGTTCCATTAAAATGCCCATAGAACTGCTACCAATTGTTTTTATTTGAAAGATTATTTTATAAAACATTACACTGTTGTCAGTTATATACCAAACTCATGCTCACACGACATTTAAAAAGTCAGTACTGGATTTATATAAAAGAATAAAATGACAGAGTTCATCCAAATGCCTCTGAGCATTTTATCAAAGCTCCGGGCTGTTTAGCCAAGCCAGAGGGAGCATTGTGCCGTGTTCAGCTGCCAAGACCATATAGACAGTGAGCACTGCATGACAACTTCAGACAGCTATCTCACCAGCACAGACCCTTAGTCACAAGAAAAAAATAACAAGCAGTTATTCAACACAAACTTATTCCTGTAGTCACAAAGCCTGTTAGTGCCATACCAGGAGAGGAAACTGGGTCTACTAATGGCCAACATCGGCAGTCGTCTGCATAGTTCTCCTTCTAAAATTTAAATCAAGATATAGCGATCCTATATCCATGCTCCTTTTCTCCCAGTGAGAGACTCCACTGATTTCCTTAATAGCAATCAACAGGCAACTGTACCAAGATGCCTTATTTTACATTTACCCTGCCTCATCTGAAAATTAATATCTACTCCATCACTATCCTACATCTTAAGTTCACAAAGTATTGGCCTGTATACAGCAGGCACTCTTCATTCTCACAGAAGGAACAATCATCCCTAATTCCATGATGCTATCAGGCAGCCCTGATATGTCATCATGTGTTAATGACCTCATTAGATTAAAACCTGTTCTAGGAAGCTTAATTTAAAGTGACTTGTGATTGTCTTCCAAGTCCTTACTATGAAGAACCCTCAAAGGGAATGGCCAGAGTCAGTTTGCCCAAAGGAAGAAGAGCGAGCAGAAGACGACAACTCCCACCCTTGCCAAACACCTGTGAGGTGACAGACACCATAGAGAGTCCATGTTTAAAATGGGTTATTAAGGTAATATGCCAACATGTTCTCCATAACTCTTTGGCTTCCAAGAGATAAAAATCCTACTTGATTAACCTTTAACTTAAAAAAGAAGAGTCCACGGACATAGCTGGTTTCGGACATAGTTGATTTATGATCTTCAGTAACCGCTCCCCTCCCTCTTTCTCTCTCCCTCTCTCTCTCTCTCTCTCCCCCTCCCATCCTTCCTCTGCATTGGTTTGATTTTGAGGCCCATTCTTTCTGCATGGTGGCAAAGAAGACCTATATGGTATTCATCTTTGGTACTCATCATTTCAGAGAAGAAAGAATGTCTCTCTTCCAAGAGCTTCAGCACAATCTCAGGAAGTCATCAGATAGGCTGGCTCATGCCTGAACCTAAACCCATCACAGTGGCCAGGGAGATGATGTACTCAGTACTTGGGAAGCCTCACCAGGGTCACATTCCCATCCCTGTTGAAGGTGGGATTGAAATAGAAGATGGAGTCAACCCTGGCTGAACCGCATAGACTAAAAATGAATGAGGGATAGTTCATCAAAAAGAAATAAGCAAAAGAAAGAAAATGTTCCCCAATACTAGTAGATTTATTAAAATTCAACCTTTTATTTATCTCTGAAGTTATCATCATGGGAGAGGCAGAGATGTTCTCGTCTCTCAAAGAATTACAATCCAATTGGGGAAGCATAGTTAATACATCACATAAAACAGCCCTTTAGATAACCATGGAACTCAGTAAATTATAGGTAGTCAAATGTATGATTTTAGGTTTAGTGAAGGCTGGAGGGCTCAGAGAAGCCTTGCAAAGGAGATCTAGGTTTGGATTGATAATCCCTACACTTTAAGGCCTAAGAGATATGAAGATGTGAATAGAGGAAGCAGATAATACATTTATTCAAACAGTACTTTTGGAAGGGGAAGAATTGTGGAGCTGTTAAGAACATGGGCTTTTCCATCCTAAAAACCTAATTTCATTCCAATATCTTCCAAATTACTTCATTTTTGAGCTTAAATAAAATTTTCAGCAGCAACACTAATAAAAATAGTTAACATTTGTTAAGTGCCTTCTATGTTGCTGGAACTGCTTTCTACACTTCACACATATTTACTCAGAATATTTATAACAACCCTAAGTGGTAGAGATTCATATCACCTGCATTTTACAAGTGAGGAAACTGCTTAAATAACTTGCCAAATGTCCTGGAGCTGGTAACAGATGAGGTTGGGATTTAAACCCAGGGAAGCTGACTAGCGACTCTGCCTCTTAGTCATGCTGCCATTTAGCTGTTCTGAGACTCATTTACATATGCAAAATAGAAACAACAATTCTGTACTTAACCCATAGAAATTTTGTAAAAATTAAATAATGCCTGTAACATGTGGTAAAAGTATTCTATAAATGGTAATAATTACTATTTGTGAAGAAACTATAATGACCTTTTGTGTGATGAAAAAAAGCAATGAATGTTGCTGAAAAAGGTCTGGTTATATGTTACAGATCTTCACATTACACATTACTAGCTGTTTAACCTTGAGCAGTTTATTTAACTTCTCTGAGCCTCTTTCTCCATCATCTGTAGAGTTGAAATTATAAGATCTATCTGAAAAAGTCATTTGCTTTTCTATGGAGCATTACCTAAAATAAAATCTAAGGACTTTGTAAACTTTCAAATATAATACACATTTGAGATATTAGTACGGCTATGCAAGGGATGTTGATATACTTGCTTTTGCTCATGTCTGGCACCATTCAAACTGTATAGGAAAGAGTGATTTGTTTAGGACACCTGATCACATTCCTGCTCTATTACTCATGAACTGCATGCCCTTGGATGCCTCCTTATCTAGACCATTTGTACAATGGCCAGAGCTAAAATTATACAGCTTTTACATTGCTTCCTTCCACCTGGGTGGGTACCTCCTACTTCCGTAGACTTAAAAATGCCTCCTCCTTTGAGTAAACACATTTATGAATAGTTAAGGCAGGCTGCGGCAGGATTTGGAGGGACTAATTGGAAGGCTAGGGCAATGCCTAGCTTTAGAACCCAGAAGTAGGGGGAAAGCATCCATGTTTCACTCTTTTCTATCTTCAGACAGCATTGTATGACATGAGAAAGAAATCACTATTTTATGTGGGATGGTGGTAAAGGTGGTAGTGTCATTCATTTGGGTACTGGCCCCATGCAATATTTGGGACACTTTTTTTTTTTTTTTTTTGAGACAGGGTCTTGCTGTGTCACTCAGGCTGGTCTTGAACTCCTAGCCTCAAGTGATCCTCCTGCCTCGGCCTCCCAAAGTGCTGGGATTCCAGACATGAACCACCACGGCCAGCCTTCTAAATTTTTTTTAAGCATTTATTGCTCATTTGAAATTCAAATGTAACTGGATGACCTGTATTTTTATTTTTTTAATTTGACAATCCTAGTACACACACAGAGAAGTTGTAATGACAGCTTGTCAAGAGAAGGAGTCTTCACTCCTATAGCCACATTCTGCATAAAGTAGACAAAAGCAATTCCTTGCTTATAGAGCAAAAGCTTTGCACCTATATTACCATCACACTGACCCAAATCACTGGACCAGGGATTGGTGCCTGTGTCACAAGCAGTCATTTATACGTTGTTCAGTGTTTGTGATGTGATCTACAAACAGAAGCTTAGTCCCTGGAACAGCAGAGTGTCAAGAGTCAGAAGAAGCAACGACCTAACTTTGAGGGGACCATATTAGGGAGACTCTTGGATCTTAGAGCTATTTATTTTGTAATAGATGAACAACATTTCCATTTTGGAAATTTACCTGTGGTGGTCCAGAGACAATTTTTTGTGTTTATTTATTTATCTGTGTATTCTTATAATAAGCTGCTTTCAACAAAGGTTACCTGAGTGTATCTCTATTTCTTGAAACCTGAAAGAGCATTATGCCCATCTCAATTCTGCAAGAGAAAAGTAGTGGTGCTGGTGGGCTAGTAATTGTAGTAGTGGTGGTATTCATAGTAATTAGCAGTGGTAATAGTAGTGCTGATGGTGATGGTGGTGATGCTGATAGTGGTGACAGAAGTAGTTATGGTGATCATGGCGGTGGTGGTAGTAAAGCTGGTGATGACAGTGGTGATAGTGGTGGTAGGGTTCATAGTGATGATGGTAGTGGTGGTAGTAGTAATAATGGTGATGGTGGTGGTGGTGATAGTGGTGACAGTGGTGGTAGTAGTAGTGATGGTGGTGGTGGTGATGACAGTGGGCAGAGGGATGGCGGTACTTACTGGTCATAGTGGTGTTCATAGTACTGTTCAGAGGTAGTGGTGATAAGTGGCACCTATTTGGGCACTGGACCCTGCTAATTGATGAACACACAAGGCCAGGTGAGGGAAGGACTTCCTCAGTGCAGTATTATGCTGGCAGTATGAGGGACTCTTTCTCCCTGGTTTTGCTCTGTGTTTTTATGCCCAATTCCAGTAGAAGAATCATCTGAAGGAAAAGAGGATCAATGAAACAAATGTGTATCATGAATCATATACTTCCTTGTCTGGAGTAAGAAAGATTAGAGAGAAAATATACTTCATTGAAGCATGAAAGGAAAAACATCTATGTCCAGAAACAACACAATATGCTCATTATATTATTTCTAACTTTGGAAGTTAAATTTCTAATGACCAAATAGGACCATATCCTCTTCATTGGCAATGCCATTGCTAACATACCCAGAAATACAAATGTACGTATGAAATCCACATAAATACAATATATCTTATACCCATTATATCAAGATTTGGCTAAAGTCATTCACAGCTCACGAAAACTTATTTGCAGGGTCCTTTGTATACAGGGAACTTCCAGGTTTATTTGGAATCCAGGATTGTCCTTGTGTGGTAACTTTATCCTTGCCTCTCGGTCTTATCTGAATTGAGGTAGAACCAATTAAATTCCTTCCAAGAGCTGATTTCCAACAGATATTGGGACAGGTAGGACAACGCTCTGCCTGGATTTGACACCAAAGAAATGTCATCCATGTGTCAGCTGCAACCTGGTGGCAGGGAAGATCATGGCCTCTAGCATGGCATCAGCATTTCTCTTAATGACCTCACGTGTTCTGTGGAGAGGAGGATGACAGCCCAGAGCCCTGTGGAACTGAGGGCCTTAAGGGCAAAAGAGCCGTTACTCTTGTCAGGAAGGAATGACTTCAGCCATGTTAGGCCTGAGGCCATATCGTTATCTGCCTTAGTTTGCTATATCTGGCTCACTTAACTGCCTCTGCAATGCACACTTTTATTCCATTTACCCTTCGCAGAGAAATATAGATGGCTGAAATCCATACAAACGTCGGGAAGGTTGTAATTGCTCTCAGTTCCCTAGCCAGCATGACTATGGATGGTAAAGAGGGAAGAGAAATTAAGGAAAAATTTACACTCATACCCCAAAACTGGCAGTTCTCAACCATAATGTCACAGAACTCAGGTAAACCATGATTGATTATGAAGTTTCCTGAAAGTAGTCTGTTACTAAAAATAAAGCATGGCCATTTGCAGATCATTTACTTAAAAAAAAAAATAAAGTGGATACAAAGGTAGCCCAATAATATTACTCTCACCCACTTTCATTCTGATATGCAATCTTCAGATGGAAAGAATCAGAGTTAAGAAAGGAAACTCAGGGAAAAATACATATAAGCTGGGTCTATTCTTACCTGCAGAGCCATTATAATAAACACTTGGGAATGTGTGCACTGGTCACATTCTCAGGGAAAAAAAAAAGTGAGATTGGATGCCCCCATTTATTCAGGCATGCAGTCCACAGCTTACACATGAATCATCTCACAAAAGTGTATTTGTAACTCAGATATTTGGACTTCGGAAGCTGATTTTCCATAGGTCAATGGCATCCATGGTGGCTAATTTCTGACTCCAGTTAAATGGAACCCAAGTTTTGAAGTGATAAACTATTGAAATTTCTTCTCCTCTGAGGACCAAAATGAGATATTGGGCAGAAAGAGGGATGGAAGAGGGATAGAATGTTTCCAACTCCCAAATCTACACATGGTTTTGATGTCAAACTCACCAAGGAGCTACTGGTTACATACATAATGGGGTAAAGAATATTATCCTCTAGAAATGTTCCATGAGAATTATTCACAAGAAAAGTAGGACAACAGAAAATATGCATTTCTTTGTCAAGCAAGGGAGGACCACAAAGCATGGCACTAAAAAAGAACAGTGAGATCTGGTCGGGCACAGTGGCTCATGCCTGTAATCCCAGCACTTTGGGAGGCCGAGGCAGGCAGATCACCTGAGGTTAGGAGTTTGAGACCAGCCTGGCCAACAGGGTTAAACCCCACCTCTACTAAAAATATAAAAGTCAGCCAGGTGTGGTGGCACATGCCTGTAATCCCAGCTACTTGGGAGGTTGAGGCAGGAGAATCACTTGAACCCCAGAGGCAGAGGTTGCAGTGAGCCAAGATCACATCACTGCACTCCAGCCTGGGTGAAAGAGCAAGACTCTGTCTCAAAAAAAAATAAAATAAAATAAAAATTAAAAAAAACTGTGTGATGTCAGTGAGCAGCAGGGGAGAGAAATCTGAGGAGCCACTTCCCGTGAACAACATAGGACAGTATCACAGGAGGAAGTAGGTGGGAGAGCAGGGTAGTGGGAGAGAAGATAGAATGACAAAAAATAGCAAGAGGGATTGATATGGTAATTGAATCATGGGGTAAGTCTTTCCCATGCTGATCTCATGCTAGTGAGAGGAATTCCCCTGCACAAGCTCTCTCTCTTTGCGTGCTGCCGTTCATGTAAGATGTGACTTGCTCTTCCTTGCTTTCCACTATGATTGTGAGGCCTCCCCAGCCACGTGGAACTGTAAGTTCAATCAAACCTCTTTCTTTTGTAAATTGCCCACTCTCAGGTATATCTTTATCAGCAGTGTGAAAACAAACTAATACAGGGATTTTCAATGACTGTCATGACTATGGAGCTTTGGAGAGAAAAAATAATATCTAGAGAGGTTTTCTGGGATACTTCCTGTTTGGTACATTTTTTTCTGGGATACTTCCTGTTTGCTACATTGAATAAAATCTTGGGTTAACCACTTTCAAGAAAACGATTAGTAAAAATTGATGTTATTCTTCAAAGCTCCCGGAGTTGGAGTTGTGCCTTCATGTCATGTGGCACAACTGTGCAAAGGCTGGGCCATACTGTCCCCAGTTCACAATGAGATCATATAAAGATTGATTCATGCCCCTACTTTTTACAAGATATAAAATATCTTTTACTTGAATAAGTGAAACCTCTTCCAAGAACGCTTTATTTCTGGACACTGGCAATTTTACAGGTTTCATTTTACAAAACTTGACAAGAATTGGAGCTAATTATTAAGCAAAAGTGAATGTAATATTTTCAGAATCTCAGTATGCATGAAGGAGCACTGTAAGTTCCACAAAGTTGAAGATACTTTAACTACATTTCTTTTTTGTATTTGCATAGCAGTTTAAGCTTTCAATGAATTTTTACCTACTTTGTCATTCGGGGGTCGCAATAACCAGGGATGTAAATAAGGTCAATATTACAAGATAAGAAAACTAAAACTTATGGAAGTTATATAGCTTGCCAATATTCACCATGGTAATAAACTAGAGAACTGGGCTAGAACCCATTACTCTTGACTTCATATATAGTGAAGTCCCTTCCCATATAGGGGGCAGGGGAGAAAAAACCGCTCAGATTAAGACAAATAGAACCCAGAACTTCAAGGAAATGGACAGCTTTGTAGATAATTGGAATTAGTTCAGATGTAGGCTACCATTTTTCTATGACTTTCTATCACATGTGAACAATGGAAAGGTCCTAAACCTGTGTTGGCCGCCCCCAGATCAACTCCTTTTCATTACAATGACCATGAGAAAATAATTCTACTCAGTGTCACTTATCTGTGAATAGTCATAATCTGTTGTTAATCTTAGATCCTTTGGACCATTTTGCCACATTTGACCTTAGTCTTTTCCCAGGACCTCTGTGTGAATTAAAAATGCTCTTTAAAATGAGTGAACTAATAAAGTAAAATTTCTACTTACTTAGCCAGAAGCAATGATTGAGACTTTAATGGGCAACTAAAGTCACAGTAATCATAAATAAACCTCTTAGGCATATGTTTTATTTATCCTCAGATATGTCTGTGGCCTTCTAGAACTGAGCTCAAAACAACAATCTTTTGCTCAGTTAATAAACAGACTTACCAGAAATCCGGGCTTTACTCAGACAAATCACTCAAAACTCTTGTGAGTCTTAGTCTCCTTGTATATAAATAAGGTAAATGGCACTAAACTTGAAAATTTGCTGATAGTTAACTGAGCTCATGCATGTAAAATTGCCTAGCATAGCAAGAAGAAAATAGTTGATACTAAATATAATGTTAAATAGCTAATATTAAGCCTCCTTTTCTGGGAAAATTGAAGGTTGATTTCAAAATTCTAGCCAATTTCCTCTGCCTATCACTCTATTCTAGCTCCGTTATAATTGGATTCAATACTTCCTGCCCCTAATCTGTTTTGCCTTATCAGTGAACCCTTTTAAATAGCTCCTGCAACCCTCCCTTGAGATGGTCTGAGTACAGTCATGTGCCACATAATGATGTTTCAGTCAACAATGCATTTATGATGGTGGTCCCATAAGATTATAACTGAACAGAAAAAATGCTATCACCTAGTGAAATCATAGTGGTCCTAACATTGTAGTGTAATGCATTACTCAGGAGTTTGTGGCAATGCTGGTGTAAACAGAACTACCGTGCTGCCAGTGCTATAAATGTATAAATGTATAAATGGTACATACAATTGTGCACAGTTCATAATACCTGATAACAATAATAAACATGTTACTGGGGTTATTTCACAACTGTATGAAACATATACTACAAGGTGCATATAATCCCTTTGTCTTTTATTGACCTAAATAAAATGTACTTCAATAAAAAAAAAAGTTACTAGTTTACGTATTTACTATACTATACTTCTTGTTATTTTAGAGTGTGCTCCTTCTACTTATAAAAAAGTTAACTAATTAACTGTAAAACAGCCTCAGGCATGTCCTTCAGGAGGTATTCCAGAAGAAGGCATTGTTATCATAAGAGAGGACCGCCCCATGTATGTTATTGCCCCTGAAGGTCTTCCAGTAGAACAAGTTGTGGAGGTGGAAGACACTGATATTAATGATTCTGACCCTGTGGGGACCTAGGCTAATGTGTGTGTTTGTGTCTTAGTTTTGAAGAAAAAACTTTATAAAGTAAAAAATAAAAATTAAAAAATTTTAAAAATAGAAAAAGCTTATAGAATAAAGATATAAAGAAAGAAAATATTTTTATAGAAAAATTTTTGTACATTGTATTTATGTTTTAAGCTAAGTGATATTACAAAAGCCAAAAGTTTTTAAAATTAAAAAAATTACAAAGTTAAAAAGTTACAGTAAACTGAGCTTAATTTATTAGTGAAGAAAGAAAATTTTTTATATAAATTTAGTGTTGCCTAAGAATACAGTGTACATAAAGTCTACAGCAGTGTGCAGTAATATCCTAGGCCTTCACACTCACTCACCACTGACTCACCCAGAGCAACTTCCAGCCCTGCAGTCTCCATTTAAGGTAACTGCCCTCTGCAGGTGTACCATTTTTATCTTTTATACCATATTTTTACTGTTCCTTTTCTGTGTTTAGATAGGTTTAGATACACAAATACTTATCACTGTGTTACAATTGCCTACAGTATTCAGTACAGTTACATGATGTACAGGTTTATAGCCTAGGAGTAACAGGCTACACCATATAGCTTAGGTGTGGTAGGCTATACCATCTAGGTTAGTGTAAGTACATTCTATGATGTTGGCACAATGACACCTGTCTCAGAACATATCCTCATCATTAAGTAATGCATGACTGTATTCATAGATACTATCCTTTCATTGTCCAAACAAAGTCTATGACAGACTATTCTCTGTCACGAACTTTTTGTAAATGAATGCTCTTCCCAGCATGTGTGCCATGGCAGGTTAGATGCAAAGATCTGATGATCTACCCAATGAAAGCATGCTATATGTTCCAGTGGGTCAGACTCAGTAGATGTCAAACTGATTGAGGTAACTATGAAGGGGAAAATTCAGACAACATCATTGATTTTTTTTAACTATGTTCAAGATTTTAGCCTCAAGATAAATTCTGAGATTAAGAAATCTTGAAAATCTATTTAATTTACTTTCCCCAACCAGTCTCCCAAGCCCTTACATACCCACACTGAATCCTCCCAGGTAGAGATGGCAACTAGGTCATTTCAATGTAAAAGGCATTCCTGAAATCTTAAATCCAAGTCTTATGAGGGTAATGGGCCTTTGGAGATTGACTTCAATTTCACACCTAACACAGGAACTTTCCAGAACATGCAACACCTTGAAATCATCTCACCCCATCATGTCCCTCTTTTTTTTTTTTTTTTTGACACAAGTTCTCACTCTGTCACCCAGACTGGAGTGCAGTGGTGTAATCACCGCTCACAGCAGCCTCAAACTCGTGGGCTCAAGCAATCTTCCCACCTGAGCCTCCAGAGTAGCTAAGACTACAGACGTGCACCACTATGCCCAAATAATTTTTGTATTTTTTATAGAGATGGGAGTTTTGCCATGTTGCCCAGGCTGGTCTTGAATTCCTGGCCTCAAGCGATCTTCCCACCTCAGCCTCCCAAAAAGCTGGGATTATAGACATGAGCCACCATACCCAGACCCTCAATCATTTGTTTGACATACTATGCCCACACACCAAAGGTGAGAGACAGAAGAATAGGATTAAAAATGGAAAGCCATGGGAGGCCACAAGCATCTCATAGGGCTGCAAAATCCTAAGATATTATGCTCTTTTATGTAAGAGGAACTTCAGAATAGAGTACTTATGAGGTGATTTTTATGAACTCTTCATTGATGTCTCCCTGAAGTTTTCAACCCAGGGTTTGAGGGAGAAAATAAAATGGATAAGATACTGTGGTGGATACTGTGATGTGCGTCTCAGATCCTCCTGAGGAAGAAGGCTGACTGCCCCAGGCTCAAGGAGAGATGCCTGCTTATGATGCATAGCTGAGCCCCTCTTTGGGAGTTGTCCTTGGCCAAAATTATGCCCCTCCGGATCACCTGAGGTCAGGAGTTCGAGACCAGCCTGGCCAAACAACATGGTGAAACCCCATCTCTACCAAAAATATAACAATTAGCCAGGTGTGGTGGTACACGCCTGTAATCCCAACTACTCAGGAGGCTGAGGTGGGAGAATCATTTGAATCCAGGGGACAGAGGTTGCAGTGAGCCGAGATCGCACCATTGCACTCCAGCCTGGGTGACAGAGCAAAACTGTCTCAAAAAAAAAAAAATAGTTATGCCCATCCCTGGAAAGAGCACATATCTAATGTCTGTTTAGTGTGGTTGTACATAGGCCCAGCCTCCTTGCCTTGATTTAGGATCACTCTGAAAAGTTATTCCAGTGCATACTCCCTCTGAGATAGGCTGGGGTCTCACGGTAGTTCAGCTTCTCCGTTTGCCTTCTTTCTTCCTCACTCTCTTACAGATATTGAACTTGACAGCTCTTCCCAATAAGTCTGCTGCATGCACATCTCCATCTCAGAGTCTGCTTCCCAAGGAACCTGACCTAAGACAGAGACAGAGACTCATTTCCCTCAACCTGAATACTCTCCGAATGAACCCCACACCATTTTCTACTTAGGGAAAGAGTGGCAGACATGGATAAGAAGTGCTTCAATAACGAATATTCCCTGTGTCCCTGAAGATTTGCAGAAAACAGATGGGTTCCATTCTGCTTATTCTATCAGGACTATCACCTTGTTGAATAAGTTGAGAATTTCACTAACTAATTAGATTTTTTTTTCCTTTCCACCAAAATTCAAAACATCAAGTTTTCTTAGTTGTAAGAGTTTAGCAAGTTGGAATAATTCCTAAAGATATTTAGGCTATCCTATGCAATTTGCCTCTATTGTTGGATTAATTACCCTCTTTTCTCATATTGTATACTTACCATTCTTCTCATTAGGTCATGCCTGCTTAATAAATAGGGATTTATTATAGAGCAGCAATATTGCATACTGGTTAAAAATTTGACTTCTGGAATTATCCTGGCCAACTTCAAGTCTTGGACCTACATCCTAGTTGCTGTGTGACCTTGGGCACTTCCTTTATCCCAGCCTTAGTATCTTCCTGTCTAAAATGTGCCTTGTAATCAATCACATTTTTGTTAGGATTAGCTGAGATAACATATGTAAAGCACTCAAAATATCACCACATACAAGTAAGGTCCCAATAAATGTTAACCAATTATTGTAATTGATAGCTCCTGCTTATCTATAGAACTATCCTGCTTTACAGTGCTGTCCCAGGGTAAACTGGCTAGCTTTCTTTAATAACTACTCCATCTTTTCTCAGTTATACAAAATTAGTCCTTCTGATACTCATTTATACAGTTACTTTTTTTCTCCTAGATTTAATACTCTGCCCCTGTCTCTACTGAATTTTATTCATTTGCTGGGGATATTCTTCCAATCCACTAACTATTTTTACTGGAACAATAAGTCAGCAACCCATCTCACACAAAGTGGACTGCACTGTGAACTTTTTCATCAAGCAATATTCCAAGGGTTGGACAACTTTTTCTGGAAAGGGCCTGATAGTAAATATTTTAGACTCTACAGGCCTTACAGTCTCTGTCAAAATTATTCAACTCCACCATTATAGTGCAAAAGTAGCCATAGACAATATGTAAACAAATGTCCATGGCAGTGTTCCAATAAAACTTTATCTACAAAAATAAGTGAGGGATAAATTTGGCCATCAGCAAGTATAGTTTGCTATACAGGGAGTATAGTCCGCTGATCCCTCCTATTTTATTTTTCTGTGAAATAAATGCTTATTAAATTTACATTGATAGACAATGATCAACTTAATCTTAAAGTTTACTCTTTGCCCACCTCATAATTGTTTGGCCTAAATTTTGTTTTCCAATTTATTGATGAGGAGTCTCTGAAGGATGAGTTAAAAAGCCTTTGCAGAAGTTATGCTAGGTTATGTCTGGTATGCCCACTTAAACCAGGCTTATAAACTTATTAATAAAGAAACACAAAACCACTGCCATCTAGCTTTATGTGCCATTGCATGTAAAGAAGCTTGTGTTCTAACTCTACTTGGAGCTCCTTTTTAAATATGCTTCTCCAATAATGTCTCCTGTATAAAACTTTCATAAGCTTCTGCTTCTGAAATACTGAGCACCTTATCTTGTTCATCTCTCTCTCCCAGTTCCTTGTACACTTTAGGGTGTTTATTAAATATTTGGTGACAAAAACGAATGAGTGAACATTGTTCCATAGAGAATAAGGTTCACACAAATTATTACTCAGTACATTGTCCTCTTCCAGTGACATTGTAATTTTTTTTCTCTTTTTCTTTTTGTTTTTTGTTTTTTTTTTGTTTTTTTTTTTTTTTTTTTTTTTGGTTTTTTTGAGATGGAGTCTCAGTCTGTTGCCCAAGCTGGAGTGCAGTGCACGATCCCAGCTCACTGCCACCTCCACCTCCTGGGTTCAAGCAACTCTCCTGCCTCAGCCTCCCAAGTAGCTGGGATTACAGGTGCCTGTTACCACACCCCACTAATGTTTGTATTTATAGTAGAGACAGGGTTTCACCATGTTGGCCAGGCTGGTCTTGAACTCTTAACCTCAAGTGATCCACCTGCCTCAGCCTCCCAAAGTGCTGGGATTACAGGCATGAGCCACTGCATCTGGCCAGTTCTTTTTCTTTAATCAAGAATGTTTAATGGTACTGAAACTACCAAAACAGTCCTATAATGTCCATATAAACTGTTCCATTAAAACAATGATCTTCCAGAAAAATACATTAATATTCAGTATAAACACTGGCTGGAGTCTTAGGAAATCTAGCTTAGTCTTGGATATGTAATTTGGTTACATGACTTTGGTTAAGCTTTTCCATGCTCTAGGATTTAGTTTCCTCATATTGTAAAATAAATTAATTATACTAAATATCCCCTAGAGTGCCTCCTGTATGTTTAGCAAAACTGCCTACAAAGACCAAGCATTCCTCTCAGATTCAATGATCTCTGCCTGTCACCTGTCTTTACCTAGACTCCTGGAAGAACATGACACTGGAGCCTGAACTCTTCCTCCCTCTTGTAGAGTTCTAGAACCCCTTCTCATCCTGGAATTTTCACTTTGGCAGGAAATACTTTCAGGTCACCTCAATATAAACAGCACAGATACAGAAGTCAGGGGCTCGGAATTCTTGTGTAACTGCTCTATGATTGTAGGGACTTGCTCTAGGAAGGAAATGTCTTCCAGACAAGGGTCCTGGGCAGTGAAGGCGCTCTTCACGTCCCTTTGGTGGCACTCCCTGAAACCACTGGGTCACACCTGCCGGACCGAGTATAATCTCTACAGAGTTAAAGTAGGAAACTGTCAGCTCCCTGGGAGTCGTGGGACACATGAGAAGAGACTTATAACAGAATAGCAGAAAAGCTAAAGGAAAAAAAAAAAGAAAGAAAGGAAAAAGGAAACACAGAAAGTACTAACTAACTGGGGAATACAAAAGACTTAATGGAGCAATGATTTAAAACTATGTGCCTTTTTAAGGAAGGCAGATTGAAATTCCACAGAGCTTCAATTTTCCTCTAAATGCTTGTGATTTCAGAGACTCCCTGGGGTACATGCTCCCTCTGGAGAACTCTCAGCAGGATGGAAGTTCTGCCCCACCTGCCGCAAAAAAAAGAAAAAAAAGAAAAGAAAGAAAAAAAGAGATTTTTGCATTGGGACAGAGTAGGAAATTACCAAGCGATTGTGAAGAAAAATGAAGCCACTCTTTTAAAAGAGGGCCCTTAGCCAGAGAACCATGAACAATCTTGATGAGAGCATTCTAAGCTTTCTATGTTCCAGAAGTTTCTCCTTCCATGGCAGTTGCCAAGGCAACAGAGTAAAGTAAGAACCAAAGGACAAATGGCATCAGCCTCACTGGGTGTCTCCACCTTTACCTGCCAACTGCAGGTACAAACAGTGCCTTCTCTTGTCTGGCAACACCATCCCAGAGCTGCTCCCAGATGCACAGACAGCAGGATGCAGAGAAAGACACAGACATCCTATCGTTTTCTATGTATGGGGCTGCTTCCCAGACATATAAAGAATTTGGAACCCCCTAAGAGTTTCTCAAGTATAGCAACCTTTAAATATGTCTGCTATTTTTAACCATTCTGGCAATTTGGGATTAGGCATAATGTGAAGCCCTATGTTTTGAAAAACAACCAGCTGAGGAAGTTCAGAAAATATAGACAGGTTGTGTTATTGTTGTTTGTTTCCAAAACAGACCCCTAAATGTATTTCTTATTCATAATTTTGGAGGCTAACGTGAACATTCAGATTAAAATGGCTCAAGAGCTCCATCACATAAAGAAAGCAGACAGCCTCATGGATATTAGACTGTGGACAAGGAAAAAATCCCAATGCAGCTACCCTTGAGTGGAGAGATAGGCTCTTCCTAGCCAGAGTAAAGTGGAACTGAATGTTTTTCCTGGATATGTGTGATCAGAGCCACAAGATGCACCTATTTGTAATCTTTCTAAGTGGAAAAAAGACTAGGAAAACTTACAACAAATTCTATTTTAAAAGCAGCTGATCTGCTTTTTATTCATCTATCTGTTCTGGATATATAAACTGGAAATGCCATTAAAATGTGAATTATACCAGCTTCCATGATAAAGGCCTCTCGGGAGCATTCATAGACATGCCAACAGACTGGCTTCCTCCATCTGCTGACCCACCATCCTCACACCTTGTGTTTCACTGTTTAAAAACACTGTACAGGTTGAGCAACTCTCATCTGAAAACCCGAAATGCTCCAAAATCTGAAACTTTGTGAGTGCAACATGACTCCACAAGTGGAAAATTCCACACCTGACCTCATGATGGGTTATAGTCAAAAGAGAGTCAAAACTTGGTCACATGTACAAAATAGTTAAAATAAGGTGTTTATGAAACATAAATTAATTTTGTGTTTGGACTTAAGGGTCTCATCTTCAAGATATCTCATTATGTATATGCAAATATTTCAAAATCCAAAAAAGTTCAAAATTCAAAATACTTCTGGTCCAGAGCATTTCAGATAAGGTATACAACCTGTATTAGTCAGGGTTCTCCAGAGAGATAAAACCAATAAGATCCATAAGATAGATAGATAGATAGATAGATAGATAGATAGATAGATAGATAGATAGATTGATTTTTATTTTATTTTATTTTTTGAGACAAAGTCTCTCTCTGTCGCCCAGGCTGGAGTGCACTGGCATGATCTCAGCTCACTACAGTCTCCGTCTCCCAGGTTCAAGTGATCCTCCTGCCTCAGCCTCCCAAGTAGTTGGGACTACAGGTGTGCACCACCACGCTCAGCTTATTTTTGTATTTTAGAAGAGATGGGGTTTCACCATGTTGGCCAGGTTGGTCTCGAACTCCTGACCTCAGATGATCCACCTGCCTCAGCCTCCCAAAGTGCTGGGATTACAGGTGTGAGCCATTGGGCCCTGCCAGATAGATAAATAGAAATAAAAGATTTACTAGGAGAATTGGCTGACATGATTATGGAAGCTGACAGGCCATGACAGCTAGAGACTCAGGCATGTTGGGAGTGTGTCTCAATCCAAGTCCAAAAGTATCAGAGTCAGGGAAGCTAATGATGTAATTCTTAGTCTGAGGACAAAGGGGACTGAGTACTTAGGAGAACCAGGAATGCAGGTCCCAGAGTCCAAAAGTCAGAGAACCTGGAGTTCTGATATCCAAGTACAGGAGAAGAAGGTTGTCCCAGCACCAAGAGGGAGAAAGAATTAATTCACTGTCCCTCTGTCTTTTTGTTCTATCTGATCCCCTAGTTGATTGAATGATATCCACTCACATTGAGAGCAGATCTTTTCCATTTAGTCCAAAAACTCACATGCCAATTTACTCCAGAAACACTCTTAGAGACACACCCAGAAATAATGCTTTACCAGCTATATAGGTATCCCTTAATCTAGTCAAGTTGACATCCAAAATTCACCACCGCAAACACCAATTACATTCAGCTCAGTATTGAGTTATTTCTTTACTTATCTCCTCACTAATCTGTAAGTTCCTAAAGGTCAGGGACAACATCTAAATCATCTTTGTGGCCATCCTTCACATGGTTTCTAGCATGTTATTCACTTATTCATTCTAGAAACATTTATTCAGTACATACGAGCCAGGTGTTGTACCAGATACTGAAGATGCAATGATAAATAAGATAAAGTCTCTGCTTCAGGGCACTTAAATAACTAAACAAATAAACTAATAGCTTATGATAAACATTGGGATGGAAATAAACATAGTATTTTGTTAATAATAATAGCTAACACTTATTGAATGATCCATGAACCACCAAATGTTTTAAGAAGTTTGTATCAACTCATTTAATCCTCACTGTACTAGTCAGGGTTCTCTAGAGAGACAGAAGTAATAGGATATATATATATATATATAAAGGGGAGTTTATTAAGTAGTATTAACTCACACATCACAAGGTTCCGCAATAGGCTGTCTGCAAGCTGAGGAGCAAGGAAGCCAGTCCGTGTCCCAAAGCTGAAGAACCTGGAGTCTGATGTTTGAGGTCAGGAAGCAACCAGCACAAGAGAAAGATGTAGGCTGGGAGGCTAAGCCAGTCTAGCGTTTTCACGTTTTTCTGCCTGCTTTATATCCTGGCCCTGCTGGCAGCTGATTAGATGGTGCCCATCCAGATTGAGGGTGGGTCTGCCATTCCCAGCCCACTGACTCAAATGTTAATCTCCTTTGGCAACACCCACACAGACACACCAAGGATTGATACTTTGCATCCTTCAATCCAATCAAGTTGACACTCAGTGTTAACCATCACACTCACCAAACCTACAATCCTTTTTTTTTCTTTTTTTTTCCCCAAGTGAATTCACAGGAATACCCCTACAATTTTAAGAAATATGTGCTACTGCCTTCTCCATTTTACAGATGAAGAAATTAAGGAACAGAAAAATTTAAATAATTGGCCAAGTTCTCAAAGCTAGCAATGTTAGGAGTGGGCCCAAATGCAGGCCAGCCTGACTATAACCTGTTGTTTTTCAGCCTCTGAGAAGGAATAAAGGAGACCCATTTTAAAAGGGGGTCAGAAAAGGCCTTTCTGCAAAAATGACATTTAAACTGAGACCTAAAAACTGAGAAGGAGCCGGGCGTGGTGGCTCACGCCTGTAATCCTAGCACTTTGGGAGGCTGAGGCGGGCGGATCACAAGGTCAAGAGATCGAGACCATCCTGGCTAACATGGTGAAACCCCATCTCTACTAAAAATACAAAAAATTAGCCGGGTGTGGTGGCGGGCACCTGTAGTTCCAGCTACTCCAGAGGCTGAGGCTGGAGAATGGCGTGAACCGGGGAGGGGGAGCTTGCAGTGAGCCAAGATGGCACCACTGTACTCCAGCCTGGGCTACAGAGCAAGACTCTGTCTCAAAAAAAAAAAAAAAAAAAAAAAAAAAAGAACCAGGAAGGAGAGAGCCACAAATATCGCCAGTGCCAAAGGTAAAATAAGTCATTGGGGAAAGGGATGGTAATCAGATAAAGCCGACTTTGAGCTCCGTTTGTCCCATAAAGAAGCTGTGGAATGAAAAGCTTTGGCAAAAGTAGCTGCATATATTGAATGAAGGGTTCTAAGTTTTATTCCAGGTTTTTGCACATTTCTTCTCAGAGTCCCTGTTTTCCAACTTGAGAAGAGTAATTATTAGCATACATGTAAAACCTCTGGTTAATGAGTTCTATGATTAAGTCAGGTTTTCTCATCAAACCAAACACAACCATGGCCATCTCTTGTCAGGATGGTCCTGGGCACAACTAAAAAGTTTGCTTCTTCCAGAACTGAGGTTGGCCGAGTTTGACTGTGTAACCTCTCTTTCACAAGCACATACTGGTGTGTGCTAGGCGCTATGCTAAGGATGGCAGAGTGGAGAGAGGCAGCCTAGCCTGGGATGGTGGGAAAATTAAAAGCCTTGGAGTCTGAGATGCCTGGATTGAAACCCAGCTCCAACACTTATTAGCTCTCCCTTGTCAGAACATGAGAAGGTAACTTAACATTCCCATTACCTTGCAGGTAAGAGGTGGCTTCCTCACCTGCAAAACAAAGGTAAATATAACTTCTTTTACAGCACTGTTAAGATTAGGTAAGAAAATAGATGTGATGCAATATGAATGGTGCTAAACACGGAGAACATATTCATAGATTTCATTGTCCTCTCTGTCCCTCACCATCTAATGAGGTTTGGTCAGCTTGTGCACATAGCATAATGTGTTGTATTGCCCAAGAGGGGTAACTGGGGCTGAGAAGAAGAATAAAGTGAAGACAATGTGCCTCTTTCCTACCTTCTGTGAAATACATGAGCACTCAGGTCACTTATGCAACCCTTTCTGGATTCCCAAAACTTCCAGTGTGGCTTTGCAGTCTCTGCTGCTACCTTTCCCTGCTACATAAATTTAGGTAAAGTTTACAGGACACTCAGCAGGTGTCATCAATTATACATACATTATCCCATTTAACTCCCACAACAATCTTATAGGACAAATATAATTATTCTTCTGTGGCATTCTTAATTTTCACCAATATCTGGTTGTCCTCTAGCTTCTGTACAGAAAGGCCTAAAATTTCTCATTCCCTTGCAGTTAGGCACAGCCATGTTACTAGTTACGGACAAAGAAAGGTGAGCAGAAGTGACATGTCTCACTTTTGTGTTTAATTGTCAGTGCTCAAATCTACAGTTCCCCCTTCCTCTGCCATAATGACTTAGGGGACTACTTTTCCAAATGGTATTGCTGCAAAATAATTTCACATAGAGGATAATTGCAAACTTTGTGTGAATTAAAAATAAATCTTTGTTGTGTTAAGCCAGAGAGATGATAGAGTTCCTTTTTGTTGTAGTATAGCCTGACCTATTTTGGTTGACACATACCCATTTTTCAGGTGAGGAACCTGAGAATCACATTTGAAATCTTTTCTATCTGAATCCAAACCCATCCTTCTTCGTCTCTAATATTCTACATGAAGATGCCAGATAAAATATATGCATCAAGAAAAGTCTGGGTGAACACAGTGGCTCATGACTGTAATCCCAGCACTTTGGGAGGCCAAGGCGGCTGGATCATGGCATCAGGAGTTCGAGACCAGCCTGGCCAACATGGTGAAACCCTGTCTCTACTAAACAAAAAATTAGCTGGGCATGGTGGTGGGTGCCTGCAATCCCAGCTACTCAGGAGGCTGAAGCAGAGAATTGCTTGAACCTGGGAGGCAGAGGTTGCAGTGAGCCGAGATCATGCCACTGCATTCCAGCATGGATGACAGAGCAAGACTCTGTCTCAAAAAAAAAAGAAGAAAAGAAAGAAAAGAAAATTCCTTCTGAAAACAAATGTAGGATATGTAAATAACGAATCACCAATGGTAAAATGTCAGGAACTCTAGACAATCAGGAATTCAAAAGAACTTCTGGAAAGTCATTAAATCGCTCCGGAAACGGATCTGCCTCTTTTGCAACTCTCACTCTGATAGTGTGGTGGTGGGGCTAGAGTCAGGGACAGGGGTCGGAACAGTGGCTGAAGCCACGGCAATGATAGGTTATAAAGATCAGCATGTTAATGTGATCACCAATGTTAAAGAGAGTCGCTTTGTAGAGTTTTAGGAGTATCCAGGGAATAATATTCCTCTTTCCCTTCTGATTTTGGAACCAGTAAGAGATAGACCCAGGAATTAGACAGATGGGGATCAAACATCAACTTTATAAAAGGCTGGATTGAAGGACATGAGTTGGAATTTTATCCTGAAATTAAACCTACCCATCAAATCACAGGTAGATGGATAACCTCAGGCCCCCTCCTCATCTCCTGCAGAGGCACAGCTCATCCCAAGAAGCCCACTCCATGATGAGAGAGCCAACTAGAATACACCCACTCAGTAGGGACTAAACCAAGCATAACTAGTTCCTTCTTCCAAACTCCAATCAGGTGGGTCACTCCTTCTTAAAGGCCTGGATATGCTGGAGCAACTCATTTTCTCTTTCCTGCTTCAGTTGATCAAAGAAGGGGATAAATTTAATAAACTATAAGGCTCTTTCAAACTCTGTAAATCTGTGTAATACTTAATGTTAAAAGTGAGGAAAATAGTTTACTTGCAAACAATAGTGCAGCCCATCAAATAGCCACCAGGGTATTTATGAAGTATTGACGGGACAAAATATGAAGGCTCTGCAACTCTGGTTATTCCAGTGATGTGTGCACAGAGACAGAGATGGTTATAATAAGCTCTCCAGCCCTGTGGAAGCAGAGGTTAAGAAAAGGATTTGAACTGCAGTGGGCAAGAGGGCCAGGTCATGCTCTAACCCTAAAAAGAAAAGTTCCAAGCCAGAATGCAGCCCATTGGAACAAACCGGAGAGAAAGATATTTTGAAATCTCTTTGATTTATGACCTACTATAGGACATTAAGACATTATTTATGATCGATATATATGCCTGTAGGTATCCCACTGGAGCCATTGATGCTGCCTCACACTGTGGAGGTTGGCCAGCCCAATCCAACAGACATACTATCTGTGTCCTGTTGGTGCAGGCAATAAACCCAGATGTAGCCATCTATCTCCCTGAAAATGGTGCTGGTTACTCCAGCCCTTGGGAGACTGACCCAGAGATATGGATTTGCAGGGAGAAGGCAGGTTGGTAGAAGAAGCCAGAGAGTAACAGGCTTCCCTCCATCATTCTCATTTGAAATTTCTTACAGCACCCTCCTTCCATAATTCAACTTCTTTAAAAAACCACACAGAATAGCCTTGAGTCATTTGGACATTCACTAAAAAGCTTCCTCAACGTATTTTTCACAGTTTACATATAAAATGCAAAATAGGAACTTTTTTGTCCCCAAGAAGCTGCCTCCTGTTGGGGACAGGGGAAAGGCACTCATTCTCTAAAACTCTATGATCCAGTCATATTTCTCTTCTTCCATTCAATCCAATGAATATGCCATGTACCCTCTCACCTTCAGGTCTGTGAACATCCTTAAACATCCTTCCCAATGACAATATCACTCTCACTGAACATATATTCCCCACCTCTGCTCAAAAAAAGTGTGTGTGTGTGTGTGTGTGTATATATATATATATACACAATATACATATATATATGCAATCACTATTATATCAGGCAATCCCTTACCTTGCACTCCTACCCTTCTTGTAAATCTCAGCTTAAATATCAGTTTTTCCAAGAGGCCTTTCCTGAGGCCCTAGACTAGGTCAGATTTCCCTAAAACATGTTATCATGCACCTTGTGCTTCCCCTAGCGTAATACTCATTACACTGGACTAGAATTACTTGCGGCCTATTTTGTTAGCTAGACTGTTCTGCAGGAGAGGGGCTGCATCTGTCTTGGTCATACCAATCCAGTAGACTTGCCATCTGTATTCTCTGGCCCAGATTGTAAATCCAGATGTAGCCATCTATCTTCCTGAAAATGGTCTTGGTTCTTAATGCTCTTGGAAAGCTGACCCAGAGGTCTGGTTTCGTGGAGAGAAGACATATTGCTAAGAAGAGAATTTCATGCATTTCAAGTGACTAGTAAAGTCCCAAGTAAGTAGAAGGTGTTCAATAAATATTTGTTAAAGATTAAATAAGTGAATGAGTGAAATTATTACAGAACGATCAAGTGCTTATCAGAGAAATGACTATAAATTCAATAGCACTCAACTAATAAAAAGAGAAAATCCAATTGATGTTGCATTTGATTTGCTTGGTTGAGTTTGGAAACAGAGAAACTGACTACTTTTTGTGCCTTGAATAACCTTTCCACAAAGAGCATTCATTCTTTTTTTTTTTTTTGACCCTTCTGTTTGTTTATAATGAGGACTAACCCATACCTGATTCTTCATCACCAGATGAAGTATTATCTCAACCTCCCCGCTAGTTTTTTCTAGGATGTATAATGCAAGGCAAAAGGTAAAAATCAATTTAGTAATGTGTCTGCATTTGGTCAACAGCAAAACCTGCATAGGTTTCTCTCTCTAAGGAAGAAGCTAAAATTAAAAGAAGAGGGAAAAAAAGACAAAGTCTGATTACAACTGTAAATGAGGAGAAGTTAGATGTTCTCTTACTGGTTTCAGTCGGCTGTGTAATAGCTCCAGAGCCCAGGCAACACGTTCCACAGGAGCTGTTGGCCAACAAGATGGCCATAATTAGCAGATTTACTAATTTGATCCTTGTTAATAACCTATTATGGTCAATTTATAAATTTTAGACTTGATCATGTCTTTCACTCTATAACCAAATTTGGAAGGAGAGGAAGGAGCTGACTTCTCTCTCCAAGTATGTTTCTCTAAGGAATGCATGTAAACAGCAAGTGTTTCAGGCTGTTTTTATGAGGTGGAGACAGTGCTCACAGCTCAGTGGATAAGTCTACCTTGCAGTTGCTATTCGTTTGTGTCTGTGAAGCTGAGCACCCTTTTAGCTTCTCACTCTGCTGGCTTGGACTGACCCCTGCTATTGATATGATAACTTTCTCCCACTTTCAACATAATATTCATTCCACAAATATTTATAGAGTTTCTACTATGTGCTAGATAATGGGGATTCAGTGGTGAACAAAACAAACATACAGTTGTCTTCAAGAAGTTTATAATCTAGTGAATGGCACAGATCATAAAATAATATTGTAGATAATAAATGCAGAATTACAGATTGTGATGAATCAGAAAGAAAAGGTAAAATGTGTTATGGGAGATTGTAATGAGGAAATGTTTTAATTTAAGAGATGATAGAAAGTTTCTCTAAGGACGGCCAGGCGCGGTGGCTCACGCCTGTAATCCCAGCACTTGGGAGGCCGAGGCAGGCAGATCACCTGAGGTCAGGAGTTCGGGACTAGCCTGACCGACATGGATAAACCCTGTCTCTACTAAAAAAAAAACAAAATTAGCCGGGTGTGGTGGTGCATGACTGTAATCCCAGCTACTTGGGAGGCTGAGGCAGGAGAATCACTTGAACCCAGGGGGTCGAGGTTGCGGTGAGCCGAGATAGTGCCGTTGTACTCCAGCCTGGGCAACAAGAGCGAAACTCCGTCTCAAAAAGAAAAAAAAAGAAAGTTTCTCTAAGAAATTATGGGCCCAGAGAATGAATGGATTTAGGCAGTAAAAGACAAGGGGTAGGCCGGGCACAGTGGCTCACGCCTGTAATCCCAGCACTTTGGGAGGCCGAGGCAGGCGGATCACCTGAGATCAAGAGTTCGAGACCAGACTGGCCAACATGGCGAAACCCTGTCTGTACTAAAAATACAAAAATTAGCTGGGTGTGGTTGCACATGCCTGTAATCCCAGCTACTCGAAGGCAGGGGCAGGAGAATCACTTGAACCCAGGAGGTGGAATTTGCAGTGAGCAGAGATCGCGCCACTGCACTCCAGCCTGGGCGACAGAGCAAGATGTCTAAAAAAAAAAAGCCGGGCACGGTGGCTCACTCCTGTAATCCCAGCACTTTCAGAGGCCGAGGCGGGCGGATCACAAGGTCAGGAGTTTGAGACCAGCCTGACCAATATGGTGAAACCCTGTCTCTACTAAAAATACAAAAATTAGCAGGGTGTGGTGGTGCACGCCTGTAGTCCCAGCTACTTGGGAGACTGAGGCAGGAGAATCGCTTGAACCCAGGAGGTGGAGGTTGCAGTGAGCAGAGATCATGCCACTGCACTCCAGCTTGGGCAACAGAGCGAGACTCCATCTCAAAAAAAAAAAAAAAAAAGGACATAGGTTTTCTCATAAAAAAAGTTTTAAGCAACAGATTGAAGTGATCTTAAGACCTCTCTGGCTCTGGAGGAGAATAGATTGGAAAAAGGGTAAGAATAAATGCAAGGAGAACAGTCAGGATGCTGCTACTATAGATCAAGTGAGAAACCCACCAATGGCTGGACCTAGGGGCATGACCACAGAGGCAGAAACAAGTGGGTAAACTGAAGTTATATTTGGAGAAGGAATTGGCAGGACATTTGGACCAACCCTCTTTCTGCATGAGCTCCCAAGATCCGTAGCGTCTGCTGAAGAAATATGTGCCTATGTTCAGACAGACTTTGCCTCCATGTGAATCAGCTGGTAAGACTGTCAACTAAGCAGCCCAGCTCTGTCTCTGGTGCAGTCTGGTTATTTCAGTCATACAGACATGGCCTTAATGACAGTCTCATTCTATCTATAGACATAGTATCAAATCTGGTTTACACTGAACCAGATTTTTTTATCCTACTCAGCTCCGTGGGAGAAGTTTCTCTTCCCAAGAGCAGCATAGAGAGAGAACCTGGCCATATATTTATAAAATTGGGGGTGGAAAGATCTGATACAAGATAGCAGGAGTTTTTAGAGCAAGAGTTTTATGGCTGGATTCCAATTAATTTGTGGATCTCTCTTCCTGAACAGAGGGAGTTGGCTGAGATGCTGAAGTTAGCAAATTGCCTGCTTCATGCAGGCGCCATGTCCATTTCAGAATGCTTTCTATGGATTTTTTTCCCACGTCATCTATTAATTACCTAATTACATCGTCTAATTGTGGGATTCTTCATGTATTTACACTGACTACGTAATTGGGTGCAATTACACTAATTAGGTTAATGATACAGGATAACAGACTACAAATTGCTTTAAAGGGACACTGGGAAAGCTAGTAGGCCAAAAACCCTTTGGAGGTAGGTCAGGATCTGTCTATTAGCAGCTCAGAGCTTCCCACTCCTTCATCTTTATCCTGAACTTTCAGATCCATTGAAGAGAACAACATGGGAGAATTAGCAAAACCCTATTGCCCAAGACCAGGAGACCGAGGGCAAAGCTATGAGACAGGCAGTTTGTGGGTGACCCCAGGTACTCCTGTTACAGTAGGCAGATTAATGCCTCCCCACAAAGTTGTCCATGCCCTAACACCCAGAACCCGGAATACATTACCTTACATTTAAAAAAAGACTGCAGATGTGACTAAGGGTAAGAACCTCGAGATAGGGGGATTATTCTTGCTTTTCTGAGTGGGTCCAATCTAATTACATGAGCTCTTAAAAGTGGATAACCTTTCCAGCTGGGTCACAGATATGTGACAAACAAAGGCAAAAAAAAAAAAAAAGAATCTGGAGGCCAGACGTGGTGGCCCACACCTGTAATCCCAGCACTTTGGGAGGCCGAGTCGGGCAAATCACTTGAGGCCAGGAGTTTGAGACCAACCTGGCCAACACGGTGAAACCCATCTCTACTGAAAATACAAAAATTAGCCAGGCGTGGTGGCCTATAATCCCAGCTACCCTGTAGGCTGAAGCAGGAGAATCACTTGAACCCAGGAGACAGGGGTTTCAGTGAGCCAAGATTGTGCCACTGCACTCCCGCCTGGGTGACAGAGTAAGGCTCTGTCTCAAAAAAAAAAAAAAAAATTAGTTTGAAGCTGGCAGCATGAGAAGGATTCAACACCTCACTGCTGGTGCTGAGAAGCAGGGGCCATTTGCAAGGATCAGGGAGAAACAGCAAGGAAATGGGGGACCTCAGTCCTACAACCCCATGGAACTCAATTCTGACACCTCAATGAGCAAGGAAATGAATTCTGCCCTAGAGCCTACAGGAAGAAACTTGGCCCTGACAACAACCAGGTTTTAGCCTGACAAGACCCCTGTTGCACTTCTGACTTACAGAACTGAAAGATAATAAATTTGTGTCATTTAGGACACTAGATTCATGATAATTTGTTACAGTGGCAATTGAAAACTAATACACTTCTCCACACTTTGCTCCTCCGTTTTCTCTCCTCCACTCACTTTCTGTATGTTACTTATTGGCATGCATATTCTGTCCTCGGCTCTCTCTTATCAGTCTGTTTTCAAGGAAAGATCTAATGGCAATATTGTCCTCTAATATGAACATATATCAGTGTTACCTCTCCCTATGACATTTGCATTTTCAGTTTAGTTCTAATTGTGTAATAAAATAAAATTTTGTTCATAAAAGTAGAGTGAGAGCCTCATACTCGGAGTTAGATCAATGTCATTTCAAATCCCAGCTCAGCTATTTAGTTGCTCTGTGACCATAGTGACTGGGGACGTTGTATAACCTGAACTTCATTTTCCTTACAGTAAAGCAGGGATAATAGTGTCCACCTAATAGGGTTGTTACAAACATGTAAAGAGATTACGTACATTAAGCGCCTAGAATAATGCCTGGCCCACGGACAATATTCCATGAGTTTCCTTCCTTCCTCTGATAAGAACCTAAGCCATCAATGATCAACAAGGAGAAGTAACAAGAGAGTCGGGGCACTTTCCTATACCCCTAAATATCACAAGATTCCATGAGACAAAATAAAATGCTAGATTATTTATTTCATATAACCTTAGAACCACCAGTAGGACTAAAAAAAGTAAGATCCTTGCCTAAAGGGAGCTGGGTAACATAGCCACTCAAAAGCATTTGCTATCCTAGACTGCTTCTGATGGTACAACAGAAAGGGATGTGAGTAGAGACAGCCAGGTGGGTTTGACTCCTGCCCTTGCTGCCCATTGTGGACTAGTCTTAGAGACATAGGGCGAAGACAGCTTGGTATCTGGACTTCTAACTACAGCTCTTGGCCACTCTTAAAGCAAATGATCCTAAGCAGTTCCTGAGAATATTTGTGCTACATGTGGATTGAGAAAAGAGTGGAGAGAGAATAACAGTAGTAGTAGTTAAACTTTATCTAACATCTACTCTGTACAAAGTACCAATCTAAGCATTTTATGTATATTAAATAATTTAATACTTTCAATAACCTTTGTAGAAGTTGGGTGACCTATTCTGATTTTGCTTTACGGAACACAAAGAAATAAATTAATTCTCTCAAGGTTATCCACTGTTCATAGTCAGAGCTTGGATTTGCACTTGGGTGCCCCTGCTCTAGAGGTAATGCTGTTGGCAGTATGCCACATCCTGATGCTAGCGTTTGGGGCCCAGCATCACTGGGAGGATGACTGTTAGTTGTGTTTTCCCAGTTCACACCAAAGCCATTAAGGGGCTTATCATAACAAGGTAAACAGGCCCAGACCCCAAGCACAATCTTGTCCCCAGGGGTGATCTAATCAGCTTTTTAAAAATCTGATCTGGATTAGACAGAGAGAGAGCATCATTCATGGAGTTAGACTTCTTGTTTCAAATCCCAGTTCAGTTACTTCCTAGCAGTATGGTCTTGGAGAGATTGCTTAATCCAAGCCTTCTTAAGTAAAAATGAATAATGATGTCTTAAAAGCAAAGAGGACTTTGGGAGGCCGAGGCAGGAGGATCACGTGAGGTCAGGAGTTCGAGACTAGCCTGGCCAAAATGGCAAAACCCCGTCTCTACTAAAAACACAAAAATTAGCTGGGTGTGGTAGCGGGCGCCTGTAATCCCAGCTACTTGGGAGGCTGAGGCAGGAGAATCACTTGAACCCAGGAGGCAGAAGTTACAGTGAGCCAAGATTGCGCCATTGCACTCCAGCCTGGGTGACAGAGACTCCACCTCAAAAAAAAAAAAAGAAAAGAAGAAGAGGGATTCTGATTCTTATATGCTTGTGAAAATTGGATTTGAGCCCATTAAGTACAGTCATGTATTTCTTTTTTTTTTTTGAGATGGAGTTTCGCTCTTGTTGCCCAGGCTGGAGTGCAATGGCGTGATCTTGGCTCACTGCAACCTCCGCCTCCCAGGTTCAAGCAATTCTCCTGCCTCAGCCTCCTGAGTAGCTGGGATTACAGGCATGTGCCACCACACCCGGCTAGTTTTGTATTTTTAGTAGAGACGAGGTTTCTCCACATTGGTCAGGCTGGTCTTGAACTCCCAACCTCAGGTGATCTGCCCGCCTCAGCCTCCCAAATGCTGGGATTACAGGCATGAGCCACCATGCCCAGCCAGTCATGTATTTCTTAATGATGGGGATATGTTCTGAGAAATGTGTCATCAGGCAATTTCTTCATTGCGTGAGCATCAGAGGGTGTACTTACACAAACCTAGATGGTATAGCCTACTACACACCGAGGCTATGTGGTATAGCCTGTTGCTACTAGGCTACAAACCTGTACAAGCATGTTATTGGACTGAATACTTCAAGCAATTGTAATACAATAATAACTATTTGTGTATCTAAACCTATCTAAACATAGAAAAGATACAGTAAAAAATATGGTATAAAAGAAAAAATGGGATGATTGAGGTGGCTGGCAAGATGGCCAAATAGGAACAGTTCTGGTCTGCAGCTCCCAGCAAGATCAATGCAGAAGGCGGGTGATTTCTGCATGTTCAACTGAGGTACCCAGCTCATCTCATTGGGAGTTGTTAGACAGTGGGTGCAGCCCACAGAGGGCAAGCTGAAGCAAGGTGGAGTGTCACCTCACCTGGGAACTACAAGACATCAGGGAATTCCCTCCCCTAGCCAAGGGAAGCCCTGAGGGATGGTGCCGTGAGGAGCGGTGCATTTAGGTCCAGATACTATGCTTTTCCCACACCTTCTCAACTCATAGACCAGGAGATTCCCTCGGGTGCCTACGCCACCAGGGCCCTGGGTTTCAAGCACAAAACTGGGTAGCCATTTGGCCAGACACCGAGTTAGCTGCAGGAGTTTTTTTCATACTCCAGTGGCACCTGGAAAGCCAGTGACAGAGAACTGTTCACTCCCCTGGAAAGGGGGCTGAAGCCAGGGAGCCAAGTGGCCTAGCTCAGTGGATCCCAATCCCACGGAACCCAGCAAGCTAAAATCCACTGGCTTGAAATTCTCGCTGCTAGCATGGCAGTCTGAAGTCAACCTGGGATGCTGGAGTTTGGTGGGGGGAGGGGTGTCCACCATTACTGAGGCTTGAGTAGGCGGTTTTCCCCTCACAGTGTAAACAAAGCCAACAGGAAGTTTGAATGGGCAGAGTCCACCATAGCTCTTCAAAGCCACTGTAGCCAGACTGCCTCCCTAGATTCCTCCTCTCTAGGCAGGGCATCTCTGAAAGAAAGGCAGAAGCCCCAGTCAGGGGCTTATAGATAAAACTCCCATCTCCCTGGGACAGAGCACCTGGAGGAACAGGTGGCTGTGGGAGCAGCTTCAGCAGACTTAAATGTTCCTGCCTGCTGGCTCTGAACAGAGCAGCTGATCTCCCAGCACAGTGCTCAAGCTCTGCTAATGGACAGACTGCCTCCTCAAGTGGGTCCCTGACCCCTGTGCCTCCTGACTGGGAGACACCTCCCAGCAGGGGTCAACAGACACCTCATACAGGAGAGTTCTGGCTGGCATCTGGCAGGTACCCCTCTGGGTTGAAGCTTCCAGAAGAAGGAACAGGTAGCAACCTTTGCTGTTCTGCAGACTCCACTGGTGATACCCAGGCAAACAGGGTCTGCTGTGGACCTCCAGCAAACTCCAGCAGACCTGTAGCAGAGGGGCCTGACTGTTAGAAGGAAAACCAACAAACAGAAAGGAATAGCATCAACATCAACAAAAAGGTCGTCTACACAAAAACCCCATCCAAAGGTCACCAACATCAAAGACCAAAGGTAGATAAATCCATGAGGATGAGGAAAAACCAATGCAAAAAGGCTGAAAATTCTAAAAACCAGAACGCCTCTTCTCCTCCAAAGGATCACAACTCCTTGCCAGAAAGGGAACAAAACTGGATGGAGAATGAGTTTGACGAATTGACAGAAGTAGGCTTCAGAAGATGGCTAATAACAAACTCCTCCAAGCTAAAGGTGCATGTTCTAACCCAATGCAAGGAAGCTAAGAATCTTGACAAAAGGTTAGAGGAATTGCTAGCTAGAATAACCATTTTAGAGAAGAACATAAATGACCTGATGGAGCTTAAAAACACAGCACGAGAACTTTGTGAAGCACACACAAGTATCAATAGCTGAATCGATCGAGCAGAAGAAAGGATAGTAAAGATTGAAGATCAACTTAATGAAATAAAGCATAAGACAAGATTAGAGAAAAAAGAATAAAAAGGAATGAACAAAGTCTCCAAGAAATATGGGATTACATGAAAAGACCAAACCTACATTTGATTGGTGTACCTGAAAGTGACGGGGAGAATGGAACCAAGTTGGAAAACACTCTTCAGGATATTCTCCAGGAGAACTTCCCCAACCTAGCAAGACAGGCCAACATTCAAATTCAGGAAGTACAGAGAACACCACAAAGACACTCCTTGAGAAGAACAACCCTAAGACACATACTCATCAGATTCACCAAGGTTGAAATGAAGGAAAAAATGTTAAGGGAAGCCAGAGAGAAAGGTTGGGTTACCCACAAAGGGAAGCCCATCAGACTAACAGCAAATCTCTCTGCAGAAACCCTATAAGCCAGAGGAGAGTAATGGGGGCCAATATTCAACATTCTTAAAGAGAAGAATTTTCAACACAGAATTTCATATCCAGCCAAACTAAGCTGCATAAGTGAAGGAGAAATAAAATCCTTTACAGACAAGCAAATGCTGAGAGATTTTGTCACCACCAGGCCTGCCTTACAAGAGCTCCTGAAGGAAGCACCAAATATGGAAAGGAGAAACCGGTACCAGCCACTGCAAAAACATACCAAATTGTAAAGATCATCGACACTATGAAGAAACTGCATCAACTAACGGGCAAAATAACCAGCTAGCATCATAATGACAGGATCAAATTCACACATAACAATATTAACCTTCAATGTAAAAGAGCTAAATGCCCCAATTAAAAGACACAGACTGGCAAAGTGGATAAAGAGTCAAGACCCATCAGTGTGCTGTATTCAGGAGACCCATCTCACATGCAAAGACACACATAGGCTCAAAATAAAGGGATGGAGGAATATTTACCAAGCAAATGGAAAGCAAAAAAAAGCAGGTGTTGCAAGCCTAGTCTCTGATAAAACAGACTTTAAACCGGTAAAGATCAAAAAAGGCAAGGGCATTATGTAACGCTAAAGGGATCAATGCAACAAAAAGAGCTAACTCTCCTAAATATATATGCATCCAATACAGGAGCACCCAGATTCATAATGCAAGTTCTTAGAGACCTACAAAGAGACTTAGACTCCCATACAAAAATAGTGGGAGGCTTTAACACCCCACTGTCAATATTAGACAGATCAACAAGACAGAAAATTAACAAGGATATTTATGACTTGAACTCAGCTCTGGACCAAATGGACCTAATAGACATCTACAGAATTCTCCACCCCAAATCAACAGAATATACATTCTTCTCAGCATCACATCACACTTATTCTAAAATTGACCACATAACTGGAAGTGAAACACTCCTTAGCAAATGTAAAAGAACGGAAATCATAACAGTCTCTCAGACCACAGTGCAATCAAATTAGAACTCAGGATTAGGAAACTCACTCAAAACTGCACAACTACATGGAAACCTGCTCCTGAATGACTACTGGGTAAATAATGAAATTAAGGCAGAAATAAATAAGTTCTTTGAAACCAATGAGAACAAAGACACAATGTACCAGAATCTCTGGGACACAGCTAATGCAGTGTTTAGAGGGAAATTTATAGCACTAAATGCCCACAGGAATAGAAAACCAAAAACCACATGTTCTCACTCATAAGTGGTGGTTGAACCATGAAAGCGCATGGACACTGGGAGGGGAACATCACATACCGGGGCCTGTTGGGGTGTCAGGGGCTAGGGTAGGGATAGCATTAGGAGAAATACCTAATGTAGATGACGGGTTGATGGGTGCAGCAAACCATCATGGCACGTGTATACCTATGTAACAAACCTGCACATTCTGCACATGTATCCCAGAACTTAAAGTATAATTAAAAAAAAAAAAATGAAAGAAAGAAAAAAATAGAACAAGTGTAGAGAGCATTTACCATGAAAGGAGTTTGCAGGCCAGAAAGTTGTTCTGGGTGAATCAGTGAGTGAGTGGTGAGTAAATGTGAAGGCCTAGGACATTACTGTACACTACTGTAGATTTTATAAACATTGTACACTTAGGCTACAATAAATATATTTTTCAAACACTTTTCTTAATAATAAATTTACCTTAGCTTACCGTACATTTTTTTACTTTATAAGCTTTTTAACTTTTTTTAACTTTTTGACTCTTGTAATAATACTTAGCTTAAAACACAAACACATTGCACAGGTGTACAAAAACGTTTTTTTCTTTATATTCTTATTCTATAATATTTTTCCTATTTTAAAACAAAGTTGTTGGGTTTTTTTTGTTTTTTTTCTTACTTTGTAAACTTTTTTTGTTAAAAATGCAGACACAAACACACATATTGCCCTAGGTCTAAATAGGGCTGGTATCATCATATGGAGATATCTTCTCCCACTGTAAAGTCTTCAGTGACAGTAACACACACAGAGCTGTCCTGTCCTACGACAACTTCTGGAATACCTCCTGAAGGACCTGCCTGAGGCTGTTTTAAAGTTAACTTTAAAATATACATAACTAGAGGGCATACACTCTGAAATAACAATTAAAAGTATGACATAGTAAATACATAAACCAGTGACATTTTTGTTTATTATCATTATCAAGTATTATGAACTAGCCTGGACCCGGTGTCTCATGCCTGTAATCCCAGCACTTTGGGAAGCCAAGGCAGGAGGATCACTTGAGCTCAGGAGTTCAAGACCACACTGCACAACATGGAGAAGCCCCAGCTACTCAGGAGGTTGAGGTGGAAGGATCACCTGAGCCCAGGAGGTTGAGGTTGCAGTGAGCCATGATTGCACCACTGCACTCCAGCCTGGGTGACAGAGTGAGACCCCATCTCAAAAAAAAAAATGTATTATGAACTATTGTAAAGTCATATAGTATAATTTCATATAGTATAATTGTATGTACTATTCTTTTATAGGACTGACAGCATAGTAGGTTTGTGTACACCAGCATCACCACAAACATGTGAGTAATGCATTGTGCCATGATGTTGCAATGGCTATGGTGTCATTAGGCTACAGGAATTATTCAGCTCCATTATAATCTTACAGGATTACTGTCCTATATGCAGTTTGTCGTTTACTGCAATATCATTATACAGCACATGACTATATTGTCTATGGTAACTGGGCTTTATGTATAATTTGAGGGATGCCAAGCAATCCTCCATCACCCACAAAATATTAGCTTGTGATTGATGGCTTATCTGAAATTCAGATCTGAGTCAGCCCTCTGAGTAAGGATATTGACCTGTATTAAAATGCATAAATTTCTGGATTGGCTACTCACCATGCACTTATTAGTTATTGATGCCATAATGTGAATTAGCTGATTAACATCATTTCCCATGTATTATTATCACAAGTTAGAAGGTGAAGATAATAATACTTAGTCTTATCTATTTTGAAGGGTTATTCTGAGGAACTTGTGAAATAATGCATGTGAAAACAATTTAATAAAAAGTGCTAGCTAGTTTCAATTCACTTATGTGGCACCCCTTGTATGCCAAGGACATGAAAAAGAATTGTTACTGTGTCAAAGAGATACTCTTCAAGTTCTTTTTTGGGAAATTAATCTAAGAAAAATTGAGACTAAAATATTAAAATATAGAATAAGAAATATCCCATGTAGATAGTTTTGTCATTGGATATGCCCCAGTGTTTTATAATTATCAAATTCAATTTTATTTCCATCTGACGCACTGGACTATTTCCTCCTTCAGGGCAAGTATTTTGTCATATTTATCTTTCCAATATATAACAAATTGTTTGACACACAATAGGTGCTCAATAAGTTTTCACTGAACAAATAAATGAACAAATGGTCAAATGGAATGTTTTGCTATTATAGAGATATAGCCATTGTCTTTATACCCCTTCCAATTCTCGGACACCAGAACTATGTGAACTTCTACCCTAGACTCTCTAATGCTCCCCTCATTTCCAGACTGGTTGTGCAACCCTCCCCCATACCTTGCTTGGGCATCTCTCTCAGCCAGGAACCACTCTTGTTACTCCTCTTTGGCAGAGCAGCCCTTTGGGCAGCATTCCTGTGCTTCTTCCTGGCGTCAGAGCTCAGACACTAGTGAAATCACTTATCCGCTGCTTCATTAGCTATGGCTGCTACCTGGGATTCCACACAGTGCATCGTCCAACAGTATTGATCTCCTGTTTCAGGACCAAGCCGAACGATTTCACTTTCAACTGACTAATTGTGTAGGGAAAGGGCTTTAAAACAAGAAAGGAAAAATCCATTAAATTCTCTAAGACAAAACCTAGGTCATCCTGCTAAGTACTACAACCATACAGATGTGTTATTAAAACAGATGTTCATGCAGACAAGCCTAAACTGCTAACAAGATGGCCAACTCCCTGAGGATGCCTTGTTTTGTAAATGACTTCCTAGGTTTTTGTTTTTGGGGGGAGTGGGGAGAGAGGAGCCCGAGTCCATATTGGGAAACATTTCCATTCATTTTCCCCACTACGCTTTGGCTGTTGTCACAGGCTGGAGTAGATGGACATAGCCGGTGTCCTAAACAGGGAAGAGATTTAAGGACCATCCAGTTGCCCTATTATAAACTCATACAACTTTAAGAGAAAAGATTATCTAGGTTGAAGCTTTTTAGACTGTATTCCTTCAAGTTTCAGAGTTCTGGGAAGCTGTTTAAAGGGCTTTGGGGGAGTAAGGGTTGTTTTGGACTGAATGTGTCCCCACCCCCCTCACCTCCACAAATTTCTCATGTTGAAAACTAGTTCCCAATACAACGGTTTTAGAGCGGGGCCTTTTGGAAGTGATTAGGTCATGAGGGCATAGCCCTCATGAGTGGGATTAGTGCCCTTATAAGACGAGGCCAGACAGCTATTCCGCCATGTGAGAACACAATGAGAAGTGGGCGGTCTGCATCTGGAAGGGGGCCCTCAGCAGAACCCAATCATGCAGACTTCCTGTCTCCAGAACTGTGAAATTACTGTTGTTGATAAGGCACACAGTTTATGGTGTTTTGTTATAGCATCTGAATGGACTGAGACACAGGGGGAGCAGGGGAGCAGAGTTGGAAAGCTTGTGGCCTTCCATCCACCTCTCACCCACCCCTGCCACCATGATTTACCTCTTATATATGAATTATATAAGACTATATTTTAAAAAGAGAAAAAAAGATTTTCACTGCTTAAAAGTATGTTGGCTGGGCACAGTGGCTCATGCCTGTAATCCCAGTGGTTTGGGAGGCCAGTGAGGGCTGATTGCTTGAGCTCATGAGTTCGAGACCAGACTGGGCAACATGGTGAAACCCTGTCTCTACCAAAAATACAAAATTTAGCTGGGTGTGGTGGTGCACACCTGTAGTCCCAGCTACTAGGGAGGCTGAGGTGGAAGGATCACTTGAGCCTCCATGTCCCACGCTAGCATGGGCAACAGAGTGAGACCTTGTCTCAAAAAAACAAACAAAAAAAAGCATTTTATATTATAAATCTAGGCAGCACACATAGCGGTTATAATTGTTGGCTCTACTGCCAGACAGGTTTAAATCCCAGCCTTATTGCTTATTGGCTGTGACTGTGCCAAACCCTCTCACCGTTCCATGGATCAGGGCCTCTCTCACCCATGCAAGGATGTTGCTCCTGCCATCATTTCCTCTCTCTCTCCTGTAGCTTCCGTTTCTTCTTCCTAACTGAATCACCTCATCAACAGCTAAACATCTAGAAAGAAAGAAAGAAAGAAAGAAAGAAAGAAAGAAAGAAAGAAAGAAAGAAAGAAAGAAAGAAAGAGAGAGAAAAGAAAGAAAGAAAGAAAGAAAGAAAGAAAAAAAGAAAGAAAGAGAGAGAAAGAAAGAAAGAAAGAGAGAGAGAGAAAGGAAGAAAGAAAGAAAGAAAGAAAGAAAGAAAGAAAGAAAGAAAGAAAGAAATTGATTGATTCTCCTTTAATCATATACCTACCTCCTTCTACTAACTTTCCTCTCTTCTGGCTCCAGCTCCATGTAAATTACCTCTGAGACCTTCCCTGTGTGCCCTAAAAGAGAATCTTCTGTCCCCTTTACAACAAAACTCTTCAAAAGAATTGTCCATCATTCTGTCTCCACTTCCTCATCCCCCATCACCTCTTGAATCCACTCTATAGAAACTGTTCTTGTGAAGGTTACTGTAATAGGGTTTTCCAGCAAAATGAATTCATGGTGGGCCATCTTTTGATCCATGTTTCAGCCAGCCAACCAAACAAAGTGTTAGAGCCCCTTCTACCTCCCTGAGCTGTGACATTAAATATAGAATCTCTGCTTAATTGGCCATCTTAAGATGTTTGGCCTGATCCAGCTTTATATTCCTTCCCTTATCCCACACCTTTAAGATTCATTCCCCGTATGTCATGAATTTCTGCTGGCATAAGTTAGAAACTCAAGGTCTTTGGGACTGTAGCATACTTCCTTATGCGACCCACTTTGTAGCTCACCTTTAGGGGCTTGATAGGATTCAAGTCGAGTTATAGGTCCAGAACCAAAAAAAAAAAACAAAAACGGGGGGGTGGTGGGAGCGAGTCCTGAGAAGCATCATGGTGTCTTGTTGGCGGCTGCCTCAGGGAAGGCCATTATTGTTTTCTCAGGTGATGCAGGATTATTCCCCTCAGACAGTGGGGAAAAGACCAATACCTCTGAGGGGGCCACTTCCATTGTGGGTAGGGAGGCCACTTTACTGGCAAAAAGGACTTATCTGATTTTTTTTTAACTTAATTTTATTTTTTTTGAGACAGGATCTCACCCTGTCACCCAGGCTGAAATGTAGTGGTGCGATCTCAGCTCACTGCAGCCTCAGCTTCCCAAGCTCAGGTGATTCTCCCACCTCAGTCTCCTGAGTAGTGGGGACTGCAAGCCACATACCACCATGCCTGGCTAATTTTTGTATTTCTTATAGAAATGGGGTTTTGCCATGTTGCCCAGGCTGGTCTCGAACTTCTGGGCTCAAGCGATTGGCCCACCCCGGCCTCCCAAAGTGCTAAGATTACAGATGTGAGCCACCATGCCCAGCTTCATCTGAATTTAAGAGGTGAATATCCCCAGCTTTATTAGGGTCTTCTCAGTATCCTCATCCCATTTATAGGATCTTTCCCAACCAATGCTGTCACTTTACCAGTAGACACCATTCAAGGCTGATAATTCACCTGTCGTTGTAACTCAACCAATCACATGATGAGGACTTGTGTTTCATTTTCAGCAATTTCAGCCCTGTGGCTACAGGATAGAAGATTCTCCTTTAGGGCACACAGGGAAGGTCTCAGAGGTTATTCACATGGAGCTGGATCCAGAAATTTGAATCCCTGAGTACATTCTTTTCATTCATCACTTTATCCAGCTACATTAGGAGCAACCAACCAATATCACTATATTCCTTAGTTTTCTATGAATGATTGGAAATATCATATCCAAGGTCACTAAGTTCCTTGCCTTTTATAAGTGATTAAGAGTACCCAATGCAGATTGTGTACAAACAATTCACACCATGAACTATCAATGTCTCTGTACTATTGGAAATAGATCCTTAAAATTCTTAAGTCTAGTCATATTGGAGAGCCAATTCCAGAAACCTCAAACCCAGTCGAGGAAACTCATCCTTAAAATTCTGTTCCCCTAGAACCACTCCTGATACCAAAATCTCTATTAGGCAGGGTTCTCCAGAGAAACCAATAGGATATGGAGAGAGAGAGGGAGAGAAATAGACGAAAGGGGATTTATTAGGGGAATTGGCTCATGCAATTAAGAAGGCTGAGATGTCCCATGATAGGTCATCTGCAAGCCGGAGAACAGGTGAGCTGGTATCATGGCTCAATCCATACCCAGAGGTCTCAGAACCAGGGGAGCTAATGGTGTGACTCTCAGACTGAGACTGAAGGCCTGAGAACCTGGAGGGCCACTGGTGCATGTCCCACAGTCCAAAGACCAAAGAATCTGGAGTTCCGATATGAAAGGGGAGGAGAAAAAGTGTGTCCCAGTTCCAGAAAAGAATTTGCCTTTCCTCTGTCTTTTTGTTCTATCTGGGCCTTCAGCGCATTATACAGTGTCCACCCACACTGGGTGAGAGCGGGTCTTCCTTACTTAGTTCACTGTTTCAAGTGCCAGTCTCTTCTGGAAACAACCTCACAGACACATTGAGAAATAATGCTGTACCAGCCGTCTGGGTAGCCCTTAAGCCAGTCAAGTTGACACATAAAATTAACCCTCACAGATCTCCATTGGCCTCCATGTTTCAAATCCATTGGTCAATTCCCAGCCTCACTTTATTTTACCTATCAGTAGCAATGGACATAGGTCAGCATATCATGTTTTATGAAAAAATTTTTTCACTTAGTTTCTACCACCCCATATTTTCTGCTTTGCTTCTTACATCACAGACTACTTTTTCAGTCTCTTTTCCTACCTCCTCCTCCTCTTCCTGAGTCCTAATGGTTAATAGGCTTCAGGCCTTTAGCCTCACTCCTCAGGCCTCTTCTCTTCTTGCTGTAATCATGCCAAAGTAGTCTCACCTAGTACGATAGGCCTAAATCATCTATGTGTTTATACTTCCCATATTCATATATAGAGCTCCAAATGCTCCTCTGCTCAATAGACTTATTTATCTGCTTGCCCACTTGACATCTCTACTTGAATATGTAAATGACCTTCTGCAACTTAATAGGTCCCAAACTAAACTCTTGGCTTCCCTCCTCCTCCAAACATGCTCCTTCCAACACTTTCCCCATCAGTAGATGGCGTGAGTACTCAAACCAAAACCCTTAAAGTCATTCTTAATGTCCTCTTCCCCCCAGCACACATCCACTACATTTAATCCATTGGTAAATATGATTGACTCAAACTTCAAACTATATCCCAGATGTAGCTACTTCTCACCATCTCCATTGTTAGCATCTGATGCAAACTGCTATATTCCTTCCAGATATTAGTGCAACATCTGCCAAACTGGTCTCTCTTCCACATCTACCCACTCTGTGTCACATTGCTCCCCTAATTAAACCCTCTAATGGGTTCCAAATGACAAGAAAAACATTCAAAATACTTACTGTGAACTAAAAAGTCCTCCGTGGCCAAAGCTTCAAATGCACCTCCTTCCTCTCACCTTCCCCTCTGCAGTCTTCTGTGAGGCCCCAGAATGCGCTCTGCTGCCACACAGCCCATTAGCTTACCCCCAAAAAAGGCTGACCCTCACTCAGTATAGCAACTCACCATCAGAATGAGCCAAACAAAGGAATAAATATATCCCCTCTGGGCCCTGACATAATGGGGAAGCTTAATCCTCAGCTTGGTAAATGCCACAGCCACAACCATGACCAGCTGAATCTTCAAGGCAGATCAAATGACTTTCAGGGATGGTTCTGAACAAGTCCCAGCTGGAGGGCCAAGCAGTTTTGTGAAAGACCGACTTTTCTATACAACAATTATGAAAATTCTCTTCCTCGCAATAATTCTTTGCATTTGACCACTGTCCATAGCTGAGGCTTGGAGAAAGTCCCATGGTGAGGAAAAGGAATTGCTAAAGTGGCTTAGGATTTCCGGCTTTCACAAGTTATCATCTTCAAGCTTACAGTCTGTCTCTTCCCCTGTGATCTGGGGTCTTTGTGACCTCAAGATAACTGACTTCTAGATTAGCCTCAAGACTTCCCCACTCTGACTTCTCTCACAGCCACCTAAGGTTTTACTGACATGCCTCAGCCCTGCCCCGTCCAGGCTCAGCCCCAGAGGTGTTGAGAGTTAGACATTTATCATACCTAATAACTTAAAAAAAAAAACTGGCTATTTTGAAATCATGAAGATATAGGTACCTTTAGGGGTGATATTTGCCAATTTCATGGTAAATACATTAGTGTATTTCTTGCCAGTTCACAGTACATGAGTAAAGGTGATGTCTGAGATTAAGAGGCAGTTGTTTGCTATCAGAACAAAGCAAGTTAACTACTACACAAATAAAAATAAAATGATCCTGATACTACATAACAAGTACTGAAGCTGGGAAGCCAAATTCAAGCTCAGGCTCAAATTCAGTTTCCTTACAAATCTTACTCAAATTTGTGCTCATCCACCTTTTGGGCATATACAAATTCTTACCTCTACATTGCCACGGAAAATCTCTCAGAGAAGACCTCAAGTTTGGCCAATCGATCCAGGTTAATGGCTTTGATATTGAAACCCTGGAATCCAGCTAGCAGTCATTAAATCAGAAAACAGTAACAAAGAAATAAATAAAATAGTCGAGAAACTTGTAACTATTGCAATATAAATTTAAAAAAAAAACAAACGAATCTTTACTTCCATGAATCTCAAAGTGGCATTTTTGAGGATGAAATCATTGAACTTCGCAAGCCTTACCTTGACTTGAACATGAATCATTCCAACACATCTCTAAGCAGCTGTCAGTTACTCTAATTTCCACCATGCAGAGAAAGAAATTGAGGTATCTCACAGAGGTAGGGTGCCTAACTCACAGCCACACGGCAAATTGTGGGCAAAATTAGAATCAGAATCCCAGCCAACTAATCTGTGATTATGGAATCAATCTGCCAAATGATGCAAGATGTAATTAAATAAACGCCTATGCACATGGCACTGTGCATTTAGTAGGCGCTCAATAAATTTCATGGAATGAGTGAATGAAAACAAAATGCAAAACAAATATGTTACACTATGACCTTAACCAAGTGTGCTATACTAAGTTCCTAAAGAAAGAAGATTAGAACTGGCATACACAGGAAAAACCTAGAGGGATACTATCTATATCTAATGTCAGTTCTGCCTCCTTTCCTGAGAACAAGATCCGTTTGCCCATCAATCCAAGCAGATTCATCCTTCTTCCAGTTACTGAGCGAACTTACACAAGTGAGCTTTTTTTTATGCCATGTTAAGGGTTGGCTACTTCTCTCCCCTGAAACTTCAGGGAAGTAGGAGGAAGTCCAGAGACCACCAAGAAAAGAGCACTTTTAAATTCAGATATTGTAAACATGCTGTGTCTTTTCCTTCTTAATTGTTGCTTTGGTGTTTTGCTATGTTTCAGTGACTGCCTGAAACTGTATGGCTGTTATTACCAGTTATGCCAAAAAAAATCATAAGTTCCTTTAGAAGCTGACAGATAATATATCCTGTGTGGATCTTTCCTGGGTGGGGGGGACCTTTCTGGTGCTAAAGTGTCACATGACCATAAATACTCCTTGGCTACACCTTTAATTTTTTTTTTTTTTTTTTGGTTTTGTTTTTTTTGAGACAGGGCCTGGCTCTGTTGCCCAGGCCAAAGTGCAGTGGCTTGATCTCAGCTCACTGCAACCTCTTCCTCCCAAGCTCAAGCCATCCTCCCACCTCAGCCTCCCTAGAAGCTGGGACCACAGCCACCACACCTGGCTAATTTTTGTAATTTTTATAGAGACGTGGTCTCACTTTATTTCCCAGGCTGGTCTTGAACTCTTGAGCTCAAGCAATCCACTCACCTCAGCCTCCCAAAGTGCTGCGATAACAGGTGTAAGTGACTGTGCCCAGCCTAAACTATTAAATGTGATGGCTATCCAGTGATATACTTTGACATTCTTTCTGTTGTTGTTTTGATTTTTTAGTAATGGAATATTTTATTGTATTATTTTTATTTATTTATTTATTATCATTATTACTGAGACAGGGTCTCACTCTGTCACCCAGTCTAGAGTGTAGTGGCGTGATCACAGCTCACTCATGATCATGGCAGCCTCAACCGTCCTGGGCTCAGGTGATCCTCCTGCCTCAGCCTCTCAAGTAGCTGGACTACAGGTGCCTGCCACCATGCTTGACTAATTGTCATCGTTTTTCATAGAGATGGGGTTTCACCATGTTGCCCAGGCTGGTTTTGAACTCCTGGACTCAAGCCATCCTCCTGCCTCAGCCTCCTGAAGTGCTGGATTACAGGTGTGAGCCACCATGCTCGGCTATTTATTTATTTATTTATTTATTTATTTTTAAAGAAACAAGGTCTCCCTCTGCCACCCAGACTGGAGTGCAGTGGCACATTCATGGCTCACTGAAACCTTGAACTCCTGGGCTTAAGCAATCCTCCTGCCTCAGCCTCCCCAGTAGCTGTGACTACAGGTGTGCACTACCACACCTCGGTAATATTTTTTTTAATTTTTTTAAAGACAGGATCTTGCTCTGTTGCCCACACTGGAATGCAGTGGCTCTATCATAGTTCACTGTAACCTCAAACTTCTGGGCTCCAGTGATCCTCCTGCCTCAGCCTCTCAAGCAGTCTGTAGGCACAGACTACCATGCCCACTTAACTTTAAAAAAAAAATTGTAGAGACAGGGTCTTTCTGTGTTGCCCAGGCTGGTCTCAAACTCCTGGACTCAAGTGGCTGTTCTACCTCAGCCTCCTAAAGTGCGGGGATTACAGGCATGAGCCACCACACTCAGCCAAATGGCATTTTTTTTTTTTTTTGAGACAAAGCCCCTCACTGTCACCCAGGCTGGAGTGCAGTGGCGGGATCATGGCTCACTGCAACCTCTGCTTCCCGGGTTCAAGCAATTCTCCCACCTCAGCCTCCCGAGTAGCTGGGATTACAGGTGCCCACAACCACGCCTGGCTAATTTTTTGTACCAAATGGCATTTTTTAAGCAAACATTTTGGAAACTCCTTTTGGACATTTATCTGGTAATATGTAGAGGATCTATGTTTTTTGGTCCTCTTTTCACCAAAAAAGTGGTCCCTTGCAACTTCTTCCTCATAATGTGGAACCATGATAATTTCCTCAACCAGACTTGACGTAGTTGACCAAAAATAATCCCCACTGAAGAACAAATTACCTTGCATTGTGAGTAGGTTATCATCATAACCTAAAACAAAAGAAGGTATTAAGCCCTCTGGAAAACTAAAGAAAACTCAATGGACTACGGGGAGAAAAGCATTCTGCTGGTTCTTCCCTGTCCAGAAACCTTTGAGATCCGCTTGCTAATCACCTGTGTTCCAGTGAACATTTTCTAACAAACCTTATTAGGCTGAAGCGAGAGCTACATAATAACAACAACGACAACAAAAACTCTTAATTTAGCTGTTAGCCAGATTTTGTTTTGTTGGGTGCTTTACTGGAAGATTTATGGGAGCTTTTTATATCTGGTTTTATAGTTTCATAATCAAACTAATTGCTGTTAATTGATTTAGGATGTATTGGGGTGAACATAAAGCAAGCATCAGGAAGAATTAAATACAGTGTGGGCAGTTTGAGAATGGGAGTGAAGCTGGGAGACTTTTTGCAAAATAACAGTGGCATTTTCAATGGTTATTCAGCATTTTGTGCTTTTCTCAAATTTTGCTCAGTGAAGACTAATTTAGTGGGGATTTACTGGCTCTTAAAGGAAAGCCATAATAATTTCAGAAATGGGTTGCCTTCCAGGACTCTCCCTGCTGACTTAGTGCATCCAGCCTGTGCTCCAGGAGAATGGGCAGCAGAGTGAAGGTAGGGATCCCTTGGAAGGACACAGTGAGCCCAGCCACAGATGGCTGATGTCCATGGAGAGAGCAGCCTATATTTAATCAGGCATCTCGGAGTTGAGGAGTCTATGATTCAGATTCTATTTGTGGAAATAGACTGCATCAGAGTAAAAGGATGTATGAGGCTTTGCTACCCTGGTCCTGTCCCACCCCTGACACTCAAGGGGCTAGCTAGAATATTCAGTCCACAGCTCCACAATCCCCTGAGCCACTTCAGTGATTACCTTCCGTAATCATGTTCTCTCCAAGCCTCAGCTATGGACAAGTGATCAAATGCACAAAATGTTTGTGAAAAGTATATGTGATCATGTATGTGGGAATGCTTTGTGAAACCATAAAGTAGAGTAAAATGAAAGACATGACGCCGAGGAAGATAATTTTTATAACTGCTATATAGAAAAGTCAGTCTTTCACGAAACCTCTTGGCCCTCCAGCTGGGACTTGTTCAGAACCATTCCTGAAAGTCCTTTGATCTGCCTTGAAGATTGAGCTGGTCACGGTTGTGGCTGTGGCATTTACCAAGCTGAGGATTAAGCTTCCTCATTATGTCAGGGCCCAGAGGGGACATATTTATTCCTTTGTTTGGCTCATCCTGATGGTGAGTTTCCTACACTGAGTGAGGGTCAGCCTTCTTTATAGGTGAGCTAATGGGCTCTGTGGCAGCAGAGCGCGTTCTGGGGTCTCACAGAGGCGCTGAAGAATCAAAGCTGTGCCTGCTCCCAGGAGGAGAAATGGTTGGGACCCTGACCTACTGGGAAAGCTTCCAGCAAAGCTAATAGCATCAGGTCCCTGCCCTTCCCTTGCTGATTCAATCGCAGTTGCATTCTCTTGGCAGATCCAACAACTATGCCTTGTGAAAAACAGCTGTCCAGTCCCACTCATGAGGGAGACTCTATCACTGAGAGCTACAAAGTCAGACTGCAGTGGAAGCACCTAAGAAAACATTTTAGTCTCATGTTGTCCAAATATGCATATAGATACAGTATAGAAGTTAATACGTCAGTTTTTTTCTTGGTGGGTGATGGTGAACAAGTTGCTGGTTCTTGTTTTTCTATTTGTAGATTGAGGAAACTGCCTATAAAATCCTTGAGGAGAAGCCTGCTGTAAATACAAAGCATTTTTATTATTGCATCACTGCAGACAGTGTTATCACTTCTTTTCTTCAACACGTGTAACCTCCCACAAAGAATAAGGCTATTTGCTAGATTAGATGCCACTTTTGGTGACAGGTCAGAGAAAGAAGCTGGGTTTGATGCGGACTGACAGGTTCGTAAATTTGGTTTCTAATTTTATGTATTTATTTCTTTTAGAGAAAAGAGGGAGAGAGGGAATACTCAGAGCCATGAAATCATTAAAACCAATTCCCTTTCTCTCCCCAGCCCTCCCTTTCTCTGAGTGTGCGTGTGAAACAATCTTTGCAGCTACAGAGCCATCCGATGGTATTGATCCAGATGTGGAAATTGGTATTGACTGCTGCTGCGGCTCTGTGCACTTCCCCGGCTTTTAAAGACACAGCATATAGGTGATTTCACTTTGCACATGACAAAGCTCTGGAGACATTTGCTGAAACAAACTAAATAATACAAATTAAAAATCGGGTTTTATATCTTACTCCCTCACTTAAACGAAATGAGAAGACAAAGAGCTTCCAAACGATGACATTAAAAAGGAAAGTGTGATGCACCTTTCCAAGAAGAAAGAACAATTTGTTTGCACGTTAATTTCATCCTGACCACTGGTAAATGTCTAAGTACAGCCTCAATGTTGTTAAAATCCTTAGAGGACCTGAAAGCTTAATGGCAAGTGTGGTCTGTGAGTCAGAGATGTTGTAGTAGTTCTCTATTGCTGCTCTAAAAAATTATCACAAACTTAGCGAAGTAAAACAACACAGATTTACTGTCTTATAGCTCTGTAGGCTGGAAGTCCAATATCATTCTCACTGGATGAAAATTAAGGTGTTGGCAGTCTTTGTTCTTTCTGGAGTTTTTACGGGAAAATCTGTTTTCTGCTCAGTTCAGATTGGTGACAGAATTCAGCTCTTTGTGGTTGGAGGACTGAGGTCTGAGCTTCAGGAGGCTGTGACACTCCTTGGCTTGTACCTCTTTTTCCATCTTCAACGCCAGCTTCTGGCATCTTTCTGGCCAACTCTTGTTTTCATCATTTTTAAGGACTCTTGTGACTATGCTGGATTGACCAGAATAACACAGGATAATGTCCCCCATCAAGGTTCTTCACCTTAATCGGGTTTAATAATTCCCTGTTGCCATGCAAAGTAACATATTCACAGGTCCTGGGCATTGGAATATGGGCATGCTTGGGAAAAAAGAGTTGGCATTATTCTGCCTACGGCAAATGTCATGGTTCTATGCTACTTTCAACTCTGTTTCAGGACAGGCTAGCAGAGATTTTTTTTTTCCTTAAAAACTAACACTTGATTTTTAATAATAGACAGCAATGTTATTCATGCATTGTTTGTGAGCACTTCCACAATGGATGTACATTCACACAATGGATAGAACCGTCGGCCACTTTTTTTTTTTTTTGAGACAGAGTCTTGCTCTGTCACCGAGGCTGAAGTGCAGTGGTGCAATCTCAGCTCACTGCAACCTCCACTTCCCAGGTTCAAGCAATTCTCGTGCCTCAGCCTCCCCAGTAGCTGAAATTATAGGCTCCCACCACCACGCCTGGCTAATTTTTGTATTTTCAGTCGGCCTGGCTAATTTTTGTATTTTCAGTCGAGACGGGGGTTTCACAATGTTGGCCAGGCTGGTCTCGAACTCCTTACTTCAGGTAATCCACCAGCCTCAGCCTCCCAAAGTGCTGGGATTACAGGCGTGAGTGACCGCACACGGCCAATCGGCCACTTTTAATACCATGCTCTGGTCAGGCATGGTGGCTCATGCCTATAATTCCAGCACTTTGAGAGGCTGAAGCAGGAGGATCATGTGAGGCCAGGAATTTGACACCAGATTGGGCAACATAGTGAGACCTTTCTCTACAAAAAATAGAAAAAAAATTAGCCAGGCATGGTGGCATGCACCTATAGTCCTATCTGCTCAGGGGGCTGAGGCAGAAGGGTTGGTTAAGCACAAGAGTTCAAGGTTACAGTGAGCTCTGATCTCACCACCGCACCCCAGCTTGGGTGACAAAGCGAGATCCTGTCTCTGAAAAAAAAAAAAAAAAAGTTCTTATATCAAACCTTAGCCTCCCCATCCCCAAATGCTAATCTGTTGAAAAAAATTTTTTTTGCTACATTAGTCTTAGAATACCACGGTGAACACAACATAGTCTGGTTCTCCAGAGGCTCACAGTTAGGAGAAACATGGGTCAGGTAATTACAATGCAAGAAAAACTCATCCTGCTATTGCAGATGATATAAAAGAGCCAGACCCCTCAGCAACAAGCAGTGCTGGGGTGTATAACTGCCTTCCCAGCACCTCCTTGAGAGGGAGATACTTTCAGTTCTGTTTTACAGATTGCTAAATTAAGATTACAAACTAGGTCATCTGCTGCCCAACCTCATGGTGGCAGATGGGAGCATGGTGCTAGGTGTCAAGAGCTCCAATTCTAGTCCTGTTCACACCTTGAGAATGGCTTCCCACAGGACAGCATGCATCCTGGGCAGAGATTTTTCACTTGCCCGTATTTATTTAGACATTTCTGAAATCATCCTTTCTGTGTTCTTCAGGGGACTGTGATGCTGTAGCCTGTCTACTATAATCCCAGCCCAGGGCAAGTCTGTCTCACTGTTGCTTATGCCTGCAGACAAACTCATCATCTGTTTTTAGCCCATCACAGGGTATGGGCCCCTTGGCTGAGAGTCCACTGTCAGCCTGAATGGCTAATTGAGACCTCCCGTGTGCTGAGCTGGTGCAGATGGCCATGAATGCAACACTGTTAGACACGGAGGGAAGGCAAAGCATCATGAATATTTAATCAGATATAAGTAAATATTAATGAAACAATTGTCTCTTTAAATGGTTAAATTACTTTCCATGCTCCAGTCCATTTTTATTTCACCATGGCACACACACATACACACACAAATTATACATTTTTCATCTATGCTAGTAATTTCCAATTTGGTCTTTTTAATGTGGAAATCCCCATTATACTAAATCTAAGTCTTCCTGAATTCATTCCTGAAGTTGAAAAAAGCATGATTCTGCCCTGAAATGTATACTTCACAACTTACTGGATTCCAATGACATGCCTGAGTCTTGTCTACTCTGATTTCATGGCACAAAGCCGTGCATGCCATCGGGAGGCAGGAAACCTTAACTCGAGCTCATGTGTGGTAATTGCTTTATTCTGCATGAACTCGCTCTAATTCCCCCCAAAACAAGAGAGAAGCTTAATCTTGCAATATTAATGACTACATTGTTTACTCCTCTGGTATTACCTGGTAAGTTGTCTGGGATGTCTTTGGATATCTCTTCCTTTAATTATATTTCTCTGTGTTAGTTTTCAACAAGACAATCAATGAGTTTTCTACTCTTATTTTTCAATATCTTCTCCTTGAGCTAGTCTTTCTTCCCTCAACATTTTTGAAAGTTTATTCAGATTAAATTGTGTCTCCTTAGAATTCTTTTGACCATTGTTCATCTTTCTTTCACACTGTAAAATTGTCTTCCTTCTTTAATGTTCTCTTGCCTGAATCTACTCTTTCATTTTTTAATTGACTTTTTAATTCCTGAATTTCAGATTATCCTTTTTATGCCTCTTTGTTTAGTCTCTTATGTCAAACGGAACCATCTCTCTTAACATTACTGAAACAGGACAGGCATGGTGGCTTATGCCTGTAATCCTAGCAATTTGGGAGGCTGAGGCAGGAAAATTGCTTTAAGCCAGGAGTTTGAAACCAGCCTGGGCAACATAGTGAAACCCCACCTCTACAAAAAAAAAATTAAAAAATGAAAATTAGCTGAGAGTGGTGGTGCACACCTGTAGATCTAGCTACTTGGGAGGCTGAGGTGGGAAGATATCCTGTGTCCAGGAGTTGGAAGGCTGCAGTGAGCTATGATTACACCACCGTACTCTAGCCTGGGTGACAAAGGGAGACCTTGTCTCTAAAAGAAACAAACAACAACAAAATGAACATTACTGAAATGTCCCAGAATCTCTTATCCTACTTCTAAACTCTAACCTTTCTCTTTCCTCTCAGTCGTTGGTTATCACAGCAGTGTCTTTTGTCACCTTTTAAATGTGTCTAAAACTAATTTCCTAATTTTCCTTTCATAATCAAGTGACTTAATGGCCTTGCAACCTTTTTTCTATCCACTCTCTCCAGCTATTGTGCTATTGAACACACCTTGTCCTCCAGCAAGGATAGAATAATTGGATCACAGACATGAAAGAGTTCTTTTCCTCAGGCAAATCCAATCTATTTTAAAGCCAATATTAAATAAATCTTTGAACCTTCTCTGCAAATAAAGAGCCTTCTCTGGCCAGGCACGGTGGCTCACACCTGTAATCCCAGTGCTTTGGGAGGCCTAGGTGGGCAAATCACCTGAGGTCAGGAGTTTGAGACCAGCCTGGCCAACATGGTGAAATCTCGTCTCTGCTAAAAATACAAAAAATTAGCCAGGCGTCATGGCACACACCTGTAATCCCACCTACTTGGGAGGCTGAGGCAGGAGAATCACTTGAACCTAGGAGGCGGAGGTTGCAGTGAGCCAAGATCACGCCGTGGCACTCCAGCCTGGGTGACAGAGTTGAGACTGTCAAAAAAAAAAAAAAAAAAGGACCTTCTCTAAATTCCATAATCACATTTTATAAGTCATTCAAATTTTTTATCAATCTTACCACCAAAGTGGTATATATACTGTACATAGGGATATCTATATCTCTAAATAAAACATGCATATCCTGGCCACATGCCGTGGCTCACCCCTGTAATCCCAACACGTTGGGAGGCCGAGGTGGGTGGATCATCTTAGGTCAGGAGTTCAAGACCAACCTGGCCAACATGGTGAAACCCCCATCTCTACTGAAATACAAATATTAGTTGTGTGTGGTGGCGCATGCCTGTAATCCCAGTTACTCAGGAGGCTGAGGCAGGAGAATCGCTTGAACCCAGGAGTCAGAAGCTGCAGCGACCTGAGATCATGCCACTGCACTCCAGCCTGGGTGACAGAGCGAGACTCCATCTCCAAAAACTAAAATTAAGAAAATAAAACATGCATATCCCTATATATATTGCTACATAATATATATTAGAAATATATATACACACAAATATATATTATACATTTATATATTGTATACAATATATAAATATTTATATGCAAATATATATTGTAATATATATTATACATATAATATATATAATAAAGCAGTTACTCAAATTTGGGTCCCTGTCAGCATTCTATGAAGGAAAAGCTGCTGCAGCCATTTGTATATTTAAGAGCAGCATTCTAAGAGGGAAGAAGTGGAGGAAGATCTCCTGATTTGTTTTCTTATTTTGCATGAAAAGCAGACTCCCTTGCCACAACCTTCCTAATTTAGCTCCTAACCTATCGCCCTCACCTCTCCCTGTTCCCCTAGTGCTCATCACTTCCTATAACCATGTCCAAACTGAGGCAACAACAACAGCAACAAAAAAGGAAATCCAACTAGCTTGCTAACTAGCTGCTAGTGCATCAATAGTTGTTTGACACAGGACAAGTCACTTGAAATGTTCCTCATCTATAAAAACCTAGACCTAAACAGTAGATTTGGGATGTTTTCAACTTCAAAGTTAAGAAATTTTCCTCAAACGAACTTGTACACAGAAACCTCCAGTACAAAATAGACACAGTAGAAGTTCTTTGGTGAAGAACAGAGAACCCCATGTTCCTGACAGCCTGGGCTGCCTCACCAACACCTCACAGGCTGTCCCTGCCAGAGAACTCCTGGGTTCCTCTGAGAGTATTCCACAGAAACTACCGGACCAGACAAAAATGGATGCCAGTTTTAATATTCTGCATTTCTATAAAAATAGTGAAGCTTGGAAATAATAACACACAAACATTTAAAGACATAATTCACTTTTTGGAATAGAATTCCCAGCAAGTTATTTCTAAACTAGGTCCACACTTCAGAGTTGTTTCATCTGTAGTTCTGACTGGTTCTGAGTCATTCAGCATCAGCACCTAATATTCTTGTTTTCTACTGCTGTGTTTCTCCCTCTCTTCTCCTTTTCTTTCAATAAACTTCATTGCTCAATGCTCACTCTGTGCCGTACACTGTGCCAGATGCTTTTATATCATGTAAGTTTCTCTCAAGTACTATAGTTCATTTGATCTTAAAGAGGAAATTATACTTGATTTTAGATGCAAGAGGAAAACTGCTTAATTAAATGAACACTGTGTCCCATCTTTTAATAAAATAAAATAAAATAATCTAATATTTGCAGAAGAACAATAAGAATAATTATTTCCCAAAGCATATGCTTGTTCAGTGTGGATGAAAAGAACATCATGGTCATGCTTTGTAATAGAGTTTCAATGTCCTTTGCCTTAGGAGTGAATTTAAGGAATATCTAAAGTATCATTCTCACCATCTCTGCCTTCTCTTATATAATAGGATAAAAATCACTGTCTTGAGTTGTTTAACAAATTATCCATGTATTAAGGAACTGCCAGACTCTGAATGAGGTGAGGTGATGCAAAGGCTAATAATACATAGTCAAGACACAAATATCTAATTATTGTGAAGCATCATGAATATAATAATAGTGATATGGACAAACCTACTAGGGACACACAATAGTGATATGGACAAACCTAATAGGGACACACAATAGTGATATGGACAAACCTACTAGGGACAAACAAAGGAGGCGGCAATTTTTTTTGTCTTAGAGAAAGAAAGACCCAGGAACAATTCACAGAGGACATAACATTGGAGTCTACAAAGATGGGTGATACTTCACCAGCATGGTCTTGGCAACGGGAACAGTGGCTCAAAGGCACAGAGCTAGAAAGAACAAGGCCCAAGGTCAAAGCACAGGGTATGTGGCATGTAGCCACAGACAATGAGGAAAAAATGTTATGGGTGAATTGTAAGGTATCTTACCGTATTCTAGCCTACAGACAATAAGGAAGATTTTTAACCAAGCAAAAGGCATAATCAGATCTGTTTTTTAGAAAGATTACTCTGTCTGGGCCGGGCGGGGTGGCTCACACCTGTAATCCGAGAACTTTGGGAAGCCGAGGCAGGTGGATCACAAGGTCAGGAGTTCGAGACCAGCATGACCAACATGGTGAAACCTTTCTCTACTAAAAAAAAAAAAAAAAGGAAGATTACTCTGTCTGCATTATGAAGAATGGCTGAATTTGAGGGTGGAAAAAGTGGAATTGGAGTAGGGGTTAATTCAATAGTCTCAATATGAGATATTTCAGAACTGAAACATATGGATTCTAGTGACATATTAAAGCTATGCAGAGCATGGTGTGGTGGCTCATGCCTGTAATCCCAGCACTTTGGGAAGCCAAGGTGGGCGGATGACTTGAGCCCAGGAGTTTGAGACCAGCCTAGCCAACATGATGAAACCCCATCTCTACAAAAACACACACACACACACACACACACACACAAATTAACCAGGTATGGCGGTGCTTGCCTGTGATCCCAGCTACTCAGGAGGCTGAGACGGGAGAGGGTTGCCTGAATCTGGGAGGTGGAGGTTCCACTGAGCCAAGATCACGCCACTGCACTCTAGCCTGGGTGACAGACTGAGACCCTGCCTCAAAAAAAAAAAAAAAAAAAAGCCTATAGTACTATAGTATGTTTAAACTGAGACATGCAGAAGACCCTGTTCATACCTTATTGGATATGTCTTAACACAAGCAAGCAATACCCAAAGAAGTGAGTCATGGGAAGGAGCCATTCCCTGGTACTAGCAACAGAGCTGGTCTTCGTACAGACCACATGAGACCCTCTTCCATCTCAGCCTCCTGAGTAGCTGGGACCACAGGTGAGAACCACCATACCTGGCTAATTTTTGTGTATATATATATATATATATATATGGTTTGTTTGTTTGTTTGTTTTTCTATAGAGATGGGGTTTCTTCATGTTGGCCAGGCTGGTCTCAAACTCCTGGGCTCAAGTCATCCGCCCACCTTGGCTTCCCAAAGTGCTGGGATTACAGGCATGAGCCATCACACCCAGCTCTTCATAGCTTTAATATGTCACTAGAATCAATATTTTTTATTTCTGAAATTCCCATGTGGTCAGAGTTTGGCAAACTGAACCAAGATGCATGAAAGAAACATGTTACAGAACTAAGACACCTTAAAATTCCTCCTCATTAGAGCAGAATTAACCTGGGAATCTGCAGTTGGGAAGTCAGTTAGTATTTGCTGGGGCTCAGATACTTGAGATAGGAGTTAGGCAGGACTTGTTTCTCAAGACACAGGTCACAAAGACCCCACTGCTTGAATAGGATGTGGTAAAGAGGCCAGCCAAAACCAGCCAGAATCAAGACGGTGAAGAAAGCACCTCTGGTCGTCTTCACTGCTCATTATATGCTCATTATCATGCATCAGCATGCTAAAAAACACTCTGACCAGTGCCATGACAGTTTACAAATGCCATGGCAACATCCAGAAGTTACCCTATATGGTCTAAAAAGAGGAGGAACCTTAGTTCCAGGAATTCTCTGCCCCTTTCCCAGAAAACTATGACTAATCCACCCCTGTAGCATATGATCAAAAATAACCATAAAAATAGCCAACCAGCAGCCCTCAGAGGTACCCTGCCTATGAGTAGCCAACATTTTATTCCTTTACTTTTTAATAAACTTGATTACACTTTACTCTGTTGGCTCAATCTTTTTTCCTGTGTGAAGCCAAGAACCCATGCGGCCTCCTGGGCTGAGCCCCAATTTTGGGGTTCACCCTGTGACAAACTTACACCCCAAAATATGGCACTTTGAAGCCTCAAGGTGTCTCTAACCTTCCCCCTGCCTCCAAAGCACAGTATGACAGCTGAAGTTCCTTTACACCCCTAAGATCCAGACCCACCAAAAGGAACAGTAGTTTTTTTCTTCTCCTCTCTGTAAGACCAAGAACATAACCACACTTGAACAGACCCTTTCACAAGATTAATCTACAAGTTACAAGTTAATCTCTGTTCCCTGATCCATTCATTCTTCCTACTAATCCCCTTAACAGAATCACTCTTCTCTCCTGCCCACCATAACCTCTTTTTCCAAGATTCTATATAAGCTTCTGAACCCACTGCAGGGTGGGCAATCACTCTGTGTTTCTCCCGTGAGCACATTAATCAAATGTGTACATGTTTTCTCCAATTAATCTGCATTTTGTGAGTCGATTTCTCAAAGAAAGTTCAGAGGATGAAGGGGAGGTTTCCCTTGGACCCTACATATTAATGGGGGAGGGAAGTGAAGGGGCAGGGCCAAGACAGGGACTGGCAGGTGGAATGAGACATCATATCTTTTTTGTTTGTTCATTTGTTTTTGTTTTTTTGAGACGGAGTCTTGCTCTGTCGCCAGGCTGGAGTGCAGCGGCGCGATCTCCGCTCACTGCAACCTCTGCCTCCTGTGTTCAAGAGATTCTCCTGCCTTAGTAGGAGCACAAGTAGCTGGGACTACAGGTGCGTGCCACCACTCCTGGCTAATTTTTGTATTTTTAGTAGAGATGGGGTTTCACTATGTTGGCCAGGATAGTCTCAATCTTTTGACCTCGTGATCTGCCTGCCTCAACCTCCCAAAGTGCTGGGATTACAAGCATGAGCCACCAAGCCTGGCCTTTTTTTTTTTTTTTATCTCGGCTCGCTGCAACCTCCTTCTCCTGGGTTCAAGTGATTCTCATGCGTCAGCCTTGTGAGTAGCGGGATTACAGGCACACGCCACCACACCTGGCTAATTTTTGTATTTTTAGTAGAGATTGGCAGTTCACCATGTTGGCCAGGCTGGTCTCAAACTCCTGATCTCAGGTGATCCACCCACCTTGGCCTCCCAAAGTGCTGGGATTGCAGGCGTGAGCCACCGCTCCTGGCCAAGAGATTTTATAGAGATCAACACCAGTGGGAGCCACACACACACACACACACACACACACACACACACACACACACATTTTCCTGGAGATTTCTGGGTAGGGTTGAAAGTTCTAACTCTCTAATCCTTTAATCACTTGGTCTTTCTGGTGACTGGCCCCATCCTGAGGCTATCTAGGAGCCCTATTCTAAGTCACTTCATTATCATAAACTGTTATCAAAGAAGCTCACTATGTTATCAAAGAAGCTCATTATGTATAATAAAAGACACTCCTATCACACAGATAATCCCAAGAGTTGGCTCTGTTTACCTGAACCAGAGACAAAGACTAAATATATTTCATGTTATGCCACAAAACAGAATGCAATTATCTATAAACAACAAATCATGTAAGTAAGGACCTGGACACAAATGTTTCAAGCCACATTTCTAAATGGCTTACTGGTTCAAAATATGGTTGATATAATTATGCAAGTAAATGGAATGATAGAAAAATATATTTTATCCTAAAATGCATCATAACATTAGACAACAGCACAATAAAAAGTCAATGTAGGGCCGGGCGTGGTAGCTCACGCCTGTAATCTCATCACTTTGGGAGACTGAGGCAGGCAGATCCTTTGAGGTCAGGAGTTCAGAGCGAGACACCGTCTCAAAAAAAAAAAAGTCACTGTAGTCCTCATTTTGCAGAACAAGGTCTAATTAAAGCTCACCAAAGACACATGGGCATATTATGTATTACTATTCTCCCCTTTTGTAGAAAAGGAAGCAGATGCACAGAAATTATATGACATCTTAAAGACTATAACAGTCTCCAGCTGTCTTACCTAATATTCTGTCTAATACCTAAAAGAATAGATGCCTGGAACTACTTTCTTTGCTCCTGCCTCTTTTTTTTTATCCCTCTCTCACTTCTATTGAATAGAGAAAGCAGTAACTTGAGTTTTCTAATAGTCAAGTCATCTGCTAAAATGATGTTACAGTTCAAAGAGTTACCAAATTAATTGGATTTTGATTCTACCTAAAATACTCTTAGGCGACCAATCTCCTGGTCAAAGAGGAAACAAGTAAGTGGGCTCCAAGACTATGACTCAGGTAGTTAAGTGACATCATAACAAAGAATCAGCATATTATTCAAATAAGACATACCAATAGTTATTCCTGAGTTTATTGGTTATGGGCTTATTGACCTTATGAAGAAATACAACAAAATCATTCATTTGTGAGATGCATCCAAAACACACTAGATGATTAAATAAGAAGACTATAGTTGTGTCTATGTGCTGAAAAAAATACCAGATCCCAAAATGACAAATTTTTGGTTAACTCCCTTCACAAAGGGATCAACTACCAGGTGAACTTAATTTCTTAATTAAAAAAAAATTTTGGTAGAGATGGGGTCTCACTCTGTTGACCACACTGATATCAAACTCCTGGTTTCAAGTGGTGCTCCCACTGTGGCTTCTGAAAGTGTTAGGATTATAAGCATGAGCCACTGAGCCTGGCCTACTCAATTGTTTTGTATATGAAAACATGTTTTTTCTAAAAGTGGAAAACTGAACTATAAGCCATTTGATTTCTGAATACATCAACCACCCTAAAAAAAGACCCAGAATTTTTTGTAAGCTTAGTATTAAGAAATGATGGTGTTTATTAGCATGAATAATAAATTTCACAAAAGTAGTGATCAAAAGCTAAATCTAAAGAACAGACTATTATTTGAATTAGCTTTAACAGAAAAGTAGGGTTTAGACATGGCATAAGAATAAAAATTCGTGCAAATGTGGAGAGTATAATTGGTGATGTATAAAATGCACTGAAAGAAGAAATGATAGGAAATAAGGAAGACTGGCTAGGGAGTCACTTTAATTCTCCCAGACCTGATGGAGTCCAACAGGAGGAGCCTGTAATAAGGTGATGGGATGAGATAGAGAGAAGTCAGATATGAAAGGTGGTGGAGGTAAAATTGACAAGAATCAAAATCTAAATGGATTTAGAAGTTAAGAGAAAGGAAAATACTAAAGATGATTAAAAATTTTAGGATTAAAAGAGGAAATCATATTATATATTGTTTGGGCTCAGGAAAGTGTTGCAGACAAACAGGTTCTTCTTGCTTGCTGCACAGTAAAGCCAATACATTGAGACAGCAGTGTTACCACAGAGAAAGTGTTTAATTATCTCAAAGCAGTTGAGCAGAAGGAAGAGAAATATTTCACAAATCCATCTCCCCAGGAACTCAGAGTCTAGGGTTTTTAAGGATAATTTGGTGGACAAGGGGCTAGGGAATGGGTGCTGCTGATTGGTTGGAGATGAACTCATAAGGATATCAAAAGTGTCTTCACGTGCTGAGTCAGTTTCTGAGTGGGGGGGTCACAGTTTGAGTTGAGTCAGTTCTTTGGTGTGGGTCACAGGTACAAGTGGCATCATTTGGTCTGCAAGAATGCAAAAGTCATAAAAATATCTCAAATGTCAGTCTTAGGTTTTGGAATAATGATGCCATCTATAGGAACAACTGGGGAAATTACAAATCTTTTGACCTCCAGCTACATGACTTCTGAGCAGTGAGCAATAACACAAAAGCAAGTTAGGGAACAATGTTTGGTTACCACTCAACTATGCCTACATCTTAAAATAATTCATGCCCCTTTCATAATTCTAACCTTGTGGCCTTTCCTTAGCTTTATAAAGGCAGTTTGGTCCCCAAACAAGGAGGTTAGTTTCAGGAAGGGACTATTATCATCCTTGCTTTAAGGTTAAACTATAAACTCAATTGCTCCCATAGTTAGCTTGGCCTATGCCCAGGAATGAGCAGAGATAGTTAGCTTGTGATACTAGAAACAAGATAGAGTCGGCTATGTTAAATTTTCCTCACTGTTATAATTTTGCAAAGGCAATTTCAAAAGTCCTCAGAGTTCATCTAGTACAATCTAGTATTACCAAGATGAAATTTGAATTCCAGAGAGTTTAGGTGATTGATGCAGGGTCACACAGCCATTAGTGACAGAGTTGGACTATAACTTTTGACTTTCAATGTTCATATAACTTATCAAATATTTGAGAAGTTATCAAGAGAGATAATCAAGCTAAGGGAAATCACATTTAATAACAAAAATAAAGAGGAAGATAACAACAACAATAATAAAGGATTTCATTTAGTGTACGTTTACCACAAACGAAGCAGTATACCAACTCTATATACATATGTTTATCTCTGTAACTATCCTATGATGTAGGCACTATTGTCATCCTGGATAAGAAAACTGATTCTTACCAAGTGTATTAGTTTTTTCTCACATTGTTATAAAGAAATGCCCGAGTCTGGCTAATTTATGAAAAAAAGAGGCTTAACTGGCTCACGGTTCTGCAGGCTGTACAGGATGCATGACTGGGGAGGCCATAGGAAACTTTCAGTTATGGCAGAAGGTAAGGGTGAAGAAGGCTCCCCTTACATGGCCGGAGCAGGAGGAAAAGTCAGGGGGCGGAGGTACCACACACTTTTAAACAACCAGATCTTTCGAGAACTCACCCATTATCCTGACCAAGGGAGATGGTGTTAAACCATTCCTGAGAACTCTGCCCCCATGATCCAATCACCTCCCACCAGGCCTCACCTCCAACACTGGGGATTATAATTTGGCATGAAATTTGGTCGGACACAGATCTAAACCGTATCACCGAGATTATATCACTTTCCTAAAATTACAGACCTGATAAAAGGCAGGTCTTGGTTCAAACCTAGACAATTGAGACTACAGAGTGTGCATTTTTACCCATTTTCTGTCTTACTGACTCTGAAGGACCACTGGGACATTCCAGTAGAGACATCCAACAAGTCGTTATACAGTTGATACCATGTTTTGGATGGAGGTCAAGGCTGAAGACACAGATAAAGGCCAATGTTGAAGCTATAGAAACACATGAGACTACAAAAGTAAAGACTGTAAGAAAAAAACGAGAAGGAAAAGAAAAGGAGCTGGCAGCATATTCTTCAAATGGGATTGCCTTATAGAGCAAGAGGACAGAGAATCCGAGGAAGAATAGTCACAAAGATGGGGGGAAAAGAAACAAATACAGTAAGGGAGACCTTAAATTTCTACTTGTCAGTTTGTTGCTATTGTTGCTGTTGTTGTTTTAATTTTTCTTACTTTTTGAACACCTCTAAGCAGATGTGAGAATAAAAGTAAACAGAGAATCTTGGCCTGGCACAGAAACGTTTTCAGTTTGAGATGGCTTGTTTATCCAGAGGTTGCATCTCTGCCATTTCTCATTGAGATCAATTCTCAGATCTCAATTTTTGACCTGATCTTTAGATTCCAATTTCCCCCTAACCTTTGGGGTCAGCTTTACCTGATCTTGTATTGTCTCTTCAGCTACAACCCATGAGACCCTTCAGCTCAGAATGATCTATTCAGTCTTGATCTTTGATGTCACCTGTCAAAGTTTGTTTAATTTTAAGAAACAGCAACCACCTGAAGCTAGCTTAAGTAAAGGTAATGTCCTTTTATTAAGGAATGTCCCATTACCCAAGGCCAGGAAAAGTAACCAGACCACAAAAAGGGCTGGATACAGAAAAATGACACAAAGTCAGTCTCTCACTCATCACATGGTAAACCACCCCTTATTGATTTTGTGAACCTGCTTTATACTTTTTTTTCTCTATTGACCAGTTTTCATTGCTTGGACATCAAACTTGCTGTCCACAAATAGCCATTTAGGTACCCCAGTTTTAATATCCTTGTAACTTCAGGAACGGCCATGAACAAATACATTTTTTTGTGTCTCTAATTTCAAACTCTCACATGAGAAAATCTGATGGTCTCAACTTGGTTTAACTATTCACTCCAATCTTCAGCTGTGACCAATAAGCAGTTTTTATTTATTTTTTTTTCTATTTGAGGTAGGGTCTCCCTCTGTTGTCCAGGCTATAGCACAGTGGCACAAACATGGCTCACTGCAGCCTCGAGCTCCTGAGTTCAAGCTATTCTCCCACCTCAGCCTCCCGAGTAGCTGAGACCACAGGTGCTCACCATCATGCCCAGCTAATTTTTTAAATTTGTCAAGAAAGTGTCTCATCATGTTGCCCAGGCTGGTCTCGGATTCCTGGGCTCAAGCAGTCCTCCCTCCTTCATCTCCCAAAGTGCTGGAATTACAGGCATGAGCCACCATGCCAGGCCAGCCAGTTTTAAAAGTTAAAAAAAAGTGGCCACCAAGGCCCACACTTTGTATAGGGCTGCTAAGAAATTTCCAGAGAAAAGGGTTTGACCGTGGCCCCTAGATAACTAATATCTTCTTCTGTCCCTCCGGTTTACTGAACTTAAAGCCTAGTTGTTGCTTACAATTTAGGGTTGAAAAGAAAAAAGATCAGGGTATGATGGAATAATCAAAGAAATCCTCATAGAGGAGAAAAGACATAAGCCTGGTGTTTAGGCTAAGTGAAATTTGTAGAGACAAACGTATGTAAAAGAGAAAAATAACTTAAGGAAAGGCATAAGATGAGAATGTGTATAATATTTGTAAGGGGTTCAGGAGTGACCAAGCTAATGAAAGAAGAGGGATTTTTCAAAAGGTCAACTTTTTCGTCTATTGGCAACCTCCCTCTCTCTGCTGGATCTTTGACATCAGCATTTAACATGTTCAAATCTCTCTTGTTTAATAATAAGAAGAAATAATAAAGCACAAACAGAACCTGGATCAACTTTCTGCCCCAAACCCTAAAGTTGATAGCTACAAATAATCTCTTACTTCCGTCATAGCCCAACATCTCAAAATAATTTTCTATATTCAATAGCACCATCTTCTCCAATTTATTTGTGTTTTTGTTTTTCTAACCATTCTAGTCTGACTCCTGTCTTCACCACGCTATGAAAAGTGCTCTCATTATACTCACTAATAATTTCTGTCACTAAATCTAATGGAAATTTTTCAGCCTCTGTCTTATTTGACCTATCAGCAACATTTAACTGCGTTGACCAAATTATCTTTCTCAAAACTCTTTCTTTCCATGTCTCATCAAACAGTCCACTCTCTGAGAATTATTCTTCCTTTCTGGCCCTTCTCCAGTGAACTTTAACATCTTGGTTTCCCAAGTCCCAGTAATCATTTCCTCTTCTCACTAAGTACACTCTCAGCAGTCTCATCTGCATGGTTATCACTTACTCATTGATGATCCGAACTCCAGCCTGGACCACTCCTTTCAGCTCACTACTTATACATTCAACCTCCTCTCGACATCTCCCTTTACATATCTCAGTGTCAGTAATGTGCTGAAGCCAGCTTACCTTGGCGCCTGGGATCCCACTGCACGAATCTCTTCACACCTTCATGTTCAGCACCATCACACTGGTAGGTTGAAATCTGCCATGATGAGAATATTTACATCATGGAAACTGACAAATGCTACCCATTGAGCTTTTTATTTTTTTCTTATTGGAAAGCCTGTTGTTAACAATTTACAAAACAACACTGCTAAGTTTCCACAATTTAATAGTTCCAAACTGAATTTAAACCGTTCCTTTTTCACTCAACTTGGTTTTCTTGCAATGAATCCTAACTTTGTAAATATCGCCACCAAACGTCCAGTTAATAGTTGAGCTTACAACCTCCTTCTATCTTACTCCTATCGCCAATGCCTTTTCAGTTTCACAACATAAATATTTCTCAATTTAAAAAATTGATATCTGTCTATATTGCTATTATCAGTCTAATAAATTCACCGAAACTAATAGACTAGTAAATAGTTTTCCTATATCCAAACTCTCAGCTCTCCAGGCCTTCTCTACACGATAGCCAGTGTTTTTAAAAACACAGTTCTGATCATGTCGCTCTCTTTCATGTTTTCTCATTGTTTTTAGATAAAGATCAAACTCCTTACCATGGCCTTGAGTCCTTATTTGGCTCACCTTTGCCTTCCTTTCCCAATCTTACATTCCTCTGCCCTTCCCTCCACACTCTAGCAACACTTACCCTCTTTCACTTCATTAAATTCACTGCTTCTGCCATGTCATGGCCCACGCACATGCTATTTCTTCTACCTAGAAGAGGCTTTTCTCCCTTGCTTGTTGTCTAATTAACTTCTATTTATCCTTCAAACCTCAGCTCAACATTCCTTCTCTAAGGCAGGTCTTGATTCACCCCTCAGATTAGGTCTGACATTTAAGTTACATATTCACAGAGCAACACATATCCCCGTCTCCCTACTTTCCACAATTGTTAATTTTTTTGAAAAATCATAGAATTATTTGTTTAATGTCTGTTTCTTCCACCATGTACCCTTAAGGGCAGATACTGGGTCTATCTTGTTCAACATTGTATTGTCAGTAGCAAGCACAGTGACTTACACACATAGTAGATGCTCAATAAATATTCAGTGAATACATACACTTTCAATATATGAAGACTATCTTTTTGCTCTTCTTCTCACTTATAGAGAATAATCCAATGAGTTTCCCCAAGCCAGATTTTGAGATAAGCATAAGCCACAGGGATGGTTTCAGTGCAGCTGTTTCCTACATCTAAAATACAGACAGGATAGTACTAGAGATAGAGGCACTGTAACTGCCTATGGACCCAGAAGAACATAATGGAGTTGATTATTCAATTAGCAGTATATTTGACAACCTATGTGCCAGAAATACCATTAAACTCCTGGGCCAAAAACATGGTCACATTATATAACAGAAATGAATAATAATCCCACACTACATGAATCACATCCAAATAAGTGGAAATGCACCTATTTCTTCCTTCCGCAAGACTCCCAGAAAGAACTCACTCAAAATGGAGTGTCATGGGGCATTTCTAGAAAAAATATTCCATCTTCCAATCTAGATATGTATTCTGTATAACCATACCTGTAGGAACTTCCTGTCAATATAAAACCAAGAGAGGTTCTGGAAGGATTTGACAAGTCTGAGCTGTCTGAGTACTTTTGTGCTGAAAAGGGACAGCACCCATCCTGAATGTTGATATTTCGCTTCAGAATTAGCTAGAATCAGATCTATCACATCATTGTCAATAATTCTGGATGTATAACGAAATGATACTAACACTGATAACAACAGTTCTAACAACTTCTATTTCTCACGCTTCACAGACAAGGACCATTCTAAGTGACTTTACACATAGCTGCAGGCCGGGTGAGGTGGCTCATGCCTGTAATCCCAGCACTTTGGGAGGCCAAGCTGGGCAGATCACTTGAGGCCAGGAGTTCGAGACCAGCCTGGCCAACATGGCTAAAATCCGTCTCTACTAAAAATACAAAAATTAACCAGGCACAGTGGTACACGCCTGTAGTCCCAGGTACTTGGGAGGCTGAGGTACCAGAATCAATTGAACCCAGGAGGCAGAGGTTGCAGTGAGCTGAGATCACACCACTGCACTCTAGCTTGGACAACAGAGAGAGACTCTGTCTACAAAAAAAAAAAAAAAAGTGATTTTACATACAGCTACACATTTCATGTGCACAATAGTTCTAGTGGCATTTTCTACTATTATCCCACTTTACAGATGAGTAAACATGCATAAAGAGGTTAAGTTATTGGCTCAAGGTAACTCAGTTTTCCCAAAGTGCACAAATCCAGATGGAACCAGAATTTGAATCCAGGCATGCTTAGTTATGAAGCGCACATTATCAGTACACTATAAGACCTTATCTCTGCTTATCAGAGTTTGAGTTTGGAATAAATGATCTAAGATCAAACAGAGGTTTGTTTGATCAGCCTGCACAATTACTTATGTGAGGAAGAAAGTAGCAATCTTCTAGTTCTACAACTTTTGTGTTACAAGCTGGCATAAAAGGATGTGCATAGCTTGTTTGATTGAATGCTATAATTCCCAGGATCGTTCCTTTCTCATTCTTCCCCACCCTGTGGTGTTAGAGTCTGCTATTACAGTGGATGAAAATCAAATGCTTAGACACACAGAAAAATATGGATATGCTATCCACATGACGCTCACATTAAAATGGCAGGACATGGAGAAAATGATACTGCGGGCAGCCAGGAGCTCCTCTCCTGACACCTCATGGCAGTGAAAGGCAAGTGTGCACAGTCCTTTGAAGCCTCTTTCTTTCCTTAGTTGAATCATTTCAGGAGTGAACTGCATACATTGTTAAAATATCCAGTGAGAGGTGGAAAGAATGGCACAGTCTTATGGGAGCTTGAAAGGTCTCTGTTCTTCTCGTGCATTTTAAAGTCAGGCTGGCTGTCTTTGGTGTAGTCTTTTTGGCAGGCCAAAAAGTTTACGTGTTTTGAAGAAAATGATGCGTGTTCTTCTTTGTAGTTTTGCTAAGCATTTAAAAGCACAAAAGAGGGTCTTTTAAAAATGTAACTGCAATTGAAATGCCTGGAGAACAGAAGCAGCAGATATGGCTAGTGTAGGCACACTCCAGAGCTTTGAGCATGATGCTCAGACTGAAGGAGGATCAGAAGAACTCACTGGAGTTAACAAAAGCATTATTTATAGAAGCAGCAAAGTGTAAGAAGCTGATAGCCACGCTGGTAGTTAGACACAGTATTTGCTGACTATTTTTCAAATACGTTTTTGATAATAGCTAATGAATCTGGCTAAGGTGGACATTACTTACGGTTCTCAGTTCATTAAAAATGCACACATCTGTGTGTATATATGCTTCATCAAACATGCATGTGGACTAAATGCATCAGAAGTCCTGCTAAATACTCTCAGAATCACATCTATAAGACAATCATTCCCACATTTTCAAGACTAAGGCCGTGGTGCTTTTCAAATAAGTTTTATTAAGAAATACAGTAAAGAAGCAGGTTTTCTCTTCTTCTGATTTGATGACATGAACATGCAGGCCCACTCTAGAGTTTTAAGGGAAAGCCCAGTGAATTTTAAGACCTAGACCGCCAGGTTACAACTATTTCTAGAATTTTACATTTTTTTATTTTCATGTGTTTGTGGTTTCATAAGCAAAATATCCTGCCCCTCATGTCTCATTCACCTGCTCCTAGGAAGAGATAATGCCCTTCCTGTTCACTTTATGTGTTTGTTATGAGGAAGATGGATGCAGATAGCATCACTCTCTCCTTTCCGCATTTTCTCTGTCTACCTCCCTTCTCTGCCTTGGGCTTTGTCAGTTCCTTTCTCTCTACACTGCATCTCTTTCAGTTCCAAAAATAGATCATTCAATTTAGGAAGAACAATTAACTGGAAAGAAAAAAAATCTCAAGTATGGGGAGGCATTTCAGCTTCTCTATCAGGCATGAAGTAATTGGCAACACCACAGCAGCATCTTTACTGGGGATCCTGTTTCATTATTAAATGTGAGCTTCAGGAAAATCAAGGACTCAGAAAAATTGAACTCACTTCTACAGGTCCCCAACACCTCCCTTGTCAGCTCCAAACATGTCCCAGAACAATGACACAAAGAAGACTTTACTGCTGGGATTTCACCAATGTTTGTACTAGATTTGCTCCATGCAGCGCTCTTGGATAGTTTGCATGATTTCTTACCCAGTAAATATTTATCTTCTCAATACATTGACCTGTCCCTTGAAATCTTATATGTCTAGAGCATTCTAATGGTGCCCAGGGATATTTCACATAACGTTGTAGTCAGCTTAGGGCAATGTTTCTCTAAGTGTGATCTTTAGAAATAGCTAAATTAGAATCACTAGGGTGTTTGTTAAAAAGATTCCTAGTCTACTTCTCAAACAGAATATTCAGGTGATTTTAATGGATTTGAGAAAATGCTAACTTAAGGATTCTTCATAAAGCATGGCCTAGTTTAGAAAGTTAAAAACCTTTTAAAGCAGTAGTTCTCAACGGAGGGGATTTTGTCTTCTAGACCAAGGTCTACAGATATTTTTGATTGTCAAAGGCAGAAGGGATGTGCGGGTCCTACTGGTATTTAGTGGGTAGAGTCCAGCAACAGTGCAAAATGTTTTACAACGTATAGGAGAACTTCCCACAACAAAAAATTATTCAACCCAAAATGTCAATGGCGCTGACTTTGAGAAACCCTGCTATGGAGGGATGGTCATTTCTGATCCCAATCTGGAATTCCCAGTCACTAGACAGATAAAAATTCTTAGAGCCACCTCTGAATTAAACTGATAATGAAGCTAAAACAAGGAGTAAGTTATTTAGGTATAAAAATAAAGTCAATTGAAAAACCATAGTCTGGTTTTCCAATGACTCCTTTTGAAAACCATACTAATATTATTGGAAGGCGACTGAGAGGAAGGGATGTAAAAAATAACAGAATTGGAAAGAAGAAAATAGCAAATAAGACAAGTCAACGTATTACAGAAAATGAAAAATGCTTGAATCAATGCTATCTCATCTAGGATTCAAGTTTATCTATTCTGTTGAAAGTGTTTAGTTGGTGAAGAAAATGGTCAACGCAGGCCAACAAAAGGCAAGTTGACTTTTAGTGCTGCAACCAGAAAAGGCTCAGGAATGGAAAATACTAGTTACTTCTGAAGGCAGGCTTGGAAGGTGAAGGAGAAGTATTGTGTAAAATTTTGTAGAAGGAAAAGTCTAGCCTGTAGATGTCTGCTATTTAATATGGTTACCACTAGCCACATGTAGCTACTTAAATTATTAATTTAAATTAAATTAAATTTTGGCTGGGCATGGTGGCTCAAGCCTGTAAGAGGCAGAAGTTGGCAACAGAGTGAGACCCCCATCTCAAAAAACTAAAAATGAAAAGAAAAGAAATTACAAAAAACAGATACAGACTTCAATAATTCCAGAGATTAGAATTATCAGAACCAAAATATTATATACACACACACACAAGTGCACACACACTTGAAGATATATATGTATATTTACACACACACATATATATATACACCCACATACCACAAAGTGATGTTTTGGTCAACAAAAACAGGTTGCATAAGCTGGATGCAGTGGCCCACACCTATAATCCCAGCACTTTGGGAGGCTGAGGCAGGTAGATAGCTTGAGCCCACGAGTTCGAGACCAGCCTGGCCAATATGGTGAAACCCCGTCTCTACTAAAAACACAAAAATTAGCTGGGCGTGGTGGTGCGTACCTGTAATCTCAGCTACTCGGGAGACTGAGGCAGGAGAATCACTTGAACCCGGGAGGTGGAGGTCATGGTGAGCTGAGATTGCACCACTGCCCTCCAGCCTGGGCGACAGAGTGAGACTCCATCTCAAAAAAAAAAAAAAAAAAAAACAAAAACAGATCACATGCATGATGGTAGTCCCATAAGATTATAACGGAGTTGAAAAATGTCTGTAGCCTAGTGACATCATAGCCATCATAACGTAGTAGCACAATGCAGTACTCATGTCTTTGTGGTGATGGCATAAACAAACCTGGTGCCAGTCCTATAGAAATATAGCACATACAATTACATCCAGTTCATAATACTTGATAATGATAATAAACAATTATGCTAATGGTTTATGTATTTACTATACTATAATTTTTAATCATTACTTTAGAGTATACTCCTGCTAATTATTTTTTAAAAAAATTAACTGTTAAGGCTGGGTGCAGTGACTCACACCTGTAATCCCAGCACTTTGGGAGGCCAAGGCAGGCAGATCACGAGGTCAGGAGTTCGAGACCAGCCTGGCCAACATAGTGAAACCCCCGTCTCTACTAAAAATACAAAAAATTAGCGGGGCATGGTGGTGTGCACCTGTAATCCCAGGTACTTAGGAGGCTGAGGGCAGGAGAATCGCTTGAATCCGGGAGGCAGAGATTGCAGTGAGCCAAGATCGGGCCACTGCACTCTAGCCCCGGTGACAGTGCAAGACTCCACCTCAAAAAAAAAAAAAAAAAATTAACTGTTAAACAGCTTCAGGCAAGTCTTTCAGGAGGTATTCCAGAAGAAAGCATTGCTATTATAGGAGATGATAGCTCCATGTGTATTATTGCCCCTGGAGACCTTCCAGTGGGACAAGACATGGAGGTAGAACCAGTGATTCTGACCCTGTGTAGGCCCAGGGTAATGTATGTGTTCGTGTCTTAGCTCTTAACAAAAAGTTTAAAAAGTAAAAAAATTAAAAATAGAAAAAAGTGTATAGAATAAGGATATATAGGAAGAAAATATTTTTGTACAACTATACAATGTGTTTGTGTTTAAACTAAGTGTTATTACAAAAGAGTCAAAAAGCTAAAGAAAATTTAAAAGTGTATAAAGTTGAAAGTTGCAGTAAGCTATGGTTAATTTGTTATTGAATAAAGAGAATTTTTTTTTCTTTTTGAGACAGAGTCTAACTCTGTCACCCAGGATGGAGTGCAGTGGTGTGATGTTGGCTCACTGCAGCCTCTGCCTCCTGGGTTCAAGTGATTCTCCTGCCTCAGCCTCCCGAATAGCTGGGACTACCGGCACATGCAACCACACCCAACTAACTTTTATATTTTTTGGTAGAGACAGGGTTTCACTATGTTGGCCAGGCTGGTCTTGAACTCCTGAGCTCAAGCGGTCTGCTGTCTCGGCCTCCCAAAGTGCTGGAATTACAGACATAAGCCATCATGTCCAGGCTTTTTTAAACATTTTCTTCTAATAGAGACAGCGTCTCACCATGTTTGTTGCCCAGGCTGGTCTCAAACTCCTGGGCTCAAGCTGTATCACCCTGCCTCAGGCTCCCAAAGTGCTGGGGTTACAGGCATCAGTCACCGTGCAAGGCAATTTATTTTATTATGCTCCATAATTTATATTTATAATACAACAGTATTTTAAATGTACTAAATACTACAAAATAATTTATTTTTATTTTCTTTTATTTTTTAGAGGCTTTCGAGCAAAAAAAAAAAAAAAAAAAAAAAAAAAAAAAAAAAAAAAAACCTGAAGGCCTGATAGACAAATTCTAAAAGAGCTGTAACACTATAAAATAATTTTTAAGACACTAAATTATTTCCAATCTAGAATTCTATACTCAACCAAACTGTCAATCAAGTATGAGGGTAACAATCGAGAATAAATATATAGATATATAAGATAGCCAAAAATTTCCTTCCCATGTACTCTATTAATATTAGGGACTAAGCTAAGAAACAGGAAAATTTGGGATCCAGGAAACTGAGGATCCTATCCAAGGGAGGCAAAGATAGTGTCCAGGATATGGTAGGGAGGAGTTTCAGGATGTCAGTTTGAAGCCACAGTACAGATTGGAACAGAAGTATGGAGAGTTCAAAGAAAGATATTTTCAATAAGCAATTAGAACTAATGGATTACATGATGCATTTGATCCTGTGGAACGGCATTTAGAGTTCTGTAAGGTTCAGAAACATTAGTGATAGGTACAAAGAAAACAAAATTTTTAAAGGACAACTACTAATTGCAGTTTTTTTTTAAGTACAGAGAAATGAAAGCATACTATTAGATCACAAGACTTAGCTGTAAGAAATATTTACATAGTAAGGCCAGGCACAGTGGCTCACTCCTGTAATCCCAGCACTTTGGGAGGCTGAGGCAGGAGGATCGCCTGAGCCCAGGAGTTTGAGGACAGCCGGGGCAAAATGGCAAAACCCCAGCTCTACAAAAAATATAAAAATTAGCTGGGTGTGGTGGCACACACCTGTAGTCCCAGCTACTCGGGAGACAGAGGTGGGATGATTGCTTGAGCCCAGGAGGTAGAGGTTGCACTGAGCCGAGATTGCATCACTGCACTCCAGCCTGGGCAACAGTTGAGACCCTGTCTCAAAAAAAAAAAAAAAAGAAAAAAGAAAACAAAAGAGAAAAGAAAAGAAAGAAAAGGTGGGGGGAGGGGAGAGGAGAGGAGAGGAGAAGAGAGAAGAGAAGAGAAGAGAAGAGAAGAGAAGAGAAGAGAAGAGAAGAGAAGAGAAGAGAAGAGAAGAGAAGAGAAGAGAAGTAAGGACTATGTACTGATTAAAACAGAAAATATGCTAGAGCTGTATTGGAAGGTTGGGGAGGATGATCTGTAAGAATAGGGGTAGTGTAAGACAGCTAACTCTTAAACTTCAATGGTAGGAAATTAATACAATGTTTTAACTGAGAAAGAAATAGCAATTTAAGTGTAAGTGTGCTATTTAGAAATAGGAGCCCATTTTAAAAAATACCATAAAAGTAGCTAGCATTGCAGGTTATTGTTGCCTCTGAGAAGTGGGATTCCAGTGAAAGGGACAAAGGGAGGACTAATGCTCTTGGTTAAATGCATTAAAGTAGAATTAGACATCTTAAATTATGTAAATGTTACTTTGATTTAAAAAATAAAATAAAAATAAAAATTAGGCCGGCCTCTGTGGCTCATGCCTGTAATCCCAGCACTTTGGGAAGCCAAGGCCAGTGGATTGCTTGAGTCCAGGAGATGGAGACCAGCCTGGGCCACAAGGCAAAACCTCATCTCTACCAAAAATACAAAAAAATTAGCCCAGTGGCATGGTGGCTCACACCTATACTCCCTGCTATTTGAGGGGCTACGGTGGGAGAATTGCTTAAGCCCAGGGAGGTGGAGGCTGCAGTGAGCCGCGATCGAGACACAGCACTCCAGCCTGGGTGACAGAGTGAGACCCGGTCTCAGAAAAAAATAAATAAATAAATGTAAAAAATGCAACCAATTGGCCGGGCATGGTGGCTCACGCCTATAATCCCAGCACTTTGGGAGGCCGAGGCAGGCGGATCATCTGAGGTCAGGAGTTCGAGACCAGCCTGGCTAACATGGTAAAACCCCATTTCTACTAAAAATAGAAAAAAATTAGCCAGGCATGGTGGCGTGCACCTGTAATCCCAACTACTTGGGTGGCTGAGGCAGGAGAATGGCTTGAACCTGGGAGGTGGAGGTTGCAGTGAGCCGAGATCACGATATTGCACTCCAGCTTCGGCAACAAGAGCGAAACTCCATCTCAAAACAAAACAAAACAAAACAGCAACCAATTTAAGACATAATGCACCAATAGCAAGGAGTCTTTCCATAAATTTGTTATAATTCCAAATATATGCTTTAGTTCCAAGGCAATAATTACCTTGCCAATCTTCGGGTGGCAATCAGACTTTTCAGCAGTATATATTTCAGTGAACTCTAGAAATATACTAATCTTAATAACCTTTAATAAGTCATATTGAGGTAGGCATGGGACTTAACTCCAGAGGCAGGCCTAGGACATCCCACCAAATTGACAACTTGCGAAAACAGGGATGAGGCAGAAGCAGCTTTCCATAAGACACGTGCACCAGTGTACAACCTCAGTTTACCATTGCCATGGCAACACCTGGAAGTTACCACCCCTTTCCATGGCAACGACCTGATAACCCAGAAGTTACCATCCTTTTCTAGAAATTTCTGTATAAATCACTTCTTAATTTGCATGTAATAACAAACAGGTATAAATATGAGTGCAGCATTGCCTCTGAGCTGCTCCTCTGGGCACACTGCCTACAGGGTAGCCCTGCTCCACAAGGAGCAGTGCCTCTGCTGCTGCTGTGCACTGCATTAGTGTCTATTTGGCCCTCATATTTTCTTATTCACTTGATATTAGGCTGAATATTATAGTTTCTTTGAAAAAAAATGGAGTTTTCCATTGACAGAATCTTATTAATATGTATAGTTAGCAGAAACTTTCACTTTCAATCACCCAACCACCCCCACCCCTTCCTGAGTCTATCAATATGTATTTATGTGTCTTTTTTTTTTTTTTAAAGAGACAGGGTCTCTGTCTTCACCCAGGCCAGGGTACAGTGGCACACCATAGCTCACTGTAACCTTGAACTCCTAGGCTCAAGCGGTTCTCCCACCTCAGCCTCTGGAGTAGCTAGGACTACAGGCTTGTGTCACCATTCCTAATTGCTTTTATTTTCGTAGCTAAGAGGTCTCACTATGTTGCCTAGGTTGGTTTCAAATTCCTGGCCTCAAACAATCCTCGCACCTCAGCCTCCCAATCTTTTACTTAGTACTTACTTTTTAAATCCTGCCTTGATAATGTATTACCCATTTATTCTGGGTCCTAGGCATTACTTGATTATTGATCATAACTCTTCAAGGTTGGTATTATATTTATTTAGGTTTTTTGTTTTTTTTTGAGATGGAGTCTCACTCTGTTGCCCAGGCTGGAATGCAATGGCATGATCTCGGCTCACTGCAACCTCCACCTCCTGGGTTCAAGCGATTCTCCTGCCTTAGCCTCCCAAGTAGCTGGGATTACAGGCGCCCACCACCACGCTAATTTTTGTATTTTTGGTGGAGATGGGGTTTCACCACATTGGTCAGGCTGGTCTCGAACTCCTGACTTCAAGTGATCTGCTTGCCTTGGCTTCCCAAAGTGCTGGAATCACAGGCGTGAGCCACTGCGCCCAGCCTGTATTAATTTTATAGAAGAGAAAATGGAGGCTCTGGAGTTTAGTACATTGAATTGTGTCCCCAAAAAGATATGCTGTAGTCCTTACCTTCAGTACCTGTGAATGTTTTTTAACTATAAACATGCTAAAACGCGGTCATACTGGATTAGGGTGGGCCCTAAATTCAATGACTAATGTCCTAAATCCAGTGACTGGAGAGGAAGATTTGGAGACACAGAGATCCAGAGTAAAGATGCCTGTGTGAAAATGAAGGCAGAAATTGGAAAGACACACCTTTTACCAAGGTGTGCCAAGGATTGCCAACAGCTTCCAGAAGCTGTGGAGAGTCAAAGAAAGTTCTTCTCACGAGCTTTCAGAGGGAGCATTGCCTTGCTGAAAACTTGAATAAATTGTTTTGAGCAACTCAGTTTGTGATAATTTGTTTTTTTTGTTTGTTTTTTTTTTTTGTTTTTTTTGTTTTTTGAGACAGAGTCTTGCCCTGTCGCCCACGCTGGAGTGCAGTGGCGCCATCTCTGCTCACTGCAAGCTCCGCCGGCTGGGTTCACGCCATTCTCCTGCCTCAGCCTCCCCAGTAGCTGGGAATACAGGCGCCTGCCACTATGCCTGGCTAATTTTTTGTATATTTAGTAGAGACGGGGTTTCACCGTGTTAGCCAGGATGGTCTCGATCTCCTGACCTGGTGATCCACCCGCCTCGGCCTCCCAAAGTGCTGGGATTACAGGCATGTACAGGATTACGTACAATCATGACTCACTGCAGCCTCAACCTCCCAGGCTCAAATGATCCTCCCACCTCAGCCTCCCAAGTAGCTGGAACCACAGGCATGTGACACCATGCCCAGCTAATTTTTGTATTGCTTGTAGAGATTGGGGTCTTGCTATGTTGCCCAGGCTGGTCATCAACTCCTGTGCCCAAACAATCATCTTGCCCCAGCTTCCCAAAGTGGGATTACAGATGTGAGCCACCATGCCCAGCAGCAACATACTCTTTTTTTTTTTTTTTTTTGAGACAGAGTTTTGCTCTGTCGCCCAGGCTGGAGTGCAGTGGCACGATCTCGGCTCACTGAAAGCTCTGCCTCCCGCGGCAGCAACATACTCTTAATGATAGCTTGTTTTGGGGAGGAAAATGAACTCTTTATTTTTTCTCTGAGCCACTTGTATTGCTAATATCAGTTCATACTCTTGTGATCAACTTCAGTTGCTGTGTTGGTTAAAATAGTGTTTGGCTACACGTATTCGTAGAACAATCACAGTTTTTTCAGAAAATACAGAATTATTTTTCTTATATAATAAGTCCAGAGGTGGGTAGTCAAGGACTGATATGGTTTTACATATTGCTTGGGAATCCATATAGTTTTCCTTGAAATCAAGGATCCAAGCCATTTGTAGTTTCCTCTTCTTCCATCCATAATAGCACTTTTAATTCTCATGATCTGAAGATGACTATTATTTTCAGATATCACATTTGTGCCCCAGGCAGCGATAAGAAAGAAAAGGGCAAAAGGCATGAACATGTGGAGTCTGTCCATTTTTACCACTAAAAAAAAAAATAGCTTTCCCAGAAGTTCAGCCCAAGAAACTGCTTCTTAGATTGCATTGCCCAGAACTAAGACACATGATCACACCTAAATGCAAGGAAGCTGGGAGATTAAGTTAGTTCTCTGGGTACATTGCTGTTAAACTACATCATGATTTGTAGGGAAGAGTGTATGTTAGGGGTATACAACTAGTTGGGCCTGCCAGCCACACATTTTCCTTTTAAATGTAGAAAGTGGAATGCTTTCTTACTGGCTACAGTTTCTATTGATCTTTTTCATATACAAGTACTAAAGATGGAGGAAAAGAAGGCTGGAGGGTCCTAAGGGAGTAGAGTCACCTGGAAATAAGAGGTTAACTTGTTTTCTCCAGTCACAGTGCCTTTTGAACATCTCCTCTCCTGACTCCTTCAACTTTTCGCTTTCACAGGGGAAAAGAAGTGTTAAGGGCTCCAAAATTATAGTGATTCAGAGAAGCTAGACTTGAAGGAAGCTGAGCAGCCTGGCTAATATTACTGGGGCAAACCAAAGTAGGCTAAATTTCACATATTCACTGACTAGAGAAGGGGGGAAGGATACTTGGGGTAAGCAAGGGCAATCAGAATGCCATAGGTCAAGAGGTCAAGGGTCCATTCTGATTGTGAATTTCAAAAATGCTACAAATTCTTTTTTTTTTTTTTTGAGATGGAGTCTTGCTCTGTCACCCAGGCTGGAGTGCAGTGGCGGGATATTGGCTCACTGCAACCTCCGTCTCCTGGGTTCAAGTGATTCTCCAGAATCAGCCTCAGCCTCCGGAGTAGCTGGGATTACATGTGCCTGCCACCACACCTGACTAATTTTTGTATTTTTTAGTAGAGATGGGGTTTCACCATGTTGGCCAGGCTGGTCTTGAACTCCTGACCTCAAGTGATTCACCCTCCTCGGCCTCCCAAAGGGAGGCCTCGGGAGGTTGAAACTGCTGGGATTATGGGTGTGAGCCACCGTGCCTGGCCAATGTTTCCAATTCTTCAGCCCTTCCTTTGCAATGTGATTTTGTAGCTGCTACCTTCAAGAGATGGTATAGGTGGTGTCCGTTTTCCAATCTTTGAATCTAGGGTGGCTTTGGGACTTCCTTTTGTTGGTAGAATGTTATGGAAATGTTCCAGTTCCAAGCTTAGGACTCTAAAGACATTGTGCACTTTCACTCTCTCTCGGAACTCTGTCTCTACTGTGTAAGAAAGTCTAAGCTAGAGTGACGGATGTTGAGAAATGGAGGAGCCAATCACTATTGTAGCCCCAGACTAACGCATAGCTAGCCAACTGTCAGGCATGTAAGTGAGGCCATCTTTAACCAGGCAGGTGCCAGCCCACCTTCTGGCTGTCTTAATAAGCACAGATACATTCAGCTCATCATGACCCAGTTCAGCAGAACCAGCTAGCTGATCTGTAGACTTGTGAGCAATTAAAAATGGTTATGCTTTGAAGCCAGTAATTTGGGACAGTTTGGTATATAATAGTAGATAATTGATATAGTGACAACCGGGATTCCCTAAAATAAAGCTCCCTTTTGGGATTCTACAACTATCTCAGGGGTTTACATGTATATTTTATCTATACTGTAAGATAAATTGCTTTAGTTAAATATGAGCAGGAACAGTCTCTCAACTGAAAGGAAGTGTGGTATGGAGGCTAGACAGAGAAACTATACAGGCAGGTTACTACCTGAATGGGTTGTGAGATTTAGGAATCGTGAAAGAAAAGTATAATTTTATTAGTGGTCTCCAAGGCAGGGAAGAACAAAAGAGAAATAATACAGTTCTGGAAGAAACCACCCAAGAGTAATGGAAGGAATTAGAAAATTGGCCATTTATTGAATGTTTATTCTCTATCAGGCACTGTACTAAATGCTTAACATTCATTGTGATCTGATTTCAAACTAACCACAATCTTAAAAGTTGTGAAAATGGTGGGAGTTTAGATAAGTTAATTTACTTGGCCAAGGTCACAAAACTGGAGAGTTTCAGAGCCAGGGTCTGCTTGATCTCTAAGCACTGGGCTCTGCTGTTCACCTTGTGTTTGTGTCTAGGACTCTGGTGGTAAATTGCCATGTGACTGAAAATCTTTTCTGCACTGCATTTAACATCATAGATGATAAACATTTGAGTTGCTAAGTCAGTATAGCAACTCATACCTTTGTGCTTTGTTTTCTTTGAAAAACTTATTACTTCCTGACATTGACTTCTTGCTGTGTTCATGTATGTTTCATTAAAATATAAGTTCCATGACAGCAGAGACCATGCCTGGCACATCCACTGCTGGTATATCCACTAGTGACTAGAAAGTGCCTGGCATATAGTACATGGTCAGTATAGTATACCAGGGTTCATTCTAGTATCACCAGCACAAACTAGTCTTAAGTCCAAGGTCTTCTCATTTTCCACTATCATCTCCCTTCATAGATGAAGAGAAAGGAAGGGACAAGACCACAGGATAGTTGTTTCTGACACCTTTCTCACCAAGATTGTTAGAACACAGGTATACACAAGGACACATAAACATACATGCACACACACAGACTATACATATGCTGTGAGACTACTTCTTTGACTTTGCCTTATATGTTCTTTTTTTCTAAATGATCAATCATATTTAGGTAGTGCTCACTCCTGGTGAAAATGTGGTAGAAAAAGCATATGCTTTGGAATTATATTTGTTGAACCTAGTTTCCTCACGTGTAAAATGGGAGTGATAGTATTTATCTTACAAAGGATATTTTCTTCATCTCATTAAGTATCAACACCACATATTTAGTTAGAAAAGCCAGAATCCAGAAATGAGCTCTGACTTCACCTCCAAAAATGTCATGAATCTAACTAATCATTTTATAACATGCCCAGTACTTCTGTCCTTGTCCAAGGTACCATCATTTCTGGCCTAAGCTACTATATCATGCCTTCAGCATTCTTCTTGCTTGCATTTAACCCCACTCCCACCCCTGCAATCTATCCTTCATTAATGTAAAACCTACCTACCTCCCTGACCTTGGCTTTACGCCACACTCCCCTCTTGCCACACTGACTTCAGTTCTTTTTTTTTTTTTTTTTTTTTTTTTTGAGACGGAGTTTCACTCTTGTTGCCCAGGCTGGAGTACAATGGCGTGATCTTGGCTCACTGCAACTTCTGCCTCCTGGGTTCAAGCCATTATCCTGCTTCAGCCTCCCAAGTAGCTGGGATTACAGGCATGCACCACCACACCCCAGCTAATTTTGTATTTTGGGTAGAGATGGGGTTTCTCCATGTTGGTCAAGCTGGTCTTAAACTCCTGACCTCAGGTGATATGCCCCCCTCAGCCTCCCAAAGTGCTAGGATTACATGCGTGAGCCACCACACCTGGCTTTGACTTCAGTTCTTATCCGTCAAACATTCTAGGCACTTTCGTGCCTCACAGCCTTTGGATTGACTGTTTCTTCTGCCTGGCCTCATGTGACTTACTCCCTTTTACCACTTATGTCAGAGCTTACATGCCCGTCCTCCATGTGTCCTTCATGACCACTCCATCTAAAGTAACTTCCAGGTCACTTTCCATCACACCTTTGTGCTTTGTTTTCTTTGTAAAACTTATTACTTCCTGACATTGACTTCTTGCTGTGTTCATGTACGTTTCATTAGAATATAAGTTCCATGACAGCAGAGACCATGCCTGGCACATCCACTGCTGGTATATCCACTAGTGACTAGAAAGTGCCTGGCATACGGGCGCGGTGGCTCACGCCTGTAATCCCAGCACTTTGGGAGGCCGAGGCGGGCGGATCACAAGGTCAGGAGATCGAGACCATCCCGGCTAAAACGGTGAAACCCCGTCTCTACTAAAAATACAAAAAATTAGCCGGGCGTAGTGGCGGGCGCCTGTAGTCCCAGCTACTTGGGAGGCTGAGGCAGGAGAATGGCGTGAACCCGGGAGGCGGAGCTTGCAGTGAGCCGAGATCCCGCCACTGCACTCCAGCCTGGGCGACAGAGCGAGACTCCGTCTCAAAAAAAAAAAAAAAAAAAAGAAAGAAAGTGCCTGGCATATAGTACATGGTCAAAAATGTGTGTCGGATCAATGTGCAATATCATTCTCCTAATTAGCATCATCCAGGGGACTGCCAATGCAATTAGAATAAAATCCAAATGCCTTACTTTGTAAGTATGAACTTACAAAAGTTCATACGATACCTGATCTCTGCTCCCCACTCTGATAGTACTTTTGTATACTCTTTCTCTTGCTCATTATGTTCCAGTTTCTCTGGCTTTCTTTCCTTCAAATTATCTGCACTCAAGCCCTTTGTGCAAGTGGCTCCCTCCTTCTCATCTCTTCCAATTGCTCTTTCCCAGAGCAATTTGCATATTGGCATATTTGGCTTCTTGTCACTCAAGACTAACCCCAAATGTGAGCTTTGGGAAGGTCCTTTCCTGACCATCTTATCTAAAGTTGCCTCTCTAAATTCATGTTATATTACCCTGTATTATGTTATTCATAGCATTTAGGAATCTCTGAGCTTATTTCTTTTTTTGCTTATTGTGTTTTCCCATATGAGAATAGAAGCTCCATGAAATTAGGGAATTCAGTCTGCTTTATCACCACTATATTCCCAGTGCCTTGAACAATATAACAATGTCAATGTTCATCTGCACAACCCCATCCCCTTTCCTTCTGATTTACTTTCAAGGTTCATACCTTTGGCTCTTTAGCCCTGATATTGATATTGGATTGACTATCATTCAATAGCCAGTCCTAATGAGCTGTTGACAGTCTGTGAGCTTGCTTAGTTTAGGAAATAGAAGCAGATATTTCCTAGAAAATCTCATCTGTTAAGAGTCACATGGTTTCCCCAGACCAGCAGCTTAAACCTGTAGCATTTACTTTACTTGATAATCCAAAGCTAATAGATGTTACTTTTTCTGGGTCTTTAAATTTCTTGAGATTTTGATTAACATAATGGGACTGCTCTAAGAATAATGTAAAGTAGCACATACCACCTGTATTAGTCCATTTTTACACTGCTGATAAAGATATACCCAAGACTGGGAAATTTACAAAAGAAAGAGGTTTAATTGAACTTACAGTACCACGTGGCTGGGGAAGCCTCACAATAATAGCAGAAGGCAAGGAAGAGCAAGTCACATCTTACATGGTTGGCAGCAAGCAAACAGAGTTTGTGCAGGAAAGCTCCCCCTTATAAAAACCATCAGATCTTGTAAGACTTACTCACTATCACAAGAACAGCATGGGAAAGACCCGACCCCATGATTCAGTTACCTCCCACTAGGTCCCTCCCACAACACGTGGGAATTAAAGATGAGATTTGGGTGGGGACATAGCCAAGCCATATCATTCCACCCCTGGCCCCTCCCAAATCTCATGTCCTCACATTTCAAAACCAGTCATGCCTTCCAAACAGTCCCCCAAAGTCTTAACTCATTTCAGGATTAACTCAAAAGTCCAGTCTAAAGTCTCATCCAAGACAAGGCAAGTCCCTTCTGGGCCTATGAACCTGTAAAATCAAAAGTAAGCTAGTTACTAGTGACTTCCTAGATACAATGGGGGTACAGACATTGGGTAAATACAGCCATTCCAAATGGGAAACATTGGCCAAAACAAAGGGGCTACAGGCCCTGTGCAAGCCCAAAATCCAGCAGGGCAGTCAAATGATCTCCTTTGACTCCATGTCTCACATCCAGGTCAGGCTGATGCAAGAGGTGGGTTCCCATGGTCTTGGGCAGGTCTGCCCCTGTGGCTTTGCAGGGTATATCCCTGCTCCTGGCTGCTTTCACTGGCTGGCGTTGAGTGTCTGTGGCTTTTCCAGGTGCACGGTGCAAGCTGTTTGTGGATCTACCATTCTAGGTTCTGGAGGACCATGGCCCTCTTCTCACAGCTCCACTAGGCCGTGCCCCAGTAGGGACTCTGTGTGGGGGCTCCAACCTCACATTTCCCTTCCGCACTGCCCTAGCAGAGGTTCCCCATGAGGGCCTTATCCCTGCAGCAAACTTTTGCCTCGGCATCCAGGCATTTCCATACATCTTCTGAAATCTAGGCTGAGGTTCCCAAACTTCAATTCTTGACTTCTGTGCACCTGCAGGCTCCACATCATATGGAAGCTGCCAAGGCTTGGGGTTTCCACCACTGAAGCAAAAGCCCAAGCTGTATCTTGACCCCTTTTAGTCATGGCTGGAGTAGCTATGATGTGGCGCACCAAGTCCATAGACTGCACACCGCTCGAGGACCCCAGGCCCAGCCCACGAAACCATTTTCTCCTAGGCCTCTGGCCTGTGATGTGAGGGGCTGCTGTGAAAACCTCTGACATGCCCTGGAGACATTTTTCCCATTGTCTTGGGGATTGACATTTGGCTCTTCGTTACTTATGCAAATTTCTGCAGCCAGCTTGAATTTCTCCCCAGAAAATGGGTTTTTCTTTTCTATCACATTGTCAGGGTGCAAATTTTCTGAACTTTTATGCTCTGCTTCCCTTTTAAAACCGAATGCCTTTTTTTTTTTTTTTTTTTTTTTTTTTGAGAAGGAGTTTCACTCTTGTTGCCCAGGCTGGAGTGCAATGGCACCATCTCAGCTCACCACAACCTCCACCTCCTGGGTTCAAGAGATTCTCCTGACTCAGCCTCCTGAGCAGCTGAGATTACAGGCATGTGACACCAAGACTGGCTAATTTTGTATTTTTAGTAGAGACGGGGTTTCTCCATGTTGGTTAGGCTGGTCTCGAACTCCCAACCTCAGGTGATTCACCCGCCTCGGCCTCCCTAAGTGCTGGAATTGCAGGTGTGTGCCACCACACCCCACCAAAACTGAATGCCTTTAACAGTACCCAAGTCACCTCTTGAATGCTTTGCTGCTTAAAAATTTCTGCCACCAGATACCCTAAATCATCTCTCTCAGGGCCAAAGTTCCACAAACTTCTAGGGCAGGGACAAAATGCTGCTAGTCTCTTTGCTAAACTATAACAAGAGTCACCTTTGTTCCAGTTTCCAACAAGTTCCTCATCTCCATCTGAATCCACCTCAGCCTGGACTTCATTGTATATATCACTATCAGGCTTTTGGTCGAAGCCATTCAACAAGTCTCTAGGAAGTTCCAAACTTTCCCACATTTTCCTGTCTTCTTCTGAGCCCTCCCAACTGTTCCATCCTCTGCCTGTTACCCAGTTCCAAAGTCACTTCCATATTTTCAGGTATCTTTTCAGCAGCACCCCACTCTACTGGTACCGATTTACTATATTGGTCTGTTCTCATGTTGATATGTGTTATAAATAAATTTTTGGTGCTACAAAAGGAATAGCACTCAAACACAATTTTAATTTTCTCAGCAAGGCAATTTTACTTCTATAGAAGGGTGTGTCTCGCGGATGGAGCAATGGCGAGAGCACACCTGAACAAGGGAGGGGAAGGGGTTTTATTCCTGATGCAGGTAGCCCCTACTGCTGTGTTGTTCCCCTATTGGTTAGGATTGGACCACACAGTCTAAGCTAAATACGATTGGCTATTTTAAAGAGAGCAGGGGTACTAGCCAGAGTGGCGGGGTGAGTAGTTTGGCAGGAAGGGCGGTTACAGAACAGGTGACTCAGAATGATTCAGGTCAGAGCAAGTGACCAGGGGAACAGATGTGAACTACTGATTAGAAGTGGTGGAAAATGTTGTTTACTAAAACTAGGGGCGAGGAGAACGAGGAAGTTAAACTTTAAAATGGAGAACAAAGAACTGAACATACTGACATACTGATTCTTTGAAGAGAAACTTAGAACTCACTGTATTCAACAATATGGAAATCTCCAAAGTTCCATACTGATGACGGTCATTGGAAATCCCTGTATTAGTCTGTTTTCACACTGCTGATAAAGACATACCCAAGACTGGGCAATTTACAAAAGAAAGGGGTTTAATTGGACTTACAGTTCCATGTGGCTGGGAAAGCCTCACAATCATGGCAGAAGGCAAGGAGGTGCAAGTCACATCTTACATGGATGGCAGCAAGCAGAGTTTGTGCAGGAAAACTCCCCCTTATAATAACTATCAGATCTTGTGAGACTTACTCACTATCACAAGAACAGCACAGGAAAGACTTGCCCCCATGATTCACCTACCTCCTACTGGGTCCCTCCTACAACACGTGAGAATTCAAGATGAGATTTAGGTGGGGACACAGCCAAACCATATCATCACCAAATTTTGTGTATAATTACTAGGGGTTCACAGAACATCTGAAGCTCATTCATGGACCCTCGTTTAGGAATCCCTGTTGGAGGCTCTTCCTGCTCTAACATACAACTCCCATGCTCCATGCAGGCTGGTGGTCCCAGCACTGCTTCAAAACCTGCCCAGTAAGGCAAGGAGATAGGAACAAGCTTGGAGGGGGAAGATCTCTGTGAACAAGACAGATGAGGTTGGACAGAAGAAAAGGAAGGCAAGGGGAATGGAGGTAGAGAAGTAGAAAAGTTTAAGGAAAGCAAGAATTAGGGATAAGAGTGGCCAGGCACAGTGGCGCATGCCTGTAATCCCAACACTTTGGGAGGCCAAGGTGGGTGGGTCATGAGGTCAGCAGTTCAAGACCAGCCTGGCCAAGATGGTGAAACTCTGTCTCTACTAAAAATACAAAAATTAGTCGGGCTGGTGGCATACACCTGTAATCCCAGCTACTTGGGAGGCTAAGGCAGGAGAATTGCTTGAATCTGGGAGGTGGAGGTTGAAGTGAGCTGAGATCGTGCCACTGAACTCCAGCCTGGGTGACAGGGCAAGACTCCGTCTCAAAAAAAAAAAAAAAACAAAAAAAAAAGAGAATTAGAGGTAAGAGAATAGTTGAAAGAGAAAGACAGGAATTCTTGGGCAGAGGAATAGATGCCATCAACTGCCTTAGGTACTATCTTTGATTACTAGCCCTGGTTCTGACCCTCTTGGTCAGAGAAGAATTCCTTTTTCCACATAAATAGAAAAGTTAGAAAAACCTAGATGTCCATTAAAATATAATCATAAATATACATAGATGAATACCAGCTCAGATGATATAAGACTATATCATCTCATGGTAGTGAATTTATTTCTGAGATCATGGGAAGGGACTCATCTCTTTGCAACCATTTTGTTTGCCAGAGAATAAACAGAGGTCCTTGCATACACTCCTTGTACCTGCTCTTCATCTCTTAAGGAAGATGGGAATATACGTACCAGTGGACAGAGATAAACTAAATCTTTTTTTTTTTTTTGAGATGGAGTTTCGCTCTTGTTGCCCAGTCTGGAGTGCAATGGCACCAGCTCAGCTCGCTGCGACCTCCGCCTCCCAGGTTCAAGTGATTCTCCTGCCTCAGCCTCCTGAGTAGCTGGGCTTACAGGCATGCGCCACCACGCCCAGCTAATTTTTTATTTTTAGTAGAGACAGGATTTCTCCATGTTGGCCAGGCTGGTCTCGAACGCCTGACCTCAGGTGATCCACCCGCCTCGGCCTCCCAAAGTGTTGGGATTACAGGTGTGAGCCACCATGCCCGGCCGAACTAAATCTTAACATAGAGGTAAACATGGTAAGATGACTTTGTAAACATGTTAGATTAAGGTCAGTCTGAGAGACACTTTGCTAGTTGGACAAATTTTGATAATGACTCGTGGTTTTTTTGTTTTTTGTTTTTTGTTTTTTTTTGAGAAAGAGTTTCTCTCTTGTTGCCCAGGCTAGAGTGCAATGGCGCGATCTTGTCTCACTGCAACCTCCGCCTCCTGGGTTCAAGCGATTCTTCTGCCTCAGCCTTCCCAGTAGCTGGGATTACAGGCATGTGCCACCACGCCCAGCTAATTTTGTATTTTTAGTAGAGATGAGGTTTCTCCATGTTGGTCAGGCTGGTCTCGAACTCCTGACCTCAAGTGATCCAACCTCCTTGGCCTCCCAAACTGCTGGGATTACAGACGTGAGCCACCGCGCCTGGCCAATAATGACTAGTGTTTTTAAAATGTGATTCAGTGGGCTTCACTTATTATTCTGAAAAAAATACAGCATGATTACTAGCATCATTAATTGTTTTAAAATATATTTGTTAAATGTTTATTATAATGAGAGCCCTGCTGAGATATGGAAGGAATAAAAAAGCATTATCCATTCCTTGTCACAACCCATAAGCTATGGAAATTGCAAGTATTAGTTTCTTTTCAGAAGTTTCTAAATGCAAATAAAATATGATTATAATTTCTTTGTTAATTTAATTATTTTTTGAGACAGGGTCTCACCCTGTTGCTCAGCCTGGAGTACAGTGGCATGATCATGGCTCATTGCAACCTCTACCTCTCAGGCTCGAATGATCTTCCTGCTTAAGCCTCCTGAGTAGCTGGGACTACAGGATAGTGCCACCATGCCCGGCTCATTTTTAATTTTTTTTTTTTTTTTTTTTTTTTTTTACAGAGACAGGGTCTCACTATGTTGCCAGGCTGTTTTCGAACTCCTGGGCTCAAGCAATCCTCCTATCTTGGCCTCCCAAACTGCTGGGATTACAAGTGTGAGTCACTGCGCCTGGCCTGAAGATTCTATTTCACCTATGGTACTTCCTCCTCTTTATGTCCTTTATTCTCTGTAATGTATTAAAGAATAAGAGTTTTTACATCATACTTTGTCTAGTAATTCTACTTTTAGGGACCTTGTTTTCTTCATCTGCAAAATGGAGATTGTAACCTCATAAGGAAGTTATTTAAATGAAGTGTTAGATTGTTAAAACTAAGTGGTAATGTACAATCAGTGCCTGAAACACAATCAGCAGTCAACAAATTCTATTTATATCTATAATTATTATTATATTAATGCCATTGCATTTTTCTCATTCAAGCTTGAAGACATTTCTTTTATCCTTCCCACTCACATAAAATCAATTATAAATTTCTATTGACTCTGTCTTGAAGATCTTCCTCAAAATGGTCCTCTCTTTTCCATTTCTACTGCTGCTTTCCTAATTTCATCTTTCCTTGCCAAATGATTTGGGTAAACAGCTAATTGTTGCCCAAAGTGTTGAGTAACCAGATAATTCTTCCCGAAACATGCTCTTCTGTTCCTATCTGTGAAAGAAAGAAACAACTTACCTCAGTGTATCCCTAATGTCCATCAAATAAAACACAAATGTTTCTGTTAAAAGTCTTTCCAGTTGGGCGCGGTGGCTCACTCCTTTAATCCCAGCACTTTGGGAGGCCAAGGCAGGTGGATCACGAGGTCAGGAGTTTGAGACCAGTCTGGCCAATACAGTGAAACCCCACCTCTACTAAAAAAAAAAAAAAAAAAAAAAAAAAAATTGCCAGGCCTGGTGGCGGGTGCCTGTAGTCCCAGCTACTTGGGAGGCTGAGGCAGGAGAATCACTTGAACCCAGAGGGTGGAGGTTGCAGTGAGCTGAGATCGCTCGACTGCACTCCAGCCTGAGTCACAGAGTGAGACTCTGTTTCAAAAAAAAAAGTCTTCCCAATCACACCTAATAACATTTCCATTGTGCCTGAAGAGATAGCCTGTACTTCCGTCAAGTTCATTAACCTAGCCCTCCAGATCCAGTTCATCCTTTAGATCCACCGCGAAGCCTTCTATTCACTCGAACTGGTTACTCCCTTCTCTCATCTCTTATAGGATGTCTAAGGGCTTGTTATCACTTCTATAGCATTTATTATGTATTGAAATATATCTGGGCAACACTCTAGAGTAATGGTTAAAAGCATAGCTATCGGGGTAAGACAGTTGCAATGATTAAATTAACAAAACACCTTGAATATAATACTTAATTATAGTATGGAGTCAATAAATATTACCTATTTTTAGTATCATTGTGTATACACATCTTATTTCCCTACTAAAATGTTCCTAGATGACAATGATCTTCTGGAATTGATGGTACCTTTTCCAGTACTTTGCCTAGAAAGATTTTATTAGGTTTGCAATTAGAATTAATTACTCACAAACTGATTTCTTATAGACTCTAGGTTGACTTCTTTTCATGCTTTAAAATGTGGTAACTTCGTCTCTGTAAGGGATATGCTAACTCTCAATCACTGTGATTGATATGTGATTTGAGTATATAGTTTTGTGCTCAACTTTTGATTAGTGTTAATTTTTAAAAAAACAGTTTAAAAATCAGGATATGTATGTGAATAAAACAATTGTTATTAAGTAATATAACATCATAATTACAATTAATACTCTGTATTGCATGCCCTCATACCAATAAGTGCCAAGTAGCTTGCTAAAAACTGCTTTGAAATGCTTGCATCAGTGCTCCTTATCTTGCCAAACTTGTTTTGCGTAATGATTGGTGAGAAGAATAACATTTTATTTGAGGATCTCGAAGCACCTGGCAAGGCTGCTTTCCATTTTGCAGATTGGTTACACTGCGCTTGCAGATTGGTTACACTGCGCTTTGCATTTCCTTTGCTATACTGCCATCCAGGAAGAGGGCTGGCTACACAATAGAATATTTTATATTACAAAATATTCTGGACATTTCCTAAGTAATTGGCCTGCTATTTTATCTTATATTCATTGTGACTGTGTACACAGTCAGATTTTTCCCTCTCACTTTGCCCAATGAAAAGATTGGAAGCAAATTTGTGTCTGTCTGGAGCTATGATACTGGACCTTAGTTATGACTTTTGTTGGCTTTTTTCTTGATCCCATTGTATTTATTTTTTATTTTTTCCTACCCATTTTCAATTGGAGTTGTCTTGTTGGAATATGTACCCTTTTAAGCACCTCAAGTTTCCTTTCAAACTGGACAGGCAATAGACACATAACTAATTTTTAACACTATTCACACATTTCTGTTAGACTGAAGCAGATTGTGCAGTGGAAATACTAGGCCTTTGGAGGGAGTCACACTTGGGTTTAAATTCCAGCTTTGACACTTAATAACTGTGGACCTTGGACAAATTATTTAACCTTTCTGAGTTCCCTCTCTGTAAAATGGAAATAATAATCCATAACTCACAAAGATGTCTTGGGGATTAAATAAAATAACTCATGCAAATTACTTGGTGCATAGTAGGCATTCAATAAATGTCAGTTCACTTCTCTTCCCAGTTAATAATGCTTATTAGACTATATTAAAAACTAGAACTAGACTGTGATAATGCATTTCTTTATTAGGTATTTAAGCCAAATAACTAATTTCCCCCGGGGGAAGAGAGAGAAATGTTGAATTAGTTTCATTTGGTGAACTTATTTATTAATCTTTCTTTTTCTTGAGCATTTTTCAGTTTCATAGTCCATAATTTAGTTTTCATGCAGCAAAAATGACACAGTTTGGTATTCTTTTCACCTTTACTGTGCTAGAATTGTTTTTTTAAATGTATCTATTATTACATCTGCCACTTATTAGAGATCTTTATTAATTATATTAACAGCTCGATTGTGTTTCATAACTACGTCGTGCTGACAAACTTGTGCTCTCAGCAGTTTCCCTGAGGTCTAAGCATTTAAAAGAATCAAGTTTTAAATGACAATGCCACAGCAAAAGAAAAGCAGGGGTGGGCGGGAAGACGCACACCGTCTGTGTTCTTTCGTGTTAATTTTATATGTTTGCATTTAAGTGGAGCCACATTTTCCTCAAGGACGCAACCTAAGTAAGGCGAGCAGGGAAAGTGGAAACTAAGTGAGCTGGAACTACAGTACCATTGCACCTTTAAGGACTGGAGACTTGCTATTAGCTCGGCCTCCTTCCCGGCCCACCTCTGAACTCTGATTGACAGGGCGCCGGGCGAGGAGGAGCTGAAGGAGGCTGGAGAGGAGGCGCCGTGAGGAAAGTAGGGGAGGAGGGGGCCGGTCCTTTATCTGGTGGCCAATCAGGGAAGCGGGGAGGAGCTCCAGGCGCCCTCCTCCCTCCTCCTCTCCCCAGCCTCCCGGCTTCCCCGCCCCCTCCCCTTCCCTTTGCCCCCTCCCCTCTCCTCCTTCTCGTCCTCCTCCTCCTTCTTCTCCTCCTCCTCCTCCTCCTCTCAGGCTGTGGTTTTTCTGTATATGTTTCTGGAGTCCTGAGCCTGAGCTAAACAAAAGCAGGAGGCTGACGGGGCTGCTGGAGTTTGCAGAGACACGGAGGAGGAGAGAGCCTGTGCTTTGCCTGCCGCCGCGGCTGGGGGAGATCTGGCTTTTGCAACAGCCCACCCCCTTTGAGATCACTCTGGCCCGGAGTGGGGGTGGGGGGCAGCGGGGGGTGGGGGGGGAAAGTTTGCATTGCAATCCCCCTGCCTTCCTCTCCTTTCTCCCGATCAATGCATATTTGCAAAAGGATTAAGCCACAGATTTAAGCGCCGGGAGCCCATTTCTGCCTTGCAAAGGAGACCGGACTGAAAAACCTAAAGCCAGCTCTGATTTCTTTTCGCCAAGTGGGAAGGTGGTTTATTTTTCTTGCTTTTTGGAGTCAACACCCTTCCCCACCAGCCCTTATCCCCACCCTCACCCCGCAACCCCTTCACGCCCCCTCCCCCTCCCCCTCCTCATCCTCCCACCATCCTCTAAAGAGGCAAAGGGATTTTTTTTTTCTTTTGGTCTTCTTTTTTCCCCCTTCCCTGTTTATCCTGAAAAGGATTTGAAGACAAGCTTGAAGGATAAAAAGCCTTGGTGCTTCCCAGGAGCCGAGCCGAGGAGCAGAAGAGGAAGAGCCGGGGGCTGCCGTAGCCTTTGGAGATGGACGAGCAGCCCAGGCTGATGCATTCCCATGCTGGGGTCGGGATGGCCGGACACCCCGGCCTGTCCCAGCACTTGCAGGATGGGGCCGGAGGGACCGAGGGGGAGGGCGGGAGGAAGCAGGACATTGGAGACATTTTACAGCAAATTATGACCATCACAGACCAGAGTTTGGATGAGGCGCAGGCCAGGTGAGATGGAGGCTTTTCTTTTCCTTTCTTGGGGTTTTTTGTTTTTCTTCCTCTTGCAGGGGGAAACAATGGGAACCGAATCACCACAGCGCTTTTTTTGAAAAATGTTATTTCTTTTCTCATTTTGACAAGCAACTACATGGCGGAGGAGTAAAATTTGAAGGAGCGTTGTTATCGAAAGTGTAATCGCCCATGCCGAGATGTGGCTGTGTACATATTTGTGTGTGTGTGTGTGAATATAGGGGTATTCATTTATATCCACACAAACACACAGGCATGCCGAAAATACTGCCAACTGATCCAAAAGCGGCCCTCGGCACTTTTTACTGCTTTAAAAAAGTATCAGAGAAAGCAGAATTGTCAAGTTTTGAACAGCATTCCATGCCTTCTTGTTGAGGGGACTCTGTAACATTACGAAATAAAATGTCCCAAGAACACTTTATTTGCAAATTTAGTTGACTCCTTACCTAATTCAGCGAGTTTGATTTTCTTTCTTGACTCTCCCGTCCAAAATTAATTTTTATCTTTTCTCCTTTCTTCCCCCCCTACCCAAAATACAAAACAACAAAAAAGCAGGGTATTTCTTTGTCAGTACTTGTCAGCTATCCAGAAAATATTTTGCATTCACTTAATTTTGTTTTTTTAAAAAGTTGATGAAAAGGTGATTTTGTTTTTAGGCATATTTGTTAGTTTTAAGAGACTCAGATTTTTAGTTTAACTTTATTGTCTCCTAATTTCAGCCGGTTTACTAACCTTCCGTGACACAGACAGCTATGTAGGGTCCTTTAAAAAGGGGTGGGGGGACAAAAATCAAGCATGCTCTTTTCCCCCATGCTTCTTTCAGGACCACTTAGAAATGAAAGCATTTATGAATTTTATATATTTCAGTACTATAGGACATGAAGGTCTTCATTAAGGAAACATAATAAACTGTGTAGCCTCTCAAGTTAATCCACTGCCAGGTATATGGTTCTCTACTTCAGGATTTTACAGTAAATTCTCTTTTAAAGTAAAACATAGACTAAGTGACAACCCGCTAACAGCTTGCCCAAGGCCGAACTCAAAAGGAAGAATTTTAAAAATCTAATGACCACATATGTCTGTACAATTACCCAGCTTTGTTATATCTCCGAAGTAGCGTTTTTCTCTTTGAAAACCCTGTAAACAAATATACGCAACTCCTATACTTCAGATGACTTGGTTATATGGAGAAGACATCATTATGTGTATTTCTGTCTACGTGAAATAAGAATCTGAGTTGAGAAAATGAGAGGAAGCAGTTAAAAACATAGATGTTATGAATTATACTCAATTTTAGCTGCAAGCACATGCAACATGTAAACTCAAAAGTACTAAGGTTTACGGGTGTTTGAAAACTTGGAAATGTTGAAAGACTCAAAGTATCCTAAGTTTTGTTTAAATAGGGGAAATTTTAAAAATTAATTGGTGCTCTCTTTGAATTTTATTATCTGAAGAAAAGCTAATAGGTATGGTAAGAGGAAGATTTCCCACTGGCAATTCTCTTTTGAATTGGAACATTTTTCTCTATTATATTGTTCTAGAAGAATACTCTCAGACATACCAATAAACTGGCTTAAAAATAAGTTTGTGAAGTGGAAGGGGCTAGTAAGAATAGATACTACTTTTTTGATGTTCAGTCTCTCTTCTTTTGTGAAACTGTGGACAAACAGGGCTTGGCGACTTCCCCCTTTCAATGGCCTAGATGCAGAGAGAGATCAGATACAATTTTGGGATGGGGAAATTTTCAGTTCTTCCTCTGTAGCTGGCTCCATTTGTGTGCTGTGGAAATACAATATTTTTATAAAGCTGTGTGAGAATTTTTGTTTGCATTTGGGCCTATATATAATAATAGAATTAATTAAAACTATTTTAAAAGACCCAGGAAAGGTCTTTAATACTTTAAAGTATTTTCCATCTTTTTTTTTTTCTACCCCACATGAGAACTTACTAAAATCAACGCTAAGCTTTCTTTTTGGATAAACAATGTAACTCCACTTAGTAGATAGTATGTCCTTTTTTCCTTTTTCTAGTCACACCTTTATAATGTGTATTTATTATTTACAAAAGTAAACCATTAATATTTTAGATATAATGTATGTGTTCATTTTGATAGTCCTGAATTTTGACTTTATTACTCCCCTGCTGTACAGTACATAGGGCATGTTTCTGATCTCTGTTCTTCATGAGGATGTGTCTATTTTTTAACTTTCAAAGGGATTAAAAAAGAATTGCATGTGTTTTGAGTGCCAGAACTTTCCATTTATCTTTACACATTAATTTTAGTTAGTAGACAGAATTCACTTAACTAATAGCTGATATGATCAGTATTTTGTTTCCAAAACAGTATCATTCTGCTAAGTGGTTCCATAATAAAATAGAAGGAAAGGTATTGTTTTGTTCCTCAAGTGCATTCAGAATACACACACACACACACACACACACACACACACACACACACACCAGGTAAATCACTAATCTAAAAGACAAAATTGCATTTATTTTTCCCCCAATGGGTGCAAGGTCCTAATTGTAAATAATTGAATTTCAACACCTGCAAATAAGCAGTGTGTGCACAGAAGCATAATGTGAACACAGAGAAATGAATTTATTCCCCATATGGGTATGTTTGCCCCCTGGCAATGCATTTCCATACTCTTTAACTTGGGGACTGAAATGTTATAAATTGACAGTTCTACTCAGAAGACCTTTCAAGCATCTTGTGTTTATGAGAATACAGGGGCATCTGCGGAATGAATTCGAACACATGGATGAATTAAATTTGAAAACACACAGACCGAGAGGCAGACAGTTCCTAGGCTGTGGTCGTTGCATGGATTTTACAAAACTGTTAACCTACACCTTTGGCTTTGCTGTGTTCATTGTCCTGGGAAGAATTGTGGGTTTAAGAATTACTCTTTGATTAAACTACTTAAAAAAAAAAAAAAACCCTTTCCCTAAATGGGCATAATTTAGGTTAGTTCTGTTCTGTAGTTAAATCCCTACCCTCTCCCTGCTAATTAACATTATTTCTTTTTCTATGGCGGGACTCTGTATATTAAGTCATGAAAACAACTGAAGCATGCCACAGAGTTAGGGTTGGGTATATAATTTTGTCTAAATGTTCAAATGTTTTCACCCTGTGCATTATCGGCAGTTTGATCTTGAGAGTCCACCTAAGCTATCATGTTGTTTCTTTCTTGCAGAAAACATGCTTTAAACTGCCACAGAATGAAGCCTGCCTTGTTTAATGTGTTGTGTGAAATCAAAGAAAAAACAGGTAGGAATGAGATTCCAACATTTTAGCATTTTCTTTGGCCAATTAAATCACTTAACCAGCAGTCACAAATCTATTATTTAAATATTAAAATTTCAGAATACAAGTACTATGAAGGTTGACCTCATATTCGAATAGGAAGTCCTAGCCCTGCTTTCCTTAAAAAAAAGAATCAAGTTTCTTTGACAGTTATTATCAAGCACTACTGGTTAATTTTCCAGAACTCTATTTCCAGCCTTTTTGAGATTGGGGCTAAAATATAGATTCTGAAAGGAAATTTATAGACTGATGTATCTTTGGGGCAAAAATATGAAAGTAAAAGTTCATTTTTTTAAGGAATATATTTTGGCCCATTTTTAAAACCCTAATTTTTTTGGAGTTGGGTGTGGGGGTGCTAAACTGTTGAAAGTTTCCTTTCCTTTTTTTCTTGTAATTACACAAAGCAGCAGACTAGAGGTTCTCAACAGAGAGTGTTGTCAAATACCTTTGTGGAATGCGCTATACAACATTAGGTTATCGGTATTTGAGTGGCCTGTGATTTTATTGCAGGGAGAATCGTTGGGTTTAGGAGAGTATAACGCCATGAGATAATTCACTCTGTTGTTTTTCTACTTTCTAGACCTCGTTTCGTGGACTAACACACTTATAACACATCCCAGGAGGGCATTTAAATTTTAAAGCAACAATTAAAAAATAGCAGTCATCAATCAGAGGTGTTCTTAAACAACAGATGCTCTGGGAAGGACATTTAGCGACATCCCCTTGTTTATTTTAATCCTTAATTTTCCAAAGTGGGTAAAGCTCTCCCTTGTAAGAAGAAAGATTTGAGAAGGCAATCTGAAACCAGGGAATAAAGATGAGGGACAAGGGGTGGTTATATAAAGCGGGAGCTTCTGCTGGGCTCTGACTTACCCGCTCGCTTTAGAGCAGTGCAAAGTACCTGACATCCTATTTATTTATTTATTTTTTACAACAAGGAGTGTAACAGTCAATAATTCATATCTAAACCATATAAGCAAGGGCATGACATGAATGAAAGTGACAATAAATATGATTGCATGCTTGGTTGATATACATTGATAGTTACACATAAAAAATGGGCGGGGGGAGAGGGCACACAGGGTGGCTTTCTTTTTGAGAGCTCTCTGTGTTTTTCTTTTAAAAAAATAGTTTCAAGATGTGACTGTTGAATGAATATGTAATTACTTGGGTCTTGAAATGCGTGTAAAATTAGTACGCAGCTCCTTTGTTGAATGTTATTTGTGTTGTGCATAACATTCTAGACAAAGCACCTGAGAAGTGATGTTCAGACCTCTAAGTCTTCCAGGTTGCCTTGCCAAAGCTTAACCTTATTGCAAACCTGTTAATTGCATTATTTTAGCTGTGAGACAACTTTTAAAAGATTTATGGACTGTGCATTCAAATATCAAAAGAGTTTTTTCCAGTTTGTCACACTTTTTAGTTTCTTTTTTCTATTAGCCCAGAGTAGGAAACTTAAGTGTGTGTGTATATATATATTTATATATATTTTTTTATCTTCTCTCTTTTTTCTTCTTTGATCTCTGATGCTTATTTACTTTGAGTGTTTGGTTTGTTGAGATTTGTTTCTAACCAAGTATGAGTTCCTGCTGATCTTGTTTCATGAAATGTAGAATCAAAATATAAAAGCATATGTGATAATATGGACTAAAGAGAGTCTATTTTTGAAGATACTTTATCAGATTTTTATTGAAAGGAAGCCTGTCAGGGCACTTAAATGTACATTGTGGCCAAAGTGCTTAATTCTAGTTTCCTAATTAAAACCTACTGAGGCAGTAGATTAAAGTGGGTGGGTGTGAATAGAGATCCGGTTCAGGTGAGGGTTAAAGAGTTCGCTCCTTGTTCATGTTGGCTCAAGTATAATGATAGGAAGTAAAGTAGTCAGTCGTATTGGTCAAAGTAACATTCTAAAAGTTTTGTATTTTAAATTTTGTGTCAATACATTTAATGTTTAGAGACTTAAAAAAATCTAAATTAAGGTTTTTTGTGTTGTCTCTAGAATAACATATTTAAAAAAACAATTTACAAATAATGTAATTGAAAGTGATAAGAGTCATTGCCCCCTGTGTTAAGGGACACACACACACACACACACACACACACACAAGTCTTGGATTAAGAGGGCACCCCTGGGTGAAAGTAGGGGAAAAAAAAGGCTTACCTCCCTCTTAGTCTTCAACTTGTGTGTTGGAAGGATTGAAGGGAAGGCAAAAACCTCTCCTGGAATGTTGAGTGTTGTGTTAAAGGTAGGAGTCAACTGTGGTCTGCTGAAAAGAACCCTTTGATTCTAAAGCACGATTACTTGGCTACTCAAGACCCTGGAACCTTCAATCTTTTTGCCAGCATATCTTTCATGCAGTTGATGGGTCGGAGGAACAAAGTGTCTGTAAAGTTGCAGGAGCTTTTTTTTTTTTTTCCCCCTCTTCTTCTTGATACAGAGCTGGTGAAAACATCGCTTGAGTGATCAGTTCACATACATTCCTTTATTGTTTGGGGACTTTTTCTATTGTTACTTTCAAGCCTTTTTGCATTAAATGAGTATTTTTGAGTTTCCATCTCAAGCATTATAATGCTTATAATAATAATAGAGGTTACTTGATTTAGGGTGGGCTTTGTTTGTTTGTATTCTAACACGAAGTTCATACATTTGGCTCACCTAGGCAGAACTCTTGAGAGGAACTTGGTAATTGCATTGATTTGTTATTTTTGCTTTTTTGCATTTGTTAATGATTTTATAGTTGGAAGACTTAGAAATAGATACAAAAACTGGCTAAGATGTATTACCAACCTTTTGGAACTTTAAAAATACATACACACATGCACGTAACACCCCAAAGTAGAAGGTGCCATCTGAATTACAATTGATTGATGGGTGTTTAAGTCAGAAATTACTGTGGGGATATTTAAAAAACAAAACAAAACAAAAGAACCCATGCATCTTCTTGCTTCAGAATGTGGGTAGTTTTTATTCTGATACATTTTCGCTTTTAAAAAAATAAATGCTAAGAAGAAGTGCCAGCAAAATGCTCGGGTGGCAATTCTCAAAGAGCAGCTAAAAAACCCTGTCAAGACCTATAGCAATGTATATTTCACATGTGGCTTTTATCTGCTCGCTCATTCTAGGAATACAGAGACAATTAGAGTTTTGGATCATTTAATATAACACTTTCTTTTGGATTTTTAAGATCCATTCCTTGTCTTCTGGCATATTAGTAATAGGCTAAGTTTTGCATATGTGTATATATGGTGGTAATGGGGTTGGTGGGATAGAAGAAAAGGAGAAAAAGTCAAGCATATTACATTTCTTTAAAAAAACCTTGAATATATTTTTAAACATTTCCTGATGTTTTTTATTCCTGTGTCAAAATCACGCAAGTTTAAAAATTAGGAAAACACGAAAAATATTGAATGCCATTTACTAAGGAGAATATTTATAGATAGCAATGAATAGCTGCAATTGTTGTGAATAGTTTTTAATTTTAGAACATAATAGCTATATATGGCACTTTTCAGCCAATTTTCCTCTGTGCATTGTCTGCATCAAAGTTAACGCAAATCAAATCTTTGGAGGAGGTTAAAAAAATTTATTTTTTGCTCCTTAACACCCTTTTGTTCTCTCTCTTTCCTTTTCTCTCTGTGTTCAATTAACACCCCCATCACAGAACTGTAGTGTGTGTGTGTTTTTTTAATTCTACTACTTTATTTCACTTTTGACACCCTCCCTTATTATTCTCGCCTGCCACTTCTTTTTAATATAGCAATTACATTATGGGACTTCTCCTCTCCTCTCCCCTTTAAAGCATTAGAGAATAATTTGTGTGTCTATGTATATGTGTGTGTGTATGTTTGCATATGTAGGTGGAGGGGCGGTGGGTTATGGAAGGAAGCTAGAGATTGCGGGAAGAGAATTCTGATGGTATTAGGCCTTGAGCAAAATAGGAGTAAAATAACTTTAAACCATTTAGAAGCAGCCTCTGATCAGATTCCTTTTGGGGTTGAAGTGGTAGGAGTCATTTTTGTAGAAGGTCATCGATAGCCAGCAAATGCAAAAACTTTTCTTGCTGATGAGAAAATTCAAGAATTTGGTTCATTTTTTTTTTTTCTCCCTCCTGGTAAAGATGCAGAGGAAAGAAAAGGGGATCAAATGAAAGGAACTTACAAATCAGTTTTACCTGATGCTATCTTTCAGGTACAGTGTGTTAAGGCAGAAGTAATGTGGTTAGACCCTATATTATTTATTTATTATAATGTGGATATAAGCCGTAGACCTACAACAATATAACTCTGACAGACATAATATAAGAAGAACTTGTAATGAGAAATGACTTTTCTTTTTAGTCACTTTTGTGTATTCCATTTTTAGTCTACTACTAGAATTAGAACAATTCTGGCTTTTGAGAAGTGCAAAGAGCAATTTGGTCAAAGCTGCCAGAATGAGAATTTGGGAAATTTTGGTGTCATTTTTTTCTAACAATAGGAGTGTCTGTGAGGATTGGACATGAGAGCGATTTAGGTTATACTGAAGGATCTGGAAGGGGATTTATAAGCGGGGAAACATAGAACCTTGTGAACTAAGAGCTGTGGGGCATTGAGCTGGGCCGGGTGTGGGTGGGTTCTGTACAGTAGGCTGCACTGTTGGCTGAGAAGGGGGCATTACCTGCCTGTGTGTTTAGTTCACTGCTGGTGCCAGACCTATTCACATGGTTTTGCCCCTGCATTCTGTTGACATCCATGAACTTTTTGTTGTGGTTGTTGGCAAAATTATAAAAATACCCCCAAACGAGCAAATAAACCAAAACCTAGATGTTGCACATAATTTAAATTGGAAGACATTTTCATTTGTAAAGCATGACCCTGACTTCTTTTGTGTCATAGGCATATCTTAGGAAAGCTTATTCTTCAATTTGGTTTCAAATCTCTTTTAGATGGATGATACTATGTTTGAACTTGGTGAAGCGAATCTAAATATTCTTTTTATTGCTTTTCCTTTAAAAAAAAAGTTTACCAAAGCACCACATGATAGAGACAGTGTCCTAGGTCCAGCTCCAAACAGCTCTTATTCATTCTCTTATGACCCTAAGAAGCACCCATTCATTTTCATTGCCATATTAACCTGATTTGGAGGAATATAATAATTTTGGTTCCATTGCCCTTTACCTGCAATGGTGTGGTAAGATTTAAGGAATGCAATAATTGATAAATAAGTAGAGAATTCATGAGTTGTTTGTGAAGTGCTTTGAGTTCCTGTGGGTTATGTAAATAATTAAGGCACTGTATTTTCTATAATAAATTATCTCAGGATTCATATCTTATTTCACAGGATATCACTGCATTTCACTCTTTCAGGCTAAAAAAAATGTACGTCTACTGGTCTTTAAGTAATGGGGTAATCGATCGTCGCTCATGAGGAAAGTTCTCTGGTTGTATCTTTGCCCCATCTGCATCTCAAAGATGGCACTTCTCGGAACTTAGCAGAGTGATCCCCAGAGGGGAAAAAAGGTGCAGGAATAGATTGTCATAAGATTATAACACCTATCCCCCATGATGGCAGAATAAGGTCAATAGTGTCTTACCCGAAGGTCTTCTTACCTCTAACAGCTCTCTTTCAATCTCTCAATTATTGGTGGAAATTGAGATTGCAATGGGTGGAAAATTCATCCTTTTTGGTTTAGGTTGTAGTTTCAACTGCATCTTCTACTGAAACTTTTGTCATTAAGTAGGTATTGGGGTGGGTATACCTCACACTCTGTGCTAGTTCTGGACCTTCTACTAAGTAGTTATAAGACCATAGAAAAGTTGCTTAAATAATTTTATGATAAACTATAATAGTAGTGGTTAAGGACCTGGTCTTTAAAGCCAGACTCTCTGAGTTTGTATCCTAGATCTTTTACTTCTTAACTGTCTGGCCTTATTCAAGTTAAAAAACCTCTCTGTGCCTCATTTTCCTTATTTATAAAATGCAGATCATAATGGTACTTATCTTAGAGGGTCGCTGTGAGGTTAAATAAGGTGATAGATGTAAATTACAGTGCCTGGCATAGAGTAAACAGTCAATAGCTGCTAGCTGTTATTATTTCTGGACTTGTTTTCTTATATGAAATAGAGAGGCTTATACCAGATGGTCCCTAAAGACAAAGCCAATTCCAAGACTCTGATTTTATGCTGAAAAGAGACAAAAATTGCTGAATTTAAGATTTGCTTTCTTTTTTTCCTTGCATTTTTTTTTTTTTTTTTTTTTTTTTTGTCAAGAGTCTCACTCTATCTCCCAGGTTGGAGTGCAGTGGCGTGATCTCGGCCCACTGAAACCTCTATCCCTGGGTTCAAGCGATTCTCCTGCCTCAGCCTCCTGAGTAGCTGGGATTCCAGGCATTCACCAGCTAAATTTTGTGTTTTACTAGAGACGAGGTTTCGCCCTGTTGGCCAGGCTGGTCTCAAACTCCTGATCTCAAGTGATCCGCCTGCCTCGGCCTCCCAGTGCTGGTTTACAGCCGTAAGCCACCATGCCTGGCCCTGTTTCCCTTGCTATTCTCTTAAAGTGAGAATTAGCTATATCTGGCCAAAAGTCTGGGACAGATTGGAAGAAGAGGGGGAAAAGAGAATGGGTAAGAACAGAGGAAAAGTTTTTAAGCTACTTTAAAAACTTTTAAACTACAAACTGGACAACAACCGCTTGAAAAGCTAGAATTGCATATTAAGGATGGTGTTTTCTTAGCGTCAGCAACTGGAGGCATTGTGTAATCATAGTTAAAAACATTTCATTTTCTCTCTGAAGATACATAAGCCTATCCATTCAACTTGCAAAGTTCCAAAGCAGGAAAAGTAGCACAAGTGAGTTTAGGGCAACCTGACCTTTTCTTTTTCTTTCTTTTTTTAAATTATACTTTAAGTTCTGGAACACGTGTGTGGAACGTGCAGGTTTGTTACATAGGTATACACATGCCATGGTGGTTTGCTCTACCCATCAACCCGTCATCTACATTAGGTGTTTCTCTTAATGCTCTCCGTCCCCTTGTCCCCCACCCCCTGACAGGCCCCAGTGTGTGATGTTCCCCTCCCTGTGTCCATGTGCTCTCATTGTCCAACTCCCATTTATGAGTGAGAACATGCGGTGTTTGATTTTCTGTTCCTGTGTTAATTTGCCGAGAGTGATGGTTTCCAGCTTCATCCATGTCCCTGCAAAGAACATGAACTCATCCTTTTTATGGCTCCATAGTATTCCATGGTGTATATGTGCCACATTTTCTTTATGCAGTCTATCATTGATGGGCATTTTGGTTGGTTCCAAGTCTTTGCTATTGTGAATAGTGCTGCAATAAACATATGTGTGCATGTGTCTTTATAGTAGAATGATTTATAATCCTTTGTGTATATACGCAGTGATGGGATTGCTGGGTCAAATGGTATTTCTGGTTCTAGATTCTTGAGGAATTGCCACACTGTCTTCCACAATGGTTGAATAATTTGCACTGTCACCAACAGTGTAAAAGAATTCCTATTTCTCCATATCCTCTCCAGCATCTGTTGTTTCCTGACTTTTTAAGGATCGCCATTCTAACTGGTGAGAGATGCTATCTCATTGTGGTTTTGATTTGCATTTCTCTAATGACCAGTGATGATGAGCTTTTTTTCATATATGTTTGTTGGCCACATAAATGTCTTCTTTTGAGAAGTGTCTGTTCATATCCTTCACCCACTGTTTGATAGAAGACAACCTGACCTTTTCTTGCCCTTCTAGTACATTCCTTATTTAGGAAAAATGTTATCTTTGTCATAAGGACAGCCTTGATTCATAGTAGATTTATTCTTCATTATTTTTATAGCTTTCTTGAAATATATTTCTAACACCATGAAATTCACCCATTTAAATGATATACAGTTAGGTGGCTTTTAGTGTATTGACAAAGTTGTGAACCCATTATCACAATCTAATTTTAGAACATTTTTATCAGCCTCCTTGCCCCCTAAAAAAACCCAGTACTTTTTACCAATCAGTCCATATTTCCCCCTTCACCTAGTCCCTGGTAACCACTAACCTACTTGCTGTCTTTGTGGTTTTTGCCTATTCTGGACATTTCACATAAATTGAATCATAAAATATTTGATGTTTTTTGACTCATTTCTTCTGTTTAGCACGTTTTCGAGGGTCATCCATACTGTAGCATCTATCAGTACTTCATTTTTCTTTATGGCCAAATACTATTCCGCTGTATGGATATACCACATTTTGCTTATTCATTATTCAGTTGCTACAGTAACTTAAGGAATGGACTTCAGTTACTGTTCACTTAGGTTATTTCCATTTTTGACTATTATGAATAATACTGCTATGAACATTTGCTTACAGGTTTTTATGTATGAATATATGTTTTCATTTCTCTGGATAAGGAGTGGAGTTGCTGGCTCGTGATAACTCTATGTTTAGATTTTGAGAAAATGCCAAACGGTTTTACAGAGTGGCTGCAGTAGGCACATTTTTTAAAAACAGCTTTATTGAGGTCTATTTGATATACAAAAATCTGTACATTGTATATATATATATATATATATATATATATATATATATATATATGCTTTTTTTTTTTTTTTTAAGATGGTGTGTCCCAGGCAGGAGTGCAGTAGTGCGATCTTGGCTCACCACAATCTCTGCTTCCCAGGTTCAAGCGATTCTCCTGCCTCAGCCTCCTGAGTAGCTGGGATTACAGGCATGGGCTACCACACCCAGCTGATTTTTGTATTGTTAGTAGAGATGGGATTTCACCATGTTGACCAGGCTGGTCTCGAACTCCTGACCTCAAGTGATCCACCGGCCTTGGTCTCCCAAAGTGCTGGAGTTACAGGTGTGAGGCACCGCGCCCAGCCTGAGCTACCACGCCCAGCCTGGTGTATTCTTAAGTCATAGTGTAAATGGCACTAAGTTTTGTCTTCAGCACTCTCAGCTTTTCATTCTTTTCAATCTCTTTCTCCATTCAATGATGTCTCCTCTCTATGTTTAGGACTCTACTGTGTTTATTGTCATGTTTGGTCAATACACTAAGAAAAAAAGTTTTTGATAAATTTATTTGACTTGAAGTATGCATGATCAGGATTTATGTGAAATCTCTGTTAGAACTATTTGCATTTTAAAGAGGAAAAAAAGTAAGACAAAGGAATGATTCTCCAATGTTGGAATTTCAGATGTCAGGTTCCTGGAGAGGAAGGCACTTTTGAAAAAGATTGGAGAATTTTCTGAATAGTAATCTAGTGTGACAGAGGGAGCATGGACTTTGAGTGAAACCATCCTAGCTTGTGTTAACATTAGTGAGCTATTGGATTTAACAGAGCTTCAGTGTTCTCATTTCTGTGGTGAAGATAATAATATGTATGATGTAGGATGGTGGGCTAAAAAAGACACTGATGTAAAGCACATAGTTCAATGAGTATGCTCAACTAGTGGCCACTACTGTTATTTTTCTGAAACCACATGACAGAGTGTTGACCACCTTTCTCATCAGTTTGGCCTTGTCGGTTCAGGTTGAGTTTTCTACTACCTCTGTCCGGGAGTTTTAGAGGTTCACTAACATGCTTCCTGACCCTGCTTTTATGTTAAATGGTTGTCAGTGTGAGAGAAATAAAAGTCTCGGGCAAAACGCAGCAAAAGGCATCTCCACACTTTCACACCCCCCTCCCCTACTTCTAGAGTTCTGTGGAGAGAATCTCACAGAACAGTGCTTTTCAGTGAACACCTGTAATTTTAAATTTAATGATTTACATTTTCTAGTAGCCTCATTTTTAAAAAGTAAGAAGAAGCAGGTGAAATAAATTTTAATACTTCTTATTTAACCCAAATATATCTAAAAATCTTTCAACATGTAATCAATATAAAAATTATTGAGATATTTTGCATTCTTTTTTTGTGCTAAGGCCTTGAAATGGTAATGTTAAATTTAATGATTTAAATTTTTTAGTAGCCCCATTTAAAAAAAGTAAAAAGAAACAAGTGAAATGAATTTTAATAATACATCTTATTTAACTTAAATACATTGAAAATATTTCAATATGTAATCAACATAAAAATTAATGAGATATTTTACATTCTTTTTTTGTGTGTCTATGCTGAGGCTTTGAAATCCATTGTGTATTTTACATTTACAGCACATCTTTTTTTTTTTTTTTTTTTTTTTTAAAGACAGTGTCTCTCTCTGTCATCCAGGCTGGAGTGCAGTGGCGTGATCTCGGCTCACTGCAACCTCTGCCTCCCGGGTTCAAGGGATTCTCCTGCCTCAGCCTCCCAAGTAGCTGGGATTACAGGCGCCTGCCACTACACACCCTGCTAATTTTTAGTAGAGATGGGGTTTCACCATGTCGGCCAGGCTGATCTTGAACTCCTGACCTCAGGTGATCCACCCACCTTGGCTTCCCAAAGTGTTGGGATTACAGGCGTGAGCCACCGTGCCCAGCATTTATAGCATATCTTGATTTTGCCTTGCCATACTTCAAGTGCTCAATAGCTACACATGAGTAGTATCTACCATATGGGACAGCACAGCCATAGAATAGTTGTTCTGGCATAACTCCGTTTTGTTCCTTTTTTGGCATAGTTTTTACATTCTGAGGAAGATACATGGTTGTTCCCCACTCAAACTTGAGCTGGTAGTTCTGTAGCAATTGAAATTGTTGCCTGATGAATAGCCGTGTTCCAGATTAAAGCATATTTGAGACATCTTTTTCTGGAAGAGAACGTCCACCTTACACTATTGAGGTCACTGCTGGAAGCCGGGATGGGGTGGTTCCCCCACCTCCTTCTCTGTGTTTTTTGCTTCTTTCTTTCCATAGCTCTTCATTTTAGGTTCTTTCTTTCTCCTTAACAAAATCTTAAGTGTTCCCTAGAATAGACTGAGTGGGCCGAAGCAGTTCCTTGTTTTCTTTAGCTGTAATGCAATGGAACAAGTACAGAGCACTCCATGGTATGACAGGAGTTTGCTGGACCCTCTGCAGCCTCACACTGACTACCTCTGTGGTAGCATATTATTTTGAGAACGCCATTTAACCTCTTAGTCTCAGGTTTCCACATCCATGGAATGGGTGACTCTAGAGAGCCTCTGATCTGACTCCATATTCCATGGGTTGTGAGCCCCAACATGATCCCTGCCAAAGCTTAGATTCCTAGGACACTAGGCAGGTGGAACATTTATAAAAGAAAATTCTTTTTCATTGTTATGGCAGCTCTAATTTCTCCTATGAATCCTTATATCTTTCCTAGATGGTCATGTAAAACTGGTTATGGTGGTGTTAACGTTACCCTCCATCAATCAAGTTGAATTGCAGAAGGCAAACTGAGAGGGAAAAAAATAGTGGAATTAAAAAAATTTTTATTGCTGGGTGTGGTGGCTCACACCTATAATCCCAGCACTTTGGGAGGCCGAGATGGGCGGATCACCTGAGGTCAGGAGTTCGAGACCAGCCTGGCCAACATGGCGAAATGCCGTCTCTACTAAAAATACAAAAATTAGCTGGGTGTGGTGGTGGGCACCTGTAACCCCAACTACTTGGGAGGCTGAGGCAGGAGAATTTCTTGAACCCGGGAGGTGGAGGTTGCAGTGAGCCGAGATTGCGCCTTTACACTCCAGCCTGGGCAACAGAGTGAGACTAAAAAAAAAAAAAATTATTGAAGCATTCAGGATCCCATTTATAAGGCCAGTTGGAGGCCAATCCCAGTTTAATCCACCTTGCGGACTTTGTGATGGAATGCATATGTTGTTTTCATGCTATGTATTTGCAGCTATTGGATTTTAGACTGGAAACTTGTCTTGGAATAGATTTCTGATTGCAGTATTGCAAGTGCAGAATACCTTCTTGAGTTCATATGGTAGAGCCCAGGAATTTAGGAAAGGAGTCTGGCCCTCACCTTGGAATGGTGGAGTTACTTGTTCAACGTTTGCCTCAGCTGAAATACTGAAATAATTTCTGTTTCCCACCTGTCAGTGGGGCGTTTGCAAACTTACAGTGAGGATATTTAGAAAGATGTTTGAGTTTCCCTAAGAAAGTGTGGTCAGTAAGTATGAGAAAAAGTTTATATATTTGTCTTGCTTTGAGACAGGTTGAATCTGCCAGTAGGTCAGAGGAATACATTTACCTAGTAGCCTGTGCTGGTAGGGCAGAGAGAGTCAGTCGTTTTTCCTGAGGGCGTTAGGTGATTTGAGACCTCAAGTGTTGTCACTGTAAGAGAATCCTCCTTATAATTACCATTGTTAATAGAATTGAAACTTTGCATTTGTCTTTTATCCCTAACAAAGAAAGACTCCCAGAGAGTCTAATGATGAGCCCTGCCTACATCCATTCTGAAAGGCACTCTATGGATATGAGGGTGTAGACGTTAATTCCTTTCTGTAGAATTTGCATGCAGAGGCTCTAGGGCCAATGCACCCTGCTTACATTAATAAATATTTAAAAACAAAGAGCGGGTAACACAAGCACATCTTTCCTTTGTGCATCCTCCTTACTAGGGTGCCTGTAATACCTAACATCTTGGGAAGGAAATGTCTGGGTGGGTGCGGGTGGGTGGTGATGCTGCGCGCAGCACCAAGTATAAAGGCCCAAGAAGTAACCACATCGTGTGAGGAATAAATTAAAGCAGCTTCATCCGGAGGCCAATTAAGGAAGAATGGGAAAAAAGAAAAAACAAAACCCAGCAACAATAAAACCCAAGAGATGAGAGAGCATGTTCGTTCAGACCACGTAGAAAAGAGAAATTGAAGTCGTCTGGAAGGAGTTTAAGGGGATGCATCACAAAATAAAACTTTTGGAACCAAGAAACAGTGGAGAAGCCCGGTGGCGAGCCACATGGCCTTGTGCTAAGACGAGATGCCCTTTTCAGAAAGGATAATGATGATGCTGGGAGCTGGACCGTCGTAGATTGTCGCCTGAGTCTTGCTGTAAGACGCTGCACAATTAGATTAGAGGAGAGGGCTAGGGGTGGCCGCGAACCCCCTCGCAAATCTGTTGACTTCACCGCAGGGCTGATGCGCGCAGCATAGAGGACGCTTGGGAGCGCCCGGCCACTGCCCGGTCCGCCGGCGCGGCGCCGCGTCGCACCCGGTCTTCTCTGCACCCTGCGCCTTGCACCGGCTCCCTCTCCCGTTCGGGCGTGCGGCCCCCCTCAGACTCTGCCCTTGAGTTCCCAGCGCAGGCCGCACGTCACCGGCCGCCAGCGCGCGGACCGCGAAGCCAAGTGTCCCCCAAGCGGGGCTTGCTGTGTTTTCATCATTTCCCTTGCCTGGCCCGGGTTGCAGTGGTCAGCCGCAGCGGTCTGCTCCCGGCGGCGGCCCGAGGCTCCCCCGCCACCTCTTCTGTCCCGGCTGACTTAACTCTTCTCCCAAAGGGTGGTAAAGAGAGGGCCGCCGCCCCCCAGGGGGAAGACATCCTCTTGGGAGCCATACTTCCTTTATTAAACACCTCTCAATGTGGGCTTGGAGTCACATTCAGAGCCTCTGAGGCAGAGGGGTGCCTGCGGTCTGTTCCCAGGGAGCCGGGCCTAGGGTCTGTTCCTGGGAAGGATCTGTTCCGTGGGGCCCGCTGGAGCCGCGTTTTCAATATGCAAAGTGCCGGTGCTGTGCAGACCTCGGTGGTGGTGGTTTTGCATGCAGAAGTGAAATTCAGAAGGCCGCGTGTGAGCACGTGGGTGAGTGTGTGTATGTGCTAACACGCACGCGTATTAATTTGCAGCTCCTTAGTTGGCCGTGTGTTGTCTCAGCTGTATTCGATAAATATTCGAGTTGTTGCTTTATGGTAATGAAATGAATTAAATAATATAATCTGGAGTTACTGCAGAAACCCTCCCGTCTTTTCTGTCTCTCAGCTCTTACAGGGAGTGCGTCATCTTCCCCTAGGGAGATTTTTAACCCAAAGAACCTTGATGTACTTTAAACAGCACTGACATTTGTTTTCCTTAAGCTCAGTCTGATTTCTTTAACACTTGAAGAAGGTTTGGGGCCTTCAGACATAGCTAGTTTCTTATATGGCGGCTTGTCTTGTCTCAGAGGAATGTTTAAAGGGGCTTCAAGCTGCCTTATTTTTACCAGTCTTCAGAAAATAGAGAATTGATTTTGGTAGTTTGCCCCCTCCTGCCCATGCACGCATAGTTGCCTCCCTTCCCCCACCTAGCCTGCTGGAGCCCAGGCAGGAAGGGGCTGTCATCATACACATGCCTAAGCCATATTACTTTATTTTTCTTCTTAGAAAGTTACACTAGGAAAGATGTTCTTGATGTGTGATTATTATTCTTAAGTGTATTCTAGTGCTTGCTTATTATTGCTCTGTTACAGCTTCACAGGAAACCAGCAGGTCCTGCAGTAGACGGTCCAGAAACTTTCTATTGAATGAATGTGGGAGAGCTAGAAGTCAGGAAGGTTGAATTCCCTCATTACTTCGAAAATCTATAAATTAATTCCCTCTATAAATTTCCACCAGCCTAGTCTCTGATCCACCAGCTGGAGAATCAAGCCCATTATTAATTTCACAGGATGAATTTCTCATCCTAGTAACTCTGGGGGAGAGGACGAAAGGGTTATTATGTAGGTTGAGAGTTCTCTTGTTGCTTCTGACTGTTACAGATGTTGCAGCTAAAATATAAGCATAGCAATAATAATATCAGCAATGGTGATAGTAAAGAATGGAAATAACTGCTTCCTTCTGCTCCTGATTTGGACACCCCCATCCTCCTACTCATTTATTCTATTGACTCCTCTCTAGGTGTTTCAAGTAGAGATGTTTTGGTGACTTCCTAGGGGAGAGAAGCATCTCTCCAGTGGCTTCCATTTGGGTATAAGTATGCAAAGATTGTTTGTGTTGTCAAGATCCCACTGGAGTATATCTTCTTACCTATAATGTCACCTCCTGCATGTTGCCCTTTGTAAGTAGAGGTTATGGAAGCTCAATTATTTTTTAAGTAAGTTTCATAAAATATTTTTGAATGCCCTATGTTCTGGAGATGTTGGTGAAAACTCTTTATCTTCCACAGGTTGTATAGTGAAAAAGTTAAAAATGAATCTCTATCCTGGTTGGATTTATTTTTTCATTTGAGAAATACCGTTCAACATTTTTGTTTTAGACCTCCTGGAGGGCATGATGGGACTGAAGAGTCTTTATTCCATTTTGGTCTAATTATTGCTTTAGCAAATATTTGTGAAACTTCTCCCATGCCTGAAGTGTTGTGACAGAGACTGAAAAATACAGATATGTGTGAGTTGTGGCCCTTACCCTCAAGGAGCTTCCAGGGGCCTGAATCATGGGCAGAATCAATGTGACATGGGCAGGTCCATCACTCCCAAAGCCCATGACAGGAGCCTGGAATGTGTTCCCCAGAGCCAGGAGTGTGGCTGTAAAGGTCATTCTTGACCAAAGTTCATTGCTGCCCTGGTGATACATGCAGAAGCATGCTTTCTTTGAATCAAGGAGTTCTAGTTTTTTTACCTGGATGCCTCAGAAATGTTCTATGTTTGAGTCCTTGCATACTGGGCCTTCCTGCCTTTCCTCAAGCACTGTAACCTCCTTTATTTCCTTTCTGCCTTTCCCCTTTCACTCTCTTTTGTTCTCTTCCTCCCCTCTACTGGGGCCTACCCACCCCTCCACGCCCTCCCCGCCCCCATTGCTATTTGCCAAACTTGTGACCTGAGACCACTTGGCATTTCCGTGGGATGGCTGAAATTTACCACCCGCTGAATAGGCATTCTGTGACATTTGCTCACCTGGGCAGCTTAAGCTACATGGTCTGCTTCTGCCTTGAAGGAGTACTGAGAGGAAGTGTGAAATTTACCTCTGTGCTCCAGGGTTCTTGCTAGCAGGGAGACAAACAGCAATGCTTTCTAGAAGCTGGAATTAATTTTTATCATAGTGCACATATATGTTTATACCCTACATTTATTATATATTCAATAAGTACATGTAGACAATTTGTGCATTGTCTTCCATTTTTTTAACAAATTAAATTTTCATGCTTAGCGTCATCTTTCACTTTCATACCCTCCCCTTCTCTCCCTCCCTGCTAGTAGAACATACTGGGTTAACTTAATGCTCTTTGAGGCCTTGTGTCATTAGACCACCTGTCTCCTTAAGGTTTGTGATATTCCGTGTGATGTCTTTCTCACTGTGGCCTGCCCAGTCCTGCTGGTAAGGAAATAGCTGCCTGTCTCTTTGGATCAAACTGGTCTAGGAGCTTGTTCAGCCCAGTTACTGGGGCAGACCAGCCCTGGAGGCGTCTCTGACTCTTGGAACACACAGACAGCACAGTCTGTCTGTCCTGGCTGTCAGTCGAAGAAGGGAAACATGCAATATAGATGGTTAAGCTGTTACTTTATACTTGTGTGCTCCAAGTGATTTGAAGGAAAGAGTGCTCTGGGCCCCAGTAGTGGTGGATCATCCTGGAATGAAACTGAACAGAGAATGTCGGCAGAAGTGATGTTTCATACTTTCCTGTATGAAACAGGAGCCCAGAATTCTCCTGTTCATATGTAATAGGAGTTAATGCATATTTAAAAAATGTGTTAGGTACAGCGCTATTATTACTCTGATTTTTAAGATGAGGAAACTGAGGCATAGAGAGTTTAGTGAATCTTCCTAAAGTCACATAGCTAATGAGAGAGAGGCTGACTTGGAGATTTTACTTGGTAAGTTTTACTAAGTGTAGATTTTTCTATGAAAATATTCATTCCCATTGAGTGACAGCCCATCAAATTGTGATTCTTCCAAGGAAATCCAGTGGAATCTTACTTGGTTGTCCAAATAACAAATTGTCTGGCTCTACTCATTTCTGATCCTGTTTCTCAGGTACAGAAATTTAATTATCTCATGACTGTGGCTGGCTGCAAAACAAGTAAAGAGGATAAGTTCAAAACTCGCCTTGAGCTTATTTCCTGATTTTCATTAGGCCTCTGCCTATTCTGTTTTTAGAATCCACCTGACTTTTTTTATTTTTTGAGATGGAATCTCACTCTGTTGCTCAGGCTGGAGTGCAGTGGCATGATCTTGGCTCACTGCAACCTCCGCCTCCCGGGTTCAAGCAATTCTTGTGCCTTAGCCTCCCGAGTAGCTGGGATTACAGGCGTGCGCCACCATGCCCGGCTAATTTTTGTATTTTTAGTAGAGACAGAGGTTTCACCATGTTGGCCAGGCTGGTCTTGAACTCCTGACCTCAAGTGATCCACCTGCCTCGGCCTCCCACAGTGCTGGGATTACAGGCGTTGAGCCACCATTCCCAGCCAAGTTTGTTTTTTGAGATGGAGTTTTGCTCTGGTTGCCCAGGCTAGAGTGCAATGATGCAATCTTGGCTTACTGCAACCTCTGTCTCCTGGGTTCAAGCGATTCTCCTGCCTCAGCCTCCCGAGTAGCTGGGATTACAGGAGCACGCCAACACACTTGGCTAATTTTTTTGTGTTTTTAGTAGAGACGGGGTTTCACCATGTTGGCCAGGCTGGCCTGGAACTCCTGACCTCAGGTGATCCACCCTCCTCGACCTCCCAGAGTGCTGGGATTATAGGTATGAGCCACCGCACCTGGCTCTAGAATCCACCTGACTTCTTTCAGGTAACAAGCATGACTTATTTTTGCAGGGGGTCTAAAGCTTGACCACCGCTGTTGTATATGTCACCTTTCCTAGTTCCTTCTCAGAAGTCCAGCATTTTGACAGAAGCATAAAGCAGGGCACAGGGTCCTGCCTTTGCACACCCTTCCTGTGCCCATTGTCCTATCACACCACCTCCCTGGTGCAGCCAGACTCTAGGCCCTGGGCCCTCCAGTGATTCTACGTGGTGCGGATGGATGCTTCCATGGTGAGACCCAAAAGTCTCATCTGTCCAGTTACAGAGCCTCTGTTTTTGGAAAGGCATATCCAGCAGCTCCCCGACCGCCATTTTTTTTTTTTTTTTTGAGATGGAGTCTCACTCTGTCACCCAGGCTGTAGTGCAGTGGCGCAATCTCGGCTCACTGCAACCTCCGCCTCTCGGGTTCAAGTGATTCTTCTGTCTCAGCCTCCCGAGTAGCTGGGATTACAGGCACGGGCCACCGCGCCTGGCTAATTTTTGTATTTTTAGTAAAGACGGGATTTCACCATATTGGCCAGGCTGGTCTCAAACTCCTGACCTTGTGATCCGCCTGCCTCGGCCTCCCAAAGTGGTGGGATTACAGGCATGAGCCACCGCACCCAGCCCCCTTTTGTGATTAGTGGGTGTTTTCAGTTTTGAGGAGGGAAGATCTACCTTCCAAATTGCAGTGGTGGCCCAGAGAACAGCCTGGTATGCAGGACCAGGGTGAAGGTGAAGCTGTTCATATCACCCCAGGTCTTTGAAGGGGAAGAAAAAGTTCAAGGCATTTCATGTTAAAACTTACTGTTTAGAAAACAATACTGTTGATATTAAAAATATAATAATAGCATCATTATTACCAAGAAGACCTTAATAAAGAAAATTTTACAAAAGAAAATCATAAATCTACTAATTTACCTTTAATCATACTATCCTAGTTCAACGTCTATTTTCAGTTTTCTTGTGTTTACATTTTCTTGTGTTACTTTCCTTATGGCTGTGTAAATTTTCCATGTCTTGGGGATGATTGTGTACTCAGGGAACATATTTATCCACAGAACCTGTTATGTATCTTATTTATTTGTTTATTGCTTATTTCATTTCAAAAAGGCATGCAAGAAGCTTACCAAAAGATGTGAGAGATACCAAGAGATTTACTAAATAAATGAGGAAATTAGAAGAAAAAAATTCAGGTAGGGCAATAAAATAACATGCAAGGGAATGTTAGTATGTAAAATGGTATCCATAAGATCCTTTCTTATTGTGAACTTCTCAGGCCTTTTGCTAGTAAGGAAGTAGCTACTGTCTCTTTGGGTCAAACTAGTCTAGGACCTTGTTCAGTCCATATCCTAGAAAGGTTGGCTACAGATTTGATTCTGTGCTTCCTAGTAGCAAAAGCAAAAAAGGGAAATAGGATCCGTTTCAAATTGCCAAACATTTAGAATTGGAAACTAATCAGTTATTTAAGGAGAAGCAGATTTTTTTCCTGGTACTGGACCCCATGCAAAATTTCTTTCATAATTTCTTTTTTTTTTTTTTTGAGACGGAGTTTCGCTCTTGTTCCCCAGGCTGGAGTGCAGTGACGCGATCTCAGCTCACTGCAACCTCTGCCTCCTGGGTTCAAGCAATTCTCCTGCCTCAGCCTCCCGAGTAGCTGGGATTACAGGCACATGCCACCACACCCAGCTAATTTTTGTATTTTTAGTAGAGATGGGGTTTCATCATATTGGTCAGGTTGGTCTGGAGCTCCTGACCTCAGGTGATCTGCCTGCCTTGGCCACCCAAAGTGCTGGGAATTACAAGTGTGAGCCACCGTGCCCGGCCTCATAATTTCTAGTAAGAAGATGCTAGTGATATGATAGGCATTGCCCTCAACGACATGATAAAAAATTATATTTCATGTTTTACCATAGCCCTTTATGCATAACCCATCCACAGCACTCATCAGATGTTATCATAATTATTGGTTTACTATGTAATTCTCTTGTTAGACTCAGAATTTCTTGAAAATGATGAACAGGATTTGTATGCTCAGCCCATAGTACATATTCAGTTAATATATTTTTGAATTGAAACACTGTTTTATCTGCTTATTCAAAAGGGGAAAATTTAATTTATTAACACTTACTGAGTACTTGCTACTCTTTACTCTGAAATAAAAAGAGGGATGAATCAAAAGTCCCTGTCCTTGAGGAAGGTATGATTTACTGGGAATAAACATGTATTAATAGTTATATTGTACTCTAGCTGGATAATTGCTACATGATAGAAGTGTGAACATTCTTTTGTGAAATGACTTATAGATTGCTTAAACTACACTCTCATTACAGCCAGCTTCACCTTTTAGAATTTGGGGTTTGGATCTTTAAGCCAAGAGAGGCGGGAAAAAAAAAAAAAGAATAATAGGGCATGTGAGAGTTTTCTGAGAGGAGAGAGGCTATTGTCTTGTAGATTTGGTTTTTTGCTTCCATTCTTTTTTAGGGAAGAGGGTTCCATTCCTGGGCTAACTAACCCAGCCTCTCTGAATCTCAGGTCACAGGGTGAGAGGGGAGTGGGGCCCCTCTTTTAGTCTACTCCTGACTTGACCTGGCAGCCTTAGCTGGGAGACACTGTTCCATTTTTCATGGGCAGCTGGAGTTGTGGCCACCATTGTGATTCTTGTGACTGGCTTACAGAAGAAACATGGTTCCTAAGAAGGCCAGGAGGGACAGTCCCTGAGACATACGTGTAAAATGAAGAGTATAAAAAGCAAATAACTACCACAACTGGTTTTATCCAGGGCTGTTAATTTTTAGATACTCATTGCTACACTTATTAGAAATAATGTTTACCTTATTTCCTTTTCTTCCTCCTTTCTCCTCTTCCTTCTTTCTATTTAAAAACCATTTGCCAGGTACTTCTATGGCAGGCAGAGTGAGAAATATAAGATAGGAACTTGTCCTCAAATTGCTTACCTCTGGGAGAAAACGAAGGCGCTTTAGGGCAGCTCTTGATCAGGCCCTTGAAGATAACTTAAGTATAGCATAGCACTTAACCCACAATATGTTCTCAAAGAAAGTCCTGAAAGATGAATCCAGTTTTCTCCAAGATTGCAAGCTCCCCCTTGAAGATGGTAAGGTCCTAGTGAGCCATGCTTTATTCATCTTTGCATGTCTAGACCAGTGCCTGGTATATATATTTGATGCCCAACAAATGCTAGTTGAAGGAAGGAAGGGAGGGAGAGGGGAAGGAGGAAAGGAATCACAAATAATTCACCTAAATCTACTTTGGATTTACTTATATTTTTAGAGTGAATATCTTAAGAAATTATTTCCAAAAGCCAAGTGCAGTACGGTGCATACCTATAAATCCCAGCTACTAGGGAGGTTGAGGTGGGAGGATCACTTGAGCACAGGAGTTCTAGTCCGGCCTGGACAGCATAGTCAGACTCAGTCTCTAGGAAGGAGGGAGGGAGAGAGAGAGAAAGAGAGAGAGAGAGAGAGAGATCTAAAAGTAGTATTGTCTGCTTGAAGGATACTAGTTTGTTCATCTTATGTATGCTCTTATGTGATGTGTCGAGAATTAGAAGACAGGATGGAAAAGCCTCTTAGATCTCTTAGATCTATTGGATCACTCCAGTTAAGTGCTCAGAGAGAAAGGTTTCTGGTTTGGATCAGCATGTTACTGAATGGGGAGAAGTTCTTGAATAGCTCTCTGTTTTCTGAGTTAAGATTTTGTGTTTTGGTGTGTGAAGAGTAAGAGGGGTATCATGGAGTAGATGGGGGTGAGGTAGAATGGGAGGTGTGCAAGAGAGGACACCTGAGGACCGTGTGAAGGCAAGTGATAATCAGACTAGGAAGCTGGCTGGACACAACCTTCCAGTGGGAGAGGCGGAGGTGAGGGGGCAGCTGCTTCTTTAACTAATCAAGGGCTCAGGTTCCAGTACCTTCCTTTTATCCCCATCCACAGTTTGGCCTGTCTCTTCTCATCTGCAAAATCTCCTCTTTTCTTTTTCCCCCTCTTTTAAAAGCTAAACTAATTTTCTGTCTGTTCATGTTGACCTTTTGTCCAGTTTTCCTCCCATCAGATGAACCAAAATACTAGAAAAGGACTCTTCCATCTACTACTACTGCTAGTAATAATAATAGTAATAAAATAAATAAAACCAGGAAGCTAAAAATGGAAATTAACTAATTAATTTGACATCAATGAAAGAGGTTGTAGAACTGGAGGCAAGGGAAAGAATGGAATGGACATCTTTCTGGGCACACTCCTCACTCCTTCCCCAACCCCTTCCAATGTGAGTATGTGTAATTTAAACCTCTTCCTGGGGAAGAGTGAAAGAAGAATTTTACCCACCTTTTTCCATTCCCCTCCTCCCTTAGTGAAAATTCCTAGTCATGGTCTGTGATATCTCAAACTTGGCTGTCACTTTTTGGGGTCATTCCCTGGGGATACCCTTCCCCCAATCCCAGGGCAGTTCTAATGTTTCTGAGTAAGGAGTAGTGAGAAACTCAGTTTTCCCTGCAAACTTCCCTCCTCATCAGCCCCACTCAGTGTTGAGTTTAGCATTTGCTTTAGTGGCTTTGCTATTTATAGACTTGTCTGGGGAGGTTGGGGTTGGGGGACAGTGTCAGGCAAGGAATCTCACTGTAGTCTTTGAGGGGGGTAGTCAGGCATTGAGAACCAGTGCATTTAAATAAAAATGTCCTGAACATTTCTTTTGGCTTGGTTTAGAGACCACTAGAACCAGTTCCTTTCTCTGATTCTTTTCTGTGGTTGCTTCACTTTCTTGCTCAGTAGAACCACAATCTATTAAGATTTCTTATTTATGTTCTTCTTAGTTGCCAAGGCTGCCATCCTGACTTGGGCATCTTGGCAGCTAATAACAATGTATGTCTAGCTGAGAAGCTTTTAGCATTTTGGGTTGTAAACTTTTTCTTTACATCCAATGTTCATGGGAAGTCCTTTCTTAAACAAGAACCCCCTTCCTTTCTGTAATTAATGAAATAAATGTCAATATATAGTTTCACCTCTTCTGTATAACATCCTTTGAATAAGTAGTGCTTATGACATTCATTCATTCATTCATTCATTCAGATATTCAACAAATGGCTTTTTCCAGGAGTACTTAGTAAAAAAGAGAGAAGAACAACTGGGGAACCTGGCAGTACAACTTTGATATTCACAGATAGGTGCTGTACTACACACATGTTGAAAGAACTGTAAATGTAGGTGATTGCTCTCATAGTCCTATGGGCACACACATCTTATGTTTAGGGGTTTACATTGGTGGACTGACTTATTGCTGTAATGTGTTCAGACAAATAGGAATAAGAAGAGCAAAGGGGTGTGTACTATCTGCAGAAGACACATGTGCATGTATTTCATTGCTGTGCTAGAGGAAGCTGCTCATGGTAAACGTGCTGAAGTTATCCCTGTTGCAAGAACAAGCATCAAACACAGGACTGGGCACGTGATGAATGTTCAATAAATGCATGCTTTCCCCTTTTCATTTCCAAGGTGGAATGGAAACATCTGAGCCCATGTGGAGCAGCATTATGATGCAAGGGAACAATTACTGGACTGTTCTATGTTGAGTTGATAGGTAATGAGGGGGCACCTCACTCAGAACAATTTCTTATCTGTAATGGGGGCACTAGTTACACTCATTATCCAGGCCCTGTCCACTTCCAGGGAGGTTGTGAATCTCTAGTGAGATGGGCGTAAAATGCTTTGTAAATTATAAAGCACCATGTAACTAAGATTTCTTTGTTAACCTATACTGTCACAATTGCTTATAAAATCAAAGCAAGAGAAAGAAGTCACAGATTGGCAGGCATGTGGAGGGCTGATTTAGAACATGGCATAGATTTAGAAATCCTGTTGAACACAGAATTCGTGGGGCATGCAGTGAATATGGAGCTGGAGATCTCAAGGGAGTTGAACAGAGAGGTGTGATTGAGAGTCAGATGATGGTGAGTCGAGACCATTATCCGCAGAGGGAACTTGAAAATAGAGGTTATCTGCCCACAGAGAGAACAGTGGCAACAGTCCACCAGGATTTTATATGGAGAATGAGATTTGAATGTCGACCTCACACCCAATTTCAGCAGCAGCTCTGCGTTGTAAGGATGTCATGCATAACGAGGTATACCAGCGAAATAGCAAGCCCATGCTTGACATTGAGCAGCATAGGGTGTTGTTTGTGTGTGTGTGTCCCTGTTTCTCATTCCCGGTTTTACATAACTGGGATGTAGGATGCTACAACTACTGCTGTATCTTCAGGTAAGATGTACTGCTATCTTTCACTTTTATGTAGATGTGTTCCTAAAAAGTGTATGGGTGTGATTTTGGTAATCCTTATCCTAAACTTAAGTCCATTCCTTAGTTTCATGGAAGCAATGTATATGACAGAAGGAACACCAGAGGGGAGTGTTGTGGAGAGTGTTGTGGTGACTTGGTAAGTTGCTTACACATTGGGGGTCTTGGCTGTCTCATCTCTAAGTGAAGGGGTTAGATATGAATGATTAATAAGATCCCTTTCAGGTCTATGCTTCTAGCACTCCCTTTTGTCGGGTGAGGAGCCCTTTTTGTATTGTGTATACTCACCCAGCACTTTATCTGCCTCTTTGTTGTTAGCTGATGATCTTTGTGTGTCTGATTTTTTTTTTTAAGAGTAAGGATGTCATGCACTCTTATTCAAAGTGTAGAGTTTATTCTCCCATTCATAGGAATGCAAAATGAGAAGTTTTAAATACACGGATTCACTTCCTAACCCAGTTTCTCAGAAGATTAATGAATAGTCATCCTGTTGACCCATCTGCTTCTCTTCTTCACATCGTTTTGTGCGGATGAGGCACACACAGACACAGAGTTCTCACTTGCAGCAGTCCGGCACATACAGCCTCACACGCGCCACACCAGGGGGTGTCCCCAGGAGAGGTAGAACAGGTGCCAGATGTTGCAGCAGTACACTCCTCCCTGATCCTCCTTCTCATCCCCCACCCCTTTTCTGAATCTCCTGCACAGTCACTGAAGTCCCATTTTTATATGCAAGAAGAGAAGAGAAAGAGCCCTAGGATGCAAGGATGCCTTGTCACCTCTCATCTTCTGTGCTGGGATAGACACCTGATCTTTTTGGAAGTGAAATCCAGAGTCTGGGGCAAAGACCAAAGGACAGAGGCCAAACCAAAAGTGACTGCATGGTTGCATGCGGGCCCCAAATGATTGAATGAAGCAAGGATACCCATCGCAGGGAGCTGAAAAACCTCACATCCAGATGCGGTCAGAGAGGTTCACAGAATGAAAGGCAGTCTGATGAGTGAGTGAGATACACCCGCCTGTAGAGCACAATAGAAAAATCAATAGTAAGGGGAGGTGAAAGAGTTTCAGCTGGGTTTTATTGAGCACAAAGAAGACAAACTGGCTTTTGCTGTGACTTCAACTGTATGTTAATAGTGCTTTTTAAAAACTACAGTACAGGATTTGGGGAAAAAAAATCACACGGTAAAAGTTGCCAGCCAGTATATGTAAGTGCACACACACACAGAGATGAGGAAAAAGAGAAAAGAGAAATACACTCCGGACTAAGCTTTTTTTTTTTTTTTTTTTTTTTTTTTAGTTTCGAAGCATATGGTGAAGTGTGCTATAATTTTATATGCATATATATTCTTTATTCTGGACTTCCAGAAAGCAATGAGTTTCATCTGTTTTTTTCCCCACCTCTGGTTCCTTCTTCCTTTCCCTTGCTCTCTACAAGTCTGCTGTGGCTTTATTAGGAATTCCCTTTGGTTTAGGGGGAAAAAAAATAAGAGGGAGAGAGAGAGAGGCTGGAGGGGGAAGAAACAAAACTAGCTCTTGGCTGGCCGCCCACAGCATGGGCCCAACAGCCTTGTTTGAGCGCGTTGCCCCGGCCTTCTGTTTTCTTAAGCTCAGCCCCCTTTATCCCTCCGCCCCCACCATGCCCTCCTTTTCCTAACTGGGCTGAGGGAGGCTGTTTCTACCCTCCTAACCCTCTTTTTTCCTTTCTGTTGTTTAAAGAGAATCTTTCTCTCTTTTTTGAGGCTCCAGCGGCGAGAACAGCAGCGGATTTCTCCTTGCCGGCCTCTCCCCTCCTCCCCAGCCCCCTCCCCGATGAAGGGTTCATCCAAAGTTCGAATCCAGACTCTGAACAAAGTGGCGCAGACCTTTTCCTGACTCCTCACCCTTTGTCCTCATCACTCAGTGACAGACAGGAATCAAATGCTGAGGACCCAGGCGGGAGAGGGGCAGTGGGGGAGGGAGGGGAGAGGAGAAAAGTTCCCATTAACTCGCCGGGCCCTTAACAACCACTGGAAGGAGGAGGGGGGCGCGGCTGAGAAAGGATTTTTGTTTAAGTTTCTGCAGGCACACACACAGCATTCCCAAGTTGTTTGCAGATGGTTTCATCTGGTTTCTGTTTGAGGGGAAGAGAGTATGGGATGATCAGTAAGGAGAGGGGGCGGGGAGAGGGAAGAGTCTTCTCTTGACCAGAAAATGATACCTGTGGTGTCTTTTCCTGAAACTGAAAACATTAAAGCGTTCTGATCCCAGAGAAAACAAATTCTCTGGGATATAAGGGTTCACCTTTTGGAGGTGGATTACACTTTTCAGGACACCAGAGAACCATAGAGCAAATTACTTCTTCCAGAGTGCTAAATGATCCCCTGGTGCCCTGGAAAGAGACCGTTTACCTCCAAAAGGTGAGTTGTTTATTGCCAGAGAGTAGAATATTGGCTGTAATGCCTGCTCATCCATCCTTCTCCATCCCTGCGAGGTATTTAGGGTGGAGGAGATATTATCCACCTGTCACCATGGGGAAGGAGACTGACAAATACTTTTCTGATTCCTGTTCCTAAGATTGAATTGCTGGGGAGGAAGGTGAAGTGACTTTTCCAAGGTCTTATAGTGATCCAGTGATTGAAGTTGAATTAGATTTCTGTTCCTGTTGTGGTGCTCTTGTTTGTCAGAGAAAAATAAATATCTTAATGCTCACACGGAGCCTCCCGTAAAAAGGCTGATAAGAAAGGCCAGGTGCGGTGGCTCATGTCTTTCATCCCAACATTTTGGGAGGCTGAGGTGAGACATGGCTTGAGCCTAGGATTTCAAGACCAGCCTGGGCAACATAGTGAGATCCTGTTTCTACAAATAGTAATAATAATAAGACATCCAGGTGTGGTGGCACATGCCTCTAGTCCCAGCTACTCGGGAGGCTGAGGTGGGAAGATTGCTGAGCCTGGGAGGTCAAGGCTGCAGTGAGCCGTGATCGTGCTGCTGTGCTCCAGCCTGGGCAACAGAGCGAGACCCTGTGTTGAAAAAAAAAAAAGCTGGGGGTCAGGGAGCAGATAGAAGAAATACCTTGGCCAGCGCAACTGGAAAGGGAGGAGCCAAAAGGGGAACACTTTCTTGATTGTCCCAGCCTCATTAGGAGCTACCACAGGGCTCTCCTGCATGCTCCTTGTTTTCTTTGTGCTCTGGACTTGCTCACTTGCACTGCTTGCTTCTTCCCAATCGCCGCCGCCCCCCTGTGCTTCAGGTAAACAAGCTGCTCTGTGGGAAGTGAATAATGGGGCCTAAACTGACGAGGAGGAAGTTAAGTTGAGAGGTGCCGTTTTTGGTGAGCCTTAATGAGGAGGACAACAGTGTGAAATCTTACTTGGCATTGTGACCAGGAGATCTATTGCCTTTTCCTCCCCTAAATCTTCAGAATCATAGTGGACTATATATGACTCCCAAAAGTGTATGCTTTTACCTAGCCCTTGGAAGCTTGGATGGTTAGAGCAATTGGGAGTTTAGTCTGTTGGGGTAAACAGGGCATTGATCTAAGGATTTGTTAAACTGTAAACCAAATAAAGAGCAAAGTCTGCTCTACAGGGATGTTGAAGATTCAGGATATTAAAAAAAAAATCTCTGACTGCATGATTACCCTTCCAGACATTTATTGAGGTTTTTGTTTGTTTGTTTGAGACAAGATCTTACTCTGTCACCCAGGCTGGAGGGCAGTGGTGCGATCTCGGCTCACTGCAACCTCCGCTTCCTGGGCTCAAGTGATTCTCCTTCTTCAGCCTCGTGAGTAGCTGGGACTACAGGCGTGTGCCACCACACTTGGCTAATTTTTTTTTTTTTTTTTTTGAGATGGAGTCTTGCTCTGTTGCCAGGCTGGAGTGCAGTGACATGATCTTGGCTCACTGCATCCTCTGCCTCCCAGGTTCAAGCGATTCTCCTGCCTCAGCCTCCCAAGTAGCTGGGACTACAGGCATGTGTCACCATGCCCAGCTAATTTTTGTATTTTTCGTAGAGACGGGGTTTCACCATGTTGGCCAGGATGGTCTGGAACTCCTGGCCTCAAGTGATCTGCCTGCCTCAGCTTCCCAAAGTGCTGGGATTACAGGCGTCAGCCACCGCTCCTGGCCCCCAGTTAAATATTTCTGGAAAAGAGTTCTGTTCACAAAAAATTTTGGAATCAAGGGAAAACCTTATTAATTAAGATCTTTGATAATGTGGATTCTAAATAATTTCGGGCTAAGTTGAATGAAAACTTACCTTTTCACCCATGAAAAAAGGAGCTCTGTAACTATATTAGTAGCACAAACGGGTTCATGTGAATGTTTACCCTGCTTAAGAGAGTAAACTTTTCAGAGTTAGCAGCAGCATTTGCATACAATAAATGTTCTAATTACTAATGATCCTTGCCAATTAATTAAAAGTATGTCTGTCATGGCGCTGCTTTCTTGGCAGTGCTTTTATTGATGATGAGCTTGTGTGCATATTAAATAATACAGTGACATTTCTTTTTAATGTTTCCTAACCCAGGCTTTGTATGGCAGAACATTCTGTTAGCAGACTTGTGCAGGTTTTCCTATCCTACAAGTAGAGAAATGGAGAGATCCATGCCCTACCCTGAGCCTGAGAGTAACTTGGTGATAGTGTCTGCATTCTAACCCAGTGCTCCTGTATTTCCTTGGATTCTTGTTTCTTGTGAGCCTGTAAAGGCATTTGCAAAGTTGGGGCCTTCTGTGAACAGGGGTGCTGTGGCACTGCAGTTCATTGCAGTCTAGACTTTCCACCTCCCCTGTGGCACTTTTGGCAAGTTGACAGGTATAATTGATGAGTTATTCTAAGAATGTGATTCCTGAGTAACTCTAGAGTGGAGTGACTGTGTTTCTGAGTAGTTAATGTGGCTGGGGGGAAAGGCAGATGAAGGGGATGGGGGTTGGGAAGCTGGAGGGAGGTGGGGAGGAGGGCCTTTGTTCAAATCAAGTTGTGTTCAAGTCTGTGGTTTTAAGAGAGAGCAACAGCGATTCTTTCCTAGCATATGAAATCTTCACAGGGCTCATAGTTTGAGTGTGAGAGTCTGGATGAGGTTCATCCCAGTATATGTCCTAGGAAAGGAAATAGAAACACTTAGCTTTGACGTGTAAACCTCCATGCCAACCATTTTGGTTGAGTTTAAGGGAAATCACAAAGCAGCTTCTATTGCTGCAAATTTGCCTAGTAGCCCAACTTTCCAAAGTTAAGATCATCCCTGGCAGGCCTTTAATTCTCAAGGGTCTGCAAAGTTGATGGTCTGTTGAGAAAGGAAAGGAGAAGTTGAGGCCACAGTTGTGATTACCATTTCTCCTTGTCATTGAGAAGCAGCAGTGTCTGAGCAGAGTCTGAGGGTGCTGGCCCTGGCCACAGAGGCTTTGGGGCAGAGTCTAGCCTGGACCAGGGGGAGTGAAAGGGAATGGCCTTGTTGGAATTGGCATGGCATCTCCACACAGTAAGTTGAAAAGCAGTACAGGATCTACGACCACATGTGGCCAGCCAGGTGTCAGGGCTTATTGCTCCTCAGGCTTTGAATTCTGTATCCCCAACCATCCCTCCTGAGTAGAGTCTCTGCTGCTTCCTGGACACACCAGGCTCCCACGCGCTGGCCTTGCTGAGGATAAAGACTGCCCCTGGGTTTTCTGTCGTGAGCACTCACCTGTGACAGGCTGCTCTCTCTCCTTCCCCACAATGGGAACTTGGGAGCTAGTACTTTCCCAGCATTTGTATGTAGCACACAATCCTTAGATTTTTTTTTTTTTTTTAATTTGAGACAGAGTCTTGCTCTGTAGCCCAGGCTGGAGTGCAGTGCCGTGATCTTGGCTCACTGCAACCTCTGTCTCCTGGGTTCAAGGGATTCTCATGCCTCAGCCTCCCAAGTAACTGGCATTACAGGTGTGTGCCACCACACCCAGCTAATTTTTGTATTTTTAATAGAGATGGGGTTTCGCCATGTTGCCCAGACTGGTCCTGAACTCCTGGGCTCAAGTGATCTGCCTGCCTCGGCCTTGCAAAGTGCGGGAATAACAGGCATGAGCCACCACGCCTGGCCAACCCTTAGATTCTTTTTTAACCCAACTTATCTCTTTATAATTCCAGACATCATTTTGTTGGATTTTGACTCCTGGTGGGTTGCTGTAGTAGCACTTTTATTTTTCAAATGTTAGGTGGACCCCAGGTGCCAAGGTTACTTCCAAAGAATTAATCTATGCCCCCAAAAGGTTAGAAATACTGTGTCTGCTCCCATACTGTCTCACCTTTTACCTGATGAGAAAAATAATCAGAGAGTCCTGGTTGTAAACCCCAGCTTCAGTGGTTACCAGTGGCACAACCCAGGGCAAGTTACTTCTGTAAGCCTCTGTTTTGTTTTCATCTATAAAAATGTGGGTATTTGGTTTACCTCTAAAGGTTGTGGCGGCGGGGTGGGGGCTGGAAAAATAATAAATAGCCAGAATTTTGCAAAAATATTGCTAAGTTTTTTCTTCCTTTTTTAGTTTTCACTGGGTTGAAAACACACCATGTACTTCCTTTAAAATATAAAGTGCCTTGTGCTTGGGGACCAAGGTGCTTTTCACACATAATGCAGGCACTTATTGTTATTATCTCCGTTTCTTCCGTGGCTCTGCATGACTGTTCTGAGAATCTCTTGCTCTCGAGAGATTGAGCTCCTGATTCTCTCAGAGTTCATTCATGCCTGTAAGCTTGGAAACTTTAAGGTGAGGCTGATATTTTCTTCCTTTGGGAGAAGCTTCACTTTTCCCACTTTAGCCTTCTTTCACCTGTCATACCAGGTTGCTGTTTCTTGGTAGAACCTCCTGGGAATTAATAGCATAGTGTGATTATTATAATAACTTAATTTCTATAGCACTTTATTAATTTCATGTCACTTTCCTATTTCATCTCACATCAAAGGTGGCATTATCCCCATTTTAGAGATAAGGACGTTGAGCCTCTATAAAGACATGATTTAAATTCTCCTTCTAACTTGCTGTAGGAAGATCACGCAGAAGCACAAGATGAAACACAGAATGCTAAAGCTGCAACAGAGACTTGGGAGATCATTTAGTACAGCACTGAGAAAAAGAGAGATACTTTTCTTTTTTTTTGAGACGGAGTCTTGCTTTTGTCGACCAGGCTCGAGTGCAATGGCATGATCTCGGCTCACTGCAACCTCTGCCTCCTGGGTTCAAGCGATTCTCCTGCCTCAGCTTACCGAGTAGCTGGGATTACAGGCACCTGCCAAATTTTTGTATTTTTAGTGGAGACGGGGTTTCGCCGTGTTGGCCAGGCTGGTCTCGAACTCCTGACATGGTGATCCTCCTGCCTTGGCCTCCCAAAGTGCTGGGATTACAGGCATGAGCCACTGTGCCCGGCCAAAATAGAGTTACTTTAAATTTAAGTAGAAAATTTAAAATTTTTAATTGCCACATTAAGAAAAGTTTAAAAAAGGTGAAATTAATTTTAATAAAATATTTTCCAGTATATTCAGAATACTATTTCAACATGTAATCAACATAAAAATGTTAATGAGATATTTTATAATCTCTTTTGTCCTAAGTCTTCACTATTTTGCATGTATTTTACCAATTTAGACCAGCCACATTAAGTGCTCAGTAGCCACAGTGGCTAGTGGCAACCTTACTAGACAGCACAGATCTACTCCAAATATTTAATTTTATAGATCAGGACACTGAGGCCCAGAACTGTGATTAACTAATAAGTGGCAGAAATGAAACACGTCTCCCTCCAGAGCTCTTTTCATTATACTGTCTTCACTCTACTGCTTTGAACGTGAAGACAAAAGAACCCGGTTTCTGTTCATACTTTTATATCCTCTCTTATGCAGTCTATAGCCTGGGCTTGGAACTTAGAGCCTTAACAGACTTTAAGACAGTACCACGTCTGAACCTAGAGTTATATTGTATTCTTTCTATTAGCAGAGAGCTTTCTGATTCCTAAGAATTTCCTTACTCTACAAGAAATGGGATTTCTGCTTTGCAAAGTTCCCTTCAGTGGAATGAAGTTATTGTTGCCCAGAGCTTCCCTGGTACAACTCTATGGACTTGGGCATGATTCTCCCTAAAAATCCGTGGAAGCCGTGATCAGAGCCCTTGGAAAATTGCTCTGGTGAGCCAAGTGGGCAGTGGCAGTAGAGCAGTTTTCAGTAGTGGTCCCACGGTGGCAAGTTGGCTGTGAAGCAGTTGAGGATGACATGAATGATGGCTCTTCAAGCTAAGACTGAGTAGTTGTAATGGAAAACAAGGTCAGTCACCTGGCTAGTTGATGATGGTGGGAGCCTTTTTTTTTTTTTTAAAGGAGAAGAGGAGCCATTTATTAATCCCCACTTTTGGCATGATTCATTTGCTCATTGTCAGCGCCTAGCTCAGCTTTGCTTTTAGTAGGTGATTGCCAAACTGATATGATCGTTGTATATTCACTGGCTTCAAGAAACCACCAGTGGGAAATCTTATTTATGGAGATGATGGTTATGGTTATGATTATTGACAGCCATTATTATAAACATCATTATTATTTAGTGTTAATCAACAACAGGATGAAAGGTGCTCTAAAGAACACAGAATTAGACCCTGTCTTTGCAAATGGGCTCATAAGAAAAGAATGACAGAAAGAGACACCCAGCCTGGGCTAGCTAGGAAAAATACGTTTTAGGGAAATACAGCTGACAAAATAGCTCCAAAGGTTGTAATTTTTAGGGCTTTGGTGGAGTTCAATATGGTACTCTGAACACAGAAAAATGGAAAGTAGAATTTCTCAGTAAAAGAAAGTCTGTTGTTTCAGTCCAGTTTTACTATTAGAGTGAGTTGTAAAGAACAAGTAAAAGGGAAAAATTGGATATGTGTTTTTGTTTTGTTTTATTGCCCTGCAGGTCCCCTCTTTTTTTTTTTTTCTTGGTTTCTCAATTTTGAACTTTAATGCATTAATACATCAGGTATCTTTTACAACTAAAGTAGCCCCTGAAATATTTTCTGTGCAGAAAGGTTACCTTCAAGTGCATTAGGGTCTCACATTGACATACAAATTCAGGTTTGAATCCTTGCAAAATCACATGGTAAAATCGGGCCTCATTTCCTACATGGTAAATATGCACTCTCCTTGAGATGGTGCATGAGCTTTCTAGTTCATCATAGTCCCTCCCATGCAAACACCTTACTCATTAACTTTTATATGCCTGTTCCTTACAAAGGCATTTTTAGTTTCAACCCATATATTTAGAGCAGTGGTTCTAACCATGGGTGATTTGCCCCCAGGGGCCATTTGGCAATATCTGGGGACATTACTGGTTTGTCATAATGCAAGTTCATTTTTATGTCATATTTTTACTGTGTACTTTTTGCATTTTCAAATGACTTTGACTATTGCCAGAGTCATTATAGACCTGCCTATGATGTAGGAGTTTATTGTATCTAGTGGAAAACATACCTGTTTGTGGGGCAGAAGCTTCTGTTCCATTCATCCTGATTTTAGACACAGCATTTAACTTTTCAGGTTCAGTTCCATATGTATAAAGTAGGGATAATAGTGACATCCTAGTGTATTAAGAATTAAGGTGTTATTATTTCTGTCACTGTTACTTCACCCTAATTTTGTTTCCACACTCATCTCTGAGCTTTTTTACTTCTTATGTTGTTCAGTGTTTTCTAAATTAAAAAAAAAAAAAGAAATTATCCAGGAGGAACTCCAGGGTCAGAGAAATTTAGTTCCTTGGCCAAGGCCACACCACAGGTAAGTGGTACAGCGTGGATATGAGACTCAGTCTCCTGAATTGGATCAGTTACTTGCATGCACCCTGTACCCTCTGTCTTTATTTGGGTTGGAACCCTGGGGGTTCAGTGATCCTGTTCCAGGATCTACACTTAGCTTGGACTTCTTGTTGGTTTTCTTATGCTTATTTTTGTTTTATAAAATGCTCAATGGTGTAACATTTCCTTTGAGGAATCGTTATTCATTAAAAAGTCTGAAAACAGTGCTTTAAATCATGTCTGCTTCTTTTTGTACAACCAGTTACCTCACTTCTTCAGCCAGGATGGGTTTATGTGGCCCCTCAGGGCCTTCTAAGAAGACTATCTTCCCTGTCTTTTGTGGAAGGAACAGAGTTGGTTGTTGTCCCCTAGAAGGGTGGTCATCTCTTCTCCTTTGTAAGTAGATGGTGACATCAAGGGTTGACACTTGGAAAATATAACATAGTTCTATGACGACGTGGAACTATCTAGTTTTCTTGGAATAATGGTATTGAAATGGAGCTATTTGGGGGTGCAGAGATAATTTTCTACCACACTTTGAAATTTGTTGGCCAAGGATCAAGAATTTCCCAAATCTTTATACAGCCTTCAGAGGACCATGATATTCATCTTGTTGTTCCCACCTATGATAATTCTAAAGTTATTGCCTTGAAGCCAGGACCTGGTATGTACTTTTTCTCCATGAATTTGTGAAGTTTCTGCTATATTTTAGGACATTACCTTTAAGAATAGACTTTTTATGGCCTTCGTTTTGGGGTCTCGCAGCCATGTTGTAAATATAATACCTCAGGAGAGTTTGTAGGTTATAACTCTGGGCCTTTAAGATGCCTTGGCCTTAAATTTTTTATTTAAAAATTAAATAAATAATTAATTTAAGAGACTTAAATTAATTATTGCTGTACATTTCTGGAGAGTTCCCCAATTCCTGGGTTTCTGGTTCTCCTGGTATTTTAGTCCATATTCTGTTGGTATAACAATACCACAGACTGGGGAATTCACAAAGAAGTGTATTTGGCTTGTGGTTCTGGAGAATGGGAAGTCCCAGAGCATGGCTCTGGCATTTGGTGAGGGCCTTCTTGGTAACATGGTGGAGTTCATCACATGGTGAGAGGGCAGGAGCAAGAGAGCCAGACTGCTTGCTTTTATAACAAAGCAATTCCCACAGTAACAAACCCACTCCTAGGATAGCAATGTTAATCCATTTGTATCCATTCGTGAGGGCAGAGGGATTCAGTTTCCAACACATGAATTTTTGGGAGACATATTCAAACCATAGCCAGTTTGTTTGTTTTTATCTGGCTACTAGAGTAAGAATTCTTTTTTTCTTTTCTCTCTTTCCCCTTTCTCCTTCCTTTGTTCCCTCCCTTCCTAGAGGGTGGTAGAGACCAGAGCTGGAAAATTTCAGACAGGAGTTAGGTGTCGAGACCAAGGCACACTGTGGAGGGTTAAGTCATTGTCTTCCATTGTCTTAGGGCTTCTTTGTGTATCTCTCCAGTCCAAACCTTGTGGATGGATGACTACCGGCACTCTTAGAGATAGGAGAGACATCAGTTGAGCTGAACTAGTTTAATTCCCAGAGTTCTCTGAGGAACATACTAGTGTTTGTTGATTTTCTGTTGGATTACTGGAACTCTCAGTATGTGGTAAATTCCTTGAAAAACCTGATTGCATTTGATTTTGTCATTGGTTCTTATCCTTTCTGAGCAACAAGCACCACCCTTTCCAATGACACTCTGCCTTTTTTATTCTTTTTAACTTTTAGAAGAGCTACCTGGGCAGCCAAATTTTTCATAAAGAGCCTTACACCTGAAATAGCTTGACATTGTGTCATACCTCGGAGCGTATAGCATATTTCATTTATGTGATTAGATTTGACCTTTAAAACTACCCGGAGGTAGGAAGGGGAGGGATCATTATCCCACTTTTACATAAAAGAAAACAGAGGCTCAGTTGCCCCAGGTTATTCAACAGGTGTGTGGCTGAGCGTTAATTTGAATCCTGGTTTGTCCAGCTCCAGTCTATGTCCTGACCAACCCCGCCCTGCTGATAGACATCACGGTGTTTCTTTACACCAGATTTATTTTCTGTCTCTTTTTTCCTCCTGATTTTTTTTTTTTTTTTTGCAAAGAAGAGTGTTTCTGCCAGTAGCTTTATCAGATGATTTTGCCCCTCTTTTCATTCTCTCCCAATAGATCTCATGTCTAACACTACTCTAACTTTGCTCCCCTCTGAGACCAGCATGAACTCCAGTTCTTTCTAAATTGTGTAATTCTTTTTTTTTAAAATTAATTAATTATTAATTTTAAGTTCTGGGATACATGATGTGCAGGTATAATTCTTTCTTAATAGATTCTGAGCTTGACCTTCCAGTCGTCTTCTACTGCTCAGCCACACCCCCCTCCATTTTTGTTTCTTTTCTCTTTCTTCGGGCAAATCTGCAATTGTGGGCGCATATTTACCTTGTTATTTTTTACAGTATTCCCATGTGAACATTTTGCCAGCGGCCTCTTCTTAATTTTAGTCCTTTCTGGGGAAGGGTTAATAGTTCAAACCCATTGTTTTTCTTTTGAGGGTTGAGACTTGTTATAAAAGCTGCCTGGAGTGGGACTGTCCCTCAGGAGGGGAGGGGCACAGGCCTGGCATGGGGATAACTGGGAATGGGGTTTGGACACAGGATGCCTGGCGACTGTAGGGACACTTGTCTCATTTCTTGCTCTGTTATATAATATAAATGCTTAGGGAAGCTTAGATTCAATGGGTTGTGCCCTTCCAAAAGCCTACTGCTGGAGTGAAAACTGGAAATACATCTTTGCATATGTGTTCTTTCATTTTATTTTTCCTACTGGTTTGCTAAGCAAAGAGCTGGCTTTGTACAAACCCCCTCTCCCCGCTTTTTTTTTCTTCTTTTCTTAAAAAGCTTCTGTGCTCTTTTGAAACAAGCCAACAAAAGTTGAAGCCAGTGTGTGTGCAACTCAGACCTCATGAGCAATTCTTTTCCAAACCAAATTTTAATTCACAGCTGCCAGTTTAGGGGCAATGCTAAGACCCAAATCGTCCTGGCATCTGAAGCACCTGTCCTAATGTTGAGTACTTTAAATATGGTGTTCCCATTTCCTAAATCTCAATTTAGTCTGTTTGGTCTTACAATTGTGAGTATAATTATGGGAAAATTTAAATGGGATACTTGAGTCAGGACTGTGTTAAAAAATCCAAGATGTATTGCTTCTGTAAGGCTAGACTAAAATAATGAAAATATTAAGAGCCTAAAGTATGCTGCTGCTTTTTTTTTTTTTTTTTTTTTTTGATACAGAGTCTTACTCTGTCGCCCAGGCTGGAGTGCAGTGGCGTGATCTCGGCTCACCGCAACCTCCACCTCCTGGGTTCAAGTGATTTTCCTGCCTCAGCCTCCCGAGTAGCTGGGATTACAGGTGCCCGCCACCATCGGCTGATTTTTGTATTTTTAGTAGATATGGGGTTTCACAATGTTAGTCAGGCTGGTCTCGAACTCCTGACCTCAGGTGATCTACCCGCCTCAGCCTCCCAAAGTTTTGGGATTACAGGCGTGAGCCACTGCGCCTAGCCTACTACTGCTTTTTAACTAAAGTCTGCCTGCATTCCCTCTCTTGCCACAAAAGGCAAACAGAGCTTTTGGCACATTTGATTCCTGAGGCAGCCCCATGCCTGTTTAACACAGTGTAGCTTAACTGGTTAAAGCACCGGGCTAGTAAACACATGACTAGGGGCTCAATCCCTTGTGGGCCTGTTAGTTTATTTACTGCATTCATTGGCCACAGACTTCATCCCTAAAGTGGTCAAGCCATCTCAGACACGTTTGCTTCTGGTCACACCGATCAAGATTGATCCAGCCACTGAAGTAATCCAAACAACTCACTTCTAATGGGCCAGAGGTTGTCATCTTCATACCTGAGGAATGGCTTGCATTTTATAAAAATTGGAGATTCTTCTGCTCTCAGAATAGCAGACACAGGGCTGGGCGCAGTGGCTCATGCCTGTAATCCCAGCACTTTGGGAGGCCGAGGCGGGCAGATCACCTGAGGTGTCAGGAGTTTGAGACCAGCCTAACCAGTGTGGTGAAACCCCGTCTCTACTAAAAATACAAAAATTAGCCGGGCGTGGCGGTGGGCGCCTGTAGTCCCAGCTACTCGGGAGGCTGAGAAAGAATTGCTTGAACCTGGGAGGCCGAGGTTGCAGTGAGCCGAGATTGTGCCATTGCACTCCAGCCTGGGCGACAGAGCAAGATTCTGTCTCAAAAAAAAAAAAAAAAAAAAAAAAAAAGCAGACACAGAGGTGAACTTAACCTGAGATTAACCAGATTCACAGTTCAATAGCAACCACCTTTAGAGTCCCTAAGCTAAGAAACTGCTATGATTTTGATGAAACAGAAAGGAGGAAGGTAACTCTAGTTCTTTCTGAGGCATCCGACACTCCTTTAGAAGGGTTTTCCCAGGAAGCCTCATTCACTTTCAGGTAAGCCCATTATGAAGGGATAAGGATTTTACCGTATTCCACTGGAATAGGGGAAAAAACCATCTCACTTTAACAGAAAGCATGCAAGTGCCCTTTTCTGGAGGAGGTGGGAATGAGGGAGTACACAGACTTTAGCTTAAACTGTGGCAGGAGGGTCTTAATTTTGGCAGAACAGGGCATGGTGTTGCATCTCACCTGTTCCACGCTTAGTACAAGCCCTTCTTCCCAGTCCCTGTCACCTGCCTCATTTTGAGCTTTCACTGTATTTTCCTGTTGTTCCAGGGAAGATGAAGTGCATTTAAATGCTGCAGTTGGATACTGTGAAGATGAGACCCCTTAGCCTGTGGGATTAACTTTCCATGGAGCCCATTCTGGAGAGACTTGAGAGAGCACCTTTAAAAGGAAGTTAGCTAAGATACTGCCCTCCGTTTCAGACAGAGGTTGGAACCAGATCCTGGCTGAGAGCAGAGACCAGCTTCCACTCAGCCATGCACCCTAGGAGTGGGGATTCAGCTCTGTGGCTCCAGGAAGGTTAATCTTCAATGTTAATCCGTTTAGATAAAGTTGTTAGTTAAAAGGTAATCTGTTTAGCCTCCCTTTCCCCATTCTCCTGCCAGAAAAGAGGGAGTTCAAGTCTTCTTTCCAGGACTCCTGTGTTTTGGCTGAGACTGATTCTTCACTGTGGCCTTGGGAGAAAAGCTGCCTAACCAGTTCTGGGCCCTGGCTAGTTACAACCATGTGTGAGTTGTTTACAGTACGCACAGGTATGGGCTGAAGGGAAACAAAGCTTAAGGGATGACTAGAAAGGCTTGCTGAAATTGCTATGGGAGGGCCCCACCCTCCAAGCCATCTCCCCTCACACCCCGCTCGGTTTCAGTTTCTGCAGCTTGGTTATGCGACATTCTCTTAATCCTTTTTTGAATCTGGTCTCTACTTAAGCACTCAAGAAAACTGCTCCACAAGGATTGTTTTAGTGGGGTTTTAATTTTTTAAAATGTTCTTGTTTATTTAAATTGCTTGAACAAGGGTTTAGCTGTATGGGAAGAGTTCCTGCCTTTAGCTATACATGTTTCCACCCACTTAGACATGCTGCTCACCCACAGACTCATACAGCCTCCACAGACACAAAGCTTCTGTGTATCCTACATGTACCTGCACCCCAATTCTGTCAACCTCCCCACAGCTCTTGACTGGCTGTTTATCTATTCCATTCCACTACCTTCCCACCCCAGCCCTCAAAGTCCCAAACAGATTGAAAAAAAAAAAAAAAATGGGAGGCAGCAAAATTGCTTACTTGCACGAAAGGGCTCTTGCCTTTGAGGGGAGCTCTCTAGGCACCTAATTTCTCTTAGATTTCTTTCTGCCCTCAAAGGTACTTGTGGAATGTTTGCCGTTAAACGGTTGTAAATTAAGGGCTGAGTGTATGAAGCGTTAATGAAGGCTGCCATTGGAACCAGTCCACGTCCCGTCCCGGCTGGCAGGTTTGCTGTCCAAGAAGTCTCTTGCTGGAGGCCTGAGTTCCTGAGTGTCGGGTTTCAGCTCTCCTTTCTTCTTTTTTCGTCTTTTCTTCTGCAGCTATTTTTTCCCCTACCTTCCTTATAATCCGTCCCTTCCCTTCCTTCTTCCATACCCACTCCACCCCTACCCCTTTGGCTTTTTCTGAAAGTAACCATGAGGAACAGAGTCAGAATGAGGCTAGGGAAGCAGCATTTTTTTTTTTCTTTTCCTGTAGAAAGCAGGGCCAAAAGGGTGCATTTTATTTTTTTCTGCTTTTCCTTTTATCTCTTTGTGTTTGCTTCATTTCTTTCTCTTTAAGTCAAGGTTGAAATTGATGTTTGCAAAAGACAGGAATTTTGAATAACTGCCTGAGTTAAACAGAATATGGAGAAACTTTGACTCTGTCCCATGTATTAAAAATTAAAATTAGGGCAAAATAATGCGGATTTGTCCTGGAGGACCTGGCCAGATGTAGCTAGAGGACTTTCACAGTGCTGGTATAATTATACCTGGATATGGGATAATCTTCACTTTAAGCAACTCCATTATGTGAAAATACAGATCCACAGATACATATACAAATAAACACTTCCAAAAGAAATCCTTGTATAATTCAATGTAATATGTGTTTTTAAGCTACAATATGTAAGCCATCAAAGTACTGCATTATTTTTAGATAACAGACTTTTCAGTTTGTTTAAGGTGTGATTACCTTTACCAAACATCATTTCTACTCAAATAGAATGCTTACAATAAACTGTATGGAGGATACCTACATAAGTCATGTCCTGAGTTTATACTATTTCCTAGAGACATCTCTTTTATACATTTCAAGTTTTAAGTTTAGTCTGATGTTTTATACTTTTCAGTTTAGTACCTGAATTGTATCTATCTATGAAATAATAACAGATAATAATTTTAAGCAGATACTGTTTGCTAGACATTAATGCAAGACACTCTGTACATTATGTCATTTCATTTTTTTTTTTTTTTTTTTTTTTTTTTTTTTTTAGAGATGAGTCTCTGTCACCCAGGCTGGAGTGCAGTGGCACGATCACGGCTCACTGCAGCCTCTGCCTCCCAGGTTCAAGCAGTTCTCCTGCCTCAGCCTCCCAGGTAGCTGGGACTATAGGTGTGTGCCACCACATCCAGCTAATCTTTTGTATTTTAGTAGAAATGAGGTTTCACTATGTTGTTCAGGCTAGTCTCGAACTTCTGAGCTCAGGCAATCCGCCTGCCTCAGCTTCCCAAAGTGCTATGATTACAGGCGTGAGCCACTGCGTCCGGCCTATCATTTAATTCTATTGCCACTTCCATTTTAGAAATGAAGTGACAAAGCCTCACAGAGGATATGTAAGTTGTTCTTGACCACACTATGTTTGGTTGCTTGCCTTTGTATCCACCTGTGTTTCATCATTATTGCACAGTGTTCCCATTACTCTAAGGGTTACAATCTGAGGTCCCTTCCACCCTGACATTCATTCATTTGTGCATTCAGCAGTTACATGTATTGAGTGCCTACTGTGTGCCAGGATGCCCTGCCAGTCAGGCCAGCACTCAGTGATAACTACTGGTCACAGGATCTAGTGATTTGGCCTTAACAAATGAAGGCTGGACATGACCCTTTTTTATTCTGTCCTGAGAGCCGTTGCCTATGCTATCCACTTATTATAGCGGCATTCATATGTAATAAATAACTTATCAAAATAGTCATAAAGGACTTGGCAGACAAAATGAACTGCTAGAGAAGACTGCATTAAATTTTAATAGGAAGAATTCTTAGTAATAAGTAGGAAATGCATCTTGGTGTAGAACTGAGTCATTCTTTTGTGGCTTTCCCTAAGACATCTTCATATCAGTGACTATTTTTTTTTTCATTTATGAAATACTGTGCTTTTAGACAAAGTGTATTTGAAATTTCTCACTCTGTTTCCCAAGTAAATAAACAAATAAAAGTAAAGAATGGAAAAAGACAAGACAAACCATCTTCCTTTATTCCATAGAGGTGGAGTGCCTTCTAGTAACAAGTGCTGTGTGCCGTGTATGGAAGACACCAGTAATCACATCATAGACCCTAATCTCAAGGAACCTGTGTTCTTGTGGGGCAGTCAAAGAAATAGGCCTAGTCCAGGGTATTAAATGCTGTGATGGGGATACTGAGAGAGTATCCTGGGAATGTTTAGGAGGGCACCTTATTGTCTTGGTGAGGATGACGCAGTCACAGAAGTTTCTTCTAAAGAGAAGACACATAGGCAGAGATCTAAGAATGAATTAGAGTTCTCCAGATAAAGGGGATGTAAGGGGCAGAGGGGAGCAGACTGGCCGAAGAACATTTTTGTTAAAATCCTTTTTTTTTTGTTTTGAAGAAATATGACTTTTGTCCTAAAATTCCACAGCAGAGCTTCCAGGGCTATGGTAGGGATTAAGGTATTCTACAACAGATGAACAAGTCTTTTAGGGACAGCCTGGTGAGTTTAACCTCTGTAGGGCTCCTGTAGAGGAGGCACTCTTTGTTATGGGAAGAACAGGGCCCTTTTTAGTGAGAAGAGGGGCCTTGGGTCTCTCCAGTTTTCCTGATTGGCTGTGCTGATGGCTTTTACTCTTCTTTAAAGGAGGCATAATACAACCCCGTTAATTGAAACTCCAGTGTTTAGAATGTTTGGTGGTTTGTGAAGCCCTCCTGTAAAAGGCAACTGACCAAGCATATAAATAAAGCTATGAAATTAATACATACATGTTGAGCATTTAAATGTGTAGGGTGCTGGGTTTATGTACTCAAGGTTGCTTGCGGGGATTATTTAGCTGGTTTAAATAAACAAACTTTTAAAAGGCTTTATAAAGTAAACAACATCTATTTGCATACCAATTCCAATTTATACTCTGCTCAAAAATAGGTCTGATGGTGCCTCTTTGTGGAAACAGTTTATCAGTAGTTAGAGTTTATGTCTCATAAAGTTTTAAGATTTTATTTTTCATTAAAATTCTTTGAATTCAGACACTTTTGGTAATTCATGCCTTCCCTCCAGTTTCCCTAGATTGGGTAGATTTTCCTGGAGTTGCACTCTCTATTTTTATAATAACATAAGCATATTGATGATAGTGAATAGGCAAAAGGCTGTGGGTAGTGTAAGAGCAATTCTTTTCAGCTTCAAGGGATTTTTAAAAATTCTTTCATTATTCAAGAGTTGTAATTTGTTGTGTATATTTAAAATAACTCTCATCTTTCAGTCTCTCCAATAAATGCATTCTGCTATATGGCCAGGTGTGGTGGCTCACGCCTGTTATCCCAGTGCTTTGGGAGGCCAAGGCGGGTAGATTGCTTGAGGCCAGGAGTTTGAGACCAGCCTGGCCAACATGATGAAACCCCATCTGTATTAAAAGTACAAAAATTAGCTGGGAGTGGTGGTGGACGCCTGTATTCCCAGCTCCTCAGGAGGCTGAGGCACAAGAATTGTTTGAACCTGGGAGGCGGAGGTTGCAGTGAGCTACGAAAATTGTTTGAACCTGGGAGGCGGAGGTTGCAGTGAGCTATGAGAATTGTTTGAACCTGGGAGGCGAAGGTTTCAGTGAGCTGAGGTAGCGCCGCTGCACTCCAGCCTGAACAACAGAGTGAGACTCTGTCTCAATAAAAAGCATTCTGTATAAATCTATGATATCTGAGAATCCGATGTCGTATTTGCTTATTGTCTCTCTTTCCTGCTGGAACATAAGCTCCATGATGGCAGGGACTTTGTCTTGTTGCTGTATCCTTAGCAACTAGAACAGTCCCTGCTGCATGGTAGAGTCTTCATATTTATTTAATGAGTGTATGAAACAGTTCATTCTTTGTGCATGGAAACATGATATTTGCACATTTTATAAGATATATTACATTAATACTAATATTAATACTGCCTTACATATAACAAGTTTTTTTATGAGAGGAATTTCAGACTCTTATAAAATCATTTATTTACAGAAGATGGTATAACTAACTCTGACATGAGGTACTGGGGAAGTATTTCAAAGTGACGTTGGAATGGGATTTCTGGATATTGCAGGATGCAAGAGGTTGCTGAAGAGCAAGTTTGTGGCACACCAGGCTGTGAGAGCACCGCATGGGCAAAGGCCCAGGGTCATATGATCTGCAGGGCCATAACAGGAGTAAGTAGATTGGGGTCAGATTATGCCAGGCGAGGAATTTTATCTTGAAGGCAGTTGGGGACTATTGAAAAATCAGAGGACAGTGCAAGGGAAGGGGATGAGAGGTAACAAGATCAGATTTGTACTTTAAGGTAATTTTGGTGTCTCTGTGGAGGATGGATTAAAGTGGGGGTGAGATTAGAAAAAAATGAGCTAGAAGGTGAGAGATGGTGTAGTAAGTGGGATGAATGAGTTTAAAAAGCTATTTTTGCGATTAAATTTAAGCAATTTGCTAATGGGAAGGTGGTTTGAGGGAGAAGGAAGAGTTGATGTTAATACCAAGGTTTCTAGTTTGTAAGTGAAGAATAGCAATGTCTCAAAGGATATCAAGATTACCAGAGGCTGAAGAAAGCTACTGAGGAAGGTTAGAAGGAGAGAGTTGACGAGTTAGATTTTGAGTAGCCTGTAGGATATTCAAGTGGAGCTGTCCAGGAGGCAGTTGGAAATATATGACTGAAGCTTCAGAGAGAGGTCAGGGCTAGAGACATAAATTTGGATATAATCAGTGTGTAAATAGCGATTGATGCCGTGAGAGGGAATGCAGTGATCCAAGAGAGCCTACACAGTATAGAAGCAGACCAGGGCCAAACCCTGAGAAGGCCAAATATTTGGCAAGGTGGTTAGTGGAGAGGTTAAGAACAGGATTATCAGAGAGGCAAGAGAAAAATCTGGAGGGAGTAGCATCTTAAAAGCCAAGGGGAGTTTGAGAACTATAGGTTCATCCGCATCATTAGATGCCACAGCCTTCCTCTGGGCTCTTATACTTCTATCTTAACATATATTATGTTAACTTCATGTATTTTCTATCAGGTTTTCCTATGTCTGTGAGCTCTGTGAAAGCAGGGATAAAAAGTGTTTCATCTTTGTGCATAGGCCAGAAATGGCAAATAGGTTTCATTTCATGTTCCAAGTCTGAGTATTCTCAGCTGAGTCCAGAGTCTGCAGAGAAGAGTGCCTTCATCCATTAGTGATTTCTGATTAGTGATTTCAGGATCAGGGACTGATGGCAACTTGCCCTGTATTTCTCATGTCTGCATTAGGCACTTATTCATTCATTATTCAACAGATACTTACTGAGTGCCCAGCATGTGCCAAGTACTGTGCCAGGTGCTCAATAAATGTTTATTGAATAAATGTTGAATGGTTAAAGGAAGGCTCGCAACATCCTTTAGAAGGAATGGGAAAGGACCTGAGTGAGGTGAGCCACCTCTGAGAGCCCAGCTGAGGCCATTTTCAGTGTTGTGTGCCTCAGGTCATCCTGCCTTCCACCTATGCGGAGTGTACTGGTTAACACAAAGTCTCTGGTAAAAGAATGCCAGATTTTAATGATTTTTAACAAAAATACTTTCCACTTTTGTAAGTATTTAACTTATTAGTGTGCACTTGCATCTCACTTGATCTTTGCATTAATCCAGCAAGAGAGATAGGCCATATGTTGTCATCTCTATTAGACAGATGAGGAAATAGAGATATTTATTACTAAAAATTTGAGTAAGAAAGCAAACACTGAGCCAGAATTGGAACTGAGGTCTGACTCCCACTTCTAACTCTTGAGAGTATGGCTCAGAAATGGGCATCTCTAGTCACAAAATGTGGCTGAGCTGTTTGGGCAACTAGCAGAGCTGGACACCTTGTGATTCAGAGGGGCTTTCCCATGGAATGCAGGGGGCCACAGGCAGCATTTTGGATGGTACAAGGTTGGTAGGAGGAAGAGAAGAAATGATTGGCTCCCAGAGGCTTCATGGGCTCCCAATTCATGATTCTTTCTCTGTGGCTAATTTTTGTTAAGTATAAGAATTCCAGGAATCTCTTAGGAATTGTGGAGACTGCTTTCTCCTGAAATATAAAACATCTGCTCTTGGTCTCTTTGGAGCTCCACTGTCTGAGGGGAAAACAGGGAAAAAGAGGTAATATAAAACAGACATTGTTTCAGACAATAAATCCCCCTTTACTCATTAATGAGAAAATAAATTTAGGGCCAGAGGTGTCAGACTTTTCAGGAGGCCTCTTTGTTCTTTTCTTTTCTTTTTTTTTAATAATTTAAAAAAGTTCCCACACTACACTGATGTACAGGAAACTTCTCTTAACATTGCCTTTTTTATTTTTTCTTTCCTGAGTGATAAGTTCAGAACAAGAGACCAAGTCTCTGGGGACACAAAATTGAGCGTGCTGGTTGGACACAGCTGTTCCCTGTAACCCACCCTGCTTCAGCATGTTAGGCACATTTTTTTGTACCAGTATTTTCTTCCTGAAATCCTAGGTAAGAACACCTGAGGGGATAGATGGCATGGCAGGACACGTATAACAGTCTGAAAAATGTGTAGGCAAATTCCTAAAATCACCATTTTCCTGTCGCCACACCCTTCTTTCCCTTTTCTTTTAAATGTCCTCCATCCCCTCAAATCCCATTTCTCTCCTCAGGCTCCTTGAGGCTTTCCCATTCCACATTTCTCTGGATCCTCTGAGATTCTCGGCTTCTTCTAGAGTACTAGGGACTGCTTTTTGAGCAAATCTGTGTGAGCCGCATGGATTTCATGAAATCACCTAAAACCTTTCTGTTGCGCTTGGTAAGAGCCTTGGATAGGGAAAGGAAGGGGTAGACAGGCTTAGAGGCAGAGACTATTCTTACCTGGCTTACAGTTGTATTCCCAGCACCTAAGCCAGTGACTGGCACGTAGTAGGCACTCAGTCTTTCTTTAGTTAAATACAATGAATAATTTAATGTTGGGGGGGATATGGTAAAAGAAGAAGAGGAGAGTTGGAAAACTCATGGGCATCTTCAACAGACAGGAGCCCCATGACTGGGGGGTGTCTTAGCAAAAGGCTTCCTGGCGTCATAACAGAAGTAGTCACAGAACCCCCAAGACCGGAACCTGTTACACCAGAGGGTTGGTGCACATTCACGATGCCCTCTGTCGAAGGGCCCCACCTTCCATGCCTGCGCGTCTCCTTTTGTTCTGTCAGGTTTAGCATTGAGGCAATTGGTGGCCGCCGCCTCCTTTGCCTCATCTGCCCCAAATCCCTGCTTGCCATCAGCCCAATGCAGCAGGCTCTGGTGCCAACCACAATCTCCCCGGGAAAGAGATTTGAGGGACTGGAATTGTGAGAGAAATGTAAGCTCTGAGCTTGACGGTGGTCCATGAGCCCCTCCCCTTCTCACCTTTGAAGCAAGAAGGGGCTGGTTCCAGGGCTCTGTGGGAAAGCTGCTTTGAAGAATGGTGAACTTGGGCCACGGGGCATCATTCTGCTTTAGTTGAGGGGGTCCCTGTTGGGTTCCAAAGAGAATGCGGTGGGGTTAACATAAAAGCAGAGTTTAGCAGTGAGGAACCCATTGGTCTATGGCCTGCTTTCTTAATTGTTAGTGAATTAAGCCAGGAAGGCACTGGGGGTGGCTGGGGAGATCCTTTGTAAGAGGTTAAGGTCTTCATAGAGTGATGATAGGATTAGCAATAATTTGGTGGAAACAAACAAGCAGAATACCAGGAGAGCTACAAGCGATCGGTTCTGTACTGTGTCCCTGTGTTCTCTGGTTCACCAAGGACCTTAGGCCTGTTGTCCTAAATGATCACAGGGCTGGCATCACCCTTGCTGTGATGGGCTGGCAGGCCAATGTGCTTGGCCCTCCTGCCAAAAGTATCTACGCACATTCTGCCATGGATGGTACATTTGCATGCTCCCCTCTCCTTAAAATCTGAGCTGGGAGATGGGGAAGAATGAAAGGAGAAAATCAAATTAAATGTTTGACCAGCAGAATGAATTCTGTCTCCAGTGAGGCTGGCTTGCATTTGTCTTGCTTTTTATTTTCTGAACTTTCTCTCACCATAAATCCTTTTTCCTTTCCTTTTACCCATTAAAATGTTTTTACTCTTTGTGCCAGCACTTTGTCCTTTGGCTCTTTCTGTGTCTGTCCCAGCTCCATAATCCTCCCCATGTTCTTTTGCTCACTTTCTTGTCTCCTGATCTGAACCCCAGCCTTTCACTTTGAAATGCTTTTTTCTTTCTCAGATTTCAGGATTTCTTTCTTGCCTTAGAGTGGGATGTTCACTTAACCCTTTTTGGGGTCTGTTTTTCTCTCTAACTTTGGGCCTTTTTCACATTTCTGTGTTTCTTTTTTCTCTTTTTGAGACGGAGTCTTACTCTGTCGCCCAGGCTAGAGTGCAGTGGCGCAATCTCGGCTCACTGCAAGCTCCGCCTCCCGGGTTCATGCCATTCTTCTGCCTCAGCCTCCCGAGTAGCTGGGACTACAGGCGCCCGCCACCACGCCCGGCTAATTTTTTTGTATTTTTAGTAGAGACGGGGTTTCACCGTGTTAGCCAGGATGGTCTCGATCTCCTGACCTCGTGATCCGCCCGCCTCGGCCTCCCAAAGTGCTGGGATTACAGGCGTGAGCCACCGCGCCCGGCCTTCTGTGTTTCAAATAATGATGCTTGTGTATACATAATCACTGGGGCTCAGTTCTCTTTTTGATTGTCTGTTTAGAGGAATGCCTTGGTTAGGAAAAAAAAAAAATTGGCTCCTGGACTTTGCCATCCAATGCCTGTTTCTTTGCTTTGAGGCTTGGGAATAAAAATTACTTAGCTCATCTACTCTGCTGGAAGAGTAGAGAAGAGGGTGACATACCCCACAGGAAATGGGGACAAGCCCATTTTGGAGGGAGGCTGCCTGATTTTTTAGGAGATAGGGAGTGAGGACCTGCTCTGTGCCTGGCCTCCCACTAACATTTCTCGCATCTCACTTTACCTCCAGCAAGAGGAGAGCTGACAGCCTGCAACAATGCCCTCCTTTCTTCTCCCAGGGCCGGTGTTTTGATAGTGTCAGGTTACACCCCAGCCTCCCCTTGGCCCATTTATAAACCTGACACAGGCAACATGATGTAATGTTATTTTTCAGGATCTCAATGAGGAAATTTTTTGCCCCAGGTCAGAAGAATGCTAGTTGATTTTTGCTGAAATGAACCATGGCACAGTATAATATATGGGCTCCTAGTTCAAGAAGGTGGAGGCGGGGCTAGGGTGGTGTATTGCACTGAAGTTGGTAGGTTGTAATAAAGCTTTTTCTGCTTGGACCTTCCACCTCTGGGCGCCTCAGCCAACCTATCATTGTTGAGAAACACCCTTGTAGAAGCAGGCTTGGGAGCTGCCCCTTTTAATGCAATTTTGCATTGTTCTGGTGCCATAGTCTTGATTTCAAATGCGTCGCCATTGAGCAGCTGCAACGGTTGAGACTAATCTAGAAAGTGACCACAGAAAGGAAAGGGGGATGGGGGGACTTCTATGTGACCAAGTTTGTCTTCTAGGCTAGCGTTTAGCCACCTCTCGTAGCTCTGGTTTCTCTGGCTCTGCTCGAGCAGTGCTGCTGGACTTGGTGGCGGGAATAGAAAGGGAAACTGGCTATGGCTTCCTTTTACTTCCTGCCTCTTCCTCCTTCCCTCACCCCATGATATCTGTACCTAAAAAATGTCAGAAAAGTCCCATTTTTGTATTTACATTTTTTTTTTGTGAATGAAAAGAGACAAAAGATTCTAGACTGGAAAGGTGCCTGGCACTCAGCTGGAGCACTGCCCTAGGCGGAGGAAGAGATGCAGAATATGATGGGGCTCCCACCTCTGTTCCCGTCTTCCTGGTCCCTCTCCCCTTCTGGAGGTGACTGAGTTGCTGGTGTCTCATGAGATGTGATAAAGCATCCTGGTTAAGAGCACTGGAGATAGTATCCAGCTTGGCTTTCCATCCTGTTATGAATTGGCAGATTAACCTTGGACAAGTGATTTGAACTCTGCCTCAGTTCTTAATCTGTTGAGTATGAAGAAAAATAGACCTACCTCCCAGGGTTATTGGGCAGTTTAAATGAGTTAATGTATACAAAGTATTTACATCAGTGTGTGGCACCCAGGGATCACTGTATGAGAATTTCCTGAACAACAACAACAAAAAAACCCTTCTAGAAATATTTTTACAAATTATGAATGTATTTTCCTAATTTTGAAAATACAACTAGTAGAATACCATGAATACTGTTCTGCACCTTGCTTTTATTTATTTATGTATTTAGCTTGTTTCTTAGCAATGTCAAGCCTTATGTTCCAATTTGTGAGCTATAGTGTTTTGTTACCATCCCTGTAAGACAAAGCATCTAAAGTAATCACCTAGGTATGCATACGGAAAACCTTTCTGGACTGTCAGGGAAAGCATTTTATCCCAACTGCCCTGAACTTGTCACTCTTCTCTGAGCAGGTCACACCCCTTGCTGACTCAGCCTTTGTACTGTGTTCTCTGCCTTGAATTCATTCTCTCTTCTCCACGCTACCTGGCAAACTGTTTTTCCTCCTTCAGGAATCAGCTGAAGTATCAGGATTGCCGTAAAGCTATTCCTAACTTTCTCCAGGCTCTCCTGTGAGCCCCCCTAGCATTGTGTGTCTGTCTGTGAGCCAGCCTTGGCACACAGTGTTGCGGTTATGATCTGTGTATATGTGCACGTGGGGGCCCAGAGCTCTCCCACGCTGAACACCAGCAATTAGTACAGTGTCTGTTACATAGTCATGCTCCATGTTTTTAACAAATAAACAATAAGTACTTTTTGGTGACAACATCAGTTTCCTTGTCTTCCTTCTCTTCTGGTGAGAGTGTCTTGAGGTAGAAACGAAGAAATCTGACTCCACCCTAGCACCTGACCAAACTCTTAGTCCCACTCCAAAGCATGCTCTAAGCTGGACTTTACCTGGGGGCTGCAGGTAGATTGCCCCTTCAGCTACTCTGTCTTCTCCTGGAACCTACAGTGGAGATCCCAGTATGCACCGAGAACCTTAGAAGACTTTCTGGCATGTACTTATTGCTTTGCTAGTAAAGCAGCACTTGAGCAGATCAACTCCATCAACTCCCAGGATGACCTTCCTCTGGTATTTCTGTGGGGTGTCTGTTGTTGGGGAAGCAGAAGCACAAAGCAGAAGAAACCAAGCACAGTTCCTTGCCCAGAATCACTCGGGAGGCAAAGTACAATTCCGTTCTTCCTTATGTTGGGACCTTCGGTGATTGGGTCCTCCTTGTGTGTGGAAGTACATGAAAGAAGGATAGACAAAATTAGAGCATGTTTTCGAGACCATTTGGTTCAGCCTCTCTGATTTTACAAATGAGGAGAGTGATGCAAAGTGTGGTTAAGTGACTATACCGAGGACACAGACCTACTTTATGACAGAGGCTTGGGAGCCAGATTTTAGGATGCCGGTAGTTCTAAAGTATCTAGCTGTGCTGCCGTCTGAATTTCTGGTTCACTCCATCAGGTCAGCCCATAGACACCTCCTTTTTCTTAGGTCGGACCTATCTTATTCGTTTCCTCTTTTGTTCTCTGCAGCTGCCACCCCCACTCCTACCTCCCCTATTCTCTATGTTGACATGTGACTTGGGGCACTTGCAACGTCCCTACCTAAAATTGATGTTTGCCACCTGGCTGCTGACTGGTGCGCTATGCTGCTTCACTCTGCCTGTTTCAACCCTGTGAAATATGGAAGCAGATCATAAAAAAATGGACTCCCACACATTTTGCAGATCTAAATTGGGCCTTAATATAATGTACTTGGTTATGACAAACAGGTTTTCTAGGGCATGACCGGCAGCTTAGGCTGGCTTCCCTGGTCATGTCAGTTGAATTCTTTTTTTCTTTTTTTGAGTTGGGAGTCTCACTCTGCCGCCCAGGCTATAGTGCAGTGGCATGATCTTGGCTTACCACAGCCTCCACCTCCTGGGTTCAAGCGATTCTCTTGCCTCAGCCTCCTGAGTAGCTGGGACTACAGGAGCCTGTCACCACGCCTGGCTAATTTTTTGTGTTTTTAATAGAGTCAGGGTTTCACCATGTTGACCAGGCTGGTCTTGAACTCCTGACCTCAGGTGATCTGCCCACTTCGGCCTCCCAAAGTGCTGAGATTACAGGTGTGATTCACTGTGCCTGGCCTCAGTTGAACTCTTTAAGATTATTCAACTCTTTCCTTAATTCTTAGGTAGTCAGGATTCTTCAAAACTTTATGTTTCTCTGGGAGTCAAAGGAAGTTTATGGACACAATTTCTCCATATAGTAGCTTATTTCTGAAAATAAGAAAAATGAGTAAGTTGGACCTCATTTCTTTTTCTAACAATGTGTGGGTTACCCTGGTCTTGTTGACCAGTTTATTTCCATTTCTACTTGTTGAAATAACCTTTCAAATAACCACAAGGAATTTTTAAATAACTAAGTCACTATCTTTTTCTCTAGGTTCAATTTTCTAGCACTGATAGATATAAAAGAAAGTAATAATAACATTCTTTTTTTTAGAATAATTTTTTTTTTCTTTTCAGGCAAGTAACTATTTGTTCAGGTGTAATATTCCTGATTTTATACTGTGGTGATTCCCTATAGATGACAACTGCTCAAACTCTAGCCTTCTAAATGTTAGGTACCAAATTGACCTTTTTGTAATCAATTTGTTTTTATCTAGCTTTATTAACAGCCAGCCGCCGCACCGTTGATTGGATCGACGAGGTGGTGATGTGAAACAATCGCTAAACGTGGCCAAAGTAACCAGACTGACTTTTGTGTGGTTTTTGTTTTCTGGACAAGGATTCTGTTAGTTAGAACAGCATTTAATTGTGCCCACCACAACTAAATAAAACCCACGAGACAGTTACAAATGAACTGTCACAAGAGGGGAGGAGTGAAGTAGAAGGAGCCAGAGGGAGAGCCTACAGGCCTTCTGTGAATGACCACAAACCCTCTCGACTTTGGGATTTGGCCTCCCTGGGTTGGATATGCCTGGAAGGGTCGCAGAGGTTAAGAGCCAGGAGTCTGGGGAGGCCAGGGTATTGTGTTTGGTTACAGAGGTGCCTTCCAGGTGATCACCATGGAAATGCCTTTCACTGGGGTCTCCAGAGATGAAAAATTCAGGATATGTCTATGTGAAATATGGTCTTGTAAACCATGGGATAGGGATGGGAAAAGTTGGCTTAGTCTCTCTCTCTCTCTCCACCTCTGGAGTGGCAGCTGTGTGACTCCCTGTAAACTTTCAAATGGTGGTTCTTCATGCCCGGGGATGATTCCGTGTGTCAACAAGTCTGGGCAGTCTTTGATGTAGCCACCAGCGTCTAGGCCAGGAGGCACACTGCTGCTGCCTGGTGCCCTCATGATCATTCTCTGTGCCTTCTGCTGCCCTCTCAGCCCCTGGGTCTCCCTCCCCAGGTCCTCCTTACTCCTGCTCCTGTGACGAGGGGTGGGAAGCTCCGTTTACTGATCTATATATTATTGTGTTGGTGGGAAACACTGGCTAGGCCAAATAATAATGTCTTGCAATTACTTAGCATTATCTTGGGTGTATCTCCCTTGAGAAATATATTCCTGGAAATATACCAGTAAAATGAGTTTCGGTTAGCTGAATCATATTTTATAGCCATTGAAGTTATTAATGTAGAAATTTTTCTCAAGGACAAAAACCTGACTGAGGCCATCTCAACCTCACTGAAATTTTCAGTGAAGGTTAAGAGGCATATTCTCTGATAAATACAAGGTAAGAACACTTCATGTGACAGAAAAAAAAATCCAAAATTGCATGTTCCCAATGCTAACTTCAGAGGGAGCTGCATTTTCTGAGATTATTCCGTCCTTTTACATGCAGTGATAATTACTAATATGTATTGATACTCATCATGTGCTAGGCATAGTGCTAAACCCATTGACATAGATCATTTCACATAATCCTCATAATAATCCTTTGAGAAATGGAATATGTTTATTCTGATTTACAGATTTTGAGACTGAGGTTCAAATAAGTTAAGTAATTTGCTCAAGGCCATACAGCTGTTAAATGGTAGAACTGGGACTTGAACCCACCTGGAGTCCAGATCCAGAGGTCATATTTTATTACCTCTTGACTATCTTTTTCCTGTTATAAAATAGTATAACTTCATCTTAAATATTATTTTAAAAACTCCTCAAATTTATATGCTAAAGCTCATTGGCCATGTGCTGGTGCCTTTAAATTTTTATCCCCCCTAGAGATTATAACTAAGACTAATGTCTGTGGCTACTCAACCCAGTTGGTTAGAGCTAATGGGACCAAGGTGACAAGGTTCAGCCCCCATTTGAGTCTGTTAGCTGGGCTGAGTTTCATGGCCACAGAATTAACCTTTCACCTTGGCCAGCTGCCTCACAAATGCATGTTGTTGATCAGAGAGAATAAGGAGGAGATTGTGGATAAAATGGCACAGACCGCTAGATCAGCCACCCAAGACTATGGATGGTGGTTCAGTAATGTTTTCTTTCCAATATGGGATCAGACATTATTGCCATGTATAGTAGTTTAAAACAGCATTTCTTGGTGTGCTCCTTGGAGCTGGTTATTTGTTTTAGTGTTTGTATGTGAGGAAGCGTTGTATTGCCAAGTAAGATTGGGAGTTAAAAGAGCTTTCTGAACTACAGGGCTTCCCCGAGGTTTAATATGTTAATGTGTGTTGTAAATCTCTCAGAGGGGTGTGTGTGGTGGAGTGGTTAGCATTTTCAGAATTTATTTGACCTGAGGACCTTTTCCCTGGACCAGGATTCTTAAAAACACACTTTAGAAAATTGTGTCTTAAAAATGTACTTGCTTTGTTCTGTTATTTTAAATCCCTATAGTAGTCTTTCCACATTGGGGATCAGTTACAGTTAAAAAAGACCAGTTTCCATATTCCACTAACTTCTACATGTGTGGATCTCCTTTCAGCAGGCTCTATCTTTACCTCCAAAGTGCTTCCGCATCTCTTGTCCCATTTTCTTTTTTTTGCCCTATATTTTAAACCAGGATTCTGTTGCTGGCCATAACACATACCCCAAATCAGTAACATCTCAGGGATTAGAACCCAGATCTCTGGCCCATTTTTCTTTCCAGCGGCCTATGCTGCCTCCCAGTGGACAGAGCATTTGCAAAGAGCAGAGATCATAATGCTTAATTCTTTTCTAGAAAGCGTTTGCCTGGTGTCTGTGAGCATTTCTCTGGCCTGCCATTGCTCTTGAATTATAAGGTGGCATTGTCGTAACTCTGTAAGCAAGACTGAACAACTCTCCTCCTCCCCGCCTCCCCACCACCAAAATTAAGTGCATTATTAGCAAACACTTAAAAGTTCGGAGAGGAGATTCTAAGTTGACTTACCCCAGGGAGAATAATCACGGCGGGGGGGGGGGGGCACTCAAGATGATCAGCACTAGCCCAGCCTTCTCCCAGGCTGGGGTAAGGGTTTCCTGGGGAGTGCTGAAGTGCACTTGAACCTTGTCAATGACTGTCTCCTACTCCGTTGCTCACTTGCTCTTGTCTCGGTTTAATTTTGCACAGCTCCAGTGGAAATTTCAGTGATCTGATAATTTGGAAAATAAATGAAAGAGTGGAAGATAAATTTTTATTTTCCTTTTCTCAAAAAAATTACACCCAAGTGAATAATCTTTATGCTCTATTTCTCAGTAATATTTAGATGCTACTCCTGAAGAATAGCAGAGCTGCCAAAATCAGTAGGGTTTTTTTACCAAGCTCTGCTTCAGTAATCCTATCACTTGCCTGAAGAATTCATTATAACGAAATAAACACATTAGGAACTCCTTGGTCTTTTACATCTCTAATATTTATGAAGTACTGAGGCTCTGAGCCAGCCAATAAGGAAGCTGGCAATTCACAGCAATCAGTTTAATAGGCATTGGTTGATTTGGATTGCAAAATATAGGTGCCCTGATTAGCCCTCTATATGGACTTGCGTTGTTCTTCAGCCATTCAAAAGCTACCTAATTATGAATATTGAAGTATAATGTTCTGGCTTTTAACATAAGGCACTTACCTTTTAATTGGCCATCAGCTTTGTTTTTAGCGCTTATGTACCTCCACTGGGATTCAAATGAAATGGGGAGATAATCAACCAGTAAGCAGAGAAAAGGGTAAAATGATCAGGGATAATTAAGTGGCAGCAGGGAAATTTAGGGTTAGACAACAGGGAGAGAAACAAAAGAAGGAAACTCACAGGAAACCAGCTCTCTGCCACACTGCCAGGCACACCCCTTTTGAAACCACCTTTGATTCCCTCTTTAGCTTACAGGTGGGACACATATAGACTTTGTGGCTGACATCTATCAGCTTGAGCACAAACTTGATTCCTCCCTGCGCCTAAACTCAGAGCCAGGCAGAGGGTGGGGCATTGGATCTTCACTGCACAAACTTGGCAGAGGAAAAAAGACCATTAAGTGAAGGCTAATTGGAATCTGCCCCAAACTGCACTTTGTTGGAGCTATTTACAATATCTTTCAAGCAGCTGACTTACTTACTGGGTTATTCAGTGAAGGGGCAGTGAGTGAGGGGATCGGTGGGGAGTGCTCAAGGAGAGGAAAATGACCTATACAAGGCAGTGGGTGCTTTCTTACACCTTTGAAAAATTAACTCCTACACCATCTTAGTCCTTGGTACAAAGCCTAAGTACTCGCCTTGACCACAGGGAGCAGTTCACCTCCCTTGGGTCATGTGTCCCTTTATTTTCTGAGGAAATTTATGGTCTAGTTCCAGAAAATTAGCCTAGATACACACATTTTTTTTTTCCCCATGGAATTTCAGGAAGCTGAGGAACTCCTGAAAGACCATCCATGGATCTTCTAGTTTTTTCAGGTTAAAAAAAATCCTGTTTTTAGATCCAGAAGTAGGGCTGGAAGCAATTTTTATACATAATTGTGGAGAGTGAAGTGGAGAAAGCCTAGGAAAAATAATGAGTTTGCCTTTTAAATATTTCTTTGGAGGCCAGGCGCCGTGGCCCATGCCTGTAATCCCAGCACTTTGGGAGGCCGAGGTGGGAGGATCACTTGAGCCTAGGAGTTTGAGACCAGCCTAAGCATTTGAGACCAGCCTGGTCAACATAGTGAGACCCTGTTTCTACAAAAAATTAAAGAATTAGCCAGGCGTGGTAGCACACATCTGTAGTCCTAGCTACTCAGGAGGCTGAGGTGGGAGGATCACTTGAGCCCAGGGAGGTCAAGGCTGCAGTGAGCCATGATTGGACCTGGCAGCAGAGTGAGATCCTATCAAAAAACCAGCAAAACCAGCAAATCTTTATAGAAAAACATGAACTTCTTTTAAAAAATTTGTATTAAGGTACTTTAAAAACACCATTTGTATTTGAAGATCCAAAATAGCACATCTGTTTTACTTATTCAAGCAGATTTCATAAGGCATTATTTTGAGGCTATATTTTGTTAGTGTAATTCTAGCTAATTCTAATTTTTATATGCATTGAAACATGATAAAATTATGCATCTTTAAAAATAGCCCTTTTTGCAGTTTAGGCTTAAGGAAGTTCATATGCGTGCATGTGCATTTGTGAGTATGTGGGTGTGTGTGTGCAATCTTTTTTCTTTTTTGTTCCACCTCACCACCCTGTGACATGAAATAGGGACTTGTCTATAACCATATTCTCGTGGCCTAAAATCAGGTCTGGTGCTGAGTAGGTTGCTGAATACATGATTAATTTTGTAACTGTTGACTTCAGGTTTTGAGAGGAAAGTCAAAGAAATGTTTTCCCCTATATTCTTTTCTTTTCTTTTTTTTTTTGTGATGGAGTCTTGCTCTGTCACCCAGGCTGGAGTGCAGTGGTGCGATCTCGCCTCACTGCAACCTCTGCCTCCCGGGCTTAAGCGATTTTCCTGCTTCAGCCTCCCGAGTAGCTGGGATTACAGGCACCTGCTGCCACGCCAAGCTAATTTTTATATTTTGATTAGAAACAGGGTTTCACTGTGTTGGCCAGGCTGGTCTTGAACTCCTGACCTCAGGTGATCCACCCACCTCAGCCTCCCAAAGTGCTGGGGTTACAGGCGTGAGCCACTGCGCCCGGCATTAAAAAAAAATTAATTAATTTTTTGAGATGGAGTCTTGCTCTGTTGCCAAGCTGGAGTGCAGTGGCACAGTCTTGGCTCACTGCAACCTCCGCCTCCCGGATTCAAGCGATTCTCCTGCCTCAGCCTCTGGAGTAGCTGGGACTACAGGCGCGTGACACCATGCCCAGCTAATTTTTGTATTTTTAGTAGAGACGGGGTTTCGCTATGTTGGCCTGGATGGTCTCGATCTCTTGACCTTGTGATCCGCCTGCCTCAGCCTCCCAAAGTGCTGGAATTACAGGCATGAGCCACCGCGCCCTTCCTCCCCTATTTTCTTAACAGTCTTCCTTCTCTTTCTGTCTGTCTGTATTTGTATTTTGCCTTCCTTTTCTTTTATCCCCAACGGGGGCGAGAATTAGGTTCCCAGAAACTATTATGAACATTTTCCTTGGCTGATAGCACTATGAGAAAGCATCGCAAAGGACTGCCTGGGGGGTGCTATTTAGTACAGGGGGATGGGATACGGACTGGTTTACTGTAGGTTCTCCTTCAGGGGCTGATTTAGCTTGGTGGCTCTGCAGTCTTAGGCTGGCCTAGTTGCCCATTTCATAAGCCACACAAGGCTACTGGACTGAAATAATCATGAAACAAGAGGCCATCCCTCTTGTTGCACAGTCTATCTTTTTGGCCATAATTAAGAATCATTCACGTCCAGGGTGCACATTTAGCCAATGGAGTTTCTTAACTCCTTTGAGAAAAGGATCAATGGACATACCTGAACAGAAAGGTTTCTGTGGTTCCATAATGTAAGAGTTCCAAGTGCACAGAGGATGATTCCTGAGTCTGCCCATCGAATAGGCATTTGGGTAGATTTTTTTTTTCTACAATTTGACTTCCATCTTCCTTAAGAATGAGAAGTTAGGACCAGAAGAAAAGCTCCCATCTTTCACACTAAATACGTTCTATAAAACCAAGCAACTTTGATTCTTCCTCCCTGTAAATGAACCCTGGTTGCATAGCTTTTGATGTGTCAAGTCAGGTGTCAGACAAGCTAGAGGGTATAGGAAATACTTCCATTTAGGCACCATCTAAGTTTACCCAGCCTCTCTTCTGCATTGACATTGGCTGTAATCCTTGTAAATGCTGAGTATACTCTTCTTTCCGTGTGGGCCCAGGAGGCAAGGCTAGGCTGGAAGTGATCACTAGGTAGGAGAAGGCGTCTTGTTGGAAGGAGCTGGTGTAAAACAGCGGGTTGCCAGGCCTCTGTTCCCAGCGTTGTCTCTTGTGAAGCTGTTCCAAGGAAGCCACATTTCTCTCTGGGCCGCACTGTTGTGAGTGCCTAGGATGCTTCCGGTGGATCTGTGTGAAATGTCAAGTCCACAGAGGTTAGCCTAGAATCTCTGTGCTGAAAGACTAGCAGGATTTTTGGACTCCAAAGTTCTGGATTGATCTTTTTCTATCGTAATGACTAGATGAGTGAGGTTCTCCTGATTGTTTCTGAGGCTGCTTGTTCCCTATGCCCTCAGCCTGTGACCAAGGTATAGCTCACTCGGACTGAGTGCTTCCTTGTTCAGGATGAATTAAGCACTTGATGTGCACATGCTGTTAACTCATCTCCCCCAACTCCTTTGAATTCTCTACCCATCATGTACTTGGCCACTTTCCTGAGCCAAGCACTTCATTATCTTCTTGTCCTGTGAGTCCTAATAGATATATTTAGAAACACTTCTATGAAATATGGAATCCAGGCTTAACCAGCTGTTTGAAATCACAACCCACAACCACTTTGCTGGTGTGTGCTCACACACACACACACACTGACACATGCTTGCTATACATACATACACACAGTTTCCATCTTTTTTTTTTTTTTTTTTTTGAGACAGAGTCTTGCTCTTTCGCCCAGGCTGGAGTGCACTTGGCTCACTGCAACCTCTGCCTCCCAGGTTCAAGCAATTCTCCTGCCTCAGCCTCCCAAGTAGCTGGGACTACAGGCACGTGCCACTACACCCGGCTAATTTTTGTATTTTTAGTAGAGACTGAGTTTTGCCGTGTTGGCCAGGCTGATCTTGAACTCCTGACCTCGTGATCCACCTGCCTCGGCCTCCCAAAGTGCTAGGATTACAGGCATGAGCCAACACGCCTGGCCAGTTGCCATCTTTTTTATGTGCTTTCCTTCCTTCTCTCTTCTCTAGATGTAGCATGTCTATAATCTCTGGAGGTAAGCCCCGCCTCGTTACACACAAGAGGATCATGACTAATGCGGTGTATATAGATAGATAGAGATATCTACCAGCATGTTAATAAAGGGCCTGATAGGGAATCGAAGAACGTCACCCCCAGGTAATTGCCCACAGTCTTCTGTAGCCACTGCTGGAGAGGGCGTGGTGTGGGAATGGGGGAGATGGGCACACCCGTGTGCACCATGTGTTAGGTGGCAGGAAAGAAGGAGATTTCTGAATTTTATTTTTTTCTTGTCTAGGAAATTTTTAAAGCTTCTTCTGCTTAGAGCCTTGCCAGGGTCTAATTCCCACACAGGTGGGAGTGGGTGCATTAGGTTTCACCTTTTTACGCCCAAGCAGCCATCTCACTGCCAAAGTCGTGCTTACTGATGCACTCCTTTGACTGTGTTTCTCTGCCTTTTCCTCGTGCCTTGCATCTCCTCTCTGTGCTTGCCTTTGTCTCTCTGTGTCTCTGTCTATGCCTTTGTGGCTAGCATCTTGGTGCTTGGATATTCCCCACTTCTCTGTGCTTCTTGGTTCCTGCAGAGCCTGCCTTGTGCCTTTCATTACCACGTTAACAAACTCGAGTCGTGCCTAACGACGTCGCCTCATACGTTATGCTAATGATCAAGAGACATGTTAATGATATTTTAGAAGCCTAATTAGTGGAATATATAACTATATGCAATTTGGTAATGGACTGTGACAACAAGTTGTGAAAAGGGGGCTTGACAAATCCAGTTGCATGTGGCCTCAGACAAACAGGAGCTGAGAATGGATGAGTGGAAATCAGACAGGGAGATAGAAGGAGGAAGTGTGTATTGGGGGTGTGAATGCCTGTGTGTACACTTAACGTGAGGGTCAATCTTTCTTATAGGTAGCATTGCTGTCTTGTCATCATTCCACTGTCCTAAAACCACAGGGCTAACTGTATCTGAAGAATTATTTACTGATGTTTTTTAAGCAATTGCTACTGTTGCCATTGATCATACTGGTATATCTTTGTTAGAAATGTTATTTTGATTATGTTATTCTTCACAACATCCTTACTTGCAATTTGTAATGGGAGAGGTACACATAGAAGATAGGTTCTTGTGCCAAAAAGAAGTTTTATTGTGTTATAAACCAACAATCAAGACCATGTAAGCTCAGAAATAATCTGTATTGTGTCTATCAACATTTTGATAGTATTGGTAGGAGTAAAACAAGGAGTGGTATGTGTAAAATCATTCAGCTGTTTGAATGTCATTTTCTCTCAATGAAAGAATTGGTTAGAGGCATGCATTCCTTCAGCTGGTATCTTTCTTCCTCTAACATGGTGATTCTCAATTTGTGGGCCACGGACCCTGAGGGAGCCTTGAAGTTGTTAAAAAGGTTTAGTAAATTCATGCACATACCAAGCATTGTCTGTAAACAGAATAATGTCATGGACACACATGCAGATAAATATACCTACTAAAATTCTTTGAATGTATGAAATGCTATTGTGGTTAATGAAATGCACATTCACTTAAACAAGCATTTTTTCAGTTCCTATAGGTTTTTTTTATTCATGTGTATCATTCCTCCATCTGTAGAAGCTAAAAATACAATAACTCTCTTATAGTGGTACTTGCAATGTTTTGACATTAAGAGAGAGACTATACATTCACAGAGGTTGGGAGCTTCTGTCTAGCCTGTTGTCCAAAACTGCTTATAAAATTTAGCAACTAATTTTCACTTTTGACAACTATTTTAATTCTAGAAAATAGGTTTATAAAGATTTTCTTAAAGTGTTATCTATCCTTCCAATGACTTATTATAAATTTTAGAATGTATTTCTATAGGGTGGAAAAATCTCCTTTAGTCAGAATTGAACAGTTTTCATGAAGAACATGTTACACCATGTAGAAACATGGGTACTGCAGGGCATAGGTGGCACTAGCTTATGGGAGCCTGAATTCCAGAAACTTGATTTTACTTTTTGTTTAGGATTAAAATGCCAAAAAGAGGGAGGCTTGCAGTATCACACTTCACCACCAGGTAAAGCTTTTAGAAACATATATTCAGTGTGAAAATGCCCCAAGTTTGCAGCTTCTTGACGGATAAAGACAGTTACAGAGACAAAGAAAGTTAGTGTTTTATGAATTAGTCCTCTACTCTTGAAGTAGTATAGCTTATCGGCAATGAGGTACATTTGTATTTTTTTCTCGGCTGTTCTTCCTGAGGAAATACACCATGTTACCATTGAGGAAGTTCTTCTTCTCTCTTTCCCCGTACATTTTTATTGTACGCAGAAAGACAGAAGAAGGAAGCCCTGAAGGAAGATTGTGTATGAACCCAGGATTCTGTTATTACGTCTGATGTTTGTTTCTAGTTAAAAATGAGAAGTAATTTTTGGGAGGGAGACAGAAATGGGAAAAGTTTATAAGCGAGCCAGTGGAAAAAGCACATTCATTATCAGTGTCTTTCTCACTGAGTCGTTTGAAATTGGAAAATTAGCAGCTTCTTTGAAGCTCATAAGATCTTTCATCTTTGTGTATGTGAGTGTGTGTGTGTTAATACTAAGTGGAGATTCTTTCTCTTGCCACTTATTTGGTTTTTCTGCTAATAATGAAATTATAATGAGATCCCTGATGGGATTTAAAAAAAAAAAAAAAGAAAAAAAACACCTTACATGAATTATCCCATTCCCCCACCCTCCTTCTGCCTTTCTGTAAAATCTATTCTGCATAATAGGTCTTTGTTTCTGGATTTGTGACAGAATTGAAGGAGGCCAGGAGTCGGAACTGCCCCTCATTGTTCTTTTTGGTGACTAGGATACAAAGTTCTGTTCGGCACAGAGTACTCTCCTCTGCTTCTACCTCCGGGAACCCCGTTACCCCCCAGCCCACACACCACCACCCCAGTTTTGGGTGGGGAGAAGGCAAAGGTGAGTGTTCGATATCTTTGCAGGCTGAATGGCCAGTTGACTTGAGATGCATATACCATGCCTTCCCCCTTTTATCTTTAAGGATTCATGACATGGGCTGCTGTTGAGGGAACCACACATCTATCTTGATGGCAGAAATACGGTATTTGGAAATCCTGGGAAAACCTCTCTCAGGATAACATTTTCAGTAGTAGGTTTTCCTCCCTGTTACCTCTGGTTCCTATTCCATTGCCCTTTATCAGTACAGGCTTTTGAAAATGCCATGGATTAAAGAGGTCCCACTGCCCAGGGCTGAGCATTTCTTTGCCCGGCCTGGTCTCTGCTAGTGGGTGGGTAAGTGGAGCCTTTGGAAGAAGGAATCGGTGTATGGACTGTTCAAGACAGACACATACTTATCTAATTTAGGCATTTCTAGCTGTAGGAAAGGCAATGATGTGATCTATTCCAATGAAGAGTTTACACTTTGGAAACTCAGTTTCAGAAAATTCTTCCATAATCCAACCTAAATCTTTTCTGCTTTACTATTTTGTCTTAAGCCAGAGATAGGCAACTGCTGTTTTCCCGTCTTAAAACTCTAGAAAACTGGAGTGTAGAGAATGGGCAAGATGAGAATGCCTCGTCTATGTATGTGGCTTAGTCAAAAGCTATTTCCTGAATCTCTCGTGTTTAGATTTTCTCATCAACGTTAATGACCACTTTCAGGGCCTCACTCCCTGCTCCCCATCATGCCTGCAGGTTCCCCCTCTCTTTCTTCTCACCATTTAACAGGTATAATAAAGGTGGGGAATCTTTACAGTTGGTGATTTTATATCATAGATCAAAGATCAAAGCAGAGGAATACACAGCAACCATAAAATTAACTGCTTTTTCAATTTTACAATGCTTTCAGTGATAGAGAATCTTATAAATTTAATATTAATTAAACACTTAGCTTTTAACCTCCTCCTGCATCTCCTTTTGGCTGGTGGCTGGAAAAAATTAATTGGGCATCTTAAATCTTGTATTACTAATGCCTTGACAGGAGGGGTTTCAGAAGCACTTAGAACTTCAGCAAAATGTACTTGGAGCATTTGTCCTTCCACTCACCTAATTGAAAATGCCCCCTTTTTTCCTTAAGGAAAAATGAACCATTTGCAAATTTTTTTTTAAAGGAAGCATAAGTTACAGTCCCCTTTCATAGCCAAAGCTTTAACTCAGTCCCTTGGCACTTTAACACTTCACAAAATGGAAGCCATTGAACTTCCATTATTATAAATGCTCTATTGATTTTTGAGTGTGTTGGTACCGATGTGTGGCCGGCAATTGCTTGGCCTAATCATTGTGTCACCTGAAGCCTATGCATGTTCAATCCAGCAAGAGGTGCCTCCTGTTTTGGTGAGCTCACTTTGGCATGGTAGAGTCAGAGGTGGTGGCATTTGAGAATGGACCCGCAGCATCGTGAACAGGAAAGCTAGAATATCAGTGAAAGGAAATAATATTTCTCTTGAAGGAAGCCTCAAGAGATGGGAAGCCAATGTGATGGAGGAGATGTTTTGGGGAAGCTAGACTAGGCTGTTCACATTTTCTTAGCTCTGGAAGGAATAGACGATGGGCTTTTGTTGGGGGACAAGCATTTCTCTCTTTAAAAGCCAGGCAGGCATTCATGGCTGTGCTTCAGAAGTGGCTCAGTAGAAATAATAATACCAATACATTGCATCTCTTTTGTATTTTTTTTCTCCAGTGGGCTTGGAGAACTTTATCCAGATAATCTCATTTTTCTCACACATCACTGTGTTAGAGAAGAAGGCCCCTGAATTTACCCAAGCTGGTTCTCTGCTATGACCGTATATTTGAAACTAGCAACTGGAAATTATAGTGAATAGAGCAAGAACCCCAAGAATGGATCTTTCTGTACCTGTTTTAGATTCAGGTAACTGAGAAAAGTATGTTAATTGCTTTTTGGGGACATCTGTTCCTAGCACAGTGCTCAGTGAAATCCCTTGGGTTTATGAGTACCTGACTTGGAGAAGAATTATAAGAAACAAAATTTGGGGGAGAATTTAAAATGTCATTATTTACTTTACAAAAAAGTTTTAAAAATTTTACTCTGAAAGGCTTCACTGCAGGTTTGCTTTAAATTGCTAAGTTTTCTAGTCCTGTAGTCATCTAATGAGACTATAAATCAGTTTACAACTGATACTTTAGAAGCATATTTTTTGAGTAAGGTAAGGGATATAGAACATGCAGCATGACAGTCCCCTATCTCCTGCTCTGGGTTGCAATGGTCTCTTTCTCCGAGTCCGAACAGTCACCTTGACAATCCTTGATGGCAGTAGGGAGCATTTAATCCAACTGTGAAATAATAAATTAGCTGTGGAGTCACCACCAGAACAGGGAATCCTGGCTTTATGCACCTGGCTAGTTTGCACTCCCTGTGAAACCATCACGGTTCCTTCTCATTGCAGCTGAGCTTTCTGAATCTTTTAAGAACTGAATTGATGGGATGTGGAATTTGATAGCCGATAAATTAAGGATATTGGTAAATGTAGCAACTCTATTAGAAGATAGCATTTCCAAGATCAGTAGCAACATTTGCTTGCGTTGTTTGTGAGTGTATCTGTGGAGGTCCTTTATATCTGTATCTCTCTCTTTCTCTCTCTATCTAGATATATATGATATGTGGGGTGCTATAAAATTTTTAGTGCCTTAGTTTGGGTTGACCGCCTTATTACTCACGAGTGAGCTATACAGGTCTTCCTTAACAAGTGGCAATAAAGGCTTTACAGCACCCCTTACACCGTCACATATTTTTGTTTAGGCCACATATTGTCTTTTTCTTTTTAAGTCTCCCTTTGCTCATGTCCCTCTCAAGTACCTTTGTTGCCATGGCAACAGTTCCATCGTTTCTTAGGGTAGAGCAGGATGACATCTCACGCAAGATTCTTGAAGTCAGTGCTTGTTTGGACTGACCTCAAACACTCAGCTGGGGCCAGTGCTGTGGCCCTTACCCTGGTCATCTGTGACACTGTTTTCTCTTTTTTGCTCGAGGCTCTGTTTATTAGACTGCCATGTCTGTCTCTACATTAATATTGGCCGTGTCTCCATGGACCTGTTCCAAGGAATGGAAAGAAGCTGATACTCATGATCTAAAATTGAAAAAAAAAATGTTAGTGTTAAGCATTTTGAGTTAAATATGGAGCTTTGTGAGTGGTTGGATGCATAGTAAATACTGTGGCAAGATGGAAAGAGTGAGGGCAGCTCATCCTCTGCATGTCAATGTTCTCTTTGGAATTCCCTCACGGGCTCAGTTTTGACAGGTTACCATGTGCATTTTTCAGTCCTCTCTGTGTGTCTTTAAGACCCAGCAGACCTACCTTCTCCCTGACTCATGGAATATTAGTCCTAAAAGGGAGTCACAGAACTGAGTCCAGTGCACTGATTACATTCTTAGGGAAACTGAGACCCAAAGGGGCATGTGTCTTGCTAAGATCACTCATCCTTTATTGGTGCAGATGGGATGAAAACCCACATCTCCCAGTCTTCAGTTGGGCTTCACCTTTGCTACAATTTGTTAGTTTTTTAAAACAGAAATTATTTGAAAGATTTTACTGTCAAGCTAATTTCCTCTCAAGCCACTGCAACATTTCTGTAAAAAGTGGCTGTAGCCATAGTGGAGACCTCATCTGGCAAATGTGGACAGGTGGTGAGGCTGTACCTCCAAATTTCTTAATTCTTTTTCCAACAAGAAGGTTGGCTTGCCAATTCTTTGATCAAAGGTAGGAGTTTCTGTAATCTGTTCTCTTAACCACATTTGGGATGCTTGTATATATGACTACATATATTTATATATTTTTTATGGGCAATATTTTGACTGTTTCTCTTTTGAAAGACAGTGCGAATGAGTATGCCAAAAATCACAGATGATATGAGAAATGCTATCAATAAAAGCATTTTTTCAGAAAGGTGAATAAAGTAACCCCAAGATAACGTAAAATTTTTCCTAATGTTATTTTGCAAAGTCATTAGAAAACCTAATGCTTGTGACCAATGGGGTGATGCTCGTGGGACAGTACGTGGCTGACGTTGTGGTTTTCACTGGGCAAAATAATTCAGATCTACGAGTCTTTTGGCATGGGCATAGACAGAAAGATTGCATAATTTGTTCTTGGATGACGTGAAAAAGAACCCTGAATATATTTTTCGTTTCTATGCTTCCAAAGTCTGAGTGGGATGTTTTACATGGATGGGTAAGATGGGATTTTAGGAGACAGATAATGCTCTGTTTTAGATCTTCACTTGGTCTTTCCAACTTGTAGGGGTGGTGTGGTGATCACCTATTTGACTAGTGGTTATGCTGTTTTCATATTTAAGCTGCCTGTAGCAATTCGTGATTTGCTATCAGTACATCTGTCAATCTGTAATATTACACTCAATATCATTCTTCTTTTACCCAAATATTTGGTAAAAGAGAAAGCTAACATGCACTAGGTTCCTACCAAGCAGATAAGATGAGATAATCTATGTAAAGTACATAGTATAACCCTGAAAGGGATTATTAGTCCCACTTGACAGATGTGGAAAATGAGCCCTAGAGAGATTAAATAAAATAGAACCTTCTATGACTAAGTGACTAAATTCAGGTCTCTGATTTCAAAGCCCATACTCTTTCCTCTGAGTTGCATTGCCCCTACCAGGTACTTGGCAATTACTGTCTTGTGCAATCTTTGGATCTTTGCCTTGATAATGTGCTTAATCATTCCCTTCACAGTTCATAGTAAAGTAAGAATGACGAGCATTTAGCATCATCACACACAAGCCTAAGAGTCAGCAAGACTCACCTTACTGTAAAGCTAGCTTCATCAGCTCCAGCAGCTTTCCAGGTAGCAAGATGTCACTGGCAGAGTGGATAATGAACTAGCACATGGGCTGCATCAGGAAGCCCTGGGGACCTCGCAGAAGTTGAGAGTGTGGAGTGGGAGAATGGGAGGAGTAATATATTAACCTTACTGATACACAAAGTTGCTCCTTCTTTTTCTTGCAGGTTAGTGCACATAATTGTTATCTCACTATTACTGTGTTGTTTTTGTTTTTGTTTGGCTTTGCAGTTTAAGATAGCTTTTAAAAGCCACCATCTGGTTTAGGTGCTAGATGAAAGTTCTGGTTAAAACCAAACGAATAGTTTCATAACCTAGTGAGAGAGTTTTTTTTTTCTTTTTTTTTTTTCTACAGTATTCAAAGTGCTTTCTGAACAAACTTAAATTTGTTTGGATGTAAGCAACACAGAGAAGTCAGAAAACAAGGCTCTCAGATTCAAGTAATAAAAGCATGGGAGCTGGAGGAGAGGGACAAAAAAATTAAGTAAAAGAGGAAAATAAAAACTCTCACTCTGCATTGACCCTTTTACTGAGGTGTAAGGTACAAAGCATAAATAATCCACATGGAGAGTGACAAGTCCACTTACTTAATTCATTATTTATTTTAGTTATTGGAGAAGCTCATTTCTGCTTAGCCTCCGGGCATATTTACAAGTGTGATAGAAAAAAGACAGTCCCTGCCATTGCTATTTACAATCTACAATAGATAATATATAAACAAGACATATTATTTTAGTAGACAGATGCATCCAGATACACTTTAAACAAACAAGAGTACAGCAATTAATGTGCATATGAAATCCGTAAGATAAATCAGCTATTGTAGCACGTGAAGGAAATTAATACAAATTAAGGAATTGGAACTGATTTGGGCCATATTCGACTATTTTCATATTAAGAAACATTATTTTAGAAGATCTGTTTGGCTGCAGCGGAGTCAGGAACTGGGCAAGCAGTGTTGTGACTTGCTTGTTCCACAGGCAGAGCCTGGGCAGCACTCAATAACACCCCTCACCTTCATAGGCCATCAGCCGTAGAGAGGCAAATTAGAGCACTGGCATAAGCCACAAATCACAGGCTGTTGTTAGATTTAGTCTGACCCTTAGCATCATTTTATCGGAGTCCTCTTGAATTTAATGTGATTCCCTTCACACCACCCCCTCTCTGGACAAATACTAATATTGTTATTGTTATCGCCATGATTACTTGTGGCTGACCTAATACCCTTCTGCCCTGAAACCACAGGACCTTGCCGCAGCCTAGGCATTAATAGCCCTCACAGCACCTCATTGACATGGCTGCACTGGAGTTGAAGTTACAAAGCAGGAAGTATCATTTAGTGCCCCTGCTACCCTCGCCCCTTTCATCTTTATTATGCAGTTTCTTCTTATGGTGCTGCCCATTTTCCCAAGGAATTAAAGTCGCAGATATTTTGATTTCAGGGGAGGGTGAGGGGGAAGTTGGGCTCTGAGTGTAGAGAAGCAAGAGCTGGCACACCTGTCCTTAGGTTCACAGCACAGCCTTTCTCCTGCTGGACACAGGAGTAGGATGAAAAGCCAACATCAATAACCTTGAGTATATAGTTTCATAATCCATGAATAATTTCAGGAATTACAGATGTACTCTTAGTGTAGAACATGCAGAATGCCCACCGTGGATTCAACACTGTGCAAACTATGTGTTTGGGGTTTTTTCTCAATTGGTGGCTTTATATCAACCTCCCCAGCACACTTATATCTAGGCTTTTATAATGATTAATACACTAGGAAGAATCAGTGGTACGGACACATTGGACATGTGGTATTTATGGTCTAGAGGATATTATTACCAGGAACTCATTGGTGCTCTCCACAAGTTTGATGTTGGTTGAGCAGTAAACACGGAGGCACAAAAGGATATAATTAAGGTGACTCTGGAAGTCATCTAAAAAGTGGGAAATGGATTTTATGGTGCCTAGATCCTAGGGTTCATGTAGAGTTAAGACCTGGAAGAGACTTTGGAAATCCCCAGTCTTGTTTTATAGATAAGAAAACCTAGAGTGGATATCAGTTTGCTTAAGGTCATACAATTAGTCAATGGCATAGCTAAGACTCAAAACTAGTTTGCCTGTTAAGTCCACCATAACATCCTCAATGTAGAATGTCCTTGAATGGATGATGTTACTGACTTCTTTTCTTCACAACCATCTCTCCTCTCTTTCTTTTCTTTTTTTTTTTTTGAGATGGACTTTTGCTCTGTTGCCCAAGCTGGAGTGCAGTGGCACAATCTTGGCTCACTTCAGTCTCTGCCTCCTGGGTTCAAGCAATTCTCCTGCCTCAGCCTCCCGAGTAGCTGGGATTACAGGTGTGCGTCACCATGCCCGGCTAATTTTCTTATTTTTAGTAGAGATGGGGTTTCACCATGTTGGCCAGGCTGGTCTCGAACTCCTGACCTCAGGTGTTCCACCCACCTTGGCCTTCCAAAGTGCTAGGATTACAGGCGTGAGCCACAGCACGCAGCCCCTCTCTCTCTTTAGACTATTAATAGTTGGGTCATTTTCTATTACTAGTATTTTCACTGCTAGGTCCATTTTGTTATTATTTGGGGTCTCAGTATGGACTGTTTCTTGGATCTGGTAGAATTTGAATGGTGTACGTTATCATGAATACTGAATTACCTGAGCCTTTCCCTGCAGATTTCCTGTACTATACAAGGAAAAGTGTAATGTAGTGGTTAAGAGCATGGACTCTAGACTGTGATTGCCAGGATTTGAATCCCAGCTCCTTCAATTACATGCTAGTTGTTTTGGACACATTATTTAACCTCTCTTTGCTTCAGTTTCCTAATCTATGTAATAGGAAGGATAATAGTAGTATCTACTTCATAGGTATCTGCCTCGGAGTTAATACACAGAAAGCAATTAAAACAGTGCCTGGTGCATGTTAAGCCTCACAGTATATTTGTTATTATTGTTATTATTATTTTCTTCACTCTCCAGCAGTGGCCTTGAGCTACCCAAAAGGTTATGTAATTTAATCTTCCATTCAATTGAGGAAGGAGCTCTGTTGTAACAGTCCCGGGTGGCGTTATCCAGCTCTGCTGTGGCACAGCCGTGGATGAACAGTTTCTTCCTTGTGAGCCAGCTCCCCACCACCTGTAATGCTCAGTTTTTAGTGCCAGCTTTGTCTTCTGGACCTGCACAGTGTAAGGCTTTTCCTTCTTCTTGTTTGGAGGTAGCTCCAGCATTGCTCACTGAGTATTCCCTGTCCTGAAGCCTGTAATTGTGGGGTTTCTGTGAGGTTTGGCCAGAGGCTTCTTGAGGGATGTGGCCAGGTGAGTTTCGAAGGTCGAGATTAGTGCCGTTGACCTTCTGCAGTGCCCTGCCTGGCCCCACACCAGCTGACACTTATCTAGGACTAAAAGGATGGTTATAATAAAACACCGATACAGGTAAGAGCTATGGAAAACAAAACTTATCATTTTCCTGGTCCTTATCTCCTAAAGCATTTATTATTTCATGAACACTTTGAAAAGAGAGTGCTTTTTGAGCTTGGGGTACCGTTGAAACTGAGTGGACCTGACTACTATGGCAGTGCTTAAAATCAGTTTCTTCTTTAGTCCCTCCCACAATGCTCTTTGGGTTTCGTTTCTGGAATATGAATTGCCAAAATTACTTGAACTGTCTGATGGAGGATTGTAAGCTCAAAAAGGAAGTGTTGGCTCCCCATTAATACACCAACACCATCTGATAGACACAAACTTTCTTTTTACCCAGCATAATTGGGCAAGGTCAGGACTCCCTCGGACATGGTTTGGGGTCTTTGTTGTAGGGAAATAAGTTCTTTGGGAGAAATGATTACTCTCAGTTATTTCCTAGCCTATCAGGACCTGGAAAGACCCCAAATTTTGAGGGTGGGGCCTTTTGGAGAGTGCCAGGTTTCACCAACTATGTGCACGTGGTTCTATGTAGACCTGTCCATTGATCTTGGAGCCTATTCTTAGCATCATAGGTGACAAGGGGCCATGTTGCCTGCCTGTAGAGATGGCAATTGTGGGCAGGAGTTAACTCTAAGGCTGCGAATATTCTGTACCTTCTTTCCTTATTCTTATAAGAGGCAAGTGATACATCTTAGAGAAGGTAGAAGTGTGTGTGGGGGAAGGGGTTTATTGTGAGGGTGGGGGTGGGGAGAAAAGGAGGAACAACTGTAAAAAATGTTAATTTATTAATCACTGAATATACAGCAGTTCATCTGAAATGCTGTTGCTATGCCAACACCCTGGGAGTTTATTTTCTTAATCCAAGAGAGGAGCTCTCAGTCCCCTGCTCCCCTGCTGTGTCATTTGAATTTGCTGCTGCCACCGCTGCCACCATGGTATCTGTTTTAAAAAGTGGGGGGCGAGGGGGGAGGGAGGGGAACCAGGCTAAACCACCAAAGCAGTCAAATGCAAAGCAGTAAGAGGCCTTTCTCAGTGCGACTTAGTAAAAATGACACAAATTAATATACTCTACTTAAACCAGACCAAGATTAATGGTTCTCTTTCAGTGCAGCTTAGCCCAACTGTCACTCGACAGGCGTTTGTCGGACAAAATCAACACTAATCAACATTTATTCGTCTCTTGCCCTTGGGTCTGAGGCGCGCGCGGGCTGCGCCATTCTCCCGCTCGTCTCGCCACGCTTTTCACCCTCCATCCAGCCTCGCCATATATCACCCTTCCTCCTGTGCCTCTCCTCGGACGGATCCACACACTCAGCTATCAGGGTACATTAGAGGCATGATAGATTTTCTGTTTTAATTTACGTCTATTATATTGCAACATAACAGATTTTGATTCCGTAGAGACCGGTGTCTCCTATAGCCAGACTCCTTGGGAGGATTTCTGCATTAACTTATTAAGGTTCGTTAGGATGCAGCTTCAAATAGATTCCCTTCTCTCTGGCTTGTTCTCTCTCTGTGTGGCAAGCTCAGTAAAGATGTCTTGGTGTACCTTATTCACAAGCACAGCTCATTTTCTTTAGACTTGGCTTCCTGTGCTGGATCACATGAGGCTGGCTGGGTTCCTCCTTTACTTTCTGATTGGACTTTGATCAGCCAACAATGGGCGTTGCAAGCTCCCCAGTCCCTGCCTGGTCTGGGTAAATGGGCCTTGACAAATCTGGTGGCCTCCAGTCAGTGGGCACCCCCTCCCAGGCTTTAGTTCTAGCCCCCAGCATCTTTCTCTCTCTCTCTTTTTTTTTTCTCCTTTTGATCTCAGTTACAGTTAGATTTTATTTATATTGCACCTCAGGTCTACAGAGATGGAAGGGGGGAGGAACACAGTTTCTTGGGTTAACCAAGGAGAAGGATGTTGAAAGGATGACTGAAAGAGTGAGTCTGAACAAGGCTATTTTCATTTCTACATGACCATCTTGAAGGCATCTTATTTCAGCTTGGAACAAGGTGCATGAGCCCAGCTTGTTTGTTGCATGTGGGAAGTGTATATTTTTAGTTGCCTTGTAGAGTGGCTTTCCACCTCATTTATGAAATTGGCTTTTTATTTTTATCCTTTTCTCTTTTTCCCTTTCACCAGAGTTGGAACGTGAAGCACAGTTTCTACTTGCTGACGTAGTATTTCCTCTTGATTTTTAGTGGGGTTGGGGTGTTTTATGAGTACTAAGGTCACATTGAACTTTGGACACCTAGTCACCTTGTTGCTGGCTGCAGAGAAGAGCTTGAGAAGGAGACAGAAATCTTCTCGTCTTCTCATCATGGCTTTGACAAATGCCCAGGGAGACTGCAACTTTCTTCTCAACTTGGCTGTAACACTGGAGCCCTTGGCCACTTAGAAGGCCTGAGTTTTTTTATATTTTCCACCAAGCTGCTGATTCTAAACTGTGGTGGGGTTTCTTTCATGGCCAGAATGGGGAGAAACCGTGGGCTGAGTTGGGGATGTGTGGTTTGTGTGTGTTTATGTGTGATCACTGAAGTGTAGGATATGGTAGGAGGATGGCTTAGGACTTCCATTTTGGTTTCTTATTACACAGCAATAAAGTAAATGGGGCTTAGTATAACTTTGCACTTATAGAAATGTAGCTCAATTTAAGAAACAAAACTCCGCCAACAGGAGTGCTCAGTATCTTCAGCTTGGGAAACTGACCTCGTTAATTTTAATGAGGGGAAAAATTCTCCAGCTGGGGCTGAGAAGAAAATGAAATACCAATGAGGTTATCACTTTGGATGATCTCACTGAATTCAGACTATACTTGGAACGATGCTTGGAGAATTTTCTAAAATCCTATGGAGAGATTTAGAAGAAAATGCATATGCCCTTGATAGTATTGACAGACTGCTTTCCCTGATAGGCAGAGCCGAACTCTATATAGTGCCTCCTAAAGGGGTCATTTGAAAAGTTAACATATTAAAAAGTTGGACCAAAGTAAAACTGAGAGAAAAAATGGATTAACGTGATTCTTATGTGGGTCTAGCGTGAAAGCAGCGGGGCTGGTCGGACGGTGGCTGAGGCCGTTGACTATAAGCCAGGGGCTCCTGAGTTCAAGTGCCTACTGGGATGCTAACTTCCTGTGGGATTTTGGGCATCTGTTTTTTATCGACCAAAGGCAGGAGGTAGGGTGAGGGAGTCCTGTTATTCAGTAGGCAGCTATTTGATTTGCTCAATAAGTTGATGACTTTGGCCCTGCTGCTGAGGAGTGACAGATTGTGACCAATGAGGTTAAGATGACTGTAGGACAAGTTTGCCCTCAGTGAGGAGAGGCCTGCCAAGTTCCACTGACGTTTGGTTGGGGACCACAGAAAGAAACATCACCATTCAAGGTATTTGGCCCTTATTTTGTCCTAGTTCACTAAATGGCAGATCCTGGGGAGGAGATTATTTCACCAGTGGATTCTTCAGAGGTATGGGGGCAGACAGAACAGGCTTTCTTCTCCAAAAGTTCAAGCTTGCTGACTCAAGCTTCTTACTCATCTCTCTGGCATGTCACTGCACTCAGGAGAAGATTTGTGCAACTATCAGGTGCAAACTCAAGTATCACCAAAGGGATACTTTCTGATTAAATAGAGCCATCGTGCTCTGGGGACCATCTCAATATCAGTGGAATATTGAGGGGGTCTATTAATGTTTATACGTTCCTTCGAAATTCAGCCTTTTTCTTTGAAAGCTGTAAGGCAGCAGTTAAGGGCACTCGTACTGCTGCTATGGCTGTGTGTGTATGTGATGGGAAAGGCTGGTTGCCAAGCAGCGGAGAATGGACATAATCATGCTGCCTAGCAACAGCGGCAGCGTGGTCACTTGCGCAGATTTCTGCGCCTCTTCCTGTTTGGTCTGCTGGAAAATACAGATGGCTTCTATGGGTCGCTCTCTGCCCTAGCCATAGTGAGAGGTAGGAAAACATTATGAACCAGGGTGGAAAAATACACAAGTGCATGTTTTAAAGTGATTCGTTTCCAAACTGCCTAGGGCTGAGCAGGGATTCTTACATAGCATTCCTCAGTTTCCCCTTTGAAGATATTGTGCACTGGCACGTTGACTTGTAAGCAGGAAGAGGAATCTTTGAAAAGTGCTAGGCCCCTCTGGGTGCTGCCTCTACTGAGCCCGAGCCTTTACTCTGCATGTGTGAATATAAAGCCACCAGTTTTCTGATAAAGACACACACATACACTCACACACACTCACACCATGGGTGAAAACGACAAGTGGAGCAGAGCGTGACTACTGATTGTTCTTTGAGGCCGGAGGAACAAAGCAGTCAGGAGCGATAAAGGCAGGTGATCCCTGCTGGTTTGCCCTTTCTCCCAGCTCTGACCGTCACCGTCACACATGACATTCTTGAATGAGGTCACCTGCTCACTACAGATTCTAAAAGGGGCTTGCTTGGCAAAGACCTCCAGGGTCAGAGTGCCGGCCTTTACTGTTTTTGGCAGTTGTGTGCATGGAACATTGGAAGCGTTTGGAACGGAATGCTTAAGGAAGATATTATTTGGCAGCAAGAAAAAGGGAGTGTGCAGACTCCCCCTACCCCTCCTGGGATGAGTAGGTACTGCCTGCCCGTTTTTTCTCTACAGGAGTTGAATAGTAGCCAGAGTACAGGCTTGGCATCAGAAGGCCTTAGTTCAATCCTTATCTCTTCTACCTACCAGCAGTGTGGCTTTATGCAAGCTCTTGTTCATCTGAACCTTACCGCTCTTGTCTGTAAGGGATAGCAATATCGGTTTTACAGAGTGGGCTGAAAGGTTAAAAGAGGCGCTAGTTCTTTTTGGCATGCAGCAAGTATAAAGTAATTGTTGCTGTTCACCTCCTCTCCATGATTAAAGAGTAGGAAGTTGGGAAAAGAAGGTGAGCACTGCAGCTACCTTGTTGATTCCAAACTTCAGTGTCTTGGTTTTTGTCTTCCTTCTTAGCCTCCTAAATGAAGAGCCTTTATTTCCTTCTGTTTAGATTAGAAAAGATGAGAGATCTCTCTCCTTTTGATGCTGGGTGCCTGGATGGTATTAATTGATTTTAGTGATTTCTTAATCCATACAGAATCAGTTAGGATGGTTTGCTCCCATCTTATGGATGATGAGACAGTAGTACAGAGCAGTGGGATGATTTGTTTGGAACCCTGGAGACCATTAATTCCAAGATCCAAATCCTATGGCCTGTGCTCATTTTGGCAGCACATATGCTAAAGTTGCAATGATACAGAGAAGATTGGTGTGGCCCCTAGGCAAGGATGACATGCGAAGTGGTGAAGTGTTCCTTATTTATTTATTTATTAAAACAGGGTCTTGCTCTGTCACTCAGGCTGGAGTGCAGTGGCATGACCATGGCTCTCTGCAGCCTTGACTTCCTGGGCTTAAGCGATCCTCCCACCTCAGCCTCCCTGTTAGCTGGGACTATAGGCATGCACCACCATGCCCAGCAAATTTTTTCTATTTTTTGTAGAGATGAGGTCTTACTATGTTGCCTAGGCTAGTCTCAAATTCCTGGGCTCAAGTGATCCTCCTACCTTGCCTCTCAAAATGTTGGGATTACAGATATAAGGCACTGTACCCAGCTGTGTTCTATATTAAAAAAAAAAAGAAATCCTATGGCCTGATGGTATAGACGAAGCCCCTGCCAAAGCCAGAGGGGCTGGAGTAGGTAGAAAGCCGCCAAGGAGTCTGAGCGTTCTAGGTATTGACAAGACTTGAATTTTAGACTTCAAAATTGTGACATCAGTGAATGTTCCCCAAACAGATCGCAGCCTGGCTCCTGGAGGTCTGGATGTGCTAGGTGGGTCAGTAGGGTTGGAAGAGGGCCCTTGCATCTTTTTTGCTCTGTTTACATTTGTATGTCTGCTAGTATACAGAGTAGCTAAGGGATCCAAATGGGGGAAGGCCTTGGGTTCTAAACTGGCCTTTCATCCAAGTCCTGCTAAGAGCTCTTGTTCCTCAGTTTCCCCGGCTAGAATGATGAAAACATTGACCTATTTCTCAGAACAAGGTAGGTCAGGGGTTTGGAATTACTTATCTGGACTACTGCATAAGTGCTCCACTCAGCAGATTGCTCCTGGTGCAACACACATACTGGGAAACGATGTGATGACACTAGCACAAAGGACAGTTTATAGTTATTTTCTGTGGTTCCTCGTTTTTTGGTGTTTTTTTTTTGTGTTTTTTTTTTTTTTTTTAGACGAAATTTTGCTCTGTTGCCCAGGCTGGAGTGCAGTGGCACGATCTCAGCTCACTGCAACCTCTGCCTCCCAGGGTCAAACAATTCTCATGCCTCAGCCTCCTGAGTAGCTGGGATTACAGATGCCCACCACCATGCCTGGCTGATTTTTTTGTATTTTAGTAGAGACGGGGTTTCACCATGTTGCCCAGGCTGGTCTCCAACTCCTGAGCTCAGGCAATCCGCCTGTCTTGGCCTCCCAAAGTGCTAGGATTACAGGCATGAGCCACTGCAGCGGCCGGTTCCTTGTGTCTTAAAGCAAACACAGGCACAGTATTCTGGGCAAACCAGATGTTAATAGCTTGACCTCTCTGTCAAAGGAGGACTTGGTTGCTTAAGACCCTTAAAGCTGTCAAAGTTATAGCTTCTCCAGGATACTATCATCCTCACCCATTTCTTATTCTCTTTGCAGGGAGAGATCATCTCTCAAAAAGCTCCCATCAGAGCAACCATTCTGGGACTTTGAGCAGAATGCTTAAGGCAGTGGTTCTAAAATTCCACACCACCTGTTCTTCCAGTTGTGTCCTCTCTGAGCTGCCTCTGACGGTCACATTCCATGGCCATGTGCCACAGCAGACTTGTGATACTGATTTTAGTGTTGTCCTTGGCCATTGGGGGAAGGGAGGAAGGAGAGAGAAGAGAAGGGGAGAGAAGAAGAGAAATGGGAGTGGGGTCCATTCATCCATCTCTCTTGTCATTAGGGGCCCAGCAGTTCCCACTATGGTACCTAGGAAACTAGCTTGGACCTGGAGGCCATCCAGTGACCTAGTCTGGGCCAGTAAAGCCACCAGGCCATTTTCCTGCTTCGGACATGCTTTCTCAGCTGCCCTCCCCCTTAGCTAAGGCTGAAATGACTCATCTTCCCGTGCCCTAGTTCCACGGGGTTTCATCTCTGTGACTCGGGACAGAGGCCTTGGTTGCCACCAAAGGCAGCTTATGGTGTAGCTTCAGGTCTGGCCTGACTCAGTGGCCTTCCCTCAGCTATTCACTACAGAGGCAGTTAATGAAGAAGACACAAGGGTAGCAGGCCTGAGGGATAACTTCAAGGCTAACGTGTCTTTTTTCCAGTACTTACTCTTCTTTTGAATTTTAAGAATTCCAGATTTTATTCTAAGTCAGAGAATACTGTGAGAAAGGATTTTATTGTATCCACTCTCTCCAAATGGTGTGAACATCTGGATTTGCATCCTTCCCATGACAGATATCACAAATTGGGTTGGGTTTTGCATGCTGAGGATGATTTTTGGTATTCAGCTAACACCCTTCCTTTAAGGAAGTTAGAACACTTGATAAATTTTAAGCTTTTGATCCTCAGTAGTACCCCTGGAAAATTAAGGTCCAGTGAGGTAAATTGTCTTGATTAATTATATGACATGCACTGCTTTTTGGTGGCTCTTTTGTTGTGTTTTGTTTTTTCTTTCTCCTTCATTTTGTTAAAATGAATTATGTGAATGTCCAGGTTAGCAGTGTTCTATTTTCATAGGATAAGCCCCATCTCTAGTACTGTTTATTTCCATTGTGCCTATTTTTCAGGGAACTCTGTGCATTTCCACATTTCCATCACCAGCTCTAAGAAGGTACACCTGCAGTTTGTTGTGACCCCGTTTCAGAACGGACAGAACCAAGTGCAGGCTTACTCTATTTGGTAGAGACTGAGTCCCAGCAAGTAGAAGTGTCTTGCCAAGGGGATGCAATTATGAATAGGAAATGGAACTAAAAATAGAACCTAGGTATGACCCCAGATATTTGACCACTCTCACCAACATGATTTCTCCTTTTGGTCTCAGACCAGGACATTCAAGGCATCTCTCCATTTTCATATGGAGAAGCATCCAACTATGTCTCAATGGTTGATTAGGAGACCATATCCTTCAGGAGTCATGTTGAAACTTGTCAGGGTAGTTCCTAAGGTCCTGAGGCCTAGGATAGTACTGTATCCTGGCCCCATGAAATCTGTGGTAGATGGTAAGTGTTCAGTATGAATTTATTTATTTGGTTAGGTGTTTTTTATCATGGTGAATACAGTTCCTTTAATATCAGCAAGGACTTAGTGAACATGTGCTCTTTGCCTCACAGAAAATAGAAAATGAGATATTAGAAGGAAATAGAACAAAAACTATTTGCCTTCAAGGAGCTCACAGTCTAGTTCTGGAGACTGGACATAAGCAGTCTCTGCTCTCTGCTTGGACTGGTGTCACTGTGATCATTCTAAGGTAACGAGCCACCTTTTATTCTTTTACCCAGCCCAGTTGTTTCAGATGAAAGGATAGAGAAGCTGGCGTCTGCTGTGATGGAGTTGATGTTTTATTTTAAGATAAAGTATAGAAGCAACTGATTGATGGATTATAAACTGGGAGGTCCAGGATAAAGCTTCATTCTGAGGGCATCAGTATATTTCACTGGGAGCCTCCTGGGCATTAATTCTGCCGTTAATTTTGTTATTAGAAACCTAGCCAAACAAAGGGAGGTGGCGAAGCTTGAGGCTGGTTTAACCTTGATGAAACAGTGATTTCACCAAGGATGATGTTGCCCCATCCATCTTCATCCATCAAGGCACTGCTGAAATATGCTAATGAAGCCCAAAGATAGGAGCACAGAGCAGTTAAATGGGGCGTTGCAGACGCTCTCCCTACCCCCGTGACAGGGTGATGCCATTTACTCTCCAGATTTAGTATAGGAAAGAGAGCAATGCTGACGTGGTGTCGTGGTGGAAGATAGAATGGAGGCTCCACCTAATAAAAAGAAAGGGCAAAGTTCAGGGTATATATTCTAGAAGAAGATGGGAAAACTTGGTTTTTGGTGAAGGGGTTGGTTTTCTTAATTCTCTTTGGCTCACTTTCTAGCCAGTCCACACAAGAACCAGATATGTGGCATACTGCAGATAGGGCAACATTTTTAAGTTCCAGAATGTGACCTCCCACCATGTGCCAAAGCAAGTTATTTGTTACCATGTCAGTCTGCAGCACTGTTTGTTTCCAATGGTACATGAGCTAATACCTTGGCTTTATTTATTTATTTATTTAAGTTACAACCTTTTGGATACTTATGACATGCTGGGCATACTACTGAATTATTTTATATGAATTAATCTAATCAGATTCTTACAAATAGCCAACGAAGAAGCAAAGTTATCACATATATTTTATAGATGAAGTTTGAGAGGCTAAATTCATGTCCAAAATTATGTAACCAGTAAGTGGCATGGTTGGGGTTTAAACTCATGTCTACCTGACTCCAAAGCCCTTGTACAAAATCACTGTGGTCTGAAGACTCTTATGTAGGTTATAGCTGAGAATCCCTGATAACCATTGGGAGCAGCTTGACTCACATATTTATTGCTTGTATATTCTTTGGGTTCAGTTTAACTTTAACTTTGGCATTCCCTTCACAATTCTTTCTTTTGTAAATAGACTATAAGCTCTCTGAGGTCAGCAGCCAAGCCCTTTCTCTAATCTCCTAAATGTCGATGATGTCCCTAGTTTCTATGTGGAGTGTTTACTTTTGGCATCATGCTTCTAATATAGGGTTAAAAAAGGCTGGCCAGCTGCTTTCTGGTTTTCATTTCATACATTAGATGAAAGCCGTGGGGGATTTTACTTGTCTTTACAAGTTAATTCTACAGGATTCACAGTTAAATTTCTGTTTCTTTGAATTTATTGGTGGATCCACTTTTGTTTCCTACTAGTACATTACCTATCTAGTCTATATCCAACTGTACAGAAAAAAGTAAACCGCAAATGAAATTTTATTATTATGTATTAAACAGCATCTTTGGAGCAGTCTATATTAGGAGGTGTGTGTCAAATTCTGCTCATCTTAGGACCCTAGACAGTTCCTCTAAGAGAGCCTGCCACCCTTCGCTTACAAAATGCAGACCCTGAGCTAAGAGGTGGTCTTGGGCAAATCAGGCAAAACAATTCCTAAATCTAAAACGTTTATCAGCTTTTGTTTTTTTTTTTCCTAAATGGAGATAAAGTTGGAAGTTAAAAGCAAAAAAGAAGGATGGATTAAAAAATATTTAAATAAGATGCCAAGTAACATGAATTGCCTGAAATAGACTGTTTCAGGATAAAAACTGTATCTTGGCCTTAATGTGTCTTGTGCCATTTATTAAATCAGTTCTGAACTTTGGGGACTCCAGACTGTTATTAAAGAGTTAATAACCAAAGGCTTCAACGTCCAGGATGTTGTGTGGGTCAGTGTATCTTGCCAAGAGGTAACATCAGCCAGTGGAATCAGTTGGGCTCTCCGTCTGGCAGATCTGTCTCTTTCAGCTGCTCCTCCTCCAGTTTCTAGTCTTGGAGTTCATATACAGTAAATCTTTCTCTTAATAAAGCCGTTTTTCAAATCTGACTTTGGACTAGGGACTGCTTTTTCTCCAAATGCAACAGCTGTTAAACATGGTGCATTGGGCACGGTGTATATCTCTTTGTTTAGTTTTGGGTTTTTAATATGAGCAGAGACATAAAGGAGTGGGAGGACTCTATCGATTTCTTTCTACCCATGAGTCATCCACTGGGTTTGGAAATAAGGCCTCCAGCCTCAAAAGGCTTCTGGGCTCCCTGGGCTTCTCACCCTTAAGGATGAAGCCTATTGTGCCCTAATAACCAGTACAGGATTCCCCCCCTTCTTTTGGTGAGATAGAATTGTAGAGCTCAAGGTGTCCGCCAGCAGAGGCCAGACCTTTTGGCCCCTATCTGTCCCATTTACATGGGGAAAAGCATTTTTGCCCCCTTGCTCTCTGGTCCTTCTGTCACTGTCTCTGTTCCCAATGCACTAGGGAGCATTAACTCCCTGAAGGGGAAAAAAGTTCACAAAAGAAATGAATTATGCATATGGAATTCATTTCCTTGATGAATAGGGAATCTGAACAAACTCCATGGCTGTTTGATTTTAAGGCAGAGGAGAAGGGGGGCTTAGGGCTAAAGAGTATAGTGGGGGGTGATCAAAAAGAACTTGGAACAAGAGAGGTGGGAGAAAAACCATGGCAGGAGGACTTGGGATGGAAATATTGAGGACAAAGTAAGGGGACCTTTGAAAATAGTTGAGGGCCCATTATTCTTGCCAACACGTACACACAGATATATACCTCACTCCCGATTAATGTGCAAATTTGTCCCCAGGGAAATTGGAAATGGTAATGAGATTATACTGGGCAGAAATGACAACACTAAGGTGATGTGACCGTCCTGAATTAAAGTTTTTCAGTGATTTTTTAACTTTCTTCAGTCCAGGTTAACAATGGGCGCTTTGAATTTTGAGGCAGGAGTTGTGTGATAGGTAAAGAACTGCATTGAGAAGTGGAAGACTTGGATCCAAGCCTCAGAAGACACAGACTGTGTGACTGTGGGCAAGTCACCTCATCTTTCTGTCTCAGTTATCTCATCTATAAGTGGGGATTATGGCAACTGCCCTGGGGAAAAAATTATAAGGGCCAAACAAAAGTGCTTTTATGCATAACACAAGATGCGAATCTGAAGGGATTTTATTTTTCTCTCTGTGCCTCCTTTTCTTGATGGCATTTTGGTTATTCAGACCTAGTCTTTTCAGCAAGTCAGAATTTCTTTGGAGCAGAAGAATGAAGGGGAAATTGATTCAGGAGCAGCATGCTGGTTAAAGGAACAAAGAAACAAGTGAAAAATCCCATTTTAATCCTCACCGCATCTATGTTATGAAAACCATTTAAAATAATCAATCTGATGTTTTTGGCAAATTTAGGTACTGAATCAGTAGTGGTTACTGCATAACTAGTTTGATCAACAGTAGGAAAGCTTGTCATTGACAGCCACATACATTATGGAATCAACTAGAGGGTGGTTTTTAGAGCTTCCCTTGTAGGCTGACTACCTAGAAGAGGCAACCTCTGACCTGGCTGCCAAAGACCTGTGGATGCTTCTGATGGGGAGATATGGCCAAACCGACCCCTTACTTCTAATTGTGCTCCATTATTCCTTGTTTCTGAATGCAAAAAAGACTTGGGGACACCAAGTCTTCAGGAGAGATAATAGGTAGAAAGTCACACATACCTGTGTACATTTGTTAGGATATGTCCCTGCTCGTTGAGAGGAGAGAGTTTTTTTGATAGTTATGGGGTCTTAAATCCATTTCAGGATTGAGTAGATTGAGCAGGTCCAACTACCGCCATGTCTCTTTATTTTTCTCACCACCCAATTTCAGTACATGCAGTTTTTCACAGAGGTGTGTTTGCTTTACAGCAAATCCTTTTTAGGGGTCAGGATGTGTAGTGGAATGCCATTGTATCCTTTAGGACTGCCCACCGCAAACACATGCTGTGCACTCATACCTTTAGTGTGGTGGCATTCAGTCTGGTCTGCAGGGCATGGCCCTCGGAAGAGTGTGGAGATGTCCCAGGACAGCCTTCCTGGTAGTAAGGGGGGCAGCCCTACAGGCTCGGGGGTCCCACCCCAACTTCAACCCCTGCACCTTTGTTTCATGGATTTTATTTGCTTGGGTTTGTGGGAAAGAGTCTGCTTTTAAGTAACCTTTGAAACCCAGTGGTGCAGAGAATAGACCAATGCCTAGTATGAATTATTTATTTGTTTATTAAGATTTTCATGGCACCTTCCCTTTCAAAGCTCAAGGCACTGAATGAACTCTTCAAACTGATAGCAGTTAGCACTAAAGGTTGAACAGGGGCCGTTGGAGGAGGAACCACTAGGGAGGATGAGAAAAGAGGGAGGAAGAGCAGAGAGAAGAGCACGGCAGTCCGGACCCCAGAGCCACCACTACAGCCAAAGGAGGAAAATCGTAAAGACTGCAGGCTTCCCAGGAAGGAATCCAGCCCTGCTGGGAAGTTGTTTTGTTATCAGGGAAAGTCACTTCCTTCTGTCAGCCTCCTCCATGAAATCGAGGTGACCTAGTTGACCCCCTGGGCCCCTCCCAGGTATGATCTTTTAAGAAGCCTGAGGAGCTTTCCTTTTTAGGTGAGCAGGCCTAACCCTTCTGCCAAGTTGTTACGGCAATAAAAATCATCATAAAATTTTTTTTAATGTTATGCATAAACCTTTCAATAACAAGTATATTTGGTACAGAGTGGTTTTCAACCCTGGCTGAACATTAAAATCACCTGGGGAACTTTTAAAAAATATTACTGGTGCCTGGGATCTACCCTGGAATGATGAAATCAGAACATCTGGGGGCTGGTGCTGAGCATCTGTATTTTCTCAAAGCACCCCAGCTTTTTTTTTTTTTTTTTGAGACAGAGTCTTGCTCAGTCGCCCAGGCTGGAGTGCGGTGGCGCGATCTCGGCTCACTGCAAACTCCGCCTCCCGGGTTCATGCCATTCTCCTGCCTCAGCCTCCCGAGTAGCTGGGACTACGGGCGCCCACCACTACGCCCGGCTAATTTTTTTGTATTTTTAGTAGAGACGGGGTTTCACCGTATTAGCCAGGAAGGTCTCGATCTCCTGACCTCGTGATCTGCCCATCTCGGTCTCCCAAAGTGCTGGGATTGCAGGCGTGAGCCACCGTGCCCAGCCCACCCCAGCTTTTGTGTTATGCACTGGGGTTGTGAAATACCCGGGGACCTGGGAAGGCTGACAATAGGAGGTGAGCTTGAGTGTGCCCAAAGAAAGGCAAAGAAAGGCTTATTATTAGGGGTGTGATTTAAGTGTTTCCAATTAACAGTGGAGGAAGGAAACTTAAAACTGTACTTTGAAGTTACCAAGCTCTAGGTTATTCTTATAGTAAGTGTAGCCCATTTGGCTTGTGTAACTTATTTTTCACATACTTCAAGGCCAGGAAACTTCAGAAGTGTCACAGCAAGTTCTTTGGCCACCTCCTCACTAGCTGGCTCCCACTGAAAGTGTTAGCCACATGCCAGCTACCGTTGTAGGGAAATCACACTTAGGATATTTTACTTGCACGCAGCAGAGAGGTTGCTGTTATCCTCCCCATTTTACAGAGAAGGACATGGAGGCCCAGAGAGGCTACATAATTTTCTCTGGGTCCCAAAACCTGTAAATAGTAGAGAAGGGGATCAAACTTGTTTATCTTACTCTAAGCTACCCCACTCTTTCTACTATACCTAATGCCTCTTAGAATGACCCTGGACTTGTTGATTTGTCAGCTGCTTGCCCTTGGCGGGAGGGCGTTTGGCTTTCTTTTTCAGATAGGAGAGAAAACATGAGAGGAGAAATCAGCTTCTGCAGAGATTACCTTAGAGATTGAGCAAGGCAGTGTAATGTAATGAAAACATGCACCAGAGCAGGGGCCTCTAGCCCCAGGGGCAGGCTTGCAATTAGAACTGGGCTAAAAGAAAGAAAATTGTGGGAGGGTCCAAATGAGTAATATGGGAAACATGCTTTTTGTTTAACTGTGATACCTTTGGTATCACAGTTTTGTGATTGATGTGACTTAGGCTGTTTGCCTCTTTCATTCCAAGATGACACACCTCTGTGGGGTTACTTTGTGTTCATTCTGGACCTGGATCATTTTCAGGGGGTCCATGCTAGAATGTACTGCAATGTGGGAACATTGGCCTACAGATCTAGTTAGGTCCTCTCCCACCGCCATGCGCTTAGTCACTTCACCTGCTGCCTTCCAAAACAAATGGGCTGTGTGTGTCTCCTTCCCTTAACAAAGTATTCTATAATCATATTTTCTAGCTTAAAACAAAATTAGTCTTTTAGATGTAAAACACATCTAAAGCACTTTTATTAATGGATCGCTTTCCTTCAGGGATTACAGTGCTTAGTATGAGGTGCTGACTCATCTATTTTCATGCCATATAGGGAAGGAAAGTGTTAACTATTTTCGAATGTAGAGAATACTTTTGTTGGGAGTCTCTAAACCTTAAACCCAGGACCTGTTTGACAAAACTGTCATCCTCCCAACCCCTTGAAAAGATAATGCCCTAAATCTATCAGTTTTTTCCCCCCAGTATGCGAAAGTGGCTGTTTTCTGGTGTTAGTTGTTCCTATGTGTGGCTTGGAGCCATGGCCACTTGGCTTCCTAGATTGTGTCCCATGAATTCAAGCATAAGGAGCTCCCAGTCTGCTGCACCTGGCCTCCCTTGTCCTTCACATCCCTGCAGCATACTGTAGCAAACTTTCAAGTTAGCTTTTTATTGCATTCCACCCCCTGCCAGGGAGCAAACTTAAACTCATGCAACTCAAAATGACCATGCTGGGTCTGTTCTAAGTTTGAATTTGGACCTTGATCCAGCCTTCACATACTTTCTCTTATGAATTCCTCTTAATGCTAGTTAATAAAAATATAATGGCTTTCATGTCCCTTCTCATAATAACATTGCCAGCTTTGGGGGTTCTTTGAAAACTTTGCTTGAGAAGTCCATGGCCAAAAAAAAACAAAGATATTTGGCTTTAAAATATGGTCTTTGCTTACCAAACTCCTCTCTCTGAGGAAGGGAGAGAAAGAGTTGAAGGTTTCTGGGAAAGGGGCATAGAAGCAACTCTTAACTCTGGCCATGTGGATCTGCAGACAAAATTAGGGCAAATGTAGTGCTACAGATCCCATCCCCGGGCCTCACATTGTGGCCAGCCATATGGAGTCAGATTTGGAGACTTTTTGGAGATGGGGAAGCCACTGGACTCTTAGGCATCTGGTGTAAAGAGAGACTTTTTCTTTGCTACTTTTTTTTTTTTTTTTTGAGATGGAGTCTTGCTCTTTTGCCCAGGCTGCAGGGCACTGGCGTGATCTTGGCTTACTGCAGCCTCCGCCTCCCAGGTTCAATAGATTCTCCTGCCTCAGCCTCCTGAGTAGCTGGGATTACAGGCACCTGCTACCATGCCTGACTAGTTTTTGTATTTTTAGTAGAGACAGGGTTTGACCATATTGGCCAGGTTGGTCTTGGACTCCTGACAAGTGATCCGCCCGCCTCAGACTCCCGAAGTGCTAGGGTTACAGGTGTGAACCACCATGCCTAACTATCGTTGCTACTTTCTATTGGAAGAGAAGGCAGCCCTGATTTAGTCTGTTTACAGTCTGCATTATGTGGAGAATAGAGAGCCATCATAGTCCCTAAAACTTTCCTTGCCAGTTAACCCAGCAGGACAACCTGTCTTTGTCTCTTGACAACTGTTAACTGAGAACAGGGCCCTTGCTCCTCTAGGTGTGCACATTAAGGACTTTGCACAGTGTGGATGTAGCTCATGCTGCTCTGCCGTCTAGTACATGCTGCTTGAATTTTCATCATCATCCTCCACTCCTTCCACCTCCAAGAAAAAAAAAAGCGTGCAGGAAGTAGCATTTCAGATCCTTCTCCACCACCTCTGCTTCCCTTCTCCCTTCTTTTCCTCCTTGCAGCATTCCCTTTAGTACCAGGGAGGGATGGTGGTTGAAAATGGGGGGAATGATGTTGCTCAGAAAAAAAAAAAATCAGCCTAGACCTTAAGAGGTGAGGGGAAAGGAAAGAACACTTCAAGCATAGCCCAGCCCAGGCATGTCAGCTCCCACCCCAGCCTCCTTGTACCTCCCATCTCTGAAGGAGGGTGATGAATTCGGTTTCCACCAACATTAAACTGATAAATGAAATTTGTATGTTAAAACAATGATAATTTAATTGTATTTTATTTCCTTCTTTCCCATCCACACTTGGATCTCACCCCCCTCCCCATTACCCACCCTTCAGCTTTGGGGAGGGGGTGGTGGAGGCTGTGCAGGGGAGGGGGTGGTGGAGGCTGTGCAGAGGCGGGGGCATTGCAAGCTGTCGGTTTGCATTGTGCGGACGGGGAAAGGTCTCTACCTGGCTCATTTTGTCCCCTTTGCTTAGGCTGTCACTGCTGACAGTCCTCATGTTTATTTCATCTCGCGTGGTGGCTGTCTCGTTTCCCTACCCTCCGATGTCATTAACGCACAGAGAGCGGGCCCTGCAGTGTTGAGCCTAATGAATTCCGCTGTGGCTGCTCTGCTCCCCACCTCGTTACCAAAGCTCAAGGTGTCAAATTAAACCCAGCCTAGAGAGAAAGAGAAAGTGCAGGAGAGAAGCAAGAGCAGGGGAAGAGGGAGGTGCAGAGAACACATAAACAACCCTCCAAAAAGAAGAACAGTTGAAGGTGGGGGGAGAAGAAAGGAGGGGAATGAGACAGAGAGGAGCCCACAAATGGGTGACTTTCCTCCTGCGACCAAATCCACTTTAAGCATGGTGACATCCATGACTCACAGCAGGACCTAATGACCTATTCTTCCCCGGGTGGGGTTTGTACCTTGGCCTTGGCTGCGGTTTGTTGCTTTTTCCTCGTTGTCTGGTTGATTTATTTTCATGGTTTATGCAGATTGGGCACCTCGCAAAGCAGACAGAGCAAGTAAGAGGAGTCAGAGCTTATGGAGGGAGGGTGTGTGTGTGTGTGTGTGTGTGTGTGTGTGTGTGTGTGTAAGGAAAAGTAGAAGCCAAATGTGAGCTCTTGGTTTGGTGGCTCTGATCAGCTGTGGAAATCTATGTTTCAAAATGGTAGAAAGAGGAAATCATCACTTTTTTTTTTTTGGAGAGGGAGTCTCTGTCACCAGGCTGGAGTGCAGTGGCACAATCTCAGCTCACTGCAATCTCCGTCTCCCAGGTTCAAGCCAGTCTTCTGCCTCAGCCTCCCAAGTAGCTGAGATTACAAGCATGTACCACCACACCCAGCTAATTTTTGTATTTTTAGTAGAGACGGGATTTCACCATGTTGGCCAGGACGGTCTCTATCTCCTGACCTCGTATAAATTTAAATAACCCCTGTGGGGGTACTCTAGCAGATTTTCCTCCCCTCACTCCACCCCAATTTGGAAAATAGTGATTCATTTCATCTCTTTTCTATATAACCTTGTGTCATTTACAAAGCATTTTCCTTTATATTATTGGCATTTTATATTTGGGGCATTTTGTTGGAGATGACCATTAATAGATTCTTCCCATTCTACAGATGGGAAAAATGAGGGATAGAGATGTTAACTTACTTGCTCAAGGTAATAGAACTAGAAGGTGAGAGAAGAGGGTTACATTTCAGATCCTCCCTTTCCAGAATTCAGTGTTTTTCCCTTATACCACTAAACTTCCTAGATTTTTGTCAAGAGGTGGGAGGAAGTTAAAAGATAAATAAGCTTGTGAATTTTAAAACTTGAAAATTTATATACAGCAAAATAGTTAGACCTAAAATATACAGTTTGAAGTGTTTTGACAAGTAAATATACTCATGTAACCAACACCCCTTTATCACCCTGGAAAGTTTCTTTCAGCCCCTTTTACTTCTCTTACCACCCGCACCCCCACCGCCATAGTTTATTTTTGCCTGTTTAAACTTTTTTTTTTTTTTCGGACAGAGTCTCACTCTGTCGCTCAGGCTGGAGGGCAGTGGTGCGACCTTGGCTTGCTTCAATCTCTACCTCCCGGGTTCAAGTAGTTCTGCCTCAGCCTCCTGAGTAGCTGAGATTACAGGTGTGCGCCACCACACCCGGCTAATTTTTGCATTTTTTGTAGAGATGGAGTTTTGCCATGTTGGCCAGGGTGGTCTTGAACTCCTGACCTCAAGTGATCTGCCCGCCTCAGCCTCCCAAAGTGCTGGCATTAGAGGCGTGACCCACCACACCCAGCCTTGTTTAAACTTTGTTAGTAGAATTACACAACATGTGTACTTTTGTACCCGGCTTTTACTTATCACACTGTTTCTTGAGATTTATCTGTGTTATTGCTTGCATCAGTACTTCACCCCTCCTTATTATCGAGTGGTATTCTATTATGTGAATACACCACAATTTTTTTATCCAGTCTCACTTGTTTTTTTTTTTTAAATCTTTTTACAATAATTTAGTATGTAAGATACAATTTTTTTATAAGCGTTTTAGAGCACATGGGTGATGGCCTGGCTCCCTGAATTCAGTGGCAGGGCCGTGGTGCTGGGCAAGAGGGATGAGTGAGGGGCTGAGCATGGTGCCTTACACATGTAATACTAGCACTTTTGGAGGCTGGGGTGGGTGGATCACTTGAGGTCAGGAGTTCGAGACCAGCCTGGCCAACGTGGTGAAACCCCGTCTACTAAAAAACAAAAATTAGCCAGGCGTGGTGGTAGGCACCTATAATCCCAGCTACTTGGGAGACTAAGGCAGGAGCATCGCTTGAACCGGGGAAGCGGAGGTTGCGGTGAGCCAAGATGGTGCCACTGCACTCCAGCCTGGGTAACAGAGTGAGGAGTGAGCTGAGGCACAGGGCAGACAAAAGCCTGTCATGGCCGCACCTCTCAAACCTGGGCCCACAAACCCATACTTTAAATGGCTTGGAACTTACTTGTTTCTTTGCTTGGGGCTCATTGTCTGCTTCATTGTCCTTGGCTATTTATAACAATAGGTGTGACAATAGAACAGCCTGTTCCTTCTTTGGAGTTTTCTGTGTTAGTTATTTGATTTTAAAATTCTGCTCCTTTTTCCCAAGATTAAAATGGAATTTTGTTTCTGATAAATTTTTACCATTCTTTTCCAAACAGTAGAGTCAACTCAAGGATATCACAAATCGGGACTAGAAATTGCTGGCAGATATTCCGTAAACACAGTGCATTGGGGGTAGGGTGTCTAGCTCTAATATTTGCATTTTGTAGATGGGGACAATATGAAAAACTTTGTCACTCCACTAAGATTTTTGGCACTTAGAATGGCAAGAAAATCCAGGTTCCCTTACTTATAATGTAGTGCTTTTACCTTGAACCAAAAAGGTAGGATGTGCGTGTGTATTTCCAGGGTCTCTATGATTTGCCATTTGTATTAACAGAAAAGAGGCCCAGTCTTTGGAACTCTGGTTAGAGGTGACATCATGGCAAAACATCAGGCCTCAGGTTTCATTGATTTTAAACTTACTATGTCGTGTGATTATCTCATCGCTGATGGCCTTTGTCATTAAATCCACTGCTTCAGCTGGGTTGAACACATTTGAGGAGGAACAGGATCAAGAAGGTTTTTGAAAGATATGGACAAGTGATGTGAGAAATACTGGAATTTAAATTCTTTCCTTCTTTTTAAAACTATCCCTGGTGATATCTGTACTTTCTAAAGAGTCAAAATGGGAAGAGAATGGTCTGAGAGTGGAGATTTGGTGGCATCACATCAGTAGTTCTACTTTCTTCTCCATTCCCACACACATAAACTTCATGAAAATAAACTCAGTTATGTAGCATTTAAGGCCTATTCAGAAAGGATTCAGTTGTAGTCAGTCAATGGAAGAACCAAGATAGTTAACCAAGTCTTAAGCATTTCTCTATTCATTCAGCAGCATTTATCGAACTGGGTATAAGAAATAGATAAAGCCAGCCTCTGCCATCAGGAGCTTGTGATTGGGGAGTAATGTGTGATGTGATCTGTATTATCACAGAGGGGAGCACAGCATGTGATGGGAATGGAAGATGGGCTCCTAGCGTGGCCTTCTTGGGTCAAGGATGGCACGCTGGATTGGATAACTCAGGGGAAGAACTGATTTTATGGAAATTATCCAAAGGAGTTATTCATTAATTTAGCATCTCTCTTCCCCAGTCTCTGATGTGTGTTTTTTTTTTTTTTTTATTTTTATTTTTTTAAGACGGAATTTCACTTTTGTTGCCCAGGCTGGAGTGCAATGGTGCGATCTCAGCTCACTGCAACCTCCACCTCCTGGGTTCAAGTGATTCTCCTGCCTCAGCCTCCCAAGTAGCTGGGATTACAGGCATGCGCCACCACGCCTGTCTAATGTTGTACTTTTAGTAGAGACGGGGTTTCTCCATGGTGGTCAGACTGGTCTGGAACTCTCGACCTCAGGTGATTTGCCCACCTCAGCCTCCCAAAGTGCTGGGATTATAGGAGTGAGCCACTGTGCCCGGCCTCTGAAGTCTTTTTTAAACTGCCTGTCTTCTACAGAGCACCATGCTATGGGAGTGTGGTCTGGCTTTGGGAGTAGAAAAGTCCAATGTTGAGTACAACATTGAGATACATGGCTGTTGGGACCACTCTTAATCTTCCAAGGATGACCACCATTTCTTGTAGTGGTTTACTGAGACAGTCAAGACAGTGTGAATATTTCTGGTAATGTTCAGTGAAATTTTTTCTTGTGATTGACTTACTGTTTGTGTTTGCTGATCTGGAACTTCAGTTGACCTCCTTGACTGCAATCATTTGTTTTGGTTTTGTGTGTGTGTTTGCACTGGGCTTTAGATTTGTAAAACATTGTATATAGTTAATGTGATGTAGCCTCCCTAAATCTCAGTGAATAGGATTTTACATGGCATCAATATGCAGTGAAACTACTATGATTGTCATAGTCTAACATGGTGTAAGGACCTGATGAAGATTTTGTATGACAAATGAGGCTATGGCTGCCTTTGGGATTAGTAGATATATGGAACAGGAACAAGAACAAGAAGGCATGTAGGATAGGTATTCACCATAACATGAATAGATGGAGATTATATAGACAGTTAGCCTTCAATTGCAGGTGGAGAATGGAATTAATATGGAACATTTAAAAATATTTTAGAAATGATATTTTTAAAAGAGAGTCAAAATAAAATGCTTTCATCTGATTATTTGACCAGAAATTGGGCTGCTTAATATAATGAATAATTGTTAGGATCTATCGATATGGCTACTCAGTGGTAAGAAGTGCCACATAAATATTGGTCTAATACATATATAATTATGTAACTCTAGCCAGGTAGCTGGATTAAATATGGGTAACAGCAAAAGCACTTCTGTCCTGATAAAAGTCTCAGTTACATTTAAATACTTAATATAATCAGCTCTTTTTCAAGTAAACAATAATTCAGGAGGCAAATGTTCAGTACATCTCATAGAAATTTTTTGTCTTAATTTGTTTGCCTGTACAATCTGCATTCTTCTTATTAATTTAATCCATATTTTGAAGTCAGAAAAGAATTCATCTCATTTGAGTTAGTTTAGATCAACATACTGATATTGCTGAATAGTTTCACTTCCCTGAAACTAAACATATCTATTCCTTTCGTCTTAGACAAATTATGAGGGGAAACCTGTCTGAAATTTGGCTAACACATGGTGTGCATTTGATGCCACTGGAGGATTTGCTTTGTCAATTTAAGATTGAGTGATGGCTATAGAGGAAAGTGACGGAAAAAAAAAACCTTCTTAATGTGAAATAGAAAGTATAAAGGACAATAAAATGCTAAAATGTACAGGAAATTCTTGTAATATGACTAATAATGTATGAGACTTGTAGAGATCAGTTCTGCTACAGGTATTCTTATGTTATATAAATGATATTATAATATCCTATTACATATATTATATTATCATACTATACCAAGAATAGATAATATTTTTCATCAACTGGTGATTCAAGTGTGAGTTTATACATGGGTTGACTGTGGATTGTATATATGATACCAAGCCTGTGTAAAATAAAACAAAAACCCCCTTCAAACTCCCATATGGAGTATTTGACTAAAGCAATAATATTAAGATAACATACTCTATTCCAAATAAGGATATAATTTGCTGTTTGATAAAGCAAAACAAAACAATGGAGTGTATTGGTACTGTTTTCCACAGAGTGGGAAGATAAGAACACATGTAGAGATGATAAAATGTCATTGGCTCCAAGAGACAAGCTTCCGAAATCCATGGTGGTTGAAGAACATCAAAGAGGAGCAATTATTTCAGTCATTAGGGCAGTTCCACCTGTTCTAATTGAACATTTTTAGGATGTAGAAGATGCATCATACATTGGTATCTATTCAGAAGGTGGGGACATCTGCTGTCTGTCATGTATCTGGGAGATGTTTATCTCAACAGGAGGCAATAATAATATGGTAAACCAAACCTAATATTATCATGATGCATTAAAACTGGGTTAATTGAAGCAATAAAATCAAAGTAACAGTAAATGCTTATACAACATGTTAAGTAATATTTACTTCAATCTTAGAAATGAAATGATAATTTTACATTCTAGCAGATGTATTTCTTGATACCTGTTCTGAGAGGACAGAAACAAGGCTCAAAATTCATGCAAGAGGCTAATAACAACTTAGTTGATAGTAAAATATGGAGCATTGGATGTAGAGTGCATTAACCTTCTTGTTTAATCTGAGTTGACCTATAAGTGGGCATATTGTTTTTTGGGGAATCGGGAGTTTTCTCAAGTAGAAAGAAGCCCCACTTTTCCTTTGATAGGGTACCAGTCAAGGAAATAAATGCTCTTTTTTCTACCTGAGTTAGATTTGCCTTTCATTTGCTCACCCTGATCTGTGTGGCTTTATTGACCACTACAGTTTAAGCCCATGCAACCTGCATGCTGTGCAAGAAAGAAAGGTGATGGACAGATAGTCCCAGAGTTAAACTTCTGGTGCCTTTGCCACTCCATGTCTTGCCATCTTATCATCATAGTAGCTTTGGGTATGGCCTCCTAGCAGCTTCATTGTTATGCCTGTGGGCATTCGTGTCCCACTGTCAGGCAGATTCTGGGGGACTGGGGAGCCAGAATGATGGGTAGCAGGCAGGTGGTAGATGGGGAGACCTAAAGTCCAAAAGCTAGACCCCTTCTCTCTTAACTCATAATGGCATTCAGAAGTTGTAATTATTTCACAAATAATAAATGAGGTACAAAAAAAAAAAAAAAGAAAGACTGGAATTTAAAATAAAAGCCAAATCAACCTTACAGCCCATGCGAATTCTGCAGCCACTGTTTAGCTCAATTGTAAAAGTGACCCTATACCCCAACACCAGTAAAGCAAGTGCTGCCATTTCCAAAGGTTCTCATCAGCCTGTTGTGGAGCTCAACTGATTGAAAACTGCTTTTTATCTGCTGTGGTCGTAGGGATTTCTGGCAATTTCAGTTCTTGCCTTTCCAAGAATGACCAAAATAAGTACAGATAATTACTAGAGATAAAATATTAGAGATCTATTAATACAGATAATGGCTGTGACATTTCCTCAGCATCAAAAGCTGTGGCACTACAGCTTTTTCTCTGGATTGCAGCTTGATATCCCCGAGTGTGTTTGACACTATATAAGTGTATACACAGCATGGTGTCACATGGTTCTTAGAGTCAAAACTGTTTGGCATTCCAGCCTGCTACATATCTACATATGAGGTTGGTCTTTATGACCTTGGATGGGCTATTTCACCTCTCCAACCCTCAGATTATTAATCTGTAAAATTGGGATTTTAATAGTTACCTTATAATAATAACAGCCAATATTTATTGAGCATGTGCATGCCAGATACTGTTATTACCACTTTACATATGTTATCTGTTACCCTGTGCACTACAACCTTTTGAGGTAGAGGCTCTTATTATCCCCATTTTATAGCTGAGGAAAGAAAAGACAGAGAGGTTGAGTAACTTGCCCTGGTGGATACAGTTATTAAATGACAGAGCCAGGATTTGATCTCAGACTCCATGATTTCCAGTCGTTGTCCATTCCCATTGTCTCACTAAGACTCAGGAGGACCAGTGGCAATCCCACATATTAACCTCATAGCACAGTGTCTGATGGGTAGGAGGCACTAAGAAAGGGCTGATTCATTCATCATCTCTTTTTCCCTACAATGAACAATGTCACATGGACACAGAGAGGGAATATTTCTTTCCCTGAATTGTTGGGAATTAGGTTCGTTGTTTTAAGCTCTAGAAATCACATCCTGAGAATGTGCCCAGATTTGCAGATATACATCGATTCACATCTCAGCTGGAGAGGGTGAAATACCATTTGGAATTCTGCATCCAGATCTTCTGAGGGAAAAGGGGGTAAATCAAAGGCATCCACAGATCTTTTCCTTTTTAGTTACAGACCTGGAAAAGGCATTTTTCTGCCACTTCCTCATTGGGAATGTAACTCTCCTCCCTCTATATTAACAAAGCTGTAGCATATGTTTCCCTTGTGTTCTTAAATCACCTTACATAGCACCAAACATGTGCTGTACATCCAAAAAATGGTTGTTGAATCAAGTGGAGTTCTTTGAGTGAGCAAGGGAAAGTTGGGATTTGTACCGAGGAAGCAGCAGGTGAGTTTGGGAAGGACATCTTTTTGCTATGTGAGTGGACACCTCCATTGGCTTGGGTGGCTGCAGAACCTGCCTCCCCCTTCACACATCCTCCCTTGTTCCCTCTCCCTGGCAGCTTAAGCAAGAGCACTAAGCTTGGCCAGTTGGAACGCCAGCCATGCCCAGTCTTGTGTTTTGAGGGAGCTAAGCAGAGAGACAGGATTACTACAGATGCCTCAGAGGTAGCAGCAGAATCGAGGGTGGTGGCAGTGGTGGGGATAAGTCCCCAAAGCCAGCAGTACCAGAGTCTGTCTCCTAACAGGCTTCCTCTGGCAGCACCTTGGTTGTATTCTCAGCTGTCTGTGCTTATTTTTCTGAGCTTGATTCTCCAGGTTTCCTGTTGACTCTGAGAGGCACTGCCTATCTGTCCAATAAATTCCTTTCCTGGGTAGGTGAGCCAGAGTCCACTTCTGTAGTTTGCAACCAAAAACCTTGACAGGTAGAAGTTAGGGAAAAATCACATGCTGTTTCTAAAACTACTCACCAAAGGAAAATGAGGAGGGGTTGGGGGCAATATTCTACAGGGTAGATGATGATAAGGACAAGGTTTTCTGAGTGAGCCAAGTATTTCTGGTAGAAAACAAGGTTTAAGCAAACTGGAGAAGGATTGCACCTGGCTTTGAAATATAAGGGAATGTTGTCTAAACCTGAAATACGGGTTTGGGCTTTGAATGGAGCCCTTTGGGGACCTTGCCTATGTGGGACATGCTGGGGCCTGGAGCTTTGGGGAACTTACACTGGGTTTGAAAAGCACCTGCCAGGGAGCTGAGGCGTCTCAGCTGCAGCTGACATGGCAGTGCTGAGACCCAAAACACCTGTGTGGTAAGACTGGCGAAAGATCAAGGACACTTTACAGACCTCCTCTTGGGATAAAGTGTAGGACCTGTGCCATTGCATAAATTCCTTTTATGTTAACTTGCTCCTTGTCACCCTATCAGCTAGATTAAAACCACAGTCAGTTGTAGTAACATCAGCAGAGGGAGAAGGAAGTGGTTTTGTCTAGAGGTCACACTTAGTGGTTATACTGACGCCTGCTGCCATTGCTTGCTTTTCTTGGTTGACAGAACAGAGCAGCTTTTATGTACATCATCCTTGACTACAGCTCTTCAGTGCCTTTGCTAGTCATTGAGGTTAGAAAACCAAACATAGGATGATTTTTTTTAAAGTATATTATTTCTTCTTCATTTTAACAATAATATAGATTGTGGTCTGTGCCTACAAATAACATATCAGTTGTTCAGACTACTAATTCTCTTTCTAGGATTCATATCCTCTCCCCTCACAAATTCTGCTCAGCACTAAGTTACCTACCTTACTGGTGGAGCCAAGCACCTTGATGTATACCTGTACTATTCTGGTACAGGAGGAAACCCAGAGAATTGCCAGCTGATCACAGCTGAAGCCAACAGCTGATCACATCTGAAGGCAAGCATACTGCTTGTTGGTGTGCCTGTTCACCTTATTTAAGTAAACACAGACTGGAAGCAGCTGAGAGGAGAAGACTTTTACTATGTTTTTCTCTGTCTACCAACTCTTCTTTATTTGACTGTGAATTCTTCAGAGATTGAACCCTTGCATTTCTTATCCTTTAGTTCTTCAGCATCTATAGTAATGGTGGGGAAGGAATACTGATGTTTTGAACACCTGTGAATGAATCCAGCCGAGGGCCTCTCTCCCATGGGTGTGTCTGAAGGACATGCCATCTGGCATGAGGGATAACATTACCAATGGTTCATGTCAAAGAAGCCTCTACATCCTCAGGGAAAGCCCTGATATTGTGGTCTAGGGATCACCAGCAATTTCACTGTAAGCCAGTTTTTTTTTTTTTTTTTTTTGAGATGGAGTCTGACTCTGTCGCCCAGGCTGGAGTGCAATGGTATGATCTTGGCTCACTGCAACCTCCACCTCCCGGGTTCAAACAATTCTCCTGCCTCAGCCTCCCGAGTAGCTGGGATTACAGGCCTCCACCACCATGCCTGGCAAATTTTTGTATTTTTAGTAGAGACGGGGTTTCACCATGTTGGCCAGGCTGATCTCGAAACCCTGACCTCAGGTGATCCACCCACCTTGGCTTCCCAAAGTGCTGGGATTACAGGCGTGAGCCACTGTGCCCAGCCATAAGCCAGTTTCTTATATTGACCTTTGTAATTTTATTTTTGGTATTAGTTAATGTGTACATAGGCGTTATCACCTCATTGGAAGTTAAAAGAAAAGTAGTGCTAGCTTTTTAATTTTTTAAAAATTTATTTCATGTTTTCAAGCAGGGATAGGTTGTAGAGTAAAAACAGGAAAAAAAGGACTAAAGACCTAAAAATACACTTTCATGGAGGGCATCAATTGCCTAAATGTTTTCTTCTTGAGTACTTTCCAAATCCTAACAAATCAATTCTTCCCAGACTTGAAGAGCCCTCCTTTAAATACCTCTTTAGACCAGATGCAGGTGCAGTGGCTCAAGTCTGTAATCCCAACACTTTGGGAGGCCTAGGTGGGCAGGTCACCTGAGGTCAGGGGTTTGAGACCAGCCTGGCCAACATGGCAAATCCCTGTCTCTACTAAAAATACAAAAATTAGCCGGGTGTGGTGGTGCACACCTGTAACCCCAGTTACTCGGGAGGCTGAGGCAGGAGAATTGCCAGAATCTGGGGAGTGGAGGTTGCAGTGGGCCAAGATCTCGCCACTGCACTTCAGCCTGGGCAACAGATCAAGACTCTGTCTCAAACAAACAAACAAAAACTTCTTTAGTCTGTTTTTGGAAATTTCCATCTGACCAGACTCTGGGCCTTCTAGGAGACAGGGTGTAGGCAGAGTTAATAGGATTTTTGCAGAATACCTTGAAGCTGTGGGAAGCCCCAGTGCATCCTTTGCATTGCAACCAGTACCAAGCCGACTATGCATTTCCTCAGTCAGTTGTGATGGTCTGATGTCAATTCCTGTTGGTTCAGGGTCCGAGGAGCCTTCTTCAGCTTGTTCCAGATAAGCCTGAAGCCTCCCTGAATCTGTGATCCCCTGTAGGATTCAGGAGTGTGAGCTTTGAGCATTCTGTGGATCAAGGCCTCTTGCACAGCCTGGTGGCAGTGAGATGCCTTTGTTCATGCTCAAGCACTTGTCTTTCCCGTAATTGCCTAGAGTTTGGTAGCTTCGTTGTTACAGTCACCGTCACCTTGTACTGTGAAGGTTTATCATTCTATGTCATTATGTGCATGCATGTGAACATGTGTGAACATTTATTTTTTTTCTTGTAGTGATGGTTAATATGCAGAACTTTGATCAGATATTGTTTTTCTTACTCCTGAACTAGAACTACCTTCTTCATTTATTATTTTATTATTGTGAGGGTTATTATAAAGAACTACAACTCTAAAATACAAATGTTTTGATGATATCATAGAAATACATTGGTGCTAACATCAGCACAACTAGTGAAAATATGTCTTGCCCAGCTGTGTAACTTTCAAATAGTTTCCCAGAAGCCATAGCCTTAAGCATGTCAGTCAAAGGAATGACTTAAGCAAATGGAAGCGTGCCTACCTTTCTGCCTGCCTTCTTGCCTGCCTGCCTTCCTTCCTGCCTTCCTTCCTGTCTTCCTTCCTGCCTTCCTTCCTGCCTTCCTGCCTTCCTGCCTTCCTTCCTTCCTGCCTTCCTGCCTGCCTGCCTGCCTGCCTGCCTGCCTGCCTTCCTACCTGCCTGCCTTCCTGCCTTCCTCTCTCTCTCTCTCTCTTCTTCCCTTTCCTCCTTCCTTTTTTCCTTCCATCCTTTATTTAGAGATTTGGTCAGAGTAGAAAGTATCTTAGTAGGATTGCTTCTCCCTATGGTACAACATGATGTAGTGTGATAATACATTACTGTTCATGATACGTAGAACCTGTTCAACATTACGTGCTTTGGGCTCTGGCCCATAGCTTGCCTGATCTGGGACCTGAACGTAAAGATACTTATCATCGACATGCTGTGTGTTCTTTAAAAGTAAAGCTATATCAAAGATACTTATATTTAATGAGATGATTGCACCTGTCTGTCATTGCAATTAAAACATTTATGAGATCATCAAACACCTTTTTGAGTGCTCCTCAATGTATTGCTCTTGGTATGATATCCTATCCATCATAGTCCTATGCAAATAATTATATTAGCAAAGTATGTTGAAGTGTGTTGGCGCCTTAAATAAAATATCAATTGCCAGGTACGTTAGGGGTGAACCCCAGGCCAACTTTCATAGTAGAGCTATGACTAATCAGATGGTGTTTAAGTTAATAACTCTTCCCAGAAGCCAAGTATTAAAGAAAGTGAAAGATGGTGGTCCTTTGTGTGGGAATCCAAGCACCTGCTGAATGGTGCCTGATTATTTTGTCAGGGGGTTTCAAACAGTCTCCCCATTTGTGACAGGTAAATCCTGAAAGAGCAAAAAGGCTGGATTGTCAGTCAGAGACTGAGCAGCCACTTTGCATTTGGTGAGTTTGTTGAATTACCTAATATTAATCTACATAACCAAGGGAAGTGTCTGTCTGTTCAAGAGAAGGACATAGATGTCTCAACTGAAACAGGTTAACTGAGGTCATGGAGTTGAGAAAGTCTGCTTTTTCCTCATCTTCATATAATGAAGTCTTTCCTTCTCATTATGATCTGACATTAACCAGCAGGCGGACCATGTCTAGGTGTCTTGACCTTTTGAGGTTATGTGGCTTCCTCTGTAAGATGAGGGAGTTTTTTAGTTGGTGTCCCTCTAGTCATATGTCTGTGCTGCCTTTGACAACTGGTGTTGGCCGTACCAAAACTGTCACCACAATTGGGAAGCTGTGGGAAGCCCCGGTACATCCTTTGTGTTGCCGCCAGTACCAAGCCAACTCTGGATTCCCACAGTCAGGTGTGACCAAACCAAAACTGACCATACCAAAACTAGTCACAATATCAACTGGCACAATGTATTAGAGTTTTTGGCTTGAGTTGAACTCCTATCATATGAGACAAGTCCTGGCATCATTCTGCATTATTCTGGTCGTGATGGTATGTATTAGTCTGTTTTCACACTGCTGATAAAGACATACCCAAGACCGGACAAATTCCAAAGGAAAGAGGCTTAATGACTTACAGTTCCACATGGCTGGGGAGGCCTCACAATCATGGCGGAAGGCAAGGAGGAGCAAGTCATATCTTATGTGGATGGCAGCAGGCAAAAAAAGAGATTGGGCAGGGGAACTCCCCGTTGTAATACTGTCAGATCTCGTGAGACTTATTTGCTATCAAGAGAACAACGTGGGAAAGACCTGCCCCATGATTCAATTACCTCCCACTGAGTCCCTCCCACAATACATGGGAATTCAAGATGAGATTTGGATGGGGACACAGCCAAACCATATCATAGTACAAGCTTGGAATCTGTGTTGCAGGGTCTTAGAAAAGAGACCATTTTGTAAAAGAGGGAAAAGGAGGACTGTGAACCTTCTTCAGTGGAGTTTGAATTCTGTAATAAATTCTGTGAATAGTTTAGCTACAATATTCCTGTCTAAATGGGAAAGACTAGATGATCTCTTGTACATTGGCAACATAGCTGTATCGGTCAGAAATTTTAGTTGTGCTAAAAATAATTCAGTCTGGCTACTTAACATAAAATAAAAAAGTATTAAACATTTTAAGAAACTTATTTAAAAATTTATTAAAATTTTCAGATTTTATTTTATTTTATTGATTTACTTTTTGAGTCAGAGTCTCATTCTGTCATCCAGGCTGGAGTGCAGTGTTGCGATCTCAGCTCACTGTAACCTCTACCTCCCAGGTTTAAGTGATCCTCCCACCTCAGACCCCAGAGTAGCTGGAATTACAGGCATGCGCCACTATGCCTGGCTAATTTTTTTGTATTTTTAATAGAGACAGCGTTTCACCATGTTGGCCAGGCTGGTCTCAAACTCCTGACCTCGAGTGATCCACCCGCCTTGGCCTTCCAAAGTGCTGGGATTACAGGTGTGAGCCACTGAACCCAGCCTAATTTTTCAGATTAAAAAAACAAAGGGACACTGGTTAGTTCATAGAATGTCTGGAGGGCCTGGCAGCCTGTGTTTGTAGCACCCAGCTACCCTATGGGGCTGTCTCCACTGGAAACACCTCTACCTCTGCTTCTAGCAGCCAGGACACTCAGGACCTAACATCAGGAATGTGGCCGCTTCCACCCCTAAACAACTACATAGCTTGTCATCGTGGATGGCAAAAGATTGAGTCCCCTAAATTAAACTGCTGCTTTTTAGAATCCAAGTGCTGGTGAGGCTTCATCAGATTCATGGGACCCATTTTATCTGCTTGTACCTAGTTGCAAGGGAGTCTAGGGTTTTAAGTTTTCTGGCTTGGCCTTGAGAAGATGGGACTTGTAAAGTAGGGAATTATCAAAATTGTCGTGCCTTAAAGATATTAGGCAGCCATAAAATTTTCGGTATGGGATTCTCAGTGTTGGGCAACTCCAGGAGGGAATGGTATGCACGACAAGATGGAGTTGAAGAGATACGGGATGTGACTCCTGGGTACCGTTCACTATTCCCACGAATCCCTCACCTCCCAGAGGATGTCCCCATTTGCAATACTCTTGGGGTGACTGTCTAACATAGTGGTCTCTCCTGGGGGTTTCTCAACTGCCACTTGGCGTCTCAGCCCTTCTTCCCCAAAGCCTCAAAAGCTAGATGGAAAGGAAAGAGGCTCTGTTCATATCTGCATTCAGTGGACATATTACAAATGCTAACAAAAGGCTTAAGTCCATTATTATTATTATTCTTATTTGTTGTTTTTGTATATAAATATGCCTAAGGTTTCAAAGATCCAGTGATGTATTTAGCTAATGCTTATGTTGTTATAATGTACTAGGGTGTTCATTCTCAGATTGGTCTGAGTAAGAAAAATGAAATAATGATAGCTGCTCTAAGAAGCCTGATAACAGATTCTGGCTGATGGAGCAAATATTCTGCTGCTTGATAAACTCATAGAACTGTGGGGCCTCTGTTATTGCTATTTTAGTAATGGAAATGTCCCTATACTAGTTTCCAAGAATATCAGTAAATAACACCTATGGGCCTAGGAGAGGTGCTGAAGCAAATGTGGAGGATGAGGGACGGGAAGGAGAGGATTCCTGGGAGTTACTGAATTTTTAAATTGGAAAGGGTTTTAGAGACTAAGCCATTTGCCTAAAGGAAAAAAAGTAGTAAAAATAAATAATAATTTACTACTTGCTACCTTCTACTGAGTCCTAATTATGTGCTGAGGTTTTTATTAGATCGTCTCATTGAATCTTCACAGAACCCTTTAAGGCAGGCAATGATTCTCCGTTTCTCAGATACCTAGACTGAGGCTTAGAGATGTTATGGAACCCTCTTTGTCACAGAGTGTGTTCTGTATAGAGCTGAGATTTGAACCCGAATTTGCTGTGAAGCACCAAGATACACCCTAAGAATAGAGCCTGACATCGTGTCTGTCTTAGGATGGTTCTGCCCATTCTAGTTAATTGCTTTGAAAACTTCATTGCTCACCCTACCCAGACTGACACTGCTTCTGAAGGTTTTTTCAGGCCAACTGCTCCATCTTCATGAACCTTGGCCTTGTGACCTTCCCTTTTTCTTACTGATTTCATCTAATCTTGCACTGGGCGTGTATTTAGTTCCTGTCTTTGCATGGCAATGAGCTAAGTAAAAAACAATGCAAGGACCTTTTTAGCTAAGGGACTTGCCTTGTAGAAGTTTATAATCAGAAATATATATACACACAAATATATAATATAATCTATATAATATAATGTATATAACATGTATTTTATATAACATATGTATAATATGTGTGTGTGTGTGTGTGTGTATATATGTATAGCTCTGTCTATATATATACAGGCAGAGCAATAACTTCGACCCTGGCAGAACTACAGAGAAGCAGTGGACATTTGGGTCAAGACCAGAAGCCTTAGATTATAGTCCCTGGGTAGCTGCTTCAGCTTCAAGACATCACATGGACCCCTGTCATAATTTAAATAGTTTCACAGTAGATCATTGGCATTCAAAGATTTAATATTCTTGGTTTCACCTATTAAGAAATGGCCACAAATCTACAGGATGTAATCAGCTGTAATTTTGCCGAGACAACGCATTTCAAATACTTGTGCAGGAGTGAGCCGTTTAGCTAGTGAGAGAGCCCAGCCAGCTACCAGCAGCCCCATCTTGATGAGTGAGACTCTCAGATGTGGGGATTCCCAGAGGTCTCAGGACAACAAGGCTCGAGGTAGATGCAGTTCACACTTCCTGTATTGTTGTTTCCTAGCCTTTCCTAGTCTCAGGTGTTGCAGGCAGTGAGCTACGGGAGGTCAGCAGGCTGTCCTGGCTGTACACAAATGGCTGCCCCCTTCTCCCACTTCTCCCTCCAGAGTGGGTGGAGTGCTATTTGCAGATCTCTCCCTGATTGATAGGGCTTGTCTTTAGAAATGGAGTGATTGATGTCCATTTCTACATGCCTTTCCTAGGTGAATTCCTCCTTTACGTTTGGTCAGGAACTATGTCATACCACCCTCCTGTCATCTGTTCCCAACAGTCAGGCCTTGGCTACATGGTCCTGAACTTGTCTTTTCAGCACTCTGTGGAATGAGCATAAAGTCACACCCAAGCGACCGGTCTTTCCTAGGAAGACCTTTGTTTACCTAAGCAATTTGTAAGGGATGGGTATATTATGCTTAATGTTTCCCCACCAGACCCGATTGTGTCTTGATTTGGGGCGGTGGTTCGACTTTGAGGGTCAGACTTTACTCCTGTAGCAAAAGTTGGACAAATGTATACAAATTCTCTCACCTCTCACACGCCAACATCTTCCTCCACCCACCCCACCTCCACCATGACTTAGGATCACCTGAGAGAGAAATACAAGGTCTCCCAGCCAGGGCCCTGCTGGGCTGTCTCCTGAGGTGATCTTTAGATAGGTGTCGATAACAGGGAGCCTCCGAGCCCTGCCAAAATCACTTGGCCACAGCCCCAAGATAATATTTGAAGTTCTTGTGCTCAAGAGTGTCAAAGTGTAACATACTCTTCCCCTTTCGCCTTACCTTCCCCAGGCGCAGCCAACACTTGACATCTTTTTATCAGATGAGCTTGGCACTGCCAGGACCGGCTCCTCGCGCCAATGTGGCAGCAGCCACAGCCCCTCAGCTTGTTAGACTGAAAGAATGTGCCGTTTTAATTAATGATATGTAAATATCCTTGAATGGGCCGCATTTGCATATTAAGAGAGATTTGCGGAATCTGCGGAGTAATATATTTTAATTAAGGATTAATTAAAAATAATGGGAATTTCATTTCGCCTGGCAGAATCCGTTTAGATTTTAGCACACGTCTGCTTGGGAGTCTGGTAGGAAGACTGTGTGTTACGATTCCCGCAGATGAGAGAGGCACTCCTGTGTTTATCATCTTGGAGCCCCACTCTGGGGAGCAAAGGGAATATAAAGGGGGTAACATTTTCCTCTTACCTCCCCCATCACCCACCCCTCTTCTTCCCTCCTCTTTGTGATTTTAGGGCTGTTTTGGTATTCTTTATGGTAAAGTAAGTAAATGGCTCTGAGACACGGAACACTAGTTGTGTTGGCAATTATGTTAATGGGATGCTATTAGGCTATGATTCTATATGAGCAATTGGGGAGAAGAAATGCCTTACTGAGAGAGAATGATACAACAGACGTCTGTCTTATTGATATAGCTCCAGTGGTGCTTTCTGCATAATTACACTCGTCCACTTTCTTGAGGTTGGGGAGAAACCGCTGCACTGGGAATTAAGAGCAAGGGATTGGGATAAGGGGCGCCCTCTCCCAAATCCACAGAGGACATGGGGTGGGGGCACATTCTTCTAGCAGATGTGGGTGTTGCAGGTGAGCAAAACTTGTTTCACAGAAATTTTATTCTCTTCTTTTCCTTCTACTTCCAGGAAGTAGTCTTAAGTATGGGCTGGGTTCTAGCTCCAATAGTCCTCTCCAGAAGTAGAATTTTTTAGAATGTACACACTGCCTCTCTGACCTTCTGTCTCTGGGCACACCCTACTTCCCTTTCCTGGGTTCATGCAACAAATCCTCATACTCCTAGGGAGTTCACTATTCTGTTCTTAGCCCTAAACACATGTTCACAGCCTTCTAATATTTCCTGCTACCCAATTGGCCTTTCCTTTGTGTATATCCATGTTGGGCATTGTCACAGACCGTCATGAAGTGTCTATTATTGCTTTACTTTCTGTTTCTCCCTTCAAGTCAGTTGGTTCTTGTTTTGTGTATTTAGGTGCTCTGATGTTGGGTGCATATATATTTCTGATTGCTATATTGTCTTGATGAATTATCATTGACCCTCATGGTCTGGGCTTCTGTAAGCCCTTTCCACCCTTCCAATTCCAAAGCTGCCAGCAGTATCAAGATTTGACTACCAGCTCACAATATTTCCTCCTGCACATCTGGCTGCTATGAGAGTGTGAGAGTACTAAGCCATAGGCAGAGTCCATGAGGAGTGGGACTCTGCCCTCAAGTGACCAGAGGCGCCTCCTGAGGGCTTCCACCATGGAAAAGGAATATTTGGTTTCTTCCCTTTACACCCTCAGGGAGGTCCAGGGGAAACTGCCTAGGACCTCTCTAAGAGCTGATGGCCTGAGGCTTGCATCTTTTGTTTTGATGACTGATAGGCTGAAGAAGTGCTGGGGAGGAACCTGGAGGCCAGGGATTTTGCAATTATGCTTCCCCACTCAATCCCTTTCCAGGAGAATACCCTGGTGGGAAATTTCAGCACTTCCACTGGAAGCCTTAACTCAGTTTTCCCCTTACTCTCATTAAAAAATATGTATGTCAGCTATCCCTCCTTCCTTTCCACCCCGTGTGACTCCTGTATTTATGGATTTAGGGGAAATCCACCTATAGGCACTGCTGCTACGGCCTTTCCTTGCAGACATTCTGACATCTCAATAGCCAGCTGACTGAAGGCCTGTGGGGTCAGGTTTGAGAGGTAGATGGGGAGCAGGCAAGAGAGCATTTGAAGCTGAATGTATCAAGACTGCCAAGACTAAGAGAGAGAAAGGGGCTTTTAGAGGCATAAAGCAACTCTGGGGCAGAAAAATGGAGTACTGAGAATAGCAGAGAGAGGAAAATAGCAGAGAGAGGAAAAAGAAAGTGATAGGGCAAGGCTTCTTGTAAACCAAGGCCTGGATGCCGTTAAGATTGAGGGGACAGTGAACAAAGCATTGGGGGGAGGATCAGAAGGGGTGTTTTCTTTCTGCCTGTGTCCCTGCGCCCGTGTGCACTTTGCAAAGGCAGCAGTGCCTTATCTAATGCAAATGGAGAAAATGCAGTTTCTGGTAAGTGTTCCCTAATAAATAACATCAAGTCTTCTTCCCTATCAGCCAGTGACATCCCGCATTTCTCTTCCCCATGCACCAGCCCAAGACATTTAATGATGTGGTGCTCCTTATGGGATGTGAGGTCCATGCTAATGTCTCCACTCACAAAATGGTGGGAACAGATTTCAGCTCGATTCAGTTATTCTGCACCGACAGAAATCACAAAACAAATATATATGTGTTTTTCAAGTGCTAAGATAGCCCTTTTTTTTTTTTTAAAGTCAGAGAAGTTACTCTTGGTTTTTGTTTTGTTTTTCCTTTTCATTATATAGAAATTTGTCCAGGGCTAGTTCTTGGTTGCTGGAGGATTTCATTAATGAAATGAAGTAAAAATAATCAATTTCAGATGTTTCCAGTGTTGGTGGTAATGGTCTCTCTAACAATTCTGATTAGCCGTGTGAGGTGGAATTTTTCTTTTAAATGACTGCACGTTGACATTAAAGATGGGCAAACTTTGTGTGTGAGTGCATGCATGTGCATACACTCGCCTGCCAGTGCATGTGCCTGCCTGGAGCTGGGTGTGAGGCTTGTGTTCATTCTTGCCCTTTCCCTTGCTGTTTTACCGCCTGCTTCATCTTTAGTTTCCCCTGTCGTTACCCTTTCCCTCCATCAGTATGATTTCTGAAAGGCTGTTCTCTGTCCTTTGCTCTCTCCTCCTCATAAGTCTAGGCCATTTCTGGGAACATGTGTGTAAGGCTGATTTTTTCTGGGGGGCAGGGAGTGGTAAGTGGTGGGGGAGGTTAAGAGTAAGCAGGTTAAATCTGCATTCAAATCAATAGAAAGCCTCTGCGCCTTTGGAATGAGGGTTTTGTGTGAGTGTGGGTGTCTGAGTCAGTGGTATATATTATCCTGGTATCTGCCAGCCCAACTGGGAGCTCATCAGACAGAGCCTGCTTGCCCATATGCCTTACCTTCCCTTTCTTCTCCAGACCCTCTTGTACTTTCAAAGAATGAATAAATTAAATTGAAGAGAGTCCACCGTGGATTCTTCATTATTAATTTGTTTCTTTTTATTTATTTTTCATGCATTTTTCTTACTCTGGTTGTTTTTCTTTCTGTTTTTTTTTTTTTCCCCTTTTATTCCCCTGTTGACACACCACATATACAGCCCTCCCTTCTCTCTCTGTGAACAGCTCTCTTCCCTGTATACGAACAGTCATGGAGAGTGATTTCTCTGCAGCGTGTCTGTCTCTACATAGATACTCATGGGTGTAAACACACCAGAGAGGGCCACTGCATGTGTTTATTGTTGTACTTTTTCCCTTTGATAAGCTGTCATCGGTGGGCACTGCTCAGGGGACTTGATCCCAGTAATCTCTCGACCCCATGGAAGACATTTAACACCCTTCCAGACCCTGTGCTCTGCCTCTGTCTCTGAACCTTTCACTCTCCTTTAATGAGAATTTCTCCTAATTATTTCAGTGGCTGCAGCAGAGGGACCGCAGTGTACTTAGATCTCGATACTGAGACGTGACTGTTATGCTGATAAAGGCAAGAGATCAATAATTTAGGCCCCAGCTTTAATGGCAAAGCTGAGAGCTTAAGTGTCTGCATTCAGGTTGAGTCTTAGAGGTTCTTGGAGTATTAATAATTTCCATAAGATTTTTTCCCCCTTTCTTCTTGAGCTGCAGCTGATCAGCATTCTTGTACTTGCTAAATTGTATTTATAAAAAGATATTCACCTCCTCTATTTGAACATATGTCTGAATATCACATAAATGTGTAGCGGCGTGCCTTTGCATCATGTGTGTACATCTGATTATTCGCAACTGTGTGTAACACATAGCACATACAGATTTCTGTTTTTGTTCTTATCTGGGGAGTGTCCTTCCTCACATTGCCTTTGGCTTTTGGACTACCCATAATTTGTTCTTTCAAAATTCATCTGGTAAATATGTAACCACTTCAAAGGCAGGAGTGAGATGTCATCCTTTTCCTCCTTTCTTTTTTTTGTTTTCTTTTTTCTTTTATTCTCTGTCTAATTTCTCCTGCTATCTTAAAGCCACAATTGTACTTGACTGAAAAGGGCAACACCAAAGCATTGAGCTCACTCAGATGTGGGTGTCCATGTGTATGTAATATAGTTCTGAGTTTTTATATAGGGTCCTTCTTTGAGGGATTCCAGCAAACCTGTTTGAACCCAAGCAAATCCATACAATACATACATGCTAACAGATATATAAATGCCATGAAAATGATCATAGTATATGATATGTTTTATATTAAGGTTGAAAAAAAACCCCAGCATAACACAGTTAAGGGGCTTTCTTGGAAGATTAGTCACCGGGGTGTTTGTCACCTATACTAAGAGGTAACCAGTGCTCCCCAGAAAGGGTTGGAGTGGGGCTGGGAGCGCCCAGAACCTGGATTTCTCCCAAAGGAGACAACTTGTTCTCTAGTGAGTCCAAGCTTCAGGGGCCACCACGTCTCTCCGCTTTCATCAGCCCAACCTCTCTGGCATTTTTTTCTTCTGGAAAATTACTAACTTTTTTTTTTTTTTTTTTTTTTTGAGACGGAATCTCGCACTGTTGCCTGGGCTGGAGTGCAGTGGCGGGATCTCTGCTCACTGCAACCTCCGCCTCCCGGCTTCAAGCGATTCTCCTGCCTCAGCCTCCTGAGTAGCTGGGATTACAGGTGTGAGCCACCGCGCCTGGCGAAAGTTACTAACATTTTTAAGTTGCCCTAAGAAACTTAACTCCTAGGAATCTGCTTAAATTTTGACTTTGTAAATTCAGCAAAGAAAACATTTCTTTCAACCCTAAACTTCTCAACTAGATGAAACTTTTATGGGAATGCCGTGATTCCACGCGGATCTCTCGGCACATGCTACCCCCAGCCACTAGGGGGCAGAGCGACAGACTTGTGGTTTGCTGGTCTCTGGAGCTTCTGGAGTCCCCTTGTCCTCTGCTACAAAAGCACAATGATAGCTGCTACTTTATTCGTTACTCCCTTGTAGGGAAAGTAAAGGGATGGGGCTATGAATATCGCTGCTTACACATTGGGAAACTGGGGCACAGAGATGAAATGACTATGAGCTGAAAACAAGACGCCAGTACATACAGAACATAGAGTTTCTAACATGAGCCAGTTCCCCGTCCAGCTGGCCGTTCACCAGGTGTCAGTGTTTGTTTGCCTTTTAGCCATCAGTCCCTGGTAAACCTCCATGTCTGTGGTCCTCAAGTCGATTATGGTTGAGTCTTCCTACTCTTTTTTGTGTCCCCAAGTAGCTTATTTCTAGAAACAGGTTCCCGTTTGCAACATCAAGTCTGGTTATGCTGGGGTCATGACTTACACATGGACAAAGAGGAAGGATGAGTTGACTCTAAACCAAAGAGCCATAGTGTCTTTGTGTTTTCAGTACAAATCTAGTTGATTCTCTGGCTTTGGTATACACATGGTTTTCTTCCCTTGCTCTTTACTTTTCTTGGCTTGGCCAAAGTCACCATTGCTTTGCTGAGTTGGGATGCAACATCTGCTTTTTGATAATTGCCACCAAAACCCATTTTCCAGTTACAGAGACAGTTGACGGCTTTGGAGTGAAAGCTAGGAGCCAAGGAGTCCTGAGAAAACTATAAATGGGCATGGAATGTCCTGGATAATTCTGTGGTGGGGAAATTAATTCTGAACCACTAAGTACTATTAAGAAGCTGATGCCAACTAAATAGGCAGAAATTTTTACAAAAGCTGCCAGAGTTTAGAAACCACCCAGTGTGCCATAGCTTCAGGGGAGCAAAACTACCCACTCTACCAAGTTGGAAAAAATGAAGAATGCTTCAAACTGAATCCAGCTGATCCTGGAGGCCACTGACCCTGTCCTAATGGAGACAAAAAGTGACAGTGAGTATTTAGTTAGAGGAAGAAATCACAGCCCCCCCCCCCCCCCACCCACCACCAAGAGGATCTTTAAACTTGATGGAATGATGTTATGATTTTATGGTAGCCGTGAAAATAACCCTTTCTTTAGCATGGTGCTTATAGTTTGCCAAATACTTTCATTGATACTGCTATTTGATTCTCAGAACAACTCAAAGAGATTGGCAAGGGAAATATGATTAACCCCATTTTAAGATAAGGAAACTGAGCTTTAGATGTCTAGAATGGTTTGCCTGATGTCACACAGCTGGTAGATAGCAGAACCAGGACAATAATTGAGGTCTTTAATTATTGGTCCTGGGTTGACAGATGATGCCACCAGATCTTTTCCCTAGGAATTTGGTGAAAAAGTATAAAACCATTTCATTCAAGGAAATGGAATAGAAATATAAATTTCCTTCTAGATCTTTATTCTACCTCTGTCACCTGACCCTTGACATGGAAGAGAATAGGACATGTCTTTCCCTTACCATTCACTTAAGAAGTATTATAGGTTGGTGCAAAAGTAATTGCGGTTTTTGCCTTACTTTCAATGGCAAAAACCTCAATTACTTTTGTATCAAACTAATAATAATCATGTTTGTCTGTCTTCCTAGCTCCTCTCTGGGGGAGGCAGCAGTCTGCTTCATCCTGCTACCACCTCCCTGCCTAGCACCGCCCAGGCCTAGCCAGCCAGAGTCAGTGCAGGCTGTGTGGGTGGGAACTTTTTTCATCAGTAAGGGGCATCAGGAATTATTCTGATTTATCTCACCTCTTACCTGCCCACCATTATGAGGGATCATGCACTTTACTGCCTTTATGGCTACAAGATCCTTTTACCAGGTATTACTCATACCATTATGAATAAGCTCCAGGACTGAAACCCAGACCCCGCCCCCAGACACTGAGGACTGCCTGCTGTCTTCTTAGTGCTATATCCCACCACACTGGCTTAGATGAAAACTTTCAAGCAGATCTTGGTGGGGATCAGACTAGAGATTTCTATGTTTCATCAGACTAGGTTTTAGACTTTTTGTGCATGCCCGTGTTCTGTGTGGACTGTGTGCCAGGTCTCTCTCTACTCTTGCAGTTTGAGTCTGGTAACCTCTCACCCTCTTTTCTCACTAGGACCTCTCCCATCATGCCTTGCTGTTAGGGCTATGCCCTTTATATTTGGTATGAACGCGTGCAGTTTGCAGACCCAGTCTCCTTACCCCAGTTCCTGAGCCCACCTTAATAGAGGAGAGCTGGATTGAAGTAGCTTACTGCACAGAGGGGTGCAAGAAGGAAATGGAGGCATTTTGCGTTCTTTGTGCTTTAACAAATTAGTCTTGGAATTGCCTGGGATGACCTGGGGACTCCATGGACCTATGAGTGCTATATTTGCCCAGACCAAGTGCCTGGGCTTCTACATTTAATTCCTTCTGTTTTCAGATCCTTTCCTGAACAAGCAGACACCTTAAGATACTAGATTTATGTAGTAGGCATAGAGTAGGTCTGTCTAGCTCTCCTACTCCTCAAGATAGTAGGAGAATGGAACTGAGGGTGAACCAAGGTGTGAAAGTAAAACCAAATCCAGGAGGGCCAAAGCGTCAAACCAAGAAGGCAAGGCCGAGAGGCAGGATTGTGTGAACAGGTGGAAACTAGAACACCATGCCCAAGCAAGATGGTTGCTAAGGATAGGATACAAAATCTCAAGCCACAGAGCCTGGCTGCCACAAGTGTGGAGTTTATGGTCAACAGCTTTTTGGGCACAGACACCAGATCTGGAAATGGATTATAATTGAAGCGTTTAAGAGGAGAGCCTCTGGAGTGCCATTGCCTGGGTTCAAAGCCTGCAGCCCCCTAACTTGCTAGCTAAGTGACATTGAAACTATTTAACTGTCCTGCTTCATACGCATTAATGTCCTTGTTGCTGTTTTCTCAGTGTCATTCACTCCCTAGCTGCCAAGTGTTCCTTTGCCCAAACCTTGAGCCCTGAGGGGGCTCAGGTCTGCTTTTAAATGAATGTGCTACCCAACTACCTAAAAGGAATGACTGTTGGAATGTTTTTACTTTTAAATAAGACTAATGTGTCAGGCTCATCTCAACACTGTCATACCCAGTGGGACATTCTAGGTAGGATTCTTGGCCTAGTTTCTACCTTTTTTTTTCCCAACTGGAAGGTAATTCTAAGGTTTCAACATGATTCCAGGCAAGTCCCCATGGTTTATGACAAATAAGAGCATCTTCTTTGCATATACTGCTTGACATTTTTTTTTTTTTTTTTTTTAAGACGGAGTCTCGCTCTGTCGCCCAGGCCGGACTGCGGACTGCAGTGGCACAATCTCGGCTCACTGCAAGCTCCGCTTCCCGGGTTCACGCCATTCTCCTGCCTCAGCCTCCCGAGTAGCTGGGACTACAGGCGCCCGCCACCGCGCCCGGCTAATTTTTTGTATTTTTAGTAGAGACGGGGTTTCACCTTGTTAGCCAGGATGGTCTCGATCTCCTGACCTCATGATCCACCCGCCTCGGCCTCCCAAAGTGCTGGGATTACAGGCGTGAGCCACCGCGCCCGGCCTTACTGCTTGACATTTTACAAAACGCCATCATTTGCACCATTTACAATTTTGAAGGTGCTGTGGGATCCTTAAGAAAAGTATAAGAACTGATCTCTGCCTTAGGGGAACTTCTAGTGTTCAGAAGAAAAGACTAAAATATGTAAACCACAGATGATAATGTTCAATGAAGTTGATAATTATGTGGCATGGGTTAAAAGTATAATGATATTTCAGAGACAAAAGCAGTGGTTTGGGGTTCATGAAAATTAAGGTTGGCTTCATTGAGAGGAGGTAGGGATGGGGTGAAGAAATGGGGCAGGAACAGATACATAGAAATCTTAGTGTGTGCAGGGTGGGGACACATGGTGTAGTAAGAGGGGATAGTAGCCAGCACTAAGGAAGCACGGAAGTACTTTGGCAAGGGAAGAGGGTGACAATGAGGGGATTGGCTTGGCCGTGATGCAGATTTGAGGTTACAGTAGTGATGGAATAGGATGGCATTAGTAGGGTCAGATTATGGAGAGGAGGCAAAGGGAATTTTAAGTAGGTAATTCACATATATTTTGTTAAAAACCCTATCCATTTAGTATTATTGGCTCCATTTTAAAGAAAATGTATGGGTAGTATGCACACCCAGGTCTGTCTAAAACCAACCTCTTTTCAATTCAACATGGTACCTTAACTCAAGAAAGGATGGTAGGCTTGATGTGATTGGTAGTGGGGAATCATTGTGGGTTCTTGAACAGAGGAGATATAGTGAAAGGGGGTGATCCAATGGAATTGTTTACTGCGCATGTATCCATATGTTTATATAGGATGAGGATGTCCTTTGGTGGAACAGATAGAGGAACAAAAGACGCAAAGCTGAAGGCCATATGATGGACTCAGCTCCTGAGCTCTGCATTCCTTTTCTGTGTACCCAGGAGCCGCCAGCCCTGTTTGTATCCACACAAGGCTCTCTGTGTATCACAGCCAGCATAGAAGGCATAATCCTCCTCGGGTCTGTGTCTCTATAATTTATGATGCTTTCAGATTACCAAACACAATTCATTTGGCAATGAAAGAGAATAGTTTTGTGCTATTGTCCTCCATGTGTGGGAAATTGCATTTTTGATGAGCAGAGCCATTGGCCTTCTTCACGTGACTGGCTGAGAACATGAGCTGGTAACCAAGGCCTGAGTGAAAAGTCTTGGGAACCAGTCATCCAGCTGCCACAGCCCATTTAGGGGAAGGCTAACCCCACATCCCTGCAACAATTTAACCTATGTCTTGTAATCTGTTAGTTTTCATCAGCCAATATGTACACTTATATAATTATCTCAGCAAAACCCCTCTTTATTAAAGAAGAAGGTGATAGATTGTTACTATCAACACAGTGCTAAGGAAACCACAGCTAAGGGTATCTTCTTCACACGCCACTCTCTCATCCTCAGTCGGCATGGTAGTTTTATGAACAACTTTTTTTTTTTCTCTTAGGGCATCTGTTAGATGCATTCCAAGCTCCAGGGGAGACCTGTGTGGAGGTGCAAGAAGGAGGAGCTCTAAGGTTATTTTAATTTAGATTTATCTGAGACTCCAGAAAAATCACGTACGTGGTGTGGAAATTATCCTCACATAGGCAGAGGGAGAAAACACTAAATTCATATTCTACATGTATCTTCTTGTATCAAGACCAGTGTTTTCAGAAATGAGTTTGCCAATAAATATAAAAACCATCCATCGGTTTTCTTCCCAATACTCATTCTTCCCCTAAACGTTACATAGGTTTTTATACTCTTAATTAACCACATCCAATAATTTGTTTCCTAGGCTGGGCTAGCTGGATGATGCCTTTTTATCTGGTTAAAGAAGAGTCACCAGGCAGGAAATGATGGTAGAGAGATGGAAGACTACAAAACCCTTGCCAAATTCTGCACTTTTTGTTAGTTTGTTTGCACTGCGGAAGGATGAAGACAGTGAGACAGTTACTGAGACCATCGGCTGCTGTGGACATCACAGTGGGAGCAGTCTACTGGGTGGGAGGGGTGCTGTCAGGTCTTGGGGACCTTAGTAGGAGACAAGTAAAATTATGATGCAGTGGAAAGGCTCCTTTGAAAACAGGTGATGGGACACAGTGTATGCAATCCTGTGGGCTTTTGCTGCAAGTAGGCAGACCCCTTTCGTTTGACCTTTTTATTTATAAAGTCACAATCTGAGATCATCAGATTGTCAACAACTACAACAATAAATCCAAGGTCATTGGATCTGAAACCCAACACCTGTATTGAATCTTAAGAAAAAGAAGACAGGTTGTATTCATTTAAGCATTGTCTAAGTAATTAGGAGACAAAATTTGCTATTATCGTATGTTTCACAGTTATGTTCTAAATTTATGCACCTGTGAGTAGCACTATAGGTTTTCATTAATGTTTGTGTTCTCATTTGATCTTTATAACTACCCTGTGAAATAGGTACTTAGGACAAACATTGATCACCCCTCATTTTAAAGATGGAAAACCTGAGGCTCAGAAAAATGAAGCTCACAAATTATGTCTTATGACTCCAAACTCCTGCTGGTTTTTTTTTATTTGTCTGAAAACTGACTGATGTGATCTTATTTGGACAAAGGAGTGTTGTTGGAAATATCAGTCACGTGAATTAATTAACAATTTCTTCCTTCCTAGCGAGAGTAAGACCATGGAGTAGAGCAGATATATTAGTCCATTCCATGTGGAAATCCGGCCTGTAGTTGTATATTCGTATAGCTATATGTTGGTAGGATGGACCTACATGGTTTAATGAAAGTGGAAGGAAAATCTATTTTCAGTCAGATCCTATAGATATTTCATAAGGAATTAGAACTTAGTTACTTAAAAATTATATTCTAGAGGTTTATAAAGCAAACATTTATTATATTCATTTACCTTTTTAAAAAATTTTAAGCAAAGCCCATACTCCTGTTTTGGGGATATCTGAAAGAGAGAGCATTTACAACTTTAGAATTACAGATTCATGAGGGATCTGATTTTATTTTCTTTTTCAACTTTAATTTTTGATTCAGTGGGTACACATACAGGTTTTATTACCTGAGTATATTGTGTGATGCTGAGGTTTGGTGTACAGATAAAGCGATCTGATTTTATACTCTTATGCAGTGGATCTACCACTACTACAATGACTGCTACAGGGCTGCTAATGTTTCTGAATATTGTCTAAGTACTTCTAGAAATAGGAAAGAAGATCACAGAATCATAAATTCTTCTATCTTAAAGGAGCCTTCAGGATAATTATTATTTTACAAAAAAATGCAGCTAGGCTATTGTATACATCAAACAGGCTGTTTTTTCTCATGGTGAACTGAATCTGCTTCAGTGGAACTTTCCCCATTCTGTCTGAGGTCTCCCTTTGGACACAATGTAGAATAAATCTATTGCTCTCCTGCATTCAAATAGTTGAAGACTTATTTTTTACCTCTTCATCTTCTCTTCCCTAGGCTGAACGAAACGAAAACTCTCAGTTCCTTAGGTTTCTGTGCATTATTTCTAATTTATTCTTAATTCATAACTCTATAGACACTTACAGAACACCTACTATGTGTGAGCCTGGCATTTTTAATTTAAAACCCTTTCCTGGCCAGGAATGGTGGCTCATGCCTGTAATCCCAGCACTTTGGGAGGCCATGGGAAGAGTATTGCTTGAGCCCAGGAGTTCGAGACCAGCCTGACTCTACTAAGAATTTAAAAATTAACCTGTCATGATGGGAGCGTGCCTGTAGTCCCAGCTACCCAGGAGGCTGAGGTGGAAGGATTGCTTGGGCCCAGGAGTTCGAGGCTATAGTGTGAGATCCTATCTCAAATAAATACATTAATAAATCATTTTCTTTGTAATACAAACTCAACCTAAGAACTAGATAAAAGAAAGCCGATTTTACTTTTTTCCTTTGTGCTCAGGTAATAGAAAATGAAATTTGTATGTATGTTTATAACATGTACATTTATACCTGTATATACATATTCATATGTATTTTTAATCATAGGGAATGAACACTAGAAAGTAAATGAAAAATGAGTTGAAAAACTAAGCATTTAAAATAAATCAATTGACTTTTGATATATTAAGATATTAATTTCAAGGTTAATTATAGCCTCCTCTTAGAGATACAACTGTTCAAAGATACATCATCACAGCTGATTGTCAGGCCTAGATGCCTGTGAGGAGAGAGACTCAGCTTCAGTAACCTGTTGAAGCCAGAACATAGAAAGTAAATGAAAACTCAATTGTAAAAACATTCATTAGTTTAAACCCTAGACACTGGGGCCTACTTTAGAGTGGAGCGTGGAAGAGGAGTGAGGACTGAAAAACTACCTATGAGGTACTATGCTTATTACCTGGTTGACAAAATAATTCATACACCCATCCCCCATGACATGTAATTTACCTGTATAACAAACCTACACATGCACCCCTGAACCTAAAACAAAAGTTAAAAAAAAATTAAACCCTTTTGTCCTCAATGTTTTGATATTTGGTCCCGGGAACTCAAATTTGCCTTTGTCTTAACTGGTAAAAATATTTACCCGGAAATGAAGAAACATTAAATACACTAATATGTAAAGACTTCAGAGGGAACGTTTAAGAATCCAAGCAATCAAAATAGCACCTTTAAGTATTTCTGTAGTGTATGCTGTAAGTACTCTATAAAAATGTATTAATATGTCTTGTTAAAATGCCATTTACATACAATGGTAACATAATTATAATTACACGTCTTTCTTACAGATTTATTAAAACAGATGTGATCTACCAATAATGTTTTACATCTGATGGAAAGAATTGGAATATAATAATCCTACTTTTCTTTAATGCATTACTAATTCAGACAGGCCCTTCTGGTTGTTCTGAATTGGAGAGAGAGCAGACACTTCAGTTGGATTTGGAATCATCCACTTTTTTTTGCAGGTATTTCGAAAAAAGCCTGGTTTTGGTACAGCTCTTCCAGAACCCACGGGAAGAACCTGTTCATCAGCTCATCCATCCGTCTGCTGAGTAAATGCTTATTGAGCATCTACTGAATGCCAGCACTGTTCTTTGTTCTTGGAATACATCAGTAAACAAAATAAGGAAAACAAAACCAAACCTCCTGACCTCAAGGAGCTTTTATTTTAGGAATGATGTCTTTTAGTCATTTAATAGTTGCTGTTTTTATTAACTCTTAACTGTACCCATAAACTGGATACTTTCAACTTAAAAAAAAAAAAGAGAAACTAATTATGTGCCCTAAGGATCACCAGGCCTTAGGTTCTACCTTTATTTTTCTTCTACTGTTAAATAGCAACCTCATTCCTCAGGCTGCTGATGGAATTGGTAACTGAGTAATCAGGCCACTGTGCTCGGGGACATAAAACCTGTGGCTGCTGCCATTGCAGAGTCCCGTCATGGATCAGAGTTCGTCCCTGGGAAACAACTTGTGCCGACGGAAGGAGTTCTTCCTTTGCTCCCCTCATACCTCCCTTCCTTGCAGATGGGATCCTTGCAAGGGCAGAGCAGCTCTTAGAGTTGTCAGGCCCTTTTCTTTCATTCTGCTTATTTTCCCATAGGCGAGTACTGCTCAGAACCCAGGCTGTGAGTTTTTTGATGTGGAAAGCTATTTACTAAGCATGTCTTGACGCAGAGGATGGAGGGAAAGAAAGCCTCCAAGAGAGTGGTGATTCTACAACCATCATCAAATTTTGGTTGAAAACTCAAAGCTGCTGATATGTATTAGTAAGCAGATAACAGTAACATCCTGTATTTGCATGGCCCTGTATCAGTCAATAGCATTCAGATTTGTGTGGTGGTGTATAGCTTTCCTTATTTCATATCAGGTGTTTTCATTTGATCCCAAGTGGTATGTCCTGAGACAGAAGAAATAGCCCCATTTTACAGAAGAAGAAACCCAAAATTGCAAGGAATTTGCCTAAGGTCATTAGAAAGTGTCTAAAATAAGACTTTGACCCGGACTCTCTGATTTCAAGCCCAGCGATTCTTCTAACAGGCCATATTCTTTCACTTTTATTATCTTGACTTACGCAACAAAGGAGATAAGCCAGGTACATGTCATTAATCTTCCTATGTATGACAACTGAGGCTCCAGGAGGTTAAGTGCCTTGCCTAAGATTACTTGGGTGGTGGTAGAACTGGTTTTCAAAACCAGATCATCTGAATGGAATCTAAGTCTTTCTTCTGTATCACCTTGTTAATGTGTCAGGAACTACCACCCCACCTTCCAAAACACATACACACTCTCACTTTTAATGCGGACCCATCTTAGAATAAACTAGTTAAGGACTGACTGCTGAACATGGTCCAGAAACTTACTGTCAAATTTTGCTTTTGAGATGTGCTTGTGTTGTGTGAAGTCTTTTTTTTTTTTTTTCAGTATTGATGAGGGATCACTTTAAGATTTATTGGATTTTGTTTGTTTTGTTTTGTTTTGTTTTGTTTTTGAGACAGGATTTCACTCTTATCACCCAGGCTGGAGTGGAGTGGCGTGATCATAGTTCACTTCAGCCTCTAACTCCTGGGCACCAGCAATCCTCCTGAGTAGCTGGGAATATAGGCATGTGCCAACACACCAGGCTAATTTTATGTATTTTTTAGATTTTCATAGAGATGAAGGGGTCTCAGTATGTTGCTCAGGCTGGTCTTGAACTCCTAGCCTCAAATGATCCTCCTGCATTGGCCTTCCCAAATACTGGGATTACAAGCATGAGCCACTGCGCCCAGCCTGTAATTATTCTAAAGATTTCTTTCCTGTTTATGTACAGAATATCTAACAGCTATGCTTACCTTTAAAGCAGCCTTATGAATATCCTTGTGAATTCCTTAAGCTCAAGGGTCTTGTTTGCATTTTGTAGGTATATCTGTAGATAGATCTTACCTATCTCTGGCAGGTAACATTATCATCATGTTTTCCCTGTTTCTGGACACTTTGTGAAAGCATTGTAGAAATAAAAGAAGTCTTTATTCTTTGACCTCTCTTATGCATTATGAATTCTGAAAAACTGAGGGAGATAAAAGGCAATCTATGCTTTACTGCTTTCCCTAAGTTTTGAGAAGCAGGCTTAAAAAAATGCTTTAAAAATTTTAGATGCCATAATACACTGAAAATAGGGATCTCAGGTATTTGAGGCAGACCAGGATTCTTCTTTGACCAGTCCTTTCACTGAAAAGACTGTATTTAGATATTTCTCTGAGTGTTCTAGATTCATAGACCCAAATGACCTCTCTGAGCATCAAGATACATGAAGAAGTTACTTCCTGAGGATAATAAATATGAAAAGAGAATTATCACCCTCTGCTTTCAGAAATCACTTAAAAAGGAAGGGAGTGCTTTTCCCATGAGGTTCCTGAGACAGAGTCCTTATGTCACCTTGTATTGGCAAAAAGATCTGGGGCACTGTGTTTGACGATAGCACTTCTTTGTTCCCCTCCCGATATATTTACAGAATATAATCCTATTTTGCTTGCACTCATTTCCATAATACTGAAAGTAAATAAACCTTATATAACGTTTTATGGTTAAGAACTACTTAGTCTTGTGTGTGGAACTTCAGCAAGAAGCAAAAGAAAATTCACTTATAGATATGTTACCTCACGTAATCCTCACCACAACCTTAGGAATTAGACATAAATTACAAGAACCAATTACTGATTGGGAAAGTAAGTCTCAGAGAGGTTAATGACTTCCTCAAGGACACAGGATGTTTCTTGATCTGACCAAGACGCGGGCCTCGTTTTCTGAATCCAGGGTTCTAGTCCTGTCTTTTAGGAGATGTCTAAGTCATACAAAAGCATCACTGGCAGATTCCACCAGTGTTTTATTCACACCTTGCAACAGCCTGCTTTTTGAAGGTTTCTTGCTGTCATGGCTATTCATTCCTATGAGGTGGAAATGGCTTTTTTGGTATCTCTTTGCATTATTACAGTTGTTGTTATTTTTAGTTCTATTTATATGAAAAATGTACTTTTTAGCCCACAAAAATAGCATAGCAGCAGCTTATCAAAATGTCCCAGACAAGTTTACTTCAACAAATTAGTAACACCTTCATGCTTCCTGTGGTGGAAGAAATGCAGAGTCCACTTCCTCCCAGTGAACATCTGAGCCAGATTTCTGCTCCACTCGGTCCCCCTTCCCACCTCTTACAGCCATGAAATAATGTGAGAGTATTTGTTTCCCCTGCAAAGGGAAGAGGGTCCAGAGACAAAAGGGAAGTTAGTATTCACTGGAAGCCTCCCTGTACAAGCAACAGTGTTAGGACTTTTATACACATTTTTACAATTATTACAGCAGTTCTCAATTATTGAAACAGAGGGTAGGCATTTCCCCTTTTTCAGAAGGGAAAAGTGAGAATTAAGTTAATTCCAAAGTCACACAGCTAGTGAGAGAAAAAGCCTGGACAGGAACTCAGACTGTATGACTCCAAAGGCTAAGTGCATTCTATACACACAGGCCGCCCTCCTGGCAGTGAGAGTTCAGGATCTGTTGGAGAAAACCTCAGACCATGGTTTTCTTGCAGCTTCTGCTGGAGAACATTAGGTGCCTGTTCCCCCGTGGTGAGTGTTACAAAGTGCAGCACCACCCAGGGGAAGAGTCTGGGCCTTGGAGTTAGACCTGAGTTTGAATCCTCCTTCAGATATTTACTATTGATGACATTGGCAATCAATGCTGCTGAATTTCTCCAGCCCTCCATTTATTCATCTATTAAGGGGAGAGCTACCTACAGGGCGGGGAACTTACAAGGATTAGATGAGGGGATATGTGTAAAGGCCTAACACCCAGTAGGTGCTCACTAAATGATGTTCCTTATTATTATGGTGATTACCACTGTACTCTTTTCAGATGAAAGTGTTCGGTCACCTGGAACCTGTGAGTATGTGGTTTTTGATCTGTGACTAAACTGTTCACCCATTTCCCAGTTTCTCTGCTGTGTCAAATATCAACATTTTACCAGGTTTCTCTGTTGTTGCCAAACCTGTCATTTTTATTTGGTGTGGCTTCTTGGGAAACTTCCATGGCCCATTTGATGGGAATCAAACAGAGTGAAAACAAGGACAGATGCAGCAGAGGTGGCATCAGGAACAAATGGGTCATAAGAACTTACCTTGGCAGCAGCCCCAGAATGGTCAGGAGGAAAGGCACTTTAAGGTATCAGAAGGTAGAAAGGAGAGGTTGGATGATAGAATGGGGAAGGGATTCCTCCTTGTGTTCACAGAAGTGAATCAATGGGAGACACAAGGTTACCACTTAATATTCCTGCTCTCCTAGGCATGGGTCAGGTACATCTTCAGCCATGGGTAAGTTTGTTCAACAAATGAGTGATCTTTGGGAGGCTGAGGCGGGCGGATCACGAGGTCAGGAGATTGAGACCATCCTGGCTAACACGATGAAACCCCGTCTCTACTAAAAATACAAAAATTAGCCGGGTGTGGTGGCGGGCGCCTGTAGTCCCAGCTACTCGGGAGGCTGGGGTAGGAGAATGTCGTGAACCTGGGAGGCAGAGCTTGCTGTAAGCAGAGATCGTGCCACTGCACTCCAGCCTGGGCGACAGAGCGAGACTGCATCCCAAAAAAAAAACCAAAAAAACGAAAACAAAAACAAAACCAAATGAGTGATGCATTGACCTTTCGTAATTCTTGGATGCAAAAGTAGAACTCAAGCTACTTAATAACAATCATGGTGGCATGGGCACCAGCAAGTCAGGGTGGACAACAGCCATAGTTCTGGAGCATGGTCCTCAAGACTACCTTTTGTATGCAGAGTATTAACACTTTAACTCTTAGATCCTTGGAACATAAGGAAGAGAGGCTGGAACAAAAAGGGGTTGGCATTTGGAGGTGGAGAGGTAGTGTAAGGCACAACTGTTTATCAACTGGTATCTAAGTATTTCAGGCCAGACACGTGGCTCACACCTCTAATCCCAGCACTTTGGGAGGCTGAGCCAGGAGGATTGCTTGAGTCTAGGAGTTCAAGACCGGTCTGGGCAACATGGTGAAACCCTGTCTCTACAAAAAATACAAAAATTAGCCAGGTGTGGTGGGGCACGCCTATGGTCCCAGCTACTGGGGAGGCTGAGATGGGAGGATCCACCTGAGCCCTTGGGGGTCGAGGCTGTAGCAAGTCATGATTGCACCACTGCACTCCAGCTGGGTGATAAAGTGAGACCTTGTCTAAAAAAAAAAAAAAAAAAAAAAGGAAATAGTTTAGTGTCTAGCTTCTGGTCCACTTGTACTGGTGTTGACTATGTATCAGCCCAGCTTATGTGGCTACAGGGATTCTCGTTGCACATCTGAATGAAGCCAAAAACATACGCAAGGTTTTAAGAGTATTTGATGTCTTATTGGCAATATGAGGTGGACCAGCCATACAGTTAGTAACATAACCAGCATTGGCTTCTGGCACTTAGTTCTGAGTTCTTTCCGAAGAACTTATATATGCAGAAACTGGACTTAGCACTCACTTAAAGAAGAAATAACTTTGATAAGAACCAGGTGGGTTGTTCTTTCTCTTTATTGGTTTCATGTTTTCAGATCTTGCTAACTCTCCCCAGCTGTGCCCTGCAGTGGAGACCTATTTGAGACTCTGTTATGATATGCCCAAGATACCACACATGCCCTAGGCTCTTCCCCTAGCGACAACCATGGTGCTCTCTAGGAACTAATCTTTGTGGCAAAGACCTTTGCCCGGGGGACACCTGCCTCTCCCAGCTCTTTTCCCCTCATGTCAAGGACCATGCATCTCATGCTATCTTTTCATCGTCATTTTCTCAACCTTAGGGCTTTATCTTTGAAACGTGTGCATCCGCCTTTAGACACTTTATCATTAACTGGAAATTACTGTTCAGATAGACTTGAGGATAATTATTCACGTTATTAAAAAACATTCCTCAGTTCGGTAAAGTATTTGGTAGCAAGCTCCTATAAGTAGAGAGAGTTTCTGATGTATTTGAGTACAGATCAATTACAACTTGAAGGAGAGGTTGGTGCATTGCTGAAGAACTTTTAATAAAGTTGCAGGTGCTGTCAGAAATGGAACCATACCTGAAAAATAATAACTGAAATTTCTTCAGTTCCATAGCATTGCAAAACTTACTTCCGCATTTGCTCATGTGATATATGGGATTTCCATCTCTAATCCTTTGCAAGATGGAAAGTCTGCCACATACATTTCTAGCGAGCCATGAGGTAGCTGGAAACTGCCACCATGCCATACCTAACCCCACTCACACCAGGGCCATGACCTCTTACACCTCTTTTTTAAGGTCTTCATCAATGACACATGACCCTAACAACACATGACTCTGTCGCCACTTTCCATTCTTCCCCCAATATCTCCCCTTCTAGGAGATTTCAGAGCTTTGCTCTTCTCTATTAAATGATTGTCATCCTCAGATGTGGGCTAAGAAAAAAATAGGATCTGATTTCCTGAACTCTTCTTTGCACACAGCCTTTCATGGAAACTGCTGTAATGCAAGTCTGGGTATTCCCTGAAGTGGCCCTTCATGTCACTATTTGACTAAGGAATAGGAGGGAACAACCCCGTCTTGCCTCATCCCTGCTCTCTCAGCCAAAGAAGACCTGTGTCTGGCTGGAGGGTGGCGTCGCGCCTCCCCTTGGTGCCGCAGGCCACGCAGAGAGGCAACGACCTTCCTCCAGGGCTCCTATCGAGCTGGGGAATGAGTAATTGGGACTCGCCAAAGTGTTTAAACACCAGAATTGAAATTAATGTCCCCTCATTGCTGGGTACGCTGACAATACATTACGGCAAACACCTTCCCAAAGTGAAATGAATGTTTGTTTATCCTCATGAAATATACATCAAAACATGTTGGTGGAAGAAGCCCTAATGAGGGAAGGGGCCAGGTTTCTGTTAATTCTTGGCAAATAGTTAACTGAAGTGGAAGGTTTTTTTTTCTTTTTCTTTTTCATTCTTCTTTTTTCTTTTCTTTTTTTTTTCCTCCAGAATAACCTGTCCACAGCTGTGTATCTAGGACATTAATATGGGTTTAATGAAAACTCCAGTTGATCTGTCCAAAGATATTGATGAGCATTGCCCAGGCGTATTAATCATCTCCTTGAGGGAGGAAATGAAGGGAATGGGCGAGCAGGTTTCTGTCAGATGCCAATCCAGATGAAGAGATGTGAAAAGAAATTTTTTTAATCCTCCATAGCTATATCCATTTCCTGGGACATGGGTTGGCCCAAGAGGGAATGAGAAGGACCTGCGATTGCACAGGAAATTCTGGGGCACATTTAACGTTAAATCATTAAGCTTCTGCCAATAAATCCATTACTGTTAATTACACTGAGATGGCCAACGATCTGCTGACAATATTCCTTCATTGATTTTCATTCTCAGTGAATCGATGTTCTGGCTTGGCTCTCTTTGGTGTTTTCATTCTTTCATTTCTTTCTCCCTGTCCTCATCTCTCTCTCCCCGTGCCCTGCTCCCTACACCTATCCCTCCCCCTCCCCTTGAGCTTTTTCAGTAATGCAGTTCCCCTCTCACTGGTGATACAGTTCTCTCCCTAAGTGCCAAATGTTTCTTGATAGGAACAAGCTACATTTCTTTATGGCTTATGGCAAACTGCCTTGATTACTTCTACTGCTGTACCCATTATGTGAATTAAATATGTATTCAGTTGCATGCTGCTTGCGATGTTATTGCAGGGTGACATATGGTACTGACTCAATTAGAATGAAACTAGCATTAGATAACCCTTCTGATTACATGCATCCTGACCGGCTCCTCCTCGGCCTCCCCTCTGTGCTCTCGCTCTCCAGTGTCTGGAGGCCGCAGATTTTCATTATCTCTGCCACATCGGATGCAGGATGGGGGTGGGAGAGGGAGGGGCCTGTGGATCTCTGGGAAAGAAAGCGGATCAGACAGACAGACTGCTGTGAAAGGGTTGGTGGGGAAGAATAGAGAGGCCTCTGTGCTTGCATTTGGAATTAACATTTACAATTATATTTTTTGGAAGTGGTTGTCAGGCCTACTCTGAAAAGGGGCTGGAAAGGTCTCTCTAGAGTTGTGAAGCAACGGCTGCATGTGATTAGTCAGTCCTTACCTTGAAATGATTTATTTAAAAAGAATACATTGTTCGGGCGCAGTGGCTCATGTCTGTAATCCTAGCATGGGAGGCCGAAGCAGAAGGGTTGCTTGAGCTTAGAAGTTTGAGACCAGCCTGGGCAACATAGCAAGACTCTGTCTCTAAAAGAAGAAAAAATTTAAGCTTTTCTTAAAAAAAAAAAAAAATCTTTTTTCTGTTGTTGCTGTTTCTTTTTTAATGCAGAGCTAATACTCTACTACCAGTAATATATTTTGTTTTCATATCACACCAATATTCAGTATATGTTAACCTGTTGGATTTTCATCATATCACACCAATATTCAATATATGTTAACCTGTTTGATTTTCATCAGCATCTGACAACACAGGTAGACTAGGAATCATCCCCCTGTTTTACGGATGATGCGGTGGAGATTCGGAGAGGCTTGGCTGCATTACAGTTTGAAGTCACAAAGTCCCTGAGTGCCCAAATGAGGGGGAATCCTTAAAATGCAGGGGGTTCTGAAGGGCAACTCAAGGATGCATTGTAAAGTGATCAAGAGTTGTTAAATCTTTTTTTTTTTTTTTTTTTTTGTGACAGAGTCTCCCTTTGTCACCCAGGCTGGAGTGCAGTGGTGCAATCTCGGCTCACTGCAACCTCTGCTTCCCGGGTTCAAGTGATTCTCCTGCCTCAGCCTCTTGAATAGCTGGGATTACAGGCATGCACCACCATGCCCGGCTAATTTTTGTATTTTTTGTAGAGATGGGGTTTCGCCATGTTGGCCAACTGGTCTCGAACTCCCGGCCTCAAGTGATCCTCCCACCTTGGCCTCCCAAAGTGCTGGGGTTACAGGCATGAGCCACTGTGCCCGGCGAGAGTTGTTTAATCTTGAAAAGTTGTCTAGCATAGTTGGTGCTGGAATATCTGGAATATCACATCCTGACATAATACAAATCACACTAGAGTACTGTGGGCATATGACATTTCCTTATGAGGAGTAATTTTCTCTCTGTGATAATTTTAACTGTGTTTTAGAGTGTTCTAAGCTTCCTTCCTCCAGCTCTATCACTTCCAGTTGCCAAGCAAGAACTTATAGACAGACCCATTCTCTTTCAGTCCCATCTAGACACACCTGAGGCTGAAGCGTCTTCTAGGCTAGGGGCTACCACAGGGCACTGATAGAGAGCAGAGAGCTTGCAGGCAACCTTGGCTTTTCTCAAGCGCTGGTAGAAAGGCTGCTGGGTCTGAGATCACCCAACTGATGTTGCGTCACCATAAAATAAGACTTCTTGCCTGTGAGCAGCTCAAGTTAGCAGGCATATTTGAGTGTCTTCCACAGATCCCCAATCTGGAAATCTGAAAACCAGAATGCTCCCAAATCTGAGAATTTTTGAGCACCACCATGATGCCACAAGTGGAAAATTCTGCACCTGACCTCAGGTGACTACACAGTCAAAGCATAGTCAGAACTTTGTTTTATGCACAAAATCATTAAAGTGTTATATAAAATTACCTTTAGGGTCTGTGTGTAAACTATATGAGATACAAATGAATCTTGTGTATAGACATGGGTCTCATCCCCAAGACACTATTACGTATATGCAAAAATTCCAAAATCTGAAGACAGTAATCCCAAATTCGAAACACTTCTGACCCAAGCATTTTGGATAAGAGATACTAAACCTGTATACGTGCTTGTGTGTACCACATTATATGCTGTGGGAAATACAAAGTGTACGTAGACAGCTGGCTATAGGCAGCTCATACGCAGGCAGAAGTGGCCATAGGCAGCTCATACCCAGGCAGAAGTGAATATCATGAGGGTAAGTGTAAGTGAGGATGGTGTGAACTCAGAAGTGCCATAGATGCACTTAAATGATTTTAGTGTTTTTTATGCTGTCACTCAGCCCATTGCCTTGAGTATAGCAGGCTTTTAACAAACATAGGTTGAATGGATGTGGGGATGAATGAAAGGGAGGGTGTGAACTATGATATAATGAGGCAGGTTTTCGTGGAGGAAATGGGACCCCTTATAGATAACACAACCATCCATTCCCACCCCACCACTCCCTCCCCTCCTGCTTTTCAATTATAATAATGATAACTAAGTTATGCAGCACTTTATATTTAAAGTAACCCTTTCAAGAAATGCTGGAAAGATAAGCAAGAAATGAAGAAAAATGGTTATCAGTAGAGGCCAGGTGTGAGCGTGGGGAATAGGGTTAACAGGGCCAAACAAGGGTGGGAGCAAGACTTGGCAATGTATGGTGATCATAATGTATATTGTAGATGTATTTTTTATATTGTAAATGCATTAACTACTCAAAAATAATATTAAAATCAAAGAAATTTTCTGGAGCATTAGCTTACCCAGTCTTCACAGTCGCCCTTTAAATGGGCTGCACAGTTTTACTAGGTTCTAATTTCATGAAAGGGAATCGAAGAATGTAAATAACTTACCTAAGATCATAGAGTTAGTAAGTTGTAGAGGCAAGACTAGCCCAGATTGGGTTCTTTCTACCACAGCATATGGCTTCTGTGAACATTGTCCCAACTGTGCTAATCCCCAGAGAGGTTTATGGCTATGTGGTTGGGACCTTCCCTGAGACCACTGTTCGCCAAGGTCACTGTGTGTGCCCCACAGGCCTCTGCAGGAAGAAAGAGTTGGAAGCTCAGGGTTCTTCTCCCCACTGCCACTGTAACACAGCAGATTTAAACTACAAGCAACAGCAGAGCAGAGCAGAGTTTGGATGTACAAGATGAGCTGTCTCTGAACTGGCCCTGTGGTTCATGCTCGCTGTTGCAGAAGGGAGGAAGTGTGAAGCAGATGGCCTTTGCCTGGTTTTCAGGGTGGCCCTGAGATACACAGGGTGCCTGCTGAGGAATGAGGGAGCTATTACAATTATTATAATACCTGGAAGGGCCGAAGAACAAATCAGGCACTGAAAGCACCAAAAGTTGTTGATCTTGTAAATTTAGGACAGTGCGACTTACGTTCTTGAGAGCAAAGTATGACATTTTTATGGCATGCTTTAGGTAGGGTCCCCACTATTCTATAGGTGTTTATACTGCTTCAGTTGCTTCACAGCTCCCCCTTCTTTCCTACCACACCTGACACTCCCCACCATTTTCCATCGGCAGGGGAGCTACCTAGAGCTGCCTTACTTGGCAGAGCAGAGGTAGCACCTGTGTCATTGGCTGTTCTAGTGTGCTGTCATCTAGCATATCTGTTATTCCATCTGCAGCCTTCACACACTTTTGCTCTCCAGGTCCAGTGAGTTCATACATAGCAAGGGCTTTTCCTGAGTATCATGTAGCCAATGAAGAACAGATCTGTCCATAGACTCCTGGAAGGTAATTTGCTGCTCTGAACACCATGACGTCTGCCTTTTCACAACGTGCAGCTAATCATAGGCACCTTATGCCCAAGATTGCCTTTCACAAGAGTTGTGAAAGTGCTCTCCCAGTCTGGTTCCTTCTATGGGCCATATTCTGTTTTGATGTTGTCTAAAAGTGTCCTCTGTATCTTCTGTACCTCCTAACCCAGGTCCCACCTCCATGAAACCTTTAGGATTATCTCAGATGTCACAGAACTAGAGAGACTAGTGATTCTAAGATTTCTAGCTTTTTTTTTCAATTAACTTCTAGAGTGCTTTGTTTTCTTTGCTGAAGTCAGATTTCTGCCCCTGCAGATTATGAAATCACCCAGTGGACAAATTCAGTCCTTATTCTACACTCTTGCTGTATTTGATCCTGACAACCTTTCTATTATAAAATTCTCATTTCTTCATCTCTGTATTCTCTTGGTTTGCTTCATATCTCTTTGGTTGGGCCTCCTTAGTTAACTTCAATGTTGCCTCCTCAGCCCATCACTAAGTATTCGTATGCCTGCATTTATCAACTAAATACCTATGGCTCACAAATATATCCATCTGTGATCTCACTGAGGACAGAGGACTTATCTTCTTTGTCAACCGCTGCATCCCCAGTGAGGAGTACAATGTCTGGACTAAAACAAGTATCCAGTAAGTATTTATTGAACAAATGGTAAAGTAAAACCTATATGTTTAGCCCAGATTGCTTTTGTGAGTTTCAGATCTACACATATAACTGCCCGGCAAGCATCTCTATATCCATGTTCAGCAGATTTATAAATCCAGAGCAGACCTCATCAATCCCCATCCACAACAAGTCTTCCTCCTGTATTCCGTCTTTTATCTGCCCAATCTAGAAACCTAATATTTGTATCAGACTTTAACCTTTTTCTATGTCACCTCCCACTACCTTCATCTAATCATTAGCCAATTTGTGTTGATACTACCAGCAAGCATTTAATGAACACTTTATGCCAAGACTTATAAAACTAAACACATTCTAACTATTTCTCATTTCTCCTTCTTCCCATCTGCTGTCATCCTAAGTCAGGCACTCACTATCTTTCACCCATTCAGCAGTATTGACCTCTTGACTGGTGTCTCTGCCTGTAATATCCTTAAGCAGCCCATCGCATCTGAGGCCTGCCAGGAGACTCTTAACATGCTAACCTGCTTGCTATACCCTTATTCAAAATTCTTTGATGGAGGTCCCATTGTCAAAAGCTGCAGTCCTGAATCTCAAAACTGTTGTGCCATGATCAGTTGTGAAGTATGTCACAAGTAATTTTGATATTAATAATGGTTCAAGACCTAAGGTTTGCAAATTATTTAAAATTTTAAGCTAAGTCAAATTATCACCATATAAATGTCACTTTCGCTCACTTGAATTCCCATATGCTTTCTTTAGTGGAAGAGAAAGAGTGGCATTACAGTCTGCTGAGAATTATTCATTTTGGTCTGTAGGATGAAATCTAAACTCCTTTGCATAACCTACATGAACCTTGTGATCTAGTCCTTGCCTACTTCACCAGGGCTATTTCTCACCATTTTTTTCTATCTCATCATATGCTACAAATATACTGAGTTACCTGTAATACCTAAAACCTGCCACTTCTTTCTTATACCTTTGAAGATTGTCTCCTACTAGCGATTTCTTGTACCTGTTATCCCCTAAAACACTCTTACTGATCATTCAGATCCTGGCTGAGGCCTTGCCTGAGTATCCTGACCCAGTTCTAGATATTCCTCTTCCTTTGTATCCACTTTGCCTTGTATATTCCTTCATTGTAGCTTATAATAATTACATGGTGTTTTTAGCATGTTCGTTTCCCCGTTGGACTGTAAGTTAATGCCTTTTCATGTTCTTCTCCCAATTTTTAGTACATGGCTGAACATATGGTAGGTGCTCTGTAATCTTATCCACTGGTCCCAACATTCTTCAGAATCAGGCAACTTTAGTACCACATCATAACTTAATAGATAAAAGCGAGAGAGCCCTGGACAGGGAGTTTGAGCAGCTAGTCCTAGCTCGTCTATAATGATTCTGTGGCCCTTGACATGTTACACAAAACTTATATCTATCTCAGTTTCTATGTGTATGGTCTGTTTGTAGGACTTCCCTATGAAATGGTGGTTTAGACCAAGTTGGAAGGTGTGCATTGATTGGAAAATACAGGAAGTAGGATAGAGTAGGCAAAGTGAGGCCCATGTGCTTGCCATTGATAGTCTGTCATTGAATGTCTAGCTGGGAGTAATAAATGGAGACCCAGTCGTTATTTGAGCATAGATGACATGTTCTGAAATTAGATTGAAGGACTTCTCATCTGGTAAAAATGTGCCGGATGTACTAGAGTGTAGAGAGAGTGAAGAAACAGATTTCAGCCAGGAGACAAAAGGATCTGGGATCTGCTATCTTGGGAATGAAAAAGATCACACTTTTTTCAAAAAGTTTTTGAAAAAAAGAATGACAGAGCCTGGTAACCACCTAGATATGGAAGTTGAAGGAAAGGTATGAATTGAAGATGATGGAATCATTTAATTCATTTATTTATTTGGATTCCACAGAAAGTTTGAGGTGGGATATGACTCAGTACAATGAAAACTGTTAGGCATATGGCTGGAGGGTGTGGTCACAGATGCTGGCTTTGTCATGTAACTCGGAAATAAGGCTTTGCCAGGATTGTCGTAGAGTTTGCTGCATCGTATGCAAGTTTGGACTAGACTCTAAGATATCTCCCATGTCTGTCTATGTGTTTATCTTTGTAAGTTCTCTGATTTGTTACCTGAGAGAATGGGTTTGGCATTAATTAATAGGAATAAGGAAATCAGGGAAGGGAGGGGATTTGGATGCCAGGTAGAGTTTTCTTCATTTCAGATTGTGGTAGATCTTTTGAGTTTCACTGAATGTTGTGATAACTTCTGTATAATTGTTGACTTTCCTTTTGGCTTTGTCTCTGACTTTCATAGGATAGCGCTGTATCTGTTAGAATCATACTCTGTTTTCAGGCTGTCCCTAGGCTGAGCTCACTAGTTCCAGTGACCTCTTTCTGGTAGGAGGTCAGAGTTTATTGAGTGACAGTGGACCAGAATAAAATTATAGTGGAAAAGAATTTGGGTTTTGGAGTCAGACTGACCCAAATTTGTGTTCTATATCCTTTGTCTATTTTGTGACATTAGCAGGTTACCTAATTTTCATATGTCCGTCTTCTCAATACTGCAAGTGGGGATAATATCACCTACTTCATGGGGTTTGGTGAAAGATTAAAATAATAATAGCTAATATTAATTTAGGGATTAGTTACTAAGCACTGCTATTTTACATTCATTATCTCGTTTAATCCTCCCTGCAAAATCTATAAAGTATGTATTTTCATTGTCCCTGTTACACTGACCAGTAGAGGGATTAAATAATTTGCCCTGTTACCTGACTAGGAATTGGCAGAGCAGGGATTAGAACCTAGGTTGAATGACTGCAGAATCTGAGCCTTTAATAACTGAAAGCACGGCAGCTTCCCAAATGTCACCCTTTCTATGAAAATGTGAAATCTCTAGTAAGACCCTCTTTCAGATTAATCACCTCTTCTACCATGCTCCTATAACAAAATTCCTGAAACTTTAATTAGCCCTTTTCTATTCTATGTCAACCCTTTATTCAACCCTTAATTTTAATCATTTTTATACGTCCCCTTCTCTTCACTAAATTATAAACTTTTAAAAACAAAAACTGTGTTTACCTATGTATTTTTGCATTCAATTCCTTTATACACAGGAAGTCTCAATGTTAATTTGTTGCAAAGAAATTATTTGAAAGGCTCATGCCTTCCCTAGGGGGACATCTTTAGCCACTTGGTGCCTTGAGGTCACCTTTACTTTTCCATCATCAAAATAGGAAAATTAAACTGTCACAGAGTACTACGAATAGCAGTAATGAAATATTATCATTTAAAATAAGGATATAATATCACTTAGCCTGATTGTGGTCTTCACATCACCTCCCCCGACCAAAGAAAAGTCATAAAAGCAGAAGTGTTCTTTGCCTCAGTGGTTTAGATTGTTTGTGATATTTGGAATTGAACTAGACAAGAAGAGACGTATCAGGAACCAGTTCCTCCTTGCCTCCAGGTATCAGACATGCTAGATCCCAGTTGGTCTTAACTTTTTGTCTCACTTACCCCTTTGGTTGGAATGCAGGCATTATTCTGAAGCTTTGTGGTAAGCGACTTGGATTTTCTAGTGTCGGGCTCTTCTCTTTTTTAGGAAGGGAGAAGCGGGTCTGGGAAATTAAAGTGCCTGTATCTCCCAGGGCACCGATTGTTAAGAGGGTTGGGACCTCAGTATGTTTTTTTTCCATTCTGCCACACCTGAGATAGAAAAAAGAAATACCACGGTCCCTCGGGTAGCAGTAGAGGGTGAGAGCAAGACTCCTACCTCTGAATGCCGTTAGATTTAGAAGTTCATTTTGACTGCTTTACGATACAAAGTTGAGTAATAATAATGGTCTTACTGGTATAAATAATAAGCACAGAGTGTTTCATACATATCAAAGCAATTTCGTACATTGTAGTTCTCATTCTTTGAGAAACAGCCTTGTGGGGTTGAACAGAAGGAATTACAGAATTGTGTTTGACGGTGTTGAGTGAGAAATTTTTAGCTGTTTTTCTTATTTTGTTCCCTGTTCCCTCATTTTTTTCTTATCCTGAGTTAGTCTCTTGATTTACATCTCGGCATTCAGGACTCAATGTTGCCAGCCTCCCGCATCTGAAGTAGCTGAGAGCCAGGATGCTAGCAGAGGATATCTGTGTAGCCAAACTAAGGGCCCATGTACTTAAGTTTGTGCAGTTGACTCATCAGAGCGCCCAAAAGCCACCACTCAAGACCTCTGATTTCAAATATGATTCTAATTGTATGTTTATCTGGCTTCCTAGCCTGTGCCAGACTATATACATGATAATCTCTAACATTTACTAAGTACTTACTAACTGAGACACTCTCCTAAATACTCTCAAGCATTCACTCAGGTAATCCTCACAACCACACTAGAACACGAGGTACCACAACTGCCTCCATTTTACATGTGAGGACAGAGCACAGGGGGGTTTTGAAACAAGGTCCCAAGCCAGTAGTCAGGTCTGGCTTCCATGATCTGGAACCACAGCCCATGCTATCAGCTATAGCACTACAACCTCAGAAGAGGGGGAAACTTAAAGAAGCAGTAAAATCATAAAAAGGAGACTCAAGAATTTAAAAAGACCAGCAGACTGAGTCTATACAGAATAGGCATGCGTGCTCTCACATAGCAGCGGGCCTGGGTGATCATCAGCATTCCTAATGATAAATGACGTGGGTCACAAAGAGGAGGCCAAATAATGTCCAAGATCCCTCTCTATCTATCTACCTAGATATTTTTTAAAAGAAGCTAGATGGAAATATAACATGTTTTAGAAGATTACTATCGAAAATGATGAAAATACAAATAGTTTTGGTAAAGCTCCAGTAACAGGGAGCCAAGCTTTCAAAAGTGATTTATTTTTCAGTAGTTAACGTTTTTGTGCCTTTCTACCTGCTCGTGGGTTCCAGAGTCTCTGTTGCCTGGTGTCTCCCCGAGAACAAAGATTGTGGATCCCCAAAGTACCTCCACCTCCTCACTGGACTCCTGCTCCAGAAAAGATGACCATAATCTAATAATCACTCTACCGCATGAACAGGGTGTCACACATGTGCTTGACTGTGCCTCTACAGTGGCAGGTAGAGCGAGTGCAGTGCAGGAAATATCAGCCCTTTTCTAAAGCACTATGAAGATGAAAGGGGGAGGTGGTCAGGGGATGGAGAGGACGGAGGGGAAATCACTTCTTTGTCTAAAAGGGAAATGCCAGGACTGTCCCTTCAGGTCTGTTAAGTGTCTATAGGATGTGGAGGAAAATTCTTCTTCTCGTTGCTCCCACCTCTCCCCATCCCCTTTATTCTTTCTCACTTTGTAGAATAATATAAAAAAGCCCAGCAGAAAGGGAGCTGTGATGCTGTCGTCCCTGGCGTTGATGTTATTTATTTTCCTCAGTTGCTGCTCTGGAAGCCCGGAGTTGACAGAGCGGTTTTGTAGAATAGAAACATTATAGACTGTTACTGTCAGAGTGTTAAATGTGATGGATAGAGAAATAGAGGCGAAGGAGGGGACTTAATACTGAGAGCCAGGGTGCTCATGGGAAAATAAACCATCCGCATATAAGAAATGAATGAGGTAATGTGGCGGGAGGTAATGGGCTTTCGCAACATGCCGGAACAGAGATGCTTATTACAGGGTGTGCTTAACCCTTGGCATGCTGATTTCCCTTTGTGGGTTCCAGGGCTTTTCGCTGGGTCCCTCTGTGGGAGCATGTGTGTGGCTTTTCTTCAGGCAGGGAAGCCAGCGTGTGTAGAGGAGTGGAGGCAAACGCATTCTTAATAACACTGTATTAGCAGCCTGTACATCAGAGAGCTTGGCAGCTCCTGAGGGACACGGGACTCCCGTGGCTGTGTGAGACAGAATGTGCCAGGATTGCTGGGTTATGGAGAAGCCAAGGAAGGCACATCAAGGGAGCGTGAGGTTCTGTTATTTCTCCATTGGAGACTTAAGAGAAGTGCTTTGGTTACGTAGGGGAGGAGATTCATGTTACTTGATTCTCTTAGTGGCACCCGAAGGTTTCTTGCTACTCTTCGTAGCAAATACTAGCTGTTTACCACTGACCAGAATGTGGTGGCTTTGCTCTAGGTTGGGGGACACGGGAGCAGACAGTGATCATCTTTATTACCTCATGGTCTAGTTACAGTGCATGGTACAGAGGTAATAATAAAGGTGATCGTGTCAGGTGGAGACCCTGCAGCAGATAGGATGATGGAAGGGGACCCAACTCTCCTGGATGAGGTAGGTGAATTAAACTGAAGGTTTGCCAGTTTCAGTGAACAAGGTGCTTTTCCCTTGTGTTGGGTTTCTATGACTTTTTTCACCCATCTTTGTGTTTTGGTGGTGGCCAGCCCTGTATATTGCCACTTAGCTGATATGGACTCCCATCTGCCTCTGACAGTTGCCTGCTGTGTGGCCTTGAGCATGTCATTGAACCTCTCTGGGTGTTAGTTTCTTCATCTGTAACATGAGAATAATAACACTTCATAAATTCATTAGCAAGACTAAACATAATCATGCCTATGAAAGTGTGGTAGCCTCTAAAACATTACGCAAATAGCCAAGTATTATCATTATTTCTGTTAGTAATGAAACAATATATGCGTGTCAGATAATAAGGTAAAGCTCCAACTCCTAATCTTTTCAGGAGACTCTTTGCCTTTTTGCATTTTTTTTTCCCCTGCTAGGATACATAGAGTGGTAAGATATGTAGAAAGCAGAGTTCAGGGGAAAGTTAGAATGAGGCAGAGCTTCCAGGATAGTACTTTCTTGTTGATCTGTTATTTTTCTAAACCTTTTTCTTTTCTGTGTTGAAACACAATGCCATTTTTTGAACTTCACCAATTGTTATCTCAGATATGGATATGCCTGAGGCCTGGGCAAGTCAGGGCAGTGCCACTCCAGTTTCAGAAAAGAAAGTGTGATGGGGTTCAGCAGGGGAATTGCTGTTGTACTTCATTAGCCAAGCTCAGTAATTCCAAGAATACCCCTGCGGGTGTGGGTGTTTATGAAATGCAGATTCACAGGCCTTGCCCCAGCAAATTTGATAGGAGTCTAGGAATCTGTATTTCACAAACACTGTCAATGAATCCCATGCCTGTGGTACTTACGTCACTTATTAGAAACTACCTCTTCCTTCACACTCTCTCCCACTCCCCTGTGGTGATGGTCTAGTTACTGGTCTTAAAGGTGATAACTCACTACTATTCAAGAGTAATTAAAATGCCACCAATGCCCTCACTTCATCAGCACATGGGTCCTGCACAAGACTGATTGTGCACATTTTTAAAGCATTTTGTATTTTTTGACCGAGCTCTGTACTTATGATTTGTGTCATTTTCTATCTCTGTATTATGTGTTCAGAAAGTTTTTTATAATAGCACCGATATTGCTTTTATTAGTGGTACTGTGACATATGACTGAGACCCACAACCTTTTGGTCTATATTAAAAACCTACTGAAAAGTAAATAATTTGTAAACTTTAACCACATAGACAAAGTGCATGAAGGGGACATGGAGAGAATAAAAATCTCTTACAGACATATGTTTTTCCAGTGGGCAGCTGCTATTTAAGAACTTTTAAGGTGCACATGAGTACACCTTTGTTAAAAGGTATAGCTTGTATAGTAATTCCGTTCTGGGGGTTGCGGAGAAGAGCAGGAGGGAGCACAGTGTGCCTTGCCCTGGCTGGCAGTATGAGACAATTACCACGATGAGGTTTTTTTTTTAATGTTCTCCATATATAGATTAAAATGTTTGTTGCCTGAACTGGGCATGGAGAAGGCATCATAATGTGCACCTGAACATTCATGTAGGGTTTAGTGAGGAGAAAATAAGAGGATACCCTGAGCTCACATTCATGGGCATGGGCTCAAGCTTTTTCCAAAGTCACTGAGATGTCATTGTATTGACTCAGCCTTATTTGCATTACCTCATTCTGGTAGAACTGCTATGTTTATAGACATCATTTGGCATTTACCCTTCCACATCAGAGCTTTCATATTGGAGTTGACTCTTCATTTTGAGTTGACCAAGGTGGGCTTCAGTGTGAGTGAGTGTGTGCACTTGTACAGATACACCATAATCTAAGAATCACCCTACCCCCATGAACAGGGTGTCACGCATGTGCTTGACTGTGTGCTTCTACAGTGGCAGGTAGAGTGAATGCAGTGCAGGAAATATCAGCCCTTTTCTAAAGCACTATGAAAATGAAAGGGGGAGGTGGTTGGGGGATGGAGAGGACAGAGGGGGAAATCACTTCTTTGTCTAAAAGGGAAATGCCAGGACCGTCCCTTCAGGTCTGTTAAGTGTCTATAGGATGAGGAGGAAAATTCTTCTTCTCGTTGACATTGTGTAGGTCTGTGTGTATCTGCATATGCCTATATTCATTATGACTCATCATCTTACTCTCATGGTCTTTTGGAGATACTTTGTCTATTCTGGAGTGCAGAGGTAATTAACTTATGGTGCCAGCTCCACTGATATCCAACCATATATATCTTTGGATTTTTGAAAACCTGATGTTTGCAAATGTCTATTATTAAAAAAAAAGAGAGAGACAAGGTCTCACTATGTTGTCAGGCAAGAGTGCTGTAGCTATTCACAGGCTCGATCCCACCATTGGTCAACACAGACTGCTCTGTGTCTGACCTGGGCTGGTTCACCCCTCCTTAGGCAACCTAGTGGTTCTCTGCTCCCAAGAGGTGATCATATTGACATCAAACTGAGTGTGGACACCCAATTGGCATAGCGCACTACAGCCCAGAATTCTTGGGCTGGAGTGATCCTGCTGCCTCAGCATCCCAAGTAGATGGGACCATAGGTGTATACCTCCATGCTGGGCTACAAAAATCTGTTCTTATCTTCTGTGCCTTTTTCTTGTTATTCTAAAAGGTGGAAAGCCGAGCAACTTCAGGATGGTGCTGTAGCATTGTGAGTGAGAGGAGAATATATTTAGTTCATATGGCTGCCTTATGTGTAATGGATTACTGGGTATAGGTCCATGTATTGTTGATCTGTGGCATGACAGGCCTGGCAGAGGGACACAAACACATATGTACAAAATGGCTCCCTGCTCATTACCACGAGCCTGAACTCATTTCAGCTGAGACGACCAGTTAGCCAACAGCCCAGGCGTACATGTGACAGCTTGGGTGTCTGCCCCTGCTGGTCATAGCTACCGCTTCCGTCACTGGCTGTTAATCAGAATATGAGAAACTCTGGCCATTTCTACTGGCTGGACTCCGTGTGCTGCCTGAATCCAGGTGCATGCAGAGATGTTCTCAGATCTAAGAGAGGTCAGGAAGGGAAAGGGATGATTCCTCCTCCTACCTTTTCCTAAGTCCCTTCTCCACACATCCAATTGCACCCATGAGAACCGAACCACCATGTTGAATGGGGTCTGGCATTCAGAGCAACTTCCCTACAAATCTCTTTTTATTGGCATTTCCTCCAATTTAACCAGCCCTGAATTGCATTTGAATCAGATGAGAGAAAGAGAGGGAAGGAGAAGGGAGGAGGTCCCTCCCTCTCTTGGAAAAGCAGCTCACAACCAGCTTTATTTGGTAAAATGCTGCAATAGATGCTTGTCAGAAATAATTTATTCCTGTTAGCTGTAATCTGAAGGAAAACAGATACAAGTCCTATAGTTAAAAAAAAAGTAAAGTAGTCTTGCTTTCGCTGACAGTACAAAGGTGTCATATACAAGAAGGATTGACACAGACCAAGGGGTCTTGTGGGAAATATGATAATAACTATAAAGAAGACAGATTATTCCCCAGTTGCCAACATTCAAACCTTTTTACAGTCAGTTCAAACATATAAAACTTTATTGCTCTAGCAGAAAGGGGAACAATTTCTGGTTGCACAGCTTTCCCAGGGCTGGGTTTATACTGTCTGTGTTATTGCTCTATAGTGGCATTTTAAAGTTTATTGAACAAGACTTTTACAATTGAAGGAAGTATATAAAACTGTAAATTTATTAGATTTTTCAGGATAAGTGCCCTTTGTAGTTGTGCTCAAGAATTCGGAGCTATGAGAAACTGCTAGTTACAAGACTTATTAATATTAAAGACTGAGAGTACGCACATTTTATACCTTAACTGATCTCAAAAATAATATTATTATATTACTGAATGTCAGAGCTCTGATACTATAGAATTGGATGGATACACACACATAGGACTCTATGTACCAGATGTGTTTATTTTTCACTGGCTAAAAAGTTAGCTTTCGTTATATCTTACTTTATTTGCTTTTAACACAGTTGGTCAGGGTATTCCTCTGTTCATTGAAGGATGTCTCAGGTAGATGTTTTTTCCTAAAATCCTTGCTGATTTTCCAGCATTTCTCAGTGTGTGGGTATAATGCAAGTACAAGTGTTAGGTTTTAAGAGCATATTTTATGGTGAAGTAATATATTGTTGCATTCACAAAAGCAACTATAACTTTGATAATCAAAATACTACCAAAAGGAGTTCTTGTTTTCCCCAACTTCTCATTTTTCATTTCTTAAAGGTTTTGAGGGAAATCATTTGAGAAATTTTGTAACATTTGTGATAATCTATAAAAAGGTTTCTCAACCTCAGCACTATTGACTTTTTGAGGCCAGATGATCCTTCATTATGGGGGCTGCCCTGTGTACCGTAAGCTGTTTAGCTGCATTCCTGGCTTCCACCCATAGATGCCAGCAGCATCCCCACTCCCCCATTGTGAGAACCAAAAATGTCTCCAGACATTGCCAGATGTCTCCTGGGAGGCAAAATTATACCCAGTTGAGAACCATTCATCTATACAGTATTATAATATGTCTGGGGAAAATACATTTTACTGTAAATAAATAATATAGGTTGTGTTTGGTAATTAAAAAATATATTGTTACTAAACAAGATGAATTACAGGATTATTTACTTGCAGAAATATCTGACTGTTGACTGCTTTTAAATAAGGTGTTTCCCCCAAAGAATGTAACATAGCTCAATCTTTAAAATTTTTCATATAAATTTTGGGGATCATATCACTATGTGGAAGGAGATGCCTTGCTTGCTTACTTAAGCCTCAGGACATGTGTTTATGGATATAATCACTTATGAAACCAGACCTCATATTCTTTTTATATTATGTTATGATTAGCCACTGATATGTGTTTGCCTTTTTGATTTTTCACATGCATATGCAGAAACATGTATATGTATATATTATGTGACTAACACAGTGAAGGATATGAAAAGTATGAAGACAATTTTGATTATAATTTTCTCATTTGACAAGTTCAATTTTGAGGTACCATCAACTTGCCTTTAATTTTCAATTTGTATTCTAGAATTCCTTAACCTCTTCAGAAGGTTTTCATGGTAGATACATTTAAAACATTCAAATAAGTTGTTTATAGCACCTGTTCACCTTCATGCTGCCTGATGTTATTCAAGTACCTATGTGTGAATGGCACTTTGATCTGGAATTCTGTGTTAATTTGTCTAGTGGCCATAGCATTTACAGAAATAAGCTAAAATGTTTTCAAAAGGACTTAAATTGTAATTGGCCTTTTGGTTTTTGATTGCTGAGTTTTGGAATTCTATGGTTGATATAAAAAAAATCTAGACACTTGTGACTTACTAAGGAGTATCTTGAAAATGTCTCAATTCTGTTATTCAGTGGAACTACCATTCTCTTTTGCCCCTATGACCTCTGATGGCTGAGCGGTGTTAGCCATATACTGTGTGTCTTTTCACCTCTTCTTGCCATCTCTGTGGGTCACTGGGCTCCTCTGGAAACTTCTGTAGGCAGGGCAGAGGTTTCCTTTTGTGTTTCCTTTTAGACCATGCCTTAAGAAGTATGGTGTGACTTCCTTTATTCACTAAATGTCTTTCTGATAAGCTGTGCATGAATTATATGATTGGAAAGCAAATCATATTAGAATCCACTAGTGGAGTCTGGCTAGGATATCCATTGTAATCCTCCTAGTAAGTCATAAGATCTATTCACAATCACCCCTTTAGTTATGCACGGTTTCCTTAAATCATAATATATCTTGTTAGAGTTTTTAAACTACTAATGTCCATTCTAGTATGGTGATATGTATGATAGCTGTGTCCTGCCTGGATTCATGCAGTCACATATATATGATATACCTTTTTTTGAACATATGACAATATGCATAGCCCCTATTTGGTGAACTGTCTTCTCTACAAATTATAGCCTTGGTGCTTTACAAGGTTAAATAACACAGTCTCTAATTTAAGTAACAGTGAGAACCAGGAAGATTTAAACAGTCTGAGTCAGGCACACATAACCCTACCCTCAAAAGCACTCATAGCTAAGTGGGGGAATCTTGCTGAAGTCTTGTTAACTTCCTGGGTTTCAAAGTCCCACTTCCAGGTACCATGGATGAGGCAGCAGGCATGCAATTACAGAAAAATAAACCTTTAGTCAAACAAAAGAAGCCACTGAAAGAACTGAAAACCCCTTCCTAGTCCCAGCTAAATTCCCAGGGAAGATTTAGGACCTGTGTTTGTCCTGAGTTAGTGGATGGTCTTGGCCAGTTTGCCATCTGTAGTGGTGAGTTGAAAGGGACTGTGGGCTCTGGAGGCTGAAAGGGAGTGAGCAGGAACAACATGAAACAGCAAATGTCAGGGAAGTCAGTAAGCCCTGAATCTTTTATGAGACCTTGGATATTCTGATCACAGCTCCGCTGGCATCGAGATTGGAATACAGATTATGGGAGGGAGCGTCTGTGACATGAAGCCCTGGCTTAAATCTTCCCAAGGTTTTAACGTGCCTTACCATATGAATATTTTGTTATTTTATTTGGCAGTATTTCCACAGGAGGCCAGGAAGGAGAGCACTGAGTAAGCCAGGGGTAGGGCAAATCTAGAGATGGGAGAGATTAGAACAGTATTGTGGCTAATGAGACTAACACCACTGAGGTGTGTGTGTGTGTGTGTGTGTGTGAGAGAGAGAGAGAGAGAGAGAGAGAGAGAGAGAGAGAAAGTGCTGAATCCCCTGTAATCCTGTCTCATACAAGGCCCTGGTGCTAAAACCACTGTAACTGTTTATGAATTCACTCCAGCTACATAGTGAGAGGAAGGAAAGAGAATAAGAAGAACCCAATGCTGGAATGAATTTATGCTTAAGAGCTTGTCTCGGGAATGCAGCTGGGTTTAAGAGTCGCCAAGCCAAGACACCCTTTTTGGGAAAAGGGAAAAGAAAAGGAAAGGAAGATAAAAACCCAGGAGACTGGAGGGACAGTGGGAGGAAGAGGAAAGAAAACGTGCTGCTCCCAGATGGGGAAGCCTTGTCTGAGTGAAATGGCATTATAGGTTGTCTGGGTGTTAGCCCCTTAAAGTGGTTTAATTTCCCACTAAATAGAGATCACTGTGAGGACTAAGAACCAAGCAAATGCTTTCGATTGCGCTATCTTGATTAGAAGCCCTGCATTAAGGCAAGAGCATTGGCAGAGCCCGAGAGAGCTGAGGCACCCTGAGGCATGCAGCAAGGTCCATGGCAGGCTAGACTTCAAGTGGCTTTGCCGGAGCATGACTTACAGCAGATTTGATGGCCTGGATTTTGCTTTTCCACACCTGTCCCCATCTGGTAGGCCATGCTGTCTCGTAGCCAACCTGCAAGTCAGTTAGGTGAGGCCGAGTGACCTCAGCCTGATGCAGGCCACAGAAGCAGAGCGAGGCAGAGTGACTAAGTGACTGCTGGAATCCTAGTAAAGCAGGGATAGGAACCAGAGTTCCTGGACTGCACGCAGCCTTTTCTTTGGTAAGAGAGGTTGACTACTGTAGTAGCTGTGTAAGGGGCAGATAGAGATGAGTGAGAGATGGTCATTCCTAAGTAAGAAATATTTATCAGATGACTGTTATGTGTCAGGAGCTGGGCTAAGTGCTTTACACATATATAGTCTTTTTTTAAAAAAAATATTTTCTTTTCTTTTAATTTAGTTTCAGGGGGGTACATATGCAGGTTTGTTAACATAGGCATATTATATAATGCTGGGGTTTGGGCTTCTATTGAATCCCTCACCCAAATAATGAACACAGCACTCAAGAGAGTGTTTTTCAGCCCTTGCCCTTTCCCTCCCTCCTCCTTTTTGGAAACCCCAGTATCTATTGTTGCCATCTTTACGTTCATGTATACCCATTGTTTAGCTCCCACTTGTAAGTGTGAATGTGCAGTATTTGATTTTTTGTTTCTGCGTTAAATCACTTAGGATAATGGCCTCCGGCTGCATCCATCAACATATACAATCTTTACAACAAATATATGGCACAGGTACTGTGATTATATTATACCCATTTTAGGGATAAGGAAACTGAGGCTAAAGAAGTAACCAAGACAAAGTTAGAAAATGCCAAGTTTGAATCTAGGCTATCTCCAAAATACTTGGCCTTGAACACCCATTTGAGCAGGTTTGCACTGAATCTGTTTCTTCATTTTAAGCACTACTTATTGAGTGCTGACTGTATGCCAGGTACCATGGTAGGTGCTGGGGATACTGACTAGAGGAAGACAGTGTCCTAGTCCTTGAGGTGTACACACAGCCGCGGAGACACCCCAGCAAATCAGCGATGGCAGTGGTGCCATAGATACTCTGAGAAGTAGTCACGGTACTCATGGGGCCTGCTACTTCATAATGTCAGTGACGTGGCAGACACAGGAAGGCTGCAGCACACCTAACTTTGTTGGTCACTTTTGTCTATCTGCTACTCTCAAGGCTCCATTTGTCTCTGTTGTGTAACTCTGAGCAAGCTAGTCTTCTTTCTAAGAAAGTGGAAGCTGATCAGCAGAAGGTGGCCATGGACAAAATGGGAAGCAGGACCGCTGGAGAAATAGGCCCAGTTGCTTATTTCAGGAAATCCTCTAGTCTTGTTCACTCGAAATTGTGCAAGGACAAAGCTGGGTCCATTGAAACAGAAAGCATAAGAAAACAAAAATAGAAAAAGGGGGAAAAACACTTTAAGTTGAATAAACAACTGCTGAGCCAACTCATGAGTTCAGCGGGGGATTCTCATGTTTCCAGGATATTTTCAGATTCTGATGGCAACTCGGGAAAGACCACTGTAACCTTGAACTTTGTCAGAGGACCGAGTTTAAGACCACCAAGACATTTCACGCAGACCACCCACTGCAATTTCTTGCATAGGTCTGCTGGCCAGTCTCTTATTAATACTGCAAGGCAACCTAAACTATATTTTGTTGGGAAAGTGGAAGAGCGAAGGCAGGTGTTGAAAAGCCATGAAAAAAAGAATTAAAACAAAAATGTGCCTCAGGCTCCTTTCAGCTGGCAGCAGAATTTCCGTCATCTTTCCCTTTTGAATTTGATATTATTGCAGGAACATTACCACGGACTCAATTTTCACTTGACAGTGAAATACCAGAAGTCGTCTCGGGTCCGGAGTGCTGTCTGCATCCAGTCCCTGTTAATCTGCAGAAGGAAAGCATGGAGATGGGGTGGGTGGCCAAGCTGACACAGGCCTCTTCAGGCTGCTGGGAAAGGGTGCTCCCTGGGTGTGAGGCCCAGGAGTCCCTAGAATTGCATAGATGCAGCAGTGAGCAGCCCACCTGGGTGTGAATCATAGACTTGTTTTGAGAATTAAATGAGCAAATTTATGTAGAATGCTTAGGTCAGTGTCTGACACATACACCAGTGTTCAGTGAGTATTACCTATTGTGACTGTTTCTTCGTGGGCAAAGCAACATCATCCTTTCTCTGCAGAATTTGAAACTGATGTCAAAAGAAGAGGGAGGCAGCAGCATCACACATCAGAGGGAATTTCTTTTAGATTCATATACCGTTTTTCCATTTTCTCTTTTCAGTTTTTTTCTTTCTTATAAGAAAGACTCCAGATGTTGAATTTAAACTGGGGGATGTCTTCAATGCCATTGAATATATTGAGCGTGTAGGCAGGCAGTGGAAGGTGCTGGTTTTTTTCTTTTTTTTCCTTTTTGTTTTTTGAGATGGAGTTTTGTTCTTGTTGCCCAGGCTGGAGTGCAATGGCGTCATCTCGGCTCACTGCAACCTCCACCTCCTGGGTTCAAGCGATTCTCCTGCCTTAGCCTCCCAAGCAGCTGGGAATACTGGCATGCACCACCACACCTGGCTAATTTTGTATTTTTAGTAGAGACGGGGTTTCTCCATGTTGGTCAGGCTGGTCTCAAACTCCCGAACTCAGGTGATCTGCCCGCCTTGGCCCCCCAAAGTGCTGGGATTATAGGTGTGAACCACCACGCCTGGCGGTGCTGGCTTTCTTTGGTAAAACGGAGAAAAGCCTTGAGGGTTTAAGGAGGAGAGAGGGGAGTAAAATAGAGAAGAGGATCAGGAAAAGAAGAACAAGTTGAGGATATTTAATTATTTGAAATATTGTGAAACATGAATATTGATGAGAAGGATGAACAGGGATGACTAAGTGCAAGGCAGGGCGTGATGGCTTACCTTCCTCCAAGTCCCACCTGCTGTTGTTGACCCCATCTGGCCAGCCAGGCGTGAACCTTAGTCTAGCAACAATAGGGGCAACACAGAGTGCATCTGCTGCTCAATGCAGGGAGAGATGCACTCTTCATCTTGTACCTTCTTGCTGTCAACCCTTTCTCTTTTTTTCTTCTGCTCATTTCTTACCACTCTGTTTATGGTAACATTTGAGGGGGGAAAATACATCACCCTATGAAAGAACAGGGTGGCTGCTGACTTTGTACCAACAGCAGTGAACCAGGGCCTAGTTGTCAGCAACCAAGACCTCTGCTGACCCAGAAGCAGACAGGTGACCCTTTCACCAAAACTTCAATCATCAGTCTTCTCTTTTCTTTTTTTGAAACAGAGTCTTGCTCTGTCGCCCATGCTGGAGTGCAGTGGCGCGATCTCGGCTCACTGCAAGCTCTGCCTTCCAAGTTCACGCCATTCTCCTGCCTCAGCCTCCCGAGTAGCTGGGACTACAGGCGCCCGCCACCATGCCCGGCTAATTTTTTGTATTTTTCATAGAGACATGGTTTCACCATGTTAGCCATGATGGTCTCGATCTCCTGACCTCGTGATCCACATGCCTTGGCCTCCCAAAGTGCTGGGATTACAGGCGTGAGCCACTGCGCCCGGCTAGTTTTCTCTTTTTGTCGTGTCTACCTTCCTACTTGCCTCACACCAGTCAGTTGGCTTTCTGTGTCAAGCCTGAGGAATGAATCTCATGAAAGAGCATTGGGAGAGCGGAGATTTTGGAAATTGCTTTCAGAACACAAAATCCCACATGCGTGGGCTTGTTCCCTGCAAGCTTAATCTTGCCTGATGTATATGTGTACATGTGGAAGGCTGAAGGAAGTGCTATAAATGCCCCATTCGTAAGTATTCAGCCATCGTGTGCTGAAAGCCTGCCGTCTGCCGGACACTGAAATGTGGCCTTCACAGGCCGAGGGTCTTTAAGAAGCATGGCCGTGGGGGCTGAGAGCAGGGTGGGGTGACAGGACAGGTTACTGAGACTGAATTTTGTCTGAAGAGTAGGGAGAGCTGTAGTGGTTCCCCTTTGCTGGTTGTTGGTTTTTGTGTGCCCCCCCACCTCAAACCCCCCCACCGTAAGAGAATCAGAAGGGTCCCATCTGCCTTGCAGGGAAGGGTCATGGTTGGTGACTGGTAACATCTGGGGGAGGGGCCACTTCATTATGCCACCCAGAATATCAAAGCAGCTTAGGCGTTGGAACCCAGGGAAGGAAGAAGAGATTAAAAAAAAAAAAAAAAAGCCCCACTGCCAGTCGGGCAGCTCTCTGTCTGCTGTCTGCAGGCTGCTGCTACCCACTCGTTACAATTAAAATGAAGTGTCCGTCAGCGGCTATCTTCTCTGTGTGGCCCATATGTTTCTGAGCTGATACTGTCCGGATTATTCTGTTCGGGAAAACGATAACGGCTGTTTATAACCTTGGCAAAGACTGAGGCCTAATCAGGCTGGAGCACATTTTCACCGACTGGCTGATAACAGGCTGTTAGCAGCCTTATCGCTCGGGAGAGATAGGCCAAAATAAGCAGATCTGTGAGCACAGGAGCCCAATCGAGTGGTACACACTCTGGCCCTGGCTTTATTTTTAGATTTTCCTTTCCCGGTTGATATCGGAAGGCACAGAGGCAGGAGGTGGGGTGGATAGTAATGTGTGCCCCCTTGGGGGTCAGAGTGAGGTGGAGGGGGATGTTAATCACCATGAGAGGCAGAGGGTCAGCCCAGCTTCCAGTGCTCCGGGCTCCCTTCAAATGAGGGAAAACACGTGCAGGTCTTAGGAGACAAAGGAAGGGAAGTGACTGTTTCCTGGCCTGGTGTGTGGGCCCGTTGCCTGTTCCGTTCAGCGTCTCCGTGCAGTTGGACTTTCCACCTAGGCAGGCAGGCATAGGTGTGCGGTTCTGAAAGACTGGTCTCTTTCCACATTCTCTCCTGCTCTAGGGACTGACTTTTGCTTTCTGTCTAAATCCATTTTGCCTGGACGACGACTTCATGGCATCCCTCCAGAATGACTTGCCCTGCCCAACTCATCATCCTTACACATGCCTAGAGGCCAGATGATGGGTTAGGCTACGGGGAAAGGAGCACAGGCAAGTCTTGAGTGTGGAGATCCTTACAGTCTCCTTACATTGATTGAGGCTCAAGGAGGATGTCAGCAGAGGTCCCACCAAGTCATTCGTTAATGACTGACACTAAACCCCTGGGGAGGAGTTGTAAGTTTTCAGAGAAGTTTCTGCCTCTTGGTAAAACCTTCAAGGAAAGGCCCTTTGAACTTTTCTCTATGTAGTGATAGAGAAAAGCCAAACCTGTAACTAGCCTTTGCTTCTAGATGTAATTCTCTAAAATCTTGACCTCCAACATGGCTCTCCAACAGCTATGATAAAAGGTATGTGTAGGAGGTCAGGAACATGTGATTAAAATAAAAACAGGTAAGTTTCCAATGGTGATAGATAGACAGCAAGTGTCATAAAAAGAAGGGGAAGATTGAAGATATTGTTTGCATTAAAAAGTGGAGTCTTGTATTTTCTCCACATTCTGCATAAACCTTCCTATCTTAAAGTACATTAGGGTTTTTACTCTCTATTCTGTCTCTCTCCACCCCTCTTCTCCCCCTTCCTTCCATCCTCTCCTTGCTTTCTGTACAGCTGCCTGATTCGTGGGTCACTTTGTCTTCCTAAGACTGAAAGAATCAGGTGGTGGGAAAGAGGGGAAAGGAACCCGTGCATGGGGGAGGGGAGGCATTTTCAGGGGCACACAGATTGAAGTAGGCACAGAAGGCAGCAGAAAGCATTATTACCATTATCATGCTAATCTATTTACAAGGCCCTTTTATTCATTAATCTTTGAATAGCAGAACTGTTCATACAGCCTGAAATAAGAACCACCTGTGCCTCTAGGACCAAAAAATAAAAGTATTAAGGACAAATGATATGTCGAAGCAGGAAGGGAAAAATTAAATATAAACAAAAGGATTCAAAGCCATTTCTTCTGTCATTTAGATCGTCACATATATGATTTCACAGCTCACGTGTTGCAAAATGGCCAGCTGACTGGCAATTTAGGAGACATCATCCAAGTTCAGAGAACAGCTCTGGGGAGGGTTCCAAATGTTGTGAAATTATTAAACAGTTTGTTTTTAAAGATCCAAACTAAGGTTTTTCTACACTAATTCCTATTATTCTTTTTTGGAAGTAAGCACTGATAAGCCAAATATAAATGATTTTGGTTAATGCTCTAGATTCCCTGATTAACTCAATAAAGAAATCTTTTATATTGTCTTCACAGAATTCATAGTAATATAGAAAGCCAAAGCCGGTAGGGATCTTACATGTATGATCTAGTTCAAGCCTCTCATTGTCTATTAAACCTTTAATTAAGAGTTCTTTACATGTAGGCTAAGCCCCCGTTTGTCACATCACACATAGGTGAGTTACATTATCGTTGGAACAGTTATTCTTACAGGGAGCAATGTAGTTCTTGCAAACACTTATTACCCTGTGTTATAGATACTTAGCAGGGGCTGAAGGGAGATGTAGGGAAAGGCTGCAGCCTTCCTTATATCATTATTTTAAGATAGGAGAGATACCAATTAGAAAGTCCACTGAAGAAGATATTTAGGCCTGAGCATCTTCTAAGAACAAATGCAATAATAGCCAGTGGAATGGAATAGCTTCCATATTCCTTTAGGTGGGACTTTAAATTCTCTCAATAACAATTCATATTAAACGTCATTCCCTTTGTCAAGAGACTGAGTTCTTTAGTTCTGACCACCAAACCTTACTGTTCACAAGTGTTAGAATTATGTCGTCCTAGAGCTGGAAGAACCCACTCTGAAGACTACCCACTCATTTTGTAAAGGGTATTAGAACCCAAGAAAGGGGATGGACTTGACCAGTGAGTCTGAACCAGGACTGGAGCTAGGATATTCTACCTTCTAGCTCAGTGCTTTTGCATCTTTTTGATGACTATTTTGTGATTTAGTTCTATGATGAAGCATTCAAAATAAATCCCTTAACTGTCCATGCCACTGTTTATTCATCTGTAAAATGAAGATTGTAATTTCCCCATTGATTTTTTTTTTTTTTAAGTTCCTCAAGAGCTGGGACTGTGCCATCCATCTCAGTATTTCCCAAGGCACCTAACTCATAAAGTGCTCTACACACAGAGCTGCTCAATAAATGTTCACTATTGAATAGTTGAATGAATGAATGAATATGACTTTTAATTGGGCTTTGCAAGTGATGACTCCTTCAGAATTAAATGATTTTTCTTCTAAGTTGTGTGCACATTCTCAGCCATTCATTTGTTAAATATCTTTCAGGAGAAACAGTGAAAAATGATGATGATGTCTTTGGTAGTATATGGAAGACCTTTCGGTACTGCAGAGGTCTGATTATAATCATGGAGTTTTGTTATTGTCATTTGTTTTCTTTGTAGTTGGTTGTTCATGAAGACCTGCGAAGGCCTAGTGATCTTGAGGGTCAGTTGATTTTGAGGTTCTCAGTAGCAGGAGTTGGTGTATTCTTAGCTGCCCAAGAACCCTCCCCAGCATATTGCTATGGCATTCTTGTCATTTGTCCTGAAGAAGGGAAGAGACAGGACCATGCTGGGGGACCTTATCTATCTAACTCCTGTTGTTGTCTAGTGCTTAGAATAATACCTGGATCATAATAGGTATTTGATAAATAGTTGTTAAATGGATAAGTAATTGCTGAAGGTCTACTTTTGCTTGACTAGCTCATGCCTTCAAAGTCTATAACTGGACTGGATGACTGTTCTCTTCTAAAATAGGATTTTGTGAATTATTTGAGTCTATTTCTCTGACTCAGAAGTCTAAGCCGGGATAAACTCTTCCTCTCATAGCATAAATTCTACCAGTTCCTTAAAAATCTGTATCTTTGGGTCTATAACTCGCACTGGCCAGGACCATTTGTATTCCACGCCTCCTCTCATGCCTACACTATGAGATGATGGCTTACAAAGGCCTATTGCCCACTTATACTTCTCAAAGCAGCCATTCAGAGAGGTCAGAATTTAAAGCAGAGATTATTTTAGTGGGGAGGTGGTGAGGAGGGTTAACAAAATTGCTGTTTTATTGGATCTAACTTGCTTTTCAGAAGCACGTGACTGGCATATTTGGGTCATTAAATATAAAGACATTCTGCTTATGAATTATGCCAGCAAGATGTTTTCAGATCATACAAAAACAATGTGTGTGGTGACTGCCAAGTAGTGTTTTTATGTGTATGTCTGTACACACCACCCACTGATCTATGCAAGGCAGTGGTGCTTTGCACTAAATGCCACATCGTTCCTTCTGGGATCTCAGAACCTTTCATAAACAGTCACTTAAGACTCTAGTGAGTTAAATAAATAATAAGATCCTTACCCCCTTGAAAAGAATATGTAGCCTACATATTGAAAAATTAGGCAATTTAGCCCAAGGCAGAATGAGCAGAGAAAGCATGACCTGGTGAGCCAGACCTAAGTGCCAGCAGCAAGAATTTTGATCTGTAAACATTCTGATGATGGCAGATGGCAGTGCGGCCTTGAGAGGGGCTTTCAGTCAATCTGCAACCTTTTATTCTGTACCTGATAAGTCTCTGGTACTGAGTTAGAAGCTGTGAAAGGCCAAGTGTGGTGGCTCACGCCTGTAATGCCAACACTTTGGGAGGCCAAAGCAGGAAGTTCGCTTGAGCCTAGTTTGAGACCAGCCTGGGCAACATGGGAAATGTCATCTCTACACACACACACACACACACACACACACACACACACACACACACAGAAATACACGAAGAGAAGAAAAAAAAAGAATCTATTAACGAAAAAATAAAAGCCAAAACATGCATAGTATCTTTCTTACAAGACCTAAAAATCATCCTTTCAATTTGTTGAGCACATCCTGGGTGCCAGACAGTTCAACATGGAACATAATTAAAACATTAAATACTGGAATACAGACAATATGCAGTTTCGGAGACAGAGAGCAGTTAAGTTTCAGGGTGTTTGTGGTGGGGAGTTGATAGTTAAGAGAAAGGAGTTGAGGCTATGAACTGAAAAATGGGCACGGTTGAAGTCAGCAGCAGGACATTATATTTGAGAAGAACCAAATACACGAACGCAGAATGGTCAGAAAGAGGACAGCATTTTTATAGCCATTTTCTCTGCATCTCAGTTTTTGTACGGGTAAAATAAAGGAAGTGATACTGGTTAGTAGTGTGTCACCACCGGAAGGATAGCTGAGGGTGACTAATATGTTCATAGCTGCCAGGATGAGAGGCTCAGTGTTTCACATGGCATTGGCATTAAGGTTCTTGGGTTTTATGAGGTCCTGTTTAAGAATATGACACTGGAGGTATTTCTTTGGAGACTTTTATTTGCCTGTGGTGTGTTGTGATCAGAACCACTCTTTGGGAAGAGAGAGGCTCTTCTTGGCCACAGGGTGGGTACAGATTAGCAAATGCAACCATATTGGGAAGGAACGCTTGGGTGTTCTGGTGGCCCTTCCCCTCCCAGACTGAGCTCTGTCTAGGATTATCAGGCAGGTGTTCAAATAAATAATGCAGCTAAAAATACTTCCAGCAGCAACTGGGACTTCTGTAGCTCTGAGATGGTCGGAGTATGCATTTCAGCTACTCGAGCAGGTGTGCAGTGGCTCCAGAAACTTAGAACAGACACACCCCTGACACATCCTCAACATGGACCAAGACCTCATTTCCAATGGAGAAATGAAACAAAGCATTTATTTCATCTAGTCTTACCTGGAAACAGGTGTGCCTTGGCTGAAGGCGTCAGAGGTAGAGCTCAAAAACAAGTTAATAGTCATTGTCTAGGGGAAGATGGTGGTTTCAGAGCAGTAAGTGGTATTAATATTACCTGCTCCCTGTCCAGGACTTGTTCTTCACTAAGAAGTAGTACCTAGCATAACTTCAGTGAGAAGATAATCTATAATAACATAATAATAACAACTGTTAATATACTAGCAATCTTTTATTAAGCATGTACTGTGTCAGACACCATATTTGTTGATTTAATTCTCAAAAAGAATATCAGGGCAAATGACATTATCCCCATTTGCGTAGATTCAAAACTGAGGTTCAAAGTAAGTAAGTATCTTGCCCAAGGGGACACATGCTTTAAGTCACAGAGTTGGAAGTCAGATCCAAGTCTGATTCCTAAACTGTGGATAAAGTTGTGTTTCCATTTGGACTTACCACGAATGTGGCATGTTTTACCTTCTTTTTTGACTCTAAATTTGCCATATACATTAATGTGTAATAAAAACTTGCATTGTTGGCATTGCAGCATATTCAAGGTAATTTTGGAGAATCTAGGTGTTTTGGGCAAAAGAATTCATCATACACAACCTCCACAAAGATAGCCATGCCTGGGGTGAAAATCTTCTGCCAATTAAAGCTTCCAGTTGTATCACATTTAGGAACTTTGAGGACATAACTCTGAGTGGTCAGGGTGGGGTGACCTTCACTAATGGGCGTTGTTCCCATAGGACTAACTCTGGTACATATAGGCTCATGAGGAATACCTGACAACCAGGGGTATTTAAGATTTGGGTGACAAATGGAGTGTTCAAAATGGTTCTGTGGAATCACTGTGCTTCTTGTTATCACATGAGTTTTCACCTGGCAATGACATAGAAGCACATGGGCAGCCAAACTCTGGATTGCCTAGGCTTTGAGGATGAGCCCAGCCCACCTCTACCGCTTCGTAAAATCAGAGCCAATGACAGAGGTTGCCTGACTGATGGTTGCCGGAGACTCAGAATGCTTTTGACTCTTTGACTTTGTGTGAATATGGTGGAGATATTGAAAGACTCTTATCATTGTGGCAGGAATTAGTTTTGAAAAAGAGGTCTGTTTCAGAATTTTAGATTTCAAAATGTAAAAATGTTGTGACTTGCAAGTAAGGCATAATTTTGGTCTCTTAAAACTGAAATTGTTTTCCTATTTTTCTAGTTTTCATAGTAAGTCCCTCTCCTCCAAGTTGAATCACACTCAGCTTTACTGAGTAAGGAGGGGCTCACCCTCAGGATCTGGCCAAATGACAACTTTTGGCTGATTAAAAAAAAAAGTGTTTCAGAATTCTACTCAGCCTTGCTCACAGGCAATGACCCCGTCAGATCTGATAAACTGAACAAGCTAGGGGCTACCAGGAGCTGCAAAAGAGACCTACACAGAAATGCCAGTCTGTGAGAGAGAACAAATGGTTAGGATGGTGTCCCAGGAGCAAGCAACTCAATGATGAGCCATTTTTCTATCACTCTCCTTCAGGTTTAAATCTGGGGTAGGGTTAGGAGAAATTCTTCTGTCTGTGTTTCATTCTGTTAGAGGTAGGGTTAGAAAGCTCATGGTCTGATGTGTAGAGTCAATTGTGGAATGTGAACCATGATTCTGAGTATAATGAAGTTCTATGACAAATATACAGCCAGAACCTGGACATCAGGAAGTGGTAGCCATTTTTACTTGTCCTGAGTAAAAGCTTTAGGCTATTAATTGGCTTTGTAAATATTGTCTCTACAGGAAATCAGGGAGTAGGTATATGGCATATTATAATTACCTGGGGGCCTTTTTAATATTTGTGCATGCTCTGAATCAGAATTTCTGGATACGGGGAGGCGCAGGCATTTGTAGTTTTGGAAAGCTCTCCAGGTGATGCTATGCCATGTCCCAGTGAATTGAGACCTGTTGTTTTAGATTACTGTTAGTAATGTTGTTTTTGTCTTATCCAATGAATATACCCACATTGGCACACTCTTTCTGTCATCGAATTTGGAGGTGTCTGGGCACTGGAAAGCACATGGGGGGTATGTGTGTGTCTAAAGTGTGCGTGTGTATACATGCATTCATTTGTTTTCTGAGGCACACGGTCTGCTGCTGGCCCTGTGACAGGTGATCAGAGCAATGTGGACATGGCAAGCCTGGGCAAACTCACTCTTCCCATTTCACCCTGCCTGCAAACAGAGTTAACATCCTCAAGGTAAAGCTCTGAAATCCCACGCTGACCTTTTCGTGAAGCATTATAATCAAGTTGAACATTTCCAGTTTTACCACAAATGCTTGCCCCGTGGGAAAATACTTCCCTACATTTTATGACAATTGATTCTGATTTTGAGGAACTAATTTGTATCGAATGCAAAATGTCCAGCCTCACATGGAAACTGGAAAGTCCCCTTGTCCAGACAGGTCCAAAACTGTGTTTTTATTGTAAAGACAGGGGAAACAATGAAAGATTGTGTTTTTTGTTTTAGAAAATCCTTCCTTCATTGTTCTGCATACTTCTGTATTTTATTTTTTTTAACAGTCCTGTGGGTTTAATGACCACAGGCAATTTTGTGGATATCTGGGGCTCATGGGAAACTTCACCATGTCTGGATTCTAAGCTCTTAGATGCCAGAGCCTACTGGATCTTTTACTGTATGTGAAGTCACCCGTACTGCCAAGGATCCTGAAGTGAACATGCTGACCCCTTTGAGAGATTCTTGGAAATATGACTGACATTTTCTACTGTGCAATGAAAGTCAGCATTTCCCTCCCCACATTATAGTTCTGGCCACAAAGGAAGCAATGCCCCTAGAACTCTCTGATGTATCTGAGAACCCTGGAGGCTTCTGACTTCATTTGGAAGAAGTCATGGAAACAAAAGCTGCTACTTCTCAGGCTAACATCTGCTGACATAAACAGAAGCCCCTCAAGGATACCTTCTGCCAGTGACCAAACCGGGGGCTCAAGTGAAGAAATATTATCATTAGACCTGCCTCCAGGTCTAGCTAATGTCTTATTCAGTATGAATAGCAGTGGCGTTTGGGCAGGGAGGTGATGAGATGCCTATTAAGGTAACAGAGGTGTCCAATGGAACATTGCTTGTTTAGCCTTATGACCTCTGTCCAAGGGAGGGCTTCCTCTGTACTGGAACTGTGGTTGACTTAGGGTTTCTGCGGTTTCCTTCCTGAGGTATATTTACAGTGACTGTGCCTTCATTGCAACAAATTTTAGGTTCATCCTCTTGAGCAGGGGGAAGGAGCCTCTCTCTTCAGAAGCATGTCAGGATATCTTTGGTAGGCATCATGTTCTGTTTACTTGAACCAGTGAGAAGATGGCCGAGCAAGCAAGGATAAGTGTACGTGTCTATAAAGGTTTCTTCTAATCCTGCGAGTCTGTAAGCATTCTAGGGTTCATCGGAAACTGTCTACTCCCATTTCTGGAATTTGCCTCTTGGCATCATCATGCAGGGGGCTTTTTCTAGTCATGCTTTGTGGTGGAAAGGTCAGCTGAGCACGGAGGAACAGGGGACTCACTGCTTTTCTCCCCTTTGGGCCCTTGAGCAGGCATTTGACTGCTGCATATGAACCTGGGAGCCATGGGGTCTTAAGGCTTTCTACTTGATTCTCAGTGTGGCCAGAATTCTGTTTAGGGCACTGCTCCAAATCTCGGTGACACTCCATCTGTAAAATTGGGTGGCAGTGTAGTGTGTGTGTGTGTGTGTGTGTATTTTCTTATACAGGACTGGAAGAGAATGGAGGAAGAAGGATAATGACTTAAAAGCGAAAACAATTGAATTCTTTGAGCTACAGTGCTGTGTCCTGAGAGTGCAGTTATTTTCCACTGCAGTAATGCTTTCAAAAACATTTATCTAGCTTCTCTCACTTTCTCATTTGCTGTCATTGGTGTGAAAAATCGAGTTACCAGAAGGTTCACCCATGTTCCACAGGTATGAATACTGAACGTTTTATTTAGTGTCTCATTAACAGCTGGCCTGTGGCTCCTCCTTCTCGGCTTGACTCTGCCCTGTCCAGGGAAATGGGGAATCACGCTTAAGGATTAGCAGGGTGCCTATTTTCACTTACAGTGCTTCATTCCTGTGTTCATGTTACCTATTCCCTTTACAAAATATGAATGAGTATCTTTTTGTGACAGGCTATATTCTAGGCACTGAGGATCCAACAGTGGACAGAACACACAAAGTTCTTACCTTCATGGAGCTTCCATTTTAGTGAAAGAAATAGAAAATAAATATGACATGATATAAAATGATACACTATCCTATATACTACTAACATCTTTTAAACCCAGTTTTATATCTTACCCCCTGACCGACTCTTTACAGGTCCTGGCTCCTGGGCAAATGGTGCCCTGTCTGTCTATGCCTGGCTGTCACTGATTATAGATATCTTCAGGGCCTAAGCTCATGCTCTGCAACCATTTTCTGTTACAGAATCTTCTTGCTGCTCATTGAAGCCTTAATCTCTTATGCTGCGATCAATGGGTGGGCACCTTTCCCATTTGGATCCTCATTTTTTAATCCCTGCTGCCTCCCTCAATGTCATCTGGTTCCATTTTTCTTTATAGACTTTCAGGTCTACTGTACCTGCTGATTACTTAGTGGAGAGTGCTGGACATCTCCCTTAATTAATTCCATCGATTTGAAATCCCACAAGGTTTGGGGTCTTTAGATTTCTGAAGCAGCTAAATGGAATGTCTAAATTCCAACCTTTTCCTTCTACAAATTGTTTTGCCACAAAGTTACTGGGAGAAAGTGCTGTGGTTTTATTTATTTGAAGAAGTATATTAATCCACAGAAGACTCTGCATGCCTAACTGGGCTTTTTGTATACAAAATGGAAGAAAAAAAGATGTTTGGATCTCTCTCCCTCTCCTCCTCTCTCTTCCCCTCCTCTTCCACTGACCATCAAGATTCTGTTCCTCATTCTTTTCTTTGTTTTGGTCATTTTTCTTCTTTGTCACTTACTTTCATGATGCTTATCCAACTAAGACCATGCCTTAGCAACCAGTGATTTCTTGAACCCTTTGAAGAAGGGTATGAACTTCACAAAGGGTGCAGAAGCACTGCTCAGGACTCCTTTTTGAAGAGCAACTGCCCAGGGTGATTTCCAAGAGGATTCTTCCAAACCTTATAGCCGTGATCTTGTTGAGTTATACATGTATGATTTTTTAGTACTCCCTGTTAACAGTAAGCATGGAATTTCTGGGGGAGAGTCATCAGATGTATCTTAGGGTCATATGGTTTGCAGAAATGGTGAACTTTCTATACAGAGGTTCAGAAATCAGCATGGAAAGGAGCTTTAGAGATTAGGAGCTCAATGCTCTCATTTTATAAATGCGAGGATGGTGTAAGGGAACTTGTACTGATTGAGCACCTATCATGTACCAGATTGTACATGTACCCAGATTGGGCATTATGCATCTGTCACCCCCAAATAGTGAAGTAATATACTGGACATATTGGACACTCCTACTAAAACCCAATCCCTTTCCTGGCACCAGACTACTGCTTCTTAAACCAAGAAGCCAAAGAGAGGGAAGAGAGGCACAGTGCAGAGGAGTTTCTTGGGCTAACTCTTTAGAGGCTTATGCTCCACTCTACCTGCTAAGCTGTCAGCAGTTGTGAACCCTTCCCAGAAGCTGGCAGTCTCGCAAACACTGGGAGGTGGCCAGACTGGATGTGCTTGGAGCATTGGCAGTCATCAAAGAATTAATGTTGGACGAGCAGGGGTGGCGGGCATATGAAAGGGGTTGCAGGGAGAGATAGATAGATGAATATACAAACCCTCAGTCATGCCATCTGACCATCTGAGGTTGTGTGCATGGTGGAAGGCCAAGAAACACATTCAGAGAAGGGGCGTGGACTTGTCTAAAAGGACGTTTTCCTTTCTGCCTGGGCCAGCCAGGCGGCAGAGCCCTGCACTGCCTGTGACTGAGGAAGACTCTGTTGCTATGCGCCGGAAGCTTAATTTTATTATTGCTCTCCCCTATTTAATGTCTGTCTCTCAGGCAGCTGGTGATGTTTTAATGAAGCTGGAATTGTATAGTCTGTAGCGCTGGATAATCATAAGCTGCCGAGTCAGAATCAAATTAATAATTCATGAAATTAAAGTGTATAATTAATTTGAACTGTGCAGATGAGAAGAAGGGCCAGAGCCCACAGCCTGGAAGGAGCTGAAGTGTGGGGAGTGTTTACTGAACTCAGCTTCTATTTCCAAATAATATAATCTGCATGCAGGTTAGGGGTAGTCTGTGGGTCTACCTGAACACGTATGCTTACCAGAAACAAGGTTCTTTCAACTAAAACCTGGAATGACTTTCTTAGAAGTTCAAAAGCATTTTAATTGATTTTGATTTACCCTTCCCTGGCCCCAAAAGAATGTTGTTTGAACAGAAAATGTGATACTGGGTTACAAGTCTTTGTTGCATGGAGGTCCTGCAGAACGTGCCATCAGAACCGTTGCTTCTGCAGTTCAAAAGGTCGTAAGTCAAATCCAAACATTCAGGAACTCTACTGAGCTTCCAGGCCCATGGATTTCTCACCCGTAAGTGCTCTTTCTCTTTCTCCCTCTCTCATATATGTATGTCATACAAACAGAAAATACAAATGACTTCTCTAGCCAGGCTTCCCTTGGCCACTCTTTTGGCTTCCCTGGGCCACAATGGAAGAAGATGAATTGTCTTGTGCCACATATAAAAATACACTAACACTAACAATAGCTGATGAGGTAAAAGAAAATCACAAAAAAATCTTATAATGGTTTAAGAAAGTTTGTAAGTTTGTGTTGGGCCACATTCAAAGCTGGTCTGGGCCGCATGTGGCTCATGGGCCACAGTTGGACAAGCTTGCGTCTAGACAGTGTTAATGATATGTTTCATGTCTAATATCTTATTTTTCTTCACAGATGCCCATTGCAATAGCTGCAGATTTTTTTTTTTTTTTTTTTTTTTTTTTTTTTTTTTTTTTAGTGCCCATTCTAGTAGCAACAAAATGAGGGGAAAGCAACTCAAGTGCCTCATTAAAATGGGGAATGGTCTGCAATTTCTAAACCACTCTTCCTTTCTTGTATTCCTCTTTCAGGCAAATATGCAGCATTCATCTTTGTTGCCTCTCCAGGTGTGAGAGGCAGTGTAACATCCAGGCTGTTTACATAACTTGCGGAGTGTTTTACAATGTACTCTGCAGACAATTGCTCGGATCCCTTTATTGTCTTTTTAAAGATGCCTATACAGGTGGGTCCTTTTTCGGTTTTTGAATGATGGATGCTGTGGTATCATAGGAAAAAGAGGAATCTCTGGGTTAGCTTTTCATTAGAAAATCCTTGTCATGTTTAAGCTCCTAAGCAGGCAGCTTGAACCCCCCACCCCCTTCCTGCATCCAGTAGACTTGCAGGGAATGAGAAGGCAAAACCAGCATCTGTGATTGTCCATTCTTCTTTGTCAGGCCTTTCAGAGTTCCTGTTCTAGAGGGACAAATGACTGGAGGCCATGATACAGACTAATGGTGCATAAGCCCCCAAAGGTTTGGATTGAATTGAGGCTCAGCTGACTTCACATTTTTAGGTCTTCAGTATGTTTATTTGTCCCTCACATAGCGGCTTGATCTGTCTGCCTGTGTGTTCACATAGTTAACCAGAAACGCTAGGAGGAAGTTGTACCAGTGGGATACCTCCTTAGGATTCAAGGGCCTCCCGTGTAACCATGTTCTGCACATCAGCTCTCTTTGCTCCTCTCTTGATCTGCGTGCTTCCCCTAACTTGCTTCTGCTTGCATGGCCTTATCTTCTCTAACGCCTTTCTGCTTCCGTACAAGTTTCAGCCACTGGTGGTTTGCCAAACTGGCTGATTACCCATAAACACACAACATGGTTCTGTTTTGCTCCTAGCAATCCTTAAACCATTGCATGTCTAACATTCTCAGACTAATTCACAAATCAGAAACATCTGATGCCCAACCCATACCAAATGCATTTCAGGGCAAAAATTATGCTCCTATAATGTCTGGCTTCCTGTCTTCAAGGCACTTTGCTTACATGACTGAATCCTCACTGTGAGGTGTAGCTATCCATCATTTTTGAGCAAGAAAGCCAAGATGGATAAATAAGTGACTTGCCCAAGACAACTAGAGTGGTTGGCACCATGATGGGATTGGTTGTCTTATTTTTCAGTTGGTACATGGAGTCTTCGATGACCCCAGGATTTGGAAATGAAATTTAACCACCTTAGAGCTTCTGGAATTTTCTTCTCTTGTGTTCAACTGAAAGTTTCTGACTGCCCTGGGTGAATTAGATGTTATCTTACTGGAAAAGTGTTATACTGCCTGGTTTCTTCTATAACCATTTTAACCTTAAAAGCTTAATCTGTTTTTAACAAAATTAAAAATAATTTGTAGCTATAGTGGAATGATCAGAGTTTGTGCCCAGTGTTTACCTGTGAGCATTTTCTTTTTGCATACAAACGTTTTGGTCAACCCACGGTTGCCTCCTCCAGGAACAGAATCTTTTGATTCAAATACATTGATTAAAATTTACAGAGACTATGGTCTTTCCCTGCCATGGGTTTAGTGTAGAGAAAATGGGACAGGATGAGGATGATGATTCCTAAGTCTACTTGTACATTACTTGAATAGCTAGACAATGACCCTGCTGGCCCAGTTATTTTAGCCATGCAAACAGTGATTAGCAAAGATTGCCACGTGATCTGTTTACTCAATCATGTGGCATTCAGCCATAAATATGGCTGGAACCAATGAATTAACCAAAACATCCTGGTCACATCTGGGATATAAATAGATTCATGCTAAAGCCACATCAGGGAATTTTATAAAATTGTAAGCATAGCCACTTACCACATTGAATTAGCACTACGCTTGACATCTATTGAGTATAAAATAGAGGTCTATGGAGTATAAAATGGTCTTTAGAAAGTCTTCTGGGAAGATAAGTATTTCCTATAACCTATAATGACAAAATAATGTTTTACTAGTAAAAGCAGCTCTGTACCTCACACTGTGAAACAATTTTACAGTTCTTCAAAAAAGAGTTCTTCAAGCACATCTAGGGGATCTAGAGGCCCGTCTGGAACATCGAGGTTCCAGAGGCACTTCTAGGCGAAATGGCATTGTCAGAATCCCTTCATGTGGAGGCAGAATTGGGGCTCAGCTTTTGTCTTAGTGCTGTTTTTACCCCCAAGAGATTCACTTATGCTTCCATAATGCAGGAAGAAACCTTCGCTTTGGTTTTCTGTGTTCCCTCAGCTACTATTTTTGATCACTTCATTTTGGTGAGATGCTTGAGCAGTGCAATATGGTGTTACGGTTTTGCTGGAGCTCAACACCAAGCTTTGTCTTTTATTAAGTTACACACCCCTAGGGATGAAGATGTTGACCCTTTAGCATCTCCTGAGTTATTGCATTCACCCCTTGGCATGCTCATAATGAACATGTAATGAAATTCAGTAATTAACTTACTTAATTTATGTATTCATTTAATGTGTGCCCTTAATATCTGCCTTATGATCTAAGAAAATCTCTACAATTCTGTTGTTTTTGATTGTAAGATTCTAGAAGACAGGGATTATGCCTAAGTAGTTCTATTTACCATTCACTGTGTCACATTAATAAAACTAAATCAGGTTATAATTCAGAGGAATGTAATTCTTATACAGGAGATTTTAACAGTTTGTAAGTACTAACATAGTTTAGAAAGTTCTGTAATTTGGAGCAGAGTGCTATAGTTCTTTGGGGTATGTCTTCTCTTTTGCCTCATCCACTTGCCAGGTAGCAGTGGCTTTTTATTCTTAAGTCTTAGAGATGCATTTAGAGTTACATACAGACATATGGTGGAAAGGGGTCTTGAGTTGATTTGGGGCAAAAGGCAACCGTCCCCATGCACTAGAGATGAATCATGCCTACCTCCCTTTGTCATGGGAAGTGGCGGCCACTGCCACATCTGCTATGAGGCTCTTCGCCATCGTTGGCTGCTGGAAATTTGGATACAGGTAAATGGTATATAAGGCTTCTTTTTGCTTGTGCACCAGAAGTCTTTGTCCCAGCCTCCAGATCAGCAGTCAGTACTCCCCTCTCCCAACCTGTAGGAAGTACTTGTGAAAAGTTATCTATCCCTGGTCTGAGTGGGAGGTTCTTAACCTCATTGATGTTTTAGTGTGACTTGTCTACATTTGTGTGCTCCCTTCGTCATCTGCAGAGGATATGAGAAAAGAAACAAATGAACAAAAAGTGGAGATAGCGCCTTCCTATTCATTCTTCATTTGGTATGGTTATAGTTAAGAGAGGTGAGCCAGGCTGGGCGTGGTGGCTCATGCCTGTAATCCTATCACTTTGGGAGGCCAGAGTGGGAGAATTGCTTGAGTCCAGGAGTTCAAGACCAGCCTGGGCCACATAGTAGACCCTGTCTTAATTAAAAAATTAGCCAGGCTTGGTGATATGTGCCTGTAGTTCCAGCTAGTCTGGAGGCTGAGGTGGAAGGATTGCTTGAGCCTGGGAGACCGAGGCTGCAATGAGCCATGATCGCGCCACTACACTCCAGCTTGGGTGACAAAGGAGATCTTGTCTTAACAAAAAAAAAAAAAGAGAGAGAGAGAGAGAGAAATAGATTGGTGAACCATTTTAGGCCTTGCTTCTTGGAGAAGTGAGCAAGAAGCCCACAAGTGTTGAAAAGGTTCTGCACAAATGTGCTCCCATTTCCTGTGCAAACCAATAATTTGCTTGTTTTCCAAAAGGATAGAAGTAATTCATAATTTTCAGAAATTATTTATTATCATTATAACATTTCCCCACAGGCAGCAGATAGCCCATTATTCAGAATTATAATGTATTTTGATTTAGACAAGGCCAGAATAATGAAATTGGAAGAAATGCAGAAAATATGGGCATTAATGTTAACTAAACATACTTCATTCAACAGAAGGAGGGAAGCTTTCTCAGCCAAAGAATTATTTTCCCAAAAATGCGTATATAAAAATTTTTTTATTCAGGGCCTCTGGTTTTTAACTTTATAACACCGGTTGAGTAATTTTTAACTGCAGGATGCATCTCTTTCCCGATATTCTCCCCACCCACCGCAACATATTTCAGTTTAAATGGCCTGTTATTTTTCTTCATAGAGCTGTGTCTCTGCATGGGTGAGAACTACAAAACCAGTCAGGAGGAATTTGATACGCCAAGTGGGCCAGCTCATTATAACTTCTAGGAAACCACAAGATAATTGTAGGGTTACTGCTGGTAGGCTCCTCAGCATTGTGTTAGGCGTTTATACTCTTCTCTGTTCAACTTGCAATAGCCACTTCTCTTTTCAGTACATTTTGTAGGACATCTGAATAAAGGTGGTTGACAAGCATTTTCAAGCAGAATTTTCAAGGCAGCATCCAGGAATACTTGGTAACTAACCTCAGAGGTTTAAAAAAGTAAAAAATAAAAATATGTGGTTGAATTCTTACAGTGAGTAGGAAATTAATCTTAGACTGCCTGCATCAAATTGAGCCTCTTTATTGATATGAAGTGAGTTTTCCCTAAATGATAACCTATTGAGAGATCTGCTCACTATGAAATGGACAGATTCTGCTTACTGAATTACCTTCTGCTATTTATCCTTGTGCTTCTTTTTTTCCTTCCTTTTTTTCCTTATCTTTATCATCCAAAAACATTTTGTAAGAATTTATTTATGCAAATTAACACAAACTTTTAATATGGATATCAAGATTTCAAAGATGTTGTGTAAATATGTATATATACATAATATAGACATATACATACATGTAACTAATAGGAAGCACTTATTTGGCATTTACTACAGGTATATGCTTTGTTCTATTCTCAACATGTTTCAGGCAGTTTATTTAACCTTTTGAAAGAAGTAGATATGGTAGGTATATTATTATCTCTCTTTTACAGTTAAGAAGAACCTGAGTCCTAGAGAGGTTAGGCAACTTGCTGAAGGTCACACAGCTTATAAGTGGCATATTTAATCAACCTAGGCAGGCAGTCTGACTCAAAAGTCTGTGCTTTTGATCAGTACACTGTACTGCTTCTCAGTATAAGTATAATAAGCAAAAGACAGATAATAAAAATCATTATAACAATAATTAATATAATAAGTAAATATTACTGAATATTTCCTCTGCATCAGGCACTGTGGCAAGCATTGTACATTCGTTGTCTCATTTAATCTTCCCAATAATTTGATGATGTTGATTCCATTTTATCCCACTTCAAATATTTAGAAACAGACTTAGTTTCTAAACCTGCCCCAGTGTTATATAGCTGGTAAACAGCAGAGCCATTTATTGTTGGGGTAAACCCTGGAGGGCTTCAGGATATCTGAAGGCCACCATAAATCACTGTGAGAGTAGCAGAAGGCAATGGAAGTTAGGGATGGCAGGTGGATCAGCTGGTTAGAGCATGGAGTTAGTGAATCCACTTCTTGTCAATTAGTTCTGCCCTATTCCAAGAATACAGCCATCAACAGTTAGTCCCAGAGTTGGTGGCATTGTTGGGGAAAGAGATTGCAATAGACTGGTGCAGATCAGTTACCTGAAGCTCCTGCCTTATCTGTGGCCTGGTGATGCTGCTGTGTGCCCAGAAGCCAGTCATATGGATGTCTTGACCTGTCCAGCACACACCTCAGTAGTAGGAGATATGGGTCTTTGGAATGCTTTATGTGTGATGAGGATGAAACAGTTAAGTGCTACTTTCTCATCCTCGGCCTTATGACATTAGTTAGTTGTGTAAGATTTTGCAGGGAGGTATTCCCTCCTCTACCCTTTCGTCACAAGCCCCTCTCATTCCTCTGAAAAGGTTCCATACTCCAGTCCCTACCCTCAAAGAAAGATTTTACTAAGCAAAAGTATCTATGGCTCTCTCTGTTCTCCTTGCTTTAGCTAGCACAGCTAAACTGGGATCTCACCAGTCTGACAGGGCAACCTCCAAGATTCACAACCCAGGAAAAGTACTGCTTTGCGTAAGTTTAATCAAGACCAGAGCAGAGACAGGACACAAAGTCAAAAGAACTCAGTCAGCTCTGTCCCCTTGGTGCTAAAGAAGCAACTAGAATAATTATTCTTTTACAGTATTTTGCCATATTTTTTGTCTTTTTAAGATTTGCCATCACCCATCTGTAGATGGTGGCATTTTGGGTAGTTTTTATTTTTATCACTATATTTTACTGCATGTTTACATTTTCTTTCATGTGCATGTGTTTTGTTGTTTAATGTGCAAAAACATAATGCATAGAGGGGTAGCATTCATCAGAATAAGGTCAGAAAAATGGAGGACTCCAGTGTTTTTTGCGATTGCTTTCCGTGTTTATGTGTGTGTGTGTGTATGGGCGCACGCGCATGCATGCATGTGCACACTTGTATCTGTGTTTCTGACATATGGGCAACAGGTCTACTGCAGGCTGGACTCCCTCTCTGTAGGCTCTAGGGACTTCTCCATAAGAGGATGACCTACTTGACCTATTTTTGCAAGTATCTTTTGCCATTTTCCTACCCTCTGCTTCCCTACTCCCATCAGACATGTTAATGGCTCATATCATCTTCTCCTTTCATCAGCCAAAAAAAAAAAAAAAACTCTCTTGGCTTCTCTTCTGATTTCAGCCTGTCACTTGATGAGGTCCCTGCTATTTATATTTTTGTTTGTTAGAAGGGAGCGGGGGAAACATAAATAAAGCCCGGGCAAACCCAACCACCCTGCTGGATATGAAGGGACTCCCTCATATTGTGGCAGCAGGGCTGCCTAACTGGTATTTAAGCAGGGACCAAGAGGTCCACACTGTGAATGCCGTTGAAAGGGTTACTGGGAAATGCAAACAAAAACAACATGCAAATGAGGCTGCCAGCAACAGGTAGACTTAATCAGATGCTGTCAGATGAATTCAGCATCTCCCCGATTGTCGCCTCTCTTTGCCTCCCATTCGAAAGCCCTCATCTGCTCCAGATGTGGTTTAATTTACTGCGACTTGGCTAATTACTGTAATTAAGGATTAATTACTGTTAATTACTTTCACATAAACTCAACGCCAGTCAAAGAGCAGAGCCTTATGAAGTCTGCCACAGAAGTGAGCATGAGCTCGGCGGCCTGTGTGAGCTCTGCAGGTCTCTATGTATCGCCTGGGCCCCTGCTGCCACGAAGCTTCCTGACCTTCCAGCATCACCAGTGGGATGGGAGTTCAAAGGTGGGAGAGGGGTCAGTGCTCAGGCCCTCATAGTGCGTCAACTACCAGGCACTTTCCTACACAGTGGGCAGCCAGAAGAACAGGGACAATGTTGGGGAGAGGGCCCGGACAACCTGGACAGTGATGCACGAAGCACCAGCCTTTCCCAGCAAGTGTGGAAGCCAGTCTTTTATTCTTTCTCTGGTGCTACACTGTTGGCTTTGTGAGCTAGTGAAGCCAACATTCTGTGTTGGTGCTGAGGTATGGGAGATGTTCACCACAGGTAATTGGAACAGAAATAAACTTCTCTTTTTAAAACATGGTCTTATTTTTGAAGTAAGGAATTGATAAAAGGATGGTTACTCATACTGCGTGTACCTAATTCTACAAATATGAGGATTAGTGCCACCCCAAATACCTGTTCCCCAACTTCACATGGATTCTCAGTTTTGCCAGTTAATGTTTTCACTTTTTCTAGAGAAATTAGTGACTGTAGGACTATTAAAAATGTTCCCCTTTCCTTAATTCTTGAAATCAATCTCCTTCTAGCAGATGACATTGCCTTCTAGTTCATGGAGGAAGTGGAATCCTTTAATCTTGAACTTTCTCAATCTCCCTGTACATTTTCTTCAAATGTATCTATTAGGTTGGTGCAAAAGTAATTGAGGTCTTTCCATTACTTTTAATGGCAAAGACCGTAATTACTTTCGCACCAACCTAATACACTTTTTTTCTTTTCTCCTTTCTCAGTAAGAATCTCTCTGTTCTGCATAAAGATGATTCCTCTACCTGTACACCTCATACCAGCCTCCTGTCTTATCTGTCATGCCCTTTGATGTTTCCTTCTCTGTAGCCGACAGACATTCTCTTCCAACCTAGAGAACCTACAGAAATTACAGAAACCTTCCCTTGACTGGATCTTTCTTAGCTATATACAGTCTTTCTCTTTTTTATGTCGTCTGAATTCTCAAAGACAGAAATCTACACTTCCTCAACCCACTTTGGTCTTCCTTTGTCTCCATCTTTGACTGATATTTTTTTCTAGTCAGTGTCACCAGGACTCCACAGTTGCTTAATGCAATGTATATTTTTCAGTCTTGATCTTATTGAGCCTCTTTCTTAGCAGTATTTGATACTTCATGACTTCTCAGAAGCTCTACTCCCTTGACCTCTGTAATCCTCGGTATTTTTATTCTCCCTATTGGGCATCTTTTCTCACCAGGTTCTGAGATATTGATGTTTCTGTTGAGTTCTGACTTCAGACTGGCTCTGCATGGATCTCATTCTACATTCTTGTTGAGGGATCCCATCACTCTCAGGGTGTTTGTGACTCACCCACTAGACTGAGAACTTCTTGATGTCGGACCTTGTGACTCATTCATTGTTGTATCCCACAAGGACAGAATGCCATTATCAACACAATGGGTCCCTCCTGCTTGATGGACCATGGAACCTTGGGTCCTGTGCATCTCTGTGAACCACCAAGGGTACATAGGGCCTTATTTCCTGTGTCGCTTTCACCCTTGCACAGGAGGATTTATCTGCTGGGTATGAGACAGGTCTTTGTGACATTTTAAAAAAATCATAGGACTATACTGTTTCAAAGGAGGCCCAAAGGAGGTTTGAATAGCAAAATTCAAACAGTACATTGATGGTACATAAAAGGAATACTGGGTATACTATGTAGTATGTTTTTGTTCTATATACTAAAACCTGTTTACCTGTTTGCACATAAGTAAGGCTATCTTCATATTGACTAGATGATAAAGCTCAAGTGTAAAGGAAACCTTAATTTGGGACTAAGGAAACAGGGAAATTAAGTTTTTAATATATCCAATTAAAATTTTTAATAAAAATGTTTAACAGTCTTATATTTGAATTAATTATAAGATTTTTTCTGTTGCATTAAATCATTTTATATCTTATGCTAAACTTGACCGACTAAAAGAAAACAACTTTTATGCAATTAAACTATTTGTTTTTTAAACAGACCCTTTTGTGTTTGCTGAATCGGCAGAAATGTTCTACTAATTTTTTTCTGTGGTTGACTAATTAGCAAATGGATTGCTGGGCTTTGGCGTATGCATGCACATATTTACGTACCAAATATTGCTATGTTGTGTAAGTGTGGATTCATTTTGTATGTGTGCTCTGTATTTTTCACTACATGTTTGCTGACTGTGATTTTAATGGACATTTGAATGCATGTGATTTCAGTGGGTGTGCACTTTACATACATTTCAAATACGTTGGATCCTACCACTATGTACTTTGGAGTTATCTCCTTTCTCATTTTCTCCAAGAATTTAGTTGTAAGCAGTATGTTACTGAACATTCAGATTCCCAGTAATGGCTTGAAGGAAGCATTTCTTGTATACAATGAACCCGAATCAACTTCTGTGAATAACTCATTTGCATTTTTAAAATACAGAAAATATAAAAACTACAATACTAAATTAGTCAGCTACAACCTATTATTTCTTGTCTGAATAATTAATTCACAATTTGAATTTCTCCCTGAAAGTGATTTTTGTTTTGCAAGCCATCAGATAGTGTGCTTGCCATTACTCACCAAGTTCTAACTCATAAAGTTATGGATTGAGTACTCTTTGCCCCATATATGAAATGGATATAAATGGTTTACTTAACAAACATGTATGGAGTGCCTGCTGTATGTCACACATAGTATAGGCCCTGAGGATAATATGGTATTAAATTTTCTGTGGTGATGAATTATATACACTATGATAAAATTAATAATACAGCATTACAATGAGTAAAAATTATTGTTTGATATATTGAACAGTTGTTTCTCTTGTCGTTATATTTACTTAAGTGCCTGGACAGCATGCAAGGGGGGAGGAATAGAAAGATGAAATTTTATATGATGGTACTGTGATCTGGAGAGGGAATATTCATACACTAACTTTCTGCTATTACTTTAGGAATATCTCTGAAGTAAAGAAGTATGGAATAAAGAGATAATATTATGACTTATTATTTTCCAAGCTGGATAGATAAGATGAAAAGGGAAACAAAGAATACTCCAAATGCTTCTATAATGCACTTTCAAAAATATACATCTCCAGCTAAAATTTAATGTAAATGCTTAATTTGCTTGATTATAGGTATTATGCAGTTATTTACACTATACTGCGTAAGCTATAGTGCTCTATAGTTTTAGCTCATCTATAATGCATTGATAATGTAAATGTATTCATACTTTTATCACCACAATTATTTGAAAAAATCTTGCTTTTGTAAAATGAACTGTTTAGATAGAAGTATCCATTACACTTGGCATTGTAAGAATGTATTGACTGCTTAGAAAGGGCCAAAATAAATATCCCTAGATATGCATAATTTATATATGAGATTAAGTTATATGTATTATGCGTCTATAAAACATGTATGTTTTTGCTGTCGCAGATTTAATGTAAGTATAGATTGGTATTGGTCTGTGCCTACATGTATGTGCTCCATGAGTACAGAATCAGGGAGTTGTATATAAAGGCCTCATTGATGATAGTGGGAACAAAGCTGAAAAGAGAGCAATTGAGAGAGAAAGAGGGAGAAGGAAAGAGAATAGTAGTGATTAAGCTAGCATTGTTCTATACAGATCGCTAGCTGCCTGCTATTGTTTTCCAGCATTTGAAGATGAAACATATTCATTTAGCTTTCAGAACGAATGGCTTTAATAAGGGCAGAGCGGGAGAGGTGGGGTAACACTGATGACTAGAGAGACCCATCAAGGCTCCCCCTAAGGCCATTCCGTCAGTGCTGAGGACCACATGACCATTAACTCTGCAATCAGGACAAGTTTTCAACATTCCGGGGTATCCTTCAATGGCAGAAAGAGTCATTTGGAGTCAAGAGAAGATGTATATCAGCAGTAATTGGATTCTGGCCAAGGCTCTTAAGACAGTATTATCTATGGTGAGGGAACAGGGAGGGGCTGGACAAAGCATGAGGCATGTGATTCAAGCCATAGCTGAGAGAGCAGTAGCCACTACAGGCCACAGGCTGCCGGCACAAAGAGCAAGCAGTTTGTTTGCTCAGGAGTCATTGTGGCTTGTCTATGGATGTGAGCAATCCTCCATCTCCAGCAGAAACTGGCTTCTGAATATCCTGCAAGTCAAAACGTTGGGCTCAAAAGATGAGGCCATCCTGGTTGCACTTGACTAGACAAAGCTATTGAAGGCCTGAAAGTGCCCCATCCAGCCTCTTCCCACTGCAGCCCCTCTCCCCTCCCTTCACCCTGACTACTTCATTACAATCTGCCTTCAGGCCGGAATTGCCCTGCTTAAGCCTCAAATCATTATAATTACCATTATTAGAAATAGCTGCGGGGGAGGCATTGGAACACCAAGTAAAAATGTGTGAGTGTGTCCGCTGGCCCTGGAATCACTCTTTTTGAGCTCGGGGGAACCACAAGGCATGAGGGTTCCACCAAAGCCAGCTAATGCGACGGCTGTCAGCTCCACTCACCCCACCTGTCAAGAGGGGGATGCAGTGGGGTTCATTTTTTTAATTGACACCTTCCTCTCTCATTCCACGCTCTCTCGTCTCAACCTAATTCCTCCTTTCATCTTCCTTCTTTTCTCTGAGAAAAATTCATTCCTCTGTTATTTGAATAAAGAAAAGGGAAAAAGCCACAGAAGGAACAATGACATATACATTATCCTCCAGAAAATACATAGATTTTAACAAAGGCAGAAGTCAGGAAATGCACCAAAAGTCAGAAGAATAATTGTGAAGCAAATATGAGGCAGACAAGATGGACAGATGGAGGAGAGAGATGTAGGAAAGAAAGCCAGCAAAACAGGATGGAAAGAAAGGGGGAAGGAGAGAGAACATGCATAAAAATCAGAGGGAGAATCAAGTAGAGAAGAGCTAGTGAGAGTACTGTGTTTCTTATTGTCTAGTTTACTTCTAGTCCTTCTTTAAATGAAGGCTAGAGTTTCACTCTATTAAAAGAAAGGAGAGTGGGAATATGGTGGAGCCAAAAAATAGATAACATGTGAATATGCCTTTGATTTTCAGCTCACAAGTAGTCCTTTCTATAGGTATTCAAGAGGGATTATGAGATGAGATAGGATTCAGTGCCGTTGACAGAGACCCAAGGAGACAAGAAAGGTGTGTGTCTAAGTGGATTCCACCAAACAGTGGTGCCTGAGCATCTTCTTGCCTTGACTTTTAGCAGTCCTGAGAAGTCCGCCCATTTTCTCAGCACCTGATGGCGGAACTCCACCAGAAAAGCTCCAAGTACAGGCCATGGACTGACAAGCTTTTTAGTTCTTCGAATGGTCATTTATTTTCAGTTAGATTGGCACACATCACGTTAGTAGTGTCTAGAGATGTACTGGATAAGTCGTCTAAATAAAAAACTAAATTAGGATGAAATTAGAAAAATATATAAATATATCAGAGTTTTTCAGTATTGATATCCATTGTTTTTATTTTTGATCAATGAGGTATAATTCACATAAATAATTCACCAATTTTAAGTATACAGTTTGATGAGTTTTGATAAACATTTTTATTTTATTTTACTTGTTTTTTTCTTTCCTTTTTTTTTGTTTTTTTTTGAGACAGAGTCTCTGTCACCCAGGCTGGAGTGCAGTGGCATGATCTCAGCTCACTGCAGCCTCTGCCTTCCGGGTTCAAGAGATTCGCCTGCCTCAGCCTCCTGAATAGCTGGGACTACAGGTGCACACCACCATGCCCAACTGATTTTTGTATCTTTAGTAGAGACAGGGTTTCACCATGTTGGCCAGGCTGATCTCGAACTCCCGGCCTCAGGTGATCTGCCCGCCTTGGCCTCCCAAAGTGCTGGGATTACAGGCGTGAGCCACTGTACCTGGCCTGAGTTTTGACAAATATATGTTTTCCTCTCTCCAGTCACAATCCCAATAAAGACAAGAGCATTCCCATCACACCGAAAGGTCTCCTCATGCCCCTTTACAGTCAACCTTCCCCACCTCCCCCCAACCGGTGCCTGGCACCCACTGATCTGCTTTCTGTTGCTATTTATAAGCTCTTCTAGAATTTCATTCTTTAAATGAAATTATATGGAATATAGTTGTGTCATGCTTCATATATATATATATGGCTTTTCATGTGTAATCTAAAAATAATGCTTTGAGATGTATCTACATTGTTGCTTGGCTTAATAGTTTGTTGTTTCTGAGTAGTATTTTATTGTGGGAATAGACCACAATGTGTTTCTTCGTTCATCCATTGATGAACATTTGGATCATTTACAGTTTGGGGTTCTTAAGAATAAAGCTACTGTGAACATTTGTGTGCAAATCTGTGTGTGGCATATATTTTCACTTCTCTTAGATAAATATCTAGGACTTGTATTCCCAAGTCATACGGTAACTCTCTCTCTATTTGGAGACAGGGTCTCTCAGGCTGGAGTGCAGTGATACAATCCTCTAGCTCACTGTAGTCTCAAAATCCTGGGCTCAAGCTATACTGCTGCCTCAGCCTCCCAAGTAGATAGGATTATAGGCATGTGCCACTATACCTGGCTGATTTTTATTTTCAATTTTTTTCTAGAGATGGGATCTCACCATGTTGCCCAGGCTGGTCTCAAACCCCAGACCTCATGCAATTCTCCCAAAGTGCCACATTATAGGCATGAGCCACCACATCCTGCAATATATTTAATTTCATAAGAAACAACCACACCATTTTCCACAGTGGTTATGCCTCTAACCCCTTCTGGAAGGAGACCATATCATCTTTTCCATACAGGACAAATTAAATGAGGTATTACAGATAGTGATAGAAGTAGGCATGGCTGATATATAGGCTTCCTGTGCACTATAAAGCTGTCCATGCTCAGATGCATAGTTCAAATTAATCATTAGTCAACCTAGTTAAATTGTGCAGTTATTTTAAAACAACAGAAAACTACTTTGCGAGGTTACATGTCACAGTTTCTCTAACATCCTACTTGGGCCACACCTTTTCCAAGAAACCTTCCCTAAGTAACTCATCCTTACTTCTCATTTCTTCCACTATTATTTATGTAAATTATATTGTAGACAGTATTTTTGTAACTATTTAGTTGTTTCTAGTTGGTGTGATGGCTTATTTCATGATATGTTTTGGTATAGGTTCAAAATTGGGGAATAGTTACTGGGCTCCATGTACCCTGTGTGTTCAGTACATTCTTGAGTAAGCGAACCTAGTTTCCAGAAGCTGTAGTCCAGAAAACTACCACTCTCTCATCTAAAATAAAATATCTTAAATAACACATAAGGATTCCCCTGGCGCAAACCAATCATAGACGTACACTCGCCTGCGATCCAGTATATGTGTTTCTGTTCATTTGCCTAAAATGGGCTCCACATTCAGCTCCCTACCTTTGAGTAAATAATCATGCGATAAAGCTCAAGAAATACGTGGTTGTGGGTTTTATTTTTCCACCTCGGCTGCTGATGTGTTACCTAGCAGGCTGTGTTCTACACAGGGCTTGGTTCTCTCTCACAGCTTGTGGTAAGCGAAATTATTCCAAGATTCAATGAATACCTGCTATTGAGCGGCTTCCCTAACCACCCAAACTGGTCTTTTGTTAGTGGTTATTGAGAGGATTGTCACAGCCATTGACCTACGCAATTTTACTTCAAAAGAAATGAGCATTTTTCTTCCCCTTTCATTTCTAAAAGCAGATATGGCAATTTGCTTAAATTGCTGTCTTTAAAAGTTTAGATGATTATACTTTTTCCCCCTTGCCTTTTTTCTTCCTTTTCATTTAAGCAGCACAGTGCCGTCTCTTTTTCTGGGATTGGACACGGTTCCTGCTGCAGGGTTCATGAAGTGGTTGTGCATGTGTGTGTGTGTGTGTGTGTGTGTGTGTGTGTGTGTATGTATATTATCTCCTTACACATTAGTGTTCATTTGTCTGAGAACTCTTTTCAGACAAAGTAAGGCTACGTTGAACTCTTCGATTAACATTTTATATTTTAATGCTAGGGTTCATTTTCTCTAGGCCCCAATACTAGAGGTTTGCGGGTGAAAATAAAATGAAAATACACCTAATGGAAAAATCTCTGTCTCTTTATGTAGGAAGATATGGTAGCAACTAGCCTCAGAGACTTAGGAGTAGGCAAGATAGGTTACACCTTCAAGATTTTATGTCTGAAGAAGAAACAGAATTTGATCTAAATGTAGGAAGAGGAAATAAAAGGTGCCTGTGAAGAACTAACGCTAGGAACACAGGGAAGAAAGAGATGAAGATGAAAGGTTACGGCTAGTTGGCAGAGGCCAAGAGAGCATCCTATTCTTAGACCCAGCACCTTGGATCTAGTTTCCCTGTGTTGCAGTTATCTCTACTATGATGTGCAACAAACCATACTGAGCCATATACTTGATGCCATATACTTTATACGTGCCAAAGAATATGATGCAATAAATACATTTTAAATTATAGTATGGAAAAAATAAAAAAAAAATGAAAAGACTCAGTTCTGTCTTCAGGGAACTCACAATCTAGTAGCCAGACTTTATCCCTAATAGGGATAAAGGAGCTGTATTGCAAATAGGCCACCATATCAGAGTGGAGACCAGTTGATGTAAAAAGCAAACCCATAACTATCTTTGGTGATGGTAGGCTGAACCCCTCAAAGCTCAGAACCCACTGATAAGGGTTTGTGTAACATGTAGTTAGTATATTTACTGAATACCTGATTATGTGCCAGATATTGTGTTAGGTGTTTGGGATACAAAGATGAATTCATTAATTAATTCACAAAATATTGAATGTGCATCTATTATGTGCCAGACATGTATAGACATTATCTTCGCTCTCAAGGAACTTGCAGTTGGTGTAGAAGACAGATATATAACACTGAACTCTTTTCAGTACTTAATAAGAAGTACTTTATAATGTAGATATTTTGCTTAATTCTATGGGAAGATAGAAAAGGGGATCTTATTCTGCCCATGGGATATTGATATTTGATCAACTGTTACTAGATGTGGAATTAAGATTTGGAGATTATCGAACTTTAAATACTGTTAAATATGGCAGCCTGAGTAAAAATGTAAATATGAAAATCTTACAAGAGCTAATAATTTATGTCTGTGTGAATGCTCATGTTTGCATTAATAAAGGTTTTATTTAGTAATTGATTTTCCCTGTCTGCCTTGGCACTATGTAGGATTAATCGTTTTGCCTATCCTCGATATGGTATAGATTGTGAAGCACATTTTCTAAAACATAAGCAAAGAAGTTGCTCAAGGATATAACTCGAGGATATAACTCAAGGATATAACCCATAGTCCTTGTGGCTATTTGAGACTCATGAAGTGAAGGCAGCATTCGTGGGACATGAGGAAGAGATCTCTGGACTCATAGGGCCAGAAGGACTTTTTGGTAAAATTCCTTTTTCATATGATTCACATGTATGCCTTCATTATTCCAAAGAATGTCAGACAGATTTTCAGGAATATAAATTGCTATTTCTGTTAAGCAGCCTCCTCAAAGCAGCCAGAAAGGTCTTTTAAGTCAAATGTATTTCAGATCCAAGAGAGCAAGAACAATGGTATACTAGGTCATATGGTCTTTTGGCCCTGCCATTTAAATATAATATCTGTACAAGGAAGTAACTGCAGGAGTAGTCTGTATATTCCTGTTGGTTGGCTGGTGGGAAGGTAGCTAACCTTTTGTTTCTTTCTTTTTCAGTACACTGCTTTAATAAATGGTAACAGTGCTTTAATAAGTCCCCTGGCCATCATCTTACTTATGATCTCTAGATGAAGACCACTGTGTGAAACTGGTATCCTAGGAGGTTGGAGTGAGCATGTATGAGTGAGTGTGTGTGTGTGTGTGTGTGTGTGTGTGTGTGTGTTGCTTGATTTATAAACCACTGAAGCCCGATGAAGTACTAGGGTGAAAATCACCTACGTTTCCAGAGGAAAAAAATGTCACCATCAATTCCAAGAGGGACTTGTAAACCTGAAACTAACAGCCAATGGTTTAATTTTTTTAAGGTAGATTTTTTTTTTAACATTTCTAGGCTTACTATATTCTATCTGGAAAAATATAAATTTATGGGCAAAAAGAAAAGCTGAGAGTCGTAGTTTTCATGGGAGAGCCAAACAAAAAATACCCATTATTGAAAGGCAGTCTTTCAGGGATTCTTGAAAAGAAAGGTAACCTTTCTTATTCATAGTGCAGTTACCTCTTGAGAAACTGCAGATTAGGGAAACCTGTAGATATTTTATTCTATCTCAGGTAGGGAAAGACAAGCCTTCAAAGGCTTTTAATGACAGGGTATCTGTATTACTTACGGATTGGAAGGCCCATCATGTATTCAATATCAAGGATCACAAAGCCAGGAGTGGTGGCTCACGCCTGTAATCCCAGCACTTTGTGAGGCCGAGGCCATTGGATCCCTTGAGGCCAGGAGTTCAAGACCAGCCTGGCCAACATGGCAAAACCCCATGTCTACTAAAAATACAAAAATTAGCCAGGCATGGTGATGCACATCTGTAATCCCAGCTACTTAGGAGGCTGAGGCAGGAGAATTGCTTGAACCTGGGAGGCAAAGGTTGCAGTGAGCCAAAATCATGCCAGTGCACTCCAGCCTGGACAACAGAGTAAGACTCTGTCTCAAAAAAAAGGATCACAAAACTTGGTTTTCAGTACAGTAGTAGATCCATTTTAAACCAAAAAGTAAGTACATAAATAAAAGACACATTGAGGCCAATATCTACGTTAGAACTCAGGTATCTACTTAAGGAAATTGCTATATAAAAACAGTCCATTTTTAGATAACCTTGTCCTAACCTCCCTCTGACTTAAAAAATGAAATTGGAGAGCGGCTGCTTGACCCAAAAAAGACCACATGAAGATCAATTTAACCAAATTTGGGCTTTTATTTAAATATCTACAGAATGAGGTTAATAGTCCTGGCCAGCTTGCTGCTTGAAAATGCTAGAGGCATGGCTTCTGAAAGTGACTGTAGAGCGGTTGACAGAGATGAATGTGAAATAGTAATGAATAACTTCATAATAGAGCAGAGATGTCATGGCTTTGCATACAGCTTTGACTCCAATAATACGATCCACTCTGCTGAAATGGGGTCAGTTCCTGACAAACAGCAATGTAAGCCAGTGAAGAAGATTCCTACAGGGCCAGAAACAGTGATGGGGCTAAGCCAGAGAAACCCAGCTAGCCTAAAGGGGGTGCCTGTAGTGGTATTTTAGCTATTGTATTCCTTCCGTACAAACACCCAGTCGATGGCTACACAATAAGATGGCCATGATAATAGTAATATGTATTGCCATGATAACAGAATTGCTAATGACTCTATTGGCCTGTTTTGTTCATCTCCTTTTCTCATTGCAATCTTAGAATTTTGGTTGACTCTGACATGTTGAATTGTGTGTTTTTTAAATTTTTTTCTTTATATCTTTTTAAATAAGGCATCCTCAGGACTCAAGGATATAATACTCCTAGCCCTTGGATCCACTAGTTTGATCTTATTACTTGAAATTTACATTCTACTGCTGCTGTTGGAAGCGATGTGTTTCCAGTGCTCACTTTTGCATGGCACTATGCTGCACCCCTTAGAATTTATTAAGTGGTATTTAAGAGAAGGTGCATCATCTTTTATATATGTTTCCAAAATTGATGCTAAGGGAATCCAAAATTTTGTCAGACAGCTTACTAACACTGTATCAGTTAAAGTTAAGTCTCTCAGCCAAGCACATTAAAATAAAATTAAAAAATGGTGGCTTAAACAAAGTCATGGAATAGAATTCCAGAGGTGGGTCATTAGGGAGCCAAAGGCCTTTATGAAGGGGATTTTCTACCCATCACATCAATGTTCCAGGCAAAAAGGAAGGAAGGAGAAGACTAGAATGGGAATACTTCTCAACTGAGTTAGTTCTTTTAAGAAGCCTTCTTAAAACTCCAGTATAACACTTACATATATGTACAGTTATCCAGAACTTAGTCCTATGGCTACTCCTAGCTGCGAGGGAGGCTAAGAAATGTAATAATTTACCTGGGCATATTACTTGAATAAACTGGAGTTCTGTTTCCAAGGAGGAAAGGTAGAATGGATATTGGCTAGGTAACTAGAAGTCTGATGGGAACTTATGGACACGATTGATTAGTCTTGATTACTTCACTTCCACATTTGTCCCGCAGCACCAGGAGATACACCAGGAGCTAGGGTCACATGAGAGGGTGATGGCATAATTTCAGGAATATAAGAAGACACAGGCAAACTCTTCCCACATACTTGGTGATGGGAAGTGAAAGTCAGAAATTCAAAATCATGTGTCTGACTCAAGAGGGGATTATATTTCCTAGGTTTATTTCTAGCCTAATCTTGTAACTTTGGAGGAATTTCTCTTCTCTGTTCCATAGTTCCTTACTGCCTTACTATGTTTGAATTGAGATATCAAAAATTTCTCATACTTACTACCAAAGAATTTCCAACCACAATGTCTTAGATACGTCTAATGAGCAAATAATTATTGAACAGAGCCCCTCTTAACTGAAACAACAATAATACTCATGGTTATACCAACATTTTTGTAGCCTCCATAGGTACCCAGTGCAATTCAAATTCAAATGCCTCATTAGATCCTCTCAGAACTCTTTAAGACAGAGGTAGGGTCTCATCTATGGGAGAACATCCTGATCTGGCGGGATCCCCTCTGCATCCCCAGTAGCTAGAAGAGTGCCTGGCACAGAGTCATTGCCCAGTAAATAATTTCTCCCCACTTTCCCATAGGCACTGTCTACTCAGGGACATAAGGGTCAATTCAAAAAAGACTGCAGACGTGGCCTCTGCTCTTAGAGAGTTGTTGATCAGGAGGTAGCAGATAGGTAGGTAATCTGAGGACATTTTTTTCAGCAGCATAGGCAAAAATTGTATATATGTCCCAAACCTTAGTTGAGCTATTGGGCTCTCATCTTATCTAAGAAGACAGTGGTGGGGGTGGTGGTGGGTGGGAAGAGAAAGGAGGGATTGCGTCTTGGTTGATTGCCCGTCACCTGCCAGACTCTAAGCCATGTAATACACCAAACTTACAAGGTAATGTTTTTATTCTCTACAACAGACTTGCAAAGTACTGTTTCTATTCCCATTTTCAAAGACCGGGAAACTGAGTCAGAGAGCAGCAGAACGTTGCTGAAGGCCACATATCTAATGAGTGGCAAAGCCGATATTAAAATCCATATTTTTTTCCGCTATGCCACATTGCCTCTCCAAGGAAAAATAGCAAAGCAGGAAGTTTAGACTATATAGTGAAAAATAGATGGAAAGCATGGGCCACAGATTGAGCAATGGCCTGGAAATTAGAATTACTGAATTCTCTCTTTTCTCAACACTGCCCTGGGACTTTCCTTTATCATCGCAGACTGTGTATTAAAAGTCCTTTGTAAAGGATGGAGCCCTATACAAGTGATATTTCATCTATATAACTGTTATAGATAATAACAGTTTTATCTATAACTACATTTCTACCCTTATAAAATTGGGTTAATATTATTTTTTCACCAAAGTGCTCTAATAGCATGTTGGAAAGTGCTCAGAGAACCACAAATGATGAACCTTTTAAACATCACCACTTGTCAACGCAGGAACTGTGTAAAGTGATTTGAGGTCTTCTAATTGAGCTGCATCATCTAAATTTAAAGCACCCAAAGAAGGTAGTAGTAATAGCAACAATATCAGTTCAATAGTAATTAGTAATAAACCTAGTCAACCAGCTACAGGCTGGGCTAAAGCTTCTAAGCATTTTCTGCCAGAGAGAATTTACTCCTGCTCTGAAGTGTCTAATAAGGACATTAACAGAGCTGAGAGCCCATCTGCGATAGGACTTTTCCAAGAGCCTTCAGAAAAGTCTCTTAATTCTGCTGTGTGCCTTCATATATGCATACATGACTGAACGTAACTGACCTGACATTGCTGAGTTCCATTCTCCAAATACTCTTCCCAGTGCAGCCAGAATTAAATCATTGAGTCATGTGCCTCTAGAGGATCGTTCCTATTGGCCCCCTCCATACATGGTAAATATCATGATCAAACAGTCACTGACCTGTTGCTCGCACATGGCCCATGGCATCACCTAGAGAGGCATACGATTATTTTATAATAGAACATTAGTACATGTATATTTTTAAATGGCTATTCTAAGTATTTCAAAATGAAGTGTTAAATTAATTTTCCTTCAGCCAAAGAAAAGCTAGAAAAGTCAGCTTTTAAGTTTCAAAGTATGTAGAGGTATGTTTCCTGTGTTTGGCATCTTGGTCATGCAAGAGGTTCAGTGCAGACTGTATAGGGTATAGTTATAAGAAGTACCTCACTCGCAAGTCTCAGTTGCTTAGCATGAAATTCATAGGTAAAAGTGGTAACAAGTAGTAAAATTGTAAATGTAATTTGAGAAAGCTATGGTAAATAGTTGTCTTTTTTTCCTAAACTATTCTTTTTTCTTCTTCTTCTTCTTCAAGATGGAGTCTTGCTCTGTTGCCCAGGCTGGAGTGTAGTGGCACGATCTCAGCTCACTGCAACCTCCACCTCCCAGGTTCAAGTGATTCTCCTGCCTCAGCCTCTCGAGTAGCTGGGATTACAGGCATGTGCCACCACGCCCGGCTAAGTTTTGTATTCTTAGTAGAGACGGGGTTTTACCACATTGGCCAGGCTGTTCTCGAACCCTTGACCTCATGTGGCCAGGCTGTTCTCGAACTCTTGACCTCGTGATCCACCCGCCTCAGCCTCCCAAAGTGCTGGGATTACAGCCATGAGCCACCACGCCTGGCCCTTTCCTAAACTATTCTTATCTCGATTTTTATCAGCCCTCATTTTGATAAAGCAGTTTTATATTGCTTTTATGTGAATTATCTCCTATGTTTTACAGAGAATTCCAGTGGATTCTCATGGTTCCAGTGAGTGCATGGGGTAGGGCTGATGGGGTTGCTGGCAGAAGAGCTATTACAAGATCCTACTCTTCTGATGTAGGGCCATTTGGGCCTCTTTTGCATATCGGGCTTCTTAGTAATCTTAAGAAAGGAGTTCATGTTTCAGGAAATTCTTTTGAAAAATCACTGCATTTTTTCATTTCATTCTCTCCAGAAATCTTTGAGGAGATATTGTTGTTCCTATTGTGCAGGTGAGGAATTGAGGCTTAAACAGATTGAGTTTCCAGAGAGTACCTAACTCAAAATTTGCTGAGTACCAGCTCTAATTCTGATCTTCTGACTCTACCATTTGTGTTCTTACCACTAAATACTGCTAGTTCCTTTTTCCAAATTTGAAATACCAGTAAATTTGAGAATGATCTTTTTTAAAAAAATAGGCTTAGGCTGTAGAGAGTACTATGTTTGTAACTCTCCTACTTATGTAAATTTAGCATCTGTATATGTATGAATCATGTATATATATATATATACACACACACACATATGTATGTATGTATTTTATATACATACATATTTCAAAGTACAAAAAGGTAGACTGAAGCTATTCACAGAAGATAACTTTGGTCATGCTTATATTCTTGGCCTGTTATGGATGTAACATAACAGTATGTTTCTGTATATTTTGTGTTCTGCTAGATAGACTTTAGGTTAGAACAGCCATTGACTTTGTGTGTCCTTAAGGAAGTAACTGTGTCTCTCTGAATCTTGAATGACCACGGGCACACTGGAAATGAAAGTATTTGCCAGTTTCCACATGAAAAGTGAGTAAAGCAGGATTTTGCTTGCTGTCTCTTCTTAGGCTCAGGGTTAGAGCAACTGTAAAATAATTAATAATCCTCTCATAGAAAAATTTGCTGGACTTTAATGATGCTTAAGTAATCTAGGACTCAACCTGAGATACTATGATACCAAGGTAGTGGCTATCTATGCATTCACAGAGGAATTGTGTCTAGCCCTAGGGTATCCTGGGGCTAGACAGCTTTAGAATTTTGTTTAGATTGGAGGTTGAGAGCTAGAAGATAAAGGTTTACAAATTAGAACAGCAACATTTTTTAATCCACCTCCCAATTATACACAAATCATGAGTATGCATCATAAGTAAATGATGCATGCCAAGCAGTTCATGAAAAGAGGTGTACCCACTATTCTTACTCCAAAATGATCAAGTTTAGCCATTGTGATAAACAGTATGGGCACCATTCGTGTTTTTGCTTTTGAGTTTTTGTTTGTCAAGCCACAGCTAATTATACAAGCAGACTAGCAGGATTTGAGATGCAAAGTGTTAAAACTAATAGTGTATGTCAAATCCTTTATTAAAAAGTACATGATAAAGAAAGATCATGTCACACCATAAATAGTAATTGTACAATACAAAAGGTGTGTGTGTCTCCAGGGTACGTGGAGAGCCAGTTCATTGAGGTTCGACTGACTTTCCTCGCCTCACGTTTCCTGCTGGCTTCTAGAAGCAGTCATGTGGATCAGAGGCCAAGAGATAATTAAGTGGAAATAAGAACTCTATATCCGGCCTCTTTGGAAAGAGGTAGCAAATCCTCCTAATCAATTCTGATTCCTGCCGGCTTTGTTGCCTAAGGTCAGCTTAACAGTCATTAGAAGAGGTCACGGCAGGCTCTGTGATCTCTATCATCTAAGGTTAAATAATACGTCATTAAAAGGGTCAATCAGAAAAGAGCAGATTCTTTCCCTGTGATTCACATATTTTGCAGAAGCTTCTGGCTTGGAATTTCTATCGCAAGTTTCAAATCTCACAGCAGAAATGTTTACACATTGCAGTTTGGCTGAATTCAGAGGAAGCTTTCCTGGATCTCTGATGAGAATGAGAATTGTGGTCATGGGAAGCATATGGCCATGACATTCATCCCTTACTCAAGATAAGCTGAGGAGCAAGGTCAACACATTGCATCAGACCTCAAATGAAGACTGGAACATATCACCCTAACCGCATGGGACTAGGATGGGGTGAGCACTGGGGCAGGAGCAGTGGTGTGTGATGGAGGGGTGGAGGAATCTTTCTCCACTCCAAGATGGGATCAGAAATGTAGGAGGAAGCCAAAAAGAGCAAGCTCACCACTCTTGGCATATTTTTTCCACCTTGACATTGATAGCTAGACCTCACTCCTGGTTGGGAAATTTTCTAAGCTACCAAGAATAGGAAAAAAATCAACCATAACTAAAGCCCTTTGAGATATTCTTCCTTGTCTTCATGAACAGGACAATATTAAAACATTACAGAAAGTCTGGAAAACAAAGGGAAAAAAAAGCTGATAGCCCTGCCCTTCAAATATACAACTCATTGCATTTTTAGTAATGCCCCCTTTCAGTTTTTAATCTATTTGCATATATAATATATTAGCTAGCTAAAATTGGAACATAAACAATATATATCTTGCTTATTCATCTTACAACTTAATACAGAAATTTTCTGTTACTTTATTACTTTTTATAATTATTTTTAACAACTGCTTAATATTTCTCAGATAGAGTTTTAAGTATTATTACCCTACAAATAGGTGAAAGTAATGATGAATAGCATTTAGTATAGCCAGTCCTGGATAGACACAGAAAGAAAATGATACATTTTTGTTTTTCTCCTCCTTCAAATTCTGCCAAATGCCACTCATCAGCAATATAATAGTGAAATAAAGTCCATATTCAGGTATTTGATTTGGAGTTGCTGGAGATTTTTGGTAGATTTAATTCTTCACATGATTAACCCACTGTTATTAGCAAGGCTTGGACCCTTTGACCACAAAAAAACTTTTTAGAAGTACAGTAGCTGGGGGATGATTGGATGGGTGAGTGGATGGATGGATGGGAGGCAGAGCAAAAGGGAGAGAATGAATTTGTCATTGATCAAAGCACTGTGCATGGCTTAGGAGAACCGTGGACCAAGCAGGCCCGTATAGATGATCCACCCTGTCTGATGGTGATTACCAGCATCTGACAGATCAAGAGGATGTGGGAATGAGGGTTTGAATGAATGCAGATATTCATCGCTTGAGCCCAGGAGTTCCAGACCAGCCTGGGCAACATTAGTAAGACTGTGTCTCTACAAAAATAAAGTAAATTAGCTGGGCAAGGTGGCACATGCCTATAGTCCCAGCTACTTGGGAGGCTGAGGCAAAAGGATCACTTGAGCCCATGAGTTCAAGGCTGTAGTGAGCTATGATTATACTGCACATTAGCCCGGGTGACAGAGTGAGATCCTAACTCCAAAAATCGGAAGAAAAAAAAAAAGAGCTTTCAAACTGGGGGCTAGTTGGTGTGTGTGTGTGTGTGTGTGTGTGTGTGTGTGTGTGTACATGCACATGTGCATTCCCTGAATGCTCATTGCTAACTGTGTGTTGGCCTTTCTTACTAAAATGCATGTGTATATGTCTTTGTGTATGTATGAAATATCTGAGAATATAGTATTTAGACCCCATTAGTGAGGGTAAAAATATACAGATAAACTATATCATTTATGATTCTGATACGGCTACTGTCAAAATAACACAGTATTTTGACAGCTGCTTTATCTTTACTCTCACTGACTACAATAAGAAACTAGTTTCTTAGCAACTAAAATAAATTCTCAATCAGAGCTTAAAAAAATTTTTTTTAAGCCCACAATAGAAAAAATAGACCCATAGTTGGTGTCTAGGCAAGCTATTCCTATTGAGTGGGAATGAAATTTATCTGAAACATTCTGATACCCTTTGGCTGGTCCAGCTGCCCTTGGTTAGCACCAGTGGGGGCAGAGACAGTCAGAAGTAGCTTTCAGGAGGCTTGGGAAAAATGTTCATTGTTCTTTTTCTTTGTTTCAGTGGGTTCTTTTTAAAAACCATTTCTTATGTTATATACTAGGCTAGAAAGTACTATAAGAACTAGTACATAAGATCTGGAACAGAAAGCCTGCATTCAGATTTGTCTTCACTGTGACTTGTAGGCAGTGGCTTATATATCAGTTAATTAGCCAAAATGATAGCGGTAGAGGCTGGGGAAGCAAAAGAGAAATTTAGCTACTTCAGGCCTGTTGTGTTATGTCTTTAAAACATTTTGAAACCCCCTAAGGTAACAATTTTTAAATAGGGTCTAGGGATCCCCAACATTTCCAGGGAGACTATGAGGTCAAAAGTATATTGATAATGATTTTAAGATGGTATTTGCAGGCTGGGTGCGGTGACTCATGCCTGTAATCCCAGCACTTTGGGAGGCTGAGGCGGGCGGATCACTTGAGGTCAGGAGTTCAAGACCAGCCTGGCCAAGATGGTGAAACCCCATCTCTACTAAAAATACAAAATTAGCCGGGCATGGTGGTGCATGCCTGTAATCCCAGCTACTCGGGAGTCTGAGGTGGGAGAATCGCTTGAGCCCAGGAGGTGGAGGTGGCAGTGAGCTGAGATCACGCCACTGCACTCCAGCCTGGGTGACAGAGTGAGACTCTGTCTCAAAAAAAAAAAAAAAAAAGATGGTATTTGCTTTATTTACTCTCAGTCTTTTATGAATGTGTACAATGGAGTTTTCCACAGGCTTCATGTAATATTGTCACAGACTGAATGCAGAAACAAGAGAATCTGGCCATCTTCTTTTAAGTCAGACCTTAAAAAGATTTGTAAAAATGTAAAACTCACTCTTCTCACTAATATATTTGTTTCAAAAACATTTTTTATAGACATGGGTTATTTATGTTCAAATGTAATGGGTTTATTGCCCCCCTTTTTTTTTTTTTTTTTTGAGACAAGAGTCTTGCTCTGTCGCCCAGCCTAGAGTGCAATAGGGCAATCTTGGCTCAATGCATCCTCTGCCTCTGGGTTCAGGTGATTCTCCTGCCTCCGCCTCCCGAGTAGCTGGGGTTACAGGCGCCTGCCACCACGCCTGGCTAATTTTTGTATTTTTAGTAGAGGCAGGGTTTCACCATGTTGGCCAGGCTGATCTCAGACTCCTCACCTCAGGTGATTTGCCCACCTCGGCCTCCCAAAGTGCTGGGATTATAGGCATGAGCCACCACGCCCGGCCAGTTTATTGCTTTTAAATGAATTAATATTAAAAAATTCTTTAGTCTCAAATTTATGAATATTGATAAATATGACCTATATAAACAGAAGCTATTTGGAGTCCTCAATAGTTGTTAAGAATGTAAAGGGGTCTCAAGCCCAAAAGATTTGAGAAACACTGCTTCTAAAAACTGGCTGTCTGTACCTGTGTGTGATTCATAGGTTTGGCAAAGTCACCAACACTATTTCCTTTCAAATGCCAAGGGAGATTTTAACGTGGCTACCAAGAAACAAACAAGCGGAGATGTCAAACAGTTAATGTGTCCATTTAGACCCCTTTAAGGTTTTGTGTGTGTGTGTGTGTGTGTGTGTGTGTGTGTGTGTGTGCCCTCAGTGCTTAGATATGCAGGTAGATAGACACTTAGCTCTTAAGAAAGGAATTCATCTCTACTCATAATTTCCTTCTGCTGGTGCCATGGCAAGTGCATTTCTGAGTAAAGTAGTCTGTGTGCATAGGTGCCACCCTACCAAATACTGTGAGCCAGATTGCCATTCTGGACCAAGATCTGAGAAGGAAGACATAGGGGAGAATGCAGAATGTGGAAGGAGGAGAGGAGGGGATTGTTAATTAAGCTCTATTAAATATTAATTGAAATATAAATTTAAAACCTCACCAACTCCTGACAGTTATATAATCTAATTAAGTGGTAGGTCCTGTTGCCCCACAGTGTCTTTTGGTGTATTAGGGGAATAAAGTGATCTTCTTCTCATAAACACTATGAGGGCTTTATTAATCCAAGGTATTTGCCAATAAAGTAGATGGGAAAAGTGGCAATAATAATAATTTTATGGAACATGGAAGAATTGAAGGGGCAATTTTGATGTGGATAGGAGTGCAGTGAATCAGCTGCAGTGATCCACATGGAATCTGCACGCTTTGGCCTGTCATTGGGGTAAGGAAGATGAAGTCCTTGTGTACCATTCCACATTTACATGTATATTTTTTGCTCATGGAGAATGTATATTGAATCCCTGAGACCAGTTTTAATTTTATAAGCTGCCTTTGGTGGGGAAAATGGTAAGTCTGTGCATGTGTGTGTTTTATAATGAAAGTTTCAAAAGAATAAAACCTGGAAGGGTTGTGGAGATGAATTTGATTTCTTACTAGCAAACATGAGTAAGCCTGTATTTTGCAAATTTTCCAGCAACGGGGCTGTTGGAGAATAGTGAAAACGATCTGAATCTTTTATCTGTGCTGCAAGAGAAAAGAACCTCTACATTCATTTCTTTTTTGGCTCTCAAAAGTTCTTAATGGAAAGTTAAAAAGTGCACAAGATTGTCTTTATTTTTTGTTTCTTTGAATTATTTAATAATTTTAAAAAAGTGCACAGCATGTAGTTCTGAGATGTTTTAGGTGGTGTAACTAAATTTAAAAAATAATTATCATGAGTTAAGTCAGCAACTCTTAGTCTTTATTTTTGACCAGGCTCTAGACTAATGCATCATTAATTTCTCTGCATAAAAGCAGGGCTATTTAATTCTCCTTGTTATCTTATTTGTCTTTTGTTTGGGTTTTGGTAGTTGTTGTTTCTCATTATTTTGTGTCAGGATTTCGTTATATCCCCTCATTTTCTATTGCTGTTGGTACATTAGTCCCCAAGTTTGTGAGATGCTATTTCAGTTTTAGAAAAGGAGTCCCTTGGAATTAAAAATGGAGTTTGCAAGACCACACTTGACTTCGTGCAGGTCGGCCAGACCCATTTGTGAGTAACACAGCCCTTGCGTGGTTTTGACCTTTGATTTGTGGAAATGAGAGTGGCTTCTCCTTCCCCAGGGCCACTGTGGCTAGCTGGGCTTGGGGGACGAGCATAATATAATTGTGTCATGGATTGCTCTGTTACTCCTCGTATGTTAGCAATTTTATTGTGGTCTCTTTTATTTCCTTTTCAATTTGGGCCCCGGCAGTTTCCCAAAGGAATGTGGATAAAGGCTCTCAGTGTTGGAAACGGGAATGATGCAGTTGAGCAGTTGCCTCACCTCTGAAGGTGGCAGGAGTAGCCGTGAAAGGCCTCTGAGAGAAGAGATTTCTGTTTAGTGTGGTGGAGAAGGGGTCAGTACTCTTTGTTGTCATTTAGTATGTATCGAGGAGCAGCGTGTTCCCTTGGCCACTGGAAGGGTGGGCTTGGGAAGATGTTTATGTATCTCGGCAAAGGTGGACTGAGCAGGTGGGGGACTTAGAGCCTGTCCTAATCTCTGGGTGATAGTGTGTGCCCACTGCCCTGCTGCCTATGTGCCCGGCTGGTGTGTGGACGGGAACTCAGACCCATGTGCTCATGGGAAAAAGCAGAGGCTGGGCTTCTTTTGAGAACTTGGCAAAGGCTTCCCTGTTCACTTTAGAGTGTTTCTTTTCTTGAAGCCAGTGCTGGATCTTGGGTCTGTGCTGCTGACGTTTTAGAACATGAGAAAGAGCCGCAGTAGGAGCCAAGTATCTGCCAGACTGTGTCGGGAGAACCTTTATCATTTCTGTCAGATACATCACAACTCGCTTGTCTTACCATACATCTTCCTAAATGTGACAGAATATTCAGCTGTTATTAATTGAATACTCTCTAATTTAACTGCTTAGCGGGAGAAAGAGTGACTGGTTTGTTTCAACACGTAAAACTGGCATCAACCTGTCTGTGGGTTTCAATGCTGTTGCATTGCAGGGACTGAAAAAGTGACTGTGTAAGGAGAAGGGGTTACCCTACTTTTTTCAACAGGGTAACTAAATTCAGTTTATTGTTCTAAAACAGAGGGGTGTGTGTGTACGTGCGTGCACGTGCGTGCGTGTGTGTGTGTGTGAGAGAGAGAGATGAGGATAATACAGATCAGTTTATGGGCATGATATGCTTCGTGATTTTTTTGTGTTAAGTATGTTGTAGGTGGTACTCCAGCTCCTCTGAAGTTTAACTTACCTAGAAGTTGACACTGTGTTGTGTTCTTTTAATCAAAAAGCTTAAAATAATGAACTTGTTTTGTCTTTATCTTTGTAATCAATAAAATGTAAAAAAAGAGCCCTACAAATTTCTGTATAATATTGAATGTGGTGCTAAGAATTAAAAGCCATATTGATGAAATAAATTAAAGATTAAAATATAAGGAGCTAAGAATGAATTTTGAGAGTCTGCACACAACTCCTCTCTCCTTGGACCTTTGATGGAAGAACAAAAGTGAGTCAACTGTCAGCTTCTCCAGCTACCCTAGAAAAGCAACAGAAGATTCCAATTCATTGATCTAGGAAGAATCTAGGCTGTGAACTAGACATCCTGCTACACTTGTGGGTATTTTCACCCTTCTTGCCCAGGCTGGAGTGCAGTGGCACAATCTTGACCTCCGCCTCCCGGTTTCAAGCGATTCTCCTGCCTCTGCCTCCCAAGGAGTGGGATTAGAGCCATGCACCACCATGGCCAGCTAATTTTGTATTTTTAGTAGAGATGAGGTTTCTCCATGTTGTTCAGGCTGGTCTTGAACTCCTGACCTCAGGTGATCCGCCCACCCTGGCCTCCCAAAGTGCTGAGATTACAGGCATGAGCCACCGCGCCCAGCCTTTTACTTGTGGTTATTTTTTAAAATGTACTTATGTATACATAATTCTGTTGTTGTTTTAAAAGAAGATATAAAAATGTGCTCAGTGCCAGAATGCCTCTAGGTTCATATGCAGCATTTTTTTTTTAAAGAAATGAATTCAAAGCACGATAATAAGTAGAAGCCTGACTTGGCTTGAACATAACACTCTGTCGGCAGTGAGGTAAAGTGAAACAAAAGACAGTGTCCCCAACTCTGCCATGAAGGTCAGCAGAGTGTGATGTGGCACTTTGCAGAGATGGATGAGACTTCCAAGGCTGAGGACAAGGAAGAGCATACCTGCAGTCCTTTCAATCGCCCATCATGGGACTATTAGCTTGAGCGTTCTGGAAAATATTATTACCCCCAGGGCGCCATGTAACTCCCTGGCTCCTGATAAGCTGCCAACATGGCTTTCTCTGGGCTGCAAAGTTGGAGCTCCCCTGGCAGGGTGCCAGGGTTTTAAGAAGGCTCTGGGGGCCCAAGGTAGCCTCCTGGTGCAAGTTAACATTCATTGTAAAACCCGATTCAGGAAAAAAAAAAAAAAAAAGAAAGAAAAAAACCCTTCCCTTGCTTTCCCCTCTGCACAGAGCTAGCTGGCATACAATTAATATCTGTGCTGGCACGTTGCCCCTTATTTTAGGGGCTGGCTTTTGCTTTGGGATGGCATGGAGAAGGGGATTATTTGCACTGTAGCTTTTGATGTAAGCCATCATTGTCATATTATATGAATAGCACCGCGTAAGGATGGCTGGGGACAAAGACCAGTCCTCCATCCCTTCCTCACACTGCCCTATGTAACCCAAGTCCTTGTCACAAAAGGGCTGTCTGATTTTTTTTCCCCTTTAAAATCTTATGGAAAATAGTGGCCTTAGTTGGAAACCTTAATTTTTAAAAAGCATCCTTTAATTTGGGCATTGCGAAACGTTAAAAATTGGAAAAGTTGTTTTTTTCAGAGATAATTTACACGTTTGTACACAGAAATGCTGCACACATATGCTTATAATCATATTTATAATTACTTTTTCTTTGTTGCAATTTAAAAAACGTACACTTAGTTATGAGGTCTTAAGGAATGCTAACATTGCATATGTAGTCATAGAAGAAAAAGGCATCACATAAATTTTGGTAATTCAGAATGGAAGCCTATATCATGAAAATACCAAAACCATAAAATCTACTTACTTGAGGAAAACTGATTTGAGAATATCTGGCATGTTTCTTAGCTCACTAAGTTTAGTGTTTATAAAACAAATAGAAGATAATGTTTTTAGTAGACTCTGGGTGTCCGTATACATATGTGTAACTATACATATTTAGGCTTTATCATAATGTTTGAATGGAGAATGCTTAATGTAGTAATATAGCAACATAGCAAAAATTCTAAACTTCAAATATACAATTCAAACAGTTGTCACAGATAAAGGCTAGATAAGGAGAAAAAAATGTATTTATGAAGCAACTCATTAAATAACTCAGCATTCTTAGCTCTGTGATGCATTGGGAGTTGTAGGGAAGGGAGTTGGGAGCTGAGGAAGTAGAAGTGGTATTTAGTCATATTTCTGAAACTATTCTGGATTTTTGTTTTGTCAGGAGAAAGATGCAACAAATATTTATAGGGCCTCCCATTTTTTTTTTGCAAGAGGAGAGCAGAGGACATAGCAATGAACAAGAGAGAAGGTATCATTGCCCCCCATGGAAACTGGGTTTTTATAAGGGAGACATATAAAAAATATTTTGGGGTTCAAGGATGTAACCTGATGGGGAATAGTGATATTTTTGAAAAGCTGATCATGACTTGTAAAGTTCAATTTCAGAGTACTGATGAGAAGAACCATGAAATATTGTAATTTTTCTAATTAACATAACACCTGGAAATTTCTAAGCAAATGCCATTGGAAACTAATAATATTTGGTCCTAATATTGAAGTCGTATCTATTCAACTCACTGACGATTCACATTTTCAGTTACTGTCTGAAGTTTGACCAGATAGGGAAGATCAAGGGGTTCCTTAAAAGAATGTTAAGTAACAACCCCAAAGTAATGTTTTAGCTTTCAAAATACTGAAAGAGGTTTAAGGTGTTATCTTGTCCACCTTGTTAATCATATAAATTCTATTATCCCTTTAACATGTCTAGCCAATGAAGTCAGTGTTTTCCATCTGCAGTCAATTGGGTATTGACAAGGAATAAGAAAGGATTTCTAAAATACATTTTTTTCAAGCTAATTTCAGCTATTATTATTATTATTTTTTAATCTCTAAATCATGCTGTTACTATTTCGTCACCCAGCATGTTTCCATTAAGGCAATCACATTAGGTTGGGTTGACCCAGTAAAACTTTTTATCAACCACCAGGCCAATTCAGACTGCAGCCAAAGCTATGTTCTCATCTTTGGTGGGCTGGTCAAAGTGAACCTTTGGATCTGATAAGACCAAGTACATACTCCCATGCTATAGTGTTTTCACTAAAACACTTTTAGTTTTATAATTTAAAATTGTACCTCATGGCATTGGAGGTGATTAGACTTTTCCTACAGATGGAACTGTGTGTTGGATCTGATTTTTAGTTGGGCAGCAAACCTACCCAGAACCATCTACTTGCCCAGTTTTATCCTTACCCACAGCCGCCTCATATTTCTACAGCACTTTATGTTTCACAGTAATTTTCCCTCCTTGATTCTACAACTTCTACCCCTAGAAACCTGTGTTATTTTCATCCCTTACAGAATCACAGATCTGTGAGCGGAACGTTGTGTTCACAAAATACTGTTGATTATTTTACCACTTCAATGGTTGTTTCAGACAACCACCCTTTTCTTTTCATTATTGCTTAAATATATCAGTGCATGGTGTCATGGGTTACAGCTAATAAAAATCCCACTCGAGTGACTGCAGCCTGGCTTGGTGGGAAGTGACACTGCGAGCTGCAGGCCGACTCTGAAGAGGCAGGTTTTAGATGTGCCATGATGCCAGGGATTGATCTTGGCTCTGCAGAGTGGAGGACATAGAGATGATGCGAGCATCCCTGCCTAATGGTCCCCAGCAGAGGATGGGTGGAAGGTGACTTCCGGGTTCATGCTCAGGTGGAAGCTGCCTGCCCTCACTGCCTTCTTACCCTGTCTCCGTCACAACCTTTCCTATCCTTCCCAGTGACCAGCCAAGGGCAAGACAAGACTGCAAATTACCATCTAAAAGTATACTTGGCCCCTTCAAAGTATGAGAGTTAGATCACTTTTTTTTTTTTTCCTCATGCTCCTTTCATGCTCCTTCCAGCCAAGAAGCTGGAAACTAAAATCCCTTTTCTTTTCCTCTCAACTTAGTCAATTCCATAGCATGAGCTGAGTGCCTGTTGTGCTCACCTAGCATCGTGTCTGGCACATAGTAGGTACTCACTAAATACTTGCTGAATTACTAAATGCATGGAAGTTCCAGGATCCAGTGGGAGTGATAAAGGTAAGGGAAAATTAAGGCAAGCAAAGGCAGGAAAAACAAATCTCTGCTTAAAGGAATCAAGAGACTGGCTACCCTTGGAGATAGTAACTGTAAAGGGTTTGGCTGGGGCTTCTGTGTGCTGCTCATAATACTCTCTTGATCCCACTTCTGGAGACTGGGCTGCATGCACTATACAAAAATTCACTGTACAGCTGTAATGTATGTATTTCTACTTAATATAGTTTATCCTACTATCTAAAAAAATATGCCTTTAAAGGATAGTGTCGGTTCTCAAGTACCTTAACAATCTTTTTGCAGGTGAGGGTGGAAGGTGGGTGAAGAAACCAATATACAGGCAACGATTAGGATCATTATTTGGCTCAACCCCCATTCCAGTAACATGCTGTGACTGCAGGGGAAAGAATGGCTCATTCCAAGCTCTGCCCTTATGTATGCCATTAACATAGATTCCCAGGGGGTGGGTCACCTTCTGAGTGGAGGCCCCTAAATCTAATGCCCAAGGAAGCCAAGACTCCTTGCACCCCGGGTGACACAGAATCCTGGGTGGCTGGTTCAGGAGCTTCATGTGCTAGCTCCCATTTATGATTTCTTTTTTCTTTTTTTAAAGAAAGAAACATAAGGAAAACATTTGCTTTGACATTGAATCCACCCCTACATGTAACAGTAATTGCAGGGCCTAGAGGGGGAAAGAAAGTATCATTCCAATTTGGGGCCAACCAGCCTTGACAATATTGTGTTAAACCTTCTGAAGTGGTGAAGCCAAGCTGCAGCGAGGCAACCCTGGCACAGGTGGACAATCGGGGACATGGAGAGCTGGAACTGGGAGACACTTCTGGAGTCAGGACACGTAAGGAGTACAAAATTACTCTTTGGGGCACTCTCAGGGAAGACCTGTGCCTCCAGGCCTGGCCCTTGGTTATGGCCTGTGCTCCTGACTCCTTAGGAGGTTTTGGCCATGAGCTAATCAGATGCCCAGTTCACACAGTAAGATATGACTGCTTGACCTCCACATGGAGCCCGACTAGATCCCCCTAAAAACCACAGTTGTAAAGCTCTGTAGAGGTAGTGGCCTCTTCAAAGTCCCCAAGCACGCAGCCACACGTGCTTTCTCCTCCAGTCTCCGTGTGTCTGTAAAAGTTCAAATACTGAGTCAAGTTTATTGTTTCTATCTCGTTTATTTTAAGTATAGTTTTACACTTTATTATGTGCAATGACATCTTAAATGGAGCCTGTCACTCCGTCTTGACTACTGCTCGGGGCTGGAGCCACTTACCATGTCACACATTCAGCAGCCCTGATTAACCGAATCAGAATGAGCAGCTCCATCTCCACCCTCTCCAAAATAGTGCCCCTTATTTATATGAAGCAAAATATGAGAACAACAGGATCCTGTATCTAAAGTGGGAAGGTTTCCAAGTTGAGGAAGTTTGGGATGGCATTTCCCTCCCTTCCTCCCTCCCACCCTTCTTTGCTCCCTCCTTTCCTCCTTCCATCCCTCCTCCCTCCCTCCCTCCCTTCCCTTCCTTCCTCCTTCTCTCCTTCTTTCCCTCCTTCCTTCCTTCGGATTTTTTAAAACATATTTTGTTATATATTCACTCTCTTTAAGAATAACACTTTGTTTGGTTAACTCCTGCCCCCCAAAACAACAACAATAAAAAACAAAACAAAATTTTACAACTTTCTTTTCTTCTTCTCTCGTCTGTGGTTGCAAGTCAGTTTTTGTAGCCCTGTCATTATGTGAGGTGGCCTAGAGTAATTTGAATATTTCATTCTCCCGGCTGCTAATGCAGCATGCGTTACAGATGGTACTTGCTTCATCCTTCTGGACCTGGTTCAATTATAAATGAAAGTAGGGAGCTGAGATTTGTCTTTTTGTCTCTGCTTAGTTGGAATAACACAATAAAGCTTGATGGGTAAGAATTTCTCAAACTGCCTCTTTTTCACCTCGGACATTTCCCAATTAGATTGCTCCTTAGAGTACTTGGTTTGCACTCACGTTTGGAGCCAAATGTATAATCATTGTTGTTATTTTTGGATACTTTCTTTCCTCTCACTTGGAATAAGGCTGTATTCTAAAAGTATAAGCAACCTCTGTCTGCCTGCCCCCACCCATCTTTTTCTTTTTGGTGTCTATTTCTCATCAATTCTTAGCAGTGACTGCATGATTTATTCAAGAATCTTGAGTAAAACCACTTCCCTCCTCCATACCCTTAAAAGTACTGTCCCCTCACATCACACTACTTAGGGACACATTGGTGGTCAGGGAAAAGGATTTTTCCTCACAGTAAGATGTGTCTGCTCAGCTCACTAAATCAATATATAAAAATAGAACACACATGTAGAGCAAATTATGCAAATTTATGAGTATAATCTTACATGCACATATTTATTAGACACTAGTAGTATTTTAAATGTGTTTGTGTGGAGGAGGGTGTGTGTACACACATGCCAAAAGGCTTTGGGTTTGGTATGTTTTTGGACATTCTAAAAAATAAACATTAAACATCGTCTTTCATTGGGACATTATTCTTTTTTTTTTTTGAGACGGAGTTTCGCTCTGTCGCCCAGGCTGGAGTGCAGTGGCGCGATCTCGACTCACTGCAAGCTCCGCCTCCCAGGTTCACGCCATTCTCCTGCCTCAGCCTCCCGTGTAGCTGGGACTACAGGTGCGCGCCACCATGCCCGGCTAATTTTTGTATTTTTAGTAGAGACGGGGTTTCACCGTGTTAGCCAGGATGGTCTCGATCTCCTGACCTCATGATCCGCCCGTCTCGGCCTCCCAAAGTGCTGGGATTACAGGCGTGAGCCACCGCGCCCGGCCCATTGGGACATTATTCTTATGGTCATTTTAGCAAATTGTAAAGCTTGCTATTTAGTTCAGGCTATACCTTTATTTGGATCAGTGTGAGGGATTTTTTTCCTTCAACCTCAAATTTATGATCACTAAGTGTTGGGCAAATACAGTACTATAGATACTCTTAGAAGGGTGACTAATTCAAATATCTACCAGTAATGTCAAAGAAGGGGGGATGAACCAACTATATTCTCTAAGATTAATTGATATTGTATTAGATTACATGGGCGCTCCAAGAAGATCAATATATATATTTTTTAATTTCACTTTGTTCCTCACGTACTGTTGGAAACCAGCTTTGCAGTGTGACACCTGTGGGCTCAACATTGTTTCACCCTTATTTTGATGACCTGCCCTTGTAAAGTTAAATAGAATATAAATTGATAGTATCTCCTAGCCTCCCATGGTTCTATAAGTTTAAGTCATTAAGATGAAGAATAAAGTGTCCTACAGAGAAATTGCCAGCTTAAAAGACAAAGTGTTGGAATGTTACAGTAAGAGCTCTGATGCCCTAGGTCAATACAGGTTGGCAGAAGCAGCATAGTTTAGGGAACTCTGTTCTTTTCCGATGCAATTTGCAACAGTCCTCAGCCCAGCATCTCACTTGTTTTTCCTACTATGTTAAATGTGATCCTACCTACCCTTAGAGATAACAGTGAAAATTAACCTAAAACATAGAGCCAAGTCTTTCAGCAATTTGACATACTTTAAAAAATATAAAGTGTGCTTCATTTTCATATCAGCTTATGATAACCCACCTTCTGGAACCAACCTGGTAATTAGTTATCTGGGTCTGCAGTGTGCAGTAGGTCCATTCCTCCATGTGTCTCTGTCTATCTTGATTTCTGGCTCAGCTTCTGATATCTAAATGATATTCGTTGAGCAATTTGGAACCTAAATGGAGTTAGAAATGCTATTATTCCATATTTTTCAAGTAGTTAAAAGAACATCTTTGTAGCAAATTTTCTAGGAACACAACAATTAGAAATGTTTAATAACCTGTGGTCACTTTCTTACAATTAATTATCTTGAACTCATTTTCTGCTAATATCAAATCTTGCCAGAATAATGAAATTGGAGTTCTTATTTTCAGCTAGTTTTCATTTGTCAATCATTGACCTACTTTTCTTTGGAAATTTGTAATAAACTGAAAAATAATAGCAGCTGTACTAATATTGGTATAATAATTTCCAGTGTACCAAGTACTTTTCATGTATATTATCTCGATTTTGATATCATGATAATTCTAAAGGGATAGCTTTTATTTTTCTTAGTTTACAAATGTGAAAACAAACCCAGAGAGGTTAAACAGTCAAAATCACAATTCAAGTCCAATGTGAATGTATTAGGATTAGGTTCAAATGTGAGTAGCTGAAACCACATCCACCCCCTTTCAAAACATAGGAAGTAAGATATAAGCAGTTCAGGGCTGGCAGAGTGGCTCCATAGACCACAAAAAACTTAGGCTCCTTCCTGAGTTTTCACTCAGTCTTCCCTAAAAGGTGATCCTGTGTCATCCTCGTGATCTAAGTTGACTGCTAGAGCTCCAGCCATTCCATCTGCATTCCAGGCATCAGAATGGAGGAAGGGGCAGAGAATAACTGTAGACTTATTCCTTTTAAAAAAGACTTTCTAGCATAATACTTGTACTACCACTTGTATCCCATCAGTTAGGACTTAGTATTACGACTACATTTAGTTACAAGGGAGTCTTGGACATGTAGCTGGGTAAAAATGTTCCAGCTCTTAGAAACGGGGCAAGTTTCTGAAATGTCACTGCACTTGGGTTTAGCTACAGCCTACAGATTTTCCCTAACCAAGAAAGATAGACCGAGGAGTCATTTTAATTGTCTAGATCTGATTTGGAACATAGGTGTCATGTTATACTAGAGAATCTGGCTGAGGGCAAAGGCAAATCTTGATCGTATTAATAAATGTTTGCTGTATTGGGTGTAATTGTACACATTTGCAGCAAGGCACATCCAAAGAGGAGGTGATGTACTTCCCAAGCAACAGCAACACTGAAAAGGGACTGACTCCAATCATGCCATGGTGAGCAATCTGTGGAGACAAGAGTGACCACAAACTCTGAAATAAATTCATAAAGATTAATCTGTGTGCTCCAGGCTACTAAATTCACATTCCCCCTTGGTGTTACTTCCTACTTAAACTTTAATAGAATGGTTTATAGGATTGTGGAGATTTATAGGATCAATTCCTTGGTTATTTGGTGGCCAGTGGTCAGGGAACCTAAATGCCGTATATGACCTCAGTAGATAGGGCTTCTTACTGTCAAAACATTATTTCTGGAGGAAAAAAGAATCCAAATTCCCAAGTACCTGGGCATATACTTTATGCTCTGTAACTCTTGTCAATGAGCTCAGCAAGTGGGGTGTTTTCCCTCAGTTCTTTGTCTTCTATATCAGTTGCCCTAAAGGCTTTAGGAGTTACAATACACACACACATCATACCTCAGAGGTACTGATGGCAAGTAGCTATCTTTGATTTATTTGTATTTTTTAAAGAATAAGATGAAAATAGAGCACTTATATGTTCACGACAGGAAGGATTTTGTGTGTATTTGTGTATCTGTATAATATTTCACATTGTATATCACTTTAGCCTCTTAATATGATTTTCCTTAGGTCACAAATCCATATAGAATATTTGACAGTGTAGCTTGCTCTAATATTTTTGTTGCAGTAATGTGGGGATGACCACATTACTCATAAGTGAGCTCTGCTGGTCTCTTCAGAATGTCAGGAGAAACTTATGGTGCTGCCTGCACCATCACATATTTTATTTAGACCACAGATGTTCAGTCTCATAATTTAGTTGTCTTATTTTGTTACATTTTCAGCTGCATTTTTTCTTTTTCTTATCTTGCCTTTATAATTTTATTGGAATTTGTCTAGTTATAGCCCACCTACATGGAAAAAGACTATTATTTGTGGCAACTTCGGCCCACAAATCTATATATATAACTTGAAATGCGTAGGTTTCTTATCTAAGAAACCTTTGCACAACCCTATAGGAAATGTAGAAGTGTGCATATATCTTTACCATTATTGCAGCTACTGTTTCAGTAGTTTCTGTTGGAACATTTGCAATGACTTCCAAAGATAATATTCTTCTAATTTAAGACTTTGGTTTGGTTTTTATAAGCCAAGTTGTCTTTATTATAATTCTCCTGTGAATTGGTCTTCTTTGGGAAGGAATTTTCTAGCACTGGAGGACAGGTTTCCATATAGTTATAGGTTAAAATACCCTTCCTCCACCCTCACCTTTCCAGCTTAATTGCTTCTGTCAGCGGCCACATATATGGTTGTCAACAGTTTACAGACAGTGATTTAACCCTCAGTTTTAGAAACATATAGAGGTGATGTCTTGACAAAAAAGAGCAAGCAGTATAAAGATGTACATGTAGCCCTACCTACTTCCATGATTTTTGTCTCTGCCCAGCAAGAGTCAGTGTTATCTTTAAAAACAAATTGCTTCTGGTATATGTGCGATAACATGTATGTGTGAGATTGTGCACATGTACATGTGCAGTGGAGTGGGCATCAATGTATTTTACTGATTGAAGAACACAGAATAATTTCTATTCTCATTTGTTTTGGAAACTTGGAACAGGAAGAGGGAACTTGGCTTCATCAATGAAGATGATTGGCTCCCGATAATGGCTCCCTTCTGGTGCCAGATTTAAGGCAGGAAAAAGCAAACAGCTGTTCAAAATGACTTTCACCTAGTAAACACAGGAGAGAAGGCAGCTAACACTTACTGGATGCCTTCTGTGTGCCCAGCTTTAGTCTAATTGCTTTACACATGTTAACTCATTTAAACCTGATGGCAATCCTGTGAGATAAATGTGGTTCTCCCCAGTTTACAGATGAAGAAACAACTGAGGCTTTGAGAAGTGAACTGACTCTCCCAGAGTCAGACAGCTAACAAGAGGCAGAGGAGTTGGAATTTAACTTAGGTCTGTCTCATTATAAAACCATCCAGTTTCCAGGGTACCATGGAAACTTGTGTCACTGTGAGTCAGATACTCTCATTCTGTCAGGGTGTGAAATGCCCCTTAAAATACTGTTATGTGAAATCATAGCTGGTGGCTTTATGCACTATCCTCACTGACTCTGCTAACCTTGTTTGAATAAATTAAAAAATATTTATGAACATGTACCATGCCCCTAGCAAAGTTCTAAATGCCGTTGGGGGAAAAAAGAAGGGTAAAATATGGTCCCTGCCCTTGGATGGGTAACTCTCATTTGGCAATCAGAAAAGCAGTACATGCAGCAGCTGATGGCCATGATGATATTTAATAAATTTGTGACTTGGGTGACAACAGAAACTGAATAACTGTATGACATCATTCAAGCACAAAATCCAGAAGCTGAGAAGGGGGAGATTAGTATATGCTAGGGTGAAGGGAATCTAGAAGGACAGTTTAAATGTGGCTGCATGGAAGGCTGGAAGGAAGACTTGAGAGAAACAGCTGGACTGAGCAGTGATTGTAGAAACATAAAGTGTCATCATTACAGATTTAAGAAGAGTAACATCTGCCTGGCACTTTACAGTTTCCAGAGCACTTTATTTTCTTATTTCTATTTTCTCTCACTTCCATTATTATTGTTATTAATCATCATCACCCCTGCTTTACCTATGAGGAACACCAATCAAGTACCATCCCTTACACATATTGTGCCCTAGGAAGGGCTCCTGAGGAAATAAATAAAAGACTCTCATGCTGAGAGAGAAGCAGCAGGACACTTGCTCATGGTCACACAGCTAGTGAGAAGCAGAGACTTGGCCTTATCCCACGCCCTCTGATTCCAAGTTTGGATAAAAAATAAAGGCTTTTTCTAGAGTTTTATATTCCTTATCAATGGCTTCCAGTTTACAAATGGGTTGTATTCCAGAAATTTTCTTTTCTTTCCTTTTCTTTTATTTATTTATTTATTTATTTTTTTTTTTTTGAGACAGAGTCTGGCTCTGTCACCCAGCCTGGAATGCAGTAGTGTGATCACTGCAACCTTTGCCTCCCGGGTTCAAGCGATTCTCCTGCCTCAGCCTCCTTGAGTAGCTGGGATTACAGGCACGCACCACCATATCCAGCTAATCTTTTTGTATTTTTGGTAGAGACGGGGTTTCACGATGTTGGTCAGGCTGGTCTCGAACTCCCGACCTCGTGATCCGCCCGCCTCAGCCTCCCAAAGTGCTGGGATTACAGGTGTGAGCTTTTATCCTGTTTTTTTTTTCTTTGCAACCTATAACACATTTTCAGGAAGTGTCATAAAGCTAGATTCCAAGGTCCATTTGGACCTATTGCAAAAGAGAATATGCCTTAACTGTGACCTGCTTATTCTGTTTTAATTATGTCTGTTCACTCTTTACAAAATAGTTCTTAATACAAACAATACATTCTGAGGCAGGGCAGACTATATAATTTGTGGGTCCCAGTACAAAAGGAAAATGTCAACTCTTCATTCAAAAATTAAGTATTTCAAGATGGCGTCATCAGAGCATGAAACCAAACACGGGGTCCTTCTGCATGAGGGGCCCTGGGGTTCCACACAGGTCTCATGCTCACAAAGCCAGTGCTTTGGTTTAGAATACAAGGAATACCTTTTTATCCTAGAAATTTTATCAGAGAGTGCGCTGGAGGCATATACATGTGCGGGGCCCGGAGAGGAGGAGTGGACAGGATATGGATTGGATATGGCTTTCTGCGTCCAACTGCACTCTACTCCTAAGTACCAGGAACGTGTTAACTCTCAGTTGCACAAGGAAAAATATCTCTTGATAAGTCATCCCCAAAGAATTCTGATTTGGAGCAAAGGGGAGGATGTAAAAGTGGGAGGTAGTACAAACATCAAAAAAAGAAAAAAAAAAAAGGCTTTCTGTACTCACTGCCAACTCAGATTTGGTTCATTTTCAAGTTTATAAGTTTATTATTATAAGTGTAGATAAGGCTCATTCTTATGTAGAGGTCCCAGTACCTTCCACATATATTTCTGGCACAGAAAAACAGATGGGATAGAAATTTACACAAAAATCACATCTGCCACTCTGGACAATTAAGCAAAACATGAAATTGCAACTAAAAACCACAGGGTATTTAAATAGAACAAGATTTCAAATGAAGGACTCATGTTGTTGAACCAGAATGTGGTTTAACTCTACATCTTCTGAAAAGGGAGGATATTTTTTGGTCTTTCCATATATACTTTTTTTTTTTCCACATCAGTAGATGTGCCTACTTAACGAAAACAACTTTTCTCATTCAGAGAGAGGCTAAGCCAAAATATAGTACTCTTTCGAATCATATTATCTGAAGGGACATGAAAAGGGAGTAAAAAAAACCTAACATTGATTTCACACCAGCCATGTGCTAGGGGCTCAGCAAAACTGCAGACAGCAAGTACAGCCGGCTTTATTTTACAGTTGAGGAAACAAGCTCTGAGATGTCATCCAAGGCCTCCCAGACAATAAGTGCTAGCTTGGGACTTAAGGCTTGAATTCTAAGTCCAAGCTTGTATTCTTCCCACACACCAGACTACCCATCCTGTTCTGAATTCCAACACAAGAAGCCCAGGACACAGAGGGGCACAGGGCCTGCAAAGCAATCCAGCCCCTCAACCTTGCAGGAACCCAATCATCAAGAGGGGAGACCCTACTATTAACATTCTCTGGGTCCTCATGGAGGCTGAGCACTGCTTTATAACTTTGCTTTTGCTCCCTTAAATGTTTCGGAAATGTGACTTGGATTTATAGATTGCAACGGCTTTCCATTGTGTGAAACCCAGTGGTTCCCGATAGAATGGTTCCAGCCAGCAAGAACAGTTGCCTTGTGCTGAGTGTAGCGGAAGAAGACAATAATTGACAGAGAAGCATATCATCTCTTTCTACCCAGTGTACCCAATCCACTCTGCCTCATCTCCCCACCATGGACCTGGAATGTTGTCAACCTACTTGTGTGAGATAAGAAAACTCTCATTAAGAAATCCATTCATCACGCCTGTAATCCCAGCCCTTTGGGAGGCTGAGGCAGGCAGATCACTTGAGGCCAGTAGTTCAAGCCCAGCCTGGGCGATATGGTGAAATCTGTTTCTACTAAAAATACAGAAATTAACTGGGTGTGGTGGCACACGCCTGTAATCCCCCAGCTACTCTAGAGGCTTAGGCATGAGAATTGGTTGAACCCAGGAGGCGGAGGTTGCAGTGAGCTGAGATCACACCACTGCACTCCAGCCTGGGCAACAGGGTGAGACTCTGTCTCAAAAAGAAAAAAAAAAAAGAGGAAAGAAGGAAAGAAGGAAGGCAGGCCAGCCATTCAAATTGATTCGAACATCAGATTCTTTGAACTTGCACATGTGATGTGGTTTGACTCCCTTATAAATACATCGAATTTGGTGGCTTAAAGCTTTAGAGTGGATCATGAAGAATCTCACAGGGGTCAAATGAGACTCTGGCCCCAAATTATGGATCTGTACTTGGGGTACATTTTCTTTCCTGGCCCCTACAAAGGTGAGCAGAAGACACATTTCCTTTGGTGTCAGAAGTGGCTTCATCTTTGTGGTCCTGCAGGGTAAAGTGTGACACAAGAGAAGACTTAGGTCCAGAAGATGCTATACATAAAGTGGGGAAAGCACCTTGCCCCTAATGAAGGCCCCTGAGACATGCACTCTTTTCTGCCCTTCACATGATGAAGTCTCACTTTGACATTTATTAAATGGGCCCGGTAGAACCAGTCCTCTCCTAAGGCTGTTGTAAGGACCAGATGAGGTCTTGTGTGTGCTGTACAAATGGGAATGACACCATCATAACCAGGAAGATTGAGTTGGAGTTGGAAATCTAGGGAGCATGGCAAATGTGGACCTTGAGCCAACTTTTATTACTGTGGCACCAAATCATTTATGAATAACTTATATATAAGTGATGAAACTCTATAGTACTAAAAGGAACTTGGTTCCAGTCACTTGCCCTCATGCCCTTACTCCATTTTGGTCTATAAAAAAAGTCAGTGCTCATGTTGATTCCCACACTTTCTCTCTGCTTGCCTGCACCTATTCCAGTTACCTACCTTTTGACTCCCTTTTTTTAGCTTTCAGATGGTAACTGACTTGAGACCAGTACATCCCTGCACATAAGCAGACAGTCCATGCTTATCTGAATTCCTGGTGTAAGCCCAGGGTAGTGCAAAGAGCATGGACATTGAAGAACTGCACTTGCGTAAGCTGTAACTTTGAACTTATTTTCCTAAAAAATAGGCATCCAGGATCTACTTCTGAAGCTTGATGTGTGGGTCAGCATAGACAATGTAGGTGAGATAAAATGAAAGCTGTTGGGAAGGTATAAAATACTATCAAAATAAAGAAGTCTAAATTGATATTCAAAGGCTATCTGACTATCTCTGCCTTTTTAGAGAATGCTTGTTTTCCAGGTCCGTGTCTTAGCCCTCCCAGACCCATCTCTGCTCTTTATAGATAAAGTTGAGTGACTTTCCCAAGATTACAAAGATCAAGAGTGGCAGACCAAGGACATCTCTCACTTGAAAACTAGGGCTCTTTTCACTGTAGCCAGCTCTTTGTTGGGAAATCTTCATAATCAGTGTCACCTTCTGTGCTCCAACTCCTCAGCCTCACGCTTGGGTGAACACTTCCTTCCCTTCTTGACCATTGCAGGCTAGTGCCATTCTCTTCTTCAGTTTTCATTGCTGGGATGTCTTGCAGCATGATGCCTTAGCTGTTCTGTATCTATGGGGGTCCATCATTTTCCCCTTAAGGATCTTCTCCTATAGGGTGCAATTATGCAGTTATCTTACTGGCTCATCTCTATTTTCTGCTATAACTTTTGAAGTGCATCACCGTCTCTAACTGTTTGTACTGGCGGCTCAGAGAATTTCCTTGAGCAAAGTGCATTTCTGAAGCCAAGTCCCAGCACTGCCATGTCTTTTGATGCCCTTGGTCTCCTTTCTCAGATGTGAGTAAAAATATTGGTGTTAATTACATAGGCTTGAGATACATGCAAAGAAGAGGGTGAAGACAGCCGTGACCTCTGAAAGAGAGGCATAGGTCAGTAAAAGATGCATTCATTCCAAAGACTGCTGCTTGTCCTGTGTTGGGCCAATCCTTTTCAGCAAGGTAATTTAAATTTAAAGTCAGCATTCTCCTGATTCTGTTTCCTAAAGGTTCCAGCTTTCATAGGATGGGTACACTTCACTCCCAGGCCTCCTGGGAGGCCTCCTCTACCCTTCCTCTACCGTTTTCTTGCTTCTCCCTAAAAACCTTGAAGATATGGAATACTTCCTGCCTACATCTTCAACTCAGAGACCGCCAGGGGATTTCAGTGTTTATTGCTTTTTTCTCTGGGTTTGGAACAGTTCCGACCAGGTACTATTTGAAAAATGTAGAAGTATTTTTTTGCTTATTATCAAAAGGAGAATGTAGTTTTCTTGCAACAAAATGAGAACTTGATATCTTTCTTGCCTCGAGGGTGTGTGTTGGGAGACGGGGGTGGTGTTCAGCCTTCTCTTCCTCCACCTCTGTATCCTGGTAGCCAGAATTGAAGTTCCAAGCCACACCAAGGAGGGTGGCTGCCTTTCATGAAAGGCAGACATGTAGTAATTACCTTTTTGCCTATCTGCCGCCGTCCCCTTGTGCTGAGGGGGTTCCCTTGCCGCTCTGTCTGTTGTCTGCACACTGCATTTGTTTGTCTGGAATGCAGAACTCCTTGCACTTGACAATCACTACAGTCTTTCTGCTTTTTCTCTTAAACAGCTTTTTTAAAGCACCCAGAGACCCTTAAAAAAAAAAAAAGAATGCAAATAGAAATTGCGCTGGAAGCTGAACTGAACATTGTTGCGAGTCATGAGATCCCAGCCACACTGGGACAAACTATTTTTTATTTTGGGTAATATTTTTTCTTTGGCATTTATTACACCTCTGTTAAACACAGCTCATGTGACACAGTGTTACTCATAGGCAATCAGAAAAAAGCTGAAAGTTGAGCCATTAGTAGGGCAGGGCAACTTATTGTTAATAGCAGCCATTAAAGCTGAAAGGAAAAATTACCCATCTGCCCCCGCCAGACCTGTCTGTCTGAGATCGAGATTGGGCCTCCAGGCCGGAAGGGGGGCTGGGCAAACATGAGGGAAGGAGAATGGAATGTAGAAACCGAGATCTTTGTAAGGGAAGATAGAGCTGAATTCAAGTGTGGGCCCTACCCCAAGAATAGGGGGGAAAAAAATCCTGCCCCAAGAATTCCAGCTGTCCTTTGTCTGTTCATCCTTTCTCAGGAAAGCACCTGATAGCTTTTATCCAAAGATCTGCTGCAAAATCCATTTTAGCTACAGACAGGAAATGCAAAAGAAAGATTCCTGTAGCAACAACACCTTGTAATTATGAAATACTTTCCATCACAGTGCATAACATATAGCAGATTTACTACACCAAAATTCTTTGCCGTTAGATCTTGGGGTACAGCAGTGAAATTTTCTCTATCTTTAAAAGAACATGTGGTTTAAACCCCTTTCAGGCATTTTAAATCCTAGCCAAAGGTGCAACACCGTTTACCAACTCTGACAAGCCACTCTAAAAGTGTGCTTGTTTGATGGGGCCATATCAGATATCACATAGGAAAATAAATTTGAGAGGGCTTTGCCACGAGTATGTTTATAAAACTCACAACTGGTCTGGAAAAAGAAAGGCAAGTGGCCCATTTTACAGATGGTGCTAACACACTCCAGTGCAGAGAGTGACTGTTGTCACCAGGATCACATATCAATTTGGAAAATTGTAATAGAAACCAGACTTGTGGCTTGGAGTATAGCCCCTGAAAGGGACTAGGACAGCCCACTCCCCTGCCCTGTCCTCCTTACACCTTAAAAGGGACAGTGATTGGGGACTATTGCTGCCCCGCGTGCTTTTTCAGGCAGAGATATCAGAATGAGGTCTGAAAGGATAGTTGGGTGGCCCCAGAGAAGACCTCCACGGCTGGCTAAGAGTCTGAGCATTGCTGGCAGTACTTAGCATTTAGGCTACCCTGAGTGCATGCCTGGCTCATGATAAGTGGTTAGGCCTGTCAGAGGCGGGAGGTGCCTGCTGACTCAGACCCAGAGAGGTGACTCCTACTCTTGAGTGTCTGATTTCTCAGATATGACCATATCCAGTTCTGGGCTCCAGCCCTGACCTGTTCCTTGGCTATCAGAACTATCATAAGGCCAGATCAGCTTAACTCATCTCCAAGGTAATTCTTGGTAGATTTTGGTTCCTTCTTGCATTTTGTGGCTTTGTCCCACTAAGAGCAGTTGTTCTCAGCCCTCTGTACTGGTGGCACAATTTTGAATACTGTAATTATTTTGGTTGCATTTTGGAATGAATTTAAAGTTCTCGCAAAGGATCTTCAGCTCCATGTCACTCATCAGAGCTCTTTTCTATTTTCCAGCTCTTGCATATAGGTAACACGCGCACACACACACACACACACACACACACACAGAGTTTTTCTTGATATGCTGTCTCTTGCCTTCCACTGTCAGATCGTAACCTGATAGACTGAATTGAGTGACCCACTCACACTCAGCTCAGCATTCCTATTTCAAACACTGCTGACACACGGTATATCTTCATGTGTACCAGCAATCAGACTGTAGTCAATTAAATTGTTTTGAAAATTAGGTTTATGCACTTATCAGTTGTTTGAGAGTCTGGCAGTTTTGGCCTTAAGAGTTCCCTGTCAAAGACTATGGCGTGAAAGATCACTGCTTTCAGGCTTCTATGCTGTGATTAAATGTGGAGAGTGGTTTTGGGGACATGTGTCTTAAGGGATAAGCTAGTGAGGAATAGGTTGGGACTGGTAGGACGAGCGGCCTGTGGCACATTTCAGAGCCCTCAACCGTACCCCACACTGCATGGGCCATGACTCTCTCTTCACCCATGGATCATCTCTAGAGGGGATTCATGATGTCACCTGGAGTCTCTGCTCTCTCCAAGTGTACTGGAAAGGATTGGGTGTTGGGAAGGCATTGGAAAGCTGGTATTAGAAGAGTTAGCTGGGGAGAGATTTGACTGAAGAGAAGGAAGCGTGTTTGCAGTGTTAACGCAGTGGATCTGCCTCAAGAGGCCCAGAACTTAAGAAAGCCAGGAAGCTATTTTTCTACGACTCCCCATGTTAGTGAAGGCAATTTTTTAACGTGATATCCACTTTGAATTCTTTGATCTTTAAGAAATATGAGTAAGAGAAAAGGATAGATGGCAAGATAGATGAGGAACTTCAGAGGGGGCTAAGATTACTTTAAGGGAAAGCTAATGAGTTGTTGAATTGTTTTACATAGTGGGGTGCTATGAATAGGATGTTAAGGAAAGTTCTTCACAAATAAATGACAGAATAAAAAAAAAATAAACCTAACATAAGACAATTTTCTTTTTCAGCAAGGCACAGGGTTCTTTGGGAAGCTTCAAAAAATTCAAAAGTCATAGTGCCTTTTTTCATGGAATTCACTAAGTAGAGACTTTTTTGTAGGCATATCATTAAATGCTGGACTCTCAAGTTTTCGAAATGAGAAGTCTCCATCTGGGAGGTATAAAAGGAAACCCCCATCTGGTTGGTTTTAGCATCTTCAAGGTGAGGATACAATTCTTAAAATTGTCTACCTATTTCTGAGTCCTGGTTCAAATTCCTTTGTGATGTCTATGTCAGCTGGGACCCTGTAGGCCCCACTGAGTTGCACATCACCAAGTGTGCCCATCACTGTGGTTAGAGGCCGTGGGCTGTGTACTACAGACAATGCTGTAATTGCTTCTGTGACCAAGTGAGGGCGGAGTTTGCCCTTTATGTGATGTAGGCAATATTCTATTTTTAATAAGCCAGAAAAATCTGTTCAAATCCAGTAACTTCAAGATTTTCCAAAGACTGGAAGATGTGGAGGACGTGGGCATCAGCTGGAATCTGATTTCTCTCCCCTCCACACTTGCTCTTCCCCATTTCTCAACTGCTGTCTCCCAGTGTAATTACCATCTCAAGCATTTTCTGTTCGTCCCCTGTAGGTACACCACATCGTGCCAACAACCCATGGCCCAGCAGGAATATACAGTAGCCTTTGCCAGGGTCCACCAGGGCTTGATTACACTTCACGGCTGTAATTCAAGCCTGCTAATCCTCCTCTGCGTTCGGAAAAGAGGCCTGTTCTGTTAGATAAGCTGATTACTGTCTGGTGTGTGCTTCATGCCTAGCAAGAGTTGTTTATATGTGGAATTATTGCTGGCTGGGCTCTGTGCTTCGCTACACCGAGGAAGCTCGCTTAGGGGTCAGGGGTGTCAGGCTTCACCTCTGATCTGGGAGGGGTGAGAAGTGGAGTGTTGATTACAGCTGTTTTTCTCTCAACCTCTGTGCTGGTGGCTAAATATTTACTTTTCTCTGTTAACGGAAGGAGCCAGATAAGATTTTAAGAGTCTGAGACTTTTGCCCCTAGGACCCACTGTCAAAGATCATAGAGTGAAAGATCACTGCCCCAGACTTGCCACATTCTGATTAGGTTTGCAAGGCGATCTTAGTGGTCTTTTTGTCTTTAGGGCTACGTTAGGGAGGACTATGGCGGGACAAGTTGAGTGTGTGGTGAAATCAACAGCCACAGATTGAAGAGTGCCCGACCACAGGGAAAGGATGCCCGCAGAGACCATGTGAATGCTTTCTCACACTCAAAGATGTTTTCTTCAAAGCCACAGAAGCCTTGAAACCACCTTTGCCTCTGCCTACCAGCCCATCTCTGGTCTGGTGTGGAGCTTGTGGCTTGGGTGCAGTCTACGAAGCCCTTGCTCTTCATGGAGGAGGAAGTGCATTTTGTTATAACCGTCTGCCCAGTGATGTTGGCGTGATTTATGCTGGCTGCACTCTCAGGATTCCCATCCCTTTTGCGGGGTATTTTGTCCCCAGATGCAGAGCTGAGGTTCTGCTTAATACTGGCTTTTAAGTGTTTAAGCCCTACAAATGGCTATTCGGTTTAATGGTGTAAGGATGGGGTGAGTGCTGAAACAAGTACAGGTAAACACAAGCACCTGGCCCTTGTCACCTGCTGCATGGGCATACATTGGGGTCTGTTTGTATATTTGAATATGTGGCAGTCTACACTGGAGTAAGGAAATAAGGATGAATGTCAAAAGGCTTAATTGTGATGATATCACAATTGAGGCCATTTGTTGAGTAAACTTCCTCCACATCTCTGTATACTAATAATCGGTTTGTCAGCTTTTCTCTATGACACTATCATTTCCTTTAGGGCAGGCACTTTGTCTTTCATTTCTGTGACCGTTACCTGTCTGGCCCATAGTAACCAATCAAGGAATGGGTCTTTGATTTAGTGTATGAATAATTAATAGATTTCAGTGAAGAGGCAGCCTATCCTAGATTGAATGCGCGGTATAAATTGTTAGGTATTTATCATAGCTCATTGTACGTGGGTTCCTTCCCAGGTACCTTTCTTGCCTTTCTTTCTAGGAAGCAGAGAATCCGCATCCCCAGAAACATGGGTGTTCCTTAGGTGTAAAGGGCATGGCCAGCTAAAGGCAGAACAGAAAAGCTGCTCTGGAAGGGGTACTGGGCGGCTGTGGCATGTGATTTAGAAGGAAGGGGTGCTGTGCTATGTCCTCACTGCTGAGACATCTGGGCCACATAATACCTCTTGATCCACAAATATCTTGAGTGTTATCTCCCTCTTTTCTTTTGCCATTCCCACCCCTCTTTTTCCTTTTTGAGTCCTCTTTGTTTTTCATCTAAAGTGTTCTCTTCCCTTTGCCTTTTCTAGGGAAATACTTGTCCCTTAAAGATCAGCATATTCTCCAAATGGATGAATTGTGCCCCAAGGGGGATTTCTTTTCCTAGTGACTTTAATTTCTAGTCTTAGAACATATCCAAAAGGAAACACAGAAGTGCAAAGTTTTAAGCCTAACTTGAGCAATAAAAGATTTCTTTTCTGTGCAATGATTAACTTTCCCTTCTTTAATTTCAAGAGGTTAATGAATCTGTGAGCTTAGTATACTTGTCATTGTACATATGGCTTGTCATTGTATGTATGGCTGGGCTAAAATTTAATATTGAATCTCTGCAGTAAATCTTGTGGTTTTACATTTGTGTGTGTGTGTGTGTGTGTGTGTGTGTGTGTGTGGTGGGAGGAGAGAGAGAGAGAGAGAGAGAGAGAGAGAGAGAGAGGAGGTGTGGGGGGGCGGGGGGCTGCCATCCAGAAGATGGAGGTACAAGTAATGGAAGCTTTTTTTCTTCTCCCTACATATGAACTGAATAAATGCTTGGCCGTCAACAGAATAATAGTTTCGGAAAACCACACCTTGAAATTCACCTTAGCATCTTTGAAATAATCTCAGGAGGGACTGGGCATGGTGGCTCATGCCTGTAATCCCAGCACTTTGGGAGGATCAGTTGAGGCCAGGAGTTCAAGACCAGCCTGGCCAATATGGCAAAACTCCGTCTGTACTAAAAATACAAAAACTAGCCAGGCATGGTGGCACGCACCTGTAGTCACAGCCACCTGGGAGGCTGAGGTGGGAGAATCGCTTGAACCCGGGAGGCGGAGGCTGCAGTGAGCCAAGATCTGGCCACTGCACTCCACCCTGGGCTACAGAGTGAGACCCTGCCTCAAACAACAACAACAAAATCTCAGGAGGTTTTAAGGGTCGAGAGATGAACAGCAAGGCTGCATTCCAGAGACTCTGACCATAAAGCTAAACTCTGAGCATTTTCTCACAGGATGTAATCACTGACTATGGTATTTCAAAAGTCTAGGGTCCTGCCACTGTCACAGGACTACAGTAGTAGCAAACAAAGGAGGGCGGAATTAAGAAAATCTCTGCTTTTTATTCTGTTCATAATTATTTACATCCCTGTCACTTAAAGGCTGGATAACTACCTGTCTGATCTCCAACCTGTTGTTGCCATCCTGTCCTCAGTTTTGCAATCAGCAGCATTGTTTGAATGTTTACCTAAAGCAGAAATCTCTTAGTCTATACCAACGTCAGTTCCCTGGGATTCCCTCTAGAAGAGGAAAGAGAACTATGTGAACATAATTCACATTGGTTTGCAGAATCTTAAAATTAGCTAGTTTACTTTAGGCTGAAATGACTCCATAACCTTCTGGTTTTTTGCAGGAAAAAGAAGTATACATTATATATACCTTTGACAACCTTGATACAAGTGTTAGATGCTTCTTTCATTGGAAACCTTCAAAATGCCTTTCCTCTCAGTTTTTCTGAGCCCACCTGTTATTTTGGTTACATATGAAGGTAGGGAGGTGGCCCCATAATTCTGGTTGGCAAATTGGGAACAGAGCCTGGAACTGGAGGATATCTCCTGCTGGGTGATGCTGAACATTAAGACCAAGGTCTTACAACAGCAACTCAGTGCTATTCATTACCAAACAGATCAAAAACTGGGTAACTTTTGTTTCACTTCCATATCTCCTGTCCCAAAAAGTGAAGTCAAATTCAGCATTAAAAAAAAGTGTTTGCACAACTGTAATTTTTGATGGTGTGGTGTAGAAACAAATACCATGTCTGTTTGGTTTGCTTTAAGACATAATAGACCAGGTGCAGTGGCTCACACCTGTAATCCCAACACTTTGGGAGGCCAAGACAGGAGGATCACTTGAGCTCAGGATGTCAAGACCAGCCTGGGCAAAATAGGGAGGCCCTATCTCTACAGAAAAAGTAGCCGGGCGTGGTAGTGTGTGCCTGTAGTCCCAGCTACTTGGGAGGCTGATGTGGGAGGATTGCTTGGACGTGGGAGGTCGAGGCTGCAATGAGCTGTGATTGCACCACTGCACTCCAGCCTGGACAACAGAGTGAGACCCTTTCTCAAAAAAAAAAAAAAGAAGAACAGGTTAAGAGTGTGAAGCTGAGAAAACTACATGTGTGTCGTTAGTAGTTTTTCTTGGTTTAGGCTAGTTCAGGAAAACAGAAATGAAATTCTGCAAAAGGCAGCATGAAAGTCCACATTGGCCTTCATCCCGTGAAACTCTGCCAGCTGCTACTTGGGGTTCAACCCTATTCTTTCTTCAGGGCACCGCCTTTGCTTGCTATCAACCTTGCTACAATTGGAGGCAGCTGTGAGGTAGGGAGAACACCCTGAGTGAAGTCAACTGCAGAACTAAGTATGTGCCCTTGGGCCACTTTGACTCCCAGTACCTCAGTTTCCTCATCTGACTAAAAAAGGGTTAATAATACCCCATAACGTTCATGTGAGAATAAAAGCAAAGGAGATAATTTTTTTTTTTTTTTTTTTGAGACGGAGTCTCACTCTGTCCCCCAGGCTGGAGTGCAGTGGCGCTATCTCGGCTCACTGCAAGTCAAAGGAGGTAATTTTTGACAATGGATTTGTAAGGTTTAATTTCCATGAAAGAAAATATGGCGTATTTAGTTCTTCTCTACCACATTGTCCACATACCTGTTCTAGCAATTTCACTTTGTATATTAGCTCTTTCCCCCATGATTCTGCACACTTGTCTTATTTCTGGTCAAGTTTCCCCAGCTGAAATATAGGTTCTGTCAAAGAGTAGATCCTCAGTATATTATGTTGAATGAACAACTGACCGAGAGACCAACTGGGGTCCTTGTTGGAGTAGCAATGTTGGCAAAATTGTGCAGCCCAGTCACACTTTGTGCGGGTTGAGAGATTTTTATTTTAACTGAGCTGTAAGGCTGTCACTGAACATAAGTGGACATGACCAGTCTGGCAGAGTCAAACAGAGTGCTGCTAGAAAGCAGGCAGCACCGAAAGAGAAAAGCAAATTTGGCTTCTAAGATGACCATATGTCTGTTACCCCAGAAAGCATGAGCCCCTGCAAAGTTCTCTGCTGAAGTGGGGAGAGTTGGAGCCTCCTGTCTGTTCTGCAAAGGATTTGCAGGGTGCTTAGCATGCTGGCCCCAGTGTCCTCATGGAAATACGGATGGCTTGCTAGGGGCTGTCCCATACAACCAGAGTGGGGTTCAATGAAGTGCCATCAACAAGGTGCCTACGAAGGGCCATGCTAATGTCTGGCCAGTGAAACAGGGGAACTTCCAGAGCAGATATCACATGGGTTGGAGAGATGTTGCTTTACACAGTGAGCAGGAAAGCCAGACACCTCTTCAGAGAAATACAGTAAGAACCACAGTAAATAAGGCCCAGCCTCAGGGAGGCAGATATTTAAAGGAAAATTAAGACGGCTCCTCATCTATCTCTCTGTCACCCGTTGATGCATTTAGCCAGCATCTTGTGGTGCTAAATGCTTTTTGATGATGATGGTTCATGATGACCACTGTATCTCCCCACAGGGGTGGGCGCCTCCGATGTGAGAGTTCTTAGTGGGGGGCTCCATCTCCAGTGCACAGAAAGAAGGAATGGTCCAGAGACCCCCTGCTCTCCCCAAATTCCCGATTTTACCAGCATGTAAAAGCAAGTGGAGGCAACAACCACCACAAAAAAGCCCGTCTGAAAATCAGAGCCTAATCACTCCCATCTGCTCCAGTGCTGCTTCCTCTCGCTGCCTGCCAGGATGTTTGCCGCAGATGCTAAGTAGCACATTATTTTCGATAAGTTGCAATCATTTACTTGAAATCTACTTCTCCTTTAAAATGTCCCCCTGGAAACTTGAATCGGCAGTCGAGAAGCCTTGTTCAGGATGGAATTTGAATGCTCGCACTCAAGTTCAAGAAAAGTTAAACCCATTTGACCTCCAGGTGTTGATGAATTGTAAATTTCAGCCCCTTAGACTCTGTTGAGAAGAGAGGAAGAGGCACCAGGGAAGACGTCTGGGAGAACAGAGCCATTCCTTAGGCCTCATTTCCCCAAGGGAAGGCACAGTGCTGAGATGAGAGACAGGAAATGATGGCTCCATGGAATCGTCCCCAAAGCAGAAATGTCACACATCCCCGAAGACATTAAGTCAGTAGCTTTCTTGGTCCCCATGAGATGTTATCTCTTTTATCCAGAGACTGGTCTAGTGAAGATTAAAGGCATAATTTGCAATCTGGAGCTCATAATCTCAGTCGCCCTTACCCCATTCCACTGTCACAACTAGGATTTCTTATTTACTGCCTCTTGTCCAGGACACCGTTAGTATCACCGTTAGTATCATGTCCTGCCATCCGCTCTTCCCTGTCAGTTAAAGGCTTAGTGCGTTCAGGGGCTACTTGGAAAGTTCTGAGAAGCAGCAAATGCCTCCTGCTTTTCATGCAGCCTGTTTGCCTGTGTGTTCCGTGGCTCCTTGTGTCTAAGGACAGCACGAGTGACTCATTAGCAGCACGGCATGTGCTTGGGGTGGTTTTTGTAATGAGTGGTGATGGATCATCCACATACTCTCCCTGAAGGACCCTGACTGACCTTGTATGCATTTGTGAGATGACTGTCTGGGGTCACAGGTGTTGTTTGTGGTCATGGAAAAAGAAAAGCTAATTGGCGTGTGTTTTGAAATGGACCTGGGGCACCCATAAATAGACCCAGTGTCCTTCAGCTGGAGAATTCTGCTTCCACTAAAGTGAACAGAGGTGATTTCTCCTCTAAGTAGGGTGCATTGGGATCTCTCTTCCAATCCTCTGTACCTGACAAATTGAGCAGGCTGGTTAGAGTAAAAACCTGATTTTATTAGTATAGTGTAAGGAAACATCCCACTACAAGATATAGATCAATATATGCAGAAAGGCAAATTACAGGTACTCAGCCTAAAGTAATTTGTTAGAACTTGGTCTCACAGGTTTACAGTTTAGTCCACCTTAGAATTCCCTTGGTCAAGATAGAGTCTTCTCTTCTACTCCCTCATCACAGAGGCTCTTGGCTGGTTTCCATATACAGCCACTCCTCACCACCTACCACTGTATTCTCAGTCTAAACTCCTCAAGGGCACCCGATACCCTCACTAGGTGATGTCTTTCCCTGTTCCCTCATCCCGGACTTCCTGGGCCTTCTTTTGCCTCTGCTGATAGCCGTGGTAGTACCCAAGAGAGGCCCCTCTAATGACCAAGGTCTCTTTGATCTGTTCTAAAACCTCCTCTTTTTGCCAGGAGTTCCCCACAGTGACTACTCAGGTTTTTCTGTGACTTGCCTCTGGTTATTAAATCTGCCTTTTTCTAATTTTCTCTGTAATACTCTACATGAGATCACTGTGCAATACTCTACATGAAAACACTCTGCCTTCTAGATTTTTATCTTATTTTTAGAAATAATTTGTATTAGCTTAGATTGGTTAAGCTGTCTAAAGCAAACAAAACAAAACCCTCTGAAAAACCCCAAAATAACATGGCTTAAACAAAATACAAGTTTATTTTTTCCCTTCTTTCTTATAGCCCAAAGATGACTGGTGGGCTGGTCTCCAGGGTGTGAGAACTCCCATCTGGCTTCTTTCCCTAGAGTGGCTTCCAGTGCCCAGCCCAGCTCATGGGCCGGGGGATGGGGGAGCTGCAGAAGGGATGGAGTGATTTAGAGTACTGCACCTTGTTGCCCTACTCTAGGCTACTGGTAACCCTGGCTGGAATTTGCTGTTTGGCATCAGTGACATCATTTCCTCTGTCTGTCCTTGGTCTGCACACCTCTGTCTATGGCTGTCACCTGGCAGAGGTTTGCATTTCAATCTTATTGGGAAGGAATCCTGGTCTAGCAGGGAGAAGGTGTATCATATTATCAGTGGTAGGTCTCGTCTCCTGTGATCTGTAGAACTGGAAGTAATCATGGATCGCGTTAAGACTAAATGATCGACGAATTCTGTAAGGACTGCTCAAGGTCAATAGCTCATTGTATTAGGAACCCTGCCTTTGAATTATTCAGCAATTTTCAAAAACTGGGAAATATTCCTGTGGGAGCAAAATGTTCTTTATTTCAAACTTAGTTCTGATGAAATTGTTTGGAAAGTTAGAGAAAAACTAGTTCTGTTCCTATTCAGTTTGTAGATATGGGCCGGAAAATGCCATTTGCCACTAGGAGCTGGAAGCTAATTTGTAGCCTCAAGACAGTAGTGACAACGGCAGCGGGGTAAGACAACATGGAGGTGTGCACAGCCCAGGCAAGTCGTTGTAATATTTCACCCATGGGGTTTCTCTACATCCTGGCGGAGAAGGGTGATTGTGAATCACAGATCCCACCCAGAATCAAAACTTAAACATGCTTCCTCAAACCTTTGAGTACAAATAGTGTCTTTACCCTCTTCTGGTTATAATTTATTTATTTTTTAATGGAAATTTGAAAGCAGCCATTAAAGATGACTTCCAGGCCAGCTCGTCTGACACAAGGTGAGATTACTTCAGAACTAAGTGGTTCCCAGAAGGGTCTTCCAGCCTCAGAAAGACCGAGGCTTCCAGTGTGAGCTCTGCCAGGCCAGGAGGATGGTGTCGCCTCTGGCTCAGGGGAGACTAGGGTTGAAGACTGTGGCATCTCCTCTGAGTGAAGACTTAAGAAGCTGCAGGATCCTTAATGTACTTGGGCAAATAGCAAGAAAGGACTATAAAGAGGAGAAAAGATGAGAGAAAGAAGACCTTTTGAAATGTATTCTATTGGCTGAGGATCTATGGATTCCTTAGCCTTTGACGGTATCAGTGTGAGCTTGCCTGGAAGCATAGGTCAGTAAGGTGGGGGTGGGGGGTGTCTGTGTGCATTTGTGTGCGTGCGTGTATGTGTGTATGTATATTCTTGGCTTATCCTGGTTTCTTCTGTGTTGTTGATTCCTAACGCGCAGAAAAACCAAACTCTTAACTCTAAATCTATCCTGCTTTTTTATTCTTCCCAAAGGGATCTTTATCAGTGAGATTGATTCAGATTTAACCAAAAATCTAAAATCTATCAGTCACCAAGCACTACTGTGTGCTTTTGTAAAAATAACCTTATTTAATCCTTAGTAAGAATTAAGGCATAGGTGAAGTCGTGTAGTAGGAGTCTTGGGCCTGGCTTTGAACCTAGACACCCAAGGCCTGTTTTAGTGTACGTTTTTTTTTGTGCCATGCTGTGGCACTAACAGAAGAAAGCTCGTGCCCATACTTATACTTTTCTAGGTATTAAAATGTGGTAGGACAAGGAAATCTATCATGTATTAGCTCTTGCCAGAAAGCAGGCAATGTGCTAGGTGCCTCACTGAGACTCGGAACTGCAGAACATTTTTACCTCAAGGCTAAAGAGTATTGAGAAACTTCTGTTTTCTCTATGGTTGCTTCCTTTAGGAAATACCATTGTAGAGAGAAGCTTTCATCTCCACGGAATGCACAGCAAGTTGCCGACCAATGGCTCCACATTTTTCATGCTTTTTATGTGTAACTAAGAAGGAAACTGTTCCTTGTATCATGGGTTACCACAGGCAATCCAGGTCTCACACACCCTTCCCTGGCCCTGGTCCTGGTCCTGGCCTTCTGTCTTTCCGATGGCTTTCCCCCTTTCCTCATACCTCTGGGTATGTCAGTCTAAGGCCAAAGCTTGTGTAAGTCATGCCCTCCTACCAACTTCTGTAGCTCCTGTTTAGGCAAAGGGGTTTCCCGAGCAGCAGTCCAGACTTGAGCTATTAAGGACCAAAGCCCCTCGCCCAGGCAGCCGGCACCCATCCAGAAAGGCAGGGGCCTATCGCCCAGCACATTAGCTTTCTCCCTGCCAGCTGGCCCAGGGAGGCGCAGCGTGCCAAGTGGGGAACGTGTGAATGGGATCCATGCCCATGCATCCCCTGAGAAGTAGAAAATGCACGTGACCAGAACCGCCAAAACCTAACCCAGGGAAAAAGATGACAAGAAAAACTTGGTGTGTTTCTCTAAAGACAACCACAAAACATAAACAAACAAACAAAAACCTAAAACTGTCTCAAGAGTGTCATATAATTTTGTTTTCATCTCTTGCCCTAAAACCTCACACAAAGTTTTACACATTGTGGCTGTTGGCTAAATGTGAAAAACGAGTGAATCTAAGAGCTCCTCGCAGGACCACGTTTATTTGGAAAGTCAGCACGGTGCCTGGCACCATAGTAAATGCTCAATAAATATTCCTGGGCTGAAACATTTGAGGGCCGCAAATTCTTGCCTTTGTTTGACTAAATCCTTCAAATCCCTGAACTTGGTTCATTTACTAAATCCTTCAAATCCCTGAACTTGGCCTACCTGCTTGGCAAACCAAGAAAAACAGTTGGAATGGCTTAAAAACAATAATATCTTACCTTCAATACAAATCCCCCACTTTAAGAAACCCTGGACCTAGATTAAGTCCCACCTCGGTGTCTCTGAGATTCTAGAGGGCTGAGAGACAACCCGGGGGAACAAGGGTGGCTTTCAACATTTGGAGATTTCTTAAACTACAGCTTCTCATCTGAAGAGGCCGCTCCAGGCCTACTGCAGCATCCAGGGTCTCCACTTGGGGCTGGAAGGTGTCAACTCGGGTGGTAACTGCTTTCCCTGTATAATCAGAAGCGCTGACTGACACCTATCAGTAATGCTGACTTGTAAAATTTAGAAAACAGAATCATCAGTCATTTCTATTTGTTTGATGAATAACTCTTTAAAAATCACCATTAAAAAAGGCATTTCACATCAAACAGAGAGATTGAGAATAAGGAGTGAAGAACACGAGGACCTGCTGCCCTGAGTTTCAAGACACTAACAGAAGATTTGGGTCCCACCTTTGGTTGAGAAGAATCAAATTAGAGCATAGTTATTTTTCAACTTGAGGAGGTTCCGGGCTGTGGATATATTGTGCTTATAGGAAGTAAACAAAATCAGAGGAAGAAGTGTATGTGCATCAGTTGGATGCACACAAATCTTCAGATTTTCAGTTGTTATCCACCCACCCTGGCAATCTCATGTACCCACAAGCCTCAAAGCAGTTGGTGTCCTGTGTCCGAGGGACTGGAGGAGCGTAAACCATGGGCTTCTTGAAGTCGGAGCCCATATCTGGGTCATCCAAGGTCCCAGGATCCAGCTCATTCCTGTCACCTTGGAGGTACTTGAGCAGTAATTTGTTTGATTGCACTGAGCGTTCCTCAGAGGGCCTGTTTGTGGAGACAACCTCTATGTGGCCCCTTGGCTGCCAGGCCCTGTCAGCCCTCACAGAGTGCTTCTTCCCCAGGTACCAGTCAGGAACCAGGCCTTTCCCAGCACCCAGAGCCTTTGTCACCGGTAATGTTGGCTTCCTGGGGTCATACCAGGCTGGGTCCAGGAAGCTCTGGCTTAATGCCAGTGTAGTTTTGCTTGTTTAGAATTGTCAGATTTGATAAGGCAGATTTGACAGTTTTTTGAAGTGGATATGGAAGAGGTGGCAGAGAGAACAGCCTTCTACCCAACAGCATGCTGGCTCTGGTACAACTTGTAACTGGAATGCAGGGGGAAAGAGAGCACATACAGGGAATTGGCTGCCTGGCTGAGAACAGGAAGCTGAGGCACAGATCCTTGGATCTCACCAGCCCGTATCTTCCCTCCTTGATTCTTTATTATATTGCTCTTAAGAAATATTGGAACAGACATTTAGTGTCAGGGGCCCTGTGAGGTTGTGTGGGGAACCGCCTTTCAGGAGTTCACAGTCTTGCTGGCAAGATGGTAGGTGTGCCCTGGCATGTCCTGAGATGCCCCATGGCTGTGGTCTAGGCAGTACGTGCCCTGGTGCCTCAGAGGCTTAGAGATCATTTTCGGCTCTTCTCGTCAGGGCAGATTTCATGAAGGATTTTGAGCTGAGATTTAAAATGAAATAGGACTGTAGTAAGTGGATTTCTGTGGCTGAGAAAGAAGAGGGCATTCTATCACCCAATACAGTGGCTCTAACCATGATGGTGGAAAGAGGTAATGGGAAAGGACCAGATTTAGAGAAATTAAAAGAAATTAGGAAATCAATAGAAAAAACTTCCTTCTTTCCATTACTATCTGATTGTTTTCTTCTTGGCCAGAGTATCGGTGTGCCTTGGGCATCAGAAGAGACTGTGTGTGTGTGTGTGTGTGTGTGTGTGTGTGTGTGTGTGCGCGCGCACACACACACACGCACAGAATAGATATCACATCCATGTAGCTGCCTGTTGTGAAAAGGATTCAGAACTCCAATATTGTAGAGGACTGAAGTGTCTGAGAGTTAAAGATCTAGAGTTCAGTGTCGGCTGTGTCTCATTTGCTTTGATTTTGGGGAAATGTGCTTTGCCTTTATAATCTTCGGTTATCTGCTATGTAAGTTTGGAACATTACTTCATGTTTTGTAAGGTGATGTAATTCAGTGCGTGCAAGTACTTTATGAACAAATAAAAGGTATAACTCTGATGCTCTCAGGAAGCAAGCATTTTGCTCTTTTCCTAAAACTGCATAGCTGACTTGGGAATGAGGCGGGGAGAGCTGGTCTCTCTTTTCTAACTCTTCTGGTAGGATGTGGTAAAGACTGAGCTCCTGGGCAATAGAACACTCTGCATGGAGGTTTGTGCCTACAAATCAAACAAAGAGATCAGCCAGAGAGAGCCTGCCTTTTTGCACACACCGTTGGGAGGCTACCTTGTGCCTTTCCCCAGACCACCTGCCTCTGCTTTCTGTCTTGTTCTTTATCTGTTTCTCTCTCTCAGCTCAGCTTTGGGCCCCTGGACTGTTGTCCAAATCTGAAGACCACCCTCCCTGTAGATCTGCCCTCCTCCCCTCCCAACCTGCCCCCACCTGTGGAAGTTTGAATCTGAGCAGAGGCATTCCCCCAGCATGAACCTGGACACTTGACTGTCCGCCCGCCTGGAGAACCAGTCCTTGGTGAAGAAAGAGTGCCCTCTAGTGGGCATTGGCTGGAGCTGCTCCGGACCCACGTCACTCAGCCAAGGACAAAACAACCCGCCACACGGCCCTCCCGCCAAGGATGATCTTGACTATGCCTTTGGGTTTGGTTTGTTTTTCTCCTTGTGTGAAGAAAAAGAAAGAAAGAACAGCAGGAGACAAGTGGTGAGAGCAGCTCCCACAATGCTGTGACAGTCCCTTTATCTTAGGACTTTTACCAAAGAATTAACCCCAGGGCAAGCGATGGCAGCAAGGTACATGTGACATCAGAAGCTTTTTAAAGGACTTGTGACAATTCCTGTATAAATCACCTACCTGTCTCAACTGGTCTCTTCCATAATTGGGTGGATTTGTGGGAAGGAAACTCTTTCTGTAAGAATGATTACCAAATGGGTTAAATATCTTCATGGGCGCAACCCCTCTGCAGATTGCATATCCACTGCAATCAATGACATTTTTCGGGTAGTGGACGCGTCCGGGCCTGCCTGGCCATTAAAACCCTATATGCATGAGGACAAACAAGGGATTTGGCCCTTTAAAACCTATTTCAGAAAAAAGCTGCTGGGGTGGGGAGGGAAGAGATGAGGGGGAGGGAGAGAGCGCAGGGCACCCATCAGGGAAGCAGGAACCTGATCATATGTGATGGTTGCTGGATTAGGTAACAGCTCCGCTGGTTGAAATTGGATCTTGGAGGATGAGTGTTAACATCTCTGGTGTCCTGGCGAAAGGTTCATTTGAGTCTTGCATGGTGCTGCAGAGATAAAAAGGAGCTTTTAAATAATCATTTTGTCTCCTACTCACCAGAGTACTGGCTTCCAGCAATAAATAGGTAGCATCAGTTCTGCTTAGACATATCACCCTTTTCATTTATTTATTTAATGTTGGTGTTTTTTTTTTTTTTTAACCGCCGAGCTGAACAGTTTGTGTATCAGTGAATCCCAACACCCATTCTTAATAGTGGTATATTTGGATTCTCCTTGCGCTGGCTACAAATATGAGCATGCAAGGTTGTTTATTGGTCCATCCCTGTCCCCTCCAAGCATTACAGACACAGCCCAAATCCACCAGAACTGAATTTTCTATGCAAAATAGTGCAAGATGGTTTTCTTTTAAGGTTTTCCCTTGTTCATATTGTTCCTTAAAAAAATTTTTTTTGGGTTTTTGCACAATCATTTTCTATTTTCATAATTTGAGTATAATTTAAAGGGTGTAATTTGGAAATGACTGTTGTTGGTTTTTCTACCCGCCGCCCTCCCCCCCCCGCCCTTTTCTTTTCATTCTTTTGTTTTCTTCAGAACTCTGATTGGGGACCTATTTATGTGTCTTGAACTCTAAGTGTAAATGCAAGCAATATTTATGCCGTGGTGCATTGTATCTATCTTATCAATTTCTAATTGGCCACATTTAGAAACTAAGTCTATTAACTCATAGTGAATTCAAATTTCTTTTTAGGGAGTATTTATTTGCAGGATTCACAAAATGATGTGAAAGCTAAGCGAAATACTAACACTTTCTTGCCCCAGCCAACCCACCACCACTGCGCCCAATTAAATGTATCCTTCATACCTGAAAGAAAAGAGGCAGTATGCTTTATGCTTTAAGCTTTGCAACCCTCCTGAAACTTCCATGGCGGGTAGGGGCTTGCAGTTTATCCTTTCAGTGTTCTTTGCCAGCCTTGACAATTTCCTTTCTTATTTTATTTAAAACCAGTTAGATTTGAAGGCCAAGAAATGTATTAATTAGGAGGTGTGTAGAGTTTGTGTGAAATTGTTTGTGCTTCCCATTGACTATTTTAAAAAGATGGTGTTTTAAAAAGATGGAGCAGAGGCATGAAACTGAGAGGGGTTGGAAAGAGGAAATATTCTCAGAGGTTAATATTAGGTATATGGGAAATATTCATAGTGATGTGTGCGTGATCACCTGTGTAGCTCCTGGAGGAGCGAGGATCAGAACTGTCTCTCTGCCTTGCCTCTCCCTTCTTTCATACCTCACTGAGTTTGGCTGGAGGAATAAGCTGATGGAATGAATGAGGCCGCTTGGGGTACCCATGTGATTGGAGGAGGTAGGATACTTGATGTCAGCTCAAGTAGGCAGTGCTTAACACTAGCCCTGGCAAGGCAAGTCCTGACCATTAATAGGACATCATTCTTTTTTGCTTTGCTGTTGTTGTTGAGACCAGAGGTTGTCCTAAAATCTCTCAGTGTTGGGCCGCATGCAGGACCAGTTGGGTGTGGAGTAGCCAGGTGGACCCACTTGAAGGCATTAACACCCAGCTGAAGGGTTACCAGCCTCAGCTTCGTGGGGAATGTTCCTGCCAGCCGTGGGGGCTTACGGCCTCTTCTGAAGGAAGTATATTGGACATGAGATTCAGTGAGCGAATGAGAGAGTAGAATTTTGCCCCAGCACAATGTTTTGAATAATCGAGCTAAAGTGAAACAACTATATTTATTAATGGCTCAGAGGCGATTCTTTTTTTTTTCTAATTTGTAAATGACCCATAAATTTCTTTGTGGATAAGGCTATTAAAATTTATCATATAAAGAGAAACAACCACATAGAGGTGAAGGAGAGGCTGCTGGGCGCTGCTGCCAGATGTTTGGATGCCCCGAGATTCTTTTCGGTGCCTTTAGGGCCTGGTATTCAGGGCATGGTTACAGCAGCCATCTACTTTCTTAAGGAAACCTTTGTTAGTGGCAATTTGTTCTTCAGAGTGCTTCGGAGATTTAAGTAAATAAATTTAAGAAACAATAACGTGACTAAATCCTTATTGTGCAAAGATCAGCCAAAGGAGCAGTTTCCCATTCAGTCTCCTGAGCCTACAAAGGAAGGATTTTATTGGAAAAAAAAGTCCACAAAATAAACCTCAATGACCTCCTAACCTTTTGCCGTCACCACTATGGCAATTTTGTTTTTGTGTAGCAGAATATTACATATTCAGGTTTGAAGAGAGAAGATCATGACGTGGTAGTGTTGTGGTTTGCGTCTAGGGTGCAGGCTTCCTTCTTTTCTCCTTCCCAGCTACCTGCTCTCCCTCCTCCCTCCCTCCTTTCCTTCCTCTCATCCTTTTTTACTTCACCACGGAGCCCAAGCTTCTGCCCTGCACCTTTTGTCCTCTTTGCTCTTTATGGCCACCACTGATCCACATGGCTCGCCATTCCATTTGATGGTCTCGTGTTTTGTGAGAGCCATACTGTAGTTTTCCTTTTGGCCTAGGAATTGGGATTTCCTTCTGAACAACGTTCAGGGTTGGTTCTTTTGCTGCCTGTTGGCAGCCAGGAGCATGTGGGCACAGCCAGCAGTTATGCTGGTATTATATGTGATGACGCTCAAACATCTAGACATACCCTCATTGAGCTCATCTTCACCTTCCCTGTTACAACCCGAAGCCCTGCTTTGCCAGGGCTGGGAGACACCTGGAACTGGCACTGTCCCCCTGGGGCTCACCAGATGCACTCTGCCATGAAAACAGCTCTTGACTGTGCTCTGGTGTGTGGATATCCACCAGGGACTTAGACCCTGCCACCTCCATCCCCAAAATGTCAACCAACACCGGACCCCTCTCCTCTGCCTTTAATCACTTCCCTCTTTCCCACCCTACCCACACATTCTTTTCAATTTCTTAAAAATTGAAAACACTTTTTATGTTCCCTCTTAACAAAGACTTGGCTGCTGACAACTGAACTGGATTTAGATGAGTGATTTATTTTATGGGAGGTTGTCTGAAGGGGTAGTAAAAAAGACTGTCTCGCTCTTCTGCTGATTTACTAAATCACTGGATCTCCTTCAGTCCAAATCACCACCAAGGGTCCTGGTGTTTTCATAAAGATCAGCCATCTCATTGATCTGAGACGCCATCCTACCAGAGCACTGGCTTCCCTGAAACCCTGGAGACAGCTTGTTAAAAGGACCTCACCCTTGTTTCCAACAGGACAGAGTCCTTATCACTCGGAACACATAGATCTCAATGTTTGGAGCTAAACGACCCTGCTCAAGGGCCAATTTGTCTTCTTGCTATGTTAGACCTCACTCTCTGCTAGTCCACAGGAAAGGTCTGAAGATTTCGTTCCACATGTACTGGATTTGTGTACTTCAGGTGATTTTGGAAATGAAAAATTTAGACTGATCAAGCATTGCAAAGAAAGGCAATGAGTGCACAACCACAGACTTATGGAAATTTAAAAGGAGAAATAAAGAGGGAAATGCTTTTCCTTAAATTGAAATTAGGTAGTATGGGGATGAAAGTAAAAAATATATTTTGTTATGATTACATTTTTCTAGTTGAAATTTTTTATTGTGGTAAAATATATATAAGATAGAATTTACCTTTTTGGGGGGTGGGGGTGTGGAGTCTTGCTCTGTTGCCCAGGCTGGAGTGCAATGAGTGGCGTGATCTCAGCTCACTGCAGCCTCCGCCTCCTGGGTTCAAGGGATTCCCCTGCCTCAGCCTCCCGAGTAGCTGGGACTACAGGCACGCACCACCACGCCTGGCTAATTTTTTGTATTTTAGTAGAGACGGGGTTTCACCATGTTTGCCAGGATGGTCTCGATCTCCTGACCTCGTGATCAACCCCCCACTCAGCCTCCCAAAGTGCCGAATTTACCATTTTAAACTATTTTTAAGTGTACAGTTGAGTATTATTTTGCAGCCATCTCAAAAACTCAGCTTCCCAAAGTGAAATTCTGCGCTCATTAAACAATAGCTCCCCACTCCTCCCCACAACTCATGGTACCCATTATTCTACTTTCTGCCTCTTATAAATTTGATTATTCGAGATTCCACATACAAGTGGAGTGTAATTTTGGAACAAAGCAAGTCCCTCCTTCATTTTCTCACCCTCTCAGTTTCTCTCTTTTTCCAGCCTTTCTTCTATTCCTCAAATGGCATCTTGCAAGTAACTTGGCAGCTTATGTAGCCAAAGAACACAAATGTGTTGTGTTTTTTATTTTCTTTCTTGGGTTACTATTAACGCTCCCTTCCCTGTCTTTTTCTGTAGTTTTGAGTATCCGAGGAGCCCAGGAGGAGGAACCCACAGACCCCCAGCTGATGCGGCTGGACAACATGCTGTTAGCGGAAGGCGTGGCGGGGCCTGAGAAGGGCGGAGGGTCGGCGGCAGCGGCGGCAGCGGCGGCGGCTTCTGGAGGGGCAGGTTCAGACAACTCAGTGGAGCATTCAGATTACAGAGCCAAACTCTCACAGATCAGACAAATCTACCATACGGAGCTGGAGAAATACGAGCAGGTAACCAGAACCACCTGGGGCTCGGCACCCAGGCCCTTTAGGAAAGGGTGGAGGAAGCACAACCCCGGGGCTTGCAGAGAGGAGCGGCTCACCTTTCCCAGGTGCTGGCATCCCTGTGCCCGGCATCCCCTGCCCAGCCACAGAGCCCTGGCCAAACTTGAGTCTGCCAAGTCCTGGTCTCAACTGTTAAAAACCTAGGCATTCAATGGAGGTAAAGGCATTAAAAAATGTGTGACGCTGTAAATGATTTCAAGGAAACATAAATCGTGCATAGAAGGAACACTCCATACCTGGACTCCAGAACGTGTGTCTGTGATGTGCAGGCCTGGCTCTCATCCGGGCGCTATAGGTGATCAGCAGAGTCACCAGCTAACCTGCAAGAAGGTGGGAGGTTTTCTCTGGCCCTTGTTTTTCCTTATTTATCAGGAGGCCTATACTTTTTCTGGGTGCTCATAGTATCCTATGGGAAAGGACTTAAAACTTGGCCCTAGAGTCCCTCACTTTACCCAGACTCAGTTCAATTGAGAGTCAAACGTATTCCCTCTTTTACATAATATATGGTATGGAATATGACACAAATCATCCTCTGTAAAAAGGGTAGGAGGTTCAGGAGACCCCTGGAGCCAGACAAACTGGGATTCTAATCCGGGCACTCCACAGATGGTTTGTGGGACTCAGTGTTCTGCATACTCAATTCTGAAAGCTGATGTATGGCACAGATCTGTGGATTTGGAGTCACGGATGTGAAGGACCATAAAACTTATATAAAGGAAAGGGCAAGAAAGGCTGTTAACTACAAAGCAGTACATGTAGGGTCTCCCGATTATAACAGAGCCCCTCTCTAATAGAGAACCCCCATCCCATCCTCCCCACAACACATACACACATCATATAGCAATGCTAGTTCCTCTGGTTAGTGTAAGCATGCTACTTTATCAGGAGTCCTTTAACAGCAGCCTTTCATTTAGATAGCAGATAAGTTTGTTGTTATCTCTTGGGATGCAACATTATATTGAAGTTCTCCATTACCCTACTCTCATTGAATCATTAGCTTTTCTTTTCTTTTCTTTTTTTTCGTTTCTTCTTTTCTTTCCTTTGCTTTCCTTACCTTTCTTTTCTTTTTTTTTTCCTTTCTTTTTTTTTTTTTTTTTTTTGAGATGGGGTCTCACTCTGTCACCCAGGCTAGAGTGCACCGGCACGATCTCTGTTCACTGCAACCTCTGTGTCCCAGGTTCAAGCAATTCTCCTGCCTCAGCCTCCTGAGTAGCTGGGATTACAGGCAGGTGCCAGCATACCCAGCTAATCTTTGTAGTTTTAGTAGAGACAGGGTTTCACTATGTTGGCCAGGCTGGTCTTGAACTCCTGACCTCAGGTGATCCACCTGCTTCGGCCTTCTAAAGTGCTGGGATTATAGGCGTGAGCCACCACACCTGGCCCCTTTCTTTTTAAAAGCCAAAAAAGAAGACAGAGAAAAAGTGGAAGGTAGAAGACCTTGTGCAGTCCACTTGTAACTATCTAGGTAGAAGGCAAATGCAAACTTAATAGAAAATTTAAATTTTAAAATAGAAATAGGCATTTTAAAAATTTAAAGTGAATAAATTTTCATTACTGCACTCCTATCTACCTTTGGAATGGATTTCTACAAAATCCTCTCTTTTATGAGGGCAGAAAAATTGCTGTGAAGCCAAGAATAGTGAAATTTGACCATCAGACAAGGTGTAGGGAGGGTGAAGGGGAGGAAAATAAAAGCAAGCTGTGGTAAGAAGCTGTGAGTCATCCTCCTTTGCCTTCTTGGGAAAGAACAAATGTTCTCGCCACAGTGTTGGCTCATATAGACATTTCCCCAGATCCCAGGCAATGCTGAGCTCAGAGAGCTGGCTGAACTGTGACAGTTTCCCCAACCATGACCATCATTTAGAATTTGCAGTCTGCTCTAACCTAAAAGGGTAATTATGGAAGGCAAATGGGGACAGACCTCTCGCTGACCTCTTGGATTCTTATTACCCAATGTTCTTCCTAATTCACCTTCACCAATAACCCTGTCCTCTGGCATAGCAAGCTGTCCTCCAGATTTGTCCTCCAGGTTAACTCGTGCCAAAGAACAGGACACAAGACAAGCCCAGAGTGCGACTTCCTTCACTAAACCATAATTGCAATGGATGTTAGGTTGGGAGGTGTTGGAAACTGTCTTTAATCTGAGCTCAGGTTGCCAGTAATATGGAACTGCTTCCTTGATTTAAACCTTCTTATCACTCTTCCATCCTCATCCAAAATGAGTAAAAATTATGACAGCCATAGTACATTTTAATAGCATGTCACCAATTACAAAACACTGCGGCTGACATAACGGCACTTGCTCCTCAAGGCAATTTTGAGATTGGGTACCCAGGACAGGTATTGTCATCCTCTCCATTTTGATGCAGGTGAGGAAATGGAGATGAAAGAGGTTAAGATGTGGTGGAGGTCACACATTTAATGAGGGAGAGAATTTGCCCTAGAATCCAGGATTTTACCCTTACCCCAAGGGCTCTTATTAGAATAATACCTGACTCCACTTTGTAAGAAGAGAATGTGGATGTCTTTCGACAATGGGGTAAGCAGGTTGTCCTCTCTGTTACTTCCTTGGGCTAGATTACTGGCACCTAAGAGAGGGTTGTGATAAAAATATTCTCTTCAGAAACTTCTTGTGGCTACCTACCTATTCTAAATAATAAAGATATTGGAAATTGAGAACTAAAAAGCTCCATCAGTACAGAAGCAAATTATGTTCAGTGTAGAAGTTGTACTACTCATCTGTATTTATTATTTTTAAAAGTACTAAAATATCATCTATTTGTTTATATGGGCATTTTCTAGTTAAGAAGTGAATACTGCTTAATACATTTTGGATGCTTAATAATTTATTAATATTAGTTGTGTTAATTATAGTAAATAGCAGATTGTAGGGAAATTATGCTATTAACCTTCTAGCTAGTGTGTCTGAGAGATATCTTCTTCATTTTTCCTGTAACAGTTCCTTATGGGGATTTTTTAAAAATAGAAAACCTTGGTCAAGTGAAAATGTCAGTATTTTAGTAGTACCTACCTGGAATTACCAAATTGGTTACTTAATAATTAATTTTGTTGTTTTATTTTTGGCATGGTGATGGCAGATAACTATACAATAATTAGCTATTGTAGCTCACCCTCACCCTTATCCCTCCAAAAACAAAACAAAAAACTACCTGAATCAGCCATTGTTTCACCCTGAGGTTATTAAAGAAAGAAGTCTTTTGAAGACATTTTTTTTTTTTTTTTGAGATGGAGTCTTGCTCTGTTGCCCAGGCTGGAGTGCAGTGGCACGATCTCGGCTCACTGCAACCTCTGCCTCTGGTGATTCTCCTGCCTCAACCACCCAAGCAGCTGGGAATACAGGCACGTGCCACCACGCCCGGCTAATTTTTTGTATTTTTAGTAGAGATGAGGTTTCACCGTGTTAGCCAGGATGCTCTCGAGCTCCTGACATCGTGTTCACCCGCCTCAGACTCCCAAAGTGCTAGGATTACAGGCGTGAGCCACCGTGCCTGGCGCTATAAGGTATTTAAGAGCTGTCATATTATAATAGATAAAACCATGATGTCAGAAACCTGAATTTTATTCCAAGCTCTACTTTAAAAAAAAATTATCTTGTGGCTTTGTAGGATTTTTTAGCTTTTGTAAATAATGCTGTTGGGGAATCAACAGGACTAAATCTCTAATGTTGAACTGGACTGGGTTAATTCAGTTCATAGCTAAGAGAGCCCTAAGATCCCAGTTACTTTTGTTGATGAGATTGGCAGCCAAATCCAATCTCATCCTTGGATCTCAATCCAATCCATCTTTTTGAAGGAGTCAAGGAAGAAGATAGGTCTTATAGTTCAGGATGTAAACTTAAACCTTATACAAGACTTTTGAAAGGCTTCCCTTTCAGTGTCTGCTTCCAGAAACAACGTTGCCCTGTAACCTGGGAGGTCTATTAGAAATCCCTCTGCCCTATGGAGGCAGCCTGAGCTCCCAGAAAGTAACTATTGTTTTTTATGACAGCCTACAGTAGAGTCTCCTCTGTTGAGAAACATTCAGCATGTGAGGGTTTTATTTAATTAACAATTGTAACCCCAAGTATTCACATTACTGTCACATTGTGAGTGCCTGTCCTATCGGAAGTAGCCCAGCTTCTTTAGATACAAGGCTTGAGGGAAGTGAGGAGGAGGTATGGGTAGCTCCTTCCTTCCCAGGTACTGGAAAAATCTGGATCATTATGCTCTGTCCATCTAAAATGCCCTTGGAACTTTGCTCTCTGTTGTGTGTTCCTCAGCAGCTGTTTAGCAGCTGCTTTGCTCCACCTCAGCAGTGGGTGAAACGACCCCACTGTCTGTTTATTGAAGAGCAGAAAGGGCCCCGGGATAGAGTGCCCTGAATAAACATCAGATATTGTGAATATTTTTATTCACCATAATGAAGCACATTATTATTAGCTGAGCACTGTGGCTTCCCAGCTGAGAGCTGGTGCACTTGACAATACTCCCTCACATCCAGCCCCTCCTCTCTTTGAGCCCAGACGAGGTGGGGAGGCTGCAGCCCGGCGGGAGGTTGTTTCTCTAGAAAGGTGGCTAGGATGCTTGCCATGTGCCTAGCCCTCCACTCTCCATCCTGTGGTCTCCAAATTTCAGCTAACTTGCTGCCAGGTTTTATTTCCTTCTCTTGGTTGTACAGTTCCAGGTGCTGGGGTTGGCTAGGGAATGAGCTTACTATATAGATCTCGTGTTTATTTAGCACTTTTCCATGGAGAGTGGAGAGTAACATGCTATAAGGACCCGATCTTCTATGGATTTGTCTTCTGTATAGGCCCACAGAGTAAAAAGGAGGTATTTATTACCACCTTTACTTTTACCAAGAGGGAAATTGAACTCTGGAGAAGTTTACCCAGTTATCGATATATCCAAATATGCTGGGATTTCTAAGTTATCTATATTTTGAAGAGATAATTGTGACATGTACTTGTAGGGCCAGGCACACATATAGTAACTCATTTAATCCTTACTACACCTTATCAGGTAGGGTATTGCCATCTCGGTTTCACAAATTAGAAAAACGAGGCACAGATACGTTAAGTAACTTTGAAGATCCCACAGCCAAGTGAGTTCCAGAGGCAGGAGCTGAACCCAGACTGTGCTCTCACTCAGCCTCTCTGCTGTGTTCATGTGAGGGATTTGCTCAGTCTGCAGGTCATGGCACAAGAGCATGGGTGCCATTAGCCTTGCTGAAGGGTCAGGAATGATTAAAGCCACTTTTGGGTGAGTTAAATGAAGCACTGAGTAGTGAAAGGATGTGCCCAAATATTCATGGAGGCAGGGTCAAAAACCCAGGCCTCCCATTCACCAGTGTAGACACAGCCCAGTGGATGCACCTGCCTATGTACCTTTGGCCAACCAACCTCAAAGGATTTCTTAGATAAATAATCAGTAAATGTCTACTATTGTTATTGTTATTGCGTTGTCGACACATATGACAACGGCAATGCAATGTTATCAATAACGAGCGTGTTTCTGCTGTTAATAAGTTGGAGGAATTGAGTCTTTAGTTCTTTAACTCTCAAAGCATCATCTTGCCTTTTTTGTTGTGAATCTAATATAGTTTTACAGTATTGCTTTGAGTGAATCTGTGAATAGATGTTTTGTTGAATGCTCAGCTAAGGAAACCAGATTATGGATGCTAAGTCATAGTAACTAAAAGAGAGGGCAGGAGTTTTCAGAGGAGTAAGTTCAGACTCTAGGAAAGGACAGAGGCCCTGGCCTAAAATAGGAAGGGCTCAGGCCCTACCTCTGCCTCTTCATGTTTGCTGTGTGCCTGTGGAAATGTCCCTTCAGCTCTCTGGGCCACTTCTTCCTGTTAAATAAGGAGGTGGGGAAATATGATTTTCAACTCCACCTCCAGAGCTGATGATATGCTAGTTTATAACCTGAGAATTTTTATTTCTGCAGGGATAGTTCCTGAATCCTCTCAATCATGTTTTGATGCTGTTTCTGTAAGACCCCTGGGGACAGATTCCCTTTGTGTTATAGACATAGTGGATCTTCAGAAGGCCAGAACAGGAGAGGAAGTTCTTATAATAAAACTTGAAACAGAAATAGGTGGATGAGAAATCTCCCAGAAGAGTTATCAAAGCTTTTAATTCCATAATTCCATTTAAACTCTTTTGGCTATTTATGCATTCTAAAATTGAGTATTTGGAAGTACTCCTATATCAGAAATAATGAGCAAGGCAGAAAGCACATGATACATTTGACCCCAAACTCTCTTTGGCTGTTAACTTTGGGAAAAAGGGTGGTGTAGTGTGTTTTATACTAGAAGTCATATTCTTACATTTTACTGTGGTAAAATCATGGGAAAAAAAAGATTAAGATAAAATGATTAAGAAACTTTTTTTTCTCTTAAAAAAATCCAGCATTATCAGCCAGGCGCAGTGGCTCACGCCTGTAATCCCAGCACTTTGGGAGGCCGAGGCGGGGGGATCACGAGGTCAGGAGATCGAGACCATCCTGGCTAACACAGTGAAACCCCGTCTCTACTAAAATTACAAAAAAATTAGCTGGGCGTGGTGGCGGGCGCCTGTAGTCCCAGCTACTCCGGAGGCTGAGGCAGGAGAATGGCGTGAACCCGGGAGGCGGGGCTTGCAGTGAGCCGATATCGTGCCACTGCACTCCAGCCTGGGCGACCGAGCGAGACTCCGTCTCAAAAAAAATAAATAAATAAAAATAAAAATTCAACATTATCGCCAAAACTTTGAGCCACAGGGGCTGAAAGGGACGTCTACCACAAACTATCCTAGTTTTCTTTATTTGCACAAGTCTCTAGAAAAGCCCACGTGGCCTAATGTCATAGACTTGATGCGTGTTGAGGCTTGGACCCTCAATGACGGTGTTGATTGTCCTGCCATTCCAGGCCTGCAACGAGTTCACCACCCACGTGATGAATCTCCTGCGAGAGCAAAGCCGGACCAGGCCCATCTCCCCAAAGGAGATTGAGCGGATGGTCAGCATCATCCACCGCAAGTTCAGCTCCATCCAGATGCAGCTCAAGCAGAGCACGTGCGAGGCGGTGATGATCCTGCGTTCCCGATTTCTGGATGCGCGGTGAGTCTCCCATGGGGCTGTCCTGCCCTCTCTGGGAGTCCCTGATCTGGGGCTGGAGTCCACAGCCGCTGCCCCCTTCAGGCTCTAGTTTCACCCCATCAACGCTGAACCAAGTGATACCCTGAGGATGGTTCTGCGAGACTAGATGGGCCATCGGTTTCACACAGTACCAGGAAAATACATGGTTGGAGGGGATGATCTTTATCACTACTGTTATGCACTCTGGGTAGCAGCAAGGAGGACTTAGGTACAGTGAGATTTTTTTCTTTTCATAGCACTAGGTACCTCTTTTACAGTTGCGTCTTATAACTATGGGCCTGCAGCTGTCTTACTAGCATTCTATCACGACAGGCTCTCTTCAATAAAGTTTATTCCATTTGCTTGGAAATTGGGATCTTTTCCACACTGTAGATGGACAGAGAGTGCACTCAATTCAACAAATATTCCTAAGTAAATTGCTGTCTCTGGGCTAATTTTAGGAGTGCAGAGCTGAATAAGACATGGCACTTTGGACACAGAGGGACAAGGAGGTGGTCTAACATGGGCCAACTTGGTTTGATGGTTTCCATCTGGCATTGCTGCTCATGTCCTTACTTGTGAGTTCAGAGCATTCAGTTGAAGAAACCATGGATAGAAAGGACCTTTAAAAGAAGACAAGAACTGAGAACACAGAACAAGTGGTCATCTCTTGTTTCATCTACTCTCTAGACCGGTAGATTTATGTGAAACCCTTTGATTCCTTTTGCTTCTGTTATCCAGCCTGTAAGATAGTAATAGTCGTCATATCTTTCATCTACTCTAGAAGAATATTTTGATAATTCATCTAGCAAATACATTTTGATTATGGGTATGCTTTGTGATCTAGAGTTTGTCTTAAATTCATCATCTGTGAATTCAGATACCATTCATATTTAAATTCTTGATAATAATCCCAATCTGTTATTTTTATCATTGGGACATTAGATATGTCAGGGTCAGTGTACCATTTCACAGTCTATAATTTTGCCTCTTTTCAATGAGATAAAACAATTTATTACTCCTCTTGAATTTTTTCACCCCTGAGATCATGTTTTATTCAGCTCTCCTACCTGCATTTTTCTCTGTGTTCACAATTATGGTCTTTACAGTCCTTGGACCTCTTTAAAACGCCCTGGCATCTTTTTTCCTCACTCCCTTTTAGTCAATGTGTTTTGGGTTGCATGGAATATAACATGAGAATGCCGGCTAGCAAAATGTAACTCTGGGCCAGTAGAATTCCATAGAATAAGTCAAGAGAAAGTAAAAACGAAGGCCGTTTTCCCCAGCTGGGTATAGTAATGGAGTGGAAATAGGCAAAATCACCCTAAAGCAGGATCCTCTGTGCCTCTCCCTCACCCGTGGCCTGCTGTCTGCCAGGCTTCTGTAATGCAGCCCGTTCTGCGTAGTGCAAAGTGCAAGTGACTGGTGGCCTCTGTTTGGGTCCTTCCTCTGTGCCACTGCCACCCTGCATGTATTGCTTACATCTCCATGGTAACTCCCCTAGTTAAAATGCTGGAGTTGGTATTTATGTTGGCAGATATTGAAAAAAAAAAAAAAAACAATTGGCTCCAGACTGGGTTCTTTCTTTTCAAGAAAGTAAGCAGAGAGAAGGGAGGGGCAGAATTATTGTCTCATTGGATATCTTCTCTCAGTAATTCCAGTGTGCCCAGCTGAAGGTCAGACTTTAACAGACACAAAGCTAGGAGGGTTTTGTACGCAAGTTTCTTTCGCTTCCACCAGCCTTTGCCTAGAGTGTTCCAGTTGGCACCAGACGGACAATCACTTTAAGACAGGGTCTTTTTCTTGCTTTGGTTACAACATTTGAATCATTGCTTCTGAGCCAAGATTCAAAACGAAAACAACTAACCTATTGTCATCGTTACTATCATTTCATTTTGGGGGTATATTTATTACCAGTGAAAGAACATGACCCCAAATTCCAGCCTAAGGCTGAGCAAATGGCCTTCTCAGTTCAAAAACAAATGTCTGCCAGACATCCTGATTGGGGAATTCACATCAATGCCTCCAGCGTCACTAGCTATAATTGGGAGAGAGAGCTAAGCAAACTTAGTAAGAAAGACACACTCACTGCAGATATTCACATGCTCCTCTAAACCATGCATCTGATGGGCAGGGCCTCACCAAAAAAGATTTCATGGAAGACAAATAAAATACAAAGAGGACTTGATTTAGTAATAGGATTAGTCTTTGTAATCTAATAGGTGTGTAGAATTGAGTGTTACTACTTTGTTGTGGAACACTCATTGTATTAGCTTTCTATTGCTGCGTAGCAGATTACCACAAATTAAGCAGCTTAAAACAACACAAGTTTATTATCGCACAGTTTCTGTTGGTCAGGGGCCTGGGCATGGCTTAGCTGGATCCTCTGCCCTAATCACAGCGAATCTGTAATCAAGCTTATAAGCTGAGGCTGTGATCTCGTCTGAGGCTCAGGGTCTCCTTCCAAGCTCGTTCTGGTTGTTGGCAGAATTCATTTCCTTCTGATTGTACGACTGAGGGCCTCAGTTCCTAGAGGCTCCCTTTCTCAATAGGCAGGTCACAGTTTGGCTGCCTGCTTTCTTCCTGAGGGCCAGCAGGAGAAACCTTCCATTTTAAGGCTTTAATCGAATCTTCCCTTTCGTTTACTCAAAGTCAGCTGATGAGGAACCTAATCATATTTACTATGCCATCCACTTACAGGGAAGGTGTGTACACCAGGGTCTAGAGTTTTGGAATTCTGTCCACCACACCCCTCAACTAACCTTTCGGCCCTTTATGCCACTCAAGTCATTTCCTGTCTCTCTTCCTTAGATTGACTTAACTGTACCACGGAAGTTTAACTTAAAAATTCCACACATTCATTCATTCATTCATTCATTCATTCAACATTTATCATATCATGCTATATACCAAGCATTGTGCCATACAACTTGGTAAGTTTATTATCAGGACTATAAATAACATTTTTTTTTTTTAGTTAAAAGAGGGAGAGAACTTATAAGCTCTCTAAATGATTTTCGAGCATTAATCTTAACTGTTTTTCTATAACATTTTTCTGGAAATAACAGTAACACAAACAGATAATTAAAAGTACGTCTGTATACTTCACTGCAATAGAGGGGATTACATAAAGTATATTGCCAAAGAGAGGATGACAAGAAAGAGGAAAGGACATCCAAGAAGGTCTAGTCTGGTCACACTGGCACTCTACTTAGATTTACTGGCTTATCTAACTGAGCTCTTACTATCTGCCCGATGTTATAGTAGCCACTGGAACATCAAAGATGAAAAAAGTGCATATAAAGGTGGGTCCTACCTTCAAAGAGCTCATAGGACAAATACTGTTACAACTACACAGAACACCACATGTTACACATTCAGTTCATTCATCTACCTACTCCACCTGAAGGAAATGATCCAGAGAGAGGGCCTAAAATACTGAGTTTCAGAGGAGCAGGATGTTTGCCAAATAGAAGGAATAATAGCAAAATAAAATAACAGAATTCTACTTCAGCAAGCATTCCTTGAGTGCTTACTATATGCGTGAGACACAAGGGTCTCAAATATGAGTGAGATCTGTCCTCTGCCTTTGAGGAATTTGCTGTTTAGTTGGGGAGACGTATGTAAATCTGTGGCGGATGTTGTGGGAGAGAAATATGCAGGGTGGTGTGAAAAGCCACAGGAGCATGAAAGCCACGAGTCTTTGGGGAACGCAGAGGCATATGATGTGGCTAGATGAAATTGTTCAGAGCATGTGTAGGATTGAGGGGAAATGAGGCACTAGGGATAGGAAAGATCCACTGAAAACCCTTAACTGTACCAGTGAAGATTTTGAATTTATCCTATTAAACAGCAGAAACCCTCAGAGCTGTTTAAGGAAGATGTATGGGAAGTTATCACATAAAATTGCACTGGATTCAAATTCTGGCTACAACCCTGATGACCTATATGACGCTGGATAAGTGGCTTATTTTCCCAAGACTCAGTTTTCTTACCTGTAAAACAGGGATAATCCTGTAAATAGGAATAAATATTAGTATAGTATCTGGCATATAATATTCACATCATAATTCAGCTATCATAATGATTACTGTGTTATATATTATTACTGTTATATGATATATTATTGTACATTGTTATATATATACACATTATTGTTAAATTTTATAATGATTAGTGACATGATCATATCTGTGGTTTAGAAAGATTAGTGATTCTCTTGAAGATGAGCTGTATTGGAGAAAAGACAATGTAAAGAACAATTATTGAAGCCTGTGCTCCTCAAACTGGCACTGCACAGGATAAATTGAAATACTTTTCACATTTTGTGTAAGTATTCCAAAGAAAATATTCTTATTTTAAGATAAACATTGATATATTATAAAGTGGACTAAAACAAGAGGTTCCAAAGATATTTTATGTTTTTGATGGTGTCCCCAGAGCTACAATCTTTTTCCAGGAGGGCTTCTTAGGAAAGCATTGATCTAGTGTTGCTCTGGTATATAGCTATTTATTTTTAAATTTAAGTTAACTAAATACTAAATTAAAATAAATAAACATTTAAAAATTAGCTCTCTGGTTACACTAGCCACATTGCAGCTGCTCAGTAGCCACACATAGCCAATGACTAATGTATTGGACAGCAGAGATATAGAACATTTCACTCATCGTAGAAAGTACTCTTGGACAGCACTAGTCATACAGTGATACAACAGGCAGCTGCTCCTCTTCACTCACTTCACAAATAGCAGCGCAATTAGAATGAAACAGAAGAGGTAGATTTGAAAGTGTAGAACTGTCAGGACATGCTTTGGGGGCAATCATTTGATGAAGGTAAGAAAGCAGGAAGAGTTGAGAAACTCCTAGTTTCTAGCACATGCTAGGTACTCCAATCTTTGAATGAATGAATGAATGAACAAATTAGCAAATATAATGAACCATATCTATAGTAATGTCACCAAATAATAAGACTAACAAGGAAAATGGAGCTGATTTGGGTAAAAGGTGATCTTAGTTTTGGAAACAGTTTGTTTGAAGATGCTTGGAGTCTGCAGTCATAAATGGGCCAATGGCTCTTAGCAGAGGTATTAGGGCAGGAGATAACAAATTTGATAGTTAGCAGTGTATGTCTGTGATGTCTACACATCTCACTATCATGAGTCTTTTATAAAAAACTTACCCCATGGACCCTGTGATTCAAAAATATTCTGTCCCTAAAACACCATATTTATCCAGTAATATTTTATCAGCTTCCAAATTTCTTAAATTCAAAACCTAGATGCCCAACTCACAAAGCTACTGATTGGTTTGAAATCACAAATGTTAACTCAGCAAGGTGATAACACTTCAAGCCAAAGCAAAGAAACCAGGTGTCTCAGTTAGCTCAACCTTATTGTAGAAAGGTGTTATTTTCACTAGGTTTCTTGAAATTTGGAAAAATCCTGATCCTAGGATTTCAAAGGCCCTAGATTAAGACAGCTACTAAAAGAAGTGATAAGCGAGTCCATCAGAGTAGGTGAGACCACCTAGGGAAGATTGCACATCACAAGGAGAGAAGAGCTGGGAACAGCTGTCTGCACCATCCGCATACCACCAGCTCATTCCAGAGAGGTTTCCTTTGAGTTCAATTGGAAGAGTCCCAAAAAATACACAGTAATGCTAATGCAAACAACTGAATGAAGGAACGGAGGCTCTCCAAATTAGGGAGCCTTCAGGGTCCAGTTCCCCAGGCCTAAAACAACAGTCTTTAGGCGAAGAAGAAAGAGAAGCCAAAGGTTATCTAAAGCCTGGCCTGCAGACCCTGTTAGTCACTTGGCTATCTTCCTCAAATTCCCATCATGCAAGAGCTTTTAACACATGCCCACTTTGCAGTTAGGCTTTTAAATCCAATCTGTACAATTTCTGATGCTGAGTGACCCAGAAACTCAGCATGATTTAGGAGAGTGACTTGGGCTTGGCATAATCTGGACAGATGTGGTTAATACCTGTGGACAGATGGTGTTCTTCCGGTAAAATCAGGCACTTCATTGTGTTAATTAATCCAAGTGGGACCCTGAAAATACAATATTAGCTGAATTTCCTGTCTAGCAAGGCCATCAGTGCTTTCTGTTGGCTAAATTGGGAAATCCTATATCCTGGTATAATCAGGGATGTTCTGGAAATCTTTTCCATAAGGAAAAGCTTTTAATAAAAGCAAGAAAGGCAAAAGTGCTAAGTGAGCTAATTTAAAGATGAAGGCCACACAACTTCAAGGAGGGCCAACCAGCCCCTGCATTGAGCCTGCAACTCCCTCAACTATCCACAGGCCTTCATTGTCAGGAAGCAATAAAGTGATTCTCACTTTAAATTAGTTCAATTAGCACTTTTTTTTTAAGGCAGAAAATGCTTTTATTAAAAAAAAGTGATTTTCTCCTTTTTGGCAACCTGTATATGAAAAAGAATTCTGTGGGCTTTTGTTTTACCATTTAGCAGCTGTTCTTGCTTAAGAAGTGCCACTTTTCTCCTTTTGAGGGATGTCAAGCTGTTGGGGGTTAATTTCAGTCAGTTCTGTGCCCTCTTCCCCAGATGCCTTTTAAAAATGTTACATGCATTTACATGGGGATAGAATGGAAAGAACATGATAACTTATTTTTAACTTATGGCTGCAGAAGCTCTGCATAATTGTGAGGAGCCAATTTGTATAGAAGAGAGAGATTGGGTTTTGTAGTGGTCAGACCTGAATTAATACCTTAGCTCTGTTACATACCAGCCAAGTGACCTTTGAGCTCAGTTCTTCATCGGTAAATACGAATAATCATATCTGCCTCAGTAGTAGTGAAAAATGAATAACTTGAATTGATTGCCAAGAGGGAGGGGTCAGGCCCAGTGCCTGGAACCTGGTAGGAAGAAAGACCAAGTTGTAGCAGCTGCCACGTGTTGGGCGCTGTGCTGAGTGCTGTCTTTGTGTGGTCTCATCTCTTCCCTACTCTCACCCTGTGAAGTCAGTATCACCCTCTTCACTTTCACGGAAGAAGCTGATCGAAATCACCCAGCTGATATTCAATTGACCGAGGATTCAAAACCAAGATGGGGCTGGGCGCGGTGGCTCATGCCTGTAATCCCAGCACTTTGGGAGGCTGAGGCAGGCAGATCATGAGGTCGGGAGTTAGAGACCAGCCTGGCCAATATGATGAAACCCCATCTCTACTAAAAATACAAAAATTAGCTGGGTGTTGTGGCACGTGCCTGTAATCCCAGCTACTCAAGAGGCTGAGACAGGAGAATCACTTGAACCCAGGAGGTGGAGGTTCCAGTGAGCCAAGATCACACCACTGCACTCCAGCCTGGGTGACAGAGTGAAACTCCATCTCAAAAAAACAAACCAAGATGGCCCGAATTTTGAAACTTTATACTCCTCACTACTCTGCAAAAATATCTGTGACCACTCTTCTGTTCGGTGCCCAGATGGTACACAATGAAGTATTGAGCAAATGCTTTTAGCGTTGGTTTTGGCATCCAGCCCCTTTTGGTAAATCTGCTCCAAATTCACCTTTTGCTCAAAAATTTGTCTTCTCCCAGAAGTAGATTTATTCTCTCCCATTTTATATTTATTTGGTGTGAGCCTTTTTGTTATTATTTCCTTTCTCTTTACAAAGGCGGAAGAGACGGAATTTCAACAAGCAAGCGACAGAAATCCTGAATGAATATTTCTATTCCCATCTCAGCAACCCTTACCCCAGTGAGGAAGCCAAAGAGGAGTTAGCCAAGAAGTGTGGCATCACAGTCTCCCAGGTAAGCAGCACCTCAAAAGCCTCAGCCTGTAGCCTGGCCATGGCGGGGCCTCCGGGGCAGGCTCTTAGAGGTCTTGCTTTACTGGACATTCATGCCTTGCAAGTTCCATCAGCTATAGCCTTAAAATATCAAGGTAAGCACTTGATGTGTATGCGTATAAGTGAGTTTCTAGGTAAGTACTTGGCAAAACTTGAGAAGAACCAGCAGAAGGAAGAGAAGAATAAGTAGAGTACAATGTAAAAACAGGATTAGGGTTCTTCCCATCGAGCACTCCTTTGCTTCAAATGGGTGAGGTGTCTAAAGTGTACTAGGAAAGTTATCTGCATTCCTCATGCTGTTTTTTCAAATTCAGTCAATTCCTTAGCCATTTTTTGCCCAACCCAGGAACTTTAAGAGTCAGTGAATGGAACTAGTTGTTATATAGCCTTTTAAATGAAAGAACTTAAATGTCTCCTCTTGATGTGCTGACTCTATAACTGATGGGAGTGTAGGAATTTTAACATGTCACTGCGATTACATTGGAATGGTGAACAAAATGTCACTGAATGCCCCCTTCCCCCAAAGAGCAATAACCATAACAGGTGGTGTCTGATGACTTGGAAAGATACATGACATAAAATTTTTATAGGCCTAGAGTTTTCAACACGAATATGAAGCAGAGAAGTAGGCAATAATTATGTGTACGTGTATTTTGTCCACTCAAAAGATCCACCCAAACTTCTTATTCAGTCTGAACCTCAAATACCACCACTGGTTTCTAATTGAGAACCATAGTGATAATTCTGAAATCTATCGGAGAAGGTTTTTCTTAGAATTTTGTCACATGCAGGAGAATTAAATGTACTGATATTTCCATTAAAACTGGGGAGGGGAGGGAGTAGTGAAGGCTACTGTAGCGAGAAATTTCACTTACCATTTTTCAAATGAAGTAGATGCTCTTTTATATAAACTAAGCATCTGTACCTCCTTGAATTGAATCCTGACTTCTGTTAATCCCTGCAGGGTGCTGATCCCATCAACCTGTGTTTAGCTGTACAGAATTAGGTCCAGTCAGAATATAGAGCTCCACAAAAGTATTGACAATGAAGGGACTGTCCAAGCCTTCCCAACAAACTAAGATGATTTTACAGCAGCAAATATCCTTGAAAACATTCTTTCAGATAAAGCAGAATGAATTGACTCCTTTTTAACCTGGGCCTTCCTTAGGTGCTTTGACCCAGCTGGAGGTCATTTTTAGTCTTGACAGTTCTGGGAAACGGGAACGTCAGCGGTCAAACTCAAGTAGCCTAGTTTTTTCTAGGGCTGTCACCATTCTTATCCAAATCTAAACCCCTTTTCCACAAAAAAGGGAATTAATGCTTTTTGATACTTGCTACATGTTTGAGGAATGCTTCTAGGTATGGACCACAAATATGCAGCAAATATCAAATCACTGAATTTTATCATGGAACCTTCTGCTTTTAAAATATAATTAAATTACTACTGTCTGAATTCCAAGTGTGGAATTCAGAATTTCAACTTCCTGTTGAAGGTAAAAGGAATTCTCCTGGAGGTAATTTGTAGTATAGCTGGATACAAGTTAAAATCCTGATCTGTTCCCGCAACCTTCACTTCCTTCATTATGGAAACTCAAGGTACAAATAGTGTGTCCATTAAAATCCTTATTTACATATTGTGTCACCTTTCCCTTTCCTCTGTCCATGCCAAAGTCATGCCATTCTTTCTTCCCCATCACATCTGTCTCTCCCCAAAGCAACTAAGCTACCATTGCTAAACAAGTCCAATGGAAGACAGTATAATATGATGTCATAGAAGGAGCATTAAGCAAGGAGCCTATTTTTGACAAGAGTCAACTGTGGGATCCTAGGGAACTCACTCTTTCTTTTTGGATCTTAGTTGCCCCATTTACTAATCATGGTTTGTTGGATCACATGATTTATTAAATCTTTCTCCTAATTCCCAAAGCCAGGGAATACCTCTTGGGCTGTATCATTATTGTCTTTTTTTGAAGTCACAAATTCTTTTGAAATCTACTAAAAGCTATTGATTTCCCCCATGACCCAAAACAAAGATATGTTGCCCATACACCCAAATCCATCTGAAATCCGCCTATTGACTGTATCTCCTCAGATCCCTAAAGAGCCCTTTTTCTATACCAGAGCTACTCTAAGTGTGATCCACAGAATGCAGCATCAGCATCCCCTGGGAGCCTGTTAGAAATATAAATTCTTGAGTGTCACCCTAATTCTGAATCAGAATCTTTGAGGGTGAAATCTATAATAGAAATTTGTTTTAACAACTTCCCCATGAACACTTAACTTTGAAAAGCAATGTTCTATATGCTTTATCTGAGTGATCTTTTCCATGCTCACAGCTACAAATAATACCTCCATTTGAATACCTAATGGAACTTCTCCCCTGCAGCACCAAACTCATAAATTTTACTTCCTAATGGACTTCATCATGGCTCTGCCCAGAGGTTCTTCAAAATTAACTTGTTCAAAATGTGAATCAAACTCTTCCCATAAAACCTACTATTCTTTCTGTATTTCATGTCTCATTCTGTGTCTGTTATCTATACATCCCTAGTGCCTAACGCGTATTAGGCCCTTAGTCCATGACTGTTGAGTAATTAGTTCATTCATGATAACACTCATTTTATACATTGTCCAGATCATTGTCTGTTGGACAATGCAGGAAGTCCCTGAACTGACCTAGCACCTTCCTACCAGTTCCATTGTTGTCATTTAGAAGGGTATCATTCCCACAACATGTCCCCTCTTTACCCCCTTCAGCTCATATTTTTTTTACATATAATTGGACCTCAGGTATTTCTTCTTCAAAAGTCCTCTGAAATTATCTTCATCTTTTTCCCTTTTCTTTCAGCTTGTGCAGTTATCTGAGAAAAAAAATCTCCTTACCTTTTTTCTTCTTTTCCTATCCCATAAATCAAAAAGCAACCATAATTATGACTGATTCCTATGAATAGTGAAAGTTATGTCAAGAAAAACATAAATTTCAAAGTGAAACTAGATATGCAGTGATCCTGAAATACACCCAAAAGTGTCCTTCCTCCTCCAGTTTACCTCTTTTTCTGTAGACATCAGTGTTTACAATAAATAAAGCATTTTCTTATTGAATTTTTTTCTTTTTTGTTTAATATTGTGGTGGTACAGACTGATTTTTTTTTAAAAAAGAAAGGCTTGGCATTTCTGCTGTAGTATAAACTGTATAAGCCTTTCAGTGCTATCCTTATAAGATGTTTTAAGTTTGTTAATGCGTTTAAAAAATTAAGTATAGTTTTGCAACAGTTTTCTTTATCTGCCGTCGTTGGGAGTTAAATATCAATGATATGTAAGCTGTGGTACATGTGGGATCAACTCCCCCTTCCCTCACCAGATTCATAGTTTGTTTTGTAATTATATAAAAACATCGACATTTTAGTTCAAAATCATATCTGGAATGTGGGATATAAAACTTTCCTTCCCCGGGCAGGAATTATGGGGGTAAAACTTGAATTTAACTGTGTCTCCACTTGTGTCTGGCAGAGGTCTTGGTATGAAGGGAGCAGAGGTACCAGATCAAGCCAAGACACCTGCTGCGAACCACATGAAGGAAATAAATTAACAAATGAAAGTAAATTAGGTTTATTGTGTCTGCTGGCTTTAACATTTAAACCCTAGAATTCAAGGGGATAATCATTTGTATGCTACAGTTTTTCCTTATGTAGATAACACTAAGCTTTACACAAAATAGTCAGTGAAATCTGGTAGATTGAATTATATTGATCCTAAGGTCTATAGTGAAATACAGCTAAGAATCTCAGTCCACATTAAAGTTATGTAACTTCTAAAAATTTGCAATTAATCTATCACACGAAAGCACCTATATGGACATTTAAAGATCTGTGTATCTTGATGGCATCAAGCCAGCTTTCACATTGATAAACGCTAGGGGCATTTCTCCTGAAATGTTAGGTATATTTTAGTGTCATAACTGAAGATGTAAGCAAATTTAAAATGCTTGCTCTAAATTAAAAGGGTTCTAGCTTAAATGAGCAGCTCCTTTATAGGAAGATTTTTGTCACAGTGGTTTCGCTAAATTTCAGTTATATTAAACAAGAGAATCGCATTTTATGTAGTTGTCCTTTTGAAGCTCTTACTTCAGATCTTTTTACTGATGTTGCCAAATTATTATAGGATAAGACCAATTAGCTTACCTCTTCACCTCTCCCATAAAGCCTTTTTTTTCTTCTGCAATGTTTCTGAAGGATGAAATGTGAACTTTCTCATCTTCTCTTAAACTACTCTAGGTATCAAACTGGTTTGGAAATAAGCGAATCCGGTACAAGAAGAACATAGGTAAATTTCAAGAGGAAGCCAATATTTATGCTGCCAAAACAGCTGTCACTGCTACCAATGTGTCAGCCCATGGAAGCCAAGCTAACTCGCCCTCAACTCCCAACTCGGCTGGTTAGTTTTTTCTTTGATTGGGGGTGGGGGAAGGAATTGTTCTCCATTTTTATACTGGCTGTTCCTACATTGGGATTTTCTTTTAATTTGTTAGGCTTTTGATTGGTTAATTTCTGTATTTGATTGTATTTTTGGATGTTAATGTCACTTTGGGCTCTTTCTTTCATTTCCAAAGAGCAATCTGTTAGACTTTTTACAACGTGGGTTGTCTGGAGGTTTGCATTAATTTGTCTATTAAGTTAAGACCAAAGTAAATTGGTTAGCTTGAAGAGACCTCTAAATTCTCCTCTCAGGGATATCAATAAGTAAGTTAGACATAGTGCTTAGAGATAGTCTATTGGGATTCTGTCATTTGGCCTGTTTTATATAAAGCTTTTATCCTTGTCAGTTTTGCTGTTCCAACAACATAATGTCTGGGTCACTTATTAGCATGCATTCTATGCAGAAATATTTACTCTTCTAGCAAATATCTTATTAGAATGCTTTGGTATGCAAAGCCAGGCTATGAATATTTCTATATATTGTTTATAGTTGTTGTTCTTTATTGTTTTTTGTTGGTCTTCTTTATGATTATCGGTCATGAGCTATGTAATAGGCTTTGTTTCAGGAAATATGCATTATATCACTAATTTAAGAGTTTAGGTCAAAATACTATATTTTGGGGTGTGCCTTGTGTCATCAGTTCAGAATTTCTACATGTGAAAAAATGTAGTTAATAATGCAAAAAATATAACCTTTGTGTTTGTATGCTATGGAAGGCATGTGGTAATTTTTTTTTCCCTTTGGTAAAGGAAAGACAAGTATTTTCTCATTAAATAAGTTTGGTTTGACTTTGATTAGGGTGCACAGCTAAGAAAACTGATGATTCTAACTTAAAAGGTTACCAATTTAAATATGTTTGATCGTAATATGATTACAAACCTAATGTCTAACATTTTTTAGAGTATGTGGTATCTTTGACCACAAAGCTTGTTTGTCCACTAAAATAAGTTTTCTTACAGCGACTCGTTACTGGAGAAATGTAGGGTTCCACAGACTGATGTCTTCTGTGAGCTTCCAGATGCATAAATTTGTTATGATAAGGTCCTCCAAGTCACTGGGCTATACCCAGCACTTCTTTTGTGGCCTTCTTTTATCTAAATGGAATCATGCATGAAGAGTAGCCTGGGCTTTTTCAACATGGATATAATAAAACAATGTAGAATTCAATCCAGTTTTAATTTTCCCAGCACTGCAGGTTAGATTCCTATGAGGAGCATATTTACTTTTTTAGAAATATTTTGTTTTTTTCTTCCTCCATCATGGTGTGATTGACAAGGGATCAAAGCTAACAGGTTCAATAACCAGAGAGAGTTCCATCTTCTCCATCTGGTCAATTATTAAGAATTTCAGACCCAACAACACCAGTTGAACTGTGCTGCTAGGCAGACATTTTCACTTGTCTCTTTGGAAGAAGTACAATTCTGTCAACATTAGCAAAAATGCACTCAACACTCCTGCAAAGGTTATCATAATGCAAAACGATATCAAAATGACTTTTTCCTGTCCCTGGTATATCTGCATCGCAGATGGCTTAGCATGATTTATGACTAGTCCTTAGAAAAGCCCTGTGGACTTTCTTCATTACTAAATTTGTAACTATTTATTCTTTCCTAAAGCCCTTAAAAGAGAAAAATAAGCATTTTAACCCTCTATTCTGTGTTTAAGAAATATGGTTGCCTCTTATGGAATGTCAGACTATGATTACAGTTTTCTAAGGAATTTTTTTCTGGTGGCTTAAACATCATGTGACTATTCTGAGCACAAAGTAAATTATTATGGAAAATTTGAGCTAAGCCTTCCAATTGTGCGTAAGTTGTTGGAAATAATCTGCACAGGAACCCCTTTGTAGTGCTTTTTCTAAAGTAGAGGCAAAAGAAAATACTATTGTATGTGTGCAATAGCATGGAATTTTAAAAGATAAACATTTTAACAGGAAAAGTTATAAATGGGCTTTTCTGTATTTTCTTTTGCTCTTAACCAACCTAAATCATCCACACAGGTAAAGTAGAACTTTAAAATGTTCAAACTTTTCACATAAGGTGTTTATTATGTTATGTACTTGCTCTTCAATAATTTGGAAAGATAAATGATAATTGAAATAAATTTTAAATAAGAGGTTAATATGTGAAAATATATTTTGGCAGAGTTTGAAGTCTAGAGTTGTAGAACCTAGGAACTTTTCATAACCTCAGTATTGAAGCAGAAGTTTTTTTTTCAGAGTTTTACAAAATATAAGTACTCATTTCTATTGTAAAGAAATATATTTCTGGCTGGGTGCAGTGGCTCATGCCTGTAATCCCAGCACTTTGGGAGGCCGAGGCGGGCGGATCACGAGGTCAGGAGTTTGAGACCAGCCTGGCCAATGTGGTGAAACCCCGTCTCTACCAAAATTACAAAAATTAGCTGGGCATGGTGGCGTGCACCTGTAGTTCCAGCTACTCGGGAGGCTGAGGCAGAAGAATCCCTTGAACCTGGGAGGTGCAGATTGTAGTGAGCTGAGACCGCACCACTTACTCCAGCCTGGGCAACACAGCGAAACTCCAACTCCAAAAACAAAACAAACAAACAAACAAAAAAACCAAATATATTTCTTTGCAAGTAAATCCTCTTCCTGCTAGAGGCTTCTGTATGGAGAACAGCACTTCAGTAAGATTACTTCCAAATATTTCTATTTATTGATATGTTCCATGTCTCCTATCTTCTTAAGCATAATTTTTTTTTTAAATCACTTAAGACTAAAACCCGGGGGGATTAGCAAGCATTTAGAGACATTTAGCATGCTTCATAGTTTATACCAGCAAAGTGAGACAAAATGGATGAAGCAAAGAGGAAGAATAGAAGGAAGGAGAGAAAGTTAAATTTTGAAAAAAGAAAGCAAGAATAGGGGCCAGTTGAAGCACTGGTTAAAACCTGGGGTCTATAATTCTTCTGTAGTGGCCTAGAGTAATGCATTCTTAATTTCTTAATTTCGATGAGATTATAAAACCTCAGAAAAATGAGGCCCTTTCAAGAAGCTTGGATTATCTTCTGCAGAGGATTTTAACATCCAAGAAGAAAGAAATTGACTTGTGCATTACAGATGTTCACTGTGGCATGCCATCAGCGTTGAAATTATATCACATTCTGTGATTAGATCAGTGGTAGTGGGCTTACTGAAGCTCAGAACCCCAAGATTGGAATTCTTTTGCTTAGCTGTGTGTTTGTGTCAAGGACAACAGCAAATTCAACCATGAAAGTTCTTCCTCTAGCACTATTTTAGTCAATGGCAAGCCCATATACATAATCTTGTAATACCCCTGTATTAGTCCATTCTCACGCTGCTATGAGGAAATGCCTGAGACTGGGTAATTTCTAAAGGAAAGAGGCTTAATTGACTCAGGTTAGCATGGCTGGAGAGGCCTCAGGAAACTTGCAGTCATGGCAGAAGGTGAAGGGGAAGCAAGGCAGCTTCTTCATAAGGCAGCAGGAAGAAGTGCCGAGTGAAGTGGGGAAGAGCCCCTTATAAAACCATCAGATAGATCTTGTGAGAACTCACTCACTATCACAACAGCATGGAGGAAACTGCCCCCATGATTCAATTAAGTTCACCTGGTCTCTCCTTTGACCTGGGGACCGTGGGGATTATGGGGATTACAATTCAAGATGAGATTTGGGTGGGGACACAAAGTCTAATCATATCAACCCCTAAAAAGAGGTTTGGTGTTTTTCAGGATTGATGAAAGGTTATTATATTAAAACTCAGAGCCTTCATGCCCTATGAGAAGTTTTTATATAATACACACAGAGAGAAGGTAACACATACAGAGAAGTTGACTAAAACTTTAGTAAATCCACAGGAATTCTTATAATTTTGTTTTTTAAAACCAAGTGAAAATATTTATCCCACTGATGTTTTATCTCATGTCTTTCTTAGTATGATTCTCCTCTTTATTTTTGATTGAAGAGTGAAAACAATTTGTCCTGGAATTGGAACTCTACAACCTTGAGATACATACCTATTGAAGGGTTTTCACATTCAACCAGACAACACTTTACTCTTTTGCTTTGTCCCAAGTAGAAAGTAACAATGAATTTTGGAATTCACAAAGGGAAATGGAAAAGCAAGCATGCATGGGACATAATTTAAGCTTACATCTAGTAAAAAGGGCCTATCCTTTGAGCTCCCAAATGGTATGAGAGTCCAATCTAATCAAGCTGAATCAGGCTGGCCACATAATCTATCTGAAGTCTTGATTTCTAAACTACAGAAAATGGCAACTACTTCATTAAAATACTGTAAGGAATATTGAGTGAATACATTTAAACACTGAATTCCTTAAAAGGAAAAAGTAAATCCGTTCTTGCTCTAGGTCTTTTGTTCTCATCTAGGGGCAAATTTGTACTCCCAGGGGACATTTGGTACTATCTGGAGCTATCTTTGGTTGTCACAATTTTGAAGGGAGGTTGTTATTGGCATCTATTGGATAGAGGATAACCATTGTAGGGCTAACCAGCCTACAATGCATAAGATAATCTCCCACAATAAAGAATATTTGGCCCAAAATGTCAGTAGCAACAAGGTTGAGAGATCCTATTCTAGGTTTAAGCTTTATCATTATTATTATTATTATTATTTTTGGATTATGAAGTTAACTGATTTTTTTTATTGTTTTTTGCTTTTAATTTTTTTGTTTTTCTTTAACAAATTTAAGTCTCCTGAAGATTCTTTAGAGTAGAAATGCAATTTTCTGGAACTTGTCTGATGAAAATGGATGTGGACACTTTACCACATCATGATGTCTGCCCAAGCAAATGCATTATAATCATAAGTGATCCAGTATTTCTTCTCTGCCTAGTTGAGTGTAGATTTAGTTCTGCACATGCCCCAAATGTCTGGGTGGCAGTTTAAATGAGCTGCTTGCCTTCCTTCCCAAACCAAATTCAGAACCTTTTAACTGACAACCACATCTTAAAATGTGCTTCTAATGGTAGCTGATGGCTTCAAAACAGCCTGCAGGTAAGGTTTCTGAATGATCTTCTCAGCAAGCCAAGTCTTTCTGTTTCAGTTCTTTGAGAATGCCACAGCACCTCCAAGAGAGCCCATTCACTATTTGTCAGTGGATCGTGTGCTTCCCAGGAGGTTATCCATTCCATGATAAATTCTTTCCAACTTGCAGTGCTGGGTAGAGAACATGTCCTCCCCTTGTAGTTCAGATGTTTTTGTGGACTTCCGTCTGCTTCATTGTGGTGTTAGTGGCACCTGGTCTCTTCCCTCAGCACAGTCAGTGCTTCTAGATACTTATCAGAGAGTGAGAAGCCATGGTAATATTGTACATGGGTGTACAGACACAATGAAATGCTGAAACAGCACAGCCAAGAGCACAAGGGACTGTTTCTTCAATTACTGCTCTGATACAAATGCACTTGTATATGAAGTACATTTATATATGCATATTTATCTCTGTGTACATTAGGCAGCCAGACATATTTACAGTTTATGCACATGTATTTTTTAAATCACCTGTGTCAATTGCAATGTGTATCTTTTAAATGACACATTCCATGCCTTCATGGTTCCATGGATGCCACGTCATTGGACATCATGTAGCCCTTTGGGGGTTTCTCCCATTTCTAAGTTTGTATACTAATTTCCAGAAAAACATTGGTCAAACTTATAGTCCTTATGTTTAGGCTAGATTTACCACAGTGGAACCAGTGGAATCTGGGTGGTGCCAGGATGGACCTTAAGGTTGACTCTCTGGGTGATGAGACATCATCTAGAGACGATGGGAGAGAAGTAAAATACGTGAGCCTGAAACTGAACACTCTGGGGAGTTGGGTGGGGGAGTCTGATGACATATAACAAATTATAATTTGGGTTCTTGGAGCTGATTCTTCTTGGTTCTGATGACATCTAAATGCAAGCATGTATTGTAATACATTACAAAATGACTTTTATTATTTAGGTTATATCTGTGATTACAAAAAATATTTGAGAGGGATAGAACTAGTATATAGAGATATTATATATCTACACGTGAGAATGTGATCTGTGCCACACATTGTTTCATTCATATGTTCAGGAAGACAGTTTCAAAGATAGGTCCCATATTAATGGAAGGAAGTTACAGACCAAAGGCTTTGTCCCACTGACTGGGTATAAGCCACACCTGGCCAGATCTTACACTTGTTTTGCTAAGGCCCTACCTTTCTAATTCCTTTCAGATAAGCTAAACAGAGAAATGTGGGCCAGATGAGACAGGACAAGTCGCAGAGCTATGGAGATGGCATAGTCCTTTGGTTGATGCTTGAGTCCTCCTCTAACCCCCAAAGAAAGCATTTATTTTTTCCTGGGAAAGAAGGAATGAGAAGGGAGTTAGGTGGAGGATTGTTTTATTTAGTAAAATAGCTAGGTTTTTTTTGCATGCAAATGAACATCCCACAGGACAAAGAAAATTGGAGTTTTTTTTTTTTTTTAATGTTGAGTTGTCCCCAGGTTTATAAATCATCTGCTTTCTCTAAATGGCTCTTGCCTTTAAAGTATGAAAACACCATGAATAGCCTAGATAGATACCATAAATAAACAGTGCATTGTGTCAGAGTTTAGAGTTCATCATTTGTTAAGTGGTCCTTCTATGGGGGAAAAAAAGTCCTCTCTTCTGCTTAGCTGCACCTCTTCATGTGGGGCAGGAAAGCTCTCAGAGCTCAAATCCCTACCTTAGGAGAAAAGAAAAGTGTCAGAGCTGAGGCATGAATCATTGTTGGGTGATTCCACACTGATGATGGCTGTCTCAGAATATGAGGGCAAGAGCACAATTTGAGCAATATAGGGTTGGAAATAATAGAGTGCAACTGACCTGGGTCCCTAAGGTCTTTCCTTTTCCAGGCTAATGTCATGTTTTAACCAAACCTTGCACGTTGAGCTTTCTTTCCTAATGCGCTGAGCTGCACGATGACTTCAGAATAATATTAAGCTTTTGCAAGCCCTTATGCTTAGGTTGAATGTGGGCTAGGTTCACCGCAGTGGAACCAGTGGAACCTGGGTGGTGCCAGGATGGACCTTAGGCTAACTCACTGGATGATGCTTCCATCCCTGGGAGGTGAAAAGCAGATGGCTAATGGCCCTTCTTGAGGCCCACTTATTATTATTATTACTATTATTATTATTAGCAGCGATGTTTCATATTTTATGCATGCTTGAGAATTCCTGGCCCATTATTTTGTTTTCTCTGTAGTCACAGGTGGCAGAGAAGGGTAGATCACTCCCACATATTCTTACAGTCCTCAAGGTTCCTTGGGCTGTTGCCACCCTGCAAGAAATTTCACCTTCATTTTAGAAATTAAGAATGTCAATAGACCCATATCATAGAGCCACTCCTAGTAGGTGACATTGCCTTCATGCACTCCCTCCCAGGTGCTGCTCCTCACAGGGGAGGGGATGGTTTAGCAATGACATATTTAGAATCCAGTTGAATAGTTTATGTGCTCTATCATGGTGGCAGAAGTACCAGTGACCAGCCCATAGCCTCCATCTTGTGGTCCCCTGGCCAACCCTAGAATTTTAGAGGCATAGAAGAGAGATCCTAGGTCTAGAGACTACAATCCAAATAGACTAAGTTGGGAAGAATAAAGGTTCCCTTTCTTGGCTTGAAGTTGCCAAGGGGAAGCAGTTCTATTGACAACTTGCAGTAAGGTATGGCTTCACATAACATAAACAATATGCACCCTTTATTGCTTGCTCTGTTCTTCATGCTACTAACCAGACTCTGTTGATGTTATTTTTATTTTAGTTTTTATTTGGGGGGGGTTGCTTTGCATGTCATTCTTCCTCTTGGCTGTTAGTTGCGGGGTTTGAGCCTTTTCCTTTCTGTGATTCAGGTGCCTCACTCTTTCCTTTCCAGGTTCTTCCAGTTCTTTTAACATGTCAAACTCTGGAGATTTGTTCATGAGCGTGCAGTCACTCAATGGGGATTCTTACCAAGGGGCCCAGGTTGGAGCCAACGTGCAATCACAGGTAGGGACCCAGCCAATATGTCACCAGGTGAATGCCTTAGAGTCCAAGAGCCCTCAGTTGTATTGGACTTCCTGCTTCTGTCCAGAGAGAGAGAGAAAAACAGATCAGAACCAAAACCTTACCAACGACCGAACCAAAATCAAGACAACCATTGTCATGGGGAATCTCGTCCACACTTTGTGAATGCATTTGGCTCTGGCTTTTCAGTTGTACTTGGAAGGCAGGAGAAGAACAGTAAGCACAGGGCAAGGTGACCGAGACACATCAGGCAGGTGGAACCAGCATATTCTTTATTCACCAAAGGGAAAAGGAGGAGGTGTTCAGGATGTTACCTCAATTTCCAGGTCTCCCTCTCATGTGTTGGTTTCTCCTGCTCAATATTTACCATATAAAGAGGCAATTAACAAGCAAGCAAATATATTACTATCGGACGTTTTCATTTTAAGCTTTAAAAACACCCAGCCAGGTTGACTAAATACATTTCTTAGTCATCCTTGAGGTCAAGGGACTTGAGTTTCTGGTGATGAGTAGAAGTCCACATTGGGAAGCAAAATCAAGCCATGTGATATCAAATTTTAGTGTTCCATAGTAAGCAGATTTCCTTCATGATACTTGAAGAAGCCATCCTACTACCTCAGCATGAAACATGTTGTGAGAGGGTAAAGTAGTATGCTGTGGGTCAGAATTACTAGGGAAGTTCTGAGCCATGTCAGCCTAGTTTCCCACCCTCCATGTGGAACAAGAAGCATTACAAGCCCGGAACAGACCAACTGGTCAGCGATTCACCCCTTTCTTGAGAAACATTGCCTGGAAACCAGTTTGAAGTGATATGGTCAGGCTTTGGTCAAGTGACTAAACAACTGGCCATCACTTAAGTCCTCAAAAAATACAAGGTCTCAATCAAGTACTGCTCTCTCTGTGAGATGGCTGCCCAAACCTCCTCTAAACAGAACCTTTGTTTTTATAGGATACCCAGCAAAGGAACAGCTGTATAGGATGACCTGTAGGGAAGAAAAATGGGGAGAAAAGAAAATTCCTTCATGCTTTCCCCTCCAGCTCCCTCTATCATCCTAATCCTTACCATCTCATGCAGACTTGTTGAACTAGTTTCAATGTGGAGATCCCAGTTTTCTTTTACCATTTTACGTCTTGCTTACTGAACTCAGAATTCTTTATGGATTGGCATACGGAGGAAGCTAGCCTCCTCCTAATGGACTCTCCCAGGACAACTGTCTCCAAAATGATTGCATTAATATGGCATGCCCAAATGGTGGCCTGCCTGATGATGATCTGCCTCCCTTTTCCTACACCTCTCTGACTAATTTTCTCTCTGTTATTGTTCATCTGTTTAGGTGGATACCCTTCGCCATGTTATCAGCCAGACAGGAGGATACAGTGATGGACTCGCAGCCAGTCAGATGTACAGTCCGCAGGGCATCAGTGTAAGAAAACAAGCCCCCCCACCCCCTGCTTTGTTTTTATTCTTTCACTACCAATTATTTCAAAGCCATAGGGCCCAGAATGCCACTTAGTAGGGCTTATCTTAGCTTTACGGTCACCTAGTTTCTTGTTTCTGTATCGGTCATGCCATCGGCAGCATTCTACCCACAAAAAAAGTGGCGATTGGGCAGGCTTCATGCAGGCAGCTGGCGTCTAGGGCTGTCAGACGCAATCAGTGTTTGCATGGCACCTGCGGCCACATGCGTTCAGCTAGAGGAGCTGCTAAACAGGTGACACCTAGTACAACAGTGGTAGGAAATGTGACCACAAGCTGGGGCCTGGGAACCTGGGAGGTGAAACCAGTAGCCAAAATCCATTGCATCCACGTCTGTGGTCTGAAAAAAAAAATACTTTTTTTCAATCTGTCTATGGACGATTAAAAAGAAAATTAACACAGAAGCTGGGTATGTAGAAGGGATGGGGAGGGATGCAGACCATCTTCTACTTGTTCTTGGGTACGCTGGCGGCTCCTGACTAGCATGAAAATTCATAGCGACAAGCTATGTCGCACAGAGTGAAATCGATCAGACAGACACAAGGAGAACCGAGTGTAGATTTGGGACAGCAATCCAACTTGATTTCTCAGATCAATCGTCTGCTTTCTCAGCAGCGGTGACAGCAAGCTGGGACAAGAGGGCAGCCTGGAAAAGGAGGCTGTTTTTTAGATCAGGGATGATTCCTGGGCTTTTAGAGGTCACAGGAGGCTTGAGTAGAACTATTGGCTCTTAACTATTGAAGAAAGGTTTGGGTGGTGGGTAGTGATCATTTTTTATTGTTTGTTTCTGTTGCTATGATTAAAGTGAATGAGGGATCGAAGGAAGAAGAGTTAGGCATGATTTATTAATGTAATCTATACTAATGGAGATATAATGTCTGCAGTGAAGGAGGTGATGACCTCTTCAACTGCGTTGGTCAAGTCATACATGATTCTGTCTGGTTTGGGAGGATTAAGAGAATATCAGTTATTTCTCAGATCAGATGAGGAATGATTGAACACATTAGGAATTCTTACCTCATAAAAGAGAAAATTTGGGGGTTACATAGTAGTGTAAGGCATGCTAACACTATTAGATTCATCATGAATGATCTAAAGGGGTTAGGATAGGATAGGACTACTAAGTAGTGGATTCAGAGAAACAGGTTTCACTTCAACATCTGATGGACCTTTCTCACAGTAAGAGTCCTCCAAAGAAGGGGTTGGCTGCCCTTAAGTGTTCCCCATCATTGGAAAATTCAAACATGGCTTGGCTAGCTGCTTGGTAAGGATGTTGCAGAAGGAAGTCAGGCAGCAGATTTTGATTGTCTTGATGACTTTTAAGGCCACTTACATTAGGGAGTCTTTATTTTCTACCTTTTTCAGGCAGAATCTCCTCTTGAGTTTACACAATATTTATCAAGTCTTCTCTGGAATGGAAGGAGAGAAGTCAAAGTTAACCCTGTTAAACATATTCTAGACAATCATTTTACTTTCTTGGAAGGATTTTTAGGACAGAGAGATTCTTCCCATCTTGTGCTTGTTCTAACTACATTAACTATTAGTACTGCATTGATGGCTGACTTACTGGGAAGACTGCTTGGAAAAATACAAGAAGCCATTGTGGGAAAGTGTATTCTCCAAAAGAATTCCAAATGAATGAAGTTGTTTGGATTTTGTCTGAGTGCAGGTTTATACACACATGCATTTATGTATTTCCTGAATCTTTTTGGGATATAAGTTTTTCCAGAGAAAGCTTTGCTCTGTGCATAAGCAGAAGAGAAGAACATGAGGAAAGCACAAGAGTGTAGGGACAAGAACCTGGCCATACTCAAAAGGAACTGAAGGAAGTCCACATGACTGGGCAGGAAATGGGGCTGACACTGCTGTTATTTGGCGTCTTTCTTTCCTAATTGGGCAGCATAGAAGAGAGAGAGCAGCAGTCAGACTCTGGGGGGTGGGGGGGGGGGTCAACACTGACCCCTCTGACATCATCTGGTGGGCTGGGAATAATTTCTGAAATAGTGTAACCAAACATGTGCAGACAATTATGTCTGATGACATAAGCCCACCACAAAAACTGGGCCTGAAAATGCCACTTGAAAGAGTCTCTCACTTTGCATTAATTTTTTTTTCCATGAACTGTGGTTATTTTATTTCTGGGTCTTTAATATGCAGGGTAAATGAATCAAAGGCTGATCGTGATATGTTCTTTTGATATCAGTTTTAAATTGTGCCACCTGCAGGAGGCTAAGCTTGTTATAGTGAGATGTATTTTTAGATGGTGGTATTCGATGCTAAGACATGTGTGTATAGAGCAGGACAATGACTGCCAGCAGGAGAGAGAGAGGAGGGGAGACAAGAAGAGACAAGGACAGGAATGAAAGCTTTGAGCCAAGAAATGAAAATAAACAGTTCCTAACCCCAAAGCTGCAGTGGAATTCCCAGCTGGGCTCTGGATTGTGTTTGATTCGGTGGAGGACATTTTCTGGGCAGCGTTTATCTGCTCCCCTGGCTGGGCTTTCACAGCACCCATATCTTATCCAAGCAGCATCTATTTTAAGCCCTGTAAAGTTCAGACCATTTGCCTTTAACTGACCACACAGCAGTAGAATTGCAAGGTGCGGTGGTAGGAGTATTATAAAGGGAGTTGGGAGCTGCTAGTCCTAGTAACTCATGTGCCCGTGGGCAAATATTGAATCTCTCTTCTAGAAAATGGGGACAGTAATTCCCACCCTTTATACTTACTTCAAGGACTGGCTTAGGGCAAATGAGAAAATAAGTCGGAAAGGGATTGGCAAAGCATAAATTATTCCACATGAATGCAGTATGAAATTTTGTAAGTGATAACTTTCTGATTTGACCTTTTTTCTCCTCTGATGTGAGCAGTTTTCTCAGTAGGTAGTTCCTAGTGAGGATAGGTTAGGACACATTTGTCACTTTTTTTTCTCTTCTGATGGAAAGGTGTGCTTTTGAGATGGATATAGTGTTATGCAAGGCCTAAAGACCCCCTTCCTTAGCCATGGTGAGAGTTAAATTATACCTCCTTAAGTACTTTGTGTTCTCATGTGACAATGGGCAATACTTACTAAGCTTAGAGTGGCTCTAAGTAATGGAGGGAGATTACTCCACTTCTCTGTCAATCAGACATACTTAAAGATCACTTAGCTATCACATTCTTTCCTATCCATTCTCACTGCCACCATCCTAGTTCTAGAAATAGTTCATTAACTAGACTATTGCCATAACTTCCTAATCACTGTTGCTGTCTTTAATTCCTCCTCTCTCCCACACACCCTCTGAATTTTGTCATTCGTTGCTCAGAAATCTATTGCCTACCCAAGCAAGCTCAAACCCTGAGTACGACATTCAGGGTCTCTTACATCTGGGCCCAGCCTTCCTGTCCTTCTACCTCATCCTCCTGTCATCAAAATAAACTCTGGATGCCATTCAGTATGGCCAGCTCATCTTTACCTCATTACCCATTTTTCCCCTTACATTTACTCATGTATGCCATCTACACAAATGTCCTTTCATTCCCACATCACCTCTCCATCCCACCCCACTATCCAAATCACACTGAGTCTCAAGCCCAGCTCCTCCTTCGTGTCTTTCTTCTTCTTAGTCCTTCTCCCCCTCTTCTCTCTACTTTATCACAGACACACATTTTCTTTGCACTGTACATACATGCGCAGAAATTACCTCTGTGTCTTTCACTTCTGCCCATGTGTATGGTCCTAAAAATGCATGTTCTAGTTGCTCAAAACATGTTCGTTGAATGAATAAATCAGGGAGGGGAAGAAAAGATGCTACTAAATTAAAAATTCATTTTAATGACCAATAGCCACATCTAGTGTACCAGCTATAAAGTATCTGATGAGAATTACTACTTTAAATGCTTATCCACAATTATACTGTCTTTAAGATCCAAAAATATCCTTAAGTCTTTCTTTTTGGAAAAAGTTTTTCAAACTTTCCGGCTGATGTATATTCTCTGAGAATAAGATTCAAATCAGCAGTAAGTGTGTGAATTTATATGGTGATGATATTGCAGACATAATTATCCTCAGCAGTAGGATCATTCTTATTATGAATTTTGTAAAATTTCTTTCACTCCTCCTATCCTTAAAGAGTCCCTGTGTTTCTATACTAAAAGAATCCCTGTTTAAAAAAAGTATATATACCTGTTTGTAGGATAGCCATGCATGTAGCAACATAGTATTGTTTGTGGGATAGCTGTGCATGTAGCAACATAACATTGTTGTAACTGGATTCTCATTGTTGTAATTGCCCTCCCTACTAGATGTGGTATTGGAACCTCCAAGGACAACCTGGAGGAAGGTGGAAGCAACTTGAAATTGGGAAACTTAGGTCCTTCTTGTGACTTTTCTTTTAAGGAGTCACTTCACCTCTGTGTTGTTGCTTCATCTGTAAAGTTTATTAGATAAGCAAACTGAAAGCTCTCTTTCAGCTCAACAGCTCTAGAATTCTACATTTATGATCTTTGATTCATTGTTAGCTCAAGGGACACCAGACTAAATTGTAGATCATCCCTCCAGAAAACTCTTTCATTAGAGTTAGTAACTTCTATTCTTTCTAGCCAACCCCAGTGTTCAAATTATATCTTGAAACCCAAATGGGAAGGAAGAAGTGCTCTCGTTACACAAACTTTTCCCTTTGAATTCCTTGGATATTTGTGATAGCAGAAAGCATTATTCTTTAGGGTAAACCTTTTTTGTTTGTTTGTTTGTTTTCTTTTTTTTTGAGGCAGAGTCTCGCTCTGTCACCCAGGCTGGAGTGCAGTGGTGTGATCTCAGCTCACTGCAACCTCTGCCTCCTGGGTTCAAGCGATTCTTGTGCCTCAGCCTCCTAAGTAGCCGGGATTACAGGTTTGCACCACCATGCCCAGCTAATTTTTGTGTTTTCAGTAGAGATGGGGTTTCACCATGTTGGCCAGGCTGGTCTCAAACTCCTGACCTCAAGTGATCCTCCTGCCTCAGCCTCACAAAGTACTGGGATTATAGGTGTGAGCCACTGCACCTGGCCACTATATTTAATTGTTTTAAAATGTGGGTTATGGGAATGAATTTACTCCAGCCAGTCTTTGATGTAAATAGATACCCCTGTGGATTTTTCTTATTCAAAAGGTTTGGTGAAAATGGAAATAAGTGTCAGCATTATCTCTACAAAGGTAACATGCCGTTAACATCAATTTATGACACAAAAAAAACTCATTAATCTTGCTTTGTAATCATTATAGTAATAGAAAAATAGAGATGAAGCTTTTATCATTGTAAAACTGTAACATAGGTGTTTTTGTTTTTTCTTTTCTCCCATGTTAGGTAAGGGGGAAAAAGGAACATTTACCAAGTAAATAAATAGTATATAAATCATTAGGACAAAAATAGCCTCCTATTTAAATGAACATATTTCAGACATTTGGATACCACGGGGATACTTAGTAATACTTGGCCACATGCCATAATTTTAATTTTTTCTTAACTATTTCTGAGAGACCTCCTTCCACTTAAAGTATATATTAGTAAGATGTTGCCACATGTGGAATTGTAAGGCTGGGAACTGAGGGTAATAATTAAAATTCATATGCATATCTTTGAAAACTCATGTTAATTATACACAGTTTTAATTCTTCTATTTTACCAGCTGAATTTGAATTTCAAAGGGATGAAAACATACCCAGATGTGCCCCCCAGTTGGTTGTCTTTGGGTACCTTCTGGTGCTATGACCAGGAACTAGTGAACAGCCCCAAAACTGAGGGGTAAAGGTACCAAGGAAAATCGAGGGGTCTGAATGTGGCAGACCAGACTGTATAGTGTTTGAAGGCAGCAGAGATAGAGTAGATAGATGGAAGCTAACAGCCTCACTTTCCTTCATGACAAAACTATTGGGAAACAGAGTAAGTAAGTGCCTTTCCTTCTTATAGGGCCTTTAAACCTAGCACCATAACAAACCTGAGACCAGAAAAGCATTTTATTTCAGCCCACGATGATTGAAGAAGCAAAAAATATCCCAGTAATGTGATTTCATATGCAATCCAATGTTTTTCCCCAGCTCCCAAGTGAAAGCCCTTAAAAGTACAAATGAGGTCAGATCATTCAATGGCTTATTCATGCATTCATTTATTCATTTGCTTATTCATTCATTCACTCATTCATTCAATAAACATAAGCATTTTTTACCTTGAGGAATGAAGCTACATCATGGTACATCCAGGTCAAATTGGAGAAACTCTGATGTCAGTCAGGGTACATTTTCCCTTTTAGTCTCATTCAGCACTTTGTCTGGGATTGAATTTCCTGTTCCTAGAAGACTAGACCAAGGGAACTGACCAACTCTATAGCCTAGGAGGGAATTTGAAATTAAATTATATGACAGAAGGGGGGAATTTAGGACCAACCAGCAACAGTTTGAGAAAAGTACCAACCCCAACCAAATAGATATACCATGGACTTAATAATATAATAAAAAGCATTATTTTGTAGAAACTGCTTCTCTCTTTGTAGAACTAGTTGCAATGAGTTATGATCTTAAACCTAGTGATATGATCACACTAAACAGTATCACATTTAGGCTGTGTGTGTTTGTGTATGCGTGTGTGTGTGTGTGTGTACATGTACATTCCACTTTTGCCTGTGTGACTATGAACAAGTCAGTTTCTCATGATAGGACTCAGTTTTCTGAATTCCAAAGAGGACAGTTGAGCTGGATTTTGTTTAGGGCATCTTCCAATGCCAGTTCCATTTATAAACAATTATTGTTTTTCCATTCCCAAGAAAATGCAAGATTGTGTTTTGGGGAAGATTCTCAACTGTGAGATGACAGCGTATGCTATGTTCCTTTCATTGCAATTGGTGTTTTATAGCATCCTGCCCAGCCTGGCCCGCATTTGGCCCCGTAGCCATGCTGTCCTCAGGCTAGGATCTGGTTAGTTGTTCCAGACTCAAGTTGGTCCCTCCTTCTGCTCTGTGGAGAAAAATCACAACCTCAAAGGGATAGGTTTTTTTTTTTATGGTTGCTCCTGAAAGTGGCATGGTCCCTCTAGATGTCAGCAAATATTAAGGCAATTAAATAAGGCAAATTAATTATGGGAAACATTAGCATTGATTTCTGAAGACAGTCTTCTTCTTGCTGAGTCTAGCCTCACCCCTTCTTGCCTTTTAGGAAGAGTTCCATGTTCTTAGACAAGCTTGTTTTCGGATAAAATATTAGACTTTTTTCTTAGAAAATCCCTTTGTTTTAAAATTGGTAATTTTTAAAAATCCCAATCTCTGGCTACATTTGAGTTTGAGGAAATTCTTTTTCACATCTCTAAATATGTTTCAATTTGATAGTATTAGTAAATAAGTAAATAAAAATGCCTTATTCCACAAATGTTTATTGAGATCCTTCTAATTTCCAGTACCAGGAATACACACATCAATAGGACATGGTTCTTATACTTCATAAAGTCATAGAAAGCAAAAAGAACTGGCAGTTATCTGGTTCAGTTATCTGATTCTCTGAAAGAGAAGAAATATACCAGCCAGTATAGTCAATATTATTTTCAAAAATTTGGTGAATGGCCATTGTAAGGTGCATTTACACACATATAATCATACTCCTATCAACTATAAATATATGAATTGCTTATAAGCATGATTGACATTTGTTATTCTTACATAGATTTTGTGAGTGACTAGCAAAAGCTGTTCTTTGCTTCTAGAACCATGCTGTCCCAATATAACTTTTTGCATTGATGGAAATGTTCTATTTTAGCACTGTCCAATAAGTTAGCCTTTAGCAAAACATAGCTATTGAGCACTTGAAATATGGCTAGCTCGTTATCCTCAGCAAACTAACACAGCAACAGAAAACCAAACACCGCATGTTCTCACTTATAGGTAGGAACTAAACAAAGAAAACACATGGGCACATGGGGGAACAACACACACTGGGGCCTGTTGAGGGGAAGAGGGGAGGGAGAGCATCAGGAAGAATACCTAATAAATGCTGGGCTTAATACCTAGGTGATGGGTGGAGCAAACCACCATGGCACACATTTGCCTATGTAGCAAACCTGCACTTCCTGCACATGTACCCCAGAACTTTAAATAAAAGTTGGAAATTAAAAAAAAAAAAAGTATTGGGCATGAGGTCCAAAAGAGAATTGGTATCAACTAAGTACCGTTAACATACAAGATATGACAATGAAGAATTAATACTGATTAGCTGCTAGATACGAAGATGCTTACATATAAACAAGCACGTTTTTCAAAATAAACATCTTGAAACTAAAAAAAAAGAAATATGGCTAGTTTGAAAAAGAAAATAAATGTTTAATTTTATTTAATTTAAGGTAATTTAAATTTTCAGTAGCCACTTTTGGCCAGTGGCTACCATGTTGGCTAGTGAAGTTCTAGATGCTCTGCCGGTTATTTGGTAACTGTAACTTGGTAAAGTAAGTTAAAAGAATAAATGTGATGGTGTGCAAGAGTAATATAAAACTAGAAAATATAATTTAAAAATTTAGAATAGCTAGGAACTATGAAAAGTAGGAAGAAATAATTTACTAATCAACTACAAAGCATTAGCAGAATAAAATTGGCAGGAGAGTGATAAAATCACATGTAAATTGCAAAATGAAGGTTAAAATGAAGCCACCAAAGTGGGGTGACGGTGTTAGAGGTGTCACCATGCTGTGAAAACAGAGTAGACTTCTTAACACAAAACATAGAAAAGCATGCTTTCTGCTTAAATCAGCCTTTCCAAAAATAAATAGAGCTCTTTATTAAAAATTAACTATATACAAGAAGTGAACTCTGGTTATCATAATAATATGCTTCAAACTATTAAATAATATGGAGGAAGATTTAAAATATAAATATAGAAATACCTACATTTGTTATGGTTTTTTTGAAATAATTTTTCACTGTGTCAGCCACTAATTCATCCAACCTAATAATTCTTCAAGCCCAAGCAGGACATGTCTTTGAACTCATCTTGAACTCTTTCTTTAAGTCTAAACCCTGTAGGGCTTACATAAGATAGAGTCTTTGTTTCAAGTCTCCCAGGTGACCTAAGCCTTTGCTGGCAGCCTCTGCCTCGCCGTTTCTTCCTCCCTGCCCTGCTAGTCTATTCCAAGTGTAGTCTGCAGATCAACAACATTACCTGGGAGCTTGTGAGCCATGCAGAATCTCAGGCCCCGCCCAGACCTATTAAATCAGATGCTACAATTTAACGAGATCCCCTGGCAATTGTTAAGCACATTAAGTTTGAGAAGCTCTGCTCTAGTGTGTAAAGTCTACATGCTCTCTAGGGCTTACTGAAGAGAAGGAATTACATAGCTTTATTTGCATTAAGGATACCTTTTAAAATGTTTTCAACATTTTATTTAAAAAATTTTCAAACATATGGAAAACTGGAAAGAATTTTACAGTGAAATCACTATTCTCACCACCTAGATTCTGTCATTAATATTTAACTCTACTGGCTTCGTCATATTGTCACCCTTTTATCCTTCTGTGCATCCATCAATCCATCTTGATTTCTTTTCATTCATTTCAAAGTAAATTGCAGACAACAGTACATTTTCTCCTAAGTAAATATCCTGGTACATGTATCATTAACTAGAGTTCAATATTTATTTGCAGGATTTTTCTCTTCTGGAACAAAATTGTACACAACTAAATGTGCAAATCATAAGTATCCATTCTCTTGAAGGTTTTTTTTTTGTTTATTTTGTTTTTTGAGATGGAGTCTCGCTCTGTCACCCAGGTTGGAGTGCAGTGGCGCGATCTTGGCTCACTGCAAGCTCCGCCTCCTAGGTTCATGCCATTCTTCTGCCTCAGCCTCCCAAGTAGGTGGGACTACAGGCGCCCGCCACCATGCCCAGCTAATTTTTTGTATTTTTTAGTAGAGACGGGGTTTCAGCGTGTTAGCCAGGATGGTCTCGATCTCCTGACCTCGTGATTCGCCCACCTCAGCCTCCCAAAGTGCTGAGTCTCTTAAGTTTTAACAAATGTAATACACTTGTATATAAATTTCCTACCCTTTGTTTTCTTGTGTCTACCTCATTTGTATAGTTTACAAAACAAAATAAGAAGGAAATGGAAGGACAGGGCACATAGTTGTCCACAGAATAGTCTGTTCTTTTCCCAGCAGCCAGGGGCTCCCTCCCTTGCACCTCCTATCCTCAGTCCCTCATTCTATCTTATAGCCAAGCATTGCTAGAAAGGCCAATTTAAATCAAATGAGATGGTTTAGTTTTATTCTACACTTGTCTCATGTTCTGATATGGTGAGCCTGCTTTTAAAGGCTTGTATTCAACTTATATTCACATTTCAATGAGAAAAGTTTTTGAGATATATAAAAATAGAAACTTTCTAATAGATATCAGAAAGTTGAATTATAGTGTGATTACCTCACTATTACATTTTTCCTCTTTTGCCTTTTGCCGTTTCTCCCCTTTCTTCTTTCCCTTTATCCAGATAGACCCTTGACCTCTAGTCCTTAGGCCAAGTGAAGGGAATTGACAAGAACCTTATAGTGAAAGAATTTATGTTGCCTGGTGATAAGCATTTTGGAGACCGAATGATATGGAAAAGAACTCTTAAGAACTCAATTATGACTGTTCTGTTGTGTATCCTCTCAGGGTGGCATATGGAAGGCTTACGACTAGTTCATTTCTTTATTAAAATTAAATTTGGAAAATATTTAGACAGCTCTTTCCTGGATCTAGGCTACCCTACACCTTTATTGTGTCATATTTGGTTAACCTGCCTAGATAGTGACCCAGTGATCATACATGAGAGCAGGATTTTAGATCAAGTGTTACTTCGCTGAGAAATGTGTGGTACTCATTATAACAGAAGGCAAGACTGTTCTAGAATCTAGGTGTGAAGTATCAGCAGAGGTGGATTTTTAAAGTAAGTTAAAAGAATAAATATGATAGCCTGCAAGGGTAATATAATATAAATAGAACTAGAAAATTAAATAGAAAATATAATTTAAAAAATTAGAATAGCAAGGAACTAAGAAAAAGAAAAGTAGGAAGAAAGAATTTAGTAATCAACTACAAAGCACTGGAAGAATAAAATTGGCAGGAGAGTGATAAAATTGCATGTAAATTGCAAAATGAAGGTTAAAAGCAATTAAGATACACGGGTACTGAAGAGAATAATAAAAACATAAAATAAGCTAGGATGAGTAGTTAAAATAAATAACACCAGCTAAGAAGATACTTACAAAGATTAAAAAACAGATCAAGTAGTAATAAAATAAGGAAGTGGTTTAAGGCAGTAAATTAAAGAACAATTAAAAAACAATAAGGAGAGAAAATTAACAGGCCAAAATGACACTTAATAACTGTATTAATAGCTAACATTTATTGACTTCTTTCTATGTGGTAGACACTTTATGTACATTAACTTCTTTAATTCAAGTGTATTAAAATAATTAGGAATTTATTTTTGGGGTAAGCAAAAAAAAGTTCAGAGAAGGGAAAGCCAGGCATCAGGGCAATAACCCTCCCCTCGCTAAAAAAACAAAAACAAAAAAAAACAAAACCTGAAGGTAAGCAAAATAGATCTGCAGATATCAATTTTCATTCCTTGTCTAATGTGGTGATTTTTGCGGTTGAAAAACACCCAGTACCTGCCCTGGTACTTTTCTTCAGATCACAGGTTCCCGAAGTGGCTAGCGTTATAAAATGAGCATTCTCTTTTTCTCTCGTCATAGATAAGATTGACCTTTGTTAGGGGCAAAGACGTTTTCAATCAGTAGAATCCATAGCCCAGAACCTATGGCAGTGGGCAAACATCTCATAAGCCCACTCATCTTACGTGACCTAGCTCAGGCCTATCTTCTGGAAGTACTTCCTAGTTCCTTCAGACTGTGCCTATGTACTACTTAGTACACTGGAGTTGGAGTGGAATTTCGTTTCTGACACTTATCTTTCATTCCTCTCTAGACCATAGAATTCTGAAGAGAAGGATCATAGTTTTATATCCTGTTCCTCAACTCAGGCCTGGTATACAGTAGGTGCTCAATGAATGCTTTTCAAAGTGAGCCTAGTTGAACCTGTTGTCAGTGGGTTTTGTGTGTATGTTTTTTTAACCAGCAACCGGTCTATTCTGACTGGATTTTCTGCCTGCCTTGAACCCCCACAAACATGTATTTTTGTGTTTCTATTATCCAGAGAATTTCTTCCACAAGAAAATGGCTTTTTGTACTTTTTTTTTTTTTTCTGTTTACCACAGACTGGTACCCATCTTTTACCTCCAACTTATTTATATTGCATACCCTATAATTTTTATGCCAGAAATATTTTATGGGTGTATATATACCCTGGATATGGGTATATATATGTATATGTGTGTGTGTGTGTGTGTGTGTGTGTGTGTGTGTGTGTGTATTCAGAGCTCAGATATCTGTGACTGTTTTTTCTCTTTTCCATACTTTTCTTTGGGGCAGCTGTTATCTCTGTGGCCTTGAGCTTGATCCATAATTCATTCATTCACTCATTCACTCATTTGTTTAGTAGATGTTTTCTTGAGACTTATTATTACTCAGAATAGTGTTGGGCATTAAGGCAAAGAAAATGAAAAGGAGACCTAATGCCTGTTCTTGAGCAGCTCTCTGTCTTGATCTTGTTGTTTAGCCTGTTTCCATTGGCCCTATTTTTCTTTCTTTTTTTTTTTTTTTGAGACAGAGTCTCACTCTGTCACCCAGGCTGGAGTGCAGTAGCACAGTCTTGGCTCACTGCAACCTCCACTTCCTGGGTTCAAGCAATTCTCATGCCTCAGCCTCCCAAGTAGCTGGGATTACAGGCATGCCCCACCACGCCTGGCTAATTTTTGTATTTTTTAGTAGAGACGGAGTTTCACCATGTTGGACAGGCTGGTCTCAAACTCTGGACCTCAGGTGATCCACCCACTTCAGTCTCCCAAAGTGGTGGGATTACAGGCGTGAGCCACTATACCCGGCCAGCCCTATTTTTCATGGAAAGGAAAAAACAACTATTAACACTCTTCACAGGTTATTGTTGTATTTTGAAAAGAGTTATGAAATCCCTTGCTAACTTTCTCTTCTCTGGGGAAAAGAGTCTGAGTTCCCTCAGCCTTTCTTCCTAAGACCTGTGGTTGGCTATAAATTGCATTGGTTGCTCTTCTCTAATGACCTCTGGAGATTGGCAACACCAAACAAAGACATGAGTTAGATATGGACTCTTCTTCAGACACTTTGTTTAAATTTTAAATTTTTTTCTGATTGCAAATTAGTATTTAATGTAGAAAATTTGGAGAATTCAGGAAAACCACAAAGAAGAAAATTTACTGTTAACTTTGTGCTCGTAGCCTTCTAGCACTTTATGTATAAGTGTGTTTTTTATGTGGGTGTAAGAAAGTTACATTTCCTTTTACCTACCTATATTACTAAAAATGTGTTATGAATATTTTCCATATCATTAAACATTCTTCTCAAGCATAACTTTAAATAACTGCATAGGAAACTGTTATAGGGAAAGTCCACAATGTGTTTAATCAATTTATACTATAGAACATTTAAGCTACTTTTGATTTTGGTTTTTTTTTTTTTTTTTTACTATTATTAATAACACGGTGGTAAGCTTTATAGTACAGAACATTTAATGCACATTTTCTGTTATTTCCTTGGATAAATTTCTAAAAATGGAATTGCTAGATCAAAGGGTATGCATAAGTTTACAGTCTTTGTGATGTATTGTAAACTTTTCTTCTAGGAACTTCTATTAATTTATGGTTCTCACTAACAGTTTCTGGTAGTTTCCATTTCCTCACACCCTCAACTGTTTTTCAGTCTTTGTCAATTATCAAATCATTAAATGGCATCTCGTTTTTATTTTAACTTGTATCCCTTGGGTTGCTAGTGCGATTGAACATTTTTTATATGTTTATTGGCCTTTTGTACATATTCTGGAAATGTTCATCTCTTTTCTTATTGATTTCTAAGAACTCTTATAATACAATAAGGATATTAATCCTCCTGCACTTGGCCAGCATTTAGTAAATAGAGGAAATTCTATTTCTGAGTGGAGGAGGACTCCTGTGGAATAAGGCCCCAAGTCTCATCCTATTTCTGTGTAAAGTTCTTCAGAGTGAAAGCTGGATTGTTGCCCTAGGAAAACTAAAGGCAGATCTGTAAGTGATACCAGTATTGATCTTAAAATAAATAAATTAATTAACCCTACAATCTGAACTAGCTTGACATTTTCTATTTTTCTGATCTATGAAAAATCTCAGGTTGTAAAATAGTGCCCAAGAATTTTCTAAAAGAACCTAGAGATATGTTAGTGGAAAGTTTAGGGGGAGATCTGCCCTAGGCCTAGTATGACCCTAAGCCAAATAAATAAATCCTTGGCTTGTTTATATAGCCAGGTTGAAGAGATAATAGTTACATCTATTAAAAAAGCTTTCTTATGACCTTTGCTACACTTAGGTCAAGAAAATGGTATTTTGAGTGACTAGATGTTTTATTTTGGATGCTCGATCAGTCTCCTTGTTTCTTTTACTATCTGTAAGATAACACATTCTTCTCAGTTGTTGAACTTTGACATCTCACCATCATATGCTCTGCCCATCTTATTCCGTAGCAGCACACATAAAGAAAGGCCAAAGCAGACTCCTGAACCCACAGTACAGCTGGAAGGTTTCTACTGCAGAGATTCTGGGACTCTTTAAAAAGAAAAAAATTAAAATTTCAAAAAATCAAACCCCCTTACACTTGGATGAGAATTCCAGAATAAAAGAGGGTGTCCCCCAGCATCCCCTGAATATTTCTAGGGTGGTGTCAAGTGAATTCAAAATTCTTGAGCACATAGATTGTTTTCAAGCTCTTGTTTTCATTTCATCAGTAAATAGAATTTTAAAAACAACAATATCCTCCCATCAGTAAATTTGGCACAATGGATACTAGCACTCCGTTCTCGTACATTCTTGTCAACATTTTCTTTCTGCATCCCCCACCCCCAAGCCTGGGCCTGCTTCCCACTATATCTCCCACAACCCTTCTGTTAGCTGTAATGACCCTGCAAACACTAAATGGCATTTGAGTGCATTAAGCAGCAAACTCTCTGGTGACATAGCAATTATGGCTCTGAAATAGATTTGGTGCGTCACGGAAGATAAGGGTTTTGAAAGTTTCTATTGTGATTATAGCCTGTAACTCCCACAAATAATAGGCTTCAAAATAAGAGGCTGCCAACGGAGCCTTTGTGGCTTTGTCTCAGTGATGGCACGTAAATTGCTATTAATGTCCTAAGTGTACTTGAATATGCCAGTCTTTGGGATGTGGAGTTGGCTCAGTGTCTCTCTTTACACGGCATGTCATTGTTGGTCTGATAATCTGGGGTAATTGCTGTCTCTTGGATGGTCAGAAAAGTGTAAGGGGTTTAGCTTCCTGTGTGATGGTAAATAGCCTCAAAATTTACCCCACGAGGGCAGGTTCACACATACTGGCTGTGTGTGTATTTCATGTGTAGCCACCGTTCACCGTTAAGATGTGTATACAATCTCTGTGTGTACCCTTAGTAAATAATAGCCTTGTCAACAAAGCCAAAGCAAAATCAAAGGTTATAAAAATGAAATGACGAATTCAGGGCTGTATAGGTTCAGCCAATCAGATAATTTATATTGAGAGTTTAAAAAAGAAAAAGAATACCCTTACTTGAATTATCTAGGTTTAGCTTTATGAGGAAGCTTTATGCTTCCTCTTTTCTAGTGTAGCTACTCTTTTCTAGTGTAAGTAGCATCTGTGTGTCTGTCTATATTCTTTAGGTAGTATGAGTACATTCGAAATGTATATCAGCTCTACGTGAATATAATAAATGTGGAAATTATGCATGTTGTCGAATGCTGTTTGTTGATGTTTAGAAGTGTGTTTTTATTTTGGTTTGTGCAGCTGTGCAGGCAGAGGTTATTTATTCAGATATAAGTAGAATTCTCTGCACTAAGGCACCTTTGTTTAGCTAAAATCAAGCTGAGCTTATTTTTCTTTGCCAGGAGATCAGGATAGCCTTTGGAAAAAGTAAGAAAATCAAACTTGAAGCTTTAGCCTCTTGTATGTCCATTTAGCCTAAGGACCTTAAGTCTGTAAGACATGAACACGTTATGTGTAACTGTCCTATTTGTACTTTTAACAGAAATGGAAAAGCAACTCAACCCAAAACCTGGAAATGCACACCATCTCCTATACTATGTGAGTTATGGAGAGGCTCAGCTAAAACCACCCCGTGTCTCAGATCCCTTATATGGCATTATTAATCCTGGATCTTCGCAACAGATTCATTAGAAAAGAATAAAGCTAAGAAGGAGCCAGAGTAGATCTTGATCTCAGAGTTGATGTATTATACAAGCGCACTTTAATAATGTGGCATTAGGATGTTGGCAGGAGGGCACACTATGATGGTGCTACAGTTGATGGAATCTTCCAGTTGGTGACTGAGCACCCCTTAGCAGTTAGGGTGCATGCAAGATAAAATTCAAGGTAGTAACTTCTAACAAGAGAGTTTGTTTTCATACCGTGTGAACATGGATCAGATATACCATCTTACTCTTAGGTCTTAGACCAGAACTCTGCCTTGCCAGTGTAAGTTAAGCCATATTCACTGGCAAGGTGGTGCCGCCCATGGTCAAGCCTCAGAAGCATAGCCCTGCAGGAGCAGAGCTTGTCTTGTTCAAAACCAAGTTTGATGAGGTGGATTGTTGCTTAGTAGCAGGAGATATTAGAATCCTCGGACTTTTCTGAGGCCAGTCTTGTGATTCATATGTTCTAGCATCTTAATAAACAACATAGGGATTCCCAAAGGTGAACTGAAGAGCACAAGTCACCTGCCTTTAGCTGTGAGCATCCAAAGTAGCTGTGCTCTGCATGTGGAGCGCACACATTGTCCCACAGCCCCGTCTTTTGAAAATTGAAATGTCCAAAAAGCAGTAGCAGGCAGTGGGTACTAAGTCTGGCAAATCCTGGGTTCTGAGATCTAGTTTTCTCTCCTGAGAAGTAGGAGTAAGAGTTCACACTAGATTTGTGTACCACTGTGTATTTGTGATCCAGAGCAAGAGATGGACCTATAACTGTGCAGTTATGCTGGGCACCTGCAGCCAAGCCATCCAGTATTCACAGGAACGAGACACCAAGGGAAGGCTTCAAAGCCATCATTTCTCCTTCCATTCAATCAAGTGCTTAATTGAGCAGCTGCTGTGTCAAACATGAGCCTAGTCCTGTAATGGCTTGTTGTTGAATGATTTACCATCTCATTGAGGATAAATATCAAAGTGCTTCATGTAGCCTGCAAGTCTGGGCATGGCTAAGTCCTCTCCTCTCCGGTCCTGTCTTGCTTCACTTACCACTGTTCTCCCCTGTTCCATTCTTTCTGGCCTTCTTTGAGTCCCTTGGAGACTCTGGAAAGGCTTCCCTTTGCCCCACTCTTGGCTTGTCTGTTTTCTGTTCACCTTCAGGCTGATTTTCCGTAAGCCCAAGTGAGGTCCCTCTTTTGTACTGTCTCCTAGCACTTATTGCCATCTAGAATCTGTATACATTATTTTGATAATATAGCAAATGTCAATTTCCTGCAAAACAGTAAACTCCTTGAGAGCAGAAACAAGATTTTTTTAACTTATTTTATCAACCACTGTATGCCCAGTATGTAGCACAAGTGGGCACTGAATACGTATTTACGTAATTAAAAACTAAGTGATTACAGCCAAAAACATATGGTGCTCACTTGGAGATTTTAAATGATAAATAAAAGTTGCACGTAGTTTTAAATGTCAAAATGAAGGATCAGTAAGTCAGTGGTATTAGAGGCTAGAGACATGGGTGATGTGTGCCTTGAAGAAACCTACAATAAGAAAGTGACTCTCAAGCTGGGCCTTGAAAGATGACACGGATTTGTAGAGACCAGAGGAGATAGACAGGCAAAGGCAAAAAAATCCTCTCACTTGACTTCTCAGTACAGTAAAGGAAGGATTCTCACTTTGACAATGAAAAATTATTATTTCTTTGCAGCAGCGTAAACTACAAAAGTCTTTGCAGCAAGGATTTCTATTCTCCACCAGGAATGGCTGACTGCATTGCACTGCTAATCTTTCTGAACATAGAGACCTATAAACAAGATCTCAGGATTCAAGAGGCTTGATGGGAGCCAGACTAGAGAGGAGTGTGGTGGTGTGGCATTGATATGAAGCCACCAGGGGCTGACCTAGTGGTAGGTGGCAATTAGAGAGGATACCCTGGCAGTCAAAGGACTATGGAAACAGGAATCCTAGAGCCAGCAGCATGAGTTAATCCAAGCAGAGGATTGGCTTCTGGGAAGTACGATGGCAGGTAGTAGTTGGTGAGCTGAGGTTCCAGAGCAGTATTCCAATAACAAGAGCAAGTCACTTTCTCGGTCTTTAAGGAACTGTAATAAATAGCAGAAAATTAAGCAAAGCTAGGCATAAGCTTGGTAGAGATGGTCTCAACCACAAGAAAGAAGTTCCTATATGAAGACACTGATGCAAAATGTCCAAGTAAGACAAGTGGCAAAATTGATTCTGAGTTACCTATGGTACCAAACTAGGCCAGAAGAAAATTTCTTCTGTCTGAGAGCACATGTTATTCCCATATAGGGTTGCCAGATTTAGCAAATGGAAATACTACATGGGATATACTTATAAAATTACAGTGTAACAGGGCATCCCATATTTTATCTGGCAATGTCATTCCTAGATCCTAAGAGGGAAGCTGAATCTGTATATGGGTCTCACACCAGAGAGAGAAAAGATAGGGGCTCAAGGACACAACAGGCCATTAGGAGACTATGTCTGTTTTGCATTTTTGCAATTCCCACTGTGCTCAGGGTGGTAACTGGGATACAGATGCAGGATGGGTTGTCTTCTCCTTGTGCCTTTCTGGAGAACACTCCTTGTTAAGATGGTGTGCTAAGCTGTGGCACTGCAACTGTCAGGTTCCAGTGTCCTTCTCAATTGCTTTCCCTAAACGCAAAACAAAACAGTATAAATATTAATTATCATTGCTTGTTTGGGATAAGCTATGAAGCACCAAATCTCCCTGATGCCAGTTTAGTAAGAGAAACGTTCACTGCCTGAAGATTAAAGTTACCCAGAAACTTGGCAGTGCTTCTGCTCTGTCTTTTGAGTATTTTCTAGGTGTACACAGCTATTTACATATAGTTGGAATGAATTATGGAGGTCAGGGATCTCATGCCATATGTCTCTCCATGCCCATGTTGGGGGATGGATGTCACAGTGCCACCAAGTGTTTCTTTACTTCATCCTATGCCTCTCCAAGAAACATTTATCAAAATCGGCGATGTGTCGGGCACTGTGGTGGGCACTTTGGAATAAAAGATAAATTCCACACCCTTGCTTTTATGGTCGGGTAGGTGAAACCGACGTGTGAAGGAACACACGCAATACAGCAGCACATGTGCTGTGACAGAGGCACATACATAGAACTGGGGGCCTGCAGGAGGAAGAAACAAAAAGCATGGCCAGGGGACAGATGGATGTGCAAAGATATTCAAATTCAGTCTTACAAAGCAGCCAAGGTGTGAGTGAGATGTAATTGGAGGAGTGAGGGCACGGCATTCAAGGGGAAAGAAGCAGGCATGAGACGGCTGCTCTGTCCTGGGAAATTCATGGGAATGTAAATAATTGTGTTGATAGGGGAAGTAAGCAAGATCAAGGCTGCGGCAGAGCTGCTGAGGACATTGAACCTCATCTTGAGGCCAATGGGTAGCCATTGAAGATTTCAACAGGGAGATGACATGCACAGAATGACACTTTTGAAAGATAGCTCTGGTGGCAGCTAGAGATAGGACTGGAGGAATACCCAGACCGGGCCTGGATCTCTTTTCCACTGTAAAATTCCCCAGGAAATTTTGAATCTTTTGACGTCCCTAAGGGGGCTTTCCAATAGCATCTTTTCAAAGTGCTGTCTGTGTAATCTTGGGAAAGTGTTAAGCATATCAGGAAGACATATTTCTTCTAGCTTGATAGAAGAGTGATGAATCTAGGATGTGACCTCTGCTGTGTGAGCTGATGTCTCCCTGATATATAGTGGCTCTGTGTGTGTTTGCATAGAGAGGGAAAGAGGATGCATCCGTGTCTCTGTTTTTCTTCCCGGCCGTTCCCAACAGTGACTGGGTGATTGAGGGGCTGGAGCACGTGCAGCTCCTCACCCACGCTGAAGGCATCTCTAGTAATGGCATCTGGCCCATATGCAGATCTAGCTCCACTCTGTGCTGACATCAGCCGGTTTGTGGCACCTCAGCGTATTTCTGGGTTGCAAATGAGAGTTTCTTAGTGCCAGGCTTGCTTGGGCTGTCACATCAGGTGATGAATTCTCTGCATCAACCGTGTGCTGCTAAGGTAATCGCAGAGGAAGAGTGGGAAAAAGAGGAGATGGGGCAGGTGCTTCTCAGCCCTGCAGCCGCTGCTCAGGGCTAAAAGCAGCACTGGATCCACAACAGGGAGGGAGAAGCAACTATCTGTGGTCCCCGTTCTGGTTCAAGGAGGGTGGTAGAGAAAAGGCAGGGTTTTGGTTGCAATTCTGTGTCACGTGTCCTGTCAGGAGAAACCACGTGGGTTTTCCCATCTGCCATTGCCCCATCCTTGGCTCAAGAGCTAGCTCCCTCTACCTCCTCAGACAGGCATGTTTTGCATTACCTTTTAGGTGAAGTTCTAGCAAAATTTGGTGTATATCAAATTATATGCCAAATTCTTTAGGATAGACCATAGAGTAAATAGTCATTTTTATTCCCGAAACACTTTGTTTCCAAATATCTTTGTGTTTTGGAAATCCAGATTTTCTTATCTTGGGAACCTGCTGTATTTTATCTTAGTTTTATATTCTATGAGCTTCTCTCTTGGTGAGCTCCAGGTTGAGCTGCTCTGCTGGCTTAGGCTTCATCTGGTAGAATTAAAAGTTACATTGGGTCACACGTCCCAGGTGTTGCATCACAGGCCACAGAATTACCTATATAAAACTGAGTGCAAATGTAGACACTCTTCCACTAAATTGTTTTTAGCAATTAAAAGTGTACCTTTGGTTTTGCAGATTTTACCTCCCACCCTGTGACCCCTCAGTGTGGTTTATGACATTAGCATTTCCAAGAGTGTGTTCATTATAAAGAATTGTTTGCATCAGAAAGTAGAGAGGGAAGCTGAGGTGCAGAAAAAAAATAAAAATAAAAGTCTTATTTTCCACCCCGCCCCCACCCACCGCACAGTTGTTAATGAAAGCATCCTCTCCTCTCACTCTGCCCAGAGATAAATAAACACACAAAGGCGGAGTTTCCTACTTAATATTCACCCACAGTCGAGGTAGAGGGAAGGAATTGCTCCCCAGGGTTAACGTGGCAGTAAGCGAGGTCAGCTGTTTCCCAAGACGGTGCAGCCTCTGAACGTCTTCCATCACAGCTAGAATGATACAGCTGAAGCAGCCGAAGTGATTTACAGGAAACCCAGTTAACTTGAGTTTGCTTGCAGTTTCTATCTTATGATGGTTTTAGCAGTAACAGCAGCAAATAATATACCGTCCTATAAAGCACCTCTAGAGAAAAGAATTCTTCCACATTCCCCAGCATGACATGCTTCTTCTAAAAAGTATTTGTGTTTCTCTAACTTAAACCCTATAGGCTACAATGTCCTAAATTTGGTGAGAAGTGGGAGGTCATAGCTGGCATATCCTGGAATAGGGTGGCCAAAAGTCTCATTTTGCTCAGGCTGTTGGGGTCTACTCGGATCTGAGACTTTAGGTACTAACATGGGAAAGTCCTGGGCAAACTGGGATGGATGGTCACCAAATCTGAGGGGGTGTGTGTGTGTGTATCTGTGTGCATATTTATGGTTGGAGGGGGAGTGGAAAAAAGGGGAGTGAAAGAGGTTTTGTTTAATGTATTTCTTTTAGCTAGAAGGTTTTATATATTCTTCACTAGGCCAACTAGAATAATATAATGCTGGTTTTGAGATTAGCTTGAAATAATTCCTATTTCTCCCATCTGTGGGTTCTCTATACCCCCTAACATCTTACACACTGGTCTGAGAAAACAGAACTTTTTAAAGAAAAGAGATCAAATTTTTACTATTTGAGTTATTTCAGGTCTGGGATGACTCAAGAAGAAGTCTCCCAGAACCTTCTGGGCAATATAGAATGCCTTGTCAATTCCTTCTTAATGAAACACCACAGAACTAATTTTCTTTACTAATGGCTTCATTTTTTGCACCACTTATTGTTATCTTAATGGAATTATGGCATGGCTAAAATGATAGAGTGGTGATTTGTGAGCAATGTAATAGAACTCCATTGTTCCATGACCTATGACATGTACGCTCACTGCTTTCATAGAGCTTCCTTATCTGCTTATTTTATACCAGGGTGATTCTAAGATACATGCCTTTTTTCTTTCTTTCTTTCTTTCTTTTTTTTTTTTTTTTTACCAGAATTTTACTCTACTTCATGACATTGTACTTAAAAACTTAAAAAAAAAGTTTTCTTAAATTTCTGTACTGCTGAGTCATTTTTATTCCTGAAACACTTTGTTTCCAAATATCTTTGTGCTTTGGAAATCCAGATTTTCTTATCTCGGGAACCTGCTGCATTCCCCAGTGTGACGTGCTTCCTCTAAAAAGTAGGACCCCTACCTCCTGCCCCTACAGATACACTCCTGCCTGCCTGCCTGTCTGTCTACCTACCTATCTATCTACCTGCCTATCTACCTGTCTGTCTACTTATCTATCTATCTAAATATCTATCTGGTAAACATTCACATATAAAAATGAGTAGGAGAAACAGATACCAAAGCAATTATATGTGTCATCAAAGCTGAATAATTTTCCCCAAGTAGTAGGATTATGGGTGCATGCTGTATGTTTTGTTTTTTATGCTTTCTAATTTCCCAAATATTAGCGATAAGTATATCTTATTTTTATTTTAAAAAATGACATTAAAGGATCTTCTTTGGGAAAAATAAACGTGGCCGCCATTCTTAGTCAGCCTAAAATGGCACCAGAATCTATATTCCTGGTTGGGATGGGAGGCTACAATATTATCACCCCTATGGCAGACTTTCATTAGGAATTTGAATGAATTCTGTTCTTGATTCTGGTTATACTACAGAGTCTTTGCCCCCAAAAGTTGGAAAAGCTTTCTGTTATGAAAGAAAGAATTATTTTCCTCCTTATTGTTCTCCGTCTAATCTGTTTATCACAAACAGCAGGGGGAAATGTCCTCCAACAGAGAAAAGGAGTGAGAGGAGTGACTTGACTGGGTTAGGAGATGGGAGATTGGAACTTGAGAGCAGTTATTTGCTGACCCAAGATTGGGGAGCGGTGTTCTTGGCATTGCTCAGGATGCCCTCTTGGTATCCAGATCTGCTTTTCAGTGAGGTGTGAACAAAACCTACCCTGTTGCTGAAGTAACTGGTAGGAGCTGCTTTGAATTAAAAGCCTGGCTTTCCTGGGAAAATTGGAGCATCATTTGGGTGAGCCAATGATAAAGAAAGCCAAGTGGTTGAAAAGCGCAGAGAAAATGGAGCCCGAATTCAAAGATCTCAAGGCCTGTGTTCTCAGTCGTGAACCGGGACACCTGCTTTTCTCTTGCACCTCTGCTCTCTGATGAATAAAATGGGAACGGCATACTCCAGGTGCCATGGAGTATGCAAGAGTTGAAGTGGTGCTCCCTCCCAAGCAGCAACAATAATACCTGCCCCATCTCCCCCAAATTTTTCAGAGAATGAGAGGATAGTACAATAGAAAACATTTTACCAGGGATGTCTCAGACCTGATCTGTTCAACGTGAACTACAAAGGAACACAGTAATCGAAGGGGGGAAAGGCATTTTAGCACACTTATATTTCAATGCTTTAAAACATATAAGCAATCATGAATTATGCATCATGAATTAACCACTATAGCAAAGCATTCTTCAACTATTTTAGTGCTGGGATTTTTTTGAAAGGGGTGGTTACTAAACAGATTTTTTTAGAACAGTTTTAACAGTTTTATTGTTGGGATGCTCCTGGATCTAGAGTCTTGTAAAATGATCTCCAAATATTGATCAAGCCTATACCTTCCCGTCTCACCACCTCTCTGGATATATTCACACAGACTAGTCCTTATGGCCTTGGCACCATTGTTGTATCTGTTATAGTCACCTGAATTAGCCTCTGTACTTTTCAAAACTCACCTCAAAGAGTGCTCCCTCTATGAAGTATTTCCTGATGTTGCAACAAAATGTGATATTGTTTTCATTTGAAACTTCATAGCAATGGGACTCTACCATTTATTAGGTTCTGCCTTGATTTATAAGTTCATTCGTGGGCTTATCTCCCTCCTTGAACACATGAACTACATCTCACTCATCATTATATACCCATGAGCATCTAGTATAGAACCTTGTGCAGAACAAATACCTGGAATCCCATAAATACATGGGACATCCAGAGTCAGAAAGAACCCTAGAAAGCATTTGAGCCAACCTTCTTATTTTTCAAAAAAGAAGACTAAGGTCAAATAGGTGAAGGTGCTTTACCATCGACATTAGCTAGTTGTTGCCAGAGCCAGAACCAAAACTTGAGTCCCTTGACCTGCAGGACAGCTGTCATTTCACTGCTGGCTGGGACTTAATTACAGAGTCTTTGGGAAGTATAAACACATCATACTAGTGGGAGGTATTAACATCATATCCAGAGGCTCACTGGGAGGACCCAAACTTATTTGAGGGTGGGGGCAATATTATCACCCACAGTAATAGTTGCCCATTTGATGAGTGTCTCCATGTGCCAGGCACTATGCTAGGTCCTTTACACAAGATGCCTCATTGTCATTGTCTGCTGAAAACAGCCACCCAATCTCAGAGGACTGACTTCTCTCCCTTTTTCCCTTCTAGGCTAATGGAGGTTGGCAGGATGCTACTACCCCTTCATCAGTGACCTCCCCTACAGAAGGCCCTGGCAGTGTTCACTCTGATACCTCCAACTGATCTCCCAGCAATCGCATCCCGGCTGACCCTGTGCCCCAGTTGGGGCAGGGGCAGGAGGGAGGGTTTCTCTCCCAACGCTGAAGCGGTCAGACTGGAGGTCGAAGCAATCAGCAAACACAATAAGAGTCTCCTTCTCTTCTCTTCTTTGGGATGCTATTTCAGCCAATCTGGACACTTCTTTATACTCTCTTCCCTTTTTTTTCTGGGTAGAAGCCACCCTTCCCTGCCTCCAGCTGTCAGCCTGGTTTTCGTCATCTTCCCTGCCCCTGTGCCTCTGTCCTAGACTCCCGGGGTCCCCGCCCTCTCTCATATCACTGAAGGATATTTTCAACAATTAGAGGAATTTAAAGAGGAAAAAAATTACAAAGAAAATAATAAAAGTGTTTGTACGTTTTCATGCTGGTGGTTTGAGGAGCCAAATTTACCTCACTCGAATCCCTCACTCCCTATGTTAACAGGCAATCCTTCTCTGTTTCTCTTATTACTCTCACTACCTCTTAGCAGGAATACTCCACATTGCCCTATTCATTCCAGGCCTCCCTGCTTCCTCTTGCTCTTCCTCCCTGGGGACAGTACTGATTGGAACACTTTCCTCCTCTTCCTTCCTAGCCCCAGCTATTCACTGGGGACTGTCATAGCTGGGATTCTAAAGGTGCCACATTTTTCAGTTTCATCTCCACTAGGTTGGTTCCCGGGCAGGAAGTCAGGCAGCAGGGAAGGACACGGGAACAGCAGGTGGAGAATTCCTACAGTCTTTCTTACCCTGCTAGCAATAGCTCTCAGTTTCAGAGGCACAGTCTTTGGAGACCATTCAGCACTGAGAAAGCAATATTTAGAACCTATTGCAAAACTGGGCCTGAGTTAGGCATGGTGATGAATGCATCAGCAAGGAATAGAAAGTTCTTATCGTGAAACCCTTCAACCTCAACTATGCCTTCATAGACACACACGTTCATGCACATGTAGGCACATGTACCATCTCACATCTTCACTTTCCCGAGATGCCATATACAATTACCTACATTAATAACTGTAGCACTATGCCTTTTGAGCCCGAGAGAGGGAATTAGTGACTCTAAGTGAAGGTCACTGACACAGAGAAGCAGTATGTGTCTGGGGCTTCCAGGACCTGCAGGCCCACTAGCGTGCACTTACCAGAATGGCATACACAGGACCTGATCATGAGGAAGACCAGGTTTCCAGTGTAAACTACTCTTGTTCCCACCACCTCTGGAGCACTCAGGGAGCCCCATACAGTACTTACAATGTCTTTAATGGACTTGATTCTGTTTAATTTTTTGTTTTATATTAGGCACACTGTATTAATTTTCCAAAATGTTATACCACACTATGTTCTTGGTCCTGACCTATTGCTCTGGAGGAAAGAGTTGTATAAGAACGTGGCTCATGTGAACTTTTGCTAGCTTCATTTGAGGACCTGAGAATCATGGGGAAAGGGAAGGTAATGTTTTCATTGAAATCATCACAGTGATTTTTATTCCCTGGGAACACAGCGTGTACTAAAAATACATGAGAAAATAGCATGTATATGAAAGCTATTCTCAAAAGTCACCTGAGCTCACCATCTTCATAGCCAACCCTACCAGTTATAAAGATGGCAGCTCTATCACTTGATTAAGTGGGAGGTGGTCAAATATTTTGGTGCCTCATTTTCTTCATCTGTGAGATGGGAACTGTTATGCCTGGCTTACTAAGAGTCTTGTGAGAGACTGAGAAGTTGATTTTGTTCATATCCAATCTGTAAATGCGAAGTCAGGGGAAGTAATGTCCCTGAAATAAACGGGTTCATGCCATCTAGGGACAATAAATGGTTTTCTTGTTGTAACTTCTGGTTAATATCAGTACCTTGATGTCATCACCGTGATGACAAAGAGAAGAGTTATTGTTGATCTTCTTGGTTTTGGTCTGTCTCTTTTCTTAGGATAAAGAAAAACTTCCAAACTAGAAAAACAGGCCCTGGTTCCCTTAGTTTGCACTTGAACCCAATATGTTGCCTTGTACATACTTGGTCCCTGTCACATTGACTGCTTGGGAGGCTTCCAGGGAGAAGTATGAGACCCTGAGGGGTGAGAATGGGCAGCTAGCAAGAACATGGAAATTCTGCTTGGCACTACAGTCATAAATAGAAAACACTGTGTGTGCTCAGGGGAGCAGGGGATGCCACTGAAGAAACTCAAGGGAATGTGTATTTGAAGGAAATGCAAAAACTAAGTATTTAGCAAAATGAAATTATGCCTTGATGACTAAAAGGCACTAGAAAGGTTGTGTCTACTAACTTCAGCCCTAATCAGAACAGATGCCTAGAAGGAGCATTTTTGTGACAACTTCATAGTGATTAGAATCAGTGGAGAACTCCATCTTAGTGGCAGGAATATAATGAAACTACCCACGCAAGAACATGGTTGAATCACATTTGCTTGACTTAGGGCAAAGTACGAAAGAGAGACAAAAGGGTTCTCTTGGAAACAAGAAGAGTGACTCCAGATGTGGCCTGAATAATTGCCATGTTAAGTTAATGCAAAAGATCAGAACAGGGCTACATTTGCACAGGCAGTTTCTCTCCGGGCCGTAGTTTTCACTGATGATCACCTTTCACAGCATTTTCCCCAACCAGCATTTCACTTAGTCTTCTCTATACCCAGCACCTCCCCCGGCACCCCCGGCAAGCCCACTATCACTTCCGACTTCCAACGTGGCATCCGTGAGATCTGTCCACATTAGGCGAAGCAGGAGAACACTGAGAGCAGCAGGATGGGTTTGGAAAGAGCATGCCTCTGGAAACACAGCTTCCTGGGAATTCACATGAGGCCAGTCCTACAGAGAGCAAGATGCACCCCAGGATTTCTTCATTTTCTAATAGATGTGGGAGTGCTCCATTTTCCCCGACAGCGAATTTCCCCTGAGAAACGATACTAGACCCTGGGTTTGCCCACCTTGTAACTCTTCCTTATCTCCTCCTTTTCATCCCTAATCCATCCTCCCTCTGGCATGGAATTGACGCCCGTGCAGTACATTTGCCAAGTGGCACCTTCTTTCAATTTATGTTTTATTTTGCTATGGTGGTGATTCTTTATTTGCTGGTTGTCTTTTCTCACACATCTTTCTCTCTGTCTCTCTCTTTCCTGCTCTTTGTTTTTCTGCCCAGAAAAACCTGACTTCGATACCAAAAAAGATGAAACTACAGAAACTCAAATTTAAAAAAAACTTTAAAAGAAACAAAAAAATACTCAACGATTCTTTCAGCTTTATTAACATTTTCCATTGTTTCTTGCGACTTGTGTCTCGTTCTTTGTAGTATTGATGATGAACATTTGATAATGAATGTTCTTGTATATTCAGATAAAGAAAAAAAAAACCAAAAAAGCGGTCTGAATTTAATAGTGTTTATAATAAAAATTTTAAAAATGACCCTCATAGCACGCAAAACAGGATGGGGAATTTCCCCTCTTCTTTCTGTGACAATGCGCATCATTCCTGCATTAGTTTTTAACACCAGACTACCTACATTCATCATTTCCCTCATTTTTCTTTTATTTTCTTGCATTTGTGAATTAGTTCAAGAATGCTAGAAAAGTGTCGAGTTGTGCACATCCATTTCTTGTTTCACAATGTTTAAAAGTGACAGTAATTCATTTTGTAAACTAAAAAAAAAAAAAAAAAGGTTGGAATAGTGAGCATAATAGGTACAACCTAACACATTATTATGTTTATTAACTTTGAGACCCAGAAATAAATTCTTTTCTTTTCTTGATTCTTGCTCTTAAAAATACAAAAAAAAAAATGTTTTGTTTTGTGTTATTTTTGGTTTGTTTATTGGGGGGCTTTTTTTAATTGTCAGGATTATGATCTTGCTGTTTTTCTTCAATATGTATACAAGGTGATGTGAAAAGATGACTTGGGCAGAGGAGTAAGAACAAGTAGGCTTGTTCTTCTACTTTGCTTCAGAATTCAGTTAATGCCAAAAGCGAAGATCAAGCCCATGTTGATGTCTCGTTGCTCACCTGCATTTCCAGAGAGTGTGACACTCATGCAGTCCCTGAGAAAAATAAAATCAGGGACATACTTCTCCTTTTAGCCTTTTAAAAATTCAAAAACGTTTAGTCCAAGGGAACTTTTTATGCTATCAGGAAAGGTTTTTGCTGTTTTTGATTCTGATTATCACAGCCAAGTACTTTGTTTTATTTCTCCCTAATTAATAACTACATTCCATGAGGCCTCTTCCAACCAAAGAGGCCTTTTCTTCCAGGAGAGTCCCGCAGGAGATGCTGGTATGATGGGCACCATTGGTTAAGTAAACTACATGCAGGAAGAAGTCCTTGGGGCCAGTCTGCCAGCTGAGTCCTGGTTTTGGATGAAGAGTTAATGAGATATTGGGCCAGGCTCAATGCTGTAGTTTTAATGCTAAGAGGTTACGTTTACTTCACAGAGTACACCTCTTAGTAACCTCTGACTTAGGCAGCTGCTTAAAGCAAATTGCAAAACTGGCTTGATTTGGAATGTTTTTATTAGAGGAAAAAAGAAAGCCATATTATCTGGAAAAAAATTCATTTTAAATACCATCATTCAACAAATTATGTTCAGAAAGTGGTCAGAACTTAAGCAAGAAAAGTAAAGAAAGAATGCAGAATTGTGGAGCAATGCTTTAGGAAATATTTCTACCTGAACACTTGTACTCTTGAAGTCACAACAAAATAATGATGAGCTTTTCACATCACCTTTATGGTTTCAATCCCTAGCTCAAAGCTTCCTGGAATCTTTTATTTTTTGTAAACTTTTTTTTCTTTTGTTAAAATAAATAAAACATTCAATGTTTTTCTCCTTTTCTCTCTTATTACTTCTTTCCTTTGGCATTTTCAATTTGAAATGCTTTCCTTTGGTTGTTGGTTTTATTCTCCCCCTACCCCTCCCCTTTTCTTATTATTCAGAATATAAACCTGCAAAGCTCTGCTCTGTTTTGGTTTTGAAAGTTTAAGCTTTTCTGCTTCTGTGAGAGCACAGGCTTCTGTCCCTTTTGATTCCAACTGAACTTTTGTGTTCTCTAATGATACTAACACGGTGTAGGTTTTACAGTCTCCTAATTTGTACTGGTAATGCATATTCCAAATAAATAGTTTCTTTTGTTGCAAAAAAAAATACTTGTATTTTGTGCACATTTCTTTTCTTACATGCTGGCAACTTCTCTTTCCCCAAACTAGGCCTGCATTAGTGTAGATTATGGTTTAAACTGTTGCCCTAATCACTGAAAAGTCTACATACTATGGTGGTGGGGCAGAGACCTTATGGACCACCTTCTTCACTCAGGAAATAAGAAGGAAGGAAGGAAGGATCATTTGTGGGTAAACAATAGCTGTATTACAGAGGGACAGAGCACCCCATCTTGTCTGCTTGCTACTGGCAGCCATCCACCAAGCACCAGTTCAGAGAAATGCCAGGAGTATTTTCCATAATAAATTCTAAGTTCCTAAGTCATGGCTGTTTGCCCAGTGATTCTCCTTTTCTTCTCTTTGTCTGCTGTGATCTGGTCATAAGAAAAATTGTGGTTCCCAAGAGATATTTCAGGGGAAGGAATCTAGGTTACAAATAATACCCAGTTGTAGGCTCTCAGGAGTGTGATAGATGTTACTCCCAACAGATGTGCATCTCTACCATCTGTTATGCCTACCATCCCAAAGGAGCATCTCTTCCAATAGTCTGCACTCATATTGAACCCCTGACCTTTGAGGTTTCGAAGTGTTACAGAGTGTGGTATCCCCAGTGTTCTAGCTGGAACACCAGGCCTCCACACCTAAGTCTGTGCCCAAGTCTTTAACACCATCTTCCCATCCATAGAGTGGGATGGAACTCCTTGTCTGCCTTTTGACATGTTACTCTAGGGCCATCACATGCATTACATTCTCATTTTCATGCTGTAGCTCTCCTATGAGGCTCTGTCCAGATCCTCTATGAGATGAGTATGTATTGAAAGTTGAGGTAATAATCACTTATCCCAATCACAATTCTAAATGATAGAAACTAGATCAAAGCATCCCCAGCCTATGGGAATCAAATTATCATTTTTATTAATGGACAAGCTAAGTGCCCATTGGCCTCCAAAGTTTACAGCTATCTGCTAATGTTGAGTTGGTGAGTGTCACCAGAAGCCAAAATGGAGGACTCGTGTTCTCTCTTCAAATCTAAACATTGGAATATACTTACGGGAGCAAGCAGGCTCCGATTACTTCCTTTTTCAATTGCATGGAAAATTAGGGGCTAACTCACCCACCTAGTGTATTACTTAGAGTGGTACTAAATAGATGTAAGAAACAGACCAAAAATGTATACTGCCTCAAATGCAATACAAGCTATTTCTCACTTACGGTATAGCCTAAGGCAAATGTCCCTGGTCATTGCCTCTCCTTGAAGTAATTTGGGGATCTAGCTGCTTCTACTCTGTGGCTCATCCATCCTCCAAGAATCTGTAGCTTTTCACATCTAGCCCACAGAAGGGAAAGGGTGTGAAGAAGGCCCACCCGCTTCTTGAAAGCCTTGACCAAGACTTCCATTCATATTCCTAAATGCAAGGGTTAGGGGTAGGCGTGGGGATTAGAAAAGTAGTCCCTGGCTAGGCAGCCACTTCCTGGGAACAATTGCACACAGTAACTCTGTGGACAGCTGACTCTGTCCATCACACCTAGTGATGGGATAAGGAAGAGCAAAAGACAAGCCCATCTATAGCTGTTTCATTGACTGGACACACTTTCAGTAGAGACATTTCCATGTCAGCATTCCACACTTGGCTTGATTACTCTTCACAAAGAAGATCAAGAGAGGGATTTAACAGGGGCCAGAGATGTCCAATCCAATATTGCCCACTTAAAGTAGAGGAAACAGAAGTCTCCACCTCTATAGAAATGTAAGAATGTGAGAGAAACGACCCCTTTTTTCCGACGTTCTCCAAATGTTGTTTTCTAGCGTGCCTTAGCACCGAGCCTGTGGTCATTAGGAAGGGAGAGCTGCAGTACGTTAGGGCCACCTTGTTGCCATCTTCGGGTCACACTGACATGTTTACTGCTAGCTGGAAGAATCAAGTCTGGCAGCCAGCAGTCATCTTAAAGAGTATGGTAAAGTGTAGGTCTAACCCCTTAAAATCACAAAATCTCATACGCTCACCCCTTCTCCCAAACCATAGATTTGTACATGGCTATCCTTATAGATTAGACTTCCACCAAATCCCCATTTTATTTATTTATTTTTATTTATTTTATTTTTTTTTTTGAGACGGTATCTCGTGTGATCTCTGCTCACTGCAACCTCCACCTCCTGGGTTCAAGCAATTCTCCTGCCTCAGCCTCCCAAGTAGTTTGGATTACAGGCATGCACCACCATGCCCAAATAATTTTTGTAATTATAGTAGAGACGAGGTCTCACCATGTTGGCCAGGCTGGTCTCGAACTCCTGGCCTCAAGTGATCCTCCTGCCTTGGTCTCCCAAAGAACTGGGATTACAGGCATGAGCCACCGCACCTGGCCAAATCCCCATTTCAAAAACAGACATGACTGGTCCAAGTGCAGTCGTGTTTGCAACTAATTGATTACAACCAGTTACAGATTCCTTTGTTCCTTCTCCACTCCCACTGCTTACTTTGATAAGCCTTTTAAATTAAAAAAAATTTTTTTTTAAAACATGCAACAAAATGTCAATTTTACTGACCACCATTTCGTATGCAGAATATAGCCTTCCTTCTGGAAACATCCATTGTGGAGAAAGGCACAAGAACCTAGTCTTATCAAATCATTCAGTGGGTAAGTTCAAGAAGGTTGTTTTAATCTGGATCCTTGAATCAGGAATGATGTTCTGCTTTGGGGAGTTCCCTCTCATTCCTGCATAAAAGCTACTATAGTGTACAAAGAAGTAAGTGGTTTTGCTGACCACCGAGGCCAGTGTGATTCAACCTATGGCTTCCAGCCTTAGGCAGACTTCTGAGGTCACCTTGGGCATGGTAGAGGTGAGGTAAGGAAGGTTGTAAAGGGTTATAGCAGTGGCATTGCCCAGGACCACATTCTTTGGAGAATCATTGTCCTTGTATATCCTCCCAGGACCCATGCAAAAGACAATGCAGCTCTTATTTCTGGATGCTTCTAGATAGATCAAAACGGTGCATTCATTAATATCCAGGTTCTCCTGTACCCTCAGCCAAAATTCACTCTCTCCCACAATGCCCAGTCACATGACATAGCTCACCAGAGTTATCCTCCTCTCTCTCTCTCTCTTTTTTTTTTTTTTTTTTTTTGAGACGGGGTCTTGCTGTTTCACCAGGCTGGAGTGAGGTGGCACGAACATGGCTCACTGCAGTCTCGACCTCCCTGAGCTCAAATGATCCTCCCACCTCAGCTACCCAAGTAGCTGGGACTTCAGGCATGCACCATACCCGGCTAATGTTTGTATTTTCTGTAGAGATGAGGTCTTGCCATGTTGCTCAAGCTGGTCTCGAACTCCTGGGTTCAAGCAATCTGCCTACATTGGCCTCCCAAAGTGCTAGGATTATAGGCGTGAGCCACCACGCCTAGGTTCCTCTCTTTTAAATTAAAATTCAAAGGAATATTAGTCTACACCTCCACAGTCTCCAATTTCCTCCTGCTGTGTTCATTCCCAGCCAGTACACCCTCACTCCATTGCCAGAAGTAAAGTCGAAGGCCTGCCTTCTATAGCAGCAGCTGGCCTCTTATATTGAAATGAGGAAAATCATTCTGCCCCCTCCAAAGTTAAATTAATCCAACCTTGAATCTTTCTAGTATCCCATTTTTTTTCTAGAAAGTCACTTGGTAGGCATTTGAACCATATCCCAGTGTTGGCCTGACCCACAGAATTTAGAAAACACAGCAAAGCTCAGACTCCTACAGCACAATTACATTTCCAGAACCCAGAGCATGGAACATGACCAGTGGTAACAAATGACCATAGAAGAGATTTGAAAACTTGGTGAGGAAGCAGGAAAGACAGAGAGCACGTGAGAAAGCAAAAATACAATTTTTATTTCAGTCTTTACAATGCCAGTTGAGTACTATCAAATAGAATGTTGAAAAACAGCCACCAACAAGAGGTTAATTTTGCACTCTGCTTCCTATATCCTGAGGGAAACAATCCGATCTATGCATTCTGCCTCCTTTCTCTGAGAATGACCTTTGAAATATTCATGTCTTTGTGAAAAATTCAAAAATGTAAAATGGGTCCTCTCCAGTCCACAGGCTCACTTGAGGCTCCCGCCTCCCCCTTGGTATTCATATACATATTTGAGATTTATCTTGATTTCCATTTCCCTTTAAACCCTGCATTCCTAATCCTAGATATGTTTATCCCTGTACCACTGTGACCTCTGCTGCTTCCTTCTCTGGAATTCCTCCAGCCCATGACCTTCTCTGGGCTTTTCCTTTGTCTCAATTGGAGTCAAGCTCAAATCCTGAAGCAGGCCATTGTTGGTGCAGAGGGCAGGGCTTCTTCCCTGGGCACCACTCCCCACAAAGCCTCCCTTCCTTCTGCCTTGGAGTTCCAGGCCTTGAATAACTGGTGCTGCTTCAGTATTAGCAGAAACATTCCTTTCTGCCCTCCCCTTGAGATTTGCACCTGATGTTTCTCTCCTATTGTTCCTCAAATCCTTTTCAGCAGAGCCTGCAAGGTTTAAAATGTTCTAACCTGCTCCTTTCCCTGGTTCCATCCCTTCTCTGTCTTGCATAGGGCTCACTCTCTGCTGTTGGGCACAGACATTTGTTTTCCTAACATACTTCTCTAAATTATATTTTTAATTTTTTTTCAATATCTCTGGATCTGTCCAAAGCTTCCACTGTTCAGCTTTAATTCCTTGAGTTGAGTAATGCTTCATAGGCGGAGTCTTCCCAGGAGCACACACCCAGGCTCAGCCATTACATGGCTGTAGTGTGTTTCCGCCCTCCCAGGAGCCCTCCCTTAGAGCCCATTTCCTATGCTACACCTTCAGAACACATGACAGGTCTGTTTCTCTATACATATAACTGCTATGTTGGAATTCACTAATAATCCTTCAAGTATTTTCCTCTGATCTTCTTGATTTTCCCCTCTCAAATGTGTCCACCTTTTCTGTTCGCACCTAGTGAAGTCTTCTGAATCACCAGTGAGAACATTTCCAATTGCTGCCATAACTGGTCCCCTATCTGCTGCTTTGGGTGCTTTCTGGATCCTTTGGTATTGAGGAACACATTGGTTGCTCACTAGATCCTAAAAGCAAGACCACACATACTTGAATCCCAGCTCTGCTACTGCCAGGTTCTTCCTGATGCCACTTCTGACAACAGATGAGAAGTTTTCTTCCAATTCCCCAAAACCAACTAGGTGTCCTACAATCCAACTCAATTCTGACACCAACTACCCGGAATTAGCTTCAGACTCCTAAGGTTTAAGGGCTCAGTCCCACAAGCCTGCCCTCACATCAGACACCAGCAACAAGTATTGTGTCACCTGTACTTCTGGTGACTGGCTAAAAATTGGGAGGTCTCATGACTCCCTCCTCAAATTCAATAATTTGCTGGAATAGCTCACAGGAGTCAGGAAGCCACTTTGCTTCCATTTAGCAGTTTATTATAAAGGATACAAATAAACAGCCAAACAGAGAGGCACATAGTGGGAGGTCTGGAAGGGTCCTAAGCACAGGAGCCTCTAACCCCATGGAGTTGGGGTGTGCCACCCTCCTGGCATGTGGATGTGTTCACTAACTCAGAAGCTCCCTGAAACCCATTGTTTAGGGATCTCATGTAGATTTCATTAAATACATATGATTGACTAAATCATTGTCCATAGGCATTGGTGACGCAGGCTATAGCCTCTTACCCAGGAATTGTGGGGTGGGGCTGAAAGTTCTAACCTTTTAATCAAGTCTTGTTCTTTCTGGTGACCAGCTTCATACTTAAGCTGTCTAGTGGCCTGCCAAGAGTCACCTCATTAGAACAAAAGACTCTCCTATCACCCTTATCACTGAGGAAATTCCAACAGTTTCAGTTGTTCTGTACCAGGAACTGGGGACAAAGACCAAATTTCCCATTTTACCATAACTAATTACCAGCCATGTGACCTTTGATATGTTGCTTAATCTTTCTGTGCCTCAGTTTCCTCATCAATAAAATGAAGACAATTCTAGTATCTACTTCATAGAATTACAGGGAGGATTAAGTGAGTTAATATATGTAAAGCACTTAGAACAATGCCTGACACACAGTAAATGCTAAACATGTGTTAGTTATTAGTGTGATTTCTCTAACATATCTCTCTGGGTGCATCTTCAAGCCTGAACTAAGAATAATTAAAATATTGTCCTGTTTCCTAGCTCCATTATAAACTGTTAGCTATGGGTATATTTTCTTTCTTTTATATCAAGCTAGCCTGGCTGCTAAGATCTTACTCTTCCTGAAAAAGTTCTTGTCATCTCCCAGCTCAATCAGTGTGCTTGCCATCATTTCTTATTCACTTTTCCACTGCTCCTATTTTGTTTACAAAAATTACAAACTTAAAAAAAAAAGATACTGATTCCATTTCTCCTAGAAAATCTGAGCGAACCTGATTCCTAGGGACAAAGAGTCCAAGTATGTGCCTTGTAAATGTCTTTTTTAGCCTCAGGTTTGTAAAAATGTCACTAAAATATTTCTGCACCTCAGCTCAAGAGTAGATGAACACCTCCAATAAACAAGGGCCTCATTCCTTTGTGTCAGTTCACTGATAAAATGCTCTGTCACCACCCCCAGAGCCAGCACACACACACACACACACACACACACACACGCTGTGGCTGACAGCAAATCTGAGTTTCTGAAACCACAACTCTCATAAGAGCCATCTTGCAATCCTGTGGTAGGGGTCTCAAGCCTCACTAATGTTTCCTTTATGGATCTTGTATTTCAATTAAACAAAGAGGAAGGGAGAATTTGGGGTGACTGTGCAGTGTGGCCCACCTATGCCTAGTACAATCTAAAGGCCCAAATGAATAAATGAATGAAGAATTGCAAAGCAAACACTGGAAGGGATATTCAGGCCTGCTAGACATCCCAGAATCTCATCTTAAGAAAATTTAGAATTCTTCAAACAAATCACAAACTTGGTGCTTAGAAGGGAAGTAGGCAAAGTTGGTCTTGGACAAAACTACGCTGTTATTGAAGTTTGTCTTCATACGTGCCGTGTACTTTCTTTGAATCCTTGTTCTCTCCTAGTGCTTTTTTTCTAGGCTTCAAATGACCAAGGTGCTGGAGATTTTACTTTAGGGAGAAAGGATGTATAAAATACTTGAATGTGTAAAATCTTCTAATGCTAGTCTTTGGCTTATTTGCAAGTCTGCCAGACTGACCTAACCTCAGTTGAAGGCTAGGGGTTTCCAGCTTCTTACCAACCAATACAAGGAGCAATGGCTGAATGGAAATCAAGAAAACATTTTTATTGATGACAGAAGGGATACCCGGTTGTTCCCCAAATGCAGAGCTCTGGTAAACTTTCTTAGAGAATGGAACAATCTCCCATCTCTTACCTCAAATCTAAGAAAAAGGGCCTTCTGTCCAGGCTGGCCTGGATCATTCTCCAGGTACATCTATGGGGATAGAACAGTGGCCCCTGGAGAGCCCTGAATTCCTGCATAGCCATATGGACTGGGAGCTCAAGCAGGGCCCTCTGCATTTGGTTTCAGAGAACAAGAGACTGTGACTGCATCAATCATATTAACCATTTATCCTCTGCACCCAAGTTTATTCCAGTCAAATCACTGCATCTTGACCTTTAATGACATAAAACCAGCTCTTTCACTTGTAGGTCTGCAGTCCTAGCTCTCTGCACATCACTGCTTTATTCAGATTGTCTAGACTCCCTCTTTGGGACTTTCTATGCATTGCCAATACCCCCTCTATGCAAATAGCAAAATCTCTGCTGAAAAGTTTGTGAGTCCTCTTGGCCCCTCTTGCTGGGGGTTGTTACTTAGGAAATCATGAACATTGACAAGCTATCTGTAAATCAGCCTTGCATTTCTTCAACAAGCAAGCATGTACTGGCCACCTCCTATGTGCCAGGCACTGCTCTGTACCCCAGGCGAATCTTCTGCTAGCACTGCCACTGGAAATACTGGCTCAATATGATGCAAGATTAAACAAAACACAACCCAAATCTCTGGGTCCTTGGTCAGGAATACAACTGTATTTATCAATGTACAAGCTTGGACAAGAATTTAAAATTATGATGTCCATTAACAAAGCCAGGAAGAAATAGAATTAGACTGGGCTTATGGGAACAGATGTAGATTAAAATTTTAAAAGTTCTTACAATTGGATGACTTGGAGTAGCTAATCCTATCATGGGATGGAACTATAGGAAGCCCAAGAAAGCTGCTCAAGAAATGTTATGACCCAATTACTTCAAATCATCTAGCTTCAAGGAGAGGTGGAAGGATGCTAGGCAGGAATCCCTCACACCCAGAAGCAGTGGTGATGTTGATTTAAAACCTTCTCAAGTCTGGATTATAGCTACTCCACCTTCCCCCAAGTCATGCAGGTGTATAATTCCAAACAATTCAATCAATACTTATTGACAGCTGAATGCTGGGAATACACTAGTGCATGATCACTTAGATGAGTTAGCAATTGCTTTCTTTAAAGAATGTATGTAGATTTAGGTTGCTCTGTGGAGGAAAAGAAATACTGTTAAAATGATAGATAATGAACATTCTGAATTCTGAGGGGGCTTTATTAATCTTTTCTCCTTTTTACTAGGTTCAAGTAAAAATTGCTGACTCCAGCCAGACTGGTCTTCTTATAGCACCCCTAGAAATTCCAAGCTTATTTCTTTCTTTTTGCCTTTTTACCTTTGCTCATGATGCCATGATGTCAGCCACCTAGAATGATGGCCCCTAACACACTCAGACCCACTTACGTACTCCTTCTTCAAGCAGGTGTCCATGTCTTCTATGCAGAAGACATGCATAGAATATGCATAGACATTCTATTTCTCCTTCCTGAAGTTATCCACCTCTCCACTGAGCTCCTCTAGTGTGTCTTTGGTCCTGCCTTGAATTACCTTTCAATGTCTTGGCTCCCCACATAAATTACTAGAATTCAAGGATCCGATCTCCCTCACATACAGAACAAAGCACCTCGTGACACACTTAGTACTTGCTCAGACAAGAGAGGGAGGAAGGAACGAAGGCAAAAAAGAAGAGGGAGAAAGGGAATAAAACAGTGAAGGAGAGCGCAGATGGGGAAAAGACAGGAAAATACAGAGAGAAGGGGTGGGAGGTTTGGGATAGAGGAGTAGCATGGTGTAGGAGGAGGTGGAAAGGGCAAAAGAGGAGAGAAAAATTGAAGGAACAAAAAAGAGGAAAGGGAATACAGAGAAGGGAGGAAAAGATTTTAAAGGAGAAATGTTAAGAGAGGAAGGAAAAGAGGGAGAGATTGAAGCCATTCAAGTAAGGCGTATAAGGCATGAGAGATATGTCGCCTCCTTTCTCCCTAAAGGGAGATCTCAGGATCTCGGTAGTTAGAAGTCAAAAAAGGGGCACTGATAGAGAACGAGGCCTCAAAGTGATTACACAGCAGGTATGAAGACAAACTTCCATGGCGTGCCCTTGTCGTTTTGTTTAAGAGCAGCTCTGCTTAACTCACTTCTAAATATCAAGTTTGTGATTTATTTAAAGAATCCTAATTGTTCTTGAGATGATGACCTGGATTGTCTAACAAACCTGAATATTCCTGCCAGTGTTTGGCTTGAACATATAGTTATTTTAAACTATCCATTTATTTATTCCTTCACTTAGCAAATATTGAACAAATACCTCCCCACCGCTCCACCGTGTGCCAGGCACTAGACTAGGTAATAAGGAAAAAACTTTGACCAAATTGTCTGTTGTCAGGGATCTTAGGTTCCAGCAGAAGAGGAAACCAACAATAAACACAATAAATAAGTGTACCAAATGGTGTGTTAGAAGTGACAAGTGCTAAGGGAAAGAGGTAAGAAAGGAGGGTAGAAGTTCTGGAGTAAATCAAGGTAGGGTGGTCCAGAGGATTGACTAAAAAGGTGATTTTGAGCAAGCTGTGGAAGGAATAAGGAAATAAACCATTAGGTTATCTGAGAAGAGTATTCCAGGCAGAGAACAGCTCATGCAAAGGCCCTGGGGCAGGAACATATGTGGTAGGTTTGAGGAATTGCAAGGAGCCCAAGGTGGCTGGATCAGAGAAAGTGAGGGGAAGACTGTCAGATGATGCAGTCAGAAATTTAATGGTGAAAGGGAGGGGCAGATTACATAGGGCCTCTTGTAAGGTCTAGTAACAACTTTAGCTATTCTTTTGAGTGAACCTGGAGGCCTTGGAATGTTTGGGATAGAGGAGTAGCATTATATGACTTAAGTTTTAACGTGTGACTCTGGCAGCAGTGCTGTGAATAGACCACAGGGAAGCAGGTTTGGAAATAGGAAGACCAGTGAGGAGGCAATTGCAATATTTGGGGCAGAAGTTGATAGTGTGAGGACCCAGAGAAAATCCTGGAATAAGGAAAGTTCATTTGCCTTCACTAGACCTTCCTTTGCACACACGATTTCTCCTGCCTGGAATGACTGTCTTCATGCTAGAACACCTTCCCGGGTTTCAAAGCTCAGTGCCAATGCCACTCATTCCTGAGTTCCCACCAAGGATTATTGCTTCCACAGCACCCTATTTATCCCTCTCTTGTAGCACTCATCCTATTGCGTTGCAATTACTCATTTACCTTTCTGGCTCTCTTCCGAACCAAGAACACTTTTATGTCAGCTTAGTTCAAACATTGATACTAAGTGGGAATAAAAAGGTGAATAAGATGTTATCCCAATTACCATCTCATATAGGAGAAGACGGAACAACTGCCCCCACATTTGGTTCATAGTTTTCAGATTAATACGTGAACAGAGATTTACCAGAAGCCAAACCACCATGGGCTGGAGATATGGTGGTTTTGGCTTATTTGCAACACTGTTTAATGTGTCATAGTATAGGGCTTCATCTGCTGCCCCCACAGCTCCCCTTGGCTACTTCCCCAGCACTCGGTCCAGCCAACACCATTGCCAATAGATGCTACAGTGTTGAGAGCTAAGGATCTTGTCAAAGTGAGAGAGGGAGACCCTGTGGAAGATTCCAGGAAGCAGGGAGTGCAAGATGATTAAAGGTAGTTGTGGATGTATTTATTTTTTTCTGTAGTGGTGGTTGTTGATGCAAAGCTGTCTCTCTGGAGTCTCTAGTGACATTTGTTACTTGACTTTCCAGTTCTTAAACAGAAATTCTGTCCTTTTCATTGAATTGCTCCTCTTTTGCTAATGCTCTGTCTTCCCCAAGTCCCAGGCAGAGCATTTGACATTTGTTATTGGTACAAGAGCATCATTTGCTGAGTGTGGTAAAAAAAAAGTTTCCCAAAGGGGGGAAATGAATGATTATCTCAGATCTCCTCACCCTTCTCTTCCTTCAGACACAACAGCAATCCCCAGCCATGCTGGGCCCTGGCAGGGAGCTGCCCTAATCGGTTTTACATTGTAGCTGCATGGAGATCTGTTGTGATAATTGTAGATGCGTTAGCAGAGGGCAAGGGGTGACAGATTGTGGATTCACAGGACGTGCTGAGGTGGGGGCTCAGTGATGTTTATTTCTTAAAGTCCCTAGCTAGGGAAAGGTATTGTTCCTCTAATCAACACATGTTTCCCGAGAGCCTACTGTGAACCAGGCATTGTTCTGAGTGCCAGGGATGACAAGCAAAAATAAAAACATCCAGTTCCTACTCTCAGGGTGTTTACTGTCTAGTGGGGGTATCTAATATCAATCCAATATTCACTCAGGTAAGTGTAAATCTGCAACTCTGATATGTAATATGAAAAAAGATATGTGATCCTATGAGAGCCTATAGTAAAGAGAATTGAATTTGTCAACGGGGTCAACAATGTCTTCTTGAGAAGTTGCCTCTCAGGCTATAAACTGACAAATTAGTTAAATATGGACAGAAAGAGAGTCCTAGGCAGAAGGCAGAGTAGATACAAAGGTTGTGCTGGAGGAGGGAATCTGGCGGATACCAGTACCTGAATACAGATCAGAGAGAGCAAGGAATGGTCCCCAAGGAAGATGAGGAAGACAGGGAGGTCGAGAAGGGAGGACCACATGAGGTGGCATGTTTTCACTCATTTTTCATGCCCCAGAGCACCTGCACAGAGTAGTTCTCAGTAAGGAGCACAAGCTCTGATAGAATAGTGGTTTCATTCATTCATCTTCCCAGCAATTACTTACTGAGTAGCATCTTTGTGTTTAAAAGCAGGGATAATAAGAGGAATAGTCCCCATGTTCTTCCCTCGTGAGCTCAGTCTGGTAAGCTGTGAAATAGAAAAATGACCCTAAGTGATATTATCAAGTTATGTTTAATTGCCACGGGCAGGGTGACTCAAGTGTGGTGAGTTGTGGAGGGGCCAGGGGAAACTTGGAAGGGGAGGGAAGATGTGGGTCACTGTTGCTGGCAGGAGTAAGTTTAGAATCCATACTTTCTCCATTATTAACCCCAGGACCTGTTAGTTTCCCATACCTCCCTCCTCTCCCAGGCCCTAGCCCTTCAGCCTCCAGTGCCATTCAGTGTAAATCTTTCTTGGAGAGTTGTTTCTCCTTGTGGTCATACAGTAACAGGCTACTAAACTTGCCTGTGGGGTGAATTACGAGCTGGTCCCTGGAGCCCCAGCCTCTGTTGCCCACGGAATGAACTGTGGCGCTCCAGGCTGCTGGGCTTTTTATTTATTTATTTGTTTGCTTTAGCATATTTTAATCTGATCATTAAATTGCAATCTGCCACCCATCCCCAACCCCAACTGTCTTCAGATGGAACAGATTTTTCATAGGTAATGATACCTATAAACTTCAGGGATGGCAGCCACCAGAGCAAACTGGGGGAGGGAAGGGTGAGGGGTTGCAAAAACATCTTCCACCTGGCTGGACCTTGGCTGTCCTGCTATTGCCGTGGGTCAGCCTGGCCTATCCCAGGGCAGCTAGAATGGCCAAGTTCCCCTTGGCAGTACCAGTGACCTTTTCCTGCCTAAGAAATGTATGCTCAGAAGGCAGAAGTGAGCCTCTGCACCTTGTCCCTGCATGCAAAAGATCATCCCTGTTCCACATTGTGCCAGGCAGTAAAGGTGTCACACAACCTGCCTTTATGGTGTTGCATGGGGAGAGATCTGCACTGATAAATCAAAGGCAAAGAGGTTGCCAGATGGTGCCATGGAGCTCATGTTCCCGAGGTCATCCGTCTGATCTAGTGCTGCCCTGCACTGGGGGGATTGCCATCTGATGGCAGGGTCACGACCCCACAGACAGTGACAGTCACCATGGTTATAATATTGGCACCACCAATTTGTCTAGCATTTTATAAGGTGTACTGACACATTCCTCTGGAGCTTCAGAACAATCCTGTGATTGCAAAAGGGCAGGTGTCATGATTCCCATTCTGCAGGTGATGAAACTGAGATGAGGGGACTAAGGAGTAAATTGCTCAAGGAAGTACCTGGCTCATAGCCAGTTCTCATTAAATGTGTGTTGAATGAATGGATCCGTTTATGCTGCCCTAAAGCATTCTCAAAGGAACATCTCAAGGTTTGCTTCTAGAATCACATTCAGAGAAAAGTTAGGATTGAGATCCTGAGAGCCTGCAGCTTCCACCCGAACCAGCTGGATAAGAAATCACCACCAATTTCTTTTTAATTAATTTGTCTGCATGCCAGAGTGCTTGACACTGGAAAAGGTGTTTTGAAGGTATGGGTGCATAGTAGGCAGGAAAAGTTACGTCTTCATGTTATCATGCTTACCATGGACCAGGCACAGTTCTACGATTTTTGCACATACTCAGTTCTCTCAACAGCTCTAAGTAGGTGCTATTATTATATTCATTACAAACGAAGAAACTGAAGCACAGTGAGGCTGATCCACTTTCCAAAAGGTACAAAGATACAAAGCAGAGGAGCCGAGAATCTGGCTTCAGAGTTGGAGCTGTTGACTGCTTTGCCATACCACCTCATACTTAATTTTTTTCCAGAATATGCACATTCCTGCTCTACATATCTATTGTCCTAAACATTGCACTGCCAGCATCCAGGTACAGGTGAAATGACAGAAAGAATTCTTGCCTCAGTGTGGAAATGGAGGCTCAGGAAATGATGGGGAAAGGGGTAATAGCAGACATCTTTGCTGCATTAAAGTAAAATTTCTCAGACATTTCAAAGAAATAAACTGTCAATGCCATGACAAGTCCCTGCACTTTCTGTAGCCTCAGGAAGTGGACTCAAGGCACACAGTTACCTCAATTCTTTCAGGAGAAAGGGGCATGCAATCTGGAGATAAATATCAGTACTCTAAGCTTCCAGTTCGTACACCAGCCACCAGATCATGGCGCTTAAAAACTTGTACTATTGTTTTAAATCTATGTTTTAAAACCAATAAAGCCAAAAATATATTCTTATTCATTATTCTGTAACTTATGTGGCATCAATGATCAAATTGCCTCTCAATGAAGGAGTAGGATTTACATAAACTTGGGTGAAGCAGATGACACAGTAATCTACTCACACACTGGATATCTTCACGCTTGTAGCTCTTCATCTGCCAGTGGGCAACCTGCAGAAGAGGCTGTGGTCCCAGCTCAGCCTATTGCCTAGAATTTCTCCATGTTACCCAGCCATGGAGTCACAGGAAGCACAGGAAATGTCACCAGATACCAGAATACTTGGTGACAACATAGGACAGCAACAGACAAACTGTGACCCAAAGCCACTGTGCCAAGAAGCCATCCTTGAATGACATTCTCTATTGATAATCTTACCTGGTTTATGAGCTGTTCACAGAGATATCATGCTGATCCTGACTTTACAATTATAGAGACCTTCCTATTCTAACCAGAAGTGTAGGCACTATCCCTTATCTGGCTCCAGTCAGAGTAACTGTAACCATGACTTAGATGCTAATTCACAACTGGTGGCTGATGGATGAGTTGTTGATTATTTTATTATCTGTGTACTTCAATGTTCCCAAATTAAGCCAGATAACTATACTTTGAAGAATCATCCCATGGCTAAACCTTTAAGAAATAAATCTAATTTTAAAATAAATTATATGGCATCTGAGATTCAGAAGGGACCTTGAAAGTCCCCTGGCCCATTTCTCCTCTTTCTAAGCTGGACACAACCCTATGCCACCCAATCTGTGGGACCTGACTCCTGATACAGTGGCTGTTGATGGTTTTCAGCAAGAGAAACTCTTTCATTGAAAACATGGATTTCTAAGAAACCCTCTATAGAGACTGGATTAAAGAGAAGGAGGACAGCATCAGAAAAAGAGTCCACAGTGGAGATTAGAAAATTTATTAGACAATGTGACACAGAGAAAGGGCACAAGCTTGGTACCCAGACAGCTCTAGGTTTTACATCTTCGATCTGCTGCTTAGGAACTGGGAGGTCTTGAGCAAGTTATTCAAACCTCTCTGAGACTTCTGAGGCTTCTTCTTCATCAGTAGAGCGGGAATCTCTGGGTTGCCAAGATTCATGAGATACTATATTCAAAAGACACAGCACATGCCCGACACACGGCAGTTGTTCCATCCATCTCATTTCCCTTTGTGCTTTCCCAGCATCCTACATTTGGCTTCACAGTCAGGACAGGCTATAAAATTGGGCTACGCAGACTACAGCTCAGAGACCATGCAGAAAAAAGAAAGCCCTGCTGGGGACAAAGTGCCTCAAGGTATTGAGGAGAAAGCCACCATTTGTGATTTGAAAATTCATGCACAGGTGCCCAAGGCAAATGGCCCCAGAGCCAGAGTGGGCCTATCCAGTCTGTAAAGTTGAGCATTCCATCTCAAATGGTGGCCTAAAAACTGGCCATCTCTGTCTTGATACACCTTTCCCATTAGCTTGGAGGGTTCACGAAACATTTGCAGAAAGAATTATAAATAAACCCCAGAATCAGCCAGATACCCAGGAAGAAAGGGAAGCGCGGGAGGAGTCAGATGAGGTTTCAGTCACCGCTTACCAACTGCTTCATATCCCCCATGGATTTCTTGTCAATGATTATTCAATCTCAGGCCTGACCTTTCTATTCTAAATAACACTGCAATATCAGCGCGGCCCAGCCCGCAGCTTTTGCAGGAAATTAACTGTATCTGGCTCTCACAGGAGACCCAAGAAATCCCTTCAGTAACAGCCCAGACTGGTTTACAGAAAAAAAGACCCAGCATTATCTTCTTTTCATACACTCCTCCTAATACCCGTCTAAATATCACAGAGCTCCCAGCTGTTTAATTCTAATAAATACTCATCTATTCTCAAAACAGACAAATGTTAGGTCTCAGGTGGGCCCCCAGCATTTCATGTGGGAGGAAGAAGAGAATACGGAGAAAGAGAGAAAATAGAGCGGCTCACTGCTAGCTTTAAATTTCCATCCGTGCACAATACCAGGCTAAGAAAATGGCTAATGGTTTCCAGTTGAGCCACAGCCAGAGGTGACTTCTGAGGGGGGCCATTTTTTTTAAACAGTGTCCGCCCCGAGATATTCTCTCTTCCCTCTGTGCAGCTCCACGCAGTGGGCAGGAATTTGAGGACCCCTGACCATGCTGTACATCTAGGCAGCTAGTGAGCCCAGAGGAGCAGGGATAGTTGACAGTTAAGGGTCCGGGCTTTTGTTGGGACATCTCCCTGCTCTGCGTTGGTGTTTGGACCTGAGTCCAGATGGTTACTTCATCTACAGGGACCCTACATGGAGTACAGGAAAGGTAGAGAGAGAAAGGCCTCCCATGACCTCTGAAACCTGGTTGATTTGCAAGCAGCATGGTCCAAGGGATGGGTGAGACAAAAGAAAAGAATCCTCTGCCATTTTGGCTTGGAAATGCCTGGATTTGGATAACGAGCATGAAGAAAATCTTTGTCTTCTGTCTCTCTGATTCCTAAAGAGCTCTTGCTTTCTTTAAACATACACAGTGGCAAGGACTCAATGAGAGGCTTTTATGGAAGATCTGGGCTTGTCCACAGAGGCTCCTAGCAGTCTGCGAGCCTGGCATCTTCCACCAGGTAATGCTCTGGTGGGATATGGTTCAGATTCTTTAAGTACCTCTAAAAGCCAGTTACAACCATTGTGATTCAGATGGCTCTGGGATGGCGAGACATTTCACATCTAGAGCAGCTACTGATTCTAATTGTCCTGAGCCTGAACTTTGTTTCCTCATCAGAGTCAGTGGTTCTCCAAGCAGGTTCAGGGCCCATTGCTGACAGGAGAGGAGGTTTCTCCCGGCCTTTGGCAGATGGGCCTCTGACAGTTTCAATAGTGTTTTTTCTGTCTCTGGCATGAATTAATAATGAGCTTTTATTTTAACAAAACCTAAACATCACCTCAATGATGCCACGCTGCAATCAGCCCAGGACTTTCCATGCAGTTGCTAAGGTTTATTTAGAACATTGTGCAACAGGCTATGGCCATACCACCCTGAACATGCCCGATCTCGTCAGAACACTGTGCAACAGTGACGATGGCAGTCATGATGACTTTACTCCACTGAAAAACCTGAAGACCACAATTCTAAGTCCATAGTTAAAACCCCAGGAGATCCATCTGCCTGTTTCTGCTCTGCTAGTCAGTAAGCCTGGATAAGCTCCCAGGCCAGGGTGAAGCAGGTTAACTTCCCACACTGGGCTCCAAGTGGGTCTGGCAGATTTCTAGAAGAGATGTGAGGACAAAATATGGCTACATATCTAGCCATTGGTTCACGTGTCCCTGAATCTCACATTGAAGCTTCTGGGCCATGGGTTTCATCCTAGCCAGCCCTGCTGTCACTCATTTAATGAGAGTTTACCGAGCACCTTCTATGTGCCAGGCTCGATTCTAAGTATCAGGGGTAGAGAACTCAAGTAGACCAAATAGTCCCTGCCCTCAGAGAGCACACTTTACGTTAGAGGAAAGGACATAAACAAGATAAATAGATAAAATGTGTAGAATATTAGGGATAAATGCTAAAGAAAAATATCAGCAGAGAAGAAACAGGTGAATGTTTGGCTAGAGCAGGCAGTGGGGCATGTAATTTTAGTCAGTTTGGCCTCACTGAGAAAGTGACATTTGAGTAAGACCTAAAAGAGGTGAGGCTACAAGCCCTTGGAATTTGGGGCAGAAGCAAGCCAGGCAGAGTATACAGCACATTCAAAGGTCCTGGGGTGGGACCATGCCTGGCATTTCAAGGAACGGCATGGAGGCCAGCAAGACTGGAGCAGAGAGAACAGGAGGGAGAACAGCTGGTACAGTAACTAAGAGATCCATTAGTTCACAGCCAGGACTACGAATTCTACTCAGAAAGACCTGAGGAAAGCTCAGGAGGGTTTAAGTAGAGGAACACTTATTTTAGGACTCAGGAGACCTAGGCCCTGATATCTTTTGCTACTTACCAGCTCTATGATCAAGTAACTTTAATTATTCTCATTCTAAAATCACTTTTTCTCTATTGACTTTCTTTCTTTCTTTCTTTTCTTTCTTTCCTTCCTTCCTTCCTTCCTTCCTTCCTTCCTTCCTTCCTTCCTTCCTTCTTTCTTTCTTTCTTTCTTTCTTTCTTTCTTTCTTTCTTTCTTTCTTTCTTTCTTTCTTTCTTTCTTTCTTTCTTTCTTTCTTTCTTTCTTTCGAGATGAAGTCTTGCTCTGTCTCCCCAGGCTGGAGTGCAGTGGCACGATCTTAGCTCACTGCAACCTCTGCCTCCTGGGTTCAAGCAATTCTCTTGTCTCAGTCTCCCAAGTAATGGGATTACAGGCACGTGCCACCATGCCCAGCTAATTTTTGTACTTTTAGTAGAGACGGGGTTTCGCCATGTTGCCCAGGCTGGTCTTGAACTCCTGACCTCAAGTGATCCACCCGCCTTGGCCTCCCAAAGTGCTGGGATTACAGGCATGAGCCACTGCACCAGGCCTCTACTGACTTTAGTTTCATCACCTTTAACACGAGGAGTTTGTGCTTTTGAATTCTAACATTTCTCTAGCTCTACCATTCTGTTATTCTAGCCAAACAAATCTAAAAGTAAATCAAATAAATCATTTGTTAGTGTCAAAAGGACACATTTCCACATCCTTCCTTGTTCAGGGTTCCTCTGGACAGGGTTCCAGTGGGAGGCCATGGGGCATCACTCCCCATCTCCTATTTTGCTCAAAGTTGCAGGGACAGATCAGAGGTATGAAACTCATCTACTCCTCTATGGGAGTCTTAAATCCCACCCCCACTCCCTTTTCACACCTGTCAACGAGATCAAGCTGATTACCTAAAACACTCTAGTTTTATAATCATTATTTCATCCTATTTAATTGAGCCCCTATGGCATACCCTGCCTTATTAAAAAGTCAGCCAAAGACAGAGGGGAAGGATCAGACAGGTTCCCCATCCTTTTGCAGAGTTGATGATCTTGTCAGATAACATCTTGTTTAGTCTAAAACTAGAAAAATGTACTCATAGGATTCACCTAAGTAAGGTTACAAAAATTGTAAACAGCAGGTGCTTAATGAGATCATGCACAGTGTGTGCTGCAGGGGCTCAGAGAATAGAGTGCTTTCAGTGGGCAGAGGGACTGAGGAGACCTCTGAGGGAGGTAGGGAGAGAGCCAGGCCTTGGAAGCTAGGTAGGATTTTAATGGGCATATATTACTGCCTCCAACTTATTGGCCCAATAAAGCAGGCATTACATGGTGGGAAAATAAATGTGAAGCAGGTTGGCAGTGTAATGTGCATATGCACACAGGCACAGGCAGCTGCTGATTTGGGTTTTCCTGAACCGATCAAAATCATTTTTCTACAGATTTCATGGCACCTCACTTTAGGACACCCGAGTGACCCTGCCCCATCATGGACAGGTGGGATGGGGTCTTGGAGGAAACGTCAGGTCTGGAGATTAGCATTTCCCAGAGCCTTGCTTGGAGTTCTCAAGATATCTGCTGTTTTGCCAAATCTGCATCCCCTGGGAACCTGTGGGGAGCCTGTGAGGATAACTTGTACCCAAAGAGTGGTGAAGGTGGCCAAAGAACCTTCCACTATTGTTTGTCATCGAGGCCCCAAACCTCGGAGTTGGAAGGAAACTGCTCTCAGGAAGAATGGACCGCTCTCCTTCTTGCTGCTCTACTGCACACCATTCTCTATCATAGCACATGTTTAAACAAACATATACTTGTTTGTTTAAAAGAACACACCGAACTCAAAGTTTCCCTTTATAAGGATACAGCATCTTCCTCATCTCTGTGTCCCCTACTAGCAGATAGCATGTGTTCAATAAATATTGAAAGAAATAATACTCGAGCTCAGTTCATCTTAACCTTTTTGGGGTGGAATTTCAGGTCCCATAAAGGATCTGAAAAAGGCTATGGACCTTCTCCCTAGTGAAAAATGCACTTATTCATATACTTACAAGATTTTACAGATGATTTGTGGGGCACTTCGGCTACAGATTGAGCCCTGCTTTAAGGGCATAGTAAGCACTCTACAAAATTCTTCACAGGCAATCCTGCAGCCTTGGCCCCGACCATTCCAGTGGTGGGGAGTTCACTCCCTCTCCATGTGCGGACAGCATTCATGGTTAGAGGCATCATCTTTATATATTGTATAGCAACCTCCCTTTCTGTAACCCATATCTATAGTCCCTGTTCTCTTCTTAAACAGAAAGGAGCTGGAAATTTTCCATCACAAGGGATCTAATCCATCATGCACAAATGTTTATAGACACATGTCCTGAGCCTCCTTGAGCTTCTCTTGCCTCTGCTGTTTTTTGCTCTGATGGGGTTTACGTCTTCTCCCTATCCTGATTTTGTGTATTCAGAACAAAAACGTGGGTTATCAACACCCCTACTAAAGTGTGGTACCCAGAGAGAAGCAGAGGAGATGAGCATTATTTTTCTCTTTGTTCCAGACAATGCACTTGCCTTTATGCCGCCTAAGACTGCATTTGCTTTTTGGCAGCCACCACACACCATTGGCCTATAATGGGCAAGGAGTCATATAATGCTCCCAAGGCTTTTTTCAGGTGTGCTGCCGATAAGCCCTGTCTCCCCACTGGGCATTTGTGCAGCTTGCTGTTCAGATCTAATTGCAATACTTTTACATTTATCCTTGTTAAGTGCCATCCTATTAGATTTGGTCCTTGAGTCCAGCCTGGTGAGACATTTTTGGATCCTGATTTTGTCATTTAACATATTAGCTCATTACTCGCAGACAATGTGTTTAACATGCAGCAAAGAGCTACCACTTTTGGAGTATTTCTCCAACAGACATTGGGCTTTACACAGAATATTTCATTGTCCTTTCACTCCAGCTCTACAAAGAATGTGTTATAATCCTCATTTTATATTTATGGAAACTGACTCAGAAACTTTAGGTAACTTAGGCAAGGATACACAACCAGTATATGGTCGAGACAGGATTTGAACCCAACTCTGACTCTGAAGGTCATGTTCATAGCCACCCTACTATTTTTGCCTTCATCCAAGTCATTCATGTTTTGATCAGTACAGGACAGGATCAGAGCCTTGTGGCAAAAACCCTTGAGGACTTCAGGCGGAGAGGGTTGATTCATTCAATATGATTTCTTCTCTTTGCTTGGCATGTTACTTTCATGCTACTCACTATTATCCTAAGAAGTAGAGGACTGTTTGTTCACTGTTTTGAAGAAACACAGTTATAGTAATTCCCTGCCGTTCCATGAGCCCCCTTACCAAGTAGTAAATAATGTGAATGTGGCATGACTTGTTTTTCATGAATTCATGCTGGCCTCTGGAAGTCCCAGCTTATCTTACTACATGCTCTGAAGCCCTTGTTTAAAGAATTGAGTCTAGACTCTTGCCCAAGAATATTGCTGAGCCTTCTTATTTAACTTATTTGGTAGCTGGGAGATGGGGGGCAGGGGTAGGGGTTGGTGGTGACACCTTATTTCACCAGGCCTCTAAACACAGCATCAAAGGAAAGCCAGAGATATCCTTTTTGATATTCTCTCAACCACCGCACATGTCTTTTCCAGTTAATTATAGATCAATCTGCTGTGAATTTGCACAAAGTATTATTGAACACATTTTAAAATTCTAGCAAGTGTGACCTCAAACTATAGACTTTCATTTACATATGTGACTCTCAGAGCCAGTGCCCAATGACAACCTTATACATAAGCCTTACAATAACAGCTTAAAAAAAAATTACAGGAGTAAATACATTTTTACTGGCTTTTAATTTCAAAAATCCTAATAAAGTTTTGTAGTAGTTTATTTTGTGGAGATACATTTGACCCAAGATTACTGAGGAATTCAGAAAAAAAAAAAAAGAAAAAGAGGCATGAAAGGAGAGGAGAGGGCACACACCTTTTGTTCTGATTGTTGGCTTGAAAACAAAGACCTTTGCAGGTGAGCAGCTGATAAGGAGGCTGCATCTTCTAGAACTGTGAGATGTGTAAGGTTCAAGGAGCTATTCTCTTTTGGGGTATTTCACTTGAGCTTATCTTCACCCTATAGAATATAACTTAATATAAGAACTTGGGGACCATCATAGCCAGGGATTAGGCCCTCTCAGTGTGCAGTTCTGTTTTCCCCATCCATCAATGAGACTTCGCTTCGCCATTTCTCTCTGCTGTGAGATCCTCTGTCTTAGATTATATTTTATGTAAGCATATGTATTAGATCATGTATGTTATGATGTTATTTAACTATATGCGTTGTTGTGTATTCTATAATATTAAGTATAGATTTTTTACATGCACATACATTCTTACTGTATAATTTTTGTTCGTTTGTTTCTTTCTTTCTTTTTGTTTGTTTTTGAGACAGAATCTTACTTCATCACCCAGGCTGGAGTGTAGTGGTGCGATCTTGACTCACTGCAATCTCCGCCTCCTGGGTTCAAGCGATTCTCATGCCTCAGCCTCCCAAGTAGCTGGAATTCAGGCGTACGTCACCACGCCCAGCTAATTTTTGTATTTTTGGTAGAGACGAGTTTTCTCCATGTTGGCCTGGCTGGTCTCGAACTCCTGACCTCAAGTGATCTGCCTGCCTTGGCCTCCCAAATTGCTGGGATTACAGGCGTGAGCCACTGTGCCCAGCTTTACTGTGTAATTTTTACACATCAATCCACACTCACAATCATCTTACTATTGCATGTTTTAACAGAGGTGGAATTGTTACAGATCATTGTAGGTAGGAAAATGACGGACTCATTTGAGGAAAAAGCAAGAAGCTTTTTCCTCAAAACCTTCCTCCACTGCAAAACCCCCTTACAGGGAGACTAAAGACGTACAATCATATGGAGTCTCATTCTGTATAGATTCATAGAATGGAAGAAATACAACGACTTTTGAAATAATCAAAGCCACCTCCCCTCAGTGTGCTGGTGAAAAATCTGCAGTCCAGAGACACTTGCCTTACATGACAGGGCTTAATGTAGAGTTCATGCTGCCAGACCTCTGATGTGAAGTTAGGACTGAAAATCAAAGTTTATCAGGGCGTTACATCTGTGAAGGAAAAAAGCAAAGGAAGCACGACTGGGCTGGGAAGCTGTCAAACAGGGATACAGACATAAGGGAGCCCCAGAACAAAAATTACATTATTTTATTTATTTTATTTTATTTTTGAGAGACAGGGTCTCACTCTGTTGCCCAGGCTAGAGTGCAGTGGCATGATCATAGTTCACTGCAACCTTGACCTCTTGGGCTCAAGAGATCCTCACACTTCAGCCTCCCTTGTAGCTGGGACTACAGGCGTGTGCCACCATGCCCAGCTAATTTTTGTATTTTTTGTAGAGACAGGGTCTCAGTTGCCTAGGCTAGTCTCGAACTCCTGGGCTCAAGTGATCCCTCTGCCTCGGCTTCCCAAAGTACTGGAATTACTGGGGCAAGCCACCATGCCTGGGCCAAAAATCACCCTTTAGATGAGTCCCACCTTGGGCAAAAATGGCCAAACCCTTGAGCCACCGGCAGGCTCAGTCACTGCTTGAGGTGGACCTTAAGAGAGCTAGCAGGCAGGAGCTGGCAGCCAACCACACTCCTCTGAGCTGGGCAACCAGCCCTTTCTTAAAGGGATATGTGAAGGGCACATTTGCATGATTTTCATGTCTGTCACAGAACTGGAATGTAATCTTGTATTGGTTCTATATAAAAGTTCTAGAGAGATATTATTTTAGTGACTTTATAATAAAAGTAATGCTTATTTGTATTCATTGTGAAGCAAAAAAGTATTGTCTCAATAGATGCGTTGCAAATGCCAAAAAAGAAATGTATACCTATATATATTTGGTGTATGTGTATATATATATATATATACACACATACACCAAATGGTTTTTTATTAAAATATTTTATGGCAGGCATTTGGAAATGGCCTAAGGTGTCTCCAGAGTGGAGGTCAGTGAACTCAGAACAAACCCTTGAATATTCCATTAGTGAGTAGTTAGATGAGGTAATAAATAAATTATTATTAAGCACTTTGCAAATAGAGTGTTATGTAAATGCTAAATAATCATAATAATATAGTAGTATGCTGATCTTGATAAACAGGTTGGCTTCTATATCATTTAAAATGGATGGCGCAGCAGCGTCTGTGAAGATGAATGAGGTTCGCATTCACAAAGCTCAGTAACAGCACAGTCTCCTCTGCTAGGAGGCCGGGCCTCCTGGCTCGGAGTTGCTGCGTTCTCTTCCCCTCATTTCTCGGTGGGACAATTAGCAGAGGAGAGGGATTCTGGCCAGCTTGAAGAGGGTAGTAAAAAGGCTCCCATGCAGGGATATTGAAAGGAGACTTAGGTGAGTGCGCAGGGATCCGCGTTTCTGAGAACTCAGGGCTAATCTATAAGTGGGGGCGGGGCGGGGCAGGGAATTAACATTTATTGAGCGCCTCCTGTGACCCAGACACTGTGCTCGGTGCTCTGTGTTTATTATCTCATTTATCCTCCAGGCCAGCACATTAAGGTAATAGAAGAGTGGAATAAAGCCGAATGCATTACTAATTTCTGTGGAAAAGCAGAAGGCCTGACCCTAGCTGTTTTCTTCTTTGCATTCTGGAGTGAGATCTAGAAGAAGGGGAGAGTCCTCCAGGGAATGAGAGAAAGCCTGACCCAGTGATTTATCACAGCCCCCAAATGCTGGGACCTTTTAGGACACAGTTGTATGATGAAAAGAGGCACATCCTCCTTTAGGGCTACACCCAATAACTGCTCCTCCCGGCCCCCTGCCGTGCACCTAACTCACCCTGGACCTCACAGCCCCGCAGAGCCTCGTTCAGCCCTTTCTTTCACCTTAACAACATCTAGCAAACAGTGATAGAGGAAGTACCATGTGCCAAATACTCCACTAATGGCTTTATGTACATTATCTCATTTAATTCTGTGACAACCCTGTGAAGTAAGTTTTTTTTTTTGCCTGTAAGTTTCTCATTTTAGATGGAAACACTGAATTTTGTCAAGTAACTTGCCAAAAGTCACACAACTGGTTCAAGGGGGAGGTGAGAGAGCCAGGTTGGTCCATTCAGATCAAAATCCTCCTTATACCTGAGGATTATAGCCCAGTGATGGGCAAAAAAAAAAAACCCAAACCAAACAAGCAAAATCCAAATCCTCCTGATACTTGATATGTTATTCCTAATAATGATTAAACCCTTTGTTTAATGTGCCAGATTTTGAGGGTATAAAAGTAGCTCAAGGCTGGGCACAGTGGCTCACGCCTGTAATCCCAGCACTTTGGGAGGCAGAGGCGGACCGATCACTTGAGGTCAGGAATTCAAGACTTGCCTGGCCAACATGGTGAAACCGCCTGTCTCCTAAAAATATAAAAATTAGCCAGGCATGGTGGTGCATGCCTGTAATCCCAGCTACTCAGGAGGCTGAGGCAGGAGAATCACTTGAACCCAGTAGACAGAGGTTGCAGTGAGCTGAGATCGCGCCACTGCACTCCAACTTGGGCATTGGAATGAGACCTTGTCTCAAAAAAAAAAAAGTAGTTCAAGTGTTTATTCATTATTAAACATATTATGCTCAACTTCATTGAACATAATGACATATAATAAACTGTACATTTGAAGTGTACAATTTGGTAAGTTTTGACATACATATACACAAGTGATACACAAGTGATCACCACAACCAAGATAATGAACATATTCATCACATCCAAAAGTTTGCTTCTTTGTAATCCATTCTTCCTACCTCTTCTTGCCTCATCTTCTCCCCAGCCAACCACTGATGGGTTTTCTCTCACTAAAGTTAGCTTGCATTTTCTTGAGTTTTATATAAGTGGAATCCTGCACTATATACTCTTTCTTGTCTGGCTTCTTTCACTCAACCTAATTATTTTGAGATTCATCCAATGTTGTATTTTGTCTTTGTTTTATTTAGAGACATAAACACTTAGAGTGCTTAGTATGTATTTTATTTAATTTTAGCTTTGGACTCAGTTTAGAGTTCGAATTCCAGTTCTGTCATTTGTTATCTGTGTGCCAAATGGCAAGTTTCTTAATCTGTCTGAGGCTGTTTTTTTCCTCCATAATTAAAACTACATTATAGGGTTACTGTGAGGATTAGATGAGATAATATAGGTAAACTGCATAGCACAGCCTCTATTCATGGTAAGCATTTGATTTTGCAATTAAAATAAATTTTTAAAAAATAAAAATAAATTGTGCACCAAAATTCCTTTGATGTCTCCTAGATCCTCAATATCAGGTTAATAAAACAATAGCCTGCCTATGTTGTGCCAAGTAGAATACTTAATGTGGCATATGAATTAGCTTTTTTAATATTTGCAAGAAGACTGTGAAGTATGCAGTCACATTATAATCCCTTATTACAGATGATGAAACTGAGATGGAGAGGTAGTAGAATCAGGAATTGAACTGAGGCAGTCTGGCTCAAGGCTGTCATTTCCATTATGATCTGGCTACATTTCAATATGCAATGACATCACCCACTAGCCCTAGGGTTTTAGGGGAATTGCTATAGGAAAAAAAAAAATCTAAATATGAAGACCATGTCAGTAGCTAAGTAAAAGTTAGAGAAATGGGTAAAAAAACAAAATTATTATTGGAACACCAATTATGATTAAGGAATACCAATTATTTTAAATGTGTTATAGGAATATGTAGGAAATTTGAACTTATAAAATGTAATGCACACCTGATTTTAGGGTTAACTATGAGACAGTCAAAGACAAGGAATCTTTGAAGAAGAAATTATGGCAGCCGGAGCATAATCTGCCTTTCTGGAAGCATAGGAGAAACTTAAGTGTTCTTTGTATGAGCCTCAGGTTTTAGAGCAGACCCAAAAGGTAAGCCCACCACTGAGGCTGCACAGTCTCAGCTAAGCAAAGTGTACTCATCCCAAATCTGGGGATTAGCTGTCAATTAAGAGCCCATTGGAATAGCTGTTACAACAGAATGGAAAAATTCAACTATACCTTTGGTTTTCTTAAGTATAGTAATTGGTATTCACTAAAGATTTGAAATTTAGTGGAACAGAGGGAGAAAAATTTTAATTCAGTTCAGGTGAACAAACATTTATTTGCCTGATTGGCACAGAATTCACCTTTGAGAAACACCTATTTGGAGTTGGGGGCTAGGGAATGAAAGATATAAATAAAACAATTTCAGTGGTGAGAAAGGCCTGGATTTGAAAGATATTTAGAAGGCAAAATCAGTGGACTCAGTGGCTACCTGCAAGTAGGCATGAAGGGAAGGTTGGGGTTCTGGCCTTGGTAAATGTGAGCAACCGCTAAAACAGAGGATTCTGTAAACATAGGTGAGGAGGGCAATTTCTGTCATCTTGGGTTTGACATGTAACAGAAGATCTAAGTGGAAACCTCCAACAGGCAGTTGTGTTTGAAGATAACTGAGCCCAGGAATGAGGTCAGAGGTGAAGATCAGCATATAGGACACAGCTCAACTCATGCACTGGATGGGATCACCAAGGGAGCATGGATGGAGTAAGTCAACACGGTAGTCATGATGGTTAAATGTGTTTGGCCCAATACCAATATACCAAGGCATACTAAAGTAATGGGAGTGGATAATATGACCAGATAGATCTTTCCTATTCCAAACTTTTTCAAATCTACTTATTTTAACAATACATCATTTATTCCATGTGAATACATGCAAATTCTAATCCGTATTCCATTGAAATGCAGTACTTAAGGGGGAAAAGAACCCTAAAAAAACACAAAAGCCTACGCTGGGGGTGCTCCTTTACCTTAGTTGGGCAGTGGCTCTGGAAGTACCTGGGCTGGGGAATGAGGGCAGAGGTGCCAGTGGTATAGAAGAGCTATTTTGATGTATTGAAATCTGAATAAACCGTTGTGCCTCTCTGGCAGTTTTCCCTTCTGTCAAGGATGGAGAGGGTTAAGACATTTACCTGAAAAGAAGGCTTATGTTTTTCAATGTTTCTTTAATTATGTGTTGACTTCCCTGCACCTTAAACTATACCTACACATCTCCTCATACCCCTATTCCTGTATTATTCCGTCAACAAGCACATGTTGGGCACCTTCTGTGTGGAGACCTCATATTTGATGCTAGGGACACAGAGAGGATGGTGTTTAGTTCCTGCCCTTGATAAACAGAAAATATGCTCATGATGATAGGCTAATTATCAAAGCGTTCTTCATTGCCACAGTTTTCTGTGTGTCAATGCACTCTCATCTACATTATATCGTGCTACAGCATGTCTGCAAAGGAAGTATTTCTTCACAGTGATTATTATGATGCATCTGGTAGCTGAGACACCAAGGTGTGGGGACTTGGGAAGGTCAGTCAATGGCTGAGATCCAGATCTTTTGGCCAAGCGTTCTTTCTGCTAAGGGGAATGCTTTTTCCCAGCACTCCCATCCTGGGCACCTTGCCTTTGCAATTTCTTGGTTGTATATTTTATCTCTTTCAGTTGACAAAGTTGACAGGCCCTTGGGAAATACTGACTCAAGACTACTTGCCTTTGGTCAAGTGCTAAATCCCACAGGTGTAGGATTGACTTTGGAAGAGCCACTGTCACTCTTGCTGCCCCCTCCCAAGCCCTCTAGTGTGTCTAGAGGGAAGTAGGATTATCAGTTCTGTACATACCAGAGAGCACTAGCAAAACCAAATTAGCTCAAGCTGGCTGCCATTCAGGTCAGCTAATTAAATTAGCTATTGTTGCATTACTGATAAGGACAGTTTGGAAAAGGAAAAAAGCCACTCATTCCAGCAGCCATAAGGCGAAGGCCAAGAAAATGTGTTAATGGGAACACTCTGAAAGAAAACCCCTCTGACTAGGAGCGGGACCTAGTGGTCCTTGGTGGTCTGATCTCCTAGCCATCTGCTCCAAGCTCATGCTCCCAGTGCTCTCTGGCTCTGGTCTTTATGAACATTGCTACACTCTGGCTTTCTGGTACCCAACTGCAGCCAAGACAGCCCTCCCCTTTTTCTCCCACCATGAGCCTAATCCTCCCGGGAGTCTGGAGAGAAGTGGGGATTTTTCTGGGGGAGAACAGCTCACCCTTGAGTGCTAAAATGTAAACCCCCCATAGTATAAAAGCCAGTTGATACTTGGAAGAGTCTTGAAGAAGAACTGCAGAGACACAGAGAGAAAGGAAGGAAAGAGGGAAGGAAGGAAGGAAGGAAGGAGGAAAAGAAGGAAGGAAGGAAGGAAGGAAGGAAGGAGGAAAAGAAGGAAGGAAGGAAGGAAGGAAGGAAGGAGGAAAAGAAGGTAGGAAGGAAGGGAGGGAGGAAGGAAGGGAGGAAGGAAAGGAAAAATAGAAAAGAGGAGAGAACACCTTGCCCTTGTGTACTCTCCCCATCGTATAAATGCCAGTTGATATTTGTAAGAGTACTAAAGAAGAACCAGAGAGAGTAGCGGTGGTGAGAGAGAGAGAGAGAGGAAGGAAGGGAGGAAGGAAAGGAAAGGAAAGGAAAGGAAAGGAAGAAGAAAAAAGGGGAGGAAAAGTGGGGAAAAAGAGGAAGGAAGGAGAGAGCTAGGAAGTTCCAAAGACACTACATTTTCTGGCTGTCCAGCATCTGCTCATTGGCTACTGTGTGCTGTCTTGGTGAGGCTGTAAGTTACATTGGCTGCTATCTTCTAGTTGAGATTTGGTCACATGGACTTACCCTAGGCCAACTAGCCAAAGTCCTAAGATCTGGAACTTGAGATGCAAGGACAAAGAATCTTAGAAGCTCATTCACTTTAGCAGCAGCTCACTCCAATGAGACTTGCACCTACACTACCTTTCTACCATCAGGTCCCACCCGCTATGCCCCTCACCAAGCTGTCCTGGTTTCATCTTTTTCCCAAAACTAATTATCCAGGTAAAATTCTCTGTGCTCCCTGATATCCTTCTGATTTACTCTTTTTCTGCCTAAAATAACCTGAGTCAGTTTCATGCAATCCAAATGATTTAAACAATCTTTAGTCCAACCCTTTTTTTTTTTTGGTAGTTGAGGTAGGAGACCCAGAGATATTAAGTGATTTTCTCAAAATCACACAGATGATCATTGGCAGCTCCAGGGCTGGAGCCTAGGCCTCTAACTCTATGCTGCCTAAATATGGTGCTCACTAAATATGCATCTTCTGAGAAAGTGAAGGCAACTCAGGGAAATGTGCCTGAGAGTCCATGGGAGAGCCTGGGAAATTCTCATCTGTGCTCCTCATTTTCATGGCTTCATTTTTTCTTGATTTCTTAGATTCTGTTTAAGATTCTTAAGCCATGGGATAATATTCTCCTGTGAGAAAACAAGTGAAATTAAAATTGTCCATACGTAAGTTCATACATATACAGTGTGTGTCCCTCTTTCACTATCAAATGTGAAAAGTCTATAGTCCAAATTTATTCTTAGGCCCTCAGTACCAAGGGCTAGAGTACTTTCTACTGAACTAACGCATATTTTTTTACTTTAATATTCTATATTCTTTTTAAAAAATAAAATAGAGATGGAGTCTCACTATGTTGATTAGGCTGGCCTCCAACTCCTGGCCTCAAGTGATCCTCTCATTTTGACCTCTCAAAATACTGGGATTACAGGCATGAGCTACCATGCCCAGCCTCTGATGTAATTATAATCAAGGACATCAGTAACATCAAGGAGAGGAACAGGTGTACTTATTTTATAGGGGTATCTGTAATTATAATTGGGAAAATATGATACATGCTATGCTATGCTATGCTATGCTATATACTTAGTTTAAATTTGGAACTATATTTTCTCAGCCTCAGTTTCTTCATCTGCAGACAAGAACGTTAACTGTTTTCTCTTCCTCAAGCTCTAGCATTCTAAACTAAATGAGGAATTATAAAAGCTACCGAACTAAAGGAGAAATTACAAAGGTTAGTGAATTAGGCATATTACTGAAATAATTGGTTTAAAAATCTTTCAAGCTCTTTAGGTGAAAATAAAAGGGAAAATCTTGCTAGAGAATCTATTCTAAAAGACTTTAGTTAAAAACATCAAGCCCCACTTCAATGTTCATTCTGAGGAGGACTAGAGAAAGTTGAGGCCATCAGTGTTCAGGTACAGAGTACTAATTCCACAAGACCCAATTCTATGTACCAACATGAGACGATGTTATTAGCGCCTCTCACCCATAAAAAAAATCTGTCTTCAGCTATTGTCAACTCAATCAATTGTCATTTTGGGAATTTGGTGGAAAGGGATTGCCTAGCCCTGGGCAAATGGATATTTTCAAAGCATCCACTAAAATAATTATAATTATTGCTTTATATCTTCCTTACACAAAATAATATAAAGTCATTGCAAAATATGTGAAAACAGAAAAAATATCTTTATAATTCTATCACCCTAACACAATAGTCCTCATTTTCCATAATTTCCTTCTAATATTTGCTCACATATATGTATACAATTACTATTTTGGAAATTTATTGATAGATTTTTTTTAAGTTTGTCAAGCTGAATTTTGCCAAATTTGAGTTCAGAAATTAGAAGCACTAGCTGTTTTTTCAACTTTGTTATACATTCTCTTTCTCTCTTCTTTATCCCTGGCCATAAAATGGGAGCACCGGCACCTTCCCCTTCTGTAATGAATAGGAGTAATGCTTCATGTCTTTGAGCTCTTCTCAGCTACTCAGAAACAAGTACAAATTAATCTTAGATGCACTATTAACTTTTGAAAAACATTTTTCTCTGACAATGTTTTTATATTAAGGCTGGGTTCTATGTACAATTTGCTACAAAAAAGAGGACAGGTGTCTAACACTCCCTCTGAACTGTCATTGACCTATGATAGGGCCAGTACAGAATGTTCTTCATTAGCTTCTTTTTAGGTGGAGGTAGATAAACAAGGGGAAGGGGAAAACCATTGGTCAAATTACGAGCATGCAGATTTAAGTCCTGGGTTTGCAACTAACCAGCTGTGTAACCTTGAGCAAGTCATTTAATATTACTAGGATCAGTTGCTTCATCTGTAAAACACGGGTAATAATAACTATTTCGTAGAGTTGCTATGAAGATTAAACAAGCTAATGTAGGAGAAAGTACTGCAAAAATGAATCACATTTTTTTCTTAAAAAGAAATTATAAACAGGTGACTCCATTGAACTATTCCTAATATTTATCATGGAGATTTTTTTCCATATTATATGAATGAAAAGTGGCTTCAATTTTTGGTGGCTGATGAGCCATTTCCTGAATCATCTAGGTCCAGGCCTTTTTCTTCTTCTCCTATTTTCAGCTGGTTAGCTGCTCATTGAGATCTTGCCAGAGGGTGGGCGAAAGAAATAAAAACTGAAATCGGTCAATTTGACTCTTTGATAGCAGTCATGATGAAAGATCTGTGGATAGGGGGTGTTAAAGTTGTGAGTTAAACTGGAATTTTTCCTTCTTACCAGGAAATTGCAAGAACCTATTGATGGCTTGGATGCTCTGGTGGTGACAGCAAGTCCTCTTCTCTTGACTGAAGAAATGTCTTCCCCTATCTGAAAAGTGGCCTCTCTTCCGGAATGACACATACTGACTTTTGAAGAAGCAAAAGGATACCTGCTGGCCAGTCATATCAGCCAAAAAACTCTGGTGAGCAGTGAGTTGGCAGATGTTGCAACTGGAAGACTGTGGCATCAACAGAGCCCCAAAGCAATAATCTCTCTTTCTCTTCGCCCCCACTAATCCAGCAATCAAATAATCACTTTTAAGCATTTACTGTGCACCACCATATAACATAAAATGTGATGAATAGCTAGGTATATATATGACAACCTCTAAATTCTCAAAATATTATAATAAATTAAGAAAGCAAGAGTTGTGCATGTAAAAAGACAATTAACTACATAGGGAGAAGGCAGTGAACACATTTAGTGCATCTCCCCTGTACCGGTCACTGTGTGAGGTGCTGTACAAGTACTAATTTATCTAATCCCCACCAAATCCCTGGCAGGCATTTCTATCCTTGTTCTGTGGATGATGTGGGAGTTAGAGATATTTAATAACTTGCCCAAGATCACATAGCTACAAAAGTGTGGGGCCTGTTTTCAGGTTTAGATGTATCTAACTCTGTAATCTGTGCTCCATAACTATCCCACACCTACCAACGAGAGAAATCAGAGCTCAAAGACATCATTTAGTATGGCTGGGGAATGACAAGACTTTAAAATGCCTATTGGCAAAACACATTGATAAAGTTATACCAAGTCCATTAACTTCTCTGGGAAATATTTCTAGCTAGAGGAAAAATGCCTGGATTCTGGAAGCAGGGATGGTGGAGTGGAAATGACAGCACACCAGTCTCAGCTCAGCCATTATCCACACGTGTTCATCCCAGCAAGTTGCTTCATGCTTCTAGGCTTTGTGTCATCATCCATAGTATAGAGTGTTTCTAGATTGCCTAATGTCACTCACACTACGTCGCTGGGCAGGTGTGTGGTACACTAGCTCTAACATCAAGCAGACCTGAGTTTGAATCCTGGCTCCGTCTTCAAGCAATGGGCTCTTGGGCAAGTAATTTTCCCATCTGTAAAAATGGAGATGATAATACCTACCTCAGGGTCTTTGCCCTTATTGTTCATTCTCCTGGGGACAGTCTTTCCCAGATATCCGCAAAGGTCACTCTTTTACCTCCTTCAGGTCTTCACTCAACTTACCTTTTTGTGAGAACTTTCTTGAACACAATAGCTAAACTTGTAAACCATCTGGCATTTCCTATCCTCTTTCCTCATTTTATTATTTTCCTTAGCACTCAATACCTAACATACTATATAGCACTCAATTATCTTATTTATTGCCTCTTTCCCACCTCTAGAATGTATGCTCTATAAGGGCAGGATTTTTTGTATTCTTTACTGCTGTATCCCCAGTTTCTAGAATGATTTAGGTGATTAATAAATATTTCTTGCATAAATGAATTTTTTGTGAGTGTAGTGTGAGTAATGTCCTTTGCACAAGACCCGGTACACAGTAAACACTCCAGACATGTTCTCTCTTTATGTTACCATTTTATCGCAACTTTCCCTCATCTCAGTGGGGCACATGTGTTCTCTTTCTTCTCCAGATAACCCAAGATTAACCCAGGATTAGTACTTTAACCCAGCTAATGAATGTGAAGGCTTGATTCTGTGAAGATTAGTCTAGAAGCAAGTGGAGTTAATCATTGTGAGGGAAGTAAGAGGGGATTTGTGTGGTTGCTACCTTCAAATACCTAAAGGTGTGTCACATAGATAGCAATTCCAGGAAGAATACTTCTGCTGCACAAGAAAGGATTTCAACATAATTGGATGTGTAATGATAGAATAATCTGTCTCAGGAGATATCAGGTTGCTCATTTCTAGAGGTCTCCCAGAAGCTAGGTAACTAAATCTCGTTGACTCTGAGGATAATTATTGTAATGAGTGACAAGGTTGGAGTGCAACTAAGGAGATCACGCACTTATGGAGACGGTAAGCAAAATATGGCATTTCTAGGGACAAGATAAATGGACAGCAAATAAGAGTATTGTTCAACCTATAAACTCGAAGAAATCAAGGATAGATGATTATGAGGCTGAGGACAGTCATCTCAATAAAAGTCAAGACATGATACCCAGACTCAAGTCAGTTTTCAGATTCAGAACCCACTGACAGAAACAAACAAACAAAAAACTGGGTCCCTAGGTGATGAGACCATTTAAATTTTATAGAAAATATATATGGTAATGATTTTCTCATTATTTTCCCAAAAGGCCCTTGGCCATTTTCTCAAGTGATCATATACTAGGGGAAGAGGATGACCCAAACAGTTTGAGCCATGAGACATAGGTCCCAAGTTGACATTGATATCTGAGACCCAGATAGTCATCACAGTCTTGTTGTCAAAATATGGGGTCTTAGTGTATCCACAATTGTGATTGCCCACAGTGCATCCACTGAGTCCGTGGACCCACACTTGGGAATTTCCTCAGTAACTGAAAGAATAATTGAAATGCATATACTTGGTAGTTGATAGAAAGCTCACAGCGTTCCTTGGACTGTGGGGTAAGAGCTACTGTAATGAGGAAGACCAAGTGTAATCTTCTGAACTTCTCTTCCTCCAACCCCACTTCCCTACGAAAATAGTAAACCAAAAGCAATATTGCATGCTAGAGTGAACGGAAGAGATTAATGGAATGCTTAAATACCTAAAGGATGTAGGGATGGTGGTCCTCATCATATCCCCATTAATTTACTGGTTTAGTCCCTACTAAAACTAGAAGGATACTAGAACATGACAGTTGCATTACTGTAAACTCATACAAGTGTTAGCCCCAATTGCAACTGCTGTGCCAGGTGTGATATCTTTGCTAGAGAAGATTAACACAGCATCAAGTATATGGTATGCAGCCTTTGATATGGCAAATAAGTTGTTTTCCATCCCTGTCAAGAAAGATGACAAGAAGCAGTCCATATTCACATAGGGTGGACAACAAAGTGTATTTGTGATCTTGTACCAGGGCTATGTTAATTCTTCTACCCTCTATCATCATAGAGTCTGAAAGGACTTAGACTATCTGGTTATTCCAACGAATGTCACATTTATTTACTGTATGGATGAGGTCATGATAAGAAGTATCGAAAACTAGTAACTATTCTGAAAGCCTTGAGTAAGATGCATGTGGTTCACAGGATAAAAGGTAAAACCGTATGCAGTGGTTCATGCCTGTAATCCCAGCACTTTGGGAGGCCAAGGTGGGAGGATTACTTGCATCCAGGAATTTGAGATCAGCCTGGGCAACATAGTGAAACCTCATCTCTACAAAAAATAAAAAATTATCTGGGCATGATGGCACATGCCTATAGTTCCAGCTAACTGGGAGGCTGAGGTGTGGGGTTTGTTTCAGCCCGAGAGGTCGAGGCTGCGGTGAGCCATGACCATGCCACTGCACTCAGCCTGGGTGATAGGGACTCATCTCAAAAACATAAAAATAAATAAATAAAATAAAACCTATGCATATTCAGAGACCTGCCATATTAGTGAACTTTTTAGAAGTTCAGTGCTATGAGGCATCTTGAGATTGCCCTTCCAAAAATAAGGGCAGAGTATTTCAATTTATATCTTCTGAGAAAGAATCACAATACCTGATAGTTCTCTTTGGGTTCTGGAAGAAGCAGAACTTCCACATTTGGACATACTGCTCTGACCATTTATCAGGTAACATGGAAAATTTCTAACTTTGGGTGAAGCCTAGAGTAGGAAAGGGCTCTGTAGAAGTTTCAGTTGCAGTATAAGCAGCCCTGCAACTGGGACCATATGACCCAGTAGTCCCCGTGATATTATAGGTATCTATGCTGGGAAAAGACATGCTGTGCAGCTATGTCAAGCCACAGTGAGAGTACCACAATATGAACCCATAAAATTTTGGAGCAAGGTCATGCCTTTTGCATCAGAAAATTAGACTCCAGTTGAAAAAAGAGCTCCAGTGTACAACTGGGACCTAGGAGAGATGAGTACCTGATCTGGAATATCAACTGACTGTGTAGCCAGACATCCTCTCATAAATTGGGTTAAATCAGACCCAGCAAATTTTAAAACACAGTGGACCTATCAACTACCCATTATAAGATGGAAGTGTTTTATACGGGCTCAGATACAAATAGACCCAGAGGGCATAGTGAGCTACAAGAGCCAAAGGACCAGACTTCCATGTTATTCCCACTGTTACACTGGTGCATCTCCCTCAGCTCACACATTTGGCAACTTGAAGAGTCCTTTATGATGCGGTGGCTGAGGAGGAAAAGTCTGAGCTTAGTATGTGGGGCAAGCCCCAAATGGATGGCAGCAGGAGCACACCCACTCTTGGGTAATGAATGCTGTGAAGTACAGTGGGAAACAGAAATTATTAGAATCAGCAGAGCTTTGAGTGATTCACCGGCCATATATTTTGTGTGGGGAAAAAAAGTGGACTGAGATAAAAACATAAAAGACTCATGGCAATGGCAAATGGCTTGGCTAGTGATTAGGAACCTAGAAGAAGAGATATTTAGGAGTTAGAGACAAGGAGATCTAGGAAGGACATATGTGGATGGACTTATGAAAGTGGGCAAAAAGAATGAGAATTTTTGCATCACTTAATTAACATTCACCCAAGAGTATCCACTGAAGAAGAGGCACTAAACAATCACATAGATAGAATGAGTCAGAAAGTGCCTGCTTTTCTCATTGGCCAGCCCAGTGCTGGCTCAATGGGCACATAAACAAAATGGCTATGGTGGCAGAGAGCAGGTCCAATAGCAAGGACTCCTGCTTACCAAAGCTAATCTAGTTATTGCCATTAAAAAATGTCTATGCTAGCAACATGGACCAGAGTAAGCCCCTTTACAAATATGGCACCCCATTCCTCAAGGAGACTAACCATTTGATAGTAACTTGAGAACACAGGATCTCTCCTACCCTGTAAAGGGCAAAAATTCATCTTGACGGAAATAAACAGGTATATGACATTTGGCTTTGCCTTTCCTACCTCAAGGCCTTGTCTGGTACCAATTTTTGAGGGTTTCTAAAGCATATGATCCACTGACACAGGATTCTACATCATATCACATTGGACCAAGGAACCCACTTTATAGCAAAGGAAGGATAGCAGTGAGCAAATGACCATGGGGTTCACTTTCCTGTCATATGCAACACCATCGAGATACTACTATCTTGACAGAATTATAGAATGAATTTTTTTAAGACAGCACAAGCTTAGAAATCATAGCTTGCAATGATAGGGCACCATCTTCCAGAACATACATCTAGATCAATGACCATTTTATGGTGCTATGTCCCTGATATATAGAGTACACGAATCTGAAGCCAAGGGCTAGAAGTCATAGTGACCCACTTCCATCACTCCCAGTGACCTACTTACGGGATTTGTGCATCCTGTTCCCATAACTCTAGTCTTTGTGGGTCTAGGAGTCTACTTCACAAAGAAGAAATCCTTCCTCCAGGACACATAGCAAGCCACATTGGACTATCATCTATGGCTGCTGTCTTAGCACTGTGAGCTCTATCTGGTAGAGACCACCAAGCAAGGTAAGGGAAGAAGGCCAACTGACCCACCTTAGGAGGTGATGCTGCTGTTACCAAATGGGGCAGGACCGAACACATTTGGCAGCCAGATGATTATGGTCACCATGTCCTTCTCAAATACAGTTGCTGCACTTGTCCATTTACTCCCAGAAGTCAGCAGGAGGTTACCAAGTAATGCTCCAGTGAGTTACATTTATTTTGTAGTGAGGAGGAATGGCAATAACCACTGCATATTGGGAAGCAGTCCCAGAGCACACTTTTCAGTATGTGGGACTTTACACATACACTGTATGTTAACTGATACCATTTTCCAGGGTCCGTTTGGACCCGCTCACAGAACAGTGCTTGTAACGATCAATTTAATGTGTCAACTTGACCGAGTCGCAGAGTGTCCAAATATTTGGTTAAACATTATTTCTGGGTGTGTCGGTGAGGGTGTTTCTGGAAGAGATTAGCATGCCCAAGGTAAGCGGCTTTAGAAGTTCTTACTAAGAAAGGGTGGCTCACGCCTGTAATCCCAGCACTTTGGGAGGACGAGGAGGGTGGATCATGAGGTCAGGAGTTCAAGACCAGCCTGGCTAACATGGTGGAACCCCATCTCTACTAAAAATACAAAAAATTAGCCGGGCGTGGTGGCAGGTGTCTGTAGTCCCAGCTACTCAGGAGGCTGAGGCAGGAGAATGGCATGAACCCGGGAGGTAGAGCTTGCAGTGAGCGGAGACCGCACCACTGCACTCCAGCCTGGGCGACCGAGCGAGACTCCGTCTCAAAAAAAAAAAAAAAAAAAAAGTCCTTACTAGGAAAGGAAGATTGAGCTGAACCAATCTTTTGATTGAATTGGTGGGCCGAGTAGAGTAGATGGCCTTCCCCGGTGTGGGTAAGCCTCATCCAAACCACTGGAGGTCTAAACAGAAAAAAAGGCTGAATAAAAGAGAATTTGCTCTCCATGTCTTACTGCTTAAGCTGAAGCATTGGTCTTCCCCTGCCCCTAAACTGGGACTTACACCATTACCATGCCTGCATCTTAGGGTTCAGATATGAATTAGAACTTACATCTTCAGTGCACTGGTTCTTGGATCAGAACTGAAACCTGGTTCTGGTTTTGGCCTTTGTTCTTGGATCAGAACCGAAGCCATTGGTTCTCCTGGTTCTCAGGTGGTCGGAAATAGGCTGGAAACTACACCTTGACTTTTCTAGGTCTCTAGCTTGCAGATGCAGATTGTGGGACTACTCAGTCTCCATCATTGTGTGAGCCAATTTCTCATAATTAATAAAGTTTATTAAATAAAACTTATATCTTATTGGTTCTGTTTTTCTGGGAAACGCATACTAATACAGTGTCCTAGCCAATTCCTAATAGATCAGCCTAAGTTCAATGTCTGTGTAATATACAGTTTTTCTTTTTTTTTTTTTTTTTTTTTTTGGAGCTTAGGGCTTATGGAAAACCTGCATAAAGCCACTTCCAGGCTTGTCCTCTACATCCATCCCAGACCAGGTAAAGTTCTTTGCTGCAGTCCTGCTCTGGCAAGTTCTGGCATCTCTCTCCCTGCTCTGGCAGAAGATTACTTGCTGAAGTGCTGCCTGTCCCAGGATGCTCACCCTGTTGGCTGTTCCTTTCTCTTTTTAAATGACCTGTCATTTTTCCCAACAGTAGGTGTCCCCACTGGCAGCAAGGTGATCAAGCACAGAACAGACCCTATTAAACTTCACTCTTGCATCTTCAGCAGATTTCCTGTTGATACCTGCAATATTTTAAAAGTCAGCTCCTCCTGGGGGAAAAAGGTAGGAGCATGAGGTGAGGGAGGGGATGAATGGTTTGTGCACCCCTTGAACTATTTCATCTTTTTAATTATTTTATTCTATTTCCATACAGATGCCTCTTTTGATGCTGTTTTAATTGTGATGGCTCTTACAGAAACTCTCTCTCCTGTTCAGAAAAAGGCAATAAAGTTTTCAGGGTTTTGTTTGAAAGCTTCTGGTTCACATGTGCAAATAATTTTAAAAAAGAGACCCTTTGTAAGGCAAGAGCTCAGAAACCTGCCTCCTATCTACCATGGATGTACCACAAGATTTACCTTAAAAGAGCAGATGGAAAACCTAGCATTGGCAGCTATGAAACATTCTCTAGGTCTGTTACCTGTTTCAAACCTCCACCACTGCCCGCTGTCAGCTCCCATTGACTCATGCATCTCTGAGCTTCTTAATACATATTTCCAAGTACTGGAATCTGTAGGGCTGGATGCAACTCACTCAGACTGGTTAATGGGCTTTGGGTAAGTTGGAGAGGCTATAAGGTGTGTTCAGCTCAATCTTCCTTTCCTAGTAAGAACTTCTAAAGCCACTTACCTTGGGCATACTGACCTTCAGCTGCACTTTGACATTGGAAGTATGATCTTCACAGCTTAATCTGATAACATGCCAATACTTAGCAAACTGCATCTGGATTGCTCTCATCTTTCCTGATAGGTAATATGAATACACACACACATACAGACACAGACAAAGGAACACACACACATACACGCATGCACGCACATACAAATACACACTCATAGCCTTCTTCACATGGTTGTCAGTTTTCCAGAACATCTTGGCACTGGCAGGACTGTCTATGCACTTCATGGAGGGGGCTGGGCTTAGTCCAGGTTTTGTGACAATGGAGTCTACAGAAGGGATGAAATCCAACATTTAGGCAAAGACAGGTGCCACCAATGCACCTGCATCCAGCCCAGTGCTCCACGCATTAAGCCTGTAGTGCTTTTAAATCATTCTTGGAGCTTTGCAAAATGTTTCTCCTGCCTAAGCTGTCTCTGGCCTCATACACCTAAGATGTAAATCTTTGCATGTAAGGCAGAGCAAGCGAGCATAAGTCAATGATTCCTGCCCCACTGGCAAACTAAAGCAGTGTGGGACCTTTCATTCCTTGTGCATCCCAGGTGGATGAGGACCTGGGAGGCAGAAATGGAAGAACAATGGAGGGAGAAACGAAGACATCCCACTGCCTCATCCTTCACATGCGTGCATGAGCACTGCATATACCACATGCCCTGTGCCCACTTTCTTTCCCTGCCTTTCCTGAGATTTGATTCTATTGAGAGTGTTGCACTCTAGAACACAGAGTGGCAGAGATGGAATGGGATTCAGGGGCTCAGTGAACTCAAAGCCAGTTACGTGATCAGGATTGACACTTTGTGTTATTTAACTCTTCATGTCTTTGTGTTTTACTTCTGATCTCAGCTTCTTAAAGTGGGCCACCAACTGTGGCTATCTCTGGAATCCCAACTTTGCCAAAACACAGCACAAAAGCATTTGCTGCTTTTATTTATGTATGAAGATGACCAGGAAAAGGATCTAGGCATAGGTGAAAGAGGGGTTGAGAATTTGCTAGGGTTGACCCAAAACCTGATCTGTCCCAGGTTATATGGGACACTTTCTCTTTGAGAGTGAATCTCTCTCTCTAAGAAAGTATTTCCTCTCTGAGGCCTATGCTGTATGGCCAGGAAACTTAAGCTGCTTTCCTGTAATCATAGAGAGTTGAGAGGGATCTCAACACTCATTTCATCTAATTCCCTTATTTAACAGATGAGGAAATTGATATGTTTCCTCATCTGCATTTTTCACTCATTATTTCATTTAGTCCTCACCATGCCCCGCTAAGGTGGGTGTTATTACTCCATCCTATGAGGGAGGAAACTAAGCATCACAGAGATGATGCGACTTGCCCAAGGCCACACAGATGGTTAGCAGTGGGGTCTGAGATTGACCCCAGGTAGCCTGACTCTCAGTCTAAGACCTTTCCATCTTAATCAAGGATCCCTTAATGTTAGTCTAAAGACTTACACAGGTTATTGATGATATTTTCATACAACTATGACAAATATGAAATATGTGCATATCAACATAACCTTGCAAACTTTCTTTCTCGAGAAAGCCTGTCTTTAATGAGACAATGCCCTTCCTACACTTTTGGTATTTAAAGATCTCTTCTTTATGAACTTATAATGATAATAAATAGTGGAGGTTTATATATTTGCTTGGCAAAACGGAACATTGTGAACTACATGACAGTCCTTAATGCTTTTAAAAATTAGGAATCCTGAAGTCTGGGAACACAGTACTCTGTGGCCATCTAGGTTGTTGCCTGCAGCATCCACCAATGTGAGCTGGAGATTACTACAAGCATTTGACTCGTCATCGTGTCAAGAAGTCATCACCAACGGCTCAGCAACATGGGGCCAAGACTCTGCCCTCATAGGGCTCAAAGCTCCTACCTGGTCAATCAGGAACCTGCACAGTCCCAAGAGTACTATAGGATGTATGGGAGGAAAGGGAGCCTTTCAACTGTCATGGGAGCCTGGGGGCTTGGGAATTGATGAGATTCCATATTTGACCATTCCTTCCCATCTCTGTCTGGGGTATCAGACAGGAGGGATAATGCAAAGAACTGAGAACTTAACCTGGTGTGCCCAACACTGCTCTCCTGGCCCCAGGTAAATAAGCTTAATAGGAAGAAGAGATGCTGTGGAGTGTACCAGCCATGATTCCAGGGCCATTACTTAGTAAGCATATGATCTTGAGCAGCTTCTTTTATGAGCTTTGCTGTGTTGCTCCAACAATAAAATATGTTGTATACAAAGCACCTATACAGGGCTGATACTTACTAAATGCTCAGTAAACATTCATTTTTGCCTCCTTTTAGCATATATTCTTTTCCTACTTTACCTCAAGAGTCAGTGCTAGGGAAAATTGTGAGTTATCTTGTCTTTGGTAACTTCATGTCACACTCTTGCACCTCTGGGTTCTTCCAGCCAGGGAAATGTTGTTTAATATCCAAATTCACACCGAATGGCTCAGAGTTTATGAGGAGAGGACAATGCTGGAGCAAAAGAAAAATTCTGGCAGTTCTGGCAGTGGTATTCCAGACCCCATGGCACCCAGCTGAAGGGGCTTTGCAGTCCCAGCCTCCCTGACACACAGCTGTGGGCCCGCTCTTTCCTCCCAGGCAGGAGGCCAGTCCTGGTGCCAGGCTTGGGCTGGGCACTGGAGCCTCTGCTGTCATTGCCCATCTTTCTCTTGTTCTGTGCACTTGGTACTACAGCTGACACCTGGGATGTCACATTCTGACATATGAGGCTATGGGGGTCAAGTGGGCAAGGGTGGGGGCGAGAACATGGCTTTCACAGCCAGGTATGTGTCAAACCAAATTCCACTCATGATTGGGTGTCTAGCTTGGAACTGATCTGGATCAGAGTGATGTGCTGAAGTCAAATGACAACGTCTGTCTGGCTGGGGCTTATCTGACAGGACGTGCTCCCTGGTGGGTCCCAGGGTCCAGGACAGAGGCTGCAGGGACAAGGGAGGGTGTGAGGCAAGTGGTGGTCCTTCCTCCTCTTTGCCTTGTCTTCACATTTGTTGCCAGCTCGTGCCTGCTGACATTTGAGCAGATTCTATTTATGCAAATAGGCTATTTTGCTTTATTTTGAGTCTCCTACATGCATGTAGACCATTAACTGTCACAAAGGTTTCTTTCCACGGTGGTGACTAACAGCACGGTCACTCACCCAGCAACAAGGAAGAGGCCTGACTGGGGAGGAAGAGTGTTTAATATTGATGTAAGTCCTGAATAAATGAGGATTTGTGAGGCAGCGTTAGAAGGCATTCAACAGCACAGGCTTTGAATTCAGACAGCCCTGAGTCTGAGTCTCTGCATTGACACTTATTAGCTTGATGGGCCTGGGCAACTTTATTTAATATCACTGATCCTCGGTTTCTACATCTGTAAAATGGTGACGTAATAATATACATTATATGGGAGTATTTTGAAGGATTAAGTGAAAATGCATGCAAAGCAGCTCTCTTTAGAAAGCTTGGACAATTTCTCAATATTATTATAGGAGGATTCTGATCTTCTGCCACTTGAGTTTTACCACTTTATGAACATTCTTTGTTTTGCTCTCTGTAATTAGGATAACAAGAGGGTACCAAAAAGAAGAAAGGAAAAGGAGACCCCGTGGTTGGTAGGCTGGAAGAAATACTAAGGAGAAGCAATTTGTTCTCTTGGGGACATTTCCACTGGAATGTTGTATCCTAGAAACTTCTTTAGAAAATTATACAAGGCTTGGCTGGGCGCAGTGGCTCACGCCTGTAATCCCAGCACTTTGGGAGGCCGAGGCAGGCGGATCACGAGGTCAGGAGATCGAGACCATCCTGGTTAACACGGTGAAACGCTGTCTCTACTAAAAATATAAAAAATTAGCCAGGCGTGGTGGCGGGTGCCTGTAGTGTCAGCTACTAGGGAGGCTGAGGCAGGAGAATGTCGTGGACCTGGAGGCGGAGCTTGCAGTGAGGCAAGATTGCGTCACTGCCCTCCAGCCTGGGCGACAGAGCGAGACTCCATCTCAAAAAAAAAAAAAAGAAAAAAAAAAGAAAATTATACAAGGCTTGTAGAGGTATAATTTTGTTTTTTAGAAACTTGAAAGACAGGGCAGGAGGATAACTACATATATTAATACTAGGGTATATAATTATTATTAATAGAAAATCAGGCCAGGTGTGGTTGTTCATGCCTGTACACTTTGGGAACCAGAGGCGAGAAGGTCACTTAAGGCCAAGATTCTGGGACCAGTCTAGGCAACATAAATACAAAAATTAGTCGGGTGTGGTGGTGCATGCCTGTAGTCCCAGCTACTCGGGAGGCTGAGGTAGAATTGCCTGGGAGGTTGAGGCTTCAGTGAGCTGTGATGGTGCCACTGCACACCAGCCTGGGCACCAAAGCGAGACTCTGTTAAAAAAAAAAAAAAAAGAAAAAAAGACAATCAGCTGCTTTCATTCTCCAAAATAAGTGTAGAAAGATAATAAGAAACGTTTCACTGAAACTATAACTTTGTCTTTGACCACGGAACAGAGGTGGGTGGAAGGCAATTGGGGAAAGAAGCCAATCAGCAACCTCCAGAAATTTCCTCTTTTTTTCAGTCACAAGGACAGTTTATTGGGGTAGCCGCTGACCTCATGCAAGCTGCTCCAAGTCAATGAAAGGGGGCAGCACTAGCAGTGTGCCAAGAGGCAAAAGACAGAAAAATAAAACTAGAGGATCCTTGGATACCAAAGCTGGGAAAAAGCACAAATTCAGATGAGAGGTTATAATGTAGACTGAGATAAGACAACAGAATTCCAAGGTTAGAGAGCAGTGAATCCAAGATGTTTGCAATGTGATGTCAACTTAAGCCTTTTTTGAAGTTTTCATTATGAACATTCCCAAACATGCTCACGAGTACAGAGTACAACATTACCCATCATCAAGCTTCAGCAACTATCAACTTTTCTCCATACTTGCTTCTTTTTTTACCCTCTTTTAATTTTGCTAAAATACATTGCAGATACTCCTAAACACTTCAGTATGCACTTTATTTTTTAACATAATCACAATGCCAATTTCAACATCTACTAAATTTAACAATTATTTATTAACAATACCATCTTGCAAGGTTGCCGTCTCTTACCACTGCTATTCAACATAGTATTGGAAGTTCTGGCCAGGGAAATCAGCAAGAAAAAGAAATAAAGGGCATCCAAATAGGAAGAGAGGAAGTCAGATTATTCCTGTTTGCAGATGACGTAGTTCTAGATCTAGAAAACCTCATAGTCTTTTCTAAATCTAGAAAGCCCCAAAAGCTCCTTCATCTAATCAAAAACCCCAAAAGCTCCTTCAGCTAATCAAAAACCCCAAAAGCTCCTTCAGCTAATCAACAACTTCAGCAAAGTTTCAGGATACAAAATCAATGTACAAAAATCACTAGCATTCTCATACACCAATAACAATCAAGCCAAGAGCTGAATAAGAAATACAATCCCACTTAAATACCTAGGCATACAGCTAACCAGGGAGGTGAAAGATTTCTGCAATGAGAATTACAAGACACTGCTCAAAGAAATCAGAGATCACACGAACAAATGGAAAACATCCCATGCTCATGGATAGGAAGAATCAATATCATTAAAATGGCCATACTACCAAAAGCAATTTATAGATTCAATGCTATTCCTATCAAACTACCAATGACATTCTTTGCAGAATTAGAACAAACTATTTTAAAACGTATATGGAAACAAAAAAGAGCCTGAATACCCAAGGCAATCCTAAGCAAAAAGAACAAACAAAGCTGAAGGCATCACGTTACCCAACTTAAAACTATACTACAAAGCTACAGTAACCAAAACAGCATGATACTGGTACAAAAACCAACACATAGACAAATGGAACAGAATAGAGAGCCCAGAAATAAGGCCACACAACTACAACCATCTGTTCTTTGACAAAGCTAACAAAAACAAGCAATGGAGAAAGGACTCCCTATTCAATAAATGGTGCTGAGAGAACTGCCTAGCCATATGCAGAAAAGTGAAACTGGGCATCTTTCTTACACTGTATACAAAAATAAACTAAAGATGAATTAAGGACTTAACTGTAAAAGTCAAAACTATAAAAAGTCTGGAAGACAATGTAGACAAATACCATTGTGGACATAGGAACAGGCAAAGATTTCATGACAAAGACTCCAAGAGCAATTGCAACAAAAGCAAAAGTTGACAAATGAGATCTAATTAAACTTTAAAAGCTTCTACACAGCAAAAGAAACTATCAACAGAGTAAACAGACAGCCTACAGAAAGGGAGAAAATATTTGCAAACTATGCATCTGACAAAGGTCTAATATCCAGCATCTATAAGGAACTTAAACAAATTTACAAGAAAAAAACAAACAACCACATTAAAAAGTGGGCAAAGGACATGAATAGACACTTTTCTAAACAAGACATATGTGCAGCCAATAAGTATATATAAAAAAGCTCAAACGGGCATGGTGGCTCACACCTGTAATCCCAGCACACTGGGAGGCCGAGGCAGGCATATCACTGGAGGTTGGGAGTTCACGACCAACCTGACCAACATAGAGAAACCCCATCTCTACTAAAAATACAAAATTAGCCAGGCGTGGTGGCATATTTCTGTAATCCCAGCTACTCGGGAGGCTGAGGCAGGAGAATCACTTGAACCCAGGAGATGGAGGTTGTGGTGAGCCAAGACTGCACCATTGCACTCCAGCCTGGGCAACAAGAGCGAAACTCCATCTCAAAAAAAAGCTTAACATCACTGATCATTAGAGAAATGCAAACCAAAGCCACAATTAGTACCATCTCACACCAGTGAGAATGGCTCTTTTTAAAAAGTCAAAAAGTAACAGATACTACTGAGGTTTCAGAGAAAAGGGAGCACTTTTACACTGTGCTAGTGGGAGTGATGGGAGTGTAAATTAGTTCAACCATTGTGGAAAGAAGTATGGTGATTCCTCAAAGAGTTAAAAACAGAACTACCATTTGATCCAGCAATCCCATTACTGGGTATATACCCAGAGGAATATAAATCATTCTATTATAAAGACATATGCATGCATATGTTCATTGCAGCACTATTCACAATAGTGAAGACATGGAATAAATCTAAATGCTCATCAATGACAGATTGAAGAAAGAAAGCATGGTAGATATACACCGTGGAATACTATGCAGTCATAAAAGAATAAGATGAGATCATGTCTTTTGCAGGAACATGAATGGAGCTGGAGGTCATTATCCTTAGCAAACTAACACAGAAACTGAAAACCAAATACTGCGTGTTCTCATTTACAAGTGTGAGCTAAATGATGAGAACACATGAACACAAAGAAGGGAACAACAGGCACTGGGACCTCCTTGAGGGTGGGAGAAGGGAGAGGAGCAGAAAAAAATAATTATTGGGTACTATGTTTAGTACCTGAATGACAGAATAATTTGTAAAACTAACCCTCATGCCATGAGTTTACCCACATAACAAACTTGTGCATGTATCCCCAAACCCAAAATAAAAGTTAAAAAAAAATCTTGCAACATCACTTAAAAAAGTTAAAAAAAGTTAAAAACAGGACTCTAGTGTATATATAAGAAGTTAATATGTGACAAAGATGACAGCAGAAAGTCTGGTTTATTCAATGCTGGGTTAATTAATTTGTTGGAAAAGGTAAATTTCAAGATCAATTTCAGATGAACTAACATTTTGGTAAAATATCAGGATAAATACTCTCTAATTCATCTTTTGGCAAAATTGCAACTGTGTCTTACTTTAATAGGAGTAAATGTAGATATTCTCATGATTATATTGAGCCAGTATCACTTTTTAAATATATCGGGAAACACTGTTTTTAATACAGTCTAATTAAGTTTAAAAAGGCTGTAAAGCATTTTATAGCATTTTTTCTAATCACAGCACCAAAGATAGGAAAATAATATATTTGGCTACCTAAAAAGCACCCTACCCCCAAACAAAACAAAAGCAATATCAAAACAAAATAAGTTATATGCAAAATTTTAATTAAGATATAAAATTCAGAAGAAAATATTCAACCTGTGTGAAAGACAAAGGGTTAAGATCTTTTGCATAGCAATGTTTATAAATCCATAAAAAACTTGGCCATCTAAAAGCAAATGAGAGATAATTCTCTGCTTTAATTCACAGACATTCCATGTTGCAATCTGTCCATTTTCTGCCTTCTTTCTGCCTTCGGCTTTCCTGTGGCCTATCATCTTAGCCCAAACTTAACGTTATTAAGTGGCTGTTTTATAGGTTGTAGGATGGGTTTGTGAAGTTTTCTTTTTTCTTCAGAGAGGGATTTCTCTTCATGTTATTCTTTCACTTCCTAAAAATTAATTCCAATGGTTTAGTGAATTTCGAGGGTGGGGAGTGAAATGAAAATACCGTTACTCAACCAGCTTTACATCTACATCTTCAGGTGATGTTTTACTGCATTTTTTAACTTAATAGGACTATATTAAAAACAATGTTTCCCCGTATATTTAAAAAGCAATACTGGCTCAATATAAGAATGAGATATATCTACATTTACTCCTATTAAAATAAGACATGGTTGCAACTTTGCCATATGAGTAAAGATATGCCGGGAAGGAAGAAAAGGCTGTGCAGTTTGAGTTTCGCTGACTTCTGAAGCAAGAAACATGTTGGCCCGAGCAGGAATTGGCATAACCTCCACAAACTGTGCTTTTACATGAAATCACTTCATTCTTCACGTCTCTTCTTCAGTGAAGTTTAGTAACTGGCCTAGTCAAAAGATATCCTTTCTTTGAAAAAAGTTTGGATGGGAAAAGGAAAAAGCAGTAACAGTTGTCACAGAGGGTGAATAGCATCTTTGACTTCCCAGATTTAGCTGAATGTCATTAGGTTGGATTTGGATAGTTGAATACTGCTGATATTTGTGCCCTTCAGCAAATTCTATATTTGATTCCTTATTCCCAATGGCTTTTGCAAAACGAGGAGTATTGTATCAGGAACAGAGCTGTGGTTAGCCTCCTAGTCATTACGGTGGAATAAATGGTAAGACAGGCAACACAAGCAATGAAGAGGCCAGTGGGAGGAGAGGAAGGATGGGGCACCATTACTTTTTTCACAATTTATCCATTGCTTCCCAGTGTTTGCATTTGCTGAACGTTTATTTACCTATTTTTTAAAAAATCTCTGTCTCGCTCTGTCACCCAGGCTGAAGTGCAGTAGCACAGTCACGGCTCACTGCAACCTCAACCTCCAGGGCTCAATTGATTCTTCCACCTCAGCCGCCCAAGTAGCTGAGACAACAGGCACACACCACCACTCCTGGCTAATTTTTGTATTTTTTGTTGAGACGGCATCTTGCCACGTTGCCCAGGCTGGTCTTGAACTCCTGGACTCAAGCTATCCGCCTGCCTCGGCCTCCTAAAGTGCTGGGATTACAGGCATGAGCCATCACACCTGGCCTTAAAATTTCATAAGGCAAGCTTGTTTTCAGACATTAGATATAATAATGGGAGTGAACCTTTGGAGTTTTGTAACTCTTGTTTTTCTAAGAGCTCTCTCTCTCTCTCTCTCTCTCTCTCTATATATATATATATATATATATATATATAGCCTTTGAGCTCCTAGAAAAACAAGAATTATATATATATTTTTATATAATTGTATATACACATAATATACGTTATATATATAATTATATGTGGAGAGAGAGAGAGAGTGAAAGAGAGAGAGAGAGAAACATGATAAAATCTGGCTCAGTCTGCCAGTAGAATATTTATTTGCAACTTAGTACATTCACAAAATAATGTTCATTGCTATTTATAATTATGGAGGAGAGACTAAGACCATCCCTGAGAAGGTTAAAGGGTTGTAGTCATTTTCAGATCAATACAAGAAGACTCACTTTACACCTGGAGTTTGCCAGTGATGGCATAGAACTTGCTCTGCTTCCCCCCGCATAATTTTTCAGGTACCAAAGTACCCAAGCTAGAAACCTGGGCATCACCCTCTACTTCTCCCACTCTCTATCCATACCACACCCACATTCTCATAAAATCTTTAACTTTTACTGCTGTCTCTCCTTCTTCCTTGATCCCTCTTTGTCAGGCCTTGCACTAGCTTCCTCGGGGTCTCCCAGATTCCATTCTTATTCCAGTTCATTTTAAATGCAGATTTGATCCTGTCAATCCCTTAAAACCCTTAAATGACTCCCTTTCAACTTCAGGATAAAATCCAAACTCCTCAGCATGGGGTAGTTTCCAGTTTGGGCTGTGCTTTATCTGTCAATATCCCTGCATCCATGGCCCATGCTCCAGCTACACTGAGACACCTGTCACATGATTCACATAACTGCTAAATATTTGATATTTTTGCCCACTTCTGAATGATCCCCACTCACTCCCTCACTATTCCCCTTATCTGCCAAACTCCCTTCTTCCTTTCAAGAGCCAGCACAATGTCATTTTCCCTTGGAAGCCTTATTTCATTCCGTAGACTTCCAGGCCAGGCCACTCCTCATGACCACTCCCATAGTTGCCACTCCACAGTTCTCTTATAGCATTAATCACATTTTATTAAAATGGCCTATTTATGTGTCTGGTTCCTCCCCTCTGTCATGTTGAATTAAGCTCTCCATTGTTAGTGGGTTCCAAACAGATGATCAATGACACATTTCAAGGAGATGAAATAGGAGAATTAAGAGTCAGACAAAAAGGTAGAAAGGATCTCTTAAGTCTCTTCGACTTTTTGGTGTCTGAATTTCTCTGACTCCAAGATCCTCAAAGATGCTGCCATTCCTTGAAAATAATCAGACAAATAATGTCATCACAGTTTTATCGTAGAAAATACTTTTTTTTTTATTGCCTTTTGGTATGGTTTGGCTATGTCCCCACCCAAATCTCATCTTGAATTGTAGCTCCCATAATCCCCACATGTTGTGGGAGGGACTCAGTGGGAGGTAATTGCATCATGGGGGACAGGTTTTTCCCATGCTGTTCTTGGGATAGTGAATCAGTTTCATGAGAGCTGATGGTTTTATAAATGGGAGTTCCCCTGCACAAGCTCTCTTACCTACCACCACATAAGATGTGCCTTTGCTACTCCTTCACTTTCTACTATGATTGTGAGGTCTCCTCAGCCATGTGGAACTGTAAGTCCATTAAACTTCTGTTTCTTTATAAATTACTCAGTCTCGGGGATGTCTTTATTAGCGGTGTGAGAAAGGACTAATACACCTTTGAAACTGATTATCCAGCAATAGAATTGCTATTTTTAGTAGAGATGGGGTCTTACCATGTTGGCCAGACTGGTCTGGAACTCCTGGCCTCAAGTGATCTGCCCACCTAGGCCTTCCAAAGTTCTAGGATTACAGGCATAAGCCACTGCACCGGGCCTAGGACAATGCTCTTTGATGATCCTTTGAACTCAACACCTCAACTTCCATGGCTAAGGCCACACTCTGCTCAGAGTCAGATACAGATAGAGCTGTTTTTGTTTTTATTTTTCCATTGATTCCGGTGGTATTGATGTCATCAGTACTGGAATTAAGGTCTCTAAATGGTTTTCCTAAGGCAGGTAATTCTGAGATTCACGAGCAACACCTTCCTTAAAGACAATGACGATGGTGGATAGATATGAGAAAGAAAGGAGAGAGAGAGAAAAACAGAAGCTGCCCAGGCTTCCAACCCCTGAGAGATAAAGATGTTGGGATCTCAGCCAACACCTTTAAGTAATAAGGAGTGATGGGAGAGAAAGGCTGACAGTTTGTGACATGTGACATGTGACTTTCTAATGATCCAGAGACAGGATTTGTTCTAAACAGAAACAGCTTGTAAGGTGACATCAGGAACAGTTTCCAATCCAACAAGTAGCTCATATGCCTCTCATGAAGGTTAAAACCCAGAGGGAAGTAATTAATTAGAGGAACAGAGCCCTATCTTGGAATCTAAATTGACAATACTTTGTTAAACTCCCCTTGAGTCATTGACTACACCCATTCTGACATGGAAAGTTGCCTCAGTGGAAGAAAAAGAAGTCTTCAGAGTAATGTGTAAAACATGCTTGTAGGAGCAAAAAAAATAGTATGAAAGAGTGTCCCCCTACCAAAACTGTTAATATTTTAGGAGGTTAGAGTCAGAGAAGGTGAGAAAATTAAACATTTTATTATACTTCCTGACTTTGTAACAAGTATAGATTATGTTTATAATTATTAAAAACCAGTTAAGGCTGGGCATGATGGCTCACGCCTATAATCCCAGCACTTTGGGAGGCCAAAGCAGGAGGACCACTCAAGACCAGGAGTTGAAGGGCAGCCTGGGCAACATAATGAGACTCTGTCTCTATAAAAATTTAAAAATTAGCCAGGCATGGTAGCCTCTACCTATAGTCCCAGCTACTTGGGAGGCTGAGGTGGGAGGATCACTTTGAGGTTGTAGTGAGCTATCATGGTGCCACTGCACTCCAGCCTGGACAGCAGTGAGACCCTGTCTGTAAAAAACAAACAAAAGCAAAAACAAAAAACACCAAGTTAAGTAAAATAGGTATAATAAACTATACACACACACATACACACACAAACACATATATATATAATGATAATAAATAAAGATTAGGCAAATTTGTGTCTAGGACCAAATAGCAAAGGGAGGAAGACAGGAAGCTTAAATTTATTGACTGTACTTTGAGTCAATCTGTGACATATGTGATTTCATTTAATCCTCACAGACTCACAATTTGTTGAAATAAATACTAATAGTTCCATTTTACAGATGAGGAAACTGAAGTTCAGGGAGACTAAGTGATTTGCCTGAGGTCACAGAGATAGATAATAAGCAGAAGAGCCAGGAATTTAACCCAAGTCTATCTTCAAAAGCCACAGCTTTCCACAAACCCAATTTTATGAAATAATTTCTCTGAAAAGTATAGATTTTTTTTTACACATCTTACACAAATATAAATAAGTAAAGAATATTCATTTTTTGTTCAGTAAATTCCTTGTATATCTGAAGAAGGAATTCACTGAAAGTAACAATTCTATGGTTAAAATAACATTACTTTTTTAAGGACAGATTTTTCTTACTACTTTGTCATAAACCTTCCTCTATATATCTATTAAAGAAAGGACATTTACTGATTTTTATTGTTGCTATGGAGTTAGTATTTTAGAATAATATTATGGTTGTGAAAATGAAGAAGACCATAGAAAAGAAAACACATGCACAAAAAAATGTGTTAGGAAAGAAAAATAATCTCGCGCTATTAGGATATGTGATAGGCAAAGCAGATATTTGGTTAAAAGATCATAGTTCATGCCCCCGTTTTTTTCAGCTATAAAATCACATGGAAAAAAACCCAACTATTTTAAACACATAATGAATTCTAGACATGTTGAAGTTATTTTCATGTCGACGTGGGTGGAGTCTGCCACTTAGGAAACTTGCCCAGCTATATTCCGTTTTCCCATATCTTCATGGACTCTCAGGCAGTTCCTCAAGTGTTTGTTCACTTGTGGTCATAAATACGGTCATGTATTTAATTGTTACACCATTTCAGGTATTAAAAGGTCAAATCTAGTCTAACGTGACTTTGATCTCAAGGCTGGGAGAGGCGACACACGCCTGTAATCTCAGCACTTTGGGAGACCGAGACCAGGTTGCTTGAGGCCAGGAGTTTGAGACCAGCCTGGGCAACAAAGCGAGACCTTGTCTCTACAAAAAAGAAAAAAAAGAATTAGCTAGATGTGGTGGTCCATTCCTGTAGTTCCAGCCACTTGGGTGGCTGAGGCAAGAGGATCACTTGAGCCCAGGACTTCAAGGTTGCAGCGACCTATGATCGAGCCTCTGCACTCCAGCCTGGGTAACAGAGCAAAAGCCTGTCTCCAAGAACAACCACCACCACCACCACGGCAACAAAAACTTAGATCTCAGATGCAATCTGCAACTTCTTTTCCCTCTTTACCCCATGCCTCTCTTGTGGCTCAAGCATCTACAGTGAGGGAGGGGGCAAATGTGGCTTCTCATTCTTGGCCACCTCTCCACTTTGTCTTCTGGATATCCTGGGGTCCAAGTCGGGGGAAGGGGTTTAAAGATGAAGAAGGGAAGATTTGCATGTCACTGGTGCCAAGTAATCCTCTCTTGGCTACCCCTGGCTGTCTGTGTTGTTCACCCCACAGCTGTTACTCCTGAAGTATTTTGCCCCAACAGGCTTCCTTCTTGTATGGTGACTCAAGCCCAGAAACTTCCCACAGGACCCACTTGGCCACAGGAAACTCAATCATCCCTGCCAGACCAAAACCTGGTAGCAGAGATGGCTGTCTACTGCCACCATCTCTCCTCACTCTACCATTGTGCATGGCCACAGCTGGTCTTCAGGCCCAGTTCTAGGAGAGAAGAGGCAACAGTCATGAGTTTCACATACAATCTCTAAGAATCCTTCCAAGACCCTTTCAGCCCTTCTCCCTCCTTCAACTCCACACCCTGTAAGCATCCAGTGGGGAAGTGAGAGGCCTTTCTCTCACTTTTCACAGGCACCCTCAACTTGTATGTGTATTTCTCATGAATCCTCATCACTTGATTTGGGGAAGGACAACCCTAAAAAGGTAAATGAAGAAGAGATACCACTACTAGTCTAAAACCTTTCAGTGTAACTCTTCAGTCACGCATTCAATCTCTGGACTTGTTTTATATTCACTGCTGGGCATTGATGTGGGTTGATGGTTGCTGAACAGGTTCTGCTTTCTTTGAGTATGTTCAGCAGAATCTTTTAATTTCTCTCTTCACAATGAGGAGATGTTACCGGAAAGGAGTCCAGATCCAGACCCCAAGAGAGGGTTCTTGGATTTCGTGCAAGAAAGAATTAGAGGTGAATCCATAAAGTGAGAGCAAGTTTATTAAGAAAGTAAAGCCATAAAATAATGGCTACTCCATAGGCAGAGCCAGCCCAGAGGGCTGATGGTTGGCTATTTTTATGGTTATTTCTTGATTATATGATAAACAAGGGGTGGATTATTCATGAGTTTTCTGGGAAAGGGGTGGGCAATTCCCAGAACTGAGGGTTCCTCCTCTTTTTGACCATATAGGGTAACTTACAGACCTTGCCATGGCATTTGTAAACTGTCGTGGCACTGTTGGGAGTGTCTTTTAGCATGCTAATGCATTATAATTAGCATATAATGAGCAGTGAGGATGAACAGAGGTCACTTTTGTCCCCATCTTGGTTTTGGTGGGTTTTGGCTAGCTTCTTTATCACAACCTGTTTTATCACCCAGGTCTTATCACCTGTATCTTGTGCTGATCTCTTATCTCATCCTGTGACTCAGAATGCCTAACTTCCTGGGAAAGCAGCCCAGTAGATCTCAGTCTCATTTTACCCTATTTAAGACGGAGTCACTTTGGTTCAAATGCCTCTGACAGATATACTTCTTACCCATTGTTCTCAGCTTGGGGCTTTAACCAACATTCTGGGACATTGGGAAAAAATCTCACTCAATATTTTGTTACTTAAGAAAAATCATTTTCGTTAGCTTGAAATTTATTCAAGAAGATGAGAGAACAGAATTTCAAAACCCCCTAAAGATGTGAGTGAAGGCATAAAATCATAGACATTTTACAGCTTAAAGGATCTCAGAAATCACCATCTTCTCTTGTCTTTTCTTAAACTTTTATTTTACGTTTAGGGGTACATGTGAAAATTTGTTACATAGGTAAACACGTGTCATGGGGGTTTGTTGTACATATTATTTCATCACCCAGGTATTAAGCTCAGTACCCAATAGTTATCTTTTCTGCTCCTTTCCCTTTTCCCACCACCCTCCTACCTTTTCATTATCTATGAAAAAATCATGTTCCAAAAAGAATAATTGACTTGCCCAAGGCCATGGCTATAGGGCTAGTTATGAGCAGTGCTGGGTCTGCCTATAGATTCCTCACTTCATGCATCCACAGGGTAGAAGAAAGTACTTTTTTCCTTCATTGTGATGCTTCCCTGTTATTATCATCCTTATTTTTATTATTGACACATACTGAAAAAAATTTATGACTGACAGTGTTTTGAGATATTAAAATTATAGTTAAACACATTCATCTGGAACACCATCAAAAGCTGAAACAGGAATTTTTACATATTCTTTATTTTGCTTTTATGAGGAAGAGGTAAATGACATGTAAACAAGTTGCTATTAGAAACTTACCCAAAAAAGAAGCTTTTAAGATATGTCATTTCTTGATGAATCTGGTCAATACAGTTTCTCCCTATTTGAAAACTGAAATAATAAACCTCTACATTTCCATAATTCTTTGCCACTTAGAGCTCTTCTTTTCCTTTCTTTTTTTTTTTTCTGAGATAGGGTCTCACTCTGTCATCTAGGCTGGAGTGCAGTGGCATTATCACAGTTCACTACAGTCTTGAACTCCTGGGTTCAAGCAATCCTTCCACCTCAGCCTCTCAAGTAGCTGGGACTACAGGTGCATGCCACCATGCCCAGCTGAGTTTTAAATTTTTTGTAGATGTGGGGTCTCGCCATGTTGCCCAGGCAGAACTTTTCAAAACATCACCTGAAACTCTGCATTGAGAAATTAGGTTATAATGATTACCCTGAATCACTGCAAATGACTTTTGTTTTTGTTTTTGCTTTAATAGGAGAAAAGGCATACAAACTTATTTAACATGCACACAAAGGAACCTTCAGAATAAAGACCCAAGCCAACAATAAGGCACAGAATCTTATATTCCATCCTGAGGTTATAGAAAAAAATGTGAGCTCAGAGTGTAGCCCAAAACTGGTTATGTTGGTAAATCAGGTTTAGTGGCAAGACAGATTATGAGAGGGAGAAAGGAAGACGCCGATCTAGCAAAGGTAGCTTTGTTATATGGATGAAGCCTCATAGAGAGCAGTGCTCCGAGAGAGTAGACAGTAAATATCTTTTCAGACCTTTAAAGGTGTCAGTCTCAGTTAATCTCTCTTAGATCCAGGAATTGCCTAGAAAGGGAAGGCCTCACTGCATTAATGAGGATTCTCTACAGCTACAAATTTCTCTCACCTCAGTCTGCTGGCCATGCAGCAGCCATTTCAAAATGACATTTGAATAGTCCAAAGAAGACGGAATTTTGTTCTGTATAATTTAGTGTTAAGTGTTTAGAAATAGTCCTCTCACTTGTGATATTGGCAGATGGAAATTGTCAGCTAACTAGTATATTCCAATAACTGAAGTACTTCACTTTCCCAGCCATTTTGGATGTTGGATTGCCATTCCAATGTGCTTCCAATGGGCAGTTGCTGTTGGCTAAAACAAAGTTCGTAAATCCTTTTGTATTAGTCAGAGTTCTCCAGAAAAAGAAACCCAATAGGAGATATAGATACAGATAGATATATAAATATATAGATATAGATAAAAATATTGGTGATAAAATACGGGCTCACATGTTTATGGAGGCTGAGAAGTCCCACAATCTGTCATTGGCAAGGTTCAGGCCCAGGAAAGCTGGTGATGTAGTTTGAAGACCTGAAAGCCAGAGAGCCAGTGGCTGTAGATTCCAGTTCAGGTCTAGCAGCCTGAGAACCAGGAGTCCTAAAGGCAGGAGAAGATGGATGTCCCAGCTCAAGCAATCAGGCAGACAGCAAGTTCATCCTTCCTTCATCCCTTTGTTCTGTTCAGACTCTCAACAGATTGAATGATGCTTTTCCACACGGGGGAGAGACAACTGTTTTACTCAGTCCACCAATTCAAATTCTAATCTCTTCTGGAAGCATCCTCACACACATACCCAGAAGTCATGTTTAAATAGCTATCTGGGCATCCTGTGATCCAGTCAAGTTGATACATAAAACTAACTGTCACAATTTTTTTTCTATAGTATGTATCAAAAAACCTTAAATTATATTCTAGAAATTTATCCTAGAAAAATACTAAACAAGTATGAAAAGCTGCTTTACAGTGATATTCAATGTGGCATTTCTTATAATTTTCAACATTAAGGAATAACCTCCCTGTCTAATAAAAGGGGAATGGACCCAAAGATATTATATAGTGACAAAATGGAATTCTATACAGTCAATAAAATGGTGATATAGAAGACAATTTAGTGACATCCGAATGTGTTAATGCCATTTTCTTTAGTGAAAGAGTAAGGTGTCAGAGTGTGTAGTAAAATCACGCTTTTGTTTTAAAAAGTTATGTATCTTTAAGTTTGTGTGTACAAGAAAGAATATTGCTGAGATATGGATATTTTTGGCTTGCTGCCCCTAAGAATCTATTTGTATGAGTTGTTAAGACTGATATTCATGAGATCTTTATGTTTTTTGGCTCAAGAAAGAGAAAGACATATTGGGGATGAAGATAGCCAAAGTGATGGAGGGAAAAGGCGGTGGGAATGATTTCAATGGCATGGACTCTGTTTCAAAACCCAGCCAGAGTCAGGTTTTGAGTCTCAAGTGAGAGAGAAGTTAGGGAGAAAAGCTGAAGAACTATGTTGGTAAAAGTCTGCTAGCCTCTAACTATGCCACTTCAGAATCTAAGGAACAAGAAGGGCCTTAGATTTAAGAGAGGGTCACTGGTCAGCCTCTCTCCACCCTCCCACTCATTTCTGGCTGGCACCAGCACAGGGTACCTGTGCCCACCAAAAGAGCCATCTCATGGAGAATAGCAGCAGCATGGATGGCAAGCAGGCTGGAGCAGGAAAGAGTTGTGTTCCCAAGCATATGTGAGACTCCAGGATCCTGCAAGACATGCCCCGAGGGACAGCTGAAATCCACAGGGAGCAAGTGGGGACTGGGATCTGTCACAATGTGTATAGTAATCTAATGTAGGTTTTTCAACCTTGGCACTTGTTGACATTTTTGAGTGGCCAATTCTTTATCATTGAGGGCTATCCCGTGCATTGTAGGAAGATTAGTAGCATTCCTGGCTTCTACCCACTAGATGACAGTAGTCCCAACTCATTTAGTTGTGACAACCGAAAAATGTCTCCAGATATTGTCAAATGTTCCCTGGGGTCAAAATCTCCCTAGGCAGAGAAGCACTGATATAATGGAATCACAACTACAATGACAGGTTAGTGAAAATTGGTGCATGATAACGGCTAACATTTAATGAGTCTTTGTAGTGTTCTGAGCTTTATGGTTTTAACTCATTTAATGCTTACAATAACTTCATGAGGTGGGTTCTATACTTATCTTCATTTTAAAGATGCGGAAATGAAAGCACAGAGAAGTTAAGTAACTCACCCAAGCTTACACAGCTGATAGGTGGCAGAGCAAGAATATGACCCCATGCAATCTGGCTATGGAGACTTTGCACTTAAGAAATGCAATAATATATTAACAATTATGGACCTTCTATGTGATTGCCATTGTTCTTTGTAGGTTTTTATTTTTGTATTTTTCTAATTTTTTTCCAATAAAAGAAGTAACCTTAATAATAAAAAAAACATTATTTAGCAAGTAATTTACTAAGAGCCAGTGTTGCAGGACACCTGTATGAGCCCGCTTGCATGGTGAGTATATCCCAGCAAGGAGTCCCATTGGGTGTCCTTGTGCACAATCCCAAGAAAAGACCAAGATGGCCAACATAATTTTACACTTGGACTGAAAAACAACAGTATAAAAGACAGACTTGGCAGGGTGTGTATTTTCTATGGTTTGCTGAGTTCAATCTTCATATCGTCTCTCCTAACTATGCAGTGAATGAATTCGTAGTCGTCCATGCTCCATGGCTCACCACCCGCAGGCACTCACCTGAAAGCAGGCAGAGGACAGCCTCTCACCTTCAGCAGCAATGGGCTCCTCTCTGCGTGGTTGCTGATGCTGTTCCTGGGTGGAGGGGCTGGTAGTGTGTGGGTGAATAGGCATGGAGGCTGAGGCTCTGGGAAACAAAGGGCTGAGCCCATAGGCTTGGACTGAATCTTGCCCATTTGTCAAGCGCTGGCTATGGGAGGCACTCGGGGTGATGATTCCTGCCAAGGCTGGGGCTGGCAGCTGAGCGCTTCGCAGAGCCTGCCTGTCAGTCACTGCTTACGCTCATCCCTTAATGGCTCTTCCCTTGTCATTTGCCTGGTGTCGCTTTTATCTTAAGTGAATTTAACAATGGTGAAAGGTGCCAGTCTGAGATCCCCAGAGAGGAGCTTTGCCGGAAGAGCAGTTAGAATGAAAGTTGCCTCCATCAAATTGCCTCCGCTGCCCCATCTCAGGAATAAGTAACCCCACGGCTGCAGGGGTACCCCGGAGGCCTGGCCAAGCCAGCCGAGCTCTTCCCACAGCTCAGCAGGCAGCCTTAAGGGAAGCCAGCTGCATGCAGGTCTGCAAAACTGGAGACATCTTGCAATTGCTTTTTTCTTAATTTCCACACCCAGAAGTATTTCAGGAGGAATTTAATCTCTATGTTTCTGGTTCATTTACAATAAACTTGTCACAGGATTCTTTCCAAAGAGCCATTTGGTGCCCAAGAGGACTTGTGAGCTTTTTAAACATATATCCATCTTAAAAAAAAAATCTTGAACTAACCAGGTTCAAAGCAATGTCTGAGCCACACATGAATAAGAGATGGTTTTAAATTTCAAATCCCGTTAAATTCCTAAGAGTGGTTTTGTGAGGCAGCCCATCTCACAAATCAATCAATGGCAGGTGAAAGCAAGTATCAGTTTACTGTCCCTGGGTTGGGAGTTGAAGTTAGGGTGTGAGATGGGTGAGCAGGAGAAGTAAGAATAGAGGAAGCAAGAAAATAGACTAGCCGAAGGCATAGTAACTCCAGTTACTACTTCCTACCTCTTACTATATACTAGGTACTATGCTAAGTTCTTACAACACTGTAGCAATTTTCAGATTACCAAGAAACTTTCCCTGTTTTATACATGAATAAACTTAAGTTTAGAAGTTAAGTAAGTTACTCAGTTCACGCAGCTAGTAACTGATGTATCCAGACTGAATTCAGCTCCTTCTGAATGCAAATCAGCAACATTGAAATGAGTGGGGAAAATGGAGGAAAGAAGAAGAAGCTCAGCCAGTTCTGGGTTCCACCCTTTGCCACCGCCCATCAGGGTTCTATAATGCCAGAGCCTCTTTTTCTGTTTCCATCCTCATCACCTCAGAAAGCATGGTGGGATGGAGGGCGAGTCTGGCTGATTCCAAGACATCTCATTGTGCAGACTACAGTTGCTCCATTTGAAGAGCTTGCTTTCATTGCAATTGCTGGACATCACCTCCTATTCACCTAGCAAATTAAGCTTGAGGTACAGCTAGGAAGAACTGAGCTCTGGCTTCTTGACCTTTGAGTGAAACCTGACTTTACTTCTGAAGGAAACTGGAGGCAAATGATTTCCTAGGCACTGAGGTCAGTTATTTCTGTGGACCTTGTATTTATTCATATTTATTTATTTTTTGTTTATTTATTTTTTGAGACAGAGTCTCACTCTGTCACCCAGGCTGGAGTTCAGCGGTGTGATCTCCACTCACTGCAGCCTCCACCTCCCGAGTTCGAGCAATTCTCTTGCCTCAGCCTTTGGAGGAGTAGCTGGGATTAGAAGTGTGAGCCACCATGCCCAGCTAATTTTTTTTTTTAAATATTTTTAGTAAAGACGAGGTTTCACCATGTTGGCCAGGCTGGTCTCGAACTCCTGACCTCAAGTGATCTGCCCACCTCAGCCTCCCAAAATGTTGGCATTACAGGCATGAGCCACCATGCCCAGCCAATTTTTAAGACAAAATTTATTTGTATGTTCTGAAGATTTAAAAAAGAAACAGGGGTGTGTGTGTGTGTCTGTGTGTGTGTGTGTAAGATATCTGTGAGAACAGAGGACAGTTTTCTGCTCTACCAAGACCTGAGTTTGCTTATCACAGTTGCACAACAGTTTATTTGAGGCCTTACTTCCCTTGCTATGTAGTTCATGAAGTGCTGAGGACCTCTGATGGTAGGACTGTTGTATTTGACATTATGTATGCCACACGGAGAAACAAACTATCAGATGCATTTATTTTGATTGTCTTTTTATCTGGCACCACTGCCTTCTGTGCAGTTTATAAACATGAGCATAGATCTCTCCAAGCATGAAGGCCACTTGCAGGCTGCCCAGTGCTTATTTCTCATCTATTTAAATATGGATGGACACTGTGCTCATCCTTTTCTTTAATTAAGGGCTTTCCATTGAATCAGTAAGTGTAAAACTCCCAAAAGAGAGGATGAAAAGCGCTCATATGAAAGCAACCCACTGAATAGGATATGAGAGGACCTTGGCCACAAGGCCTGCCACTGTAGAAGGAAGTAGCTCATAGGTCCAGGCCTGAGCAAAGAGAAGCTTGAGGTGATGAGAAAATGTGAAATGAAGCCCAAGACAGGGGCTTTCCCTGGGTCTCCAAGGTTTATAAATACTTCTGGATGCAAAGGCATGGAAGATGACATACCTCTATCCACGCTCAGGAGATGATGTTGGTAACAGATGTAAAAAGGATTGGAGAACTATAAGGAGAGGGGAAAATGCCAATTTCAAGAGGCAGCAGCTCCTTGAAACACCTGGGATAGCCGAGTCCAGACTTGATTGGTCTCCCTCTACTGTCAGCTCCTCTGGCAACCATGGTCGACCCCATAAAAGGCAGTACTTCACCACAATCAGGTTAGTATTGACTTTTCCGGCTTCATGTAACCCTGTGTTTCCACATATCATTCCCTTCTCGAAACCTCCAAAGGTTTCCCCTTACCTGCACAATGAGCTCCAAACTCATTTCCTCAGCCTCAAAACTCTTTGCCACTTTTACTTTCAATATTTCCTCAACAATGTGCACAATGAATGCTTTACCCTATTAAACCTGATCCATTTGTCACTTAGGAGACCCTCTGTCCCAGTTTTCCCAGAACACGGGATTGTTGATGCTAGAACCAGGAAGTCCAAGGCAAACTGGGATGAGGAGGTTGCCTATCTAAGCCACCCCTGGATGAACACATTTGAATTGCTCTGCTTCCATACCTCTCATGCTTCTCCCCAGCTTAGAATGCCACCTGGTATTTTCTCTACCTGTTAGAATTTATTCATCTGCTAAGGTCCACATCAAATTCTATCTCCGGGGGGAAGCTTTTGCAGATCCCCCACCGTGACAATCCATTTCTCTTTCCTTGGAGATCCCAGTAGCTCTGGTTGTCTGGGGGACTGTAAGAGGAAGGAATTGAGTAGAGTGGTTGGGAACATGAATTTAGGAGGTAGACAGATGTGAGTCTGAAATGTGATTGTGATCATTGCTGATTGAATGCAAGTCATTTAGCCTCTCTGTGCCTGGACTTTCTCGTGGTTAATTGTGGTGGGACATGTAACTATAATACCTAGCTTTTTGGGAGGTTGTGAAGATGAAATGAAATCATATATATAGCACCTGCCTCATGTGGCATATTGATATATACAATGTTACTGTTCTTTGGTTCCTTTATTCAGTGAATATTTGTTGAGTGCCTTATATATGCTGGGCCCTGTTCCATGAAACTGAATCAAACAGATTAAAAAAAAATGCCCTCAAGGAGCTTAGATACTAGTGGGGAGTGGGGGAGACATAAATGTAAACTATAAACTGTGGCAGATGGTGATAAATGCTAGAAAAATAAAGCAGCAAAAGGGAGATAGTGAAGGTTTTATATAAGGTAGAGAGAGAGAGAGCCTTAAGCAAAGACCTAACAAACGTGAGGGGTTGAGCCATGTGGATATCTTGAGCAAATAGGCTTCCAGGTAGAAGGGACAACAAGCACAAGGTACTGAGAAAGACTGTGCTGGAGATTTTGGGATAATATGACTGGAGCAGAAGGAAAAAGAAATGTGGTAGGGAATGAAATCAGAGGTAGTAGGAAGGGCAGTCCATGGAGGACTGTGGAGGTAACCAAAGTACTGTGGCTTATTCCTTGCACAAGAAAGCATGACCCTGAAAGTGTTTTGGACAGAGAAATCCCATTTTCCGACTCCTCATTTTAAGAGTCGTTCTTACACTGGGTTGAGGATAGACTATAATTGCGGGCAAAGGCAGAAACAGGAAGACCTGTCAGGAGACTGTTGTTGTAAAACTGGGTGAGAGAGGAAGATGACTTAGGCAAGGGTGCAAGAAGTGAAGGTTATGAGAGTGGTTAGATTTTGGCTCTTTTGGGGGGTAAATCTTGGCTTTTTTTGGAGGTAGATTCAACAGGACTTACTAACAGAGAGTAGCCTGACTCCACTCAGGAATGACTCAAAGGCTTCTCTAAAGAAGGATAGCATCACTTGTCAACTGAGATGAAGACTGGGGATGTGCAGGCCGGAAAAGAGTTTAGCTTTGGAGATGTTACGTGCGTGATTTCTTTTAAACATCCATATGGAGTTGTTGAACCATGTTAACCAGGCAAATCTTCCTTTAAAAAAATAAATCTCAGGCTTATTTAGTAGTTCAAGAGGAGGGCAGAGATTAGTGGGGGATAACTAAAGCCCTTCCCTGAGACCTCCCCTAGGTACTACTACCACTACTCAACCAGAAGCTCAGATTCACCATCTTATCCTTTTTTTCTGAATCTCCCTCAGTTCTTAGAACAGGACTGGGCCCAATAAATTTCTGATTTGTATTGTCTAGTGACAACAGAACTGTAGAGCAGGAACTTTGGGTTTCAGGAGCTCTTTTAAAACAGAACCTTTGTGCTTCTAAGGCCTTTTCATAAAAGAACCCTGCCCTCCACGTGGAAGCTTTCTGAAGGCACCCAGCATATTCCATAGTCCTGCGTGAACCTTAGTGAACACTCAGGTAGGCAATGCTTGGTGGCAGACAACTTCACTCTTCCAGGTTCCCCAGAAACAAGAGAATAAAAGGCAGAAGATGAATGGCCTTTGCCTCTGAAACAGCTGCTACTGCTCCCACAACTGCATGGCCAGTTGATTTAGAGATTTGTGAAGAGAGCCTCTGAGCCCCTCACTTCTGCCAAGTGAATTGCCAGGAGCATCCCATGGCAGGAGTTATCGTTCTACTCCAGGTGCTGCAGGACAAATGCCCTGGAGTTGGAAGATGAAATACCCTTGCTCCTAGAGGAAGCTGCAGGCACGACCTGGGCACACATGTGAAGATGAAGGTTATCCTGCCCTGAATAGCCAGCAACTTGGAGCTAAGTCAATAACACTCATCAAAGACTAATTCCAGAGGGAGGCACCTAGGACTTGCTGTTGCTGAAAGACTGATAATATTGCTAACTCTCCCTCATTTATGTCAATGAGGTGGAGGTGGGCACCATGGAATAGTTGCTCCAAACAATACATAATCCAGAAACTAAAGCCATTTCCCTTAATTGTGAATGATATACTGATCTTTTTGCCTTGTTCAGGCCACACTTTGCAGATATTCCAGGTACCAACTGATATGCCATAGTCCCATTCCCCTCCCACTCCTCCACTTCCAAAATAATTGTTCTAGAAAAATATTTCTAGGATCAAACAAATTTGGCAAATTCTGGGTTAACAAACTGCAATAGGTTTCTTTGTGCAGGATTTCTCAAAGCTTTAACGCGCAAATACACACTGAAATTTTCCAAAGGGAAAGAACATGTGCAGTAATATTTGAGCAGAAGGACCTGTTTACCAGAAGTTCCTATTAAGGCAAGTGTTCCCCTAATCACACTTTGGGAAATGCTTCCTTAGGCTAACATGAAAATGGTTTTCATTCTCTGAGACTAAATGATGCTTGGGGAAAGGGCCCAGGAGCAGGCTGAGGACTGGATTTTTTCAAGTGCCAGGAGATTTAAAAAGAAAGGAAAAGGCAGAGAGAACTAATCAGTCCAGGAGCATGAGGGGGCCGTCGATTCTCCTGCCTGGCCTTTACTGACTCACTAGCTTCTGGCTGAGGGATCTGGCTCTATGAGAAGGGCTTTGCCTTCAGAAGTTACAAACAGGCATTTGCTTTAAGACCTGGCTGGCATTATGCAGTGTTAAAGGAAGGAAAAACTGAATGAACACCAAAAAATTTCACCCAAGGCTACTTTTAAGGGGGAGGGCCTATCAAAATTTACATACTCAAAAGGCTTCTCTTAACACAACCCTCAGACCACAATCCTTGCTGCAAAATTTTGGCCAATATTTTCATGTAATGAGAAAATCAGAGAAGTTAATAGGAAGTATAGGGGGTTTCAATCTAACCTACTCTATCCGTCATTTCCTCTGCAATATATGGAAAAGCCATCCTGTTGCTATTTGAACACCTCCACTGGTTGGGGGTCTCACCACCTCCTAAAGCAGCTTGGTCCATTGTCAGACAGCTCTAAGTGCATGGATCTAGTACAGTAAACTTTACTCCTGACTAACATGATCCCAAATTTCCAGCATTCTCAGTGCTTGCTGCTTTGAGCATGGTATGTGCTAGCCTCTTCCAGTGAGTAATGCAGAGCCTAAAATAAAGCAACAGTAAGTCAGATAGACTGAGAAAATGAACAGAAAGAAACATACAAGTAAAACCGCCAAAAAATAGCAGTCTTCACATTTTGTACTATTTGGGGAAAAGCAAACCTATGAAGGTGCCTTTTCGGTTAAAGAGGAAGGTTGTTTTGCAGGGAAGAACAAGAGGATGTATGTGAAAGTGTTTTGAAGAACTCACTGGGTCATACACCTAAGTGTAAGGTATTTATTAGAGGATTAACATTGGGAGCTATCACAAGGCAGGGAGAATAGGAGTGGGAGAAAGGGTCTGATTGCTAAGAGGCTAGTTGGAATGAGAGGAAAGCAGTGGAAGGCAGGAGCTTGAAAGATCCAGAGGAATCACGTGCAGAGGAAGCGGGTCAGTAGATGGTTACGTGTCCTCCTGAAAAATCAGTTTCTACTTATGAAAATACTACCTTGGTCACCACACACCCTCAGCTATGTTGCCTAACTCAGAAATCTGGGCGTCACCCTTAACCTCTTCTTTTTCTTCATCCCACTATTCCTGCCAACCTGTTGTCAAGTGTGGAAGCCCTCTCTCTTAAACACAAGGAAGCTGTATGATGTGTTCACAGACAGTAAGTGCGGTGCCCATTATCTTTTAATTAAGATGAACTAAGAGCCTTTTAACATGCAAAGCAATGACAGGCAAAAAACTTCTCTGTGAAGATCCCACTGTATCACTGGGCACCATTTACCCAATCAAGGGGAGATGTACTTCTGGACAAATGAGGCATCAAGACTCAGTTTCTGGATCAATGACAGCACCAGAATGAACTAAAAGGCAGGAATGCCCTTTGTTGGAAGGATTCACTGCCTCCCTGCATCTCTGAATAGACAGCTGCCTTCCTCAAGACGTGTTCTTTACCCTTGGACTCAATTGCTCCTGGACACCATCATGAAGCCACCGGGCATGGCAAACATCACCTGATCCAGCCTCAGACTCAGCTGAGGACGTCCTGAATCTTCACTCACACTGGGGTCCTTTAGGGTGCTTAAAACAAGAAGATAAGGGGATGTCCTGAAAGAAGAGCTGAGTGACAGAGTGATGTGCATATGAAGCGGCAGGGGTCTGGTGAGTGTGTGTATGTATGCACACATGTGTGTATATGTGTATGCATGTGCACAGGGGAAAGACAGGTTAAGCTGCGGTTTCACATCTTCTCCAGCTGCCTCCATCTGGAAAACTGGAAGATTCTCCGACTCTAATTCACAGAATTCTCTTGGGGGTGGATTGATTATAGTACTTAGAGATACTAATGATTTACAGGGACTGGGAGGTCTCCCGATTTGCCTTCAGGCCTTCAATGACCTTTGACAGCTTTCTGTCTCCATCCATGGTCTGTCAGCCCAGAACCCATCACACCCAGCCAAGCCCAGTGTCATTTCCTGGCTGGAGCAGCTTCCTTAACTTACAGGACTCTGGACCTTGCCTGCATCTACCAGTCTCCCTTAATTGACCTCTCTGAATTCAGTATCTGCCTACCTTATTGCATATGTCCATTCTAGGGATGTCAATATCACATGTCTACTTTCACGTGTAAACCAACATGTGGAACCTGTGGTTAATTGTAAAATGCCACTCAAGGGCATTAAAGATATATACTTTATGAAACGCTGTCTAGGAGAAAAAAGTGATAACTCAGCAAGCAGTTTGCTTCATACTAGAATCCTTCCAAGTGCCTTTCCCTTTGCAGTTCAAATCTTGTACCTTAAATCACCAGTGTACTTCCTCCTGGGTCCTCAAACTCTGGATGCCAGCCCTTCCTAGCCAGTCCTGTTCTGAGGTGCTGTATATGCCCACGGAACGATGAATACTTAACTTTAAATTTGGAAGTCACCTATTTTTGGCCACCTAAAAGCTCCCATGCAGACATTTACCTGGAATTGTGCAGTTTTCATCTGCCTTTACACGCTTAAGTGGATCTTAATTTTAGGTGTGAGTGAGGCACTAAATGACTTCATTTGAGACTAGGGGGTCTGGTTTTTAGGAGGGGCTATAAGACTGATGATTCATGATGCATTCAACACTCATGGGGTGGGGAGAATGTGGTGTGAAGTAGGCATGAGCTGTGGAATCTGGCCTGGGTCACAATCTGGATTCTGACACAGGGAGCCTTAATCTCTCTGAACTTTATGCATGAAGTTGATCATTGTGAAAATTGAGTGAAATAATGCGTATAAACCGCCCGGTACATTATATACATACAACAGGTGCTCAATAATGGCAACTTTTGATTATGATTTATGAGCACCCCTCAGATGTAAGGTGTTAGGTGTTGCAACACCTATAAAGATTTATTCCACATTTGGGTGCAACATCCAGGCTCTCTGTCTTTTTTTTTTAAAGAGTGCAAATCCACGTTTATTTATTGACTTTCCCTTAGTTTAAATCCTTGAGGGGTACAACATGACTCGGATTCTGTGTCCAATAGCCTTAGCAGGAAGATTGCTTTGGAATTTGGCACGTTCTCGGAGTTACCTTTCCCCAGATTACTCTGGTTTTGTTTAGTTTGCCGCCAGGAGTCACTATGTTGCTCTTTGCTTTGTATACGTAAGTGCATCACTAGTTCAAAGAGAATTCTGTTTAATCTCTGGCATAACCACCTTCGACTTTAAGAAGAGCTGTGTGCTCCCTTTGGTTCCGGAGACCCCTCTCATAGCCAGTAAAAATGGCCTTGGACCACAGCCTTCCAGACATATTTCCTTTTAGAAGTCCTGTTCCCTGCAGGCCTCCACAGGAGCCAAGATGGCGGGAAGAGAAAAACAACATCCAGGCTCTTACTTACCATGTCAATGCTTCTCAGCCCTGGCTAATTCCAGAATCACCTGGAGGCTTTTTTTCTAATTACAGACTTCTGATACTACAGTTGTCCCTCGGTATCCTGGGGGAATTGGTTCCAGGACTCCCTCAGATACCAAAATCCTCAGATGTTCGAGGTCCTCATATAAGTTGGCTTAGTATTTGCATATAACCTATACACATTCTCCTATATACTTTAAATCATCTCCAGACGACTTATAATACCTAATACTATGTAAATGCTATAAACAGTTGTTATACTATACTTTTTAAATTTTCTGTTATTTTTTGTTTTATTGTGATTTTCCTTGTTTTCAAAATTTTTTCATTCAAAGTCAGTTGAATCTGTGCATGTAAAGCCCAGGAATATGGAGGATAGACTATACTTTAAAAAAATTCTGATTTAGCAATTTGGGGTGGGACCTGGGAATCTGTATTTTGTAAAAGATGTGGGAATGACTCTAATGATCAAGCAGAGGTTGGAAAGAGCTGATTTAGAGCCAAGTGTATCTGGCCACTAAATCAGTAATTCTTAAGGGCATGGTAATAACAAAGTTGCTGGTGCAGTGGTTGATGAAGATTTTCTTCCCAAATAAACACATTAAGCATCCCCCTTCAGCCAACCAGGGTATAGTAGGACCGGAGAGGAGGATGTGTATATATTTTTTTAAAGTTTATAGGTAGTTTTGCTATATCTCCTCTTCTCCATTTCTATTGGAAACCCTTCTACGGGACAGTCTTGGAGCTCAAACCCCAGTGGGATGTCAGCATTCATATTCTCTGGCACCATCCTTGTGCCTTGTGACTGTGATTTTATAATTCCACATTCATAACTTGAATTCAATTTAAGACAATGCCAAAAGGACCTCCCAGAAAGCAATATGATGTTGGGAGAAGAAGCCACTCAGGGCAGATTTGCCCCAGAAACTGATTCATGAGATGTTGCAAGTCAATGACAATCAGAACTAGGGGATAAAAGGCACTGGTCATTTTGCAATTCCCAGCACTAAAACAAATACCTAGTTGTTGATTAGTTTTCAAGTCCTGGAGATAAGTTGCCTCCAAAGAATGAGAAGTTAGGCAAGTGGGTAATTTCATGTTGAAATATAGGAGTAAAGGATGCAGAGTGTCCCTTGAGAGTACCCAGCTGCAAGATAATAACCCCAAGGGGCAGAAGGCAGGTGCAGCCTCTCCACCAAGTGACAGACCAGCTGGGAGGTGCATCCACTTACTTTTCACAGCAGCTATCCTGGATCTGAGAGGCTTGGAAGCTGGAAATAGGTGCTAGCCAGAGGTGTGTTTACTGGAGGTTGGCGGGGGCAGAGGAGAAGAAAACAGGGAGATTGAAGACAAGTGTGCATCCTGATTTGAGAAATTAGCAAAGACTGCAGATCTTCAGGAACCTGGACAGTCTAAACATGGGAGATGACTACAGAAGCAATATTTATATGAAAAGATGCTCCATGAGAATGTCAGCCCCATGACAGCAAGAGCTTTATCTTGTTCAGGCCGTCAATTCTTAACCAAAATGATGCATCTTGTTCAAGTCAGATATAAAAAATAAAACACATTGCTTCTGTATTATCAGGGAAGAAAAAGCAAAGGGGGAAAAGCCACTATTTAACAGATACCTGTTCTGTATCTGATATTTTAATACCTTGGTTCTCAAACTTTGTTGCACATTTCAATCACCTGGAAAGATTTTAAAACTCTCAATGCCCTATACCAGTTAATCCACAATAACTGGGGGTGAGAGCCAAGCATCGGCATTTTCTAGAAGATCCTCTGGTGATTCCAATTTGCAGCAAAGCATGAAAACGACTGGCTTCACACATTATTCTTTTAATCTAAAAAATAATCCTGTGAGACAGGCCTCATAAAGTTAGCCCTGTTTTACATATGAAGAAGGATGATAAAAGGATAATCACTTGTCCAAGATCAACCAACAATCAAGAGCCTAACTTTGGTTAGCTTTAAAATGTAAGTACAACACTTATCCAGTGGCTATACTCTTTTCATAGCATATACAACTGCTCAAATTGTTGTAATAAAATGCCAGTTTAAACAACAGAAATTAATTTTCTTGTGGTTCTGGAGGCTGAAAGTCTTAGATGAAGGCCCGGCAAGATGGGTGTCTGGTGGGGGCTCTCTTCCTAGATTGCAGATGCTCACCTTCCTGCTGTGTCTTCATAAGGTAGGGGCAGGGGAAGAAGGAGGGGGAAGACAAGGAGCAGGGGGAGGAGGAGAAGAGAAGGCATTAGCTCTCTGGTGTCTTTTTCTTTTTTCTTTCTTTCTTTCTTTTTTTTTTTAACAGAGTCTTGCTGTCACCCAGGCTGGAGTGCAATGGCATGATCTCGGCTCACTGCAATCTCCGCTTCCCGGGTTCAAGCAATTCTCCTGCCTCAGCCTCCCGAGTAGCTGGCATTACAGGCGCCTGCCACCATGCCTGGCTAGTTTTTGTATTCTTAGTAGAGAAGGGATTTCACCATTTTGGCCAGGCTGGTCTCAAACTCCTGACCTCAAGTGATCCACCCACCTCGGCCTCCCAAAGTGCTGAGATTACAGGTGTGAGCCACTGCACCCGTCCTGGTGTCTCTTCTTATAAGGATATCAATATCAGATCAGGGCCCTACTTTATGACCTCATTTAACCTTAATTATCTCCTTAAAATCTCAGTCTCCAAATATAGTCACACTGGGGCTTAGGGCTTCAGCGTATGAATTTGGAAGTGGCACAATTCAGTCCATGGCACGCAGTAGTTTGGTATCCTACTTACCATTCAGTAGATAACCCATCATTATCCTTCATTGATAGGAAGCATATTCATCACCTAAGAGTAAATGTCAGTTTTTGTGAGATGTCCTCCAACTCACTGAAGAAAGAACAAGAAGCCATAAACTAAAATCTCTAGTATAATGAATTGAGGCTTAGATACTAGAATGTATTTCCTGAACAAGATTGTTCAGCATTTTTAAACAAAAAACATCTAGAAATTTTTTCTACCTCTGCTTCTTTAAGGAACAAGTGAAATTTCAGATGAAATCTGAATCACACTTTTGTGAACCAAGATATTCCGGGAAGGATGGCAGATCAGAACTTAAGGAGCACTTTCTCCCATGCAGGCTGTTCTGAGGTTGATGAAGCACTACTACTGATGCTCAGAGAGAAACATGCCTCGCTGGTCTAATTCTGTGTGGCACGGGCACTTTGCTGGTCCAATTCTATGTGGCACGGGCACTTTTCAGGGCATTCAGCATTTACCGAACCTCCGCTTACACTTTATCCAAGATGGAGGACAATTTCTAACTCTTCATTTACTTCTATTTTTATTCAAAGATAAGACCCTCACAGCAGAAAGGAATTACAGCCTAAATTAGCTGTGGAAGTGGTAGGAAAAGACCTCAGCTCTTTGCAGGAGTCCTAGTGCCTAGGTGCAGATGAAAGGACTTTGTTCTCATCTTGTTAGTAAATAGACAGCTTTCAGACAGGACTAAAGAGCCGAGATCTTTGAGAAACCATATCAAATATGAGACAAGAAAAGTAAAAGCCTATGAAAGTTATCAAGAAAGAGAAAATGATTAAAACTGGAAACTACATACTAATAAAATAGATGTGTATTATTTAGGAAAATTCTCAAATAGAAAATTAACAAATAATGAGTATTTATAAAAGAAATGAGTAATCTCAAGGATTAGCACAGATTTACTTTGAACAATTTATACAACCCTAATGCATGTCCTTATTTTGCTATGATTATTAGACTGACATATCAGGAAAATGCCACATGTCTATTTCAGCAAGACATTTGACAGTATTTTAAATGGTATCCTTATGAACAAGATAAAGAAGTGTGAGCTGGCTGGAAATTCAGTTATATGAATTTATTGGAAAACTCATAAAAATTCACATTTTAGACTGATATTAACAATGGGAAAATTTTAAAATAATAATTATCTTAATTATTTTTAATAATTATCATATTAATGATAACAAATATTTATCTACTGACAGTGTTTTACATGTACTTTCACTTTTTAAAAAAACTCATGGTCATTAAGTCTCATTGGTAAACTTAATGCAGTCTTGTTAAATATTTTTGGCAATTATTTGGTGAATATCATACAAACAGTTTGGAGTGTCAGAAAACTGGGGGACAACACTATGTTGGATTATTTAAAACAGAGATATTGGAAAAAATTCAAGTGATTTTCAAACTTTGCTGATAGCATCAGAATCTTTTCCTTTAGAACATTTTTGAAAGACAGATAGTTGTTAGCATATAAAAGGAAAGTTCTCTGGACTCTAGAAGCATCAAATGAGTCTCACTCAGGAGCAATGTCTGTATTAAAGGCCTCATACATGGTAACTTGAATGTGAACATAACACAAGGAAGCTTGCAGAAATCAACTCCTGCCCTCAAGGAACAGATGACCTAGAACTAATAACAAAGACAGACAGGAAGGTATGATGAGATAAAGACACCCTAATAGACAACCAAGCACACAGCCACAGCCAGACCCGTGAAAAAGAGTGATGGATTACAGTGAGTGCAGGTGGCTGGTTCAGATGCACAGATGGGGGTAGGAGGAGAGAGGGCTCAATCTGTGTGCATGTTCACGTATGAATTTTCTCCCATATGTGCACTGGGGGAAAGCAGAAGGAATATGAAAGTTTTTGTCAGCAACTGGAAGGACAGCCTCTCCTTCATAAAGAGGAGAGACAAATAGTTTGTCATACTGCCTGGCTACTTCCTCAAGCAGTTACCAGAGAGTACTCTCCCTGGATAAAGCTTGTCCCTTGGGGTGCAAATGCCTTGCCTTTTCCTCTTGCACTCACATGCAGGAAGGGGAGGTAGAATCTGCCTTGAGTTCACCCCTCCATTGACCCCAGTCCTGGAGCTTCCCCACAGACCTGGACAATGCTGAAAGCCAAAGGTCACAGGAGTAGAGAAGCAGCAGACAGGTGAGGAACTCCAGGGAGATGAGTCCTTGCCCCAATGTACTAGAGGTAGGGCTGCTACTGTTTAATTCGTACCTGGATGGGATGAAAAGGATCAGCCACCCAGTGGAAAGGGGCAGGTGTTCGAAGCCACCTTGTGATTTAATATGCTGTCTATGGGGTTTCTCCCAAAGTAGATGGGAAAGTCTTCAAAGACAGGAAGATGTTGTCTGCCCACTCAATCTGTCCCTAACTCCCCGCAAAGGCTCCTAAAACATATGGAGCTACTCTAGAACAGTGTGTCTCAGGGTGCTGTGGCTTTTCAATCACCTAATTTAGCTGCCTTTGACACTTGATAAATACAAAGTCCTAGAACCTGTCACATAACTGCTAAATCAGAACCCCTGGAAGAGAGTTCAGAACCTGAATATTTTAGATGCTTCACAGATGATAGAGATAAACACAAGAGTTTGTGACGCTTCACAGATGATGCAGATAAACACAAGAGTTTGTGAACCAGCGTCCCAGAGGACTTAAAAATCTCAGCTGTATAATGCTGGATTCTGAGCCAGACAGCCTGAGTTTTAAATCTCTGCTTCTTGCTCACTGTAAGACCTTGGGCAAGTTACCAAACCTTTCTACACCTTGATTTCCCCATCTGTAAAATGGGGATAATAATAATCTCTACCTCAAAGAGTTGTGAGGATTAAATGAATATACAAAACACACATGTAAAGCACTTAGAACACTGACCAACACACAGTAAACCGTCAGAAGTGTAAGCAGTTATTATCTGATCCTGCTCAGTGTATGGAGTAGGAAGTAGAAGTGCAATTCGAGAAGCAATGCACAGCCAGTTGAAGACTCCATGACAACTAAAAGCCAGGTCTTTGTACTTTCCTGACAGGGCACTTTCTGTTTTTGTTTCTTCCCTTCAGGGCACTTTCTGCTTTTGTTTCTTCCCTTCTATCTCTCTCTTTTTTTTTTTTTTTTTTTGAGACTGAGTCTCGCTCTGTTACCCAAGCTGGAGTGCAGTGGGTGATCTCGCCTCACTGCAACCTCCACCTCCTGGATTCAAGCGATTCCCCTGCCTCAGCCTCCTGAGTAGCTGGGACTATAGGAGTGCACCACCACAGCCGGCTAATTTTTGTACTTTTAGTAGAGACAGGGTTTCACCATGTTGGCCAGGCTGGTCTTGAACTCCTGATCTCAGGTGATCTGCCCGCCTCGACCTCCCAAAGTGTTGGGATTACAGGCGTGAGCCACCGCGCCCGGCCTCTTCCCTTTTCTCTTCAAGGGGATTCCAAAGTTTGGTGCTCAATCACTAAGAATGATCCAAATGTGCTTTTTATAAACAGTTCCATAGGGAAAACAAAGAAAGGCTAAATACCATTTGGAGAACCAGTTCCGAGTGCTGCCAGCGTATGTTTGGTCAGAACCCAGGCGAGAAGTCATGATCAGAGAGTACAGCAATGAAAGACTCCATGGGAGAATCTTGGCCATCTCTTTTATGGGCCAGGAAACCATGCCCCTGAGAGTTGTAGTGATTGATGTGCATATGATCCAAGATTATGACTTTAATGCACAACTCCTGACTCCCAGTCCAGTGCTCTTGCCCTTTCCCGACCCTAGGAAATGAGATGCCATGTGCTTTGGAGCCACCGAGTCTGAGCCTCCTGGATGGGACATTTTGCAGACTCCTCCACGCCCAGATCTTTTGGCCTGCCTTCTGACAATCCCTCCACCAGCCGACAGCCATCTGCATACAGCAGTGACAGCTGAGGTTAGAAGGCATTGCTAAGGAGGACTTGGAAGAAACCAATTCAAAAGTGCTCAGATTTTAATAGAAAAGGCCTTCAGGGATTCTTCTAAATCATGCAGAGCAAAGCAGTTCTTCAAGTGACCCCAGCCTTGTCCTTTTTATAACTTCCTCCAAATGAGGGGTGGTTGGGGACTCATACAGGAACAGCTCCTTATTCCTGGCAACAAGTTTCAGTGATACTGGGTGTCTCTGTGACCAGCTGTCCTTTAAGGGTTCTCAGCAATAGTCTTGGTTCCAGCCTAAGGATTCCCATGAGGCCCCTCTTCTCTTCAGCGCTGTGTCTACTCTTCAGCCAATAAACGTCAGCCCTCTTTCACCCACTGCTTCCTCACATCCCCTCTTACTGTAGGTAGGGTTCAGGGTCCACATTTCTGGCCAGCATTCAGAGGAGAAAAGAGGATTGGCATGAGCAGGCAGGAGAGAGAGAGCCTGGTGCCTGGAAACGACTCAGCATCTTGCCCTTGTTACTAATAATCCTCCCAAAATCACCGAATGGTTTCTGGGCATTAAAGTTATCGTTTGCCATAAACCCCTTGTCTGTTTTCTGGAGAGTTTAATATATTGCAGGAAGTTTCACCCATAAAAGGTGATGGCTGCGCTCCTGTGAGTGAGCTGGACGCCTGTAACTTATGACCTTCATAAATGTGAGTGGGTCTCGCGAGCAAGTCCATCAGTCTTTGGAGTAATTCTGCTTCGTAGTAAAATATTTTACTGTGCATACTCCTGTCAGCATTTACCTCAGTGGTGTGGAGACTTCCCGTTCCTGCTGCCTCTTGCTCCCTACTCTTGCACCATTTTCAGTGATCTCAGTCTCAGACTCCAGTCTGAGACACACAGAATCATCTGCTTTTTTAGGGCTGCAGCCCAGCTCAATCCAGGGACTTGTGGGACTTGGAAAGCAGCAGAATCAATGTAGCATTATTTATCACTGTGACATTTTGGGTACTTTTCTTTGCTTGCAGAACTTGAAGGAGTAAGCCAAGAAAGCCATCACTTTAACCAGGGAGGGTCCTTCATTATCAAATGGGACTGTGCTTGAAGACGATTCGCAAGCTGTAGAGTCTTCTAGAAGCGGGAGACTTTTTGTCACTCTGATGAAGCATGGCAGTTAACATTCTGCTTCATAGTCCCAGAGACCTAAATAGGGTTTATCAGAGTCACAGGCTTAACACCGGCCCAGAAAATAACCAAACGCTTTTTATGCAGCGTGGATCAGTAGCGAGAACACTCCTGTTAACAAGCTCAAGTTTCAGCTCCGCCACCTGCTTGCCAGGTGATGTTGGGCAAATTACTCATTTCCCCTATGCCTCAGTTTCCAAAGGTATAAAATACTATGCCATCTCCATCTCAGTGTTGACATGAAAAGCAGATTAAATACTTCATAACAGCAAAAACTGTCATAATTGCCATGTGGTAATGTTGTCACAGTAAGGAATAATGGAGGGGTAAAGGCTTAGAGGAAATGAAGCCAAGTGGAAAATGAGAGCACTAATAAAAAGGATTCAAGAGAAAAAGAAGCAGTTGAATAGAATAAGTGGAATATCTGGCTTTTGAAATCAGGTGTCACTGCTGTTACGAGGATGGGCAGTGCTGGGAGCTGTGAGTTGGTGACCATACTAGAGGGGGCTGGCTTTGTGAGGCTCGGGGGATGGTTCATCTGCCTGGTAACCTGCTACTTCCAGAAACTGTCCATGGCCTGGTCTCAGGGCAATTCAGTTCATTTCCAATTCAACAAATATTTGTTGAATGCCTATTGTGCCAGGCACTACTGTAGATTTTTGAGATTCATCAGTGAATAGAACAAAAATCTCTGCCCTTGAGGAGCTTACAATCTAGAGAAGGAAGTTGTCTGCTGCATATCCACACCAGATAACCAGTTCCTCAAACACAGAATGGTACGTAGAGTAGCAGAGGCCCTACCTTCCCATTGGTTCTCCTGTCCCTCAAGTGGACACTAGGGGACGTTGATAAAAACTGATGCTGTGGGATATTGAATAGAGAGCTCCTCAGACTCTATGGGGCTCTGCAAGTCCATCCTTCCTCCTTCCCTCCCTCCTTCTCTTTCTTCCCTTCTTTCTTCCCTCCACTGGGTACATCATTTTCATATTACAGGTGGAAACAAGTTCATTCCATCAGTCACTAGTGTAGCTGAATTTAGAATATGCCTTCAAATCTGCTTCTGAAAAATATTTGACAAATTTCTAGGAACACTTACAGTGAGAGCAGAGAGACAGACAAGGCAACAGGATGGAGCAGAGGAAACTTGATAAATAGAAGAAGCAGGAGATTGTTCCCCAGGAAAAATCAACGTCCCATGGCATTTTAAAGACTTTCAGAACTGCCCAACAGTTATAATCTAGGGGTTACCTCTTGCCTCAATTTGAGAAGCCTGGTTACTGCGAAGACAATCATATATTCTTTAATCTATAACTTGTTTGAGTAATTAGCTTATGTTGGTTAGTTATTGCTATGTAATGACCAGATTCTCAGTGTTGTGCAACAGTGAGCACTGATTTAGCTCACATGTCCTCAAGCTACCCTGGGAGTTGACTGCTATGGTCTGGGCTTCACTGGGCATCTCTAAGCCTGTGGTTCTGAGGCTTCATTCTTCTCCCTACTCTCTCTGCTCTCACTCTAGTAATTAGAAGCTATTTTAAATGTTCTTCAGAAGCAAGTTTGAAACTGAATTTTAAATTCAGCCACACCAGTCATTGATAGGATAAAATTGTACCTATTAGTCTGTTTTAGAACACAAATGACCTGTGATAGAAGATTGATATACACACTGGAAGGGAGGGAGGAAGAATGGAAGGAAAGAAAGAAGGAAGGAAGGGAGTAATTTCCAAAAATAACTGGACTAGCAGCATCAGCAACACATGGAAACTTATTTAAAATGCAAACCATCCAGACCTCCCCCAGACCGACTGTATCAGGGTCTCTTGGACTGGGTCCCAGCAATCTGTGTTTTAGTGAGCTTTCCTGGTCATTCTGATATTAACATTTGAGAACCACTGCCCTAAGGTACAGGTTAGATCTTTCATCTTTCAAGGACCAGTCAGCTAGTCAGGGCATACTTTTCTCATGAAAATGGCAAGGTGCAGGAGGGAGAGCAGCAATGTGTGGCACCTCTCAGGCTGACACGAGGAATTGGCAGCTGATATACTGTCTGCCCAAATTTCACTGGCCAAGCAGCCATGTGACCAGGGACAAATAATTGGGACAGAGAACCCAATTTACCACAGAACTTAACAAAAATAATGTTGAGATACCACTTTATGATCTATGGTGCTCTTTTACGTACATTATCTGATTTAATTCTCATAACAACACTGTGAGGTAAGAGGTATCTCCATTTAATGGAAGAAAAAAGGAGATTCTTAGATGTCGAGGTCAATGTCGCATAGCTAATAAGACCTAGGTCTCCCATCTCCACATTTGGAACTATTTCATTGCATCAAACTTCTACCCCATAGGTTCATAAGGATCCTGGATTTCTTTCATGATCAAAAACATCTCCAATGTACAGTGCAATATATTTCCTGTACCCTAGAGTCCCTATGCACACAGGGAGAATGAGAATCAGAAACAGGAACATATTTTTACCTATTATCAGCCTCACATTAGACAGTTGACTCTATTTCCAGGTTTCACAGTCCCAGCCTTTTTTTGCTTCTAGTGTTTCCTCATAAACTTGAATTTCAAGGTTCCATGAGCCTTCCTTTGAATACCCTGCAACTTAAAATTTTCATACAAGGGATTTTTCTATAGGAAGCTTTCTTTGACTCATTTTCATGATTTTCTGATTTCATGAGAGTGTTACAAGGTGGGTGGGGTGAATAAGAGCACAGAAAAAGAAAGAGCAAAGAAGCACAGTTTCCTTGTGCAGCTGAAGACACAATCCAGAGAGGGAAATAAGATTGAGAAGGAAAATAAAAGGAAGAAGAAAACATGACATAGAGGACATAATGTTTCCTCGTGCTGTGGTATAGAATGCAGAAATTTTATCAGCTAAAGCTGAAGGGGAATTTTAGTGCCTCTGATGACTTAAAAAATCTAATTAAAAAATGGTTTTTTTAAATCAGTCTAACATTTGTTTCTAAACATTTCAACAGATTGAGAGAAAATATTTTTTAAAACTTTTATGAGGGCTTGGCGTAGGAAAAGAGTCCTACGCTAATCCCTTCTTTTCTCATAGGAAAAGAGTCGTTTGTTATTTCTACTTTTATGTGTAAGGCAAGCGTCTTCCTCCCTTTTTCCTTTCCTGCCCAGCCCCCAGCTTGCCCCTCCTCCCCTGACTACTTGGTAATTTAAGATGCCTGAGGTGCTATAGGAGAAAAATATGACCCTGATTCTGAGTGTGATCTATAGGGAGCCCTGGCTGCACACCTTAATTATTGCTAACAAAGTAACATTTTAATAGCTTTAGGTTGAAATTGATGAGCCCTCCTGTTTGCTGGAAGCCTTGCAAAGACACAATATGACATCTTGTAGGAAAAAAAAAAGAGAGAAAGAAAGAATGCAGTGGTGTTAAAGTATCTGGCTCTGTGTGCAATGGCCAGTTTTTAAAAAGCACATTATCCGTGTTCAGCAACTTTTTCCTTAGAACTTAAAGTCCATTAGAGCTCATATGTTCATGTAATGCATTTCCATCTTCCTATGAATAGGATATAAATATTATTGTTTCCTTTCACCGAAGAAAGGCACCGTGAAGGGACAGCACAAAGTCTTCTAGCAAGGGAAAGATGAGCAGCTGAACATGAGATGCTAAATTCTCTAAGCCCAGTGACTTCTCCACTTACTTTTATAGTGGTGTTCATTGTAAATGGTGGATGTAGGGTGACAAATTAGGTGGTTTAGAGGACTGCAACGAAGTAAGAAAAGAGGACTTCACCTCCAGCTTCCAAGGTAGAACTGCAGAAGTCCCAGTATTAAGTGACAGTGACTATCTAGGCCCCGAGGAGGCTTGAGCTTATAGCAGGTCTTCAATCTGTCACAAGTTTTGAAGAACTCTCCTATCTAATAGTCCCAGTTAACGCATATAGTGGTTATGATTTCTCAGGCGACACTCCTAGTCCACAGCACCCATAGTCTCCTCTGGCATCCATGATGATGTCTGATCTTGGTCATTAGTTCCTGGAAGTCATATCATAGCTCCCCTCATTGCCCAAATGCAAGGCCGTTTTGGCTCTGCTCACCCCCTCACAGCTACTGCAGAGCCCCTCCCAAAGGACACCCAGACCCGATTCTGTAGCACCATTGCAGGATCGTGAGAAAATAATTCGGGTACTGCAGACCCTCTCTACTTAGAAAAGACAAGCCACTATTTCTACAGTCCTGATAGAGCACTAAGATGCTTCAGGGAAACTTCTCAGTATTATATGACTTTAAATCTGGGGAGTGGGAGTGGAGCTGGGTGCAGGGGATGCATAGATCCTTCTGAGAGACCCACAACAAAGTCTAATTCTATCCTTCTCCTCTCTGCCTCTCCTCCATCTCTCAAGGAACTCAGATTTGCTTTTCTTTTCTTTTCTTTTTTTTTTTTTTTTTGAGATGGAGTCTTGCTCTGTCACTAAGGCTGGAGTGCAGTGGAGTGATCTCGGCTCACTGCAGCCCCTGCCTCCCGAGTTCAAGCGATTCTGCTGCTTCAGCCTCCCGAGTAGATGGGACTACAGACACGCATCACCAGGCCTGGCTAATTTTTGTATTTTTTTAGTAGAGATGGGGTTTCACTATGTTGGCCAGTCTGGTCTCAAACTCCTGACCTTAAGTGATCTGCCCGCCTTGGCCTTCCAAAGTGTTGGGATTACAGGCGTGAGCCCCTGCGCCGGCCCAGATTGTCTTCTGTATGGGAGAAAAGGGCTCAGCACATCTTCTTCCAAGTCAATTTATATGACAAAATTTTTATTCCCTATGTCCTTAAGAATCTTATTTTTCATTATTCAATAGTTACGTATGGGGAGTTCAAAACATCCCACCTCCCTCCTTTTTTTTTCCTCCCAAAATGTTGAATTTGGAAATTCTATATTAAGAACACAGAAGCTAAACTTTGGTTTCTGTTGTTTTCTCCTTGCATCTCTACATTCTGGGTAGTGAGCAAAGAATATCTCACTATTCTCTGAGTTGGAGAGGAAAGGAGGTGGTGGGAAGATTTACCAAGGAAGATGGCTGAGGATAATACTTCAAACTATTCTCTTATGTTACAGTTTTGTTCCTATCATTAAAGAAGAGACAGAACAAACCCAGAGAGAGTGGAAATAAGAGTGTCCCCTTTCTCAAGAATTAGCCACTCAGTAAGAAGAAAAAATGGGAAAAGAGCTCAAGTCAGCAGAGGAGAAAGAGGAGAAAGTAAAGAGCCATTAAAACATGCTGGGTCTTTTAGCAGGTATTATTTTTCCATATAGCCATACAATCATAAACATAACTCAATAATAAATGGCTTCCTGGTGAATAATATTGAGCTAAGGCTTATTTAAAAAGTCCCAATACACCTGAGTCAAATTCATATCATATCTTGTTACATGTGACACTCGGTGTGTATACATAACAGTAAATACTCAAGCCATTATGTGACAGTAAACGGGGTGGCGGGCGGGGGGAGGGGGCGTCCTGAAACTATTTGCAAGAAGTGGGGCAGGGGGTAGAAGAATGCCATTGTAAAGAGATTAAAGAAAGGTAGGTCATCCTATTGACATAAAGGGGATTAAAGAAGATAGGAATACCTAATAACATTTGCAAAAGCATATCTGAAACTCCTAAAGGATCAGCGGAATAGAGTTATGAGGTCTCAATGACAAATAATCTTGAAGGTATATTGGGCATTTTAGGTGGGGTTAGAACTGACAGCTGTCAGCCAAGAATGGAGGTGACCATTCTCAGATTCTCAGTTTGATGTATATCTCAACAAGTTTGCTCTATATCTAAGATTTCTTCAGACCCTGCAGAGAAAAAAAATCATTGAAGGAGTTTCTGAATGATTAAATCAAATTTTCATAAAGAATTCTGTTGGTATCAAGATTCAAACCCCTGTAAAGAATCAATGCATCAAACAAGATAGGAGCTTCTAATATGCAAATATGCAAAATAAATGACGGCAGGTTGAAAAGAAGCTCATCTTTCTTAAAATTTAAAGCTATAGATTTTGCTGTAGACTGGGTTCCCCAGGAAGCAGAGCCTGAGGCAAAAGCCTAAGTGCCACGACTTTATTCAGGAGTGCGATCCCAGGGGAGCAGAAGTGAGGGAAAATGGGCCGCGGGCAGGGAAAAAGGGAGAGATGGTGTGAGAGGTTTCCAAGCTGTCCAGCCTCTGGCGTCAAGCGCAAGTGACTGCTGGATCCCACAGGGCCATCTTCTGAGGCACCTTATAGATAGTTGCTTGTCAGGACAGTCCATCCAGGAGAAGGAAGACAGAAGAATTCATCGGATGTCCCCTTCTCACATTAGGTAAAGGTTCAACTCACGGGGAAGTTAACTCCCCTGTTCTTCCTGGTTGTTTATGGTTTAGCAATAACAGGGACTTCCCTGGGCAGGAGGCAAAGAGAGCAGTATAGAGCAGTATGTGTGTGAAGAAGCATGAAGAGAGGTGCAACATGTCAGGCATGAAGTCCGTGTTGTCTACACAGAACTGGTCACCACCACACCCAAGGCTCTCGGAGATGGGCAAGGCAAAGAGGATGTCAGGGGACAGGATGGTAACTGTTACAATCTTTTAAGTAAAGACTTAGTTTCACATCTCCTCAAATAAGAGAATGAGATGTCTAGTAGTGTGGATATTCACTGAAAACAGGAAGTTTTACCCAAGAATTCTTAACAGTAAGTGAAGAGTATATGGGTTAAACCTGTATCATTGTCCAAACAAGTTGGGAAAAGGTTTCCTTCACATGTTCAGCTTTCTTGAAATCAGAGAGAACATTGAAAAAGATATCTTATTAAGTAGCAAGTGATATTGTGGTCATTAATAATAATAGCTAACATTTATAGAGGTCTTACAATGTGCTAGGCACTGTTTTAATTCACTAATGCAATTAATGAACTCTTGCATTGATATACTACATAGCAACTGAGGCACAGAGAAGCCAAATGTCTTGCCCACAAGCACACAGCAATTAAGTGGTTTAACCAAGATTCAACTCTGTAACTCCAGAACATACTCTTAGCCCTTATATTGGTCCTTGACTTTTTGCTAGAGAATAAAATTGCAATTACTTCTCTTTTCCAAAATTCATGTCTGCTTCTGATAAGTCTTGAGGTTTTCTTAAAATGTAATTAGGAATATGCATATTTCCCAAATAATATTCAAGCACCATAACCTCTGGAAAATAATGCAACTGCCAGAATTGTGATAAAAGGGAAACAACCCCCCTCAACTTAATAGCAGCAAGGTAACTAATTGACCATATGTGCCCGTTGGGTGAGATAGCAACACCTCAGAAAACATCTCGGTGACCAGAGGGCATCTCAGGTGAATTAGGAAACAGTTCCTTTCTCTAGGAGGGTGCAGGCATCAGCCCACACTATTCCTCTAGGCCCGGATGCTTTTTGCAGAGTGAACAAACAGCAGCAGTGAGTTGGGATGGGGGTGGGGATTTTAAGAGACTGAATCAAGTTCAGAGAGCCCCCACTGACTCCAAAGCATGCTTTTAACTGTCATATTCCCACTATGAACCAGGGGGAAAAAATCTCAGTTCCTTGTCCAGAAAGCTTCCAAAAGAAAATCTTGCCTGCTCTTAATGTATTTTTTTCATGCTCCACAGATGTCCTTTCTCATAAATTCAGAAGTATCTGCACGTCCCAAGGTGAGCTGGTATCTTCATTTTATTGCCAGCAGTTTGCAGGCAATGGATCTGACATTAAAAAAATACAGCACTCACTTTTGAGAGTGTGACCCTCTTTCCCAACTCCTTCCTAATCTTTTTCCAATTCCCTTTGCTCTTTTCACCTCTGTGCTTCTGGTTAACACACATGGGGGCTTTGGAGACTCCCCTGATCCTTTGACTTCTTGCTCAATCGGGAAAGGATGCATTTTTCTCTACAGATTGCCTCATAGAGACGCAGCATCTGTCTAAGACAAAAAGAGCCTCCAGAGAACTTACTTTAGCTGTTTGCCAACTAACCCATTTTGCATGCTTCCTGAGAAGAAACAATGCACACCATCTCTACAGGAGGAAGCAGGAGAGATATTGGTTCCATGTAAATATCTCAAAGGAAATTTATGATGCTGATGGGAAATTTAAGACCCTTAAAATAATTGCTGGTTTGTGAATCCAGGCAGTACATTTTTATCACCTCATGCCTGTGCCTTCCCTCATCCCCTTCCTGAGGGAGAGTGGTCATGGATTCAGTGGTCTCTCCACCTCTCCCTCCTTAATGGCACTTGCTGGGGAGAATTTTGATAATCCACCATTTCAGTTAACTTGAGTAGATTTGTGTGCTTTTAAATAGAAAGCCCTTTCACTCCTTCTGGATATAGTTCAGTGTCCTGTGTGACTTGCAGGGACTGTTAGTTCTCTACCCACTCTCCATATTCTCATTCTTTTTTTCTATTATAATGGCTTTATTTTATTATAGCACAGAGGTTACCATAAAGTCTCTGAAGTCAGACTATCTGACTTTAAATCTTGACCTTTCTACTTCCCTGCTGATGACCTTGGGCCAGTTACTTGCTTTTTCCCCAGTTTCTTTTTTTTATTTATTATTATTATTACACTTGAAGTTCTAGGGTACATGTGCACAACCTGCAGGTTTGTTACATATGTATACATGTGCCATGTGGGTGTGCTGCACCCATGAACTCGTCATTTACATTAGGTACATCTCCTAATGCTATCCCTCCCCCATCCCCCCACCCCACAACAGGCCCCGGTGTGTGATGTTCCTCTCCCTGTGTCCAAGTGTTCTCATTGTTCAATTCCCACCTATGAGTGAGAACATGCGGTGTTTGGTTTTCTGTCCTTGCAACAGTTTGCTGAGAATGACGGTTTCTAGCTTCATCCATGTCCCTAGAAAGGACATGAACTTATCCTTTTTTATGGCTGCATAGTATTCCATGGTGTATATGTGCCAGATTTTCCTAATCCAGTTTATCATTGATGGGCATTTGGGTTGGTTCCAAGTCTTTGTTATTGTGAATAGTGCCGCAATAAACATATGTGTGCATGTGTCTTTATAGCAGCATGATTTATAATCCTTTGGGTATATACCCGGTAATGGGATGGCTGGGTCAAATGGTATTTCTAGTTCTAGATCCTTGAGGAATCGCCACACTGACTTCCACAATGGTTGAACTAGTTTACAGTCCCACCAACAGTGTAAAAGTGTTCCTATTTCTTCACATCCTCTCCCTTCACATCCTCTCCAGCACCTGTTGTTTCCTGACTTTTTAATGATTGCCATTCTAACTGGTGTGAGATGGTATCTCATTGTGGTTTTGATTTGCATTTCTCTGATAGCCAGTGATGATGAGCATTTTTTCATGTGTCTGTTGGCTGCATAAATGTCTTCTTTTGAGAAGTGTCTGTTCATATCCTTTGCCCACTTTTTGATGGGGTTGTTTGATTTTTTTCTTGTAAATTTGAGTTCCTTATAGATTCTGGATATTAGCCCTTTGTCAGATGGGTAGATTGCAAAAATTTTCTCCCATTCTGTAGGTTGCCTGTTCACTTTGTTGGTAGTTTCTTTTGCTGTGCAGAAGCGCTTTAGTTTAATTAGATCCCATTTGTCAATTTTGGCTTTTGTTGTCATTGCTTTTGGTGTTTTAGACGTGAAGTCCTTGCCCATGCCTATACCCTGAATGGTATTGCCTAGGTTTTCTTCTAGGGTTTTTATGGTTTTAGGTCTAACATTTGTCTTTAATCCATCTTGAATTAATTTTTGTATAAGGTGTAAGGAAGGGATCCAGTCTCAGCTTTCTACATATGGCTAGCCATTTTTCCCAGCACCATTTATTAAATAGGGAATCCTTTCCCCATTTCTTGTTTTTGTCAGGTTTGTGAAAGATCAGATGGTTGTAGATGTGTAGTATTATTTTTGAGGGCTCTGTTCTGTTCCATTGGTCTATATCTCTGTTTTGGTACCAGTACCATGCTGTTTTGGTTACTGTAGCCTTGTAGTATAGTTTGAAGTCAGGTAGCATGATGCCTCCAGCTTTGTTCTTTTGGCTTAGGATTGTCTTGGCAATGCTGGCTCTTTTTTGGTTCCATATGAACTTTAAGGTAGTTTTTTCCAATTCTGTGAAGAAAGTCATTGGTAGCTTGATGGGGATGGCACTGAATCTATAAATTACCTTGGGCAGTATGGGCATTTTCATGATATTCATTCTTCCTATCCATGAGCATGGAATGTTCTTCCATTTGTTTGTGTCCTCTTTTATTTTGTTGAGCAGTGGTTTGTAGTTCTCCTTGAAGAGGTCCTTCACATCCCTTGTAAGTTGGATGCCTAGGTATTTTATTCTCTTTGAAGCAATTGTGAATGGGAGTTCACTCATGACTTGGCTCTCTGTTTGTCTGCTATTGGTGTATATGAATGCTTGTGATTTTTGCACGTTGATTACATCGATGCAGAAATCCTCAGTAAAATACTGGCAAACTGAATCCAGCAGGACATCAAAAAGCTTATCCACCATGATCAAGTGGGCTTCATCCCTGGGATGCAAGGCTGGTTCAACATACGCAAATCAATAAATGTAATCCAGCATATAAACAGAACCAAAGACAAAAACCACATGATTCTCTCAACAGATGCAGAAAAGGCCTTTGACAAAATTCAACAGTCCTTCATGCTAAAAACTCTCAATAAATTAGGTATTGATGGGACGTATCTCAAAATAATATGAGCTATTTTTGACAAACCCACAGCCAATATCATACTGAATGGGCAAAAACTGGAAGCATTCCCTTTGAAAACTGGCACAAGACAGGGATGCCCTCTCTCACCACTCCTATTCAACATAGTGTTGGAAGTTCTGGCCAGGGCAATCAGGCAGGAGAAAGAAATAAAGGGCATTCAATTAGGAAAAGAGGAAGTCGAATTGTCTCTGTTTGCAGATGACATGATTGTATATTTAGAAAACCCCATTTTCTCAGCCCAAAATCTCCTTAAGCTGATAAGCAACTTCTCATTCTTCTTTCTAAGGGAACCCTTGTGTCTTTGGGCTGCCATGTGTCCAGATAAAAGACATTTTTCCAAGCCCTCTAGGAGCTGGGTGTAGCCAGTTGACTCAATACTAGCCAATGAGACGTAAATAGGAGCTGTTGAGAGGAACTTCTGTGAAAGCAGCATAAAACAGATTGCCTGGGAGCTTCTTTCTGCCCCTCTGCCTTTCCTCCTTCTTTGGGTCTGCAACTTAAACATGAAGGCTGGACCTTTAGTTGACAACTTGAACCATGAAGCAATCTTGAGGGAAAAATTTTTAGCTAGGAGTGGCAGAAAAAAAAAAAAAAAGACATAAGGATCCTAGTTTTCTGATAACTGAAGAACTGTTGTATCAGCCCTGAGTTGCCTACCCTCAGCCTTATTTTATCCAAGAGGAAATAAAGTTCCATCTCATTTTAACTAAGGTTGTTTTATTTTTCTATGCTATGCAGCAATACCTAACCCTAACTAATATATTACCTGTGTGATGAGAAAACATCAGTAATGCCTTCTCCTAACAGATTGATCAGGTATATTTGTAAATGATCATTATATTTGTTAATATTCTTTAGGTGGCAAGTAACAAAAGCCAATTAGAGTTAGAAAACTAGAAAAGGAGAACGTATTATGAAGTATGGATGTGCCCATTTTTTTCTCTATTTCAGCACCACCATTTCACCCTGCTTCTAGGAGTCTGACTATATTATATTAATCATATAAATGGTATCATGAGTATTTGTTCTTATGTGTATGCCTTGTTTTTCATGTAGTATGTCTTCCAGGTTCATCTATGATGATGTTGTAAATGGCAAGATTTCTTCTTTTTAAAGGCTGATTAATATTCCAATGCACTCCACATATTCTGTACATATGTACAGACTATGTGTGTGTATATATATATACACACAGAATATGTATATATATTATATATATGTGTGTATGTGTGTATATATATATATACACACAGAATATGTATATATATTATATATATGTGTGTATGTGTGTATATATATACATATTTTATATATATAATATATATTATTATATATAATTCAATTAGGAATTTTATATATATATAAAAGCTTTTGAGGTACAAGTGGGATTTGGTTACATGGATGAATTGTAGAGTGGTGAAGTCCGAGATGTTAGTGCACCCATCACCTACGTAGTGAACATTGAACCCAATATGCAATTTGTTATCCCTCATGCTCCTCCCACCCTTCTCCCAACCTCTTCCTCCCACCCTCCTCCCTTCAGAGTCTCCAATGTCCATTATACCACTCTGCATACCTCTGCCTACCCATAGCTTAGCTCCCACTTATAAGAGAACCTATGGTATTTGGGGTATTTGGTTTTCCATCCCTGAGTTACTTTACTTAGCATAATAGCCTCCAGCTCCATTCAGGTGGCTGCAAAAGACATTATTTTATTCCTTTTCATGGCTGTGTAGTATTCCGTGGTGTATATACACTACATTTTTCTTATCCACTTATTAGTTGATGGACATTTAGGTTGGTTCCGTATCTTTGCCACTGTGAATTGTGCCATTATAAACATATGTGTGCAGGTATCTTTTTGATATAATGACTTACTTTCCTTTGGGTAGATACTAAGTACTTGAGATTGCTGGATCAAATGTAGATGTATTTTTAGTTCTTTGAGAAATCTTCATACTGTTTTCCACTGAGGTTGTACTAATTTACATTCTCATCAGCAGTGTATCAGTGTTCCCTTTTCACCACATTAATGTCAATGTCTATTGTTTTGTGACTTTTTAATAATGGCAATTCTGGTTGGGGTAAGATGGTATCTCACTGTGATTTTAACATTTATTTCCCTGACGATTAGTGATCTTGAGCAATTTTTTCATATATTTGTTGGCCATTTGTATAACTTCACTTGAGAAGTGTTCATGTCATTTGTCCACTTTTTGATGAGTTTTTTTTTTCTTGCTGATTGTTTGAGTTCCTTGTAGATTCTGGATATTAGTCCTCTGTCTGATGCATAATTCACAACTATTTTCTCCCATTCTATGATTGTCTGTTTACTCTGATGATTACATACTTTGCTGTGCACAAGTGTTTTAGTTTAATTAGGTCTCATTTATTTATTTTTGTTTTTCTTGCATTTGCTTTTGGGGTCTTAGTCATAAATTCTTTGCCTAGGCTAATGTCCAGAAGAGTTCTTTCTAGGTTTTCTTCTAGAAATTTTATGTTTTCAGGTCACAGATTTAAGTCTTGGATCCATCTTGAGATCCATATACATTTTAGTATATGGTGAGAGATTAGGATCAAGGTTCATTCTTCTACATGTGGCTACCCAATTTTCCCAGCACCGTTTATTGACTAGGGTATCCTTTCCCCAGTTTATATTTTTGTATGTTTTGTTGAAGATGTTGATTGTAAGTATTTGGCTTTATTTCTTCGTTCTCTATTCTATTCCGTTGGTCTATGTGTCTACTTTTATACCATGTCATGCTGGTTTTTTTTGTTTGTTTGTTTCCTATAGCCTGATAGTATAATTTGAAATTGGGTAATGTGATGCTTCCAGATTTGTTATTTTTGCTTAGAATTGTTTTGGCTGTTTGGGCTCTTTAAAATTCCATATGAATTTTAGGATTTGTATTTTGATAGGAATTGCGTTGAGTCTCTAGTTTGCTTTGGGCAGTATGTTCAGTTTCATGATATTGATTCTTCCAATCCATGAACATGGAATGTATTTGACATTTGTTTGTGTCATTTATGATTTCTTTCAGCAGTATTTTATAGTTTTCCTTGGAGAGAGCTTTCACCTCCTTGGTTAAATATATTCCTAGTTGGGTTGTATTGTTTTGTTTTGCAGCTATTGTGAAAGGGATTGAGTTCTTGATTTTATTCTTGGCTTGATCGTTGTTGGTGTATTACAGTGTTACTTATTTGCATACATGGATTTTGTAACCTGAGACTTTACTGAATTCATTTATCAAATCTAGGAGTATTTTGGAGGAGTTTTTAGGGCTTCCTAGGTATACAGTCATATCATAAGCAAACACAGATAGTTTGTTTTCCTCTTTTCTCAACTTGGATGCCCTTTATTTCTTGCTCTTGCTTGATTGTTCTGGCTAGGACTTCCAGTACTCTGTTGAATGTAAGTGGTGAAGCGGGTATCCTTGTCTTGTTCTCATTCTTAGGGGGAACACTTCCAACTTTTTCCCATCTGTATGATGTTGGCTGAGGGTTTGTCCTATCTACATATTCTTTATCCATTCATCCATCCATGAACGCTTACATAGCTTCTGAGTATTGGCTATTGTTAATAATGATGTAATGAGTATGGGAGTGCAGATATCTCTTCAAGATTCTGATTTCAATTCCTTTGGATATATACCCAGACATGATATTGCTGGATCATATGATAGTTCTATTTTTAAGTTTTTTAGGAATCTCCATACTGTTTTTTATAGTGGCTGCATCAACTTGTATTCCCACCAATGATGTACAAATGTTCCCTTTTCTCCACATCTTTGTCAATATTTATCTTTTTCCATTTTATAATAGCCATCCTAACAGATATGAAGTGATATTTCTTTGTGGTTTTGATTTGCATTTCCCTACCGATTAGTGATGTTGAGCAGCTTTTCAGATACTGGCTGGTCATTTGTATGTTTTTTTTTTTTTGGAAAAATGCCTATTCAGTTCCTTTGTCCATTTTTCAATCAGGTTATTTGTTTTTGTTTTTAACATTTATTATTAAGTTATAGGAGTTTCATTTATCTTGGACATTAACTCTTTATCAGATACATGGCTTGCAAATATTTTCTCCTTTTCTGTAGTTTGCATTTGGTTGATTATTTCCTTTGTGGTGCGGATGTTTCTTTTTCTTTTAGTTTTTTTCTTAGTTTGTCTATTTTTGCTTTTGTTGCCTTCGGTTTGGTATAATATCCTAGGAAATCATTGCCCAAGGCCAATGTCAGAAAGCATTTTCTCTATGTTTTCTTCTGCAGATTTTACAGTTTCAAATCTGGCATTTAAGTCTTTAATCTATTTTGGTTGATTTTTGTATATAGTGTAAAATAAGGATCCAATTTCATTGTTTTGCATGTGGATATCCAGTTTTCCCAACACAATTTGTTGAAAAAACTATCATTTCCTCATTGCATATTCTTGGCACCCATGTCAAAGACCAGTTGACCATATACACATGGGTTTATTTCTGGGCTGTCCATTCTGTTTCATTGCTCTGTATGTCTGCTTTTAGTACCATAATGTTTTGATTACTATAGTTTGTAATCTATTTTGAAATCATGAAGTACAATGTCTCCAGATTTGTTCTTCTTGCTCAAAATGGCTTTGGCTATTCAGAGTCTTTGTGGTTCCGTATGAATTTTAGGATTGTTTTTTCTATTTCTGCAAAAAGTATTATTGGGCTTTTGATAGGGATTGCATTGAATCTGTAAATCACTTTGGGTAGTATGAACTTTTTAACAATATTAATTCTTCCAATCCCTGAACATGGCATGTCTTTGCAATTATTTGTGTCTGCTTTAATTTCTTTTGCCAGTGTTTTATAGTTATTAGTGTATAAGCCTTTCACCCCTTAATTAGCTTTGCTCTTTCTGGTGCTATTGTAAGTGAGATTGTTTTCTTAATTTCCTTTTCAGATAATTCATTGTTAGTGTATAGAAATATAATTGATATCTGTACATTACTTTTGTATCATAATTTTGCTGAATTGTGTATCCTGAAACTTGTGTAGTCTCTATTTTCTACATATCAGATCATGTAATCTGCAAACAGAGATAATTTTATTTCTTCCTTTCCAATCTAGCTGACTTTTATTTCTTTTTCTTGCCTGATTTCTCTGGTTAGGACCTATAGTGTTTTGTTGGATAGAAGTGATGAGAGTGGGCACCTTTGCCCAATTCCAGATCTTAGAATAAAAGCTTTCAGTTTTTCACCACAGAGTATGATGTCAGCTGTGGGCTTTTCATATACAGGCTTTATTTATGTCTAAGTTAATTCCTTCTGTACCTAATTTGTTGACAGTTTTCATCATGAAAGGATGCTGAACTTTTTCAAATGCTTTTTGCCTCATCTATTGAGATGATTATGTGATTTTTATCTTTCATTCTGTTAGTGTGATGTATCACAATGATTGATTTGTATATGCTAAACCATCCTTGAGTCCAAGAGATAATTCCACTTGGTTATAGTATATGAACCTTTCAGTGGGCTGTTTAATTCAGTTTACTAATATTTTGGTGAGGATGTCTGCATTCATGTTCATCAGGGATATTGGCTTGTCATTTTCTTATGATGTATTTGTCTGGCTTTGGTATCAGGGTGGCCTCATAAAAATGGAAATGTTCATTTTTCTACTTTTTGGAAGAACTTCAGAAGGAACGATGTAAGTTTTCTTTTAAATGTTTGGTAGAATTCACCTCTGACATTATTTGGTTATGTGTTTTCCTTTATTGAAATGTTTCTGATTACTGATTGAATCTTTTTATTTGCTGTGGGTCTCTTCCAGCTTTCTATTTCTTCTTGATTCAGTTTTGGTACCTATGTTTCTAGGAATTTTCCCATTTCTTTCTTTTCTTTTCTTTCTTTTTTTTTTTTTGAAACAGAGTTTCACTCTGTCACCCAGGCTGGAGTGCAGTGGCATGATCATGGCTCACTGCAGCCATGATCAGGGATCAAGTGATTCTCCCACCTCAGCTTCCCAAGTAGCTGAGACTAAAGGCATGTGCCACCACACCTGGCTAAGTTTTGTATTTTTTGTAGAGATGGGGTTTGACCATGTTGCCCAGGCTGGTCTTGAACTCCTGGGCTCAAGCAATCTGCCTGCCTTGGCCTCCCAAAGTGCTGGGATTATAGGCGTGGGCTACCAGCTCCAGCTTCTTCTTCCATTTATGATTTTATTTATTTGAGTCTTCTCTCTTTGCTCTTAGTCTAGATAAGGGTTTGCCCATTTTGTTTCTCTCTTCAAAAAACCAATTTGTATTTTTGTTAAATTTTCCTATTCTTTATTTTATTTGTTTCTAATCTTTATAATTTTTTTTCTTCTGCTAATTTTGGGCATAGTTTGTTCTTTTTCTAGTTCCTGGAGGTGTAACATTAGTTTTTTTTTTTTTTTTATCTTTCTTCTTTTTTAATGTGGAAATTCATCACTATAAAATTTTCCCCTTCATATTATTTTTGCTGCATCCATAAATTTTGGTACATGTGTTTTGGTTTTTGCTTGTTTTGAGATATTTTTAAATTTCCCTTATGATTTATTCTTTGACCCAATGGTTGTTCAGGAGTGTGTCGTTTAATTTTTATGTATTTGTAAATTTTCCCATTTTCCTATTGTTATTGAGTTCTGGTTTCATTCCCTCATGATTGGAAAAGATACTTGGGATGATATTAATCTTCGTAAGTTTAAGATTTGTTTTGTGACCTAGCATGTGATTTATGATGGAGAATGTTCCAGGTACACTTGAGAAGAATGTCTACTCTGCTGCAGTTGGGTGATATATTTTGAATATGTCTGTAGTGTTGTTCAAGTCAGCTGCTTCCTATTGATTTTCCATCTGAATGATCTATTATTGTAAGTAGGGTATTGAAGTCTCCTGCTACTAATACATTGCTATCTATTTCTCCCTTCAGATCTGTCAATGTTTGCTTTATATATTTAGATACTCTGATGTTAAGTTCATATATATATATATATATATAAATGTTTTATCTTTCTTTTGCATTGAACCTTTGTTATTATATAATGAACCTCTTCATCTTTTATGATAGTTTTGACTTTAAGTCTATTTTGTCTGATATAAGTATAGCCACTGATGTTCTCTTTTGGTTATCTTTTGCATGGAATATATTTTTTTTCATTCCTTCACTTTCAGTCTATGTGTGTCCTTAAACCTAGGGTGGGTTTTTTTTTTATTTTTATAGACTGCATAGAGTTGAGTCCTTTTTTTTTAATCCATTCAGCCACTCAATGTCTTTTGAATGGTGAATTTAATCCATTTACATTAAAAATAATTATTGATAGGTAAGACTTACCATTGTCATTTTGTTAATTGTTTTTGGTGTTGTCGTTTTTTTATTCCTCTCTTCCTCTTTTTCTGTTTTCTTTGGCATTAAATAATTTTGGTAGTGGTACACTTTCATTTTTTGTGTGAGTAGTTGCCATGAGGCTTGCATAAAACATTTTATTGTTATAGCTGTCCAGTATGAGCTGACAATTTTAATCACATATACAAACTCTATACTTTTGTCACCACACACACATTTTATGTTTTATGCCAGAATTTACTTATTCTTATGTTGTGTATTTATAAACCACTTTTTGTGGTTATAGTTATTCTTAATTCTTTTGTCTTTAAACTTTTATACTAGGGTTAAAAGTGATTTATACACCATCTTTACAGTGTTACATTATTTTGTATTTGTTTATATATTTACCTTTACCATGGGCATTTGTGTTGCTGTTCAGCACTCTTGTTTCAACTTGGAGAACCATATTATTTTTTGTAAGAAAGGTCTAGTTTTGATCAACTTGCTTAGTTTTCTGTTTCTGTGGGAAAATCTTTATCCCTTCTTCATTTTTAATGGATAATTTTGCCAGGTATAGCATTCTTGGTTCGCAGTTTGTTTTTATTTTTCTACTTTCAGCATTTTGAACATCATCCCATTCCTCTCTGACTTACAGGATTTTGGCTGAGAAATCTGCTGATAGTCCTATGGGGAGTTTCTTGTATGTAATGAGTCACTTTTCTCTTGCTGTTTTCAGAAATATTTTTTGTCTTTGACTTTTGACAGCTTAATAATATTGTATCTCAGCATAAATCTCTTTAGGTTGTATTTATTTGAGATTCTTTGGGCTTCATGAGTCTCAATGTACATTTCCCCTCCCAGATTTGGGGAGTGTTCAGCCATTATTTCTTTAAATAAGCTTTCTGTGTCTTTCTCTTTCTTCTGTGCTTTTGTAAATCTCACAATGTATATTTTGGTTTGCTGGTGTTCAATAGGTCTCATAGGCTTTTTTCACTCTTTTTCATTCTTTGTTGTTGATGTTGTTCCTCTGACTTAGTAATTTCAAATGACCTGTCTTTGAGTTAACTGATCCTTTCTTCTGCTTGATCAAGACTGCTGTTGAAGTCTCTGCTGAATTTTGTAGTTCAGTCACTGTGTTCTTCAGCTCCAGAATTTCTGTTTGGTTCTTTTAATGGCTTGTAGCTGTTTATTTCTTTAGGGTTAGTTACTAGAGTTTTCTTTTGTTCCTTTAGTGATTTTGGTTCCTTTTGTTCTTTAGTGGTACCATGTTTCCCTGATCCTTATAGCCCTGAGTTGGTGTCTGTGCATTTGAAGAAGTAGTCATCCTTTTTCAATCCTTGCATACTAATTTTGCCACAGAAAGCTCTTCACCAGTTAGCATATCCAGGAGTTCTAGATGGGCCAACTGGTGGGATCTGTGGGTAGGTGGGCCTGGTGTTGGGGTCTATGGGCAGGTATGTCTTCTGCCAATGTCCATGGGTAGGCAGGCATGGTGTCAAGATCTATGAGGGTAGACCTGGTGCTGAGATCCAGTGGGGTGGTCCTGGTGCTGAAGTCTGCAGCAAAGTCAGACATTCCCTTTATTACTTCTTTCCCCACAGGAGAACTGGTGGGCTGAGGGGACCTCTTTTGGTGCTGTGCTGTGCAGTGCAGGCTTTGGGGAGGGGCAAAGAGGATAAAGTAACACTGTTCTTCTAACTTTCTCCAGGGCATCTTTTGTGGTTTCTGGGTTCTACTTCAGCGTTATAACCTTTCACCTGGGTTACAGAACTCTCATTATCATATTTTTGGTCCATGGATAATTGTTAAATCAGTGTTTCTATGGGGAGATGAGGTCTGGAATCTCCTGTTCCACCATCTTGATGTCATCACTCCCACCACTATTTTTAATACTCTAGTCTGGACACTACTTAAGTGCCTGTTAACAACAGAATGGGTAAATACATTGTTATTTATTCATACGACATGCTAATGCCAAACAATTTATAATTATATATAAAAATATAGATGAATATTACAAATATAAGATTGAGAACAAAAAGGCCAGAAACAAAAAAGAATACAAACAGTATGATCCCTGTTATATAAAGTATAAGGGAAACATTACTCTCTAGTATTAGACATCAGGAGAGTGGTTGCACTTGGGGCAAGGTAATAAATAGAAAGGAACAGAGGAGATTTTTCTGAGGTGCTAGTAATGTTCTGTTTGTTGATCTAGGTGCTGGTAACATGATGTATTCAGTTTATAAAAACTTATCTAGCTCTGTTTTATGTACACTGTTCATTCAGTGGCTCTCCCTGTCTACCCTTCCCTGACATAAACATTCCATCCTGAGGCCAGTGTACCAATGGCATTACTACAAGTCTTACTCTTATCCTGCTTCTGCTCAGCCTAGACAGCAGACATTTGTCCTGTGTCGATTCTTTCAAATCCTGCTCTTGGATATAACTAATCTAACAAATTACTATGAGTTGAAGAGTTAAGAACTGATAATGACTAACTATGAAATGTGTCTTTTTTCCCCCCAGATGACAATGTTACTTTAATTTTGAACTTTTCTGTCTTAAACTTTAGAAAAGAAAAATGGGAACATGGCTTGTTGTTGGCTGGCCACTAGGGGATATGTTTTTGGGAAGGTAGCTGTGGCTGGCGTTCTTCAAATCATAAGACCCAGGCAACTAATCATTCATAAGCCTGTCTTGACCATTTTGTGAATTCTCTAGGGCTCTCTTCACAGTTTAAAAAAGGTTATTAGATCTTTTTTGTCTTAATGATGATTACAACTTCTAAATCATATTCTTGTTTATTTCTTCAAAGCCTCTTGTTGAAATTACACTGACTTAATAAACTGGAGATTCTATTTGGTTTAAGCATGAAACATTTGCAGCTCAGAAACTGAGAGAAGAACTGGTTTTCATCAAGTTCTCCACCCTAGTCCAAATGGCAGAGGGACATGTTTTGACCAGTTCCCATTTGACGTTTCTGAGTAATCAACAAATCAGACAAACCAGAAGGGTTTATTAGCACTTTGTTCTTTGAGGCAGAGTGGTGAATAAATGCCTTTTTCTCTTTGGAAAGAAATCTTACTAGTAACCATAGCAATAATAATTCCATCTCCAAGTGAAAATTATTATTGTTATCTTCGTTGGCAGCCCCAGTTTCTTTCCTGTCAGAAGTAGACAGAAGGCAGACACTGTCTTGAAGTCTATAAAAGGCTCACCTAAGCAGGATGGGGAGCAGCTGTTTTCTCTCTCAGCTGAGAACAGAACAAGAGAATAATGGCTTAACCGTAGAATGAGGGGCTTAAGCTAGATATGAGGAAGTGGTTCCTGGCGGCGTGCTGGATAGGTTGTCATGGGAGTTTACAGAATCCTTTTCTTTAGAAGCCTTTAAAAATAGCTTAGATAATCTGTTCATGGAATGGCAGATGTATATTCTGCTTTGCCTGTGTCCACTGCACATTTAATACACTCTTGTATGTACAGCCATGTCTTTACTAGACTCTGAAAGCAAAGGCTACTGAGCAGGGCTCTTGTCCACCAGTACCAGACATATATCATGGGCTCTGGAAATGTGAAGGAATGAGTAAAGCTGAGAGTTTGGATACAATGATTTAGCAATGATCAATTATAGCCTACTAGTTTGTGGCTAGTTAAATATTGGCCCTATGGTTATTGTCCTACAATCATTTAATAAAACAAAATTTAACCAGATGACACTATTTGGCTGAAACTCTCTTTGAAGAGTTCATTGAATCCAACTCCCTTCTTCTAGGTTGTTGACTTTGTCCGTTTGATGATTCTACACTAGCTCTTGAGTAAAAATTAAATGTTCTCTGAAGTGGTGGTTGTATCCTTCAAAAATTTATTCAAATACATGGGGAAAATACATTTACAGGAAGAACTTTAACCAGAGTTAAATCTGAGCATTCCTTCTTCCAGTGCAACTAATTCTGCCTCATCAGAGGCATGTGCTAGAAAGAGCTTTCATTTAAAAAGTAATGGTCAGAATCCTGCTCAGTTCTTCAGCAGCCGTATTTTACCTCAGAGTTGACATTTATATGCCAGCAACTCATTTGTTACAAATTCTAATTGCAGAGCAACAACCCAAAAAAAGGCAGTGCAAAGGCAAAAAGAAAAAACTCTTAGAAACCCTTTGAGAGCCCATCTAATTAAAAATGCAAATTAAGAAAGAAACCTAAAGTCGTAGTCCTGTTCGGTCTTTTCAAAGGCACCAATTACCAGTGACTCATTGGGAAAGAGACTGACTTTAATTTTAAAACAAATTTCTCAACAATATCCCATTGGCAGAAAATTAAAATGACTACCAGCTTAGTAGAACAATTAGCACTACAACCTTTGTTACCCAAACTTTACTCATTCTTGTTTTTCTGTTTCTTTAGAAACCGCTAATGTAGACCATTTTCCACTGAATTTTTCTGAAGTCCTAAGAACATTTTGTTTCTCAGTGATAAGCAATCTCATCTTTAAACTAATCCACTCCTTCCCATGAAACCATATTGAGGTACATTCCAGAAAAGAACAAACTTCTTGAAAGAATCTAAAAGAATACTTTAGGAGGCAAGATAGGGGAGGATGTTACTGCAGAATGAAGGCCCTCAGACAGGAGATATGGACTACTGAAGGATTCTTGCTAGGCCTGGGTCTGGCCATCTGTTACTGTGAATACATATCATATGTCAGGGCCTTCATTGTTGTTTTGCCTTAGGTATTAATTTATAACTTATGCATTACACTTTTTATTATCATGAGAAGTAACATGAGTTGTGGAATCGAATTTTTTTTAAAGTCTTAGAACTAGAAGAGAAGTAATATATAACAGATTATCTAGGCCAATCTATTTAGTGTTGGGCCCGCTTAATATGAATTAGATGTATGTATCAGTCAGGGTCCAACCAGAAGATAGAAACCACACAATAAAGTGAACAAGGAAATGTAATATAAAGAATTAACTATAATAGTAGATTGAAGTAACAGGGGATTGGCGAGTAAGAGGTAAAGAGAGTCTAAAGAATATAGGGTAGCAGATAAAAGGAGCAGTCACTACCCCCAGAACTCATATAAAGTGTTCCAGAAAGACTCCCTTCTCTCTTCCTTCCAACCTGAGATCCAGATAGGGCATAGCTGTGGCTCACTAGATAATAAAGAATTAACTAAGGTGTCAAACAGGTGGACTTTGCTAGGAATTCATCCTGTGGAGTGCTAGGGGAAGCTGTCACTAGTCAGGCACTGCACCTGAGAACTTGCTGAACAATCCCATAAAGGATCAGCCAGGGAATGTTATGATGAGGAGGTTCCTTGCCAATGCACTCCATTGCAGACACCTAAGGGGGTGAAGCAGGGAAGCTGCTGGCCACTAGACCTGCTGCAGAAGCCAGGCATTGGGGAAACTGGCACTGCAGGAGCCAGGCGCTGGAGAAGCTGCCTGGGCTGCAGGCTCTGGGGACTAAGGAAGCTGTGCACCCTGTGGAAGATAGGTGCTGGGGAAGCTGTGCATGCAGCAGGAACTTTGCCCTGGGGAAGACACTTACACTGCAGGAGTAGAGCACTGTGGAAGTTGCAAATGTTGCAGGACATTGGCAAGAAAGCACAAAGGAACCAGGAAGGAAAACTCCATTGTCTATCAGTGTCCTTCTAGCATCCTCTACTGACAAAGTTTGACATTGTGCCTGCTGGCAAAAGAAATATTTAAAGGACCCATCTCCATTTTTTACAGAGCAGGCAATAAAATTTGGATTTAAAACCGAAAAGCAATACATTGATATTGGCACAGTGCCTATATTATATGGACACACATTTTGCATACATTACTAAATTTATTCCCTATAATATATCTAAAAAGTAAATATCATCATGTACAAGATAGAGAGGTTCCAGTGTTAAAAAAAAGAGTCACTGAGCTAGTAAGCAGCAGAATGAAGATTCAAATTCAGTTTTGGGCAACACCGAGCCTATCCATTGTCTTTCTGTACTACGTTTTCTCCAGTGATGCCTAGATGTCTTGGAAAAGTGGTGGCCTAGCGGGACAAACTTAGGGAGGGCCTGAGTATGAGGAGTATGAAATGGGGATGGGAGGGATTCTAAAAGGCTGGGCTGTGGTGGGAATGGGATTGTATTGCTGTGAGTTGTGGAGCCTGGGAAAATCTGAAAGGCAGAGTCTGGAGCAAAACTGAGATTAGAACTAAAACACAAGTCCACACGGGCTAGGCAAAAATACTGAGATTAGGTTTAAGGCAGTAGGATGAAACTGGGGTCAGGGACACACCAAAGCAAAGAAAGTAAGTCCCAAGCACAGGCCACCAATTCCTTGAGATGAATTGCCCCTGCTGGCTATGGAGGGGACTGTGGCCGTGCTTACATGGCCACAGAGGGTGGCTAGGGGTGTGGTTTTGGTTCATCAGGCTAACAAGTCAATGGTTAAACTAGGACTATAGCCTGTCTCCCTTGACTCCCATTTCCGTGCTCTAGTCACACTTGTTTTCACCACCTATTAACTCTAGAGTTAGATAGCAACAGACAAAAGTGAGTGAACCAGCTGGACTCCACAGCACTTAGCTTGTTGAAGTTATCAGAGGGCACAAAAGTGGAAGATATTGATCATGCTTACTTCAGCTTAAACATTTGATGTTTTCATAGCACTGTGCATTCTCTCCCTTTGTATCCTATGAGCCTTCATGAGTGGGTGTTTGGCAAGTATTCAGGAACCACGTTCACAGACGGAGCTTCACATCGTCATTGATGTTTGTCAGGCCTTCCAATCAGGGCTACTTGGCCTTGACTGAACACTGGAATCACCTGGAAAAAAGAAAATACTAATGCCTGGGGCTATTTTATACCAATAACCAGAGTATATTTCCAAGTTCCTCAGATGATTCTAGTGTAAATCCAAGGTTGAGTATCACTGTCTTTTCTTGACTGTAGCAGGGTGACATTGAGAGAGACAAAAAAAAAAAAAAAAAAAAAGAAAAGAAAAGAAAAGAAAGAAAAAAAAATAGCCCTCTCTTCTCTCTTCTCCTTTACTCTCCGGTGGGATTCTGAGATCAACTCCTTTTACAGAGCAGTCGCCCACTCGGCTGTGTTGCACATTGACATCCCAGGAAAGACTCTGAACTCAGTGCTAGTTAAGAAAACAGGCTAGCGACTCTGCAGAAAGAAGTTATTAATATAAAGATGTACTGGTTTCTAAAGCCGAGGACCAACACTACATGGAAGACTGGCATTTTCTTTGTTGGAAGGGAAACTTGTTACAGATCTGAGGCTGATCCACTTGTCTGCCTTAAGTAAATGAGGTGTGCTCCCAACAACTACCTAAAGGTAAGATTTTAACCAGGAAATCCTGATCTCCAGTGACATATGCGATGGGGAAAAGCAACGAGACATTGTTTTGCTTGGTGATGGGTGAAGCCCTAAAGACTCAATCTGGTCTTGATGAACATCCAAGAATCTGGATGTGAGCATCCCGCTGAGGTAGGAGCTTCTGCCAATGATGAGGGTAAGGAAGTCTGTGGTTTCTTGCAGTGTCAGATTTGTTCGGTTTCAGTTTAAACAAATACCATAATTTCTGTCCTAGGGTATAAACAAGCAGGTTTTAGTCTTGTTTCCAGATGCCATTTCTACCCATGGAACTAGTTGCATATCTAATAAAAAACAAAATGTTATTTAACCTTCAATTTGTTCTATGTCATTCCACATTATTTAAGGTAGTTCCCCTTAGCTTTGTGAAACAGAATAAAATTCAGATTTCAAGCAAGGTAAAATTATTTAAAAACTTATTATGGAAAATTTCAATTCTGTGCACCGAATAGTAGAATAAACTGTATTGTGTGTATTATCCAGCTTTAACAATTATCAACTCCTGGCAAATCTTGTTTCACCAATATACTTGCCTACTATCCTCCACGATATTCTTTGGAAGCAAATTTCAGACATCATATTATTTCATCCACAAATATTTAGATATATAACTCTTAAGATACATGAACTTTTAAAGATAATGTAATAAAATATTAATGATAATTACTCAATACTATCTAATACCCAGTGTCTCATCTACCAGTTTTTATCAATTTTATATCAATTAAATTAACTTTTTACATTTTGTTTACATTAAGATCCAAATAAGCTGCATACATTGTAATTAGTTGAAATTCCCAAATTTCTTTTAATTTATAAATTCCCTTTAATTTTTTTCCTCTCTTGTAATGATCTACTGAAGAGTCTGGGTAGTGTGACCTGTAGGGCTTCCCACAGACTAGGTGTTGCCTATTGCACCTCCATGGTATCCTTTAACATGTCCTCCTGTTCTATATATTTCTCATGATTTAGTTGTTGGATATATACATTCAGGTTTTTGGGGCAAGACTACTTCAGAGGTGATATTGTGTTCTAACATCAGGCAACACACAAGGGCTGGTTCCCACTATTTTGTAATCTTAGCAGCCACTGATTATCAGTGCCTACATCCAGCAGCTCACACCTGTAATCCCAGTACTTTGGGAGGCCAAGGAAGGCAGATCATTTGAGGTCAGAAGGTTGAGACCAGCCTGGCCAACATAGCAAAACCTTGTCTCTACTAAAAAATACAAAAATTAGCTGGCATGGTGGCATGCACCTGTAGCCCCAGCTGCTCAGGGAGTCTAAGACAGGTGAATCGCTTGAACCCGGGAGGCAGAGGTTGCAGTGAGCTAAGACTGCACCACTGCACTCCAGCCTGGGTGACAGAGTGACACTCTATCTCAAAAATAAATAAATATATAAATAATAAATAAAAATCAGTAGTCCCAGCTACTCAGGAGGCTGAGGCAGGAGAATTGCTTGAACCCAGGAGGTGAAGGTTGCAGTGAGCCAAGATCGTGCCACTGCACTCCAGCCTGGGCGACAGAGCAAGACTCTCTCAAAAAAATAATAAAATGAAAGAAAAAGAAAATGATAAATTCACATTCTATCATTCCTCTATTATTAAAAAAATGGAATGTGTGTATAAGATAAATTTTTCTTCATCTTTTTTTTGGATCCTCAATAGAACAGCTCACATAGGAAAGGAAGGACAAAGTATCGATTTTGTTTCCCTTTATTTCTCTTCATTTATTAATTTTAAAAATAGTTGTTTATAAGATTTCTCCAGTGGTGGCCAAGTAATTTCTTAAAATAGCTTTGTGTTATAATTGACACACAATAAATTAGACTATTTCAAAGATCTGGTATTCTAAGTTTTATAATTTATATACACCTGTGAAACCATCACTACCTACTGTCAGGATGATGAACATATCATCATCCCCAAAAGTTTCCCCATTCCCCTGAATAATCCCTTGCTCCCATCCTCTACACTCACCCTAGATTCCCCAGGCAACTACCACTCTGCTTTCTGTTATTTTAGATTAGGTTATAATTTTCTAGAATTTTGTATAACTGTAATCATACAGTATATTTTCTCTCTGTCTCTCTCTCTCTTTGTTTTTGATACAGGATGTCGCTCTGTCTCCCATGCTGCAGTGCAGTGGCACAATCATGGCTCACTGCAGCCTTGACCTACTGGGTTCAAGCAGTCCTCCCACCTCAGCGTGACACCACACCCAGCTACTTTTTCTATTATTATTATTATTATTATTATTTAAGTGGAAATAGTGTCTTACTATGTTGCCCAGGCTGGTCTTGAACTCCTGTGCTCAAGAAATCCTCCCACCTTGGCCTCCCAAAGTGTTGAGATTACAGACGTGAGCCACTGCACCAGGCTGTCTCTCTTTTCTTGATTGGGGGGGTGGTCTGGCTTCTTTCACTCAGCACGATTATGTTGAGATTCTTCTATAATGACTACATGGATCTATAGTTCATTACTTTTTATATCTGGAGTATTCCATTCTATAGATCTCCAGGTTCATGATTTTTAATCAAATTTAGAGAAATTCTAGCTATCGTTTCTTTCAATTTTTTTTTACTGTTCCCTGCTCTACTGTCTTTCAGACTCCAATTTCCTGTATATTAAGATGCTTGAAATTGTCCCACAGCTCTCTTCTTAGTCTTTGAAACAATTTTTTCTCTTTGTGTTTCATTTTAGATAGTTTTATCTGTATGTTTTCAAGTTTGTTATTCTTTTATTCTGCAATGTCTAATCTGCCATTAATCCCATCTAGTGTATTTTACATCTCAACCATGTTTTCTTGTCAATAAGTTTTATATATATATATATATAGTAGGTTGATTTTCCTCCTCATTGCAGATAGTATTTTTCTGCTTCTTTGCATGCCTGTCTTTTTTTGTTGGATGTCGGATGTGATTTTTACTTTGTTAGGAGCTGGATATTTTTTAATTTCTATAATTGTTCTTGAGCATTGTTTTGGGATGCTCTATGAGTTACTTGGAAAGAGTTTGTTTTTTTCAGGTTTTGCTTTTAAGCTGTTTCACTTCATCTATTATTTGGTTCCTCAGTACAAGAGCCTAGAATTTTTGTGTAACATTAACTTTCCCCAGTATAGAGACAAAGCCCTTTGAGTACTCTGCTCATTGCCCTGTGAGTTATGAGGTTTTACACTCTGTCCGGTGGGAACAGACACAACTTCCAGCCCCACGTGAGCACCAGGGATCACATCCCCTCATCCTTTTGGGGAATTCTTTCTCCAGCCTGAGGTGGCCCCCCACATGCAGATGCTGAATAGTGCACAGACATCCCCAGGGGAGTATTTACCAGAGTGTTCCAGTACTCAGCAGGCATGTGCATGTTGGGGGTAGAAGGCATACATCAAGAGTTCCATTTTGGTCATGTAATATTTAAAATGTGTAAGAGATCTTCAAGTAGGGATGTTGAATAGAGAGTTGGAAATGTGAGACTGAAGCTCAGAGATATCTGGGCTAAAGAGATACATTTGGAAACCATGTTCATAAAAAATGTTATTTCACTGATGGTAAAGCATGATCTTATGTAAGAAGTGTTTGGAATGGCCGGGCGCGGTGGCTCACGCTTGTAATCCCAGCACTTTGGGAGGCCGAGGCGGGCGGATCACGAGGTCAGGAGATCGAGACCATCCTGGCTAACACGGTGAAACCCCGTCTCTACTAAAAATACAAAAAAAATAGCCGGGCGTGATGGTGGGCGCCTGTAGTCCCAGCTACTCGGGAGGCTGAGGCAGGAGAATGGCGTGAACCCGGGAGGCGGAGCTTGCAGTGAGCCGAGATTGCGCCACTGCACTCCCGCCTGGGCCACAGAGCGAGACTCCGTCTCAAAAAAAAAAAAAAAAAAAAGAAGGGTTTGGAAAGAAGATAGCCCTGGATTTAGACCTATGGAATCCTAACATTTTCAGATTAAAGGGGGAGATCACAGAAAGGAGACTGAGAAATAACAACCAGTGAGGTAGGGGAAAATTTGAGAGAGAAAAATGTGTCATGGAAGTTACCAGGGAATATGTTTTTCAAGACAGAGGGTGTTTTTGACTGGGTCAAATGTCGCTAAGAGTTTAAGTAAGATGAGAACAGAGGAGATTTGGTAACAGGGATGATGTCACTAGTGATCTTCACAAGAATAGTTCGGGCAGAGCAGTGAAGGCAGAGGCCATGTCATGATGGTTTGAAGAATGGGGCGTTGAAGAAAGAAAACAGCACATGAATACAACTCTTCCAAGGAGTCTGGCTCCAAAAGGAAGAAGAAAAAACAAGAAAACCATGAAGAGGACTTCAGCACTCAAGTGAAGCCCCTGACTCAGAGAGATAAAGCATCTCCCTCTCTTTTCTCAGGGGCTGTCTTTTACATGAAGGGAAGTTCATGTAGGTATTTCTCCATCCAGCTCCTTTTACTTTTCGTCAATAAAGATTCCTCAAAAATCCTGTCATTGTGTGGTCCATCAGGCTTTGATTTTGGTGAGCTTGTAACTATTTTAGTGGAAAGTTGTCATCCAAAGGCATGGGGCTGCAAGCCAGATGCTATTTGCAAGCAGTTCTTCTGCAGAAACAGCTCAGCTGGTCTTCCCACCTCCAGTCTTGACTCATTAAATCCGTTCTTCCCATTGCAGTGGGACTACTCTCTTTAGAATCTAAATGTGGCCTACTCATAACCATGCTCAATTCCTTTCAAGGGGAATAAGCCCAAGCCCCCTTATCAGGACGCAGGAGGTCCTCCATGACACAGGCCTGCCATCTCTCTAGACTCAGTTCACAATTGCCTTCCTTACACATTTCACTCTCACCCTTGTAGTTCCCCACATACACCAGGCTGTTCCATTCTGTGATGGCATGAACTCCCATGTTTATTTACCCACATCTCTTTACTTGGCTAACACTTATCTTTCAAGACTTAGCTCAGGGATCATTTTCTTCAAAAATTATTTTCTTCTCTAATCTTTCAGAGAACTGCAAGTTCCCTTCCATCTCGGTAATCATATGATACTGACTTTTTAAAAGTCAGGGATCTATTTCCTCCATTAGACTATACGTTTCTCAAGAGCAAGAACTATGTTGTGATTTTCCTTTTTTTTCCATACTTCCAGACTTCAGCCCGGTCATACATAGAATTGAGTAGAAAATCAATAAATGAAGCTCAGTGGAAAGCAGGACGATTGAGACAAAGATTTCAGGGTGAAATAAAATTTGAAGTAAGTAGTGCAGGACAAAGGTCTTGAATAGGATGAGAACCTTGACCTTCCTTTTTGATTCTCTGGAGCAGTGGCTTAAAGGAACTGTTCAGGTAACACAAGTAAGACAGGACCAATAAGCTGGAGCCAGTTAACAAGGAACTTCAAAAGCCAGGCAAAATAATTTCAGTTTGAAGGCAATTTGGCCACATAGATTTTAAGTTGTTAACATTGAGAAGGAATGATTGTTCAATAATAAAACAACAACAGCTGGGAAAAACCAAACAGCATAAAATATTTCTAACAAAACAGAGTTAATGTTCTGTTTTTACAACTAATATTTCTGATAACCAGCCTTAGTTTGGGAGCCTAATGTTTTGCCTTATCCAGTTTTTCCTCTTAACTATTATCATGTCAAGCTACAGAGGCATCATAACGATGTGGCTGAGAGTGTGAATTCAGGAGCCAAACTTCTTGAGTTTATTTTTAAAGATATTTTATTTAAAAAAATGAAGATGAGGTCTTGCTATGTTGCCCAGGCTGGTCTCAAACTCCTGGTCTCAAGTGATCCTCCTAACTTGGCCTCCCAAACTGCTGGGATTACAGGCATAAGCCATTGCACTCTGCCAACTTCTTGAGTTTAAATATTGGCTCTGCTTCTTACTGACTTGTGATGTCAGGTAAGTTACTTAGTGCCTCAATGTCTTCATCTGTAAATTGAGGATACTGACATCTACCTCATAGGATTGTTAGGAGGATTAAATGAGTTTTCATAAGTATACATCACTTACAACTGTATCTGGCATGCTAAATGCCTGATAAGTGTTTGTTAAATTAAAAATTAACATCTAAAATACTAGACCTCTTGTAATTAAATAGGCAATGAATGTGAAAAGTACCATCAGGTGTATCTCTCCAAGCTCAGGAATGAATGAAGATTGCGCTTAAGAAAAGACTGGGTCAGCAGTCAACATAGAAGCTCCCTTGGGTCTCCAAGTTGATAAAGCTTTGACATAGCAAGAGATGGTTTGTATTCTGCCTGCCCACTAATGATGATGGAAGAGAGTGATTCCCTGTGCGGAATAACCATAAAACATCTATGGCCTGGATTAAGCCCCTAGGTTGAGAGGCCATAATCAAGGCAATTTCTGAGAGTTCCATTAATAAGGTTTTCTAGAAGCTGCCAAAGTCCAGCTACAGTAATTATCCAGTTAGTTTGCTGAATCAGCCAATATAAGCTTCCCCAGTCCTGCTGCTAATTAGGCTCCAGCCTCTCATCTCATTAATAAGCTTCCAGTTCATTTGCATGTAAGGAAAAATTGTGGGTATGGGGGAGTTTAATAGAAACCCAAATCACCTTCAACATGTGTCTTTTTTATTAAAATATTTAACCTTTTATTATGACTCAGAAACATCTGTTGGCATTACACTCTGGGAAAAGACATGATGAATTCAGCATTTGCCAGTAGTTCTCTAGTCCCTCCTCCTCACACCTGGCCTGTTCCTGATCAAGTAGCAGTAAGAAAAGACAAATGAATATGATTAACTCAGTGTTAGAAATTTGCAGGTGAAAGAAACTTTCTGGTTCAATTTTGTCCTTTTACAAACTGGAAAACCAAGGCTCCAAGAGGTGGTCTTATTTGTTTAAGTGCCAGGGAAGCCGGTACTAGAGCTCAGGCCAGTCCTCCTCTGACTCAGTGCTTATTAGTCACCATGATGTACCAGGCCTACAAAATATCTGATGAGAATAGCTGATACATAGCAGTAGCCTGTTACCTGATGTCGGGCTTTAACTTCTCTTCACTTGCACCTAGAATTCAAGGAATAAGAATATAATTACCATCCCTTCATCCCATTTCTAAGAACTGTTGATTTTATCTCCTTAATTAAGCTTGTATGATAGGCACAATTTTTGTCCCCATGGCTTGCCTTCTGAAGTCATGCCCGTTGTTATATTACATGTCAAAAGGGACATTGAAGATATAATTAAAGTTACCGATCCGCTGACCTTAAGGTAGAGAGATTATCCAGTGTTATCCAAGTATTCCCAGTGTAATCAATGAGCCCTTAATAGCAGAAGAGGAAGACAAAAAAGGAAACCAGAGAGCTGCAGCAGAAGAGGAAGTTAAGACTCCAAGGAAAGAGAAGGATTTAATGCACCATCATTGGCTTGAAGGTAAGGCAGGTCATGTGTCAAGGAAATGAAGACTACAGTCCCACAACCTCAAGAAACTGAATTCTGCCAACAACTTTAATGAGTTTGGAAGCAGAGTCTTCCTCAGAGACTCTAGAAAAGAGCCCAGGCTGGCCAACACCTTGACTTCAGCTTTGTGAGGCCCTGAACAGAGAACCCACCTGAGCCATTCTGTGCCAGGATTGTGAGATAATAAATGCATGTCAATTTGGGTTACTAACTTTGTGTTAATTTGTTATGGCAGCAATAGAAAATGAATACAGCCTGAGTCCATCTATCCTGCTCTATCTTCATGACCACTTCCCTACTCTAAACCACCACCCTCTCCTTCCTGGACCACTGAAATAGGCTGTTAATTCTTCCCTCCAAGGCCCTTTTCGCTCATCTTCTATGAAGTCTTTACCCTGTAGTCCAAGTGATTTTTTTTCAAAACAGAAACCTGATTATGTGATTCCTGCCCCAAGCCTCACTCACACGTACCCTAAGATACCTTAAAACCCTTCAGCGCCTTCTAGTGACTCCTAGACAAACAATACAATGCCTTTTATGTGGGCTGTAAAGGCTCATGCGAATGCCCCTGCCCACCACTCCAGCTTCATCTTGACCATGCTCCCATCACTGTCTGTGCTGTTCTCTCACTGACCTTCTGTTTCTCCTTCTTTCTGTTACGCTCCCTCCCATCACAAGGCCTCACAGATGCTCTGCCCTGTGCTTGGAGCCTTCGCTCCCTCTCCCCTTACCCAGAGGATGTTCACTCAGTCTGTCACTCTCAATTTAAATGTTGCTTCCTCATGGTAGACTAGGTCTGCTTGCCCTCTTAGATGCTTTCATGGCTCTGTATGTTTCCCTTCAAAGCACTTTTCAGAGCTTGTAACTACACTTTTAATTCTGTCTTTATTTAATTTTGCTCCCCAGTGGGAATTAAGCCCAGTGATGTATCATAGGCCTTTTCTGATTGAGATAATGTATTTAAAACACTTATCACAGGCCTAAAAGAAAATAACCACTCAAATAGCAAATACTATCATATATAGGAAGGGCCTTCAAAAAGTTCATGGAAAATGCATATTATGAAAAAACTATGCATGGATTTCAAAAAATTTTTTGCACCAAAATAAACTCATACTAACTTTTTATAACATGTCTGAATGGGATCTAGTTTGAGGAGAGAGACTAAGAGGGACAAGACATCAGTTTGAAAACAGCCCCTACCAGAGCAACATGAATTCTGCTAAAATTGAAGCAAGAGTAAACATTAAATTTATGGTGAAGCTTGGGTGGAAGAATGGTGAAATCATTGAGGCTTTATGAAAAGTTTATGAGGGTGATGCCCCAAAGAAATCAGCAGTTTACAAATGGATGACTTATTTTAAGAAGGAATAAGGCGCTGTTGAAGATGAAGCCTGTGGTGGCAGATCATTCAAATAAGTTTTTGAGGAAAAAAAGTCACCTTGTTTGTGCCTTAATGGAAGGCAACCAGTGATTAACAGCACAAGCAATAGCCAACACCATAACACCATAGACATCTCAACTGGTTCCGCTCACACAATTCTAACTGAAAAATTAAAGTTGAGCAAACTGGCCATCTGATGTGTACCAAAATCATTGTGCCCAGATCAGTGGCAGACAAGAGCAGAGGTTTCAATGGAAATTTTTAATAAGTGGGATCAAGACCCTGAAGCATTTCTCCCAAGAATTGTAATAGTAGATGAAACATGGCTTAACTCCTATGATCCTGAAGGCAAAGCGCACTCAAAGCAATGGCTACCAACATGCAGAAGTGGTCCAGTCCAAGCAAAAGCAGTCAGGTCAACAGAGAAGGTCATGGCAACAGATTTTTGGGATACTCAATACATTTTGCTTTTTGAGTTTCTGGAGGGCCAAAGAACCATAACATCTAATTATTATGAGAGTGTTTTGACAAAGTTAGCCAAAGCTTTAGCAGAAAAATGTTAGTCTGAGTGAAGGTGCATGCCTGTAGTCCCAGCTACTTGAGAGGCTGAAGCAGGAGGATCGCTTGAACCTGGGAGGTTGAGGCTGCAGTGAGCTGAGATCGTGCCACTGCACTGCAGCCTTGGCAATAGAATGAGATCCTGTCTCAAAAAAAAATTAAATAAAAAAATTTTAAAGAAAAATGTCCAGCAAAGCCTCACCAGAGTCTTTCTCCACCATGATAATGCTTCTGCTCATTCTTCTCATCAAACATGGGCAATTTTATGGGAGTTTTGATGGAAAATCATTAGGCATTCAACTTACAGTCCTGATTTGGATTTTTCTGACTTTCTATTATTTCCTAATCTGAAATAATCTTTAAAGAGCATTTATTTTTCTTCAGTTAATAATGTAAAAAAAGCCTTCATTGATGTGGTTAAATTCCTAGGACCCTCACTTCTTTAGGGATGAACTAAATAGCTGGTCTCATTGCTTACAAAAATGTCTTAACCTTGGTGGAGCTTATGCTGAGAAATAAAGTTTGTATTTATTATTTTTACCTTGTAATTACATTTTCCATGAACTTATTAAAGTCTCCTCATGGATGAAATATAATATTATTAAGTATAATCATTAGGATATCCACCCAGAACCACAGAAGAGGAAGCCCTAAACCCAGCCTGCTGGGAAGAATCTGAGAAGAAAGACTCTTTAGGAGGGTTTTAAATTATAAGCAGGTTTAACCAGGTGAAAAAGTGGTGGGAGAGGGAAAGGTATTCCAGGAAAAGGAGGTCACATGAGCAAAAATATGGAGATGAGACACAGCATGATGAATGTGGAGAACTCTGCCACTGGCATTAGTAGTATTCAAATCCCGTAATAGACATGCTTTGTCAAAGCAGGTGTCCCAATGCCTGCCTGTTGTATAATTTGGCACATGTGCATGCCCAGCCAATGAACTGAATATTGCCACACACAATTCCTGGTGCCCATCTTCCAACTTGGCATCCTCTGCAAGTGCACCAAAGGGACCCATCTAAGGCTGGCATGGAAATATGGAGGCAATGTGAATGACAGGGTCTTCAACTCTTTGACATTAGACTGTGATTTCTTTTTATTCTCCAACCAATCGACAAATATTTCTTGTGCTCACCGCTGGAGCAAGCTCTGTGGAGAATGCAAAGAAAGTCTAAGACTTGACTCCTGCTATCAGGGTAATAATATAAAGGGACAATATAAATGTATATAAAAATAAAGAATAATTCAGGATAGCACATGTGACAGATGTTAGTTGCCTTTCCAAAAGTCATTCTCTCCTCCTTTTTGCTAATAGAATCCCAAGTTTGCTCAGGTATAATGCAGGCAAAACATGCTCTGGGAATGTGGGTTTCTACCCCAGCTCCAGGGGAGGAACTGTGACTGAACTAAGTTAATTACAGACATTTCATTTCTTATTTCCAGTGATTGGTCTAGGGTTGGGCACGTGAGCCCCTTCTAGACAGTAAAACATAAAGGAAAGTCTCATGGGTTGCAAAGATTCTCTTCTATGTACCTTTGTTTCCGTGCAAGAAGCTATTATGGATAACTGTGGTGCTTTGGACCCATTTTGCAACTATTCAGCAATAAACCTAAGGACAAAAAGCCAGGCTGGGCGTGCTGGCTCAGACCTGTAATCCTAGCACTTTGGGGGGCTGAGGTGGGCCAGGAGTTCAAGACCAGCCTGGCCAACATTGGAGAAACCCTGTCTCTACTTAAAAAAAAATACAAAAATTAGTCAGAGTGGTGGTGCACGCCTGTGATCCCAGCTACTCAGGAAGCTGAGTTATGAGAATACCTCAAACCCAAAAGATGGAGGTTGTAGTGAGCTGAGATAGTGCCACTGCACTCCAGCCTGGGTGACAGAGCAAGACTCTGTCTCAAAAAAAAAAAAAAAAAAAAAAGCCAACACGTTGAGGATGGTAGAGATGAGAGAGAGATGAGCCTGGGTTCTTGATGATATGTTGATCTTCAACAATAAACCTGGTATTAACCATATCCAGAATTATTGTGATGTTAGACCACACAGTCCTTTATTGTCAAAGCCACTGTTGACCTTGGAGTAAAACACATCCTAACTGGCACAAGATAGAGGAGAGACATAGTACAAACGGTATGGGATTTGCAGTCATAGGAACATACTATGCATTCTCTTAAAAATGGGTGTTCAACTTCCAGCTCCATCATTCAGCCTCTGTGGACCCTTTGAGCAAGGGTTAGGTAAAAGACACTGCTAAACACTTGAGGATCCACAAAGATGAGGAAACTACTAAAGATCTTACAAGCCAATAAAGATATACATGCTTTAAAGCACTATACACTTTGAAAGAGCAAATGGAATGTGAAATTGAAAAAGAAGGGCTGATATTCAAGTGTGTACCAATATGGTCAAACTGGGTGTTTTTGGCAAATGTCAGTCCTCAGAGTAAATGCCTATGATGCACCAGCTTTTCAATATTGTGAAAATTACAGCTATTAAAGACATCACACTCTGGATGTACAAAATGAAAAAAGTAGACCATTTAAGCTGCATCTCGAATAATGAGAACTAATAGAGAAGGGGCAAGAACATTTCAGCAGAAGAAGGAGCAAAGACAAAGGTGATTCACACCTTCATACAGAGGTGTGAGCATGCATAGTATGTTCAGTTTGGTAGCTACTCATTAACTCGTGATCTGATATGAAATAATTAAATTTACAAAATGTATACATTGGAAGAGACTCAAGTTTGTGAAAGATATCATTTATTTGAAAAATACCAATGCAAGACTCTTTCAAACATGTTGTACTAGTAAAATTATGTGTTTGTTTACAGATAATGACATAATTGCCAGAGTGATAGAGCTATGGAAAACTAACATGTTATTGTCTGTACCTTAAAGAACAATCAGAATTAAACAACAGATTTCTGATATTCTAATGGTAATCAGTGATAAAGTAAAATTCAACTCACATATAGTTTTTTGATAGTTATGTTTTAATTGAAAATAATATTTTAGATTTACAATAGAATTGCAAAATATAGTATGGAAAATTCTCATATACCCTTCACCCAGCTTCCCCTAATGTTAATATATTAAATGTTTATAAAATCTATAAAACTAACCTTAGTGTAGTACTATTAAATAAAGCTCAGAATGTATTTAACATCCTTTTGTCTGTTCTAGGGTCCTATTTAGGACTCTACACTGCATTTAATTATCATGTCTTATAGTCTCCTCCAATCTATGATGGCAGCTCAGGATTACCTTTTTTTCCATGACTTTGACATTCTTGAAGGTTACTGGTCAGTGACTGTTTAGAATGTCCTCAATTGGATTTGTCTGGTATTTCCTTATGATTAAATTGAGGTTATGCATTATTGGAAGGTTGCCACAGACGTGAAATGCTCTTCTCAGTATATCATATTAGGGGTACTTGATGGCAATACATGTACAGGTAGTGTTAACCTTGATCATTTTACTAAGGTAATGTCTGTCAAAATTCTCCCCAGGAGTAGAATTTTCTTCCTTGTTTCCTTTTCCCAGCTGAAATGAGTATTCACTAATGTCCTAAGGCCAGAAGTACTTATTGTGCTTCTCCCCACAGATTAAGACTTTTGTTCTGTAGGAGAGATAAAGGAAAAAGATCTAGAGAACTATCTTGCCGCTCTCCATGGCTTCTCTTCCTCTTTCCAAAGTCTGCACCACAATAGACACTTCTTAGGACTCATCTGATCAATTCTGTCAGTGCCTGATAGGGTTCATGGAGAACAAGATTGCAAGAGAGTGCAGACTCCTCTAATTTCTGCAGGCCCCAGGGATCACACTGTGTCACCAGCCAGCATTCAGCCCTCACCAATTTGTCTGCTATTGCAGCAGAAATCTTCTTACCATGTGTCCACCCCAAGGTGAACATGTGCCTGCATTTCCTCCCTTCCTGCAGACACTGTCTTTCTGTAGATTTTGGGCCAGTTGATTGCTTTGTGATCTCAGCTCTTCTATAGGTTCAAAAACAGTCACGAATTTGAAGTTACAAGCCTGAGGTCTTCATATACACATATATCATGTAAAGTACAGGTAATTTGGCATAAATGACATCCAGTGTCCTTCTTTTTTTTTTTCAGACAGAATCTCACTCTGTCACCCAGGCTAGAGTACAGTGGCATGACCTCAGCTCACTGCAACTTCCATCTCCTGGGTTCAAGTGATTCTCCTGCCTCAGCCTCCCAAGTAGCTGGGATTATAGGCCCCCACCACTGCACCCAGCTAACGTTTGTATTTTTAGTAGAGATGGGGTTTCACCATGTTAACCAGGCTGGTCTCAAACTCCCGACCTTAAGTGATCCACCCACCTCGGCATCCCAAAGTGCTGGGATTATATGTGTGAGCCACCGTGCCCGGCCCAGTGTGCTTGGCTTTTTGGAAACAGAAAGTGAAAGACAGAACTATGTATCTGGATGCATGCATATATATATATATAACTTACTGCCTTTCCTGTTCCTTGGGACTTTGTAAGTTTGGAGGAGAAATAGAGGCTTCTATGCTGTCTACATACAGGGAAAAAACCTCTTGTGAAATGATGAGATTGAAGGAAAATAGCCTTTGGAGTCAAGAAATCTGGGCCCTAAATCTGATGCATAGAACTTTGACACATAAAACTTTGAATAAATTGCCTAACTTCTCATGGCCCCAGATTTTTCCATCTGCAAAACAAGGAAAATAAAACATAATGCCCTGGCCTGGGAGGGTTGAATGATAAAATGTTAAAGAGCAAGTATTTCTTTGAACTAGAAGTGAGCATTTTAAAATTTTTTTTCAGTAAAGGGCCAGTTTGTAGGTATTTTAGGCTTTGCAGACCACACAGACTCTGTCCCAATTATTCAGCTTCAACGTTGTAGTGAGTGCAAAAGCAGGCACAGAGAATGTGTAACTAAATGGGCATAGCTGGGTCTCACTTTTATTTACAAAAATATGTGTTGGACCAGAATTAACTGCAGACAGGCAGTAGTGTATGACCCCTGTGCTAGACCAAACCTGCCTGGGGGCACTTCCAAGGCATAATCAGATTGCCCTGTTACTTCCTATTCAGGATACCCTCCTCCTCTCACCCTCAGCTGGTTGCTAGTGTCAGGTTTCCATTCAGGTCTGCCCTTCTAGGTGAGGGTGAGGGAAAATGTTCTCTCAGATTCCACAAACTGTTTTAGTTATCCGTGCTCCATGTGGTCACTTGGTCACTATGGTTGAGAAGGTGCTATTGCTTCTGCAGAAAGTCAGCCCCACATCAACTGCTGTCACCTGGGCCTGCTGTTGAATATCCCTAGCTATTTTTCTGCAGCAGCTTGCTTCCATGATGGGGTGTTTACCCCCCACCTCCCCCACCCCCCTACCCCGAGACGGAGTCTCACTCTGTCGCCCAGGCTGAAGTGCAGTGGTGTGATTGTGGCTCACTGCAACCGGTGCCTCCTGGGTTCAAACAATTCTCCTGCCTCAGCCTCCCGAGTAGCTGGGATTGCAGGCATGTGCCACCATGCCTAGCTAATTTTTGTATTTTTAGTAGAGGCGGGGTTTCACTGTGTTGGCCAGGCTGGTCTCGAACTCCTGACCTCGTGATCCTCCTGCCTCGGCCTCCCAAAGTGCTGGGAATACAGGTGTGAGCCACTGTGCCTGGCTCCATGACCTTTTTTAGTGAAGGCCCCGAGCCAGACTCCAGGGCTCAAATTCTAGCTCTGCCATTTGCTAGTTGCGGGACTTTGTGCTGTAAATCACTTCACCGTATTTAGTTTCCTCATCTATAGAATGGTAATAATAAGTCTCTGCCTCACAGAACCATTGTGAGGATTAAGTTAATACATTTATTTAGAATGATGCCTGGCATATCATAATTGCATGGTAAATCCAATATTATTATTCTCTTGGTGAGCATTCTCGGTGACAGACACTGAGTCTGAAGAGATAAATTCATCGTCTAAGAAGGGAAATTATTTTTCCCCATCTCATCCTTCTTTTCACCCTGAACCAAATACCCTTCTATGGGTTAACATGTGTCCTGCGACCCCTAGACAGCCTGCATGCTGCCACAGAATTAGCATTCTGATGGCGATACTGGGGTCCTTAGAACCCTACCTTCCACCTTCCCGACCAGATTTGGGGCTGGGTCCTCCTTCTTTGCAATGAGCTTTACTGCTCCCACCACCTCCAACATGCATGAGAGTTGAATTCCTTCTCCCCTCAGAGATGAGTGTCCCATCCTCTCACCCAGACAACCCTTTCTCGCAAAGTTACACCTACAGATGCAACCTAGATTTTGTGGGGACATTTCCAAGCTTTTAACTCTATATAAAGTACCTCGGGTGTAGCTGCTTCTTAGTAAATTTTCATTCTCTTTCCCCTAAACCAACAAAGCTAAGCAAAAAGAAAGAAAGAAATAATACTTTGCAAAAAACGTTCTTAATTTTTGTTTCCCTACTTGGGAGAGCTGAGGTTGCACAACAAAAATGAACGAGTGGTAGGTGCCAACAAGGGTCATGATGAAGACCCAGTACTTTCTCCTGCTGAAGATCATGAAATGATGATGAACACAATGATGATGAAGATGTTAATGGTGATGCTCAACATTTATTGACCCCTTAATACCTGGAACAGGGCCAAGCTCATGACATACTCAAGCCTCACAATAACCTTATAAGGGTTATTAAGGAAGTTGAGGAAGCGGAAGGTAGGTATTATTCATCCACATTTTATAGCTGAGGAAACTGAAGGTCAGAGAGAGCATGTCTAAGGACACATAGCTAAATAGTGGCAATTCAAACCCACATCAGTTTCTCCCTAATGTCCTTGTTCTTAAGCTCCTCGCTCTCCTGCTACACTAGGTGCTGGTACAGCCAGAAGCCTTCAGGTGTGTGTGAATAGACATTTGGCAGCCTCACCAAGTTCGTGTATGGCAGCTTTGCCAGCTGGACCTATACCTGGAATAACAGGAGGGGATGCAAGAGTGGACAGATGCTCATTAGCCAAGTGACCAATGAGAGTCAGGGGATGGGAGAGCTAAGGAACAGGCAGCAGAGCTGCAGGGCAGAAGGAGCTGGGGTGGGACCTCTGGCTCTCCCTGAAGTGGAAGAGGAGTGGCCACAGCCTCACAGACAGGTCAGGCATGTGCCAGGTCAGGCAGCTGTGAAAAACCTTTGTTTCATGGCTGGGACATGGACTTGCTGACTTTCAAAGCTAAGTGGCCAGGCTGTACTTGGGAATGGAATTTAGGCTCGAGCAACTATCAGTGGCTAGAATGTGTTTCCTTCTCAGAGCATTGCAGAGCTCCACTCTGGCTCTGGGAGCAGACTAAGGCTAAGTCCATTTGGCTTGACTTAAGAGCCAGTCTGATGGATGATTTATTTAGTTTGATTCATGTGTGCGCGTGCGTGAGTGCGTGTGTGAATATATGTGTACACGTGCAGGTAGCTATCTATAAAGGTACACATATGTGTTAATATGCATCAGCCGTATGTATTCCTGTGCTCACCACCTGTGCACATGCCTGTGTAAGTACCTTGACACTTAGAGGGGTGAGTTAAATGAACAGACGCTTGTGAGCCTACCAGTTGTCTTTTTGTACTGATGGGTCAGGGCCATTGTTTGGTACAATTAACCTGGGACTCAGACTTGCAAATGAATTCAACGGGGTACTGTAGCTTGGATGCCTTCCAGCGTGTGGTGTGTAATGGGGGTTGTGTTTCAAAGCCTTCGTCACACTAGACTGCCAACTTTCCTGATACCTTGTGCTTTGGAGGACACAGGCAGAGTGGAAGTATCAGACTGGAAAATTGCCCAGTGATCTGTTACAAACATATTGTCAACTGCTGGAGCCTCCAGTGCCTGTCCCTGCAGTGATGGGTGAATGCCATTCCCTTTGGCTCTTTGGAAGCCATGTCTGTTCTGATTCATACTGCTGTGGAAAAAGCAGCATGCCTAGAGATGGAGGCATTCAAAGGCATGAGCACGTTGTCTGCGAATGAAGGATGGTCTGGGGAAGTGTGAGGGGGAAAATGCAAGCACACTCGAATATGGGAGGGAAAACTTTCCTCCCTTCTGCCTCTGCTGCTGCCTCTACCCTGTACTTGTCCCAAAGCCCCATGTCAACTGAATAACATCTCCCGTCTGCCTTTTATTATATGGATGGTGGGTTGGGGCCCTAGAGAACCCAGTTACAACATTCACCACCATCAGATCTACAAAACAAAAGTTATTTCAAACCTGGTATTCAAAGGCCTGGGCAAAATAGACAACTGACTTCCTAATATGATTTAAGGGTCCAGAAAAGTGTCCCTATTTCAAATTATCTACCCTTCTATTTGGATATATTTTTCGTTACTTTCTCCATTAACTCAGTTTTCGTCTTAAGGAGATACATACTTTTTTTTTTTTTTTGGACTGAGTTTCACTCTTTTGCCCAGGCTGGAGTGAAGTGGCATGATCTCGGCTCACTGCAAACTTCGCCTCCCCAGGTTCAAGCAATTCTCCTGCCTCAGTCTCCAGGTTGAAGCAATACTCCTGCCTCAGCCTCCCGAGTAGCTGGGATTACAGGCGCCCACCACGCCTGGCTAATTTTTGTATTTTTAATACAGACAAGGTTTTGCCATGTTGGCCAGGCTGGTCTCGAACTCTTGACCTCAGGTGATCCACCCGCCTCGGCCGATATGTGCATTTTTATTTAATTTACAGTTATTGTTATCTGGCCAGGGTCATGCATGAGAAAACTAACACATTAGCAGTGCTTTATTTTATTAATTAACTAATCCATTATCACCTTTGGCCCCTTGTAGAAGACTTGAGAGAATGGAATACATGATGGGCAACTTTTGATGAGAGGAGCTAGAACTGAGTTGACAGCAGTGCTGTAGGGTGTGTGTCTTGGGGGAATGCGTACATTATGAAAAACAGCTGAGATAAAAGGCAGTAAGCACACCTTTGCCTAAAGAGCTTGTAGATACCTAATAAGACAAAATAGACATGTTCACCAGTTAGGTGAAATATACTAAAAAAGTTCCTCCAGGTTGCCTTCCTAGGATGATTATTGAGTTGGGTTGAGAAGGGCTGAGGGATTGCTTAGCATCACACAAAGCTAGTTTCTCTGGTCAGGGAGCAGGCAGGAGGTAACTACTTTGAAAAGGTACGTTATCAGATATTCAGGATGGCAGGTGTTGATGAGAATGAACACAGTGGAGGGAGGACATGAAAGTTGCTGGCTGCCTGTTCCCACTGGCCCAGGGAAGTGATGAGCATAAAGAAAACAAATAATTGAAATGGACACAAATCAATTAGATGATGACAAATAAAAATTTTAATAGCCCAGGATGAAATGTTATTAAAAATGACTTGTCTGGCCCTGATGCCTTTAGATTTACATTTAAATGTAATTAACACTGAATGGCACTTACTGCTGTTCTCATTCTGCCAGCTGATGGTGTTCTTTAGAGCGCTGTGGAGATGCCGGGAAGCATTATCTTTAGAAAATAGTCCGTCCCTATTTTCATTCATTTGTAGTTTAACTTCCCTCATTATATTGCATTAGGAGAAAGAGCATGGGTGCTTCCTGGTGCATCCACTCCTGCGGCTCATTTCCCCAGCTGAAATCATCATCAGCTTGAGACATCACAGCCATCTCCACAGCAACCAGCTCCATCTTGAGAGCACACTCTTCAGCTCACATAGCCTTCATTCCTCTTGTTATTTATTACTAAAATGATTTGATGTGGAAAAATAGACTTGGGTTCCTAAGACTTTGTGGCAAGTTGCTACTTCTCTTTTTCTAAAGAGATGGCTATGAAGTAAGGAAAATACGTTTCCAGAGTGAGATTGACTTGGCCCTTTGAATGCTGTCTCAAACCCTCCCCCACCACTTTTATTTATTTATTTATTTATTTATTTATTTATTTATTTATTTATTTATTTTGAGATAGAGTCTCGCTCTGTCGCTCAGGCTGGAGTGCAGTGGTGCAAGCATGGCTCACTGAAACCTGGACCTCTCAGGCTCAGGTCATCCTCCTGCCTCAGCCTCTTGCATATCTGAAACAAGAACTGCTTGGGTTACAATTATGAGCCACCATGCCCAGCCTCTACCTCTCCCTTCTATTTCAGACTCCTCATCATGGAAATGGAAAAGTCAATTCCTACCTTGCAGAATTGTTTGCAAAGATCAAATAATTAATGGACGCATGTGCTTTATGTGCATGATAGTATTTTATCTACAAAGTAAAAGCTATTGTTCTTGTGTTATAATCCACTCCAAAATTTGATGACTTAAAACAACTTTTTTTTTTTATCTCGTATAGTTCTGTGAGTTGATGGGGCTCAGCTGGGGTTCTTCTGCTGGCCTTGCTTGGGGTCTCTTATGTGGTGCAGTCAGATGCAGCTAGGACTGAAGTCGCATGGGCTCAGTGGAAATGTTGGAATGTCTGGGTCCCTCTCTCCACATGGTCTCAGGGCTTTGCCTCTCCTTGTGGCCTTTTCATATGGTGTCTCCAGGACAGACTTCTTACAAGGCAGCTAAGGGTCCCCAAAAGCACAAAAGCAGTGTCTACCAAGCCTTTTAATGCCTACATTCTGAATTCCCAGAAGATCACATTCAGTTTCCTTCTGTTTATTCAATCGGGTCAACAGGCCAGCAGAGTTGGAAGGTGGGAGGGAACTGCACCAGGGCAGTAATATCAGGAGGCATGGCTTATTGGAGGCCATGTCTTGGAGTCTGCGCACAATGTTTCCATTTTACTTATGAGAAAATGTAGGCTTAGAGAGTTAAGCGGCTTTCTCAGAGTCACCAAGGTAGTAAGTAGAACTAAGATTCAACCCGAGGCATCCTGAGTATCAGAGCTTGCATCTTTGACCTCCAGTCTATACTAACTCTTGTGTCATGCAAAATTCCTAAAATAGGGCGTGGCATATATAGGGTACTTACTCATGGAACCTAATTTTATTTCCTTTTCTCTTTCTTCACCTTATTTAATAACATTTATACTATATCAGTTACTCTACTTTTTATCAAGCTTCTGTTATGTGCCAAGCACTGTGCTAAAGGTACTGAAGATAATACGGCAAACAAGACAGACCTACCCTGCCCTTGCGGTGCTTTCAGTATTTGATATTTATGTAATTAGCAAATATAAGCTTCTTGAGCAAGCCTCCTCTAAATGAGGCCTGGCGTTTGGGATCGGCCACTGGTCTGATAGTGACTTCACTTTTTGTAGAGTGGTGGAGCCTGGAGGGGGAGCAGGATGGGAGGAGCACAGACCCACCATGCCTGCCTCTTGGCCTAGTGGTCTTGCAGCCTAGGCTTTGGGGAGGTCATCTAAGCCTGACTTGCAGATCAAAGCATGCTAGTTAATATTCCCTAGACTGCTGGTAAAGGAGGCATTCAGTTAATAATCTGTACTTTTAAAAAGTAACTTTTACTTTTTCTGTGTTATATGAATGATGCTAGCTCATTGGTGGAAAAGTAAGAAAATAGATAAAAGAAAAGAAAAGAAAAAAATTCCATTATTCACTAACCAGAGGTAATAATTATTGACAATTTGGCATATGTTCTTCTTATTAGTGTTGTACTATATCAATAAATCACATTTTTATTAAGAGTATACTATGTGTCAGGAACATACTAAATGTACCTATATGTAACCAGATTCTTTTCTTTAGCAGTGTATCATGAACAACTTTCCATGCCAATAAATATAATTATACATCATCAACTATACTTATTCATTATCTGCCAATATATGGATATTGTATAATTCATTAACCTGTTGCTTGTTATTGGACATCTGATTTCTCTGCAATTAGCATTCTTGTAGCTTAATGTATGTGCACATTCTAAAACATTTGTATATATTTCTCAGAGTGAAAACATTGAGCCAAAATCTGTGCGTAACTTTCAAGTTTTTTACTTTTTTTCCAAATTAGGAAAGATTGCACCCATCGGTGCTCAGCATTGAGTGTGTACCCATTTTCTTACTCCCTAACTAACATGAATGGTTTTTTAGCTTAAAAAATTACTACTAGTTTAATAAGCAAAATATGGTATCTTGTTTTAACGCGCGGTTACTTGATTAATATTGAGGTCTGACATTTTAATATCTATACTGACTAATTGTACCCTTCTTTTGTAAACCGCTGGTGCCTGTCTTTCATCAGTCTGGTTTCTAGGGGTGGGCTGCTTTGTCCCATATCTCAGCCCTAATATGAGCTCCATTTCTTGTGGCTAGACGGTTCTTGGTGCCTATTTCTCCCAGGCCTTGGCTACATTTCACTTCCTTTTGCACTATTGCCCTGGGTTACCTCCCCAGGGATGGCGGTTCCATCCCTGATTCCCAGCCTGGGGATTCATTTCCTGCTACTCATTGACTAACTACCAGGTATTCAAATCTACCTGGTGCTGACTACTGGTCTTTCAGCTAGAAACTAAAAAATTGTCTGCTTCTCGAATACCCTGCCTGTTGGAATCTGCTAATCTCCCCATCCTCTGCTGATTCCTGAGGGTAGGCCTCTCTCATGCCAGCCTGTTGCCTGTCACCTGCCTTCTTGCACGATCCCCTCACATTCAGGTTCTGTTTCTCCTTTTTTCCTGTGTCCTACACCTGCTCACTCCAGGCTGATGCTACACCAGGCCTAGTCCTCTGCTGTTAACCTTGTTCTTTCCAACTATGAATACACTGTCTATTCCCAGTTTGACATGTGAGAAAATACAAACCAGACAAACTGGCTTATCCATAACAGCATGGCAAATAAGCTAATGGTATTGTCTGTCTACGGGGGTGTCTTAATCTGAGGTCTAGATTTTAGGAGGTTTGTAAAATTCTTACAATCTCATAATTGTGTGTTTATTTGTATCTATATTTTTGGAAGAACAGGTCCTTAGTTTTGTAAGTTTCCCCAGGACTACTGATCCTCAAAACATCTACTGCATAGCCAAGAAGCATTACTGGTATTGCTACTACAGCTACCACTTTCACTAATACTATTGATAATAACATGAGTGCAAAAGCAAGATATAGAGCATACAATTTTGGAGGAAAATAGCTGTCAGTGAAAAATGTTCTTAAATCAGCTTTTTAGGTCACCTGAGCAGCTTTCTAAAAGGACCTGTCCAATCTCTATCTCAGGTTCTATGAAGCTCTAAAGTCTTTGGGCCCGATAGCTACAACAGTCACCTAATAAAAGTCTGCATGTCCAAAGATAATGGTGCAGGATCATGCTCCACTCTGTCTTCCCTGATATCAGCAGCACTCTCAGACAGTTGTTGGGGAACTTCCAAAGGCAATACCTGTAAGAAGAGAAGAGAAAAACAGCTGCAGCACTTCCTGTCTGAGCAGCCACATCAGCACTGCTTTAATTAACATGAAGAACTGGAAATTATTGCTACTGACCGTGCAGAGGTAAAGGGTGTGCAGGAAGGGGAAGGTCACAAGGCACACAGGATGAGAGCAGTGCTAGCATCATTAAATCCTGCCTGCATCGCCAAATCCTGCCTACTGGACACTTTCGGGGGTCATATGTATTTCTTATGCTGATCTCACTGGACATTCAGCTAGAAAATCTGGGTTTGAGGCTCCTATCTGCCACTCATGATTGTGTGACTTCAGAGGAGTCTCTTTCCCTTTCCAGAAGGAAGCCTTCACTTCCTCACCAAAAAAAAAAAAAAAAAAAAAAAAGAAAAGAAAAGAAAAAAGATTTGGGCAAAATGGTTTCTGAAGTCCATTCTTATTCCATCAATTCAATAATTGTATTATTCTTTAAAATATTATGTCTGCAATCTTAATTTTTTTAGAAAAATAGTAGTGACATCCTGAAAGATAACTAAAAGGGATGACCAAGAAGGACTGATATAAAAATGGTGGATTAGGATAGTCCATCCCTCATTTCCCCAGGGAAACATCAAAAAACAAACAGAAACTGGCTAAAATACAGGACCTTACAGGAGTTATGAAAATAGTCAAAAGTCTACAGCAACCAAGCAAACATTTAATCAAGGAAAAGCTACATTCAAAGTAGGAGGCAAATTCATGGTGATTCACTTGCCCTTCTCCTACACCCTTCCCAGCATGGTACAGTGGGCCTGGAGGAGAGGCAAGCCGGTTCCCCATTCCCTTCTTTGAATCAGAAGAGCAGAGAAGACCTGAGTTGCAATGTTCCAACATGTCTGGGAGCTCCATGAAGGATGGTTCTCTGTCTCACCCAAGTTGGAACTTAAGTAAGAAGTGGCAGGGCTGCTCATGAAAGCTGCAAGAGACTACAGACCACAGATCCACAGAGCTGTTTTTCCAAATAACCAATTTTCAACAAAAATTACAAGGCATACAAAGAAACAGGAAAACATAGCTTGTTCAAAGGAAGAAAATAAAGTGGCAGAAATCAACTCTGAAGAAACACAGACATTTGGCTTATAGACAAAGACTTTAAAACAACTGTTTTAAATATGCTCGAAAAGCTAAAAGAAAGCACAATGAACTAATAGAAGTCAGCAAAAATCAATATATGAACAAAATGAGAATATCAGTGTTTCTTCTATCCATATGTGATTTTGTTATTACTTGTCCCATTTTCTTTCCACAGGCAAGTATTATAGGCACAAAATTAAATCTGGGTTACAGTGACATTCCAAGTTGTATTCTCGATACAGTAGTCCCCCATTATCGGCAAAGAATAAGTTCAAAGACCCCTAGTGGATGCTTAAAGCTGCAGATTGTACAGAACCCTATATACACTGTTTATTCCTATAATGGGCACGTATCACACAGAGCATATATACACTGGAAAAAGGGATTGCTCATGTCTCAGATGGCATGGAGCAATATTTCATCATGGTACTGAGAACAGCATGCAATTTTAAACTTATAAATAGTTTGTTTCTGGAATTTTTTATTTAATATTTTTAGACTGCAGTTGATCACAAGTAACTGAAACCATAAAAAGTGAAACCATGAATAAAGAGGGACTGCTGTATCTTCTACATTTTGGGAACTATGCTAGGTGCATTACATACTTGGTATACTTTTTTACGTAATTCACCCAACAACTCTACAAAGGTATTATGATCATACTCCTTTACAGACAACGGTCATATAATTCTCTTATGCCCTCTTGATATCTGAAGTCATTTTTGGCTGCAGAGAAATTGCTGGAGGTTATCCCCACTACTTCCCCACAATTGGCACCATTGTCTCCTCACCCACGTTTAAGCCTCTTTTCCGTGATGCCCATCCTAACTAAGCTCCTCTGTGCTCTATATCCTATGCACCTTTGTGTAACCCTTTTACTTTGTGAGATGCATTTCTCCCCTCTTACAACCAGGGCTGTGAGTGTCAAAAGGTTCATGCAAATAATGACTGGACGGTGGTTTCTGGACAAGGCAGATTATTAGAACTATCCCAAGAGACTTTTTAAAAATACAGATTCTTAAACTCCGCTTAAGATCTGATCAGATTCTCCAAGAGTGAGGCCAAGGTTTTGGTGTGGGTAAACTCTCCTGTGGGTAATGTCGGTGTCAATCAGGCTTTGGGGAACTGCTGTGGGGACTCCAAGCAGATTGCTCTTGGTACAGGGAAAGTTTACCCACAGCAGCAGTCAGAGAAGACTCAACTGAGGAAGTCAAACTCCACCTGGTTTTTAAGGACACATGAAATTCAGATAAATGATGATGATTGAGAGGACATTTCATCCTTGCACAGAGGCCATGTTAATCTTCTCTGTATCCTTCCAATTTTAGTATATGTGCTGCTGAAGTGAGCACTGAAAGGGCATTTCAGACAGGATAGATGTTAAACAGGATACAGAGGCAGGGAAACATGTGACCTATTAAGAAATAATGGAAAATGTTAGTCAGGGAGTAATCACTGTTCCTGATGCTTGCCTCCATGTAGACAGAATTCTGTTAGAGTAACAGTCCTGGCCTCTCTTTATCCCTTCATTCATTCTACCAGTGCAGTTTAGGGAAGAAGTTTAGCCTGTGCTTTCCAGCACCTGCCCTTCCTCCTCTTTGGGAGTCAGCTGCTTGGGGACAAGACAGGAGCTGCCCTGCTCCCCCACGTCATAGCTTTCAGGAGCAGGTTCTACTCCTGCATCCCACACTACCTGAGGCTAGGTGGGTAGAACCTTGGGGTTTCAGTATTAATTACTCTACTAGCCTGAAGTTATATGCCACATTCTTCAATATTAATGTCTTAGTTCAGGCTGCTATAACAAAGTAACATAGACTGAATGGCTTGTAAACAACAGATCTTATTTCTCACAGTTCTGCAGGCTGGAAATCTGAGATCGGGGTTTCAGCATGGTTAGTTCTACTGAGAGCTCTCTACCAGGTTGCATACTGCTGACTTCTTGAATACTTACATGGCAGAAAGAGGGTGAATGAGCTCTCTAGGGTCCCTTTTATAAAGGCATTAATCTCATTTGTAAAGTCTCCACCCTTATGACCTGATTACCTCCCAAAGGCCTTATCTCCTAATACTATCACATTGGGAGTTAGGATTTCAACATATGAATTCGTTGAAAATGTTCAGTCCATTGCAATTAGCCACTTAGAAAATAAAGGTAATATGTTCATCTCCTTTCTACCTTACTCATTTATTTCTTAATTGTCTTAGAACTCAGCTAAGAAAGAAGGGTGCTATTTATTAGGTCCCTCAATCCCCCAATAGGACAACAGTGTTGAAAAAGAAAGATGAGGTCAGATTAAAAAGCACCTAGCATGCCAAACTTCATACAAGGGGTTCTTAAATTTCTTGAGGTCACAGAGTTTTTTGAGGCTCTGATAAAAGTCATGAACATTCTCCCCAGTTAAAGATATATTATCAAAATTATCAGGGAGGTTCTTTTAAAAAAATACAGACTCCCAAATCCCACCCAAGATCTCCTGAGTCAGTTTCTTCAATGGTGTAACATGCATTTTGATGTAGGTAAAATCTTCTGCAGAGAAATCTAATGTTCATTTAGCATTACATTCTATTTCAGGGTATCCATACATTTCCTGAAGCCTATCCATGGCTGTTCTTTCCCAATGTTAAGAACTCTAGCTTTAGGCAACAAGGGCAATTGTGTTCCAGGCATGACAAAAGAGACATGGCAGGCTTAGTGATGTGGTTCTGATAGTGATGTGGGCATTTCGTCTCAAATCTAAATTGACTCTACAAATAATTATAAGCTTGAAAGAGCAAAAAGGTCCTCCTTCTTGAATTTCCTTGGTGGAATCCATGGCAGATCTGTGCAGGCCTCTGGGAGCCTGATGGAAAGAGGCTAACCACCCCCTTACTGGAGAACACTGGGAAACACAAGGGTTCTGTTGTTTTGGGATTCCTATGGCTCCATGACATGGCTCTCATGTCAGATGATGGGTTACGAAATAAATGGGTGATGTTATACTTGGCTTTTCTCATTAGCATTTCTTTTGCCTTTACATTCCCCCCACTCCCCCCAAAAAACTCCCACCAAATTGCAGCTGCTTCTTCCTTAACCTAAAGCATATAATGCTAGCAATTTTGGAAATGGAAACAAGCTAGTCTGTCCAGAAATCTCCAGAGCATTGTAGACTAATACATTAAAATTAAAGGGAAACAGAAGCCATCACTGCAAATTGCAACATTATTGTTCAAGCCAAGATCATCCTAATTATAAACTAGCATTTTTATAGATGTCACAGGGGCTGTTTTAGTGCTGCTTTGCTGATGCTAAAAAGATAGTGTGGAACTGTGATCAGGGATTCTCACACTACTGTCTAACTGGAGGAAAAAAGAGTTAATTAGACTCTTTTTGGCATATTAGTGAAGACAGGCTTATTAGACACATTTACAAGCTAATGATATGCCTATACTCTGCTATCAGAAAATGCATTTAAATAAACTGATTTACAGTTCAGCCATTTTCATTTCTTTAACCCATATATTCATGATTACCCACATTTAATTTACATGGAATCAGAATATTTCTGGGGCCCACTCTGCAAGGTGCTAATGATATGTTGTTCTCTGCTCATCCTGCCTTTCCAAACCTATCTTGGACCACAGGTAGCCCCCACCATACTTGTTGTTCACTTTCTAGGTTGAATAGCCTTGATTTCCCTAAAGTCCATTGAACCAACAGTGATGGGTTTCAGAGCTGTCACTCATGAAGACGGCAAATGTGGGAGGGAGAGGGGGTAGACATTGTGGGGACAGGCAGAAGGCAGTAGCTAAATGGCTTGGGTAACTAGTGCCACACTCCTCTCCTGAGCTTCCTGGGGAAGGGAGCAAGCATGGAAGGACAGGGGCATTTCTTTCCCCAGCTCAGAAACAGAAGGCCTCCCAGTGAGTCCTGAGTCATACATTTGGGGCCAAGATAAACCCCTTCTCCATTGAAGCTGACCTTTCACAGTGCTTTTAGTGCTCGTTCTGATAAACACAGCCATCTAAGCCTGTCACAGCTGGAGAGCCTGTTTCTGCCACAACAGGCTACTTCAGCTCCCTAACCCCTGGTTTCCACATTTGTAAGATAGAGATCATAGCAGTTCTTTTCTCAAAGTGTTTTTGAGAAGATTAAATGTGCTACTGTATGTAAAGTGTCTAGCAAACTGTCTGGCCTGTGGTAAGTGCTCAATAAATGTTACCTGGGATCATTCACATTATTATCACTATTTCTGCACTCTTGTGCTTAAAAGCTTTTGATGGGTCCCTATTTCCTAGAGGAGAGAACCTGAATTACTTAACATGGTCCTCAACCTCCTTCAGATTCTCATCTTGATTTCCCTTTCCAGCTTCCTCACCCCTCCTTCTCCCACAAAGCCACACACCAGCCCCACAGACTGCCAGGCTCCTCTGAGCATCCCTTTGTCCTGGGCTCATGCTGCTCCCTCTGCCTGCACAGTCCTGCCCTGCTGACCAGCAGCCCTCACTTCCCGGTCCCACAGAAAGCCTCCTCCTCCTTAGGAGCTCAGCTCCTGGGACCTCTCTAGACTACTGCTCCCTGACACCTGCCCTTCCAAGAGAATAATGGCTCTTGCCCAGATTGTACCACACATACGTCTTTCAGGTATCATCTACTTCACAGTATGAGAGTAAGTTGTTTACCAGGCTGTCCCTCTTGCCAGTATGCTCTTCCAGGACAGAAACCAGAACCAATTCCTATTTTTATATCAGGGTCTGAAATAGTGTTAGGCACAACCAGGTGCTAAATGAATGTTTATTGAATCCAGTGGAATCGAACTAAATTAAACTGATTTGAACTAGAGTTTCAACTAGATCACTTCTAAGGTGTCTTCCAAACTTTAGATTCCACAAGCCCCTGTTTTGATAAAATATTCGATTTAACTCCCTTCTCTGAGCTTAGTTTCCTTATCTATAAAACGTGAATGATAATGTCTAACTCACAGGGCTATTGGGAGACGTAAATGGGTCAATTCATGTGAAAAGACACTGTACATTTCAACTGCTACACAAGTGTTAAGTAGTATAGACTTTCTTACCCTTGTGCATCTTCTGGGAGAGGACAGAATAATAGAAAAGTGCATTGTCTGTGCAGCTAAATTTGTATTAGTTTGGTGCAAAAGTAACTGCGGTTTTTGCCATTACTTTCAATGGTAAAAAGCACAATTACTTTTGCAACCAACCTAATACTTGTTGTAAATATTATTCCCATTCCAATTCCCCTTAGTAAAGGTAATCTAAGTTTCATTCCTTCCCTGCTATTCATTTCAACTGGATAGAATTGGGATGAATACCTGGAGTAAGTCTCCGTACAGTGTGGCCTTCCGTTCAGATTCTCATCTCAGTTCCTATAATAGAAGGATTGCAGAAAATACCTTTTCTCCTCCCTCCTGTTTCTTCAACCTCCTCCATAATATCAAAGCCCAGTCCATCTTTTTATGATGATACTCATCATCAAAGACATCATTTGACTTTGACGCCAGAGAATGACTTTGCATGCCAGTGACTAACAATGTTACGGAAAATTATTTCTTTAGAACTATGCTACTTCACTGTCAAAGAAAATGTCACTTTTGTAAGGTAATAAATGTGGTTTATTCGGAGCGTGGATATGTTGAGATCTGCCATTTAATTTGATAACAGCTCATCCTCAGCAATTCTTTGAGATAAAGTCACTCAAGAGCAATTTCTGGCAAGTACTTTCCCAAGTGTTTCCTGAATCCCTGTGTTCCAGAATGACAGCTCCTGTTTGTCTGAGGCATCTTTTGAAGAAAAAGGATTAATTCACTAAATAGGAGGCTTGGAGGAGCCCTGTTTCTTGTCACCCAGTCCAGAGCAGTCAATGCCCTATCTCCAGTTTCCATCATACGTGGGAAACTACTCTTAGCATCCAAAGGTGCAGTTGGGTAGCATTTCTGGCAGCATTCCTACTGTGCCCCAGATGAGCTCAGGAAAAAGACACTCAATTGTGGGAGGAGAAAACAGAGGGCAACTCCTCCTTCTCTATAGGTAGCTGCGCAGTTGCAACAAAGGCTGGGCCAAATATTTGCTCATCTATGGGAACACAGCCCTGAAATGGGGTCGGGAGCGCTACAGAGAGTAAGACATTGGCTCAAAGGACTCATAGAGTCATCTTTACTTACAGGACACACCTGTGTGTCCACTGTCCTAAGTATTTTACTCATTTCTGAAACTGCAACGATAAATGACTTCATGAAATATTCTCTGTGCGTGTTTGGATGCGCATATAATGCATTCAAATCTATGTAGAATCATAGCATGTTTAAATCGGAAGAAACAAGACTCTGAGACATTGGAAGATAGTGACTTTTTTAAGTTTTATTTTGGGCTTGGGGTACATGTGCAGGTTTGTTATATAGGTCAATTGCATGTTGCAGGGGCTTGGTGTACAGATTATTTCACCATGCAAGTAATAAGCATAGTACTCGATAGGTAGTTTTTTGATCCTCTCCCTCCTCCCACCTTCCACCCTCAAGTAGGCCCTGGTGTCTGTTGTTTCCTTCTTTGTGTCCATGAGTACTCAGTGTTTCGTGCCCACTTATAAGTGAGAACATGCGGTACTTGGTTTTCTGTTCCTGTGTTAATTTGTTTAGAATAAGTGCCTCCAGCTCCATCCATGTTGCTGCGAAGGACATGATGTTGTGATAGTGAATCTTCTTTATTCATTTGTTTCAGGAACAGAAAAGCTGGAGTCAAAACCCTTACTGATACTTATTCCCAGTTGGAAAACCTTGAATATGTCCCTTAATCTCATAAACTTTCTCAAGAGCAAAATAGAGATGGAATTAATATCTTCCCAAGGACTGGATGCAATAACATAGACAAAGCACTCAGCACAGTGCCTGGCATCCTGTAGGAACTCAGTTCACAGTGGTTGTCATTGCAGTTGTCAGAGGTGATACTATAAGAGACTGCAGTAGTTGCAATAGTGACTGAGCACTTATCACAGTGCATAGAATACAGGGAAGGCCCAGTAAATGTTGAATTTATGACTAACTAGTAAGTGGATAAGTAAGCCTACTGTCCTTCATAGTTCAGAAAAGGGTACTGAGGAACAGGAGGGTTAATGAGTGGAAAAAAGTCACACAGCAGGTTTTTGGCCTCAGAGCCTTTGATTCAGAGTTCAGAGCTCTTTTAGTTATCTCTGATCATCACCTCTTTCCCCACAGTCTCAGCATCTCATATGCTCCCCAACATATGTGTGTATGTTTGAGATACACATGCCTGTCTGACAAATAGGAAAACTAAAATTTTGAAGGAGGTGCCCTACCTGGGTTCCCTGGGGGCTGGTGATAACCTGCAGATGGATGCACTGTCTGATGCATCTTGTATTTTGCTTCTCTTATGTCAGAAGCCCAGGTCTGGAGCAGGATTGAGCCGGAGCCTGGAGGTGAAGCAGTTAAGCTGAAATTTGAGCACAGATCTCCAGAGATTCTGTGGCTGAATGACATTGGGAAGATACATAAATTTGTCTCCAAAATGTCTTTGCTTTTGTCTTCTTTGTATTGCCCTTCTCCACCTTATCCATTTGATTTACACCACGGTTTCTACCCTACCCAGGAAGTGTAGCCACAGCAAGAAAGACAGAAGAAACAAAAGACGTTACAGTCCTGGCATAAATTATAGGTTTAGAAAAATAATTGTCTAGCCCATTTCCCACCATATAGAGGGAAATGAAAAATAAAATCTCTGAGCTGACAAATTGAAAAACAATAGGCAAGGAAACAAGAACGATCCTGGTTTGAGTTTCTGAGAATGGGCCCTGTCACCTACTAATCTTGGACTATGTCCTGGGGATTGACATTGCTGGGAAATGCATGATATCCCTGTTAAACTGAAGACCAGGAGGAGATGATAGAAACCATGGTCTGCTTTCTATAAAGCAGGGAGGGAGGAGTAGGGCATCACCCACAGTGGCTCCTTATATCCTCAAGCAGCAGACGCAAAGCAAGCAGGCCACAAAGGAAGTTGGGGAAGAAAGGGACAGCCCACCACATGTTTCCTGGGCCTCCAGAGTTGCTGAAAGAGCAGTCAAGCTTTCCTCTGTCTACTCCCCCTCATCACTCCCAAATAAGCCAAGAGGTAAGAGTTGAGGAACAGTAGAGGGAGGAAGAGAGGGATGGAGGGAGTGGGAGAAAGAGAAAGAAACAGCACACCTGAAGGAGTGTCACAGTCTTGACAAGAAAATCCCACAGTGGAAAAGCTTGTGGACAGAAGACCAGATGTGGATGCAGAGATCCCAGCGGAGTCCTGTGAGAAACTATGATGACAATCAAGAAGGAGATGTAGCAATGCACATCTCTGTACATGGGCAGTTACAGATTCCCACCAGATACTTGTCTCCACCCCAATGTGACTATGTACTCCAGAATGTATAGGTTGCCTCAGAAAGGAAGCACAAGAGAAAACCTAGGGTTTATTGACTTTAAACCAAAAGTGTTTGAATCTACTCTAAGTGGACTAAGATTGTTTTTCAGGCCTCAGGTGAATTGGGAGCTAAAAATACAACTCTTGCAAAATGTGAATTGTATTTTTGCACACCGGGGGGACTGACTTTAAATTATTTCCTACTATGAATTTTTTTTTGTCTTGGGATGCCAGTATGTGACAGCCATTGGGCTATATACCATCATCCATTCTGCCCAAACTTACTCAGTCTGCTGAGAGCAATCTAAATAGGTCTCTGTTGTACATCAGAGCAGGCCCAAAACACAGGCATACACTCAAATGCTCAGAAAACTTTCCAAAGTACCTTTAACACAGCAGGGGTTTAGTCGTGGTGGTGACAATGACATTAGTGATGACTGTACACACTCCAGATATAAAATCCTCCAGAATAATGGACACAAAATCCTTAATATATATCATGTTTGGCATTCTTAGTATAAGACTTGGAAATGTTTTATCTTCAAACTCTTTTTATCTTTATACCTCTTACTTGAACTCCAGATTCATAAATCTATTGCCTATTTGACATCTCTACTTGAATGTGTAACAGACATCTCAACTTAACACATCCAAAGCTTAACCTGTGAGCTCCACCCCAGCCCCTATCCCCTCCCCAGCCAAATCTATGATCCAAAAATATTAAATAAAAAAATTCTAGAAATAAATAATTCATAAGTTTTCATTTGTGCACCATCCTGAGTATTGTGATGAAATCTTGCACCAGCCCACTCTACCCCACCAGGGACGTGAATCATCCTTTTGTCCAGCACATCCATGATGTCTATGCTACCCTTAGCCACTTGGTAGCTGCCAGTAAATTGGCTGTCATAGTGCTGTGTTCAAATAACCCTGATTTTCCTTAGTTGTTCTATTGTAGTATTAGTTGTTATTATTAATATCTTACTGTACCTAACTTACAAATCAAACTTTACCATAGGTATGTATGAGTGGGAAAAATCATAGTGTACCTAGGGTTCAGTAGTATCCATGGTTTCTGTCATTAACTGGGGGATCTTGAAACAGATCCTCATGGACAAAGGGTGGTCTACTGTACCTTCAAAAAATATTCAGAATTCGACCACTCTTAACAGCTCCACTGCTACTACTCTTGTCTAAACCATCTCTCACCTGGACACTTCAATTGCTTCCTACTGGTCTTCCTCCTTTCACTTCTGCCATGCTATGTTTCACAGAGCAGTCAGAATGATCCTTTTAAAATGTAAATCATGTGATGTTACCCCTCTGTTCAAAAACCCTCTGATGGCTTTTATCTGACTCAGATAAAATCCCAAATTTCCAGACCTCCTTCCCAGACCTCCTTTGAAATGAAATTTAGATGTGGTACTTCTTCAGGCCATATACTCTCTCTGTGACTTGGGAAAGGTATTTGAACTCACTCCTGTGTGTTTCTGATCCTGCGTCCTTAAGTTAGTGGCAATCATAGTATATACCTTGAACATGCCAGGCATGTCCTTGCCTTGGGAATTTGCATGGCTGAAACCTCTCCCTGAAATATTCTTCTCCCAATTATTCATATAGAGTGTCCTACTTTTGCAAGTATTTGCTCAAATATCACCTTTAAAAATAAGTCCTCTCCTGAGCACCCCATCATAAATTGCACCCTGGCACTCTTCCTCTGCACTCCTAATATCTTCCTCTGCCTGGACTTTTTTGCCTTTAGTATTTATCACCTTTTTCCATATACCATAATTTTATGTTTATTGCTTGTTACCTGTCTCCTCTCACTAGAATATAATCTCCACAATGGCAGAGGGTCATTCTGATTTGCTTTTTGAGGTACTCAGGCACTGAGAATATTGCCACGTATATGGGAGGCATTCCGTAAATATTGCATGAACTAATGAACTAAAATCACTGGACACAAAATGTTAACATTAAAAGGGACTCTGAGGTTTATCTGGCCAAGTCAGTGGCTTCCTGACTCTCTTGTTCTGTTGATCCATCCTTGATCTTGAAATAATGTTGTTATGCATCTTTTCCCTTCAGGATTTGAAGTGCAAAGAGGTTTAGCCATACTCATTAGTTCATGACAGTCTCTTGTCAACATCTCCATTCTCCTCCTGCTGCCCTCCCCAGGCACCTCCTCTGTTATGTTTCATCTAAATATGCTCCAATAGGAATATGGTACAGACATTGTTTTTTGTATTTGTTCGCTTAACTTCTATATATGGTATCATGCTATAGAACTCACCTTGTCTCTTATTTTTTTCACTCAACTGCATGGTTCAAATCTTGCTATGTTGCTATATTAATTGTTTAACTGCTGCATGTTTCCCTTGGGTGAACTCACTATATTTTACTCTTCCATTCCGCTATGTAACATGACTTAAAAGCATCTATTTGCAATTGCTTTCTTTTTCAGGATCAGCAATAGTCATCCTGATTTCAAATCATTTTTAGGAATAAGGACGAAGATGAGCTGGGTGCAACAAGAATGAGATCATGTTGAGTACTGGTAGGAGCAGGGAATTTGAACTGAAGTTTGGATGTGGTTCTTTATCAGGCCATATACTCTCTCTGATTTGGGAAAGGTATTTGACTTCTCTCCTGTGTGTTTCTGATTCTGCATCCTTAAGTTGGTGGCAATCATAGTATATACCTCAGAGGGTTGTGACAACGAAAACACAGTAAGATATATCAGCAAGGGATATAAAATTATTTCATCAACTAATAAGCTCTACTCAAATATTAATGGTCATTTTATTTTGCCTTTTTTTTCATTTTTTCTTATTTTATTTCAATAGGTTTTTGGGGGAGCAGGTGGTGTTTTGTTACAAGAATAAGTTTTTTAGTGGTGACTTCCGACATTTTGGTGCATCCATCACCTGAGCAGTGTACACTGTATCCAGTGTGTAGTCTTTTATGCCTCACCCCCAGAGAGTTTCATGGAAAGTTCTGCTTTCCGGAACATGTTGGCTGGAAATTACTCAATTAACATGCATACATCCCCCGAACATGGCAGATTGTGTTATATCTTTCTCCACATCAACAATGAAAAGGCTCCCTTTCCCTGCAGTCATGTACACAACACCTGGGAGGGCTGCAGCTCAGAGAACTAGTTCATCTAGGCTGTTTTGCACATTTCATAGCCTTAGTGGCTTCAAAAAAAGCTGGCACCAAAAGATCCTGCCTTAAAGGCAGCACAGTTATCCTCTGCACAAAGTCTTCTTTTGGTAATTTCCATAAAATTCAAGTCTTTTCTTGACTGCTGCTCTAAGCAACAGGTCAGAGAGTACATAAAATAATTCCTAAAGGTACACATTTTACAGCCTTTTGAAAAATAGATTTGCAAATATAGATAGGGAATTTTCTCAAGCTTAGTGAACATCAGCCACAACAAATTTTGTGATAGTAATTGGAAGAGGGTTACCCCAAAAATGAAGCAGGGAGCACATCTTGAATCTCTGCTTTGTTTAGAGGCATTCCTGGGTATGTTGAGTTAGTGAAACGGTCCATTAGAAGATCATTTTCATGTTTCTAAGAAGCCTCCTAGAAGAAAGCTCATCCTAAGGAAATAAAGAACCAAGCATAAGACCAACCAAAGTACAGGTTATGCTGCTGTAGCAAAGAAAACAAAAACATATAATAGTGTGAATTAGAGAGAAACAGTCCAGAAATGGGCAGTCCAGGGTAACAAGGTAGCCATGCTCCATGAGGTCACTGAAACATCCGGGTCTCTTCCATTGAATAGCTCTGCCACCCTGTAGTGTGTTATCTTTGCTTGCATAGTCAAAGGATAACTACCAAGTTTTTTTTCCAACCTACGCAAAGGGCAAAAAAACATGGAGAAGCCCCCGTCTAATTCTTTAGGATGCAGCCACCATTTCAAGCCAACATAAGCATGTATCTTATGCTATTGTGTATTTTTGAGTCTCTTTGTTACATCAGCACAGTGTGTATTTAAATTAAAACACTGGGTCATAGCAGCCTCCTTCCCTTAGGATAGATGATCTTTCTCCGAGGCCCTCAACAGAACCATTAAAATATATTTCAGTCCTGCTTGAAACCTTTGACCTAAACTTGGTCATATTGTCAAATTTCATTACAAGAATCCTCAGGAAATGTAGTTTCTAGCTGAATGACATCTGCCCAGCTACCTTATTGGGGCAGGGGTAGAGGGGATCTGCTACTATAGGAGAAAAAGAGGTAAAAAGTTCTGGGGAACTGTTAGCAATTTCTGCCAAACCCAGTATCAAGGCAAAGGTTGTTGGAGAAGAGTGATTCTGGTCCCTGTAAATCAAATTTATCCTTAGCCTAGCTACGTGGACTCATGTCTAGGACCCAGTCTGAGACAGTGCTATACATAAAAACCAAAAGATCAAACATGTTTAATTAAATGGTGGGTAAGTCTTGAGGGGATAAGCTAACTACTTTAGGGTCCCTCTCACATATTGGAAGGCCAAAAAAAGGGGGAGACAGCATCCCCTGTTTAACCAAGAAACAAAGTGCAGATATGTTACCTTAAGAGCTCAGTTGTCATTCCTAGCAGATTTCAGGGTCTTTTGGGAGATGGGAGAAACCACAGTGGTGACACATGGAAGACAGCAGTGGCTGGCAGGAGCTTTCAGTACCTTCCAGGATGCAGCAAAACCAATGGCAAGAGATGGTAGCATCCAGCAAGGACTGAATGGCCTTATTGGTGATGGCGCTAGCGCCAGCAGAGGTGGCAGCACTTTCTGGGTGTGGAGAGAACATCAGCACTGCCTGGGGAAGCCGGTGACACTTGCTGGAGGCAGAGAGATCAGCGGTACCCAGGAACTCCACATGGCAGCTGGGGATTTACTCCTGGATGCATGTGAGCTCTCTCTAGTGGGCGGCCAGAAATATGTGTATGCATGTGCATGAGTGCACTTGCATGTGCATATGTGCTTGTGTGGTTACTTAGCATAAAGTCCTCCACAAAGAGGTGCCAGTGAAATTTATATTATAAAGTTGAAGTGGTCTCATTTGTATCCACAAGAGAATAAGCCGTGAGTTAACTAGTCAGTAAAGCTAAGTTTCATCCTCCAGCCATGAACATATTTTGAAGAGGCTCTTAGCACTTTTAGTACAGAGTAACTGCAAACTTTAAAGTATACAATGGCGGTTTAAAGTATGCAATGGAGTTTTTCATTTTTGAGAAAATAAAATGAAGTTAGAGGTTTTAGAATTTACCTGGTGTTTTAAAATCAGAAAGTTATAGAACAAAAACTACACCCAAGTCGCTAGTCCTAGACCCCATGTTTTTGTTTGTTTGTTTGTTTTTGAGATGGAGTTTTGCTCTGTTGCGCAGACTGCAGGCAGTGGCAAGATCTCAGCTCACTGCAAGCTCCGCCTCCTGGGTTCACGCCATTCTCCTGCCTCAGCCTCCCAAGTAGCTGGGACTACAGGCGCCCGCCACCACGCCCGGCTAATTTTTTGTATTTTTAGTAGAGACGGGGTTTCACCATGTTAGCCAGGATGGTCTCAATCTCCTGACCTTGCTATCCACCCACCTCGGCCTCCCAAGACCCCATGTTTTAACACTGTCAAATGTTCTTGCATAGGATGACGTCTCCACTCATAGAGATTCCAGAGATGCCCACCAGAGCAAGGAGCTGGGTGATTTGGGGAACATTTTTTTGACAAGGCAGAGCCTGGGATCTTGAGGCACTGTGTAACAGTGGGGAAATGTCAAAGTTATTAATTTTTATAAAATATGTTAATAAGCTTCCCATTATTTCCTCTCATTATTCAGTGTTGCCTTTCTGGTTCTCTGACACTTAACTGTGACAATGTGACCCAAATATATCAGGCCTGCAGGCCTAGCTCCTCTTCTCCCAACAGCTGGGACATTTGACCCCTGCCAAAGTCTCTGCTTCAGAGTCAGGGCAAATCATTCCCTCCTGTTTGGTCATTTTTTCATACCTAAAAAAACCCGTCGCATGCACGAAAGTATATAGGACTCAGTAAGTCCTCAGCAAATTTTGATATCCTTCCTCTTCTCTTCCTTGGATCTTCTCAAATTCTCTAAATATGGTTTTATCTCCTTAAAGGTAGAGAAATATAAAGTGTATCAGTTGGGTATTAGAGAAGAACTTCAACACTCCAAGGACACATCTACAAAGCAAGCCCCAGAAAATGCTCCAATTAGCCATTTAGAGATTGAAAATAAGCCACCAGGAGCCACCACTCCCCACTTGGTGACCTGTGGCAGGCATTTCTATTAAACAGCATTCATTCTTTTTGTCCTGCATACTCTTTCCTTTCTGATAACTTGCAGCGCAGACCACTATCCTACTCAGAATAGGCTAGGCAGCCACTAGCAATTATTTAGAGCTAGCACATGAAATGAAAGCTATTTTCCATGCCTGCTGTAGTTTACCAATATAGACACTTAAATGAACCCCAACCTAGCGGTTCTAGATTGAACTTATTCAACAATTTTTATCTGTGTAATTTGGTCTTTAACAGGTTTAAGTGAGTCACATGTGTCCAAGCTCAACCTTCTGAGGTCAGAAAACATTTGTGGGACCCTGGACACTCTACCCAACTCGCCATGGAGTGAGTGTCATTAGGAATCTGCACCAATTTGGAGGACAAGGAGCACAAATTGTATAAGGGTTTATTTCTGTAGTTTTATAGTCATATTTGCAGCATTAAATAGCTCTATTACTTAGATGGTTCTAGGGAGAGTTTAGAGCTTTTTCTACTTTTACCTCCAATAAAGGGAAAATAGAGCTTTTTACGTACATTGGTTAAAACTTTTAGTTTGGGGAGGAAAAAAACCGTAGTAAGAAATGGATCATACATATTACAACAAAGTTCTTCAATTATGAACTTTTTAAACTTAATGACATCGTGTCTTATATGCAATCCTGTAGATTGGCACTTCCCCAAAACTAATTATAGGTAACAGTTTAATTATCAAACTTGCTAGCATGTTTTTATTTTTCACTGTAAATCTGTTTATTTTTTATTAATAACAATTCTGAAATCAATCCATTTGGGTTGGTGGTATACAGAATACATGTAAGCGTGTTAACTATTGTGACTTCTTTCAAGTCTAAATGATGTAATAAAACTTTTAAATTAAAAAAAAAAGAGCAAGAGTTTTAAAAAAAGAGTCACGAAACCATGCCAAACAGACAAGTAGACAACTGGCCCACGCAGTCACTGTGATTGAAAGGAGATGTTTTGTAAACCAGAAGGAAGAACCACAAAACTTGGAGAGACAAGAAGGGGTGTCAGATCAGAACCTACAGGGAAGGGTAAAATGTGGGCAAGGATGAGGAGGTCAGATGTCAAGAGTTTGCAGTCCCATCCACACTGCTCTGTGTGTACCTGCTGTGGGGCCAGCTGCCTCTTTACACCTCAGGCTGATGCCACAAAGACATTTTGTATGATTTAACCTAAAACATTTCCCCTGCTAATCTCATCACTCATATGATCCAGGAACGTTGGTTAAAGAATCCAGAGACCTATATTTAAATTCCAATTCTTTTGTTTCTTTATGGGCAATGTGACCTTGTGAGAGCTGCCCAAATTCACCAGCCTTGGTCCCATGTTTATATAGCAATAGTCAGATGACTTGACCTCTAAGATCATTTGTCTTTAAAGTTCTATGATTCTGATTCTGATTTTGACTCTGGATGCCAAAAAACAGGAATGAACACCTTTAAAAAAAACATAATAAAGCAGCACTGGAAATTATCTTGCTATTTAGCAGTATTTTGGCCACTATACTTGGTTTTTACATTTGCCAATTTGAGGCTAAAAATGATAATGTATCTATCATTAATATTTCTTTTCTGAGCATTCCATAAAACTATTATAAAGTCAACCAAATTTGATAACTTATTAGAAGTCCAATTCCTGGACTATTTCATACTTTATGCATTAGATTATGTAATAACAGACAAATAATTAAAGCTTTTAGTATGTGCCAGCTACTGAGTTAAGTATTTATATTTATTAGCTTGCTTAATCCTCCCAACAAAGATATTAGGTACTTTTATCCCTGGAAGGTGAAGAAACTGAAAGTTATGAGAATTAAGCAATTTGCTCAAGGTTACACAGCTAATAAACATTTAGAGCTGGATTTTTAACTTAAACCTTCTGACACCAGAGTCTTGGTAACTGAGGAAATGTGAGTGGTATAATGTGTTTTATTTAAAAAAAAAAGTCTATAAGATAGTCTTATAAACAATATATAGTTTGTGCAAATCATATTTATATGTAGCATTTTTCATAAAATATCCTCTAACAAAAGTAACTGCTTGGAGGGCCTCTGGAAAGGAAAGTCATCATTAGCAGTCTACAGAGTGGCTCTGTGAAGCCTTCAGCCGTGTGGCAAACACAAAAAGTCACGGCAGCTTGAACGTTATATACTCTATGCTCTGCCTCTCTAATGCTAGGGTCACTCCAGGATTTAGCCCCAGGGCTGGTGCACTGTGGGTGCACAGGGAAAATCTGATCCTCCCTCAAGAATCACAGCAATCATCTCATGGGATCATGACCAGGAGGATGAATTTGTGCAGGCACACGTAGATACAAATCGAACAAGGACATTAAAGTGGCAGGGGATTGAGAGAGAGAGAGAGAAATCTTTTGATCCCTCAACAACTGTCCACATTTTCATTTTCAGTCTGCACTCCCTAAACTCTCATTCTCTCTCCAACCCACTCCAGTATGACTTTTGTCCTTCACTACTTTACTGGAACTTGACTTCTTGTCAAGGGCACCAACAACCTAGATCTTTGATATTCAAAGTATGGCCAAAGGGCAAGTAGCTTCAGCATTACCTGGAAGCTTGTTAAAAAAGCAGAGAAGGCTGGGCACAGTGGCTCACACCTGTAATCTCAACACTTTGGGAGGACAAGACAGGCAGATTGCTTGAATTCAGGTGTTCAAGATCAGCCTGGGCAACATGGTGAGACCCTATCTCTACCAAAAATACAAAAAAATTAACTAGGCTTGGTGGCACATGCTTGTTGTCCCAGCTACTTGGGAGGCTGAGGTTGGAGGATGGCTTGAGTCTGGAAGGTGAAGGCAGCAGTGAGCTGAGATTGTGCCAACGCACTCCAGCCTCAGTGACAGAGTGAGACCCTGTCTCAAAAAATAGAATAAAATAAAATAAAATAAAAAAATAAAGAGCAGAGAATTGCAGAGTCCCTTCCCCAGCTCCAAAATATGATTTTAATAATTCCCAGGTGATCTCTATGCTTATTAAAGATTGAGAAACATTGACTAGGTCTTCCTAAAGCAAATGATCAATTTTCCTCCCTTATTGCTTTTAGCCATACTTGGCATGGTTGACCATTCTTATTCATGGAACATTTTGTTCTGGGCTTTGGAGCCATCACCCTTACCTGGTTTAATTCCTCCCTCACTGGCCTCTCCTTCTCAGATTCCTTTGCTTGACTTCTCCTTTACTCTCTCTGCCTCCTCTACCACATTTCCTAACACTGAAGCACCCCCAGGCTTTGTCTTTGGTCCTCTTCTCTTCTTCATCTATACTCTTCCCAGGTGATTTTATCTAGTCCCTTCTAACACTGATGACTCCAAACTTTATTCTGTATCTCTGTCTAAACCTCTGCCCTGAGCTCAAGACTGGTCTATACATTTGCCTACTGGATATATCTACTGGGATATCTAATAAGCACCTCAAAATTAACTTTACTAAAATAGAGCCATTGACCCCACACCTCACCTCTCCAAATCTTCAACATAAACAGCACCGTTATCCATCATTTTCTCAGGCCTCAAATCCAGGAGGCATCCTCTAGTCTTCTCTTTTCCTTATATTCCACATCCAAACCAATCTATCAGCAAGTCTTATGAAAATTATCTCCATAGTAAATCCAAAATCTGAACATTTCATTTTGTCCCCATTTTACAGCCCTATTCAATCATGGACTACTGTAAGAGGTTCCTCACTGCACTCCTGCTTCCACTCTGATCCATTCTTCAAACGGCATCCAGAGAAATCGCTTAAACACAAATCAAAGTATAGTGCTCCTGCCTAAAACCCTCCAATGTCTTCCCATTGCAATAAAAATAAAGTCCACTGTTCTTGCTATATTAGTTAGAATACTTCTGGCTGCAGGTTACAAATACCCAGCAGAAAGTGATTATATTTTACTCCTCAATAATGCCAAAGGTCAGTGGCTCTAAGGTTAGTTCAAGAGCTTGACAGTATCATTGAAAACCTAATCTCTTCCATCTGTTGGATGCATCATCTTCAGTGCAGCACTGATGATGCACCTCATGAGTATAAGATGGCTGCTGCTGCTCCAAATACTACATCCACACATGTGCAAAGGGAAGAAGAAAAAAAAGCACTTTATTTTATTAGGAGGGAGGAGAATCTTTATCAAATGTGCTAAGCAGACTCTTCCTAAGATCGCAGAACTGAGCCACAGCTATTAACTAGCCCTAAACTAATCAATGCTAAAGAGAAATGTCCAAGCCAATCATGATCCATTTCTAGGAGAAGAGGAAAAAGTATTCCTTCCCAGAAGATGTTGTGGTCCCATTTCTGAATAGGCAGGAGATCAGAAAGCGGGGAAAGAACCCAAGCAAAAATATAATATTATGTGTTTATGTTGTCTGTCTTTAGCCTCTCGAATGTCAATTCATTGTTAGGTATTTTGTCAGTGCTGTGTCTCCAGTCCCTAAAACAATGCCTGATATATGGTAGGTCCCAATCAATTATTGTTGACTAACTGGCTGACTACAACTCTGGAGAAGTAACTCCACATGTCTGCTCCTAAGGCTCTGCTGATACAATAGGCTCACAATCAGGCCACGTCATAAAAAGTCATTAGCCAAGTCAATTAGAGAACAGAAGCTTTTAAAGGGGATCAGTTTGTGGTCAGCTGATTGGCTGGCTTTGCCCACTTCTCAATCTAGAGTGGCATCTTCAAGAAACTGTCTATATTTATCCCTCTGTCTATGTAAATACTGCTGAATTAACCTATTTACCTTGGGCACTTCACATTAGAGACCTGAGCAAGTGAGTTACTGCAGCTCCACATAATGTCCTAGGTAGAAACGACACCAGCTGTCAAGAGGCAGTTGTTCTAAAAGGCACAAAGGAGCCCATGGAGCCTGATTTTTAAATTCTATTTAAATTTCCCTTCAGGATAGCAGCATCTCTACTTTTGTGCCCTGACAACAGATCTCACCAAAGTGGAACTGTATTTCGCTTTATCAAATTATGAAGGAGGTAAAAATGACCAAAAGGACCTCGAAGTCAGCTTCTTGTGCATATACATCATACAGACCAAGGTTTAAACCCAAGGTTTTCCAAGCCTGACTGCTGCCTTGGAAGCCACTTAAAGTTTCCCTGCACCTCAGCAGCTTCATCTATAAAGTGAGGCTCGAATCTCACAAAAATATCAGGAGGATTATACAAGTTAATGCACATGAAGTACTTGGCAGAGAGCAAATGCTCAGTTTATCCTGGTCCCATTTCCTTCCAGGTTTTCCAGCAAGAATTGAGGCTTGCTAAATGCAGAGAAATTGAAGTCTGATCATTTATGCTATCAACATACTCATACAATCTCAGAGGTGAAAAAAAATTAAAAGACTTCTAGTCTAACCACTGCTTTTATTCACTGAATAAAGTACTGCAGAATTTCTTTGAAAAACTACTTGGTAGGGTACACAAAATGCCTGAAAATGAGCTTTTATTTCCAATAATTTCCTTTCAATAATCTGCTTTTTGTATAGAGCCTGATACACCTCCTGTATTGTAACTCATGGAAGAGAGAGCTCAGCTTTGGAAAAACTATGAAGATAATGCAAATGTAGCCCCATCCACAGTATCCAGGGCATGTCCTGGAGCACGCCAGGCTCATGTACTGACTGAACACCCATCGCAGTAGCCCAGACAGCTTACCAGGATGCTGCAGTGGGGGTGCTGCTATTGACTTCCTAGAGGAGAAATTGTTACCTACAAGGAAAGACACATTCAGTTTTCCAGTTCTCCCAAATCACCCAAGGTCTTGTTCCTCGACAGTGAGTCAGTGGGTCGACTTCATTAGTCTGCCTTGATGACTAGCGTTCCTATGACTGGCACAAAGAGGCTACACAGCAGTGTGGTCAGATAGTGATACTGAAAGGAGATCAATGTGTCACTCTCTGTTCTGCTAAATATCACCCCGGTAGCACAGGATAAGCTGCTGAAACGTTTTAGGCTTCAGATTTCATATTCATAAAATGAGAATGTAGGACTTGACAGAATCTCTAGAAGTTCTTTCCATGTCTAAATTTGTATGTTTATCAACATTCCACCTATTTTCTCTCTTATCTGGTCTTGGTTTTTAGCAAAAGGAAAGTTCTGGGCAGAAGGTCTGAGGGTTAAGGCTGCTAATAAAAACTACGAATAGTCCCTAGTATTTAGAGATTAATTAAATTTCATTAATGTTTTCACATGAAATAATCAATGCATATTGTGCAACTGCTTGGTGTCAGAAAATAGGGAGGCAGAAAGAAATTTCAGGCTTAGATGCTGCTCTTAAGGACATTATAACCTAATTGTAGGAAGAGTTGAAGAATAATGCAATAATCCATAGGCTAAGTGCCATAATGGTGATAGCTCTGATTGATTAAAAAGAACACTAAATTTAAGGTCAGAAAAACTTGGTAAAAAGCAGAGTTGTATCACCTACCAGTTCTGTGAACTTGGGAAATCAACTTATGCTTACTGAGCATCAAGTGCTTCACTGATAATAGGAAGGCAATAATACCCACCCCATATGACTCTTAAGTGTATTTCCTTCAAAAACATAAATCACCCAGTACACTTTGCACACATCTTGAAAATTTACTTGCACACATCTTGAAAACTTACTTGCGCTAAATCCGATGCAAAGTTCAGAAAATGCAGATGATGAAGTTCTGTTCTCAAGGAGTTTATAACCCAGTGGGTAAAATATCCACAATCACCACCACAACCACAAGAACCATAAGAAAAACCCAATTCACGCAATTACAATCTGTATAATGAGTATTACCAAGGTTAAAGCATCAGGAGCTATGAGAACACAGAGAAGAGACTCCTAACCTCTTCTCCATTATCAGGGAAGGGCTTCTTAGAGGAAATTGACATCTAAGATGAGACACAGAAAAGAGAAGACCTTATCTAGGTAAAGAGGAATAGAATATACAGAGCAATTATTTGGTTTTTTGTTTGTTTATTTAGCTTTGTTTTTGCAGCATGTGCAAAAGCCTGGTAGAAAGAGAGGGCACAATGCCTTTGACAAATGCAAAGTATCCTAGTTCAGTAGGATAGAGAAGATAGACTAATGAAATATATAGAGCAATAGAGGAGATGACACGTAGTAAAATATACGGACTGATAGAGGAGCTGATACTGGAGATAAAAATTATTTTTGAAGCCATAGTAAGAGTTTGGATTTTAACTTATGACACTGGGATCAGCAAACGGTATCATGCAGCAGAGATCACAATATGTTTCCAACATCAGAAATATCATTAAGGATGCAGAGTGGAGAGATTGCATGGAAGCACAGGAAGTCTCTGAAAATAATTCAGGTTAGATGATAGCCTAGAAGAAGAAAGTGACATTAAGGATGAGAGTAGTAGGTGGATTGAGGAAAAGTTTATGGTGAAGAACTGAAAAGACCTATTATTGCTTAGACATTGGTGGGTAGGGGTGGGAAAAACACTAGTGAAAAGAGGGTACTAGGTTTTGGGTTTTGGTAATGGGCAAATGACAGTGCCATTGGCTGCAATTTGTTGGAAGTGAAAAAACAAATTCAGTTTTGGATACACTGTATTTTGTTGAAGCAGAAGATTGCCTAACATAGAGGCCAACACATTGTATATCCACATTCATTCAGAAATACTTGTTGAACACAAACTATGTGCTAAACACTGTGCTGAAACCTAGAAATACAAAGATGAATACATTTCAGCAGTTCCTGTCTCAAGGATATCAGAGTTTCATGAGACAGCAGATATATAAACAAATAAGTACAATATGGCCAATGTGAGGAATGTTATAGAAAACAAATGTATTCATGGTAAAAAGTATATTAAATGAAAGTTCTCAAGCAGTAAATAACAGAGAATTAGAGGAGAAGCAGGCAGCATAGGGCTCTATTGGTGAGAAGACTTGTGATAAAGCTAATTGAGTTTTAAAAGAAGTTTTTAAGCAAGGAATAAGAAAGTCTGTTAGGCAGAGAGAGCAAAGTGAACAAAAGTGAGGAGCAGGACAGTGTTTGGCATGTTTGAGGACAGTACCTAGAATAGTTTTACTAGTCCAGAGGGCTCTTAAGTGGGATCATGGGTATAAGCCTGGAGAGGGAGAGTCTTATGGTCTTTGCCTATGATTTTACACCTGCAGCCTACATGATCTTCCTGGAGATCTCTCCACATCAGAAAATGTCAGCTTCACATTAATAATTGTTCAGATAAAAAATCTTGGCAGCATCTTTGCTTCCTCTCTTTCCTGCCCAGGCCACATGCAACTCACCAGCAAAACCTGTTATCTAAGGATGATGTCAGTGAAAATAGAGACTAAGAGCAATGAGAACACTGGCAATTGATTTGTCAGAATCAACTTTTTTAGAACCATGAAATTAACTAAAATTTTGCAGCACCTAACAACAGAGATAGAAAATACATGAAGCAAACTGACAGAATTGAAGGGAGAAATAGTCAATTCAAAAATAGTAGTTTGGGACATCAATACCCCACTTTCAATAATATATATAACAAATAGATTAACAAGAAAATAGAATTCTTGAACAATACCATGAACCAACTAGAGCTAACAAACATCTATAAAATATTCCACTCAACAACAGCAGAATACACATTCTTCTCAAGTGTCCATGGAGCACTCTCCAAAATAGATGATACACTGGCCCATAAAATAAGTCTCAATAAATTTTAAAACACTGAAATATACAAAGTATGTACACTGAACACAATGGAATAAAATTAGAAATCAATAACAGAAGGAAATTTTAGACATACACAGATATGTGGAAATTAAAATATTTCTAAGTAATCAATAATAATATAAATAGTCAAAGAAGAAATCATAAGGAAAATTAGGAAATACTTTGACATGAATGAAAACGGGAACTTAACATACTAAAACTTGTAGATCACAGCTAAAATACAGCTTAAAGGGAAATTTATAGCTGTAAACACCTATAGTTATAAAGAAGAAAAATTTCAAACCAGTAACCTAACTTTTCACCTTAAAACACTAGCAAAAGGAAAAAAAATTAAATCCAAAGCAAACAGAAGGAAAAAAATAGTAAAGATCAGAGGTAAATAAATGAAATAGTCAAAAAACAGTAGAGAAAATAATCAAAACTTTTCAAAATGTTCATTAAAACTATCAAGAAAATTAATAATCTTTTAGCTAGCCTGACGAAGGAAAAAGAGGAGAGACTCAAATTACTAAAATCAAGAATGGTGAGACATTACTACTGACCAAACAGAAACAAAAATAACTGTAAGGGACTAGTATGGATAATCACACCCTAACAAATTAGATAACTCAGATGAAGTGGACACATTCCTAGAAACATACAAACTACTAAAAGCTCAAGAAGAAATAGAAAATCTGAATAGATTTATAACAAGTAAAGAAGTTGGAATTAGTGATTTAACAATAACTTACCACAAAAATAAAGCCCAGACAAAAGCTGAGCATAGTGGTGTTCACCTGTAGCCTCTGCTACTCAGGAGGCTGAGATAGGAGAATTGCTTAGTCTGAGGAGTTTGAGGCCAGCCTGTGCAACACAGTGAGACCTCATCTTAAAAAGAAAAGACCAGGAAAAGGAAAGAAAGTTCCAGAAAAGATGGCTTCACTAGTGAATTCTATCGAACATTTAAAAAGGCTAACATCTGTCCTTCAAAAACTCTTCCAAAAAATAGAAAAGGAAAAAGTTCCCATCTTATTCTAAAGGGCAGTATTATCCTGATACCAAAATTAGAACAGGCCATTGCAAAGAACCTATAAAACACTATTCCTTATGAACAGAAACATAAAAATCTTTTACAAAATATTAGCAAACTAAATCCAACAGAATATTAAAAGAATTATACATAATGACCAGGTAGAATTTATTCTAGCAATGTTAGGTTTCAAATACAGAAACCAATAATGCACCATACTGCTAAATAAGGAACATAAATCACATGATTACATCAATTGATGCAGAAAAAGTGTTTGACAAAATCCAACACACTTTATGATAAAAAACATTCACAAACTAGGAATAGAAGAGAACTTCGTTAATCTGATAATGGTCATCAATGAAAAACACATAACTCGCATCATACTTCAATGGCAAACATGGACTGTTTTCCCCCTAAGATCAGGAACAAGACAAGGATGTTTACTCTTGCCAGTTTCATTCAACATTGCACTGGATGTTATAACCAGAGCAATTAGGCAAGAAAAGAAAAAAAAGGCATACTGATTGAAAGGGAAGGAGTAAAACTCTCTATTTGCAATGACATAACTTCGTAAATAGAAAATATTAAGGAATCTATTAAAAAACTATTATTGCTAGTAAACAAATTCAGCAAGATTGCAAGATATAAGCTTAAAACACAAAAAATCTATTGTTTTTCCATACAATGACAGTGAACAATTCAAAAATAATTATAATAGTATCAAAAAGAATAAAATGCATGGAAATCCATTTAACAAAAGAAGTTTAATGAAAACTATAAAATATCATTGAAATAAGGCAAAGAACATCTAAATAAATTAAAAACATTCTGTGTTCATGAATTGCAAAACTCGATATTATTAAAATGACAATAATTTCCAAATTGACATGCAGATTCACTGCAATCCCCATCACAACTTCAGAGACCCTTTTTGCACAAATGGAAGAGGGTAATCTTAAAATTCATACAGAATTGCAAGGGACCTCAAGTAGCCAAAACAATCTTGGAAAAGAAAAACAGATGACTTACACTTTCTTTGAGTTGAAAATTACTACAAAGCTACAATAATCAAAGCATTATGTTGCTGGCATAAGGCTGGACATACAGATGAAATAGAATTGAAAGTCCATTTTTTAAATCCCCATTTATCTATGGTTAACTGAGTTTTTACAAGGCTGTCAATACCATTCAATAGTGAAAAAATAGACTCTTCTACAAAAGGTGCTGGAAATCTGGATACTTACACGCAAAAGAATGAAATTGAACACTATAATAGTCAAAATTCTCCAAATAAAAAGAACCAATAGAACACACACACACACACACACGACAGATAGATATAGATACATGTAAAATGAGATTTATTATAAGGAATTGGCTCATGTGATTATGAAGACTGAGAAGTGCCATGGCCAGCCATCTGAAAGCTGGAGACCTGGGAAAGGCGGTGGTACAATTCAGAGGCTGGAAAGCCTGAAAGATGCTTGAGAACCAGGAGTGCAAAGAGCAGGAGAAGATTGATATCCCAGCTCGAGCAGTCAGGCAGAGGGCAAATTCAGCCTTCCTCTGCCTTTTTGTTCCATTCAGGCCCTCAATTGATTGTATGATGCCCACCCCCATTGGGGAGGGCCATCTGCTTTACTCAGTCCACCTATTCAAATGCCATTCTCTTCCGAAACACCTCACAGACACACCCAGAAATTGTGCTTAAGCAGCTATCTAGGCATCCCCTGGCCCAGTGAAGTTGACAAATAAAATTAACCATCACAGAAACCTATGTCACACCATATAAAAATGGGCTCAAAATGGATCAAACACTTTTAGAGTAAGAGAAAACTATAAAACTCTTAGAAGAAAACATAGGAATAAATCTTTATAACCTTGAATTTAGCAATGGTTTCTTAGATATGACACCAAAAGCAACAATGAAAAAATAAATAAATTAGAATTTCATCAAAATTAAAAACTTTTGTGCTTCAAAGGGCACCATCAAGAAAGTGGAAAGATAACCCATAGAATGGAAGGAAATATTTGCAAATTATATCTGAAAGGGTCTAGCATACCCAAGATTTCTAAAGAACTGTTACAATCCAACTATAAAAATACAAATAACCCAACAGAAAAAATGGGTAAAGAATTAGAATACATACCTTTCTATGAAAGATATACAAGTGGCCAATAAGCACATGAAAACATGCTCAACTTTATTAGTCATTAGGGAAATGCAAATCAAAACCACCATGAGATACCATTTCACACACATGAAGATAGCTATAATAAAAAGATATATAATAACAGGCATTGTTAAAAATGTGGAGAAGCAGGAGCTGTCATATATTGCTGGTGGAAATGTAAAATAGTAAAGCCACTTTGTTCATTGCTGTACCTCCAGTGTCTAGAACAGTGCCTAGAACAGTGCCTGGCATGTTCAGTAAATATTTTTGATTGAATGAATTACACGGTGTGGATAGCTATTTATCCGTGCAAAGGATTGGGATACACACAAGCCTGTGAAATATTGTTAAGCTTTTAGATTTTGATTCTTCTTACTCTGTTTTTATTTTCTTATCTAATTATTTACATGCATTTCCTTTGGAAAAGCTTTCTGCCTCTCTCATGCTATTGCACATATGTTCTCTTCACCAGCCACAGTTGATACCTGCATCTATGCCTTCTATGTAGTGCTACAGTAACTGCACACAGAAGCTCTCAGCTTTCACAAGTCTTGGAAAGGTAAATGAAATCAAGGCCATATCCAAGCTGAACAGAGAAGTTGAAATGGCTTTGAATTACTTGACAATGAATGTAGGGACACTTCTTTGAGAAAACGTCAATACAACTCTGTTTTTACAGGCCCATAACTCAAAAGTATCTGAAAGCCCTTGTCCTTGTAAACATTCATGGGGAAGGGGAGATGACTAAATGAGCATTTATCAATCATTTTTAGTTCCTATGTACTACTCCAACAAATATTAAAATTAGTGAAAGAAAGTTTGCTTTTGACCTTTTCTTGCCCCACCCCCACCCCAAGTAAAGTGAAAGCTATAGTTTGGATTCACCTTCTGTCTGAAAAGGCAGAGATAAAGTCCAAAAAATGAAGAATTCTTTCCCAGTTGTGCATATACACTTTAAATTTATCTCTCTTCCCAAAATGACAAATATTTCATTAAAGCAGTTGTTCATTTGTGTTCATTTGTCAAAAGCAGATGCTTTCAAATTCACATTCAGTCTAAAAACAAGTCATAAGTGATCTGAGTGACAATGTTGCTGCAAGGGAAGGTTGCTGCTCAGTTTTTGTTAAAAATAGAACAAATAGAAGTATCTTAAGTATGTTCACTAGAAAGCTTTTCTTACAAAGAACACAAATGACACCTGATAAAACATCTTGCTTAGCTGTGCTTCAGTTCAGTGATGTGATGAAGAGTAGCATGAGACGTTTCTCTTTGGGTCCTTAAGACAAAAATTAGGAATACTTACCTGATATCCCAGCAGGCAGTGGGGCAGAGGGTCCTTGCAGGACTTTGGGCTGTTTGTACTGGTCCCGGCCAGTACATTATCAAAGACTGGAGAGGCAGTGTTGAAAACCACAAATTTTAGAATTAGAAGGCTTGGGTTCCAGGTTCAGCTCTAAGTTAGCTAGCTGTACAGAGGAATTCACCTTATTTCCCTGAGACTCATTCTGTAGGCTGAGTCGATGCCAATATTCCCTGCTTCACAAGTTCTTATGATGTCAGTGAAAAAAAAAAATGTGCTTTAAAAAAGGACTTTATAATGATGCAATACAAAATTAGTTACAAGTAGTATAACTTAGTTGGTCCTGTTTGCTAAGCTCTTTAACATGGGTTTGCTACAATGACTTTGGCAGCGTGTCCCGTGAATCATAATAACGAGCTGTAACAGCTCGTTATATGCACCATGTACTGGGTTCGGTGCTTCATAAGTTATCAAATTTTATCGCTACTTTATTAAACACTTTCATAAACCTTATGAAGTTAATATAACTTTATGAAGCCCTATTTAACAGATGGAAGACCATATGATTATAAAAAGGTAATCAAGCCCAGGACCCAGATACATCCGACTGTAACACTCACACACAACAATATCATGCAGCCTCTTTGGAAACACTGAGCCACCAGGACATTTCCATCTCTAGAGGATAGAAATTGCTGGTCCAAAATGAATCTAGTTAGCCTCACCCAAATTGTTACTAAATATCAGAGAGGATTCAGAAGAAAGATGATGGCTCAAGCTATTCCAAAAAAAAAAAAAAAAAAAAAAAGGACAAGCCACTTAATGCTGGATATGGGGAGGAATTGATATGAACACCAACAGATCCGGGTGAAGAAAACCCGGACCAGACTTGAGTTTGTGGCATAATCTGACATCCCTTGAGCCACAGGTCATCTAAACAAAGATAAGAAAATGTTTTGTGCCCTCTCATCATACTTCTCCTCACTCAAGCCAAAAACTGGACAGCTGTTCTTCTCCTTTCTTGGTCTTGCTCTGTAAAGTGGGAAGATAACATTTCCTTGGACATTATCTCTTCTCCTACTTATACCCCTACCCACACACACAGATTGTTTAATTGTTTTTATTCAGACAGGGCTGCAATCCCAGAAAAGAGTTAAGTTAGAAATAAGGGGAGGCTCGTTGATGGTAGAGATGAGAAAAGCCCTGGTAGCCATACATATTATAAGTCATAGTTTTTAAAGAATCATATTGACTTTAAATAAAACATTCAAGTAGACATAAGTTGAAAATTCATTACAACAGAGGGCACGGTTTGAAACTCACCTAGAAATTGAGAAATAAATTAGGAGCTAAACTCATCAACTGTCCCTTCCGTGGTGGGTGTGAAAAGATGGTTAAACTACCACATAAGTTTGTGAACCAAAACAATGCCTTCATGGCAGAGAACAAAAGTGAACAAAGACGCTGCCTTCTTCGAAGATTACCAAGGAGAAATCAACCAAAATGAAGCCATGAAAGAAAAAATAAAAATAAGTAATTCTGACCAAGAGAAAGTACCCAGAAGACCCAGAATAAGATCCACCTGAAACCAACCTTTTGTAGCACACAGAAGAAAATGTCCAGAAACTGACTGGCATCATTATAACAGAGGTCTGGATGGGATTTCCTCTCTCAAACAGAAGCAGAAAATAAAAAAAACTGAACAGGGTGAGATGATAGGACAACAGGATGGGAAAAAGCAGCAAAAATGCAAGACAAAGAGATATAAATGAGATAAGAAATGATTCCAACAGAACTAAAATACAAGCAACAAACACAGGATTAAAATTCTCACTGAAGGAAGTAAAGCAGAACTGAGGCTGCAGATAAATGAATGAGTGATGCAAAATTTTGAAATGGTCTTTCGGAGTACAGAAACAGAGTTTTGAAGGTGAAAAACAGGTAAGTAGTCTGGAAATGGCAATGGGATGCAAGTAGGATCTCTGCCCCCATCCTGGTTCTGATGGTTCAGGGCAGGAGGGTAAAAACAGCCTCCCCTTTATAGGGCTTCAGGAAAAAATATGTCCTCAAGGGACAGGCAGATTTCAGTTAAGGCAACAAGCAAAGAGAAAATTCATATAAAAGGCTGAAAATATTGGGGAGCTTGTTTTTCCCTCTCTGAGATAATCACTTTATATCATCTCATCAAGCCTCCCGCACCCTGGCCTTCCACTTTCCACAAATGACATTGCCTCATAATTTATTCAGAAAAACAGAAACCGTATATAGGAACACCTGCCTGCACCCATCTTCTCCACCTCTGCTCTCATGGAGATAGAAAAACCATCCCATACCCATGAAAGCTAATCCCCTGTGTGTGCACAAGATCCCTTTCTCTTCTCCTTTTCTCAAGGACTTTACTCCAGCTCTTTGCTCTCTCTCCTAACCAGTGTCTCCCTCCCTATCAGATCATTTATGTCACATAAAACATACTCTAAGGAAGAATATCTCATTTTTAAAAGCACCACCCCTTGAAACCATATCTCACATTGGCTAATAGCTCATTTATTTTCTCCTCTGCACACTTAGCCTTCTCAAACAAGTTGTCAGCACGTGCCATTTCCACTTCCTCACTTTTGATTCACTCCTCATTCCACTTTAGTCTGGTTTCTGTCCATCTCTCTCAAGAACACAGTCTTAACTCCAAGTTCTTCCTACTCCACTGCTTGTAAGCTCAACTTCCAAATGCCAGCACCTACACTTCTTTACCCAGTGGCCTCTCTTGCCACTGTAGCTCAATTTGCCTCTGCAAAGCAGACCAGAAATGCCAACAAAACAATGTCTTCTCCCCACGCCAGGAACAGACCTCAACAAATGATTGACTGGGCTTAATGAATAAATGATGCCCGTCGTTTGAGGTGACCCTCTGAGAAATGGATTTTGCACCAGCTTCCAGGGTTTTCCCAGCGATATCCAACATCAGTTGCCCACACTGGTAGCTGCCCTGATAACACACCTTTTATCACCTGTCTTATCTTTCTTGTCTGTTTCCCGCTCCCTCTACTTGAATTCTTATTCCTGAGTTTGCTGCCAAGAAATCCAAACTAAGACAACCTCTATGATGCTAACTCTAATACATTTCTCCATCTCATATCACCAAGTTTTTAGTTGAAAGCTCTCTCTTCTGCTGGCTTTCAGAACACCACACCTTCCTGATTTGCCCCTGCTTCACAGACTGATCCTTTTCCACCAGACCTTTCATATTGGAATGCCCCAGGCTTTGATCCGCATGTCTGCTCCTTCTTTTCCTATCTTTTTCAAATGACTCAAGTTCATATATCTAGCCTGGCCTCTCTTCTGAATTCCAGACTCACTCTAGATATTAATTAAAAAATTAATCTTAACTTTACATTGAACTTACTTTCCTATTGTTTTATGGTACACCAGACATTGTATAAGTTCTTTGAAAATATTATGTCATTTAGTCCTCACCACAATGATCCAAATCATTACACTTCTCAGGCAAGGAAAGCACGCTTCCAAAAGACTGGGAGCTTGCCTGGATTCATGGAGCTGGTGAGGAACAGCACCAGGATGTGAAGCAGGTGTTTCTGACTCTGAAGTTTGTGTGCTCTTAACCACCAGGCCACTCTGCTTCCTGTATTCCTGCTTCCTTTGTTGAATGGGCATATAGGTTTTATAGAATGAGAAACTGCTGAAACTGGAAGAGAACTTAGTGATCATCCAATCCAGCTCTTTCATTTTATAGTTGTCCAAAAAAACAAATAATTTTCCTGAGATTTATTTAGCTATCTGCTTATATTTATCATAGGTGATTATTTTCATGCTTTATGTTTGGGGCTGTAAATGGTGCCAAGATTCTTTGCTTTTTCTGAGTTGATTTTCAGCCCTGGAGGCACTGTACGTAAATGTTGATGACACACAACTTCCTAACCACCCCCCGCCCCACCCCGATGCTGGAGAGAACCCTGAAGGGTCACCATGTCATTTCTCTTAGAGACTTTCTCAGGTGGTGATGATTTTCCAATTGCACAAGCCAATGACTGGAATTTTAACCACCAGAACCCTGTGAATGTATCTCTGTTAAATATCTCCCCTTCACCACTAAGGCTATTTATTGTGCTGTATCCAGAGCAATTCAACCCAAGACTGTATCTATGCCAGAGACATGAATAAAAACTATTTAAAAAAAGCAGCCATCCAGATGTTCTTTGGCAATGACAAACACCCAGACATTTGGAGACATCTGGATGACTGACTGACTTTTTCAGTTTTCATCTGGAAGATTAAGATTATTCAGACACAGTATGATTACATGCTGGATGATAATAAACAAATCTTTGACAATGTCCACAGGATTGCAAACATCTGGGTGAAAAACTCAACAATCCAGCTAACCATCCAAATGTTTGGCATCATTTAAACAAAGCATTGGACAGCAGGAGATGGGCAAAATCCAAAAAAGGAGGCAGGAGGTATCCAAAGCAAACATTGCTTACATAAAAAATCAGTTTACATTCAATTTAAAGGGGAAAATGAGTTAGGAATGGTAAACTTATTATTATCACCCACATCCTACAGCTCTTCTCTTCTACAATGGCCTTTCCAAACCTACTGAAGTCACAGAACCTCCAGAATTTTGTGGCCAGGGTCTAATCTTCTTACCTAGTATGGAAACTTTTAGGCATCACACGAGAATAGCAAAGTCTTGTTTTTTGTGTGGTTTCCTGGTCCACCTAAAAAGACAAAAAGTACATCTGGGGCTTAAGGACTTCTCAACAAAAAGAATGCAGGTCTCATTGCCAGGGGTAGGGAGAGGAGGGTGCCTTGGGAATCAAAGCAATAGCCCTCAGGTATGAGAATGCTGGAAGATAAATGAACCATTTCAGGCTGCTGATTCAAGGTCACTAAAGGATATGTTGAGTTACACAATGAGACAAGGGTGTGTGTCCCCCCAAAAGAAAACTTAGTACTATGCTTTAATTGATGAAGAAAAGAAGCGTCCTACTCATGGACAAATAAACAAAATGTTGATGTTGGGGCTGAGAGAGATGTCCTTAGAGGAAAATTTTATTTTTGTTTGTAGCAGAAATGGCTCTTAAAGTAATAATGGCAGCTACGGGAGCACCAGCAGCAGAAAAGTAGTGCCCTGGTGGTGACAGCAGCATCAGACAGCTTTAAGTACTGGCAGCAGAAATGGGAGATTGGTTCCTGTTGGTGGAGGAGTCAGAGAACCAAAGCATCTGCAGGTGCAGATGAACAAAACTAAGTGTAGGCTGGGAATCAAACATTTTTCTGCATGTAACCTGAGCCCATGATTTTTCTTTTTGCTGCTATATTCCAGAAATACAAGGATTTTTGAGCCAAAGAAAATTTGAAGCATCTTGATGTTGCTTTTCATCTGGGCCATGTTAAGGAAAATGTAATAAAACTTCCACCACTAGGCTGTTATACTTGTGATATTTGCTTCCTGGCCATTTTCCTTGACATTATCTGGAAACAAATGCTCTGCTGGAGCATGAGGAAGAAAGTGAAATTTGCTGACCAAAAAAGGAAAAAGACTTTGGACTCAGAAATAACATTCACACAAAAATATGAAAAACAACAAACAGTAATTTTACAGATAACCCAAAGCTGAACTTCTCTTGCCAAATAGCCCTTGAGTTCCTTGCAAATTTAAAAACCATTATCCAAAACCAAGATGGTTTCTTAGAAAACGTCTGTCTCTTGATTAGCCACCAAAAGACATGGAAAAATATATATATTCCAAAGGCTCCTTTGGATTATGTAACAGTGAAGGTCTGTGTAAATTCAACAGGGCCTTCATTCCATTGTGCTAACAGCATTTAAAACCAGATGCTGGCTCTCCCTGTCTCTTTGCTGGAAAAATTACTGTCAACATGCATTGTTTCTGAGAGAAACTTAAGGCAAAACAGTCTCCAAGTTCTGTAATTAAAATAAGATTTTCTTAAAAAAAAAAAGCTATACAAAATTCTCTGCATTAACACTTTTATTACAAAAACATCCCTTAGGTTACAAAGAAATTACTTAGAAATAATCAAAATACATACAAAAATATGTGTCTTTTAAGTAAGGCCCACTATATGTCTTTGTGATCTTGGGCAAATTATTTTTGTGTTCTAAGCGTCATGTTTTTCATATGTAAAGTGAAAGGTTTGGAATTCCATCGTCCATAAGGTCCCACCTGGCTCTATGAGTTTGTAAAAATATTTTCTATTGAGTGGAAATTATAGCCACCACTAGTGTTATTTCTCCTAAGTAATCCATTCAAATTCTGTATTTGCTTATATCAGGGCAGAAAAGGGAGTGTTATGGAAGCAATATTAGTGGTCTTGCTCTAAGAAAATCTAAACAGTAAAAACCTTCACTTAGAGAACATGAAAAACTATGTTGTTTTTAAATTCAAACTATTCACCACAGAACCCTTTAAATAAATTCCTCCCTGCAGAATTCAAATCTCATGTGCCAGTTACTAAAATTTAATTCACACAACTATTGTGTCTGACAAAATCCCCTACAAGGGCAAGCCATGAAGATTCTGTAAAGATAGAGTAGGGTGGCAACAGGTACAAGTTCCAAGGGATATTGTAGAGGGATCTTGTAGTAGCCAGATTTACAGGGCTCCTCCAGGCTTGTATGCCTCTTCTTTGAGAACATCATACGTATAACAGGTGTGAGTCCAGTTGGTCAGGTTTGGACTACATAACCCCTCTTTCCCCATCTGCAGCTATGGATGATTTGACCGTGAGTGGATTGATGAAAGATGAACCAATGGGATTCTTTCCCCTGAGAATCTGGAGTTGGGATGGAGAGGCTGGTTATTTGCTCCAGTGTGTTTAACTAAACTGAGGACATACAAAAAAGTTCATAGAGCAAGACACATAAAGATGTCCGGGGAAAGAGATGGAGACAGAGGGGAGAGAGAGAGGGAGAAGGAGGGGGAGAAACAAGAAGCAGAGAAGCAAGGAAACCAGAGCACCTGAGGAATTTCTGTGTCCAGATCTCCCGAGACCCCGACATGTTCCCGCTCAAGCCACCCTGGGTTTCTTATTTCAGCTAGGCTTACATAAATTCACTATAACTAAAAGAAACCTTGTTTGAAATAGAACTTACAATGCCTATGCACATCTGGGCTTTTACATCAACCAATTTAATACTAAAAATTTGTTTTAATATGTAAACAATACAATGTTTATTAATTTCACAAATACTTATGAATTACCTATTATGCCTCAAGTAATAGACAATCAGAATGTATTTTTTCAACTAATATCAGGTTCTGGGAGATGCAAAAATAAATGAGAAACCATTCTTATCCCCAAGAAGCTTACATTTATAGAGTGCCAACTGTATCTATCTACTTTGTTAAGATTATTACTATGACTTGATGGATTTAGTATTAATAAAAGTTAAATTTCAATGCATTTGCTTTTGAATTAATAAAGGCAAGTTGCTCTTTTAAACCAGTCTTTGTTCTGTTTTTCTACGAGTTGTGTTTGATTTCATCCCACTCTACTAGAGTTAAAACACTTAGGGCATTTGTGCCTGTCTTTGGCCCTTTCTTCTACCACAATGTGGGGAATAACATTGCTTGAGGCTTTGAACTCAAGACGATGGTAGGCCCCCTAAGATTGTCTTTTTGAAGCACTCATCTCTTTTGTATACACTTTAATAGAAGTTATGTTTGTGAGATAAACTAAATTCTAATAGAAAATGTACATGTACAGAGTTTAATTAATATACTTAATTCAATTAATTTTAGGTAATAAGTTTTAATTTTAGTGGTTCTATTTATTTCTTATCCACACTTTCCATCTACCTTTTGTTATTGGGGAAAAACAAACATTCCTTGGTTTCAAGTCAAAACTGTCAAAATTGCTACTTCCCCTCCCACTTAGATGTAATCAAGGAGTTCTCGCATATGTTTCCTAAAGTGGTTGCCAATCAAAATAACCTGGAATGCTTGCAAAAAATACTAACATCTGGGATACACTAGGTGTCTCTGATTAATTGGATCCGAAGATAGGCCTGAAGTCTGTATTTTCAACAACTTCCTGGTGGATCTTAATGTGACTAGCTGATCTACTGTTTAGAAGACTGAAGGGTTGCATTGAGGAAGGTCAGCAAGAAGAAGAGCACTCATTTCCAGGGCAGGGTGCCACACTCAGCTATGTACATTGTGTACTGCCCAAGAGCACCTGCTGGGAGGCAGTGGGGGCTAAACCCAGCCCTGACCCCTCTTGCCTACCACGTGCCTGCCACAGGACTTCATCCGCCCAGAGGAACAGGTGCCTCTTTCGCATTTGCTCTAAAGCATTGATGATCCAGCTGCAGCCCTGTTACTAGAGACAGCTGTGTGATTTCAGCCCCCATGCCACACAATATCCAAGCCAGCTCAACATCTGCTGACATCTTTTTAACAGAGCATCCTTCTCAAGACCAAGTCACCACACGAAAATTTCTTCATACCTATTTTCTAATCTTTTTTTTTTTTTTTTGCTTAAAGAATTTTACTCTAGGCTAGAATTTCCCAAAATATGTTCTGGGGACCTTCATCCTATGTGATAAATATCACACATGTGCACATGCACATATGCACAAGCCCATCACATAAATCTGAGAAAAGCAGCATATTCTATTTCCCTCTTTGACATTAACAGCACATGTTAGCACATTTTTAAAATTTTTTTATTATACTTTAAGTTCTAGGGTACATGTGCACAACATGCAGGTTTGTTACATATGTATACATGTGCCATGTTGGTGTGCTGCACCCATTAACTAGTCATTTACATTAGGTACATCTCCTAATGCTATCTCTCCCCCCCTCCCCCACCCCACAACAGGCCCAGATGTGAGATGTTCCCCTATCTGTGTCCAAGTGTTCTCACTGTTCAATTTCCACCTATGAGTGAGAACATGTGGTGTTTGGTTTTTTGTCCTTGCGATAGTTTGCAGAGAATGATGGTTTCCAGCTTCATCCATGTCCCTAACAAAGGACATGAACTCATCATTTTTTATGGCTGCATAGCATTCCATGGTGTATATGTGCCACATTTTCTTAATCCAGTCTATCATTGTTGGACATTTGGGTTGGTTCCAAGTCTTTGCTATTGTGAATAGTGCCACAATAAACATACGTGTGCATGTGTCTTTATAGCAGCATGATTTATAATCCTTTGGGTATATACCCAGTAATGGGATAGCTGAGTCAAATGGTATTTCTAGTTCTAGATCCCTGAGGAATCACCACACTGACTTCACAATTGTTGAACTAGTTTACAGTCCCACCAACATTATAAAAGTGTTCCCATTTCTCCACATCCTCTCCAGCACCTGTTGTTTCTTGACTTTTTGATGATCGCCATCCTAACTGGTGTGAGATGATATCTCATTGTGGTTTTGATTTGCATTTCTCTGATGGCCAGTGATGATGAGCATTTTTTCATGTGTTTTTTGGCTGCATAAATGTCTTCTTTTGAGAAGTGTCTGTTCATATCCTTTGGCCACTTTTTGATGGGGTTGTTTGTTTTTTTCTTGTAAATTTGTTTGAGTTCTTTGTAGATTCTGGATATTAGCCCTTTGTCAGATGAATAGATTGCAAAAATTTTCTCCCATTCTGTAGGTTGCCTGTTCACTCTGATGGTAGTTTCTTTTGCTGTGCAGAAGGTCTTTAGTTTAATTAAATTCCATTTGTCTAGTTTGGCTTTTGTTGCCATTGCTTTTGGTGTTTTAGACATGAAGTCCTTGCCCATGCCTATGTCCTGAATGGTATTGCCTAGGTTTTCTTCTAGGGTTTTTATGGTTTTAGGTCTGACATTTAAGTCTTTAATCCATCTTGAATTAATTTTTGAATAAGGTGTAAGGAAGGGATCCAGTTTCAGCTTTCTACATATGGCTAGCCAGTTTTTCCACCATTTGTTAAATAGGGAATCCTTTCCGCATTTCTTGTTTTTATCAGGTTTGTCAAAGATCAGATAGTTGTAGATGTGTGGTATTATTTTTGAGGGCTCTGTTCTGTTCGATTGGTCTATATCTCTGTTTTGGTACCAGTACCATGCTGTTTTGGTTACTGTAGCCTTGTAGTATAGTTTGAAGTCAGGTAGGGTGATGCCTCCAGCTTTGTTCTTTTGGCTTAGAATTGACTTGGCGATGCGGGCTCTTTTTTGGTTCCATATGAAATTTAAAGTAGTTTTTTCCAATTCTGTGAAGAAAGTCATTGGTAGCTTAATGGGGATGGCATTGAATCTATAAATTACCTTGGGCAGTGTGGCCATTTTCACGATATTGATTCTTCCTATCCATGAGCATGGAATGTTCTTCTGTTTGTTTGTGTCCTCTTTTATTTTGTTGAGCAGTGGTTTGTAGTTCTCCTTGAAGAGGTCCTTCACGTCCCTTGTGAGTTGGATTCCTAGGTATTTTATTCGCTTTGAAGCAACTGTGAATGGGAGTTCTCTCATATTTGACTCTCTGTTTGTCTGTTATTGGTGTATAAGAATGCTTGTGATTTTTGCACATTGATTTTGTATCCTGAGACTTTGCTGAAGTTGCTTATCACCTTAAGGAGATTTTGGGCTGAGATGATGGGGTTTTCTAGATATACAATCATGTCACCTGCAAACAGGGACAATTTGACTTCCTCTTTTCCTAATTTAATACCCTTTATTTCTTTCTCCTGCCTGATTGCCGTGGCCAGAACTTCCAACACTATTTTGAATAGGAGTGGTGAGAGAGGGCATCCCTGTCTTGTGCCAGTTTTCGAAGGGAATGCTTCCGGTTTTTGCCCATTCAGTATGATATTGGCTGTGGGTTTGTCATAAATAGCTCTTATTATTTTGAGATATGTCCCATCAATACCTAATTTATTGAGAGTTTTTAGCATGAAAGGCTGTTGAATTTTGTCAAAGGCCTTTTCTGCATCTATTGAGATAATCATGTGGTTTTTGTCTTTGGTTCTGTTTATATGCTGGATTACATTTATTGATTTGTGTATGTTGAACTAGCCTTGCATCCCAGGGATGAAGCCCACTTGATCTTGGCGGATGAGATTTTTGATGTGCTGCTGGATTCAGTTTGCCAGTATTTTATTGAGGATTTTTGCATTGATATTCATCAGGGATATTGGTCTAAAATTCTCTTTTTTTATTGTGTCTCTGCCAGTCTTTGGTATCAGGATGATGCTGGCCTCATAAAATGAGTTAGGGAGGATTCCCTCCTTTTCTATTGATTGGAATTGTTTCAGAAGGAATTGTGTCAGCTCCTCCTTGTACCTCTGGTAGAATTCGGCTGTGAATCCGTCTAGCCCTGGACTTTTTTTGGTTGGTAAGCTATTAATTATTGCCTCAATTTCAGTGCCTATTATTGGTCTATTCAGAGATTCAACTTCTTCCTGGTTTAGTCTTGGGAGGGTGTATGTGTCGAGGAATTCATCCATTTCTTCTAGATTTTCTAGTTTGCTTGCATAGAGGTGTTTAAGTATTCTCTGATGGTAGTTTGTATTTCTGTGGGATTGGTGGTGATATCTCCTTTATCATTTTTTATTGCATCTATTTGATTCTTCTCTCTTTTCTTCTTTATTAGTCTTGCTAGCAGTCTATCAATTTTGTTGATCTTTTCCAAAAACCAGCTCCCAGATTCATTAATTTTTTGAAGAGTATTTATTTATTTATTTATTTATTTATTATTATACTTTAAGTTTTAGGGTACGTGTGCACAATGTGCATGTTAGTTACATGTGTATATATGTGCCATGTTGGTGTGCTGCACCCACTAACTCGTCATCTAGCATTAGGTATATCTCCCAATGCTATCCCTCCACCCTCCACCCACCCCACAACAGTCCCCAGAGTGTGATGTTCACCTTCCTGTGTCCATGTGTTCTCATTGTTCAGTTCCCACCTATGAGTGAGAACATGTGGTGTTTGGTTTTTTGTTCTTGCGATAGTTTACTGAGCTTGATGATTTCCAATTTCATCCATGTCCCTAACAAAGGACATGAACTCATCATTTTTTATGGCTGCATAGTATTCCATGGTGTATATGTGCCACATTTTCTTAATCCAGTCTATCATTGTTGGACATTTGGGTTGGTTCCAAGTCTTTGCTATTGTGAATAATGCTGCAATAAACATACGTGTGCATGTGTCTTTATAGCCGCATGATTTATAGTCCTTTGGGTATATACCCAGTAATGGGATGGCTGGGTCAAATGGTATTTCTAGTTCTAGATCCCTGAGGAATCGCCACACTGACTTCCACAATGGTTGAACTAGTTTACAGTCCTACCAACAGTGTAAAAGTGTTCCTATTTCTCCACATCCTCTCCAGCACCTGTTGTTTCCTGACTTTTTAATGATTGCCATTCTACTGGTGTGAGATGGTATCTCCTTGTGGTTTTAATTTGCATTTCTCTGATGGCTAGTTATGGTGAGCATTTTTTCATGTGTTTTTTGGCTGCATAAATGTCTTCTTTTGAGAGGTGTCTGTTCATGTCCTTCGCCCACTTTTTGATGGGTTTGTTTTTTTTTTTTCTTGTGAATTTGTTTGAGTTCGTTGTAGATTCTGGATATTAGCCCTTTGTCAGATGAGTAGGTTGTGAAAATTTTCTCCCATTTTGTGGGTTGCCTGTTCACTCTGATGGTATTTTGAAGGGTTTTTTGTGTCTCTATTTCCTTCAGTTCTGCTCTGATCTTAGTTATTTCTTGCCTTCTGCTAGCTTTCGAATGTGTTTGCTTTTGCTTCTCTAGTTCTTTTAATTGTGATGTTAGGGTATCAATTTTAGATCTTTCCTGCTTTCTCTTGTGGGCATTTAGTGCTATAAATTTCCCTCTACAGACTGCTTTAAATGTGTCCCAGAGATTCTGCTATGTCGTGTCTTTGTTCTCGTTGGTTTCAAAGAACATCTTTATTTCTGCCTTCATTTCATTATGTACCCAGTAGTCGTTCAGGAGCAGGTTGTTCAGTTTCCATGTAGTTGAGTGGTTTAGAGTGAGTTTCTTAATCCTGAGTTCTAGCTTGATTGCACTGTGGCCTGAGAGACAGTTTGTTATAATTTCTGTTCTTTTATATTTGTTGAGGAGTGCTTTACTTCCAACTATGTGGTCAATTTTGGAGTAGGTGTGGTGTGGTTCTGAGAAGAATGTATATTCTGTTGATTTGGGTTGGAGAGTTCTGTAGACATCTATTATGTCTGCTTGGTGCAGAGCTGAGTTCAATTCCTGGATATCCTTGTTAACTTTCTGTCTCATTGATCTGTCTAATGTTGACAGTGGGGTGTTAAAGTCTCCCAATATTACTGTGTGGGAGTCTTAGTCTCTTTGTAGGTCACTAAGGGCTTGCTTTATGAATCTGGGTGCTCCTGTATTGGGTGCATATATATTTAGGATAGTTAGCTCTTCTTGTTGAATTGATCCCTTTAGTATTATGTGATGGCCTTCTTTGTCTCTTTTGATCTTTGTTGGTTTAAAGTCTGTTTTATCAGAGACTAGGATTGAAATGCCTGCCTTTTTTTGTTTTCCATTTGCTTGGTAGATCTTCCTCCATCCTGTTATTTTGGGCCTATGTGTGTCTCTGCATGTGAGATGGGTTTCCTGAATACAGCACACTGATGGGTCTTGACTCTTTAACCAATTTGCCAGTCTGTGTCTTTTAATTGGAGCATTTAGTCCATTTACATTTAAAATTAATATTGTTATGTGTGAATTTGATCCTGTCATTATGATGTTAGCTGGTTATTTTGCTCATTAGTTGATGCAGTTTCTTCCTAGCATTGATGGTCTTTACAATTTGACATGTTTTTGCAGTGGCTGGTACCGGTTGTTTGATGGTCTTTACAATTTGGCATGTTTTTGCAGTGGCTGGTACCGGTTGTTCCTTTCCGTGTTTAGTGCTTCCTTCAGGAGCTCTTTTAGGGCAGGCCTGGTGGTGACAAAATCTCTCAGCATTTGCTTGTCTGTAAAGGATTTTATTTCTCCTTCACTTATGAAGCTTAGTTTGGCTGGATATGAAATTCTGGGTTGAAAATTCTTTTCTTAAAAATGTTGAATATTGGCCCCCTCACTCTTCTGGCTTGTAGAGTTTCTGCCAAGAGATCAGCAGTTAGTCTGATGGGCTTCCGTTTGCGGGTAACCTGACCTTTCTCTCTGGCTGCCCTTAACATTTTTTCCCTCATTTCAACTTTGGTGAATCTGACAATTATGTGTCTTGGAGTTGCTCTTCTCGAGGAGCATCTTTGTGGCATTCTCTGTATTTCCTGAATTTGAATGTTGGCCTGCCTTGCTAGATTGGGGGAGTTCTTCTGGGTAATATCCTTCAGAGTGTTTTCCATCTTGGTTCCATTCTCCCCGTCACTTTCAGGTACACCAGTCAGACGTAGATTTGGTCTTTTCACATAGTCCCATATTTCTTGGTGGCTTTGTTCATTTCTTTTTCTTCTTTTTTCTCTAAACTTCTCTTCTCACTTCATTTCATTCTTTTCATCTTCAATCACTGATACCCTTTCTTCCAGTTGATCAAATCGGCTACTGAAGCTTGTGCATGTGTCACATAGTTCTCATGCCTTGGTTTTCAGCTCCATCAGGTCATTTAAGGAATTCTCTACATTGGTTATTCTAGTTAGCCATCGTCTAATCTTTTTTCAAGGTTTTAACTTCTTTGCAATGGGTTCGAACTTCTTCCTTTAGCTCAGAGAAGTTTGATCGTCTGAAGCCTTCTTCTCTCAACTCGTCAGAGTCATTCTCCATCTAGCTTTGTTCCATTGCTGGTGAGGAGCTGTGTTCCTTTGGAGGAGGAAAGGCACTCTGATTTTTAGAATTTTCAGTTTTTCTGCTCTGTTTTTTCCCCATTTTTGTGGTTTTATCTACCTTTGATCTTTGATCATGGTGACGTACAGATGGGGTTTTGGTGTGGATGTCCTTTCTGTTTGTTAGTTTTCCTTCTAACAGTCAGGACCCTCAGCTGAAGGTCTGTTGGGGTTTGCTGGAGGTCCACTCCAGACCCTGTTTACCTGGGTATCAGCAGCGGAGGCTGCAGAACAGCAAATATTGCTGAACAGCAATGTTGCTGCCTGATTGTTCCTCTGGAAGTTTTGTCTAAGAGGGGCACTGGACCATATAAGGGATGTCAGTCGGCACCTACTGGGAAATGTCTCCCAGTTAGGCTACTTGGGGGTCAGGGACCCACTTGAGGAGGCAGTCTGTCCGTTCTCAGAGCTCTAACTCCATGCTGAGAGAACCACTACTGTCTTCAAAGCTGTCAGACAGGGACATTTAAGTCTGCAGAGGATTCTGCTGCCTTTTGTTTGGCTATGCCCTGCCCCCAGAGGTGGAGTCTACAGAAGCAGGCAGGCCTCCTTGAGCTGCGGTGGGCTCCACCTAGTTCTAGCTTCCAGGCTGCTTTGTTTACCTAGTTGAGCCTCAGCAATGGCGGATTCCCCTCCCCCAGCCTCACTGCTGCCTTGCAGTTCAATCTCAGACTGCTGTGCTAGCAATGAGCATTGCTGTGTGGGTGTGGGACCCTCCGAGCCAGGCACAGGATATAATCTCCTGGTGTGCCATTTGCTAAGACCATTGGAAAACACAGTATTAGGGCAGAAGTGACCCGATTTTCCAGGTGGCGTCTGTCACAGATTTGCTTGGCTAGGAAAGGGAATTCCGTGACCCCTTGGGCTTCCCAGGTGAGGCATGCCTCACCCTACTTCAGCTCACTCTCGGTGTGCTCCACCCACCGTCCTGCACCCGCTGTCCAATAAGCCCCAGTGAGATGAACCTGGTACCTCAGTTGGAAATGCAGAAATCACCCGTCTTCTGTGTCGCTCATGCTGGGACCTGTAGACTGGAGCTGTTCCTATTTGGCCATCTTGGAGCCACCCCCACATATTAGCTTATTAAAGTCTCTGAAAAGTCCTGCAGCAAGGAAACCTGGCAAACTCAGAAAACATGGCTTAACATTTTCCCAAATTAAAAAAAAAGTTTATTTTCTTCTTTTTGTTTATGTGTTGCAGCCAATTAATCTTTTCCTGCTTAAGATATGTTCCTGGGTGTCCTCCTTTTTTTCCATCCAGTGAGTTTTTACTGCTTATAACTTAAATTAAATGACACAAGGACCATGTCTTAGGCACCTGTGTTTCCCCAGTACCTGACAAACGAAAATGCATATGATGATTAATAAATAAATGTGTACCAAATGAATGAATAAATAGATGATAAAATGAATGGTTAATTGTTTTTAACAAAAGGGCTAATTTTAAACATTGAAGCCAACAACTTTTTGGTGTTTAATAACTGTCTCTGAATGTGTATGTTTGTGTGTGTAGATACAGCCCATGTGTCCAGATAACTAACAGCTCAAGTGGTGAGGCCATCTTTTCTTAGTAACTTCAGCTATTATACCCCTGTGGATCTCATTAGCAGAAGAGGCTGAAGCTTAACTGTTCCCTCTCATCTCAGCTTGTGTACTGTCAGGACTTATCAAGATCTGCCTTGCTCAATTCATGGGCAATCATTATTTTAGAACCTGAGATAGGAAGGCAGTAGATTTTATGTGATTAGCTGCTGAGATAAACGTTAATTAATTTTCAATTTCCATAAAGCAGCTCACTGGCAGAAAGATTTATTAAGTCAGTTAATGGCTACAGATGATTATTCCAAAATTGGGATTGGGGATAAAGAGCTATGAAGACAAGGGCTGGTGAAGAGTGAACATGAAGCAGGCAGCACATAATATATTAGGAAAATAAATAAAAATGGAAGTAAATGCATCACCACATGGCTGTACAGTTAAAAATCATTAGGCAAAATGAATTGGGGATTTGGAAAAGGTAACAAACATAAAGTGGGTGGTAGGCCTGGCATTTTTATCATTTGATCTTGAAAGAAAAATATAAGTCAGTCCAAAATCTAAGAACTGAGACATGTGTGAGGGCATATCTACTGCCTTAGTCTGTTTTTGCTGCTATAACAGAAGACCTGAGACTGAATAATTCATAAAGAACAGAGAGGGAAGGCTGAGTGGTGGCATCTGGTGAGAGCCTTCTTGCTCTGTCATCCCATGGCAGAAGGTGAAAGGGTAAGGAAGCTCCAGTGCACACACACGAAGTAGGGAGAGAGAGAGAGGAAGGGGGCTAAGCTCACCCTTTTATCAGGAACTCAGTCCCACAATAACAGCATGAACCCAAGACCTTTAAAAGATTACCTAATCATCTTTTAAAATTCCCCCTGTCTCAACACTGTTGCAACGGGGATTAAGTTTCAAACACATAACCTTTCGGGGACACATTCAAACCATAGCAACTACTAAACCTAGACCCCAGTGACAAATCTGATGTAGACTCTGTTTTGATTTAGTCCCATCCAGGAAGCTAAGAAATTCTCTCATTTCTTCCTTGACTAGAGGAAATTGCTTTGGATAAGCAAGGAGAAAAGGAGGAGAGAGGGATGGGTTGGTGAGTTTTATTTCTTCTGGATAGCATAGAAACTCATGTCATAGGTTTGTAGAAGAGAAATTCTACATTTCTTCTGTACTTCAAACTTTCTGGCTTGGACAAGTCACATAAGCTTTCTGGGCCTCAGTTTCATTTTTTAGAAAAGAGGAATATTATGTGTGTCCACTTGATTAAGTTGTATGGAAGACTAAAAGAAATAATGTACAAACACTCTTCGCACTGTGCCTGCACATGGTAAGTATTCAACACACATTATCTAGTTCTATTCCTCTTTGTGGAGTTAGTCAGTTTACCAAAGACTTAAAAGTACCTCAGTGCCATTGGTGATGAATTTTCAAAATTTGCTAATTTCCTTAGACTTAGGTGCTGCTATTGGATTTTCTAGACACTGAAGAAAACTGAAAGTCTTTTTGCCAGACAAGCTAAATTTTGTAACAAAGAGGCTCTAAGCCCAGCAGTCCCACCACTGACTATATTCCATTCATGCACACTTCTCAGTCAGTTCACTGTGCCTCATAAGGGGAATACTGCCAGGTCTACTGACAACACTTTCCTCTCTACTTCTCGATATAGAGGTCAAGGCATATCTCTGACAATCTCTTTCTTTTCATCCAATGTCATAGAATAAACAAAAGTTTGCAAGAAAAATGCCACATTTGACCCTGTCTTGTTCTCAACTCAGTGTTTCCTCCAGCATCATTCTTTTTCCTAGAATAGGCAGGTCAATCCACCCTCAACCAATAATGTCCAAAAGCCAAGCTCAAAACTTTGAGTCAATGTCCTCATAAGCAGCAGGCAATCTCGTAGTCCCAGCAATACAACTGCTTTCAAAAAGCACTAGCTACCTGGTTTTCATTTTGCCAAAGTGTGTTTCTGAGGGAGCTGAGGAATTTGAGGGAGCCAGGTCAGAGTCAGGTGTGTCTGCTATCCAGGGGAAATACCATATCTTTAGTATCAAAGATTCAATTGACTATACTTTCAGCATGTCCTAGCTTAGCCAAGCATGTGTTGATACATGAAACCCAGGAAATGTTTATTAAGTACACCACAAATTACTCCAGGTCTTCTGTTTTAGGACCATGCCATGAGTTAGGGACCAATATTAACCTCTTAGGGTTTCTTAAGAATATCTCTTTTCAAAGTTTGGGATCAGCATATACGTATCAGGGAACCGAATAAGAAAGCACAGTGCCACAGAAAGAAAAGGTTAATTATAAAGAAACTGAGCCCTTTCTTTGCAATAACAAAATAAAAAAAGAGAAGTAGCAAGGAAAGAGGGAAGGAGGGAAAACATTCACATCATTGGGAAAATCAGAAGATGTTACTGGAAATAATGATTGACAAGGAAAAGATTTCCTCATGGTAATATTTTCTTATGCACTTAAATGTAGATGTTTGATTTTTTATAGTGAACCTTATAAATAAGCAAGAAATCAGCATAAAGCTTGGGGTTAAAACACAGCTTGCTTCTACAGGCACAAGATGTTATCTGGAAATATTCTGTCTTTATTTCTTTATTTTTAACACAAAGAATAAAAAGCATATGATGCAGTTAGAGGTGGATTGACAGTGACATTTCATTAATGGTTTGAATAAAGCAATTTCTTTCTTGCTCACAGTACCCAAACAGGCAACCACAACAGAAAGGTAGTTTCCCTTATAATTCTGTCTCTGAAACATCCTTTAAAGATAAATAACCATACATAATTATATATATTTAATTTGGTAGACATTTCTCAAAGAGACGAAAGTTTATACTATATTCAAACGCAACCTCTTTTCCCCCTTTTCTCCTGTTCTTTCTTTAAAGAGAGAAGGAAATGTGACTGCATAATGATCTATCAAGTCAATACTCCTGGGGATATGTATCACACAATTCAATGCAACCTCATTAAACTATTCTAGCATTACATGAGGCTCTACACACAGCATATCAATGCAAAAGTCCATTTTAAATCCCAGAGGTCTGGTTCACATACACAATTGTCTGGAAAATTCATGCTGAATGCCCTCATTATCCTGAATTATCCAGGTATTAGATATGTTGGTATAATTTGTGGAAATAAACAAAGGCCACCCAAATGAGTAAAAGCAAAGGCTATTTATTCTGAGCTTGCTATAGCAAGGGAGTCAGTCACCATCACACACATTAGAAAGAGATTCAAACTTAGGCAAACGAGTGGTAAAGCTTTATAGTGGAAGAAAGGGAGGACTTCAAGTATGCCCTGACTGTAGGCTGTTGACCTGGGAAAATTATAATCACGTTAACTAGAATTAGGACATCTTATGTGATTGAAGAGGGGTGCATATTTGGCTTTGCAGTTGATCCCAAGTTGGAAATGGAGGCAAAAATTAGGAAAGCTGTCTGTTAATCGATTAAGTCCTGGCCATGTGGGGCCAATTGCTACAAGCTTTATTGTTTGGTTTCTTGTATTGGTTTACCGCACATACTAGGTTTATTTCCTGGACTAGTTACTGCAAATTGTAAATCAGAGTTCCATTTTTACGCAAAGTCTGGTCATTTTTCATTTGTATATCCAGTCTCTTGTAAATTAATTTCATATAGGTCTGCTTTTGGTTTTCCTTTCCTTTTTTTTTTTTTTTTTTTTTAGCTAGAGTCTCTCTCTGTTGCCAGGCTGGAGTGCAGTGACACGATCTCAACTCATTGCAACCTCTGCCTCTCAGGTTCAAGCAATTCTCCTGCTTCAGCCTCTTGAGTAGCTGCAACTGCACTCCAGCCTAGGTGAGAGAGAAAGACCCTATCTCAAAAATAAAATATATAAAGTAAAATAAAAAGACTAAACCCAAAACAGTCAAGGGGGCACAGGTTAATTGTACAAAGAGACCATATTATGACAATACCTGCCCATGCTGTATTTCATTGCCTCTTCCTGAGCCTACATATATGGCCTCATGTGGTATTCTCTATGACCAATTAGAAGAAGAAAAGCATTGGCCTGGCTCATTTATAGATCTATACTGCATGTAGCAAAAATTCTGCAGATGTTGCACTGTAGATGGCAAGAAAAAATCCTGCAATAAGGCAGAATTTTGGGCGGTCTATTCTGTTGCACACTTTGTATGGAAGATGGCCTGCCTGAATTACATATGTATTCTGATTTACGAGCAATGACTAATGATTGACCAGCTGATCAGGAATTTGGAAAGGACAAAATTGGAAAATTGATAACGAATCATCAATGGAGCTCTGAAACTAAAGAGATTATTCTGATAAATGCCCACTAAAGGTTGAGGAAACTCTAAATAAAGAAAGGGATAAGATCATTCATCTCTTAGATACCAATCAGCCTCTTTCCCCAGCCATCCCAGTGCTTACTCAATGTACCCAGGTACAAAGTGGCCATGGAGGCATGGACGAAGGCTCACAGCATGGTCTTTCTCCATCAAAGCAAGTTCGACTACCATGATGGCTGAGTGAATTGCCAATAGAAAAGGCCCATGCTGAGCCCTCTATATGGCATCATTTCCCAGAGAGCTGTCAGCTTGCAGGGTGGTTCCACTGGGCCATGCTTCTTCTAAAGTGGGCAGCATCTTGCCCTCACAGGGGGAAACACATATTTATTTTCTTACCTGAGGTGTTTCAGTCAGCCTCATTATTTGTAGACTTAAAAATGCCTCATCCATCATTGTGGTGTCTCACACAACAGTTAAAACATAAAAATACTGTTAAGACATAAAAATAAGTCTTAACAGTAGACATATTTTATAAAAGAGCAATATCATTTACAACCACAGAATTCAGTGACTTTATCACATGCCCCAACTTCCAGACGCAGCTAGCTTGATAAAGTAGTGACCTGTCCCACCGAAGGTTCAGATATAGTCCCACCTGAGAGCCAACACCCTGCCTTCAACCAACATCACCTCCCCATGGTCAAGAGGTTCAGGAGTCAAAAGCTGGAAGTGAGAGAGCCCCCTCCCACTCTTATCTATCTAATAACCTACTGGAAGTATTTTTTCTTCTTTTTCCTGTGAACTTGAGTTACATGTCTTTGGAGGTTCTACTGCCCAGTGAAGAAAAGCTTCCATCAAGGCAGAAAGTCATCTTCCAGATGAATTGGATGCGAAGTCAGCCTCTATCCATTTTCAGTTTCTCATACCTCTAAACAACACACAGAGAAGAGGGGAGATCACTGCACTGGGTGGGGTGATTGATCCCAATTATCAGAGAGAAATTTCATTATTGCTACCCAAAACCAGTAACAATAATTATATTTAGAACACAGAAAATTCACTGAATTGCTTCTTAATACTCCTTTGCCCCATAAAGCTGGTTAATGAAAATCTGTGATGACCAAATAAAGACTTAAACACCAAGAACTCAGACTCTGTAGAAATTAAAGTTTCATTATCCTTGCAAAGTAAAGGACCCTGTTCAGCTGAGATTTTGGCAAAAGTCAAAGGGAATAAGGAATCTGTAATGGAAGAAGGCTGCTATCAGTGCCCACTTAAACCTCAGAATGCTACAGAGGCAGAGATTATTGCAGTGGTTTATGTTTCTTTAGACAGTTTTCTTTCTCCTCATATTTTTTGTTACAAACTTAAATGAAGAAGGTGACTAGTGTTTAAAGTTTCAAGAGAAATGTAACTACTCTGAGGTTTCCCCATGATGATAAAGTTGCTGATGGGACTTTCTGAGTCCTTTGTTTGGGATGCTAAGGGGGAAAGGGGACAGATCATGTCGGTTATCATCTCTGTGCTTATCCAGATCGAGCAGTCCCCTTTCTCTGCCAACTCTCTCCCACAGCAGGCCTACCTAGGTCCCACGTCCAACAGGGCTTTCGTGACTTTGGCTTCAGCTAATTTGGGACCTCCACCAAAAAAACTGGAGAATGTGTGATATTTTGATTTACTATAAAAATATATGTTTGGTCTTTGTCTCTGTTCCTGGCACAGGGCTCCTAAAACTCTTGGAATTGCGTAGGTTGTTAAGTACAACAAAGGTGAGTGGAGCAACATTTATTATTCATGATAAGCCCCTTTCACCACTCAAATTATGTTAATAAGGTGATTTTTGAAAAGCCTACAGGATGGGGGCTGGTTTCCAGGGGAACCAACTTTGGGATAAGAGGGTTAAAACTTTCAGCCTCACTGCATCCCCCTACTTCCAGGAAGGGGAGAGGGGCTGGAAATTGACTTGTCACCAATGGCCAGTGATTAATCAAACATGCCTTATAAAAACTCAAAAGGACAAAGTTCAGAGAGCTTCTGGATTGGCTAACACAAATAGGTACTATGAAGGCAGCATGCCTAGAGACACCATGGAAGCCCTGTATCCCTTCCCCACATCTGGCCCTGTACATCTCTTCCTTCTGACTATTCCTAAATTATATTATTTTATAACAAACTCATAGTCTATTAAAAAAGATCTCTTTTCCTGAGTTCTGTGATTTGTTCTAGCAAGTGATCAAACCCAGGGAGGGAATTGTGGGAACCTCTGATGTGTAGCTGTTGGTCAGAGCACAGGTGACGACCTGGACTTGCCATCGATCTGAACTGGGGACAGTCTTGTGGGACTGGGCCCTTACCACGTGGAAACTGATGCTATCTCCAGGTAAATTGAGTCAGAAGTGAGTTACATTACAGGACACTCAGTTGGTGTCCACCAAAAAGTGAAGAATTGCTTGATGTCAGAAGTGGAAGATTGAGAGTAAGTGTGGGAGTATAGAGAGTATAGAGAAAAACAGTGTTTTTTTCCCCTTTTAGGTAGAGGAGAATGAGGTCAGGATGCTTATTTCCCTGGCTACCTCCCTATAAAGTTGTCAAAGGCTAGCAGAGTCCCCCAGCCAAGATCTTCCTCTCAATATAGCCTGCTCTGCAGGACTTTCTCTTCTTGTTGGTTCTGATTCACTCTCTGCCTTTATTCCTTCAGGTCTGTGGGGGTAATTGCCCTGTTGCTGCTTGCCCCAGTCCTGTACTACCTACCACCTGCCCACACATTTGCAATAAGGTTTTCTCAAAGTATCCTAATTTGAATGTGCTACCTATTTCTTATTGGGAACTTAACTAACATTATTGGTAAGAAAAATGAGAGCATAGATATTAGTTAACAGATGATTGAGAAGATGAAAGAGATGCTGATAATCATTATTTTGACCTAAAGTTACTGTGGTGTGGTGGTTTTAAAATACGTCAACAAATTCTGTGGTATTCTTTCCTCCAAGAAGTGGAGCTTAATCCCCATCCTTGAGTGTTGGTAGGACTTAGTGACTTGCCTCTAATGGATAGAATAAAAGTGGAAGTGATAGTATACAATTTCAGAGACTATGTTGTTAAAAGTACAGTGAATTCTTCCTTTCTCTCTTTGATCATCTGCTTTGGGGAAAGCCGGTTACCATGTCATGAAGACACGGAAGAAACTCTGAAGAGGTACATGTGGTAAGGAGCTGAGGCCCCAGCCAATAATCATATGAGTTAGTCATCTAGGAAGACGATCCTCCAACCTCATTCAAGCCTACCAATGACTGTGGCCCCTGTCTATATCCTGACTGCAACTACATGAGGGACCCTGCACCTGAACCACCCAGGCAAGCCACTTCTAAATTCCTGACTCACAGAAACTGAGATAATAAATGTTTATTGTTTCGAGCCAATAAGTTTGAAGTGATTTGTTATGCAACAATAGACATCTGATGTACTTGGCTACAGCTAAGATGATCATTAATAACAACCATGGTTAATATTTATTGGATGCTTATTGTACATGAGTTACTGTGCTAAGTGTTTCATTTAATCTTCACTCATATCCTATGAAGCATGTACTATTATTAGCTTCATTATATAAATTAGGAGCCTGAGGCACAAGGAAGTTAAATATCCTAACCAAGGACACATAACCTACACTGTTATAAGATGCACATTTTTTCATGCTTAACATCTCTGAAATTAGGGTGCCTCTTATAATCAATGATGTCTTACAATTGCTGGCAACCAGGCAGCAGTTTGATATAATTGCCATTTCATGCACATGTGTGGCCTTGGTCATAGCTGTTCATATTGTTCTTGCTTCAATCACGTTATAAACATTGAGTTTAATTGCTGTTTAAAATATCTTCAAAGGAGTATACTATGACTTGGCATTAAAATTAAAAGTTATTGTGTACCCAAAGAGACAAAAATAGAGCAGCAGATCATAAATTTTTTATTTGAGAAACAAATATTTATCACTGGAGGAATAATAGCAAGTCCATATTTTCTTGCAGAACAATAACGAAATCCTTTATGAGATCAAAGAAAGGATGATGCGCACACATAGCTGAAGCTGTTTCTCTTTATTCTTGAGAGACACGCAAAAGCATTGCCTATCATGTGCCAAGCAAGACATTGTAGTAAATGGCCAAATTCCTTGAAAAAGAAGAAAGAAACTTTAAAGCCATGAGAGATTGTTGCAACTAATGCATGCATCATAGAGAACCACCATAAGGCATTGCTTCCTAGTTTAATTGGTGGCATTGTTTTCCTTCTTAGTGTTTAATAGAATAATAGTGTATCTTATGATTGATGATGTCTTAGAGATAAAATATGTTAAGTGGTGGGGCTGCGATTTGAATCTGGGTGACATGATTCCAGAGTTTATACTCTTAATCACTGCGCAAAGTGCCCCCTAGATGACTGGGTTTGTAGGGAGTGCTTAGGAAATGCCTAATCAATTTTCTATGGTAACTTAAATGAAGGTTATTCAAACTAATTTTCATCTCTTGAAAACTTCTGGCAATTGGTTGCACAACAATGTGAATATACTTAACATTACTAAACTCTACACTTTAAAATGGTTAAGTTGGTAAATTTTATATGATATGTATTTTGCCACAACTAAAAATAAAAATAAATAAGTAACTATAATAAATAAAATATTTGGCCAGGCACAGTGGCTCATACCTAAAATTCCAGCACCTTGGGAGGCTGAGGTGGGAGGAATGTTTGAGGCCAGGAGTTTGAGACTAGCCTGGGCAACATAGAGAGACCCCATCTCTACTAAAAATGTTTTAAAATAGCTGGGTATGGTGGTGCACACCTGTAGTCTCCATTACTTGGGAGACTGAGCTGGGAGAATCACTTTACCCTGGGAGGTTGAGGCTGCAGTAAGCAGTGATTGCACCACTGCACTCCAGCCTGGATGACAGAGCGAGGCCTTGTCTCGACATACATAAATAAACAAATAAATAAATAAATATAAAATAAAATAACATCTCAAATATCTAATTTATTTTCTGTCTTTGAGCCATGGTGGAAGTTATTAGCAGAGGGAGGAAGACGACGTAGTATTCTAAATCACAGTATCAAAAAGCTTTAAGTTCTACATCTTGATTAGGGTGATGAATACACAATACTTGTCAAAACTCATCAAACTGCAAACTTAAAATGAGAACATTTACTGTATATAAATCATACATCAACAACAAAGTTTTTGTTTGTTTGTTTGTTTGTTTGTTTTAGACATGGTCTCACTCTGTCACTCAAGCTGGAGTGTAGTGGTGAGTGGTGTAATCACAGCTCACTGCAGCCTTGACCTCCCAGGCTTAAGCGATTCTCCCACTTTGGTCTCCTGAGTAGATGAGACTACAGGCATGCAACACCACACCCAGTTAATTTCTTTAATTTTTAGTAGAAATGGAGGTCTCACTATGTTATTTAGCTGGTCTCGAACTCCTGGCCTCAAGCAATCCTCCCATCTTGGCCTACCAAACTGCTGGGATTACAGGCCTGAGCCATCGCAACAAAGTTGATTTTTAAGACAATATTGAAAATGTGGATGGAGAACCAGGCCTGGAAACAAACTAGTTAACATTATTGATAATAAACTTGGAATTTGTTGAGATAATTTTCAATCTTATTTCCTTAATTCATCATATTGGCTGTTCTATCTGGGCTTCATATCACAATGCATATGTGAGAAGAATGTACATCCTGTCTATGGTATTTCCCTAATATAGTTTCCAATATAGTTTCCCAAAAGAAGGGTTTAGCATGACTTGTTCATGCTGATCCCACACCGGTTCCTAGGGAACAGCACACTTTTATCCAAGCATTCACAACACATTTCATAATCCAAATTTGTCAACTTAACTTTGAACAGAATAACTATTAGTAAGTTAAGTTGACAATGTTAATTTATTCTTCACTTTCCCTTTATGAAGTAGAAAGAAGTACAAACAAGTTCCTTTCCCTTCAAAACGAAGCAGTTGGGAAGAATTTCTCACGTCCTCATTCGGAGCAAAGAAGATGGAAATTACAGGAGTCTGTCCCCCTCAGTCTCTGGCTGCAGGAGAAAATTCTGTGCCTACACTTTCAAAAGAATGCAGGCAACTCTTGGACTAATGGATCTCACCTCTTCTTGAGCCATTTCTCTGTTGCAAAAGATGGAAAAGGTAGAGATGCTGAAAAAGATGGAGAGTTCCACTCAGCCCCTGCCAAAGAAGCCTAGGGAGTAGACATCCTCTAGGGCACAAATATTGGATGTGATACAGGAAGAGAAGTTTGAAAGGAGAGGAATACAAACACAAGTAGATAATGCTGCGCTGTAGGTTTCCCTCTGTCATGTGCTAAGTAATGCAGCTGAAGACAGGAGACTGATTTTAGCCTTGGGTTACCAGCACTGGACTAGATAGTTTGGTTGTGAAGATAGTTGTAGAGCAGTTAGATAAACTGTTCACCAAGACTGGTCTACACTAAAAACAAAGTAAGGGAGAGGGTTTCAGGTCACTCTGTCTTTTGTAGTGCTCTATCTGGACCACACAGTTATCCTGGATTTAATTGCCTACCAAGATCTCCTACACACCAGAGAGGGGTAAAGCAGGGCTGAGCATGCACAGTATGAGTTCATTTTAGGGGAACAAACAGTTTTGCGGTGGGGTGGAAGCGGGAACATCAAAGCCAGAATGTAAAAATGCAGTACCTCATATAGACTTTTCCATTGTTTTACCAAAGGGCCTGAATCAAATAGCTCACCAGCTCAGTACCTCTGTTCTGCCTTGTATAAATTGAGGCAATACTGAATTCTGTCCTTTCTCTCTCTTCCTTGTGTCTTCCTTCCTTGTATTTATTTATTTAACTGCTATTTCTTTAACACCGTGAATGCAAGTCACTGCTCAAGGCCCTATAAAATGGGCCTTGCTCTCACAGAGCTTATATGCTAGTGAGGAAAACAGATGTTTATTTAAATAAGTAAACTCTGATAAATGCTATAAAGGCAAAGAACAGATGACTCACCTCTTAGTGGAGTAACGTGCAGTAATATGTGGAGAGGCCCTCTGTGGGAAAAACTTGAGTAGGAATATTAATGATGAAGATATTAAACTTGCCGGAAGAGAGAAGGGCTGTTGAGATTGTAGAGCATCAGCAGTTCAATTGGGATATGTGGAGAGAATGAAAGGCAGAGAGAGAAAGAGGCAGAGGCACTGAGAGAGGAGGCAGAGAGAGGGGGAGATATGGAGAGAGAGAGAGAGAGAGCAAGGAAGGAGAGAAGAGATCTCTCCAGCTCTCACTTTCCCCTCCTCTCTCACTCTCCTTGAGGAGGGCCTGACTCTCACTAGCTCAGCATTTCATCAACAGTCCATGCAGCCAACAGCAACCTTTGCTCTCACTGGTCTTCATATCTCCTTTTTCCCTTTGGAGGGGGAAGTGATTGGGGAGTGGAAAAGCATGCATGTGCTGTGTCCAGGCTATCTATCAAGACAGGCAGAGGAGGGCACCAGGGAGGGCTGAGATTTCCAAATCACACTGTCAGGGTGAACTTAATGTTTGTTGTTAATGACTTTGACGTTATTAGGCTAGACAGAGGGATGTCGATGTGAATCATTTTCAGTGTTATTCCATATTCATAATGGACTAAATATAGTAAGAGGAATGGGACTGGCGGGCACGGGCCTCTGGTTGGTCATAGTGGATGATTCCCATGATGAAATTAAATGCCAGCCCAGCTCTTTTGTTCCCTAAGAGGCACAGAAACCCATATCCCTAGCCTCCAACCCAAAGATGAAACCGAGACACAGTTGTTAGATTTTTACCCTTCTTTCCCAGTAGCCAAATTCAAATAACATTTCATGAGGCCAGGCACTCGGTTCTGATTTGTGGAGATTTAGAGTCTACAGGTGCCGCCAGGGGCAGCCAATCCCAACCTGTCTCTTCCTAAGGCAGTCTGTGCCTCTACTCCGTGCCAAAGCCTGGGGGTAGTGCTTTTCATTAAATGAGAAGGTTAATGTTTTCACATATGTAAAAGAGAATAGGGTGGGGGAGGGGTTGCAATGAAATGAAAATAAATAAGCCTTTTTCTTTGTAAATCGTGAAAGGCAGAGGTCAAGAAAAAAAAGAAGTGAAGAAAAAATGGTCATTGTTTTATTTGTAGAATTCAAAACTAAGAACTCAGCTGGAATGCCTAGTATGCTAGAAGTTCTAGATCATAAGTTTTGATGGATTACATTTATTGTTGACTGTATGCAATATATCATTTAACATTTAGTCCCAAATAAAGAAAAAAAGAATTTATTAATTTGGTTTTTATGTATAAAATTTCTGATTATAAAATAATATATATTCAACATAAAACAACTGAAAAAAATCAATAGGTAAAATTACATGTAATCTACCACCCTAGGATGACCACTCCAGAAATTTTGTCTCTCATTCAATACTTTTCCTATGTATGTATATTGATGAGTGTTTGTGGTATGTAAATATATTTGTTGACATCTCTCTGTATATTTTACATCTATATCTATATCTTCAACCATGTTCTGATTGGCATATGTATGCACATTATACTGCCTTGAGGTAATAAACTTTAAAATTCTTCAGTATAGACAATGTGATAAATGTGTGTATAATTTAATTTGAATATTCACCTGGAGTGATTCAGAAGTGTTTACTTAACACGTAAAAATTTATGGTCAAGATCTATACCAGTAGGTTTGCTATCACCATTATTGATTTTAGAAATAATTTTGGGAAGAGAAAAGTAAGCGGTATTCAGGATATGCGTCCTGGTTTTTTCTATTGTGAGCACTAGATTTCCCAGAGTCCCCTCATGCACCACTCTGAGCCAGAGTTGCTAAGAGGAGGATTTGCATGAGATTTGAGATTTGGGAGCTGGAAGGGAAGCAGCATTACTCTCTGAAGACTTTTGCAGTTTGATACATTAACAAACGAGCAGACGTGCCTAGCGTGCTCTAGCTTGTCCTTACTCTCCTTCTTCCCATGTCTTGCTCTTTTAACTCTCAGTCCTATTGTCCAACAACAGCCCGAACTAACTCCAGACTCTTGTCACAGATTCACAGAGGCTTTCCAATCACCCCTCCTTAAGTCTTCCTCTATGTGGTCTCACTTTGATCACCTCCCACATTTGGTTTTTTAGATTCCCTTGCAAGTTCCAACTTTTCGACCTGCACCAGTGCCTTTTTGTCTGATCGTCTAGCTTCCCATTCCACACTTCTATTTCTTAAACTCCTCCCACAATTATGTACGGTGTCACAATTGTGTAACGTATGATAAATGCGTTGTTCCATTACACTGAGTCACTCTGCTTCTCTGACTGAAATCTGAATGGCAATTTTTGTTCCAGAAGTGGCTCCAGGTGAATAGAATCTAAAGGATGAGAATCTCTGATCTGACTATTTTTAAAGGTGTTAATGACCCTATTTCTAGCGGTCAGTGGGAGACACGGGTAAATAGAAGTCCATGGCATGCAGTACTATAATAGTTATTTAATTCATGACGTGTGGTCACATGGAGTCAAGTGCCTGGAGAAGACAGTTTTGAGTGATCAAGTAGCTACTGCCATAAAACATTTTAGATTTTCGTGGAAATAAAGAGTATAAGACTACGGGATTGGTTGGTTGCATCTAATTATATTGTAGAAAATGAAGAAGGAAAATAAGAAGCTCAGCACATTAAATTTCCAAATCAAGGTCGAGATACATGGCCACAAAACAGTTCTGGCTGCCCTATCTTTTCTCACTTCAGGTTGAGATTTCTGAAGAATAACTCCAAGTTTAATCTTATAAATGGCGGAGTTATAATGCAAATTGAATTTACAAGTTTGCAGAATCTCTCACTTAGAGCATTCGTTGGTAAGGAGTAGAATGCCAACATTTGGAATGGGGATATGTGCATAGATTCAAATGAAGTTAATTACTTTGAATTCTTATATTCTGCCAAGATTGCATGAACTAGATACATACCTTTCTCCCTTGTCTGAGGAGATTAGCCTCCTCTTCCCTGAAGGACCTACAATGGTGTCTCCCACTTTGCATGGAATTTCTGATTCTCCTCAAGACCTACCCCTACAACATCTCATTACTCTTAGAGCTATATCCAGACTCAAGTCTCAGCAGGCCCCAAGGAGTCAGTGAAGAACTATAACACATGAGGTATCACACACAGAGAATGAATTGCAAGATTCTGACAATTATATAATCAGATATTTAGGGGAACATGTCTGGAAAAGAACCCTATGACATGGATAAGGATGGAAGGGGTATAATATTAGACCAGGACAAATTTACTGATGCCTATAATAAGCAAAAGTTCTGGATTCAATGAATTACTACTAATAGTTTGCATAAAAGTTGATTTCTAATTGTATGCCATCTATAAGAAAGGCACTTCAAATATAAATAAATTATATTAAAATATCTTACCATAACTTTATAACAGTTCTTAAAATCAGACTTTTAAAATTTGTTGAGATATTTATGGCTCAGCAAACAATTTATATTTTTTCAAAGATTGTGTATTCCATTCTTTTTGTGGCTATAGTGTTCTATAAAAATCTATTAGGTAAAGGTGATTGATGGTATTATTCATTCTTAATATCTTCCTAGCCTTACAGATTTTTCATCCAGTTGTTCTATTACTGACAATGGACTGTTAAGATTCCCAAAATATAATTTACATTTACATTAAAATAGTAATGTTAAATTACAGTTATTACAATAATAAAGTAAAATTTTATACCAATAAATTTAACTTAGATAAAATAGACAAATTCCTTATAAAATTACAACATATCACAACTGACACAAGACGATACGCAAAATGTAAACAGTTGTATCTACTTATAAAATTTCATGGGTAATTTTTTAAAAAAACTTTTCCACGAAGAAAACTCCATGCTCAGATAGTTTCAATGGTGAACTCTTCAAATATTCAAAGGAAGAAATAATAGCAATCTTACACTTTCATAACATGGAGGAGGAAAAAGTCAATTTCTTTATAAGACTCACATGACATTAATTTCTAAATCTGACAGGATATCACAAGAAAAGAAAATTTTAAAAAGCCATTTTTACATGAACAAAAAATATCCTTAACAAAATATAGCAAATCTCATGAAGACTAGCAGAGTTTATTCTAGAAATGCAATACTATGTTAACAACTGAAACAATTAAAGTAATGCATTGCAATAACAGAATGAAATAGAAAAATATGATTGGCTTGATAGAGGTGAAAATTTTTGTCAAAATTTACCATACATTTATGATTTTTAAATTCTTAGAAAAACTGAGAATAAAAGGAAGCTTCTACAACTTGATAAAAGGTGTATATGAAAAAACCTATGTGATCATTATTTATTTATTTATTTATTTTTTGAGACAGAGTCTCACTCTGTCACCCAGGCTGAAGTCCAGTGGCATGATCTCGGCTCACTGCAACCTGCGCCTCCTAGGTTCAAGCAATTGTTCTGGCCTCAGCCTCCCAAATAGCTGGGACTACAGGCGCACACCACCACACCCAGCTAAGTTTTTTGTATTTTTAGTGGAGATAAAGTTTCACCATATTGGCCAGGCTGATTTCAAACTCTTGACCTCGTGATCTGCCTGCCTCAGGCTCCCAAAGTGCTGGGATTACAGGTGTGAGCCACTGCACCTGGCCTGTGGTCATTATTTTTAACAGTGATAATAGTGGTATATTAAATTATTTCCCCTGAAGATTGGGGGAAAGGCAGGGATGTCTATTCTCATCCCTCCTAGTGTTATTCAGAACAGTTATTTTAAAAAAGTATAAAGTTTGGATAGGAAGCAGTGAAATATTCATAGATAAAATAATTGTTTATATAGAAAATTTTATGTAATCTTCTTGAAAAAAATCTACTAGACCTGATAAGTAGAATTAGAAAGGTTACTAGATACAAGGTTAATATCTTTTTAAAAAGCAAAAAATTGGAAAATGAAACTTAAAAAAATGTATTTACAATAACATCAACATAAAAAGTAAAAATAAATTTACCAAAAATCATGCAAGACTTCTACCTTAAAAATTTGAAACTACCGAGATAAAGCAGAAAATGCCTTAATGAGCAGAGATATACCATTTCCATCAGTTGAAAGACTCAACATTGTTAAGATGTCAGTTCTCCTGAAATTGATCTATAAATTAAACACAATCTCAATCATTCTACCTACAGACTTTTTAAACAGAAATTGGTAGTTGATTCTAAAATATTCATAAAAATGCAATGGTCCAGATTAATCAAAACAATCTCAGAGAGAGAGAGAAAGAGAGAGAGGCCAAAGTTGAATTCTCAAGCCTGATTTCAAGACCTGCTAAAAAGCTACAGTAATCACATGAGTGTGGTATGGCATAATGATAGAGAGATCAGAACGGAGCACAGAAATCGATCCCCACACATACAGTATACTGATTTTCAACAAAGTTACCAAGGCAATTTAATAAGGAGAGAAAAAAATATTCCAACGAATTATGCTGAAACAACCAGTTAGTACGGAAAAACAAACAAACAAACAAAAAACCTCTATCTCTCTACCTTATATTGCTATTTTAATTAGACTTTCTTTTTCATCGCAACAACCCAGTAGTTTGCCTTGGGTCTCGGCTGTGAAACAGGTTCAGGTAGACTCCATGTGTCTTTCATTTTGGGGCACAAATTGAAAAAGTAACACTGTATGAAGATTGCTCTTTTATTAAATAACAAAACTAGGAATATAAGAGGTGAAAGATTAACTCACAAGCACATTTAAAGCCTCTGCTCAATACGGTATCCATCACATATACTCCCAGTCCATTGGATGAAGAAATCACATGGCCAATCCCAACCTCCAAGGGATGGGGAAGTACACTCCTTTAGAGTGGAGGGGGGAGAAGTGAGCATTTGCTGAACAATAATATTATTTTACGTATCTTCCTCTTTCTTGTTGCATATTTGAAAAAATATTTATTCTACCTCCTTAGAGTAAGTAGACTTAGAGTTTGGCTGAGTGCAGAATTCTCCGTTTGAGAATAAATTTTCCTAGTATTTCAAGGGAATTGTCCCACCCATGACTTACAGCATCCAGAATTCCTGATGAACAATCCAGTTTTTTCTGTTGCAAATGACCTGCTTTTTCCTCTCTGAAAACATCTTTTTTATCTAAAATTCCACTATAATATGTCTAGTTTGATAGTGTTTCACTCATTCTAACTGATGATAGGGAAGACTTTTCAATCTGGAAATTCATAACTCTCATTCTTGAAAATGCCATTGTACTACTTCTTTGATAATTCCCCCTTTTCATTTTCTGAGCTCTCTTTCTGGAACTCTGTCCTAGACTGACCTTTTAAGTCTGACTTTTTAATTTATATATTGCACTTGGGCCTATTCGTTCTATGTTTTGAGAGCTTTTTCTTGGTATTGTTTTCCAAGCTTTCAATGGAATATTTTTCTTTAAATATGTCAATTAAGATGCTTGTGGCCTTTGAGTAAGTAAGGATTCAACACAAAATAGGTTAAACAAAAAGGGGGTTATCTCCAAAAGCAAAAAGTTCAGAGGTGGGTAGCAAAGTGGTTGATTAATTCAACTGCTTAATGACATAGGGCTGTGGCAGCTGTATTATGTCACCCTTGTCACTTGGCTTACAGACTTTTAGTAACAGGATGGCTGCAGCAACACCAAGCATTGTATCTCCACACAACTAGATCTAAAGGAAGAAAAGGAATCATCTGTCTTGTGTTCTTTTTTAAGAGCGAGAAAAACTGTCCCAGAAACCCCATAACAGACTTTTCTTCAAACTTCATTGGCCGATATTGTATCACATACTCATTCTTAAGCCAGTCATATGACAGAAGGAATAGAATTTTCACACTAAACTAATCAAGACCCACTTCTGGTGATGCGGAGGAACTAAGTCTTCCCTGAAACACAAGACATTTGGAGAAAGGTGCACACAATCAGGATTCTGCCAGAAGAGGGGAGATGAGGTGAGCAGTTGTAGCATAAGCAACTCAGAGTGCTATATTTGGCAATCAGAGTCTTAATGTCAAATAGCTCCTTTCTGTTTTGATTGTTCTATTTTCATGATATAATTTCTTGTTTTATGAATGCAGTTATTCTTTTATCTCAGAGGATTCTAATTAGTTTTATAGACTCTCTGATATTTTTCTTACACATGTTTTTTACGACATTGTTTTTTCTATCTTATCTCCATCAGGCTGGCATTCCTGAACAGTCTATTGATCCTTAGTCATGCCTATATCTTAAATGTGACAACCAAGAGCAGACTAGGGGCTTAATGCCTATGGATGGGATTTTCATCTGGCAGGCTATGGCCCAGGATAATTAGGCCAGAAGTGTGCAGCTATTTCTCAGGAAGATCTTTAGGATAAAAAGCGCAGATATTTTTTCTAAAGGAAATTGAATTTCCCAATTTGGAAAAAAATTTAAGGGTGGGGAAGTGAGTAAGGAAAAACACGTGTTCAGGAAAACAAGTATGTATATGTACTTCCAATTAATCCAATTTATAACTCCATGTTAACTTCCTATCCACTCTTCTAGCCACGTGCCTGCAGCCTCTGCCTTGGTTTCTGTGCTACAGAGGTTCCCATTCTGTCCTTCTTCTGGCCTCAGCCCTCCCCACTGGCAAGGAGTTCAAAGGACCAAGGAAACATCCATCCAATGCTCACAGTTCCCCTTTTTGACCATGCTCTGGCTAACCAGGATCTAAGAATTCTCTGCCCAGTCAGCTCCAAGCTCTCTTCCTTCCAGAGACTGTTCAGCCCTCTTTCCTAGGCCTTGAAAGTTAGAAGGGGAGGTCACTTGTAGGTGTGGATGAAGCTCCAACACGTGCCAACTGGGTTGACTACACAGGCACACAGGAGGCCTTTTGTGGTGCAGAGCAGAGGTAGGGAGTAAGGGAAGGGGTGCTGGCTGGGGGTTGAGGACACTATTTGTACCATTCTCCTGGGCCCCACAAAGAACATGAAGCTTGTTTGCCTCTATCTCTCTCATTCCTGGTGCTTGCAAATTCCATACCTCGTTGGGATTAGGAAGGTAAAGAACAGCTTCTTCATTTATATCACCCAGGTGTTCTCTAAGTTCATGCTTCCCAAACTTGACAATATGTAAGAATCAATTGAGCTTATTAAATAGATTTCTGGCCCAACCCACAGAATCTTATTCAGTAGTTCTGGCAAGTGGCAAGGGACCCTAACACGTTCTCGGGTGACCTGCTGACCCATAGACCACAATCTAAGCATTGCTTTGTACAGGCCTCCTGCACTCCTATGTCTTACTTCAGCAATTTCAAATTTCCTATCTATTCTCTCTTTCTCTCTCTCTGTCTCTCAGAAATTTATTTAAATTTTTATCTGCAATGTTTCTTCATTGTTGTGTTTTATGCCTTTGAAATTTTTATTTACTATCATTTTAGTGGCTTCTTAAGGGGAAGAAAAGATAAATGTATGTGATCAGTCATATTTTTTGTGAAAGTTTTATAAAAGTTTTTTTAATTGGTATTTAAAGGGGTAATTTTTATTTAACTGAAAATTAACTTAAGTGACCTGCCTCTTCTTTCTGATGGTGACAGATAAATGGAGTGTTACAGTATTATCATAAAATAATAGTTTTGAGTCTAAGACTTGATTTGACCTCTACTTGACCTAATGCACATGAATATTATTTTACCCTAGCAGCTTCATCTGTAAAATGTCAATATCATAATTATACTTGATTCACATTTAATAGGAGTATTTTGAGGTTAAATGAGAAATTACTTATGAGACATTTCCAGGACTTGCATTGCAGTAATCGGGCTCCATATTTATGTAGGTCTTGGCTCTGAGTCGCCTCAGACCCAACACAGACATTGTCTAAGTCACCATTCCCTGGCATACTGGAAAGAAATGCAATATAATTGGAAGAGAATAAGCGCTGGAGTCAGACAAACCTCAGTTTGAATTTGATCTGAGCCACTAGCTACCTGACCTTAGGCACATTTCTTAATTTGCAGAAAATGGCATCAGACAAAGATCTAATAACTTTATTTAAAAATGCATGCTAATTGATAATAAAAACAATAGAATCCTAAAAGATAATATAAAAAAACAAAAATTCACAAGAAGACAAAATGCTGCTAATAAATGAACACATGAAAAATATTCAACCTTGCCATTCAGTTTTTTAAAGATACAGAAATCAAAACAATATATTATTTTTATCTATAGACTGGCAAATATTTTTAAATGACAATACATATTATTATCCAGTGATATATATATGCTTTCGGAACTTGAGGTGCTGTATCATGATAGGACATTTCTGTAAGATACTTAACAGCATGTATGCATCACGATTCTCAAAAATGTCCATATCTCTTGATTTGGCAGTTTTTCTGTTTATTCGTATGTCTCTATGTGTATCTCTTATGAAAAAATACTCTATATGGGGAATAATGAATAAAGATATGGCTGTATTGTCTATAATTAGCTTTCAAATACCTCAGTAGGGAAAGTGTGACAGGTGCATGTTCCTTTTAATCTACACCTTCTGGGAAAATATAGATAATACTTAAACTTTTGTAAAGAGGAACACACATTCTTGAGGGATAATCAAGACACTGTATTCCTGAGGGAATAATAATTAGAAAGCTTGATCATTATATATGGGATATTACAAAGTATTTTTGATGTGCAATAAGTAGAGGTTGGATGATGATGGGGGTGTTCTATAGACTTGTTAGACATTGTGTGTTAGGTACTTAGGAATTTTCTGGGAAATCATCTTAATGTTGTTATCTTCTCTAATTCAGTCTCAGGGACAGGTTCAGCTTCCTGTAGGCCTGAGTTCTATAAAGTTTATCCAAGTAAGAGAGTAGAGGGAATGGATGGAGACCTCTGATGGTGACTGATTGGAGACCTCAGTTTCCTAAGATCCGATGAAGTCCTTCCTTGTCCTTAGGTTAGAAGTAGCTGATGTCTGTCTCTGAGTAGAAAAAACACACATCTTTTCTCCTACTTTCCTCTCCTACCACAGAATGCTTCTATGACCAAATAGGTGGGATTATTTTTTTCCCCACACATGAAGCAAGAAAGCAATTCTCCAGATTCAGCAGCAGACACCAGCTTGATATCTTCTAATTCAATTCAATTCTGACACTATCTACCTGGAGACAGTGTCAGATCCCAAAGGTTGAGGGTTCAGTCCCACAAGAGTGTCCCCACCCATTGAGATGCCAATTGCAAGCCCCAGGTTGTTTCACTTGTACTTCTCACTAATCAACCACAAATTGGGGTTCTCATGACCCCCTCCTGGTTTGATTAATTTGCTAGAGCAGCTCACAGAACTCAGGGAAACACTTACATTTACTGGTTTATTATAAAGGATATTACAAAGGCTATAGATGAACATCAGATGGGAGAGATGCATAGGGCAAGATGTGTGGGAAGGGGTGCCCACTCTAGGCACCTCGCCGTGTTCGGTCATCTGAAAGTTCTCCAAACCCAGCCCTTTGCGTTTTTATGGAAGTCTTGTTACCTAGGTATGATTGATTAAATGCCATTGGTGATCAACTCGACCTTCGCCTCTTTCCCCGGAGGTTGGGGAGTGGGGAAGAAAGTCTCAATCTTCTAATCATGCCTTGGTTTTTCTAGAGACCAGCTTCTAACGTGAAGCTACCTAGAAGCAATTAGTTAACTCATTAGCATATATCACCTTGGAGGTTCTAAGGATTTTAGGAGTTGTATGCCTGAAAACTCCAAAGAAAAGCAAATATATATTTTACAATAGTATACCCTCTGTGAGGGTGGTTTCAGCATTGGGCCTGCAAAGTCAGTGCACCTGGTAGTGTGGGGGCCTTGAGTCTTACTCCAGATGCAGAATCAGCTTCTCCATATTTTGTTCTGAAATGCTCCATTGTTTGGGATCTCCCAAACACTCCACTGTATGGGAATGAAAGGTAAAGCAGAGGCCTAGGGAATTTATGGACCATGCTAAAGAAGGAACTCAAAGGTGAAGTATAGGATATAGGTGCTCCAAACAGTGAGACCACAGGTCTCCATTCAGAAAGAGCTGAGACCCAAGAGAAGGTGAGTGGTGGGTAATGGAGGTCACCAGTTGCTTGACACAGGCCCAAAGCACAGGATGTTGAGGGTGGTCTTATGAGTCACAAGACCTCCAGTAAAGAGCATCTTTTAATGAAGTGTATCTGCCTGGGCTAGAAAGGCAGCTGCCTCCACTAAAGCAGGGCTGGTCCAGAAATATTACCACTGGCATTAGCTATGCTTCCTTAGGCAGACAGCATGTTGAGAAATTCACATTCATCAGCTTGCCTAATCCTTATAGTAATCCTAACTGGCAGGTATTATTATATCCCAATTCACACACTTAGAGGGATTTTATATTTTGCCTAAGACGGTAAATGTGGCTCATGGCACAGCCAAAATGTGAATTCAGGTCCATCAGTTTCCAAATCCCAGCCCCTAGTAAATGGATGGACATGGGATAGCAGATTAACAGTGCCATCAGTCATAGAGGGGACTGCTACCCAAAGTCCAGAGTAGTGAGGGCCTGAGGCACAGCCACTCTCTCCTCCTGCTGGGCTGTGTGGGGTGTCAAGGGGGGAGAGGACCTTGGGGGAAAGGGTCGTGGTGGTAACCATGGCACCCCAAAGACAGAGCCTGCCTCTGAAGTCACATTTCTAAGTACATGGCCGGCACAACCACCAAAAGCAGCTGTGGTCGCAAGCAAGTCAGCTGCTAAGGGGAGGAGGTGTGGCCATGCCTCAAGCCTTGTCACCAGGACTTTGTAAAGGTCCACAAGTTCCCAGAGGCTGGACTGCTAACCCCTGTGGCTACTTCACACTGACTAGGTTCTTCTCTCTAGACCTGGCTCATAGAGATTGGCCTTTTCTCTTCAGGCTTTTGTTCTTAGAGACCGAGTACTGCTGTCCAAGGCCCATCACTCCTGGAACACTGTTTTTTTTTTATTTCCTGGTGAACACTGTTTTATATATCTCACAGAGAGGCTGTATTACTTTACTAGGGCCACCATAACCGAGTACCATAAACTGGGTGGCCTCAACTATAGACATTTATTTTCTCACAGTTTTGGAAGCTAGAAGTCCAGCCTCCACCTTGTCAGTAAGGTGGATTTCTTCTGAGCCCTCTCTCCTTGGCTCATAGGTGGCAGCCTTGTCACTGTGTGCTCACACGGCCTTCCCTCTATGCATATCTGTGTCCTGATGTCCTCTTCTCATAGGACAGCAGTCACATTGGTTAAGGCCGACCCATATGACCTCATTTCATCTTCATCACCTCTTTCAAGACTCCATCTCCAAATAGTCACATTCTGAGCTGTTAAGGATTTGCTTCAATATATAAATTTTAAGGGGATAAAACTCAGCCCAGAAGAGTGGCCAAGTGCGCTTTGTCATTCAAAGAAGAAACTTCGAGGTTGTCTAGAGGCTGCCCATCTCTCAGCTTCTCAGACACCCAGCTGTAGGGAGTTACATTTGCCTGAATTCTCCCACAATGGGGGATCACATATATTGTTATCCAAACCAGGACACATTCCTGGTTTGCCTTTAGGGAATAGGGACTTGAGTCTGTGATTTTATTACTAATTGCATGTGAAGTGTTGTAAGCCCTGTGGAGCACACAAAATTCTAAGGGTAAAAGAGGGAGTTATTGATAATGATGCCAAGAAAACCAGAATAAACTGGAATCATCCCCCAGGTAAGCTGGGAAGTATGGTCTCCTATCCATAAATCCAGAACACAAGATTTGCACATATAGCCACATTTACGGGAATAACCGGACTGTACAGTGTTCCCTGGATCGCTCTAGAGGAAACAGCAATGGAGGCGTGGACTCTGTTTTCAGACAGTGAGTCCACGAGCCCAGGTGAGCTGATCCACCCTCCCTTCTGCTAGCTGCAGGTGAATCCAGCCAGTAGGCTGTGCATTACTGTGCTTTAGTTCTGTGGCTCACTTTCCCTCTGTGCAAGGTGTGAGGACACACCCCCCGCTCCAAATCTCCAAAGGTCAGCTTCTAACAACAGGTGAACATGCTGGTCCTTTTAGGGGACACAACACCCAACTAGGGACAATACCAGCCTCCAGGAAGCATTTGGAAATGACTGGGGACATTTTAATTGTCATGCTGACTAAGGCCAAGAGGCAACAATGCTCAACATCTTCCACTTCTGGACAACATAGACTTGTCCTGCACAAACTGCCCAGAGGAGCACAAATGCAGAATAGCAAAGCCTGGTTAAACACTACAAAGCTGGCTGGAAATTTTCTGTGGTCAGGGAGACCTTTGGCTGGTGATTTTGCCATTCCACTTACTCTGTCCCTGCCTAGGATAAAACTTGTCTCCCTCACCCTCTTCCCACTTCAGAAAAACAGTGAGTCTAGAGTAGAATTTTAAGACAAGATCTGGGATTGAATACTGCCTACTATTTATGTGACCTTGGGCCATCTAGCTAAGTTTTTTTGGGCTTCGTTTTCTTCATCTGTAGAATGGGGGACACACTAGCTCCTCCTACCTGTCTCAAAGGATTTGTGTCTCCCACAGGGCAATATTTGTAAAGTGCTTTGCAAACTGAAAATTCTGCAGCTAAGTCAGTTGTCACCACGATTAGCAGATATGCTTACTTGAGAAATCGCGCCCGATGTGAAATGGCTCAGCCTTTCCTACTGCACTTTACCGGAAGGAGAGAGGAAGAAGGGGAGAAGGGACGGCCTCTGCAGCTTGGCTTTACTTGCTTCCCCCTCCTCCCTCCTGCCCCTTATTTTCATTACAAACAAAGGTCCACAGAGGGCACATTTAAAACGAAGAAGTCGTCACTACTGTCCACCCACTGCCTGGCCTACGTCTTTGTAACAAAGGCCCTCTTGGGTTTTGTTCCCTCCCCTAAACCTTCTTTGCCTCTAGGGAACAGGGAACTGGGGAGTCCATGATTTTATTCCTAATTGCATGTGAAGTGCTGTAAACCCCGTGGAGCACATAAAATTCTAATCTATTTTAGTCCCCATTAATTTCCCACCCCTTTTCATTTATAACTTGCTCTCCTTTCTCTGTAATGCTCCCTTTTCCCTGATGGATTTGTAAATTCCCCTTTTATTCCCTTCCACCCCCTGGCAGGCATTAATTCAACCTCCAGTGAGGTCTTTTCCATGTTTCCCTTTAAATCTTCCTGGGAGCCTCAGTGCTTCTGGAGAGAGGAGTTCAAGGGTGGGTCGGGAGACAGCATGGACAGTCTGACCTCCAGCTCTGGCCCGCTCTCTGGCCTTGCCAATGTCTCACAGGTGTCAACAAGCTGCTTTGTGACTTAATTTTATTGCCTGCGAAATGGTACTCAAGGTACCTGCCCAAGGCACACTTGACAGGCATGTTGTGCAGAGCAGTTAATTAGAGGTGGCCCTAGTGCCCCTCCTCTAACTCTCCAGGATTACGCCCTGCGGCCCCATTCTCTTGCATAGTGGATATAAATTTGCAACCAATACTCTCAGGCGCAAGACATGTCACATTATTTAACTTTTCTAAATTAAATTAAATATGACTCTGAGCCCTCCCTTGTTAGGGTATTGAGGAGTTAAATCAAAATCATTACTAGGCTTCCCCTCTGAAGGGCAATGCAGAGGTGCCAGGGATCTTACCCAGCACTCAGCCTCCAGGAATGGACCCAGGTCTTTGTCCACAAATTTCATAGCTCTAACCACCTTACCTAAATCATCGTCGTCTCCTGAAAATGGAAAAACTCGGGTCCTTGCCGCCAGGGCACACAGAGTCAATCCCCTCTGGGGTAATTTCCCAGCCCTAAGAGCCAGGATGGCACCCAAAATAAGGTTCCCTCCCTGAGAAAGGGAAACTCTCCCTTCATGGGGGTTGGCTCTTTCACCTCTAACCATCTCTCCAACTGCCTTCATCTCCCCACCTACCACCACTGCCACCCCAACCCCGCATGATGTTGTCTCAAAAAGTGTTAGAAACAGGTTAGTTACTTTTTCAGAAGAGGTGTCTGTTTTGCAAAGGGGACTTTATGCAGAGTCTCTTTTGCAAGTTATGTAAACATAAAATCCAATAACAGATTAAAGTTTTGCTGTCTCACCTGCTTCAAAGCTTCTCCCTTCCCCTTCCCTCCCACTTCAGCTCAGGACTGATACAGGCATGGAGCCTACTATGGGAGAGAGGGTCATTCTACTCACACCTCACTTGCTCACCTCTCCAGGGCCCCTGCCCTGGGTGGAGGTGGGGATGCCAAAATGGGCACCATCTTCGGTAGACAGCCCTGCAGTGTCAGGCCTTCTGTATGTCCAAAGCCTCATACTGCATTTAGAGATCCTTGTCCCACTCCGCATTTTGGGGGCCTTCCACCTGAGATTTCCATCTTGATCTGGCCACCCTCAATCTCTTCCTTAGCCTCTGTTCTACCCTTCTGTTGGTGTCACCTTGAACTTTCAGGCCGCCAGTCCACATCCAGCCTGGGAAATAGAGCCACGTACTTGCCCCCTCTGAACTCTGGAAAAGCAGGCTCCCACCACAGGCCTCCACCTCAGGCTGCATCAGCCATCTCTCTTTTGGAATTTTTTTTATTTTAAACTCTTTAAGCCAGGCACCAGTCCCTAGTTACCCTCAAACTCCAAGAAACATATATTAAATCCTCCCCACGAGTTCTCTTGAGATTTGATCCCCTTACCCCACCACTTGGCTCTCTCTAAAGCAATCCTTACTCTAAAACCCTTTAAATCCTCCTTTCCGATTTAATCTCAGATTCTTCTATCGACGCAGCAGTTGGGAGATCCTGCAGAAGTTGTGAGCACCTATTGTTCTCAGCTTTGGGACCCCAAAGACAAGAAGGGTCTCGTTTTATCATCCTGTTACAAACGTGTAGCATAATCTCAGGCAGTGATGAGTGTAATAAAAAATAAACTCGTACAAAGGGAGCAAGGTGACAGCAGGGATCATTTGAAGAGTTGACATTAGAGCAGAGAGGTGGACAGTTGTAGGGCTGCCCAGACAGGTGTCTGGGGAAAGAGCATTCCAGGAGGAGTATGTGGCAAGGGTGTGGTCCTGACATGCTGCAGGAGATGAGACCAGCTGGTGCAGAAGGAACAGGTGAGCCGGCTGGCCAGGAGGAGGGAATGGTAACCAGACGGCAGAGCATTTGGGTCGGTCTCTTAGGCATGGTAAAGAGTGTGGATGTTATTCTAGTGGATGAGAAATTCCTGGGGGTTGGGAGCAAGTGTTAAAGGATCAGGTGGCCTTTGTGTGGGAAATAGACTGTTGAGAAACAAGAGTGGGGGCTCCATGAGAAGATCCCAGCAAGAGCAGTAAGAGACCTTCAGAGGAGGTGGTCACATTTGAGATATGTTATGAAAACATGGGCAGCAAGATATCTTGACAGAATGCATTCAGTATGTGAGAAACAGAATTTGCAGAAGGAAGATTTTGAACTTCCAAGTAGCTCCAGCTAGGACTGCCCACAGGAAGCCATATTACCAGGACAAGCAGAGCTTTTCATCATGGACTTGACTTGAATTTGCAGTCTCAAAGTTACCTAACCACACAATCTTCTCCCATCTCTCAAATGGGTGGATTTACAAGATAACATCTATAAAGCAGTTTTTTCAAGGTTTGGTCCCAGGGCTACTATTATAGATGAAGAGCCAATTATATACACAACCTTTTTCCAATTGCTTTATATTTGGATCTCAAAGTATAAAAGATAAGAATAAGTTTGATGGGGACATATTAAGAATAAGAAAGAAAATTAAATTGAATATTATATTTAAGTCAGTGGCTCTCTCAACTAACCCAATCCAAGCTTAATTTTCAATCGTTGCTTAGCTGTTAAGTTTTCTTTTAGGGTTACAGAAAAAAAATGTTAGTTTACCCTCAAGGTGTTGTCTATCCCCAGTTTTTTATTGACTTCTGTTGTTGCCTGCACTGTTATGGTTTCATAGTCTTAATATCCTACTTGAATAGAGCTGTACATTTTATATATATAGATATAGATATAGATATATAGATATAACTTTCATACAGATATATTAGTTTTTAGCTGCTACTTGAAACTCCCATTTCTTTCTGAAATATATATGTTTCAGTGAAAGGATTATGAAATCTAAAATCCAAATGGTCCTGGGCAGGCAGATAACAGCTGTGTAGAAGGGCTAGGTGTGCAGGGACTAATGGGTGCTCTGGAGAACAGCAAAGTTTGTGCCCACAGAAAGTCATTTCAATTAAGAAAAGGAAAAGAATTAAACAGTGTGCTGACAAAACAAAACACAATGCTTATAAGAAAACGTAATGTTTATAAGACCCATCTCCACATTGTCTCTCCTGATTGCGTGAAACAATATTTTCTCTTAGACCCCAAGCCTACACTTTTCCTGATCAGTTAAAAACAGATGCTAAAGTATGCCCAAACAAGCACACAAAAAAAGCCTTCTTTGGCTTGCTTAGCAAGGACATTGCATATTGCTACTATCCCTCCTGTGAGTACTTTATCTGTATTTCTCTTACATAGGGTCACTACTTTATTACTTTATTATGCATTTACAATTTGATTCTCTACTAACAAAAAGATATTCTTAAAGAGGCAATATTTTTAACTCTGTCTTTTGAGTCTTTAAAAATCTAAATAGAACAAACATGTTTTCAAACTTTCAAAACTAGTGTTTTCTTCCATTTGAATAGTTCTTAATACTTTTCAAAGTGCTTGCATACACTAGCTCAGTTAGGATGTGCTAGGTTATGCTACAGTAATAAACAACTCCAAAATCTCAAAAGCCCAACATAATAAAAATTCTTCCCCACGTTATATGTCTAATATGGGTCATCAGAGGGCTTCTGCTCACTGTAGTCAGTTACAGACTCAGCACACTAAGACCAAGATTCATCTCCGTATAATCTTCTGCAATCACTACTGTAGGTGAGAAGGAGGTGAGGCAAGTCAAGCCCCATTTTGTCACGTTCTACCTGAGAGTGATATACATCACTTCTGCTCACATTTCATTGGCCAAAGTACTTTGTATGTCAATACTTTTTTATCCTTAGGGCAAGTAGGAGGTGCAACCCTACCATGCACCAAAAGAAGCAAAGCCAGAAGCATTTGTTAAACTGCACTATGAGCTATAACATTCATAGAGGTATTTTTACATTAAGTCCTTCCCAGAGGTAGAGCCAGAAATCTTTCTATTTAGCATAGGAAAACTCAGTCACAGACTGAGACTGGGAGAGCGGAGACAAGCGCCCTGTTTTCCTAAATCTTAGTTTAATGTCTTTCCATCACAGCATGCTCTCATCCCTTGGCTGTGTTAGCTAGACTTTTTTTTTCAACTAACTAATTTATTTATTTATACTCTCCCGGTTTCAAAGAATATTTGAGTGACATTATGTGATAGTTGTGTCACGGCCTTATTTTATTATATACACATGGAGCTTCTGGCTGTGATTATATTGCAGAAAACACAGGTTTTATAATCATTTGATTTTTTTCATTTATTTTAATGACCTATTAAAATAATGATATGGTTGATTCAATCAACTAAACTGTTTAAGATTCTTGAAAATAATGATTCCCTTGAAGGAAAATAAAAGTCATCTCAGAGGTCATCTGTGGGTGTTAGACAGACGTTTTCAAGTGTAATGTGCTACAATGGTACACCCCTTGTGCTAACAGCTGAAAGGGAGAAAAGTAGCATTAAAAGCTCCTATGTGCCTTTGAGAATCTGAGCAAAACATTCCAAATTTCCATCCACACGAGGTTGTTACAAGACAAAAGGGGGCCCTTTGGCCAGGGAATGAGATGATTCGCTTAACACTTTCTAGGGCAAAATGAGACAAAGATGAAATACACATTAGATGACAACAAAAGATTTGTAATCACAAGGACAATAGCTTATGTAGTTTTATAAGAAATTTAAGCAGCGTTGTTTTCTCTCATTCTCATCATGTATTTTCTTTAGTTAGAATTAATAAATTCCTTAGATATCTGGCAATCCAGTCTTTAGATAACAGATACATTTGCATAACAATAATAAACCCTCTGCCCACGTGTGTGTGTGTGTGTGTGTGTGTGTGTGTATGTGTGTGAGAGACAGAGAGAGACAGAGAGCGAGAGATGTGGTGTGTTAGCTAGTGGATGTGCATGTGTCTGCATTTCTAGGGCCCATGGGATGAAACTACAGTGAAAAATTTAGAGGCAGTGTATTTTTCTCAGCTTGCTGGAGACTGGTTTCAGGCTTCTTCATTCTAATAGGAATCAAATGAAGAATGCTGACTCATTAAGAGGCTGCACTGAGAGGTGTGAATTCCTAGCTGTTGGCTATGCATGGCTGTGGGTTGGTATTTCAAAAGGTGAGAAAATAATTTTACTTAATGTTTAAGGAATTACATTAGAAATTTAGGCCTGGAAGTTCTGTTTACAAGGGCTTTCAAACTTGAACAATATTTCAGTTTGTTGCCATAGCACTGACAAGAATATATTTTATTCTAAACAGCTACAGGAGACAAAAAAAAGTATAGTGAAGATAATGATAATATCTAACTCAAGGTGGTTCTGTCCACCACATAATAACAACAGGTCAAGAGTTATCATCATCATCATCATTATAATAAAATATCAATATACTGATGATTTTCAATCTTTTAAAACTTCCTAGCCATAAAAATCCATTATTCAAATATTATTTGAAATGGAAGCCCTCTGAGTAAAACATGTATGTAAAATAAAATTGCTTTGGTTGAAGACAGAGTAGAAACCCTGAACCCCACCAGGTCTCCCAACTCCCTCCCTACCCTCACTGGGCTCTCTAGGGCATATTTGGAAAATCATTGTTTTCAAAATTATCTTTCATTTGTGTCTGATGTAGGTAAAATTTTTAACTACACAATCCCCCTCATCACTTTCCCCCCACACAAACTCATTACTTCAGGGCAGGTTATTGGGCAAATGTACTAAGCATAGATAATCCCTAATAATGGCAACAACTCTTTACCTAAGGGCTTACCCATTTTGCTCAAAACTTTATACATATTATCTCCAATTCTCATTTCAGCAGTGTGAGATTAGTATTATTTTCCTAATTTTTAAAATGGGGAAAGGAGACACAAAGAGGGAACAACGACTGGAAAGTTGGTGGAAAAGCTAGGTTTTGAATCTGAGTTTGTTTTTCTTCAAAGCTTAAGCTCTTTCCACTTTACCACACTGCTCTCAAACTGGAGATCTGTGCATGTCTATGGGCTTTATACTAAGTTTTAAATTCAACTTTAATCTTGTAATAATCCAACAACTTTAATGTATGTCTATTCTGGATCATCCCAACAGCCCCAAGATTTCAGTGCTCTTATTTGCTTTTGTTAGCAATTACATTGTTGTCAAGTGACACTACTTTAATGGCTCTTACTAACGAGAAAAGAACAGAGGTGAACTGAATAGTAAATGATGCGTTTGTGCCAAATGAAGGCCAAATGACATCACAGTAGGCTGTAGAAAGTAGTTCCGATAGAGGAGAGCAGCGTGCAAATAGCACATAGGTAATAATAGGGGCACATGGAACTCTAAGGAACTGGGGCTGCAGCAGCCACTGCCATGCTCATGTTGCAAACTGTGATTGAGTTTCAGTCAAACACTACTCATCATAGTACATGAATGTTGTTCATTTGAATTTTATTATGTTTATATTTGAGTTTGGATTTAGTTGATTAAGTTGTGTTGGATGTAGTAGGGTTCTTACTATCAACAGTTTATATCTAGTTTTATGGTAAACATATTTAAGTAACATAAACAATTTAACACAGGAATCCTTGTGTATTTATTTTCCCTCTAAAGGGAGTCTACATACAGTGCTTGAGTTTGAAGAATACTGCACCAAATGAATGGGTTGTCTATTTACTGGGTTTGCTCTTGGGAAACTTTCAAGTTAAGAATCTGAAGACTGATCCATTCTATTAAAAGTCTACTCAATTCCACCAAACAATTGGTTGACTGACTTTTTTTTTCGTTTTTCTAAATTTACTGAAACCATCTGAAAAACTCTAAATATAAAATCTGCTCATTATAAAGGGTGTGTGTGTGCGTGTGTGTGTGTGTGTGTCCTTGAGAGTGGTTGTTATGTGCCAGAAAATTTCAATCATATACCTTTGGTTCTAGTAATTAATACTGACTTTATTAGAGTTATTAATCCAAAAACTTAATCCTTCCTTAAGCTTTTTAGTTCAATTCACAAATCTCATTATTTTACCTTTAAATGTAGCTAATCTCAACAATCATATTTTGAGGGCTTTTGTTAACGTTTGGTCTTACTTACAAACTTGGTTAAGCCCTTTTACAAATTTTAAACTACGTTTATAATTTAATATCTTCAACTTCCTCTTTAAACACTTCGCTTATCTGACCAGAAAACATTTCCCATACTTAACTGATTTTTTTAAGTCTAACAAATTAGACTTTTAAGGTCGGGCGCGGTGGCTCATGCCTATAATCCCAGTACTTTGGGAGGCTGAGGCGGGCGGATCACCTGAGGTCGGGAGTTCCAGACCAGCCTGACCCACATGGAGAAACCCTGTCTCTACTAAAAACACAAAATTAGCCAGGCATGGTGGAACATGCCGGTAATCCCAGCTACTTGGGAGGCTGAGGCAGGAGAATTGCTTGAACCTGGGAGACAGAGGTTGCAGTGAGCCGAGATTACGCCATTGCACTCCAGCCTGAGCAAGAAGAGCAAAACTCAGTCTCAAGAAATAAATAAATAAGACTTTTAAATACAGTGAAACTTAAGTTCTCTTAAATATTTAAACACTGTCTATACAATTAGTTAGATTCCAACCAAAAATTACAGGACTAAGTCAATTACTCAATTGTATATTTATAGTGATATTACAAGGCTAAGCCATTGTTCTAATAGGGCATTACTAGTATTCAAACATTGCTGGTAACTAAAATTCCAAATTTTTCCACATTCCTGACACAAAGACATTACTAGCTTGGTTCTGGTCTTTTAAACATTTCAATAATTAATTAGAAATTCTGTGAGGTTTGAAAGATGTATACACAGTGAAGAAACCATTATTATCCACACAATTTGGGTGGATACTTCTGACCCAGTTGAGGTTACACTGACGACCCAAGGTTTCAGCTGGGATAGTGACTGAATACTTGTCTGCAACACTAATAGGCCATGTCTAGTTCCATTTACAGTGGTTATACCAAAATCTTTCAATAAGGTGGCCTCATAAACTGATTAGCCCATGTCTTTGTGATCAAGTAATATATTACATGATTATTTCACTTACCCTAGAAAACTGCATTCTTAACACAGGCTCAATTTTGGATTTTGCTTTTCTTTGTTTCTTAAAAGACATGAATGCATTTTCCAGTTAACTTTAAAGACTTTTGGACATGTCAGAATCTTGCATTCTTTTCATATGTTTTCTATCTCTTAAAATGGAATTCTAATATCTCTTATGACTGGCTGACCATTCACCCACAACTTTTAAGGTCATTTCTCTGACACAACCTATTTCTAAGACTCATCAAAATCAATTTGGAAATCTAGCCCAGTTATTTTCAAAATTTTGCATTTGTTTTGGAACTCCTTGTTCAACTGTAATGTTATACAGAACTACGAACAAACAAAACAGACAAAAGCTTCAGATTCTATCATTTTAAAACAATGAGGACCTCCAGGCATGAGATCACAGGGAAAGCTTCTCCAACTTTTATTTTTATGGTCTTGGCCATCAGCCAAGCTGTCACATCATCCTGGCTAGCAGTCGTAAGAGTGGAGCATATGGCCACATGTCTTACAGGCAATGATAGCAGTAAACTATGGACCTGGTGCTTTGGATGATTGTTGAGCCATGCACAAAATCCAGGTAAGGCTGAGTTGCAAAAAGTGGTGTGAGGAGGAGGGATTATGGAAGACTGATAGCTGTTATCTAAAATCCATGTTCCTCTTCTTTCTTTGTACATAGGTAGATTACATTTCCCAGACTTCCTTGCAATTAGATATGCCCATGTGACTGAGTTCTAGCCAATGGGTTGTGAATAGATATAGGATGTTCTCCACTTCTATTTCTATCCCAGAAAAGTCCCCCTTACCCTTTCCTCCATGCTTTTTTCCCCTTATGATTGGCAGGAATGGAGACAACCCTCATCTTGGCAGTCACAATTTAAAGATGACACTTTCTCCATCAGCCTGGAGATTAATAATTGCATGGATGAGGGCCACTTCATCAACTTGTTCTCCCTTTCAGCACTGTTACACATCAGAAAGCAAACTTGTACTGTGTTAGAGCTGTTATACTTTTGGGGACTTGTTTGTTATAGTGGCTAGCTTACCTTAACTAATACAGCAATCAGTGAGATCCACCTATCTATATGGCCCTTTACTCTGACTTCCATGAATAGTGTCTCAGTCATTGTTAATGTCTCAAGCAGAAGGTACCCCTTGACAATGTCCACTCGGAATGATGCAAGCTTGAGGCTGGTCAACAGTGGGGCCTGGTAATCCACACACAAGAGACTCCAGCTTGCATCATTTTCAGTGCATTCTTGATTCCCTTGGAATCAGGCACCACCAACAGTGTCTGAAAATAGGTCTGGTGCCCTGACTCTTAGACTGGAAGAATGCGGAGAAGGGGTACAGTTTCTCTATTACTTGTATCTGGAGACTTTTCCTGATCATGACAGGTGATTCCAGAGGTTTCAGGGCAGGATAGCTACATACAGCGTGACCAGCTCTCTCACAACACAGGTGTGATTACTCACACTGATGACACAGTTGCTGAATAAGTCAGCAGAGTGTATTTCCATCAAAGAAGTATCCCATGCTGAAGAATAGGTTTAATTAATTAGGAATTAGAGCCAAACGGCCTTTCAGCCTTGTAGAGCAGGATCACTAGAGTGGCTGGCCTTTACCACTGGAGCCACCCCATCATAGAAGGGATCACTAGAGCTCTCTGTGGAGTTGTGTACACACAGGCAGCTGCATTCTCCATTAACAGAGCATTTGTATATATGTTATTTATTCACTCTAGGGTGCCCCCCACCTCTGCCCCCACAATTAAATGACTCCTAGAATTCTTTAACATTCAGATGAAATCTCATCTACTTTGAGAAGCCTATGATCCCTCAGAATGGGTTAGCTGTTTCCTTCTCTGTTTTTCCATAGTACCATCAACATAATTCTATGTATTAACCAGTTTTGTATTTCTTCACTGTTCTCCCTCTCACCAGACTGTGAAATGGGGGCAGTGGCTGTGTCTTTCCTCTTCTGAACCACCTACTCTTTATCACCATGTGTCACTCAAGAAATATCTGTTGATGAATTAATAAGCATTTATTTGGTATCACATAGACTGAACAACAGATTAATTAGCTGGAATTTCAGTCCCCAACTACCATGTCACCATATAGTTAGAACTTACATTTCACCAGTCACCAATTCCCTGAATGCTTCATTTCTCCCTCTTAGCAACACAGTGGTAAATTTCTAACTTCTGCTTTATTTCCCAGGATAAAAAAAGAACATGAAAGATATTAAAGGGTTAAACATGTAGCAATCTGTTTTACATGAAAAGAAAAAGATACGAAGAAATTTTAATAAAAATACAACCCTACCAGGACTTGGACTCATTACCTCTGCAATATAAGGAAGACACTAGGCAATGTGAATTTACAGGTGTTAATTAGCCAACAGAGGGTTCCTTGATTGTTCCCAGAATACCATACAAACATAGAGAAATAGAAAAATTCAATCAAAGAACATTCCCTGCCTCAGAGAAAAGACTGCATGCATGCACAATGTCATGCAAATCAGCTTTAATTTACTGCATGTTTTTCTGCTTCCACCAAATTTGTTGAAGAAAATGGATCTTTCTCTGCTCATAGCTGTAAATTCCTGCATCGTCAAAGCATACACAGATCAAGATGTTGTTTTTCAACTGATGCTTGAATAATAGCAGAAGAAAATTTCTATACAGAAATATCAAATGGATATTCCCATGGCAGCATTAATCTGGAAATATTCCCCACTGCACTATAAGTGGGTCTAGTTGGGTAATAGGAGCATGGGAAGGTCCTTATTTTGCACCCAAGGAGTTGCTCTGCTAGGGATTCCTGTTTCCTTCCAGAAAATTGAGATAACGGTTTGCAGGAAGGTGAATTAAAATATATCCCTGCAGCCACAATTAATTAAAACATATTCACAATAAAACATAAGTAACACTTTGGGAGATATATCTACACAGCATCAAACAACTGGTCGAATGTTTTCCCCACTGCATTGATCTGTTTTCTTGGTGAATTGTGGACACAGGCACAGATAAGTTCAGCCTGTCAGTGCAATTATGATAATCCAGCTACATCCATTTTCTCATTCAGGCTGTCACTCATGGAGCCCCTGCCATCTTCCTAGATTGTATTGTTCTGAGCATTCTGAGTGTCCTGAAGATGCAGACATATTGTAATAATTATAGCTAACACTTACGTAGTGCTTACCATGTGTAAAGCACTATATGAATCACTTTAAAATTTTTCATGTTCATCTATTCAGTCCTCGTATCAAACCTACAAGGTAGGCACCATTATCTCCATGTAACAGAAGAGGCAACTGAGGCATGGAGAGGTTCGGTAACTTCCCTAAGGTCCTGTAGCCAGTAAATGGCTGAGGTGGGATTCAAACTTATAGTCTGGTTTAGTCTTTGCTTTTAATCATGACCCTCTGCCACCTCAGTTCCTACTAAATCTTTGTTGAATGAATGAATGTGGCTTACAGAATCAGACTGAAAGGGTGATATTATTCATCAAAACAGAGATATGATTACAGACTGCCAACCTGTGGTTCTTAAAATGGGATCTGCAAGCTATTTGCAGTTCATTAAGATACCCCAGGTGCCATGTGTTTTTTGACAAGGACATATTCGCATTTTTTTTCTGGCTTGCATTAATATTTTGTAAAATCCAGATATTGCTCCTGGTGCCTCATCCAAAGGAGTGGACATCTTCTCGTGTATCATTTATTTGAGAGAATGTCTGGGTTTTTCCTTGTGTTGATGAGTAAGGGTAGACTCACTGGCTTCCAAGTTCTCTCTGGACACTGCTAAAGTGGTTCATAGTCTGAAAATCTTACAAGCCCTTGATCTTGGTGATGACGTTTAAAAATTGGGAAAGGTGGTGTGGTTCATGTTTACTGTTGCTCTGAAGAGAGAGGCTGCAGGGCACATACTCGAGACCCAGCCCTAGGCTGTGGGCAGGACAAACCCAGCAGCTGACTGAGGAGGGTCATTTCTGACATTGGGAAGACATCGGGTCTAGCTGACTCTTACTGTTTCCAAGCATGGCACTATATCAGTTGGCCAAGAGTCGGCTCAAGTGGAGGGAAGACAAAAAGGCCACCTTTCTGCACTAATTAGTCTGTTTTGTCTAGTTATCTTGGTTCTACTCACAACTGCATCAGATTTCATATGATAGGTTGTACCACATGAAACTGCGGACATCTGATCATTTTTGACTTAAAAAAATGGCAATTTTGTATAAGACAACTTAATAATAGTCGTTCTTACATAGTACCCCAAGTACTAGCATCCTAGTCTTTCAACTTTAAGAGTGAGGTGAGAATCCTACCAAGCTCTTTCATTAATTCAGTAGTGAAGCATTTATGGGTGGCAAGGGGATGAAAGCATGATAAGGTGCATGGGCTGTACCTGGGCAGAAAGAGGAGGGAGACAACACTTGTGCCATGTGGCGATGGCGCTGCCTCCTCCAATACTGTCTTGTGGTTGAAAAAAGCCTTCAAATTTATGTTGCTTGACATCCATAGGTTATTATGAAACTAGTAATAAAGATACAAAATTAAACTTAATGAAAACATACAGAGCCCTTCCCATGCACATTCTCTTAAGTGCCAGAGTAGATATAAGGACGGAACAGAGATCCTAACCCCAGGGCATTTTTATTTATTCAACAAATATCTTCAAGCATCTACTATGTGCTATGATCTGGCCTAAGTGCTTAGGGACACTTCAGTGTTCAAAATGGAACAAAATCCCCATCCTTGTGGAACAGTCTAGCAGAGAAGACAGACAATAAACAACAAGCAAAAAATAATAATTATGAAAAATGAACAGGGCAGTCAAGGGGATCCGGACTGGAGTGGGGCTGCCTTTTTAAAAGGGTGTTTAGGAGTAGGCCTCACTGAGAAGGTGAGAGTTGAGCAAAGACTTGAGGGAGGTCAGGGGTCAGCCATGCTGATATTTGTGGGAAGAGTATTTCTGGCAGAGGAAATCACTAGCTGGAAGGCCCTAAAGTAAGAGCACCCCAGGAATGTTCAAGAAACAAGAGGGAGGTCTGTGTGATTGAAACTTAGGGTACAGTGTAGTCCCTATTAGTGACCACATCATATGAGAACATTCAGACTCTTGTTAGGTTCAACCAGAGGAAAGGGCAGTCATGTGACTGTAAAAGGCTAGAAAGCATTCTTTAAAAGTTAACAAAATGGCAGTCTATCGGAAGCAGTGTGCAATCACAGGATAGCAATCTATAAATACAGGAGAGCCACAAGAATTAGATGCATGGGCTGGGTGCAGTGGCTCACGCCTGTAATCCCAGCACTTTGGGAGGCCAAGGTGGGCAGGTCACCTGAGGTCAGGAGTTCGAGACCAGACTGGCCAATATGGTGAACCCCCTCTCTACCAAAAATACAAAACTTAGCTGGACGTGGTGGCAGGTGCCTGTAAACCCAGCTACTCAGGAGGCTGAGGCAAGAGAATTGCTTGAACCTGGGAGGCAGAGGTTGCAGTGAGCCTACATTGTGCCATTGCACTCCAGCCTGGGCAACAGAGAAAGACCCCATCTCAAAAACAAAAAACAAACAAACAAAAAAAGACAAAAGAATTAGGTGCACAGAGCCAGGGAGCTGGGGCCACAGAGAGGGTCTGGAACACTGCCCAGAAAAAGCCATCTGGGGAAGGGGTAGAGGCTCCTCAGCACAAGACCAAGAAATACAACCAAATCTGAGGAAAAGGGAGATCACGGGGAAAGGGGGGCTGGCAAAGGTATAAACCCATAGAGTAAAGTGTAAAGAAAAAAGAAGAGAAGCAGTGTTAGAGACCTGCTGGTCCACTGGCTTGCAGATTGGAGCCCTTAGTAGAAGAGTAAGCTTGATTGTTTTCAAGTGTAAATTACTCAAGCTGAGCTGCTGCTGCCTATCAGAGAACAGAGGACTGGCCACGACCCTGGGGAAGAACCACAGGACTTATGTCTCCCCACAGCCTTGGCTTGCCTTCTTCTCAGATTTGTATTCCTGGGTACAGGTTTACACTTCCACCCCCTCCCCAAAAGAAGACCGCCTCAGGCAGTCGTGTGCCTGCTGCTGGTCAAGATCCACCTCAAAGGCTCTTTAAGCAACCCAGTCCTCCAGGTCTTCCCAAGTCATCTATGTCTCTATGAAGTGTGAATTGATCCAGTAACTCGTAGGAGGCATGTAACTGTGGTTGGAAGACCAAACACCCTACCCTCAACGCATATCTCACCCCCACCCCTAGAAAGAGGTTCAGGAGGAGAAAGGCCTCAGTGCACACATCTAATTAAGCACTCACAGGCAGGTGTTAATTTCAAGATTTCAATATGATGTATCGTTTCAGGAAGCTGCCACTGAAGGTGATAGCCCTACCACTTAAGTTGATAGCTCTGTAAAGAGTCCATTTAGATTCTTTTTCTAGTTAGGCCTGTGGTAAAGGTAAGGGCAAGAGGGGTCTTAGACTAGAGGTAAAAAAAAGAACAAAAACACTGCATAATTATATGAAGTCCTGACTCCATTGTGGAGAGCTGGCCTTGCCAGTTGTAGTGGCTGGCAGTAGGAAAATGGCTCAAAGAAGTACAGAAACTTTTTTCAAAGGGTAGTCCTTAGGATTGCATCAGAATCGCTTGGAGTGTTTATTATAATTCACATTATAAGGCCCTGCCCAGCTTTCCAAAACCAAAATTCCTTGGATGAGGGCCCAAGAATTTAAATTTTAACAAGCTCCAGTAATGCTCCTAATACATGTTTCATTTAAAAACAACTGGTGTAAATTGTAGTATTTGAGTGATTAATGTTGGTCTTTGGGAAGTGTGTTTGTGTGTGTGTGTGTAAACTTGTTTGATCCAATAGTTCATCTGCGTTTGAAAGAATGAGAGGCAGATGGGTAACTCACAACTCAAAATGAATGGGATTTAGCTTGCCTATATCTGCCCTGAGCAATTCCGGAGGACAGGGAATGTCAAAATCTTTCCCTGCCAGTGGAGGGCATGTATGTGCAAACACAAACAGATGTGTACCTCTCTCTTTCTCTCTCTCACATGTGTGTGCACGCACACACGCAGTGTGCCTGGGTGGACTGTCCTGGCTGATGTCTTGAGCATGATTCCGTAATGGAAACTCAGACTTGCAAATAGGTCCAGCTGCCAGAAAGGATGTGAATCCCAGGCTGCTGTAAGATTGCCTGAATGTTGTCAGGGCCATTGGCATAGTGGACATTAGAGAAAGAGGTATCCTTATAGAGGAAAGCAGACTAAGCCAAGAAATAAGATTAAGAAATGCAGATGTCAGTGAATGCTCTCCCTGTGAATATTTTAACATCTGGGGTGCTTTTGTCACAGGCTAAGGGAAAAATCAAGATTTTTCTGTTTCTGTAAGAGACTCAACTCTTCAGTCGAGGATGGTGTACCTCAGGGCTTGGGGAGAGGTACTATGGAGAATGAAGGTGAGGAAGTTAGGGATGTGTGGCCACCCCAAATCCACTCCTCACTAACAAGCATCCTGGCAGAAAACACACATGTTATTATTGAGAGAGCTGTGTCCAAGAGTTCTGCAAAGCTGACAGTACCAAAGTGAAGGGCAGCCTGTAGCAGGGCTGATAGAGACGGGAGGAGACACAGCCAGACCAGTGTCAGGCAAGACAAAGACACCTCCTTCTCAACCATCACACACACAGTGAGCTGTGGTTCTCGAATTTTTACAACCATACCCACTGTATGAAATACATCTTGTATTGCACACCAATACATATATTAAAGTAAAAGTCTAATAAAATAACAGTAATCCTCACTCAGTGCAAACACACAAGATCAATATCTGATGTTTTGGAGATGACTTTTTACTAGGAAAAAAGTCTGGTTGCCAGGAAAGATGGGAATCCCAAGGCCAGAACTCCGCCTGATACCTGTTGTTCTTTACTGGTTGAATTCACTTCATTAAGATAAACGCTACTCGACTCACCTAATTAATTTCCTGAGTATACACAAACTCTATACTGGAGAAAAGAGACCTTCAAATGAAGAAGGAAAACTAGTTCATGGGTTCCATTTTACTCATATTATGTCCCTTGGGTAAACTGACTCATTTGATTAAATAATGAAAAGTTATTGACTGAAATCTGGACCAGGGGAGCTTATTCTTCCAGATGCGACACTGAGGCCCTTCCTTCCAAAATCTTCTCTAGTTTCCTCCAGCTGAATTGAATACATTCTTCTTCCTTGGACCTGGGGTTCTACCTTCTTAGTAACACTAATGTATGAATAGTTTTCAATTCGTAAAGTCTTTGTCTTTCTCACTAAATCATAAGCTCCTAGAACAGGTTTAGTGCCTTATTAATTTCTTCCTACCCAGAGTCTGGATGCTTAAGGTTGTTTGTTGACTGTTGAGTCTATTTGTGGGAAGGTTCGCTGGATTGAATTTGGTTGACTAGAACCAAAGTCTTATATGTCAAAGATGTGGGCTCATTACTGAAGGCACTCATGCTGGCTAGGAGGCAGAACAGTGATGCAGCCAGTGTCATGTGCCTAGACTGGAATCCCGTCCCTCCTTCTACTCACATTCATGTAACTTGGGCGGGTAACTTACTTGTGGAGTTTCAGAAGATACTGAGAGCAATTATCTCATAAGTTTATTGTGAGAATTAAATGCAATAATCCACAGGAAGTGTCTGGCACATAGTAAGTATTCAATAAATCTTAGGGATTATTGTTTTCACTTTCCTCTGTGGCCTCTTGTGAGAGTTAACAGCCACGATGAAAGTCAGCATGCAACAGGATATCACCACCCCAGGGTGCAAGAAAACTAGGCATGGACTTCACTTTATCAATTTGAAAGTAATTGATCTTTAGTATAGGACAATAACCTGCTGATCAACCACACTTATGGCAGCATTTTGGTGATTTCTGTCTTCAGGTTATTTGGAGATGGACTAAAACCGCACTGTCCAATACAGTCACCATTAGTCATACATAGCTATTGAGCACTTGAAATGTGGCTAGTCCAGGCAGTCACAGCGACTCACGCCTGTAATCCCAGCACTTTGGGAGGCCGAGGTGGGATGATCACGAGGTCAGGAGATCGAGACCTTCCTGGCTAACACGGCGAAACCCCATCTCTACTAAAAATACAAAAAATTAGCCAGGTGTGGTGGCAGGCGCCTGTAGTCCCAGCTATTAGGGAGGCTGAGGCAGGAGAATGGCATGAACCTGGGAGGCGGAGCTTGCAGTGAGCCAAGGTCGCGCCACTGCACTCCAGCCTGCGTGGCAGAGCGAGACTCCTTGTCAAAAAAAAAAAAAGGAAATGTGGTTAGTCCAAATTGAAACGTATTCAATGTGAGATACCCCAGAGTTTGGAGATGTAATTTTTAAAAAGAATGTAAAATTTCTTACTAATAATTTTATATTGATTACATATTGAAATAATTTACCTATAAAGGGTTAAATAAAATATTATTAAAGTCAATTTCATTAGTTACTTTTAACTTTTTAATGTAGCCATTTTACTGCATTATGTATGTGGCTTGCATTATATTCTGTAGGTCAGCAAGGGTGTCAGAGTTGGGCACATACTGTACCCTTCCATCATGTTTCAGGTGCATGGTTCTTAAAAAGCAATCATCCTCCAAAACCCCTCTATACAGTTCTCCTCCCACAGATCCAACTGCATTCCCTCTAGTATATGTTTTTCCAATCAGTGATTGGCAACTTATTCCTAGCATATTCTTATTTAAAGGTGTCTTGCTTTCCACGTGTTAGGAATAGTGCATGATCAGATTCTATTTATCATACTGATGATCCGGCTAATTGTATAGAATACAGTCAATAAATGGTTGAAAATATTGTTTTTGTACTTCATTCAACAGGTAAGTAAATAATAAGTAATAAGCATCAAATAAGAGCAAGCACCATGTTTGATGCTATGCTATGGGTAATGCAGTGATGAATATAAGGCAGTGTTGCTTTCAAATAGCTTAGCATACATAATATAACCTAAGTTTTGCTCTTTGCTATGCCATCCCCACATATCTCTTGAATCCCTTTCTAGCAGTTCTCCACCTTGTACCAGATGCCTCAGTAGTACCAAACTACCAATGCAATCCTGACCTTACCATCCTATTCTACTGGAAGCTTTACCTTGTTAGTTCCTCTGCCTGAAATGCTCATTCCTCCCACCCTTGTCCTCTAAATTGAACGTATTTCCCTGACTCAGTGTTTCATGCCTTCCTCTGAGAAGTCACTCCCAACCCTCCAGCCAAAGCAGCAATGGCCACTCCATTCTTCATGCAACTAGCAGGCTTTACAATATAGTTCTATTGTTGATCTATCACACCCGATCGCAATTGTTTACTGGCTATTTCTCTTACTGGTTATAAATAATTTACAAACCACATGTATATTTAGAGTAATTGGATGTTGATTTCATACTTAAAGACCATACACCCAGAAAACCCATGTACTTCTACCATCCATTCCCTAACTGATAAGCCAGAGAACGAAATGTATGTAACCATGATTTCTTTTGGAGGATAAGTCTGATATAGGAAGGAGAGAAAATTAATTTTTTTTTTTGAGACAGAGTTTAGCTCTTATTGCTCAGGCTGGAGTGCAATGGCATGATCTCAGCTCACCGCAACCTCCGCCTCCCGGGTTCAAGCAATTCTCCTGCCTCAGCCTCCCGAGTAGCTGGGATTACAGGCATGTGCCACCACACCCAGCTAATTTTGGATCTTTTTAGTAGAGATGGGGTTTCTCCATGTTGGTCAGGCTGTTCTGAAACTCCTGACCTCAGGTGATCTGCCTGCCTCGGCCTCCCAAAGTGCTGGCATTACAGGCATGAGCCACCATGCCTGGACTGAGAAAATTAATTTTAACATGAACTTATATGACAACATTTTCATAATCAGGCCATATCCCTTGCCAGGACATCTCTGGTGTAAAGGGATGGAATGGTACTTGATCACATATGTGTTCATCAATCAATTTAGTGCAACTTTCTGATTTAGATGTTTTGAAAGCTAGGAAGTTTTGGCACTGTCTAACCACAGTTGCAAAAGACCCCTATGGGGTTGAAACAAACTGCTCACAGAATGGCAGAGTTAGAAAGCTTTTCCGATTCATTTACTTGAACTTCAAGAGCTTCCCTAAGTGGAGCTGTGCTGACCAGCAAGTGTTATCCTGCTTGACAAAGTCAAATTCATGAATGAGTGAAGGCAGCAATGCCCATCAACAACACATGCAGAGTGTCTGGTATGCAGTGGGAGCTCAATACATGTTGTTGAAAGAAAGAATGAATGAGTATCTCTGCAGAAGATCAGGACTGACTTTTATAAGTTGAGAATGTCCATTGCTCATGCTGTGGCAGTAGTATCAAATAACTGCTTTATAAGCATATTTTCTGAGAGAGTTGCAGAAAGGGTAAGAGAAAGACAAAACTATGGAATGGTTCTTGTCCTCAGAGGCCAAAACAAAGTCAAAGGGAGACACGATGTTCTCGGAGCTATGCAAATATCTCTTCTTTGTCCTATTTCAGTAGGGAAATGAGTTATGAGGATCTTATTCAGTTAATTTCATTTCTTTAAATTTCTCACCCTATATTAATTAGCTGATAGAACCCTTATGGTGTGATGTGTGTTTAGAGCCATTGTAGAATGCACATTTTCACCGAAATCTGTTTTATGGGACTTGTTAGCACGGATATTATTTAGCTAAATAGCTCTTAATGATTTCTTCAGAGTCTGCTGCATCAGTTGGGTAATTCATTTTATAGTTGGGGACTTAAAAAATTCTATTTTTTAACCTACTCAGCCCTAGTGACCTGTCTCTATACCAAGGAGGATAATGGGGTAACACTGTGTTCAGAAGAGATTTAAAATAATACTTGATTCATCCATAAAGGAGTAATGAAAATTTTCCTGAGTGTAGTATTATTCTATTTCAAAGAGTCTTAAAAAAATATTACTTTTTCAAACAAATTGCTTCAAGGAAAAAGAAGAAATCTGAATTCCATCAAATATCTGGCTTTTTTGAAAATAATCTGTTGAATTCAAATAACTGAGGGTTGATGTGAATTTGTTTGCACAAATCAGTTAGTTGGTGCACCTGGGAGCAACTGGACTCAGGTTCTGAAAGGCCCATCCGGTGAGTTCGATTGCAGTCAAGTCACTTGACTTGTTAGTCAGTGACTAACAGATCAAGGGTTTCGTGTTGCTGCAGGCAATGCCATAAAATGTCACAGAAGAACTCCCCAGCATCTCAGGGCTGGGGCAGCTGTGGCAGTGGCTCTGTGATGTCAGCAGCAGTGTTCTCATAGGGCGGTTCATTTTGCTTGTGAAATGCAAATACTCGAATGATGACAGATGGGGCTGGGAAGAAGTGTTTTGTTTTTTTTAAAATAATTCTATAGTTCCATCAAATGTTCTGGTCTTAGGCAAAGGAGAGACTTGAATGTGGCATATATTGGAACCCCATGGTGGTCAAGAGATGTTTCTTTGTAGGGTTCTTTTTCATGTACACTTCAAGATGAAATTAAATCTCTCTGAAAATAAATCCCAAGAATCATGTCTGATAACATAAAACCCATCAACAGTTCTTGCTTAGACCTCAGAACACCCATTTTAAGTATAGAGTCTACTTGGTTTTCTGGAAGGAAACCAGATCTGTGCACTTGGCGGTACTTTTGTCCAGAGTGCTGACAACCTTAGACCCATTACAGGAAGCTAGATCCTACTTTTGGAGCCAACAGCCATTTTTCCTTTTTCAGTTGGTTCTGATAGAATATGTGCAGAGTACCCACTGCCACAGAGTAGAGTGGTTAGCAGCCCAGGAAAGAAATAGAAATTGAATCAAATTCCCATTTCTGCCACTTACAAGTTCTGTGAACTTAGACAAGTTATTTAACTTCTTTAATGCAAATTTACTCATTTGCAAAATGAGGATAATAATATCTAATTCACAGGGCTGCAGTGAGGATTATGTGAGATAACATATATGAAATGCTTAGTGAAGTGTTGCTTACGTTGTAAGTGCTGAAAACCATTATCAGCCTTTAGCAGGGTCTTACCTAAGCTCTGGGGGAAAAGCTGGGTTTTCATGATGGCAATGAGGGCAAAGGCTATGTATGTAGTTACCACTAAATATTCTCACACGAAAAGAATATATAAATAGCTTCATCTGCTTTTTCTAGAACAGAGATTGGCAAACTTTTTCTATAAAGGTTCAGATGGTAAATATTTTAGGATCGTAGCTATATAATTTCTCTTGCAACTTTGTCATAGTAGCATGAAGGCAGCCATAGACAATATGTAAACAAAGGAGTGTGACTGTGTCCCCATAAAACTTTGTGTACAACCCAGGCAGCCAGCTGGACTTGATAGTTTGCCAACCTCTATTCTGGAATAGAAGCTGTTGTTTGATAAAGGACAATGGTCAATAATTCAAAGGAACAATAACCAGAATCACATCCTATTATTTTTCTGCATCTCTTTGTCCACCCCTCAACCCATACAATAGAATGTTTAGTTGATTTTAGTCACATAGAGGATTTGTAGCCTAAATTTCCAAAGGTACTACTAGTAAATAATGTACAGATTATGGACAGTAATAACATTTAACAGGCTAGATACAATTGGCTATATAGATGAAACAAAAAGGAAATTAAAACTTGGTTAAAAAACACATTTTGCACAGGAAAACTAGATAGTCTACATCATAGAGAATTATAAAATGAGCCATTGATTCTCCCGACTCTCTGGTGAGTATATTTTTAAAGTCCTAGAAAACTTAGAAGGCACAGTGAGAATTGGAAATTTTAACATCAAACACACACACACACACACACATAAATATTCAACTGATCTTCAAAAGAAGCATGACCTTAGAAATCACTGTAGGATAAATTCCAGCTGAGTCTCCACACACAAACCTGCTTCGTAAAAAGGAAAATGATCATGTTCAAATTCACTCTCATCGCTGACTGTGTTGGGTGAAAAAAAAGAGAACACAATGCTTTAGTTAGATATTTCAAAGTTAATCAATCAGCTAGTTTTTTTCAAAACAACCAGGTTTTTAAATTAGTTTAACTTTTCTTCAGTTTTCGAATCTGACCATTTGTGATATTGATATGCAAATCAGATCACATTCCCCTTCCCATGCCCTTCAATGGCTTCTCTTTGCTCTTGATGCTCTTGGGATAAAGACCAAACACACTATCTGTCCCACATGCTGTTCCTTGGTCCTCATGACTTCCCATTCCAGCTGCATCTTCAACCACACTCCTCCAGGCTCTTTAAACCTCAACGATGCTGGTCTTTTGTCATTTCCGCCAATGTTCCAATCTCTCCCTCACCTTGGTCTAACTCACCACCACTACCCCTCTGCCCCAAAATCACCACCACACACACGCTGTGTTAGTCTCATTAACTTCTGTACACTGTTTAGGCCTCTGTTCAAAACTTACTTCCTCAGGGAGCCTCTCCCAAGCCCCAGTCAACTGTGATAGAACCTGTCTCTAGCCTACAAGCTCTTATTATAGTTTTTCATTATACATTCATTAGGGTGATGATTTAATTAATGTCTGTTTTTCCCACTGGGCTATCCATCCCCCAAAGAGCAGGAAATGGGCCTCTATTTGAATGGCAGAGGACTCACCTCAGTGCCTGGAATGCAAGCAGAGCCATAATAAATAGAGATAATGGAGCGGTCGTCAGAAGGATATAGAATTAAAATGTAGCCATGAAAGGTCAAAACTGAATTTCTAAGGGATATTGTATATATTGCAGACAAAACATTGCCATTTTTCAAAATAATACAGATTTTCTTGCTTGTTCATTGCTCTTAACTCATTTTCTAGATTTAGTTTGGCAAACGTTTTCTATAAAGGTGCAGATGGTAAATATTTGGGGTTTGGGGGCTGTATGATTTCTGTTTCAGCTACTCAACACTGCCATTGTAGCACGTTGTGGAAACCAGAGACAGTACAGAAACATGAATGTGGTAGGGATCTAACAAAACAAGGGATTCTCAATTTCCATACTGTTGACATTTTTCCCCAATAATTCTTTGCTGCTGAGCTGTTATGTGCATTGCTGTATGATTAGCAGCATTCCTGACCTTGACCCATTAGATGCCAACAGTGCTCCCACCTCCACTAATGACAACCAAAAATATCCCTAGACATTGCCATAGGGGAGCAAAGTCATCCCAGTTAAAACCACTGCAATAAAATTTTATGAAAACAAGTGGCAAACTGGATTTGGCCTATGGACTGTAGTTTGCTCAATCCTGATCTGAAAGAAAGAAAAAGAAAACTAGGAAATTCCCTAATGGGTGCTATTTCTGGAAGGGCTATTAATTTATTTTCTAGCTTCTTGGATTTTCTTCATGGGGTATAGACCCTTTGAAGACTTTCTTTCTCAGAGGTGGGTAACCTCTTGGAGTATAATCATTGCAGCCCTCAGAGACAAGCAGGGGCAACTGGTTTAGACTGTATAGAATTTGTTTGGTCAAGTAAAGGATGCTGGCTCTGTTTATATGTGAGTTATTCCACCCATTTGGACCCCTGTAATCCCTTTGCTTACTTTGATTACTTTGATTAGTTTTTTGTTTTTTGTTTTTTTTTTAACTAGCTTCTAGCATAGTGTGCATTGCAAGGCAACTGAGAGCTGAAGGTAGAGTGACTAACGGCAGGGCTAATGTAGGTTAGCACTAGGTTAGATCCAGCTGTTGATCTAAGTCTGAGAGAGCTGGAAGTATGATCCTAGGAACCATTCTATTCCTTCCCACCTTAATTTTTTTTTTTTTTTCTTTTTGGAACTCAGGTACACAGACTTGGATTTATCATGGTCTTTGGATCATGATACCCTCTCATCACTGGTCTGGGCATGGCCCATTTTTGGCTTGTTTATATGTTTATGTTATAAATATCTGTGCCTGCCCTGCCACTCCCCCAACACAAAAAATAGAACATAGTCACTAACTGACCCGTCCCTAGATGTTCTATCTCTATCCTGTCCCTCTGTTTCCCCTCACCTGAGGCAACCATGTCCTGATGCTTATCTTCATCTTCCTACTTTACTTTGCAAGATGTTGGTTTTCTCATCTTTAAGGCGGGAAAGGGCAAAGTGACTGTCATCTCATCTTTTAAAGCTCCACCTTTATGGCTTTAATGCTGGCTTCATTTTCTCTGGCAATCCTCAGAAATTGTGCCACGCAAATATTTTACATCTCTAAAGAGGAGAAAAAAACCTAGGCAAGTCAATGTTGTGAGAGATACACACACAAAAACAGAGATTTCAGTTCATGTTGAAGATAGCTCATTGTGAGGTATCTTGCAGCCAAGGAATCTACAAGGTGCTAAGGCCATGAAGATGTGCTATATCAAAAAACGTTTTTCCTCTGCTAGCCAAATAGATTTATTATAAATATTGAGGCCTTTCCCCTTCCTTGGTCATTTCTCTACTTTAACATTAAAAGAGTTGTATCATTTACACAGCTCTGCTGAAGAGAGTTCAGTCTATTTGCCCCTGGGGCAGCAATGCTGGTATGGTAAACTTCAACACAGCGTGTAATGCATGGTCTAATTTTAAATTCTTCAAAATGCCGATTTATTTGACTTTTACCAGACCAGGAAGATAAGGCAGTCATGCTCCCATGCAGCTCGACATCTCTGTATGCTTGAAATTAAACCTCAGGGAAGAGGGGAACACAGGCCTGAGCACTGGGTATGAATAAAGGAGGCTGGTGCTGACATACAAGTGAAAGGGAAGATGTAAAAGAGAAGGAGACACTTGGGAGAAAACAATCCCTTGTGGGGAGGGAGGGGAGATGAATGTCATTAATAGCAATTTGCATCGCTATTGATTTAATGTGGGAGAAACTGAACTCTCCTGTAGCTGTCCCTGACATATTTGGGTGAGATTCTAGTGACCTCCAGTGGAGGTTCTCTAGAATTACCCTCATTGCCCCGGGACACTAAGACGTTAATTTCTGCACTTAACAAACCTGTCTCCCCTTACACATATTTTGTGCTCCCTTTACTATTTGAATTGAAAATAGCTTCTCAATGCATATAATTTTCAAATAATCTATAAAAATTCTAATTGTAATACAAAAGTTCAAAGTAATTTTTAAATAAAATAAATCAAATAAAAATAATGAATAAATATATACATAAAATAAAAGAAAATCTATATTCGAAGATATAAATGTTCACATCTGGGTGTTCTAGAAGACATAATTACTTGGAAACTTGCATCTAGTCCTAGACTCATCAAAAACCCAGAAATCCAGTAGGTGGAAATGTACTATATTGGCCTCAAGGGCCACCAGCAGCATTGCTATAGGTTAGGTAATTTTTTAAAATAAGTTAAAAAAAAATGGTAAAATTCCAAACTAGACAAAGACAGTCTTCCCTAGGAAACTTAAGGTATATTCAAATTTTGCAAAATGCCCCCCAGGCAATTATATAGAGGCTTTTCTCCTGTTCTAGTGAAGCTTTCCAAAACTGCTGGGGATGCTGCAGCAATTCTCTGTCACGCTGGACTTGCTGGACTGTCCTCTGTATTGTAGAATATTTACCAACCCTAGTCCTGCCCCACAGATAGTGATAGGACTTCTCATCGATGGAGTGATCAAAAACTCCCATGCAAATGACCAAAGAGCCTCTGGCGAAAGAACCACCCTGTGAAGCATTGCTGCCCGGGCCTTCCTCTGACAACACAGAGGGCCCTTCTACCCTATGGGGGTATTCCCCTGGGGCTGACTCCAGGACTTGGAACTATGGGGTCTTGACCTTTTCCTCCTAATTTGGGGAATTCTTGACACTGCAGACAGGGTGTTCCTGGGGGAGCTGGGAGGGGAGAGCAAAAAAGAGGCTTCAAACTGGTGAATGGTGGAGTAGGTGAGGTGAGCACAGCACTTCAACCTGACCACAGCAGCACGGGAGGTGGAATGCCAGGTTCTGAAGCCAGATCTCATTACCATGAGACTCCAGGGTTGTAGCTCTGCACCAGTGGCTCTCCTGGGTGTGTTATTTATCTTAAGTTCAAAGCGGGGCATAGTTGGCCTCACACTGCTAGGATTCTGATAATTTTTCCTTCAGGCTTTTGAGAGCGCAACTCTCTAATTCTTAGTTGCAAATGTTTCATGCCTAATAAAAACAAAATATACTCAACAGAGATTATTAATAACAGCACGATGATCCGAGAATAGATTTTGTTGTTTATTTGTTTGTTTATTTTTTGGGAATAGCGCAAATGTTCTACACTCTAAGCCAACATTCTCCAAACTGTATTTGAAGGGACGCTCACTTTACTGGGGCCAGTCATAGATATTTCTCTAAAAAAGAAGTGTTCTTTATTAAACAAGATCAGAAATGCTGGCTTAAATGACTTATACCAGGCATAAATTTCACAAACTCCGGTGTGCAAAAATGTAACTACTTTCTAAAATGGAACAAAAACTAACTTTTCAATTTAGTCCTATTTGGTGTCTTAGGAAAAAATACTAATACCAACAATGCAAGGGAGACTCCACTACAGCAAGTGACCTCTGTCAGTCTAGGGCTGTCCCCTTCACTCTTCTACTTCCTGTGGGTGACATAAAGTTAGGGTGGGGCCTACTTCTCCAGGCTTTGGCAGGGAGAGGGTGCCAGGTCTTCAGGCTCTGCGCTCCGGACATCCACTGCCAAGGGGATAGGTCTTGTCTGTTTTTGGCCTTAGCCTTCCACCCTGATGCCTTGGCCATAATCATCCCATCTCTTGGGGCCCTTTGGGTCTGCCAGCCCTCATTCAAATGCTCTTCCAAGGCCTTCTCCAGTGCACAGACATTTTAGCTTCTTTCCCTACACCACAAGCAGGTGTGAGAAGCTCCAGAACATTTCTAGGCTGGAAGCTTCCCCAAGCTACATTATGGAATTGAGGTCCTGGGTCCTCTGCTTTAGAACCCCCAAAGTTATCTGGATTTCTATCATTGCATCATGTGGCCCATTCCCCACCAGGGATGTTGGCCTGTGTGTTGATGGGCCAGAGGGCCCGTTCTCAGAAAAACTCTGTTAGTTGCTGAATCTAATATTCTTCCCGCAGGTTCAGAAAAAACATCAGCCTCCTCTATCCCTGAAGGGATTTTTATTTCCTCAGCCTGTGGCCTAAAATTGGCTTGGCAAATAGTCTTTGACCTTCCAAACCAACTAATTAGAACAATGGTTCAGACGATTTTGCCTTCCAGGGAACATGTGACAATGTTTGGAGACATTTTTTATTGTCACAGCTTGTTGGAGGGTGCTACTGGCCCCTAGTGGGTGAAGGCCAGGAGTGCTACTAAACATCCGACAATGTGCAGACCAGTCCCCAGTAACAAAGAATTCTCCTGCCCAGAGCATCGATAGTGCTGAGGCTGAGAAACTCTGAGTTGTTCTTATTATTTTTTTTTATATCAGAGAGAAAAGGAATCAATTCATTTTCTTAAATTTCTAGCCTAATTTTATGTTCTAGTCAATGACCATACTCCTTGCTGACTGCTGTTATTCAACAACCGTATTAACAATTTCCACTGGACCTTGGAAAACTGCAGACATAAGCAGTTCGGGTGAAGAGACTGGGTTTTTCTAATCTTCTAGATAATGTGCACCTGGATACTGATAAATGCCCTCCCCTCTGCTGTCTCTGCACATCCCTTCTGTAGAGGAGGATAGTGGAGGCAGGAAGGAGTAGCCTTTCTTGTCTTTGCAAAGCTCTCTGAAATTTGCAGCATCCCCACCTATGGGGAATCACTGGCTGCCTTCAAAGCAACCAGGTTTTTTGCTGAGAAGGAACTGGAGAGCGGCTGTGTTCCAAGGCTCACAGGCTCATCCTGGGCCCCTCTGAATTCAGAGCCACATCCTTCATGGTACCCTAGAGGGGCATCAATAAGCTACATGTTCCCCTCAACATGCCCAGTGGGTCCACAGATGCGTTCAACCTGTGATATGCAGAACTTGGGGGTTGACAGAAGGGTCTGGGGGCCTCACTCTTCAACCAGAGTTATAATTTCCAACTTTTGTCTTTTAGATCAAATTCAGTCTAAAGAAATAGTTCTGAAAGTATAAAGGAAGATGGAGACACAACCTATGAGAAAGGGATATGGGGTCAGTGTCTCAACGGGACACACTGCTGAGTGCTCAGGCTTCTGTCCCTTGAGCACACAGCACAGAGCAGATGGACATGTGTGTCACTTCCCTCTCAACCACTGGAGGTGAGTTGTAAGGAACTCCAGGGAGCCCTAAGGTGATAACAGTGCAGATGGTGGAGCTGGGAGATGCTCTAGGAACAAAGGAGGAGAACATTGCATCTACCAGAGAGTCTGCCCTATCCAACATCTATCCGCTGCCCAGTCCAGGACAAGATCTCCACCTGTAGCTAAGTTTGCTTTTTTGTCCTCCTCTCAGCAGCCCTGTGCATCTGCCATGCTGGTATCGGCTGTGGTGTGCAGAGGAAGAGAGAGGCTCCTGTCCTTGGGTACCCTCCTGCCAGCACCTGCTGCCTCTGTGGAGGGAGGGGGAGAACCGAGCCGTGTGGCAGCCATGGCTCCTAACATGCAGAGCACACTTGTATCACCAGGAACATCTGTCACAGCCATAACACATTTAGTCTGGTTGTTTTGTTTATACAACCCAAAGCAACCAGTCGGACTAAGATCTTCACAAAAGAGTGATGGGGTAGGGCAGGGAGGCGTCAGAAAAGGCTGACATCATTTAAATAGAGAATTGGATACAGCCGTAAACAGGTGACTTCAGACTTTGATATCTTAAGCTACACTATGAGTTGACCTATAATACTTCCAGGCACTTTCTATTATGCTGGGTGACAGTAAAAAGCAGGCAAGGAATGAGTGGGCCCTATTCTTAAACGAGATCATTCTTTATGGATGCAGAAAGTACACTGAATTAACAACAATGGGAAAAGATACAAACACTGATATTTAACACCCCCACCCCCCACCCCGCCAGGCATAAATAAAACATGCCCCCTTCTGAACTAACATGGTCTTTTACTGAAATAGTTATAACTTTTTATGAACCATTATTATCATTATTACTATTATTATGCAATGGTCCTCACCTTGCCTATAAATAATAATCAGAGGAGCTTTAAAAACAACCCGAATGATGTCAGGGCCCAGAATAATTGAATTGAAATCCCAGGGAGCAGAGCCCAGGAATTAGAAACTTTTAAAACTTTCCCAGGAGAGTCTAATGTTCCACCTTAGGCTGAGAACCACATTTCTGGCTGTGCATGCCAGGTGACAGTGCTTCAGCAATTTTATTGCCCAGAAAGAAAGAAAAAAAGAGATTTTTTCCTTCCTTCTTTGGTTTTGTGGCTCTAGTGCAGTGCTTCTCAAACCTGGCTGTACATTAGAGTCACCTGGGGAGCTTTAAAAACTATCACTGTCCTGGCCCCACCCCAATCCAATTAAGCCAGAATCTCTACAGGTGGGACTTGGCATCAGGATTTTTTAAAAGCCTGCTGGATGATTCTAATATGTGCCCAGGATTTCAAACCACTGCTCTAGGACAGGGGTTCTCAACCTTGGCTACATATTGGGATCTCCTGGGAAACTTAAAAAAATCCTGAGACCTGAGCCCCATCTCCAGTGATTCTGATTTAATCGGTCTAGTGGGAGATCTGAGCATTAAAAAAATTGATAAAGCACTCCAGGTGGTAATAGCATGCAGTCAAGATTGAGACCAATGGGTCTTCAGGAGGAAGGACTGTGCTAGTTTTAAATGAAATCCATTTCTTCTTTCTGGCCCTCATAGGTATAATTTGCTTCATGGCACTGGGGAACAAGAAATGTGATGTTGCTTTATATAATTCTGGCTCAAGCCCAGGTTGGTGGCAAGTTTGATGTCCATCTGTTGTGACTCCTTTCCACTCACCTAGAGAGTGAAGAACACCAGGGACATGTCCATTTCAGTAGGGTGATTAGAGCATTTTCCAGACACTGTTTCTGCCTACCTAATATGGTATGGCTGTGGACTCACCTAAATCTCATCCTGAATTCCCACATGTTGTGGGAGGGACCCAGTGGGAGGTAATTGAATCATGGGGGCAGGTCTTTCCCATGCTGTTCTTGTGATAGTGAATAAGTCTCATGAGATCTGATGGTTCTATAAGGGGGAGTTTCTCTGCACAAGCCCTCTCTCATTGCCTGTTGCCATCCACATAAGATGTGACTTGCTCTTCCTTGCCTTCTGCCATGATTGTGAGGCCTACCCAGCTATGTGGAACCATAAGTCAATTAACCCTCTTTTTTTTTTCTTTTTTTTTTTTTTTTTGTAAATTACCCAGTCTCGGGAATGCTTTTATCAGAGGTGAAAACAGACTAATCCAGTAAATTGGTACCAGGAGTGGGCTGCTGCTGTAAAGATACCCAAAAATGTGAAAGCGACTGTGGAACTGGGTAACAGGCAGAGGTCGGAACAGTTTGGAGGGTTCAGAAAAAGGCAGGAAAATACGGGAAAGTTTGGAATTCCCTGGAGACTTGTTCAATGGCTTTGACCAAAATGCTGATAAGCTGAGGTGGCCTTAGATGGAGATGAGAAACTTGTTGGGAACTGGAGCAAAGGTGACTCTTGTAATGTTTCAGCAAAGAGACTGGTGGCATTTTGCTCCTGCCCTGGAGATTTGTGAAACTTCGAACTTGAGAGAGATGATTTAGAGTATCTGGCAGAAGAAATTTCTAAGCAGCAAAGCATTCAAGAGGTGACTTGTGTGCTGTTAAAGGTATTAAGTTTTAAAGGGAAACAGAGCATAAAAGTTTGGAAAATTAGCATCCTGACAATGTAATAGAAAAGAAAATCCCATTTTCTGAGGAGAAATTCAAGCTGGCTGCAGAAATTTGCATAAGCAATGAGGAGCCAAATGTTAATCCCCAACACAAGGGGGAAAATGTCTCCAGGGCATGTCAGAGGTCTCCACAATAGCCCCTCTCATCACAGGCCCAGAGGCCTAGGAAGAAAAAGTGGTTTCGTGGGCTGGGCCCAGGATTCCTGTGCTGTGTGCAGCCTAGGGACTTTGTGCCCTGTGTCCCAGCTGCTCCAGCCAGGGCTGAAAGGGGCCAATGCAGAGCTCAAGCCATGGCTTCAGAGGATGCAAGCCTTAAGCCTTGGCAGCTTCCATGTGATGTTGAGCCTTCCAGTGCCCAGAAGTCAAGAATTGGGGCTTGGGAACCTCCACCTAGATTTTGGAGTATGGAAATGCCTGGATGTCCAGGCAGAAGTTTGCTGCAGGGGCAGGGATCTCATGGAAAACTTCTGCTAGGGCAGTGTGGAAGGGAAATGTGGGGTTGGAGCCCCCACACAGAGTCCCTACTGGGGCACTGCCTAGCGGAGCTGTGAGAAGAAGGCCATCATCCTCCAGACCCCAGAATGGTAGATCCACTGACAGCTTGCACCATGCACTTGAAAAGGCTGGAGACACTCAATGCCTGCCCATGAAAGCAGCCAGGAGGGAGGCCATATCCTGCAAAGGCACAGGGGTGGAACTTCCCAAGACCATGAGCACCCAACTATTGTATCAGTGTGACCTAGATGGGAGACATAGAGTCAAAGGAGATCATTTTGGAGCTTCAAGATTTGACTGCCTTGCTGGATATTGCACTTGTAGGGGCCTATAGCCCCTTTGTTTTGGCCAATTTCTCCTATTTGGAATGGCTGTATTTACCCAATGCCTGTATCCCTATTGTATCTAGGAAGTAGCTGACTTGCTTTTGATTTTACAGGCTCATAGACCGAAGGGACTTGCCTTGTCTCTGAGGAGACTTTGGACTGTATACTTTTGAGTTAAGGCCAAAATGAGTTAAGACTTTCAGGAACTGTTGGGATTTGTTTTGAAATGTGAGGACATGAGATTTGGGAGGGGCTGGGGGCAATGATATGGTTTGACTGTGTCCCCACCAAAATCTCATCTTGAATTCCCAGATGTTATGGGAGGGACCCAGTGGGAGGTAATTGAATCATGTTGAATCATGTCTTTCCCACGCTGTTCTTGGGAAAGTGAGTAAGTCTCATAAAATCTGATAGTTCTATAAGGGGGAGTTTCCCCGCACAAGCTCTCTCTCTTTGCCTACTGCCATCCATGCCAGATGTGACTTGCTCCTCCTTGCCTTCCACCACGATTGTGAGGCCTCCCTAGCCATGTGGAACTGTTAAGTCCATTATCTCTTTCTTTCATAAATTGCTCAGTTTTGGGTATGTCTTTATCAGCAGCATGAAAATGGACTAGTACACTACCTAACCCATTCCCCTGGCTCTTTGTTCACAAATCCCCAGGTCTACATGGGGTAGCAAAAAAAAGAACCACCCTGCTTTCCAGACTCCCCTAAAGGTGGTCCTGTAACCACTCTGGCCAGTAAGGAACATATGAATATTGTCAGGAAATTTTCATGTTTGTTTTTATAAGCCCTGACCCTTTGTGCTTGTCTCTTCCTCCTTCATACTCTCTAGAATGCATACACAAGAGTGGAGGTAAAGCAGCTGTATTTATACATTCTCACATTGCCATAAAGAAATATTTGAGGCTGGGTAATTCATAAATAAAAGAGTTTTAACTGTTTCACAGTTCTGCAGTCCACATGGGAAGCATGATGCTGGCATCAGCTCAGATTCTGGGGAGGCCTCGGGAAACTTACAATCATGGCAGAGGGTGAACAGGGAGCAGGCACATCACATGGTGAAAGTAGGAGTGAAAGAGCAAGGAGGGAGGTACCACACACTTTTAAACAACCAGGTCTTGTGAGAAATCACTCACTATGGTGAGGACAGTACCAAGAGGATGGTGTTAAACCATTCATGAGAAATCTGCCCCCCACCTCCAGTCACCTCCTACCTGGCCCCACCTCCAACACTGGGGATTACAATTGAAGGCGAGATTTGGGCAGGGACACAGATTCAAACCATATCAGCAGGCTTGAAGCAAAAATCAAAAGGAAAGCCAAGCTCTGGAAAATATTTTTCACCCGAGCTAAGAATGACAAAGCAGAATGACTGACAGAACCTGGGACACTGACACCATTTTAGAGCCACCATATCAGCCCTAGATTATTTATCTCGTAACTTTATGTCAAAAGTGAAAAAGAAGCCTAAGTTTAATTAAGTCACTATAATCAAATCAAACTGCTGGTGCCCACTCACAGTGAGCAGTTTCATTCTCTGAGGAATTCAGGCTCTTTCCGTCATTCTAGCCCACATTTTAGTCACTGACATGTTGCCCCCTCATGATGCAAAATAGCTACTAAAGCTTTACACAACACACAAACCTGCCCCCCCAACTGCCCCCCGATCCAATCACCTCCTAGCAGGCCCCACCTCCAACACAGAGGATTACAATTGAAGGCAAGATTTGGGTAGGGACACAGACCCAAACCATCCTGATCCAATCACCTCCTACCAGGCCACACCTCCAACACAGGGGATTACAATTGAAGGCAAGATTTAGGTAGGGACACAGAACCAAACCATATCAGCAGGCTTGAAGCAAAAATCAAAAGGAAAGCCAAGCTCTGGAAAATATTTTTCACTTTGATAAGGATGGCAAAGAAATATTTTTGTCAATATTCTCAAAACAACAGTGTTCCAAATTGGAAAAGAAGGAGATAACTCTTACTATCAGAGTGAAAAATATTTTCCAGAAGTCTCCAAAGGCTCTCTCTCAGGCCATAATTGGATTCATCACACAGTGCCCTAAATCAACCCTTGGCAAAAGAACATGGGATTGCCATGATTGGCTTAGACCAATCATGGTTCTTTCCCTGGGGCTGCAGGAAGTGTCCACTAACACTGAGTTCATGGCTGCTCTAAACCAGAAGGAAGTTGGGGTTCTTTTAGGAAGGAAGAAGGGGAAAATGGCAGTTTGATAGGCAAGCAAGCTAGTCTGCTACAAGAAGACAATCTGCTAACAAAGGGAGTAAGGGTCCTACAGACAGAGGGAAAAGTATGCACCAAGGTAAGGACATGAAAAGGCATGTCACATGCAGGAAGAAGTAACCTGTTCTGTATCACCATGACATAAAATCATTTTAAAAATCTCTGGTCAGGCATGGTGTATCATGCCTGTAATCCCTGCACTTTGGGAGGCCAAGGTGGGTGGATCACCTGAGATGGAAAGTTGGAGACCACCCTGACCAACATGGAGAAACCCCATCTCAACTAAAAACACAAAATTAGTTGGGCGTGATGGTGCATACCTGTAATCCCAGCTACTCGGGAGGCTGAGGCAGGAGAATCACTTGAACCTGGGAGGCAGAGGTTGCAGTGAGCTGAGATCACACCATTGCACTCCTGCCTGGGCAATAAGAGTGAAACTCCATCTCAAAAAAAAAAAAATTTTCCAAAGGAGAGGATTGAGAAGCTTTTGTTAAAAATAAAGCATAGATGTTATTGATTAGGCATGGCAGTAAGGAGCTTTTTATTATTATGCAGTTCCAAAGCATTGTTCCTTTGTGATAAACAATCAAGGAAACCCTCAAGACTACATGGCATTCTGTGCTCAGGATAACACCAGTACCAAAAGTGAAGCATTCTTGGTAAAAAGCTGATATGGTTTGGCTGTGTCCCCACCCAAATTGCATCTTGGAATTTTAGCTCCCATAATTCCCACGTGTCATGAGAGGGATGCAGTGGGTAGTAATTTAATCATGGGGGCGGGTCTTTCCCATTCTGTTCTTGTGATAGTGAATACGTTTTACAAGATCTGATGGCTTTCTAAAGGAGAGTTCCCCTGCACATGCTTTCTTGCCTGCTGCCATGTAAGACATCACTTTCCTCCTCCTTTGCCTTCGGCCATGATTGTGAGGCCTCCCTAGCCATGTGGAGCTGTGAGTGAATTAACCTCTTTCCTTTATAAATTACCCAGCCTTGGGTATATCTTTATTAGCAGCGTGATAACAGACGACACAGTAAATTGGTACCAGCAGTGGGCTGCTGCTGTAAAGATACCCGAAAACATGGAAGCAATTTTGGAACTGTGTAAACAGGCAGAGGTTGGAGCAGTTTGGAGGGCTCAGAAGAAGACAGGAGAATGTGGAAAAGTTTGGAACTTCCTAGAAACTTGTTGAATGGCTTTGACCAAAATGCTGATAGTGATATGGACAATAAAGTCCAGGCTGAGGTGGTCTCAGATGGAGATGAGGAACTTGTTGGGAACTGGAGTAAAAGTCATTATTGCTATGCAAAGAGACTGGTGACATTTTGTCCCTGCTCTAGAGGTCTGTGGAACTTTGAACTTGAGAGATATGATTTAGGGTATCTGGCAAAAGAAATTTATAAATGGCAAAGCGTTCAAGAGATGGCAGAGCATAAAAGTTCAGAAAATTTGTAGTCTGACAATGTGATAGAAAATAAAAACCCATTTTCTGAGAAGAAATTCAAGCCAGCCGCATAAATTTGCATAAGTAATGAAGAGCCAAATGTTAATCACCAAAACAATGGGAAAAAAGATCTGTAGAGCATGTCAGAGGTCTGCACAGTAGCCCCTCCCATCACAGGTCCAGATACCTAGGAGGAGAAAGTGGTTTTGTGAGCCAGGCCCAGTGTCCCTATGCTGTGTGCAGCCTAGGGACTTGGTGCTCTGTGTTCCAGCTGCTCCAGCCATGGCTGAAAGGGGCCAATATAGAGCTTGGGCCATGGCTTCAGAGGGTGCAAGCCTCAAGCCTTGGCAGCTTCCATGTGGTTTTGAGCCTGCTAGTGCACAGAAGTCAAGAATTCAGGTTTGGGAACCTCTGCCTAGATTTCAGAGTACATATGCAAATGCCTGGATGTCCAGGCAGAGTTGTCTACAGGGGCAGAGCCCTCATGGAGAACCTCTGCTAGGGCAGTGTGGAAGGGAAATGTAGGGTCAGAGTTCCTACACAGAGTTCCCACTGGGGCATTGCTTAATGGGGCTGTGAGAAGAGGGCTTCTATCTTCCAGGCCCCAGAATGGTAGACCCACTGACAGCTTGCACCATGTGCCTGGAAAAGCCACAGACACTCAATGCCAGCTCATGAAATCAGCCAAGAGGATGGCTGTACCCTGTAAAGCCAAAGGGGCAGAGCTGCCCAAGACCATGGGAACCCACTTCTTACATCAGTGTGACCTGGATGTGAGACATGGAGTCAAAGGAGATCATTTTGGAGCTTTAAGATTTGACTGCCTTGCTGGATTTCAGATTTGCACAGGGCCTGTAGCTCCTTCATTTTGGCCAATTTCTCCCATTTTGAAAGGGTGTATTTACCCAATGCCTATACCCCCATTGTATCTAGAAAATAACTAAATTGCACCCAGTTGAGCCAAGATGGCCGAATAGGAACAGCTCCGGTCTACAGCTCCCGGCGTGAGTGACGCAGAGGATGGGTGATTTCTGCATTTCCATCTGAGATACCGGTTTCATCTCACTAGGGAGTGCCAGACAGCAGGCACAGGACAGTGGTGCAGCGCACCATGTGTGAGCCAAAGCAGAGTGAGGCATTGCCTCACCTAGGAAGCACAAGGGGTCACGGAGTTCCCTTTCCTGTTCAAAGAAAGGGGTGACAGACAGCAACTGGAAAATTGGGTCACTCCCACCCTAATACTGTGCTTTTCTGACAGGCTTAAAAAACGGTGCACCAGGAGATAATATCCCACACATGGCTTGGAGGGTCCTATGCCCACAGAGTCACGCTGATTGTTAGCACAGCAGTCTGAGATCAAACTGCAAGGCGGCAGCAAGGCTGGGGGAGGGGCGCCCGCCATTGCCCAGGCTTGATTAGGTAAACAAAGCAGCCGGGAAGCTCGAACTGGGTGGAGCCCACCACAGCTCAAGGAGGCCTGCCTGCCTCTGTAGGCTCCACCTCTGGGGGCAGGGCACAGACAAACAAAAAGACAGCAGTAACCTCTGCAGACTTAAATGTCCCTGTCTGACAGCATTGAAGAGAGCAGTGGTTCTCCCAGCATGCAGCTGGACATCTGAGAACAGGCAGACTGCCTCCTCAAGTGGGTCCCTGACTCCTGACCCCTGAGCAGCCTAACTGGGGGGCACCCCCCAGTAGGGGCAGACTGAAACCTCACACGGCCGAGTACTCCTCTGAGACAAAACTTCCAGATGAATGATAAGACAGCAGCATTCGTGGTTCACAAAAATCCGCTGTTCTGCAGCCACCGCTGCTGGTACCCAGGCAAACAGGGTCTGGAGTGGACCTCTAGCAAACTCCAACAGACCTGCAGCTGAGGGTCCTGTCTGTTAGAAGGAAAACTAACAAACAGAAAGGACATCCACACCAAAAACCCATCTGTACATCACCATCATCAAAGACCAAAAGTAGATAAAACCACAAAGATGGGGAAAAAACAGAGCAGAAAAACTGGAAACTCTAAAAAGCAGAGTGCCTCTCCTCCTCCAAAGGAACACAGTTCCTCACCAGCAATGGAACAAAGCTGGATGGAGAATGACTTTGACGAGTTGAGAGAAGAAGGCTTCAGATGATCAAACTACTCCGAGCTACAGGAGGAAATTCAAACCAAAGGCAAAGAAGTTAAAAACTTTGAAAAAAATTTAGACGAATGTATAACTAGAATAACCAATACAGAGAAGTGCTTAAAGGAGCTGATGGAGCTGAAAGCCAAGGCTCGAGAACTACGTGAAGAATGCAGAAGCCTCAGGGGCCGATGCAATCAACTGGAAGAAAGGGTATCAGTGATGGAGGATGAAATGAATGAAATGAAGTGAGAAGGGAAGTTTAGAGAAAAAAGAATAAAAAGAAACGAATAAAGCCTCCAAGAAATATGGGACTATGTGAAAAGACCAAATCTACATCTCACTGGAGTACCTGAAAGTGACGGGGAGAATGGAACAGAGTTGGAAAACACTGCAGGATATCATCCAAGAGAACTTCTTCAATCTAGCAAGGCAGGCCAACATTCAGATTCACAAAATACAGAGAATGCCACAAAGATACTCCTCAAGAAGAGCAACTCCAAGACACATAATTGTCAGGTTCACCAAAGTTGAAATGAAGGAAAAAATGTTAAGGGCAGCCAGAGAGAAAGGTCGGGTTACCCTCAAAGGGAAGCCCATCAGACTAACAGTGGATCTCTCAGCAGAAACTCTTCAAGCCAGAAGAGAGTGGGGCCCAATATTCAACATTCTTAAAGAAAAGAATTTTCAACCCAGAATTTCATATCCAGCCAAACTAAGCTTCATAAGTGAAGGAGAAATAAAATACTTTACAGACAAGCAAATGCTGAGAGATTTTGTCACCACCAGGCCTGCCCTAAAGGAGCTCCTGAAGGAAGCACTAAACATGGAAAGGAACAACCAGTACCACCCACTGAAAAATCATGCCAAATTGTAAAGACCATCAAGGCTAGGAAGAAACTGCATCAACTAATGAGCAAAATAACCAGCTAACATCATAATGACAGGATCAAATTCACACATAACAATATTAACTTTAAATGTAAATGTACTAAATGCTCCAATTAAAAGACACAGACTGGCAAATTGGATAAAGAGTCAAGACCCATCAGTGTGCTGTATTCAGGAAGCCCATCTCACATGCAGAGACACATATAGGCTCAAAATAAAAGGATGGAGGAATATCTACCAAGCAAATGGAAAACAAAAAAAGGCAGTGGTTGCAATCCTAGTCTCTGATAAAACAGACTTTAAACCAACAAAGATCAAAAGAGACAAAGAAGGCTATTACATAATGGTAAAGGGATCAATTCAACAAGAAGAGCTAACTATCCTAAATATATATGCACCCAATACAGGAGCACCCAGATTCATAAAGCAAGTCCTGAATGACCTACAAAGAGACTTAGACTCCCACACATTAATAATGGGAGACTTTAACACCCCACTGTCAACGTTAGACAGATCAACGAGACAGAAAGTTAAAAAGGATATCCAGGAATTGAACTCAGCTCTGCACCAAGCGGACCTAATAGACATCTACAGAACTCTCCACCCCAAATCAACAGAATATACATTTTTTTTTCAGCACCACACCACACCTATTCCAAAATTGACCACATAGTTGGAAGTAAAGCTCTCCTCAGCAAATGTGAAAGAGCAGAAATTATAACAAACTGTCTCTCAGACCACAGTGCAATCAAATTAGAACTCAGGATTAAGAAACTCACTCAAAACTGCTCAACTACATGGAAACTGAACAACCTGCTCCTGAATGACTACTGGGTACATAATGAAATGAAGGCATAAATAAAGGTGTTCTTTGAAACCAACGAGAACAAAGACACAACATACCAGAATCTCTGGGACACATTCAAAGCAGTGTGTAGAGGGAAATTTATAGCACTAAATGCCCACAAGAGAAAGCAGGAAAGATCCAAAATCAACACCCTAACATCACAATTAAAAGAACTACAGAAGCAAGAGCAAACACATTCAAAAGCTAGCAGAAGACAAGAAGTAACTAAGATCAGAGCAGAACTGAAGGAAATAGAGACACAAAAAACCCTTCAAAAAATTAATGAACCCAGGAGCTGGTTTTTTGAAAGGATCAACACAATTGATAGACTGCTAGCAAGACTAATAAAGAAGAAAAGAGAGAAGAATCAAATAGATGCAATAAAAAATGATAAAGGGGATATCACCACCGATCCCACAGAAATACAAACTACCATCAGAGAATACTACAAACACCTCTATGCAAATAAACTAGAAAATCTAGAAGAAATGGATAAATTCCTTGACACATACACCACCCAAGACTAAACCAGGAAGAAGTTGAATCTCTGAATAGACCAATAACAGGCTCTGAAATTGTGGCAATAATCAATAGCTTACCAACAAAAAGAGTCCAGGACCAGATGCATTCACAGCCGAATTCTACCAGAGGTAAAAGGAGGAACTGGTACCATTACTTCTGAAATTATTCCAATCAATAGAAAAAGAGGGTATCCCCCTAACTAATTTTATGAGGCCAGCATCATCCTGATACCAAAGCTGGGCAGAGACACAACCAAAAAAGAGAATTTAGACCAATATCCTTGATGGACATTGATGCAAAAATCCTCAATAAAATACTGGCAAACCGAATCCAGCAGCACATCAAAAATCTTATCCACCATGATCAAGTGGGCTTCATCCCTGGGATGCAAGGCTGGTTCAATGTACACAAATCAATAAATGTAATCCAACATATAAACAGAACCAAAGACAAAAACCACGTGATTATCTCAATAGATGCAGAAAAGGCCTTTGACAAAATTCAACAACGCTTCAGGCTAAAAACTCAATAAATTAGGTATTGATGGGACATATCTCAAAATCGTAAGAGCTATCTATGACAAACCCACAGCCAATATCATACTGAATGGGCAAAAACTGGAAGCATTCCCCTTGAAAACTGGCACAAGACATGGATGCCCTCTCTCATCACTCCTATTCAACATAGGGTTGGAAGTTCTGGCCAGGGCAATTAGGCAGGAGAAGGAAATAAAGGGTATTCAATTAGGAAAAGAGAAAGTCAAATTGTCTCTGTTTGCAGATGACATGATGGTATGTCTAGAAAACTCCATTGTCACAGCCGAAAATCCCCTTAAGCTGATAAGCAACTTCAGCAAAGTCTCAGGATACAAAATCAACGTGCAAAAATCACAAGCATTCTTATACACAAATAACAGACAAACAGAGAGCCAAATCATGAGTGAACTCCCATTCACAATTGCTTCAAAGAGAATAAAATACCTAGGAATCCAACTTACAAGGGACGTGAAGGACCTCTTCAAGGAGAACTATAAACCACTGCTCAAGGAAATAAAAGAGGATACAAAGAAATGGAAGAACATTCCATGCTCATGGGTAGGAAGAATCAATATCATGAAAATGGCCATATTGCCCAAGGTAATTTATAGATTCAATGCCATCCCCATCAAGCTACCAATGACTTTCTTCACAGAATTGGAAAAAACTACTTTAAAGTTCATATGGAACCAAAAAAGAGCCCACATCGCCAAGTCAACCCTAAGCCAAAAGAACAAAGCTGGAGGCATCATGCTACCTGACTTCAAACTATACTACAAGGCTACAGTAACCAAAACAGCATGATACTGGTACGAAAACAGAGATATAGTCAATGGAACAGTGCAGAGCCCTCAGAAATAATGCCACATATCTACAACTATCTGATCTTTGACAAACCTGAGAAAAACAAGCAATGGGGAAAGGATTCCCTGTTTAATAAATGGTGCTGGGAAACTGGTTAGCCATATGTAGAAAGCTGAAACTGGATCCTTCCTTACACCTTATACAAAAACTAATTCAAGATGGAATAAAGACTTAAACATTAGACCTAAAACCATAAAAACCCTAGAAGAAAACCTAGGCATTACCATTCAGGACATAGGCATGGGCAAAGACTTCATGTCTAAAACACCAAAAGCAATGGCAACAAAAGCCAAAATTGACAAATGGGATCTAATTAAACTAAAGAGCTTCTGCACAGCAAAAGAAACTACCAACGGAGTGAACAGGCAACCTACAAAATGGGAGAAAATCTTTGCAACTTACTCATCTGACAGAGGGCTAATATCCGGAATTTACAATGAACTCAAACAAATTCACAAGAAAAAAACAAACAACCCCATCAAAAAGTGGGCAAAGGACATGAACAGACACTTCTCAAAAGAAGACATTTATGCACCAAAAAAACACATGAAAAAATGCTCACCATCACTGGCCATCAGAGAAATGCAAATCAAAACCACAATGAGATACCATCTCACACCAGTTAGAATGGCAGTCATTAAAAAGTCAGGAAACAACAGGTGCTGGAGAGGATGTGGAGAAATAGGAACACTTTTACACTGTTGGTGGGACTTTAAACTAGTTCAACTATTGTGGAAGTCAGTGTGGCAATTCCTCAGGGATCTAGAACTAGAAATACCATTTGACCCAGCCATCCCATTACTGGGCATATACCCAAAGGACTACAAATCATGCTGCTATAAAGACACATGCACACATATGTTCATTGCAGCATTATTCACAATAGCAAAGAGTTGGAACCAACCCAAATGTCCAACAATGATAGACTGGATTAAGAAAAGGTGGCACATATACACCATGGAATACTAAGCAGCCATTAAAAATGATGAGTTCATGTCCTTTGTAGGGACATGGATGAAATTGGAAATCATCATTTTCAGTAAACTATCGCAAGAACAAAAAACCAAACACCACGTGTTCTCACTCATAGGTGGGAATTGAACAATGAGAACACATGGACACAGGAAGGTGAACATCACACTCTGGGGACTGTTGTGGGGTGGCGGGAGGGGGGAGGGATAGCATTAGGAGATATACCTAATGCTAAATAACGAGTTAATGGGTGCAGCACACCAGCATGGCACATGTATACAAATGTAACTGACCTGCACATTGTGCACATGTACCCTAAAACTTAAAGTATAATAATAATAAAATAAAATAAAATAAAAAAAGAAAATAACTAAATTGCTTTTGATTTTACAGGTTCACAGATGGAAGGGACTTGCCTTGTTTCAGATGAGACTTTGGACTGTGGACTTTTGAGTTAATGCTGAAATGAGTTAAAACTTTGGGAGACTGTTGGGAAGGCATGATTGGTTTTGAAATGTGAGGACATGAGATTTGGGAGGAGCCAGGGCAGAATGATATGGTTTGGCTGTGTCACCATCCAAATCTCATCTTAAATTGTAGCTCCCATAATTCCCACATGTTGTGAGAGGTACCTGGTGGGAGGTAATTGAATCAGGGTGCAGGTCTTTCCCGTGCTATTCTCACGTTAGTGAGAAAGTCTCACAAGATTCAATGGTTTTATAAAGGGCAGTTCCCCTGCACATGCTGTTGCCTGCCACCATATAAGATGTCACTTTGCTCTTCCTTTGCCTTCTGTCATGATTGTGAGGCCTCCCCAGTCATGTAGAACTGTGAGTCAATTAAAGTTACTTCCTTTATAAATTACCCAGACTTGGGTATGTCTTTATTAACAGCATGAGAACAGACTAATACAGAAGCAATGCTTATGGAAATGTGTATCATCAGCTAATCAGCTCATCAGCTCCTACTGGGCCCACACAAGTTGATTAGGGCTCTGACCCACCCAGTCCCGATCAGGCTCCTGTTCCTTTTGGCACTTCCTATCTTACAGGAAACTTCTCTCAGCCTTTGGAAGGCCCCATTAAAAACAAAATTTTGAAAATAATTTTTTATAATAATCACTTTGCTTAACCACAGTTGCATTTGAGTTCATTTGGGGGCATCTATTCTAAATAAATCATCTAAAATAACAATTTTTTAAAATACTTCATTTAAAGCTGTTTACTGTGGAGTGACATAAGTAAAATGGAGGAATAGGAGGTCACCTACTTATGTCTCTTGACAACAATGAGAATTCTGCACCCGTCCACAGACAAAAGTCTTCAGGAGCCTTAGGATTCAGGTAGAAAGTTGTGAATCCTTGGTAAAGCCCAAGACCTAAAAAGGCCATTTTGAGAGTGCAGACTAGCACCTAGGTGGCAGACCCACCAGTCATGCACCTGGGCTCAAACCAGAAGACAACCCCATTCCCCAAAGGGTTTTGGCTACTGCCTCACTTGGCCTTGAGCCTGCAACCAAAGCCATCTTCCAAGAGGTGCAGGAGAAATCATGCACACTAGTCTCATCTGCCTGCTACAACTGGTGTTAGAAATGGACTTGAAAATTATCCTGTAACTGGCTGAAACCCCCTCATCTGTGGCTCCAGCGAATACTTCTTGCACAAGGGTCCAGAGGGAGACTTGTTCTTGTTCCACAGCTTGGGAATTACCTATATGTTTGAGCCTCCATAGCAGGCTTGCTAGCCTCTGTCCCACAGCAGATGCTTAGGGGGTCAGTTTCAGCTTTGGCCCCTCTCACTACAGTCAGAAAGCTGTCCTGCTGTGGGGAAAAGAAGGAGAGATCAGATTGTTACTGTGTCTACGTAAAAAGAAGTAGACATAAGAAACTCCATTTTGTTCTGTACTAAGAGAAATTCTTTTGCCTTGAGATGCTGTTAATCTGTAACCCTAGCCCCAACCCTGTGCCTGCAGAGACATGTGCTGTGTTGACTCAAGGTTTAATGGATTTAGGGCTGTGCAGGATGTGCTTTGTTAAAAATGTGTTTGAAGGCAGTATGCTTGGTAAAAGTCATCGCCATTCTCTAATCTCGAGTACCCAGGGACACAATGCACTGTGGAAGTCTGCAGGGACCTCTGCCCAGGAAAGCCAGGTATTGTCCAAGGTTTCTCCCCATGTGATAGCCAGAGATATGGCTCCGTGGGAAGGGAAAGACCTGACCATCCCCCAGCCCGACACCCATAAAGGGTCTGTATAAGGAGGATTAGTGAAAGAGGAAGGCCTCTTTGCAGTTGACATAAGAGGAAGGTATCTGTCTCCTGCTCCTCCCTGGGAATGGAATGTCTCGGTGTAAAACCTGATCGTATGTTCTATTTAATGAGATAGGAGAAAACTACCTTATGGCTGGAGGTGAGACATGCTGGCAGCAGTACTGCTCTTTAATGCACTGAGATGTTTGTGTAAAGTCAAACATAAATCTGGCCTACGTGCACATCAAGGCACAGCACCTTTCCTTAAACTTATTTATGACACAGAGATCTTTGCTCACATGTTTTCCTACTGACCCTCTCCCCACCATTACCCTTTAGTCCTGCCACATCCCCCTCACCAAGATGGTAGAGATAGTGATCAGTAAATACTGAGGGAACTCAGAGACCAGGGCCTCCATTTGCTGAGAGCCGGTCCCCTGGGCCCACTGTTCTTTCTCTATACTTTGTCTCTGTGTCTCATTTTTTTCTCAGTCTCTTGTCCCACCTGACGAGAAACACCCACAAGTGTGGAGGGGCTGGCCCCCTTCATCCTGCCTCTGCTAGAAACAGCTAGGAGACACATACCTGCCTGGGCCACCAGGGTAGGCTTACTGGCATCCATTCCTTCATGGATTTTGAAGGGGCCTAGTCTCAGCTCTAGCCCCTCTCACTGCAGTCAGGGAATTTTTCTACCTGTGCAGGGAACTGCTGGAAGGCATGCCTGTCTAGGCCAACAGGTCATGCTTCCTGACTCAAGTCCCTAGCCAGCTTTCTTACATAGACTGGGTACCATCCATAGGTCTTCCCCAGGTCCATCCATGCCAAGACACTATGCCCACATAAGAACTCTCATGAGGTTTACAATAAATATGGCTTCAGGGGGCCCTGTAGTGCTAGAATGTCTGCAATGGCCATGGGATTTCACAATAGTCAGTCTGCTTAGATATCTGGACAGAACCACTAAAGAGGAATGGGCAGAGATCAACCCAGACTATGAATACTAGATTAAATACATAATTATTTAACGTGCAGACATCAACATGCATCCACATCCATCAAGAACAATCAGGGATTTATAACCTCACCAAATGTACAGAATAAGGCATCAGTGACAGATCCTAAAGAGAAGATGTGTGATCTATAAGACAAGGAATTCAAATTAGCTGTGATAAGGAAGCTCAGTTAACTTCAATAAAATGCAAAGAAACAATATAAAAGTTTACCAGAGAAAATTTAACTAAGAGATTAAAATTTAAAAAGCAAACAAAAATTCAGGAGCTGAGAAATACAACGAACAAAATGAAATATGCAATAGAGAGCATCAACAGTAGAATTAATCAAGCAGAAGAAAGAATTAGTGAGCTCAAAGACATATTATTTAAAAATACAGATTCAGAGGGAATAAAAAGAACAGAAATAAGACTTCCAGTTCCAAAATGGTGCTGTAGATACAAGCTGGCTCCACTGCCCCCACAGAAAACCAAAAACAAATATAGAGCATTGAGATTATCACCAGCAATATCCCAGAACCCAAATATGAAGATGAGTCTGTTCTTACAGCCACAGAGAAGTAAAAGAAAAAAAAAAAAAACTCTGAAAATGGTGACAGAATCAGATTTCCATATTCATGACACCTTTTCCCCAAACTGTGTGACACCAAATATGTAGAAAATTTCCCTCAACTCACAGTTTCTACACTGGTAAAAATGAGGTCAAGATGAACAACCAGCTTCCCTACCATCTTGAGTTCCCTAGCAGCAGATCCATCTCTGCCTGAATTCATGGGAAGCAACGTAACTGCCTGAAGGAAGAAATATCTCTGAAGACAGCCAGAGAAAAAAAGAGTAGGTGGGACTTTCATACCCAGCCCTGGAAACTGCTCTGTAACTTGGCCAAAGGAGATACAACATCAGAGGGGCTGTTCAGCAGCACCACAGCGTAGGAGGTACATTTCACAGGTCCTCTGGGCATAAACCCCTAGCCAGCCTTTCCACACTACCAGGATATCACCTTTGGGACTCCCCCATTCAGGATTGTCAGTTCTCTGATTAGTTGCTGCAGCTGAGGCAAACCTAGGCTTGAGGCATTATCTAGTGTCAAAAAGGAGGCAAGATCAAGAAAAAAATAAGAAATTGAACAGGTAAGCTATGGAAAATCTCTGTGCAAATATACCCAACAAAAAATCAAAACAAGCTAGATGGAGAAGACTGTAATAAATAATGAATAATTTAATGCAAAGACAAACATACATCCACAGGAAATAACAGGAAACAGGAAATCATGACCTTCCCAAATGAACAAAGCAAGGAATCAGTGTCTGACTTGTAGCAATATGTGAGCTCTCTGACCAAGAATTCAAAATAGCAGTTTTAAGGAAACTCAGTGATCTCCAAGAAAACAAAAAAAATCAATTCAGAAATTTATCAGAGAAATTTACCAAAAAGATTGAAATAATTCAAAAAATCAAATAGAAATCTTGAAACTGAGAAATAAATGCTTAACTGAAAAATTTATTAGAGGCTTTCAACAGCAGAATGGAAAGAACAGTAAAAAAAAATCTGTAAACCTGAAGACAGACTATTTGAAATTACACAGTCAGAAGAGAAAAAAAGAATGAAAAGGCATGAAGATAACCTACAAGATATAGAAAATTACCTCAAAAGACTAAGTCTAAGAATTGTCAGTGTTTAAAAAGGAATTGACCAAGAGCAAGGAGACAGAAATCTTATTCAAATAAATAATAACACAAAACCTTCCAAAACTGGAGATAGACATAAATATACAGGCACAAAAAGGTCAGAGAATACCAAACAGGTTTGACCCAAGTAACATTATTTTGAGGCATATCATAATCAGACTCTCAAATCAAGGACAAAAAATGCTCTTTGAAGCAACAGGAAAAAAGAAGCAACATGTCAAGGAACTCCAACTCATTTGGCAATAGACTGTTCAATGAATATCAAACAGGCCAGGAGAGAGTGCAATGATATTTTCAAACTGCTAAAAAAAAATTGCCATCCAAGAATACTGAATCTAGCAAAGCTATCCTTCAAATATAAAAGCAAGATAATCTTTCCAAGACAAGCAAAATGAGAAAATTTGCCACCACCAGACCCATCTTACAGGAAATGCTGAAAGGAATTCTTCAATCCAAAAGAAAAAACACTAATGTGCTGGCTGGGTGCGGTGGCTCATGCTTGTAATTCCAGCACTTTGGGAGCCTGATGTGGGCAGATCACCTGAGGTCAGGAGTTCAATACCAGCCTGCCCAACTTGGTGAAACACTATCTCTACTAAAATACAAAAATTAGCCAGGTGTGGTGGTGCATGCCTGTAATCCCAGCTACTGGGGAGGCTGAGGCATGAAAATCACCTGAACCCAGGAGGCAGAGGTTGCAGCGAGTTGAGATCAGGCCATTGCACTCCAGTCTGGGAGACAGAGCAAGATTCTGTCTCGAAAAACGAAAACAAAAACAAAAAAACACTAATACGCAAAAAGAAAAGAATTTTTTTTGTGATCTAAGATAAGTGGTTATGTCTTAAAAATAGCTTGTTATATCTATACAACTTTTTTGTAAGCCTCAAGGTAACCACAGTGCAAAAGCCTACAAATGATACACTAAAAACAAAAAGCAACAAGTTGAAACACACTACCAAAGAGAAATCACTTAACCACAAAGAAAGACACTAAGAAAGAGAGTAGTTACAAAACAACCTAAAAATGAGTAACAAAATGGCTGTAGAGAGACTATTAATCAATAATAACACTGAATGTAAATGGACTATATTCTCCAATTAAGAGACACAGAATCACTAACTGGATTAAACACACATGGACACACAGACACAGGCACACACACAAACACCAATTATATGCTGCCTATGAGAGACTCACATCATCTGTAAAGATATGCATAGACCAAAAATGAGGCATGACAAAAGATATTCCATGAAGATGGAAACCAAAAAGAGTAGAAGTAGCTCTACTTGTAATATATAAAGTAAACTTTAAGCCAAAAACTGTAAAAAGAGACAAAGAAGGCCATTATATAATGATAAAGGGGCCAACACAGCAAATATATATATATATATTTATATATATATATATCTCCAACATCAAAGAACCTAAATATATAAAGTAAATATGAATATACTTAAAGGGAGAGATAGACTATAGGGCAATAACAGTCGGGGACTTCAACCCCCTACTTTCAGCAATGGACAGATCATCTAGGTACAAAATTAACAATGAAACATGAGTTAAACTGTACTCTATACCAAGTATATCTAACAGACATTTACAGAACATTCCATCCAACAGCTGGAGGATGCACATTCTTCTCAAGAGCACATGGAACATTCTCCATTACAGATCATATATTAGTCCACAAAACAAGTCTCAACAAAATTTTAAAAATTGAAATTATATCAAGTATATTTTCCAACCACAACCAAATAGAATTAGAAATCTATAGCAGGAGAAATTTTGGAAAGTGTACAAATACATGGAAATTAAACAGCATGCTTCTGAACAACCAACTGGTCAATAAGAATTTTTTTAAAAAATTAAAACATTTATTGAGACAAATGAATATGGAACCACAACATACCAAACCTATGAGATACAGGAAAAGCAGCTATAAGAGAGAAGTTTACAGCAATAAATGCCTGCTTCAAAAAAGGAGAAAGTTCTCAGGTAAACAATCTAATGTTGCATCTCAAGGAACTAGAAAAAACAAGTACAAACTAAATCCAACATTAGAAAGAAATAATAAATCAGAACACAAACAAAATAGAGACAAAAATATAAAAGATCAACAAAATAAAGTGATGATTTTTTAAAAAGACAAATAAAACAAACTTTCAGTTAGACTAAGGAAAAAAATAGAGATAACCCAAATAAATAATAACAGAGATAAAAAAGGAGACATTACTACTTATGCTACAGAAATATAATGGATCACAGGAGACTATTATGAACAACTGTACACCAACAAGTTGGAAAACAGAAGAAATGGATAAATTCTTGGATATACAATTTAACAAGACTGAATTATAAAGAAATAGAAAATCTGAAAAGACCAATAATAAGTGAAGAAATTGAATGAGTAATAAAAAGTCTCTCATCAAAGAAAAGCCCAGGACCTGATGCCTTCACTGCTGAATTCTACTAAACATTTAAAGAAGAACAAATATGAATTCTCCTCAAATCAAACTATTCCAAGAAATTGAAGGGGAGAGAAGTTTCCTGAAATCATTCTTCAAGGCCAGCACTACCCTAATTCCAACACCAGACAAGGACACAACCAAAACAAAACTATAGGTTAATATCCCTGATAAACATCCATGCAAAAATTCACAACAATACATTAGCAAACAGAATTCAACAGTACATTAAAAACATCATTGGCCAGGATCAAGTGAAATTTAATCCAGGGATATAAGGGTAATTCAACATATACAAACAAATAGATGGGATTTGTCACATTAATAGAATCAAAAATGAAAGCATATGATCAATTTAATAGATGTAGAGAAACATTCGATAAAATTCAATATCGCCTTATGGTAAAAACTCCCAACAAATCACATATAGAATGAATGTATCTCAACACAATAAAGGTCAGGTATGACAAACCCACACTTAAGACCATATTGAATGAGAAAACATTTAAAGCTCTTCTTCTAAGATCTGGAAAAATACAAAGATACTCACTTTCACTACTTCTATTCAACATAGTGCTGGAGTTCCTAGCCCATGGCTGTCCAGTCTTTTGGCTTCCCTGAGCCATGTTGGGGGAAGAAAAATTGTCTTGGGCTACACAAAAAAACACTAACAATAGCTGATGAGCTTTTAAAAATATCACAAAAAAAGACTCATAATGTTTTAAGAAAGTTTATGAATTTGTATTGGGCCCTGTTCAAAGCTGTCCTGGGCCACATCCAGCCCATGAGCTGTGGGTTGGACAAGCGTGTCCTAGCCAAAGCAATTAGGTGAAAGAAAGAAAGAACGGGCTTTCAAATTGGAAAGAAAAAGTCAAATTGTCCCTATTTGAAGATGTTATTATGTCATATACAGAAAACCCTAAAGACTCCACCAAAAAAAACTATCAAAACTGATGAATAAATTCAGTAAAGTTGCAGGATACAAAATCAATATTTAAAAAATCAGTAGCATTTGTATATGTTAATAGCAAACTATCTGAAAAAGAAAATAATCTCATTTACAGTAGCTACCAAAAATGCCTAGGAAAAATTTTAACCAAAAAGGTGAAAGATCTATACAAGAAAAGCTATAAAATGTTGATGAAAGAAATTGAAGAGGACACAAAAATATGGAAAACTATCCCATGTTCATGCATTAGAAGAATTAATACTGTTAAAATATCCATACTACCCAAAGCAATCTACAGATTCAATGCAATCTCTATCAAAATATAGATAATATTCTTCACAGAAATAGAAAAAAAATCCTAAAATTCTTAGAACCACAAAAGACCCTAAATAGCTGAGCAAAAAGAAAAAATGAAGCTGGAGGCATCACATTATCTGACTTAAAATATATCACAAAGCTATAGTAACTTAAACTGCATGATACTAACATAAAAAAGAAACATAGACCAATGGAGCAAAACAGAATAAAAAATAAATCCAAATATTTACATCCACCTGATTTTTGACAAAGCCACTAAGCACACACATTGGGGAAAGGGCAATTTATTTAATAAATGATGCTGGGAAAACTGGATATCCACATGCAGAAGAGTGAAACTAGACCCCTACCTCTAACCATAAGCAAAAATCAGCTCAATAAGGATTAAATACTTAAATTTAAGACCCAAAACTATGAAACTACTAGAAGAAAACATAGGGAAAATGCTTAATGATATTGGTCTGGGTAAGAATTTTTTTAATAGGACCTTAAAAACATAGATAATTAAACCAAAAATAGACAAAATAGTCATCAAACTGCAAAGCTTCTGCTTATCAAAATAAACAATCAGTAGAACAAAAAGACAACCTACAGAATGGGATAAAATACTTGCCAAGTATGCATCTAACAAAAGGTTAATATCTAAAATACTTAAGCACCTCAAACAATTCAATAACAAAATATAATAATAATACAAATAATTCAATTTTTAAAATGAGCAAAAGACTTGAATAGACATTTCTCAAAAGAAAACATACAAATGGCCAACAGGTATATGAAAAAATTCTCAGCATCACTAATCATCAGGGAAATGCAAATCAAAACCACAGTGAGAGAGCACTTTGCATTAGTAAGAATGGCTATCGTCAAAAAGGCAAAAAATAACAAATGTTGGCAAGAATGTAGTAAGTATACACTGTTGGTGGGAATGTAAGTTAGTACTGCCATTATGAACAATAGTATGAAGGTTTCTTAAAAAATAAAAATAGAACTACCATATGATCCAGAAATCCTACTACTGGGTAAATATCCCCAAAATGAAATCAGTATGTTGAAGAGATATCTGCACTCCCATGTTTATTATATCACTATTCATAATAGCCAAGATATGAAATCAGTCAGAGTGTCCATCAGTGGATGAATGGATTTTAAAATGTGTTATATGTGAACAATGGAATACTATTCAGATACAAAAATGAATAAAATCTCATCACTGATGACATGGATAAACCTGGAAGACATATTATATTAAGTAAAATAAGCCAGGCACAAGATAAATACCACACTCATATGTGGAATCTAAAAAAAGTTGATTTCTGAGAAGTAGAGAGTAGAATAGTGATTACCAGAAGTTGGGCAGTGGAGGGTGAAGAAGGGAAGCGCAGAGGTTTGTCAGTGGGTACAAAGCTACATTTGGATAAATAGAATAAGTTCTAGTGTTCTATTGCATAGTAGTGTGCACACAGTTAACAATAATGCATTGTATATTTCAAAATAGCTAGAAGAGAGAATTTTGAATGTTCTAACCACAAAGAAATAATAAATGTTTGATGTGATGGATATGCTAGTTATCCTGATATAATCATTGCACAATGTATACATGTATCAAGACATCATTCTGTGTCCCATAAATATGTACAATTATTATGTGTCAATTAAAAATAAAATAAAACAAAAAAAGAAATATAAGTCTGCCTCATTATATTGCACTTTGCTATATAGCACTTTGCACTTCCGCACTTTTGCACTTTTTTATAAATTGAAAGTCTGTGGAAATCCTGCCTTGACCAAGTCTTTCAGCACCATTTTTCCAACAGCGTGTGCTCACTTTGTTTCACATTTTGGTGATTCTTACAGCATGTCAAACATTTTCATTATTATTATAATCTGTCATTGTGATCTGTGATTGGTGATCTTTGATTTTACTACTGTAATTGTTTTGGTATGCTAAGAACCACTCCCATAGAAGACAGTGAACTTAATTGATAAATGTTGTGTGTGTTCTGACTACATTACTAACCTGTCCCTCCCCTGTCTCTTCCTTAAGCTTAAGCTTAGCGAGGAAAGCACGTCAAAAGCTGAGATAGGGCAAAAGCCAAGTCTCTTATGACAAACAGCCAAGTTGCGAATGCAAAGAAAAAGTTATTGAAGGAAATTGAAAGTGCTACTCCAGTAAACACATGAACAATAATAAAGTGAAACAGCCTTATTGCTGATATGGAGAAAGTTTTAATGGTCTGGATAGATAATTAAACCAGCCACAACTTTCCCTTAAGCCAAAGCCTATTCCATATTAAGACCCTAACTCTCTTTAATTCTATGAAGGCTGAGAGAAGTAAGGAAGGAAGCTGCAGAAGAAAGATTTGAAACTCACAGAAATTGATTCATGAGGTTTAAGGAAAGAAGCTATCTCCATAACATAGAAGTCCAAAGTGAAGTGACAGGTGCAGATGTAGAAGCTGCAACAAGTTATCCAGAAAATCTAGCTAAGATAATTAATCAAGGCAAGGTGGCTACACTCAACAACAAATCTTCAGTGTAGACAAAATCACCTTATATTGGAAGAAGATGCCATTTAGGACTTTCCTTGCTAGAGAGAAGTCAATGCCTGGCTTCAAAGCTTCCAAGGACAGGCTGACTTGCTTGTTAGGGGTTAATTTATGCACCTGGTACCTTGAAGTTCAATCCAATGTTTATTTACCATTCAGAAAATCCTATGGCCCCTAAGAATTATGCTACATCTACTTTGTCTAACCTCTATGAATGGAACAAAGCCTGGATGACAGAACATCTGTTTACAGCATGGTTTACTGAATATTTTAATTCCATAATTGAGACCTACTGCTCAGGAAAAAAGAAGATTACTTTCAAAATATTATTGCTCATTGACAATGCACCTGGTCACCCAAGAGCTCTGATGGAGATGTACAAAGAGATGAATGTCATTTCCATGCCTGCCAACACAACATCCATTTTGCAGTTCACAGAGTAATTTTGACTTTCAAATCTCATTAGTTAAGAAATACATTTTATAAGATGATAGCTAACATACATAGTGATTCCTCTGATGGATTTGGACAAAGTACATTGAAAACCTAGAAGGGTTTCACTATTGTAGGTTCCATTAACAATATGCATGACTCACGGAGGAAGGTTAAAATATGAACATTAAGAGGATTTTGGAAAAACTTGATTTTACTCCTTATAGATGACTTTGAGGAGTTCAAGACTTCAGTAGAGGAAGTAACTGCAGATGTGTAGAAATAGCAAAAGAACTAGAAGCGGAGTCTGAAGATCTGAGCGAATTACTGCAATCTTTTGATAAAACTTTAATAGATGAGGAGTTGCTTCTTGTGGATGAACAAAGAAAGTGGTTTCTTGTAATGGAATTTATTATTGGTAAAGATGTTTTAACATTGTTGAAATGACAATAAAATATTTAGAATGTTCCATAAACTTATTGGATAAAGCAGCAGAAGAGCTTGAGAGGATTCACTTCAATTTTGAAAAAAAATTCTACCATGGGTAAAATGCTATCAAACAATGATATGTGATATGCTACAGATAAATCTTTTGTGAAAAAGAAAAGACAATTAATGCAGCAAGTTTCATTGTTGTCTTATTTTAGAAAATTCTCATAGACACTTCAACCTTTAGCAACATCGCCCTGATCAGTCAGCAGCCATCAACATCAAGGCGAGAGCCCCTACCAGCAAAAAGATTACAACTGAAGGCTCAGATGATTGTTAGCATTTTTAAGCAGCATTTTTAAATTAACGTATATACTTTTTTTATTATTATACTTTAAGTTCTAGGGTACATGCACACAATGTGCATGTTTGCTACATAGGTATATATGTGCCATATTGGTTTGCTGCACCCATCAACTCATCATTTACATTAGGTATTTCTCCTAAAACTATCCCTCCCCTACCCCCCCACCCCCCCAACAGGCCCCGGTGCGTGATGTTCCCCTCACTATGTCCATGTGTTCTCGTTGTTCAACTCCCAATTATGAGTGAGAACATGTGGTGTTTGGTTTTCTGTCCTTGTGATATTTTGCTGAGAATGATGGTTCCCAGCTTCATCCATGTCCCTGCAAAGGACATGAACTCATCCTTTTTTTTTTTGGCTGCATAGTATTCTATGATGTATATGTGCCACATTTTCTTTATCCAGTCTATTATTAATGGACATTTGGGTTGGTTCCAAGTCTTTGCTATTGTGGATAGTGCTGCAATAAACATACATGTGCATGTGTCTTTATAGTAGCATGATTTATAATCCTTTGGATATATACCCAGTAACGGGATTGCTGGGTCAAATGGTAATTCTAGTTCTAGATCCTTGAGGAATCGCCACACTGTCTTCCACAATGGTTGAACTAATTTATACCCCCACCAACAGTGTAAAAGCGTTCCTATTTCTCCACATCCTCCCCAGGATCTGTTGTTTCGTGACTTTTTAATGATCACCATTCTAACTGGCATGAGATGGTATCTCAATGTGGTTTTGATTTGCATTTCTCTGATGACCAGTGATGATGAGCATTTTTTCATATGTCTGTTGGGTGCATAAATGTCTTCTTTTGAGAAGTGTCTGTTCATATCCTTTGCCCACTTTTTGATGTTTTTTTTTTCTTGTAAATTTGTTTAAGTTCTTTGTAGATTCTGGATATTAGCCCTTTGTCAGATGGATAGATTGCAAAGATTTTCTCCCATTCTGTAAGTTGCCTGTTCACTGTGATGATAGTTTCTTTGTTGTGCAGAAGCTCTTTAGTTTAATTAGATCCCATTTGTCTATTTTGGCTTTTGTTGCCATTGCTTTTGATGTTTTAGTCATGAAGTCTTTGCCTATGCCTATGTCCTGAATAGTATTGCCTAGGTTTTCTTCTAGGGTTTTTATGGTTTTAGGTTTACATTTAAGTCTTTAATACGTCTTGAGTTAATTTTTGTGTAAAGTGTAAGGAAGGGATCCAGTCTCAGCTTTCTACATATGGCTAGCCAGTGTTCCCAGCACCATTTATGAAATAGGGAATCCTTTCCCCATTGCTTGTTTTTGTCAGGTTTGACAAAGATCAGATGTTTGTAGGTGTGTTGTGTTATTTCTGAGCCCTCTGTTCTGTTCCATTCGTCTATATATCTGTTTTGGTACCAGTACCATGCTGTTTTGGTTACTGCAGCCCTGTAGTATAGTTTGAAGTCAGGTAGTGTGATGCCTCCAGCTTTGTTCTTTTTGCTTAGGATTGTCTTGGCTATGTGGGCTCTTTTTTGGTTCCATATAAAATGTAAAGTAGTTTTTTCCAATTCTGTGAAGAAAGTCGTTGGTAGCTTGATGGGGGTGGCATTTAATCTTTAAATTACCATGGGCAGTATGACCATTTTCACAATATTGATTCTTCCTATTGAGCATGGAATGTTCTTCCATTTGTTGTGTCCTCTTTTATTTTGTTGAGCAGTGGTTTGTAGTTCTACTTGAAGAGGTCCTTCACATCTCTTGTAAGTTGTATTCCTAGATATTTTATTCTCTTTGTAGTAATTGTGAATGGGAGTTCACTCATGATTTGGGTCTCTGTTTGTCTGTTCTTGGTGTATAGGAATGCTTGTGATTTTTGCACATTGGTTTTGTTTCCTGAGACTTTGCTGAAGTTGCTTATCAGCTTAAAGAGATTTTGGGCTGAGACGATGGGGTTTTCTAAATATACAATCATGTCATCTGCAAACAGGGACAATTTGACTTCCTCTTTTCCTAATTGAAGACACTTTATTTCTTTCCCTTGCCTGATTGCCCTGGCAAGAACTTCCAATACTATGTTGAATAAGAGTGGTGAGAGAGGGCATCCTTGTCTTGTGCCAGTTTACAAAAGGAATGCTTCCAGTTTTTGCTCATTCAGTGTGATATTGGCAATGGGTTTGTCATAAATAGCTCTTATTATTTTGAGATACGTTCCATTAATACCTAGCTTATTGAGAGTTTTAGCATGAAAGGCTGTTGAATTTTGTCAAAGGCCTTTTCTGCATCTATTGAGATAATCATGTGGTTTTTGTCTTTGGTTCTGTTTATGTGATGTATTACGTTTACTGATTTGCGTATGTTGAACCAGCCTTGCATCCCAGGAATGAAGCCAACTTGGTTGTGGTGGATAAGCTTTCTGATGTGCTGCTGGATTTGGTTTGCCAGTATTTTATTGAGGATTTTGACATTGATGTTCATCAGGGATATTGGCCTAAAATTCTCTTTTTTTGCTGTGTCTCTGCCAGGCTTTAGTATCAGAATGATGCTGGCCTCATAAAATGAGTAAGGGAGGATTCTCTCTTTTTCTATTGATTGGAATAATTTCAGAAGGAATGGTATCAGCTCCTTTTTGTACCTCTGGTAGAATTTGGCTGCGATTCCATCTTGTCCTGGACTTTTTTTGGTTGGTAGGCTATTAATTATTGCCTCCATTTCACAACCTATTATTGGTCTATTCAGAGATTCAACTTCTTCCTGGTTTAGTCTTGGGAGGGTGTATGTGTCTAGGAATTTACCCATTTCTTCTAGATTTTCTAGTTTATTTGCATAGAGGTGTTTATAGTATTCTCTGATGGTAGTTTGTATTTCTGTGGAATCGGTGGTGATATCCCCTTTATGATGTTTTATTGCATCTATCTGATTCTTCTCTCTTTTCTTCTTTATTAGTCTTGCTAGCAGTCTATCAATTTTGTTGATCTTTTCAAAAAACCAGCTCCTATATTCACTGATTTTTTGAAGGGTTTTTTTATGTCTCCATCTCCTTCAGTTCTGCTCTGATCTTAGTTATTTCCTGTCTTCTGCTAGCTTTTGAATGTGTTTGCTCTTGCTTCTGTAGTTCTTTTAATTGTGATGTTAGGGTGTCGATTTTAGATCTTTCCTGCTTTCTCTTGTGGACATTTAGTGCTATAAATTTCCCTCTACACACTGCTTTGAATGTGTCCCAGAGATTCTGGTACATTGTGTCTTCTTTCTCATTGGTTTCAAAGAACATCTTTATTTCTGCCTTCATTTCGTTATTTACTCAGTAGTCATTCTGGAGCAGGTTGTTCAGTTTCCATGCAGTTGTGTGGTTTTGAGTGAGTTTCATAATCCTTTAGTTCTAATTTTATTGCATTGTGTTCTAAGAGACTGTTTGTTATGATTTCCGTTCTTTTGCATTTGCTGAGGAGTGCTTTACTTCCAATTATGTGGTCAATTTTAGAATAAGTGTGATGTGGTGCTGAGAAGAATGTATATTCTCTTGATTTGGGGTGGAGAGTTCTGTAGATGTCTATTAGGTCTGCTTGGTCCAGAGCTGAGTTCAAGGACTGGATATCCTTGTTAATTTTCTGTCTCATTGATCTGTCTAATATTGACAGTGGGGTGTTAAATTCTCCCATTATTATTGTGTGGGAGTCTAAGTCTCTTTGTAGGTCTCTAAGAACTTGCTTTATGAATCTGGGTGCTCCTGTATTGGGTGCATATATATTTAGGATAGTTAGCTCTTCTTGTTGAATTAATCCCTTTACCATTATGTAATGGCCTTCTTTATCTCTTTTGATCTTTGTTGGTTTAAAGTTTGTTTTATTAGAGACCAGGATTGCAACCCCTGCTTTTTTTTTTTTGTTTTTTTTTTTTTTTTGCTTTTGCTTTCCATTTGCTTGGTAGATCTTCCTCCATCCCTTTATTCTGGCCTATGTGTGTCTTTACACGTGAGATGAGTCTCCTGAATATGGCACCCTGTCTTGACTCTTTATCCAATTTGCCAGTCTGTGTCTTTTAATTGGGGCAGTTAGCCCATTTACATTTAAGGTTAATGTTATGTGTGAATTTGATCCTGTCATGATGCTAGCTGGTTATTTCACCTGTTAATTGATGCAGTTTCTTCATAGCGTTGATGATCTTTACAATTTGGCATGTTTTTGCAGTGGCTGGTACCCGTTGTTCCTTTCCATGTTTAGTGCTTCCTTCAGGAGCTCTTGTAAGGCAGGCCTGGTGGTGACAAAATCTCTCAGCATTTGCTTGTCTGTAAAGGATTTTATTTCTCCTTCACTTATGAAGCTTAGTTTGGCTGGATATGAAATTCTGGGTTGAAAATTCTTTTCTTTAGGAATGTTGAATATTGGCCCCCAATCTCTTCTGGCTTGTAGGGTTTCTGCCAAGAGATATATTGTTAGCCTGATGGGGTTCCCTTTGTGGGTGATGCAACCTTTCCCTCTGGTTGCCCTTAATATTTTTTCCTTCATTTCAACCTTAGTGAATCTGACAGTTATGTGTCTTGGAGTTGCTTTTCTCGAGGAGTATCTTTGTGGTGTTCTCTCTATTTCTTGAATTTGAATGTTGGCCTGCCTTGCTAGGTTGGAGAAGTTCTCCTGGATAATATCCTGCAGAGTGTTTTCCATCTTGGTTCTGTTCTCCCCATCACTTTCAGGAACGCTAATCAAATGTAGATTTGGCCTTTTCACATAGTCCCATATTTCTTGGAGGCTTTGTTCATTTCTTTTCACTCTTTTTTCTCTAATCTGGTCTTCTTGCTTTATTTCATTAAATTGATCTTCAATCACTGATATCCTTTCTTTTGCTTGATTGAATTGGCTTTTGAACCCTGTGTATGCTTCACAAAGTTCTCATACTGTGGTTTTCAGCTCCATCAGGTCATTTAAGCTCTTCTCCACACTGGTTAATCCAGTTAGCCATTTGTCTAACCTTTTTTCAAGGTTTTTAGCTTCCTTGCGATGGGTTAGAACATGCTCCTTTAGCTCAGAGAAGTTTGTTATTACCAACCTTCTGATGCCTACTTCTGTCAACTCGTCAAACTCATTCTCCATCCAGTTTTGTTCCCTTGCTGGCAATGAGTTGTGTTCCATTGGTGGAAAGAAGCATTCTGGATTTTGGAATTTTCAGCCTTTCTTCTCTGGTTTCTCCCCATCTTTGTGATTTTATCTGCCTTTGGTCTTTGATGTTGGTGACCTATATGGATGGGGTTTTGGTATGGAATTTTTTTTTTCTTTTTGAGACAGAGTCTTGCTCTGTCACCCCGGCTGGAGTGCAGTAGCGCTCTCTTGGCTCACTGCCAGCTCCGCCTCCCAGGTTCATGCCATTCTCCTGTCTCAGCCTCCCGAGTAGCTGGACTACAGGCGCCCACCAAAATGCCCGGCTAACTTTTTTTATATTTTTAGTAGAGACGGGGTTTCACCATGTTAGCCAGGATGGTCTCGATCTCCTGACCTCGTGATCTGCCCGCCTTGGCCTCCCAAAGTGCTGGGATTACAGGCGTGCGCCACCATGCCCGGCTGGTATGGATGTTTTATTTTGTTGATGTTGATGCTATTCCTTTCTGTTTGTTAGTTTTCCTTCTAACATGCCCCTCAGCTGCATGTCTGTTGGAGTTTGCTGGAGGTTCACTCCAGACCCTGTTTGCCTGGGTATCACCAGCAGAGGCTGCAGAACAGCAAATGTTGCTGCCTGATCCTGCATCTGGAAGCTTCATCCCAGAGGGGCACCCGCCTGTATGAGGGGTCTGTCGGCCCCTACTGGGAGGTGTCTCCCAGTCAGGCTACACAGGGGTCAGGGACCCACTTGAGGAGGCAGTCTGTCTGTTATGGGAGCTCGAATGCCATGCTGGGAGAACCACTGCTCTCTTCAGAGCTGTCAGGGAGGGATGTTTAAGTCTGCAGAAGCTGTCTGCTGCCTTTTGTTCAGATATGCCCTGCCCCCAGAGGTGAAATCTATAGAGGCACCTTGCTGAGGTGCGGTGGGCTCCGCCCAGTTTGAGCTTCCCTGCTGCTTTGTTTGCACTGTGAGCATAAAACTGCCTGCTCAAGCCTCAGCAATGGTGGACGCCCCTCCCCCTGCCAAGCTTCTGCATCCCAGGTCCATCTCAGACTGCTGCACTAGCAGCAAGCAAGGCTCTGTGGGCATGGGACCCACCAAGCCAGGCATGGGAGGGGATATCCTGGTCTGACAGTTGTGAAGATCTTAGGAAAAAGCACAGTATTTGGGCAGCAGTGTACTGCTCCTCCAGGTACAGTCACTCATGGCTTCCCTTGGCTAGGAAAGGGAAATCCCCCAGTGCCTTGCACTTCCCGGGTGAGACAATGCCCCACCCTGCTTTGGCTCACCCTCCGTGGGCTGCACACACTGTCCAACCAATCCCAGTGAGATGAACCAGGCACCTCAGTTGGAAATGCAGAAATCACCCGTCTTCTGCATCAGTCTCCCTGGGACCTGTAGACCAGAGCTGTTCCTGCTGTTCCTATTTGGCCATTTTCGAAGTGACTCCACCCAAGATTAAATTTTTATGGTGGGAGAAGAAGGGGAAAGGAAAGGGAGAGCTATGAGGGAAGAACCTGAAGTGACCCATACCAAGGAGGCAATTGACTTTTTAGATTTGTATTTTATTTTTTCTTAACTATTGAATAACACATAGTAATTTTAGAATTTGGAAAGTATTTCTGAGAATTCAACGTTGTTGGGTCATAAACAAGGCATACATAATGCATACTTAGTATTCTAGAATGGAGAACTTCTGTGAAACACTGGAAAATTCTAAGGCCAATTGAAATTATTAACAGAATATGCTCACTTTAGAAAGCCCATTTTTGAATGATTATCTGAGTCTCCATAGCAATACCAGTGACTTAGACTCAAGGCACATGGGCAAGAGAAAGGTATTTCTACTGCAATCGTATGTCATTGAACCCAAGATACCTTAGATGATAAAATACATCCCAATTTTAGGGATGCTAACATGAAAAAAATGCATCTTAAAATCAATGAAATAAGGGACTATAAATGTTACTTTTTACTGAGAGTTTATTTTGTATCAAGTATCTGATATATAGCCTTTTTAACATGCACCACATTTTTCATGTGGTGTATTCTGTTATTTTTATTTTACACATTAGGAAATCAAAGCACAGAGAAATTAAGGAACTTACATACCATGTCATATAGCAATTAAATGCTGGGGCTAGGATTTCAACCAATAGCAATTTGACTTTATCCATGATGCTATACTGATTTCAGAAATTTTGGAAATACTTTTCCTTAGGTGGAAATAAATAAAAAGTTGGAAAGTGTGTGACGTGCCTTTATAGATACCCAACTGTATAGCCTGGACCATTAGAGATAGCTCAAGATCACTATTTTGCAACCCCCAGGAACTAATGGATACAGGCAATAATTATTGAAAGAGAGATAACAAGACCTTATGTACTTTCTAGTGGAAATACACAAGACCACCTCTGAATTAGCCTTAACAAAAACTACAATAACAAAATCACATCTAAATTTGACCAATCTTCTAGATATAAGCACCCCTATATTTCTAAGGAAATATAGGAGATACAGTAATATATTACCTATCACCATAAGAATGAAGACAGAAAAACCTGGACCATGAGAGTATGTAAAGGACAAACAATGTGGTTTCTTCACAAACCAATTGCAAGGGGAAAAATAAGTCATAGAGGGGGAACCTATTAAAAGAGATTTAAGAAATGTCAATCAATCACAATGAACGAACTTTATTTGTATCCTGATTCAAAACAAATTATAAAAAATTATAAGATAATTAGAGAAATGTGAACACTAAATATCTGATGATATTAAAGAATTATTGTTAATGTTTTAGGTTTGATAATGATATTACAGTTGTTTTTAAAATAGTCTTGTATTTAGAGGTAGTTATTAAGGTATTTGTATAAAAATAATATAATTTGTTTCAAAATAATCTTAGGGTATGGGTAGTGCAGGAAATAGCTGGGGTACAAAATGAAATAATGTTGGCCATGCATTGATGGCCACATGGGACTTATAATACTATTCTCTTTATTTCTACATAGTATAATTTAAATTTTTTTTTTGGCTACAGAGACCAGTTTTAAATTAAGTCACTTGAGTTGCCCTAGCAACTACTTTCAAAGTCCTCACTCTTCTTTAATTACTATTGATCTTTGGCTTCTCTTCTCCATCTAGTCTCTGTCACCTTAGAACTCCCACTCTTTAACACTGGTTACCTACATCATTTTGCCTCTTTGATCACAAGAACCTCTCAACAAGCCTATCCAGAGATTTTAAAGAGTTCCCTCAAGCTCCAGTAGAGAGATGATAAGCCCTGTGGAACAGAAAACTGCCAACCTCACCATCTACCACACACATCAGGAGAATAATGTGTCCATCCATGGGCTACCATGTTCAGCCTTCTTACCCAGAACCTGAGCTGGAATCAACCTGCCCCAATCTAGATGCTTAATGAATTGATCCTTACAACTAACCTAATTTGATCATCCGATGCTTACTCCGAAAGGGAGGCTCAGCCTAGAACAGGAGGATATGTTTTTTATTCCCACTGACCCTTGGCACATGCTATAATCAACCTGGAGGGATTTTCCATTGCTCAGACTAACCTCAGGCCCATACTTCAGCAGGTCGAATCTTCTTAAAAAGTCATCATGGATATGTTCTTAGGAAGCTCCTTTCAGGTAAGATGGAATTCAGCTGTAAGCAGGGGCTCTCAACTACAGCACTACTAACATTTTGGGCTGTGTTATTCTTTGTTGTGGAGGCTGTCCTGGGCATTAACGGTTTTCTTGGCCTCTATTTACCAGATGCCAGTAGCACCTCTTCAGGTGCTACAACCAAAAGTGTCTCCAGGCATTGCCATGTGTCTTCTGGCACATTATAAGCCAGTAACCTGTGAATTACAGAAAATCCAAAATAACTGTGGCTGAAAGAAGGCAGAAATTTATTTTTCTCTCATGTAAATGAAGTCCCAAAATAAGTAGCCCGGCTAGTATGGTGGCTCCATGACCACCAGTGACTGGGGTTCCTTCTTCTTGTCGCTCTATCAGTAACACATGATTTCCTCATTATGGCCCCAAATACTCTAGCTACAACTATAAAGCACAGCTTCCAGACACAGTAAGGAGAAACGGTGAAGAGCCAATGTCCTCTACCTTTAAAGACACTTCCCAGAAGTGACATAGCATGGATATCCCATGCGCCTGAATTAGTCACGTGGTCACACCCGACTACAAGGAAAGCTGAAAAATGTATTCTGTATTCTAGGTAGACATGAACCCAGCCAGAGGTTATCATGGAGGAAAGGAAAACCACATGCTGGGGACTGCTAGTTGTCTCTACTGCACTAAGATAAGCAGGAACCATATCTGATTATCCATGTAATCCCTCAGTTCCACCCGGCCGTATTGAAGTTGGGAGTATGAATGCATGGAGCCCCCTCCCCTTGCCACCATGGTCTCCACTTGGCCTTTGGCTGACTATTGATTCACAGCTCCTTCTCTAACCATCCTGCTCTACCTGCATCCTTTTAAAAATGCTTTCTCTCCTTTTTTATACAATTAACACAAGTTCGCTTTGAAAATATAGATAAAACCAAAGAAAAAAATAAACATCACCCATATTCACACGATATTTAGATCATCGTTGTAAAGTTTCAGCCTATATCTTTAATAAGAGCTATGGTGTGTTCAGTGGCTGCTAAGCGCCACGTACGATCTCAAGTGTTTTACCGGCACCACCTGATTTAATCCTTACAATAATCCTGTCAGGACGGTTATTGAAGTACAGAAAAAGTAACCCTAGTCTGTACTTCCCCAACAATGCTAAAAAATGGCTAGGCCAGACATTGAAGCCAGAAAAAGGACTCCAAAGTTCTTGCTCTTAACTCCTTCACTCCATTTGTATGTATCTACATTTATCTCTCTATTACATATGCACATACACAAGCACAATCGGGTTATATTGTATTATTTTGTAAGCCTTTCCTTTAAACATAACAATATATTATGAATATCTTTCCATGTCTTTATATTTTCTTTTCTTTTGATATTTAGAGACGGTGTATCGCTATGTTGTACAGGCTGGCCTCGAACTCCTGGCCTCAAGCTATCCTCTGGCCTTGGCCTCCCAAAGTGCTGAGATTGCAGATGTGAGCCACTGCACCTAACCTTTATATTTTCTTAAATATAGCTTGGCCTAGTGCTTGAGAGCCTGATTTTTGGAGTCAAACAAATTGGGATTGGAGTTCCAGCTTAACTAGAGTCTCAGCAAGGTGGCTAACTTTTCAAAGCTTTAGTTTTCTCATCTGTAAAATAGAGATATAATATTAATTTATAATCATAAAGTCATTAGGAAGTTTGCACTGATGTTGAAAGTGACCTTATGGATAATCATAATGGTTAATGTTTATTAAATAGCTTCCAGGTATCATCAAAAGCACTTCAACATGCTAGCCATTATGATTTTTCCATAAAGTCATTTTAAATGGCAACAGTCTTGTATTCTATGGAGAGTATTCTGTGCTCTAGTTTACAATCCTGTAACTTATGTCCATGATAAAAGCCAAGGACCTTCCTTAAGTTGTTGGGGTATACTAGATCCTAGGTCCTTAAGGCTGCCAGGAAAACTGCCAGTAATTTCCCTTAAACTCAAAGAGGCAACTGCAAAAATGTCAGTGGATCAGCAGATTAAAGGCCCTTGCAAGACATGACCTGCCTGACAAGCCAGGTTTCCTTATTTAGGCTGATGGTCCTGCCTGTGCCCACCTTCAGCCAAGGATCAAATCACAAGTGGTATCCATACTGGCAAATAGGCAGATTTTGTGAATTTTCTCTCTTAAAGGTGACTGCTCACACTCTCTGCTATCCTTTTAGGCAAAACTCAACTCCCATCCTTTCCGTAATTAAAGTGCAGAAATCAGATATCTGAACTTGACCTTTTCTCTTTTGTAAAGTGGCAACATTGCCTTATAAGGAGAAAATGTATGAGGGAAAAGATGTAAATGACAGATATTTCGCCAGCTTTGGTGGCAGAGTGCAAGGAATCTTTGAAGGGAAGCGGAGGAGTTTGCAAAGAGGAAAAGGCCGCGGCTGCAAAAAGAGGAGGACTTTGCGATGTAGGCAACTTGCCTAGCCTCACACGTTTGCCTGCAGGTCCTACCCTGTGCTCTAGACTGTTTTATAAATTTATTTTGAAATGAATAAACCAGAGGAGCTGCAGTTTTGTTTTTGACCACACGATGGAGCCTTTGCCTCTTAAATGGGAAACGTTTGCCCATCTTTCATGGAAAGCCAAAAGGTTAGGGAGAGAAGTCGTCGAGCATTCCATGATTTTTGCTGATATCTGAGCAGAGCCAGAGCTCCACGTTGCCCTCCATGAAGGAGCTGAAATTAGTTGTTTTTGCGTTGTTTCAATACCACCAACCACTAGCCTACCAGCTATTCATTTGTGCTGGGTTTTGTTTCCTGGGATATTTTTCCACTCTTTTTTTCAGATGAATTCCTCTATTTTTTTTTCTTATTTAACTTGATTCTGAATTTTAAAGGCTAATTAGGGGAAAAAAGATTTGTCAAAAAAGTCATTTGGAGATTTACTGAGAAACAAGTTGACTGACTGCCCTTTTAAGTTTTTACTAAGACTTCCCGTCTTCTGCTCTCATGAGTGTAAATGTTCTTCAGGACTACTCAGTGAAAGAGACATCATGGTGCTTTCACTGACATACACAAACATGCTGCGTTATACACACACACACACTTGCAGACACACACGCCTGCAGGCACACATGATCATTCACACATGTGCACACAATGCATTCATGTTCATGCCAACACACATGCAACCATACATTCTCACACATGCTCATTGTTACACACACACACTTACGCATATACCCACACTCACGCACCTACTCACACATATAAACTCACATGCATAAAATACTCACATCTGTGCTTACTAACCCACAGTCGATATCACACAAATACACTTATACAAACACTTTCACACAAACACACATTCACACATTCACCCACACGTCTTGTCCTCCACAGTATGCATACATACACTTATAAGCACACACACACATACTTACACATACTCTTTCACACGCGGACACACTCTCAAATTCACCCACAGACTTACAGCATGTATTTACATATAGATCCCAAATAAAAAATAGAAAAATAAAACATTTTTCTGCTTCCCCAGTAGTACCTAGCACAGTGCTGAACATCAAGCAAAAGCAAAGAAACAAAAACAAAGCGTTTGAAATAGCAGGAAGAAAACATTTAACTGACCAGCTCTTTTCTGGGTAAATTTATTTTGAAAAAGCAAACATTGGCCCTTTTATCGCTCACCAAAATTTTGTTGTAAATGTCACAAACTGGAATTTGTGGCATAGCATACATAAAAAAGAAGTATCAAAAGTCAAAATATAATGCACACAAGAATGGTTACTTCTCTAAGAAAAATGTCCAAACAAGGCGTGGTGTGACCAATACTTCAAGATTAGCATAATCATTCCCATTTGACAAGGGAAGACACCAACACCTGGAGAAATTAAATGGCTTTTGTCACTAAACTAAAACCTTCTTAGCAGGGAGAATGTCTAACCCATCCCACTTGGTATCCATAATATCAGCAAAATGAATGCCTGCCTGACCCCTTGTTTTCCTCTTCCTCTTCCTGCTGCTCTTCATCTTCTCCTTCTTCTCCTCCTTCTCATTCTCCTTCTTCTTATTCTTCTCCTTCTCCTTCTCCTCCTCCTCCTCCTTCTCCTTCTCCTTTTTCTTCTTCCTCTTCTTATTCTTCTCCTCCTCCTCCTCCTCCTTCTCCTTCTCCTTCTTCTTCTTCTTCCTCTTCTTATTCTTCTCCTCCTCCTCCTCCTTCTCCTTCTCCTTCTTCTTCTTCTTCCTCTTCTTATTCTTCTCCTCCTCCTCCTCCTTCTCCTTCTTCTTCTTCTTCCTCTTCTTATTCTTCTCCTCCTCCTTCTCCTCCTCCTTCTCCTTCTCCTTCTTCTTCTTCTTCCTCTTCTTATTCTTCTCCTCCTCCTCCTCCTCCTCCTCCTTCTTCTTCTTATAATGTCAGTATGATTATCTGTCAGGGCCGGATGCCAAAAAGCATTCCTCTCACACACACTAAGAGTTCAGGCTTAATCTCATAGGCATAAATCAGCCATAAGTCTTAGTGCTGGAACAAACTTGTAACAACCTAAAACCAAGTGGAAGCATATACCCTGTTCCCAAACTGTGTTTCACATGCCCTCAGGCAGCCTCACTTATATTTAGCTTTTGAGTGACCAGGGCTAGCTTTATCTGGAAGAAAGAAAGAGTTTTTGCCTAAGAATAAACTATACAGTGGTTGACTTTCTTCAGCTATTATTTCGAGCTTGAATAGAATCAGAGTAGACTTGACCCAAGATTTCCACAAAAGCAACAAAAGCAGTTGCTCACAAATAGGAACACTTGTGTGCTTTGTGGCTAAGCTGGGGCTGGCATGCCTCTTCTCCACCTTCACCCCTTACCCTGTACGGTCTGCAGTGCAATTAACTGGTATGAGCCGCTCTCTCCAGCAGGCCATGAGCTCCTTGAAGGTAAGGATCATGCTTTGTTCGTGAATCATTCCACATATGATTCATATGATTCATAGCTGGCTCCACACACTGTGCTAGGGCCTGGAGTGACTGAGATGAGTAACACTGGTAGGGCCCTTGTGCTCACTCCGTAGACAATTCCAGTTCAGTGTCTTGAGTGCTATGATTGGGAACGTTCAGGGTGCAGTGGGGGTCACAGGGAGGCCACCCACAGTGTACTCCAGACGGTTTCTTGGAGGCAGTGAGGTCTAGGTCAAGTCTCAGTCAATCTTGAGAGATGTGTAAGAAGGCATTCTCCTTGGCATTTGGTCAATGACTTCACCCCTTCCCTACACGTCTGGTGAAGCAACAATAGGATGAAGGCGATTTGCAGAGAAGGCAGGAGGAAATATGTAAGCCAAGACTGAGAGCCACCTAGTTCCAGGCTCATTTCCCTTGAGCACCCCATTAGCTCTTCCCAAACGCCCACCCCAGAGAGAGCTCCTTTGCTTGGCTCCCCTCCAATCCCCTCCTCTGTGCCCACCTCGCTGGCTCCACCAACCTGTCCTACATGTAATGACTTAGGACTTTTTAAAGTTTCCTCCTTTTCCATCCTTACTTTTAACCCCAACAGCTTTAGTGAAAACTTGCCAGAAACAACCTGCCAGGCCAGCTGAGAGAGGGAACGGCTGGTGGCCCAGTGCTTCCCCGCCGGCCGTTCTCTCCGCAGGTGCCCGGCCCCTGCCTCCGAGTGCGCCTCGCGGAGCGCAAAGCGCTGTCACGACTCGGTGGCCGAGGTGATTAATTAGCGGCGTGGCCGTGCGGGGGACGCGTGCTGGCCTCCACATCTGCCCCGTGCCAGCAGGGGTCAATATGCGGTGTCACTGCTTTCCCTCTCACTCCCTCCAAAGCCTAATTGGCTGTGACACGCGGGCCAGCTGTTGTGAGAGGTGGAGCGCGGCGGGCGTTTTCCAGGACGGAGGCTGAGGGCAGGTTGACGGGCCTGTGGAGAATGTGTGCTGCTTCCTGCAGGCGACCACGTCTTTGTTCCAAGGCTAGGGCAGGCTGGAGGCTCTGGGCACTAGCATTCTGTTTCTTTCTCCTGGCTTTCCTCCTGGTCACAGCCAGGAGGTTGGGTACGGAGGAAAAAGGAGAAGTTTCAGGGGTCCATAAAGGGGCATCAGGCAGCACTCCTGTCCCCTGAACTACCAGAAATCTCTCCCTCTCCCCAAATGAAATCATTGTGCCACTATCAATACTGTGGAATAAATTAGATCTCATTTCTTTCTGCTTAGGAAAATATGGGCTGGGGTTGGGAAGAGAAGAGAGTGAATGGGGTAATTTTGGAAGCTTGGGCACGGGGAGAGTAAGATGCCAGGGCTGAGAGGGGATCTGCACCTCCAAGAATTGGCTTGAGCATAGGAGGGAGATAGAACAGTGCTAGGAGCAGATACAGGCCTGGTATTGGCAAAATCGCAAAGGGTTTTTTCCCAATATGATTAGAGAGGGAATACCCTTTTTAAAAAATAGTCTTGCAAAGATGTTTTAGAATATCTCCCTACTCATAACAGAAGTGTCCTGAAAACCACCCTGATGATAATATTCTAACAGAATGAGCCATGCATCTCCCTGGATTGAGGAGAAAGCAAAGGGGAAGGGTCCTAACATTTATTGAGCCCCCACAGCATGCCAGGAAGGGTCCTAAGCACTGCTCTAATCTTTGGAGAGGCTGAGATAGGCTCCTTGGTCTCTCCAGATCCCGCCACTCAGGATTGACCTAGGTGGCCAGTTTGAATGATTGGTTCATTTGTTTAATTCAGTCCACAACTTTTATGGAACCTAACTCTGGGGCAGACACTGTGATGGGCACCAAGATGAGGAGCTGGAGGAGTCTACAGGTAAGGCTAGGGAGCAAAACAAGGCAACATGACAACCCAGGGTGGGAGGTGGGATGGGAGCGTCAGGGTTAGGGTCCAGGGAGGCTTCCTGGGAAGGACATTCTGAGCTGAGTCCTGAGGCTGAGCAGGCATTCATCAGGAATCAGTGGCAGAATTTGGGCACGGAGAGAGGCAAGCTTAGACCTGGGGCAGGCCAGATCGTTAGTGCTGGGGGGCACCATAGCAATCATCTACTTCCCTCTGCTCAGTCTGGAACTCAAAGAAGGCCAAGAGCTGGGCAGGTATGGGCATTTCTCCCCCTTAACTATATGGACAAAACCTTAAGACCATCTTCCTTTTAGAGAGCTGGAGGGCTGCTTGGGCCCACAAGTGAGAAGAGGGGATTAGAGAGGGCCTGGAGGTCCCTCAACCAGTAGGACAGTAATAACCTCATTAGGAGGGAGGGGGTTTTGTGGCACAGGTAGCATCAGTTACCACCAACGGCCCTGCAGCTGACTGCATGCTGTCAGCAGTTTGAGCAGCCCATAATTGCCTTTATTGCAGAAGCTCCTGCCTCACACCTCACTTCTCATTAGCCCCCTGCCGGGCTGCCACCCTGGCAGATGAGGAAGTGCTGTTGTGTCCTCAGCCCAGCTCCACCTCCTGGACCACCATCCTGCCGCTCCCACCCCTCCCCTACCCAAGCGAACAGTCGCCTTCTCTCCTCATTCTCCTCCAGCCCTTGAATCAGGGAGCTAGAGAGGAAACAGAGAAATTAGCTTCATCCTTGGCTCTCTTGTGTCTAATCATTCTGATGTCCTCATTAAATGTAAAGGAAACATTCTCCACTGTGCTGTCCAGCTAGAGCAGCAGGCACTTTTTACTCTTGGTTAAGTGTGGGCTGTTGCTCACATCACTCAATCAGCTCATGTTTGGACCATGCAGGATGGGCAAGGCACCTTGATAGAGAACAAGGGTGCTCCTTCAGACACTTGCAGTTTAACTGGGGCGGGGTGATATCACAATGTACGAAGGAAAATAACAGCACAGCAATGCAAGAGATGTCTTGATGCTGAGTGAGTAGCTCGAGGAACAAGTAGAATGAATTTAAAGGAAATGAGGAGCTAGGGCTTGACAAATACTTAACTGGCCTACGATATGCTACTGACGAGAGCTACAGGGATGAGTCCAGGTGTGTTCCCCTGACCTCAAGGAGGTCACAGCAGGGAGATGAAGACTGAGTCCTGTGACATTTAAGGCAAAGTGCACAGTGGGAGCAGGGACATTGGGTGAGGGAAAGACCGAGCATGCAGAGAGAGCTGGCAGAGTGGAACAGGGTGGGATGGGGCTGTGACAGAGCGGGCCTGCCCAGTGCTGCAGACCAGCATGGGCACAGCACCTGCTCTAAAAGGGTTTTGCATAATCTGCAGCCACTCCTTTCATTGTACTCTTCTCTTCCTATGTACCACGAACAGCAGGCTCCAACCTAGGGCTTTGTAGCACAGGCCCGGGCTGCTCAGAGCCTGAGGGGCTCACTGCTACTCCTCATCTCCTCTCTGCCTCCCATGTGGCCGGCACAGTGGGTTTCCTTCATTTTCTACATCAGTCTTGTGAGAAGTTGAAATTTCTCTGCATAATGGATTCTCTTTCTCTTAATGTTTGTGGTCCACCTGTTTGTTTTTGGGATTTTTCATACAGAAAGATCCGGGAAGTTTTTTGGAAAGTTAAGGTAAAACAACCAATCACTGTCTAGTTTTAACTATGCATTATCAAGAAATAGGCTTTACTGATTTCCAATCAACTCACTCCTACCATTGATACCACCTCCCAGAGCAGACTAAATTCTTGATGTAATGAGCTAAGCAGTACTTCTGGCATCGGAAAGGCATGCCTTCTTAATTGCTTCAGTTAGGATTCTCATAGCTTTCCTCTGCCTGCCAAGTGCAGAGCCCAGCATTCAGCAAATGTGCTGGTAAAATGGCACCACTTTCTCTGATCCCTCAAGGTCATCCAGTGGAGGTGTGAGGACAGCCAATTAAAGCTGAATCAGGTGCACCTTTGTGAGGGGAAAGGTGATAGCTGAGGCTCAGACAGAATTGAGATCTCTACCACCTGTTCAGCATCTCCACCTGCCATGCAGAGCTTTGCTGAGCTGCTGGAGATAGCAGTCTGTCTAGTCTGTCTTGGGACATCTTTTTCTTCACTTCAGTCTTGCTTGCCTCTCTGAGTTTGGTGTTTGCCTGGCTCTTCTAGCCCTCTATGGCAGCTTTTCCAGAATATGTTTAGTGGAAATCTAGACCCATCAATCACTTAATTTAAAAAAAAAATAAATAATAAAATAAAATAAATAGTTGGGAGATTTCTGGTTCTATCATCATATGTGTTTTGGAATTGTGACCTCCTGCCCCTGCCTCTTGGGAAACCACTGTGCACATTAGCCTATTTAAGGCTCTGATAAGTCTTGCAGCTCAGAAAATCTGGTTTAATTTATTGTAGATGCTAAATGGATTTCATTACTGAGGCCCCATTTTTATGGAACAACTATTAGCATCTCATAGAACTTGGGGTTTGTAGAATACACTTTGGGTAGATGTTGCTGGCCTAAAGGATCATCAATAATAGTTTGAGATATACTAATTTACCAGGCTACCTTGGAAATGCAAAGCCTTCTGGAACCAAAAGAGTAATTCTTTCTTGACAACCAATGGCTAGGCAGATGGCAGCCCCACTCCTATTTTTGAAATCATATCACATGGCTGATCACCTACTCCATACAGTTAACCAACACAGAGAGGGAAGTTAAATAGAGGCACTGGGCTTCTCTTCAAAAATAGAAAGCCTGCCTTATTTTGTGACAGAGACAGAAAGTTGAAATATATCCACTCAAGTAAATTGATGATTTTCTCATACAATTTATTTAGGAAAACAAAAATCCATATGCACACACACACACACACACACACAATGACAATCAAACAAAGAAGGATGGGAAAGCCACCTTTATTTTAATCCAAATTTGCTGTCCAGCATGTAACTGGTTAGCCAAAACAAGCACTGTATATGAACACAAGGAGGTAATAAGTAGTTATTAAATAAACAGTGCACATCATCTCTTTTCCATATCTTCTGAAAACAAACAAAAAGTGAGGTAAAATTGCAGCAAGAGATATTGTTTCATCCATTCTTTAACAAGCATTTATAGGGTACCCACTACACTAAGAAGAAAGAGAATATTTAGGTGAATAAGGTATCAGTCATGCCCTCAAGAACTTAGCAGCTTTGTAGGAGAATTAACATGTAGACTCTGAAACTATAATCATAGAATCACTGGGCTTTAATCAGAGGCTTCTTAGAGGCCATGCAATTTAAGCCATCATGTTGACACATGAGGAAACAGAGGCTTAAGGAGACTGCAGAATGCATTTAAGGCCACATGCCGTTTCAGTCACAGAGCTGAAGCTTGCATTGTCCTCCTGACTCCCACCAAGGCTCCTCCTCCTACTCCATGAAGAGTGTGATAGAGCTCCTAAGAGTTGCAACCAAAGTGCTATGGAGGCTTAGAGGAGAGGCCCTCCAGAAAACAAGACATTTAGGCTGAATCTTTAGAAATAAGTAAAATTTTGACAGGTTGGAGACAGTACTAAAGATGAAAGGGCATTCCAAGAGGATGGAAAAGCAAACAAAAGTTTAGAAATGAAGAAGTGCAGGGCAGATTTGGATTACAGAAAAACCATCCAATTCTTGGTCAGATACTTGGTAGAAGGGAAACATCTTATAATGGAATTGACCCTGAAAGATTGGTAGAGCTAAAACCCTGTGGAGCCCAGTCAAACCAAGGGCTAGATGAGGTCAGCAAGCCATGGTTTGAGCCATGTGCAGGAGCTGTGGAAACTGTTGCATTATCAGGCCAAAGCAAGACATGCTGCAGAAGGATAAGGGCAGCATAGCAGGGAACAGAGGGTGAGATGCTAGAGACTTAGGAGGTGCAGAAGATGAAAATTGTTGGAGTGCTCAGAAGGAAGTACGTCTAGATGGTGAATGACATTAACTCATAGGATTTTTCTGGAGTTGGGATCAGGGGTGATGAAGTCTCCCCTCCACTAAAACTTTTAATAGCAGGTTCAGTGTCATCAATTCATCTCTCAAAGTGCTCTAGTTTTGTGCCTGGTAAGGACTGAAATTGAGGAGGGAGGGTTATGAACCCTCAACATTCTTTTAGCACTTGGGGTAATATAAAACTTGGGAAGAGAATTACCCTCCTGAAGCTTGGCATTATCAGAGTATGCAATTAAAAAAAAACTGAGTATTGACCTCACTCTGACAGGGTGTCATCATACTAATGATTTCAGATTCCTTCTCTTTCATTCATATTCTTTCTTTTTAAATTAAACAGATGCCCATGTATACATATTTAATTGCTGGGAAATTCTTCATCAAGGAAGACCTTGGTGATCAAACAATGCTTGATCAGTATTTCCATTTGCTAGAACTTTTTCTTGGCATCTTTTGCAATATTGTTTTGCCTAGCATTGGAGAGATTTACAAGTGGATTTTTCAAATACTCTTTCAAACTGATCACATGAGTCACCTCATATTTGAATATAAGCAAATAATCTAAGTAAAATGTTTTGATGCTTCCAAATATTCAGACACTTGTCATTGTAGAGTCAAGATACTCTACAATATAAGAGACTCATATATTTTTACATAGCTAATGATACAGATAGTCAATATTATGATGACACAGGCTCAGAACTGGGTCACAGTTTAATTATTTGGCAAGAAGAAACTGATTTGAGTGTTCTTTGCAAATTCACTTTTGTGATTCTTGCCATTCTTGCACAATGCTATTTCATACCAACACACACACTCTTTCCCAAAGAGGTCTTTATCTGAATGCCAGCAAGGCTGTGAAAACACCTCCAATCCCTGTGACCACAGGGTTTACTGCTGTTTCTGAGAGGGGAAGGAGAGCTGAAGGACCCAGCCTTATGTTCAAAGCATAAAATCAATAAGCCCTTTCTAACAAATTAAGAAGAAATGAAAGGAGGGGGAAAACAAAGAAGGAAAGAAAGAAAGGCAGAGACAAGGAGGAAAGAAGGAGAATGATTCAGGATAAACCCACTCTGTGCTGATATATGCTCTGCAAAATAATAAAGAAACACATAGAAGCCCGGCTGTGCATGTGTGTAAAGAAATCACGTGCGTATATCACAGTAGTAATTAAAACCTCTCAGTCAGATGCTATAGAGAGATTAGTTGTCACATTGTGTTAAAGGAATCCTTGCCTTATTCCCTAGAAGGGGACAGACTGCCTGCCGTCCTGTCATCTGTTCCTGTGCTAGAGTGACCCTCAGCCAAAATGCCTCACTGACAGATTCTGTGCACAGAAGAAGCCCTTTGCAACTCGGGACCGTTCTGCCACTAAATAAGAGAAAAAATGGATCACATCTACATGCCCAGATACTCTAACCTTGTGTCCCAACAGTCAACCCAGTTGTCTTCAACGAAGACCCTAAATGCTATGCAAAACTCTCACTTTCCAGTCTTGCTTTTCAGGAAGGTCAGTTGAGAAATTCAACAGGCAACCAGGAAGGGGCAGGAGTAAAGTGGTACAGCAGAAAGAAACTTGGTCTGGAATTCAGGGGATAGTTTCTGGTCCTCAGCTCCATCAGGGAGTATAAAACCTTAGCTGAGTACCTTGATTTTCTCATCTATAAACTGAGGGGATCACCTGGTTCCAAGTCAACCACAATTCTGTTATCCTCACCAAGTACAACAGATGATGTAGTCAATAAGCTGAATGAAGAGCAATGAGGTCTATGGACATTTTTTCCTTGCCAAATAACCTGTTGATTCAGTCAAATATTTTGTCAGCCTACTGAAAGGGAAAAAACCCTGGTTTTCTTTATCTGCCCATTTGTTCAGAACTTGAATCTATTCCTTGCCCTCCAAAAAATGTTGATGCAAATTGATTTTATAATGATGATGACCATGAAGATTTTTTCTTCCTTTAAATTCAAACCTTTCTTTTAGGAAACCTTTGCATGTTAACTACACGATTGTAGAAAATGAAAAGTTAAGTGAAATTGCTGAAATGTTAGGTTCACATGACACCACAAGTCTCCATCCACATGGTCCAGTACGAAAGGGTACTGGGCAATCCCACAGTGACAGATTTGGCCTTGCTTGGTGCACGTACTTCAGGGTGGGAAGGCTGACTCTGGTACCACTTACTAATCAAGATCAATGGCTTTATTTACCCTCTGTGTTCTCACTACTGACTCACCATCTGTAAAAATGTGAGTTTCCCACAGTCCAAGGTTTGTTCATAAAACTTACGTGTTCAGACACTGGATCCCATCTGATGGTCCAGAGTTGATGAGACTCAATAGCAACAAATTACTGTAAGAGACTGCTGCTTGTTCCAACCGGCAGTTGCTCTCCCTTTCTTCCCCAGAAGTCAAGTTTTAGCTGGCTACCTAGCCACTCAGTATGGCCATCTGATTAGGTTCTGGCCAATGGAATGTGAGTAGGAGTTATGTGTGGCACTCTGGATACTCCTAAGAGGATTGGGCATATACTTCCCCGGTCCTTCTTAAAAAATCTTCCCACTGCACTACAGGGTGAAGCACTGGAGAAAATACCTTTGTCCAGAAAGGAATAACACCTTTTAAAGGGATGGACTGCACCGGGTGCGGTGGCTCATGCCTGTAATCCCAACACTTTGGGAGGCCAAGGCAGGTGGATCACTTGAGGTCAGGAGTTTGACACCAGTCTGGCTAACATAGTGAAACCTGGTCTCTACTAAAAAAAATACAAAAATTAGCCGGGCGTGGTGGTGCGTGCCTATAGTCCCAGCTACTCGGGAGGCTGACACATGAGAATCACTTGAACCTGGGAGGTGGAGGTTGCAGTGAGCTGAGATTGAGCCATTGTACTCCTGCCAGGGAAGACAGAGTGAGACTCTGTCTCAAAAAAAAAAAAAAAAATGTAGAGTGCTCCTACCAGCCCTGAGCAACATAATTACCACTGGACTACTCTATGAGAGAAAAATTTTTATCTAATTTAAGTCAGTATGTTTTGGGGTCTGTTTGTTACAGCAAGTTAGACTGTGGTGTAACTAATATAATCAGACTGCCATGCTTGCACAAAACTGATGTATAAACCAAATGCTAATTTCTTTGTAATTCCCACTGCTACACATTTCCCAAAACAAAAATGTTTAATTCCTTCCATTGAGCATTCTTTTCCTGTTCAGTATCCAAGACCATGGGAAACTGAATTAGAAGCTCTTTTATCCAATACTATTAGAACTGATGGTTGGTTGTTAACTTAGACAAATTAGTTAAAGCGAAGAATCATTTTAAAACGATACAAACACATATTAAACATTTTTATTTGAAAATATGTGGGAAACTTCCTGAAAGTCTCTTGAAAAGAGAGAGAGGGTTTGGGCTCTTTATCCTGCTGCTGAATGATTGGAGCTCTGGAAGCTATATTGGACCACAGGGATGACAGTCACTTTCCAGGGATAGCGGAGCAGAAACTAGGAGGGAGCCTGAACCCTCTGCAACCTTATGGAACTGTCATGTGAGCCTGGACTGCCAGCTTCCAGACTTCTGTTCCATGGCAGATACTGTGGGCATGTATGCTTTATGGAAGGAATGGAGAGTATTGGTCAGTTCAGCACATTGATCGAGGAGTAATCAGTTAACAGTGTTTACAGAGAAATTAGATTCTGGAACAAGCACAGGTTTAGATCAAAACAAATTATATCTCTCTGTGTGATATTTCATTCAAGTTACAGAAAGGCTTAATGAATGTCTCTATCCTACGGTAAAGTATGTCTCTCTTGTGACCAGAATTTTTGTAACCACTGACTATATCATTTCATATTCTCTCTGTTAGTACTGAAAACTGCTGACAAGTTTTTTAAATTTCTGATTGTTTTTAAAGTCACCATGAGCCCAAAGTATAATGTAAGACAAGTTACTATTAAATTGAATGGTTTGCAGTTTAATTGGTCTTCTTAGCTACAAATGGTTCTTTTATGTGCTGGCTATAATCATTTCCTTGGCTTCATTAGCCAGGTTCCAAAATTAGCTGAACTAAAATTACTGAAAGAAAACATGCCACCAACTATGCTTGGTTAAGGATAATACCAAGGAGGAGTTTATGTAGCTTGCAAAGGTCAAATCAGAAGGGATTTGAAGTTCATTTACAGACCCCTGCATTGCTTCCTAAGGAAAATTCCACCTAAGCTAACCCGAGACATGATATAGAATCATCTTGAAAGACCTGCCATGGAAGGCAGCAAAATGATTAAATAGCTAAAATGAGTGCTTGTTCTGTATTATTCTTTAAAATGATTTAAAATAAGATAGGAAGCTATAGTCATGAAAATAATGAAATAATTATAAAAAGATGAGCTCTACTGTTCATTCATTTATCCCTTTATACATTTAGCAGTATACATTTAGCAGATGTTTATTGAAAGCCTCTGATGTACTGTCCTAAGGGCAGGGTGTCGCAGCAGCAGCTAGCTGACCAACAGAGATGTATGTTCCCTTTCCATGGAATCGAGCTGTTCCCCTACCAGAACTACACGCTGAAGCCCTTGTGCATCTCAGCGACCAGTTCTGGCTCATGTTATGTGACTGTAAGTGATGTGTGTTACTTCTAAGCCAAGATTGTTAATATCCATCATGCCTTCTCCATATTCTCTTTCCTTCTACAGTGACCTTGAAGACTCTGTTGAAGATGCTGGCATCACAAGATGGAAGGAACATGGGTCCCTCAGTCACCACTTGCTGGAAAACCTCCCCAAAGAATCAACAAACCAGGAATACCATATTGGATTTTAGTATGAACAAGAAAAAATACATTTATTCTGTTAAGCCACTGAGTTTTGGGGTTGTTTTTCTACTGCATTTAACCTACCTTGGTAATACTAGATAGATAGGACTGGGGATTATAAATTTCTCATTTATTGCAGGCAACTGATCCCATTATTATGATCTTATTCCACTGTAAGGCAACTTTGTTAGAAAATATTGGGAGTTTATGAAAACCTCCCTCTGAGTATCTTAAAAGCCTTCTTTATACAACAAAATCTCACGAAAGAATGAGAACAAACCCAAACTAATTGCATTTTGGCAAACATTTCACACATATATTTGCAAGTTAAAATCTCTATAGGCAATTGCCTAGTTTACGGAATGGAATGTTGGAAAAGATTGCAAATGAGACAATCGGGTGGATGGACACTTTTAGTAGGACTATTTGCAAGGTCTGGAAAATTTAGCACTGATCATTTAACTGTCTATTTATTTCCTCCCACCCATGCCCCCCAAGCCTGCAGATATGTATGATTTATGAAAAGGATACAGTGTCAGGTGAGGTGTGATGGCATGCAGAACCTGAAGCCATGGACACCCAACACTCAAAGAATGAGGCTTGGAGTTTGGGTCTTCAGAGTGCCGACTCATGACCTGTCTACCTCTCTATACAACTTCTGACCTGCTTTATCTGACCTAGACTCACAAGCTAGAAGATGAGAGCAGCATGGATAGTAAAAGGCAAAATATTTATACGATCTGAAGAGAAACTAGAGCATAAGATGAGAACAGCACGGATCAATAACCGAAATAAAAACTTCACAAAACACCATTACTACGTGCAATGCAGTCAAATATTTTCTTATTGCTTTTATACAATACTAAATGAAAGCTGATAAACTCTTTTCACAACCCCCTAATAAATTAGAATTCTCAGTTAGAAAACTGTCTCATCTAAGCGTGTGTTATCCTTTCCTGTTAAAGTTCCCTTTCCACTGGTCCTCTCTCCTTAAATAAAGCCTGCACTTAAGAAGGGACATGGTCTCAGTTAACTCTGTCATACGGAGAACTGGAGTAAAATTGTTACTTTCACAAGGAACAGCTGAATTTTTATTCTTTCTTTTCTTTTTTATTTTATTTATTTCTTTCTTTTCTTTTTCTTTCTTTCTTTCTTTTTTTTTTTTTTTGACGGAGTTTTGTTCTTGTTGCCCAGGCTGGAGTGCAATAATGTGATTGCACTTGGCTCATTGCAACCTCCGCCTCCTGGGTAGAAGGGATTCGCTTGCCTCAGCCTCCTGAGTAGCAGGGATTACAGGCATGTGCCACCATGCCCAGCTAACTTTGTATTTTTAGTAGAGATGGGGTTTCACTGTGTTGGTCAAGCTGGTCTTGAACTCCTGATCTCAGGTGATCCGCCCTTCTCAGCCTCCCAAAGTGCTAAATTACAGGCGTGAGCCACTGTGACTGGCCTGAATTTTTATTCTTAAAGCTGAAAGAAATCTCAGATTTTTTTTTCTTGCAATAGATGATTTAATAGGTCAGCTCAAGAAGGTTAAATTTCTTGGCATAGCTGGTCACAGAGTTGGAGATTAGAACTCAGGCCTCATGATATGGGGACATTTTCAGTTATTACTCTGCCACCTCTCTGAATGAGTGCCTGTGTCCTCTCATAATCAATTTTGAGATTAGTAAGATGGGAAGAAAGAGTTTTGCAGAGGAATGGTATTGGGTGCCAGGAAACTCTCAAATTGTATTTATTTGTTTGTTTATTCATTATCTATTTATTTTGATGATCCAATAAGATGCTTCATTGACTAAAAAATTTATTCCTTCATATAGTTCTATGGATTATATTTTATTGTGGCAAAACACATAATTTACCATCTTAAGCATTTTAAGTATACAGTTCAGTGGTATTAAGTACATTCGTATCATGCAACCATCATCACTAGCCACCTCCAGAACTCTTTATCTTTCAAAACTGAAACTGTATACCTATTGAACAGTAACTCTCCATTCTTCCCTCCCATATCCCCTGACAACCACCACTCTGCTCTCTTTCTCTACCTCAAGTTGTCTTTTGGGGTTGTTTTTTTACATCTAGACCACCCAGCAAGCAGACATGGAGTGGGCAGGTGGGTTGGCTGGCTAGCTCCTTGTAGAGGCTCACAGCATACTGATTTTCAATGTCACCTCTTAGCTCGGCAGGTGGCGCTCTCTGACATCAGTTGACTGAGGCAGCTCATGGAATTAAGAGAACTGTTCATGCAAGTAAGCCGGAGCTGGTGTGGAAGGTAAGAAAGGGCAGGGAGAAAGTAAACACTGATTGGTGGCTCTGCACTCTGACCACAGAAGCCACATCCCTGCAGACTGGCAGAGGCAGACACTGTGACTGACAGCAATAAAGACAAAGCAGCTGGTGCCCCATTAATAATCACAGGCTCCAGGGAATTTGTCCCCCTAAAGATGAGGACAAACGGTGCAGGCTGTCATCAGGGTGTGCTGGGAACACCCTCAGTCACCCTGGAGGCACGACTTCATGCCCCTCACCTTTTCAACTTGCTTTTCTAGGCGCCTGTGACATTTATTTCCTGACCTCAGGGTGACATCTCATAAAGGCAAAATTATCCTAACCCAGTACCTTCGAAGCTATCAGAATTAATCCATGTAACTCATTACAGTAAATGACAACAGCTATGATGGACAGAGCTGTAGGGAGACGTAGAGTTCTCATCTTACCCCTGTCCAGTTTGTCCCAAACAAAATACATTTCTATTACACACTTAATCCCTCTTGTTAATGGCAGTCTCGTTTTATACAGACAATGGAAACAACTTACAAAAGTCACACTACAAACCAGAAAGAGCCATTGCCAACAGTAGTGAGGAAGGAGTGATAGCCATGAGTGATCAGCGTTACTAATGGTACTCATTAAAGGTACATTCAAGCCCTAATGAATTGCCAGCGTGGATGACTCTACCCAAGAAACCAGTATTAAATATTCACGGAGAAAACAACAGGGCATCATCCTTAGTTTGAACTCCATACAAAGAGACTCTGAAAGTAGCCAGTTCATAGACTCAGCACTCCTTAGGAGTGTTGTAGAGTATGAATTGCCAAAGAATGTACTTGTATATCTGGATGATATATACTAAAGACATTTCTATTTGAAGCCAGAAACTTTAGCTAGGCACGGTGGTGCACACCTGTAATCCCAACACATTGGAAGACCAAGGCAGGAGGATTGCTTGAGCCGAGGAGTCTGAGACTAGCCTCAGTAACATGATGAGACCATGTCTCTAAACTAAATAAATAATAAAAAAATAAAAATTATATGAAGCCAGAATCTTTGGTTCACATTCAGGCTCCTCCTCTCACTAGCTATTAAAATTGAATAAGATACAAGCTGAGCCTATTATTTTTGTTGTTGTTGTTGTTTGCAAAATGTATATAATACCAACTGCCTCTGCCTTCTTCATGGACCTGGAAGGATGAAATGAAATACTGTAAATAAAATCACCCTAGGCCAAGTGCAGTGGCTCATGCCTGTAATCCTAGCACTTTGGGAGGCTGAGGCAGGCGGATTGCCTGATCTCAGGAGTTCGAAACCAGCCTGGGCAACACAGTGAAATCTCGTCTCTACTAGAATACAAAAAATTAGCCAGGTTTGGCAGCGTGCACCTGTAGTCCCAGCTACTCGGGAGGCTGAGGCAGGAGAATTGCTTGAACCCAGGAGGCGGAGGTTGCAGTGAGCCGAGATCGTACCACTGCACTTCAGCCTGGGCAACAGAGCAAGATTCTGTCTCCAAAAATACAAAATAAAAAATAAAAAAAACCCCTAACCACAAATAGTAAAGGCTACACTGATCCCTGTATAGAGGCACACGTGGGCACACACACACACACACACACACACACACACACACACGGAGAGAGAAAGAGGTAAAGCATTTTTATTTATTTCATTATAAGAATTCTTCAGCAGTGCTTATGAGAACCTCTGCCTGCTCTTCTGCCCTGGGGATATTCACCACAATTCTACGAAATGACGCAAGTTGCAGAAAATGTAGAGCCATTTGCAGGACTTTGATACATCTGAAAAAGAGGATGTGTAAGGTAACCACTTTGCAATGTGTGAGTTGAGGGAGAGGGTACATATACTACAAAGTTATACACAAGGTTTTTCCTGATACATAGAATAGATGCTATGAATTCCCAGAGTTCAGTAGAGACCTGGAATCACACTTGCTATAAACTACAAAGAAAAATGTCATGTTCTTGCTTGTGATGCCAGTTTTGCTGGCCTGGGTGGTGAAGGCTGTGGAGTCTCTGCTTTCTCATGGGCTTCTGCATTCATGCATTCCCATGTGCTTATGGGCAACTGTGATGCTTACACAGGGAGGTGTTTAACAGATATCCGAAGCATGATTTTTAAAGAGCAAAAAGTAAATTAGACTAGATCATTCCAACCTGAAAGTTGAAAATAATGTAAGAACAAAGGATCTGTGAGCAAATTACATGGATCTGTGCACACACTTATCCTCGCACATACAATATACATGTGCATGTATCTTCTGTGATGCCTTTATTTGAGTATTTGCCTACTAATATTCCAAATCATGTATCTATTCTAAATAGTACTTCCCACCAAACATTGCTTGTTTTTCTGTCTCTCCTACTATAGGGAGAGTAGTAGGAGGGCCAGGACAATGTCTAATTAATCACTATATTTCCAACAGCAAACAAAATGCTTAGGTTAATAACTATTAGTAAAATGAATGAAGGATGAACATGGCCACTCTCACCTCTCCTGAAAGAGAATTTTCTAAAGCATTAAAAACACAGTTATTTGTTTTTATGAGAAAATTGGATGAATTGCAGAGGCAGTTTGAGCAATTTATTTTGGGGGCAGTTTTAAAAATAAGGGAGATACCTCAGATGATATAAGTGCCATCTTATTAGAAGGAAATAGCATGAACTAAATCCATGGACCCTCTGTGCTAGAATCAACAATGGGATTTTAGAAAATATAGATTCCTGGGCCCAAGACCTAGAGATTTCTGATTCAGTAGATCTTGGGGTGTGGTCCTGGTATCGGTAGTTTTTTAAAGTCCCATAGGTGATTCTAGAAGTTATTAGACTAGGGACCTTACTCACCTTCAGGGCAAGTTCAGGCTGGGTCTGATTTGAAGATAAGTCTTGCTTTGTCTAGATTCAAATCAGAAAAGTCTTCCTGGTGAGAACTCAAGATGAAATGAAGATGTTGAGCAGTTGGCTACTTCTTCTGGTTTTAAATACTTGAGATTACAGAGCACGTTTAAGCTTCTGAAGAATCATGAGTTCAGTCTTTCACTGAGGGTCTTGGATGAGAAAACTCTCTTCAGAGCCGAGAGCAGATGCTGGGATGGAAGAAAAAAGGATAGGATTACAATTTAAGGTGAAATAAGTGAACGAATGAATGAGAAATAAAGGGCACAGGGAAATTTTAAAGAGGTTAAGGAGCAGAATTTTTTTTTTTTTTTGTAGTTTGTTACAGGGAACAAATGAAGAATTTATCTGACACTTAAATTGTTCCAAATCCTAATGTTTTTCCACTGCACCCACTTAGGGAACAGGTTTATTCAAATGTTGCAAAGGAAGACACTAAGGGATGGTGAGGAGAAGTGACTTACTTTGCAAACAAACCAGGTAATCTGCTCTTTTCAGTTGTCATTAAGTAATGGTTAGCAGAGACGGAATCATCTAGACCAAGTTTTAGGCTAATTGGTTCTGTATTTATGGTACAGACTCACCAAATTTAGTAAAATATAAGCATTCATTCAGTCGACATTTATTGGACAATTACCTTGTGAAGATCTCTGCTAGGCAGTCTGGAGATTCAGATATGAATTTTACATGATCCCCACCCGCTGTAACTTACTCCACGAAATCAATACCTTAGAGTTTTGTAGGTCTTTGGATATTACAAATTTCTTACATCATCTCCTTTCTCCCTTCCTGTATCCTCATTTTCCCCCCTTCTTCCTTTACCACGATAACCATATATCTCTGTTCCAGCTACACTGTCTTACTATTCTTGAAACACACTAGAAATGTTCCTGCCTCTAGGACTTAGCACTGCCTGTTCCCTATGTTTTAAATGCTCTTCTCCAGACATCTGCATGCCTAACACCCTCGTCTGAAAGTTTTTGTTCAAATCTCACTTTCATAATGAGGCCTACCCTCACTAGTCTATTTAAAATTTCAACCTGCAGCGCCCCACGGATATTTCTGATGCCCCTGGCTATGCTCTTTTTTTTTTCCTTAACTCTTATATCCTTCTAACATATTGCATAATTTACATATTTATTGCGTTTGCTGTTCATTATTTTCTGTTTCCTAGTAGAATATAAGTCCTTAAAGGTAGAGAGCCATTTCCACCTGGGTCAGAGGAAGACGTGGCTACAGAAGAGTAGACAGATGCAACATTGCTGGCTTTGTAGATGGAGGAAGGGAACCATGAGCCAAGAAATGTGGGCAGCCTCTAGATGCTGGAAAAGGCAGGAAAATGGCCTTCTAGAGCCACGAAAAGGATCATAGCCTCTCTACACCTTCCTTTTAGTTCAATGAGACCCGTATCAGACTTCTGACCTACCTCGCTGTCAAATAATAAATTTGTGCTGTTTAAGCCACTAAATTTGGAGTAAATTTTTAAATAGTAGGATGGAAACTAATATAGGGTGGAAACCAACGTCCATGTAACTTTCCCCCATTGGCTCTAGATCTGCCTCTGGAGTAACCAAAACACATCTGCTTCCTTCTGCCCCATGGCAGACATTAAACTATTTGAAAACACATTTCAGATCCTCTGTAAATCTTTAAGTTGCTAGCTAAATATTGTTATTGTTTTCTTACGTGACGGTTTTCAGACCTCTCATCATTATAACTATATTTTCGTTCTCATCCTTATCCAGAAGACATTAGTACCCTTAATTCACTGTAGAGTGTAATACAAGGGAATTGGCCTCTAAAAATACTCTAGATTACCAAGACCTCTGCTAGAGCACAGCTGTTGCCACCAAGCCCACCACTGTGCTGCATGTTAATGGAACGCCACATGGCTCTGCGGAAGCCTTATTGTGGGGCAGTGGAAAGAGCAGTGCTTTGGAATCAGACTGACCTGACTATGAACTCTGACGTTTCCACTTCTTGGCTACATGATCTCAGGAAAATTAATTAGCTTTCTGTGTCTTGAACTCTAACTCATCTGAAAAAAAAATCCTTATAGGTTGTAGGAAAAAAACCAAAATATTTGAAAATATTTTGCAGAAGGAAGGCATTCATTAAAATATTTTGGTTTCTTTTTTCTATAGTTCTCAACATTATGTTTTCATTCATGCAAATCACATTTGAACTAACTCTTTGGGCGAGATATTGCATCTCAGGCTCATATCAAGTTTACAATTGCCTAAAAGCCTTAGGTTCTTGTTTGTTTGTTTGTTTGTTTGTTTGTTTTTTTAAGGGTATGCTCATTAAACCACCTTACCCTATTCTGTACTGAACACTTAGTGATTTTATCGTATTTTTATCTTGTTAGGTTTAGTTTACTGGCTGAGTCCTCCCACACCTTTGCGACTCTAATTTTTTCATTCAGTGTATTAGTTAGCAGGGCCAGCTTCAAACCATGAATTTGTCAAATGCTTCATTAAATGCCTGTAATACATTCATGCTGGATCTGAGTCCAAGTGTTCACAAGCCAGCTTCTCAATGACCATAGATCTCAAGATTCCTCAGAAATTACTCAAGATCTTTCCAGCCAGCTCATATGCAAGTTCTCTCCTACCCTGAAAGTAGATGGATCCACCCAGGAGACTTGCACGCATATAGATCCCCTAGTTTCTCTTTTGTCACCTCTCCCTTTCTCCAGAGTTTAACTTCTGTCCCATCAATATCGATGCTCACCTTTACAGCTGAACAGTCCTTCTCCTTAAATAAGAATAGAAGCAAAACAAGTATTGGAGAGTTCTGTTTTCTCTGTGACCTGTTACCATTTCAATATTAGCCTACAGCAGAACTGTCCTTTCACTGTCGTTGTTGTTGTTTTCTTGCTCAAAACCTGTGTGTTGCCATCTGACACCTTTTGGTTTATTTGCAGTTTGCCCCCTCTGCCCCCCAAAGTGGTCAGTGGCATGGCGCCTGTTCATCTTTTTTTATATTCATCTCTCTCTATGTCTTTGACCTCTGAACTTGCAGATACATTTTCTGGAGACAACCTTGGTCTTTTGTGAATATTCTTTTCCTCTTTCCTACTATATTGGAATTTGTTTTTGAGAACTTCTGTGTAAATGAGTCCCCCTTGGTCTTAGTCTGTGGAGTTTTTCCTACCTTTTCTCTGAACTTTTATTCTGAGTGTTTTGAAATTATATCTCTAAAATATAAGGGACATATCTAACTCTGCCCTACACTCTTGGGGACTATGAACAGTCAAGTGCTGAAAATATAGAGCTTGAAGAGTTGAGTTTTGTCCTAGCTCTTCAGACATGATATTGAACCATCATTGCCCACTCCTCATCACTTAGAACACCAATGGAATCTTCCCCCTTCCTATAGAGGAAGTGGAGGGCTCTCCTTAGCCTCAGAGGGAAGACAGGCCTTGAGGGGAGAGGAGTGGGCCTAAAATCCAAAAAGTGATGGCTCCTTTTATCTCTTGCAGAATTATTTTCCCTGAAGTCCAGAGAAATCTATTCTCTGGTCAAAAACCATTGTCCCCCTCTTTCTCTTTTCTCTGTACTTCCCTATTCAGATGCTATCTGCAGCAGGACACTGAGGTGCAGCAAAAACACTGTGGCTAAGATCCTTGGCTCTGGAGGCAGACAGACCTGAGTTTAAATCCCAGACTCTCTGAGCTTTAATTTTTCTCATTTATAATATGTGATAATGACATAACCTGCCACGGAGTAATATTGTGAGAACTGAATAAGAACTAAGTGAGATAATGTTTGTAAACCACTCAGCTCAGTGTCTAGGAACTAACAAATGCCAATTAACATCAGTTATTATTACTCACTGGAAATATGTCCCTTCAGTGTAAAGACCCAAGCTTGTATCTAGCCATTGAGTCTGCCTACAAGTCAACTCAGGCCACCATATGGTCCAGGCAAGTGAGTATTCAAGAATGAATGCTCTATCGTGGGTTTTTTTCTTCTCATTAGTTTTTTGGATTTTTTTTTTTGTTTGTGTTTTCTTTCAAATGCAGTTCTCTTTCAACATTGCCTGCAATAAGCTGTGGTGCAGAGATTTGGGGGTGGGGGAGGCACATGGAAAAAAAGAAAAAAAAAGAAAACCCGGGCAATTGCACAAAGCCTTTCCCTGGAAAGCCCAGGCTCTGGGTGGTCAGGACACATGGCTGCCCTCCTCTACACCTAGAGCTCCAGCTTTGATGGTCAAGGCACAGATGGGGATTCATCCCATTCCCCACATAAAAGAGCTCTCTGGGAGTGGGAGAATGGCTGGGGTTGTCTATACAGGTGTGTATGTGTGTGTATATATACATGTACACATATATATGTACACATATAATTGGCTATATTAGAAAATTCTCTCTATGTATAAATATAAAACGCTGGTATTCAAACACGACGCCAATGGCTAACTAAAGTGCCTGGCCTTTAAAGATCCTTGCCTGTGTGCATTTGCAGGGAAAACTGTTCAACCTGAGTGCCCAGAATGAGGGAGGGGGACTGGGGAAGCAAAACAATGGGGATCCCCTCTGTGGGCAGGTGGTGGGAGGAAATTGTGTGCTGGCCAAACAGGGCCACCAAGAGCATTCGGGCTGCCCGAGTCTTCTTGGTCCTAGGGCTGTCATTAACAGAAGCAAACAAAGAAAGGGACAGAGCACAAAGTGGCAGGTTCTATGGTCTATTTATAGAGATGGCTTCAAATCCGAGTCTACGAAACATGAAGGCCAGAGCCAACGTGGCCTTTCCATGGATCTACAGTCAATCTATCAGAAAAACTCAGTGAGCCAGGTATTTGGCTCCATTGCCCAGTTGTCCCTGGGTAGTTTATTGCAGACCCCTGTAGAAAATACTTTCATTTAATCAGTTTACACAGAAACCAGGGAATGGTGAGGGGTGGTTTTGTTTTTTACATCTCAGCACAAGGATGGGTTTGAGAGAAGAAGAATACAGTGGAGGAGGACAGAAAACACAGCTTACCTTTGTCCATCTGTCAGAGCTGGCACCAGGTTTTTGGCAATCTTTTGGGATCCTCTTTGCCTGGGCTGGGTTGACTTGGCCCTGTCCGTTTAAGAATATTTGATTTGATTGCAGAGCAAAATGCTTCTGAAAAGCTGGGCTATTATCCCTGAAATAGAAAAATTAAAAAAATTTGAAAAGCACCTTTGAAGTCAGCTACCCAAATGAAACCTGTGACATCAGAGAGATGGCAGATAAATGGAGGGCAGAACAAGGCAGCCATTGACCGTGAGGCAGGCCAGGCTGATGCCACACTTTACACCCTACCAATATAAGTCAAAGATGAAAGATGCTCTGGGCAGCCCGCCTGACCCCTGGGCCTCTGTTATCTCCAATTGATTGCACAGTGTTTTGCTCTGAACAATCCCTCACTGTCTACCTGGTGCAGGTGAATCTCAGCAGAACAGGGGCTTGGGTGGCTTGGCGAGGTTATGGGAATGCCATGCATAGCACAGGGGCCCAGAGGAGGGCTTGCTTGCATGAAGTGCCGTCTTTATTACTTCTCTTATCCCTTGGATGCTGGGAACAGGGCAGCTAAGTGCAAATCAGGGGCAGCAAAAAAGGCCAGGGCGTGTATGGTGACAGACAGGCAGCTCTCTCTCCTGTTTGGAGACTATCAGAGATTGAAGACAAGCTCCAGCTGCCACTCTGCCCCCTGAATATTTCCATACAATGTACCAGAACCTTGGACAAACCTGGATCCCTTAATACACAACAACTCATTACTGGACAAGTTTAACTGCTAAGGATAGTCTATCAGTCGTTCTTAAACCCGAGTCTGCATCAGAAACTCCTGGAGGACTTGCCAAAACACAGATGGCTGCCTCCCCCACCCCCAAGATAGATTTAGCGAATGTGCATTTCAAACAATCTCCAGGTGATGCTGATGCTGCTGATCCATGGCCCACATTTTGAGGTGGTCTTTAAGGTAATATCAGACTTACATTCAACCCTGCCATTATAAAGAAGATTCACTTGAGTTTAGTGGAATCAGGGCCTACGATAAGAGCCAGGTACAAAGATGAATAGTGACAGACTGCAGCTAAACAACTCAATATAATCTAATCTCAGAGAAAGTGGGACCAAATAAAGCCCAGTGGTATCAAATAAACCCCTATATTGAGTCATCTTTCCCAAGGAATGTTTGGGGAATAAGCAGGGTGCATATGTATTTTTTTAAAGAGGTAAAGTTACCTTTTAGGTATCATCAAGAGTTGGTGAACACATAGTTTAGAAAGAAAATTTGGCAGAGAAATGGTTTCCTCTGTTTATAACAGCAGTTTTAGGACAAAAGCAAAATGGCTCTGCATTTCTAGAAGACATGCTGCTGCATGGTAATCCGTGAAACTGAGAACAAGGAAATAGGGTGAAGATGAAAGGACAGGGGAAAGAAGTGGAGTCATTGCCAATTGCACAAGTAGGTGACATCACCTCTGCCTTCAGAAAGCTTGCAAGAAAAAAGAAAGAGCCAGGCACAGTGGCTTATGCCTGTAATCCCATCATTTTGGGAGGCAGAGGTGGGAGGATTGCTTGAACCCTAGAGTTTGAGACAAGCCTGGACAACATGGTGAAACCCCTGGCTCTACAAAAAAAAAAAAAGTAGCTGGGCATGAAATAGCTGGGCATGGTGGTATGCACCTGTATTCCCAGCTACTTGGGAGGCTGAGGTGGGAGGATTGCTTGAGCCTGGAAGGCGGAGGTTGCAGTGAGCCAAGATTGCACCACTGCAAACCAGCCTGAGCAGCCAGACCCTGTTTAAAAAAGAAAAAGAAAAAAGAAACAGGAAAGACATTCTTAAGAAGTTATAGATCATTGACTAGCAATTTCAAAACCACTATAAAAGATGCTACAAGACATAAATGATTAAGTGCAGTGTGAGTATATCAGAGTAGGAAAGTAGGGCTGCAGAGGACAGGACAGTCTCTACAGAGGACTGAGATGAAAACTCACAGTGAAAAATGAGTAGGGATTATATCATTAGAGAGGAGAAGGAGGCATTGCAAACAATAGAAAAAGAAAAAAGAAAAGGAGGTGGGAATGTATGCAGATATCAAGGAGGCAATGCATAGTTTATTCTGGATGATCCAGAGTGTTCAAATCACATAGACCAAGTTGAGAGCAGACTGAGCAACGCATTGAGACTGTCCTAAAGAACTTTGATATTATTCTCCAGATTGCAGGAAATCAACCATGCATTTTATTCATTCATTTATCCAGTTCACACTTATGGAGCACATACTGTGGACCAAGAACAAGTATCAGCTGCGAGCTCAGAAATCCATGAGATTAGTCCTTGCTCTTCAAGCTTTCACTGTCCAGTAGGGAGAGCCCCATAGAATCAGATAATAACACAAATTAGGAAATTCTGTGATGAAATTTTGAACAAGAAAAGTGGAGGCCAGAGGAAGCAGCACTTGGCTCTCCTTAGAGGCACTAAGGAAAAACTCCGCAAAGCTGAACTCCTTGAGCTGGGACTTCAAAAGGGGTGGACAGACTGAACGAAGGCTCTGTGCTGCACTCTGTGGTCATACAGGGCTGCCTCCCACTTCTTTCCTTTCTCAACCATCATGTGTCATGAGTGAATGAAGGAATATGGAAAGAAGGAAGGCAGGAAAGGAAGGAGAATGGGAGGAGGGAAAGAAAAAGGAAGGTAAGGAGAAAAGGGGAGAAGGAAAGAAGAAAGAAGAGGGAGAGAAAGTAGAGGCTATAGGAGGGGAGGAGGGTGGAATGACATTCAGAAGAGGTGACAGAGAGCCCTGCAGAGCATTGTTGTGTGCACATGGATGGCAACCCTAGAACGGGCATATATGGGGTGTCCCACACTGCAGCTCTCAGGGAACAGCAGAAAGATATTCTTCCAGAAAAGGGCAAATTTTTCTAATATTTTTTGAGTAGACTGTGTGTTGCTGAATGTATGCCTAGCTCTTTGCTCAGGAACAAGTTTTGTCCCCTAGGCAAAGAAAGAGGAGGTGATTGGTCCTTGCTCTGGCTTGAGGGGCTCTAAAATTTCCTGCCTCTGTGCTGTCCCACCCTCCTAGGCTGGGATGCTGCAGTTGGCCTGACTTCACCATCTCATAACTGCCATCACTCCTGGGTCAGGAAACAAGCAGGGCTCACTGGCTTCAGGGGACCACAGGTAACAGGTGCGTATGTCAGCTCAGAAGCTTTATTGTCCTTTCTCCAGAGCACGAGAGTCAGCTTTTACAAGGCAAAAGAGGTGGTTGCTTTAGAAGATGAGTCCCACAAGAAAACGTATCTTACTAGGAAAGCTAGCCTGAGATGACTCCAGAAATGAAAAAGAGGAAGACTAATTTTTTCAAAGCAACTAAAGTCTCAATGTTCAGTAAATAATTTATTTGGATAATTCATTTGCAAAAAGAAAGCGTTCAACTTCTAGGAGATCAATTAATTCTATGTAAGGAGCGATTACAGTTCAGAAGTAGATTTCAACTTTCTTTTGCCATATATCTGTCTTTTGCCCTGAGATTTAAGAGAGATTGGCCAAGCCGGTGCGGCGGCTCATGCCTGTAATCCCAGCACTTTGGGAGGCTGAGGAGGGTGGATCATGAGGTCAAGAGATCGAGACCATCCTGGCCAACATGGTGAAACCCCGTCTTTACTAAAAACACAAAAATTGGCCAGGCATGGTGGCAGGCAACTGTAGTCCCACCTACTCATGAAGCTGAGGCAGGAGAATCGATTGAACCTGGGAGGTGGAGGTTGCAGTGAGCCAAGATCGCTCCACTGCACTCCAGCCTGGTGGCAGAGCGTGACTCCGTCTAAAAAAGAGAGAGATTGGCCAACTTGCCAAGATCATCTTCCTTTCTTTTTCATATCTTTATTCTTTCCTTCCTTCCTTCCTCCTGTTCCACCCTCCTTCCTCCTATTCCATTAAGCATCATTCTTCCATCTCTTACCACCAACTCCTCCCCCTGCCCCAGGTGGAATTCCACCTAAGAAGATCTGTGCTGGCCTGGGACTCTGAATTAAGTGGGCTTGGGGGTTATGTGGCTTTAGCACCCGCTATAAACAAGTTTCCCTCTCAGTCAGTTTCTTCTTACTACAAGAAGGACCTCCAGTATGGCTCCTCCTGTGGTTGGATTCCAGGTCACTGCTGTGCCCTGTGTAATTTAGGAACCTCTTTGATTATACAGGTGAATAGCTCTACTTGTTTCTCGAGCAGATGTTTGGTTGAAGTCCCTTCCCTGTGATTATGACTTGCTTTGGTCAAAAGGAAAGTAACTTGAGAAAGCTGGGTCCAGGAATGAAGAACAGGGAGGCAGCCACAAGATGAATTTTTGAACTCTCCAGACCACATTTTTGACTATACAATCCCTGAACCAACCTTATTATTAAGTATAATTACCAGCCCCAGGCATAAGCTACAGAGCCCCTACAGAGGTACTGTAGGTACCCCCAAGTTAAGCTATGTTTTTTTCATGCATGACCATCTTACCAATTGAGGAGTTATGAACCCCTGGGTAATCAATTGGGTCAAGGTGGCTCCAAATACCAAAAGACATTGATAGGATACTGAGAAATGTAAAATATCCATCATTAGAACTTAAGAGCTAAGTATATCCAGGCCTCACTTAAAAACAATACAGACGTGTTTTAATGCAACATGTTTTTTTCCTGACTATTGATTCTTGGAAAATAAAGTTTCTTCCCAAACACCTGCATCAGCTCCAGACTGATTAATATGATGGTCCTCTCAGGAGGTGGGAATGGGTATTGGTTTAAGGATGATTAGTCCCTATTTCATATAAGGCATACTGATCAGATAAATTGTTGGCAATAGATCCCTCTCATATAATTGCATTAATAGAAAGCACATGGAAGAGAGCCATTTCAAGGTCCAACAGCTCTGTGAGGTAGATATGATTCTTAATCCTACCTTTCAGGTAAGAAAACCAAGATTTAAGAGAGATTGGCTAACTTGACAAGATAATCTTCATTTCTTATCTTCCTTCATTCCTTCCTCCTTTCTCTCCTTCATTCCTTCCTTCCTTCCTTCCTCCCTCCCTTCCTTCCTCCCTCCCTCTCTTCCTTTCTTTGTTCCTTCCTTCCCTTCTTCCTCCTTTTCTTTATACACTATATGCAAGTCTCTATAAGCACAACAGAGAACAAACAAGACAGAAAGTCCTGGCCCTTATGGACCTCACATTCCAGTGGGGGGTAAAACAATTTTCTCTACATAATATGCTACGATAATGCCAGGTAATGAAGAGCTTTGTAAAATAATAATAAATGGGACAAGGATAGAGAGTGGGGATGGTGGTAAAAGGGCTTTTATTTAATACAGATGCTCAGAGAAGTCCTCTCTAACAAGATGACATTTGAGGAGAGACTTGAATGAAAGACAGGAGGGGCAAATGAAAAACATGCTTGGCAAGTGTGAGGAAGACCAAGAAGGCCACTGTTACTGGAGAAGAGGACAGGAGAGAGAATGATAGGAAAAGTAGCCAGAGCACATATGTATAGCGTCTTGGAAGCCACAGTAAGGATTTGGATTTCAAATGTGTAATGAGAACGTACCAGTTGCTGGGGAAGGCTGTAAATGGACAATAGTGGAAGCAGTTGGTGGGGGTGGGAGGGCAAGTTGGTGTTTTGAATAGAAAGCCACGCAGTAGTCCATGCTTGGGCCAGGGTGGTAATGAGAAAGGTAGTGATAATTGGCTGGATTCATGTTATCTCTGAAGCTAGGACCATAGGATTTGTCTCAGGACACAACGAAGTCTAGACTTTAACCCAGGCAAGTTGGCAACAGCCCCACATACCCACCCTCTGGCCAACACACTAGACAGTAAGTAGGTTTTAGTCTCACTGCAGCCACCCCCTCAATCCTCCTATTTCTATTACCCCCGTGCTCTCTGCTGCCACCTAGTGCCCATGTGCTGCCTTCAACTCCTCCCAGCCCTTGCCCTGAGTGGGGTGCCCATCAAATACTTAGGAAGAAAATGTCACTTCTCTGGGCCTCAGTTTCTTCATCTGTGAATGTTAGGGCTGGGATAATTGCCCCTAAAGCCATTTTCAATTCTTACTTTCCACGGTCGTGATCTCTTCCCTATGATGTAGGCAGGGAAAATGTTAAGATTATGGCTACCTATGTTTTCCCTGTAGGAATATATTTTTTAAATGTTGCCTTGGCAGTTCTTGAGCACCCTGCTCTAGTGCTCAGAAAGAATCAAGGTGCTCTGGAATCATTAGGTCTTGTTGCAAAGTTGGGATTAAACTAATTAACATTATATAAAATCTAAAATTGAGTACCTTGAAAGAGAGTTTGGTTGCTCTCCAAAAAATTAAATAAAGAATTCCTGTGTGACCTAGCAATTCCATTCCTAGGTATATATTCAAAATAATTGAAAATAGGTACTCAAACAGACCTTGGTACACGAATGTTCACAGCAGTGCTATTCAGCGTAGCCAAAAGTTAGAACAATCCAAATGTTCACCAACAGATGAATGGATAAACAAAATGTGGTATACCCATAAAATGAAATATTACTCTGCCATAAAAAGGAATGAAGTGTTGATAAATGCTACAGTATGGATGGACCTCAAAACATTATGGCAAATTAAAGAAGCCAGACTCACAAGCTGACATATTGTAGGATTTTATTTATATGAATTATCCAGAATAGATAACCCATAGAGACAGAAAGCAGATTGATGGTTGCCAGGGACTGAGTAAAGGGTGGAAATGGGAAGTGACTGCTTAATAAGTACAGGGTTTCTATGGGGTAATGAACATATTTTGGAACTTGATAGAGATGCTGGTTGCACAGCAATATGAAAGTATTAAACGCCACTAAAATGTACAACTTAAAACGGCTAATTTTGTTATGTGGATTTCACCTCATTAAAAATGTTGATGTAAAGGTAAAAGTGTTGATTCACTTCCTCAGTCCCACTAGGCTCATTTCAAATGCTCAGTGGCTAGCGGCCAACATATTGGGCAGCACAGATGTGGAATATTTACATCATTGTAGAAAGTTCTCTTGGACAGCACTGATTTAGACAATACATGGTCTCTGACACGACCGTGGGGAGGTTGCGGGAGTAGAGGAGGAATGAAGGCATTGGAGGAATGAAGGCAGGAGTAGAGGAGGAATGAAGAGAGTTCACATTGGTTCGTGCGCTTCGTGGAGGCTCCATGTGCACCATGGAATGTACTGTTCTCCCTCGCAGAGTGGAGAGCCTCCTCAGTGCTACTTTCCAACAAATGCCCACCAGAGGGCACTCTCACACCCCAGAAAACAGAAAACTAAAAGGACGTCAGAGTGCAGGGACTTAACATTTTTAGCATCCAGAACTAAACTAGTGGTAATAGAAGTTCATGGAAAGCAAACACTATATGAGAAGTTCCATGTAAACTCTCCCACTCTGACTTGAGAAATTGTTCATTTTGGGGGGAAGCTTTCCTTCTTGGCTATATTGGGTCTCAGCCCAACGTGAATTTGATGAGTATGTAGAAAGGTTGCATGTGTACTAAATGCAAATGTACGAGCTAAAGGCTAGAGTCCTGTGGCCCAGGGATGAAGTTGTCCATCCTTGCCCTGCTGCTTTGTTTGCTCCCGTTTTCCAAAGCTCTTGCCGACAGCTTAATGGCTGGTGGGCTGTGCTACCATTAAACCACCATGGGAAATTAAAACTCTACAAGCATTCAGTGTGGTAACTCTCTAACTAAGGCAGCAAGCCTTTGCTTAAAATAAAATAAAAGAAAAATGTCTGCTTCCAGGGTAGGAACTATACCTAAAGCATGATTTTAAAAAACATTTGAAAATTATTATCTCTTCTGGTGAGCATTCTGGTGAGCCAGTGTGAGCATTTATACTTCATTGTTTGAGTTTTTGCATGAATCTTCTCCAAAGCTCTTGTAATCAGAAAGTTAACCAGGATGATAGTTTGGCTCTGACATTGCTGGCGTCTTGCAAATCTAAATGTGAAAAACCGATCTGGCAGTTTTACACTTGGAGAATAACATTGTATAGGACTCAACTATTGCCTCTACCATTTGGCTCTTGCGACACTAAGACATTTTTCCTTCTCAGAATTTGGAAATGTTTTGGGTTAAAAAAAAATAAACTCACACTTCTCTAGATCTGGAAGAGCTATTTCTGCAAACTCTTCGGGACAGGGTATAAATGTAGCCTGCCATTCCAGTGATTGGGTGGTTGGTCTCATGGACAGAAATGGTGGGTGTTCCTTCTTCCCTTTCTTCTCTCCTCTCCCCCTTCCTACTCTTTCTCCCTGTATCTGAGATGGATTTATTAAATTTGGAACTTTTTTTTTTTTTTGAGACAGAGTCTTGCCTTGTCGCCCAGGCTGGAGTGCAATGGCACACTCTTGGCTCACTGCAACTTCCGCCTCCCGGGTTCAAGCGATTCTCCTGCCTCAGCCTCTTGAGTAGCTGGGATTACAGGCATGTGCTACCATGCCCCCCTAGCTTTTGTATTTTTAGTAGAGGAGGGGTTCACCATGTTGGCCAGGCTGGTCTCGAGCGCCTGACCTCAGGTGATCCACTTGCCTTGGCCTCCCACAGTGCTGGGATTACAGGTATGAGCTGCCGCACCTAGCCTGGAGCATTCTTTACTAATTCTCAGCTCTCTGGAAAAAGTGGACAAAACCAGGCTTTGGCCTTGGGTTAATATCTGCCAGAGGTGTTACAAAGAGGGAAAATTACTAGCTGTTACTCAACGGAGTATTTAGAAAGAAGATATTTTAATATTGTCCTTTTATCTAGTGTCTTATCATTGTTTGTAGGTATGCAAATTTTATATTCACCTATTTTGTAATATACATGCTTTTTAGTTCCTGAAACCCAAGACCAAAATGCCATTTAAATCTCAAAGGACCATCACCTCCTCACTTTCCCTAGGTGACATTAAATATCTTCAGCTCTCAAAAGTATTGCATACTTTTGAGCGGCATGCAGGCCAATAAGCTGAAATGGGCTGGAAAGCAGGGAATCACTAGCCAACTCATGCCCATTGGCACAATTTTAATCTATGTTTTAAAACAAAATTTTCAAAAGAGAGAAAAATATATGCAGCATTTACCGAAGAATGTTTCACACACATGCACAAGAAAAAAAACAGTCTGAGAAGGATTGAGGGGAAAAGCGTACTCGGTGGTCAAATAAATTTGGAAAACACTAAGTGTTCACTTTTTCTCTTGGCCATTCACAATTTATATCTATATGGTAAAGGTCTTGAGAAACTGCATGTAGCAGAAGTTATTAATGCTCTACCCAGATCCTTGGAGATCTTTTACAGTTCTTTGTGCTCATCCCAAGCTTTGGCATTCTTCACAACTTTCTTCAGAGTATTGGCGGATGCACAGAAAGCCTAAAGTACCTGAGAATTCACAGTCCCTCAGGAGGCTCATGGTCAATGACGACAATGATGGGCAGATGTTGAGAAGCCTAACCCTTTGCCTTTAAGTAGAACAAACTCTGTGAAATACTTCAAGCCCCAGAGCTGCCTGGGCCTAAGTGATCACCTGAAATGGCACCTGGTCTTCGTTTCTCCCTTCCCTATCCTATTTCCTACTTCATTGGCTGCTTTTGGGAGCACTTTTTTCATAAGTTCCTTGCCCATATGTCCTCACTTCAAGGTCTGCTTCTGGAGAACCTGACCCACCATGCTACAAGGAACCCCATTCAATTTTGTTTAACTCAGGGTTTTAGTCATGCATTCATTAAACAAACTTTTACTGAGTTCCTATTGTGTGTCCATGTGTCCTAAAAGTACTGGACCGTGGATGGCTAATCATTGGCCGATTCATCCCACCGAGCGTGAATGGGTGAGTTTTCTCTCCCATGTAACACCTTTCAGATTTGGGGGAAACTAAAATGCCAAGGAATTCACTTTCGGAAATGCTGACATACAGAATTAGATTTGGCACACGTAAGTCACACTCTCAAACCATGTTGTACATTCCTCAAGGGAAAACCGTGGAGGTGCCTTTCTTTTTATCCACGTTATCATTGCTCAACCCTGACTTGCACCTTGAATCGCATCTCAAGCAGTTGTAATGGAACATGCTCTGGACATGGACTCAGAACTCCTGAGTTCTCATTCATCTTCAAGAAGTGAGGGGAAGCTGGAGGAGAGACAACCTGGTGATTAAGATGTGATGCTGGTAAACGTGGGGAAGGCTAAAGTCAATTTTGTGGAAGAATACAGTTTTGGCCACCTGGCAATTTTGGAAAAGATTTACAAAAGAGTGTTGCATAATAATTTCTCCCAAGAAGCTCAAAGTTCATCCCAGATGTGGTATAATCCATCTCCAAACATCCCTATGAAGCAGAAAGCATTTTAGAAGCTCACAGTGTGATTTTTAAAGTCTGTTTGATCAGTTCATATAACTTGGCAGTCAACGCTTATGTTTGATGTCACATAGGAAAACTACCCAGGTGTTTTGAGGCTGGATTGACTGGGGAAAAACAATCTGAAGGTGGAAGTGGAGTCAGGAGACACGCTTTCTGTCCCCACCTTTTCTCTGCCTGTCTTTCTCAATTGAGCACACTTCATAGAAGTTTGATGTGACAGGATTATAGCTAAGCCAGGGTCTCTTAAAAACTAAGCTTGGTCAGGGAGAAGCAGCAGAGAGAGGCCTGCTGGCTGCTAAGGTAAGCACAGTGCACACAGTGCCTCTTGATGCTGCCTGAAGCCAAGTATCTGGACTCCATGCTTCATAAAGTAAGAAGGTTAAAAACAAAAAAACCCCGTTTCTACTAAAAATACAAAAAATTAGCTGGGCGTGGTGGCGGGTGCCTGTAATCCCAGCTACTCGGGAGGCTGAGGCAGGAGAATGGCATGAACCCGGGAGGCGGAGCTTGCAGTGAGCCGAGATGGTGCCATTGCACTGCAGCCTGGGCGACAGAGCGAGACTCCCTCTCAAAAATAAAAATAAAAATAAAAATAATTAAAAAAATAAAAACCTGTTCCTTATACTTTTAAGAGAAAGGATTAAAAAAAACAGATGATCAAATTGTAGGTAATATGGTATATATGTGCATATCTGCATTCTGGTCATATCCTAAAAGGCTAAAAATGCCTGCCCTAGGTAAATGGAGGAGAGTAAAGACTCAGAGCAGGTCTTTGGAGTTGGTGACCACTTGGAGAACTGTTTCAACAAAGCAGAAACCTAACTTCCAGGTTAAGGAGTGTGTGGTGGTTGCGTGCAAGCCCCCAAGCAACTCCAAATAGGGTGATATGTGATCAGAGTCAAATGAAGGACACAAATAATCAGAGGGTTAAGGATTCAGAACAGGAAAGATGCTATAGAAATGGCAGGGTCATAACAATGTATCAGGAAACATTAAGGCTTGCAATGGGCCTGAAGGTAAATCTGAGGAGCTTGGTTATAGATTTTAAGAGTCTCATCCCAGGGAATTCCCTGCCTGTTTACTCTGAAGAGAAGGTGCTCTGAAATTCTAATCTTCACTCTTCTAAGTGAAAAATCCTGGAAACTCTTCCAAGACTTGCACCTTAGACCAATCATCATGGTCTGCTGTTGACTTTCCTATCATCTGATCTTTTGCCTCATTTGCTGTTCATCCCATATTATCTTTCACTTGCCCATGACCCCTCCTCAGTGGTGGACTTTTATTACCTGCTAAGGGCTATTTTCCTGCTTCATAGATGGTACCTTCTCATTGAGTCCTTACGCAGTGGAAGGGGCAAGGCATCTCTCTGGGTCTTCTTTTACAAGGGCACTAATTCCATTCATGAGAGTGGAGCCCTGATGACCTGATCACGTCCCAAAGGCCCTACCTTCTAATACCATCACCTCGGGAGGTAGGATTTCAACGTATAAATTTTGGGCAAATAGAAGTATTCAGATCACAGCAGCATGTGTGAGGGAAAAGGGACCTGAATCTATGTGTATAGTAATGTCTGGGCACTGACACTGGTATGACCACCTACCACAAGACAAATATTAAATAGGACAATGTCTGTAATACTTTGCTAGAAGGCTATACTACAGAAGGGTATAATCCAAGATGAGTGCCGTGATAGAGCTGCAGTTACAGAGCACCCAAACATTATCACACTCTAATCATAATCACGTCTTCCACACCTGACCGGTAGGGAGCACACATGCTGCAGAGGTCAGACATATCTTAGTGTAATGGCGGAAGCTTTGTAGTAAAAGTTAGGTAGCCTGGGTCCAAGTCCCGACCTTACTCCTTTTTAGTTCCGTAACTTTGAGAAAGGGACATAAGGTGTCTAACCTTGGGTTTCCTGTAAAATTGGGACAATAAAATTCCTGCCTTGTTTACTTCAAAAGGCTATTGTGAAAATTAAATGAGATAATGAATGTCAAAGCATGTTGCGTACTCTGAAATAGTATACAAATGAAAGTTCTTGTAATATAATTGATATTTAATTCTCTCCAAAGCAGTGCAAGATGGGGTAAGAATAATCACCATCATAACGGTTAAATTTTTCTCTTTTATCATGATGTTTTTTGTCACTGAAACATCATTTCAAACTACAGAACAGTTATAAGAAAGTACAAAAAAATGCCCATAACACTTACATTTTTCGCTTTTATAATATCTTGATTTTTTGTACATCATTTCAAACTACAGGAAAGTTATAAGAAAGTAAAAAAATGCCCATAATAGTTACATTTTTCTCTTTTATAGTATCTTGATTTTTTTGTATATCATTTGTAACAGAAAAGTTATAAGAAAGGGGGGGGAAAACCTATAGGTTTGGGAGGCCAAGGAGGGTGGATCGCTTGAGGTCAGGAGGAGACCAGCCTGGCCAACATGGCGAAACCTCATCTCTACTAAAAATACAAAAATTAGCTGGGCATGGTGATGGGTGCCTGTAATCCCGGATACTCGAGGGGCAGGGGGCTGAGGCAGGAGAATCACTTGAACCCGAGAGGAGGAGGTAGCAGTGAGCAAAGATCACACTGATGCACTCCAGCCTGGGTGACACAGGGAGACTCTGTCTCAAAACAACAACAATAACAACAACAGCAACAGCAACGAAAAGCCCATCGGTCTTTTATCGGGATGCATCACATGCATCAATTAGTAATGATTTGCCCCATTTGCTTAACCATTTTCTCCCTTGCCCCCTCTCACTGTCTTGCTTTGATTGCATTTATCATGTCCCTTTATCCCTGAATACCTTGGTATATATTTCTCAAGAACAAGAACATTCTCCTATATCCTCTCAGTACAATTATCAGAATCAGCAAATTTAACATTGATATAATGCTATTATTTAACCCACGGTCCATATTCAAATTTTGCCCCTTCTCTCAAACTGTCCTTTACAGCTATTTTTTCCATTCCAGGATCCAATCTACAATGATGCACTTATTATCATGATTCTTTAAGCCTCCTTTCACCTGAAACATTTCCTCAGCCTTTCTTTGTCCTTCATGATTTGGGTATTTCTGAGGAGTAAAGGCCGGTTGTTTTGTAGAATGTTTCTTATTTGGGGATTGTCTGGTGTTTCCTCATGACTAAATTCAGGTTGCAGAATTTGGACAGAAATGCCACAGAAGAATGCTATGCCCTTCTCAGTGTATCACAGCAGAGGCATGGCTCGTCAGGTTGTCTCGATACTGGTACAGGCAGCTCTGATCACTTGGATAAGGTGATGTCCACCATGTTTCTCCACTGCAACATAATTACTATTTTCTCCCTTTGTAGTTAAATATTTGTGGGGAGAAACTTTAACATGATGTAAATATTCTGTTCTTCGTAAAGCTCACAACCACTAATTTTAGTATTCATTGGTGATTCTTGGCTGAGTGAAGTCTAATGGTCACAAGTGGTAATTTGTTAACGCCGTCCTTTCTTCTACTTTGTAAAGTTAGAATCATAAGGTGGAACTGTTCCTTCTGCCCCATTTATTTATGTATTTATTCATTTATTTATAGACTCATGGATTCTTCTTTTGCTCAATAAGTTTTAATCCATTAATATTATTGCATTTGCTTGGATTCTCAAACATCTCAGATTTGGCTAGTGGGCACCACTTCAATCTGGATCCCCATCGTTTTGACACGCTTCCATCATTTCTTTGTTAAGCACTTCCTTGCTTTCTGACACAAAAAGCTGGTCCAGGTTTATCTTGTATCTCCTCTGCCCTGTAATTCTCCATTTCTCTGAAGGGATCTAGTCAGGTTCTCTTTGTGCAGAATCATCTTTAAAAGTCAAGATCTGGACCTCCAGGCATGTGCATTGCTACTGGGGTATCATTGGTTTTAGGCCCTCTTGGTGAACTGATATCACTTTAAAACATTTTCCGGTAGTGACTGATGAATATATAGATAAACTCATTGTCCCATGACAGCTCATACATATTTAAACATAATACATACATATAATGCTAAACATACATATTAAACCTAATATGCCTATAAAGAAAACATGAATTCGTACTGGTACTTCCATTCAAACCAATGTTACGAGTTTATTCTAGCCCTTCCCCTTTCCGGATTTGGACCTCCCTTCTCTGACAGTGAAAAACCTGGCTCCCACCTACAACGTATTTACTCATTTGCCCAATGCTTGAACACACGCACAGAGCAGTTTCAGAATTACTCACCTATGCCATCATGAAAAACAAACACTATTTAGCATTCAATATTTGTTTATAGCTCTTTTTCTCTTTGGATTGGAGGCATACAGTGAAAATACTGTGTTCAAAAGTTACTTTGATTAGTTTTATTTCCTCCTTCAATATGACTGTTTTTCATATGAAATGCAAATAGATCCAATTGTTTGGATTTAATTTTATGGTTTTTTTCAGGATTTTTATTGATTTGAATTTTTTGAGTAGTAAAACATTAACTTGCTTCCAAAAGTTAAGATTGTACAAAAAGGTATTTTTAAAGATGTATCCCTCTCCTCCATCCCAATTCCTTGCACCCCATTCCCACCATGCCCTGTAAATAACTGGTTTCACTACTTTTTGGTTTATCCTTCCTGTGGTTCTTTTGGCAAAAATAAGCAGATGCCTGTATATTTCCTTATAATAGTTAATATTGTAATTATTACTGGCTTACAGAAAAGGCACAATCTGTACACACCACAGAAGTCAATGGGATCAGGTTCCATTTCTTCCTGACTCCGAGGAGCCTGTAGGGGTCAGCAGGGGACACAGAGCCAGCTCTCCAGAGCTGAGTGGATATTACAAGTTCACTGCAGCCTGAACCCACATCCATCAACTGGCTGCTAATCCTTCTTGACAGACATCCCAGAAGAAACTTGATGTGCTAACTAGTTCCAGAGTTTAACGAGTGTGAAAGCCAAGGTTTGTATTTTGGAGACTGGAAGTAAAGTGATTTATGTCTGCATTTGACTGACCACGAGAAGTCCCCAAGAAAGTGGCTGGACTCAGTTGCCTAAATGTTCTTTTTCCTCAGAGGAAAAGCTTAACCTTTTAAGATTTCTTCATTTCTTCCCCGTAAGTCTGTACTTAGGAGACCCAAGAGCCTCAAGCCTCAAGCCCTTCTTAAAATGCATTTGATATACCACCCCATGCAGGGTGACAATAGCAGGTCTGTCTGCCCGCCTGTCAGTGGGGCCTCTCAGCCCTGCAGGTGAAGAAAAAGGATGGTGGCTTCACCTGAGTGCACCTGTGCTCACCCGAGCAGAGTCAAGAATGTGAACAATTCAAGCATTCTCCAGCCTAAAAACTCAGCTGCAATGACTGCGAGTAGCTGGATGTACTTTTTTCTTTAGGTATTCCTCCTTTGTCTTCATTGCTTTCTTGGCAGAAGGGCGAAGTCAGTGCTGGATGGCAGACAGAAAGCCTCAAATGGCTGTCTTGGCTCAGGCAAGCAGGGCTACAGCAAAGGAGGCAGCTTCAGCTGTTCTGTACAGACCGGAGAAATATGAGACCACCTGGATATAAAGAAAACCCCACCCTAGACTCTGCCAAGTATGGAGAGGAACAGAGCTATCTCTTCCATCCCCAACTCTCAGTGTTTTCTTAAGTCCTTCATACATTTCCACTTTAGTACACTCAGCTGAGAAGTGTAAAGAGATACTCACCCTTAGGGCTAAGAAAAGGTAAATTCTCCCCCTCCTCATTCCAGCTGAAACCCTCTCTAGGTTCACAGCAGCCCCCTTGTGCCCCATGAGGCAGACAATTGGGAATAATGTGTTGATAGATGGTAACATATAGGCGGGAACAATAATGTCCCACTACTGTGGCGCTTTTATAGGTTCTTGGATTTGGAAGGGCCTTAGAGGTCACCTAACTGACCAGTCTTCCATCTCTCTAGCAATCCCTCTGCAATACCTTTGACAGGTTGCCATTCAGTCTCTGTCTGAACACTTTCAGTGATAAAGAACTCCACACTGTTGAATAGCAGACTACTACTCATCCTTCAAGACCCTGATCAAATGTCATCTGCTCTGTGAGGCTTCTCCCAACTCAGCCAGGCATATCGGTTACTCCATAATTTGTGATCCCTCAGCACTTTACCCTCACTTCATCAGAACACATTATATTGGAATTTATCTTTTTCATCCATATCTGTCTCTCCCATTTGTCTCTGAGCATTTAAAGGAAGAGAGCCACATATTATTTATCTTTGTATCCTCAACTCTTACTGCAATACCTGACACTTAGATGGTGTTCCAATAATGATCGTTGACTATATAGATGAGTGTATTCTCTTAAGACCACTTACACCATATTTAAACAACTATAATTATTAGAAAATCCATCCTTACATCGAGCCTATGTCTTCTTTCCACACAATGGTCTTTATTCTGCCATTAGACAAAGGGACAAAAGGACACATCAAATATCCATTATGTGCTAGACACTGTGCTTGACAAGTTTATAGAAAGTCCACTTATGGTTCCATTAACTGTTCTTCCAATAGTTGCTGTCCTCATGATTCCCACAGACCTCTCCTGTGCAGTCTAACCCTCCACGGTCAGGCCCACAGTTTCTCAGCTGATGTGGCTTTAGGACCCTGGCTTTCCATTCACCCTGGTCTGGATGGGTTTATCATGAAGAAGCTAAGGAAACCCAGAATCGTGTATTTAGTTCCACTTGCTGTCCTGATAATGCAATGTCTGCTGGAATAGCCTGTGACAGCTCCTCAGTTTCAGGCAGGGCAGATACAAAGGCTTTGGGAAAAGGTGAGCACTTTCCCTAAGTGCCAGCCACAGCACCTCAGCAGGCCAATGTTTCCTGATCTCCCTTCAAGCCAACTTCAAGGGAAGCTTCTGTTCAGCATCCTAGCTTATGAAACATTAAACCTGAGAGCAAAGGGCCATATCCCACCCTCAGAAGATTATTATCAGTAGTGGCTCATCCTTAGTCCCAGGTTTTCCTTTGTAGATCAATCAACAACATTTAACTTCTAGTCTTGCCTGGACCTATCATCTATTAGAGTTTTAGTTATTTTCGAGTAGGAGATTTCTCTGCAAATACTGCTGCCAGGATATGCATATATCCATGTATTTTAGCTCACCAGGTCTCTTCCCTCTGGAGAACACCAGGAATACCAGGGAGAGGTGGAATGAGAGGGCAAACTGACACTGAAAGCAAAGGCACAGATGTTCAAGTCAAACTTCACCTGGAGCCAACCCCTCTCTTCACTCTTGCAAAAACACACCCATCCAGCCAAGTGCATTTCTTTCTTGCCACCTCTAAAGATGAATTTCTGATGATGACATATTTGATTTCAGTCACTGTCTTCACAGCTGAAAGTGAACTGCCCAGTAACTGTCTAACATTCTTTTCAAAGCCCACCACAGCATTTCCTTCTCATCAGATATCCTATCAGGCTCTTGTTAGCTATACTGGCTTTCAACACATCCCTGTCCATGTCAGCTTAACCTTAATGCCTTTCTACATGCAAAGTGACCACTTGTGCTTTGGGCCCACCCTGTATCCTATAGAGGCTTCCATCCCAACAATTGATTGAAATTACTTACTTATACAACTGTCTCCCACAAAATAGTCTATGAGCTTCTTGAGGGCAGGAACTTTACTTTGGCTTTGGTTTTGGCTTAGTATTTGCAGGATCCAGTATAATCTCTGACATGTAGGACACACTCAGTCAGCACTGATAAACTCCTTTTAACAGTCCAAAAAAGTGGTGAGTCAATGTTTTTGATCTTATACCTCATGTCAGTGGCTTTGGAATTTGTAAAAAAAAAAACATCTGGGGAGCTTTTTAGAAATACACACCACAGATCTGTTGATTCTATTGTATTGATGGGACCTTGATACTTGCATTTGTAAATAAGTAACCCAGATGATTCTGATGTGGGTGTTCTTCATTGCACATTTTGATAAATAGTGATTAACCTGCAGCCTTCTTCCTCACCATATTCTGGGTTTAGGGTAATTTGCCATTTCATACTCATAAGATTATTAGCCTGGTAGATTGGTCACACATTGTAAATGCAGTAGATCTACCATTCAGCAAGGCATGAGAGAAAGTCTCTTATGGGGTAGACACAATTAAGTAAATTAACAGCTGTTTAGATACCATCAGTCAGGATAGGAGAGGCTATGCTGCAGTAACAATCAATCACAAAATCCCAGTGGCTTAATGTAACAAAAGTGTACTTCTTACCCAATGAACTTGGCAGAGGACTTGGTTTATGTGTAGTCACTCAGGGAGCCAGGAAGGTAGAAGTTCCACATCAAAGTGTGCTTCCAGTGTCCCACAGAGGGGAGGAAAGGATGTGGCAAGTCCTGCACTGGCCCCAAGGCTTTGTCCTGGAAGTGACATATGCTCACACTTCGTTATGCAAAGCAAGTCCTGTGACCACACCCAAGGAGAGGATAGCACGAATGCTAACCAATACCAGTAATGATTACCCAAACACTCACGTCCAATATGAAACCAGAGAAAGGTGTTAGAGAACCTGGCACAAAGTAGATGCTCTGATAAAAATATTTATCAGACCAAAAAAAAAAAAGAGAAAATGTGGCCCTTGTGTGGGGAAAAAACTATCACTATCTTTCTGCTTGCAAAGCTGGTTATATTCTGTTTTAACATATATTAAAATGTATGTTCTATGTTATTGAGTGGAAGAGCCATAGATTACAGAACAGCTATTGGTATGATTATGAACTAATTTAGAAAAAGTTATGGGTGTACACATACACACAAGGCATAGTTATATGTTACATAACAAGAATTAAGTGTCTGAAACCATGTTCCACCAAATGTTATTAATGTATTATTTCAATATGATGGGCTTTTAAGTAACTTTTAAAATTTTATTTTTCTTATGTTGTTTGACATACTGTCAGTAAGCATGATAATCAGAAACAAACAGTAAAGTAACTTCTGTTTTGAGAAAAGAATATACAAATGCTCATTGCAAGGGAATAAAGTAGGCAATACTAATGAAAACATGCATGGCAGGAAATGAAAATAATTAGTATATGTTCTGAAATAAGAGCAAGTTTATAGAGTGACCTAAGATACAAAGCTGTCTGTCGAGGAATATTCTGTGGAGTACATAGAGAAAAATCTGACATGTCCATCATAAAATAAAGTGATGCTCCCAGAACAACATGCGCTTGTGAAAAGGACACAGGGGGTAGTTGGAAGAAGCTCCTCATAGCCAAATCTGGAATAATTTAAACATCACAATTAATAACGATAGTAATGGGTTATAACTCATTGAATACAATAAGAATCAGAGAAACTATTGGAGGCTCTTTCAACTTCAGCACTCACTAGAGATGTATTCATGGAGTAAGTTCTCAGTCCTCATATTACTTGATTTATCAGCAGCATTCAACAGAGTAGATCCCACCCTCCTCTTTTAAGTATTTTTATTCTGACCTTCCAGAACACAACACTCTCCTGGCTTTCCTTCCACCTCATTGGCTCCTTTTTCTCAATCCCCTTTTCTGTTTCTTCCTCCTCTCCTCATATTCAACACTGGAGTCCCCCCAGGATTTAGTCCTTGGTCTTCTACCTGCATTCTCTCCACTGGTGATCTCATACAACCTCGTTGCTTTAAATACCACTGATATGTTGCTAACTCCCCAATCTGTATCTATCACCCAAGCTGCGCTCCTGTACAGCAGATTTGTATATCCAACTGGCTACATAACATCTGCAGTTGGACACTCAATGGACATTTCAAATCTAATATGTTCAAAAATGACTACCAGATCTTCCCCAAAAACCCACTTCACCTTCATCCTTCCCCCATTTTAATTAATGTCATCCTTCCAGTTACTGAAGCCAAAACCCTGGAGTCTTCCATGACTCCTCTCCTTCTTTCCCCATCCAGTCTTGCAGGAGATTCTGCTGGTTTTGCCTTCAAATATATCCAGAAGCCAGCTATTGTATCATGTTCTTCCTTGCTACCACTGGTTATTTCCTCTGCCTGGAATGCCCAGACAACCACAGGTCTAAATCCCTCACTTCTTTAAATTTTTGCTCAAAAGCCATCTTCTTAATAGAGTGTATCTAGACTACTTTGGTTAAAAATGCAATTCAGCCAGGCACAGTGGTGCATGCCTGTAATCCCAGCTACTCAGGGAGTTGAGGTGGGAGGCTCTCAAGAGCCCAGGAAATCCAAGATTTCCACCTGAATCAGCTTGATATGAGAGCCCGCACTCATGACACCATACTTACTTTAACTTCAATCTGTGCAAACACTGCAAATGTCATGATTTGTCTATGCACACAGAAGAATCAACAAAAATTAGAACATTTCTTACCTGCTTTTATTTCTAAAAGAGTAGAAGAGGATGTCTAGAATTGCAGGAAAATAGACCTGTAGGAGTGTTTGGAGACCTTAAAAATAAGGAAATCAAGTACCAAGGACGTTAATGGACTTCCCTAAGTTGCATGGTTGGAACTAGACCTAAGAGCTGGTTCAGAGCTATTTCCACCTCACCCACCTAAGCCAGTGCTTCTTCACATCCTTGGTGTGCCTGTGCAGCCATGCTAGACTATCTCCTCTCAGCTCCCCTTTCCCTCAGGGCAAAGAGCACCAATCTTTTCAATTTTCTTCTAGGGTACTTATCCAAGCCTTTAATCATTTGCACAGGCTCTTCTTAAAATTTTTTAAATCTTTAGTCTCTGAAGCCCAACTATGAAGCAGTTTCATATAAAGAGTGATTCTTGAATTAGGAAAGACATAAACATGCATCTGCTCGTGGGCAGCTGTGATGAGGTAAGACGGCATGATCACTGCCTCCCCCAGGTCATCTTGCCTGGTAAGGGTCAGTGGGCATAAGGGCTGGGCCAGTCAGGAGGAGTGGGAGGAAAACTGAAATCTTAATTTCCAAAGAGCCTGGGGGAATAAAGCTGCCTGCAAAAAAAATGTGATCCTTGCAAAGATAAGAAGGATAGAGATGATTCAATAAAACTACTAGCTTGCTATAAAACATTTGCCTACTCTGTTTTCTACCCAGTTTCCTCCTGACACATATTCATAAGGTTCCCCACCTTTGAATGTGCACAATACACAGAAATACACAATCAGCTGCTATTATTATCGTCATAACATGTTTCATCTCAAGGTTTTTGAAAATTGCTCTCAATGCACTGCGTTTAGCTGGACATCCATTATTGACTGACAGACACGTTCATACACATTTGCCCACTATCCCTCCAGGCTTCCTCATCTCACCCCGGTAGAAAACCACTTGACAATGAAGATGTGGAGTTCAGTTCAACTCTACACCTACACCAAAGAGAAATGGATGTAACCATCCAATAGTTAGTAGAAGGGTCCCTGAACTAAAGATCATGAGATGCAAGCTTCCTTTGCTCACCTCCTAAAATTTTGTGACCTCAAGCAATCATTCCACCACCTCAAGTCTCACCTGCTTCTAATGTAAAATAAGGATGATAATAAAACTTTGCCTACCTGAGGGCAGGTGGCTAGGTCAAATAAGATGGTTTTATGAATCTCTTCTTGGTCCACAGTTCATTTACTTAGTCAAAAATATTTACCAAACTCCATATAGGTGCCAGGGGTGTTGGGAAATGCATCAGTGAACAATCCTGATGAAGCTCCATCTATCTGCAAGGTAGGAGGCAGAGCACTAGAAGGAAAAGTGAAGTCAGGAAGGGGATAAAGAGCAATAAAGGGGAGGGAGTGCTATTCTTTATGTGTATATATATATATTTTTATATACATATATATGTATACTTTAAGTTCTAGGGTACATGTGCACAACACGCAGGTTTGATACATAGGTATACATGTGCCATGTTGGTTTGCTGCACCCATCAACTCATCATTTACATTAGGTATTTATCCTAACGCTATCCCTCCCCCAGGCTTCAACCCCCCAACAGGCCCCAGTGTGGGTGTGTGATGTTTCCTGCCCTGTGTCCAAGTGATCTCATTGTTCAATTCCCACCTATGAGTGAGAACATGCGGTGTTTGATTTTCTGTCCTTGTGATAGTCTGCTGAGAATGACAGTTTCCAGCTTCATCCATGTCCCTGCAAAGGACACGAACTCATCTTTTTTATGGCTGCATAGTATTCCATGGTGTATATGTGCCACATTTTCTTAATCCAGTCTATCATTGATGGACATTTGGTTTGGTTCCAAGTCTTTGCTATTGTGAATAGTGCCACAATAAACATACATGTGCATGTGTCTTTATACTAGCATGATTTATAATCCTTTGGGTATATAACCAGTAATGGGATTGCTGGGTCAAATGGTAATTCTAGTTCTAGATCCTTGAGGAATCGCCACACTGTGTTCGGCAATGGTTGAGCTAATTTACACTCCCACCAACAGTGTAAAAGCATTCCTATTTCTCCACATCCTCTCCAGCGTCTGTTGTTTCCTGACTTTTTAATGATCACCATTCTAACTGGCGTGAGATGATATCTCATTGTGATTTTGATTTGCATTTCTCTATCCAGTGATCATGAGCATTTTTTCATGTGTCTGTTGGCTGCATAGATGTCTTCTTTTGAGAAGTGTCTGTTCCTTTCCTTTGCCCACTTTTTGATGGAGTTGTTTGTTTTTTTCTTGTAAATTTGTTTGAGTTCTTTGTAGATGCTGGATATTAGCCCTTTGTCAGATGGGTAGGTTGCAAAAATTTTCTCCCATTCTGTAAGTTGTCTGTTCACTCTGATGGTAGTTTCTTTTGCTGTGCAGAAGCTCTTTAGTTTAATTAGATCCCATTTGTCTATTTTGGCTTTTGTTGTCATTGGTTTTGGTGTTTTAGTCATGAAGTCCTTGCCCATGCCTATGTCCATAGCCTATGGGAGTGCTATTCTTAATAAAGTAGTCAGGAAAGGCCTCCCTGATATAAGTTCACTTGAACTATGTGGATACTTTGGAGAAAAGCATTCCAGGAAGTGGGAAGAACAAGTACATTCTCTGAGTTTATGAGCTCCACTCTGCACATTTTTAAAGAGACAAGAGGTCTCCCAAAATCCTGCCTCCTTTAGAAGCACTAGCAGCGTGAGGGCCTGGCCAGCTCTATTGCGGAAAAGCCAAGCACTGAGAACTGGGGGAAAGGGATAACTTGTTTTTTTGCTCACCTCTTCCAGGATCAGCTGGAACGTAGCCACCAGTCTGTGGGCAGGGATTTTCCCAGAGCCCAGCTTCAAATGAGCCCTCTTTGTTCTAGCAAGTGTCTCATGAAGAGAGCCCTGGAAACAGCTTCACCATTCCCTTTCAGCTCCTTGGAGGACAACAACCCTTTTACAGCAACTCAGAAAACGTCCCACTGGTTACTCCCATCTTGGTCCTGGGATCACATTCATTTACTGTAGGACAAACCTGAAGCTTGTCCCCCTAAGTGGCCTTAGCAGGCAGAGCACTTGGTGTTATTGGAAGGAAATAAGCAAATAACAAGCAGAAAAATCGTGCTCCAAAATGCCTTCACAGGCCTGCTTAGAGGAATGTCTACAATGTCCACGATGTATCACTCTTTTAAAGTAAAACTGAAGTCCCATTCCATTTTTAAAAATACAAACATGGTACGTTGGTGATAACACATTCGAATGTTATCTGCCTTTAATGCTTGTAGTGGGTTGAATCACAGCTTCTCCCAAAAGATGTCCACATCCTATCCCCAGAACCTACAAATGTGTGACAAGTGCCCTTGTAAGTGAGAAAAAAGGAAAATACATGCACAGAGCGAAGGACACGTGAAGATGGAGGCAGAGACTGGAATAATGCAACCACAAACCAAGGAGCGCCTGGAGCCACCAGAAGCTGGACGAGGCAAGAAAAGATCCTTCCCTCGAACCTTCAGTCTCAGCCCCTGCCCACATCGCGATGTCAGAATGCTGCCGTCCACACGTGTGAGAGTTACATTTCTGTTGTAAGACACTGAGAGTGTGGCAATGCGTTGCAGCAGCCCCAAGAAACTAATACAACACCTTAGAATTTGTTTATTATATTAGCTTCTGCTGCTTTCCTGGACCTCAAAGCTCTGGGGCCTGGTCCCCCTCATATTTTATAGGGAAGGGAACAGGAGCAGGAGGAAATGTTGGACACAGGGAGAGTGAAGAGCAGACCCAGGGGGCACACTGATGTGGCAGAGGGGCCACATCAGAACACTCTGGGGGACAGGGGAATGTTGGCACTGGGGTGAGTAGGGCAAAGAGGAGTAGGAAGGGCCAGCAACAGGGCATTTGAGGGGTGATGATGGCCAACCCCAGAGACTGCACCCTGGCCTTGATGTTCTTGTGGTTTTATGTCACTGCAGGTTCCAGCCCACGGCTCAGAGAAGCAGACTGCTTCCCGGAAAGGGCTCCAGGTCTCCCCAAAGGAGCAGCCAGTCCAACATAACCTCTGCAGAGAAGGCTCTGGGCTGAACAAAAAGGTGGATTAAAAGCTTTCTCAGGTTGCATTTCTCTAAAGTGCAAGCTTGAAGAACCATCCGACTTGTGCTCCAAGGCAAATTCACAGCTGTTGGCTTCAGATGAAGAAGTCACAGGCAACCCAAACCTGGTTGGAAAGACAGTTTGCCTCTGATTTGTCACACAGGGAATGCTCCAGGGACCGGGAAGAAGTGTCTGAACTAGCAGGCTGGCGCACATCCAACTAGGAGTAGGAACACACACAAATCCCAGGCAGCTGACGGTTAAAATGTCTTGCCTGAATTCCTTTTCTTTGCCGAATTTGATGGCAGTGATCAAGCAGCCTCCTTGGGAAGCACCTTGAGGATACAGGGGGAAAGAAAGCTTCCTTTGGGGTTTCCAAAACACTCCCCTTTCATGCTTGTTTTCACTTAGTCATTGCCTCCCTCCTGGCCTCCGGCACCAGAGCCTGCATCCTGCCTGCCCCAGGTAACCGGAGCCCTGAGTGTGCACAAAGCACCACTATGCCAGAGTGATGTTATCAGGCAGGCTGGCCTGCTCCACACGGCAAGACAGCGGCTGAGCCAGGGTGGCCGGGCCCAAGCTGAAACAGGACTCCCATGCTGCTGAGCGAGGACAGAGTGGCCTTTGTGCGGGACAAATCATATTTAGGCCCATTCCTTATTAACATTGCAGTCATCAGAGCATTTTCTTTCCTGACTTCCAGCTCCAAAACCCTGCATAGGATTGTGTAGGATGTGGCTCAGCCCTGGAGTTGACATTGGGTGGAAAGGACGATGTGACTCTTCTCAGCTTCAATTTTTGGAGTCCATCAGAACACTGAGTGCACAATTATACATGAAGAGCAGCAAGCCTTGTGGCCAAACCACAAAACTTGACTGGAAGCTTGATATAGACTAGAAAAGATCTGGTCATCACAGAGAGAAATCATATCTTTTGCAGGAGTGAGAGCAGATTTGGGAACCATACAACCCTGGATATATATTTGCACCCTACCACAAACCTGCTGTGTGCCTTTGGGCAAGTCTCTTGACATCTCTGAGCTTCAGTGTTCTCATCTGTAAAATGCAGACAATAGTACCTACTTGCTAGTGTTGATGTGATGATTACAGACAGTAAATGCAGACAAATTAGCACATGGTAGATGCTCAAAAAATAGTAGCTTTAGTATTAAATGGATTTTCTGTGCCCTTTCCCACCGCCAAACTATTAGAATACATCTCAGTAGCCCTATCACATAGATTAATATACATCTTAAGGTCTTAACAATGTACAGTGTAGAATTTGGCCCAAATCAGAAGAAAATCAGCAAATAAACCGACAATAAATCAAAGCCAGACATGTAATACCATAGCCCTTTTAATGATACTAAACCACACCCATGTTTCATGAGCAGTGCCACATCCAGAAAGAATACTGCTGCACAAAAGCATGAGAATTTGCTCTTTGAGGTTTCCAATCTCCCACCTGCAACTCCATTGATGGCCCACATTGATTGTGCCCCTCCTTAGGCAAGGTCTGGTAGGGGGGCCCTGAAGATACAACCATCAGGGAGCTTAGTTTGGCCTGGAGTGAAATAAAGCAGGATAACAAACTGGCAAAGAGTTCAGCCGGGGAGAACAGACAGCCCCTGCCAATCCTTGCTTGTCACACTCACCAGCTGTGTGATTTGGGGCATGTCATGTTGCCCCTCTAGACCTCAGAGGCCTTATCAATAAAGTGGCAATAACAAAGCACCTCTCTCATGAATAGATGTAAGAATGCAAATGGCCTGGTACATAGATCGCAGGAAATATTTTCTGAACTAGTGACTTGCTGTTGAGAAGTTTAGGCTGGGAAGAAGAAATAAGCCAATGAAGGACATAATTGGAGGCAAGAGATGTTTTTGGCACCCTCTGATCACGCTGGGTAGGCAGGAGGCAGAGTGCTCCCCCAGAGACCTTCTGTGCACTTTGGAGAGGAAGATGAGGCCACGCCAAAGTTTGAATAAGTAGTGAAGGCACATTACACTGGAGAAAAGGCAATGGAAAGGAGGTGACATTTGTGTATTGCCTGGTATATTCAGGCCAGTGCTAGGGGCTTTACCTATGCTATAGTGTTTAAGTCTTACAACAACCCTATTAACCCTCTTAAACCCATATGGAAATTTGGGAAAACTGAGTTGCAGAGATATTAAGTAATATTAACAATTATTGAACATATATCGTGTGCTCTATTGATGATTTCATAATCATTTTCTTTTAAAGAGCCTAATGGCCCAATAAGTAAGATATTTCCATAAAAATCTAACATAAAGCACAAAAGGTTTAATAACCTGCCCTGGATTTTTCAGTTGATAAAGGAAGAGCCAAGATCCAAAATCAGAGACCGTCTGGCAGCAAATGCCAGGTGCTGCGAATCTCTCACCGCGCACCACCCATGAAACCACTGGTTCTCAATATTTGATGTGCATCAGAATTACTGGTTGAGTGTTTTGGAATCTCAGATGATCAGATCCATCAGACCTCCTCTAGAACTTACCACATCAGAGCCTCAGGGGTCTGGGCTCAAGTTAGTGTGTTTTGTAAATGTTTCATAGGGCATTTTGCACTTGACAAGTATGGAGAATCACTTCACAAACTATAAGGAGTTTTCGTACACTCTCTGGTTTTCTTATGCTCTGCTCTCGCCGGGCACATTCTGAGGAAAATGGTTCCCATACCTGTGGCCAGGGCAGACTTGCTTTGTCAAGCCTAGAGGCCACCTGGTAAGCATGGGAACTAGCCTAACTCTGGGAGAGGTCAGCTGGGCATCCTAGGCAGCTCACTGCTCCTTTTGTCTTAACTGTTACTTTCCTTGAAGAAATAACATAGCAAGAAGCAGATGGGGGTTGGTAGGAATCCTCCATGACTATTTTTTTATGTTCTTCTACAACTTTGCTTATTTGTTATTTGATTAAATAACAATATTGTTATTTAGTCAAAATCCTAGGGCAGATATTCCTTTATTCCATTTTTATCACAAGGTATGAATAGTTTCCTGTATTTTAATTTTTCCATGTCTTTTCATAAGCTTTATAATTATATATTTGTACTTGTAAAATATCTCTCTCAGTGGAAAGGCCATAATGTAGTTAACTTTTTCTCTATTGTTGGGCATGTGGGCTGTTCCTAATTTTTTAGTATTATGGATAATATTGACGTAAATAGCTACCCATGCAATTTCAATTCCTTCCTTCCCTCCTTGCTTCCTTCCCTTCTTCCTCCCTTTCTAGCAACCATCGACAACAGCTGCTTAACATCCACTATCAACAGGTTCTACACTAGACATTGGGTAAAAATCTGAAAAGGACCCAGCTCTAGCCTTAAAGAAGTTTATTGTCTGGGCCGGGTGTGATGGCTCACACCTGTAATCCCAGCACTTTGGGAGGCTGAGGCGGGCAGATCACTGGAGGTCAGGAGTTTGAGGCCAGCCTGCCCAACATAGTGAAACCCCGATTCTGCTAAAAAAGATACAAAAAGCAGCCAGGCATGGTGGCGCAGGCCTGTAGTCCCAGCTTCTCAGGAGGCTGAGGAAGAAGAATCACTTGAACCCGGGAGGCAGAGGTTGCAGTAAGTCGAGATTGTGCCACTGCGCTCCAGCCTGGGCGACTGAGCAAGACTCCATCTCAATTTAAAAAAAGTGTATTGTCTAAAGGAAAATGGAGAAAACAAGAAAATTTTAAAAGTACTTATATTAAAACACAATGAGTCTGCTAAAAGATGTTTGGTGAAACAAGGAGAGCTGGACAAGAAGGTCAGCACTAACCATTCCACCCAGAGTGTTGGTGGTAAGTGGGGCAGGGACAACTTCCCAAAGGAGGGAGCTTTGCAGCCAGGTCCTGGGAGAGCCTGTGATAAGGGAAAGTGGACTGAGTGATGGTTTGGGTTTGGTTTCATTTCAGATGAGCCTTTAGGCCACCTTTCCCACTCATGTTAGAAGTGATCCTCCTACTGGCAACGATTGTAGGCCAGCAGTTCCAAGTCCTCTGTGAGAAGAGCCTCCGTGTTCCCTTCACATCACACCTGAACAGAGACTCACCCACCGTCTCCTATGGCTGGGTTGAGCCCTTATGGCTGTTTGGATCCCCTTCTTGCTGTGAAGGATCCATGTATGCTTTTATAAAACTTTCTCATGGCTAAAATTCCCCGGGACATAGCTGGTTAGGACACTTAGAGAATTTCATCCTTCATTAAAGCTCAGCTCAAATCACATCTCCTCAGCCAAGCCTTCTTCAACCCCAGCAGACTATAATAACCCAGCGTCTACACAGTACACGTGGCCAGAGCAGACCCTGGTTGTCTAAGATTAAGTTTATTCACTTTAGAGGAGGTAGAGTGAAGGGGCTTTTTAAAAGAAAGACAAAATCATAGTACAGATGTGACAGAAAAGTAAATATTTACTTAGAACGAAAGAAAACGGTATTATGAAATTTTAAAAGCTGGCAAGTACAATAAACATCAGACAATTCAGAAAAAATGCATGTTTATGAATTAACTGCCTAATACACTTTTTGTATTTTTCTCTACAAAACCATGTACACAAAAAACGTTTTTAGCTACATACAATTTTGTGTGCATACATAGTTTTATAACATCTTCTACCAAAGATAATAAAAATATAATTTAGTCTTTCTTTTAGCTTTGTAAGTTAAAATTTGTTTGTTACTATTGAAACTTGGGATGCTTAAAATACGTAAACACACACAGATTTATTTCATTTTGTATAACAGCTGCAGATTTGTCTCTACAAACACAGATATCAAGAATTCTAATGAATTCTCTCTCATGTAATTCCCATTACACATATCCACATACAAACGCACATTCTACATAAGAATGTTTAGTGGGTGTGCATGTTTATATTTCATAATTATGTATTAAGTATTTTCCTGCCCTGGAAAAAAGTTCCATTTAGATTAAACAAAATTCTCCACGTACAATTTGATGTTTGAATGAATTGTCCAAAGACTAGCTTCTGGTTCCATTTATTTCAAATCGTGTTTGTTCTCATGACCTATATACTTCTGGTACCAGACATAACATGTCTGGCCCTGCTGCATCTTTTTTCCACCAGCGAATTGGAATTCTAGTGGTAGATGTATTCCTGGAAGCCATTTCTGTACCAGCTTGGCTAGCAGTAGCTTAACTATACAAATAAATTACTGTAAAAAACACAAATCCCAAAGTAGGTGTAATCCCAACTCAACTGCCCCTTCACCAAACCTCAAAATTGTTCTCAGCTCTTCCAGCACTACTTAGCACCAGGGGAAATGGGATGCAGAGATGGTCATAGTGGAAAGAAAGTGTCTTCACTAGTTGCTATTTAAATATCTTACTCATGAAAATTTTACAAAAAAAATCCATGACCACATGAACACTTTGTGAGGATCTATCCAAAGGTCGTTAAAATGGAAATAAGTGTCCTGAGATTTAACCTTCATCATAACTCTGCTTCTTTATCTTTTTTCGTTGCCCTATTAGATTGTTATTTGCCATTAACCTGCATGATGTCCTGTCTTTACCGCTTACTATCTATATGATTTGAGTCAAGTCTGTTAACCTTGCTGAGTTTCTGTTTGAAAAATCTGTAATATGGGGGTAAAATGAGAATGCCGTATTTGTTCCTGGGGCTTTTGGGAGAACGGTGTGAGGTAATGTAAGGTTCTCAGAAGTCAACAGATAGTCTCCATGACCATGGTGGATTTGGTGCTGACACAGCGATGGAGGTTATCCTCCATATGCTCATTGGTTATGACATGGGGACAAGGAATTGAACTGACATTGGATTTCTCTTAGACTCATAAGCAAATTTTTAGCAATGCTTATGAGGTGCTTTGAGGTCTGGCCCTGCCTACTTCTTTTAGTCTTGCCTCATCTCTCAACACCCCTACCCCATTCTCCAATACAACCCTTTCCATTGTAACTGCCAAGACATGTGGAATTTCTCCACCATGCAACCTTTCTCTGGCGTCTGAGTCTTTTCACATGCTGGTCGTTCTGTCTGGAAGACTCGTATCCCAATACTCCTCCCTTTGCTGACAGTCCTGCAGGATGCAGCTCAGCTGACACTTCTTCCAGGAAGTTGTGTCTGACGCCCTAGTCTGTACAAGGTGCCCTGCCCCCACAGCCATGTGTCTGCACTGCCTCCTGCTCTTCCTTTTATCACTGCACTTAACACACTGGATTGTAATTGCCTGTTCACTCATCTGTCTCCCTTCAACTAGTCTGTGGGCTCCTTCTGGACCCACAGTACTTAGTACACTGACTGGCAAACACTGGTGTTCAATAACTATTTGACAATTAATACATTCATTGAAAAGAGAAAAAAGGTCAACTCTCCAATCCCTTGGTGGATCTGGAAGAGGCAGCATAAAGGTGGGAAGCCTGTGGGATTGATCTTTGGGCAGTTGGCTGGCTCAAGAGAGAGGCAAACTTTCTCCTATCAAATGACAGAGGGTGAAAGACTCCCTGCCTGAGGGCACCTCTTCAAGAGGCATGAAGACCATTTGCTGAAGTCATTGACTCCAGACCTCAAAGGGCTTGCAGAGGTTGCTGGACTGAATGAAGGAAACTTGTACAGGTCAGGGAGGCTTCCTTGATAACACAGGTCTCCCTGGCTGCCAGGTAACCAGCCACATAAAGGAGTCACAGGTAGCTGTAAGAGGTGTGGTATTCACTCAATGGCTAGCCCTGGGGCTACTCTGATGAGGAAGAATGACTCTGCACAGGAACTCCTTCTGCACAGGGGCACAGGAATAGAAGTGAAGGGGAAAAATGGGTCATTAATCAGAAGACAATAGCCTGAGATCAGCCTTCTTTCAACTTCGGAAAACATCTCTAAGGTTCAGAATACAGGCCACAAATCAACCTGTCCCATGGAAAAGTGTCTAACCTGTGACTAGACAATGTCCTATTCTCCTCTGCAGTAAGTACAACCAAATCTGGAAGCTTCTTAGATCTTAGGATTTTTTTTTTCTTTTTCTTTTTCTTTTTCTTTTTTTAGACAGAGTCTTAACTCTGTCACCCAGGCTGGAGTGCAGTGGCGTGATCTCAGCTCACTGCAACCTCCGCCTCTCAGGTTCAAGTGATTCTCCTGCCTCAGCCTCCCGAGTATCTGGGATTACAGGGGCCCGCCATCACACCCGGCTAATTTTTGTATTTTTAGTAGAGAAGGTGTTTCAGCATGTTGGTCAGGCTGGTCTCGAACTCCTGACCTTAAGCAATCCACCCACCTTGGCCTCCCAGAGTGCTGGGATTACAGGCATGAGCCACCGCATCTGGTGGGATTTTTTTTTTTCTTAAGCTGCAATAGGGAGGCCACTTTACCCACGCCTAATTGTCCATTGTAGTCTGAAATTCCACAATTACACATGCATTCCTTCAGCTTAGTAGTTTTTTTTTCCTATTAGAATGCAAACATACCTGGCAGCCTGTGCATTGGACCATATCAGCCATTTTCACTGTATATCAGTTTATATAATTTTCTCCTAGCCTCAGTATTTCTTATCTGAGTTGTGGAGTTAAGAGTACTCTGAAGAGAATTCCAAGTCCCAAAATCAATGTCACCTCCTTCTCAATTTTTCTAAGTACTTTTGGCCCTGTCTCAACTGGCATCCATTTTAAATATCAGCAATCCTGATATTCTTCACCACGGATCCTTCTTTATTTTTTCTTTGTCTGCATTTTCTACCTTTCTCCCTCCATTATTTCTCTTCTTTCATTCAATTTCTTCTGTTTCTCTTTTTATCCCATCAACCCCAAGCCTGAGGGAGTATCCATATGTATGTTCACGGGCATTCTGTAACACAGATGCAGTGTGGTATATGAGAGACAGCAAAAAGGCTTCAAAGCCAGAAAGGTCTGGCTTTAAATATTGCTTCTATTGTTTAGGAGCTGTGTGACTTTGGATAAGTCACTAGTCTTATTTTTCTCCTTTGGAAATGGGGAATAAACTATACCAAGCCAGCAGGACTTCCTGTGCGAAGGTTGCAGGGAGCTGTGAAGATTAAATGTTTCACCAATGTGTTTGGGTTCCACTAACCCTTTCCCCTTCCCTTTCCATCTCCTTCTGGGTCTGACAGGAGCATCCAGTGAGCCCCATGAGCATTGCTTAGCTCTGTGGCCTGGAGATAATTAATCTCCCTCGCAGGCCTATCTTACTCTTTGTCCTTTTTAATTTTCCCTGGCTTTAATTTTCTCCTCATAATTGTGTTCTCAATTAAGTTGCAGTGAGGCTGCAACATGGTAGCCTGATCTTGAAAATACAGATGGTATTTCCGATCAATTTGCCAAAGTTGAATGGAAATCCTGAAACTTTAGAGCAATGCTTCTGAAAGTGTGATATTAAGTTTAGCTGTATCAGAATCTCTAGAAGTGTTAAAACTGCAGATTCCTGGGCCCTGTCTCAGAGCTCCTAAACGGGATCTCTGGGAACATGGCTTGGAATCCACATGTTTGCCAAGCACTCCAGGTGATCCTCATATACTTCAAGGTTTGAGAACTATTGCTCTACAGGTTAAGCTTAAGACCTAAACTGACTATTGAAGGAAAGGACAAGAATGTTCAGCCTTTATTGACCATTCATAGCAGTAGGATGACCTCTCTTCACTGGCCATCGAGACCCAAGGAAATGACTTGCCTGAATCCTCATAGCTGGTTAGTAGTAGAGGCAGAAAGAAACCCAGGTTGGAAGCTTCCAGGTCCAGCTCTCTCTCAACTGCCCTCAAACCTTCCCTCCAAAGAGTTCTTATCACCTAACAAAGAACTCACCAGAATCCTATAATCTGCAGGCAGAAGAGTAAAATAAATGTGTGTGTGTGTGTGACAGAGACAAAGACAGAGACAGAGAGATAGCCCTCTCTTCCTTCCTGTGTTCATTACATTTTCCCTTATTTTCAAATTCATCATTGAGCTTAGAGGCCTGATATGTTTTTTTTTAATTCCTGACAATACAGCTTCACGTGAGTATAATCATAATTAAATTCCATTACAGGGAAGGAATTTAGATGACTAATGGCATTTTTTTTTAATCCTGAGATTTGATCTATATGTCCATTTAGGTATCTTTTGTGCTTCCTTATAGTTAGGAACTGTTCTATCAAGTTTCATGCTTCCTCTTGATAAAAGATGTTTGGACCAAGGTAGTCATTTAAAACATTAGCTATTATCTGACAGAGAAATGAATTTAATGATGCTTCAGGAAGAGTGTAGCTGAAAGAGCAGTGGTCTGAACATCAGCAGATTTGAGGTTCCAGCCCAAAGAATGAGCTGTGGAACCCTGGGTGAATGACTTACCCTCCCCAGGCTTCAGTTTCCTCATTGAAGCAATAATAATAAGAAAATGTGAGTGTTTCTCAGGCTGCAGAGCCATATTCCTTGATGTGCTCACTGAGGGCAAACGCTGCAGTTACGCCACATCCTCCCAGAGCGTCTTGGCACATACTCTTATAATAAAGGCTCTGAGTGGTTCTAAAGTCAAGAATCAAGTTTAATTTCTCTCAATACAGCTTTCCCCAAGCCCCTTTCATTTTCCCATTCAAAAAGTATTTATTGAGCACCTACTTTGTACCAGGCAGTTTCAGGAGTCAGGATTCAGCAGGGAACAAAACACAGAAATCTCTTCCTGGAAGGAATTTACATCTAACTGGGGGAGACATAACACAAGCAAAATAAAAAATTAAAATAGATAGTATATTAAATGATGAAAAAGGTTGTGAAATACAATTAATTAGGCAAGAATATTGGACTAAAAGAAAGAGATGAGTGACTAATATTCTTTAAGAATAATTCTTATGAATATCTCTGGACCTGACTTTGTGTAAAAATACAACCTGGGAAATTATGTACTAGAATGTGTCTAAAAGGCTGTCTACTCCTAAAAACATCTGCTTGCCTGTGAATGATCACACCAGGGATCTTGCTGGTAAGTTGGGAGGTAGTTTGTCTTTGGCATCAAAACTGGCCATGCAGTCAAATCACTCCCATAATGTTACAAGCTAGTATAATTCAGTCCACTCATCCTTTGTTTGCCTAGTGCTAAGGTAGATGCTATTAGGAGACACTATAGTAGAAACCATTTCCCTTGTCCCAAGCAGCTGAGGGTCTTGCTGGATAAAATGACTGAGAAGATAATTCTTGGTCAATGTCTTCAGTGCAGTGGATGCAGTGAAATCTATTAGAGAATCATGAGGTTCGTCATCTAGTGCCCTTCATCCCTAGTAGATGACTTTGCATTGTCACCACCAAACTGGGCCTCAGTTTTGCTAGACTTCAAATGTGCATGGTAGCCTATGACCTCCAAATTTGCTTGTATTGGTGAAATGTTATGTTATAACATTCTTTGTAAGAGAGAGATTTATTCATTCGCTTAACAAACATCTATTGAACTCCCAGTGGTATTTGACCCTGGAGCCAAGATAAATAATCCAAAAATCCTTTTCTGAAAAAAAAAAATTTTTTTCATTTGGCTCCCATTTGGCTAATGTTTACTGAGCATTCACTATTTGCAAAGAACTAGTCTGAATGCTTTTTATATATAATCACAACCCTTTTATGAGCTGTATTGTAGGAGGCAGAATGACTCCTACAAGATGAGCCTCAGTAACTTTCACCTTTGTATAACGTCCATCTGTTGAATGTGGATGGAAGCTGTGAATTTGATGAGATGTCACCCTGTGGTTATGTTCTGTTCACTGGCAAAAGGGATTTTGCAGATGTAATCAAGGTCCCTAAATAGTTGGCCTTAAGAAAGGGAGATTCTCTTGGGTGAGCCTGACCTATTCAGATGAGACCCTAAAAGGGACTGGGCTCTTCCTAAAAAGACTCACAGCATGAGAGAGATTTGATGGAAGGAGATTCTCCATGGCTGGCTTTGAAGATGGAGGGGACCACACAGTGAGGGATGGTGAGCAGCATCAAGGAGCTGAGAGCAACTCCTGGCCAGCAGCCAGCAGGCAGGCAAGGACCTGAGCCCTAGAGCTCAAGGACTCGAACTCTGCCAACAACCTGAATGATCCTGGACACAGGTTGTTCCTTAATAATGCCTTCAGGTGAGAACACACCCTGGCTGACACCGTGATTGCAGCTTTGTGAGATCCTGAGCAGAGAACCCAGTCATACCATGCCCAGGCTTCTGACTTGCAGAACTAGGAGCTAATAAATGGGTATTGTTTGAAGCTGCTAAACTTGTGGTGATTTGTTGCACAGCAATAGAAAACTTGTATCTTCATTTTATGGATTGGAAAACAGAAATAGGGAGGCAAAGAACTTGAGCAAGATCATATAGCCAGCAAATGCCAGAATCAGGTTTACGAACCTATCAGGGTTGGTTCCAGAGCCTGTGCTCTTTCTTAAGCTCTGCCCTTCAGCAGGGAACTGTGCCAGTAATCAAATGTCCACAGTACAGTTTACCAAGTGCAATAACTAACATTGGTGGTTTAAAAAAAGTCATCCGGGTGCAGTGGCTCACACCTGTAATGCCAGCATTTTGGGAGGCCGAGGCGGGCAGATCACTTGAGGTCAGGAGTTCAACACCAGGCTGGCTAACATGATGAAATTCCATCTCTAAAAACAGAAACAAAAACAAAAACAAAACAAAAAACAAAACAAAAAATGGAGTGATCAACTCTATCAGGGGAGTAAATAGATACTGTCCTCTGCAGGGAGCCCATTGTTAAATATTCAAGAATTTTACAAACTGGTTGTTAAACTGTTGGCAGCTTGAGATAGGTAGGAATATTTACCTTGTGGAAAGTGGCAAATGCTACAAATCAGGTTTTGTTTTTTTAAAAAAAAATGAGAAAGAAGATTTGCCAGCACACCACTAGCACTAATGATTCTTCAGAGAAAGTGTATGAAGACTTAACATAGATCAAATGTTGTTAGAATTCTGAGAAAAGAAAGATCATTGTGTGACTGGGTCAGTGCAGAACAGCATCATGAAATATAGCAGAGTGTGGGAAGAGCCTTTCAAATGCACATTTGTAGAGTGGCCCAGAGGTGGGGAGGAATGTCACGTGTGTGAGCACCTGGAGCAGAGGGCCGTGCTGGGCACATCATTCTCCATCATGAGATGCTGGCACAGTACCGTGTCATGAGAACAGAGCGTGCTCTGCATAGGAGGGGTTTGGATGGATCCCAGCAACATACCAGATGGGGTGGGGGATGGGGCACTTACAACTGTCCATCAAGTGTGACCCAGAGGCCCAGGGCACAGTATACTGGAATGGGAAGGTGGGGATCAGGGCCCCATCAGAAAAGAAGAGTGCTAATATGAACCCAGCTTGAAACCAAGTTCATATCAGCTGGTACTGAACTGGGTGTAGCTACTCAAGGAACAGATGCTTTAATTGGACAATGGAGGCAAGAACTGCCTGAAAGAGTTTGGGTTAGTTTCTGTTCTGAGCCCACTAATGAAAAAAATACAAATTTATCAACATTTAGTTGCATACCATTTCTCAAAGCCCCATTATGCAGTGTCAAAACAACTGGTTGAAGTGAAAACATTTAAACCTTTTGCCCAGGTGTGTTGTGTACTGGGTACAATAAAAGCATTTACTGGTGTTTTTTGGTGTGCTCTACTGGACACCCCCTCTTGCACTTCTTCAGATCCTTTTGGCCTAATGACTGCAAGAGGTAGTTGACAGCTTCACATAGGTATGATTGACAATCCCACATCTCAGACCTTCATTGTTCGTCCCTTACCTCTGGCCTTTCCTGTTGACACTGTGGCTTGGACCACCTCAGAAACATACCTGAAGCCCTCAGCTGCACAATCCTGAAGTGCAAGGGAATGAATACCCCTATGGGGCAAGACTTTGAGCACTGGTAGACAGGAGTGGTGGGTAAATGCCTCCCCTTTACAACCCTGCAGATGGTCTTGAGATGCATTTCATGGGGCTTCTTAGCAAGTCTGGTGGGCTCCAGCAGTCACCTGTGCTGGGAGCCAGCTCACTCCTCCCATGCTTTGTTCTGCCTCACTCTTGCTCCCTGAAAACCTCATCTCAGTTCTGCTTTCTAGGGAACCCACGGTGAGACATGTACTAACTGGTCAAAGGTCAGACCTTAATGACCAGTTACCTGCTAGGAACAGAGGTTGCCAAGATGGGAAAGTCTTAGAAGACTTTCTGGGTGAAAAGCTAAATGCAGCAGGTCGTTTCTGATCCTCAGGTTTTTCAATTCCCCCAACCCAGGCCTGTTCGATAAAGTTTGAAAAACATGCAGCGCACTCACAGTAGTGTGCAAGGGATAAACTTCCAAGGTTTTGTGGATTAGATTAAGCCGGATATGCATATTGTTTTGGTGAATATAAGAAATGTCTTTTTTGGGGTATACTGGTAACCATGTGCTGAGAGCTGTGGCACCAATACCATTAGAAAGAAGGAAATTGTTACATTATCAATAACTATTGGAAATCTCTGACATTATGAATCTAAATCTAAGAGTTACCTGTTTATTTTGGATTCCATTCTATGAGAAATCAATTTTCTTCACTGCTTCAAATGTGTACACATTTAAAGTTTAATAACTACTTTCTTGGAGGGTGCTTTTTATGTTCCCTATCCTATTCTAAGTGCTCTATATGCATGATTCACAACTCTGAGGTAGGTATAGTATTTTTATTATTACCCCTTTCACATATAAGAAATCTGAGGCCCAGAGACATAAAGTAACTTCCTGGGGGCCACACAGCTCAGTAACACTATAGATAAAGCTGAAAGTTAGAGCCAGCTAGGGCTGATTCTGTAGCCCTTACTCTTAATCCAATTAACACACTAACTCGTGGTTTGATGCTGTTATGTTTAGATAAAAAACTAAAAGGCTGTGCAAATATGTGGTGAATTGGGAATGCAATGAAACACCAATGAATGCAGCCTTATCAGAATTGGATGGACACGATGCCCAATTAATAATTGAAAGTGAGAAAGAAAAGCACAGTACTTCAGTGTTTGATACCCAGATGCTTGATGAAATTTTCATTGAATTCACATGAATCAGTTCGACTTTTTTTTGTTTCTTATTGATTGAACCATCTGGGCTGTATTGATACCAGTCAATGTAGCCTAAAAATGCACTAACTGATCTAGAAAGTTCATTTATGAATGCTCATAACCAACATTTTGACATTTTAACCAACTATTTGTCTTAAATAAGTTGCAGGCATAGACCAATCACTATGTATAATTTGTCTCAGTTTTCTGTCTTAAGCTACTCTAAAATGATTAGTTAAACGCAAGAGCAACATAGAATTGAGGAGAGGGGTCCATCATCTTGTGCCTAAATTACATAAATATCCGCTAGCCTACTTTTAGAAATTAGTATTTTTTCTTCTTTGAGAAATACAACCTTTAGAAACTTGGTTTCCTAAGCTAATCACATTCTAATTCTGCAACTGTACTGAACTACCTAGGACCATGGGCATGTAACAAGGTCAAAGGTCAGACATTGAGTCTTTGTGAAAAATCAATATCTTTCCTGTTGTAAGAGTAGGAGAACTAAGGATCGCCTAATCTTTTCTTAAAAAAAATCTGCCCAAAGAGCTAAGACCCCAAAACCTGTCATTTTCCTTAGTTCTGGGCACCAGCAATATTTGAGCACTGAGGATATCATATCCTGGCTCTGATGGGGGAAGAGGCCCCTGGGTGTGAACTTGTTTGCTTTCTATAATGTAAAAGGATGGGCCCTGGACTCAGCTACAAGATTCGTGACTTAATTGTATGACAACACGCAAACCCACTTAACCTCTCTAAGCATCGCTTGAGTCAATAAGGGGATGGAATGAGATGATATTTGTGGATATTGTGCAAAAGAAAGATTTCAAGGTACACACTTGTGCCCAGCAGAGGAAAACACACTGTGGTACACGGTCTTAATAATGGTCCCAAAGATACCCATGCCCTAACACCTGGAACCTGTGAATGTTACATCATATGGCAAAAGGGACTTTGATTAAGTTAAGGATCTTGAGATGGGAAGATTATCCTGTATCATCCATGTGGGTCCTAAAGGCAATCATGAGTGTTCTCATAGGAAGGAGCAAAAGGAGATTTAACTACAGAAGTAGGAGATGTGGCAATGGAAGTGAGGGACTGTGGTGATCTGATGAGCCAAGGAAGCCCAAGGAATGCCAGCAGCCTCCAGAAGGTGGAATGAGGTAAGGAGCAGGCTTTCCCCTGGAGCCTCTGGAAGGAACCATCCCTGTTGACACCTTGATTTTAGCCCTAAGAGACTCATTTCAGACTTCTGACTTCCAGAACTGTAAGAGAACAAACATTTTAAGCCACTAAATTTGTGGCTGTCTTTGACAGCAATGACAAAAGCGACTAAGTTTGAGATCTCATTTCCTGTTCCTGTGGCCATTTTCCTATCTGCCTGCTAAAATGGGATACTCTGCTCTCATATCCTTCTAAATAAGCATCTCATGCCATACTTCAAAGCAAACATTCTTGTATTAGTCCGTTTTCACACTGCTATAAAGAACTGCCCAAGACTGGGTAACTTATAAAGGAAAGAGGTTTAATTGACTCACAGTTTAGCATGGGGAAGCCTCAGGAAACTTACAATCATGGCAGGAGGTGAAGGAGAAGCAAGGCATCTTCTTTGCAAGGCGGCAGGAAGGAGAAGTGCCAGGCAAAGGGGGAAGAGCCCCTTATAAGACCAACAGATCTCATGAGAACTCACTCACTATCATAAGAACAGCATGGAGAATCACCCCCATGATTCAATTAGCTCCACCTGGTTTCCCCCTTGACACATGGGGATTATGGGGATTATAATTCAAGATGAGATTTGGGTGGAGATACAAAGCCTAACCATATCACTTCTCCTTGGATATTGTATTATTTTTCTGGAGAAAGTCATAATTTCACTTAGCACTAACAGTGAATACAAGAACCCAGTCAAGTTTCTCTTAAAGAAATTCACAACAAGAGTAAAGAGAAAAGACAGTGAAGAAGAACCCCCCAATGCTGCCTGTAATACAGTTAGCTGGGCCCAAAACCAACCAATTACTCACCTGTTGGTCAACATGTTTGAGCAGTTGGTATATGTGTAGCAGTCACTGTGCAAGTCAATAAAAGGGTACACAACTTTTCTGAAAAAGGAACCATGTGGTTATGCATGACTTAGTAAAAAAACAGTGAAAAAATGTCTTGCCTCTAACCGATCATGTGGCTTTGGGCAAGTTGCAGCCTCGCTGGGTCTTGGTTCCCTCTTCTCTCAAAAGTAGAAGTTACACTGTAGATGATGTTTATACTTTTAAAGTGTCTTTCTTACTATGTGAACCTCCCTGAATACCCACAGTAACACTATAACTAATATTGTTATTTCCGTTTCATAGGTGAGGAGCCAAGCCTGAAATTGCTTCATCTGCCAAAGTCAGTACTGGTCTGGCTACTGACTTCATGCTTCTCCCACCACATCACAGCACATTATGCCACCAGTCTCCAAGGTCCACTCACCTCTGTAGCTCTCCCTGCATTTGTCCAAGCTGTTTGTTCCCTCTGCCTAGAATGTACTTCCCCAACTTATGCTTGTTGAAGTTCATCATTAAAGATCCAGTTTAAATACCATCCTCTCGATTGAAATTAATTTCTCCTCTGTGCCTTCTCATAGAAACTTGCTTGAATAGTACTTTTATAGTACTTGTTTAAGTCTATTTTGTAGAGAAATATTATGCCTGTGTTTAACTTCCCAACCAGTCTATGAGATGAGCAGACGATTCTCCTTGTTTCCTCCCAGCACCAAGTACAGTAGTTCCCACACAGTGTATGCTCATTTTCCACTGAATTAAATGAACAGCTTTGGAGCTAGGAGTCAGAGTGCGTGATTTCTAGACCACCAAGTGGCACGACTGCTCACGTGGTGTTATGCTGTTCAGTGTATTCATGGACTTTGCCAATCCCTCCTTTGACCCTAAGGCCCACATGCTATTGATTTCCTTTGGAGAGGTAGGGGTGTGTGTGCGTGTGTGTGTGTGTGTGTGTGTGTGTGTGTGCGTGTCCACATGCATATGAGATGAATGGGTCAGGGGAGAGTCAAGGACACGATATGGCAAATGGGACTATATATACTTATGAGAATGTAAGAGAATATCTAATTAAAGACTTATTTCTGTAATATTCCAATTGTGAAACTAAACATTTGTTCTTTTTTCTCTAAATGAGTGGTTTTTACAGAGAGAATGTGGTCTCCCTAGACATGAGTGAAATAAAAGCAGGCTTTCTAGCTTCTCACTACTCTAGCCATAGTACCACACACATAGACAGTGGAGAGAAGTGAGAGGGAGGCATGTGTCCTTCCAACAGCCAGAAGATCCCGAGAAACTGGTATGTATCTTCCAGTCAAATAAGAAATCCCACAGGGGACTCCAGGTGACATAACAATAAGGATTAAGTGCATGTCTCATCACCCAGATTTTCCCTGTGGGGACCATGGGGCTCCTTCTTTTGTTGGGACCACTGGATATACTGACAACTCTTATTAATAGTGGGCAGAGCACATCCATTTCTTAAAGTGTGAGATGCTAGGTAACTCAGACAGCCTCTCTGAAAATAATCAAAAAATGGTAGGTAGTTTTTTTTAAAAAATCTTGGGATTCTTTCAAGAACATACAGGAAAGTAAGGATGTCCCAGAAGTCAAAACCTGAGGGGTAAATGGGAAGACAGACAAGCAAAGCCCTGAAGCTGGTGTTCTCTCTGAGAGCATTTGCCTAAGCCAGGTAATCGTGAGTTTTAGATTTCATACTTCCCAGGACAGGCAAAGCAGGAGAAAGACTAGAAAGTGTGCACACTGGGGAGACTAATAGAAGACCCTAAATAAAACTGGAAGCCCAAAGGGTTATAGCCTCAGTGAAGAATGAATTAGAAATCCCCCCACCTAGGAAGAGGAAAAAAAGTAATGATTTCAAACCTGGGAGGTGAGTAAAGGAAAAATTCTCCCCTAAAAATTCATAACCATTAGCCAGCCCTCAAAAGTGTCTGAAGTCCAGATTCATTATTATCAGACTTCTCTAAAAAGTCCTAAGTCAAAAATGTAGTTATAAAAAGATCCCACATTTGTAGCATACCCTATCACTTTCATATCCTCTCTAAAGGTACCCATCTTCAACCCAGGCATAAAATAATTCCCACAGATATATTCTAAGGAGTGTCAACTTGGAGTAAGTTTTTTTAAAAACAAATCGCAAAATAGTAGAAGAAAACAAGGTACCATGAGTGAGAGTCAGTAGAAACAACAACAGATCAATCAGATTTGTCAAGGCTTCAGTGATAGAATTATCAGTCACAGGTTATAAAATAAGTATGCTAAATCTGTTTTAAGAAATAAAAGTAAGAATTAAAAATGTGAGTAAGGAGCAAGAGACTATCAAAATTACCAAGAAAACTTGAAAAAGAGTGAAATAGAATTTCTAGAAATCAAATATAATTGAAATTTTTTGATGGCTTTCATTTTCAGCAGTATGGTGGATTACATACCTGAACTAACCCTCCCATCAACTATAATTCAAAATGCTAGATAAACTTTTCAATCCTCCTAAATGCATCCATGAGTTGCTAAAAATGTAAAGAAAAGTAAGCTCAATATCTAAGTGAAGGAGTGAGCCTAGAATGGTAATGGAGACCAAGCCAGTTTTGTGAACATGAGCATCAATTTTCTCAGCTTTTAGGAATTGAGAAACAGTTACAAGTTAGGTATTCTAACAGAAGACCTCTACATAGAGTGAGGACCCCAGAGAACCACATATTTAACATGAAACAAAATCAATTGTATCAAACTCTGTATTTGCATGGAGGTGGGGGGTATTATCTCCACTAAACATCAGAGCTCAAGCACATGTTCATACTATTTGGATCGTTCAAAAAACCTCGAGCCCAGAACTCAAAATGGTCCTAAGCTGGCACAAGCAAATGCAAATCCACTCCACAGAAACCCACCTCCATCCTAGGCACTGAATTTTCAAAGATAAGATGCCAAAGAAGAAAGAGCTTTCAGTTAAAAATTATTAAATTAGCATGGAAGCTTGCACCATGAGTGAAATCCTGCAAAAATGGCAGGCAGAAAAACAAAACTTGCAAATACATTACAAATTAGAATTATCATATAAGAATAAGAAATGAGTAATAAAATTTCAGTAATAGAAACCTGAAAACTCAAGAACAAAAATTGAAAAATAAACTAAGTAGAACTCCTAGAAGTCAAAAATAATCCCAAATGGATTACAGATTTAAATATGAAGGAAAACCTATTTTTATAAACCCAGGGTAGCAAAAAAATTACTTAAACAGTTACAAAAAGTGTCAACCATAAAAAGATACATTTATATTAAAATTAAGAAGTCTTCTGTTCCTTAATAGAATTAAGAAAGTGAAAAGAAAAGCACAAAATGAGAAAAGATACTTGCAGGATATATAAATAGACAAAGGATTATATCCAGAATAGTGACTCTACTCTACATATCAATAGAAAATAATAGAAAAAAATGAATGAAAAACTTGCCCAGGCAATTCACAGAATAAATATGAATGGCTGACACGCATATGAAAATTATGCTTACACACATTGCAATCAGAGAGATGAAAATTAAAATCACAACAATAAATGCTTTCACTATTAGCCAATTGTAAATAAAAATAGCATACTGAATTATGGTGGTCAGGTCTTTCCCATGTGTTATTGTAATAGTGAATAAGTCTCATGACATCTGACGGTATTATTATATAGGGGAGTTTCCCTGCACAAGCTCTTTTTGCCTGCCACCATCCACATGAGATATGACTTGCTCCTCCTTGACTTCCACCATAATTGTGAGGCCTCCCCAGCTATGTGGAACTGTGAGTCCAATTAAACTTCTTTCTTTTGTAAATTGCCCAATCTCAGGTATGTCTTTATCAGCAGTGTGAAAACGGACAAGTGCAGAAAATTTGTACCAGTAGAGTGAGGTGTTGCTGAAAAGATACCCAAAAATGTGGAGGCAACTATGGAACTGGGTAACAGGCAAGGTTGGAAAAGTTTGGAGGGCTCAGAAGAAGACAGGAAAATGTGGGAAAGTTTGGAACTTCCTAGAGTCTCGTTGAATGGCTTTGACAAAATTGCTGATAGTGATATGAACAATAAGGTCCAGGCTGAGGTGGTCTTAGATGGAGATGAGGAATTTGTTGGGAACTGGTGACTCTTGTATGTTTTAGCAAAGAGACTGGCAGCATTGTGCCCCTGCCCTAGATATTTGTGGAGCTTTGAACTTGAGAGAGATGATTTAAGGTATCTGGTGGAAGAAACTTCTAAGCTTCAAAGCATTCAAGAGGTGACCTGTGTGCTGTTAAAAGCTTTCAGTTTTAAAAGGGAAACAGAGCATAAAACTTTGGAAAATTTTCAGACTGACTATGTGATAGAAAATAATATCCCATTTTCTGAGGAAAAATTCAAGCCAGCTGCAGAAATCTGCATAAGTAACAAGGAGCCAAATATTCATCCCCAAGACAATGGGGAAAATGTCTCCAGGGCATGCCAGAGGTCTTCATGGAAGTCTGTTCCATCACAGGCCAGGAGGCCTAAGAGGAAAAAATGGTTTCATGGGCTAGGCCCAGGGTTCCCGTGCTGTGTGCAGCCTAAGGACTTGGTACCCTGCATCCCAGCCGCTCCAGCTGTGACTCAAAGGGGCCAAGGTACAGCTTGGGCTGTTGCTTCAGTGGGTGGATGCCCCACGCCTTAGCAGCTTCCACATGGTGTTGAGCCTGCAGGTGCATAGAAATCAAGAATTGAGGTTTGGGAACCTCTGCCTAGATTTCAGAGGATGCATGGAAATGCCTGGATGTCCAGGAAAAAGTTTTCTGCAGAAGCAGCGCCCTCATGGAGAACGTCTGCTAGGGCAGTGTGGAAAGGAAATGTGGGGTCAGTGCCTCCACACAGAGTCCCTACTGGGGCACTGCCTAGTGGAGCTGTGAGAAGAGGGCCACCATTCTCCAGACCCCAGAATCCATCAACAGCTTGCCCCATGCACTTGGAAAAGCCCAGACACTCAACGCCAGCCCATGAAAGCAGCTGGGAGGGAGGCTGTACCCTGCAAAGCCACAGGGGCAGAGCTGCCCAAGACCATGGGAACCCACCTCTTGCATCAGCATGACCCAGACATGAGACATGGAGTCAAAGGATATCATTTTGGAACTTTAAGGTTTGACTGCCCTGCTGGATTTCATACTTGCATGGGGCCTGTAACCCCTTTGTTTTGACCAATTTCTCCCATTTGGAATGGCTGTACCCCCATTGTATCTAGGGAGTAATTAACCTGCTTTTGATTTTATAGGCTCATAGGCAGAATAGACTTCCCTTGTCTCAGATGAGACTTTGGACTTGGACTTTTGGGTTAATGCTGAAATTAGTTGAGATTTTGAGGGACTCTTGGGAAGGCATGATTGGTTTTGAAATGTGAAGATATAAGATTTGGGAGGGGCCGGGGCAGAATAACATGGTTTGGCTCTGTGTCCAAACCATATCTCATCTTATAGCTCCCATAATTCCCGCATTGTTGGGGGGACCTGATGGGAGATGATTGAATTATGGGGGCAGGTCTTTCCTGTGTGTTCTTGTAATAGTAAGTAAGTCTCACAAGATCTGATGGTATCATAAGGGGGAGTTTCCCTGCACAAGCTCTCTTTGCCTGCCACCATCCACATCAGATGTGACTTGCTCCACCTTGCCTTCCATCATGATTGTGAAGTCTTCCCAGCCATGTGGAACTGTGAGTCCAATTAAACGTCCTTCTTTTGTAAATTACCCAGTCTTGGGTATGTCATTATCAGCAGCATGAAAACAGACTAATAGAGCATGTATAGCCACATTGGAAAATATTTTCACATTAGTAAAGCTGAAAATACATATTTTCTATGACTTTGCGATTCCATTTGCATACACTTAAGGGTTTCAAAGTCTTTGGGCTTCACTCGCAGTAAAAACATAAAAAAATACATTGTACATTGGGACCGAGCACACGTGTACATTCACACATGCACTCACTGAGATATGCACTACAGGCACACTGTGCAACTGTAGGAGGGACTGTTCACATTGCAGCCACAGCCCTGAAATGTATGTGATGTGAGGAGTGAGGGGTGTGTGTGTGTGTGTGTGTGTATGCACACAAGTGAGTATGGGTATGTTCATAAAGAGATCTATAAATAACTCTAACAAAGGTTTCAGAAAACAGTTCTTGCCCTTTTCAAATATGTATTCTTTCTATGTGAGGCACATTCCAATACATTCAACTTTATTTAAATCCATTTTTTAAAATGTTAATCAGGAAGTGACCCATCATCCACAGTTTGCAAAATGCTCTCATATATGTGCACCAGGAAACATACAAAAATGTTCATGGCAGCCTTGCTACATAATAGCCCTGAATCAGAAAAAAAGCAAAATGTCTGTCAAAAGAATGAATAAAAATATTATGGTCTATTTTTATAGTGCAAAACTCTTCAGCAGTGGAAATGAATAAACTACAGCTACATGTGACTATAGGGATGAATCTCAGGAAGACAAATGCTGAGTGAAAAAAGTCTTAGAAGAATACATATATAAAATATATACATACAGTATAGTATCATGCTATCTATGCTGAATTATTTTTAATTTTTAAAGTAAGCTCTAAATGTGATAACATGGCCTGTGCTTAATTTAAAGCCTACTGCCCTCAACTAATTCAGGACACAAGGAGGTTACTAAGTGGAGATAGTTCTGCGTACACAGCTGCTGATGCATAAGGAACTAAAATTGACAAAAGAAATTTTCTAGTGGTTCCCTCCAATATGAAGAACTTCTGCAAAGTAAATTCCACTACAGGGATGTTGCCTTTCTCCCTATTATATCTTCAGAATCTACAATGCCTGGCACTTAACATATACAGGAAAGAAGGAAGGAAGGAAGGAAGGAAGGAAGGAAGGAAGGAAGGAAGGGAGGGAGGGAGGGAGGGAGGGAGGGAGGGAGGGAGGAAGGAAGGAAGGAAGGAAGGGAGAGAGGGAGGGAGGGAGGGAGGAAGAAAGGAAGAAACGATGGAAGGAAGGTCGTGTCCATGGTGTTTACATATTTGAATCCTTTAAATCCCTATTGCACAGTCTGTAGAGTTGCAAGTCCTGCGAATGAGTCAAGGCTCCAAGCATTATAACCTTGAGCAAGTCAACTAAGTGCTGGGAATCTGTTTTCTTGGGGTCTAAAGGGGAACATGCCCTATAGCAGTGTGGCAGTGAGGTTCAAGTGCAACAATGCTTGGAAAATGGTTGGTCACCTGTTAAAGTTTTATGCAAATGTTGTTTCCCAAATGTTTTGGCTCCAAGGTCTTAGACCTCCTTGTAAACAAGTTTCTGGATCATTGGCCTTCAGAGGGCCCTGGGGCTGTAAACCCCTCCCCCTCCTGCTGGCCATTAACTGAAACCCCTCAAATGGCAGACAGTCTTTCTCCTGCAATCAGAGATAAGGATACAGAAAGGGTGTTGACAATAAGCTTCACCTGCCTCACAGAGCAGCACAGGTACTGTGTTGCTGAATGGGTGTGAATGAAGACTGTGATGGGGTGAAGATGACCTGCTTACCTCAGGGGGCACAGCCAGGTCAGGAATGAAATTGAGAGGTCAAGAAATTGAGAGGGCCCCAGGGGCTAGAGGGTGGGCTGGAATCCAAACCCATTCTTCACCTTAGGAGAAAGGCCTTCCCCTGTGCCACTCACTCACTCATATCCCCCTTTCCCTTACTCCCCACCTTCTCAACAGTTCCCCCCGCCCACTCCCAGTCTAAAAGGTTGGAGGTTTAGGAGTCCTGTCCAATCTGAGCCTAGCTGCACCCAGCAGGCAAGTGGACCACTAGGACACAGGGACAGAAGAGCCATGCCCATGTCTCAAGTCTTTCCGGCCATGTATCAGAGCCCAGGTTAGAAGAACTGGGGCAGCCCTTCCACGGCTATTCCTGCAGGAGAAGCCCACTTGCTGCCAACGGGCCTGCCTGCCATCATCTCCTGAGCAGAGCCTCTGCTGGGAGTTCTAGCACCAACATCCTTCCCTCTACTGCCTAGCACCTGTCCCAGGACAGCACACGTGCTTCACACCCAAAGGGCCAGGAGTTGGGACACTGCTGAGAGGCTTCTAGGTCAATGAGACTCAGGTTGCAGAGTGAGTGGCAGCAGCAACAATAGCAGTAGCCAAAAGTCCTCAGGAGTGTGGGATTTAGAGCCATTTGGAGGGTAGAGTCAGTATTGGCCAAACTGAAGGGTCAAAGAGAGACAGTGGTGAGAGATAACAGTAGCAATGATAAAATAATAAGAGCCCCATATTACTGTATGATTATATGTGCCAAGTGCTTTACGTGCATGGCGTCCTTAATTATTTCAACTGCCTCAGGCGTAGGGACTGATATTATACCCATTCTACAGAGGCACAAGGAGTTTCACACAGATAATGGGGTACAGAGCTAATCTTATGAACTCGTGGTACCTGACTCCAGAACCCATTGTCTTAACCATTCTTCTCTTCTGCCCATTGAGAATAGAAATCTGTTTCTGTGGTTGGGTTTCTGACTTGAGTCCACAGGGCATGTTATAAAGCCAAGACCACAGCAGCACCAGAATAGTCAGACCGAGCCCTCTAGGATTAGCAGATATTAGTGCTTGTAAGTGCTTGCTGCTGGCTGGGAGCCAGGCATATAAAAGTGAACTAGACAGACCCAGCCCACTCCTTGCCTGCCTGTATAGCCTACGATATAGCCTGGTGGGAGCTCTGAAAGCCTCTAAGAAGGGAAGAGGCCCCAGACATGGAAGGAGGCTCAGCAGACTTCTTGGAGGAAGTAATATCTAATCTGAAATGTGAAGGATGAGTAAATTAGTCAGGGGTGTGTGTGTGTGTGTGTGTGTGTGTACATGGGAAGGTAGGGGAGGGGTGAAGGGCAAAGAATCTATGCAAATGCCTAGAGGCAGGAAAGAGGTTGGCAGGCTGGAGGAAGTGGTGGTCTAGGGACTGGAACTTGGAGTGCAAAGGGAAGTGGAGGAAATGGGAAAAGAGAAGCCTTAGCTGTTTAAAGCTGGCAGCAGCATTATAAAATTTGCCTTCAGAATGTTCATTGTGGCTTCAGGGTGCACATGAAAAAAGAATAGCTTTACCCACTGATCCCCTTGCAGCAGAGGACAGGCAAAAAAACACTGTTATTATGGATGCAGGGCAGGGCTTCAAAGGAGGGCCTAGAGAAGGCTCACAGAGCCTCCTCCTGTGCTGACTCATGAAGGCCCTGTAAGCATGCCCTCCAAGAAAAAGGACCAGCATTGTGGCTAGAGGCTTATGGGGCAAGAAACCATGTCTTGCCTTATAGTGACCCATGTGCCCCCTAACAGAAGAATCCATGTGGCACACAGGCAGGCACCATCCTTGGGCTGGCAGGTCTGACCTAGTCAGGAAGCAAACCCAGGGCAAGTAGCAGCAGAGCTCACCAACTCTTCTGGGGAATACTGCAACCCGTCCTTCTGCCTCTGGTTTGTCCTCCTCCAGTCAATCCTCCCCATTGCTGCTGGAGATATCTGGCAAAGATCTGCTTAATAATCTTCAAAGCAGCAATTGGCAAACTTCTGGAGGTTTAAGCATGATTTAAGACAGTAACACCAAACTGTGCCTCGTGTCCTTGCATTCTTCACTTTCACACATTCTCGTTTAAAAAAATAATCATTTTTACTTAATGCAATAGATGAACCACTAAAAAAAGATTCATTTTATTAAATCACAACCCTTAAGAACACGTCTTTTTAATATTTAGCGTGTTGACATGGGCAGCATGCACAAAGCACAGAAGTGTGTCAGTTGTGTTCATGCACTTGTATATTGCTTGAGTGGAGAGAGCTGAACTCGCTGTACTTTTCACGGAACACCATTTTTATGTGAAAAAAATAACTAACTGAGGTCATGCAGACTTACATATTTAGTAGACATTTTCTCAGAAATGAGCAAAGTGAGCCTGTTGTTTCAAGAAAAAAAAATGACCATTTTTGTTGTCAGTGATAAAATTTGAGCATTCGAAAGAAAATTAGAATTTTGGAAAGCTTGTATTTGCCTATGAACATGACCGCTCCCCAATATTAAAAGACTTTTCTGGTGAGCTCAATGGTGACATTAACAGATTTTTTTAAAAATATGATGTAACCAATGTGTCATCACTTGGGAAGATCTGCCTAAGTGTGAACAATATTTCCAAAAGATCAATGAATAACGTTACAAAAATCAAGCATGGATTAAGAGACCAAAGTGCAAAAGTGACCAGTGGATTTAAAAAAATAGAATTCAGTTTTTTAGGACAGTTTTAGATTTAGAGAAAAATGTGTAAAGATAATACCAAGAGTTCCCACATAACCAACACCCAGTTTCCTTTACTATTAACATATTTTATTAGTATGATACATTTGTTACTATTAATGAACCAATATTGATATATTTTTATTACCTGAAGCTTATATTTTATTCAGGCTTCCTTAGTTTTCACCTAATTTCCTCTTTCTGTTCCAGGATCTCTTCTAGGATACAATGTTACTTCTAGTCATCACATCTCTTTAGGTTCCTGTCAGTCTCACAATTTCTCAGACTTTCCTTGTTTTGATGACCTTGACAGTTTTGAGGGGTACCGGTCAGGTATTTTGCAGAATGTCCCTTAATTTAGATTTTTCTGATTTTTTTCTTATGATTAGACTGGGGTTATGATATTGGGGATGAAGACCATATAGGTAAAGTGTCATTTTCATCACATCATATCAAAGCTACATACTGTCTACGAATGCTGATGTTGGTCTCAATCACCTGGCTGAAGTAGGGTTTGTTAGATTTCTCCACTGTGAAGTTACTTTTTCCTCCGTTTTTGCGGTGTACTCTTTGGAGGGAAGTCACTTCTACAGCTCACATTTAAAGAGTGGGAAGTTAAGCTCCACCTACTTGAAGGCGCGGTATGCATATAAATTATTTGGAATTCACACAGAAGATTTACCTCATTTCTCCTATTTATTAATATAATCATTCATTTATATCAGTGTGGATTTATGGATATTTTATATTTTAGGCTCTAACTCAATACTACCTTTTTAATCGTATTGCTTAAGTTGTTTGAGCTCTGGCCATTGGCAGCTCTTTCAGTTGATTCTTGTGTCCCTGCCTTTGACATACCCACATCGTTGTGAGTTGTGGGGGTGGCGTTTGAGCACCTCCTTACTTTCAGGCACAACAAGATGCTCCAGGCTTGTCTTGTATATTTCAGGCTCCATTCCCACAAGAATCAGCCATTTCTCCCAGGAGCCCCAGTTTCTTTTACATTACAGAATGATATTAGAAACCAAGATCTAGGAAAGGGGTACTGATGTACTTTAATGTAACAGAGAACATCGTTTCAGATTCAAATAAATTTAAGAAACTACACCTTTTCAGTCTGGGATGTAATATGAACGAAGAATATCCGCATGACCTTAAAAAAAAGGCTACTAAAATTCTACTCCCTACATATACATATTGTTGCATGTGTATGAAACCAGATTTAACATACCACAGCAGACTGACCGCTGCAGACTGAGAATCTGGCTGTCCTCTGTTGAGAGAGACATTAAGAAGATGTGCAAGCATCAAAAACAAATGGAAGAATAAATTATTTTTTGTTTTAGACAATACAGTTATTTCTTTTAAAATGTGGGATTTATGCCAACCTATAATGAGTTTTTTATTGTTACTTTAAATTAATAAATAAATGTTTTTAAATGTTGTTTGTTTAAATTTCTAAAATGGTAAATCCCAATAGATGCAATGTACATAAAAATTTCTTTGTGGTCATCAATAATTTTTTAAAAAGTAGGTGGATCTGAGACAAAAATGTTTGAGAGCCACTGGCCTAGCCACACCAGACTCATTGTTGTCTCTCTACACCCTCTCACCTTTCTGGAACCCTTGTCTATCTATACCATGCCGATGCTTAAGTCTAGAACGCTCTTCCTTTCCTTGTCCCCAGGCCAACTTCCTCTTACCTCCCAAGACACAGCTCAAACGTCTTCTGTGAAGCATGCCCTGACTCCCCAAATTTAAGTTTACCCTCCCCTGTAATCCCATACCTCTTTCTACAATTTCTATTCTGAATACATGTCTTGCAGTGCTTGTAATTATCTGTTCATGTATCTGCATCTCTTTCTCTCTTAAACAAGAGTAAGGACTTGTCTGATTCATCATTTTACCCTGGTGCAGGGTGAAATGCCAGGCATATATTTGTTGCTCAGAGTACATGTGTTGAAGGAGTAAATAGACAGCTGATCCAGGGACACTCATCTTTTCCAGAGACTGACCAGGCCACTAGGCTGGCCTTACGTCTGAGTGAATGTTTCTGTTTCTCCTTCTTTACAGGAACAAAAGTCAGGCATTTGCCTCTTTTGACATTTAGTTTCATTCAGTAAATATTTTTCAAATGTCTACTACATGTCAGGCACTGTGCTAGGCACTGGGGGAAAGATGATCATGTGGATGTTATGGTCCAGCAGGAAATAACTAGTCACCTTTATGTTTGCCCCTAACCTGCCTTTCGTGGTTAAGAACATCCAGAGTCAGTTCATATAGAGCAGTCAGTTGCATCTAAATTTAGCCCTAATCCTGGGACATAAATAGGACAATGCAAATGCAATTATCCAGTGAATTCAGAGAGTGTAGACAGCTACTGTAGGTAATGGAATGTAGGAAATATTTTATGCAGGCTAGTGGTCAGATTTACCAGTATGCAACAACGCTTTGCCATGATTCTTCTTGAATAATGATGCGCAAAATTGACCAAGTCCTTGTTCTCTCATTCTTTTAGCGTTTTCTTGCTGGCAGATATGAGAGTAAAAGGAGAGAAGAAGAAAATAGAGAGATGATGCAAGAAAGAGAATTCAATTTATGGCACACTTGGCCAGTTAAAGGGAGTTAAATGCTAATAAATTTTAGTTGCAATTGAGCTATTTGTTCAGATATTTCAAGCTAAAACTACAACAACTTCCTTTTGGCCACTGACCCAGTGTTTGAAATTCTGTGTCCCAGGCTGGGTGAAGTGGCTCGTGCCTGTAATCCCGGCACTTTGGGAGACCGAGGCTGGTGCATCACCTGAGGTCAGGGGTTCAAGACAAGCCTGACCAACATGGTGAAACCCTGTCTCTACTAAAAATACAAAAATTAGCTGGGCGTGGTAGCACATGCCTGTAATCCCAGCTACTTGGGAGGCTGAAGCAGGAGAATTGCTTGAACGCAGGAGGCAGAGGTTACAGTGAGCCGAAATTGTGCCATTGCACTCCAGCTTGGCCAACAAGAGTGATACTCTGCATCTAAAAAAAAAAAAAGAAAGAAAGAAAAAAGAAATTCTGTGTCCCATATTGTCTAAATGTGTACCGTCTAATATAGTAGCCACTACCTAAATCTGGCTAGTAGGATATGTTGAAACACAGTTTAAGGGATATGTTGGGTTTAATAATATATATTATTAAAATTAATATCTATTTCTTTTTTATCTTTTTCACATGGCTATGGGAAAATTCTAAATTACATAGGTGGCTGACATCATATTCCTGTTGGATACTGTGGATCCAGCCTCAACTCACCGTCTTACATTCAGGTTAACAGAGTTCTGCTTCCAGTCATCCCTCTTCCCTATTCTCCTTTTCGCTTGGTCAAAAACTCCGCCATTTAACTCCAAGCCACAGGTCCTCTGCCTGCTTTTGCAAAGCAAGGTAATTAATGTAAGATCACTCAGAGCAAGCTCTTTCCCTCTCCTGATAACATCACGTGGAACTCCTCACCTAAAAGGCAATCTCCAAGCAAATCTCAGGCTGGTTATCAGGCAACATCTGAGGACAAAGGAGGGGTTGTTGATGGACTGTTCCAATTCTTCCAGGAAGGTCAATCCCAATCCATCTGTTCTCTCCTCACCCTCCCGCACCTAAACAGACTTTCATTCTCCCTGCAAACCTCTTCACAAAGAAGACCCCTCATCTCTGAGTCTCCCCAGCATCCTGCTTTTCCAGAGTCTCATTAGCTCTGGAATAATGGCAGGCATGGAGCAGCCTCCTTAGAGAACTCGCTCTGAGGAGCTCCCCTCACCAGGCTGAATCCCAGGCACATGCCTGACATCCCATAGGGCTGTTTCACACCCACTTCCATGTTGTGTTTGTATTTGTCAAAGGAGGACAGGATGTGGCAGGATGTACTCAGTATTCCCTCATTATTTTCCTGTTATACAAGGGAAAGACACAGATAGTTAGCATTTATTATTTACTATGAAGAAAATGAGGCTTAGAAAAATTGAGTAACTTGTCCAAATTTACATTATGTTTAAGGAACAGAACCAGGATTGGAACACAAAGTGCTGGCTCCACATTTTATGTAGCTAATAGCTAGAGTAGCATCTACCGGGTAGAAGAAAAGGGACTTTTTGAGTTGTGTTTGCTTTTTTGCCATGGTCTTTTTTAAATTTTTTTTATTGATATATAACATTTGCACATTTTTATGGGGTTTGTGTGGTATTTTGTAACATGCATAGAATGTGTGTGTGTAGGGGAATGAAGAGAAGTTGGTTAAGAGGTACAAACATACCCAGTTAGTTAGAAGGAGTAAGTTCCAATGTACAATGACAGAGTAAGGTGACTACAGTTAACAACAATGTACTGTGTATTTCAGAATAGCTAGAAGTGTTTGGCACTGCCATGTTCCCAGTTACTCAGGCTCCAAATGTCATTAGCTCTCCCCCTCTCTTCTTCCCTTGTCTGATCAGTGATCAAGTCCTGTGACTTTTGCCACTGAATGATTCCTGAAAGGAGTACCCTTTTATCTCCATTCCCATTCCCATTGCTCTCTACCATGGCATTGCTTTGCATCCAGAGTGACTATAATATTTGCCACCACATTCCAGGCAGCTACTGATTTTGCACTTCTATTCATCATACCAGTCTGGCTAGCAGGCATCTTTATCCACATTCACCGATAAGGAAACAACAATTGGAGAGGGAAAGAAAGTGTGGCATTGAGTGGCAGGATTATACCTTAAGTATGCACTCTTCCCATGCTGGTTTCCCATCTCAATATCATGAGAAAAGAAATAACCGAAGCCATTTCTAAGTTGTGTTGGTTTATCCATTGGCCAAGGTCTGATGAAAGGTGAAAGTTTAACCCAAAAAATGTAATCCAAACAGGCATAGTGGTAAAGGGGGCTTAGGAGTGACTTCGTGGGTTTGAACCCTAGTTGTTGCAAATATCTGACTGCTGGAGATTGTAGTATCCAGTTGGCTGACATGTTGGAGTCTAGACTTGTTGGGATTTATACTTAAGTCTCTGTTATACTACTGACTGTATTTTGTTTTATATTTATTTGTCTTATATAGATTGTTAGTCTTATATATTTTGTTAAATAAATATGCTATAATTAATAATATGCCTTATCTCCTTACTAAGCTTTAAGTTTTCTAAGGATAGAAGCTGTGTCTTTGTCTTTATCACATCTCATAGCAGTGCCTACTTCTGGCAGATGCTCAATAAAGATTTGTCGAATTGAATAATTTCTGATGCCCAGTGGGTGAAGTCCAATCTGTTAAGGAGGCATCTGACACCCTTCCCAATCAAGACAGCCCTAATTTCATAGCCTCATGCCTGTCATTTCTCAACTCCTCTTCCCCACGCCTCCAGTGTTCCAGCCATAATGGCTGTCTTCCCCATAAACAGTGTGTTTTGCTCATGCTCTAATTATTTCCTCTTTTTGGATTGTCCTTCTCCACCTTGCATTCCTGGCATTCTCATCTTTCCAGGCCCAGGTGAAATATCACCTCCACCATGATGTTATTCCTAACCCCCTTCCCCTCTGTGCCTCTTTGGAATTCTGTATACACTTTCATTAAAAGCCCAGTTCTAACAATCCATTTACAAATATTTTCTCCCCAGCTAGAATGATACTATGTAAGATAATTTTCAGAACCTAGGGTGACAGGCAAATATATAGCTTCTAAAATATTATTTTATCATAGGAGAATTAAACAGAGACAAAAAGAGTGAGGATCAGGATATAGAAAAAAATGTTTTGATCAGAAATATAATGAAGAAAAGCTTTTCCAGTTAAAAAAGGGATTCCTGACTTGATTAGAGGAAAAAGGAGAAAGGACGAGAACCTACTCAGGCTTCCTGCTAAGGCTGTCAGAAGACTCAAGAGAAATGACTTCACAGCATGCCCAGGTTTGCAGCAGGACCACAGCAGTTATGTAGAAAGACATTGATGGCATTGACTGTGGTGAAAGGTACCTCAAGGTGACGGCAGAGAGCCAGTAACTGATGAGTTCCTTTCTCTAACTCCTCCACCACTTTGGCTTTACCCAAGACCAAAACTATAAGTGGCCATGAGGTTGGAGAGGGAAACTCAACCTTGATGAAACTAGACACTAGGTTGCCATATAGAAAATAATTATTTTTTACAAAGCTGTTTCCAAACTAAAATTTATACTCATAGTGACTGGCACAGAGATAGTTCTTTAAAAGTTTGTCTTGAATATTGAGTGGATGAATGAATGAATACAGGTTGGCCATACAAGTACAGAACTTTTTATGGTGTGCCTAATGAGTATTCAGTTGTTGGAATTTTAGAAAACAATACATAACATAAATGCCTTTGCTTCCCAGATTGCAACTAACTGATAAATACTCAAAGAAATTGGCCAAATTCAAATTTTTAAAAAATCATCTTTATTGGTATATCTAAGGGATGAAACTTAAATCTGTAGCCACAGTCAGGATCCCTAATGCAATCTCTTTGAATGGAACTCTCCCTCAAACTGTGTTTCTGCCTCAGTAACCTTCCACATGGATGAAACAAGAACACCCATATGCTGAGTCCAGGTCACAGAAAGACACCAATTACCCACAGGCCCCACAGGACTGAGCCAGGCATGCTTAGCTTATTCTCCCCAATCACCCATCAGATACTTCATAGTCTTCCCATAAGGAGAAGCCAGTTAAGGGTGAGGAGAAAGTCAGGAGTGTTTCTCTAGCTGAACTCACACAGAGTCATGAGCTCAGAAGAGTGAAGCCGCCTCTCTAAAGTCAATACACAGCTGGTTATTGGCATGATGTATGAACAAATTCAATCCACTTGGCTTCCCAAATGCCTTAATCCTCTCCTGATACGATCAAATTGGTCCTCTCCTCAGGCGTGTCTGTCCGTTCAAGGTGGAATGGTGTAGGTCGGGTGCTATGGTGTCTCTAGGTTCTTGTTCCTACTTCAGAATAGGAGCAAACTTACTTAGAGTAATACTTCAGTCTCCTCATTTCTGCTTTCTCCCCCAAATTATATCAGATGGTTGGAAGAAGCATTCTTATTATTATAGGAGATGAAAAGAACATTTTGAGTCTCCTTAACTCCCATCTCTCCTGGATCCCAGCACACAAATACAACCATTCTCAGACTTTGTTCAAATTATAACATAGAGCCGAAATTAAGGGAAAATAACTGGCCAGCCAAGGGATTGTGACTTCTAGCCAAACCACCTTGTAAATATGTGTTTGTGTACATACATATGTGTATGCAAGCATATGTGTGCATACAAACACATATATACATGTGTGTATATGAATATTGTGATTTTTAAAGTTGCACTGGTGGCTAGAACTGGGGTCTGTAGGAAACAATGCATAGAATTGCCTGTTCATTCTCCTTTAGGAGGCTGAGTAATTTAATGAAATTCCTCATGGGACGTAGATGCCCAAATAGGGAGACAGAGAAGTTTGTTGAGATGGAGTGGGCAAGAAAACAAACCACCTTGATCTTCCTTTCTTTAAGGAATGAGAGGAACCAGCTGTAAGGTCTGTGCTTTTTAGATGATCTATGTATTCTAAAGTCACGAGACAATCATTCCATCCTCTATCTGCCTTGCCTCAGTTAATTCCCATTACCCAAGGATATATTGTCTGGACTTTTCAATATTTAACTTAGTAGCATAAGGAAACAAAATGGGCTTAGAGTTCTTCCAAATTGGGTTTGTCTTTGGGTATTAGTTAAGATTAGGTTTGGCTATGAGTCAAAGAAACACAAATAACTGTAACTTAAAAAAAGAAATAAGTTTATCTCTCATATACAGCTGTTTCTTAATATCTGTAGGAGACTGGTTCCAGGACTCTCTGAGGTTACCAAAATCCATGTATGCTCGATTCCCTTATATAAAATATTATAGTATTTGTACATAACCTATGTATATCCTCTTGTATACTTTAAATCATCTCTAAATTACTTATAATACCTAACACAATGTAAATGCTATACAGATAATTGTTACAGTGTATTGTTTAAGGACAAGAAAAAAAGTCTGTACATGTTCAGTACAGATGCAATTTTTTTCTAAATATTTTCAATCTGTGATTATTTTAATTCATGAATGTGGAACCCATGAATATGAAAGGCAGACTGTATATATAAATCAAAATGTAGATAGTACAGGACTGGAATGGCAGCTTGGCTCCCAGAAGTTCTCAGGAATCCAGGCTTCGTTCTACACTGTTTCACCATGTGTGGCCTCCATTCTCGAGACCAACTCATGGCCTAATATAGTTGCTCCAGCTCCAGCCAGCACATCTGCACCCCATCCAGGAAGACAGAAGTGACACAGAAGAGGAAAAGAAGAACACTTGCCAGCTATTTTTAAAGGAAGGTACCTAAAAGATGCCATATGACACTTTTGCTTCTGCCAGCTAAAAATAGAGGGTCTTATTTTAGGGGAGAATAGATTATGAGGAATGACTAGCAGCCTCAGCTGCACCTTGAAACACAGTACCTTTTATCTGTATTAGGAAATTACTGGCAACATGCTCCTATCACCAACACCTTCATCATCTGCTTCACTCACTGACTCAAATTCCACCATTAGTCAACCCACCACTCCAACCAGAATGGTCTCTGTATACTCACATATAAAGAAAGATGCCTTGCAACCTTTCCTCCATACTTTTACCTACACTGGTCCTATTGTTTGGAATGCCCTCCATCCCCCTCTCTACCTATCTAAATTCTACCCATCTTTGAAGGCTCAGCTCAAGCCTTACCTTCTTGGAAAAGCCTCCTCTTCCCTTCCTTTGTCCCAATAACAGCTCTCTTTCTGAACTCCCATAGCTCACATTATCTACACTAGTCATCTGACTCTTGGCATATATAGACATATATGTTTAGCTCACATGCATGTCTTTCACCTTCAACTAGATTGTAAACTCCTTGGAGGCAGAAAAACTATCATGACTTCTTTGCACCTTTCCGATACCTAGGCATACATATGCTTCTAAAACTTCTATGTACCTGGCCACTTGTAAGTCAGGGTTGGGGGAATTAGCATAAGACCATGAGCCAAGAGAAATGAATCAGAAACTCAGCTCTGACCCTAACTAGGTCTGTAACCCTGGGCAAGGAACTTAACTTCTCTGAGCTTCAGATTTCTCATGTATAAAATACAAAAAGACCTGCCTAACCTAGTCCAAAGGGCTATGTTAAGGAATATACACACATACACACACACACACACACACCCTTGGCATAAGGCAAACACCACACAAACCATATGTCTGTAGTTTCTGTCCGAGTTTTTGTTTTGTTTTGTTTTTTTACTGTAAGCAATAGAAGCCAACAGCTCTTGCTAACTTGAGCAAAAATAGTCTTTATTGTAATAGCAGAGCAGATTGCTCACAGAATCAAAGTGTGTCTGGGGTCCAGACCAGTCTTGGAAAGAGATGGGGTGCAGGGCAGCTCTGGGGTCCAGGCAGCAAGAACTGTTTGACCAGCTTGTCAGGTGCATTGCCAGAAATGAACTAGCTCCAAGTTTCCAATGTTATGCCATTCCATGAGATTCATGTTCTGGGAGAGACTGGTTGGCCAAGCTTTGGGTATATGCTCCCACTCCTTGGTTACAGCAGACCAGGTAACCTTGATTCATGGTCCCACAAGGACTACCTATGCACAATAGAGGAAGGTCAAGTCCCCAAAGGAAATCAGAGTGATGTTATCAGAAGTAGGGTGAATGGATGCTGGGTGGTCAGAAAGCAGTAAATATCCACTATAGGGCTTAATAACCATGTGTTGATTGAGTGACAGTGGCCCATTCCTTTAATTCTGAAGATATTTTGCACTATAAGATAGTACAAGTGATTTCTTTAGACCTTATCAGTGAACACCTTGGAGAGCATCAGTTTATCAGATTCTTTCTACCAATGGCAATTAGAACAAGATCTTACAGAAAAGGGAAACAGAATGACTCCCTGATGGAGGGAGAGCACTAGGAGAGAGAAATAAAATCTCAGTTCTGTCATCATGTGCTCAGAGAAATCTTTTCTGACCTTCCTGACTAGGTCAAGCCTCCCTCCATTCTACTTTCTTATAGCTCTGTGTCTTCTCCTTTGTGGCTAATACAGCGCAAGTTAAATTTGAGTTTTCAATTAATGGCCATTTCTCCTATAAGTTGTAAACTCTGAGGGCAGGGCCAATGTCTTTCTGCTCACTTCTGAGTTTCTGTTACATATTCCAGAGCCTGGCATATTCTAAATATTTAGTAAATAATTATTGGATGGATGACATGAGTGAATAAATGAATGAATAGGTTCCAAAAGGGCCAGAAAAACTGGTCAGCTGCACAAGTATCTGGAGTAGGTCCTTCCAACCACAAATCAGGGGCAGGCACCATCTTTCCCTTCCCAGGCACACGGAGTGGCAGGAAAGAAGTTAAAAGTAGTGCAGATTAGCCAATGCACCATCCACTAGGGGCTGGGCCATGGTAGACTCTTTCCCAGAACCCTCCCCTGGAGGGTAGAAGGCCCATAAGGTGGTGGCAGCAGTCATCCACAGCTGCTGGGAGAGGAAATAAGTTATTCGCACTCTGATCTGGGGCATCCCTTACTTGCTGTGGGCATCTACCCAAGCAGGAGCATTGCTTATGTGGATGCTATGCTGCCCACGTGGCTAATCTGCATGTGTCTCCTGGGACAAAATAATAAGCGCTTCCATTTGTATGGCACTTCAAAGTCTACAGAGCTCTGTCGTAATTTTTTTTTTTTTATACACAACAACCAACTTGTAAGACATGCAAGTGTCATTGGCTTCATTTTATAGATGAAAAAATGAAGGCTCAGCATCTTGTTAAGGTTATACATCTAGGGAACTTCAAAGCCAGGTAATCTCCTCATCAAGGAATATACTTTTAGCATAAAAAATCTCAAGGCCTTCTTTTGAGCCCTAAAGATACCTCTTACCTTGTCACTGAACATAATGTTGAAACATGCCAAATAAAGGGATTCAGGGAAACAGGGTGTCAAGTTATGATTCAGTTTTAATTCTTGAGGGTACAGTTTTATTCTAGTGAAATCATATTATTAATAGGTTTCATCCTAGTTTGATTTAGAGGGAGAAAGAAAAAGAGAGAGTGAAAGAGATAGATAGACAAACTTTGATTTCATTTGCAATTCAGTTAAAATTTATTTTGTCTTTGAGTTTGGAACTGACAAATTAACTCCATTTTCTTCCCATTTTTTATTCATTTTAGGTCAACTCGTTTTCTTCAGAGACAGCCTAGGCACAGGCCCTTTGAGGCGTGAAGGCTCAACCTGTGGATCCAGGCTCTCCACTCTGAGCCTAGCCCTAAGGCCTTCCCCCTCATGCAGGTCATGAAAAGCAGGTGACAATAGGTGGCTGGAGGAATTTCCTATGACCTGACTCCTCCTTGGGGGTCAGAGATCTGAATGTGTCATCATAATTGGAATTTTATCTGCATGCTTTAAAACAAAACAGCAACCACTCCCCCACAATTCTGGCTCAGGCTCTGTAAGACACACGCTGAGATTTGAGGAGGTGATGGTGAGAAGTGATGCCTTCTGAGCTCAGGTGAACCAGGATGTGTTCTTCTTTTTCCTCAGATAGGGTCTGAGACTCCCAGCAGCCTTTCATCAATGACCAAACTCCAAGAGCAGGTCTGGCCTGCGGTGCAGCAGCTAACACTCATCTAGCCCTTACCATACTCCCAGTGCAGGGCTAAGTGCTTCACACATATTATCTCACCTGTGCTCACAACCCCCCTGAGGTAGCCACAAGTACCATCCCTGAGGAATCAACTCAGCAGAGTGAAGGAAACTGCCCAAGACCACACAGCTAGTAAGTTCAGGAGCTGGGATTGCAATCTAGACTCATCCACTTCCAGTGGGAAGGGGAAAAGAAGAATGGAGACAACCAATCCCCAGTGAAAGCCTGGAAGCCAGGAGCAGAGCCTTCATTGTGCATGGAAGAGAGGTGTGCTTCTAACCCAAACTCCTTCCCAGGTCTTTTATGTGAGTAAAAATATAAATTTCTGTTGTGTTTGAGCTGTTATAATATTTGGGGGTTTATTTGTTGCAGCAGGGAGCATTAGTCCAAGTAGTCCATATAGGCACCTAACCCAGCCTTGTAGGCTTGAGAAGGCCAAGTATGCTGATTCTGAAGACTAGGTAGTTGCCAACTAGGCAAATAAGAGGGGTAAAGGGGTTGTGCCTAGGCTCTCCCAGGAAGCTGGAGTTAGGAACTAAGGCCAGCCCAGTGGAGGCCAGTCTGAGATAAGGCCTCCTCAGTGGGCTCCTCCTGTCAGCCTGGCCTTATAATACATATCTCTCTCCTTCCAGGCCCTCAGCAAGAGGAAGAGCCAGCTTCTAACATGTGGTGAGTGAGCCAGAGGTAGAGGTTGCAGGCCTTGAACAAATGCAAGTGGGGGAGAAAACAGACAAAAAACAATACCACCCTGTGAGTATGTCTCCTGGTCTTATCTCCATACTGTTTCCTGACTTCTTTTCTCCATAGTCCTAATTGCCCACCATACATCACATTTAAAATTGTTGAGAACTTTGGGAGACTCTGTCAGGGAGCCACGATCTGCTGCCTGGCTCTCCCATCCTGGCTAGGCATCTGCCTTCAGGCCTGCATGAGAAATCCTTCTCCTGCCCCATCACTCTGTTCTGATTTCCAAGCAAATGTTCCCTCATCACGTATCACAAACTGCTCTGCCCTGAGGGAACTTGACGGTGGTGATGGAAAGCTCCCACTGCCTCCTTCTGTGGGGTTTTTTTTGTAAAGACTGGAGTCTTCGTCCATCTTGGCAAGAAGTTGAAGACCCTTTTCTCCTTATGTTTTGCTGTAGTCATCCTTTCCATTCATTCAAAGCTTTGCCATAAGCTCATCCCCATGGCTTTGTAGACAAAACTCCCACATCCCCCTGGTTCCCCACCAACCATCCCACCCCTGAATAAACAACAGCTCATTTGTAAGAGATTTTAATTTCATCTTGGTATGCCATTAAGGAGTGGAATAAGGATCTCTATTCATTTTCACTCACATAGTATCTCCTACATTCTCCAACTGGTCTTTACCACAGAAACCTGTGGGGCCATACAGCATCTGCATAATTTTCACTCATCAGACTGGTTTGGGTTTCTTGGTGGTTTGCATAAATTATAAACAAGAGCACAAAAATCACACAACATAGACTCTACCATAAGGGGACATGTTCCCTCTGGCCTTGCCAGAGTGATAGGGACGTGTCTCTGTGTTCAAGTCTCCAATGATGTCCCCAGAAATGAGGCCAAGCCTATCCTGGCCCCTCCTGGATGGGTCCACAGTGACCCGCTGTCTTCCCCACCAACTCATTCTGGGTTCCCAGGAGACTTCCTAGCACAGAACAATACCATCCTAGCACCGCAACTGGAGACCAGGGTGTGGAACTGTCCCCATGTACAATGGCTGCTGGGTCTTCTGTGCCGAGGATCAGAGGAGTGAGTTGGAAGGAAGAGCCAAGGGTTTCCACTGGAACCTTCTGCCTCTATGAGCGCCATGAGGTTCTTTAGAAACAGACCCTCTAAAACAAGGGGCCCCAAACTTTTTCTGTAAGGGCCAGACAATACAGATAGCAAATATTTCAGGCTTTCCAGGCCACAGACAGCCTGTTATATATTCTTCTTCTCCTTTTTTTTAATGACCTCAAAAAAAAAGTAAAAACCATTCTTTGCTGGCAAGCCATAGAAAGCAGGCCCGCAAGCAGGAGTTTGCCCAACCCTGCTCTAGAACACCACCAGGCCCTCCTCTATCCCCTCAGCCTTCACCTCCTCCCCACTCTGGGACTCTGGGATCCCTCTGAACTGCTCTGAGCTGGTGTCTCCTTCAGCACAGGCTTTGCAGAGGGACTTCAGCAGGCAGAACTGCCCTCTGGAGTTCAGGAGCCCTCCTGCTCTGCAACCCTATGTACCCTCCTTTGCCAAGTGAGTGGCCTGGTTGTATCTTAAACAAATATCAGATATTAGTCTCAGCCCTGCTCATGTGTCCTGGGAATGAATTAAGCCTTGGTGTTTCCCAGTGAGGTAGGTACATACTATTAGCCTCATCCACATTTGCAGATGCTGAAGCTCAAGAGCTGAACCAATCATCCTAGCACTGCCCAACAACCACTTGTCAGAATTTAAAAGAAAGCCCAGGAGTCTGGGCTTTACATTTTCTCAGAACATGATCAGAGATTATTCTGTCCCACCCCTGCCCAGTGATTCAACCCCAAAGAGAGCAAGAATGCAAGAGAGAACACCATCAGCCACACAGAATTTCTTTCCAGATCTGAAAGACACTCTGAAAACAGAATGAACCCCAGCACTCAAAGCTATGGGGCTAGGTGGAGCAGCCCTCTCTGCCCTGCTGACAAGTCTTGTCAAGCTAAAAATAAAGTTTATAAAAGTAAATTATCTCATTTTATAACTTAAGTGCATCAAGCATTTCCTTAAATATAGTTCACACTGAAAATAAAGTTACTTTTGCTGTACAGTTGGTGTCTGTTATAATTAGGAATAAACTTTGAGGGTAAAATACGAAAGGTTACACACTCACACACACACATCTATCTATCTGTCCTTCTGTCTATTGGTGTGTAGATGGATAGACATATGCACCTCTTGACAAGAGCTTCCCCGACATGGTGGGAAGTTGTTAGGAGTCCCTAAGTATCTAGTTTGCATGAGAATGTCTATATTAAAAGTCTCTGTCCTTAATGATAAACACGTCTTCATATCTAATGCTAAGACTCTTATTAGAAACATTAAACTATGCAATCCATAATGTATTCAGTCTTTGGAAATGCTGAGCTACACCATATCATTATACAACAGCATCCCCAACAAAACTCCCTCCCCAACCCACCTCTTCCCTGGCCTCCCTGTCCTAAAGCCAGTGACCCCTCAAAGAATATGGTTGTTCCATATGGGAGCCTAGTCACAGAACTCTAGGGGAAGACTCAAGATGTGAAGTAAGAATTCTGCATGGAGTACAGATGGTCAATGGGGTTTCCCACTCTGGACTGCAGAGGCCCAGCTTCTGAGGTTGCTAGGAAACAATCACCCAGGTTACTGAGGGAGGTGTCGTCGCTATCCAGGTCATGGAAAAGGGGCTCGGCACCTGAAATGGAGATGAAACACTGGCATGAGGGTCTTGAAGAAGTGACTCATTTCAGTGCTAGGATATTCAGCTGAATTCAACAAGTGTTGCCTGAGCACAGGCTCCAGGTGAAACTTTCTACAAAAAGTCTATATTCTCTTTAGGGGGCTCAAGTCCAAAGTGCAACAAGTGAAAACAATCTAAACCAGGATATGACAAAGTGCTAAATTGAGTGCAGCATAAGCAAATGTCACAATGTCTAGACAGGGAGTGTGGGGAGTAGGCAGGACATGTCACCAGAGGCTGGAGAGACAGGGCAGAGCTCCTATAGGACTTGGGCCTGAAAAATGATGCTTGAAGGAGGGATGGTAAAACCAACAAACAAAAAAACAAAACAAAAAGAAAGCTCTTTGAGTGAAGCTAATGAAAACTCCTGTGATAACATTTGTTCTTTCAAACACCAAGGGTCTACTATCAGCTGTTACCCCAAATTTGTAATGCAAAGAAAAGGAAGGTTAGGTGCCTACCTTCAACTAATTTACACCTTTGATAGGGAAGCCAGTAGGGCACACATTGGAACAGCTGAGAAATCACTGCAACCAGGATCTGGAGGCAAAGAATGTTCTGCCTCTGCTTCAAGTAAATAGGAGAGGTGAAAACTGGAGTTTATACAACTTGTCATGGGGCTTTAAATATTCATTTTATGAAAGGACTCATCACAGGGATACTTCATGTAACACAATCCCTGAGACTCTGAAAAGAATTTGCAAAAAAATGTGTTTGCCCTGTTTTCCGATAGCTGTGGAGTAAAGAATGGTACAGATGTGACCTGTGCCTTCTAAGGAAGCCAAGAGGGTGGCTATCACTGAACATCCAATGAGTGGGGTCAGCCAGTGAAGGGCTTGTCAAGGGCCAAATCTTAATAAATGTTTGCTGAATGTGTGATATGGGAAAGTAGGCGTGATTTTAACAACAGAATTTTTTTTCATGAAGGCAAAAAAAAAAGTTGTTTGGCAAAATCTGTGATCTGTGGCGTGAATCTCTGATACTAATGTTTTGAAGACTTGCTGCATAAGATTATTTTTTAACTATCAGTGTAATCTATCAGATTACACAGTACAGACCAATGCATTACATACAACACTAACCTTCTCTGTATAAAATGTAATGCCCTATACTTGGCTGAGGTTGAACTTGAGCCTTCACTCCAAAGCTCACCCAGCCCCCTACTCTGGGTCCTCAGGCCCCCGGTTGTTGTCCATTAGCTTAAGCACGAAGCTGGGTAAGTGGGAGAGGCTCAGCTACCCATATATGCAGCATTTAAATCAATGCTTCTTTGGGTGGGGTGGGTATAAGGGAGATACTTTCACTTTACAAGTCAGTTTATGTTTCACTAGTTAAATTAGAGCACCTATTAGTATCCATAGTAGGATAGTCCAGTTAGAAAATTTGTCTTCTGTGCTTTTTATTTCTTTTCTTACTTTAGGTAAACGTTTGCTTAATTAAGGCCTTCTGTAGCACTGATACTGCTGATCTCTGGCATGAAGCGCAAGACTTGCAATTCAATGACAACAAACAGGTCTACAAGGAGAGCACAACTTCCCATTTAAAACCAACAAACAAGAAGCTTTGAAAACAAGATAAATGGAAGTGTCAATAATGAATATGCATGAAGGTCTTTCTCCTGTAGTCATTGGTTAGGCGATTCTGGCAGTATTTTGTAGGGCACATTATTCTGCTTTGGAACTTCGGTGAGCATCTGGGAACTGCCTAGATGTGTTTAGGAGGGAATGAGAAACCCACACAAGTTATGAGAGGGCCCGAGGGGCTTAAGTCCCTCTTACCATAAGGGTGCATGTGGTCTCCAGGCATCTGGGGTGGGGTGAGACCCTGTCGGAAGGGATCTGAGCTGTAGACACTCTGCTCGATGGCCAGGAGCTGCTGTGGGGTGGGCAGAGCCGTGTAGGGGTTCATGATTCCTTCCATCCCAGCACTCCCACCACCGTTTGTCTGAGCTGTGGAACAAAGAAGAAGCCAGGTCATTCTCAACGTGCAGCCTGGCATGTGATTTCCCTGGGTCCTGATTCCCTCATTTATAAAATAAAATGGGATGAGGTGACATCAGTGGTCCCAGCCTTTGTCCTACCAGAGGCCATCAGGAATCACCTTGGAGGACAGGAACAGGGTAGGGGCTGGGATGTTGAACTTTGAGAACATCCTTGAAATATATTATTTCAACAAAGGTTTTGATGCTAGCCACATGTTTGGCAGTCACTAGAATAGATGTATCTAAAGATCTTTCTACGATAACCCAGTATGAGCCCATCAGTCAAGTGGGAGTTGTGACCAGTTGACCTCATTGGGTTGATGGGAAGATTCCATAGGACTGTGTATGCTTTGGAATTATATCTTGCTATGCTTGTAGATAGAATTTTATAAGAAAAGCAGGATTCACTTCCTGCCTCCACATCTTGCTGAGGTTCTCTGAACCTGGGAAGAACAGAGACTATTTCCCACCAGCCTCTGCTTTCTTAAGTCTACCTTTGGAGCGCCTTTAGAATTATTTAAACTAAGTCCCAAGCCATATGAGTTTGTGTTCTCATATGCTTTGATGCATTCTTCTCCCTTTGAATTGCACAGGGGTCCTGTGAGGTAGGACTAGCAGGCATTAGGGCCCTACCCTAGGGATGCACACAGCCTGAGGAACAAGGAAAAGTTGGTCCCACATAAAGAGCCTTAGGGGTGGAGCTGAGGGCAGAATTCAGATCTAACCAGCTTCCTGCTCCACCCTTCCCCACACCTATGCCCTGTTTTATTTCTTCTCTCCCTAACATCTACCTTGTTGTTAACATACTGTTTAGTCTAGAAGGTAAGAAACTAAGGGAACTCTTGGCTGCAAGAGTCAAATTCTGGATTAAGCCTAGACCCAGTGTCAAGCACAAGGCAGGGTTCATGTGAGGATAAGAGGCTCTGTTGAGGGGCCAGAGAACTAGGATCACATTCCACAGACTTCAAAGTGTGGTCCACAGATTTCAAAGTGTGGTCCACAGACTAGCAGCAATGGCACCACCAAAAAGCTTGTTAAAAAGGCAGAATCTTGGGGCCCACCCAGACCTTCCTTATGAATTGGAATCTGCACCTTACCAAAATCGCAGGTGACTTACGTGCATATTAAAATGTAAGAAGCCCTGTTTTAAGGTACAGACCATTCAAGGAATTCTGGATAGCTGAGTTGGGTGGCCAGGGGCATAGCGTTTAAGAATGACATTGTTCTAATATAGTAACTCTTCTTTTTTTTTTTCCTTTAACTTCCATGAAGTCTCCCACAGTCTGTTCCTCTTCACCCTCCTCCCTAATCCTCATATCACCCTGACTTTTTCAAAAGCACATCTGGGTAGAGATGAGAAGGCCCATGGCCTGTGGAACACAGTTAGAGTTCTAGTCCCAGCCCCCTGCCCTTACCGATCTAGGGCCACATTCAATCTTGCAGAGCCTTTGTTTGCTCATCTGTGACATAGGGATAATAACAACTTCTCCACTCGCCTCCAGGAATGGGTGTTGTAAAAGTCAAGTCAGCATGTATGAGAACACCAATCTATAAGAGTGTTCAACAAAGGAAGGCATTGTTATTTTACTATCATTATTTTTACTACTTTATGTTATTTTGGAAAGAGCCAAGTCACCGAGGTGTCTTCTATTAAATCAATTAGCCTGGAAGGAGAACTAAGCAAGATGAGAAACTGAACGTATCTGTGACTCTGCAAGCAGTCCCTGACGCTGTGGTGGGATCCAGGCCTGGACGCTGTGGATAAGGTCAGTGCCATCCCCAATCAGCAGTTCTAAGCCTGCAGCTCAGGAGCCCTCAACCCTCTCACAAGTTCCTCGTGGCTCAGTCTTCCCTTGAAGGCCTTATTTCTCCAGTGGGTGTGGTCTAGGCTTCACTGAGTCCAGATATGTCATCCAAAGAGCTGGGTAGTGGGAGGCCTCTGGTAGGAACAGCCTGGATTCCAGCCAGAACTGCCTGGGAGGAGGCACCAGCTTACCAGAGCTCAGCCTCTGGGTGTTCTGCTGATCTTGCTGCTGCTGCTGCTGTCGCCTGGCCAGCTTCTTCATCTGATAAGGAGAGGACCATAGGATTAGAAGTCAGGTGGCCTGCAGCATGTTCACAAAGTAAGGGGGGGCCTGGAAGTGACACCTTCCCCGGGAGAGGGCTTGTTGGCAAAGCTCTGGCTCTTACTTAGTAAAGGAGCAACAGTGGCCAGCCCCATATGCGAGAAGCATTGCAGCTGAGAGCTCTTCCACTCTGCAGCAGTATAAAGACAGCTGGCTGGGAAGCAGGGGTGCAGCTTGTCTTAGCAGGAATAGGGATTTTTTCCTCAGTAAATAAAACTTGCTGCTTGTGGTGTGACCATTTTACATTAGGTAATAAGTGTGTGACTGTGAAATCTGCAGCCCAGCCTAGACGTATGGAACAAGAGGTTGTGATTTGGGGTAAGCTAAGAGGCTGTTCCTTTCCTCCTCCCTGTCTGCTGGCCCTTAAGATTGAGATGAGCCTACCCAGAGATTCATGCCTCTTCCAAAGCACCCTGCTAACACGCAAGCTTCCCTGAAGGAATAGTTTTTTATTTTTTATTTTTGAGACGGAGTCTCGCTCTGTCACCCAGGCTGGAGTGCTGGAGTGCAGTGGCGCGATCTCGGCTCACTGCAAGCTCCGCCTCTCGGGTTCACGCCATTCTCCTGCCTCAGCCTCCCGAGTAGGTGGGACTACAGGCGCCCGCCACTACGCCTGGCTAATTTTTTTGTATTTTTACTAGAGACGGGGTTTCACCATGTTAGCCAGGATGGTCTCGATCTCCTGATCTCGTGATCCACCCGCCTCGGCCTCCCAGAGGGCTGGGATTACAAGCGTGAGCCACCACGCCCGGCCCCCTGAAGGAATATTTTAACTCAATATTTCTCAAACTGTGTTCCATAGAGCATTAGGGTTCCACGAGATGATGACATATACTTTGAGTGTGTGTATGTGTCTGTGTGTAGGAAACACTAGATTTTTGTAAAAATTTTCTTTATTGCAAGATTTTTCAGAGCTTTAAATGTGTCCCTGTGCTTTATGAATCCATAGGCTATAGGGCCTCTGCAACTTATTGCACTATGGAGTCTTTCTTTGGTACACATCAACAGCCCTGTTCTGAGGATGTCAGTTAGAGAAATGCTACCTTAACCAATCATGATCAAATAGTGAGATAACCTGTGATACTGTAAAGCATATATTTGGTCGTTGACCCTGTTTTTTGGCATACGGTTCCTAAAATTTTTGGACTCTCCAGAGTGATACCTATGTGAATGTTAATGACTGACTGACAGCTGTCAGCCCCTAGGTAGCTTCAGGGTGGAGAATGATAATCAGAAAGACCCAGGTATGATTAGATGGTTGGAACATTCAGCCCCACCCCCAAACCTCTGTGGAAAAGGGATGGGCTGAAAGTTAAGTTGACCATCAATGCCCAGTGATTTAATTAATCATGCCTACATTATGAAACCTCCATAAAATCCCAAAAGGATGGGGATAGAGAGCTTCCAGACAGCTGAATACATGGAATTTCCTGGAGGCTGGGGTGCACAGGGAGGGCATGGAAGCTTCACACCCTTCCCCCATTTCTCGCCATATGCATCACATTATTCACATCTATTGTAATATCCTTTGTAATAAAGCAGTAAATATAAGTAAGTATTTCCCTGAATTCTGTGAGATGCTCTGCAAATTAATCAAATCCAAGGGGTGGGGTCACTGGAATCCCAATTTATAGCCAGTTGATCCGAAGCATAGGTAAAACCACCTGGAGCTTGCAATTGGCATTTGAAGAGGAGGGCAGTCTTGTGGGGCTGAACCCTCAACCTGTGAAATCTGACACTATTTCCAGGTAGAGAGTGTCAGAATTAGAGGACACCCAGTTGGTATCCACTGCACAATTGATTGCTTGCTTGGTGTATGGAGAATATCTCCACATATTTTGTCACAGAAGCATTCTGCGCTGATTGTTGTAGTGTAAGAGCAGAGGAAACATAGAGTTTGTTTTTTCCTCATATCATCCACTAAAGATCAGGGCTCTTGAGAAACAGTCCACAGGGCACATGTATTTTTAGAGGTAGGTAGATGAATGAGCAAAAGGTCTAAAACTAAAACCATGATGAGGGAATATAGAGCTTCATTGGATCCAGAGGACAGTATGATGGCTTGGGCCTATATTAGTGAGGGCTGGGCCCTGGGAGAAGTAAGAAAAGGCACTCATTCTACCCTGTCATAAAATTGTCTTGGACCAGTTATATGCATGCTACTTTTAAAATAACTTTGGTATTTGCATTAAATAAATATGAATTAAAGAACATGCTTTTACCAAAAGACACAGAAAGACATTTATTCATACAGATGGCTGGCCAAAACCACAGTCATGGCTGCTAGGAAAATACAAGCAATTTCACTAAAATGAATGCCTTCTCTCTCCCCTTCTGCAGGGCTGCTGTGGCCAAAATAATTATTGATAACAGAATTTTTGAATCAAGAGAACTACTCTATCCAATGAGCTAAGGCGAGAAAACCTGGCAGCAAGTACAATGTCCTACTGTGATTATTTCAGGAAACCAGCAACATGGGGACAGATAAAAGTAAGAAGCAGGTTACCTTCGCTCTCTGGTTTTGGAACCACACCTGGACGACACGGACACTCAGCCCTGTCTCTGCAGCCAGAGTCTCTCTCACCTTGGAAAAATTGAACGAGAAATGTAGACACACTGGCATCTCAGGGTAGGAGGTAGAACATCTCCTATATAATACTTGAGGAGGCCAAAAGACTGTATCTGCTTTAGGAGCTGAATAGTTTTTAATGTTGAGCATACACACAAACACGAGAACATTGCTTCCCTTCAGGTAGAAAGAAAGTCCTTCACCAGGTAAAGAAACAAAATAATAATTATTAATTTACATGTGCATTCCCAAGAGGTGTTTCTGGATTTCTCTTGCTCTGGAAATTAGGCCTTCAAGTGGTTTAGACTTTAGTCTATTGTTGTGCTTTAGCTATAAGCCATGCATATGCATTGACCTACTTAAGGAGATCTGAGAGTGAAAATCACTTTGGAAAAACAAATGGCTCTCTCTTGGTCTCCTCTCTTGCCTAAATTCATTGACCTTAATTTTTGGTTTTGTCCCTCATATCTCTAGGTAACTTTGGGTGTTTCATGAATATCCATAGTGACTGCTACCCCAAGTGAGCCCTGCCCAAAGAGAATAAAATGAGAGCCATCTGGAACCCGGCAGAGCCAGGTAGGCAACTCTGAGGCCAGCACATGTGCCAGGGCTGTGGTGGAGACAGGACAACTGGGATCCAGATAATAAAGAGATGCATTTAAACATCTGCCTACCATACAGGCACACAGTGAGGGTCTGGCAAGGTGTTGAGAAGAGAAGGGGCAAGAAGCACAGATTTTCAGAGGGGGGCCTGAGAGACACTGACCTCTCTTGATTAGATCCTGGGGAGGAGATGGGATTGAAAGAGCTCCTTGAATAAACGTGTGAGTAGAGCAAATGGAAGCCTTGAGAAATACTTCCCCTTTATCATGCCACTTGGGGAAAGGCTTAGAAGTGGAATGATTAGAACAGGTTTTTATAGCACATCCTTCTGCTAAGCCAACTAAAATAGGAGTGTACTCAGGGGCCCACCTCCACCTGCTGAAACCCTATCCATTCCTCAGAGGCCCAGCTCAAAAGCCACCTGTTCCACAAAGCCTTGCCTGATTGCCCAGACCAAAGTGACCTTTCCCTTCCCTTGCTTCCTGGCTTCCCCTCTGTTATGGTCCTCAGAGCCCCCTCTCTGGTGTTACAGTAATGTGTACACGCATCTCCTTCTTGCTGGTTACCTGGAAGCTGCCCGGGGACAAGCACCCAGCACAAAGCCCTACATGGGCTGGGAGTTTAGTATACATGGAAGAAGTAAATAAGTGAGGAAGACTGTAATTTGTCCTAGTGCAAGCCCAATTTGGGGGCATTTTACTTTCTACTGATACCTCTCTTGGAGCATAAGGAGCTGCAAGGGCAGAAAAAGTGAGTCTGCAGCTGAATCTTTCCAAATATCAGAAGTTGTGATAGGCTGGACTATTGCTCAACAAATATCTATCCTTCCCTCCCCTGCTCCGTGGTGGGTGTGTGCTTCACCACTGCACCTACGCTGGGCTAAGCCCATGCCTTGCTTTGGCCTGTGGGATGTGATGTGTCTGATATCCAGCAAGAGATTTTCGATGGGCTTCCCACTTTGACTTGGCCTCTTGCTTCCTGCCAACCTCATGAGAACAACAAGCCCAGGAGGGGGCTGCTCCTTCAGCCTGGACCCTCGAATGATAGACAGGTGGAGCAGGCTGGAACCTGCACCCAGCTGGGCCACAGCCAATGCACAGCCCAAGAAAAGAAAATACATGTTTGTTGGGAACCATGGTGACTTTTTGTTTGTTTTTTTTTTATCACAGACAAAGCTGACTAATGCAAAAAAGGATGCAGGAAAAATAATGCTAACATTTTTTCAAAATGTATTTCCTTTATGAATTTCAGTAAAGAATACCCTATTTTCTTTCTTTTTATCATGTAAAAGATAGTACTCAGTATATGACAGGCAGTCGATAAACAATAAGTACTCAATAAATGGGCGCTGCTATTTATGGCAGACTGCTAATTGTCCCCAATATCTATTCTTTCTTCATCCTATGAGTAATTGAATCACTAAGTTTAGCAAGTTCTTGGTCACCCAGACAGACTCATTTCCCAACTTTCCCTGCAGGAAGTGTGGCCACAGGACTACATTCTGGCCAACACATATGAGGAGAAATGATTTGAGCAACCCCTGGATACATCCTTAAAAAGCAGGGCGCTTGCCCTCCATTTCCTCTTTCTCTACCTGGTGACTGGAAACATGGTGACAACTGGAGCAGTCGCTTGGACACAGGAGATGGATAACAGAGCCACCCACCAGCCTTGCCTTGCTCACCTCTGGACTGTGACAGAAGAGAATAAACTCCTGTCTCATTAAACCACTGTATTTTTTTTTACATGAATGTCCATAGCAGTCCTATTTGAAACAGTCCCAAACTAGAAACAACCCCAAACACCCATCAACAGGTGCATGGACAAACCAATCATGGCACACCTATACAGTGGAATGCTGAAATAGGAATGAATGAATCCCCAAACCACCACACCAAGTGGAAAAAGCCAGACTCAAAAAAGAGTACTGCAAGCCACTGTGTTTTTATACTCTTTGCTTTACAGCATCTGGGTCTACACCACAATGGACACCTATCATTATTACTGTTCCCATTGTGCTCTATGAAATGAAAGGTGTGACAGGGGCCATTTGGAGTTGGTGTGCATGCATGAAAGCTTCAGGAGAGTCTATCACACCCTGGCCACAGCTTAGTGATCTCTGGAGTCTCCAACAGGCTTGAGCCGCCTGTGCAGGCTCTGTCTGAACAGCCTTCCTCACCACTGTGACCCCCAATGCCCACTGAGATCCCAGAGGGGTCTGAGTGCACACAGAGAAGTGGGGCCCAGCTCCTTTTCCTCCCTGCTCCCTCCTATACCTTCCTGCAGGGCTTGGAGGATACTTCAAATGAGGCCTTGAATGCTCGCCTCTGTTGAGTTGTCAAGATGGTTCTCGGACGTTTGGGGCGCTTATGGTCCTTGCCTTCCTCAGCAGTTCCTTTCCCTGCCCCATGGGCTGACTTGCAGAGACTTTCTTCATCATCACTTTTACCTGAAAGAAGCAAAAGACAATGTTGTGAGTCCCTGAAAGCCAGTTCCTGGAGCTGTATGTTATTCCATAGCAAGGCCTCCAGGTCCACATTTCCAGGATGGCTTTATGTATGAGAGCAATAATCTATGTGGTATTGCTTTGAAAGCTTCCAGGAAGAGGCTAAGAAAAATACTTCTAAAACCCAGAGACAGGCAGCAGAAAGTCCACCATTACACTTCAGGCTTTATCACAGCATCATATCCTGGCTCCGCATTTACTAGTTGCGTGGCCTTGGGCAATGATATGGTTTAGTTCTGAGTCCCCAGAATTGTAATCTCCACGTGTTGATGGAGGGACATGGTGGGAGGTGACTGGATCATGGGGGCGGTTTCCCCCATGCTGATCTTGTGATAGTGAGTGAGTTCTCACACGATCTGATGGCTTAAAAGTGTGTGGCTTCTTTCACACTCTTTCTCTCCTGCTTTGCCATGTAAGACCTGCTTTCTTCCCATTCACTTTCTGCCATGATTGAAAGCTCCCTGAGGCTTCCCCAGCCATGCAGAACTGCAAGTCAATTAAGCTTTTTCTCCTTATAAATTACCCAGTCTCCGGTATGTCTTTATGGCAGTGTGAAAATGTACTAATACAGGCAAGTTACTTAACTCTCTACAACTAAATGTACTCTTCTGCAAAATAGTGATATATGAGAGGATCTACTTCATTGGGGTTGCTGTGAGGATTAAATGAGTTTATACCAGTACGGCACTGAGTGCCCTAAATGCCAATGAGCCTTGACTGTTGATGATTAATATTATTTCTTAGATGTCATTTTTCAAGACTAGACCTAGACACTATGTCTGAAACTCTAGTTACTGCCAAGTGGTAGAAAATATTATTGTTAAAAAGGCCATAGAGAAAAGCATTAGATTACCTGCCAGTACAGATAACTCAGAATGGACAGGTAACACTGATAACTAGTCAACATTGCTTTTCTGTAAAGTAAATAACTCTCTACTGTTAAAGTAATTGTCTAACTATTTGAAATACTTCAACTCTATAAGCAGTGAACAACATGAGGGTTAACTCTGAAAGGAAATAAAATCTCTAGTATACGTCACTTTTTTTTCCAGGCTACCTCTTACATTCCACAGACATCACACTCCTGAGAAGGTGCTTCTAGGGTCTGGGGCATACCTGTGTAAGAGAGACTTCTTTTTACTTTTGGCATTAAAAGCCATAGGCAGGCCGGGTGTGGTGGCTCAAGCCTATAATCCTAGCACTTTGGGAGGCCAGGGCAGGTGGATTTCCTGAGCTCAGGAGTTTGAGATTATCCTGGGCAAAGCTCCGTCTCTACTAAAAATACAAAAAATTAGCTGGATGTGGTGGTGGGTGCCTGTAATCCCAGCTACTCGGGAAGCTGATCCAGGAGAATCGCTTGAATCCGGGAGGTGGAAGTTGCAGCAGCAAGCCGAGATCACGCCACTGTACTCCAGCTTGGGTGACAGAGCAAGACTCTTGTCTCCAAAACAAAATAATAATAATAAAAGCCATAGGCAATTCTATGCCCAAATGATCTAACAAGAACCTCATTTTTCTCTGGGTTCTCACAGAGCTCAACTGCCCTCTTTTCTCTGGTGAACATCTTTGCCTCAATGGCTTTCCCACAGCTGTGCCAGTCCCTTCTGGCCACTTCAAGAAAGCAAAGATGAAAGGACCTACTGTGTGTGAGCTACACATCCTTTTTCTTTCCTCCTGTCCTCCTCTGTGAAGGATGCCCATGGGCCTATGCTGTTTTAGTGTAGACATTAGCTGAGTTCTCATTTTTGGCTCTGCCAGAGCCAAAAAAACTTATTTAATCTGAAAGGATAATGGCTTCTTCCTTCCACGAACATTTGAACATACAAGGTTGAACATGAAGGGAACACTAAATTGTGAGTTCCTGAGGACATGACCCTTTCAATATAAATGAAAAGGGACTGATACAGGCAGACCTAGGTTTCCATCCCAGTTCTGACCCCATGCTGTAAGTATGGCCCTGTGCAAGTTATGTCATGTTGCTGAGCCTTGGTTTCCATAACTACATACCAACAACAATAAATACCACACAGTGGGTGTCACAGAAGTAGAGTTGTTGTGTGTAAAGCAACTAACACAGTCCTGGCACTCAGGCGGCTCTTAATAGATGGTATGAAAAGGGTGTCTTTTCCCTCTGCCTCACCCCTCTCAATAGTACAAATAAAACCCCCCACAAGATTAAAGAAGAGAGTTAAAGCAAGAATCCTCATGACAAGGGGTGGCTACTCTGGCATTTTCAAGTCTTGAGGTTGCTGTTTTCCAGGGGGTGATGTGGTAAGCTGATCTCAGACATAACCTTGGTGTGAAGGGATTATAAAATCTTTCTAGAAGGTTTTCAGAGTGGCAAGGAAAAAACAAGCACTTAAGAACTAAGAGCCTCAGGAAAATAAGAAGATCCCACAGGAGGATAAAAGGTAGAAAAAAGAAAGCCATTGACTGCACAGATTTGCCCTGGATAGACCCTATTGATCCTACTGCTCAGAGGCACCCCAAACTTTGGTGTTTAGTGAGGCCAGCAATTCTCTCTGGTGGTGAACTCCCTGGGGTAAAAACAATGCTTCTTTAGCACTAGTGATGACTTCAGTGACATTTCTGAGGAAATGGAGCTAATGCTCCACCCCAGGGATCATGCAGATCTCCTTCAAGGTAGGCAAGAAAAGAGGCTGAGTCTGCAGGCCAGGCTCAGAAAGAGAGCTGGGAGATTCCCAGTATAGAATATATTTTAAAATGCAGTTGTATTATCTCCAGAAACCTCATCCCTCATACCAGTCTGTTCAATAAAACAGTACTTGCATTGACCCTTTTACAGTCACTCCTCACATAGTTTGATGCAAATGTATATTGATAACATAACTAATGAAAATGTAAAGTCTAAAATAATGATAATGGTTCATTTATATTGATACAATCCAGGAAAGCAATGTGACATGGTATCTACAAGCATGGCCTTTAGCGTTATATAAATTCAGGCTTAAATTCTAGCTCTGCCAGTTACTGTGTTTGATTCTGAACACATTCTCAAGACTTAATTTTCTCATCAGGGAAAGTAACAGTGTTGTTGGAATTAAATGGGATGATATATGTAAAGGGTTTAGCACCACCCAGAAATAATTGGTATTTAATAAATCACAATAATAATCATTATTATTTCAACATAAAAGACATATTCTTAGTTCTGACATGTGTTGTCAGTTAATTACAGTCAGTGGGGGGGTCTCAGTTAAGGTTTTACACTGCAGGTGTTCATTTCTCTCTCTTTGCAGATATGACCCTAGCCAACATGTAGAGCTGGTTTTGTGGACTGTGCCTGTGTGCTTGTGAGAAAGCAGAGCGACAGAGGGAGGCAGAGTTAGAGCTAGTTGCAGAAGGAAAGTGCAATTTCTGAAGTTTGTTCAGAGCCCCAGAGGCAGGATGGCTAAGGGCCTTCTGGGGTCCTCCTACTGCTGTTGCTGTACTCAGCCTTGCCTGGGACATGTGTACATCCCCCAAAGAACTGCTGTGCCATCGTGAACCAACAAAGAGAGGGGAGGAGAACACCTCCTAGGTTAGCCGTTGGGGCCTATTTTTAGGGGAGGTGGTGAGCACCACAGGTGGCTGCTCCTTCCTTCTCTCCGCATCCCTGAAAGAAAAGAGAAAAACATATTTGTTTTCAAAACGAGGAGAAGAGAAGGGGAAAGGGACGAGGGATTGGTTCCAGGACCCCTGCATATACTCAAGTGCATACTCAAACCTGTGCATACACAAGTCCCTCAGCTGGTCCTGCCTAACCTGGCTACAGGAAAAGTGGGTCTCCCACAGTGCATATATGTGGGTTTCACAGCCCTTGAATACTGTCCGCATTTGGTTGAAAAAAATCCACATATAAGTGGACTTGCACAGTTCAAATCCATGTTGCTCAGGGTTAATGGTAGCAGTAGTAGTGGTGGTTTGTCTCTGGAGTGTTTCTGTTGCTTTTGTGGTGCATTTTCTTTCTTTGAGTCCTCCTTCCTGCTATTCAATATCTCATTCTCTTCCATCCCTTTACATCTTCCATTTTGCTTTCTAAGAAGCACTTCATGCTCTAGAGCTGGAGTCTACAGACGTTTCATCTAAAATGCCAGAGTTAACATTTTAGCCTTTGCATGCCTCACAGTCTCTGTTGCAGCTACTCAACTCTGCAATTGTAGCACAGAAACAACCACAGACAATATGAATGGGCATGGCTGTGTTCCAATAAAATGTATTTCAAAAACAGGCATCAGGCCAGATTTGGCCTGCATACCATAGTTTGCTGACCCCTGCCCTAGACCTCTCCTGACCTCTTGTTCTCCATCAAAACTTACACATCCTGTGTCCCGTTCTTCCAGCTCTGACTCTGGAGGCAGGAAACACTGCTGATGGTTAGCATGGTTTGATATGTTCTCTCCCACAGTCAATAACATATATGCATTTAATAAGAAATGCCACTACCCAACAGTCACCAATGTGGAATTTTGGGCATCCTGGCACATCTGAGCCAGAAAGATTCTGAAGATGGAGGAACAGAGGAACCTTTTGGCACCTCTCAAAGTACAGATAGATGCCACAAGCCAGCTGCCAACAGGAATCCAGACCCTGGCTAACCATCACCCAGCTTCCATCTACTGTGTTGTAAATATTATGGGTATAGTGGCGCCCTCTGACTCTCCTGGGGAGTTTCCAAGCTGCTCTTGGGGTGCTCACTGAGGCTTTTGTTTTCTCTTTCAGCAGGGGCAGACCTGCCTGACTTGGATATCAGCTTCTCCATGAAAATATGCAGTGCCTAAAATTTACACTGATCGATTTGTTCACGAGAAAGGACATTTCTAAAAGAGCCAGGAGACTGCCCCCAGAACCAAGAGGAGTACTGGAGAGCAGAAGATGAAGAAAAACCTTTAAACAGCAGAGCAGTGAAGTGGAGGGAGAGGCGGCCCCTCTCCTTTGCCAGAGACTCCCACTCCCAGATGCAGGCTGGAGCGATCCCTCATAATTTAAGCTGACACCCCTCAGCGGAGATGAAAGGAACACCACTCGCTGCTCTCCAACAACAAATGTCAGCATCCCTGGAGGCCGTTTAGACACAAACGCAGCATAAATCTGACTCCTAGTGGGGAAGTCCAGAGATTAAGTCTCCACACACAGCCTACCAGAGTGAAATGAATTTGCTTGGCACAAAGTTTGAACATGTTTCTCAGGGCCTTTCTTTCCCCTTTCTTGTAAAAAAAAAATCTGGAATGGTTCAGGGCTGTTTTCCCCCTTGCTGTTCCTTCCACTCGTTTATGACATAAGCAATGGCAGATGAAAGACCCAGCCATGGTTTATGGCTCAGAGACGGAGCTGCACTACCTGTGGGGCCTCGGAGATTCATTTCAGGTTGTTGGAAAAATCCCAACGGCCCATAAACAGGGCAAGAGATATCTGAGCTTGGCCTAGGAGGCGAGGGTGAGGGAGGGGATGAGAGACCTTCATGCTAGGGCAGGGAGAGGCAGGAATGGGCCTCAGATGCTTCCCCAGAGATGAGCCTCATAAATGTCTTTTAGACAGGGGGAGTAGAGGAAGGGTCTGGGATTTGTTGTGAGTGGAGGGAGGAGGGAAAGAAAGAAGGGAGGAATTTATGAAGACAGGATATATAGGAAGCTATTTCAGTCACTGCCCTGCACTATAGGACTAAAATTCCATTCTCCCTGACAATAGCAGCGATCAACTCTCAATGCAATGAACTCAAAGCAGAATTTAAAATCCAAGAGGCAAAAAGTGCAGTTCTCTAGAAAAGCAAAGTCCATGTAGCTACTGTTTTGAAACTGTCTGACACATAGTTCTTCAAGGGAGTTTCTACTCAGACCAAAAACAGTTTCTGGTAAAAGATTTGACTTGGAGTTCTTTCATTTACTCTTACACTTAGCACTTATTATGGGCTAATGTGTGGAGCACTGCACAGGGACAATCCTAGGATCCAGGGATGATGAAGATTCAGCCTCTGCTCTCACAGATATATGTGATTAGTAGAGGATAAAGACCCAGCACCAAAATAATAACTGTGCAGAGGAGTTAAGAGAGGGGACTAGGGAAGGGTTCACAGTGCAGGTGTCACCTGAGCTGAAAATGAATGACACAAATGGTGACCAGGAGTTGCCAGGGAGAAAAGGGGAGAGAGGGCACTTTATGCCAAGGGCATAAAATACCTAATGACATGGAAACAAGACATTGACCTGGAATGGAGGCTTCTCAAATATGAATGTTCCTGGCATTCCACCACACATTCAGCACTGTTCCGAGTACTGTGAGGGGATAAAAAAGAAGAACCCCTTGCTCTTAAGGAACATAAAACTGAATTACAGTGAGTTGGCATGTAAAAGATACTAAAGTATATTAAAGTGTAAGTAGTTAAGTTCTTCAGGCATAGTAAAAACTGAAAAAAAAAAGTGTGAGCATTTAGAAAAGAGGAGTATCAATTAGCCAGAGAAGTTAATGAATGAAGGAGGCTTCCAGGTAAGGAAGGAGAGGATTTAGAAAGCCCAGTGGGAAGAAGGAGGTGTTACAAAGGACAGGAAGGAAAGGAAGAAGGTGTGTGCAGAGATAAGTGTGGGCCTTTTGGGGCCACAGGCAGCCTTTCATGGCATGGAAGGTCTTATTGGAGCCTTCCACCTAACCGAGGAATAAACATAGCCTCAAAGAGGTGCAGAAACCTGTCCCAAAAGACACAGGGCATAGGTGGCAGGGTCAGGTTTCATGCAAGGCTTGTCTACTTCCAGGACCAGGCCCAGAGGCACCCCTGCAGGGAGGAAAGGAACAGGCTGTTTAGCCAGCATATCAGACATAGTAAGCAATTGACAGTCATCTGTACATGCCTTGGGCCAAGTGTGTGGAAAATCAAATGCTTTGTCTCCCATTAATTACTAATAACCATTAAAGATTACTCTTTCTACGGGAAGGTGTGTGGAGTGGTGGAAAGTAACTTTGACCGTAAAATAGGAGACCTGGATCCTAGTTCTAATTTTGCTACTAAGCTGTGTGCCCTTGGATAAAATTCCTCATGTCTCTGAGATGTAATTTCTTCATCTATGAGATGAATTAAAAATTCCTTATGTTTACCTAATACTTGACATGGCATCACTTTATAATTGCATTGTTTCACTGTTTCTACCACAACCCTATGAGACAGGAAATGCCTTGTTATCGGTTTTTTACAGATGAGCAAACTGAGGCCCAAGAAGAAAGTAAGGTGATCTTTTGCCCAAGGACACACAGCTGGGATGCTCTTTCTTCAACCCCTATCTCTCCCTACCTGCTTGATTTGCCTCACGGGTTGTTGTAAAGATCCAAGGATATGTGGTGCTTGCAAAATATCAGGTGCTGTCTAACTGCAGGCAGCATTATTGTTATTAAAGAGTGAAGAAAGAAAGGGAAGGCTTTCTGGAGGGGGTGAAAGGTTGACCCTGAGCTCCTGCTGGAAAAGCCATTCTTTTCAGTACAAAAGGGGCAGAGCTTATTTTAAATCCCCATATCTCCTCAGACCCTCCCGTCTCCCCCCAACTCCCCCCAACTATCCTGCCCTGCCACTGCAATCCCCACCAGGGCGAATGCAAGGAAAATCTCCAAGCACCGTGCACTAAGCACTCCAGGAGCAGAGCAGACAGAAACCAAGCTGCATGCCAGAGTCAGGCCGTAGGTAAAGTGTCCCAAGAAAGACACCTTTGTTCAAAGATGTCCACTGCAGAGGGGGGTTTCTGGGCCAGGCAGGGGGAGGGACCGGGCAGGTCAGAGGCAGGGCACTTCAGCTCAGACGTCCAGGCAGGCCCCAAAGGGGAGCTGTGTGTCTCCACTCTGAGTGCTGGCAGCCCGCCACGGCCTGGATGCCTCTCCCTTTGCTTTCCTCAGCTGGCTGGTGCTCATGAAGGGAAACCTTGTGCTTGGCAGGTATTCAGGGAAACAGGACAGTATTGGGACTGATTGGTAGAATTACTGTGGATTTGCATCAGTTTCAGGCCTTTTCACATTTGGATAGATCTTAAGCTAACACCTACCTTAGCTCTGTCTCCACTCTACACACACACACACACACACACACACACACACACACGCACACGCACACACACACGCTTTCTCTCTCTCTCCATCATTCCCTCTCTGAATTTTTCCATCTCTTTCTCTCTCCTATCTAATAAAAACATGGCCAAATGTAGTCCAAACTGATAAGCACAGGTGTATACTGCATGTACCTACACATAGATTTGTCAGAACTGCAAATACTGGCAACTGAAATATCAGAAGATTCCTCCCCACCAACATCACTGTATTCAAATCAAGCCTGGGTAAATATACTAACTGAAACCATAACTCGTTTTGTTTTGATTTGGCCAGCCTCCAAGAAGGAGACTGTAGAGCTCATAACAAGTCGATTCAGATGTTTGGGGCTCAGAGCTCAGTCTAGATAAAAGCTCATTAATCCAGCTTCCCTATGGTTCACTAGGCTTGGAGTATTATATGCATGACATTGTATTAGGTTCAAATGAATAAGGTTTGAGTGTGTTTGTCCTAATTTGGGAAGTAACTTAAGTGGATCGAATACCATCTCTCTTTGGAGTAGTCCAATTCTGCTATATTAATTACTAGTCTTTTGAAGGATAAATTATCTGAGAAAATTAAATTGTTTCTAGGCAAGGGTTGGAAGACAAAGGGTTAATTATCTCTCCAAATTGAAAAAGACCAAGACAACAATCCTGTAGGTGGTTAGGAAGGTGCGGTAAGTTGACTAACACTCAAAATGTTCTCATTGCAAAAGTGAGTCCTCATTGGTCAAATTCACTGTGGTTTTAAACATAGAGAGAAGTTGCCTGAATGACCACAGCTGATCAGACTGCTTGAGCCCTTGGCTGAGACACCGTGGTTCCCGACCAGGCCTTCTGCTGGTTTGGAGAGGAAAGCCGAGGCCCATACCCAGCCGGGTCTATGCCTTCAGACTCCAGTCCATTCCATAAACCACTAACAGGCTATCTGAAAGAGCAAGATAAAACAGGGTCAGATACCTAGCCTTTGTTCTTACCTCCACTACTCACCAGCTGTGTGACCTAAGGCAAATTACCTAACCTTGCCTAGGACTGGGAGGAGGTTTGGGAGGAAATGGAGATTCACTGCTAATGAATACAGAGTTTCTTTTGGTGGTGGGGTGGGGGAGTGATAAAAAATGCTCTAAAATTGACTGTGATGGTTGTACAACTCCGAATACACTAAACACTATTAAATTATACACTTCAAGAAAAAAAAAATGGCCTAACTTCTCTAAGCCCTACTTTTCTCTTTGTAAAATCAGAATAATAAAGATCTGTCAAGCCACCCTGATAGGACTGTTATGAACACAGTACAGACACAGTAGATAAATGCACTTTGAAAAAAGTTGTAATAAAAGTGTAAGATATTTCAAATATTTTTATTATGACTCTTGGCTGTTCGTGAACTTACCACATATCCCCACTGGCTAAGAAACTCAAACTCCTCATATGGAAAATTCCATCATTCAACAACTCCAGCTTCAGTGTGCCTACTATGTGTAACCACTCTTTTAGACCCAGAATAAGGAGGAATGGACAAGATCAAGAGAGCCTTTGCCTTCCTACCTCTAGTAGGAGAAGATGGTGAATAAAGAAAAACAGAAAAGAAAACAGAGCAATGGGATAAAGAATGACTGCAGGAGTGAGAAAGGCTTCTTAAATTCACAGTTCTGTGCTAACAGGGAGGTCCAAATCTATCTGCTCTTTGCAGCCTCCCTCAGCTCCTGTCCATGGTAATTTCTTCCCTTTCCAAATACCCAGAGCACGTGTTTGTCTATCTCAAATACTTTAGTTACTCAAGCATATTCAAACAAGAAGACAATTTTGTATGTTGTCTTACATTATTCTCCAACCATTTTAGTGGAAAACAGTATCCTAAGCTCTAAGTACAAACTTTAAAAAAAAAAAAAAAACTAGTGTACTACACCCATATAAAGATTCTGTTTTGACCTACTTCTGGAGGCAGTATAACAGAGTGACTAAGAGAGATGCTTTGGACTCAAATATTTTGCTCTGTCATTTACTAGCTAGTGGCCTTGGCCAGTGATATGGTTTGGATCTGTGTCCCCACCCAAATCTCATGTTGAATTGTAATCCCCAATGTTGAAGGCAGGGCCTAGTGGGAAGTGATTGGATCATGGGGGCAGTTTCTCATGGTTTAACACCATCCCTCTTGGTGTTGTCATGATGATAGTGAGTCCTCATGAGATCAGATTGCTTAAGTGTGTGTGGCACCTCTCTCCTCTTTCTCTTGCTTCTTCTCCACCATGTAAGATGCCTGGATCCCCATTCACCTTCCTCTATGATTGCAAGTTTCCTGAGGCCTCCCCAGAAGCCAAGCAGATGCCTCCATGCTTCCTGTACAGCCTCTGGAACCATGAGCCAATCAAAACTCTTTTCTTTATAGATTTCACAGTCTCCTGTATGTCTTTATAGCAGTACAAGAACAGACTAATACAGCAAAAATTCCCTCTGCATTAAGTCTAGGCAGCCCCATCTATAAAATGGGGTCGTTGAAAGCACCTACCCAACAAGATAGTTACAGGAACTATGGGGTACAGTGTTTATGGTATCTAGTTAATGGTAAGAAATTAACTAAATGCCGGCTTTCATCAGCATTATAATTTTGTGTGTCTTCTATATAATTAGAATAAGCTTCCAGAAAACAGAGTTCAAGTCTAAATCATCTTTGTATCCTCCACAACACAACAACATACTGAGTGCTCAGGAGATTAATAATTAGCTGTTGAATAGCTTGTGTTTCAGTTAATATAGAAGGAAGAGAAATAAGCCAAAGGTCACACTGGCAATGCGTTGCACAAACAAATGTGCTGTAGAGTTCTGCCTTTCCATCTTTTCACAAATCAATTCACCAATGCCAACCAGTAACTTCCAGTCACTATAGAAATTATTAGCTACCTCCACAGTTAGGGTTCACCTGGGATGAAATTTATTTCCCTTGAACTACAATCTGAATCTCTTTCACATTGATATTGATGCTACCAACAGTCCACCTTCTCATTAGTACCCATCCAGTTATGTTTCAATAGGAAGACAGGAGAGCAGGTCATGAAAAAGAGAAACCCCAAATTATGCTAATTAGGGATGGAGAGAAGGAGGGCGACTGAAGAAAATAAAATGGAAACAGGGCAGAGAAGGTGGACAGCACTGTGGAGAACATACAATCAGCAATTTGTTATCCAGCCAGTCCTCATGTGACTGCAACACATAGTCTCCAAGGACAGCTTGGGGGAAAGAGGGGAGCACTTGGTCAGGAGGCCCTCAGCCCTGGCAGACTGGGCGGCTTCCCAGCTGAGAAATCTTGGACAGACCTTCCCATAGCCATGCTTCGTCATTGGTGAGAACACAAGATTAAGTGAGGAAAGTATAAATACTGTTTGCAAGGAAAGATTGCCCTAGATTGCTATAAACTGATTATAATTGTATGCAGTGAACTCCACTACAATCATTCGGAAATTATTTATGGTTATTTCCCTTAGGTGAAATTGAGTGTCTCAAGATGATCTTAATGTTGATGAAATCATTGCTGACAGTACCATCACAAACACTTTGTGTAATTAGTTAGCCTTGAATTTCTAACATTAAAAACTCTTCAATACTGTCATTACTTGTAAAAGACAGAGTTTATTGTTGAAATAGGGGTTAGAGGAAAAACATTGTTACTCCGAACCTAAGACCGCTGTAATTATAGTCTGGACTCTAGGGCAGTGGTTTTCAAAATGAGCATGTCCCCAAATCACCTGGTGGGCTGGTGAAAACACAAGTTGCTGATTCAGTGGGTCTGGGATGGGGTACGTGACTTTCTCTTTCTACCCATTTCCCAGGTGATGCTGCTGCTGCTGCTGGTCCAGGAACCACACCTTTAGAATCACTGATCCAGAATGTTTCTACCTCTCTCTTTCCCCACCCCTACACTCCCACCCCTGCAGGTGCACACAAGGAGATTGGGTAAGAGCTTCTGAAGAGATGTGAGCAATCACAGCACATTCTTACTTTCAGTCAACAGAATCTTCATGCCTTTTCAACTATTTCAACCAGCTCTTCAGAGTGATTCCTGCTAGTTTTGATAATTGTGGGAGAATGGAAACTTTTTTTTTTACAACCATCTTTTCCTCTTTAAAAATAATGGTATGACTGGAGGAAAAGGTGAGGACAAGTATAACGTAACCTAAGACGGGCAGGTGCAGGGCTGGCCCTTGTTGTGCATCATTGGGAAGTACACCACCAAGCACAAGGCCAAGCCTCTCTCCTCTCTATCAGTGTGATGGCTGTTAAGCACCAAAGCCATGGACATCTAAGTGGGTAAGCAGGCAGCGAGCCCCTGAAAGGAATCTGCATCATGATTCATCTCCCCTTTACCTTCATGCTTAAGGTGCTCTCTTCCACCTCTATTCCCCATCATCTATTCCTGGACTGAGGCAAAATGCTGAACAGCCCTTCTGTTTGCAAGACTGGTGAATTCAAAGTCATGCATCTCTCACAAAGCACAAATGCCATCCAATGTGTGGGCTTAGCTCAGTGTCCTAGATCAAGTCTTTCAATGAGTCCTCCCTCACAGTCAGCTGTTTCACCTCCATCAGTGCCAGTGAGATCTAGAGCAAGAGATTATAGGGAAGCACGGCAAACAAGAAAAAAACTTGCCATTGTGGGTGCAGCTGAGCTTCGGGAATCATAGGTGGCTGATGAGCTATGACAGCAGCTGGTAAAGAGGTGCTGAGCTTAACCTTGCTGTCAGGTTCTAAGTTGACATTACTTCTTTTTGTATCAAATGCCTTGCTCTATATAAGGGATGTGCATCTGAGAAGTTGTACATAGACCAAACTTCTGTAAGGTTGAATTTTATTTTCCCAATGAAGGAGTTCTTAGTTACATAGACACTTTATCTTCAGGGATAAATATTTTTTAGTATGCAGAGGATCCTCACACTTCCATCATCATGTATTCATCTAAACATATTTGTTGTGCAAAGTGCCTAATATACATCTGTGAACAAGGCAGAGTCCCTGCCTTCATCACAGTCTGGTGGAGGAGAAGAAAGATTAACAGGCCTTTACAAGACAGGCTAAGAAGTGTTTTGGTAAAGACCAAGATGCTGAGGGAATACAACGGAGGGGCATCTAATGTGGTCTCAGGGGATCAGGGCAGGCTTCCTCAAGAAGGCTTACAGAAAGAGAATGGATTTAAATTTAAATAAATTTAAAATAAAGGACAAAGCAAAAATATTCTAGCACAAGAGAGCAGACAGAAGCATGGACAGTGAAGGAGGGGTTAGCAGAGCTGACAGAGTAGAGCCTTGTGTTTCAGTTTTTAAAACACAGAGCCAACCAGGCACAGTGGCTCACGCCTATAATCCCAGCACTTTTGGAGGCCAAGGCGGGTGGATCACTTGAGCTCAGGAGTTTAAGACCAGCCTAGGCAACATGGCGAAACCCCATCTCTACTAAAAACAATACAAAAATTAGCTGGGTATGTTGGCACACACCTGTAATCCCAGTTACTTGGGTGGCTGAGGCAAGAGAATCACCTGAACCCAGGAAGTGGAGGCTGCAGTGAGCCAAGATTGAGCCACTGCACTCCAGCCTGGGCAACAGAGTGAGACCCTATCTCAATAATACATACGTACATACATACATACATACATACAATGCAGAGCCAACAGAGGGAAATGGTTAAGAGCAGTCTAGAGCTTTGAGTCAGAGAAACCTGGAATTCAATGCTGGCTGTTTTGGGAAAAAAGTACTTATTTTCCCCAAATTTCAGCTTCCTGTACTGAGCACCATAGTATCCATTCAAGAAATTCAAATTATTAATATTTTTCATCACAGCTAAGTAATATTATATACCCTATGCAAAAGGGTCTTATTAATATGAGCAAATACCAAAAAGTCTTGGTTTTTGTTTTTTTAAAACAAAAGGAAGGAAATGGAAAAAGACTTTCTTTAGTCACAAGCTAGGGAGATAGTCATACAAGCAGATAATTACAATATCATTTAAAGAGATTCCTTCATTCGTGCATTTGACAAACATTTACTTACTCCACATAATGTTGTAGCAACTGTCATTCTAGGTTCTGGGAATACAGTAGTGAATTAAACAGACAGGACCTCTTACTCTTGTGGAACTTGCCTTTATTTGGAGAAGATATATCAAAAAAGTAAAGCATGATCTAAGTCATTTTAGAATCTAAATAAAATTTAAACAGTGAAAAGTGATAAGCATAGATTGAAAACAGTGACTGATGGAGAAGTCAGTAGTGATGGATGTTATTTTGGAGAGAACGGTGCTATAGTTTAGATAGCCCTGCTGAAGCTCCTCCATGGCACCAGCTCATACCTGACAGGCCCACTGCAGCTCCAGCTTCCACCAGATGCCTGCAGCAGTTACATCATTTCCTCACTCTGTCCCTCAGCTAGCAGGTAGTAGCAGCTTTCTTTTGTTGCTAATTTGTAGATTTTCTCACCTGGTCCGTTTGCATCTCAACAACCTCATCAGCCATCTAATCACTTCTCTGTATTAAACTCTCTCTGTTCTAAAAGTCAACAGTTGTGTCTTCTCCCCAGGCTGGCCCCAGGATGATTTAGTTCTTCAGGGTGACAAAGGATTTCACAGGTTGGGCAACAGTCCCTTCACTTGCCAGGTAAGCACCTCCATGCAATTGATTTCACTAGCCATATTGAAAACTAAGTTAGCTCAAATCATCTTCTCACTTTCTTTGTTATCTTCCTTGAACCTAGCTTTGTAAGGCTTATCCTAGAGAAGCAGTTAGGTAATAAGACATGGCAAACATTCACCCCAGGATTTAGGCTTTAGGTCTAGAATTCATTGGAAATTAGTACTAAAGTTCTACGAGCAGTCAGCACCATGGCCAGATCCAGGAGGCCACATGCAAAAACCAGAGGCCAGAAATGACTTTAAAGGAAACTTACTCCAGGGACCAAAGAGAGGAACTGGATACCTTATCATCTTGCTTGCAGAGCTGCTCTTCAATTTGTCTCCACTATCTGTACTGCTGTGTCATATATAGACCAAACAATTAAAGAGACAGGTTTTTCCACGTGTTGCATCACCTCTAGGAATAGTTAAAATAGAAATGATCTCTGCAGCCTGTTCTGAAAGTGATCTATCAGATTTCATCAAATATCAGCTGCCTTTAATTTATAAAATATGTCATTATTTTATGGACCACCAAGAAATGAAAAAAATGTGGCCATTTAAACTTTGATACAATGCCTTCCCACCACATCAACTGTGAATCAGATCTCAATTTTGGATACATTAAAACACAACCCCAAAAAAGTGTCTTAGAACATGAAATAGAGCATCAGCTCTGCTTAAGGTACCCAAGTCCTCTTAAACAGAGAAACTGCTTAAGAGACTGCTCATCTAGAAAACCCCAAGATTCAGGACCTTGGGGAGAGCATTTATTAATGGAAGCTATAGATGGCCCCCCCGTCACTTCTATTATTAGTCCCAACTCCTTCACGTGTTCCCAACTATCTCTTTGGCCATGTTTATGACACCAAATGAGGCAGCACAAGAGCCCCGCAGTGGGTGGGAGGAAGCCTGATACTAAACCTACTTCTACCAGTTACTACAACATGGTCTTGAACAAGGCACTTAACCTCAATTTTCTCAGCTATGAAATGAGGGAGTTGTGATAAATGATGTCTTAGATTCCTTTCAACACAATCATCTATGTTTACAAATGAAAGGAGAAAATATTAACAAATCTGCTTCCTGGTTATGATCACTGAATTGAACACTGGTTCTCAATCAGGAGGGTTTTTTTGTTTTTTTGTTTTTTGTTGTTGTTGTTGTTTTCTGTCTCTCAGGGATATCTGTAAATACATGAGGGCTCTTTTTTCTGGTTGTTAGTGGAGGGGGGCCGTAGATGCAATATAGCAACTTGCCTCACCAAAAATGCCAATAATGCTTACATTGGGAAATGCAGACCAAGACTGTTATGGACTGAAGGTTTGTGTCTCCCTGAAATTCATAGGTTGAAATCCTAAGCTCTAATGTGATTGTTTTAAAAGGTTAGGCCTTTGGAGGTCATTAGGTCATAATGGGGGAACCCTCGTGAATGCTTTTAGTGGCCTTTTAAAGGAACTCCAGAGAGCATTCTCATTCTCTTTTTGCCACTTGAGAGCACAAGGAAAAATCAGCAATCTGAAACCCAGAAGAGGGTTCTCTCCAGAACCCAGCAGTGTTTGGACCCTGACCTCCAACTTCCAGCGACAAGAATTCTGAGAAATAAATTTCAGTTGTTTATAAGCCACCCAGTTTATGGTATTTTGTTATTGCAGCCTGAGCAGACAAAAACAGGAATCTTCTGAGAAGGTGTTTATGATGATGAACAGAAATCTCTCAGTTTATGTTCTTTTTGCATAATGATTTCTGTCTAATTTAATTTTATTATAGTGGTTTAACATGGATAGCTCTAGGAGCTGTCACTTAGGCAATGCCCAAGGAAACCCCCCCAGTTTGCTATCTAGATAGTAATCTGTGTCTTAATATTCTCTGATGAACTTCTCAAGTTTTATTTTTCCTGGTGGCAGGAACATCCCTACATATTAGACAATAACTTTAACTCTGGGCTGAGGTAAGCGGAACCAACAGGTTTCCACTGCCCTGCCACATTGCTCACAAATCTCTACATGAATGTGGATGTCTGACTTACCCTCCAGCTGCCCCTTGCTGCAACATGCTGGAAAACAGCACAGCGTCTGAGAATAAAGAAACTTGGAGAGCATCTAGACTAACAATTTCACATTCACATTTCCTCGGATAGGAAACTGAGTCACAGATAAGGAAAGGAGCTTATCCAAGATCACATGCCTACTTAGCAGCCCCCAAATCTAGGATTCAAGTCTCTTGGCTCAGGTCCAGTGCTCCTTCCCCATTCCAAGTGTCTGTCACAGGTGGCGAGAGGAGAAAGGCCCCAGCAGTTCCAATTCAGGGTCCTGCTGAGCAGACTGGAGAACTCTTGCCCACTGCCCAGGGAATGGGGTATGATCATTAACTCCATGCACTCAACTCAGAGGGTGGAGCACTAACACTCTGAATATTTGTTAATAAAACATTTCCTAAAGTAAATTATTTCACCTCCCTGGTTCACTAACTAGAGCTTGTAGAAATAATTAGGTTTTTTAAAATTTTTATTTATTTATTTATTTATTTATTTTTAAGTGATGGTTCTCAATCTTTTGATGGGTCATGAGAAGCACTGTCTTAACAAAGCAATTGCTTTATATAACTGCACATGTAGAAAGTATAAGAGATTGGGCTGATTAGGACTAACTCTGGAAAATACTTTTTTGAGGGTGTTGTTTAAAACAAATCTTAGAAACTGGCTTAGTTTTTTTTTTTTTATTATTTTTATTTTTGGAGACAGGGTCGCAACTCTACTACCCAGGCTGGAGTGCAGTGGTGCCATCATAGCTCATGGCAGCTTTGAACTCCTAGGCTCAACCATCCTACAGCCTCAGCCTCCTGAGTAGCTGAGACTAATTAGCCTGCATGCACCACCATGCCAGGCTAATTTTGTATTTTGTTGCCCAGGCTGGTCTGGAACTCCTGGCTTCAAGTGACCTTCCAGCCTTGGCCACCCAAAGAGCTGGAATTGCAGATGTGAGCCAATGTTATGTTCACAACTTTATGTTCTGATTAATCCTTTTCTTTATACTAGAAGAGAGTTTTAAATTATATAGTCTGCTTAATTGAGAACTCTAGTTAACTTGGTTCCCATGAACCTGTGTTTGGTGCAAAATTATAGTTGTTGTTATTTTATCTGACTAATCCTTTCTCCCCGATGTAAACTCATTTAACAGACCTTTATTTTTACCTGTTCTAAAAAAAAATCTAAATTCTAAAGCTTATAATTTGAGTATTCTAACACTTAAAACACTCACAGGCAAGTTTATCTCAACTTTTTGGAACTTAATGATTACAAATCTGCGATTCCTGGGAATTCGCCTATACAGACTATCCAAATGCATTGAGAGCACACGGACTGAAACTAGTGTGTCTTATGCACCTGGCAAGGTACTCTTGAGAGCATTCTATCAGACAAGAAAAGAGAAAACCCTCTTTCTGCTGTCCCACAAGGATGTGCCATGGTGCTTGGGTATACCCAAGGTCAAAAAAAGTGAAGTACCGGGTTGGAGATTAGCTCTGTGAAACCAGCCTCAAGGTCCACAGAGCAGGGAAGGCTGCGGATGCATCCCTGTGCTGGAGCAGCAAAGGGCCCCAGACCAGGGTATGGAGAAGCTTAGGGGAACCTTGCCACTTTGAAGGAGATCTACATCCCTGTCCTGAGCCCTTTCCTTTGGAAGTTACTGTGTCTGGGCTTGGAGACCCAGAGTTCATCAAAGAGAGGGAAGCATTTTCCATTCCTTTTCTCAAATTTTGCAAAAGCACCAGAAAATGCCATTGCATGGTTTTATCAGCCTCTTGAAGGGAAAACCAGGGCTCAATGGATCTCCCTTACATGTAATATGGAATAGGCATACAGCATTCTGGAGAGCCATGAGACACTAGGCAAAGGGGGAAGTAGAGGAAGGTGAACATTTCCATATTTTTTTTCAGAGGAAGAGGCTTCTGGCATCATTACCTGGTCTGCTTTCAGGAAAGCACACACTTCTACAAAGATGAGGAGCTTCTTATGTTGTAGCTGGTCATATAAGAAGAAAATAAACACAATTGGATATAAACTGCCTGCTTCATACACACAGATCCAAACCAATTCTTGGGGAATGTGCTGGAACTAATGTCACACCCCCTTTGGCACATTCCACTTGGCAGAGATTGTGTCTGGAGTCCTTTGTCCCTCCTTCAAGAACCAAAACTCCCTCTGGTCACACCCCAGCTGTTAGATTAGGAAAAGCTAGCTGTGACTCCTTGCATCACTGTCAAGCAACCTAACATGTGGCTTCCCAACCATATGAAAAGGGCACTTTGGTGAGTCAGGAAGATGTCCTTGGAGTGTCTCCACTTCTTGGACTTCCTAACTCTCCTTAGGTGGTGTAGGAATAGGATGTTGAACGGACCAGCAGAAGTCCCAATACTTATGTATATAATGAATTCCCTTTATTGCACCCTTACTTTGTGCCCTACAACCCCCACCATAAACACTTTATATATATTGTCCCATCCAAGCTTCACAAGTTTGTTTTCCCATAGCCATGAAGACTCACACAATTGCATCCATGGAGACACTGGTTTAAAACTACCCAGTTTTGGCCGGGCACGGCGGCTCATGCCTATAATCCAATCACTATGGAAGGCTAAGGTGAGTGGATTCCTTGAGCCTACGCATTCAAGACCAGCCTGGGAAACACAGGGAGACCCAGTATCTACAAAAAATTTAAAAATTAGCCAGACATGGTGGTACACACCTGTGGTCCCAGTTATTCAGGAGTATGAGGCAGGAGGATTGCATGAGCCCAAGAGGTTGAGACTGCAGAGAGAAGTGATTGTGCCACTGCACTCTAGCCTGGGTGACAGAAGGAGACCATCTCAAAGAAAAGAAAAAGAAAAACTACCCAGTTTTAAACCCTCAGCTTTTCTGTGATTCCCAAATTCACATCTGACCTCCCCCTTAAATCCCAGATCTATGTGTTCAACTGCCCACCAAACATCTACAGTCACATGGTCCAAAAGAACCTTCAAACTCAGCATGCCCCACCCGAATTTTATCTAGATCCCTGGTTCTTTTCTGAACATTCTATCTCTTCTTTTAACAACACTGTTCATAACATTTAGAACTCTCAGTCATCCTCAACTTCAACCACTCTTCCTGTATTTCATAGTCATTTAAGTTCTAGAATTTAAGCTGCCTGATGGGCAGGTGCTTTGCCTGTTTTGTTCATCATTGTGTCCACAGCACTTAGAATGATGCCTGACATATTAGTAGGGATTCACGAAGTATTGAAGGCATAAATGAATGAATAAATTCTCTGAAACCCCTCTCTAAGGTCTGCCTTTGTTCAAACCTTCATCTCTCACTTGGAACACTGCAATAGTCTCCTGCCCACTTTCCCTGCCTGCAATGTTACCCCAACTCCAATCCATCCTCCCCACTCCTCTTTTGAAAAAACAGACTGAATAACATCACAATCCTGTTTACAAACTTCTGATCTGACTTTCCACAACCATCAGAGTATATTCAAATAAGATATACAAAATCCTTCACATTTTGGCGTTAATCTTACTCTCACTCACACCAGGATCTCAGTGCTCCAGAGCAACACTACAATCCAGCCCTTCCTCTCATGCCTGGATACAACCCTACCCTGCAACTCAGTACAGACTAAGCTGCATTTTCTAACAACATACTCATTTTCATTTCATCGCCGGCAAGTTACCTACTCTGCCAAGTCCTAGTTACAGTTTCATACCCATTGTGAAACCTTTTCTAAATAGTTCCAAGTCCTTTGCCCTAATACACATATACACACCCCAAGAGGAATGATTGCGCCAGACTCTATGATCTCATAGCACTTTATATCTCTACGATAATATTAATGTATATTTTATTTTATTATAGGAGTTTCTTATCCCCTGAGGAACCTGGGGGTCTGGAAAAGAGAGGTGGTTTCCATTGCTCTTGTAATCACTAGTATCTAACCCAGAGTCTGACAGATATAGACGGGCTTTCAAAATGTTTGCTGAACTGGCCTCAATTTAATTTAGTTAACATCAATCAGAGAGTAAGGAATAAACAAACAGCCATGGACTTAGTGAGACTAATTCTCTGAGGTCTTCACCGCCAAGGCCAAACTAAAAACTAAAGTAATTACTTGGGTAGATAATTCATGAAAGAAGGAAAACCATTTGCATTTGAATGATCTAGTGAGGATTTTCTGCTTATTGATGTTTCTGGAATTTTTCAGATAATGGCTTCAATTCTTTGATTCTTTCATGGTATAGAGAGTAGGCCAGAAAGTTAATCTAACAATCATTCTCCCATCTGAAACCAGGCGACTTTCAACCAGTCCTGTTGAACAGCAAACATTCATAGAAAGCAAGTTTTTTGAATGTCATAATGTGGAGGTCGAAGGGCCTGCAATGTTCAGATTCAGCACTCTAAAGAGCTCCTAAAGAATGCCAGGAGGTGTTCAGCTGCTTTCCTGATATTTAAATCACCTCGCATCTGGCCACCATTTATTTACGCCCTTAGATTTCTCAAGGTTGGGGCATGAAGGAGAGACAGTTAGAGCGTATAGGGGGCGATGCAGTCGATGGTATCTGTAGCACAGTACCCAGAAGACCCGGGAGCTAGGACCAAACCAGGAGTCAGCTCAGTCCAAAGGAAATCAGGGTTCAGGTAGCGACGGTGTCCGTGCGTTTCTTCACTAGTGCATGTGCGAGGAGGGCTGGAGGCATGAGCGAAAGAGGGAAGGCAATCTCGGTCTCCAAAAAATCCAGGGGACTCTCCCTTTCAGCACAAGCGCTCACACGTGCGCTCGCGCGGACACACACACACACACTCACACTCACACACAAATAAATCCCCAGCACCTGCCTCGGAAAGCCCTCTCTCGCAGGCTGGCCCGAAGGCGCGGCTCCGCCAGCGGAGAGCCTTTGGATTTACCGTGGCATTACTTTTAATTAACTCTGCGGCGCGGCGCGGGGAGCGCAGGGTGGGCCCTAATCCCGGGCCCGCCTGACGTCACCTGGGAACGCGCGGCGGCGCGGGGCGGCGCGGACCCGGGACGACCTCGCCGCGACCTGGCCTCGCCTCCGCCCGCGCGGGGCTTTGCTCCGCGGGAATTAAAGGAAGGAGAAATGTTAGTACACTTTTAATTGGAAACCGAGTTCTTCTTTCAGAGCGGCTTGTTTACTCAGGATTGGGCATTAGAACTCAGGGGAGGCTCTAATTGAAGTGACGGCTTTGGAGATTATGGGGAACATATGGCCCTACCGCCGGGCTCTTTATCTGCATTTTCTCATAAAACTGCCGTCCGTGTGTGTTTCTGCGCCTGGCCTCTTGCATTTCTAAGGGGCCTTTGAAGACAGGGCCGAATGCGCGCGGGGGCTTCAGGCACTTTGCGCTCCACGGCGGGTCCCGCAGCCCGGCCCGAGCCGGCCCTGGAAGCTTCGCCCTGGACTAGACTGGCACCGACGCCGCCCCCAGCCTGAGCGCTGAGAGGGAAAACGAGAGCTAGAAAGGAAAGAAATCGGACTGGTGACTGCCTGGCAGGGGTGTAATTCAAACTGTTGTGAGCAGACGGCAGGAGGGAGTTGCCAAGGTAACGGGTGATTCCCACCCGCCGCCCTTTCGCTAAGGCTGGGGAGAGGGAAGCCTCCGCGTGCTGGGTTAGGGCCAAGCCCGCGCACATAGGGTACTGGGAACACGGGTGTCTTGGGACAGAATTACATTTCTTTTTCCCTATCATAAATCAATCAAACAAAAATCTATCGTACAGGCTTGCAGGCTCCACCACCAATCACCACACTGTGGGTTCTCTCTCCCCCACCCCTGCCAGATTCTTGCCATATCTAGAGATGCCGGGTCAAATACAGGGCACATCATTAAATTTGCATTTCCAATAAACAATAATTTCTGTATTGCATGGGACACACTTATACAAAAATATTATTCATTGTTTATTCTTACACATGGATTTGTGTTTGCTGCCTCTCACAACCCTAACTATACCTGCTCACTCTAAGCAAAATACTGCGTTCTCTTCTAACTCGAGTCTCTGTGGTTCAGCACCAAGGCTCTGCAACTGGAAGAATGGCTGATTAAGGTATTTCAACTCCATCCCTCTGAGCTTCGCCTTCTCCTGGGGCAATGGCTCTCAAGCCTGCTGCACATTAACTCACTTAGGAAGCTTTAAAAAAAAAAAAAAAATCCCAGGCTGCACCCCAGACCATTAAATCCCTGAAGGTCTATTCCACAGGAGTTCAAAGTTTTTTTTTTTTTTTAGTACATAAGTAGAACAAGTCTTATAGGGTAAATACTTTGAGGGGTAACTCAAGAATATAATATTGTTTATCCATTTATTTAGTTATTGATGGTTTCCTTCTACAAGAATGTAGGCTGTGTGAGAGCAGAGGTATCATCCCAGCACCTACAATAGGACTGCTACATACTCTGTACTCAAAAGTATTTGCTTGCTAGTCAAACTTCATACACTTCTATGTGTTCCACACCCCAAACCTAATCCTTGCCCAATGTAAATGCTCAGCAAATTCCTATGGATGGAACAGATGCTGAGTTAGTTCAGTCACTGCTTTCCCACCCTCACTGATTCCTAAGAAGGAATGCTTGTACACTCTCTATCTTTATTTATTTATTTGAGATGGAGTCTCGCTCTGTCGCCCAGGCTGGAGCGCAGTGGCACGAACTCAGCTCACTGCAACCTCCGCCTCCTGGGTTCAAGCGATTCTCCTGCTTCACTCTCCCAAGTAGCTGGGACTACAGGTGCCCACCACCACACCCGGCTAATTTTTTTGTATTTTTTAGTAGAGACGGGGTTTCACCCAGGATGGTCTCGATCTCCTGATCTCGTGATCCGCCCGCCTCGGCCTCCCAAGGACACTCCATCTTGAACACCATCTGGATCCACTGATCCCACCTAGCACACCCATGCACACACAATATGCAAATCCCTGATCAGAATCAGAAAAACAAAAACAAAACAAAACAAAAAAACCCAAGCATGCCTCCAGGTTCCAGCGTGCAAACCTGGAATTGGAACACTAAGAATCCAGATGGTTCTAAAATTACCCAGTTTCGAATATAATTTTACAGCACCAAATAGCAGAGTACCTAGTTTGCCACCAATCCTTAGTAAACTGGACTTTGAGGGTTTTCCTTGGTCACAGAAACCAGGGCACAGGGAAATATTGAAGGTGATTCTTCCATTTGCTCAGTAAACTGTCTAAAGCATCTTCAGATCCATCTTGAAACCTCTTGATGGAAATCTAAAGTTGGTAGGCTTGGCTGGAATGTCAGTGCAAGAAAACCAGTGTCTTCCCTGCACCTCCTCCCCGATCCTTATTACACAATAGAAAGTGAGTCCCTGGTCATTTAGCTCAGATATGAAAGACTGAAGTCATGGGTTGGCTCTGCATGTCCAGAGAATGCAATCCTAAAATTTACTAGTCATACTGCCCCATCATTGTACCCAAAGAGGACCCAATGTAAAGGTGGATAGACAGAAGCACATTGTCATCATTGCCACTGGAAAAACAAAATTGAGTTCATTTCTCTGAAGAGTACAATTGTAAAAGATGGTAGGACATTACAGGTCAGCTTGTAGAAGAAGCACGTTAGAAGAAGTTTTGATATGTACCAATTTACTTCACTGTCGTGCTTTTATTCATTTGATTGATGGGGGCTGTGGTTTGCACAGCTGATACCTCTCATCTGGACAAAAAGTCAACTGATTTTTCCTACTACTATCAAATAAGCCACAGGAGCAGAAGAACCAGGAGTTTGTTGAATAATTATAAACATAAAACAAAAAATCAGTAATAGTACCTTACGTGCACTTTTAAAGTACTTCCTCATTCATATAGCACATTGTCTTTAGATCCTTCAAAGCCTCCTATTGCCTTAGAAGAGGTACCCATGAGAAGTATAGTGATAGTGATTAATGATTAGGGAGGAACTGGAGGTTAAAAGCAAGGTGAACTTGTGACTGATTTTGAACGCGTGTGTAAACTCAGTTCAAATCACCTTGTTTTCATCGCTTTAATTATATATGAAAAGGTCCTTCAGTTGGGGTCTCTCAGGTAGTAAGTCCTACTGAGTACCTGGAGCACTGCCATAGCCAGCCAGAAAGAGCTGTCAGTGAAACCTGAGAACAAAACATAAGGTTCATTTTCATATACATGTACGTTTTAAATGACCAGGCAACACAGCATAGTGTTTAATGATGCAGGTGCTGGAGCTAGACTGGATGTGAATTCTGGTCCTTTCCATTGTTAGCTGTAGGACTGTAAGCAAATTACTAACTTTTCCATGTTCATCTTCTTCCTCTGTAGAACGGAAATAATAACATTGCTTTCCTCATCAACTTGGTGTGCAGAATAATTCATGTAAAATGCATAATTTAAAGTAATGCTTTGTGCAGAGTAAAAGCTCAATAATTGTTGACATCATTATCATCATCATCATGAAAAAATCATGATGTGATCATTTTCCCATTTGGCCAATTTTATTTTTTACAGAGGTGGAGCAGGAGAAATGAATGCACACAGATAACACACTATTGCTGATTAAATATGCTGTGAAGCAACTGCACAAATATTAACTTATGGTTTTCATTATTCATTTTAATCAAAATTATTGTGTGAACACATTTTCAAAAATAAAGTATGGTCAATGTAAAAAGGACAATGCATTGTCTGAACCTGTATATTGCCTCTAACTTTTTAAGCACTAAAGATAAACTTTACCCAACTCATAATTATAGCAAGGACTGAACCCCTCTGTTTCAGTATCAAGTGTCCTGACTCGGTAATTGGTAGAATTAAGTTCTTATTCTGGCTTATCCCTGGCTCAAGTATCCTGTGTCTTTATTTCTCCATCTACTTTATGAAGACAAAACAAATACACTAGAAGACAAAAGTTCAGCATAGAAAAGAAATGCTGAGCCTCAAACTAAGAGCAACAAACAATTCCGGTAGTGAATTTTATGGTAGTGATACTGTGTAAGAGACAAATCTGTTGATTTTGAAAACAATCTGAAAGGCTCAGGCAGTTCTAAGTGCTTCTTGCCTATCATCCAGAGATGCCAGATTAATAAATCGGGAAATGTTCATGAAGACCTTTGTACTAGTCATGATATAAATATGTGAACTCTTGATGTCTCCTTAATAAGAATAACAACAATAAAAATAGACAACAGTTATTACATGTTTACTGTATTCAGGCCACTGCACCAAGCCTTTGGGCCCAGAGATGATATCATTTGTGCCTTTTGTCTTATTCACAGCACCTGGCACAGTAAGTATCATTAAGACGTATTTATTGGCTTGACATTTAAGGAATTTATACCAATTCCAAAACGTGGGAATAGGTTTGCAAGTAATTGTGCTTTGAAGCAGTGTTTTTCAAACTTCTGTTATGACCCATGAGTAGCTTATGAAATTACTACAGTGGGCTAAAAATAGAATTTAAAAATAAATGGAATAGACAATATCAGCACATAGGGCAATCAGCAAGTCAGTCTAAGTGTTGAAACTTATATACACACCTATAAATGTGTATACTAGCTTATGATAAAAAATGTATTTTAAGATTTTCTGAAAAGTGCTACCATAGAGTCTTTTGAAAACATGACTCTAGAGGAAAATGTAAAATATGATTTAAATATATTTCTTCACAAATATGTTTAGCAGAGTACTTTTAAATACCTACTCAAGGTTTTTTTTTTTCTTTTTAAAGTGGCTTACCCTTCTGCTTCTTAAAAAGAAGAATGGCTAGATTGATCTCCAAGCTATGTCCCTTTTCCCATCTGCCAGCTCCTTTCTATCACAAAGCTGGCCCCTGTTCCCCTGACATTAAGATGTTGGCTTTGAGATGTTTTTCTCAATTGTGCTGCTCAGCATTCACTATTCCTCTGCCTTTCTTTTTCTGCAACTAAAACATAGCATTCAGCACAGAGTCCAACACAGTGTGGGTGTCTGTAAGAAATATTTGTTGAATTAAAGGTTGGTCAGGTGGCCGCCTGGAAGGACATAAATAGATTATGGCATGTAACAGAGTAATGCTAGCAGGCCTACTTAGGAATAGAGTAACTCTGGCTCAGCTGTACACTGCATTCATTAACTGTCAGGTTCAATGTCCTTTCTGGACTCAAAGACTCCAGTTGCAAGAGAAAAGTCAAGTCGACTCCGAAAGCAACTCATTTAAAGATGGGAGACATACCATCACCCTCAAACCAAGAGGCACAGAGAGCTCCATCCCCAGGATAACTATATGCCAGGAAGTGTAACGCTTAGGAATAAGGAGGCACTTAGGTATTTAAAATAGCTCAAATAATGACCACTGTATGCATCAGTTTTCTGGTCTATTAAAGAAAGGTAGCTACGTTTGATAAATCCTTCCCATTCTTGCTTGAAATTTCTATTAAATCTCAGAAGTAACTTCAAGACTGTTTTTCCCCCAGTCTTCTGCATTGACTTTCCAGGATGCAACACTAGCTAGCTAGGATGTTCAGAAACCAGAGAGTGCCTCTGAGACACACAGGCCCCATGGTATGAATCAGCCCATCTTTACTTTATGCACCCTAGCCACCCAAAATGACAGGCCCTATCTGTACCACCATGAGGTGCCCCAGGTATGCTATCCATAAGTGCCTAAAACCAAAGAGCAAAGACAGAAGAGGAGATACTTGCAAAATGATGGATCTTTGGTAAAATAAACTTATGACCCAGGAGCCATCCATAAATACACTGGCTCTCACACTAGGAGATGATAATGGTAACTGTCATTTATTGGACATTGATCAAGTTTCAAGCCCTTGATTTTCATTACCTCTTTTAGTTCTACAGCAACCCACAAAGGCTGTATTGTAACCCCCTATTTACCGATTAGGAAATAGAGTCCTGGAGAGGAGAAGTGGCTAGCTCAAAGTCACACTGCTTGTGAGTGTAGGGAAAGCATCAAAGACCTGTCTAGCTTTAGATCCTATGCACTACAATACGGAGGATGAGACTTCCTCATAACTTCTGCTGACCTTTTCTATCTTTCACTGGAAAATTCAGGACCATGAACTGACAAGGATAATCCCAGAGAAGAGTTGGGCATTTTCTAGAATTTGTGAGTTAACTGCTGCTTCTCTAGTCTAATTTATTGGAGAACAAGAAGATTTACAAGACAGGGTAGATGAAATACTTTTGTAACGAATTGAAAAAAACAGTTCCAAGGTTGTAGAAGGAAATTAAGACAAATGTCTAAATACGAGCAGTGGAGAGCATGGCCCAGAAGAGGAGAAAGAGACGTATTACACAATGAGAGTGGCAAGCGAGGCATTTGGATCTTCCAAATCAAAACATCCTATATCCCACAGAAAATTAGGAGGAAGAAGGATTCACAGACTCCAGCAGATGTGAGGAATCTTCTTTCTGGCTTCGGTGAGAAGAAAAGTTACACTGGAAGTTGATGCTTCTTTGCCAAGGACATCAGAGGCCAATATGAACAGGACAAAGTGAATTTATTCACACAATAAGCAAACATTTACTGAGTGCCTATTGCATGCCAGGCACCATGTTAGGGCCAGATGAATGCTGAACACAAGGAGTGAAGCAGCATAAGCCTCGCAGAGCAGTTCAGACTGCCCAATAAACGGAGGCTATGGAACTGCTGCGTTAATCCAAAACATAAAACATTCTTTGCAGAAAGGGGCCCTCATGACAGGGACTTCACAACCAGGCTTCCTCTGGGAAAATCCCTCTACAAAAGCAGAGCACCTAAAAGAGCCTTGCCTTAGCCAAGGAATAAATCCTAGGCATAATCTAAAATGCAAACTGGTCTTCAGGAAGAAAAAATTTTAAATGATACATAAAAAAGCAAAAAAAAAAAAGCATTTGGATCCCATGATAAAAGACACTAAAAGGAAATAAAGATATTGTTTGAGATAGCAAAAATGAAATTCTGACTCAAGATTTTTCAGTGATTCCAAAAATGAAGAAAAAAGGAAGGCAATTTAACATAAAACTAATTGCATCCCAGCACTTTGGGAGGCTGAGGCGGGCAGATCATGAGGTCAGGAGATCAAGACCATCCTGCCTAACATGGTGAAACCCCATCTCTACTAAAAATAAAAAAAAAAAATTAGCTGGGCTAATTTTTTCTCAGGTGACTTCTGATTTTAAAAGAAAATGTAAAGATAACATTTAGGCGGGTGCCTATAGTCCCAGCTACTTGGGAGGCTGAGGCAGGAGAATGGCGTGAACCCGGCAGGTGGAGCTTGCAGTGAGCCGAGATTGCGCCACTGCACTCCAGACTGGACAACAGAGCGAAACTCCACCTCAAAAAAAAAAAAAAAAAACAAAACAAAAACATAAAACAACTAATTGCAGCACGATGTACTGGATTCAATTCTGGAATGGATAAAAGTCATTAATGAAAAAATTTCATGAAATGGGATAATGTCTATCGTTCAGTTGAGGGTTATACCAATGTTAATTTCTTAGTTTTGATAAGTGTACCATGGTTATGTAAAATGTTAGCATTACAGGAAGCTGAATGAAGGGTATATGGAAACTTCTGTCCTATTTTGCAACTGTTTTGTAAATTTAAAAAACATTTTTATTTTTAAAAGTTTTTAAAAACTGCTTCACAGGACACTCTCAGACGACTTCTGATTTTAAAAGAAAATGTAAAGATAAGAGGGGTAGATAAGTAAGAAATGCAACATGGACCAGCCAGAAGCCATGGTTACCCACAGCCAGGCCCCAAGCCCCTGCCTCCGCCCCCAGGTCAAAAAAGCTAATGAAATCATGGGCTACATCAACAGAACATAATATCTATGACAGGCAGCAATAACACTGTGCTGGTTCAAACCACATAAGGAAAACTGTATCCCCTTCTTGGTTGTACCTTTGAAAAAGATCGTAGTATTTTCATAGATAGAAAACAGAAAGTCTGTAATGAGGGCTAGTTAGAATAATGAGGAAGAACTAGAAAGGAAAAGACAAAACTTAGAAAATATCTTACATCTTAGGGAGCATTTCTGTCTTGAACTTGAAGGGTTGCCCCATGTAGAGGAAACACTTACTTTGTGAGTTCCCGAAAGTACGGCCAAGACCATGGTTTGAGTTTACATACGGAGACCGATGTTGGAATTCAATGTAACAGTTCTGACAATTTACCCCCAGAATTGAAGTCAAGGGCTCCTGTGATATTGTGAAATATATATTTGGTCTTCATCTAGTTTCTTGACAAAAAGCTACTAAAATCCTTGAACACTCCATAGTGATAAGAGTATCTTTTGTTGGCTAATGGTAGCTGGGAGCCCCTAGGTTATTTCAGGATGGGGGCTGGTCACTGGAAAGGCCAAGGCATGATTGGAAGGTTGGGACTTTCAGCCCCAGCCCCTAACCCCTAATCCTTCACCTCTGGGGAGGGGAGAGAGGCTGAAGGTTGAGCTGACCACCAATGGGTAATGATGTAATCAATCATTGCCTATGTAATAAAACTCCCACAAAAACTCAGAAGGACAAAGCTAGGGAACTTCTGGATAGCTGAAATGTGGAGGTTCCTGGAGGGGTGCATCCAGAGAGAGCATGGAAGCTCTGCACCCCTTCCCCCATACCTTGCCCTATGAATTTCTTCACCTGTCTGTTCATCTGTATCCTTTAAAATATGCTTTGTGGTAAATGAGTAAATGTAAGTAAAGTGTGAGCTGCTCTAGAAAATTTAGTCAACCTGAAGATGAGGTCCTAGGATCCGCAATTTATAGCCAGTGAGTTAGAAATATAGCTGACAACCTACTACTTGTGATTGATTGGCCTCTTAAGCGGGGTGGGGTCTGGCAGTCTTGTGGGATCAAGCTCTTAACCTGTGGGATCTGATGTTACCTCTAGGTAGACAGTGTCAGAATTAAATTGAATTAAGGGATACCCAGCTGGTGTCCACTGGAGAATTGCTTGGTATGTGGGGAAAACCCCTACACAGCTGGTGTCAGAAGTGTCATGTGGAGTGGAGAGCAGAGAGGAGAAAAAGCAATTTTTTATTTTTCCCCTCTATCTCTTTAGCTCTCCATGATGGGAAATGACCAAGTAGAGACTGGATAAGCATCTGATGGGAACTTGGACTGGATAAACTCCAAAGTGTCTACCAATCTCAAGAGCTCGTGATTCTCTGGTGAAGGAAAAGAGCTCTTCTAGACACTTCTCTAGAAGTTTGTAAATGTTGGGGAGTCTCTCCTGGAGACCTTGGGCATCCAAGTTGCCCAGTGTCAAAAAAAAAAAATCATCTGACTCTGGCTACAAATTCCATTCATCTGCTTGGGAGGCTGCTTCAAGGCCATCAGCAAAGCAGGGACCAGGACAAAAAGGCTGGGTCACACCAGAAAAGGGCACACAGCAGTTGCAGATGTCCTGAGTTTGGTATCCCATGTAGCTGTGAACGTGTCACATGCTTTTGTGTAAGATCAGTCAGCATCACAGAACCATAGATTCTTTTTTAAAAAATAATTTCAACTTCTATTTTAGATGCAGGGCATGCATGTGCAGGTTTTTTACATGGGTATACTGCATGATGCTGAGGTATGGGGTACAAGTGATCTGATCACCCAGGTAATGAGCACAGTACCCAAGAGTTAGTTTTTCAACCTTTGCCCCCCGCTCTCCTTCCTCCCTCTAGAATCCTAGATGTAAGCCACCCTAGAGGTCATTGATGCAGTCTTCCACCAACTGCAATTAAAATGTTAAGGGACAAGCAGTTTATTTCCCATAAAGGCAATCCAGTTTGACCCTTTATCAGACACAGTTCTACCCTACGTTGAACCAAAATCTGTCATTTCTTCCCCAGTACATGGGTCGGCAACCTTGGGTGTGACTCTCATATGTTCCTTGGCCTTATTTTTACTTAATATACTGAGTCTCTTTAATTATTTATGATTTAACAAGCTAATTACTCTCCTCAAGATTCTCTCTGGTTCGTCAATGACCTCCTCAAATGCATCATTTAAAATTAGCCCACATATTCTAAATGTGCTCTGACCAGGGCAAAAAAAAAAAAAATACTGAAACTATAATTACACATTAGGGACACTGTAGTTCTATTAATGCAGCATGTCTTTTTGGCTCCTATTGGATTTATTGCCCACTATAACCCCATGTGGAATTCCCTCAAAACAGGCACTATTTCATACAATTACAATTGAATTTTGGGAGACAATGGTTAGATTTCATCTTGCTGTCTTTGCGCGGTTCTGCTAGCTTGTCAAAATCTTTTTGAACATCGGGAGTATCCACTGCCACACCAGCCTTCCCTGCCAGGTTTGTGTCATCTGTAAACCAAATAAACCTGCCTTCTGTGTCTTCATCCAAGTCATTGATAAAAAGGTTAAGGATACTAGATCAGTCATTCACTCAACAAACACTTATCAAACACCTACAATATATACGTAAGGTGCTCAAGACAGAAACCAGAGGATAAACTGTATTTGTACTGAGGCAGATCCTAAAGTTGTTTGCTTTCTGTTAACAATGAGATGGACTTCATTCCATGAAGATTTAATTCAATTCATTAGGTACTTATTGATCACTTACTCTTCTCTTGGCATCATGCTAAGCTTTGTTAAGGAAACAAAGCAACCAAAAGCTACAACCCTGTTCTCTAGAAGTTTGTCCTCTCAGTAGAGAGGCAAGCTTTGGCACACAGAAAATTTTATGATACAAGACAGGCAGCATTGATATAATTGATGAAATGAGTAGTTCAGATAAGATATTTGATTCTGGTTGAGGCTTTAATGTCACTTCATTTAAAACTACAACAATAATTATAGATTTTTAGAGTTGAAAGCGATAACAGAGGTCTTCTAGAACTACCCTCCCCTCCCACCTCATCAATATTACTTTCAATGAATAGGGAGTGCTATCTCTTGAGTAGTTTTACTCTTTGTTAGATCTAATAATTAGAACGACATTCTAGCATTTCCTGTGTTAAATCAAAAATTACTTCCCTGTACCTTTCTATCTAAAGTGTAAACACTCAGTAATTTTGTTGGATAATTAAATGAATGAATTCTAAATCTGTTCTCTGAAACTGGAAAAAAATAGGTCTGATCTAATCATTTGAAGGCAACAATTATGTCCTCATTCAGTCTTGACTTCTTTATCCTAAACATACACAATTCCTTCATTTGATATGGTTTTGGGACCTCCCCATCCCCACATCATTCTTGTCATTCATATTTTGACTCTGTGCCTGGCATGATACAAGCACTCAAGATATGTCAACTGAATTAATACATGAATGAATAAACTGGAAAGCTCCAATATGTCAATATCAGCCTCAAAGAGAAATTTCCATAACTGAACATATTGCTGAAAATGTGATCAGAAAGTGAACCTGTTGCAGTTCCCTGGTACTGAGCATTATAATTCTATTAATCTGTAAATGTTACTTAGATCAGATCAGCTTTTTCTTTTTTTTTTTTTTTTTTTTTTTTTTGCAGGGTTAGGGGCGTGGAGCCAATCCACTAATGCCTCTTATTGATTTTCTAGTGAAGTAAAATCTGTAAACCGTTAACATAGGTCCAACTGTATAACTTAGTGATTAAGCCTCCAGACAAATGTTTATCATGAAAGGCTAGACCACAGCATTTATTTCCATGTGAGAAAGCACAGTATGTCCCTCTGGGTATATACATCTTTCTATGATGATGCTGTATTCTAATCACCATAACACCTAAGCCCTTGGGAAATTCGAAATTCTACAGGATTTTGAGGAGGAAGCCTAAGAGGGCGGACACAGCAAGATACCTGGAGGAAAATGACAGGGTAAATTGGCCTTTCTATACCAAGTGTATACCCATTAGAATGGGCCCAACTACCCCTGAAGAAGATACTCCATATGTTAGTGCCAGTGTTCCTGACAAGGAGAAATTTCCCTCAAATCAAAATAAATCCAGGAAAACCTAAGGCCAATAAGACCAGTAGAAGTTGGGGCTTTCCTGATGCCAGCTTTCTTAAGGCTGCAAGCAAGTTCAGGCAAGAACTAACCTGGAGGTAAAGGGAGCCGAACACGGCTGCTACAAAGATGCTAACACTGACTAGTGGATGTTAAGCACCCACATTTATTGAACACCAGGCTTTTTATATGCATTCTCTCTCATTCTCCAACAATAAACCTATTAGTAGGTATGATCATCACCATTTTATAGCTGTGGAGATTGAGGCTTAGAGAGGTTCCAAAATTTGCCCAAAGTCACAGAGATATAGTGATATAACCTGGCTAAGGCACCCCACTTGTCTGTCTCCAAAGCTTTTGCACTTAAGCACCATGCCATAATGGTTTTTCTTCATGTGTTTATTCACTCTTTAACAAAGAGTTTATCAAGCACCCAGTGTCCCAGCCTGTGCTAGACCTGGGAATATAGTGGTAAATAAGACATACACTGTCCTTCACACAGTTTAGCACTCTGAAAAGAATAAGAAACAATCAAACATGTAACTACAATGAAGTAAATATCCCAGTAGGAGAAGTTAAGGGTAAACTCACCCAGCATGAGGGATTAAGAGACCTTCCCCATAAAGTTGCCTTTTGGATAAGCTAGCAGGACAAAAGAGAGAGGGAAAGAGGCTGAAAAGGAATAGACTTTTAAGATTTGAGAGTAGATGAGACACAACGACAGGTGCTAGGGCCTAGTAAGGCTGGAGTGAAGGGTGGGAGTGATCAGAAACTCCCAAAGAGGCCAAAGGGATGGATAGAGTGAGGTTACAGGGGGCTTGGAAATGGACTAGAATTGGCAATGGCAAGAACTAGTAAGGTCACATAGATGTTACCTAATTGGATCTCACAGATTCCTATGGATAAGATGAATGCTGAGCTGTGGGGACCAACACTCCAAAAAGGCATTCCATGTTTAATGTAGTCAGTGTTAATTTAATGTAATTTCTCTGACCTTGTGAAACCTGCCCTATAAAATCTCTTAACCTCGCCTGTCTCCTCTCTTTCGCCAACCCTCAAGGCAGTAAGAGGGAGGGTCGAGCGGGTGGTGAGGAGAAAGAACGAAATCATTCTAGTGCCTTTCTTTATGTGACCTGCCAAGCCTTAGATAGATTCCATCTTTCCCACTTGACAAATGAGGAAACAAAAGCTTAGGGCAGTTCAGTGATTGTGGTAGACTGAATTATTGGTTCCAATCCATCATCCTCTTTAATAGTATTATGTATCTATACCTGGGCAAGGGTTTGTGGTGCATGGAGTATATTTCTCCTCCTCTTGACTTTGGATTTGATATTGCCATTTGCTTTGGCCCATGGAATATTAGCAGACATGATGTGTGCAGAAGCTTGAAATGTGCTCTGTGGTTGGGCATGCCTTCTTGCACTTTTACCACTGTCAGAAGATCATGCCCTGCAGCTGCTGTTCCCCAAACCTGGATCCTGGAATGAATGGCACAGAGTATACCTAAACCTTGTCTACAGGCTGGAGCTAAGCTCAGCTGAGATCAGCAGACTCCAGCTAACTGGAAGCCTGAAGCAAAGTCCAGTTAACTCCAGTTAACCCGGACATTTCTGTGTGTGTGTGAAGTGTTTATGGTTGTATGCCATGGAATTTGAGGGTAATTTGTTATGCACCATTGTCATGGTAATCACTGACTGATAAGAGATTACTCTGAGCTTACAAAGAAAGTTCCTGAAATACACAGAACTGCCTTGCCATGGAGCTAGGCTGCCCTGGAGGCTGGCCATCTAGGGAAGAAACAATGCAGACAGCCACCCAACTCCACTCTACCCACCCCACCGCAGCCCTGCCCACCACCTGGCACTCACCTGAGTCTGAGGCTGCTGGGCTCACCAGGCTGAGCAGCTCCCGCTCCTTCTCATAGTCCCCTTTGCAGAGCAGCTGCCCCTCCTTCAGGACAAACTCATCACCCTTCTGAAGCTGTCGCTCGCAGACACAGCAGCAGAAGCAGCTCAGGTGGTATACACTCTTCTGGGCCCGCATAACAAACTCATTGGGAGCGATGGCCTCGAAGCAGCCCCCACATTTAACAGCAAACAGCCTGGCAGCAGGGAGAAAGGAAGTACATGCACCATGAGTAAAATCTGGCTTGGTCCTGGGTCTCCCCTGAAGTCAACAGCAAAAGGAACTTCAAGAACTGGGATATGAACGTTAGAATGGAATGTACTTTAAATCCAGGTTATTTATTCCCTAAGGAGATTGAATTGAAGCATTCAGTTGAGTCATTCAAAGGCTTAAGAAGGGTGTCTGACTGGATAAAGGAAATGTGGTACATATACACCATGGAATACTATGCAGCCATAAAAAGGAACAAGATCATGTCCTTTTCAGGCACATGATTGGAACTGGAAGCTATTATCCTCGGCAAACTAATGCAGGAACAGAAAACCCATCACTGCATGTTCTCACTTATAAGTGGGAGCTGAACAATGACACATGGACACAGGGAGGGGAACAACACACTCTGGGGCCTGTCAGGGGGTGGGGTGGGGGAAGGGAGAGCATTAGGAAAAATAGCTAATGCATACTGGGCTTAATACCTAGGTGATGGGCTGGTAAGTGCAGCAAACCATCATGGCACACGTTTACCTAGGTAACAAACCTGCACATCCTGCACATGTACCCCAGAACTTAAAATAAAATTAAAAATTAAAAAAAAAGAGGAGTATCTGAGTTAATGCCCAGAATGTATTTGCTGTGGTTCATGACACAGTGCTTTCAAAGGTTGGTCTACAGACTGGCGCCAGGCAGGCTGTTCAGAATCCCTGGGGGAGCTTATTATTTAAATTATTTAAATCAACAATAACAAAAATGTCCAGGCCCACTCTTATCAGCATATAAAAGGATGTGCCCCAGATTGTGAATTCTTAATAAGCTCTTGAGGTGTGTAAGAGCTTAAATGTGTAGTCTAGTTTTTGAGAAACTGCATCCCAACTTCCCAGCCTGATATTCAATAGATTCAGCCTATCTCTCAAGACTTAACTCTTCTTTCATTTATTTTCAACACAACAGTTAGACTATCTATTATATATGCCAAGCCAAAAGCAGTAAGTGCTAGTGATATGAAGATGAATAAAGGAAAATCCCTCTCAGAATTGAGTTCAGGCTAATGGAAGAAACAGACATATCCAAATAATTAAAGTAGAGGGCTGTGGGAGTACAGAGGGGAAAACAACTAACCTGCAGGGAGTGAGCAGGGGGTGCATTTAGTATGTATTCAATACATATAAGTCAAACAAAAGACAGTAAGGAAGCCAGGCTGGCAGGCACAAAGGGGTGGGAGGAGGGACAGTCCCAGGGGAGGGAACAGCCTGTGTGAAGGCCTGGAGCCACGAACAGGCATGGATGCTCAGGTTGTAAGGTGCACTCCACCAAGTTAGAGGCAGGTACCTCCAGAAAGGTGACAGGTGAGGTTAAGTCATGACCCAATCACACACTAAGGAGCTGGACATCATCTGGCAAGCAATTGGGAGTATTGAATGGCTTTTTTTTTTTTTTTCTGAGACAGAGTCTCACTTTGTCGCCCAAGCTGGAGTGCAGTGGCGTGATCTCGGCTCACTGCAATGTCTGCCTCTTGGGTTCAAGCGATTCTCCTGCCTCAGCCTTCTGAGTAGCTGGGATTAAAGGTGCATGTCACCATGCCCAGCTAATTTTTGTATTTTTAGTAGAGATGAGGTTTCACCATGTTGGTTAGGCTGGTCTTGAACTCCTGACCTCAAGTGATCCTCCCACCTCGGCCTCCCAAAGTGCTAGGATTATAGGCATGAGCCACTGCTCCAGGCTTGAATGGTTTTTTAACACGGTAATATCCAAGTTCTGGAAAAGGAACTCTTGGCTGTATGAAAAGTGGAATGGAAATGGAGGTAGCGAGATGAGTGAGCAGCTGAGAAATTATCAGGGTCAGGACTCATACAGCAGAGGTAAGACAGAAAGAAGGGGGCAGAGCCTACAGCTGGAAGATAGGAAAGCATGGGGCATGGCTCCCAGGGTCCTGGTGGTCAGAGCTGGCAGGTAATGATAATGCCAAGACTCCAGTATACAAAATTACTCATTTCCTACCTCTGGGCCTGTTTATGCCATTTCCCCATTCTAGAAAGCCTTCCTTTCCTGTTTAATATATCTGAACCCAAACCACCCTTCAGGACACAGCAGCTTCCATCTTCTCCTTGAATCCTGCCCTGATCTGTGCCCCCTAGCCTGAAGTGACTGCCCCTCCTTTGAATGATGATACCAGGAACTATCTCTGTGGGTCATTCCACAGTTATCCGGAGATGTCTCAAAACTACAATATGAAAAGTGGTGGGCACTGGAGGCCTGGGCTCTGCTGCCAGCTCTACAGATAACCATGCAAAATCTTGGGCAGGTTGTTTAGCCCGCCCCTTCATATTTCCTTTTTTCTGTCTGTTGTTAAGATGTTAGGCCAGTCTCCTCCAGCAACAAAAATTCTACCATCAGAGTTTGCAATTGCTGGCTCAAAATATTATCTTACTCTTGCCTTATTATTTTACTTTTCCCAAGTTTATAACTTATCTTGTCAACAGCTCCTATTTCAAGAACAAGGCCTATGGAATATTTATATACTCTCACACATGGTGGGTACTCACTAAAAGTTGATATTATTTGACTCATGGATCTAATTTGTTCACCCTCTTTCTGAAATAACATAATATATATAAACAGTCTAGCATAGGAGCTGACACATAATAGATATCCAATAAAGATGTCTCTCTTCTCTTCCTTGTCACTCCAGAGAAATCATAGTTCAGGGCAACCTATGAAAAAACTAAAATTTAAAGCAGATCCCTCTGTTTCTTTTTTCTTTTTAAAATTGCTTGATGATACCATAATTGCATTTGTCACAACTTTGGCATAAGCACAGAGACAATATACCCTAAGAATATCTCTGGGATTCATTCACTATAGCATTCATTTTACTATTTCCAAAATAAAGAGGTTTTTTTCTTTTTAAAGTAGCAGCAAAATAGAGGCAAAAATACTTTCAAAAACACTCTTTTCATACCCACATGACAGAGAAGTCAGTAGATACGGAAAGGTCAGATAGCGTACAGGAGAGAAAGTCAAGGGGGCACAGAATGGCCAGAGAGAGCAGATAAAACTCCACACCACTCTCCTCTTTATAAAGCTAGATATGAGCTGACTCAGAGCCTATCCAGGGAGATGAGGCCACCTTGCTCTGCTAATGAGCCCCACCCTGGCAGTAGCTAAGAAAACATGAACAACTGAAGAGCATTTTCCTATACACAGGCCAACTACCATGATGGCCTAAGGGTTGCCAATCCATTCACTCAAAATCTCATTCATGCACTCATACAATCATTTATTCTTTTCATTCATTCTTTCATTTATTCAGAAGCATCCACTATGCACCCTGAAATATACCAAACTCTGTGTCTTTATAGGGAGGGCAGGAAAAGAAACCACCATCCCAACAGCATTCATGTACATAAACAAGTATATACTGAGTGTCTGTTATGTGGTAGAAATTGTTGTAGGCACAAGAGGATACAAGACAGACAAATCCTTGACCTCATGTAGCTCGCATGCTAGTGGGAGAGAGTAAACAAACACATAAACGAATAGATAAATCATATCTACATTTAGGGATTTACCTTTAGGAAACAGGATAAAAGAACAATACAAAGCAATGTCCCATGAATATAAAATAGAATGGCATAAAGCTATAGTATATATAATTATAATATTTAATCACCTCCCAACTCTAAATTGTGCGGGTTTATGATTCTAAGTCAATACATGTGCACTGTGTGTTTATCTTGGAAGCTTCCTGGAAGAAGACAAGAGTTTTGAGGGTGGAATGAAGGGGAAGCTAAGGAGAAGTTCCCAGGGAGGCATTACTCACAGGTTGACACAAAAAAAGAGGGCCATTCTAATTCTTTGAGTGAAGGAAGGCAAGGCTTGGAAAAGATGATGAAGCCACCTCTCAGGAAACAGCCTCCTGGAACAGAGGCCAGGCTGCAGGATTGGAAGTGCTTGTGCTGTGTTACTTTCAACAGCTGCCTGGAAGCACCACACCAGTCCTCCTTGCCCTTGGCCATCAGAAGCACCTCAGAATAACCTATCTCGATATGCTTCTCCTCTGCCTCTCAGCTTCAGAAAGGAAGTGAAATTGGGGGATAGTCCAAGGGGTTGGAATGGCTCGTTTATCACTAACAGGTATGATAGAGCCTGGAACTCCAGGTTCCAGCTGCCCTTCCCCTGTCCTCTCGCCCAGTGTGGTTTTTCTCTCTATGTCTAAACCTCTGGCACATCAGTCCTTTGACTATTTGCCTTGACTCCCTCTCCCCTATGCTGGATGCTGTCATTGGGCAGAAAATCCACCCAGTTCATCCCTGGGCCCCAAGTCCCCGGTTGCTGTTTGCCAACCTGAGCAAACTAATCAATGCTTTTCCAGGAGCTGGTCAAAGGCCCTTTGTCCCCAAGCTCTCCTTCTCCTCCCCTTCCCCTGGAATTAACTGTTAAACAGACTCAAGGCAAATGCTCCCAGGGAGTCAACAAGCACTTGAGAAGCTGCAACAGCAGGTGGTAGCATCTGTGCTTGTCTAACTTCCACCCTGCTAATCTCCTCCTCTTTTTCTTGCTTTCTTAATTTCATCCCCCACTCCAAAAATTTCCCCCAAGTTGGAGAAGGGAGGGTTGGAGTGAGTTCAACAAAGAAAGCCCACCATGTTGACTCAGGAGTCGCTAGAGGAAGTGGCGGGAGTTGTCTGGGCTCAAATCCTGAAATGGTCATGGTCACTGGGGATTACAGACCAGGAAGAGTGGGGCAGTCCTGTTTTTTTCTTCTCTCCTTCTGTTTTTCCCTCCCTTTCTGGGTTCAAACCAGATCAACTTCGTCTTACTACCTTGACTCCTGTTATCTTCACTAACCCCAGAGTAATTCAAGGAGAAAAGGTGCATGTGGTCCACCACCTGTGTGCCAGATGTATACACAGCTGTACGGCTACCGCTGTGGACCCAGCTGCTGACTGTACACCTCCCACAAGTTGTTTTCTCTAAGGCTCAGACAAGCAGAGAAAAGGGTTTGTTCAAAAGTCCAGGTCATAATTAAAACACAGCCTGTCTCTTCCTAATGCTCTGGATGGCATCCCCCATGGTTACTTCCCCCACTGAATGCTAATGAGACATCGCTGAGGGTTCAGAGCCTGGCAGCCTGGCTGTGCCCTGGCAAGCTGGAAAAGGCTTCCAGAGATGTCCAGCTCATCAAGGCATACATAACACCACCCAACTTTCCTTGATGTCATAAATTCTCCTACCCCTGAAAGCTCTGCAAATGATTCCTTATCTCCTCTTTGCATTTAATTCCCTCACCTGTAAAATGGGAATAATAGTATCTACCTCCTGGAAAAGCATCCATGGCAGTACTAGTTGCAGAGACTAAGCACTCAGTGCTGTTCCTCTATTGATCACTCTCTGTGGGGAAGGCTCTGGGGATGCCGTGATAAATAAGGCTGTCCCTCTCCTTAGGGAGTTCACATTCTCTGGAAGGCAGCAGACTCTAAATAAATGACCTCAGTAGGATGTGTTTGGGATATGCAGAGAGAAATAGCTGGGAATAGCACAAAGAAGAGACCTATGCGCTTAGCTTAGGCTAAAGGTCACAGAATCTTTTGTCTCACACTTCATCTTCTTTTCTTCTTTCTCCCTGCACCTCCTCTCACTCTCTCTTTTCCACTCACTCTGCCAAGCAGGAAAATAGAGGTTGGCTGAAATGCTATTCAATGCCTTGCTTACATCTCTTCTTGCACAGCTGCAAGCTATAAGATGCATAACTTTCAGTTTTGGTGAGAGAGCCTGGGTTCTCAGGTTCTGCCACATCCAGGCAGCATGACTGGGAGAACACCACTTCATCACTTGCTGCCTCCGTTTGCTTTGATGTAAAAGGTAATAATGATGCCTTCATCTCTGGACTAATGAGGATTAAATGTACATGGAGTACTTTGTGACCTATAAGGTGTAGTGCAATTTTTTGGGCCTTTATCATTTGACCTTTGCAGATTTTTCTTTCTTGCCTCAAACATCGTTCTTGTTGCTTAAGAATTTTATGAGTTCTGGTCAGGTTCAGTGGCTCACGCCTGTAATCCCAGCACTTTGGGAGGCCGAGGTGGGCGGATCACCTGAGGTCGGGAGGTCGAGACCAGCCTGGCCAACATGGTGAAACCCTGTCTCTACTAAAAATACAAAATTAGCCAGGCATAGTGGTGCATGTCTGTAATCTCAGCTACTCAGGAGGCTGAGGCAGGAGAATCGCTTGAACGCGGGAGGCAGAGGTTGCAGTGAGCCGAGATCACACCATTGCACTCCAGCCTGGCAACAAGAGCGAAACTCCGTCTCAAAAAAAAAAAAGAATGTTGTGAGTTCCATTCTAAGAGAACACTTCCTCCGCAGCATGAGCGTGGGCATGACTTTGACATGGGCATGACTGCATCTCCAGAGCATAGTGCTGACCCAGAAGATGAACCAAGGAGACACACTGCTCGTGGTGCAGGCAGAACATGCTCCTTACACCAAGCCGTGGGCGTCTCTCCCTCTCTCCACCAAATCGGATCGAAGCAGTATTTCTTGTAACCAAACTCAGCCATCCTGCCCTAGGTGAGGTGTTGGGGAAAGAACACGGGACTTGGCATGAGAAATCTGGGCTCAAAAGTGCTGCCTTTTCCAAGGGACCTCAGAAAAGCCACCACCTTTCCCTGAATCTTGGTTATCTTATCATCCATTTCTCAATGGAAAAGTTCTGTCCTAGATCAGAGTTGTCAAGAACTTAGAGGCTGAGGAGGAAGGATGACTCTGTTTCCTAGGTCTCCACACACTTTCAACCAGAGAAACCCACTCCATTCACACCTAAATTCAGGTCTCCAGATAGTGTTTTACCATGACACTGCCTTGCTATGGTAATTCTTAAACAAAATCTTTTCCAGAACCATATCATTCAAATATATATAAATATAAAACAGCTAAAGCCAAAAGACATGATATCTATTCTATTAATAGAAGAGTATCATTGGAAGACAACATTTTGCTCCTAAGGCAGGTTGGAAACCCACTAGGCTGGATAATTTCTTACTCCCATTTTTATATTTCAAGCTTTTATTACAGGAGTTGAGAAGCCTCCTCTGTAACCAAGGAGACAAGAATGTTTCAAAAGCACATATGAAGGTTTGATGCCTGAGAAACTACTAGTGGACAAGTCTATGACAATCAACAAAGAAGCACTGAATTTCGGGATGCAACAGCACACCCCTGTACTGCAGGCATTACGGTAGCAAGATGACAACACACCGAGACACCCTAGGGACTCCTGGATTTCAGTGCCTGTTGTGTAACCTTAGGAAAATCACCCTACTGTTCTGAACATCAGTGTCTTCATTGTTAGAACATATTTCAGCTCCAAAAATCATATTTCTGCAAAGGAAGGGGGCTTGTGGAGGACAGGAAAAAGAGAATTAATCTTTATTGAGTACCCACTCAGTGCTAGAAAGTGTGATATTCTTTTTACCCATTATCTAACTAAATTTGTGGGATGGGGTAAATAGAACTATTTTATGAACTCAAAGAGAATCTGACCATATTTCAGTTCTCTCCGTAGGAGAGAACCACTCTGGGATGGCGAACTCATGGGTCCTGTTTTGTATTTCTCTCTCACATGCTCTCTAGCACTGTCTTCATAGGAGAAACATGTAGAAAGATCAAGCAGTTAAGATGGCAGCCTCAGCTCATGAGGGGGTCACGAAACAGGCCCATGGTTTTGTAGAAGGTCTTGAGACTCCACTGCAGACATGTAGGTAGGTGAAAGGCAGGAGTTAAAAAAAAAAGTTGATCCCTTGAGGCTACTCAGCTCATGGACCCCAAAATACCCAAAGGGATTTCTGAAAGAGGCCTACCCTCTATGGATGTGGGTTAGGAACAAATAGTGTGTGGGGACACTCTGACCCAACACCACCAGCCAAGAGTCTACTGTGACTCCAAAGAGATTGGGAAACAAGACAAATCTTGCTGGAACCCCATTCCCTTGGGAGCCTGGCAAGTCAGGTCATTCTTTTCAAGATATAGGCAGAAATGTAGCCAATGGGGACAGGGTTGGACCCAGGAAGACCTGAGGAAGTCCACCCAGAGAGAGGCTAAGATCTTCATCAACCTCATCCCAAAGTCCTGCAGACCTTAAAAAGAGCTTCTCAAAGCCTCCACAACATAGACAAAAAAGCAGAAGGATGGAGGACAAGGCAAACCCATGAAAAACCCTGATGCCAGTTTGAGCCAACTGTAGTGTACTGTGTTTGCCCCCACCAAAATAAGAAATCACAGCCATCTGTAGCTTTGGACAGTAGTCTACTACAGTTCAGCTGTCTTTCTCCAGGCACCACCGATATGAGTTTTGATGAGATATATGAACCCTCCGGTTTAGAAAGTAACAGAGGGTTTGGGGCAGCTCTTTAACAAGGCAGGAATCTGTGTATCATTCAGTTTCCACCTCTCCACCAGGGGGCAGCATAGCAGCATTCATTCAGTGCCATGTTGACTTGGTAACTGAGGTCATCCAGGCAGAGACAGGGATTGGCCATAAGCCAAAACTGTCTGCCGGAAAATCTGCTGCTGGGAGTCTGGGAGACCATGTGGCTAAACTGAAGGAGAGATGGTGAGAGAAGGGTATTCAAAAGTATTGGGAACCAAAAGCATGGCTTGTGGCCTTAGAAGTAGTGACACAAGCAACCTTGTCAGCTGGCTCAAGGTCTCTGTCCTTGAGGCTGAGCCAACAACACCACAATAAGCAACTGAGCACATGGTCCTGGGGTGGTGGGAAAGTCTGCATGGACAATAGAGTGGCAGGATCTTCTATAGGAGACAGTCTCAAGACTCTGCAGTGGTGAGAAAATGGGAAACAATAAGTGGCTGGCAGAGCCAATCAGGGTCTCTGTCTGCCTGCAGCTCCTGGGGAGCTATAAGGAGGACCATACAATGGGATGAACGAGTGGGAGTGAGAACTGCTAAGTATGATGTCTGCACGTCCCAGAGGCTCCGCAAGGCACTGGCCTCACCAAGAAAGGCAGGGTAATGCACATGGTTTTTCATCTATCACAAATGTTGCTGGCGATGGGTGGTTTCTACCTTGAAATGGTAGACTAACTAAGTGCTTTTCTTGTTCTCGCAAGGTGTCCATTCCAGAATCAGCAAGACACTGTGGGAAGAGGACAGCTTTTGACATCTGATTAAACCTGTATTCAAACCTTGGTTCTATCTTTAAGAACTTGAGCAAGTTACAAACTCTCTTGGAGCCTCGGCTTCTTTATCTCTAAAAATGAGATCATAACAACCTTATGAGATATTTTGGAGATTAAGTAAGTAGTGTATTTTAAGTATCTGACACATACTAGCTGCTCTCAATAAGTAGTAGCCATTAACTCCCTTTATTAAAATCAGTTTACCATATCTGCCCATGTAAATATTTATATAAGATAATTTATTTCAAGACAGCCAACTGAGCCAAAAATAGAACTTTATATGTATCTCAAGGTTCTGTCCCTCATTATTATAACAAATCAAATCAAACTTCAACCAGCCTTTCATATGTTACTGGAGAAGACACCAACAAACAACTGTGAAAGGCCAAACACTTGAGAGGAAACTGAGGGTACATCTCATTCAGGCAGCTATGGCTATGGTCTACCCTAACCCAAGGTCAATATTGACACTGGCCACGAGTGTTGACCCACACACAAATTCATTGCCTAACACCCAGCATATGTTCAGGAAGTTGTCAGCTCCATGTTTAGCCAACCAGAGCCAACAGTTGCTATTTGGTTAATGCTGACATTACCTTGCAAATATTTAAAACAGACCATTTCCCCACATCATTTTGGTTCTCATATGACTGCTTCTTACAGAGGCTGCTGACTATTGTGTGGACACGTATTGAGACATCCCTATCCTTGCCTTGCTTCCCTGGCTATCTGACCTCCTGTCCACCAAGAGAGCAGTCAACCTCTCTCCTCATATTACAAATGGAAAGAAACCAAGGCCGATAAAGGGGCAATAATCTACCTCAGACCACAAAGAAAGCTATGATTGCTGAGAGGATCAGACAGAGCCTGAGACTTAGTCAATGATCAAGAAACTAAAGAGATTATACCATGGCCCAATGAGAGATGAAAAGGTACTCCTCCAGGCTCTTAAGCAGTGTTCTGAACAACTAAATGAGTAGACAATGTCAGACAAGCTGAATGAGTGCACTGTGTGTGGGACAGTGAGTCTCTCCTACTTGGAAGCTTTCTTTTCCTCCCCCTCTTCTTTGTTGAAACCTGAAAAGTATCTATGAGTCAAGCCCTAGAGCAAAAGACTGTGGTGAAAGTGTGGATTTCAATAACTCAAGCCAAGGTGGCACAACTTATAGACTTTCCATATTGCCACACAGATATGCACAAATGGCAAGAAACATAAAACAGACATATGGAAAATATCCGTTTTCCTTTTAGGGAGTTAAGGTTTGGTTTCCTTTGAAAATGTCAGTTTTCCTTTCGCTTCATCCTCATTAGCCTCCTGGGACACTCTTAAACATACCCAGAAAACAACAGAGCAGAAGAAATGAGGTATTTTTAGCTGATATTCTGGGCACAGATTCCTATTGTTCCACAATTTTTGGCTTGGCTGGATGGCACGTGGCCAATACAATGTATACTCTTGCAAAGAATGTATATTTCCTGGTGTGTGTGTGTGTGTCTGTGTGTGTGTGCATGTGTGTGTGATAACAGGAAGGACAAGGGTATTATTGATGGTATTTTGATGGGGAAGATTCTGGGATCTCAGCAAGCCACACCAAACTCTCCATAAATCCTGTTTGCTTTGGTCAACATCACTTTTCACTTATTATTACCATTGTGCTATATGTCCAAAAAGAAACTTTTTTTAAAGCCATAGTGTCACAGCTGAAGAGCTCCTAGAATCAACTGTTTCCAGCAGCACTATATTAGGAACTAAATTTATTCTGAAAACCAATGATTACATTCCTAAATCATCTGGTGCACTGCCTAGCATATAACAATGCTCAAAACACTGACAGCTATGATGATCATCCTCCTCCTTAAACATGACTCCTGTTCTCAAGGGTCACCCAGTCTTGTAGGGGAGGCAAACAAGAAAAGAAAAGCATCCACTGACAATCTGAGTAAAAATCTCCCTGTGGCATAAAAACCACAGGGAGCTGCTATGGGGTTTTCCCTTTCTAACTGACGGGTGGAAAATATCTCTGGATTATTTAATTCCAGAATGCCTTTAGTTCAAGGATCTCAAAGCACATGCAATCTTGTGTAAACATCTTAGCTCTGAAATAATTGAGAAGGGGGTCAAATTCTGTGATCTTATTCAATTACATTCATTATACAGAGGGCAAAACTGGCATAACAGCAGAATGTGGCACATTATACACACTCCAAAATCCAGCAGTAATGGAGCCTGTGCACAGAAGCTCAGGGTCCTGAATCCCCAAAGCAGCCTCTTTATCACAGAACTATGTTGCCTTCCTTTCATGTTAGACTTCAGATGTCTCGAGAACCCCATAGAAGTTTCAATAAAGTCTGATCCGGTGGAAGTGACACCGTTCTTGTTTCTTGATTTTTAAAAATATTTATATCCTTCAATTTTTTAACACTTTTTATTCTTCAACTCTCTCCCCATCCTTCCATTTCAACTCTCCTTCCATCCACTAAAAACTGGAAGTCACCATACCCCTTACAATGGCTACTTTCAAAGAGATAAGAAAATAACAGGTGTTGGATGTAGAGAAATTGGAACTCTTGTGCATTGTTAGTGGGAATGTAAAATGGTGCAATGCTGTGGAATGCGGTACGGAGTTTCCTCAAAAAAATTAAAAATAGAATTACCATGTGATCTAGCAATCTACTTCTGCATATATAGCCAAAATGATTGAAAACAAGGACTCAAGGAGAGGTTTGTATGCCCAAGTTCATAGCAGCATTATGCACAGTAGCCAAGAGGTGAAAGCAGCTCAGGTGTCACTGACAGAGGAACAGATAAACAAAATGTGGTATATGCCTACAATGGAATATTATTCAGCCTTAAAAAGGAAGAAAATTCTAACATACACTACAACATAATGAGGACATTATGATAAGTGAAATAAGACAGTCACAAAAGACAAATACAGTATGATGGTACTTAGGAAGTTCCTAGAGTAGTCAAATTCAGTGAGATGAAAGTAGAACAGTTGCTTCCAGGAAAAGAAAATGAAGAGGTACTATTTAATGAGCATAGAGTTTTAGTTTGCAAGATAAAAAGACTTATGTGGATAGACAGTGGTGATAGTAGCACAACAGTATGAATGTACTTAATGCCACTGAACTGTACACTTAATAATGGTTGAGATGATAAATTTCATGTTAGGTGTATTTTACCATACTTTTTTAAAAATAAAAAATTATAATTTTTTTAAACTGGAAGACACAATCATCATTTATGCTCTACCTTCTATAACCAAAATATAGGTGATTATGTTCCCAAGTGAAACTCTCACCAGCCTCCCTTGCAGCTAGGGGTAGCCATGTGAGGTAGTACATGGATTCTATTGGTGAGGAAAGCGCTAGAAAAGCTACTGTTTTCTTAATAAAATGAGACAATCTCAGCTGGTGCATACATTTTGCTCTTTACCTTTTCTCTTTTTTTCTGCCTGGAATTAAAATGCAATACTTAGAGATAAAACAGCTATCTTGGAACTAAGAGAATGAAAGCTACCTGTTAAGAATGCAGAAAAAGAAGAAAGAAGCCTGAATTCTTGAAAACTTTCTTGAGCAGTTACACCTTCCTTGGACTTCCTACTTCTGGACTCCCTCTTCGTGAGAAAAATTAAAGCTCTCTATTAAAATTAGTCAAGACAGAATTATATGATGCCAAATGCAATCCTGCTCAAGTCTCTTCATATTGACTTGCCAAAGGGATACCCCTTCCCACTTGATTTCTTGAATGTCCTACACTCCTATCAAGGGCTAACTCTTCCACTTAGGTGCTAAACTTTGTCACTTCATGCTTACTCAAAAACTATATCATATATTCTCCCTCTTTGCAAATATGTTTTACAATATTTTTCTTGTTTCTCCCATTTTGGAAAAAAAAATACTCCTCTCTTGATTCCATTTCCTCTACCAGCTACCTTTTCATTTATCTGATGGCCTTTGTAGAAAAAAAAAAATTTTAATTACTTCTATTTACTATCTCCAGTTCCTTTCTTTTTAGACCAATCCAATCAGGTACTTATCCCACCTTTTCTAACAAAATTGTCGTGTGAAGGTCACTAATGACCTCCACAGTGTTTAGTCCTCATTGTACTAAGCCCATCAGCAGGCTTGGACATCATCAATCATTTGGCTTCCAGGACTGCTCACTCCTGATTTTCCTCCCACCTGGTCACTCCTGCTTTGTTCTTCCTTACCAATTTCTCCTCATCTCCCTGACCATGAAATGTTTAGTTCTCTTCTTTATCTATGCTCGCTCCCCTTAGGGATCTTATCCAGTCCCATTACTTTAAATATCATACATTTGCTAAATGATTTTGACATTTCTATCTCCACCCCAGCTTGCTCTTTTGAATCTAACTTGTATACCCAACTACCTACTCAACATCTTCACTTGGATTTCTAATCACAGTCTCAAACTTAACAAAACCAAAATAAAATTCCTGATCTTTTCCCACCCACCTCACTCTGGCTCCAATCTGCTCCAACCACAACCTCTCCATTTCCATTGATGGATGGCACCTATATCTTACCTGTTGCTCAAGACAAACATCATGGACTCACTTTTGACTTCTTTATCCTCCGCATCTCATATCCAATCTGCCAACAAGCAATTTCTGCTCCACCTTCAAAGAATAGCCAGGACAGTCATTTTGCATTATCTCACAGCTCCCACTATAGTCCTGCCTCCACCATATCTTCCCTGGGTTACCTCCACAACTTCCTCAATGGACCACTTGCTTCCTCTTGTCACCTGCTATGCTGATCTTGAGCACAACACTCAGGGTTATCCTACTACCTAAATCAGATCATGCCCCTCATCTGTGATTTAGCAATCTATTTCATTCCCATTTTCCAGACAAGAAAACAAAGACTTATGAAGGTTTAAGTAATTTGCTCAATTTTACACAGCTAGTATTTGGGGGTGCCAGGATTTAAATCAAGTCTGCCATTATATCACTGCCTAACTTAGCTTTGGGGTTGTCCTCATCAAATGGTAGGATGGTATTTTGCAAATTAAAAGCTCTGTGTGACTACAAGGTAATACTACCACCATTATCAACACAAGCTCCTGATATGGTAGTGCTGAATGAAGAAGGTTATCAATTATATTGAAATATTTTACCTAGAAAGGAAAGGCAAGAGTTTCCCTTCCAATACTTGAAAGAAAATCCAGAATGAGATCAACAATCCAGGATGAGTCTAACCCAGGAGAGCATCAATTAACTTTGTGACTTACGCTGAAACAAGCAAGGAGGGACTGGGTAAAAATAAAAAAAAACAGGAGGAATGGTGGAAGCCTGCACACAGCCCCCACCAGCACCCCAACCACAAAACTCATGTGCAAGTCTGCAATATAATTTTCATCTTGGATGCCTTTCATATGGCTCTGCTCCCCATACCCAGCTCCATTCAGAGGATTAAAGAAGAGGGACAGACATGAGTAGCTAAAGAACCACAAAAATCCCTGTGAAACAGGATTCTTGGTTTAAAATCACAGTGACTAGTTATGTGTACAGACATGCATAAAGCATGCATATGCTCGCACACACACACACACATACATGCTGCCTTAGACTAGAAATCCACACAGCATGCTACAGCCAGAAGTTTGGGGAGGAATTTTTTATAACAGCCCCTCCCAACCATGGAAATAAATAATGACAAGTTAGGGTGTCCTCAACCAGAAGAAGTCTTCAAGACAGCACGACCTTTGAGGGATGTCTGCATTTTGCTGCGGCAGTGCACTCTCAGATCTTATAAGGTGAAACTAAAGGGAATGTTGATATAGGAAAAGGAGGCCTAGTGCGGTGGCTCATGCCTATAATCCCAGCACTTTAGGAGGCAGAAGCAGGAGGAACGCTTTAGCCCAAGAGTTTGAGACCAGCCTGGGCAACTTGGGGAGACCCCGTCTCAATAAAAAAATTTAAAAATTAGGGGAGGATTACTTGAGCCCAGGAGGTCGAGGCTGCAGTGAGCCATGTTTAAGCCACTCTACTCCAGCTTGGGAGACAGAACAATACCCTGCCTCGAAATAAAAAAGGAAGGCCGGGCGCGGTGGCTCACACCTGTAATCCCAGCACTTTGGGAGGCCGAGGCAGGCAGATCACGAGGCCAGGAGATCAAGACCATCCTGGCTAATACGGTGAAACCCTGTCTCTACTAAAAATGCAAAAAAATTAGCCGGGCATGGTGGCGGGCACCTGTAGTTCCGGCTACTCAGGAGGCTGAGGCAGGAGAATGGCGGGAACCCAGGAGGTGGAGCTTGCAGTGAGCCGAGATCGTGCCATTGCACTCCAGCCTGGGCGACAGTGAGCGACTCTGTCTCAAAAAAAAAAAAAAAGAAAAAATGGAAAAGGAGCCCCAGGGGTCCACCCCTTCCCTGCTTGGACCTTCAGGTTCCAAGTTACAATTGCAAAAATAGGAAGTTGCAGACCTGTTCTTCCAAGTCAAAAGATAAGGCCAGAGGCTTCTCTTGCTGGTTCCAAGAGAAACACCTGCCTCTATCATTCAGTGACTGGCAGATTACCTAGAGCCAGGCACAAGGGCAGGGAGACTTTTGCCTTTTGGCAAAGGAAGAGGCAGAGGAGCTCTTGTGGAGTTCCCTTTCAAAAGGCTTGTAGATACTGCCCCAGACATCCAGGAAGAAGAGACTTCTCTGGCACTCAAAAGCGAGTGCCTCCCTGAGCCCTGCACGTCTTTCCACTGTGAACAGGGAGCCATACACACTGGCATCAACCTCCATTGCACTGTACCAATGAGAGCTACCCTGGAAGAGAACCTAGTCATTGCTATTGTCATTGAAATGTAGTGCTATTTAGACTTCAGTCATGGGCTGAATTCCTCCAAGAACAGGTCAGTACCTTAACTCCATGAAGAAAAATATTTCTTTCCCAAACTGCATGAGATGGGCAGAGGAAAAGGGGTAGACAAAACCCACAACACAGCTTCACCAACGAGAAAACAACTTAAAGTTCATGACCAACTAATTTATAGGCACAACTGGGAGAAATATGACTTTCATAGCACCTCCCGCAAAGACACACAAGGATCCTTATAATTAGTAAATAGTGAAAAAGGTAATCAGGGAACCTAAATGATTGGTTATTTAAGGGAGGGGTTTTATTCATATATACAACAAATATTTATTGGGTGCCTATGATTCTAGCTGCTAATATTGAGGTACTACTGCAGGTTCTAGGAATATAACAGTAAACACACTAGGGGAAAATCCTTGACCTTGGAGTTTACATTTGATAGAAAACAAATTGGTACCAACTAAATGTCAGATGAGTGCAATGGATGAAAATGAAGGAGTAAAGGAGGATGAGAAGTGCCAGGTCTGGAGGAGTTACAATTTTCCCTGGATAACTGACGTTAGAGCAAACATCTGAAGGAGCTGATAAGGAATGAGCCTTACCAATATCTGTGGGAAGAACATTCTAGGCAGAGAAAATAGCAGGAGCAGAAGCCCTGAGGTAGAAGTAGGACCAGCACTTTGGACAAATAGTAGAGTCCAGTGTGGCTGGGGCAAAGATGGGGCAAAAGAAAGAGAGGTAAGAGCTGAGATTAGAGAATTTACAAGGGAAAGGCTAGATAGGTCAGAGAGGCCTTGTAAATCACAGGGAGGAGTTCAACTTTTCCTCTGGAAACCAGGGGAGGGCATTTTGCAAAGAAGCAACATGCTGGATGAACTAATTTTCTTTCTCTTCTTTCTTTCTTTTTTTTTTTTTTTTTTTTTTTTGAGACAGGGTCTCGCTCTCTCGCCCAGGTTGGAGTGCAGTGGCGCGATCTTGGCTCACTGCCAGCTCCGCCTCCCGGGTTCACGCCATTCTCCTGCCTCAGCCTCCTGAGTAGCTGGGACTACAGGTACCCGCCACCACGCCCAGCTAATTTTTTGTATTTTTAATAGAGGCAGGGTTTCACCGCGTTAGCCAGGGTGGTCTCGATCTCCTGACCTCATGATCCGCCTGCCTCAGCCTCCCAAAGTGCTGGGATTACAGGCGTGAGCCACTGTGCCCGGCTTGCTTGCTTGCTTGCTTGCTTGCTTTCTCTCTCTCTCTCTTTCTTTCTCTCTCTTTTTCTCTCTCTCTCTTTCTTTCTCTTTTCCTTCCTTCCTTCTTTCCTTTATTTATTGAGGAGAAATTCATAGATTTCAAAGGGAACAATTCTATGATATTCAGTACATTCACAATGTAGTACAACTACCACCTCTATCTAGTTCCAAAACATTTCCATCATTTCCAAATAAAACCCTTTTCCCATTAGGCAGTTTCCCACCATTTTCCCTGTCATCAAATGTGGGCCACCACCAATCTGAGTTCTGTCTCTACTGATATACCTGATCTGGATATTTTATATACATATAATCATATAATATGTGGCCCTTTGTGTCTATCTTCTTTCACTTAGCACAATGTTTTCTAGGTTCATTGCATTCAGTAGCATATATCGAGGTACATGTGTTCAGTAGCATGTGTCAATACTCCATTTTTTTATGGCTAAATAATATTCCATTGTATGATAGACCACATTTTGTTTATCCAATCATCCATTCATGCACATTTGTGCTGTTTCCACCTTTTGTCATGAATAGTGCTGCTATGAACATGTGTGCATATGTAGTTATCTGAATGCCTGTTTTCAATTCTTTCATCCTATACCTAGGATGAAGTTTTAATGGAATCACTATCACTGCTGTGTTGAGAGATACTTGTGGGGAGGATAAGAACAGAAGGAAGAAAGCCAGTGAGAAGGCTATTGAAATACCCCAGGTAAGAGATGACAGAGACTGAGAGGAAGAAACCAGGAAGAAAACAGGAAAGTGAAGTGGAAACCAACTCAAGTGAATATTTCAAGGGAACGGGAGTAATGAAACCCACCGAAGGTTACTGACAGATCAAGTGAGATGATGACTGAGCACTGGCAGTGGAATTCAGTACTGGGGAGGTCAGTGAGGAAGACATGTCTAGGGAGAAAGCCTCAGTGGAATGAGAGGACATGGTGACCCAGAGTAAACATCTCTTTCAAAGAGTTTTACTAAAGAACACAGAGAAATTGAGTGACAGACAGAGGGGGATCTAGGGTCAAAAGATTGTTTTTAATGAGAGTAATTACAGAATGTTTGCTGATAAGAATAATTTTGTACTAGAGAAATCTTCAGGATGTAGGAGGGAAGTTGGGGAGGAGTACTGGAGTGACATTCCACAAGTAAATGAGAGGGAGATCAGAGGGGAACTAGGGCACTTGTGGAGTGAGTGTCAGCCTTAACTTAGAGCAAGTAAAGACTCCTAGATGCTCTAGGCAGAATTCTCAGAAACTCATATTGGAAAGAGCCTAAAGTCTGGACCACTCTGGATTATTTGATCTAATAATGAGGGAAGCCAAGTCTAAGCCAAAATATTGCATAAACCAAAGCATTCATATTTGACTGTGTAATATAATTTTGCTATGCCACATATTTACTCTTCTCTTGATGTTTTGGGGCCAGTGTTAAGGCCAAGATCATGAATGGTGAAGCAGATGGCTCAGGAGTGAGCACACTGACTGGATAAACTAAGCCCTGCGCCTCAAACCACATGCATAACGTTGAGGCCTTAGGAATGGCATTGAGAGATGTTGTTACCAAGATCACTAGTAAATATTCCCACATCTAATGCCAATATGTACACATAGTAAGTAAGGTGGAGGTATGTTTAAAATACCTTTTTCTAGTATTTAAGGGCAGCTATGATATAGCAGAAAGAGCACTGAAAGGTCTGGATTCGAGGCCCCACTCTACCACTTATTAGCTGTGTGACCTTAGTCAAGGTAATTAACCTCTCTGAGCCTGAATTTCTTCAACTGTAAAATGGGCTTAGTGACACCCATGCACCAGTCATCAGCAGCAAATAAGGAGATATTTCTAAAAGCAGTTTGTAAAATAGTACACAGTTATCCAGATAGTCAGGCTTTAGCTGTCTACATGTGCTTCACATTGTTATGAAAATTGTTGTAAGCCATTGCAAAGACCATATGACAGGCAACATAAAAATCCTCAAAAGCAGAGCTATACTTTCTATACACTGGAACCAAAGCCAAGGAATAGGACAGAGAGAAATCTCCAATAGTATGTGGCCTCTTCTAGAGTCTAGACTCATTACCTCATCCCTGGCTAAGCCTCCAAAGGCTCACCAAGAGCTACCCAGAGATGGATTTCCTGTTTCACCACTTACTCCCATCACCTCACCAAGAACATTTCAGTCCCTTGGAGGCTCTGGGACAAAAGAGGGTGAGATAACGAGCTTAGACTCTCAATTTGGAGACTACCTCCAGAGGGTGTTATCTCTCCCAGTGCAGAGAGCAGGGCTGCTTAGAATATCCTGCCGAGAATCAGCTTCCCTAAGGTTTGTTTGCGCAGAGCCTGCATTTCCATCCTCATAATAGACATTGCGGATAAGAGTTCAGCAAACTAATAGAATAAATGCAGGAACTGCCCCTGCACCAAAAGATACCAGAATTTCAACCACACTAGACATCTCCCCTGGTGACCCTTTAGATCAACCCTCTCCAGTAGAACTTCCTGTGATGATGAAAATGTCTTAGCTCAACCATTGTGGAAGACAGTGTGGCAATTCCTCAAAGACTTAGAACCAGAAATACCATTTGACCCAGCAATCCCATTACTGGGTATATACACAAAGGAATATAAATCATTCTATTATAAAGATACATGCATGCCTATGTTCATTGCAGAACTATTCACAATAGCAAAGACATGGAATCAACCCAATGCCCATCAATGGTAGATTGGATTAAAAAACTGTGGTACATATACACCATGGAATACAATGCAGCCATAAAAAGGAATGAGATCACGTCCTTTGCAGGGACACGGATGAAGCTGGAAGCCATTATTCTCAGCAAACTGTTGCAGGAACAGAAAACCAAGCACCGCATGTTCTCACTTATAAGTGGGAGCCAAACAAGGAGAACACATGGACACAGGGAGGGGAACAACACTTACTGGGGCCTGTGCGGGGAGAGTTGGTGAGGGAGAGCATTAGGGAAAAGAGCTAATGAATGCTGGGCTTAATACCTGGGTGATAGGTTGATAGGTGCAGCAAACCACCATGGCACACGTTTACTTATGTAACAAACCTGCAAATCCTGCACATGCACCCCAAAACTTAAAAAAAATATATTAAAAAAAAGAAAGAAAATGTCCTCTATCTGTGCTGTCCAACATGGTAGCCATGAGCCAAGTTTATATGCTCCTGGAGAAAAAGTACTGAGATGCCTTAAAGTAAGGCAAAAGTGGGAAAGTGAAGACTTTGGTGCATTCTTATAGACAGTCTTATCCTGCCCCCAGCTACCTGGCATGGCTCTGTCCTCTCCACCAATCTAAATCCTTCCCAGCCCTCAAGAGTCAGCTCAAGACTCATACCCCCCATAAAATCATCTATGCCTGTCCAATTCTGTGTCTCATGTGGGTACACTGAAAACAAGGGCTAGAGAAATTTGGAGACTCAGGAAACTCCTGTGGGGGCAAGCAAGGAAGTATTCTCCAGGGAAATGATAACTTAAATGGGAGCCTTAAACATTAAGAATCTGAGCAGGCCAAGTTATATGTTCAGACAAGCCAAGTGGAGACCCTAGAATGAGCAAGGGTGTAGAGGCCAAAAGCCACTCAAGGTGTGTCAAACAGTTAGAAAATGAACCAGGTTTACTGATACCTCTTTGGCAGAGGGGAGTATCAGGATGTTTTAGAAAATTCTTATTTCCTGCCAGATCTGAGGTTGGTTTGAGTGGGATGGAAGAGGGCCTTGAGTGCTGACTTCAGTCTCTATTTTATAGGAAATGGGGAGTCTTAACACATTTTTGAGCATAGGGATAACTTGAACAAAGAACACTGTGGGAAGAATATTCTGTTAGGACCAGCACACAGGACAGATGGGAAAGAATCCTGGAAAAGTAGGGACCACTGGGATCCCGTATCCCAATGCCTTTCATTTCTCAGGAATGACTTCTCCTTTTCTGATGGTTTCAAACAACCCAGTGACAATTTCCTCTTCCAACAGTGGAGCCTCACCACAACAGATAACTGCTGGCTACCTTCCCAACAGCCAGCCATTTCCCTCCCAATCACCATTTTCTAGCCTGCAAAGAGAACCCTGATTTTATTAGGTAGCAATATTTCCCACCCAGGGATGAGTCCTCATTTATCCTAGCTAGGCCAACCCATCTCTTTCCCCTTTACCAAGGCTAGCCTTGGGGAAGACATGTGGTCCTGTTATGGCCAAAGAGAAATAAGGGCAAATCTGCTAAGAAAGAATTTTTTTGCTCTGTGAGTAAGAAGTAAACAATGAAGAACCCCCTGGTCCCAGCTCTTTCCTTCATACTTTGGACCCTGTCCTGTGAGGATGAGAAGCCATCATGCAGGTATTAGGTAGCAAGCTGGACAATGATACCAACATCCCAAAGATAGAGAGAGGCTGGATCCCTGATGACATTATTGAACTGCCAAACCAACACAGTATCACATACCTCCAGACTTCAGGTTTAGTAAAAATAGTTCTCCTATTGGTTTAAGCCTCTGTTCATTTAGTTTTGTGTTTGTTGCAGCCCAAAACCTACTAAACTCATATAGTTCACCTGGGATCTGGCCACAGAGCTGATCTGTGATTCCTATTCCTATAGCTAATCGAAGTACATGGATCCTGCAGGACATCCCTGCAATTGAGGGTGCAGTGGACCAAGAGCACAGGTCTTGGGCAGTGGCCAAGACCGAGAAGCAACAGTCACCAAGGCTAGAGGATGCTGATCCCCATCATAAAAGGAAGAGAGCCACACTCTTCCCTTGCTGCTGGGCAGGTAGAAATACCTGGCAGGAGGAGGATGTGCCAAGCCAGAGGAAGCCAGAAGAGCTGACTCTTGAGGGCTGGGAAGGATTTAGGTTGGTGGACAGGACAGAGCCATGCCAGGTAGCTGGGGGCAGAATAAGACTGTCTATAAGAATGCACCAAAGTCTTCACTTTCCCACTTTTGCCTTACTTTAAGGCATCTCAGTACTTTTTCTCCAGGAGCATATAAACTTGGCTCATGGCTACCATGTTGGACAGCACAGATAGAGGACATTTTCTTTCTTTTTTTTAATATATATTTTTTTAAGTTTCGGGGTACATGTGCAGGATGTGCAGGTTTGTTACATAAGTAAACGTGTGCCATGGTGGTTTGCTGCACCTATCAACCAGAGGAAGGGCTCAGGGCCCCAGCTAATTCATCTAGGACCACACTGCCCACCAAGGGGCTTGGTCCTCCAAACTGAGAAGAAAGATCCCTCCCACCAGCCAGGCCCAGGGCTTGACAAGCTGGATGCATTCCCTGCCAAATCCTCACTGCCTATCATACTTTACGAACACAAAAACAAATTCCACCATATGTTAAAGTTAATTGCAAACATTTGCTGCTGAAGAGAGCTCCATTTCTTAAGAGCCCACAGAGATCTGGTTACACTGGTGGCTGAAGCATCAACCACCCTCATTCACTCATTGAAAGCAGGGCAAAGTAAGGGTGGCAACCAAGTGGTGGAAGAGACCCTCATTGCTTCCTTCCCTGCCTCTTCCCCCTCAGTCTGTTTCCACCTCCACTGGGTCCAAACAAGTGCACATTCCAGGCCAGAGAGTGTGCACCCCTCTATCAACACAGAACAATGACCATAGTGGCGATTTGGGAGGACCAGGGCTGTGGGGGCAGGGAGAGATGATGTCAGGAAAGCATGGAAGGAAGAGGATGAACTGAAGTCAGCTGGCTGTGTTTCATTGCCTGGCGAGTGCTGAAATAGGAGCCACAGAGAAACCCAGCAGCTCCAGAGTACCCAGAGCAGTCAGGGTGGTTTGCTAGGGGTCTGCATAATGTCTATGAGCGATAGTTATTGATGGTGTGGTTTAGTGGGGGTAAACCTGTGGCTAACAAGGCCCTCAGCCTAGAATGCAGCCTGGAGAAGTCCCCAGACAACATAGATAGCTGGGAGGAAGTAAGGACTTAGATCTCCATGAACATTCTTCCACGGACCACAGAGGCATTAATAAGCACATCCCTGGCAGCATGAAAGGGAAGTAGGAGGCTGTGCATTGCCTCCACATTCCCATCTGTCCCAGAAGAAGCATTCATGGTTTGAATTTGCACCAACCCAGCTGGAGACATGAACGGGGAGGAGCTCTAAGTGCTCTCCTGGCTCAGGCAAGAGCACTACTGAGGATGTCTCCAGAGCAATTCCTTGAACTGCTCTTTGGGCAAGGGCAGATGTGTTGTGTCTGGCTGACAGAGAACTCTTTCTGAGCAACCACTTGGAGAAGGAATATCTGATGCCAGCATAGTCAGTGAATGACCTGTCATGACTTGGAACTCATACCCCAAGCCCTTCCAAGAAGTGACTAGCATGTGTGGTCTGCAGAAGGGGGCTCACTTGGCCATCTTCTCAAGCAACCCAATATCCCTCAGTAGGCACCTCCTAACAGCAAGTCCCAAGACACACAATCTGCATCCATACAAAGCCCATTCACACAGCCAATTCACACAGGCAACTCAAAGGAGAAAACAATCTGTCAAGAAAGTCAGGTGAACCAACTAGGAACCTCTTGGAGCTTGTCAATTGAGACCTCACCTTCCCATCTGGGATCCTGTATATTGACCACTTAAATATTATTTCGTCTCCTTAGATATGACTCTTTCCCTCCACCCTCCACCAAACACATTTCAGCACTTCATTATATACTATCTTATTTGTAATAAACAAGTATTTATGAAGCGTCCACTGTATCAAGTTCCCCCATGCTATGTGTATCACAAAAACATATATTGTCCTTACCAAGATAAGTCTAATATCTAGTTGGAGGTGCAAAGCATTTACATGAAAAAAACTAAGTGACAATACAAAATTTAGGTGAGAGTTCAAGATGACGGTGCAAGAGGACATTTAATGAAGGCCAACTACAAATGAGGCGCCCTTGGGAGGGCATAGAGGACCATGAGGAGCTGCCACAAGTAGTGCCCAGTGGAGACAAGAGATGTGGCCATCATCGTGCTCACCAACCCTTACATACCCAAGACGTTCCTCAAGCTGCTAGACTACATCATTCATTCCTCACAGCCACCCTTTGAGTCAAACATAATTGTCATCCCCACTTTACAGATTAGGAAATTGGGTATGCAGAGGTTAAGTGACCATATAATCTCATCCTAGCTTGACTGTAATGCATCTGTCCTGGGTCCTGGACAGTGCACACCTGCCTGGGTTTCTGGAATGACTTTTTCTCTCTTTTCTACCTTTCAGGTCCAACTATGGCCTTCCTTGGCCACCCCCATCCATTGCCAATACCTCTACACACGTATGTATTTGCACTTTAATCTTTGTGTTCAAGGAATATTTTACACATCTACCCTGGTTTATGTTATAATATTTATAAATATTGGTTTATATTTGCCACCCTCACTACTTTGTGTCTCTAGAGGAACCCATTCATTTTTGCACCCTCAGAACATAGTATACTACTTAGCATACAGTAGGTACTTAATAAATGTTGGTCAGATTGATTTAGATTGGATTGAATTGAACTAATTTGGGGTTTCGGTTTTGGGGCATAGAAGCAAGGACTTATTGCTGATTCTGAGAGCTAAGGAATGGCCAAACAGCCCTTAGCTAATCCACCTTCCCAGCACTGGCCTCCAGGAGTGAGTATTTACTGCAGAAATCAGAAGTGGCAGTGGGACTGATGGATGGCCACCACCCTCATAAAGAGCTGTGGGATGCAGTCTCCAGCCTCAGCCTCAGGGCTGCTATGTCCCTTGAAACTTTATGGCATCGTTGCCATGGCGGTCACGGATGTAACGTGCCATGAAGGTAAAACGTGAAATTCCCCTAGAGGTGAAACACTGGTGGGAACCCATTCACAGGCAACCCTGAGCTACTTAACCTCTCTGAGCCTCACTCAGTTTCCCCATCTGTAAAATGGAAATAATAACACTTACCTCATAAGGTAGTTGAGAGGATTAAATACAATAAGGCCCAGTGACTGACACATAGTAGGTGCTCAATAATTGGTAGTAATTCCCATTTTCTTACCTGTTTGAGGGAATATGAGTTCTAGCATGATTTCATTTTGCCAGAGTGAATTTTTTTGGTCTTATTTTAATTTTTAATTTAAATATAGGATTCATAGGTTCATAGGAGCTCTGGAGTTAATGATGAAAGGAACCCTATGGTTTCCAATAAATGAGGCTTCCCATTGATCAAACACAGCCAGACTGACATCTGAAATTGCCCCTGAAGTGCACAGAACTCAACTCTTCCCAATTTCACAGCACCCGACAGCCCCGAGTCCTAGGCTGGAGCCTCTATCAGGCAAGCAATTTGCTTCTGGGTCCCTCGAGTCACTTGTTTGACTTTGCTGATTAATACATTAATGGCAGTTATTCATTAGCAACTGTGAACAACACTCCCCAATAAGCAGCAGTCTGGGCTTTGTTGGAGAGCCCACTGCAACTGCTCGTTAGCATTTGTGGGAAACATCCCAGTAAAAATACCAAAGGCTATCACGCTAAATCCGACTGGGGTGACAGAGGTTTACATACTTCCACGTAACTTCTAGTCATCTCCCAATATTCATAGACCCTTCCTTCCCATATATCCCTACTGGGTTCCCCTCAATTACACTCTGTTGCCCCCCATCATATCCAGTTCCTTGGCAAAGCCCCCTTCCTTATTTCTATAGCAAATCAATTCATCAAACAAGAAGTAATCCTTCTCCAGGGAAGAAGAGCTGCTGAATCACTCTTGGGACTGGAAGGGGGCTGGTGGAGGGGACGAGGCAGATGCAAGGGGAGAAAAAAGTATAGGGATGAAAATGTGCAGCACACAGGAACGACAACTGGGAGGACTGTGCTCTCATGCCTCTGGTTTCTAGAGCTTTTATGGCGCTGGGGTGTGTGTGTATGTGTGTGTGTGTGTGTGTGTGTGTGTGTGTGTGTGTGTTTGTCTTCCTCCCTGTGAGTTTGAACACCAGCCAACTCAGAGAATGAGAGCAGACTGGGGCTAGGCAAGGAGATGGCCACAACTGTGTTTGGGAATGTCGCTGAGTTTTCACAAAGGGAAGCTGGAGTGTGAGTGATGGGATGCACACACCCCACCCGAGAGGCTGGCAGGAAGAAGAGGGGGAGGGGCCAAGATGTAAAGAAGAAAGGAAAAATCAAGTGTGCCCCTTCAGAGTGCATCATCCCTGGCTACAATCCTGAGAATACATTTTCTGATTCTTCTTGCCAAACTTCAACTCCTGGATCACCGCATATTTTGGCAAAGCTTCTCTACCTTTTCCTGCTCATTGACCAATCAATTGATTGATAGAGAGGTCTTGAATGCTGAGACAAGCTCCTCCTTGTCTGATACTGAGAGCCTGCTGGGATTTTAAAAACAGACCCCTGAGGATGAAGAGTTCTTTAAACATAAAATGATTCCAGCTGAGGCAGCCGCCTCTCCACCCTCACCCTTCCTATCTTTGGTAAAGCTCAGGCAGAAACATGTAGCTGTAAGTCCCAGAAAGAATCTGCACATGCAACTCTGATGATTGATAGCAATTCTCATTTCCAGCCTCAGGAGAATGAACAGCCAGTGGCCCTACAACCATATGCTCCAAACCAGGGTGAACACAATGCTCAAAGATTGAGATTATAATCACCCTGTCCTGACTGGGCCACTAAAGTCACGTTAGACAGTGCTATACTACATGATGCAGTGTTTGTAAAGAAAAGTCAAAAAAAAAAAAAATTAAGTGTGGCTGATGTTATTCTTTCTTGGAAGAAATAAACTCAGACCTGAAGAGAGGAGTTGGGGGAAAAAAGCATACAATTAGGAAGTTAAGAAGGAGGATAGCATCAGTAAGATAATGCATGTGAACATACTTTATGAGGTGCATAGGAATTCTGTACATGTAACTGGACATTGTTATCATTATTGCTGATAACTCCACCTTACAGGAGGGGAAACAGGGCTTTGAACAGTAAAGAGATACAGAGAGGTAAAGGGAGGAACTTACCTGAGCCCAAGATTTGGGCTCTGAAGTCCATCATCAGCCAAATGCAAGGCATGCCACAATTGTGTCAATAATTATTAGCAGCTTCAAGACAAGGAACAACTGAGCGGTAGAAGCTACATGCAGGGTGCAAGAGCACAACAGCTCTGGGGACTTCCACTTGACTGTTTGCCACAGGAATGGTGAGTGCCTGAGTAATGGATTTGTGTGGGTTTGTTGGTAAAAGATGCAGGTAAGGAGGGTACAGCAAGTTTACTGGGCTGGTGGAACTGCAAATGCAGGGCGAGCCAGAGTAGGAAGACACTGGTCATAGAAGGTGGGGGTCAGAAAGGCTCTGTGGGTGGCATGTCCACTCGATGAAGTTGTCTTGGCATCGGCCCACCTCCCCACTCTCCACCAGGGCTCACTACCAGGAGCGCCAGCTTCCAGAAGACATCTCTGCCAAATCCCCCCCTTGGGAAGGGGAATTCCAGGGCTGTGCAGGAATCTGGGAGACTGTTCAGGGGTCACAGAGTATTCCAATATCACTCACTGGGTCTTCCCTCATTTGACACTCCCTCTCTCCTTGGGCAAATGTATGTTAGTGTCAGAGACAAATTTATCCTGGGTTGTCACTGTGCCATATAAATTGTGCAAAGCACCTGACTGCCAGGAAAACCCAAGTCCGTCTTTACTCTACCAGCCCTCTCTGGGCTTCAGATTCCTGGAATCCCCTGCTCTGTCAGTGCTGGCCACAGGCAGGTCTGATCCTTCTGCTGAGTGTACTCCAGCCTCAACTCCTACAGCTCCACACAGCACCTAAAATGCCTGCTGCTAAAATAGCAGAGCAAGGAAGGTGGGGATCTGATGTCATTTGGGGCAAAAAGAATCAAGCTTCTTTCATTTTGCTGGGTCACATAAATGAAGAAATAAAGTGGAGTTCTTACCCAGGGGACTCTATGGTTGAGCATCAGGGAAGTCTATGGACACCCAGAAATTATATGGCTTTAAGTGTTTTTATGTGAACTTTTGAGAATAACTATAGTTGTAACAGCTAATACTGTGTGCTAGTTGCTATTCTAAGAGCTTAACACATATCAGCTAATTTAATCCTTGGATAGGAGATATAAATTGTTTTTAACCTCTATTTAAAAATGAGGGAATGGAGGTACCAAGAGATTTATTAACTTGGCCAAGGAAGGTCACAAAGCTAATAAGTGGCAGAGCCAGAATTCAAACTCAGGCCACTTGACTCCAGAGCTCCTGCTCATAACCACCTTGACGTCCTGTCCCAGTTTACTTCATATTCTCACAGAGGTCCATGACCTCACAAACTCAAACTGTCATGAAGACATCTTGCTATCAACATCTAGCGTATGGCTATGACTTACTCATCTTTGTACACTGAAAATCAAGAGCTGTGTCTGGGACGTGCTCCCGTAGCTCAGCAGCTACTCCAGGAAAAAATGAAGTTTCCAGAATCTAAGCTCCCTCTTGGACAGCTTTCCTCTTTCTTTTGGAGTAACCTCTTTCTCACATTCTCTTACTACTTGGCACTGAGTACCTGCTGCCAAGTTCCTAATCAAACACTGGATTTTTGCTGCCACAAGTTTTTTTTTCCTTCCTGCCTGCTGCATTCTCTCTTCTCTCTTCCCCATCCTCCCTCTTCACCTGCAGTCTTTCTGAACCTCACTTGCTCCATAAACCCCGGGGACAGCCCACAACCACCTTCTTCTGGCCTACCTCCTAGTTTGAGTGGCAGTTGTATAGGAGATGGCAGGACTGAAATTCAGCACACCCTCTGCTCCAGGGGACTGCAAGGCCTCAGACACAGCACAACAAAAGCCTGCTTCTCACCCAGAGAAAACTCACCTGCTAGGAAGCCACTCAAAGAGGCTGACAGAGTGGAACTGGAGCATTAACCCTGCACCCAGTGCTGCTGAGGTCCCAGAAGGCTGAGAGAAGGTACAGGGCAGGACCCCGCAAGGGCCATGGGCTGAGGTTCAGACTTATTATACAACACCCTGAGGGAACCTCAGCCCAGGAGGGCACCAGGAAAGAGCTACTCTGCATCAAAGAAGGTAGGCTTCTCTCTGTTCATGGGGGCACTTTCTGGAATTTTGGAGGAGTCCAAAATTTAAAGTTAAACTTCTACCACCAGCTGTATATCGCCTGTGAGCATTCAATACATTTTCCCTCATCAATGAGTTCCAGAATAGAATTAGGAGCCTTTTCACTTTGGATTGCAAACTTACAAAACCTGTCCAATGAAGGCTGAAGTCTGTTATCCTTTGCAGGGGCTCCTGTGGTTGTGAGAAATAAGCGGGTGGAGACTTCATCCAGTGGGAAGAGGCCTCGTCCCCAATAACTGCCTCTGCGGTCAGCAAGCACAGGCCTCAAGTTTGTTTCCTGCTCCAGATGACCTTGGAAGAAGCACCAGAGTGCCCAGCTCAGCACCCTCTTTACAATAACGCTCAGAGTTAGGCATTTCCAGGACTGAAATTCATTGTATTAATTTTCCCTACCACAAGGGAACTTGAGAGAAGATCCAAGAGAGAAACTGGCATTAATTCCATCTACAATGCCATCTGCCCTTGAGAGAGAAGGCTGGTGCTGATGCTTGGCTCTGTGCTCTCTGTCTGGGAAGCTCAGCTTCCTTATGCCTCTGTTTCCCCTTCAGTTAAATGGGGCTGATGCTGCCTGTCCAGGACAACATTATTCATTTGAGTATATCTAGGACTGCACAAATGGCATAGGGCAAATTTATCCTGCTATTAGTGACTCGATAATAATAAAAATAATTTGTATTATTAGTTCCAACAAATGACCACCATTTGGGCTTATATGGCAGTGTCTCTCCACATCAATAAACATATCAACTGCCCCAAAGATTCTCAAGTGGGGATTTTTGGGGGAGGGCTTGAGAGAGTCGTTTACATGACCCTTTTCCATCTCGTGGTCCCCCTCTCCCTGGGGCGGGCAAGTGCTCGTTTTACTGCCTGGCAACCAGACTGGGACTAAGCTTGCTAAAATATGAGTGTTTTTTTGGCTGGAGTACCAGAGAGCCTGCAGCCCTACGGAGAGAGAAAAATTGAACACACCAGGCCGTGGCTCCAGAAAGGGGAAGAATTAGGCTTCACACCGAGCAGGCTGAACCATGGCATTCTTTAGATAATGCTTAACAAACCCCCAAACAAAGGCAGCCAACTTAGCTGCATGTTCGTAAAATGTATTCTCAGCAGATTCGGGCTTATTGAAGCACTGACTTGCTTTGCAGCCAGGGTCCCCATCCTAAGCTTCCCGTTTTTCCGTGCTGCTCCCCTTGTCTAAATTCCTACAGATTCTGCCAATCAGAATTCCTCACCTCGGACTCAGGGAGGCTTAGCAACCAAGGTAAATGGTGGTGCTTTTAAATTTGATCCTAACCCTTAAAAACAACTGTCTCCCACCCCAAAGCACCCCACCCTGATGAGCCATCATCTGAAGCCAGCCTCTTCAGTGGGCTGAGGGCTGACTTCTTAAAGATGAAGGGGAGCATTCAGGGATTCACCTCTATGTCTCACCATTGTGACACTTCTCATATTTATTCAATGCTGCATTAGACTGTTTATTTCTACAGTCCCAAAAATTCAACTTGAGGAATTTTCTTTGGCTTTGCGACCATCACTGTTATTTTTTAAACAATAGTTATCATTAGTGCTATTAGTATTCATGCACCCATACAGAAAGCCAGCTTGATAAACTAGTAGGCATGCATTTGTGGTTTAGTCTGCTTTTCTATTGCATAGGGTATAAGACTAGGTAGAACTGGCAAAAGTTATGGAAGCAGACTTATATATCTGGGGCCAAACACAAACAGTACTGAACTTTATTATTACTCAATGCAGCTTCCACTCTTTTTTACCACCCCACCCCCACCGCATGGTATCCCAGTGAGCCCTTACTCAAATTCCCCAGGATCTGTGCATTGGATAGGGCCTTCGTAACAGTCAATGGGGGGCAGAAACTTAAGGTCTAGAGACCAGATTATGATCCTGATGGATATGCTACTTACAAATTTATTGAGATCAATTCATTTTCTGCAGAAGGTGGCACCATCCCACCCCAGAACATGGAGAAGTAGTCTGGTGGCTGGAGTCCTACTGACACTCCTTGCTAACTCTGTGACCTCAAGCAAGATTCTGTGTTAGGAACCTTCTTCCCCATAAAATGAGAATAACAATTCCTCTCATTCAGGACTGAATAGGAAAAGGAGTAGAAGGCACTTTTAGTACCTCTGAGAAAAAAAAAGAAAAAGCAGAAATGCAAGACACTAAGCTTTCTGAAAAATTTCCAGGACTACTTAGTTCTTGAATTTCCTACATGTGGCCACCTTAAATCCTGGTCTCCCACTGAAAGGTGTCAGCTGAGCTGGCATACCCAGCTCTAAAGCACAGACCAGGGCTTCCATCAGGATTAGGAGCAAAGTCTACTTGGACCTGTGACCTAAATGTTCTTCAGTTCAGGTCTGGTAGATTTAAGTGGTGATCGCTGCAAACGTGGAGTCCAGGAAACACATTGAGCATGGAGTTTAGCAATCAAGTCCAGCTCAAACCCAGGAGACTGAAGAGACTCCAGGATTTCTAGAGGTGAAGATAAGGGAACTTGCATTGGAGGAAAGGTTTCAGGCTGACCACAGGCAGAGAGGAAAGCAGGCTTTATGAATGATGGCTGCAACTGTATGCAGGAGATCAATGTGTGCATTTATGTGTAAACAGCAACTGTTTGCTAAAGACTGCCCACTTAGCCAACTGTACACACAGGCAATATTTTGTGTGTGTGTGTGTATGTGTGTGTGTGTGTGTGTGTGTGTGTGTGAAGCCACTGTCCTTTCAAAATGAAGCTATATTGCTTAGCATATTGATAAATGTTCAGAAAGTTACCTGTCGACTGACCAGCAATTCTGCTGACTTTTAGATTATCCATATGATTTTTCCCCAGAGATGGCAATGAGTTTTCACTGATAAATCAATTTCTCACTTAGATCTCTTGTGATCAATGACCCCCAGGTGTGAAATGGCCAACTGTGGTTAGGAGCACAGATACCTCAGACAACAGGGAGAAGGAAATACATTGGCACATGCCAGCCCTCAGACCACAGCCTTGCCACTCTGCTTCCTGCTGGGCACTGACCCCTGGGCCCCAGATTTGTGTTTCTTCCTTCTCCACACTCTCTGCCCAGGTCATCCATTCAGCCTCATGGTTTTCAATACCACCTATAGCCTGATAAATCCCAAATCTCTATCACTAGCCACTCTTCTAAATTCCAAACTCATGCTATCCAATTGCCTCTTTGACATCACCACCTGAATATACAGTCACCCCTCAACATTCTCAAGGGATTGGCTCCAGAAGCCCCTCGGATACCAAAACTCTCAGGTGCTCAAGTCTCTGATATAAAATGTAGTATGTGCATGTAACCTACGCACACCCTTCTGTATACTTTCATTCTTCTCTAGGTTACTTATAATACCTAACACAACATAAATGCTGTGTCAATCATTGTTATACTACATTGTTTTAAAATTTGTATTATTTTTATTGTATTGTTAGTTTCTAAAAATATTTTCAACCCATGATTGGTTGAATCTATGGATGCAGAACCTGTGGCTCTGGAACCCTCAGATATGGAGGCCGACTGTGTAACACAAATATAAGCTTCACGTGGCCAGGCAGAACCCTTTGCTATGCCTCCATCCATGCTTCCACTCATTCACGTGGCAGTTAGTAGGGTCTCCATCTACCTAGGAGTCACCTTTGGTTCCTCTCTGTCCTTCACCCCACTTCTAAGTCTTCAACCAGTCCTTCTAGGCCTCCAAATCATGTACGGAGTTCCTGTACTTCTCACTATCTCCACTGCTACCTCCATCCCTTGCCTTCCTAAACTGGCACAAGGCAGTCAGAGTAATCTTTTTAAAATGTAAATCATCAGTCCTCAGTGTAAAGCCTTCCAGTGGTTTCCTAATGGATTCAGAAGAAAAACCCAAACCTCTACTCTGACTTATAAAACATATTCCAGTTTGATCCTCACCACTGTCTCCAACCCCAAGTCACACATACTCTTTCATTCAGCTCCAGCGCACTGATTTCTTTCCATGCCTCAACTATAGTCATATGATGAATAAAGACTTTGGTCAATGACAGGCTGTGTAGACAATGGTGGACCCATAAAATTATAATACCATATTTTTACTGTACCTTTTCTATGTTTAGATATGCTTAGATACACAAATACCATGTTGTTACAACTGCCTACAGTGTTCAGTACAGTCACATACTGTACAGGTTTGTAACATAGAAGCAATAGGTTCTACCACACAGCCTAAATGTGTAGTAGCAGGCTACACCATCTAGGTTTGAGTAAGTACAATCTGTGATGTTCACATGACAGAATCTCCTAACAACAGATCTCTCAGAATGAATCCCAGTCATTAAGTAACACATGACTGTATGTCAAGCTCATTTTCAACATAAAGCTTTTTACTGGTCAAATGTCCTGCCTGGAACCTCCTCCTCCTCTTCTTTTTCCTCCTCTTCCTCTTTCTCTTCTTTGTCCTCACACTCATCTTCATCTCCCACGTGAATGGCTCCTGACATTCAGCTCTTAGCTCAAAAGGGTCTTCCTTGACCACACATCTTAATGTAGCCATCTGGTCACTTTACCACATACCCTGCATAGCATTGCTTTTTTCATTTGCTTGTTTATTCCTGCTTGTTTTCTCCAACTCGAATGTAATTTCATGAGTAGAGAAACCATGTCTGAATGGCTAAAACACAGCCTGGCACGTAGCAGGTTCTTAAAACATTTTTCAAATGTATGGTCTTCTAACCAATAAAATACACACAAACACAAACATTCAGTTTTTAACACATCAGGCGGGTTGTCCTCATTACTCTCATTGTCCACAATATGCCATGTATCACAAGCCTATGCTTACTTTATCTCTAATGCCCCTTTGTTGCTGGGAGGCAGAAGAAAGAAATTGCTGAATACTCATGGCCTGGACTGGCAGGAGGTAAAGATACAAACTCATTCCCCCTCACCCCAACCTTCATCATTACAGTCTATCTCTATGGTCCACTCTGAATCAGGTATTTAAGAAACAGTGTTGAGGTCAAAAGACATAAATGTCCAGGGCTCGGCCCCTAATTGCACAGGCGATGCCAAACAAGCCACATCTCCTCTCTCACCTGTACTCTTTCTCATCTGCGAGATGACTGTAATATCAGCCTTGCCCACCTGACAGGGCTGTCTTGAGGAACAAGTAAGTATATGAAAGCACTTTGCACATTGTAAAGCGTGAGCTGTAAATGTATGGATTATTAACGGTATTGAGATAGGTGGAATTTTCCAAAACTGCAAAATCTACCTAATTATTGATTTCATTTGATACTATCTGATTACCTTGGCTCCATGCGTGTTTGAGGTTAGAATAGGAGCTGACGAAGGACTGCTAAAGAAGAATTTCAAAGAACACATCCTAACAACAAACACTGAACGCTCATTCTGGGAGTCAAAGCTAATATTAAGAGTGAATGAGCAGGCAGGCTGTGGAGGTCAGAGTTAATTACAGCTAGCGGCATTTTACACGGTGCCTACCCAGACCCCCTCCGCTGGGAACAACCACAGTCTAAATCTGAGCCAGCTGATATTAGCGAGCAGTGATTAGAATATGCCCACAGGGCCTTTTAAACTTTCCTCCTCTAGTTAAAGCATTTGTTTTCAGCAAGATTTATAGGCTTGTCTGCTGAGCGCAAGCAGGTTTGCCAACACGGAAGTCCTTCAGCTTACAAAGCGTTGGCCACCCAGCACCCGCCGTAGCACCCTCATGGGAAGAAAAGCAGCCTCCATCTGGGTGTTCTTTCCCACCAGGAAGAGCACATGGAGAGATGGGAGGAGATTTTCGGGTTTCTGACCAGCCTGCAATAGCCGCCAGAACCAAGAGCCACAGCCAGAGGAAAATCACGTATGGTTGTTGCCTTTAGGAGAGCAAGAGTGCTTCAGTCTCTCTATCTGTGAAATGGGTTGACCTTGCCTGGCTATGCCAGATGGGAAGTGATTGGTGTTTGGAAGAATGTCAATTTATACCTTAGCCACATATCCACAGTGCTGTTCTTAAAAAGATTACATGTTTAGTTTCCCTGGTTTTAAATATTAATCTGCAAAAGGCATAAGGATCTCCCAGCCTGGAGGCAAGGATCCAGTGAAGAAAATAAAATAATCCTCACCTCTGCTTCATAGTTTTGGCCCATAGCACACCCAGAAGGAAATCCTTAGGTGGAGAGAGTTCTGGAGGAATTCTAGACTCCACTTCCCCATCCATGCAGCTTAAGTGTGGGCCCTGTAGGATGAGTTTCAGCTATAAAATGAGACCCATTCAGACTGTGTTTGAAAATCCTTCCAGTTCTAAACACAATGATGCTATATGTCTTATTGTTCCTTCCCATGATACCCACAAAATCAGAGCCCATTCTGCAAAGAAATCAGTGACAGCTCAGAGATGCTGCACACCTTTTCTGTTCTAAGAGCTGTTCTGTGTCTCTGCGTTGTCTGGCAGTAAAGTCCTCTTGTACAGAAAACAAGAGAAGCCTTCAATCTCCAAGGTGAACACATGCTTATGGGCTTCCTCGGGAAGATTATGAAAGAGCCTGAGGACCAGCTGTTCACCATCTCCACTGAGGAACAAACCAAAAGGAATGGGCTCAGCCTGATGGACTAGGGCTTAGGCTAGAAGTAGGGAAGCATTCTTAGCCAGGATGGGTTATTAAACACAGCAACGGGTTACTAAGGAAAGCGTGTAAGCTTCTTTTCCAAATGCCTTTATTAGCCCAATGGACCCTTGTCTATCTGTGGTGGCTCAGTTGTCTGGGTATGGATTTAGGGAGGAAGGACGGGGGCTATGAGACATCTTTCTTTTGCCAGCCATGTGACACTGCTCCCTGGTGTTGATCAGAGATATAGACTAGTTAATTAGGAAAATTATAGCTCCTCATTTTGGCCAGTAAAGAAAAGACAGTCCAAGGCTTATCGAGACTCATAGGCTAAAATCCAAGGGGAGGCAAGACCCCTGAGTGGTTGCTGTACAGGGGGAAGTGGAATTGGCATGAGGGCCCCTGTCTAGAGTCCAGGGGCCTGGGTTGACTCTTATTTCCACTGCTTTCACAATCTCTGTGTGAATGAACAACCTGCTACTTAAAACCCCTGAATCTTAATTTCCTCCTCTGTAAAATAGTCTCAATAATTCCAGTCTTGCAGGCTTCTTGTGTCTGATAATTTATGTAAAGGCACAGAGTATGTCGGCACTCAATAAATGTCAGCTTCCTTGTTTACTTCCTGGTAGACTCTGGATCTGTGCAGGAAGTGCCCTGATAGACTGCAGAAATCCCACCTGAAAGACAGCAGCCAGGGAAGAGCCAGGGTGGGTCTGACATGCCAGTTTGTTGGATGGACCATATATCAGCCTAAATTACTCCAATTCTGACAATACCTGGACAACAAAAGACCACAGGTTTCAGAACCAGAATCTGAGGTTCTGGTACTTGGTTTTGCCTTGGGAAAGTTACTTTAGTGCTCTGTGCCTCAGTTTCCCCTGATTTGGTAAAAATAAAATGAGAGTACCCAGAGTAGAAGGGAGAGAGCCCACCAAGTACCAGACACCAGACTCTGCATATTCCATTTTTGTAAATTAATCCTCACAAGAATCCTGCAGGGTTATTGCTATTAAGTGATTTTACAGATGAAGAAACTGAGGTTCAAAAAAGTAAATTACCCGAAATCATATAGATTATGTTTGACCAGGATTCAAACCCAGCCTACTTGGCTCTGAAAACAAGCCCTTTCCAATCTTAAAGACCTCACAGAGGTGTTCTGAGCATTTACAAGACTGTATCTGGAAATAATTAGAAAAAAGTAAATGATAATATTACCCTATAAGTGAAGTTTGGTGCTGAAAGAGAACAATTCTTGAGTACCACAGAGTCCAAGGTGAATCCAGATTAATTCATCCATCTCTCTGCCCCCTCTCACCGCCTAGTCAGATTAAAATGCAGGGGGTAAATACAATGGGAATTAATATTAATAATATGTTAATAGAAAGAATAAATCAAAACAGTCCCCTATTATGCTTGATAATAGGAAACATGGGAGCTTCAAAGCAAACTACCTAATTATCTGCACTGCCTTCTACCCCATTGGCTAGCCAGTTGCCCCAAGTAGCACAGAGTGGGCTTCCTTCCATAAAATCCACCTGATCCGGTCCAATCATCATATTCTGAAGATGGTTCGGGGGCAGAATATGACCAGTGACTTTAGAAATTCTCTTCACATGTGAGATAGTCCATTTCTCTAAAGGACTAAAAAAACTGAACTCTCTCTCCCTCTATTCCTGATAGGTAAATTGGAGCTCGGACTACACCTCTCGGACTACACCTCTCCTAAAAGAAAGAAGCCCAGATTCAAGAAGTAATTTGCCAAAAGGGAGGCGGTGACAAGACTGGGCTGGAATTGGGCCCTCAGGGTGAGTTACAACTGTGAATTCTTTTGTTCCTTTGTGTCCCAGAGCACTGGTATGCTCCAGTTATTCATCTGGGAAGGGTGAAGGTGGGTCCCTCTGCCCAGGTCTCCCAGCCCAAACATTCCAGGATTCACTCAACTCCCAGGCAACACCTCCTACAAGGGCCACACCAGCCCTGTGAGCCATGCTTAATACAGAGGTTTATTGAGGAATACTCTAACTCAACAAATTTATTTTAAAAATCTGTTAGGGGAAAATTATTCATGTTCCAAGATGGCTCTTGGCTTTGCTAAAAAAAAATAAAATTAAATTAAAAAAATTAAAAACAGACTGACGTACTATATGCCTTATATTTCTCTAAAGGCTCTTTTATTTCAAAATTCTGATTTATAGACAATTTCCCAGGAATGCTGCTATTGTGTAAATCAAGGTACACTTGTCCTGAGAGTGAGCTTCCCAGCCAGGGTGCCTTGTTTGGTTGTATAGTTTCAGAGCCAGATTGCGTTATTCATTAACTTCCTGTGTGAAAACCGAATAATAAAACTGAAGTGTGTTAAACAAATCCAGATGAGGGGGTTTAAATCACCTCCAGGTCACTAGGCTGAAAACCGCTGTCATTTCTCCTGGAACAAATATTCTCTACCTTACTCTAGCACCACATTATTAAATGGAGATAACAATATTTATGCCCTTCCCAAGGGGTAACAGGGATGGACAGCTCTCCTGGGTTGGGCCTGCTTGGATGAGGAAGTGACAAGCAGTGGGGAAACAGGTAGGTGGCCCCCAGAGTCTACTTCCAGCCCTGTGATTCCAAAACATGCACAGAGATTAGGGGCAGAAAGGTGTCTCGGGATGAGAAAGTGTGGTCTGGAAGAGGCAGGAATGTTTCTGTGACTAGCTATGGGAGTCAAACCCATCACCCCTTTGTAACAACCACTTAGCTCTTATTTCTCCCCAGGGATTTATGTGTGAGCGAACAGCAGGCAGCTGTCTCCTCGGCAGCGGCTGCCACCGGGAACTACAAGGCAACGTGAAGCCTGTGCTAGAAAAACCCCTCCTGGGCCGGTCCTGCAAGCAGCCAAGATGCGGTTAAAGATTCCAATTCTGATGGGATCCCATGTCTCCTAGGTTACAGCTGAGGACTGTGTTTTCCTTTATTACAACAGAAAATGTGTGTTCCCCAGGGACTGTTCAAACATCTGTATGAGGTACACCGTGTGTGTGTGCGTGTGTATGCGTGTTTGCGCGCCTGTGCTCACACACAGGCTCAGGCGGCAGCTATCATGACCTGGCTATTCAAATAACCCTCTCCAGATAGTTAAAATTCATGGTGCCTTATTGCTGTTCCAGCAGCCAGTCTGCTACAGATGTGTGGCGGTGCAGTTGCATTTGAAGCAAACAGTCTCAGAAGTCTAATTAAAATAGAGGAAGCGATCTCCTCCTCAAATTTCCTTTAGATTTAACTCCATAAAAATCACTAGGTAATATCCAACTGGCAGAGTGAATCATCAGAGCTGGCAGCTGGGCCAAGCAGGCAGAGCAAACAGACTTCTGGCCCCTGCTGGGGGTGTCTTACAAAACACCCACACCAGAGACTCCAGCCTCCTTGCCCTGTGCCTTCATCTAATCTTTTGTGGTCACATTTATGAAGCTATGATTATATGTCCATCTGGAGTTGGGAGGGGGTAAGGGTATTGTTGATTCACCTTAAAATCCACTGACCCAAAGTCACTGAAATGTGTGCTCAAGTGCTTTTCTCTGATTATTGATAAAAAAAAAAAAAGAGAGAGAGAGAGAGCCAGTTGCCTGGATATTCACACAAGCAAAATGGCACTACAGATCTAGTTATCCCAAAGGGAGATCCTTCGTTTGCTGATATGAGCATTCTAGCATGTGTTTGGAACCATTTGTCACCCATGTCTAGCCCAAGAGTCAGATGTAAAATGCCCCAGGAACTGGTTTGGGATGAATTTAAACTCCCTCTAAAGAAGGGTTGCCAAGGCTCCCTGGCTTCAAATCTTACCTACCTCTTCTCCCATAATAAGTTTAAAGTAATTCAGCATGTAAAATGTTCATGTTTCCAGTGTCCAAAATCTCAGGGCTGACAATGAATTTACCTGAATAGTCATTAGGTGCACACATTCACACATCACTGCTGAGGGCAGGAACTGCCGTGTAGCACAAGAGGCTCTGGATACGGAGTCAGAGAGCTGAGTCTGGTTGGAGGATTGGCTGCTCCAAGATAGCTAATTTTCCCCAGGGCTTCATTATTCATCTGGGAAATGATGGCACCCACCCTGCCTGCCTTAGACAGCTGTTGTGGGGTTAGATCTGATAGGAGTACTGTGCAAACTCTAAAGCCTCTGGTGTGCATTTAAGCTCTCAGCAGTCATACTGAGGATCAGCCAGCTTCTATGACATAGCTCGGTCTAGGCAGTTTTCAATCCTGGCTGGTGAACTTCTGAAACAATAGTGAAGCACAGGCCCATCCTTAGGGAGTCTGATTTCATTGTGCAGTTGGGCTAGTAGAAAGGAAACTGAGGTAGGTGACAGATTTGGGCCTCCCTTTCAGTAAACATACACTGCACATTTGGACCTGAGACATGAAGCCCTCAGTTTATGTATCAGTTAAATGGACATCACATAGTCTACATCTGGCTCCCCTATTCATTTCATTGATGTTTACTGACTATCAACTACACTTATTTCTTATGGTCACTGTAACAAATTACCTGACAATTGGTGGCTTAAAACAACAGAAATTTATTCTCTCGCGGTTCTAGAGACCAGAAGTTCAAAATCCGTTTCACTAGGCTGAAACAAAGATATCAGCAGAGCTACGCTCCCTCTAGAGGCTTAAGGGAAGATTCCATTCCTTGCTGCTTCTGGCTTCTGGTGGCTGCCAATGCCAACATTCCTTGGCTTATGGCCACATCACACCCATCTCTGCCTGTCTTCACATTGCCTTCGTGTGTGTGTGTGTGTGTGTGTGTTTGTAAAATGTCTCTATTTATAAAAACCCTTGCGATAGCATTTCAGGCCCACCCAGACAAACCAGGATTACGCCCTCATCTCAAGATCCTTAATTTAATCACATCTACAAAGATCTTTTGGACCTGATGTCTTTGGGGAACGTTTTCAGTCTACTATGCCTTTTATGGATCAGACATTGTGCTAAATGCTGAGAACATAGCAGATAAAAAGACCCTATTGTACTCCCAAGGAATGAAAGATTATTAAGGATCACAGACTCTCAGATTTGGACAAGACATTAGAAATGCGGTTCTCAAAGTGTAGTCTCCGGACCACCAACATCACCGGAGAATTTTTTGGAAAGGTAAATTCTTGCCCCCCACCCACCTTCTGAGTCAGAAGCTCAGTGGTGGAACCCAGCAGTCTGTGTTTTAACAAGCTTTCCAGGTGATTCTGATGCACATAATGTTTGAGAGCCACCAGTCTAGTGGGAATGAACTTTTTTATTTTAGTGTTCTTTCCCCAGCATCTCTGCTAAATTATATCCAGCTTTGGCTTAAATACTAACAATTTATATACCTGCCCACTGCATTGCTTACTGTTAAAATGGTTAAAAATGGCTCAGAATTACTAACATAAGATCTAAGATTATTACCATTAACCCTACAAACACCAGACATCACCAATATTCTCCACCTTAGCAACAGTTTCAATTTGCACAGCCCCACGCTTGAGTAATTAAGCAGCTAATGATTAAATGCCAACTTCTGGTCTAGAGCACTGTCCTGGGCACAGAAAGGAATACAAAAGGATATAACACACAGATTCTGGCTTTAAGGATGTGATGATGAAAATGGAGAAACCCACCAAAGGCATGTGAAGTGCTGATGGAAAGTAGCAGCAGATACCTGTACCTGGCTTAGAGATGAAGAGGAGAGTTCATTCTGGGCTTGCCTGTTTCCATCTGTTATGTTCCAGCTGACTGAATTTGGGCCCATCATTTTACCTCTCTGTGGTTCAGTTTCTTCATCCAGAAAGTGAGGCAAATAAACTGGAGCATGTCTAATCATCTATGACTCTGAGTACAGCCAGAAGTGCTACCAGAATTCAAAATAATGATAATGCCTAATACGGAATGAGTTGGGGCAAGTACTGGTTTAAAACTTTGTGATTCATTTATTCTTCATTTCAACCCTGAGAGGTTCTGGCATCATTTCCATTTTATAGATGGGAAACTGAGGCACAGAAAAATTTTAAATTACTTTCTTAAGATCATACAGCTAACAAGTAGCAAAGCTGGGATTTAAACCTGTACTCTTAACAATATGCTATATGCGGCCGGGCGCGGTGGCTCACGCCTGTAATCCCAGCACTTTGGGAGGCCGAGACGGGCGGATCACAAGGTCAGGAAATCGAGACCATCCTGGCTAACACGGTGAAACCCCGTCTCTACTAAAAATACAAAAATTAGCCGGGCATGGTGGCGCGCGCTTGTAGTCCCAGCTACACGGGAGGCTGAGGCAGGAGAATGGCGTGAACCCGGGAGGCGGAGCTTGCAGTGAGTCGAGATCGCGCCACTGCACTCCAGCCTGGGCGACAGAGCGAAACTCCGTCTCAAAAAAAAAAAAAAAAAAAAAAAACAATATGCTATATGCCTGCTCACCATGGACTAAGGCAGGCAGAGACGCATCAGGAAGGCAGTCTAACTTACTTCTGGCTTTGAAAGACTGCCAAAGTGAACCAACAGTAAAAAGCAGAATTTGGAATCATGTTCCAATAGGATGCTAGATTTTTTCTTTTTTTAACAAGTGGATCAAAATAAGTGTGGCTACTGGGAACATGTCTTTCGCAGTAGCTCAAGACTCATAGTTACCTATTCAGAAAACATTTGTTTTTAGTTTTAAAGATCTGAGAACCACACAGGTAAAAGCTGGAAGCAAAGCTCCGGAAAGTGAGTCAGAAGTAGAAGGAGTTGTTATGTATCAAAAGGCAGTGAGGGAAAGAAAAGATATGAGAGATATACGAAGTGGCTATAAGGCTCATATGGAGAAGAGCAGGTGGCTTCCAACCGGGAGGGTCACCTGTGCGGCAGGATTATTGAGACTGTGGCATCAATCTGTGCACCTATCAGCTAACAGGCCTGACTGGTTTGTACATTAAAATGCCTGAGGATGAAAATTATTTCACTTTATTTCCTCCAAATAGGCAGCATTCATTTGCTCATTCTCTGAAATTTTATGCTATATGTTGGAACTCAGAGAAGAACAGGACCCAGGGAATTGGAGCAGATAAACAAATAACAACCCAGGGCTATAGATTTTCCACTCTAGTCTGTTGTCTTGGGCTTTACCCACGTGTCACATTCATTGTCTTCATAAAAAACTTACTGGGGTCCAGGCGCGGTGGCTCACGCCTGTAATCCCAGCACTTTGGGAAGCTGAGGTGGGCAGATCACGAGGTCAGGAGATTGAGACCATCCTGGCAAACATAGTGAAACCATGTCTCTACTAAAAATACAAAAATTAGCCAGGCGTGATGGTGCATGCCTGTAATCCCAGCTACTCAGGAGCCTGAGACAGAAGATTCGCTTGAACCCGGGAGGTGGAGGTTGCAGTGAGCCGAGATTGCACCATTGTACTCTAGCCGGGCGACAGAGAGAGACTCCATCTCAAAAAAAAAAACAAAACAAAACAAAACAAAAAAAAAACCTTACTGGATTACAGCTGTATGCAAGACACTAGACCAGATGTCCTCAGGGAAGCAAGGGCTTAAGAAGACCCAGTTCACTGAGTGTTCCTTCAATTTGAGTTTTATTTTTCATGGGCCATATAGACAGTGCACAATCAACTAACATTGGATAAATGTGTAAATGTTTAAAATAGCACTTTCACAAATAATATTTGGTCCTCAAAATAACCATCTGAACCAGGTAGTAGCAACACCCCTGTGAGCAAGTCACATTACTACTCTTACCTCAGTTTTCTCATCTGTAGAATAAGAGAATTGGGCTACAAGATTATTAAGACCTTTTCCAGCTCTGTAAGGCTGTGATTCTCGGCATTCGAACTAAAACTCAGAGAGCAAAAGAGACCTGAGAACATTACACCTAATAAGGATAGTTCATAGTTGTTAAGCATGTTGTGTGTTATAGTCCATTCAGGCTGCTATAGCAAAATGTCGTAGACCAGACAGCTTAGAAACAACAGATGTTTATTTCTCACAATTCTGGAGGCTGGAAAGTCCAAGATCAAGGCAGATTCAGCGTCTGGTCAGGGCCCATTTTCTGGACAGTGCTTTCTTGCTGTGTCTTCATAGAGTGGAAGGGATGACCAGCCTCCCTCAGGCCCCTTTTATAAGGGCTCTAATCCCATTCAAGAGGGCTCAGGCCTCCTGATCTAATCGCCTCCCAAAGCCTCCACCTCCTAATACCATCATGTTGGAGGTTAGGATTTCAACATGTGAATTTGGGAGGACATTAACATTCAGGCCATAGCATTCCATATGCTGGATACTAAGGAAAGTACCATATAAGAGTTTTCTCACTGATCTTCATTAGAGCCCTATGAAAGAGATGGGCACTATCATTAGGTCCATGTTCTACAAATGAGGGAACTGAAACACAGAGAGCTTACACACCTTGTGCAAGGTAACACAGCTGATCAGTAGGGACTAAGGTGGAACCAAAACCAAGTCTGACGCTAGCAACTGCATTTCTAACCACCACACCGTCTGGTCAGCCCTGCACGGGAAGTGACCATGCTGACTTAGGACACAAGCCTAGATACTGCAGTTACGAGCCCAGGCTCTTTCAGCTGAACCACTCACACACAGTATTTTCAAGTGGCTGTGACTCCAGTGGTTGCACTAACTCAACCATACTTGATGGTAAATTATAAGCAAAGTGCCGGAACAGCCAGTAATAGGTTGATAAATTTCAAAAGAGGTCATGCCCAGTGTGAGCCATAGTTGGAAAGTTTGGCCAGGACACAGAGAAACAAGAACACTTAGCTCCTGCTGATGGTAGTATAAACCACCACAGCCCCTCTGGGATGACAATCTGGAGAAATCATCAGAAACCTCAAAAACATACAGATCATTTAAACCCGGCAGTTTCTCTTCTAATAATTTAAGTTAAACAATTATTGCCTAAGTTTGTTTATTTTTGACCCTTTAGCAGTTAAGCCTTTGAGTATCTGATAAAAGCTATGGTCCTTCTCCTTATAAAAATTACATGCGGGCTGGGCACGGTGGCTCATGCCTGTAATCCCAGCGCTTCGGGAGGCCGAGGCAGGCGGATCACTTGAGGTCAGGAATTCGAGAACAGCCTGGCAAACATGGTGAAACCCCATCTCTACTAAAAATACAAAAATTATCCAGATGTGGTGGCACATGCTTGTAATCCCAGCTACATGGGAGGCTGAGGCAGGAGAATCCCTTGAACCCGGGAGGCAGAGGTTGCAATGAGCCGAGATCACGCCAGTGCACACCAGCCTGGGTGACAGAGCAAGACTCCATCTCAAAAGAAAAAAAAAATCACACGCACATAACATTTGCATGCAATTATAGAGGATGCACTGATGTTGCTCTGAAGCCCATCTATAAATTTCAGCTATAAATACCTAAAAAGAAATCACTGATGTTCAGTACCTGTATTATATGGTATAAGACTTCAATTTAATGCAGGATTTAAACTGATGTTGGAAATGTGAAAGAACTTTTAATGACATGGGAAAGTGTTCACAGTAATTGTTAAATGAAGAAGCAGATTATAAAATAAGATGTAGAAGATAATCCCCACTAAAATATATAGGCAGAAAAAAAGAAAAAAAAATCTGGGAGGCTAACTACCAAAACATTAACAGTGATTATTTATAGATAGTAAGATGATGGGTAATTTTTGTTTGTTCTTTATTATTTTTTCATAAGTTCCAAATTTGCCGTAATAAATAGGTAGCCCTATTATAATCAGATATAAATTAAAAATATTTATATTTTTATAATATATAAAATATATATATAATATATATTATTAATATATTGGAGACATAACATAATGACATCACCTTGACAAACTTGAAGATTCATTTTTTCCCAACTCCCAGATATAAGATCCCAGCCTTCCCAAGGAAAAGGCATCTGTGTCAAAGCCACCTAACTGAAATCAAAGTACATGATCAGTGGATGCTGATACATTCCACATACTTGTGTGTAAAAGTGGAGATACTTTTCTCCCCTTTTAGGAGATAGGGTGAAACAATAGGTATTAAACCCATAAGCAGAAAGGTGAGATTGTCCCTGCTGTTTAAGGAGAGGATTCCCCCAACTGGCAGGTCTCAGTCACATGCCCAGGAGAAAACTACCTCCCAGAGGCAGACAGGAAAAGAACCGGGATAAACATAAAGTTCATGTTGCTGTTAGAAGCAAATCGAACATATGGGCCTGGAATCTGCACACCAGGTCTGGGGTGCCATCCTGGACTACAGGAGGGGATATTGCATATTTATTCTTCTCTTGCTCTAAATATTTCTTTGGCCAGAAAAGGTTTGTTGGAAACAGTTGTAACCTTTAGAGAACTTATTAAAGATCTGGTTTAGCAATCCCACTCAAAATATATACATATATAGAAACTGATGCACCAATCAAACTAGTTATATTTCCCAACATATCTCCCCTCCTTCGTCTATCACACTCTGTCCATCCTTACATACTTTTCAAAAGACATGGTGAAATGGTGAGCACCAAACATGCATGTTTCTCAAAGTGCAAGTCTCAGATACAGCAAAATCTTCCTGCAAAAGAAGGGCCCTGGCTTGAGTTTCAACAACGAAGAGAAATTAATCCATTGAGGAAAAGCGAGAAGGGTGTTACAACCAGGGGAAGCACACATGCAAGGCACAGAGACACATACTACAGTGTGAAGAGTGAGGCAGGGAATGGCACAGGAGCAGGCCCCACAGGGCACACTACAGTGAACCTTCTCAAGGGAGAGGCACCATCATACCCTGCAAAGTGTTCTGTGTGCCCAATTGCATGTGGCTCAGTGGAGAAGGGCCTGCTCTTAGAAAGTCAGTTCAGGTATCACGTTGACTGTGTCACCTTCTTCAATGTCGCCATTCAGAATTAACTGCTCCTTCCCCTTGCTCCCTCAGACACTCTCTTCATACCTCTAGTGTGGTATAAACGGCAGATGTCTGGGCCCCACCCAAGGTTCCTATATCAGACCTCATATAATGGGATCTGGGCCTCTGCCCCTTTTCCCTCTCACATCTGCTGTTTCTTGTGTGAATGAACAGATATCTCAGGGTGAACAAGGCTTCCTGAACTGGCTAATGTTGCAAGCAATGTATTTTTATATTTTTGTTTTAAAGAATGCACATTTCCTTTCCATTATTGTGTATATTACAAGAAAGGCGTGGGGTTTAATTTTGCTTGATTTAGCAAGAAGGTGGACCCACATTTAGCAAAAGTGTTAGCCAAAAGGCTTCTGCATTTGTAACAAGTTCCTTGGATGAGTTAGATGTACAGGAAGGTCCGCAAACTCCTAACAGGTGTCCTGGTCTGAGTGCAATCACAGTTCATTTTCTGTGTGTCTGTCTCCCCCAGCAGACCGTGAAGGAAGTGGATGTCTTAGACATCTGTAGAGCTCAGTTTCCAGCACAGTGCTTGGAACACACTAGGTCCTAAATGAATGAGCACGTGAAACTCCCTGTCTCTACCTCTGTTCACTCAAACCCTTCCCACTTCTGCCCTTGTGTTCACCCAGGTGCTGGAAATCTCTTTCCTTCAGAAATTAAAATAAAGGCTGTCTACCCTAGCAGCACATTAGAATAACCAGGTGAGTTTTTAAAAAGTCAGATGCTCAGGCCACATCCCTAGAAATTCTGGTGTAATTGGTCTAGGCAGGGGCTAGGCATTAGTATTTTCTAAAGCTTCCCAAGGAAGGAATATTGTATCCTTTATCTCAGCTGGAAAACATGGGGCTGAAAACAGCCCTGGAAGTCTGGATTCTTAGTGGAAGTTGAAACAGTCTAAAACAAAGTCTCTGGCTGTCCTCAGTTTGCACTTAAGAAGCAGAACACTCAACACTGAAAAGCAGGATGGCAAGCAAAGGTCTTATATGGCCTCCACACTCCGGATGGAGACAGTGGGGATCAGGATGGGCTAGTGGCTAGAGTCTAGTAGAAATAGAAAGGGGTTCCCAAGAGACTCCAGGCCCCAACATTGAGCTTTTATTGTGACTTCCAGGGCTGTGTCCCAAATGACCCTTTCTGAGACCCTCCACAACCAGCCTCCAGGGAAGCCTGTGAACCAGGGAGAAGAAGGCTCACTCTACTGAGCCACTGCCAAGCTTTGGAGTCAGCGTAACTGAGCCCCATCATCGGCATCAATGTTTTATAGCTGTGGGAACTCAGGCAAGTCATTCAGCCTCTCAGATTCCTCATCTATAAAATAAAAATAACAAAACCCAGTCCACTGCATCAAGCCGTGAGGCTTCAATGTGACAATGTATGTCAAATGTCTGTCACATTAAAAGTTAATTCTTGTTTCCTAAGCCAGGAAAGCAGACATGTGGCATAAAGACAATGCAAGATGTTCTTTGAAGAAGTAACCTTACAGGACTTGAAAGAAATAAACTTGAGATAAGAGTTGAAACCTAAAATGTGCCAGAGGGGCATCTCCTTGGGTGCAAGTACCCAAGCTCAGGGCTGATTCTCTTTCTGCTCATTAGAGCCCGCCAGCGCCTCAGTGCAGGTGTGCTTTCCTCTGGCCAGACTGGTTTTTATGCAGCTATTTGCGGAGATGAGAGCTGATTTACTGCCGGTGAGGGCCTCCATCACTTGAAGGCTGAAATGACTCTGGGGGCTCAAGAGCAACTTTTCAGCTGAAAGGCTTGCAGGCCCGTCAGGGAGAAAGTACAGCCTGGGGCTGAGGCAGCCATCAGGGACAAAGGGAGGAATTCAGCACAATTGGCCACATAGTTCTAAATGGCAAGCAGGACATGCTGCTATGGACACACACAGTCAGGAGGTCCAGGTGCAAGAACACACAATTAACCGGGGGCTGAAAGGGCTGGGAATGATATTTTACCTGCCATTCTGGATTTTGGCGGCTAACCCCTGTCCAGGGCCAAGGCAGCTGGCCCATGTGAAATGCTGCCACATCATCTGAGATCATCTCTTGTCAGTGTTCCAAAAGAAACCGAGGTGGCATTTTCTGTTATGAACCCACATAAGGTGTAACTTCCCCATAAAAGGAGCCTCCAAGGCCTACAGAAAGGACTGTAGCTTTTAGAAACAATCAAAATGACCAAGAATTATAAATTTAGCAAATTACCCTACAGAACACTGGACAGCCACTAACAATAGTGAGTGAAAGACTGCAGAATTACAGAAGGTGCTTATTTTATAAGGCAGCATATTAAAACAATACAAACAGTATGATTTCAGCTATATGAAGTGTCTGCATGTGAGAAGAGATCAAATACTGAGCATGTGTTATATACTAAGCTGTCTTCAATAATAATTTTATTTAACCCTACAACAACTCCAAGAGATATTTTTATTTTTCCCATTTTGTAGATGATAAAAATGAAACTCAGAGAGGCTAAATAACTTGTCCAAGGGTAGTATGTTTCAGACCCATGACTTTAACAAAACCCAGCATCCTTCTGGTATATCTCAGCCCCAGATGCCTGATTCTTCCTCTTCTCTTCAGTATCTGCTCTCTGACAAGAATGCTGTAATGGACATTTACACGTCAGTATAAATTTAAGCCATTACTTCTCTCTGGATGTTTGAGAGTAAAATGAAAAGGAAAGCTCCCTTTTTAATGGATCTGAGGCTTCAATAAGCAGCTAAAGGAGTCCAGCGCCCCTCCATTCTTGTAGCCAGTCCTAGCTGGATGGCTGTTTGGGGATCAGGAAGGCAGGGAACCTAAGTTCTCTATTTCCTGCCTAGACACTGGCCATGGGGCCATGCTCTCTATCCTGGAAAGCCCTTAATACCATAGGACGGAAGGTATTTTCTGCCTGAAAGATATCATTATTGAACAAAAGGGGAGGGAAAACAGAAAAAGGGCATCAAAGCCTAAACAAATAACATCAGCATGAAATCTTTAATGAATGGCTCATCCAATGCGATCTACTGAAATCCAGAAGGTTTAGTAAAAGATGCCTTAAACCCAGTTTATACTGCAAATCGACCATGAAGAAAAGTCAACACCAAGTTAATCCCATTTAATAATTCAGTTTCGGGATGTTAAAACATATTTCTCTCTTGGAGTTCCTGCACGTATGTCTGACAACAAGGAAACCAAGAAACACACTAAAAAAAAAAAAAAAAAAGTAGTAGTATTATTTTAGTAACTATACTGTACTATTAGCAACCTGCAAGAGGTGGCAGTTAGTTCTTCCTGACCCCTTACTTTATCTCCCAAATACCTTCTTTTCTCCCTGACCTCCCCCAAGACAGGGAAATTTTAAGCCTGGCTTTGGAGCCTAGACTTGACCCAGTACGACTATAGGGTCACTGTTTCTGACACCTAGGCCTGGCTGCTCAAGAATCTTGGGTGAGATAAGAGCCATTGGATCAGGAGACTCTTTCTCAGACCCTTTTGGGAAGAGTCAGTCTCATGGTGCTTCTGATCTCACTGGACACCTTGCTGAGCATGCCCCCCAACGAGTGGTCCCAGGTCAACTCCTTCACCTGTCCAATTCTCAGAACCCCTACAACTCTCAGCTGAAATCCGGAGCATTCACCAAATCATTTTGAGCTTGGAGCTGACCAGAGCCTGCTATCAATTAAAATATGCTCACAACTTTAGGCCCGATGTGTGACCTGTTTACTTAACTACCCACTTAACCTTCTGGAAAGGGCTTTCTCATCTCTAATGTTCACTTGGATTGGGGCAGCTTCCAAGACTTTCCTCAACAGAGTTGCTCAGACTCACAAGAAAATGCCTAACCCATCCTTCTTCCCATTAAAACCTTGAGCTGACCCAAGTTAAGGGCTTTTCTTTCTCCCAAGCCTCCCTTGCTTTTACTACAGAGAAAACTCTAGAGTGAAAGTGGTTCTCATCAGCTGTTCTCAGAAGAGCAGCACTTTATGCATACATTAAGCAGGAAGGACCAATGGTCAAGTCCATAACTGACCACAAAACAGCCTCAGCTCCTCCCTGAGGCTCCCTGCTTCTCTGGTCCCCATGACAGCTCCCTGGATGCTTTGGTAGTGCTTGCAACTGCACAGAAGAGAAATTAAAAGCAAATTTGCATCACCTTTGCTCAGTGCCAGAGCGCTCAGTTTTAATTTGCATTTTATTTGCAGAGCACTTGCATATAATATTGTAGAAATGCCGAGAACTCTCCCTTCCCCCTTCTCACCCTGCCTGCTTCTCCTCATTCATGATTCCCAGGATGTCTGTGAACCCAGGTATATTACAGAGGGACTTAGCCCACTGGGGAGCTAAAGTAGAGAAACCCTAGGTGGCATCTAAGGGCTAGAGGATCTGAGGGCCAGGAGTTTGACAGCAGTAGGCTCAATCTGTAATGAAATGGAGCCCAGATATCTGCTTTCCTTATTTATGAAATCATAGGAAAATTCTCCTCACTGCCCACTGTGCAAATATGCATGATGCTGACTCAAAACCACCAACTCTCAGGACCGGCTTAACACAATTCCAAACCTGGTGAGAACCCGTGGGGCAGCTACACTGTACCATCTGTGGAAACCCTTGATGGGCCATTTTAATATCCCTTCCCCTTTAACACGTGGACTTTCCACTGCTCTGGTTCCATTGGGTGTTACACCCACCTGCCTCTCGTCCCACCTGGCAACTGTATGGTTGAATACCTGATTGCAGAGCCCCCCATCGCTGCACAACGTTTGGCTTACACCAAAACTAGCCTGAGTCCAAGATTACACTCCCGACAACACACACACACACACTTCTCTGCCAGTACAATTCTATAACACATTATGATTTCTGTAAAACCTAAAGTTTATTTACATCACACACACAGAGGACAAGGAGCTGGGAAATGCACTGCATCATACCAAGCTAACATTCCTGCTTACTCAATGCCCATTCCAAGAAGTGCCCTTCTCCCTGTTTACCCAGACAGGCAGCTTCCAATCTGAGGAAATTTGGTGTTAAAAAACAAACAAACATAAAAGGTGAGAATGCGCTGCTAAATATGCTCCTCCAGTGTCAAAAATGACAGCCAGGTTCCAAGATGTACTTTTAAAAGAAAACAAAATCAAGCAATGAGGATAGTGAACACAGAAACAAAACAAAACAAGAACAAGAATAAGAAGAATGAAAGAACAAACTGGTTCTTTTCTTTTTCTTTTGTTCTAAACTGTTGCCAAGTTATTTATCCCTGGAAAGCCACTTACTTTTTCAAGGTGAAGTATTTCCTTGTGAGATGACTTATTTCACTTGGTTCCACTTAAGTTTATAGCTATTGGTTGGGGGTGGGGGGAATATCAACTCATAGAATGCTGGAGTACAAAGGGATCTTCAAAACATCATTCGTCTTCTTGTTTTACAGAGGAAGAAACTGTAAGGCCTGAATTTTGCTCAACCACAATTAAGTGACTTCCCCAAGTTCACACAGACAGACACTCAAAACAGCAGAGACAATAAGAAACCAAGTCTCCCAAACCCCCTTTTCTGCTTTCCCTCCCTCTGTACTAGTGAAAGAAGAGAATGAGGCTGGGTGTGGTGGCTCACACCTGTAATCTCAGAACATTGGGAGGCCGGTGGGGGGCGGGGTGGATCACCTGAGGTCAGGAGTTCAAGACCAGCCTCGCCAACATGGAGAAACCCCATCTCTACTAAAAATACAAAAATTAGCCGGGTGTTGTGGTGCATGCGTGTAATCCCAGCTACTCAGGTGGCTGAGGCAGGAGAGTTGCTTGAACCCAGGAGATGGAGGTTGCAGTAAGCCAAGATCACACCACTGTACTCCAGCCTGGGCAACAGAGTGAGACTCCATCAAAAAAAATAAAATAAAATAAAGGAAAAAAAAGAAAGAAAAGAAAAGAAAGCAGAGAATGTTCTGAGATGTGGCTGGTGATGCTGACATTGCTTCTGTTCAAAATCTTCCTCCTCACTCATTCACTACCCTTTGCAATGACGATCCATGTCCTTGCCTTCAGTTTCCACTTCTATCCATCAAAACCATCTGTGCCTAAACAATCACTTTTACTTCACCTGGCCATAATGAAGACGAATGACACAGCACTACCACTGAATTTTTGGTAAGGTCATTTTTATTGCTGTCTAATTGCTCAATGACCCTAGGACAATCATCCTTATGTTTCCTCCTCCTTAGAGAAAAGTGCCAGGGTTAGGTTTTTCTCTCTAGGTATGTGAGGAGGCTACCAGTTGCTAGAAATGTAGCCTCCTGTAACTCAGCATAGTTGATTTTCCTCCCAGCTTCTAGGAAGCTCAGAACTAGGTTTCATGTGCTTAACTGAAATGATCCCCTTAGCCTATGTTGTTTGGAACACTTCTTGCTCCACACTACTCCCTTCATTACTTTGCTGTTATTCTTCTATTCTTTTTACAATCATCTTATTATATCTTTGTCTTCATTATAAATTGCTTCAAATCTTCTTTGGAAGGATAGAGTATAAATAATCATAATGAAACACTCAAGACTTTTCAAGCTTTGAGGAGAAAGATAATGTATAATTTTCATGCATCTTGGTCCAAAACCAGGAATGTTGAGCTAGTGAGAACGCTCCTTGTGTGCCAAAATTACCACACAAAACAGTCAGAGAACTCCAAGATGCTCCTGAACCTTAAGGTAAATCTGGGACCTGCTCCCTGTGCTTCCACCATTCCATAGCCCACAGTGTTTCTGCTGCATTTATCCACAAAAGTGATCATCTCCTTTATGGCTCAGAAGTGGCATCTTACTTCTTCCCAATGTGCTGGGGGCTGGGAACGCTTCATGGTTGGCTGACCTTGTACCCACTCTGGTGCTTTGGGTTGTTCATTGATCCTCGTCAAAATTTACAAAAGCACAAGACAGATGAGAAGGGGGAAGTACATTCCTCAGCTGGAAGAGTGGCCAAGTAACCACAAACTGCTGGCCCTCCTGGGATTGTGCTGGTCACGGACTTGGCTTCGGCAGCCCAATGACTTGTTCCTCCAGACATCGCCTACGCCTGCAGTCAGTTATCCTTCACTCAGACCACCAGCCCTCTGGGTCCCAGGGACGCAAAGCATGATGGGAAGTAGGCGGGTACTGGACAGGAATGTAAAGGGCCAAGGTAAGACCAGGAAGGAAGCCACTTCCCCCAGAGTCAGCCTCCTGCTAGATCCTAAGACCCCTCTGCTCTAACAATTATTTTTCTAAACAGCCTCATTCCAAGCTGTGGAGGCTGGGGTGGACTTTAAAGCAGTAGGAACAGAGTATAAAGCTTTCCATATCTTCCACGCAGATATTATATCTAGTATATGGGTGGGATTACCCCACGCCAGAGATTGTTGTTTTCTTAAATTGCAAAGTTTATTACACCCTTCATCTAAGGTGCACAAACCCTGGGCCTGAGAAAGGAAAGGGTCACGGTGGTCACTACATTACACATTGGTTTAATCCTCAGTTCTACTGGTTCTACTGATCCTCAGTTCTGGAGGTGATCAGAATGGAGGTGGTGAAGCCAGGCTCCACTCTTTACTAATAGGGTAACCCTGGGAAAGTTACTTAACCTCTCCAGGCCTCGGTTTCCTCATCTATAAAGTGGGAACAATAATAGAGCCCATCTCATGGGATCAGAAAGCCCATGGTATGTGCCTGGCTTAGGGCAAGTGTCATATAAACTTTAGCCTCTCCCACCCCAAAAATATCTTGTCCTCCAAGATTGTAGTCCAGTCTCAGAAAGAAAAAGGAACTCAATAACCATGAGAGTTGGTTCAGGCTTCTCTCAATTATTTATATAAACAACACATTTCCTGTTTGGGGACTATGTCACCCAAGATATGCCACTTCTAAACTTGGTCATCAGGAGCATGCAGGACTGGTTTGGATATACAGTCAAAGATGAAAATCAGTTATGATTGGGTCTGCTCATTTCTACTTATTTCTACTCCCTCGACCCAGATAATTAAGAATTAACTGCACATGGTTAATGTTCTTATATAAACACAATGCAAATCTTACCATGTCATTCCCCTGCTTCAAGCTTTTCAAAGATCCCTAAACCCAAGTCCCTTCCATGATATCCAAGGATCTCCATGATCTGACCCTCGTTGCCCTTCCCTGCCTCATCACCTGCTAGTCCCTGTCTGGACCTTCATAATCTAGCAATGCTGAACTTCTTTTTTCTCCCTGGTGCCTGGCATCCTCTTCCTTGTCTGGTGCCTTTACTCAGATTGTCCCATCAGCCTGGAAAACTTCCCCTCTCCTCGTCTGCCAAATCTGCTCAGGCATCATCTCCTTCCAGACACCTGTCATGCACCTTCCCCCACCACCTGCCCCACAGCAGGCTGGGTGCATCTACCTCATGCTCCAGTTATAACCTGCACATTGTTTCATCACTCTACACTTACCACTTTGCATTATAAGGATCTCTATTCCTTGTCTCTTGGGCCCTCTAGAGAGTGCCCCCTCCCTGAGATCAAGGAGTGTGTCTGTCTCTCTTGCGTGTGTATGTCTGTGTGTCTCAGGTGCCCAGCACATAGTAGGTGCTAGTGAAAGGAAACACAGAAAGGAAGGTGAGAGACATGTGCAGTTGGACTAGTCAACAGGTAGCGGTAATTTAGCTAAATAGCACACTTCCCAGGTAATGGGGTCGATGGACTCGTCGACACATATTGCCACCCAGCAGTGGCAGGATCCTGGAGAAAGGGCCCCTCCACTGGAAATTTATGACTGAGCAAAGGGGAGAGGAAAGAGAGATGAAGGGAGACAAACTTATGACATATAACACCATCTGGGATGGAATGTTCTAGAAAGCAAGCGTGAGAGGGAACAAAGACATCAAGCAGAGAATCTTGAAGCTTAAGTATGAAAGGACCCAGTAGGCCAAATATCACATTTTAAAATAAACCTCTCCACTCAGGGCCAAAGCAAGAAGAGGGGCTAAGTATCATGAAGCAGAGGAGTCCCTACAACCACTGTCCTTTCTGACACAGCTCCTGGGCAGAGCTTAGCTAACTACACATTCCACAGTGAAAACGTCAAATTGGATATCCATCAGTTGCTCCAAAGAAACACAGAGATACAGAAATCTGACAAAAGTACTGGCAGTATCCAACTTGAATCTGGCTTCTTTTTATCTTTATTATTGGTCTCACTCATGGGCACACAGCCCACATTCACAGTTCTTTGAAAACCACAGCAGGTTAAGTACCAAGACTCCAGAGTTAGGGCCAATGAGATATGATATGGTGAGTGAGCCAAGGAGTGACCAACCAAGAGCCATAGCACATGCAAAACGAGCACAGCCCTGGTCCTGACATTCTGCACACACCTCCAGAGAATTTCCATCCATAGGAGCCCGGACCACAGGAGGAAGGACCAAGGAGAAGTACAATGCGTTACTAGCATGAACGTCATTTGTGAAAACCATGTCCCAGACGTGCGTACAGAAAAAGTCAGCTTTCTCATTGCCCAGCTCCTGTCTGAACCTGTATCCCTAAGCTCTCCCCACACTAAATTCATACCCACCCATCAGACATCCTTTACTCCTCCAACCTTCTTCCTCCCACCTGTTCATCTAGTCTCCAGAGCTCAGGTTAATGGAAATTGTAGATGTGTAACCTTGTGTGATATTTTAGATTATCACTTAATAAATAGTCACTCTCCTGTTGCCCCTCCCTTTGGATATAAATTTCCCTCTTCCACTTAGGTTGGGTTCACCATATGACTTGTTTGGGCAGTGGAATGTGAGTAAATGTGAGTGTGTGGTTTGGCTTCTGTCATTCTCCATGAGAACACATCTAAGTGGCTCTTGATCCAAAAAGAATGTGGAACAATACCTGGACCCCGCCTGAAGCCTGGGTAAGTCCAGGTGACCCATAGTCTGAAACAAAGTTGCCCCTGCCCACCCAGAGACCCAAGGGTGAGAATAAGTGTTTGGCTTTTTTAAGTCTTTAGTTCTAGGATGCTTTGTTATGCAACAGTCCTGTAGCTATAGCTAACCAATACACTCTCAGAAAAGCTCAACTTGATTGCTAGTTTGCTCTTTCTGTATTTTCCTGTATAACACAGTGATGGCTCCTTCCCAAATGTAGTCAGCACAGGATGGGCTCTGAATATCCCCAACAGCCTGTTGGTGGCACTCACACCACAATATATCCAGAATACACAGTGCCTGGTACCTCCCAGAGATGAGATGGCTAGTGGTTTGGCTGCCTCTGCCTGACTTCCCACCATCAGTAGGATTTCCACTCTCCAGTCCTTGTTGAAAGCTGTGTGCGCCATACCACCCTCCTCCGCCTCCCCCTGCCCAGGCAGCACATAGAGTGAAGCGGTCAGCAGGAGAGGGGCTCAGCCTGAGCTGCTGGCAGCAACTCTCCCCATGTCCTCTCGGGCAGAAGCCAGAGGCTGCGTCTGTGCATATGGGCAGTGGTAATGAGAATTCCCTGTGGCTTCATGCAAGGGAATCAGGCAGTGCAGGCAAAGCAGGCCAAACTTCCCTTCTTTTTCCAGAAATGACAGTGAAACAAATGGCAGGAAACTCTTTGTGCTGACCAATACAGGAAGGATTGCCAGGGCACAGCTCTAGAAGTGGGAAGAAAGTGAGAGGAAAGATAAAGGGAGAAAGAGAAAAAGAAAGTGGGAGCGCAACTACAACTTTAGTGTGAATCACTCTATATTACATCATTGGCCTTCACAGCTCTGTCCATCAAATATTACCAAATCCAGTTCCAGAAAGGCTTAAAACTTATAAATATTTGCTATCCAGAAAACATGGTTGATGACATTCCACAAGCATTCTGGATAGCCAAGGTGCCAGATAGGTAGAAAAAAATGAGCTGGTTTGAGTAAGCCCAAGGCCACAGTACAACTTGGGATAGTTCTTAGTTACAAAGGGGCCTATGCCACAGGCAGAATGAAGAAGAGCATCAGGATCCCCTCCCCAAGATTATGCTATGCCTAGAAGGGATTCTGGGAGGTGTGCAGTGCATACATGCTATACATATGTGCTGAGATTGTAGTAGATTCACTCCCATAACCTCCAACCCTCAATACCCTTACAACAGATCCATGTGAGTTTGCAACTAACCCCTACCCACGTCAGCTGGTCCTGGCATTCTGCACATACCTCCAGGGAATTTTCATCCATAGGAGCCTGGACCACAGGTAGAAGGACCAAGGAAAAGTACAATGAGTTATTAGCATGACCGTCACTTGACCATATGTATTTAGACTGGCATTTAGACTCAGAATTTAAATGAAAAACAGTTCCTGAACAACAACACATTTTAAATTTTAACTTTATTTTTAAAAAGACTGTGTGAAGGCCACCAACCATGGCTACAAATGCTCCTCCCCCTTCCTCCTTGGTTCCATAAATGTTGAGTCAGAACAATTTCAGGAGGTCAAGCAGCCAGAGAAGGGCTTCTGGAACTTGCTTGACAACATAAGAAGAAAAAAAGAAGGGAAGGAATCACACATTAAATAAATAGTTTTGAGGAAAAATCAGTCAATATTTTCATAAGGAAATTATTAGTCCAAGACTGAAAGAGATACACTGATGCTATCGTATTCAACATATCCACAGGACAGGAGGCTGGTCCCTGGACCACTGGGGAATACTCGCTGGACACCAAGGAACCACAGTTAGCCCTCTGAGAACCAGATGCCAGGGAGGAGAGCCGATAACACCTTCCATACAAGCTTTGTGGCCAAGTCACACCAGCCTTACTCAGGTTCCTCCAGTGCAAATGGAAATGGTAAGAATTGCAGCAAGAAACAGACAGAATCATTCTGAATTCAATAAGGCTCTATATACATTTTAGATACCATGTGTATGTGATTCCATGATTCTGCAAAGTGTCTGCTAAGAACTGAAGAAAGCAAAGTCCCTAAGGTAACATGATAGGAAAGACATTGAATCTCTTTAATATAATTTTTTAAAACAGTACTGAGCACGTACTTGGTGATTCGCACTTTCTCAAAGTTGTATCATTTAGTCCTCACAACGATTCTATAAAACAAACATTATAATCCCCACTTTACAGGCAAGAAAATTGAGGCTCTGAAAGATTAAGTGACTTGATTGGTCCCCTGGACTTGTGGCTTTTTACTCCCTTGCATTACATTCCACAGCTTGGGTCTATGTGAGTGTAATGAGTGACTTTTCCTGGGCCTATTAATTTAGAGACAGAATCTGTGCCAGTGCATCCACTCCCAGTCTCTGCCTCAGAAGACACTTGAGAAGTCATGTGTCATCTGGAGGGGTGATCTGCTCATCTTGAAAGCACCTCCCAGGTTAGCCAATGGGACCTGACACAATCCTGGGTTATTGGTCCTTCCCCCTCTGTTTTGTTGACCTGAATATTATTATAGATGATGCTAAGAAAGGCTCATGGGTGTCTCATATTCTATCTCCAGTCCCCTTTGGAAAGAAGAGATGCTTATGGAAAACCTCCCTTTCTGTCCTGAGTCAAGACATTCCTTGGGTGATTGGAGGGGAGCCCCCTCCCCGCCCTGCCACCATTTGGAAGTGATTACCACCGAGATACCCTGACAGAGTGAATGATGCTGAGGGCTCGCTCCTGGATGCTGAGCGAAGAGCTTGCTGCACGCTCCCCACCCCCAGCCCTTGGCACACGCTGCTACAGAGAGCCTGGAATCCCACTTGGATGCTGATTTCCAAGTCTTGCTTTCCATTTTCTGATACATGGGATCAACTTTAATAACAAAAACCTGGCAGGGAAGGCACCTCTGCCTAGCAAGAGCCCCCAGTGGCAAAACTGAGGAAGTCCTGGTGGGGGGCTGGAGGGCAGACTGTCAGCTCATTTGTTACCCTCCGCCAGAGACGCAAGGGCACCCTGTGACCTTCCCCCAGGCCTTCTGCCTCAAAGCCAACAACAGCAGCAACTGTCTATATAGTGGCTTCTTCTTTTCCTTGAGGAAGTCCCTCCCACCATCTCCAGCCAAGATCTGCCCAATCCTTCCTGTAGGTTCAGCTTGTGCTGTAGATTATTGGGGTAATTTGTACTCCCCACATGGCTCTCGGCAGCCTCTCCAAAAAGCAATGCAAAAACCACTGGGACCAGACGTTGCTGGATGCTCAAGAAGACCAGTGAACCACCCACCTTCCCCATGAACTTTGTGTCTGGAACTGAAGGCTTGTTGGTAAGCTGGTCTTGACAAGCCAAATCATAGCATCGCAACCTCTACAACAGTCACCACATTGTAAGGTGCCAGAGAGAGGATGTATTCCATCCCACTGCCTTCACGAGAAAAAAAATGAGAAAAATGCTCATCCACTTGTCCTGAACAGTCATTTCCTCAAAGATGTCTCATTAGATATTCCCAACAATCTTATGGCACAAATATTCTCCTCATTTTACAGATGAACAAAAGCCTCAGCTTTGTTATCCGATGCCCTACTGCCAATAAGTGGCAGTCACAATTTGAATCCCAGTATTATAACTAAAGGGCATAGCTCTCTGCTTCATTTCACAGAGTTTCAGTCTCTCTGAATTCTTGTCCACCACAGTGGCTTGATAGTTTTGTAAAGGCAGGGACATTTGACACCCCAACAAAATTCTTCCCAGCTCTATGCAGTATGAATTTGAATTCTTCATTAGTGATGGGTGACAAAATGATACTTCCTCTTTAACCCAGATTTGGTCTCTTTCCACCCTCCTAACTTTCTGTACCTTCCCTCCAAGCTCTTACCAGGCAGGAAGATTTGACAGGCTTCCAGTGATGAAATAAATGAGCAGGGTAAGGTGACAAAAAGCACCTTCTTTGTCTGTTTTCTTTGTGTTTTTAATAGAAACTCATCAGGTATAGTATTACAAAGTCAAAGTTGCCTCTATCAAAAGCCACAGGGCACTGAAGATAGAACAGTAAGTAAAAGTGAGTTATCATGCATAGCTAGCCATCATTATACCCCCTGACGAAACTGGAAGCCAAGCCAATCTGGCTCTCTGTGCAGTATGAGCAACCAACAGAAGGCTCATGCATCCAATGGGGTGGAGATGCAGATGTTGCCTAGGCACTGTTATTCTCCCCGTTTCCTTCTCCACACTCCTTTATTTTGGGCATCGCTTCATGTTAGTGAATGATCCTGGTTTATTTGAGGTGTGGGTACTGAGGGCTGCTGGAAAGTAATTACCACTGAAAGTCAAACCACAAGTGAGGAGAGCTCAACTCTGCTTTCATCTGCATTGCTCAGGCATTTGCAATACAGAGGGAATGCGATGCGGACAAGGACTTGAGAAAGTATGTTGTATTTGATTATGATTCCCGGAATAATCTTGGATAAATGTGATCATCCACAGGACAATTAAAGAACTTTATATGCAAAAGTTACCATTATGACAATATTCACCATGATGTCCCCCAGATCTGGGAGTCTATTTCTATTTTGACTTTCCCACTTCTTTAAGTTCTAATGTTCAAGAAGTTTAAGGCTTATCTGCAATCTCATCCACAGATGTAATGGAATTCCGAGAACTAAGTATTTCAATCAACAGGATTTACATTTTTTCTTCCGCCAGGGCCCCTTGCTCTTCCCTAGAAATGCCTGACTGGAATTGGAGTGATCAGAATAAACTGCATTATTCATCAGAGATTTTCAAAATAATGGGCCCAAAGGGCTGAAGTGATAAATACTTTATTGGAGGTTCCTAATTATATGAAAAATGATCTCCCATCTGTAAAAAGAATCTTAGGCCCAGTTATCCTTGGACCACATTCCCAGCTTTATGTGGGTTTGTGTGACAAGAAGCCTCCTCTCAACTGGATAGTGAAATCATCAGAAGTTCCCAAGCCCATTCTACTTCCACTGAAGGGATGACACGACAGGAGTGGCCTGCCCCTCAGAACCCCAGGTACTGCAGCTGTCGGCTGTGGAGGCCCAGCTCACTGGTTGGCTCTTAACACCCTCATGCCCCTGAAGCTACTGCATGGACATGCCTGAAGATAGGCATACCATACCAAGGGCCACACACTCCAAACTTTGAAGACCAACAGCCTCCTTCCCAGAATTGTCATCAAAGGTTAAGGGATGTCACCCTGAGTTAGGCAACCTCTAAACTGTAGCCCCAGCTTTGAAAGAGAAAGAGAAGGGTTTGTTTGCCCCAGAGGCTCCTGGAAAAGCAAGCTCTTCAGGCTTCTCCTGCACAAAGGCATTCAAGATCTTTGAAGGATGATGGGGCAAATTTTTGCTATAAGGCCCAATTCCCTCAGAGCATCTCAGAGGGCACTGATGTGTGATGTGCCGTTCACGATGGCTGAGAGCTCCTCAAAAGCCTTCAGTCTTAACTCGCAGCTTTGCAGTGACCCAAAACAGAACTCCTAGTGCCACCATGGCCATTCTAGCAGATGGTCCTGAGCTACCCACTCTGCCTCTAGAGGAGCAAGAGGCAACCACGTACTGTTATATCCTCATATTCTTTATTCAACTCTGACAAATGATAATTGCTTCTGCTTTTAATGATTTGGATGTTTTCCTTTGTTTTCAAATGCCTGGACTCTATTTTAGCAGTTCTAAAAAAGTACTGGAATTTCTCCCTTATTATTATTCTAATGGGCTTTGAGGTTGAAAACCAGGGCCATGAGAACAAGGAAGAGTTATTGCTGTGTATTAGATTAGCAAAAGAGCAGTATGGTATGATAGGCACAGTACAGTCTGGGAAATCAGGAGCTTATGAGCTCTAAGTCCAGCTCTGCCCCTATTTGCTGTTGCTCTGAGAAAATTTCATTGTGCTGTTACTTTTAGTTTTTTTATACATAAAACAGGTATGCTTATCCAGATTAAAGACATCTGGTTATAAATTATTTGACTGTCTTCCCACCAAGAACTGGGACAATTTCCCCCTCCATGAGTCTAGCTGGGCTCTATGACAGGGGAAGTCACACTGTGCCAGTTTCCCAGCCCAGGTTTTAAGAGATTGGTAGGTTCCACTTCCTGTCTCTTGGATTGTTCATGCTTGGAATCCAGCCACTATGCTGTAAGGAAGCCCAAGCAACTCTATGTAGAGGCTCAGATGGAGAGGAAATAAGATCCCCTAGCCAACATCCCCAGCCGAGCTCCCAGGCAAGAGCCAGGACCAACTTAATGGCCCCATGTGTGAGCCATCCTGGAAACAGATCCTCCATCCCCAGCTGGTCCGCCTGCAGCAGACACTGTACCAAACAACAACAAACCATCCTTGCTGAGCCCTACCCTACTGCAGATTCATTAGCAAAATAAATGGTGGCTGTTGTTTCCAGTTGCTAAATTTTGGCTTGGTTTGTTATGTGCCAATGAATGATAGGAATTTATATTTAGACTTCAGTGGAAGAAAATGGAATGGAACCAAATATAAAGGAATTATCTTTTTCAATTATACCTCTCTAGCTCACACAAAGAGACTGAATATCAGAGGGAAAAAAAAGTCCCCTGAAGAAGTGGCATTCTTGTCTAATGACCTTATATCCTCATCATTGACAGAGGTTTAGTCATGCTCAACTTATGCCAATTGGAAACAATATAGAGTCTACAGGTAAGTTCATCCCAGCAGGATCAGCATAATTTATGGGGCCCAGTGGTGAAGTGAAAATGCAGAGTTCCATGTTGAAAAATTAATAATTATATATAAAAGTATAAATGATTTCAAGAGGGAGCAGCAGATGATTAAACCAAGAAGCTGCCCTGCATCCCAGCTTAATGGCCTAGCTGATCTGATCCATATCATAGAAACACATATCCTAAACCCTAGATGCCCATCTCCTCCACTCCTTACCTGATATTTCATTTAGAAAAAGCCAAAATCTGCCTGGTGTCATGAACCATTCTTTAAAATGATCAACCAACTTCTTCATACTTAGTCACACACACCTTCTTCCTTTTTTTTTTTTTTTTTTTTTGTTGTTGTTGTTGTTATTGGGGTCAGGGTTGGATAATAGAGAAGAGTTTTTTTAAAGGTGTGGGCAGGGCTTAAGGAAAGCAACAAAAAATGGTATGGAATCCCAGGCTGGAAACTTCAGGGAGCTATTGCCAGCCCTAGGCCTGAAGGGAGCAGTTACCAGAGCCCACGAAGGAGCTGGGGGAATAAATTCCCAGCTCATTTCCCTTCTGCCTTCAGCTCTTCTGCCAGTGCCTCTTGCTGGTCAAACCAAGAGAGGCCAGAGGACAGATGAGTTCACTGAGGCATGGCATACAAGCCAGTCTCATAGGAGCATACATGAAAGCTAAGGTATTTTTAAGAAAGCTAGAAAAGCCCTCTTCAGAAAAACTCAACATTTTCTCACTTATCCCTGCAGGTAACAACAACAACAAAAACAGCATCACAGGAGGAACCCCTTGGCTGACATTTCCCAAACTGCTTTCAGAAATCAGGGCTGAGCTCGGTAGCTGAGGTAATGAAGGCAGTGAGTGGTTATGCTAGAGATGGCAGGGGCCAGCCCTCACCCCACAGCTATGGGAAGGAGTGTTAACAACAGAGAGAGGCAACCAAGCCAGCTCCCTAAGCCAGGCAGCAAATAACTCCACAAGCTCACACCTCCTTGAGAAATAACTGCTGTCTCAGCCATTTGTATGGAACATTCCTAAGGGTGGCAGCGGTTGGGGGAGTGACAGCGTGAGGACAGTCGCCACATGTGCAATAGCTGAGCTCTAGAACAAAGCAGAGAGCATGGCAAAGGGGGCCTAAGAACATCCCCCTACCCTCCTGGAACCAGCCTCTATGAATGCAGCATCCCAGATGCTTCAAAAAGGGCTAAAGCAACTTCACCTTTATGCTTGCATCTTAAGTGCAGGGTGCTCCCAGGTCAGTGGTAGCATTTTCACAAGTCACCCTTTTCTGCCTTTAAGATCTGACAGGAGACAGGGTGCAGTAGCTCTAATGTTAGATCAGTCCCCTTTCTAGCTGGTCCCCCATCTTATTGACCTTTTTCCTTCTTTAGGTCTTAGCTTTGTCTTTCTTCATTTTGTTTCTTCTAGTTTTTTCTCTACCCTTTCAAAACTGTAATTTCTTCCAATATCTTTTTTTTTATTACCTCTCATTCTGTAGATCCCATCCCTTTTCTCTTTTTTTAGTCTCTCAGGGCTTGAACGAAGAGAGAACACAGATGTTCAGGGTCTCCACATCCACAAGATTTCTAGGGTCCAGCATCTCTCTTTAAGCAAAACTAGCAGTTTCTGTTTTCTACAGTAGCCAGCATGTTGTCTTTACTCATACTAAGCACCCAATAATTATTAGAATTATCTGAGTAATGAGGGCATAACTAGCAGATAGTGGCGGATGGCTTCCACTTGGCATCAGATGGAGCACAGCAATCACAGGCAGCCCCACTTCATCCCAGGCAGAAGCCCTGAACACCAACACCCCAGAGGCTCCTACTAGACTGGTGACATACTTCCTTCTCTTGCTTCCCAGACCCTAGGTTAGGTGACTGATCAGATACCTATACAAGACAGGACAGTCTGGAGTTGCACTGCTTGTCTCTCTTGACATGTTCAGCAAGGCACGTCTTATCAATTAATTCTCTCATTAGGGCTGTTCTCTATCTTCATCTTTCCCTTTCATTCTGTTCTCTACCCCTCCCTGTTTAGTGAAAGTCTTTCTAGTAAGTCACAACTTTTATGTTTATGAAGGGGATGTCCCCACGAACCACATCTACAACTCCCCTCTGGCCACTCCCTCCTTTGGGCTGATTCCAGCCACCTTCCTAAACTCCCCTCTCCCAACATCCACACTAACGAAAGAATATTCAGGAAAAGCCCTACTTCCTTTCATCTCTACCCATTCCAACCTTGGTTTAAAGCCCCCCAGGCCCAGCACATCAGCACAGGAACTTCGGAAATCTTAACTATAGCTTTGTACTTTGAATACTGGCTTTGAAGTATGTGCTAACAGCTGTAATTGGCATTATGGAAGAAGGTTAAAATAAATTACTTGTAGCTAAGGAGCCAGCAAAGTGGAAATTATCCAAGTCATGTTGTATTTGGTCCGTAATCCAACACTGTAAAACTAAATCCTTGTCACCCTGACTCCTTGTTAGGCTGAAGTACAACACAGCATTTCACAATCCCACACTGTGTCTGACAGCCTTGAGATCTGGCCCCCTCTACCCCCAGGAAAAACCTCAAAACCATCAAGGAGGCACCATGCGGTTTCAGAGAGTCCCATCCACCCCTGACACATGTGACGCATCAAATACCTCTGCCTCTCTCCTAGAACCTTGACTTCAGCAGCTGAGAGTTGATCCTCACCAGGGTTCTGCCTACAAAAACATTCAAGGAACACCTCTCTCAGCAGTACTGATTTTAAATCAGGGGTTCTGAAAATTGGAAATCTTAAAGACGCAAAGGGCTTCTTCTTTCTGGTAGGATTTCAGATCCTGTCATGGGAGGCAGATGTGCACTGGTCAAGTAAGGACCTACTGGACGTCTCTTATAATAGAGTGCCAAAGTCAAGGTCAGGTGATGGGTGCATAGACACCCCCTCACCCACAGTCTGTCCATGGGACATGGTATGCAGGGGACATTTTATTTTTTGACAGGAGTAAGGTTTTTCTTTCTTGGTTGGGTAGCTGCCTTGGTGACATTCTGTCTTTATGTATGTGCATGTGTATGTTGTGTGAGACACAGTGCACACAGGCATGAAGGACAGACAGGTGGACACTGGGCAGCATCTGTCCCCTTCCCAGCCCCATGAACACATGCTGAGAGCTTACCACGGGGAGATGGGGAGGGCAGAGCAGAGAGGCCTGGGAGCACAGCGTTGCTGCTTCAGGGCCCAGGGACAGAGCAAAACGCCCAGCTGCCTATGGAACCAGCACCACGGTCACTTTGAGGACTGGAGGTCCTGGGGGCACTGATACCACCTGCTCCTTGGTCCCTACACTAGCAACCTCATGATGGGCACCCTTGGCAGTAAGACTTATGACTCCCTCAAGCTGCTTCACAAGCAGAGAATACTGCAGGGAGGCGCTGGGCAGGAAAAACTGGGGCTTCCCGGCTGGTACTGAGACATACGCACAAGTGCTTTGTCGGGGAGGTGGCTGGAGCCATAGGAGAAATCTTTAAAGTTAACATGCCCTCATTTTCATCCACATCCAGGCGGTTTCCCAGGGGCATCCGAGTTACACACAGGAGGCTGGCCATGGAGGCAGATGTACTTGTACTTTTACAGCACAAGACAAAAATGGCAGATGAGGAGGAGTTGGAAAGAAGCCCAGCAGCCCTGTTGCAGCAACACCTCCCCATCCGGATCCCACAGGGCACTCGGGCCCGGGCAAAGCTGCCTCCCTAAACAGGATTGAGGCTTCCCTTCCCTTTGAGACATGTACATTTTCTGATCAGGATCCAGTTCAGTGAGAATGAGTTTAGAAAACCTAGAAGGAAAAAGAAAAAAACCCAAAAGATAGGATTATTTACGGAACTGATACTTGTAAATGGCTTGAGAAGAAAGTAAACTCTCCTTCATACATTTCTGAACCCCCTCCATCATCACCACAATACCCAGCATGTCCATCATATACAGTGAGCCCTCAGCCCATGTTCATTACTCTGCTTATCTGAGGGGTGCTCTGAATTTGTGGAACCCACTCAGAACAAGGAGAGTAGAGAGGTGAAACCCCAATAGTTCCAAGTCTAGTTTATTTTTAAGCCCATAGAAATGCAACTATCCATAGATAGAATTAATACATATGCTCCAATGATTCCAACTATGGGATACATGGGAAATACCTGAATATTTTTACAGGGAAAATTATAAAGGAGGCAGCAGGATGAATAAATTGCATTCTAGATTTACCCTTCTCTTTGTATTAGTTAGGATTTTGGACTTCAGAATAAGGTGAAATTGAAATGTACATATTAATACAAAATAACTACAGTATTAAAAAGTAGAGGCAGAGCATGCATGCACACCAAGGCATTTCAGATGTGTCAGCCAGGGCTCTTACCACACGGGGAAAAAATAAAGCCATTCTGGGAACCACTGGGACACAGGTCCAGCCCCCAAATGTGAAGCCTGATAATAGAAGAGGACAAAATCCTTTTGAGTGGGGCTCCAGGCCCAGAAGATTTCTGCAAACTATTATCTAATTTGATTCCCCTCATTGCATTACAGGAGGATTTAAAACACATCACCTCCAGCTGAAATGGGTTCTGGTAAATTTCTTGAGAGCTCTCACCGATCTCACGTCATCCTCTGGGTTCAGGGTCAACGCTACATTAATGACCCACCATTTATCCTCTGCGTAATTCATTCCCTGGCAACCTATTTTATTTATGCTGTATAAATTCAGGAAGCAATTAATAGTTGCCACAAAAGCAACATGATTCAGGGTGCTTTTCTCAACAAAACTTCAGAGCACGGCACTTCTCATGCCCCAAGGCAGGGAAGGGAAGCAAAGCTGACTGAGGAAAAGCACTAAATCATTTCGCTTCATGTTCTATCCTCCTTCTGCCCCTGGTTGGAGAGAGGCTGAGGTAACTTTCTGGCTTTTTCTCTTAGCACTTTCTTTTCCCCTTTCAAAAAGAAATCATTCCTGTTGCTGACAGCTGTCCATGCTACCTTTTTTGGTATCCTGTTTACCTTATGGTTCTGTTCAGGCAAAAGTAATTTAATAATAACACCATAAAAATCATGAGGAAAGAGCAGTTTACTAATTAACCAAAAACAAATTATCCCAATGCAGAAAAGAAATGAAAATCGGAGTCCTTCCAGGATTTGACTTTATCTGCACTCCACAAGCATCCTCCCAGGTAGCTGAGACAGATATCAGCCAAAGAACGGAGAGGTGACTTGTTCATGTTGGCAGAGGGTCAAAAGAGAAGTCAGAATTCAAACAATCTGCTGGCTTCAGGTTCAGAGCATTTGTTAAGGCATTATATAATTTTTTTTTCTCTGAGGACTCCAAGCCATTTGCTCGTAAGCTGTGGTAGATGCTGTGGATTGGTTAACCCAGCTCACATCCTCAGGCCCCTTCTCCCAGACAATTTTACTGTTAAGAGCTGCCCATTTGACTCAATGAGATGTAAGTGGAAGCCCCTGGGTGGCTTCCAAGACTGCTTTTTAAAGGAGACAAGACCCAGCTAGTGTGATTCTTTGGCCTTTTACCCTTCACCTTTTGGCCCTACACTCTTCTTGCCTGGAATGTGATTACAAAGCTCCAGCTGCAGTCTTCCTGTGGCCCTGAGAATAAAGACCTATGTGCTAAAGAGATGGAAAGGAAAAATATAGAAAGGGCCTGGATTGCTGATGGCATCGATGAGCCACCATACCATCTCTGTACTGCCTATCCTCAGAATCTTGTAACGTGGAAGAAACAAACTTACCTCCTGGTTAAGCCCGGGTTAATTAGGTTTTCTGTTATCTGAAGCTGAAAGTATTGCAGCTGAGATCTCCTCTCTCTCTCTCTCTCACACACACACACACACACACACACACACACACACACACACACCCCAACTTCTTAGTAGGAACTAGACATTCCTTAACATGATAAAGAATGGCAATCTTAAACCTACAGCCAACATTATATTTTAATCAGTTGAAAGACATTCATTTTCCCTTAAAATCCAGGAGAAAGACAAGAATGCTCCATATTACCTCTACTATTTAAATACTTAAGAAGTTCTGTCTTAAAAAATAGATAAATACATAGAGATACAACTGCTGGAAAGAATAAGATAAAATAGTTATGATGTGCAAATGAATAAACCCAAGAGAATAAAGGAAAGGCTTACAAGTATAGATTTATTAAAGTATAAGAGACACAAGACAATATATAAAAACTAAAAACACTTCTATGTTGCTAGTAACAAGCAAAATTTAAAACAGAGAAATCGAACCTTTAAAAATGTTAATATGCTTTATGCTATAATCCTCCCTCCAGTAATCTAAGGAAAAATCCAAGATATGATAAATAAATATATAATAAATATGTATTATCAGGAAGGCCACCTAAGTGTCAGCAACATCATAAGTAGGTAAACAAATTATTCTATGACTTAAGTTCGATAATATTAAAACCATATTCTCAAAGACTAATGACATGAGAAAACATTAACAATATAATGTTAAATGAAAATAGATGTTTATAAGACTGTACACATCATATAAATAGGCAAAAGGCAGACAGACAGGCAGACACACAAACACACACACGAATAATGGGGGAGGGGAAAATACTAGAAAGAAATACACCAAAATACTAAGAAGGTAATCTGTAAATAGTGGGATCATAGATTATTTTCATTTCTTTATATTTTTAATATTTTCCAAATATTCTCTACTAAGCATTTACTTAGCTTGTAATTCAGTGTCTCTGACCATTACAACATGGTAACTCTCAATCACATGGACCACCAGCTTTGTCAGGGTTATAGTTCTGCATAACAACCACTAAGACAGCACAACCTCTACCTCCACCTAGATTTTTTTTTCTTTATAGGGTAGTAAGGAACATTTGTTTTCTCCCTAGTGAAGAAGTAAAAATGCTTCTTTTATAAACACTAGAAACTCCTTTTACAAACACTTAAGAAAACTGGAATAGAAAATTGGGATCTTTTGATAAGTGTCTGTTCATGTCCTTTGTCCTTTGGTTTTCTAGGGGCTGACATTAAGTTAACAGGCAGTACTACTGATAAATATCTCATAACCTGGACTACTCAACCCAAGAAGTGCTGAATACAGTGAGGATGGCTAACACCCACACCATAGAGAGCGTGCCACAAAGAAGTCAATGTCTTTGGTTTGCTGAGGTCTCGAGCCCACCCCAATGTGATTGTTAGCTAAGACACTAAGCACAAATTAAATGTAGAGACTGAAATGTGTTTTTCCCCTAAAAATTAAGAGTCAGGATGTGAGTCTTGAAGGATATTCTGCAAGGCAGAAGGAAGAATGAGAGAAAAGAAGAGACTGTGTCTGCATTAAGCTTTGGTCACTGGCCATATGGGTCTTCTCAAGGGCAGAGCACCAGTACTCTAGTAGGGGGCTCCACAGAGTCATCTCAAACCTAAAAGAGACGTTCATACATTCAGCAGAAACTTCAGAGGAATCCCTAAGATCAAATGTGTACCCTGTGAAGTATTAATATTTGCCTGGTCTTGCTCATTGCATATCTTTCTAAATAGGATTGTCATCACAAGTAACCCAGCTTTTCTGGGATGCTAGGAGTATTGCCTAGAGATAAGGCCATCCACCTAAGAGGGAAGCCGGTAGTTTTAGCTGCCTGAATAGTAATTCCATGTGATAAGTCAGATACATTGTAAGAAAAGATAAAGGTAGAAAGCAATGACAAAATGCCATGTAGTATTACACAAAAGCTAAACATTATGTCCATACTAAAACTTCTACATAAATGTTTATAGTAGCATTACTCATAGTAGCCAAAAAAAGTTAAAACAACCCAAATATCTACCAACAGCTGAATGATAAACAAAATGTGGTACATCCATACAATCAAATACTACTCATCCATAAAAAAGAATGCAGTACTGATACGTGCTACACATGGACGAACCCTAAAAACATTATGCTGAGTAAAAGAAGTCAAATACAAAAGACCTCACGCTGTATGATTTCATTTATGTGAAATGTCCACAATAGGCAAATCCATAGAAACAGAAAGTAGACTAATGGTTGCCAAGGGCTGGGGAGTTATGGATAGGTAGTTACTGCTAATGGATACAGAGTTTCTTTGGAGGGTGATGACAGCATTCTAAAATGATAGTGAAAATAGGGGTGACAGTTGCACAACTCTGTGAACATACTAAAAAACCACTGAGTTGTACAATTCACTTCAAAGAGTGAATTTTATGGTATGTCAATTATATCTCAATAAAACTACTACTAAAAAAATAAACATATGTTTTGATTCCTCTCTCCTCTGCAATAGCTTCCTTGTTTTTCTCTCAGTTTTTCTGTTTCACTCTAAAGATAACGCCAGAATAATCTTCCTAATACTGCCATCAAATAATTTCTACGGTCAAGAACCCACCATGCCTTACCTCACACCATATAAAACATCAACACAAAATGGACCAAAGACCTAATTGCAAGGGCAAAAACTATAAAACTCTTACTAGAAAATATAGAGATAAATTTTTATGACTTGGCAATGGCTTCTTGGATATAACAACAAAAGCACAATCAACAAAAGAAAAAATAAATCATTTGACTTTACCAAAATTGAAAACTTTTCTGCATCGAAAGACACAATCAAGAAAATGAAAAGACAACCCACAGAATAGGAGAAAATATTTGCAAATCATATAACATATACAGGTCTAGTATCTAGGATATATAAAGAGTGCAACCTGCAGAATGGGAGAAAATATTTGCAAATCATATATAAGAGTCTAATATCCGGAATATATAGAGTGCTAAACAATTCAACAACAAAAAGACAAACACAACTTTAAAATGGGCAAAGGACTTAAATAGACATTGTTCCAGAAATAGCAAACAAATGGCTAATAAACATATGAAAATATGCTCAACATCATTAGTCTTTAGGGAAATGCAAATCAAAACCAGAATGAGATACCACTTTATACCTACTAGGATGGCCATAATATAAAAATGAAAAATAATGAGTGTTGGTGAGGATATGGAGAAATTGTAACCCTCATATATTGCTGGTGGGAAGAAAAATGGTACATCTGCTGTGGAAAACAGTTTGACAGTTCCTCAAAAACTTAAACATAGAATTGTCATGTGACCAAGCAATTCCACACCTAGGCACAGGCCCAAGCGAACTGAAAATAGGTGTTCAAACAAAGCTTGTACAAAATCTTCATAGCAGCATTGATTCACAATAGTCAAAAGGTAGAAACAACCCAAATGTCTACCAAATGATGAATGATATGCCAAATGTGGTGTGTATATATACGGTGGAATATTACTTACCCATAAAAAGGAACGTAGTACTGATACATGCTCCAGCATGGATGAACCTCAAAAATCTTATGCTAAGTGAGAGAAGCCAGACATAAAAGGCCACATACTGTATGATTTATTTTATATGAAATATCCAGAATAGGCAAATTTATAAAGATAGAAAACCAAGTAGGGGCTCTGGTAAAGGAAGAAAGGGGGCTGTCTGCTTAATGGGCACAGAGTTTCTTTCAGGGATGATGGAAATATTCTGGAATTAGATAATGGTTGCACAAAATTGTGAATTTACTAAAAGCCACTGAATTATACACTTTACAATTTTATATGACTTTTATCTCAATAAACAGAAAAAAAATTACCCACTATGGTTCCTTAACACCTAGACTTTGAAAGCACTTCTTCAATTATTCCTATCCCTTTCTTTTCTGACTTTTCCATTCCTTTTTATTCATGTCCTAATTCAGTACACCAGTGCTGTGCCCCTTAGATCAGAACACAATTTGCTGATTCCAAACTCTATTTCCTCAAATGCTATTTTCTTCACCTGGAATACCTCCCTTACTCCCCTACCATGTAAAAAATCTCAGAATCAAAAGGGCCAGAATGTAATTCCAGATCACTACTTACTGTCTTACCTTGAGCAAGTCAACTTTTCCAAGCCTCATTTCTTTACGTGTAAAATGAGTAGTCAAATTTCAATTAATAAATATATGTATCAAAATTCTGCTTTGTTCTAGAGTAATATTACCTGCCCAGCCCACTATACAGGTCAGTTAACCATACAAAATATACAGAAATGCTTCATGAATTATAAAGCACCAAATCTATGTAAGGTCATAATATAATCTATGCCACTGTTTCCCAAGCTTCAGGAATTTTCATATCACAAAAGTGGTGTATGCCAAGTCTCACCACCATAAAATTATAACTTAACATTTGTAATCAACTCACTCATTTTACTTAAACAGATTCATTTTAAAATAGAAAGCTTATATCACTGCCATGACATCATTGGTTTCATGTTATAATGTTTCTATACATGTTAAAAATAAAGACACTACCATAACAATATAAAATGCGTACCCAGATGCCACGTAAAGTCACCTTCTGTACCATCTCTAGCAGCACACATGGTAAACACTGATCTCTGCAAACTGCCTTTTTAAAGATCTGAATCCAAATTTACCTACTCTAGAAAACCTCCCCCTCCCTTGATCTACTTTTCATCCCATTTTAGGACTTCTTTGCTCCTTCATGATAAGTCCTTGCGTGTTTAATTTATACCCCATCACTTTTGTGTGTTTTAACTTCACTGTTCTCAATACTTTCACATCTGTGCTTTTTCTTCTGTACTAGATTGTAAAATACCAAAGGCAAAGACTTTGACTTGTTTCTTTTAGTTCCTCCCATAGGCCCAACTACAGCACAAAAACATTTACTGAATGGATAAAAGGTTGACTGGATGTTAATTGTCTACTAAATGCTTGTAGTTAACCTATCATCTCATTTCTAAAGATAGAGCAAAATTAACCCACATCACTTCCTACTCTATATGTAGCTACACTAATAGCCTAATACAGATACCAATCCATGAGAAAGGTGAAAATAAGACTCATGCCTGGCACATCGCAGGCATTCAGTCGATTCTGTGGAATGGATGTTGAATAAGTGAGATGATTACTTAGCAGTGCCTGCTTTTTCAGACAGACCACCTGCAGAAGGTGAGGGGCACAGACTAGTCAGCGTGTGAAAACTAACGCCCACCTAGGGCTGAACATCCGAGCTGTGAGCAGCTGAACTCAGGGCTCTGGTCAAAACCACCTTCCACCAGCCCAAGTGCAGCTCTACCCTGATGAGGGGCTCAGTCCTCAGCTTGCTACTCTACTAATTAGAAGTAAATCTCTATAATACAGGAGAGCCTTTGAGTGTCCACAGTGCATTTTGGCCATGAGTCTCAAAGCAGTGACAAAAGAAGCTGTGAGTGAAATTACTGATTGAATACATCGAGACCCAGAGCAATCCTTGTGTCAATGTTGACAGACCAGCTCTTTATCATCCAGCTCCAGGAGGACAAACGTAAAGCAAAACCACCAGAGATATAGGGAGAAAAGGAATGTTTGCAACTACAGGACCATGGAGTTTTGGATTAATAAAATAATAAATATTAATAACAACATGAATTGTTTTTAATCCTAAAGGAGCATAGCTCTTTACAGTCTACAAAGTGTTACTCAAATTTCATTATCCCATATGATCTTTATACCAGCCTTATCAGAGAAATAATTTGCCCATTTTTACAAATGAAGAAACTGAGGTTCAAAGGGCATCTTAAGCCCAGGTTTTCTGACTCCAAATACAGTGCTCTTTTGATCTCAGCATCATTTAGTTAAGCCAGCTTTCTTCTTTGTGCTGAAACATAGTAAGTAAATGTTTAATATAAGAAGATTCTAGAATGCCTTCTATACCAATGTTATAACAAAGATTCACTCCAAGTTTAAAGCACTGCTACAAAGTCTTCCTTATGTGAGCTAAATGTCTCTCCAGGGAGCCCCTGCCACTCCTTAGCCCCCAGATGACCACCACATCATCATCTCTAAAACCCTCCAAAGGCTACTGCACAGACCCTAAAAGAAACTCAAGCAAACTCTACCTACTAGATTCTTAATCACAACATCATCATGTTGGTCTCAAAACAAGACCCTGCTCCTCACCATAATTCTCGTTAGAAGATCTCTATCTGGCCTCCCAGACTTGTATAATCAGTTTGTTCCCCTTACTTACTCTTGGATTATCTGTACTAGTGAATAACTGGAGAAACAGAACTATACATTCTAATTAAACCATTCTATTGTTTTTATTTTTTTCCTTTTGTGTATTTTGTACCAATGATAACTAGATGAGGATAGTATAATTCCTTTCCTTCATTGTTCAATTTAGATCACTATTTAAAAATATATATGTATATGTATATGTATATACATATGTGTGTGTGTGTGTGTGTATACATTCTTTCCAACACTGTCTTTTCACAAGCTATCCAGTGCCCCCAAGATGAGGATTATCTATGACAGCCCCACAGTCCTTGGATGAGAGAGAACAGAGCATCCTCTTCTCAGTTAATTACCATTTCTTGCCTGTGCATTTGATTTCAATAAAGTCTCTCTAATTACTTCAAATATCACCGTGCCTCCCCCCTCCCTCTCTCCTGTGCCCCTCTTTCTCTTTGAGAGCGTGAGACTGATGAACTCAAACACCAGCAAGCCTCAGGCATATGCTGCAACGAGCAAAGACTTCTCAAAGTTAATAAGCCAGGAGAGTTAATAAACCAGACTTCCCAAAGTTAATAAACCTGGAAAACACAATTATCACTACTTTTACTATTATTAAAATATTGCCATTATGATTGTTGTTGTTATTCTCAGCCTTATCTGCAGCTACCCTAAGACCCTCCCCCGGGCCTGCCTGCCTCCTCTTCCTTCCCCCATCCTCACCAGTGGCAGTAATATTGTGTGAGTAATCCCAGGGGGGCTCCCCGGCACTGCCCTGTTGGAGGAAGCAATATTGGAGCTCGTGCAGCCCCTGGTCCCTTCAGGCCCAGCTCTGCCCTTTTATATTACACACTGTTCAGTCAAATCCATCACTGGCCTCCCAGATCTTTCCAATAGGCATGAGAAGGCTGGGTGGAAATGATGATTAAAGGAGCTAGAGACGGGGAGGAGGGGAAGGGGGGTAGATGAGATAGGGGAGAAGATATTTGGGTTTTGGACATGCCTGAGCTGTCACTGAGTCCGATTTCCATATGATGGCTTCTGAGGATCAGTACTTCCCTGCACCCTCTAGGCAAGGCATGATTCTCCCAGGATCCACTAGGAATGTCTCAAATCAGGGTAATATTAACCGTAACTGCTTTGCAGACTCCCCACAAATGTGTTCCTCTCTCTCCTGCTTTCTTTCCCTTTGGAGGAATCAATGGAGACGGAATTCTTTTAGAACTGGTCAATGGTATTAAACAAGTGGGGAAAGGATCACAGGGCAGCAGGGCCTTACAATTCATCTAGGCCAACTTCTCATTTTATTCATGAAGAAACTGAAGCCCAGCAAAGTCAAGTGTGCCTGGGCCAGCTGGTTAAGAGGAGTTTCTAGACTGGCCGCCTGGCCTGTTGATCTCCAGCACACCTTCCTTTTGCACCTGGCTGCATCCTTTTCTTCCCCAGTTCTTCCTAGGCCCTCTTCATCCTGTTTCCTGTCAAACTCAACCATTTCCCCCAAACTTGCTCAGTTCCACGTAGTTGCTATTTCAGTGATTTGTATCACTATGCCCCTGTGATCCCCAACTAGGAGAGATTCTAGATGTCTAGAGATATACTTGATTGTTACAAGTGCAATCACAATTGGCATCAAGTGGGTAGAGCCAGGGATGCTGCTAAACACCCTACAATGTGCAGGGCAGCCCCCTCACCCCCAGACACACACACAGAACAAATAATCATATGGCTTACAATGGCAATAGTGCTGAGACAGAGAAACCCTACTACATCCACCATGGCTCAACAACTCAATTACCTTGAAATTTCCTTGATGGGCAGCTGAAAACATGCATCTAGAGACTAGGGTAGAGATGGATTTGGTAGGTTTGAGATCCAGAAGTCACCCTCTGGAGACGCCAGCTGAAACTGGGAGAGTGGACAAGTTCATTGGCTGGAAGAAGGTAGGCAAAAGAGATATAAGGAGAGGACTGTGGGAAAGGACCACAGAGGGACCGAAAGGAGGAAGCAGCAGTACTCCAAGGAGAGAAGAAATCCAAGTGCAACCCAAACAATGGGCTAACTCTACCTTTGCAATACAACCAAGCAGAGGCTCAAGCCATGTTTCAAAGGACTACTGCAGTAGACATGGACACCCAGAAAAAGCCCCAGGTCACCCTGATCCCAACAAAGCCAAGCCTGACTTAGAGAAAGAGCTACTGAAGATGGCCCTCTGAGCGTGCAGAACCACCAGAAGGCAAGGGCAGGACTGCTGCCAAATCCTGGAGCTGAGTCTTGAATTCCAGGTCCTATCCCAGAACCCATCCAGAAAGGACACAGACACAAAGGCAGCGATTCCTCCACTGCCCTGAACAACCAGCACTTAGGAATCCCCTCCCAACTGACAGCCTCAGGTTTCTCGTCCCACAGCACTCCACCACCAGGGAATGAAGCTGAAGCTGGACTGTAGGAGCCACTTGGGTCTGGACACACCACCCAGGCACAAAGGGAGGGACTCCCACACTGCTCACAGCCCAAATCCAGTCCCTCTTCAACAAGGTAGCTGCTGCCAGCAGGAAGCTTCAGAAGGAGTCAAGTGTAATTAAAAGCTGTGAAAGCAGCATTGTGTCCATTGTAAATCCTTCTCACTAAGAGGGCTTTACCAGGGAATTCTCAAAGATGGGGAGAGGGCAAAGCTGTGACAGCCACCACCTCGACTTAGAGAGTCCAGGAAGGAACTTTAATGGAAAAATATTTCTATCTAATATGGAAACAAGGAAGTTGCATGACTTCACTCTGTCTCTGGGTTGAGACTAGTGGGGAAAGAAAGAACAATGTCAGTGGAAGGAGAGATAAGGAGGAGAGCATATGGCACAAGCCAGGAGAAAGAAAATTGCATTAACAAAAACACCAACCTGCACCCTTGTTTAGTTCTTTCTCACTGTTTCAAACAGAAACCTGTGGATTCTGGTCAGTTGCCCACAGGCAAAGTATCCGTTCTGTGACCTGTGTTGAGGTCACAGTGTTCACTCATCTAGATTTTAGCTCCAGTAATAAACTGTTAGCATGTGACATAAACAGATCACATAAAGATGTACATCTGTCGCTGGGCAGGAGGCTGTCCCATAGTGCTATGTCCACAGTGAGGAAAGTTCACAAGAGGATACAAGTGAGCCCGATACAAGCCCTGCAGTCTGGAAGCAGGCTTTCTGTTTTACCTCTGCAGCACTCCCACCTACCTGAAACTCTGTCCCAGTATCTGGCCAGAAACCCAACAAAGACTGAACTATGTGGTCCACCCAACAGGGCCATATTTACAATGCACCTGTGCCCTTGATGGCTGGCATCCTGCTGGAGGCACAGCAGCATGAGTGAGACTCAGGGAGGTGGACCAACAGAGAGATTCAGCCCCATCCAACTCAGTCATATTCACAGAGGCACAACTAGAATAAAACATGAAGCAGACCTTAATTTTCCAGTGAGTCCTAGGTTTCCTCCTGCATAGCAAAGGCAAAGGCATGTCCCATTCATGTCTTACTCCTTTGTGTTTCTTGTCTTATCTCAAGATCTTATCCCACGTGGAAAGAACATGGCTTCCAGAAATAATCTCAGCTCACAGTGCAATTGTCAGGAAAAATGAAGCAATTTATCTCTCTGGAGCAGAAATCTCAAAATACAAAATGATGCTCATTGTGGTATCAATGTGCATCAGGGCATACCTCCCCCATGGCAAAAGAGAGCCCTGAGCTGAGAATTGGAGAGGTCTTTGTATTCGTTCATTTTCACACTGCTATGAAGAACTTCCCTGAGACTGGGAAATTTATTTTAAAAAAGAGGTTTAATTGACTCACAGTTCTGCATGGCTGGGGAGGCCTCAGAAAAATTACAATCATGGCAGAAAGGGAAACAGGTATGTCTTACATGCTGGCAGGTGAGAGAAAGAGAGCGTATGTAACAGGAACTGTCAAACACTTATAAAATCATCAGCTCTTGGGAGAACTCACTCACTATCATGAGAACAGCATGGGGAAACCACTCCCATGATCCGGTCACCTCCCACCAGGTCTCGCCCTCGACATGTGGGGATTATGGGGATTACAATTCAAGATGAGACTTGGGTGGGGACAGGGAGCCAAACCATATCAGTCTCCCACACAGAGGAGATGTGCAAATACACTGCTTGATCTCCAAGCAAGACAGGGCCTCTCTGTTCCCAAAACATGTCAGCAAACCAAAGGCCATTCAGTGAAGGGCAACCAGCATGACACGGTCTGAGAAGGCTAATTCATGCATGGAGTAAAGGGAGTAAAATTGAACATCCCCACTAAATGGGAAAAGAGAACAGAACAATGTAGTTGAAGGCAGAGGCAGTAAGTGCCCACATGCAACCCCCCCACCCCCGCCACTGCAAAAAAAAAAACCTTACAGTGATATGGGTGAATAAGAGGTTAAAAAAATCAGAGGATACAGAAAATTTTGGTGGAGTCTGACAGAAGAGGCTGTTATTAGTAAAACCTATCAGACTGTCCACTCACTCAACTCTCAAAAAATCAAAAACTGTGGAAGTATAAAATAATTTATAGAGTTATAGCACATCAAACAATCAAAAATGTTATTATTAGGCAAATAACTATCTCCAAGACTGACACATTGTTTGAGTATGTCTATGGACTATCTGTGTGGCCCAGCTGGGAATCAGGGTTCCAGTGCTGGCTCTGCCACTCATTAGCAATGTGACTTCCTTATATGCAAAATGAGAAGACTGAATTTATCCTACTGTTAACAACAACTGACATGGGGCAATTAGTCTGTACCAGAAATAACTCTAAGTGTTTTATATAATTGCACTTATTTCATCTTCCCAGCAATATCGTAAGGCAGGTATTATTATTCTCTTTTTACAGATAAAGAAACTAAGGCATAAGAGGTTAATAACAGGGTCACAAAAGTGGCTGAGCCAAGATGTGAAGTCAGGCACGGTGGCTCATGCCTGTAATCCCAGCACTTTGGAAGGCAAAGGCTGGAGGTTCACTTGATCCCAGGAGTTCAACACCAGCCTGGGCAACATAGAGAGATCCTGTCCCTACAAAAAATTTCAAAGTTAGCTGGGCATGATGGCACATGCCTGTAGTCCCAACTATTTGGGAGGCTGTGGCAGGATTGGTTGAACCCAGGAGGTTGAGGTTGCAGTGAGCCAAGATCATGCCACTGCACTCCAGCCTAGGCAGAACAGAAAGACCTTGTCTCAAAAATAAACAAATAAAAATCTGAAACAAGTTTCCTCTTCCAGTAATGGCTGAGTAGCTCCTATGAGACCAACCTCCCCCAGATAATTACAAACCGTAGACAAAATATAGAAAACAACTATGTGAAGATAGCAGACAACGGACCAAAAGTAGGCAGATATTGAAAGGGAGTCACCACATGGAAGAAGGAACTGGAACTTGATTTTCCTGTTCTTACAGGCTTTAGTCATACAGGGTAACTAAGAAACTCAGATGGAAAACCCATAGTCTTACTGACTAGAACAACCAGGGCACCGAATCTGGGGTAAACACAGCAGCTAGAAAGTGAGGGAATAAACCTGGAAAGACACAGAGAAGAGGAGCTCCAAATTCTATATATAAGCTTTATCCAAATGTCCAGCTGAGCCCTGACCTACACACATACTCCAAGTAGTCCAATTCAGGATCAAAGAATTGAACTGAGATTCCCTGTAGATTCTTTCCCTATAGCTCACCACAGGGAAGAAAGAGTTTGCAGTTTGAGTTCAGCCAAGTTAACTGCCTACTGGCAATTTTAAAAAATAAGATATAAATATTCTTTGAATGAACATAACAATTCAGGTTATTGATAATGTGTCATGTCCAGGACACAATTTAAAATTATTAACATGACCCATACTCAAGAGGAAGGATGATCAACAGAGGCCAACCCTCAAGTGACCCAGATGCTGGAATTAGCTGACAAGGATTTTAAAGCATCTATTATAACTATGCTCAAGGATATAAAGAAAAATATGTTCAAAAAAGGAAATGATAGGAAATACCAGAGAAATACAAACTATAAAAAATCAAATGAAAATTCAATAGCAATACTGTCCAATACAACTTTCTGCAATGATGGAAAAGATCTGTATCTTTGCTGTTCAATCAGTGTCATTAGTCACATGTAGTTATTGAACACTGGCAATGTGGCATGTAACTAAAGAAATCTTTTTAATTCATTTAAATTTAAATGAGCAAATGTTGCTAGTGGCTACTAGGCTGTAGAATTCTAGAACTAAAAAGAACAATATCTGAAGTAAAAATTTCACCAGAATAGCTTAATGGCAGATTGGAAATGACAAAAAAGTTTATGAACTTAAAGATAGATAAATAGAAGTTTTCAAATCTAAAGAACACAAGGTGGGGCCGGGCACGGTGGCTCACACCTGTAATCCCAGCATTTTGGGAGGCCAAGGTGGGTGAATCCCTTGAGCCCAGGAGTTCGAGACCACCCTGGGCAACATGGCAAAACCCCGTGTCTACTAAAAATACAAAAATTAGCCAGGCATGGTGGCAGGTGCCTATAATCCCAGATACACAGGAGGCTGAGGCACAAGAATAGCTTGAACCCAGGAGGTGGAAGTTGCAGTGAGACAAAATTGTGCCACTGCACTCCAGCCTGGGCAACAAAGTGAGACACGGTCTCGAAAAAATAAAATAAAAATTAAAAAGTAAATAAAGAACACAGAGGGGAAAAGACTGACAACTATAGTAAAAGGAATAGAGGAAGAGAGTAAACAGATGTATATAGTTCCAAGGCTCTTACATATTATGTGCAATATTAACTCTAAGTATACTGTGAATTTTTAGGGAGGTATATTGTAATCCTGAGAACAACCACTAAAAAATTAACAATAATGTGAAGAGGTATAGGTTAAAAACAATAAGTAAATTAAAATAAAATTCTTTAAAAATTCCATAAACCAAAAGAAGGCATGAAAAGAGGAACAGAGAACAAACAACAGAGTGCATAAATAAAAAGTAAATAGCAAAATGGTAGACCTGGCTCTGACTGTATCAATAATTAAATTAAATGTTAATGAATGAACTAGACACTTGAATTAAAAGAAAGAGATAGAATGTCAGAATGGATAAAAAAACAAGACTCAGCTATCTACTGTCTACAGAAGATAAACTTTAAAAAAACAAAGATTAGGAATAAGGCAATCTTTCCTATTTTTAACTATTACACTATATATAACATATGAAGTACTATCCATTTCTAAAGTCCAATGATTCCACATGTATATGAGTATATGCATATACACATATATATACACACATAAGTATATAATGTATAAATATTTTTATGTTCAGGATACAATTACAATAATTAATTGTCAAATTAATGTGTGCCCAAACCCAGAAGAAATTGTGGAAAAGAAAATTTATCAAGCAAACACATCCACCGTTGCTTATTTTGTTTCTCAACAACATTCATTCTAACAAGTAATAAGATGGAGTTTGGGGATAATTGTATCTAGAAAAATCACTTCACTTATTCTTAGACAGTGACTTAAACCTATCTTCTCAGCAACAGAACTGTCTCAGAGCTATTTGCATTTAAATTTTCATGGAAAGGGTTGGCATAACCTTTCCACATAGCTTGGTGACTGAAGCAGACAGCATCTCCAGGGCTTTGTCTTACACACAAAGCAGCTGTGACACAGTGCAAAGAGCACCGGACTTGCCACTAGAAAACCTGAGCCTCACTCCCATCTATGCCTCTTTTAGAAACCATGCGGCATTGGGACCATCACTTAGCCTCTTGGAGCCTCGATTTCCTTATCTCCAATAAGATTGTGGTGATAATTACATGATACAGAGTCTGTTTTCCTAGATTCACTAGGCCTTTATTCTTACCTCTTTGCCTGGACTGCCTTCCTTCTTTTTGTTTTGTTTTGATTTGTTTTGAGACAGAGTTTCACTCTTGTTGCCCAGCAACGGAGCGATCTCGGCTCACCACAACCTCTGCCTCCTGGGTTCAAGAGATTCTCCTGCCTCGGCCTCCCGAGTAGCTGGGATTACAGGCATGTGCCACCACGCCCGGCTAATTTTTTATACTTTTAGTAGAGACAGGGTTTCACCGGGTTAGCCAGGATGGTCTCCATCTCCCAACCTCAGGTGATCTGCCCACCTCCGCCTCCCAAAGTGCTGAGATTACAGGCATGAGCCACTGTGCTAGGCCCCCTTTTCTTCTCAACATTTGCTTTTTATCCTTCAAGGATTCACTCAAGGCCACTTTTCTCATGGTGATACTCCAAGTTTTGAACAGCATCAATCTCCCACTTTTAAATTTGAATTTAAAATTTTTAAAAATTTCCCATTGCATTCACTGTCTCTTCTACACAGTTTTTCTCTAAATGATAAAAATCATTTGTTCTCTACATGTTTTATTTTTATACATCTTCACCCTCCAAAATACTTTATAGTTCTTGAAGCCCAAGGACATTGTTTATACACACACACATGCATACACACAAACACGCACACACACACAATGAAAACACCAGGCTCAATAATAATGATGACCGCCCTGGATCTTGGGTTCCTCATTCTAAAAAGAAGCAGTTACATTAGGTGTTTTCTAATATCCCTTGTAGGGATTGCCTATGAATCTTAAATATTAATAAGAACTCACAGCTGTATGGCTTTCTACAGATTTGAAGCACCTTTGCATAGAATGTCTCATTTGACAACCACCTGTGACATAAATTGATTAGTATCTCCCTTATAGAAGTGAATAAATTCAAGCTAAGGAAACTTAAACACAGTAACTGGCAAAGACATAGGTGAAGGGTAGCCTAATGATTGATAAATGGACTCACATAGACAGAGCTGGGTCAAGACACACAAAACAGTTGCACCACTAAACCCAAGATTGAGTTAGTATGAGTCATTTACTTGAGACTGCCGACTGACCCACAAATAATATGAACAAAGCAGTGAATAGATTGCGGGATAGATCAACTAACCAGCCTGCAATTCAGTTGAAAAGGCACAAGCAAAAATGAATAGACACAGAATATTCTAGCAATACAATCACTGCTGTCTCCAATTCCATAATGATGTTGATGATAATGATGAGTTAAGTTTTAACTCATCATCAGCTTAATAACAGTAAGTTTTAAGTTATTTACATTGATCATCTCATTTAAAACTCAAAACATTCCTTTGAGGTTGGTAATATATCATCCTAACTTTAAATGTGAAGGAACTGAGGCACAGAGATATCAAATACCCATCCAAGGTCACACAACTAATAAATGACAAGTTTCAAACCAGGTCTGACTCTCACATACCCTGCCACTATTTCAAAACTAAACATACATAATCACATGACTAATTATGAGGAAGCTAAATACTGTGCCGTTTTGCTTAAATTAAATTCTTTTTATGCTGATGTTGTCCTGACCATGAAAGGAATTGAGAAGAACTTCACTCCTCTTTACACCCAGCAAGTCTATAACTGAAGAGGCATTAGTGCAACAAGCTAAGGGAAGAGGTCTCTTTCAGGGGCCCAAGACCAGTCTCTTGATCTCCTGAGAGAAGGGCAGAAGCCCTCCAGGAATGCCCAGTCTCTGGCCACCGTGCCTGGGAGCTATAGCCCAACGCAGTCAGTCTCAGGAGGTCTAGAGTCACCCTTCAAGGGTGGCCAGGGAGGAAACTCTGTCCTAGAGTATTCCCTGATGCAGTAATTCTTCCCGCAAGTCCTGAATGTTTTTTACCTTGAATTGTATTGCTGAAACACCACCCCTTTGTTAAGAGGTTTACTGTGTGTTCAAATTTGAAAGAAAATATTTCTATGTAAATTAGTTTGGGTTCTGAAATAGAAAGACAGAATATAGGATTACAAATTAGGAATGATTTATATTATTTACTTAAAATATGACCTTCCTCTCTTTTAAGCTTTCAATATTCACTGCCCACAGTTTTGCATGGTACCTTCAAAATGAATCTTAAAAGAGTTGAGAGAAACTGTATATGATTTTCTTAAAAAATAAAAATTTGAAGACTTTGAACTTTTATAAAAGCAAAAATACATAATGTATGCATAAATTAATAATTGTTATAGATACATTTGAAAATGTGAGTGTATGTCCATTCACTAAATTAATAATAACAAATGGATTAATTAGGGAGCATTTCGTGGTCTTGTTTATAAAGGATAATCAATAACTCAGTAAGTCTTGTTATTATGCATACCTTCTGAGAGAAAGTGGGCCTCTTAAATACAGTATGATTTAAGAGGCCCACTTCTTTCGCATTATTTCCTTCCTGACAGCTATAATCAAGTCAGTGGAATACAGTTCAACATTCAGTTACCAACAAATGATCACAATTAGCAAAGAAAGGTAAACATAAGCCTCCTTAACAAATTTGCTAATTATTTTTCAGTTTGGGATTAATGTACCAAATAAATACTGGATGATCACAGTTTAAGTTCATCAGTCAGTTTGTATAAATCAACAAGGGCAAGTATATTTTATCTTCTATTTGAAGCTCCAAACCAAGTATTTCTTGTTCTTGATTTTTTTTCTTGAATCTGATGTATGTTTTTACTTTATGAGGCAATCTGTCAGCTTTTACATCCTTTTAAAATATTAGGTATATCCACCGAGAATTCTTAGAAAAAGTAATGCTGAGGTTTAAAGGTAATGAAAGAAACAAACCACTGGTATGAGAATAAAATTGCCCACGTGAGCCTACTCTGCAATTGGTTGGTATTGCTAAACATTACCAAGTAAATTATTAGTATAATTAGCATCCATTTATCGAGGATCTTTACTAAATGCTTTATAACATACATATGTTTAATCCCTAAAACGTATGTAAAGAGATAGTGCCTGCCTTTTAGAAATAAGGAAAGAGATTCCCCAGATGTTAACGGAGCTGGGATTTGAACCCATATCCCTATTGTCAGGGGTGGGGTGGGGTTTGGGGTTAAGGGTTCTCTATGTATCTTCCTGTCCTTCCTTCTCACAGTGTTATTTCCTTGTTAGAATGTGCCTAATTAAAAGTACTTAATACTTTTCCTTTCTTCTAGATCACTAACCTTTAATCATTTCGGGATCACAGGACACTTTGAAGATCTACTCAAATCTAGGGACCCTCTTCCCCAGAAACAGACACAAACAGACCCAAAGAGAGCCCGCAAATATCAGCATCACTGGATTTTTCACTTGCTTGCCTCCTTTACACTTCCCCTTCCTTTTTGGCCTCTGAAGAAGTTTTTAAAGAATAAAGTAATGGTGCTAAGAAGCAGAATATTATCTTGTCCATATCCAAGAAAAGCCTTGCTCTACCCCTACTCCATAAGCCTCTTTAACAAATTTGCTAATTATTTACCCCTACTCCAACCCCTCCACCTACACCGTTGCCATCTCAGTACAGGGCATCACCACACACCCAGCTCAGGGGGAATATCTTGGAATCACCCTTCTGTCTTCATTTTCATTCACTCTCACATTCAATTACTCCAGCCCTTCCTCAACGACCTAATGCCTATCCTATTCCAGGCATCAGACTTGTGAGCGAAACAATAATCCTTGCATTCATGGAGATTAAAATCTGATGGGGAGAACAAACAATATATTTAAATACTAAAGAAATAAACTACAGCATATTCTGGAAGATAATTAGTGGTCTGGGAAAAGAGAAACTATGCAGAAATTATGGGAAGATGGGGAGAGTAGAAGTGGGTTGCAATATTAAATAGGTGGTCAGAGTGGGAGAATATGGACATTTAGTACACACATGAGGGAGGAGTCAAACTTGTGGATATCTGGAGAAATGTATTTTGTTTATTTTCTTTCTTTCCATCTTGAATATAATCACTGCTGTATCCCAAGTAACTGTAACAATGCCTCATACATAGTAGTTGCTCAATAAGTATTAGTAGACAAAATAAATGAATGAATTAAAATTTATCTTTCAAGCTAAAACTGAGAGTTAAGGCCACAATTCTAAATCTTACTCTAAACATAACAATATCTTTAATTAAATGATAATTTTAGAGCATAGAGAAAAGAAACTCAGTCACAATGGATTCACCTTTTGAAGGGAAGATTGAAAAGCAACTATGCATGAAAAATGATAATAATCTGCACTCCAACTCTAAAACAACCAAATAGGAATGGGTTTTACAAAACAAAGAAACAAATAGTAGATCCTATACCAAAACGAGCTTTAAAATTAGAAAGGATTCTTGAAATCTGGGGCCTCTCCATGCTAAGTGACTCACTAATAAGGCCGTCATGAGGTGCATTGTCTCTTGCCATGGAGACTTGGTAAGACAGATGCCACTAATCCAGAAGTACCATCTTCACCCCTGACTGCATTCCCTATTGCAGAGCTGCATTTCCAGAGCACTGACTGTGTACTGATGTCCTTGGATTTTAAAATAGCTTGCTTGTGGCTGGTTATCGCCGTTATTTACCTCTTGGTGCCCCTGAGTCTAAGGATATGGGTTGGGTTCTCAAAGACACCAAGAGGAGTTGACTCAGTTTTAGTTGGCCAGAAGCTACAGCTTTGACCTTGCCCACTGACCCAACATAGGCATATCCTCAATTATGCTAGTGGACAGAGTGTGTCTGTGCATCTGTGTGTGTGTGTTTCTGTGTGTGTGTGTGTGTGTTACTACCCCAGAAACGGCAACTCAAAGTACATGTTCCATGTTTAAGAAGGTTGCCAGCAGCTGTTGAGGATTGATTCACCCCTTATGCACAATTTAACATCAAACCAAGGTCTGGGACACATCTTTTTCCATTAGCATCTCTTAAAAATACTATCCAATCCTAAGAACGAATAAGTACTATCTGGACAGATGCCACACTAATTGGAAGGCTACCAGAAGGACATATTCTCCCTCCATTTTGTCCCCAGAAATTAGCACAATCTGGTAAAAGTCAGGAATATGAGCTCCCTGGATTCCACAGCATGTGACTTTATTGATGGTGGGCCTTACCACATTACAGGTAATGTGAGCTTCAGAACCCTCTTTCTCTCTGAATAGCCAGCAATGTCAGGGCAAAGCTGAAATCACTTCATCATAACAGTTTGACCTCTGCAATACTGCACACCATTAAATTTTTAAGGGAGTTCATTGGGAAAGTCCTTTAATCCTTTAATAATTGAGTTGAGGGAAAGGGGCCGGTGATGGAGAGCATTTACCTGAGCTGATATTAACTAGGTTTGGCTACTAATGGCTTTCCAACAATCCCACTGTGTCCATGTTGCCATTTAAAAGAGTGCATTTCATTTGGCCCTTGCTCTTAACTGTCAACAGGGAAATTGAAAAATAATACATCATTAAGTGTTGCAATTTGTATTACAGTTCTCTACCCAAGTCTCCCTTCTAGCTCTATTGAGCGCAGTCCAAACTAAGGTCTAACAACCAGTTGACAAGTAGAAAAATCCATTCCATGAATTAGTTGGATGTCTATGATATCAAATAACCTGTCACTAATATATTTTCCACTGAATTTACTGGCCACAGAAGCAGAGCCATTGGAAAATACTTGGCTTCCTTGGTAGCACCAAGTTCAGTTTAATTCCCTTCTAAGCTCAGAGGTCTGGCCCCTTATGACCTTGTCACTGTTTCTTTTCTATGGTTATATGGATATGACAGCCCTAGACCTAGGGAAGTATTCCCACCTGACCATACACTGTTCTCCCTCTCCCTGTCAAAACAATTAATTCTCCACCATTGCACACATCAGGCTGTTTGTGAGCATGTTCCACACCTCAGAGAGCTCAAGGTAAAGGCACTGCAATAAATGGGATCATCTCAAAGAGGTTAAATGATTTGCCCAGGCCCAGCCAGCCAAAGCAGAGGCAAAGACAGAATTAAAGCTCAAAGATTCTAAAAACCCACTGTTATCCACTAGTCACCCTACTCTCCAGTCTGGGGAAGTAAACATATTAACCAACCAAGTGGACAACGCTACAAAACAGCAGTAGCTGGGTACAGACTGTGTTACTGCAGTCTGGTTAACAAGGAAGATGGTACCCACACCCTGAACTCCCTTGCTTTGAGAGTCCTCCCAAGCATCACAGAAAGCGAAAGCTCTTCAACTGACAGGCATGTGCATAGGCACAGCTGACTGGTTCCAGGCCTGAGGAGGCTTATAGACCTGTCTTGGGGAATTGGCCATGTGGTGGTATACTTCTGACAACATGCAATAGAGTTCTGCATGGATCAGGAGCAAAAACAAAAAGAGGTCAGGCCGGTGAGCTTCGCATTGAGATGACTGGTATCTGAAGAAGAAGGAAATAGGTGGGAGCCTCGCTCTACTGCCATTCCCAGGCCCATGACCCAGGAACGCATTGGCAAAGCAGCTCTGTGAGAAGCTCTCACCTACTGAGAGGCCTTGAGGAGTGATGGAAAGCAGACCCACCTCTGCCAGCCCCTGTACTGCAGTGATCAGTTCTAACAAACCCACAGGGAAATGTACAAAAGAACAAAGGGAAGGAGTGGTTGGGAAGGAGCAAAGCAGGGGCAGAACCTGTGCCCCAGATGTGCCCCTCACCCTTCCCTAGGCTTCTCCTCTATCACATGGATGCCCCACTGTCCCTCCTGGATCTTCAACTTCCTTCCTTCCCTGGCTAAACTCACCTTAGCCATCAAGCAGGCTCAAAACTACCTCATCCCAAAGCATCTTCCCTTCATTCTATCTCTACCCCAAGTGGTATCTTTGCCCCCCATCTTTTTCTCACTACGCATCTTCTTGAAAGAGTGGCCACATCACTCCCCCTATTTCTTCAACTTCTTTTTACTATATAGCCTTTATATGGTATAAAATGCTGTCCTGTACCCTCTATGCCTCTAGCAAACCTAGTTTGTTTGGTTTTTTGAGACAGGGTCTTGCTCTGTTGCCCAGGTTGGAGTGCAATGGTGATGGTTCATTGCAGCCTCAAACTCCTGAGCAAAAGCCATCCTCCCACCTCAGCCTCCCGAGTACATGGGACCACAGACATGTGCCACCACACCTGGCTAATGTTTTTGTTTTTATTTTTTTAGAGATGGGGTCTCACTGCTGGTCTCAAACTCCTGGACTCAAATGATCCACCCACCTCAGCCTCCCAAAGTGCTGGGATTACAGGCATGAGCCACTGTACCTGGCCAAAACTACGCTTGGTAAGGGCAAACAGGAAGCCCTACTTCTTGAAATTCCCTACTACTGCCCTGCCTTCCAGAACTCCACTCACTCTGATGTTCTCCCCTGCCTCTGTGTCATCTCATTACAGAATCTCCCAAAGCTCTTTGAATTCTGGTGTTCCCCCACAGAGTCAACCTTGGCTCTCTTTTCATGTAGTACACCCTTGGGCATTCCCCTCTTCTGATATTTATATGACAATGTATCCCAAAGCTTTGTGTCCTGGCTAGTTTCCAGATCTTCTTTCACAACTGCCTCCTGGACATCTCCACCTGACTGTCCCACCAGTAACTTAGTATAGCATGTTCACAGTTATCTCATTATCTGCTTCTGCCTGTCTCCTGCTCACTTCTTAAATTCCCTCTATCAGGTACTGATGTAACAGTCCACCTTGTCCCTTCTGGATCATCTTCAAATCTTCTCTCTTTATCACCCCTTTCCTCAGTCAAAAGTCATGATGTTCAACTTATCCTACGTCAGGAATATTTTCTAGGTCATGTTTGTCCTCTTCATTCCCAACCTCTCACCTTAATTCATATCCTTATTATCTCTTGCCTAGACTATAGCAACAACTATCTAAGTGGTCTCTGCCAGTCTCTACCCACACTCCTACCAGTGCCCCAGTTTGCCACCAGAATTACCTTTCCAGAAAATAAATATGGCCACAATATTTCATGCTTAGAAATCCCTGCTGGCTGCCTACTAACCACAGTATGAAACTGAATGTTCTTTGTATGTTACACAACACTCATAGTGACTTGGCATGATTTTGCAGTCCACAACCAGCCATACCCTAAATGCTCTTGATGTTGTGGCACCACCATGTCCATGACCAGTGACCACAGTAACTAGCACACTTTCTTTTCCGGGCTCCATCCATTTGCACATGTTTCTTCTTCCACTTGGAATTCTCCCATCATCTCCTCTTTTCCTACACTCCCACTCATCCTGCAAGAGCCAGTTAACATGTCACCTTTTCCATGAAGCTTTTTAAACAACCCCAAGCAAGTCACGTAATTAATTTATCTATTCAACTAACATGCATTCACTAAATACTATGCAAGATTATGGAGATGTAGGGATTATAAAACAAAACCAAAACAAGAAGTGTCTTCCTTCATAGAGCTTATGGTCTAGTGACATAGACAGACAATAAACCAAATATATATATATATATATATATTTCAAATTGTAATAAGTGCCTTGAAGATGATGAATAGCACATAGTAATACAGAACCAAGGAATTTAGATAACCTGGTTTTCTATCCCTGTGGCCATGCCTTTCTTAAAATAATGTTATTCTTTTTTCAAAGCATCTGCTTAATTTACATGTCTAAACAGTTTCTGCTAGACCTTTAGTACATGAGTGATTTGTTTTATTCATTTTTACATACCTGACACATACAGGAATTTAATACGAATGTTTGATGATTAAATGAATGAATGAGTGATTTAATTAATGAACCAACTGTTTATAAGAGTCTGTTTAACTCTAAATTAGAAAATTCCACATGCAACTAGGTAAAGTACATTCCAGTTGCTCATGTGTTACCTGAAATCTCTAGTTTCATTAAATACCAGTTTACAAACATTAAATTCAGACACATATTTCATCTCTCCAAAATGGACTAGAACTAGTTTTAAGAGAATAAAATTTCAGCAATGGTGAGAGAAATAATACAATACAGGAATACTCAGTTTCCTTAAAAACTGGGATTCCATTATCACTTTTTGATCCAGCTAGGCCAAGTAAAAAACAAGAGGGATGTCAACAGTTCTGGAAATCAGCCTCCACTGGGGGCACAGTGGGATCTTTTCTAGCTAAGGCTGAGACTTGTTTGAAAATACAACACAGTTCAGAAGAAAACTTGGAAAGGGGTTATGCAAGGAATGGATGGACAGCTGCTGGCTGGTCCCGATGGAAGTTATGCTGGAAGCTCCGGATATGATATTCAACAGTTCTGCTGCCAAATGTGCAGACAAGCTCCCAGGACAAAAGTCACCAATAGCAAACCCTGGGAGCTGGAGAGAAAGAAAATGGATTCTGCTTGCCTTTTTGTCCTTCTTCTGGGGGCTGGGGGGAAGAAGAGCTATGCTATATGCTAGAGGGGCAATAGAGATCAATGGGGTTGGTGTGGGATAGGAAAGGATGGGCTAGGACAGCTTTGTGTGTGTGAAGGAGTTTGACAAACAAGAGCAATGATTGTATATGAGCTGATTTCTCATACAAACAAAGAGGCAATCCCCAAATCCTAAAAACTTCCTTTAAAACCACAGAATACTATAAACAGCTGACCATCGGGAGGCTGCCTGAAAGCTCAAGTATCTAGCAGGTGGGGACTTGTTTTCCAAGAGCTGGTTCAACAGGACAAACTGAGAATTGTGATCTCACTGGGGTGTGAACACCAGAATTCAAGCAGCAGATGGTGTGATTTAGTGGAAAGGCCATTGGACCAGGAGTTAGAGGCTGGGGACAGCATCCCAGTTTCCTCTTCCCCAACAGCGTGACCTTGGGCAAGTTGTTAACTTCCCTGAGCCTTTATTTCCTCAGCTATAAAATGTAAGAGGAGAAAACTGAAAACCTCTCCTTACCTAACTTTTAAAACTGTTGTGAGGATCAATAGAGATAATATATGTGAAGGTTCTTTGAAAATTAAAAAGGATACATTTTTTCAGCAAATCATTTTACAGCATTTTCTATGAGCCAAGCATTGATCTGCATGCATTTCAAATATTAAACAAAAGTGAACCTTTGAGTTTGGTACTATCATTATCCCTGTTTTAGAGAGAAGAAATGGGCACAGAACAAGTAAGACCCTTGCCCATGGTAACACAGCTAAGGAACAGCGGGACAAGGATTTGATCCCAGATACTCTGGTTCCTAAGTCTATGCTCTTAACAACTACACTGTCTTGGCTTATCATACACAGCTTCTAAAACTATGTATAAGCTTTTACTCATATATAAATAATAATAATAATAATAATAATAATAATAATAATAACACCCAATCCTGTAGAGTACTCTACACTTTACCAAAAGGCCTTTCAGGTTAATTATCTTCTTTAATTCTCTCAATAACTTTATTCTTACATTCTATTGTATAGATGAGAAAACCATGGCTTGGACACCTGTTGACAATAGGACATGCGTTTCAAATTACTTTTTCAGTAATGGAGAGAGCTATGCAGTGTCCAAACCACTCATACCCACCTGTCTATCCCCTTCCAGCTATGAATATGGGTTTTTGAAATGGAAGATCCCAACCAAAGACAAAGCGTAAAGAAAATAAAGCCCATAAGAAAAAAAGTGGGTGCATAATACTGGCCAGCCATTCATATAGATAAACAGGGAAGCCTCCTACAAAGTGTTATTTGCACAAAATTATGTCCTCCACTAGTGGTTCCAGTCTAGAGCCTAAAATTCTACCCTAAGATAGTCATTCCTTTGACTGAACACCCTTCCGGTTAAAAAGTATCTTCAGAAGAATAGAACATTATCTTGTCCATCCCAATGTGAATTATTTCATAACATTCTCCCAATTTGACAGCTAGCTAAGAGCCAACTCTAGCCTGCACTCAAAGTAATATGAACCATAAAAGGTCACAAGATGGGTTCAGAGCATGAGACAAGCAAGAAGGCACAGCCAAGCTGAGATTCTGAAAATGGGGCTTAGGAAAACAAGTGCTGTGGTTGAATCCAGAAATTCAAGGTGCACAGAGCTCCAGGGAAAAGAGGAGTGCAATCAAAACTCCAGCCAAAAAGAGGAGAGAGGAGTCTCCTGGGATGTTCTTCCCTTCTGGGTTTCCAGAGTCTACCTCATGGCACTGCCAACTGGTTTTCATCTCTGAAGAGCTATGCCTGCATCCCTGTGAAGACGGTGGCTGTCATTACCAGAGAACACATGCACAGTAGGAATTCCTGCCACAATGTGAGGAGGAGCAAGAGGAGAAAGAGTGAGGCGGTAGCCAATAGCAGGGGAGGAAACTCTAGATGGTTATGTTTAAAAGGATTTGTTCCACTGTCAAAACCAGAAAGCTCTCCCCAAGAGCCAGCTTTAGAGAAGGAAGCCTGCAATGACAGAGAGGAGGCAGGATGTTATTAAGCAAGCTCTTTGGAAAGGAGGCTGAAATAAAGGAAGAAATATTAGGCAAAAGGCAGGTGTGTCCATAAAAATCCACCTCTGGACTGTGATGGACCAGGAATGCCTGGGGGATGCGCAGAAACTAGGCTCTAGTGTTTCTCAAAGGCTCCTAAACCACCCTGATTCTCTAGGACAAGGACAGCTCTTTAAATCCAGGCCATCAGAGCACTTGCCCATTCCTGATTCTCTCCAGTGACTGGATAGGACCCAGTGACTGCCAAGCTTGTGAAACTGCAAAACTGCAAAAACTAACACCTTCTCCTCTCAACTGCCCATTCCCTTTGCAGGGCCCCATGCTCAGGAGAGACATCAACCTCTCCCCACCCTGGAGCTGGGGGCCCCAGGCCAAGCTGGCATCAGCTCCGACTCAGGCTCAGGCTGTCGGGTGCTCAAACAAAGACATATTCGGACCCTCCTGCAGAGACAGGGGGCCTATTTCTGGGCCCAGGGGGAGCTGGCCTTAATCTGCTGCACAATGAATGACAACAATGCTAAGAATGAAAATATGGTTTGGGGGGATAGTCCCCAGGAGCCCAACATTTTGGTATTTAAAGGAACTTTAATGAGCTTAAGAGGCTAATCTGGAGTTCAGGAGGGGGTGTTTTGTTTTGTTTCGAAAAGTCCTTTTAAAGATTCCTGAGGCTTGATAGGGAGGAGGCAACAGAATTGTGAGTCAAGGCGTGGCTGCTGTGCAACTGAAGGGGTGGGATGGAATTAGAGAGGAAGCTGCTCCAAAGAGCTCTTCTCATAGCAGCAGTAGAACCTGGTGCTAAGAGATGAAGGATGCTTCTTTCCAGGCAGGAGAAGTGTGATGTTCAGAGAAGCAGCCAAGAGTTGAAAATGAGTGATGTGTTTACATCCTACCGATTGCTAGCCAGGCTTCTGGCCAAATGACTCTCCTGGTTTATTGGTGACAGTATCAGACTCAGGCACTTGGCACTTCTCTCACCCACCAAAACACACCCACCTGTAGTAGCAGGACATAATCCAGCATCTACTAAGGTGCCAGGCACAGTCAGAAAGGTTTTTAGAGGCCCGTAAATGGTTACCCAAAGAGTAATGGACGTGAGGTTATGCATACCTGAGAGTTACGCTACTCACCGTCTATTTGCCTGAGCCCCACCCAACTGAGTGGTCACATGACTGTTATTTTGTGCCTCTAAAGGCTAATTAGGCCAGGTGCAGTAGCTCATGCCTATAATCCCAGCACTTTGGGAGGCTAAGGTGGGAGGATCGCTTTGAGGCCAATAGTTCAGGACCAGCCGGAGCAACATAGCAAGACTCTGTCGCTACTAAATAAATAAACTGCTAATTAGAAAATCAAAAGAGCACTAACAGTCCACAAAAATGGTCTGGGCAAAAAATGAGGCAGTTGATGAAATAGAGTTTAAGCAACATCTGATGGATGGTTGAAAGAGTCAAGTTAATAAAATTCTACAGGGTATAGGGGAGGGAGAAGGGGACAGAGGCAGATGTGAAGTCCAGATACAGCATGTGGTCCATTCCCAGCAAAGCTGGACACTTAAGATATTTTTAATACGATGGAGTTCAATCAAACCTGTAGGATAAGGCACTCCAATCCATAGTGGCCAGACAGCTCTCAGAGATAGGCAGATCTATCTATCACTCTATTATACAACAACAGTAATAAAACACAGATCGATCTATTGGTGCAAGGAGACGTTGGAGGCCCAGAGAGTCAGAAAAGCCAGACATATTTGCTGTTATCCAAAAATAGGATCCCCAAACTGGAATCTTGAAAGGCTGGAAGAGATCAAACTCTTTCATGTGACTTCAGTTAGAGGACTAGGAAAAGCACAGTCCACTTTGTATTTTTAGTTGTTATGACATTATGGTGCAATAATGGGGAATCTGGCAATCGTTTCATTAAATTCTAGCTAATCTGTGCATGGCAGCAAGGCGACAAGCTCTACAGATGATTTGGTTGCCTTGGTTCACCACTGTAAGAACAGCACCGAGGTAGGCTTTCAAAATCCTTTTTTAACTACCCAGATGGGGCTATTTGTGACAGGACCAAGTATACCCACAGGGTAGGAAACCGATGAAGGGCCGCAGTTTTCTTCCTTACACCATGTCTTCACTAATACTTCAGGGTTTCTGCTGCATTCCAGTTGCATCTGCTGTCTAATGCCAAAAGAAACTTAATCCCTATCCTAAGTCTCATTTTATTTATTTTCAGTAGTGTGAAAACAAACATGTAGCAAGATTACAGTGTTTACACCTCCTTTTTAGCCGATATAGCTCTAATCCTCCCGTTAATTAACACCAGGGCCATAGCAATTTTATTAATTTCATCTTGGTTAAAAATATAGACAGATAATTGTGCTTTACTAAAATAACAATTTGACATTTGGGGGGTGTTTGCTTCATTTTAGCAAGACAGTTGGCCAGATTTTATTTAATATATGACAAGGAGACACAAAGCTGCAGTCGACATTGGTCAATGATAACGTAACTAATTTTAGTTGTGATAAAATAACTAAAACACCTCATATCATGCTAGTCAAAGGAGACTAAGGAGAAAATGTTAATCCTATGGGGTATCAAGACAAAGTCTCCCTCTCTTTCAGAAAACAGGCCCTTCTAAGGGGGCACAAAGGGGAAAAAAGGCATCTTTTCTCTCTCCTCTCTGATATTTGCTCCAGAACCTTTTCTACACTTTGCTCTCAAAATTAGCAACTTCCCCAAACCAAATCTGAAAAGGCCACTGGCAGTGACTGTCCTAATGTTCCTAAGAGACTTCTTGAAGAAAAACATATAGAGTATTCCTAAGAGGAAGCCTCAGGCATGCTGGAAATAGGGCTGAGTCCTCCCACATAGGAGCCTTTCTGCTTCTATGCAGAGGGTGGGAGAGACACACCTCACCCCATCCCTATATCTCACCCTCCAAGTGGCTTATATGGGAACTTCTCTCTGAAGATGTGAAAGAGCATTTACAAATCCATGTCAGAAAAATCTTCATAAAAAAGAAAGAAAGAAAATTGAAAAACACTGAAGTAGAGCTAAGGTTTCAGAGTTAGGGCAGAAATTATTTTTAAATCTTTCCCTGTGGATGTGATTGCACTTTTTTCTTCATAATTCATTTTCCAGTGTTGTATAACTGTACTTAATAACCAAGATCATAACATTCAGTATTGGTTATTTTGAACTTCATAAAATTCAACAATGACATTTTGTAAAATGCATTTATTCTAAGATGCTTTAGTAAATTTCTGATCATATCATGAGTATTTTAAACCTTTGTCTACTTTCTCCCTTCTAAACACTATGACCCAAATAATTTCTTTGACCATAAAAGAAAAATTAGCTGATAATGAAATAGTTGGAATTGTTGTCATTAGAGAAACAGCTCCTGCTCACTCTCTCCAAAAACCTTCCCAGAATTAAAAAGCAACAATCAAGAGGCTTCCCTGAAATTAGTAATGGTCTTTTGATTAATACAAATGTTATAAATAAGAAAAATGAAAACAAAAAGCAAGGGAACAATGAATGATCAGGAAAGTTATTCACACTAAAATCTGAATATCAAAAGCTATTTCCTAGCCAGGTAGGTGTAATATGTAAAACGAGACTGAATAAATAACTTTTAAAAATGTGTTCCATTTATGTAAGGATCAAAAGAATCCCATAAGCCTACTGTAAAAAGGAATGTTCATATCTAGTATTTTAATTCCCAGAATACTATTAATATCTACTCCTGCTATCTAATTTTATTTCAAAATTTTAAGTCTTAGATTCCAAGAAAGTCTTACCCAGGGACCAATACATATAAAAAGAGAAAACACCTCTGAGCAAAGAATGTTTCCAATCACCCTCCAAAATTAAAAAGAGAGAAAAAGAGAGAGAGATTAAGTGCCTGCACAAACACAGCCACGGCCCATGGACGGTGCTTATGCCGAGCTAAGCCCCCTGCAATTTAACACAGACATCAGTTTATTGCCTAGCTGTGTTTGATTTTTATATTCCTGAAATTTTATTGTGCCAGGAGTAGGGACAACAAAAGATAAAGTAAAGCAAAAATGTAACAATTGCCTCTGTCATTTCATCTGTGGGCTCCTTTCATGAGTAACTGCATGCCCAATTTTGATCTCCAAGTAATGTCACAGTAATAAAACCAAACTGACTCCTCCTCACACACACACACTTCCTCCACTACCTTGATAAAATGCAGAATTAGTTCATTACTGATGCTAATAGATATCATTACCTAAGTCGTTTTCACCACAGGGCTGCCAATCAGCGGGTCCAAAGAAAGATGCAGAGAAAGCTCTAAGTGTGACAGCCACTTTCCCCTTTTTCAGTCCCTTTCTTTGGAAAATTGGTCTTCTCCAAAAGAAAGGGAAGAAAACATCCACTGGCTCTCTGAGGAAAGGTTTCCCAAGGCCTGTGATTTGCTGACATGCGGGGAGTTATGATGTTATGAGAACAGCCCTGATGACAGCAATACTATCCCACACTGCTCCTAGGATGTCCAGAGCAATCCAAGCGATCATGATAAACTTCATATGTGAGGGCAGAGGGCTCCGCCTGACCCACAGAGCCAGGCACATGAAAGAAACAATAAAAACTTGATTTAACTGTGGGATCCCTTCTAGAGGGCTTAATTATCTATTGTATTACCACATTCCCGTTATTCAGCAGTCTCTTCTGTCTCAGACTGAAGTCCAACTGCAGTATTTGTTTGGAACAAATTCAGGGAAAACTCCAAACTAACCAGATCATAGAGGACTCAGTTAAATAGGGAACAACAGTTATATAAATAGAAGTCCCCTAGGCTGGAAAATATTTTGATTGTCTGCTAACTTTCAGGAACGTTGAAGACAGTTGAATCCACTTTTAAAACATCTACACCTATGGTATCCTCATGTTTCATATGACATGGTACAGATTCATCAATTGTGTAAATGTTGTCATCCCACCAAGCTAGCAATTTTTCCATGTTGACATGTCATAACAATTATAGCCTTCAGTTCTTAATTTCTATACATTAGTAAATCAGTGTTCTACACTCTCACCTTAAATGCTTTTTTTTTGGTAATCAGAAGATAAATTATTCCTAACGGCATCGCAGTATATGAGAAAAATACTTAATAAAACGTCCCGAAGTCTTCCGATGCATAGTTGTGTGTGCAAGACGTCACTGTCAATTCTATTTTTTTAATTAGAAAAACTTGGTGTTTGACATTGTAAAGGTGTAATAGCTAGTTGAGAGAATGAAATTTTAACTTTTTAACTGGTTGCCTAACACCATAAAGAGACAGCTAATAATTCAAATGCAAAACTGCCCAACAGCAAGAAATGCACATACAGATGGCTAAGATAAATGTGATAAACTTGCTTTGTTAATATTATGCCTATGATTGACACTGAAAACTGTGCATTCCCTATATATTCTTTCATTTAAATGTGTAGAAATAGCATTTGAATTTCATGAATTTTGGAAACCAAGGCACTGCCTGCATATTCATTTTTTATTAAGTGCTCCCTAATTTACCATCAACATTGTCCTACCACTTAACTTTCACCTCATTTTCTTCCCATTTACTTTGTTTGGGCCTCAAATTTTTCAAAGATCCACCAAAAAAAAAAAAAAAAAAAAAAAAGCAAAGCTATGTTTACAAATGTATTTTTTAAAGAGGAAAATGTCCTTTGTAATTGCTTCAGGACTATTGTCTACAATTGAGTTGTATTCCCCCTGGAGGATAAATATCTGGCCATTCCAGATAGCTTCTGTGCAATATCTAGTCCTACACTCTAAATGGAAGAAGCCCTTGAGAAATACTTGATGGCAAGGACAACACAGATGCAAAAAGTGTTGAGCTATAAGCCTCCTGAAGGCAGGCTCTGAGACTTTTTCTCATTGTCCTCTCCTCATCTAGCCTAGCGTCTTGCATACAGAAGCTCCATAAAAGCTTACTGAATAAAGAAGTTTGTCCTGAGCCTATTTTTTTTTTTACAAAACAAACAAACAAAAATCTCTCTCCTTTTTCTCCTACAGATACCAACACGCAGACTAAGACCATTAAGATTATCAAATATATTAAAACCCTATTTTATTGGAAAAAGAATATAATTGGGATGGAGGATAGAGAAACGAAAAAAGGAATTTTAAAAAGGAATAAATTAATCTAACAAGCAACTGATGGGCTAAGCACAGGCCAGTACTGCTATGATGCCATGAGCTAAAGAGGACAAAAACCTCAATTCTGGAAATCTATGGTTCCAAAAATATTTTTAAAATAAAATTAAAATCCTTCACTGAAATGTCAGCACCTCTCTGAACAATGTAGCTCACATCCCTCTGTAAAATCTTCTTGGTTCTGGCTAACAGCTGGCAAGTTGATCCCTGCAATTTTCCCTTTGCAGAAATAGCTTTGTGAGGAGAGAACTGACCCTCCTGGGCTAATAAGCCCAAACCGCGCCAAACCTGGAGGGCTGAAATGGAAGGGACATTGTTGTGTTAAGTACTTTACAACAACTGTTTCTTCTCCTCTTGACACAGCCTGACTTCCTTAAAGAAGATTTGACTGGCCAGACAGCTGTGTTGACCCTTAAGCCTTCTTTGATTCGTGATTTTTTTTTTTAACAAACAGAATAGAAATTCACAACCCAAATCCTTTCCTAAGCCCCAATACTTGTGAATTTGCTAGTGTTGTGCCTGAAGGATGTGGACATTTCAGTAATCTATAAGCAGAAAGTTAAAGATTGGGTCTACACAATACCAAAAGCTTTCGATGAAAAGCGAGAGAGAAAAAAGCGAGCAATCAGCCAGAAGCTTTATTCAAAGGTGATACTTGAAGTTATGTGGGCTAAATCTATTTAACTACCTAAAAATTACACTTTTCACTCAGACAACATGTCAATAAACAGACAACCAAGAATACACAGTCACATCTTCTCTCAAAAATGTTATCCATAATGATCACTTCATAGGTTGTCATAGGGAGTTTTCACTTCTTTATATATTTCTGTATTGTCCAGCTCATCCAAAATCCAGCACACGTTTCTTTTAGTTCTGAAAAAAGCCAAGCTATTATCTTTTCAAAATGACAAAAGAAAATGCCTAGTACTCTCTCCACATGGGGTTAAAATTCGAGAATTTTAGGGCAAAAAAGCGGAGTGGCAGAAACAATTTTTTTGTGTGGTCACAGGGTCTAATCACTTTGTCAAGTTTTTAAACTTGCATAGCCCCAGACAACAATAATAAATAAACTTCTATTTATTCTCAGTGCTTTTTGTTATACAGAGACTTCTCCCGTTCAGCCCCTCTCACTGTGTTTTTATATAACATGATAGAACTGCTTTTCACGCACGCTAACCCTCCTTTGATTATCTTCATGTAATGCTGTCCCTTTCATTCACCAGTGACAAATGCAGAATTCTGCGCGTGCACGCGCGCGTCCACACAGTCAACCTACACCAGTCCTAATGCACAAAAACAGAGACCTCTGGATCAGCCACTTTTCTTCAATCATCTCCAAAGCCCTGCAAAGCCAATACACTTATTAATTAAACATTTCGCAAGGAAAAAACCGTTCCCTCTCCTTACACCTCCTAAGCTCCTCCCGGCACGCCCGGAGAGAATAAGGAAGTTCTTCTACCTCCCACTTTCTGGCTTCATCCAGGCTTTAGTGTTATAAAAATCCAGTTTCGAAATATCCACTTTCTTAAATTCCTGCCTCCCAGTTCTCCTCTGAACGTACCAGAACGTTCATGTGGACAGGAGGGAACTGAACTTGCTCCGTGGCAGAAGAGCGTACCCACACCTGAACTAGGATGGCGGCACAGGTTGAAGGAGAGGGCTTCAGTTCAGGCCCCAACTACTGTCCTAAAAGCCCCTGCATCCGAGGGTTCTGCAGAAAACCAGGAAGGCGACAGTGAAAGGGCGAACGGGCTGTGCGCTTAGCTCCGAATGGCAGCAGAGCCATTTCCGAGCCCAAACTGTCCGGACTCCAGCGAACAAACCCGAGCGGGAAACGCGCACAGGGCACAGGGGACAGAAGCTGCGGGGTCAATACAGTCTCACCGCAAGGCACAGGCGCGACGCTGGCGCGGACACCTGGGTAACATGGGGTGAGAACCAGCAAGGAGACACGGGGTCACTGGCAACCCGCAGGGCACCCCGGTAAAAGAGGGAGACCAAGCTCGAGGGATTCCAAGGCTAACAAAGAGTGGCCTCTGGAAACGGCCGAGTCAGAGAAAGGGGCCTGGAAGGACCAGAAAGCAGGCGAGCAGACCGTGGAGGACAGCCATTGCGCGCACTTCTGCGGGACTCGGGCCACTGCTGCGCGCACCCGCGCGGATCTCTGCCCTACCACCTTCCCGTGAGGGGCAATGTACACGACTGCGCTGAAGGGAAGTTCTGCTCGCTGGGCGTGTCTCTTGGGCCTTCCAGAAAAGGACTAGGGTAAAGGAGGACAAAGTCCTCGACGCACACTGATGCCAGTGCGCGGGGAGCGCTGCGGGGGTGCGGCCACTTACTTCTCGTAGTCATACTTGCAGTACAGCTTCTTGTCCCGGTAGAAGCAGGTGGTCTCCAGGGGCTCTTTGCAGGAGGCGCACTGCACGCACTGCTCATGCCAGAAGCTGTCGTTGAGCCGCAGCAGAAACCTGTCCAAGATGACCCGCTGACAGCCCTCGCAGACAGACTTGGGGCTCACCGCTCTGCCTGTAGCCACAACAGACGTTGGCGGGTGAGCAGCCCGGGCAGGTAGACCATGCCAAACCTGGCCGGGACCCGCTCCTGATCCCTTCACATCCACGGATTCCCCCAGCGCCCCCCACCCCAGGGAACTCCTGCTAATCAACCAAGCTGAAACCTGGAAAAAATCAAGCCAAGTGGCGTTTCTAATAAACGGAGACTATGTGAGAAGGTTTAATTCCAAGCGGGGGAGGGTATAGAAATCAATAATTGGCCTTTAATTAACAAACATACCCAGGTATGCTCGCAAACGTCTGCACATCCTGTAAGATTAAATTACATACAAATTTGTGCTCTCAGGTTTATTACGTCGTAATTAATTATTAAATCACTATGCCTGTCTCTACTGACTGTTTTAAAAACTGAGAATGCATAAGAACAATTTGGATTTTTCTTTGTTAAAACGCAGAGTTCTGTTCTATTTTTTGAGGGGGAACAAAATTTTCTCTTTTCTTCCTAAAAAGTCCTGGGGGTACAGAAAAATACCGTCTCACTCCGAAGCAAACCTAATATTATTCAAACCGATGAACCCCAAACTGCTGCGTCTTGACTGGCATGCATATTGCACATGGGTTTTTGATAACTAAGAAGCGTCAAAACAGAGGGAGGGAAAAAAATAGCGGAAGAAGCAAGCCGCTGAGTGTCCCGGCCGGGATTCCCGATGCCAGGCGCGTTCGGCAGCAGTGCTTGAGGGCGAAACGGGCCTCAAAGTGACTCAGCGGAGGCAGGAAATCCACTCTTTGCTACCCCTTGGACTTTGTGTTTTGTTCCTTTAGTTTGTGGGGGGCGGAGAGGTGGTTCAGGTGGCGACGCTTGGCCACCTATATTGGCACTTTTCACAGCTATTTAAAGAAGGCCTTGTCCCCCAGCAACAACACTCTTGCCCTTGTCCCCCCAGTACCAACACTCTTGCGCTCCCCATTTCCCGGCTGCACTCTTCTCATTCTCCCCTTCCGAGAGGCCCGGCCACCGGCTCGGGAGCTGGGCCGGTCGCTTTGGGAGCGGATGAGGAAGGTTAGGAGAAGCAGCGAGATAGATCCCAATTTTACAATTCTATTTTCTTTCGGTAGGGTCTCGGCGTCCTGGGCCACGTTGAGAGCGAACGTGGGCCGAGCGGAGGACACAGAGTAAAAAGCGACGCCCGCTGTATACATAAATCCGCACCCGCTGCCCGCCCGGGTACTGCCTGCTCTGGCTTCCGCTCTCTTCCGAGGCTGGGCAAGTCCAAAAGTTCCCGAAAGGGGGGTTCAAAGAGGGGCGCTCAGTGCACGTGATTTCGTTTCATCTAGGGTGTTGGGGGTGGGGAGATTCCTCACTGGATTTGGTTTCTCCAGCAGAACTGTCTCATCCTCCACATTCATGCCGCTCTAGCGGTTCCGAGTGAAAGAGGCAAGAGGTTTAAAGGACAGAAGGAAAACTCCCTCCTGCTAAAAATAAATAAATAAAATAAAATAAAATAAAATACGGGCTTCCCAAACTTGAAAAGCTCCAAGGGCAGAGTGGGTGGGGGAGCCGTAACCAGAATCTCTGGCTTCAGCTCTGCAAGACCCGTGTGTGGACACTCTTCCGGGGTCCTTGACTCGCTGCTCCTCCTCTGTCGCTGCAAAGGAGTTGTGAGGGGGGACCCACAGGACCCGACATCCAGCTCCAGTTAATTAACGCGGAGCCTAGGGCCCAGCCGCGCGGTCTAATCCCCGCGCTGCGTTGCCTACTGGCCCAGAAAAGTCTCTCTCGGCCTTGCCCATGGCTGAAATTGGGGCTGGAGTTGGTGGGGGAGAGAAGCCTCCTCGAACTTGGGCGCTCCAGGCCTCGGGTCTCGGATGCTATTGCCTCTAGGCCGCGAGAAGAGGGCGGCATTTATGAGACGTCGATCAGCTCCGAGATTAAAAATCCAGCCCTGGGTATTTTTAATCACTTGCCACTCAGACGCCTACGAACAAGCTCGCCCGCCCCTCGCGGCTTTGGGGAATTCGGTGCCCAGTGCGTGAGGCCTGGGGCGGCTTGTTGGATTTATTTGGGTAGGGACGACCCACAAGCACTGACGGACAGATAGTGATGGGGCTCAATTTAGTGTATGAAGAGGGGCGCTAGCTTCCCTATCGCGGACCAGGTCCCAGAGAGCGGGGCTCCAGAGCTCAGCGCCAAGCGGAAAGAGAGTGCGCCCAGGACGCACGGCCTGAACACTCACCCAGCAGCGAGGAGAAGGAGGCCGAGGTGTCGATCGCGCTTTGGAAGTTCTCCTCCATCTTTAGGCCGTCCAGCATGTTCGGGCCGGGCCGGGAGGACCTGTAGAGGAGAAGAAACGATGCGTCTGACGTCCGTGCCCGCTGGGACTCGGCGCCAGCAGCCACCGCACTCCTGGGAAAGAACTGAGGGAGTGTCCAGGGCGACCAGAATCAGCCAGGAGGATAGGGTCCAGCCAAGAGAATGTAGGGTGGGAGGAGAGATCAGTCACAGCGAACTGCTCTGGCTGATCTGATTTCACTTGAAGTCAACACGTTATGTACTTAGGCCTCCGCCCCCCAACTGCGTTTCTCCTTCTCCTGCCCCCCTCACCCCCACCTACATCCCTTGCCCCAGGTTTTCCATCCCGAATCCGACTCCGCCCCAACCTATACGAAGGTGGGCCCTCGGGACGTCTCTGCAGGAACGCAGCTACTGGGGTATATTGGGTATATAAAGAGTGGGTACCCTCCCTCGAGCGACCGGGTCCAGGCACGCGGGACGATGGGGTTTGCAATCCCGCGTCCCAGCCGCCCCGTTGCGGCCCTCACCTGCCCCAGGTCGAGAAGGGGCACTGTAAGGGACCCGGAGGGCGTCCCGCCCGCTTCTGGACTCCTGGCGCTGCGCTCTGTTGGGGTGCGCGCAGGAGCCGGTGTGCGGGGCGCGCGGGGAGGTCCTCCCGCCAGTCGGCCAGTGCCGGGAATGTCTGCAGAAGCAAAAGAGTCGCCTCGGGGAGGAGCCCCGGCTGGCCCGGCTCACTCTTGGATGCATTTCAAGTCAACTTTCAGAAACACGCCCGCCCGAGCCACAGCCTAGGCACGGGCAGCCTTACTTACCTGGTAGGCGAGCTCTCTCCCAGTGACTGGAGCAGAGAGAAGTTGCGGAGCGCTGCTGGAAGCTTCTGCCCGGGAAGGCGTCGCCCCCGAGACTGCAGCCGGAGGAGCCGCCCTCGGCTTCGGAGCGCCGGGGAGGGAGCCGGAGCGAACGCCGGCCGCTGGCTCTGCTCCTCGGCGCGCCCAGGCTGGGCCGGGACGTGGTCGCGAGCTGCCGGCCTTCCCGGGACGTCCTACCAGCCCGCGTCGCTCCTCAGCGGGAGGAGAGGGCCAGTTGCTTCTCCAAGGCTAGGAGGGAAGGCAGAGGCCCAGGGTCCTGGGTGCGAGTCGGCCCTGCTTCGCCGGGGCGGATCCTGCAGCTTCTGACAGGGGCCGCGGCGCTGCGTGCGCGGCGGCGGAGAGGGGGTGGGGTGCGCTGGGCGGGGGGCTGGCAGCGCGTCCCGTGGCGGGGCCGTGGTGCTCCCTTTCCCAGCCTGGCTGCGCGGCCACCACACGGCCGCTGCCCTCTGAGCCCCTCCGCCTCTGGGAGCTCTCGGACACGCTAAGTTTCCTCCCCTCCACGTGTAACTGTTACCTCGGGGCGCTCTGGCCCGGTCGCCCCCCAGTGCCCCTCACCCCGACTGGGCCTTTGCGGAGATGTCGGCGCCTCCTGGACAGCGGTGCCGCCACGAGGATTCCCCCGCCGCTCTCCAACTGCTGCTATAAAAGCGCTGCAATCCTTACCCGGGCCCCGGGAAGCGCTGAGAAGCTGTTTAGCGCCAGTAGATGTGGGCCCAGCAGCTCCTAGCTCCTCAAACCCCTCATCACCCGAGGGCTCATGCCAGTTTCCAACTTCCTTTAAGGTCGAACCATATTCACTCATGGGGCGTACAGAGGCCATGGGACTCACGGCCTAAGAATCATGCTCTTGGGAGACACTAGGTGGGATCTGCCCCCCAGATGATGAACTTGCAATGACACTCAACAGGAAATCAGGTAAAGGGACATTGTTAGGGGAACAAAGTATCTGGGGAGAAATGTGAATTATCTGCACCTCCTAACTTTAATTTACAATAACAGACCTTTAGCCCCCTCCAGAGCAGGAATAAGGCCTTATCCGTCTGTATAGCCCAGGAGGTAAGCATGTTGTGTGACCCCAAGTGGATGCTCAATAAATAAATTACAATGCTGGCTAGCGTTTATCGTTTATTTTGTGCCAGCTTTGTTACACAGTCACCTCATTTAATCTTTACAACAACCCCCATGAAGTGGAGACAATTGTTGTCCCAATCTTACAGTTGAGGGAAATGGAAGGGAATTCATGGAATCCGAGTCCCATCATCTGAATACCATGGGAAGGTTCAGTTCAATTCAGTGTGATTCTCTGGGGCACCTTCAGTTCCTAAACTGAACTGAACTGAGATGAAATTGGCAGGCCGTTTGACATGGTGAACTCAGGCAGAGGAGATGCCACATAGCCAGGGTTTTTCTATTACCTCCTCCAAAGACAGAGCCACTTCTTTATTCCTAAAGAAAAAGTGCTGGCAGCAACTTGCTCTAATGTGCTTAGGAGCAGCGACCCCACTAAGCACTAAAAAAGCCATTCTAAGTGCTTTCTGCCAGCAGGCACAAGCCAAACACTGAATATGACTCCAGAAGAAAGAGGGGAAATGGCAAAGAGGCTAATACGTTATATTCGAATGCTGCTTTACAGGCATTTTCACATACATGATTTTGCTTGATCTTTACAGCAAACCTGTGAGGTAGGCAGAACAGTTTTATCTTTTGTTTCAGATGAATCTTTGGAGCTTAGCACGGCTGGGAGATTTCCCTGATGTTGCCCAGATGGCTAGTGGCATGTCTCCTAACACCTGACCTCTGTCCTTTCTGTCACCCCAGGTAGAGCAGGGTGTAAAAAAATACAAACTACAAGTATTATTAGGATAATATGTGAAATAGAAGTTAAGCAAGAAAAAAATGGAATAGGGCAGATACAACCATAAGGAATGTTTTTATGTAAATACCCGGCAGAATTTTGGTTTCACTAAAGGTCTTATATGAAATATATGAAATACATTTTAACTAGTGGTAAGACTATTCCTTTTAGTGAATATCCTGAAAGTAGATAGATTGTCATTTGACCTGAAACTCAAATCTTTCAAACAATTCTTACATCCACCCACAAGGCCGCTTGATTAGTGTAGATCACACAGGTTTTTGGTGAGAATGTCTCCCCAGCCATTGGGCACTTCAGGATGGGGACGGTGCCTCAAAAATCACATCATAAGTCATATCACTTTTAGTGCAGACCTAGACACATACAATTGATGAACAAATGCCTTTTACTTGGTTGAGGAATGAATAGAACTCTCACTACAGTCAGAAGGCACTGCAGTGAAGGGTCAGGAATCAAAGGACCTCCGTTCCATTCCCAGCTTTGCCACTGAATTGGTCTGGGCCATCAGTTCACCTCTTTAGATGTCAATACCTCTCTGGAATGAAGGGTCTACATTATGTGGTTGGTCAGGCCCTCACAGTCTAAAGTCTGTGAAACCAGTCCAGTGGGGTAGGCAGTGGGGTAGCTTTGGCCAGTGGGGTAGGCAGTAGAACCAACAGATCCATATGAGGTGCTGAGCAGTGGTTGCCTAGGTATAGTCTTGGCTGATGTGTTTAAGTGATGTGTCTAAACCAATAAAGATAAAACTTATTTATTCGGAGTTTTCTCTTTTGTGATTTATTTGCCCTCTTTCAATGAAGTAGGAGTCATGAATCCCATTCCTACCCAAGGATTGTTTCAGTTTGGCCTTATCCAACTCAGTGACATGGATGGGTGAGACGATCACAGGTGGATCATTCTGACCCCTCTATGAAAGATCCTCCTAACCATGCCTCGTGTTTTTCCTTGTGATTTAAACTCAAACACTTTTATTTTACCTTTTAAATGAAAGAAGATGCCACAGAGCCACTGCCCAGAAGCCATTTATGAAGAATCAGCCATCTTCTCCCTTTTATCAAAAAGAAGTACTCTGAGAATACATGGGAATGAGGTGAATAGGCTTCAGAGGGGACTCAAAAGATTACACGTTTAGAGTTGGAAATGATTTTAAAGCTCATGTGGTCCAACCATTTAGTTTGTAATGGATCAAAATTCATTTCCCTAAAGTTTCCACCCTCTGTTCCATTGATTCCTCGGGGCTAGCCATTCAGGAAGTCAAATCCTGCCTCTAAAACTTTTAGATGAAGGCAGAGCTGGCCTCACTCTCCTGCCCAGTCTTCGAATCTGATCCAGTTTTCCTGTCTCTTATAAATTATGGCACCCAGGCCTGCTGTGAGTTTCCAGTGATAGTGTATTCAGGGTGTTTCTCAAGCAATATAACACCCATTAATGTTCCTGATTTTGTATGAGCATTTTCTTTTTTTTTTTTTTTTTTTTTTTTTTTTTGAGATGGAGTCTCTCTGTGCCGCCCAGGCTGAAGTGCAGTGGTGCGATCTCGGCTCACTGCAAGCTCCGCCTCCCGGGTTCAAGCCATTCTCCTGCCTCAGCCTCCCGAGGCATCCACCACCACGCCCAGCTAATTTTTTTGTCTTTTTAGTAGAGATGGGTTTTCACCGTGTTAGCCAGGATGGTCTAGATCTCCTGACCTCTTGATCCACCCGCCTCAGCCTCCCAAAGTGCTGGGATTACAGGTGTAAGCTACCACGCCCGGCCTTGTGTGCATTTCAATGGCTGCTGTTGACTCACACTTATGTGTCATTAATAAAACCTCCTCAGTCCTTTTCCACATGGTCTGCTGGTAGGGCCCATCTCTGCCATATCGCGTTTGTACAATTGATGTTTGAATCCAAGTGTGAAATTTATCCCTGCTAAGAGACAGGTAGCTGTTGTATCAGAAATCTTGCAACTTCAAGCAGATCCCAAGAGATCCAGGAACTATGTCTTAAGCCTAGTGCCTTGTTTTGAGAGAGAAATATGTGGCCCTTGCCAAGCTGGTCTGGAAGCGCCATCACTGGAGGAAGACAGGCCAGGACCAATCAATGGGTGTATCTGTGGGTCCCAGGGGTAGCAAGACCTTGTAACTTGGGGATACTTCTCCAAGTAGAAGGTTTCCCTGATCCTGTTCCAATTCTGTCATCTGTCTTCAGTCCAATAGCGATTTGTAGAAGATGGGGGTGGGACATGCCAAATAGCTGTGGAGTTACCCCTTCTATGGCAGAAAACAGAGAAGCAAAAATATCAGATACATGAGTCTTTGTGGCTGAGATTTAGGGAGAGGAGTGAGGGTAGAGGAGAGACCAATGCTTGGTGAGAGGGAAGAAAAAAGGGAGGAGGACAGACATCCTGCTATAGAGTGGAGATGACAGGAACACATTTTTTTACTTTCCTTTTCTCGCTCTCATTTCTGTGTTTTATTAAGGGAAATACAAAGGGAAAATTGTGTTATTTGTTTAAAAATGTCAAAGTGCATTTCAAGCAAGAGGAAAAGAAGCAGGAACATTACCGCCTAGAATGGCAATATTCTAACGAGGACAGCCAAAGACTGGCTCATGGTTGTGGGGACACACTTGAACTACACACTACCCTTACCTGGATTATTTTCATGTGAATCCCCCAGTCCTGTGTTGACATTCAGATCTCTCAACAGAGCTGGAGGACCAGGTGCCTCTCATGTTCTAGGGTGAAAGGGCCATCCCAAACCAGCTGCTGGAATAGGAGGAAAGTCTGACAATGCAAATGGGGATATTGTTCCCTAAGCTTAAGGCAGATTCTCCCTCCAGCCTGGCAAGGACAGCCCTAGGCAAGGAGGAGACTTGTCCAGGCTAACAAGAGTACCATTGAAAGCAGCACATTCTTTGGACCTTGCAGTAGAATTATCTACATGCCCACTTTATCTTCCTGTTGTCTCATGAGCTCCTTAAGAAAAGGTTCCACGTCAGACTCCCCTGTGATTCTCCCCAGCATGGCACAGTGCTTCACATACTGAAGAGTCTCCATGAATGTTTGTTGTCTAAGTACAAATGCCCTGAGGTCATCGTCTACTTCATGCCATAGCTCAGCATGCCTTAACTCACATCATAAGTCACATCACTTTTAGTGCAGACCCTAGACACATACAATTGATGAACAAATGCCCTTTACTTGGCTGAGGAATGAGTAGAGCTCTCACTACAGTCAGGAGTGGAAAAAGGCCTGAGTTCAAATCCCAGCACTGACATTAGTAAGCCATTTAATCTTAAATTATTCAACCTCTCCATGTTTCAGTTTCCTTATTGGTACAAGAAGAGGAATGATATTCCCCCGGAGTTATTGTGACAGTTAATAGTGACAATGGCTGTGAAACATCTAATAATCTGACCAACTTAATGTTCAGACTCTGTAAGTCTCCTCTACCATCCCTCTGAATGAGTTTCTGAAGGGAAATCACCTTGGCTTTGCCCTGTTCTTATGAGTAAACAGGAACCACACCAGCATTCAGGCAGAGTCCCTGTGCCTAGTGACAGCAGTTGTCTTGGTGTAACTGAGGGGTTTCTGTGCCTGGGATAGGCTGTCCTCCATGGCTGGGCTCATGGCATTGCAGGGCAGTTAAGAAGACGGGCCCTGGGGACAGACAGACATGGGATTGGTTGTTGACACTGCCACTGATGATGGCCTTGGACAAGTTCTTCAATCTCTCCAAGCCTCCATTTCCTCATTTGGTAAACTGAGGAAATTATTGAGCTGTTTTTCTGTGTGTTTAAATAAAATAATAAATACAAAATACCTAGCACAATGCTAGGAACATCGTAAGGATTCAGTGAATCGTAGCTGCTATTGTTATCATTCTCACCAATATTGAACAATAAGCAGCTCTAGGACCATGTCTTATTTACGTCTGATATACCTAACACTTGAACATAGGTGTCCAGAGAATGTAACTTGAATTAACCTAAACCAAACTGAATTGAAGACAGTCCCTGGTGCTGAGTGAGGCTCACGTAGTGTTTGGCTCTTGGTTCCACCCACACTTGAGATGGCATTTCTCCTGGAGCAGTCCCACGTGTTCCCTAACAAGTCCCCAGATTGCAGGCTTCCTGCATGAAGCCCTCACTCATGGGCTCTGGCAAACCCTATCTTTGACATATATGTGTGATACTTCACACCAAATACCAGAAACCTGGAAATAATGGGGGGAGGGTGGGGCATGAAAAGTGAACTCCCCCAGACATCAAAACAGGGAGAGATCTGTGAAGAGGTGAGGTCTGTTAGCTCCTGGGCCTGGTTCATGTGCCACCACATCTCAGTTACCACGCGGTGAATGTATGGATGAATTTGGCAGAGGTCCTCGGGGACAATGCACAGGGAGCAGTTGGGAGCCTGGCTGAAGCCTTTTGCATCATTAGGGTGTCCCTGTGCTGGCTACAACAGCTAGGAACAGGCCCCACAGGCAGGCAATGCCTAGGGCAGAGGCAGCTGGCCTGAATTAGCGCTGTGTTGCAACAGGTGCAGAGACCATCTCCATCAAGCCAGTAGCAAGACTCCAGCTTCCTACAGGTATTTTCAGGAAGGGACTCTACCTGTGTCTTCACCTACCAAGAGCATTAAACCACAATGGAACTGAGAATGCCCCTGCCCCTGAACGTACATCCATCCTCATTCTTCTGATGGATATGCCGTGTTTATTCCATTGTTAATTTATTTATATAATATATCTCTCCTAGTTTCTAAACAGGATTTGAGGTGACAAACACTACCAATAGTGAAATGAATTTTTTAAATTAAAATTATATACTGGGAGCAGAAAAACAAATCATACCCCCACCAAAATAATAATGTGGGGCTAAATATTTGAATTGTGATAGAATGTTAAATGTCACTCTGTGTTTACAAGGTGACACAGAGAAAAGTAAAGCTTTACAAAATTGTTACGATCCAATCAAACTGTGTTTCCAACATTATTTATATGTCTAGCTGGCTTAGGACAGAGTCTATAATAAAAGAACATATGTAACTCATGACAATGGAGATCAGACCTGTGACCTCATGAACAGTGTTTGAAAATTTTTTACTTTTGTTTATTGACTGTATCTCACCTCTTGTGAAAAGAATTATAGCAAATGTAAAACAAATGATATATACAACAAGTTAATAAGGTGGAACTACAAAAACAGGAAGAGAGAAAACAGATAATATTAAATATAAGAGTTAACAGTTGTCTCTTTGAGGGCAGCAACTATGATAACACGGTTCAATCTAACATAGTTCTAAGTATGTACTTGGCACTTGTTATGTGTGAACATTTGAGCAAATGAATACCGTGAATGAGAGTCTAATTTGCCTTTGAGCTTCCTGGCGGCTAGGGCAAAAAGAGAAATAACCAGCTTATAGATATTTTTGCACCTGGATTAGAGTGGTAATTGTGGATTTGTTTGATTAAACACAAAAGAAAATGTACCCTTAATCCTCATACCTCCAGATTCTTGTGCCCAAGGAAGTAAACAGTGAATCTTTCCATCCCGCTCCTCAGCACAGTGCCTTGCATAAAATAAATATTTGTTGCATGAATATATTAATAAGATCATTAAAATAAAGGGTTTTTGATACATCTAAGACGTGTTTCCATTTCCTCCTTTCCTATCCCATCAATAACTTATCCCCAATCCTTTTTCAACCTTAAAGTTCAGAGAGGAAAAAAAAATTGTCAGGAGGGTATTGAAGGTGAAGGTATTCCAGGTAGATGACATGGCTTCAGCAAAGGCATCCGGGGAGAAAGTCAAGGTAAGTTAGAAAATCTCTGTGCACAGAAGGAAATGGGGCAACACAGGAGGTTCGAATACTGGACTTTAAGTTTATGACTCCACAGGCCATAGAGAGCCTTTGGAAGATTGGGATTGGAGGAGTAAAATAATCAGGGGTTTGGCCTATGCTTATTAATTCTGGTATCAGTGTGGCTAATGAATTCAAAGAAAGGAGAAGAGGGAGGTAGAGCAGATAAACTTAGTTACTCTAGTATAAGTGAGAAATTCAAGGTCTGGCCCAGGGCAGGGAAATGACCTTGAGGGGGATGAATGTAAGAGCAATATCAGAAATCAAGTCAAAAAGTCCAGCATCTGTTTAGCTGTGAAGTGAGAAGAAATGAAGGGGAAAAGGCATCAAAGAGGCTTGGGGAACAGTGTGGTAGTAATAGAAATAGGAAATGCAGGAGGAAAGCAGCAGGATGGGGTGCAAGAAGAAGTTTGGTGACTTTTCAAAATGTTTTCCCATCCATTATCTCATTGATTTCATATGCAAACAGAGTGAGATCCACCCTGAATGTCAGCTGAAAACTGCTCTGCCCCTGTTTAGAGCTGCCAAGTTTCAATGAGCAAACGTATGCCTTGATCCTTCTGGTGGTACCAGGGCACCCACTGGCAGGTGCCCTGCCCTCTCCAGGCAGCCCCAAAGCTTCGCCAGGGCTCAGCCACCCCATCCTGGCTCCGAGCCAGCAGCAGCTAAAAAGTGGGTAGTGAAAACACTGCGGCCTGCCATGCTTGCCAGGAACATGGATGGGTGTGCCCCGGAGTTCAGCCAGAGTCTCCCAGAACATCTGGGCAGGGTGGGGAGGGAGGAGCACAGCCATTGGAGTTTCTTTAGTGTCTCATCTTTCTTCCCGCTGGGTAGCAGGCTCTGGTTTCACCACTGACTCACTTCCAGGCACAGGCAAGTGGTTTCACCCCAGGCTGCAACTTCTCCCCTGAGCAATGGGACAGATAATATTTCTCACCTCCTTAGGACAGCAAGACATTAATGAGAGGGCTCTGCATGCTCCTGGCTGAGCCTCAGTTGGATGGCACAAGCAATTGCATAGAGAGAAGAAACACTGACCTAGTCATAAAAAGTCAGTCCTGGACGGGGCTCCAGCACAGAGCTGATCTAGCCTCTCACCTCGCAGATGAGGGGCCTCCAGTCTGTAGCCACAACCACTCCCAGCTGTCATCTGTTGGTTTTCAGATATATATGTTGGGGCCTCTTATGGATCCCTACATCCCAAGGAAAATCCAAATTTCTCTGCACAAGCTGGTCCCACTCAACATTTCCAGCCTCCTCTCCTTCATTCCCCTTCTCTCTTCCCTCCTCCTCACTCAACTCCAGGCGTTCACAACTCTACATTACACCCCCCCCACCCCGACACACACACACTGTGACTCAGACACTCCCCATCCATTTTCCTGGCACAGGTCTGTGCTCTGCTACCCAATCAGCAGTGTCCTCAGGCAGGAGTCCACTTTCCTTTCTTCTCTGCCCTGTTGAAAACCCACCTCTTAAGCCCTCAGACAGGTAATTAGCACCTCCTCTGCCTGGCAGGCTGTTTAGCATTTATCACAAGGTATCTCCAGTTTTCCTTTAGATATCTGCCTCCTTCACTAGAAAACACACAGATGTGTGACTTAGAGAGCTTAGTGTCCTCCCAGAGTCAGGCCCTGGTGACAGATGTGGGAAATGAAGAAGGAAAAATGCAGATTATAATAGGGTTTACAAACCAAGGGTGCAAAAAAAGGGGTACAGTGAAGTCTGCCTCCAGTCCCTGCTCTCTGCCCAGCTCTCCCTGATACATAACATGCCAGGTAGTAGGTTATGAGGTATCCTTCAGTTTCTTTAAGCATACACCCCAAAAACCACAACACAAATATAGATCCTTTACTTCCCGCTTTGTAACCCAAATCATAAACTTTTTTTTTACAGAGACCCTTTAAAATCTTTCAAGTTTCTCATATTCATCCTCCCTCTATTCCGATCTTCAACTCATAGGTTTAACTATCCATGAAACAAATAATACCACACATTTAATGTAAGTCACAGTACAGGTGCATCTTGCCTTTAAAAATGATTGAGTTCCTGGGAAATTATGTAAAATCACATTTGTATTAAAGTAGTCACATTTCCAGTGCATTGAAGGGGCATGTTGTTTAAAGATATTCAGGAGTGTATCTTCTTACCGATGAGGAAGTGGTATACTCTGCTACTCCCCAAACTGTTGATTCAGTTCAGATTTGCTAACACCTCATTCTTTTAGAACCCAGTAACACAGATTTAAAAGAGAGCAAGTTTCTCTGTCTAGTGAGAAAAAGGGTAAAATTTAGAGCCAGAGTTCCTCCCACAGAAACCCCTTCAAACCCCAAATACAGGGAACTGATAGCCCTGGTCGACCCCACCTTTTCATCTATGGAGCCAGACTCTGTGGACACATTTGCAGCTTCCTGGGGATTGGCAAGGTAGTGAGAAGCTGCTTCCATGATTTCAGCTTGCAATGGCACCATCTAATGATTTTAAAGAAATTTCTGTTAGAGACAGAGTCTCACTCTGTTGCCCAGGCTGGAGTGCAGTGCCATGATCATGGTTCACTATAACCTCCAGCTCCTGAGCTCAAGTGATCCTCCTGCCTCAGCCTCCCAAGAAGCTGGGACTACAAGCATGTGCCACCATTCCTGGTTAATTTTTTACATTTTTTGTAGAGGCGCGGTCTTGCTATGTTGCCCAGGCTGGTCCAAACTCCTGGCCTCAAGCGATCCTCCCATCACAGCCTCCCAAAACCCTGAGAGTACAGGCATGAGCCACCATACCGGCTGGCCACCTAATGACTTTAACTGTTCAAGATTGTAGATCAGGGGTCCATCAACTACAGCCAGGGGCCAAACCCAACCCATTGCTTGTTTTTTGCACAGCCTGCAAACTAAAAGTTTTTACATTTTAAAGTGACTTTTAAGATTAAAAGAAAAATATTTTGTGACATGTGAAAATTATATGAACAATTTACATTTCAGTGTTCATAATAAAGTTTTGTTAGGACACCTTCATGCTCCTTTGTTTAGTGACTGCCTATGACTGCTCTCACCCTACAGCAACACAGTCGAATAGTTGGAATTGCAAAGTCGAAAGCCTAAAATATTTGCTCTCTGGCCCTTCACAGAAAAAGCTTGCCAAACCCTGTTCTAAAAGATACTATAAGACCCAAAGTAGATGTCCAGATGAAACAGATGCATCTCTTTCAGCTTTAGGTGTCTGTACCCGGCCAAATAGGATCTCAGTGCTGAGACTTTTGTTCTTCTTGAAGAAAAGCATCGCCACCATGAACCAATGCTGAGAGATTCCTCATTTGCATCAGAAGGTCAAGCTAACCTTTCTCAGCTACTCATTCTTGGAGTTCAAGATGGGCAGGTGTAGTGGGCCAGCCAACCACCTCTGCACCCTGCAAGTCCCATTACCCTCCTGCAGAACCACAGTTGTCCACAAGAGGGCAGTAGCTCTCCTGTTTGCAGTTCTCTGGTGGCCTTCCCAGCTTTGGAGGGCGGCCAGCCCACCTGAGCGCTTTGCTAGCTGAGCCTCCATAGAACTTTCTCTAGCTGGATGGTCAGGAATGGGGCCATCTTACTCTGCAGAAACCTATATAAGCTTTCTGAGACCCGGCAGATAGTCCAACATCTTGGTGGCTTATCGTCAAATCTGTTATTCTTGAAGTGTCAGGAATTTTTTAAAAGAAAGGAAAAGAAATTCTAGTTTCATTCTCTTCTTGCCAACTCCCAAATCCTCTTTTGCTATATTCCAGCCCAGCACACTGTCCCAGTTTTTCAGCTGTTGTGTCTCAGCTCTAACCCCATTCTTCTCTATCCTGCCTTGCAACGCTGAAGCCGGGACCCTGCAAACCCCCTCTCTGCTTTGCCAGGTGGCTCATGGTAGGCTCCGCTAGGTTAGGGTGGAGGAAGGATGCATTTACTTACTAGAAGTTTGCTTGTTTGGACTTCCTTACTTCTACCTGTTGTTCTGAGCAACACCTAGAAATGCTTCTTCATCCCAGTGGTAGCATCCCACTGACAGCAGCTGAAGCCAGCTGGCATCTTCCCCAACTCATGCAGAGCTAGCTCCACCATGCCCACCTCAAAGACACTCACACCAGCTGCCTGTGCCCCGTCCTCAGAGGTCTGTGTCCTGAGTCCACTAGGCATCTCCTCCAAGGCTCTAATTTTTATCATTCCAACTTCTTCCTTCTCCTGTAGCTCCACTCTGCCCCAACAGCCCTATGGGTGGTAGGCCCTTTGCAATTGCTCCATTTATGGTAACCTAGTGTTCTCTTCCTGCATTTTCAGTTATGACTAGTTATCTATTCCTTATATTAAATTTTCTCTAATCAAGCAACTGGGGGTGGCTTTTGTTTCCTAACTGAACTCTGACTGATAGATACTTTTTGTCAGGACTAAAACTAATGAGAGATTTGATTGTGATCGTTGGGTCAGAGATCCTCCACCTGAAAAATTAAGTCCACAAATGCCCACTGTGCATCTACACGTGAAAGGCACTGTCTTGAAGCTGAGAAATGGGCACTGCTGATCAACTCGGGTCCCCTACTCCTGACCCTTACTCCGAGGTCTAACCCTGGTTCTTTGCCTTGTCCTGCAAGGCAGCTCCGTGACTGGTGCTTTGGAATGGTAAACAATGCAGGCCGACTGGCTGCCTCCCTCCCCAACATGTGTTCTTCCTTGTTCCTCTGGCCAACTGTCACCTAGCCGCCCCCCCGACAAGTCCCACCATCCAGACAAAGGAACGCAGAAAAATAGAAGTATAATATCTCCTGCCCCACAATGGCCTGGCATGAGAGTCAGTCTCATAGATCTCATCGAAAGGCAGACATCCCTCACTCTCAAGCATGATTCTTTCTAGACAGCACCTTACCTGGGGAGAGAAGAAAGACGCCACCTTGGGCACAGAGAAGTGGGCGCAGAACTTATCTCTGCGACAGCTTAGCTCGACTAAAAATGCCCAGCAGCAGATTTGGATCTGCACAAGGGAAAGAGCACGACGAGAGGGCAGGCAGGGGCTGAAGAGGGAGAAAAGGAGGCCGATGTGTCTCTGCTAAAAACAAAGCTGGACTCTTTGCAGACCAGCAACTCCCGTCAAAGCCCTCTCTTCAGGAGCCACTGAAATGAATCGTGCTGGTTATAGCATTTAAAAACAGAGCCTCCTCAGTCATCATCACTGGAAAATACAGACTCAACCAAATTATCTGGGATTCCTTTTAATGAAGCTTTGCCCCTCTTTTCCCAGAATGCCCCCACCAACGCTCCAGCGGCACTGGGCATTGCTGTGAACTTGAGCGCACCCTGCTGGCAAGTGGCTGCAAAGACACAAGGACCGTCTTCCCTGCCACATCTTCATGCCACATGTGTGCACAGCAGCTTTGAACTTGAAAGTTGTTTTACCCAAACTTTTGTTCTCTTTCCACACTTTTGTGGTGTTAAACAGATTTCAGCATCCTCATCTCCATCTTCTTTCTGGTTTTTCTATCCAGTTCTTTCTCCACGTGGCCCCTGCCCTGCTGGACCCCACCACAGTCCCCTTTTTGTTTCAAGACTATCTGCTTAACCCAACCAAGTCTTGGCTCCTCAAACGACCACGAGCAGCTCTTGGATTATGGACAATTGGAGGGGTGGGAGTTGGGGCAGGGATGGGCAAGGGGAAGAGATTCTCTCTTAACCCTCGGGCTTTCTGGATTTAGAGGCCTAGAAGAAGAGAACCAACCATAGGGAACTGCGCACAGAAATTACATTGAGAAAACCATCCCAGACCCACTCTTCCAGCTGACCTCAGGCATGAAAGCCCTGGACCAGAATAGCTAACTGGTCAACCCCTTTCACCTCTTCTGAGAGCTGTGGACTATGGCTCTGAAGAGGTGAGTGCCTGGGTAAGCACAGTCCACCCTATCCCACTTAGGGATGGATTCCTTTCTCAAGAATTTACTTCATTTCCTAATGAACATTAAGAATTCAAATTCTTTGATTTAGTCCCTGATATGGTTTGCATCTGTTTCCCCAACCAAATCTCATGTCGAATTGTAATCCCTAATGTTGGAGGTAGGGCCTGGTGGGAGGTGATTGGATTCTGGGGATAGACCTCTCATGAATGGTTTAGTGCCATCCCCTTCATACTGTTCTTGCAATATTGAGTGAGTTCACATGAAACCTGGTCATTTAAAAGCGTGTGGCATCTCCTCCTGCCCCTCTCTCTCTTGCTCCTGCTCTAGCCATGTGAAGTGCTTGCTCGTCTTTCGTCTTCTGCCATGATTGTAAGCTTCCTGAAGCCTCCCCAGAAGCTGAGCAGATGCCAGCATCATGCTTCCTGTACAGCCTGCAGAACTATGGGCCAATTAAGCTTCTTTTCCTTATAAATTACCCAGTCTTAGGTATTTCTTTATAGCAATTCAAGAACGGATTAATTCAGTCCCCTCTCAAGAAATTTCGAGGGGATGCAAATAGTTCTCAAGCACCCCTCTCCACTCGAGCTGTCAAGTGCACAGTGCCAGTGTGTGAGGAGCCCAGATCAAAGCCAGGTGTGGGGCTGAGAGGTCAGGAATTACTCTAGGGGCTTATCTCCCCCAGCTTCTGTTCCAGTGTCCACTAACAAGGAGATCTCTTGGATACCTGGATAGAAGACAAGTGCCTTCCCTTCAGACTGCCCTATTTCTAGGATGGCAGATATAAGGCCTTCATGCCACCCCCAACCCCACCACACACACACACACACACACACACACACACACACACACGCTCCCATCGAAGATCAACTCATTGATCACAACAGTGAGCTGAGATGCAGTTCAAATTCCTGCTCCACAGTGAACACAAAATAGCCACTTCAAATCAGATTTAGCCAGACTTCTGGCTACCTCTGGCCTATTTTAAAGTTAGGATCCTCAAAGCACAAATATGTGATTTATTGTCATCTGGAATATTCACTATTCCAAATCTGAACTCAAAATCAGCTCTGCTATGACCTTGTAAAAATCTCAAGTTCCTCTCCATCTCCTCTTTTTTTATAAATTTTTATCTGTGCTCCTTTGGTGTGTTCTTGAACATGGTCCCACCTCAGTGCCTTTGCACTTCTTCCCTTCAGCCTGTTCCCTTTTCCCCCGGATGCCTCCATGCCTCCTGCCTTCACTTCTTTAGGTCTCATTCAATTACTGCCTGATCAGAGAAAGTGCTCCTGGATCTCTCTAGATAAGCCCATACCCTCCACCTCCATCTCCACACTGTCTTCTTACCTTGTGTTTTCTTCATAGCATTAATCGCCACAAACCTATTATTTGGTTATCAAAGAGCTGATTTTCTGTTTCCCTTACTAGAAGATAAGGTCTGTGAGAGCCTCATCTTGTGGTTTGCTTGTTGCTGTTTCCACAGTGCCCACAGTAGGCTATTAATAAATGCATGCTTAATGGATGAATGAATATGTGGGTAAATAAACAAAGGAAGAAGTTTGTAAAGGGGAAAACTTTCGCCTCACTCTTCAAGGGAACCACCCGCTCTCTGCATGGAGCGACTTGCTACAGAGGTAAGATACAAAAAGTGGAAAACCTTCAAGTGAGGTCTTCCTCACACAGCATTCTTATGTACCTCGAGCAAAGTTCATAGTAATAATTTAACTGTGAATGCAAACATCCCTATTCCCTTTTGCTGATATAAGCACAAAAATGTACAATATAAACAAACATACAAAACATACATCCTCAACACGTGTAAAATGCCTCACTAATTCAGGCTAATTGGACATAAGGCAAAAGTGAATTACTGGAAAGTCCAGACTATTAAATTTTGTAATAGAATACACTTTGATTACTTTCAAATTCAGGGCACCCTCCTTATTCAACACTCAGACACTTAATATCTCTTTAATTCAATTCAACTGCCAAGAAAAGCCACAAACCCAGAAATAATCAGGAAGTCCTTCAGGCATCAGCAGCAATGAAAGTAGCCAAAAATAGCCCCAAAAGGGAAATCTGCTGAGATTCAGTTATTTTGCTAACCAAAAGAAAGTGCTACTCTCATTGACTGTTCAATGCCTATACAAGTAAAACTTTACCAGCACCCAAGTCAAAAAGAAAAAAAAGGGGAATCAGATACAATAATAACAGTAATAATAACAACTACAACATTAACAACTAATATTTATTGAACACTTAGTACATGACTCTATTCCAATTGCTTTACATGTATTACTTACATAATCTATATAACAACCATATCAGGTATCAGGTATGTGCTATTATTGTCCACATTTTATAGATGATGACACGGAGGTACAGAGAATACAATAATGAAGGTGGAAATAAAAACAAATAACAAGGAACAATCGGGTGGACAGCGATGGCCTATGTCCAGAGAAGTAGAAGTTATAACTTAGATTGGAAATATGCTGTCAATCAAAGCAGATGATGATGGAGAATAGAAGTGGCCAAGAGGGAAGACAAGTCAAATACACCAACTATAGAAAGCCCAGTGCAGAGGTATTCAGTTCTGGGACTCCCCTGTGACTCTACGGTATCACTGTTGTGTTGGTCCGTTTGATAACCAGGGAGTCCGTAAGTCAGCCTTCCCCCATAAAACCTCCACAGTGATTATGAAGACTATAGAGTGCTCAATTTCTTTGAATTTTCACGAACCAGGTATCCAGAATATGACTTGCCTAGAATTCCTAGTCCAGATGTGTTGACAACTCAAATTATTGCAGGACTGGGCTAAATTTTTGGATTGTTATAACCGGCCCATTTATTTTTTGCAAAGAATAACTTTAAAATGCCTTGAATGTTACTTGGCCTCAAGTAGTTTAAGCAATCTCCCTATAACTTTGTTCTCACTGTTCGCTTGCACTATTTTCTTTTTTCAGTGCGAATATGGATTTCAAATTGGAACATTTTTGTATGATCACCAGTTCTGAATTCAGTAGACCCTGGGCTTGTACGTGTGCATATTTTTCTTTCAAATCTGGACCATCCACGATCCTTTGACAATAGCTGCTGCTATCTGGTGTGCAAGCAGAAACTACACATGAAGGTGAGTTTCTCCACTGCTCTGGGGTCACGGGGGGCAGGGACGGGCTGGTAATTTGGAGGTTTAGGGCCAGACAAGTGGTCCTTTTCCGCTCACATGTGAAATCTGTCAGCTCTCAGCCTGGAACTGTAAGCAGAACAAGTGAAACTTCCTAGGTTACCGCAGCTCTTTCCAAGCTGTTCCTGCAGAGCAGGATGGGATGCACAGGCTGTGATTCCTGGGAGATGTCCTAAAAAGCCCCTGAAAGAACCCCTCTTAGCCCACGCCATGTCCGGTCCACAGTGTGTTGGACATTCTTACCTGACACTGATTTTTTCCTCCAGGTTTCATTGAGTAATTTGTAAGGCAGCTCTCAAGAATTATTTCCATTCCCAAATCCATCTTAGTTGTTTTTCTAACTGAGGCTGTGGCCCCAAAGTACCTCACGGAAGCCAAGCCTCTCACTCACACATGCCACAGGTCCCAGCAGCACTTCCGCCTTGAGGCAGACCCCAAGCCTAAAATGTACGCATGAGATCTTGGAGGACACATTTCTGTAGTAAGAATGTATCTCTAACTGCTCCAGGAGCCCAGCTCGGCCTTATCTGTTTCACAGGGTGCTGGAGGGACTCCCCTCTCCAATCACAGGCCAGGACTTCCGGGGTGTCCTCCCACCATCTCTGGCCCCAGCAGAGTTAATTCCAGGCATGGATGTTCAAAGTCTTCATTACCCTGTGATGCCCATATGCACCTAAATGTGGGAACTGACATTTTCCAGACATTTGTGCTCCCTTTTCAAGTGCCGGCGCCCTTAAGAAACGGAACTTGGTGTACCTGCTTTTCCTGTGCGGGTGGCCTAGCAGAGACCAGAGAGAATGGACCTTGTTCCCCGGAGGGCTGCTGCCTCCACAGGGACACCCAAATTATTCCAACCTCCAAAAGGCAAAGCTAAATGAAGTCTTGTATTCAGCCTTTGTTTAAAGATCATGTTCATGAGGTTTTGCATCATTCTAATACTTGTGCATATTATGTAATTCACACAAAGTGAACAATGGTTAAATTTTCAGGAGTAGAACTTAGAGTAAATTTTTCCCTTCCATTTACTTTTTCTGTGAACATATATTTTTAATACCCTTGTATTACCATTAGAAAGCAGAACATCTTTCTTTAATAAAAAGAAACATATAGATTTTGGTTTTGACAGGAGCTGATTCCCTGTGCGTTTTAAAGTTTAAAAATATTTTAATGGCTTATTCCAAGTTTGTGTTATTTAAAAGGTGATATTTACATTTAGCAAATTGACTTACTCTAAAGATTCACCCGATTCAGCTTTGTGCCTGTCTGTCGCCAGACTTGTCCACCTGGGAGGGAGGAGTGGCCTCATCTCTCCCCTTTCTGGCTGTCAGTCACCAGCAGGGCCCAAGCACACAGACCTCAGACTTGGCATGGTCCCTTCACTAAGCTCCCTGTGGAAAATTTTATAAGTTGCTATTTTTCTTTACCCTGAGAGATGCACGAAGGCCAGACACGGTAGTCTTGGTTTTGCAGGTGAGAAAACCCAGCTACTGGGAGTTCAATCCCAGTGGATTTCCCAGTCACTTGAACTACTGACAGCAGGTTTCATGTTCGGTCTTTTAAGGCTGATTCCCTGGGCTGAAATCATCTGACAGACTTCCTAAACTGCTTTTAGAGTCGTCATGGGTAACTTCCACTAGCCCTCTGGGAGGAGAATTAAAAACATATTTAAAAAATTCTCACAAGTTAATCACCTTCCAAAATGAAGTCACCCAAATCGATCTCAAGATAAGCTTGACAACAATTAGAGCTTGTTTCCTTTCGAGTCAATTGCACTAGCAAAAATCTCACCTTTATAGTACTTAACGAAATTGATGGGACCCTGCAGCCATCCTGTGTGTTTTGGGGAAAGAAGCAAGGAAAGCCAACCATTGAGGTAAAAGACCCTCTTGACCCATCCACCTAAAACCATTCTGGGCTGCTCTGTCTATGGGGTAGACATTCTTTATTCCTTTACTTTCCTAATAAACTTGCTTTCACACAAAAATAAGTAAATAAATAAAATGAAACCACTCTGACTTCCACACTGCCGCCCAACCTCCACTGTTAATTACTGGCCACGCCCACCGGGCCTTTCAGTAATCAATGGTCTCTGGTACTTTTTGTGGCCCCAGTGGTGCTGACCAATGCACTGGGTGCAAGATTGCTTAGTGCCAGCAACCTTGGCCAAGGAAAGCAGAAATTTCAGGTCTGTGCCATGGGTGCTTCCAGGTAGACACAGTTGTGGTGGGAGCACAGGACAATTCCTCTAAGTAAGACCTAACCTGGTGTTTTCCGATCATTCCAAAGTGGCATCGAGGGAAGCCCTTAAAGAAAGTGGTCGTGGTGTCCTTGAAACGTGGCTCTGCCTGTAGCCCCTTGCCTTATATCCCCAATTACTTGGTATTATATCCTCATTTTTCATCTGTCCTGTATGTCTATAATGAGCTAAATTTTATAAGTCTATTTTAGGCAAGGATTTCTAATTTTGGAGGCTTTTTAAAAATCGTGTTGTGTATGTCATTGCTTCTTAAAACATAAAACGTTTTCTTTTTGTAAGCTCATAATACTGCACAAATAATTGGTGGAAAACACCATCATAAAACATTTTACGACATGAGCATACAAGACCATTGTCAGGGTGAGGCAGCACAGAATTACAAGAAGAAGATCGCCAGTTAGATTCCTTATATTTACCTTAAAGGCCGTGCTTGAGCATACTAACAATTAATAACATTAAATACAACTACTGAATAAATGAGTGTTTCCGCATTTGAGTTGGACAACAGACCAGTAAGTGGGGTGGGGCCTGTCTCTCACCTTTCACGGCCCAAGACCCTGAGCCTGGCTAACTCGCTGCTCTGCCCGAACCGCAGGCTGCCTGGGCCGGGGACGCGCGGAGGGGCCCCCCGCAGAGGGCGGGCTCAGCCGGGCAGAGCTCTCGGGGGCGCCCCGCGCCCAGCCCCGCCGGCTCCTGCTCTCCCCGAGCACGCGGCGTTAGCTAATCTTCTCAGGGACTGCCGAGGCCCTTTCTCCGCCAAACCGCAGGGAGGGAACAGCCCGAGAAGGGAGGGGGCTGGGAAGGGTTTGTTGTTGCTTTTTCTGAATTAAAAGAAAACAGGGACTAGAGCAAGGAAGAGAGCGAAGTTCAAGGGAGAATCTGGCAAGTCACCTTGGGCAGCCCCTGGACCGCCGCCAGAGCTCTCTTGGAGAGGGTGAGGACGCCGAGCGTGTGATGAGCGCCTAGTGAGTATTCACTGTGCATGATAGATGACTGGCCTGGAATCCTTCCACACCACAAATTTGTTCCTCTGTACACCCAGGCAACCAAAAAGCCAAAAGAAATGGGGGATTGGGGAGGGGACTGTCTAACTTCAGTTTCTCCCGGCTGCTGGCACCCGCGGCCTCAGAAGCTCTTAGCCCCGCCCCCCATTGTCTTTGACTCTGCTCCCTCCTTGGCCTCCCTTGGCCCCCGCCTGGTCCTGGAAGCAGAGCTGCGAGTTTCCCTTTTCTCTCGCTGTGCGCACTCGCAGCCCCGGTCCAAGCCCAGCCTCTCCAGGCAGGGATTAGTGCAAGCGTCCGTTGGCCGGAACGAGCGAGGACAGCCTCTCCACCTCCCTGCCTCCCTACCTCCCTGCCTTCAGCACCCTCCCCTCTGCGGCTCCCCGACCCAGCCATCCACAGCACAGCTGCCAGAATCGCCTTTCCGTTCCACGGTTTTGATCATGTAACATCCCCACTTGGAAGACCAGAGTGAGTCCCAGCGGCCTCATATGTCAGATCTCAGTTTCTAACTATGAGCATCAAGGCCCTCCCCGAAGGCCCCCCATCTTGCCTGCCCTGTCTCACCGGCCTTCTATCCAAAATCTTCCAGTGCAAAACTTCTGGTCAGATTATGCAGAACTTTATAGCCTCTCCCTCCCCTACCCCACCACTTCGTCATTCCGCAAGTATTTATTGAGCATCTACAAGGTTCCAGGCACTGAACTATGGGCTGCAAATACAAAAACGAACAAAAGAAATTATCCTGCCCTTAACGACTTTACAGTCAAGTGAGGAGAACAGAAACAAGGAAATTTTCTGGCTCCAGTTTGTCACTAAAACAACATAGTTCACATCTAAATCTGAGCACAGCTATGTAAAATACACTAATAAGCAGATCGTGCACAGATAAAAGACTGAAATGAAATGTACCAAAATAGCTATAGGATAACTGTTTTCTTCCTTCCTTTTTTTTTATTATACTTTCAGTTTTAGGGTACATGTGCACAACGTGCAGGTTAGTTACATATGTATACATGTGCCATGTTGGTGTGCTGCACCCAGCAACTGGTCATTTAACATTAGCTATATCTCCAAATGCTATCCCTCCTCCCTCCCCCCACCCCACAACAGGCCCTGGTGTGTGATGTTCCCCTTCCTATGTCCATGTGTTCTCATTGTTCAATTCCCACCTATGAGTGAGAACATGTGGTGTTTGGTTTTCTGTCCTTGGGATAGTTTGCTGAGAATGATGGTTTCCAGCTTCATCCATGTCCCTACAAAGGACATGAACTCATCATTTTTTATGGCTGCATAGTATTCCATGGTGTATATGTGCCACATTTTCTTAATCCAGTCTATCGTTGTTGGACATTTGGGTTGGTTCCAAGTCTTTGCTATTGTGAATAGTGCTGCAATAAACATACGTGTGCATGTGTCTTTATAGCAGCATGATTTATAATCCTTTGGGTATATATGAAGTAATGGGATTGCTAGGTCAAATGGTATTTCTAGTTCTAGATCCTTGAGGAATCACCACACTGACTTCCACAATGGTTGAACTAGTTTACAGTCCCACCAACAGTGTAAAAGTGTTCCTATTTCTCCACATCCTCTCCAGCACCTGTTGTTTCCTGACTTTTTAATGATCGCCATTCTAACTGGTGTGAGATGGTATCTCATTGTGGTTTTGATTTGCATTTCTCTGATGGCCAGTGATGATGAGCATTTTTTCATGTGTCTTTTGGCTGCATAAATGTCTTCTTTTGAGAAGTGTCTGTTCATATCCTTTGCCCACTTTTTGATGGGGTTGTTTGTTTTTTTCTTGTAAATTTATTGGAGTTCATTGTAGATTCTGGATATTAGCCCTTTGTCAGATGAGTAGATTGCAAAAATTTTCTCCCATTCTGTAAGTTGCCTGTTCACTCTGGTGGGAGTTTCTTTTGCTGTGCAGAAGCTCTTTAGTTTAATTAGATCCCATTTGTCAAGCTTCCTTTTTTTTTGAGATGGAGTCTGGCTCTATCACTCAGGCTGGAGGACAGTGGCCTGGTCTCCGCTCACTGCAACCTCCACTTCCTGGTTTCAAGTGATTCTCCTGTCACAGCCTCGCGAGTAGCAGGGATTACAGGCGTGCACCATCATGCCTGGCTAATTTTTGTACTTTTAGTAGAGACGGGATTTCGCCATGTCGTACCCGGCTGGTCTCGAATTCCTGACGTCGGGTGATCTGCCAGCCTTGGCCTCCCAAAGTGCTGGGATTACAGGTGTGAGCCACCAAGCCCGGCCTGCTTCCTTACTTCTACTTTTAGGTAATTTCTAAAATTTTTGACCAGGCATTAATTTCTATGATTAAAAGCAAACTGTTTTGTGTCATTTATTTTTTCTGATTAAAAAAGCAATGTTATTTTTTAAAGAAAAATTTGAAACTACAAAATACATTGATAAGAAAATAAAAAATTCACAATCCCAATATAGTGCATAAAATATCAACATTTTATTTGATTAGTACCTAAGCATTATCATATCTTTTTATAAAATTGGGCTCATGTCATACACAATATGTCATCACATTTCTACGTAACGTATTATAAATAATTTTCCATGGCTTTGAAGTGCTCTACAGCATCATTTTTCATGTCTTCACAATATTCAACATGAATGAACTATATCTGGTTTAATCAATTCTTGTACATACATCATTGTGCATGTCCCTAAAGTGGAAGAAAACTGTGGAGATTGAAAATAGGCTTTTGACTCATTCAGACCTGGATTCAAATCCTGTCTATACCACTTGCTGGATGTAACTTTAACCACATTTACTAAATTTTTCTAGATCTCATGTTTCTCACACACAGATAAGGCGATAATAATATCTTCCTTACTGAGTTATTGTGAGAACAAAATTGTATATATAAATTGTTTTGGTGCCTGGCACACAGCAATTGATAGCCTTGATTATTTTCTTAGAACACATTTCTAAAAGTAGAACTTTCGGGTGAAAGTGTATAACCATTTTGAAATTTCTTGAGGTACACTGCACTATAGAAAGAGTGTATAAATTTCACTGAAAAGAGGGAGTCAGGAAGAAGTTTTTTAAAAAATTAAACTTGTTTTGAGCCTTGTGTACCCAACGCAATAATGGGCTCATTCAGTAAAACAGACATGAAACAATACCCTCTCTAATCTATAATTGTTATAACCTGGCTCTTCCCCAGCCTTCTGTCCACCGGCTTTATTGCCCCCTGCTTCTAAAAGTGTCTTAGTTGAGTCTTCCCAGATTCTCCACAGCTTACTCCAGGGAAGCTCTCTTTAAGACTCTTCTCTACTGAAGACTTCCGGTGCTCCTTCACTTTGCACTGCTGGAGACTTCTGCAATCTCTGTAACATGCTCATGCTAAATCCTCCATCAGACTGCAAACTCCTGAAGTCCAGGGACCAAGGCTATGTTATGAAAATGAAATTGCTTTTGATTCTTTGGCTAACCACCCAAATCAGAACTGTTCAGGAAGATCTAAGATGTGGAAAAGTCGTACATACAGAATCTACCTTATAGGTGAGAAAATCTGGACTCTGGGAGGGAACATGCCCTTCCCAAGAGCACACACCAAGCAATGGAGCCTCGTTCCTGTCTCTCCACCTTACTGCTATCACCTCCAGCTGCCTCCCACCAGTTTCATGTTTTATTGCTCAATCTAAGCCCTGTGTTATCCGCTACACTATCTCAATTTGAAAAATCTTGCCCTTGACTCTTGCTTTTGTGCAGCCTACTGCCCTACTGTCAGTCCAGATCATTTCTGCATATGGACATCACACACACTCCCACCCACCACTCTTCCTTGAACTGGGGGAGGTAACAGAATCTGCGCCCACCCCGGCATTCCTGCACATCCTGAACATAAAAGCAGTTGTGAAACATGCAGAATCCTCCCCGATTTATTTCTTTTTACCTTACATCCCTTCCACTTTGATGTCAGTAGAATATTTGAAAGAAAAGAATCTAACGTGACCTACTACCCTGGAATGCCAAGAAAAACAATTACCAGGTCGATGGAGCTCAGGGAGCAGCTGGTGGACATGAATGAATGGGGCAAAAATAGTTTGTTTTCTAAACTCGTTCCACCTCAGGGTTGACCATCAGGTCTTTTGCTGGAGGCCGCCCAGAGCTCCCCACTTTCTGAACCTCAGTGACCCACAATCCATTCCTAAAAGGGAGAGCCTCCTGTCTTTCTCTCAGTTCCCTCAGGCTCTTAGCAGGACTCAATAAGAGCCCCAGAAATTTCCCAGAAGTAGGTGGATTTAAAAACACTTAAAATTGTAAGGGTGGGTGGTGGAGTCAGGTGGGAAGAAGCGAGTAGAGTTGGAAGGAGGATCTGCCCTCTTCTTAGGCCAGCTACAGAGTGATGCTAAATTGCTTAGGGGGGTAGTGAAGGTCACACGGAGCTCAGTTCTATCCTGCCCAGACCCCCAGAGCCTGTGATGACCAACATCTCCCCAGTTGTAGTGATTATCACAACTGGGCCCTTTTGTACAGCAGGATGGTGCTGTGGGGGATGAAGATCAATGTGGGCTTTGGAAAGGGCTATGTGGTGGTGCATAAGAATTTGATCCTTATTATGGCCAACAAGGCCAATCTTAATGTGGCCCTTCCTCCCCTCCCTGTCTTCCTCTTGCAGCAGTCAGTGGTCACTGATACTTTCTGCTCTACAAGCTACTTTCTGCCACAGGGCATTTACACTTGCTGTTACCCCTGTCTATATGGCATGCTGAACTTAGCACCACAAGTATGTACCAACGAACCTGCATAAAATATGATGGACCTATTACTGGTATTACCTGTCCTGCCTGTGGGCATTACTACACACACACACATACACACACACACACACACATACACATACACACACACACACCCTCACATCTCTGAGTGTATCTGCTATATCTTAGCATTACTAGTCCCTTCTCTTCATTCACATCTCTGATTGGCTGACTCCTCCTCAGAAAAGTCTTTCCTGGCTACTCTCTAAAATAGCAATCTCCCTCCCCCAGTCTATGCATCCTCTCTCTCCTTACCTTGAATCATTTTCTTTATCATGTAGTCTGCCTAAAGTAGAATTACTTACTTATGAGTTTGTTTTCGCTTCTATTCCTGCCCCAGATTCTAAACTCTATGAGAGCAGAAAATTATTTTACTCATTGATGAATCCCAAAGCCTAGAACAAAACCTGACTTATAGTAGGCACTGAATATGATATGCATTTATAATCAGTGACTAAAAGAACTTCCAGGAGTACTTTTGATTCATAAGGAAGAATTTTATGTAAACTGGGAGAGGTTTAATAGCTGAATCTGTCTCCCCTCTTCCCACTGAGTTCTTTGACTTTATTTTAATGGGTCAGAGTTTCCGTGGACTTAGTGCCTGAGTGGTTTCTACAGAGCTGGGGCACCCCCAAAAGCCAGGGCTCTTCCAGTATGAATGATGGAGGTGTTTCCAGAGGAAGTCATCTGAGAGAAGAGCTCTTTGCAAATGACTGCTCAGGGACCCAGGATGTACACTGACAACACACCCCACTTCTGCACCCAAGTCAAAAGCTTGTATTGAAGAGTGATATATCTTTTGTATGTCATACTTCAAATTCCATTGTTTACAGAGGAAGTACTATTGTTGACAAGCATAAGCCATTTAGAAATATGACAGAAGTTATGAGCCCTGAAAGAAAGGACAGTCCTCGAACTGGAAGGTTTGACCATGGAATTTCATTCTCTTTGCTCATTTATGTGTGCTGAAATGTTTCTTTTCAGCATTTGACTATAAAAAAGGCAAATGACTCAGAAGGGAGAGGAATTCATACAACCGCTAACTGTCCATTGGTAGCCGCGAGCTGTGAAAGATGAGGATCTAGTCTTGGTGTGGTAATATCTCTGTGCCACCAGGACAGTAATAAGTCCTTACATAAAATGTGGGCATGACTAGTGTTCACGAAGATTTCTGACTCTCCTCTCCTTCTGAGCACATATCCCTCAATGTAAGATGTATCCTTGTGACTTGCTTTGGCCAGTGAAATGTGAGTGGAAGGACGTTTGTCAATTCTGGTGGAGAATATTTTAGAGCCAGCACGAGTCTCCATGCTCTCTTTTCCTGTCACTGTGAACCTGAAGCCTGATATTGAGGTGACAGTGGAGATTCTGCAGTTTGGGCCTCTGAGCGTCTACCACCAACGAGTCCTCCCTTCGAACTCCCCCTTCAACCTGAAGTGAGCTTTGTTTTATGCACTGGGATTTTGGGGTTGTTTGTTATAGTGGAAGCTCAGCCTATCCTGACTGTAGCCTCCCTATAATAAATCAGGTTCTTTTCCCATACATTAACTCATGTGATGACCACTGCAACCCTGTGAGTTTCATTGCACAGATGAGGAAACTGAAGCTCAGATTCAAAAACTGATTCCAAAGCTGATTTAACGGATTCCAAAGTCAATTCCCTTCCCACTATACTATGTTGTCTTCTACTCTGAAGAAGATTCAACTTTTATGTTTCTCTGGATCCTGTGGGGCCCACAGCCCTTGTTCTGCAACTATGGCTTATTGGAGTTTGATTTGTTGTGGTCTACAGCCTCGCTGACCTTATGATTCAATGAAGGAATTGGAGAAATAAGCAAACACTTATTTTGACCCTAAGAAGCAAGTTAGAAAGCAGGCACACTATGAACACGTGGAAGGGCAGAGCATGCGCATCTGCATGAGGTCGGGAGGGCGTGAGAGAGCCTGGGGCTGGGCAGTGCAGTCCGTGTCCAGGGAAGCCTGACAGTCAGCAGGGGGAATGTGAGGTTGGACTGGGTCCTGGAAGACTTGGGTTCCAGGCCTGGCTCGGCCAGCCTTGGTGACTCACCTTTCTGGGCCAACCTCCCAGCTGTGGAATAAGCATTTTGGATTCCAACCCTGCCTGCACATTAGCATCACCTGGGGAGCTTTAAAAAGACAAATCACCACCCAGCCTCAGAGATTCTGATTCAGCAGATCAGGGGCAGCACACAGGCCTCTGTAGTTTTAAACAACTTTTAAAAGGACACTGAAGCACAGGCAGATTTGGGCGTCACGGCGCTAGACCATTCTAGGATGCCCTTTCTGTTGTTTCAGTGCCTGGGATCCACCCTCACGACCCATCTGTTTCTGCCAAAGGTGTTTTAGCTATCCCTGGAGTCCACCCAGACCTCTGGGAAAACTTGTCTGAGGCCTGTGCCAGAACTCCAGTGGCCACTCAAAGTCAGAAATTCCAGAGGGACTGTGGGATTCCATGGGGCTTCAAATCCACTTCCCAAGCTATGCCATTGTGAGGAAAGTAAGACAAAGTGTCGAGGGGCTGGGAAGATTAGTAAGCAAAAGGCTTCCCTGAGACAGCATCTAAACTTGCACGGAAGACAGCCTTTCTAGACCAGAGCAGTTTCATCCCAAAGCAGGTCCTTGGACACTGCTCCCTCTCAAATCCCATCCACCAGGAAATGCTTTCCTGGCCTACACAGAACTAGCTGGCTTACTGCAAAGCTTCTTCAGATTTTCCTCTTGATAGACCCCCGCCCCAGGACTTCTCTGCCCTTTAAATTCTGGCATCCTGACACTGGCAGCATTAGCTGTGGGCTTGGTTGAAGAAGAAACTGCAGCAATGCCAGGGAATCAGCAGGAAGACCTCCAGCTTCCCCACAGCCTCTTGGCAGAACTCAGGGTGGCCTCTCAGCTGGTATACTGCAGCCAGGCTGCTGGGTACTTGCCTGGACCTAGTGCCAGGCCCCACAGCAGAGGGCAAGGTGTGTGGCTGCCTTGGTTGGCAAGTGCATTCCAATTCCTAGGAATCTCATGGAATCGTGCTGTGAATTAGCTACCTCACAGCCTCTACCCAGCTAACTACCCTCCTCTGCCAATTCTAGCTCTAATTTTTTTGTCCATTCCTCCCTCTGCCATCATCCTACTTCAGGTCCTTTCTTCCTCTTGCTTGACTCTGATGTGATGGCATCCCAGATAATCTTCCCACCTCTGTTCTCTCATCCTCCAACTTATAATATGCAGTTCTGCCAAGATGATCTCCCTAAGCCACAGCTCTCATTCTGCCACTCCTAAATTAAAAAACAAAACAAACAAAAAAACAAATTCCCAGTTGTCTCCATCATAGTTCAGGTTTTCTGGAAATAGAGTTCGAGCAGGAGAATTGCATGCAGAAAGTTTCCTGGGGAATGCTCTCGGGAGACAGACCTGTAAGGAAGTAAGGAAGACAGGATAGGCCCCAGAAAGAAGCTGGCCCACAGGTGGTGATACCTGAGGCCTCTGCTGGTTCTATCGGGAGTTCTGGATTTGGGATGGCCCTGCAGAGTAGTCCCAAATTGAGCCCAGTTTCCAGACATCAGCCATTCATTGGTCACAGTCTACCCCACCCCACAAAGGGGGCATATTCCCAGGTAACACAGCTCCCTGCAGCCGAAGGCAGTGCCTAGTGAGGAACACAGCTCGGAGACATCAGCAGGTGATGCTCCCAGCAGCCAGGGCATGGCTCTGTGGACCCTGAGCAGGGCTCTAAGAAGGGGACCCCATTATCCACTTCTGTTTCTTCAGCTTGGCACTCATGCCTACCTCCCATTCTGCTATAGAACCCACCCCTCCCTTTTTTTCTCTTTTGTCTTTCTTTTTTATTATGGTACAAATATATACAAATTTGCCATCATAACCATTTTTACATGGACAGTTCTGTGGTATTAATTTACAATGTTGTGCATCTGTCATCACTATCCATTTCCAAAACTTTTTCATCACCCCAAACAGAAACTCTGTAATCATTAAGCAGTAACTCCCATTCCCTACTTCCCCGAGCCCTGGTAACCTCTAAACTACTTTCTGCCTCTGTGAATTTTCCTATTCTAGATATTTCATATATGTGGGATCATACATTTGTCCCTCTGTGACTGGCTTCATTCACTCAGTATGACTTTCAAGGTTCACCCATGTTGTGGCATGTATCAGAACTTCACTCCTTTTGATAGCTGAACAATATTCCATTGTATGGATAAACCCTGTTTTGTTTATCCATTTATTTGTTAATGGACATGTGGGCTGTTTTTACCTTTGTATCATAGTCAATAATGGTGCAATAAACATTAGTATTCAAAATATCTGAGTTCCTGCTTTCAGTTCTTTGGAATATACACCAAGAAGTAGAATTATCCACTCCTCTCGTAAACACCTAGGTTTCTGTTGAAACCATTCACCAGCCCTGGACCATGACTCATGATTCCCTGCCTCCAGAGACCAGTATATTCTGACCTTTCCACCCGGAACCCCCTTCTTCCCTTCTCCACATATCAAAATCGTCTCCATTTGTGCTAGGCAGAAAAAAAAGTGTCCCCTCCCCAAAGATATATTCATTTCCTAATCCCCAGAACCTTTGAATATTACCTAACATGGCAAAAATTGTTGAGGTAAGCATCTTGAGAGGGGATTATCCTGGATTATCTAGGGGGTCCTGAGTGCCATCACATGTATCGTTGTAAGAGGGGACAAGGGAGAGTAGGCAGACACACACAGAGAAGGCAACGTGAAGGCAGAGACAGAGTTTGGAATGATGCAGCCCCAAACTAAGAAACACCGAGGATTGCCGGCAGCCACCAGAAGGTGGAAGAGACACGGAACCGATTCTCCCCTGGACATGCCTGGGTTGTGAAATCTTTAAGCAGGCATGAAGGCTTATGCACCAAAGTATTTCATTTAAATTCACGTGGTAAGTATTTAGCATGAGCCAGGCTGTGTTCCAGAGACCAAGCCCTCAGATTGGAACCCATATATTTTTTCCAGTTTTTAATTTTGTAAGTAATTCATTTGATCAACAAATATTTATTGAACAGTTACTCTGTGCCAAACACTGTTTGGGGATCCAGGAATACAATGGTTAACAAAATAAACATCCCTTAGTCCTTGACACCCCCCAAATAGTCCTTGTCCTCATGAAAGAGACAGAAAATAAACACATCTATATACATTTATATGTATTTCATGACGAGAAATGATAAATGTTATAAAGAATTTTGGAAGTAATATATAAATACATGCTCATTATAAAAAAGAAATAGAAAAGATGAAGTAAAAAATGAAAGTACACTTCAGCACTACCTCTAATTCCATGCTGCTCCCAGAGGTAACCACCGTTAGCAGTATGCATCCTTCCTAGCTTCTTTCTGTGCAGTTATATAAACCTTACAAATCACCTATATGGGTATTTTTTGCATAAACAGAATATACTTTATGCGTTGCCCTGAATCTCAGCATAGAATTACACATAGAATAAATGTTTGCTCTGTATAGGTTGATGAGTATTGAGTTTCTTAAACTTCTCAAAAGGCCCACCCACCTAATGCTGAGCATCAGGGCCAGGTCCAAGGTAAGCAGCTGGTTCTCCGGCTTCTTCTGTTAGTGGGTGTGTGCTTTGGTGAGCACCTTGGGTGCAGAGAAGAGATGTGAACAAAGCACTGTTTGCCAGCCATGTGGAGGAGGTGGAGGTGACACCTCCCTGGGCACCAGAGTACAATATGTGTGTAGACAGTCTTTCTGTTTCCAGCCCCAGTGTTACCCCGTTTAGTTCTTTTTGGAGATGGAGAAAGGCTTCTTTGCGTTCAGAGTCTGTATTGAAGATTTGGGACAGCCACAGGCCAGATCCCTAACCCTGGTCTGAGAGGTATCTTTCATCCCTCAACAGACATTTTCAGAATAAAGTACCAGACAGGGTACCAGGCCCTGGCCATGACCACTTCCAGAATAATCCCAGGAATGGAGTGGAGTGGCAAATCCAGGTGCAGGAGTCCGCATCCCACTTGCCTCCTGGCTCCACCTGCCTCAGACAGACCCAAGAAAGAAAACAGTGGCTATGATGTCTGAGGCTGCTGCGATGGGTGCTCTCATAGGTGAGTGGAAAATTTTTCTACTCTTAAGTCCAGCTCTGTTCCATGCTGTAGGAAAATTTTCTACTTCCACGTATGCCTTTTGTTCTTTCTTCTACCATTTGCTACAGCAGTGTTAGTGCCTGAACGATTACAGTCTCTCTCTCTCTATTTCTTTCTCTGTGTGTGTGTGTGTGTGTGTGTGTCCTCTCCATATGTTCTGTGTTATCACACCCATTGTAAGATGGAAAGACAAAGGCCCTGAAAAATCACTGAGTAGAAAAGGACACTCCAAAAAATGTTTCTCTGTCTCCAGGAAGCCTGTGTCTAAGTCATGGACAATAGCTGGGTGTTTTCCAGCTTTTAAATCTCTTCAAGGAAATTGGAACATGACTGATCCCATCCTGGACCAAATTTCAAAAGACATTTTTGCAGACAAATTAGCTTCCTAGTTGTGTCACCTGAATTACTACTAAACCACACTGTCTCCTTCCATTGACCACATGGCCCCAAATAAGAGATTTTGCCCTCCCGTCATTACTGAAAAATTTTCAACTTTTCTTCCAATTCATTCCTCATATAGGACTTATTTATATTAGACATTTGACAATGCAATTTTAAAGGAGAAGTACAAATCACTATTAAAATGTATATGACATATTTATTGATTTTTGTTCAATTGTTAAGAAGTTTGTAACTTTTTTTTCCTTTTTTCTTCTGTGAAGTGGCACTCTGAAAGCCAGCTGATAGGCTTCTGAGTCAGCGTTGCTGTTTCTAATTATTGAATATCTAGAAGCAGCTCCAGACAACTGCTCAGCATTACGTTCCCACCAGCCAAACCTGAGAGACAGAATTCTTGGTTACAAAATGCTGGAGTTAAGGGTTGAAAGACAACTTCCATTATAACCTCCTGTTTTCACTCACTTAAAATTGCCCAAAAATTGTCCTCTTGCTCCAAATCATTTCATGCTCTGTTTCCACCCCAAGGATGAAATTGCTTGGAAAGTTTGAACAAAAGTGGTTTAGCCAGTTTGGATTCAGGCAATTTGGGGGAGAATATCCTTTTTCAACTGAAAAACAAATAATGTGTATCTCTGGCTATGGACAACCCCAAAGCAGCTGTCACCTTATAGCATCGGTTCTCTTGTGTGGGTGGTCAGCTTTATCCAAGAAAGGAAGTGTCTGTGGATACAGTGGAAATCCAGAATCTCAAAGAAGAAATCAGAAGCAATGATGGTATGGATTTGTGCTTTCTGTTCTACAATTTGGTTGCCGATGGGGAAGGAGGGCAGGAGGAGAAGGACTTATATTATCTGCAGAATAAAGACTGTCCTCTTTTCCTAGAATTAACTGTTTTGTTTGCAATAGAATACAGTGGCTAAAAGTATGGGATTTAAATTAAGGCATTCATGGATTCGAGTTTGGATTCTGCCCATGACTAGCTATGTGACACAATTAGTAATAAAACCTCCCTAAGCGTTGATATCCTCTCCATTAAAATGGGGATCATGATAGTAGCCACTTCATAGAAGTGCACTGAGGATAAAATAAGGCAATACATATGAAATGCTTGGCCCAATGTCTGGAGTACCATGTGCAGGCAATGTAGGTTGCCTGGTAGTAGAGCAATGGTAGTAATAGAGAAATACACAGACATGGCTGCATGTTGAATCTGTCAGTTGTGTTGACATCTAGGTTTTTGCCTTTCTGGATCCATTCCCAATTCTGGTGAGCACACCTCAGTTTTCATTTTTGGAAACCACTCCTTCCCAGGTTCAGCCCATGTGATTCAGATGTTGCTATCCCTCCCACCATTCTCACAGGTGTATCTGGGACCTAATTCCAACAAAGTAGAGCTTGTGAATATCTGCTCCGGGATTTCTGCTGGAACGTGGGCAAAGAGAAGATCTCTCCTCCTTTGGCTAGGGTCACTGGCCCACAAGAATGCCAACTTAGAGTTCCTGGAAGTCACTTTTTGTCAAGCTTACCAAGAATGACTCTAACAGAGAGAAATACAGACCCCAGAGATAGCAAGAGTCCTGAAGGCATTATCCGAGTGCCTGGGCCCTCTGTACCTGCAGCTGGTCCTGTCCTAAGACTTTCAGTTTTGTGAGACTTTTTTCTTAAACCAGATTGAATTGGACCTGTATTATTTCCATTAGTCCTCTTCAAAAAAGAAGCTCAAGGCTAAAAGCATCCAGCAGTGAGGCAGAACTCTTCATGATGTTTGGAAAACATGTATTTTTTCTGCTTCTACTTTGCTGGCAGCTTTGGACAAGTCCCTTTGCCCTCTGGGTCTCTAGGACCTCTACAGTGAGATCAGGCAGAAGTAAGAAGGGGCCGCTGAAGTTGCAACATCCTGAGCATCTATGATTTGGAGGAAATAGTGTATAGGGGAATCACAGTCTATACTTAGGTTTTTGGTGACAAAGGAGAAATTAAGAGTTTGTGGTTAAAAGTTAGAGTCTGTCTCACTTTAGAGATTAATTTTGACTTTCAGCTTTACTACTTGTTGTGGGACCATGGGCAAGTGACTCGGCCTCTCTGAGACTCCTCTTCAATTGTAATATAAAGATACTAAGATTAGCTAGAGAAAGGAACTTTCTACTCTTCCTAATCTCACATACTCATTTTAGCCCAAAGATGAAGGGCTCCTGCTTTTCTACTGGACATAAAAGTCCTTGATGAAATCCTTTGGCTTCCCTGTCCGCACTGTCACTTGCTCCTCTTCATAGGAGAGAGGTAACTAGTCAGATTGGTGAGATTAAGAAAAGCAGCCATTTGTTCAGCCATGTTTCTGCCTTGGGCAAGGTGGAGGGGTAAAATCTTGACCTGTTGCCTGGACCTGCATGTGTTGAAGTTCAGTGAGCCACATGCTTCCAGGACCCATGGGATGAATCCCTGAACAGGGGCACTCTCACCACAGAAGGTCCCCATTCTTCAGCTTCTCCACCTGGGAAAGCATAGGTAAGTCAGGTCAGCCCTGCACTGTGGACTTGGACATCTGTAATTCAGGAAGGGAAGAGGGTAGAAAAGCCTGTCATGTTCTCCATTCAAGATCGGTCTCTTACAAAGCAAATACTTTGATCCCCACCTGGCTCCTTGAGTCTGTTGTTAGGTTAATGAGAAAATGATTCTGGGACCTTTGGACGAAGGAGATTCCTCCAACAAGACCCCAAAATTGCAAACCATAAAGTGAGAAACGGATGGATTTGACCACACCAAAATTAAAGATTCTGCTGGAGTGAACAGATGGTATTAGATTGGGAGAAACTACTTGTAACATTTCTGTTATAAAACAGCAGAAATTTCTCATAGTTCTGGAGACTGGGAAGTCCAAGATCAAAGGACTAGCAAGTCTGGTTTCTGATAAGGGCCCACTTCCTGGCTCATAGATGGCCAACTTCTGATTGTGTCCTCATGTGGTGGAAGGACCAAGGGATCTCTCTTGAGTCTCTTTTATAAGGGCACTAATCCCATTCTCTGCCCCCATGATCACCTATCAAAAGCCCCACCTCACCCATTGCCTTAGGGGTTAAGATTTCAACATTTGAAATGGGGAGGAGGGACATAAACATTCAGTCCATTGCAATATATAGTAAGCACTTGCCCCTTCTAGGCCAGGCCTAAATTGTAATTCTTTTAAGATAAGCAATAGAACACACATAAGAAATCTGAATGGCTAATAAGGAAAGAGAAGATCCCAACCTTTCTAGTAATAAGAGAAAGACAAATCAGAGAAAGACTTTGTATGAAGCACACTGACAAAATTAGAAATTTGAACTATAACAAATGCTAAGAAGGATGTGTGGAAATGAGACCCTTATGCACTGGTGGGAGTATATACTATATATATATATAGGTGCAAATGTTTGGAAAACAGTAGGAAAGTACAGTGAAACTGGGTATGTGGATACTCTGCAATTAGGCAATTCCTACTCCTGGGTATACACCCCAGAGACACTCCCATACAGGTAAGCAAGGAGACGTATGCAAGAATGCCTGTCATGGTAAAGAGCTGTCAGCCATCTACGTGTTTACTGAAACACTGTGCAGCAATTAAAAGGAACTGGCCAGAGTTACACAGAGCATCGCTGATGGATGGCAAAGCACAGTAATGAGAGAAACAAAGAAGAATGGATAAAATGAAACTGATACCAAAAAAGTCATTCGTATACAGTTTTAAAACAACAAAATAATACCATATAATTTCCATGGATGTCATGTATAGAAATAAACCTTTGGAAGGTGGATTTTCAAGGACCCACTAGAAAAAAAATAGGAACTTGGAATCTTTGGGGAAGATTTGGATCTGAGATAGCAGATGACAGGAGAAGAATAAACAAAAGAGGTAAATTGGATGGTCTGTTTTGCCATCAACTGAGATAGATAAACTCAATTCTGCTCACCTGGGATTAGAAACCATCTTTATAAATCTATATATATATATTTTTTGAAACAGGGTCTCACTCTGTCACCCAGAATGGAGTGCAATGGAGCAATCACGGCTCACTGCAGCCTTGACCTCCTGGGCTCAAGAGATCCTCTCACCTCAACCTCCCGAGTAGCTGAGAATACAGGTGTGCACCACCATACCTGGCTAATTTTGTTTTTTGTATTTTTTGTAGAGATGGGGTATTGCTATCTTGCCCAGGCTTATAAATCTATCCTTTAACAGCACACTAAACCCATAGCAGGTGTTCAACTCATAATTATTTAATAATTTTTTAATCTGTGTGTTTTATCCTTCAGATCCTGGGCTTTCTAAGGAATAGGACTTTTTCAGCGTTCTCTCTGAAACCAGTGCCCAGAGCTTAGGGTGAGCTCCTGCTTTCATGTAAGGTAATGAAGTAGAATGTCAATCTATCTCTAAAAGACATTATTGATTTGATGAGGTAGAAGGAACTTTAGAGATTATCTGGTTAGAATCTTTGATTTTACGGAAGAGAAAGCTGAAGGCCTGAGAGGTTTAGAGACATGCCTAGGTCAGACAACTCACCTGCCCTCTAACTCCCTGTCCCCTGCTCCTTCCACTGGGCCACCTGCCATCAGCATTGCTCCTCCTAAGGGCATTGCAACTTCAGCTTGCTGTGAACACCCACATCTGGCTCTGCAAATTTGGGAAGGGCTGATCTGGCACTTTTGTACTCTGCATGACAACCAGGAAAAGAACAACAGAAAATTTCCCTAAAACATCTCCCCATTAAAAGCTCGCATTTAGCCATTCTCAAATATCTCAAATTCTACCTGTGGGAAAGAGGTCTGACTGTCATGTTGCTGTGGGAACAATATTGTTGTACAGAGTGGTCACCCGCTTTGAAGAACCAGTCCTGATGTGGCATTAGCCTTCGGCTTTGTATGTGATGCCGGTGAATTGGCAGTTACATACCTGTGTCCCCTTTAGCTAGTGGGGTGGCTGACAGGTGAGGAGGAGGTTGTTCTTTCCCAGCCTGAACCTGACTCCTTTTCATGCATTCTCTATGGGATGCTCCAACCATTCCCCCTTGAGATTCCTCTTCTAAGCCCATTTCCCGAGTCTGAAGTAAACACTCCATTGAGTGAGTATCTGGCTAAGGGCACCCTTTCCTCTGAGTCTATTTGAAGTTCATTTCTCAAACTACTCTTTTTGTTTTCAATTTTTAAAGTCCCTTCCCTCTCAGTCCTCCTGGAAGCGGCTTTCTCCGGGATGTGATGCCCCTGAGCGGACAGCAGAGGGCGCCCATGCCTAACAATCTTCCCGCACAAAGTGTGCAGCCGGGAGGGGCAGGTTGCAAGAGTCCCTCGCAGCTGCACAACCCAAGATGCCTCCCCTGGGGAGGCTGGGCGGGGCCAGTTCCTCTGTGGTCTGTGGTCTGTGGTCTGTGGTCAGAGATGGTTGTGTGCGCCAGCACTGTCACGGGAGACATTTCCATGGAGTTTTCTGTAGAGGAGGGTGAAAGCTGCTCTTCCTGGCTGGGAAAGAGTTTGGGTCTCCAGTTCTCTTCATAAACTAACAAACCTCTTATTCAAATCTGCCTTCCCTGCCTGCCTTCGGAGAAAAGGGGTTTGTGCCTTCCATTCCACTCCGCACTTAGCCCCTCCCAGTAACTCCTTAATTAATCGTGTAGCTGCCGCCCCAAGCTTTCTCCTAGTGGAAAGGCATTGTTGATTTATTGCCTGAAGCCTTGAGATCGTTTGGCTCCAAGACCCAGTTCTTCCAGAGCCTGAGTCAGTTTTTTTGAGTTACAGAAGTGGTGGCAAATTTTCATTCATAGAGGGTAGATTTGGTTTTTAAAAATGATCAAATGCCATTCAGCTCCAAATCTCTTGAGCAATGTAGGAAATAAAGCTGAGAATATGAATGTGCCAGCCTGGGCCCTGGTGTATGCTGGGTTCCGGATTGATGGGCATGTTACATGAACCTGGACCAGGAGATATGTTATAGTTGTTGTTATTTAATAAGTCTTTACTATAGAATCATGAGATCATGTATCTTAGGTGGCCTTAAACCAGCTCTGAAGACAAATGTAAAAGGGAACTATCCAAGGAAAATATCACTGTAGTAAAACTCCTGAAGGAGATGTTAGCTAAATGTTGGTTTGTTTATCCAAGTTCCACATTTATTAAAAAACACCATCCCTTATTATTTTATGTTTGTTCTTCATATATACCAATCCCTCAACCTACAAATATTTCATGGGCACAGAATATAAAAAGTTCACTGAGGGCCGGGCATGGTGGCACACACCTGTAATCCCAGCTACTCGGGAGGCTGAGGCAGGAGAATTGCTTGAACCCAGGAGACGGAGGTAGCAGTGAGCCGAGATTGCACCATTGCACTCCAACCTCGGCTGAGACTCCATCTCAAAAAAAAAAAAAAAAAAAAGTTCACAAGGATATAGGCCCAAAGGTCTTGAAGTTGAGTGGCACTGGCTCTGCATCTGCCATGAGAGTAGCTGAGTTCCCCAGGCTACCACCGTGTGTGTCCCAAGACAAGCCATTGAATCTCTAGAGTCTCAGTTTCTCATCTTTAACATGGAGACCTCAACAGCTCCCCTGCCCAGTGAAACCCCATCTTTACTGAAAATACAAAAATTAGCGGGCATGGTGGCACACACCTGTAATCCCAGCTACTTAGGAGACTGAGGCAGGAAAATTGCTTGAACCCAGGAGGTGGAGGTAGCAGTGAGCTGAGATCGTGCCACTGCACTCCAGCCTGGGCTACACAGTAAGACTCCATCTCAAAAAAAAAAAAATCACTGAGGATATAGGCCCAGAGGTCTTGGAGTTGAGTGGCACTGGCTCTGCATCTGCCGTGAGAGTAGTTGAGTTCCTCATGCTACCACCATGTGTGTCCCAAGACAAGTCATTGAATCTCTAGAGTCTCAGTTTCTCATCTTTAACATGGAGTCCTCAACAGCTCCCCTGCCTTCTTCTCCAAGGCCAGATTACCACCACAGATCTTCGTGTGTGCTTTGTGAACTTCAAAGTGCTGTAGGTGTATTGTTGCTTAGGATACCTTGATCCTTGTGCTTTCTGCTTTTTTCCATTGTAAGTTCCCTGAACGCAAAGAACATGCCTCAAGTTCTTGGGCCATTGCCCACTGTGCCCATGAAGGGTAACTTGGCAGTCAATGGAGACCTCATACCTTATCTTAACATCCTACCCAGGACAGGTTTTCTGGCTCAGGGCTCCAGTGGGGAGGCTCCTGGGCTTGCTATGGGAACACACCACTTTCAGTGGGCTGCCGTGTACTGGGAATGAAACCAGAGGTGCCAATTGCACTAACATGTGTTGAATGCCAACTTTGGGCTGGGCACTCCATTCAAAGATGTTGTGGATATGCAGTTGAATCAGACATGATCTCCTGCTCTCAAGGAGTTTACAAGTAAAGTTGATAGCGTATACAACGAGTCAATAATGCAACGTGCAGTGCTGAATGGGTTCCCAGTGGAGACACAGAATAATGATAATGTTACAAAGATGGAGAGATCAGGAGGAGCTTCACAGAGATGTGGCCTTTGAACTGGTCTTAAAGGATGAGTAGGACTCAGGTAGCTACAGCTGGTGAAGGAGTCATGCCAGGCAGAGAGGAATGTCTGAGCAAAGACGTAGACAGCAGGTCATTTGAGAAATAGCTAAATCAGCTGGAGGTGTGTGTGATGTACAGAAGGAGAGAGCTGGGAACTTTTTCTTTGGGGCCTAGCCATGGACAGCCTTAATTGCCCTGATAAAAAGCTGGGGCTTATCTCAGAGGCAGAACTAAATCATAACAGCTGATGCTTTGGGCAGATGGACTCAGACAAGCCATGTAGGCTATTCCAGAGGCAGAAGTGAAAATGATGTTGCTAAGTCTGAGAGACTGGTAACCAAAGAAGGCAAAGTCAAGCTGGTGCATGCCTGGGGCCTGGGTTTTTACAAGTGCAGCTGGTATTGCAAAGCCTCTACAGTCAATGAAATGCAAACAGAAAAGCTTTATGCTTTTCCAGCCAGTCTTCAAACCAACTCTCTGCTGTTCCCACTCCTTGCCTATTAACAGTACTTCAGGCAAAGCCCAGAATATCTCATTTCAGTAGTTATAAAGTCTGGTCTTAACCAAACTTAGTGGTCAATTCTTTCTCTCTGCCTCTACCTTCTTCCCCCTCCTTCCTTTTTTGGGTCTTCCTTCACTCTCTACCAGGGAATTGGGCCCTGGAGAAAGGATGAGAAGAGAGAGAAGTGCTCTTAAGTACGTGGTGCTGTTGATGCCTTCCATGTGGCAAGTATCAACAGGTGGGTCTTCTTAGTGCACATGGTGAGCTTTCAGGAGGCCCCATGGGGAACTCTGTGCTGCGAGCTAATAGGTATGGGCAGCGAATGCTCTGCTTGACCCCTTAGTTCCTGCCCACAGCAGTTCAACCCACAGCCTCCTACTGCGGGAGTCCCCTTGCCTTGAGAGGCCACTCTGTTGGTTTGGTACCTTCGGGATATTCTAAACACAACTTTTTTCCAGGGAATTCACTTGGCCCACAGAAAATGCCATATCCTGGACAAACGAAGTACAGGGAGGGGAGCGGTGGGATACAGTGCTCTCCCTTTCCTTCCCCACTTACACCCTCACAATGGGCCCCTGTCCTCAGAGGTCTCTATCAAGAAGAGACATCCATCTCGATGCTCACGGTAGCTCAGGCCCCTCCCAGCTCTCCCTCCCCACCCTCTGTGGCAAGGTGGGGCAGTGGGTTTCTGCTGCTAGGCAAGCATCAGCCAGGATGCCAGGTGCCAGCCTCCCCATTGTGTAGGTACCCACGCCCACTCAATAAGTGGCTCTTTTCTGCCCCCTTCATTTGCCACGGGAATGGGGATCCCTCCCTCTCGCTGTATACCCTGAAGGGGTAGGGTAAAGCCATGACTCTACTCCCCAAATACTCCTTATTCTACGGACTTCTCTCCTTAAATTCCAATCTTCTATGAACATTGGCTCAAGAAGAGGAATAAGTCACAGAACCAGCTCATCTACCTTCATAAGTCCTTAGAACATGAGGGGACCTCATGGCCTCACCTTGGGGCTTTAGCCAAAATTCCAAAACGACAGGAAGATACTCTTTGGTATTTTATTCCATTAGTGACACTTTGTAGCAGAGTTTCACCATCTCAGTACTTGTGACATTTTGGGCCAGATAATTCTTTGCTGTGGGGCCATCCTGTGCATTATAGATGCTTAGCAGCATCCCCAGCCTCCATCTAGCAGAACTCCCCTTGTCATGACCATCAAAAGTGTCTTCAGATATTGCCAAATGTCCCTGGGGGTGGGGAGGGACACGCTTGTTCCCTGGTGAGACTTTTTTTTTTTTTTTTTTTAGACCAAGTTTTACTCTTGTCACCCAGGCTGTAGTGCAATGGCGTGATCTCAGCTAACTGCAACCTCTGCCTCAAGCGATTCTCCTGCCTCAGCCTCCCAAATAGCTGGGATTACAGGTGCCTGCCACCACGCCCAGCTAATTTTTGTATTTTTAGAAGAGACGGGGTTTCACCATGTTGGCCAGGTTGGTCTTGAACTCCTGACCTCAGGTGGTCCGCCCGCCTCTGCCTCCCAAAGTGCCGGGATTACAGGTGTGAGCCATCATGCCTGGCCTGAGACTGCTTAATAGACTAAAGGAAGGCATTGAAAGTTTTTGAACAAGAAAGCAGTATAAAATTATAAACAAATATTTGGTTGATTTCACTAAAGGATATGAAAAAAATGGCCAAGGCCAAGAAATACTTACTGTGCAAATGACATCTTTTTCACAGTCTTTAATAGTGTACAAAGTACTGTCATTAAATTATCTCCCTTAACTTTCACACCAACCATGTGAGGAAGGGTGGGCCCACACTGCACGGGTGAGTTGTCAGCGTGGAGGATGGGGGCTAAGGTGCGGAGAGCTCTCAGGTTAGGTAGGGTGTGGAGAAGGAGTTAGGTGTAGGGCGGGGCTTTTCCATGGAGTCTGGACTTTCTTTCCAGAGCAGGAATCCTGTAGAAGATATTTGGATGAATAATAATAATAATAATGGTGTACTAAAATTAACTGAGAGCTCACTACGTGCTGGACATAGCCCTGTGTATGGTTCGTAGATCATCTCATCTGCTTCTCTCAACAGGCCCCTGTGGATAGGTACTATTATTTTTCACAGTTTACAAGGTAGAGAACTAAGGTCTAAAAGGTTAAATCACTTTCCCAGGGTTATTCAGTGATCAGATGGGATTTTAATTGAGGCCGGCTGGGCTGACTCCGAGCCTGTGTTTGTAACCATGGCCCCTTCCTGCTTGCATTTCCTCCAATCTGACTCATAGGCAGGCTCCACAGTCATCAGAGCCCTGCACTCGCTTGGTCCCTGCAGCTCACCCAGGCTTTCCTGTTATCAGCACTGTTTGTTAGCAAAATGGGTTGGTTCATTGCCATTTGCCTGCTGAAAAGCGTTAAACCAAAACTAGAAACTAGAAATTGTTTGTCCCTTTTACAGTATGTTGGATGATCCAAGGCAGGCTGTGGAATAGAATGTTCTGGCAATCTCCTCGAAACTCCAAGATTGTGTTTTAATTGCAATCTCAATCTTCAGCAGAAAATAAATTAATATTTTTGCCCATCTTCCGTGCCAGTCACAGCACTAAGAGCATTAGCTTATGTAATCCTCACAAGAATCCCATTTTACAGATTCGGTGATTGAGGCTCAGCGAGGTTTAAGTCCATCATGAATGACAAAGTCAGGACTCAGAACCCAAGTATGTCTTATGTACATTCTCTTACACTAGGCTTTATGCATCTTTCATCTTTTTATCCTTATAAGATGTGTATTATTATCTGACCTTTACAAATAAGAGAAGGAAATAAAAGGCAGAGAGGGTGAGTAACTTTCCCTAAATCCAAGACTACTGCTGGCAGAGCCAGGAGCCAGGCTCTGGCTGCCTAAGTCCAGAGTGACAAGCTTTTCACCCCAGAGCCATGAGCTCAGGCTCTACGAGAATTTGTGGAAAATAAGGCTTCATCCCTCTGTTTTAAGTCAGCTACGTAGTACAGGGTGTGGGACTCCAAAAACATTCGTCAGCCTTGACTGCGCTGTCCCCTCACACAGCTGATTCCGCTTGTAGGTGAGGCATGTGGAATGAGGAAAGCTTTTGCTCTTCAGCGATGTGGGGCCCTAGAAGCTTGTCATGGCTTCTGTGGAGCCGGGCCTTCAGGAAGGTGAACCTCAATCCAGGTGGGGCTGAACATCCACTCAGTTGCTCTTCCTAGGGTATAAGGAGGACCAGCTCAGGAAGGAGGTGGCCTTTGAGGCTCTGAATCTCATGGGACCAGCCCATGCAATGAAGACAGCCCAGCTCCTGCCAAGCTTCTGTTCAGGCTTAGTGAGGCTCCCTAGCAGCAGTTCGGGAGACATCGCACCTGATGGATGTGCAGCACCCTGCTGGGCCCTGACCACTCTGTGTTTTGCTGCAGGCAAGAGCTAGGGTTGGCTGGAAAAGGGATCAAAGATTGGAATGGGGCTGGGTGCGGTGGCTTATGCCTGTAATCTCAGCACTTAGGGAGGCCAAGGCGGGCAGAGGACTTGAGGTCAGGAGTTTGAGACCAGCCTGGCCAACATGGCGAAACCCCGTCTCTACTAAAAACAAAACAATTAGCTGGGCATGGTGGCACACACCTGTAGTCCCAGCTACTTGGGAGGCTGTGGCAGGAGAATGGCTCAGACCCAAGAGGTGGAGGTTGCAGTGAGCCAGGATTGCACCCCTGCACTCCAGCTTGGGCGACAGTGAGAGGCCATCTTAAAAAAAAAAAAAAAAAAGGAATGGGACACAAGTGACCACCAGCGGTGGCGGGGAAGTGAATTTTCCTGGAAGGCCCTTGTTACCTGTAAGGCAGTTGAATGTGTCCAGTGAATTATGCTGGCAGAGGAAAGAGATCAAGGAGGCCACAATTAAATTTTAACACCCACCTCCAACCATTTTCATCATAGTTCACAGTAAATGCAGATACACAAGTTAAGGGAAAGAACAGCAGAATTAAGATTTTCATTCCATTGCTTAATGTCCAAGGCTAAGAGATCCCTAGATTTTTCTTAGTAATAAAGCGATGTTAGTTTTTCTACCATTGTATGTTCACTGAGGGATGTATTTGGACTGGAGAGTTAATCATGGGGGTTTTGAGGGGACAAGTTATTGACAGGGAATGAGACAAATGTCATCCACATTGTCCTTTAGGGGATTTTTTCTAGTTGTGTGGAACCTAGTTCAACAACACAGATTACTGTGTGCTTTGTCCACCAGGCCCTGGGTCAGGTTCTGGTGGTATGGAAAAGGTAAAGCAGGACTGCCGTGTGCAGTTGTTCAGGCTGCACATTTACATTTACAACCCTAGGGGGTACCATGTAATTCACAGCATACATCGATTTGTGTATCTGTTAAGCCCTATTCCTGCAGATGGCAGGTACGTGAGTTGAAGACAGTGAGCTATATGGGCTGTCAGTGGTGTCAGACACAGTCTATACCTTCAAGGAGCTCATTGTCCAGCCAATGGTTGGGATTCAAAAACTAGGTGACTCTGGACATCCTAGACTAGAAGGTGGGAGAGGTTTCCTCTCTTTCCCTTTTAAGAACAGGCTGCACAGGGTTAGATAAGATTAGAAAATAAATTTGGTGTACTCTAGTCTTTTGACTATCATTGCTAGCTCATGATATAACAGAAAAATCTATTCCTTTGTTACCGCCTCCCACCAACTCCCAGAACCGGAGATCTTCCACCAACTCCCAGGACAGAGAACATCTCTCCTGTGGCCTTATACTCAATTGCCTCCAATTAGAATAAGTCTTTTTCTGCTCATTATTCTTAGTAGAAAAACAAAAACAAAAAACCAAGTTAATTTTGAAAGACAGCATCTCTTCCCAGTCTCCCCAGAATGTGCCCTGGGGCAAAGCTGGCTGTGCAGCAAAGCCCAGCTTAGATTCAGGCATTGTGCTCTGGGATTTATGGTCTCAGGACCCCAGCCCCAGCCTCGACCCCAGCCTCTGATATCCCTTCTCTATGTCTGAGACGACTTCCCTGTAGCACAATAACACACCCCATGCTCCAGCAGTGCCAATTTCACACATATTATTTTATTACTCATTTGTTTGCTTTCCAGGGCAAGTGAAAAAATAATTTAAACCAATTGTATGTACAGAGGCTTGATTAGTTTTCCCAAGAACTTCCAGAAAGTCTCCCAGCCCTGTAGACAGCAAAGCGTATTACCTTTAACATCTATACAAAAGTCCACCTATAAAAGTCTCATGTGTAGAAAGGTTTTCTTTATTATAAGCATCACATTTTGGGGACAGGAAGGGGGTCAGGGTGGGAGGTGGAGGAAAGTGCAGGGTGGGGGTCCACACACACCTGCCCAGGGGTCATCCTGGGTGGGGAGGCTGTGGCTGGTGGGGCTCAGGTGATCTGCAGCGGGGTCTCCAACATCTCCATGAGGAAGGTGTCAATGGGGGTGTCCCCGATGAGCTTGAAGAAGAAGAGGTGCTCCAGGCATTTCAAGCCAATGGAACGCAGAGCTGGGAGGCGCAGCAGCAGCTTGGCAAACCTGCAGGGAAGCCAAGAGGCATCAGGGACAGGGACGGGCAGGCACTGCACACCTGCACCTGCTGGCAGGAGGCCGTCCAATTGGCCTTCTCGACCCATCTGTGATAAAAGAGCTGGAAGGGTAGACAAGGGGGTCACAGAATCTCTAAGCCTAAAGAGCTTCAGAAACAGGCTGGAGGGCTTGTCAGCCTTAACAGAAGCTGGAGCGCATGACCCTTCAAGAATCTTGAATTCTGTAGCCATGTCCCAGGACTGCCCTCAGCTCCCCTCATTCACAGTGGAGAAGAGGAAGAACTAGATGACTGTGTCCACTCACTTTGCCAGCCATACTGGCTCCTCACATTCTCTGTGTCCCTCGGGTACCCGCACAGATCTGCTGAGGCACTTAGAGCCAAGCGTGAGACACTGAATGTGCTCAACCCATGGTAGCTGTCACCATTAGATGACACGTTTGAGAACCTTACTCTAGCCATCATGCCATCAATTTGCTTTAGTTTCCAGCCCCCACAAAAAATCTTTTTAAGAATGGGTTCTCACCATGTTACTCAGGTTGGACCTGAGTACCTAGGCTCAAGCAATCCTCTCACCTCAGCCTCCCAAGTAGGCGGGACTACAGGCACATGCCTTGGGGTCCACAGTCACCAAATTTTTGTTGCCAATTTGTAACCAATTGTTACCAATTTTTTTTTTTTGAGACCGAGTTTCACTCTTGTTGCCCAGGCTGGAGTGCAATGGCCCAGTCTCAGCTCACTGCAACCTCTGCCTTCCGGGTTCAAGCAATTCTCCTGCCTCAGCCTCCCAAGTAGCTGCGAATACAGGCTCCCACCACAATGCCTGGCTAAATTTTTGTAGTTTTAGTAGAGACAGGTCTTTGCCATGTTGGCCAGGCTGGTCTTGAATTCCTGACCTCAGGTGATCCACCCACCTCAGCCTCCCAAAGTGCTGGGATTACAGGCGTGAGCCACCGCACCCGGCCAATTGTTACCAATTTTTATGATCAACTTATTAGTCTATGCTTACCCTTAAATTAGGAAAAGAGAAAATCATAGTCTCTGCCCTTGAGGAGTCTATGGTCTGTTTGGGGAGAGGATACATGGCACACATGCATACACACTGACCCACACATTATCCTACACACTCACACATGCTTCACACCCATGTGCCCGCACACACATCCTCACCACTCACACACGCACACTCACACTCTTTTACACTGTCACATTCCCTTGCATACATGCACTTACACACACACCCTCACACATACACACATGCCCACTCATGCACACTTTCACATGAACTCACATGTGCCTGCACACACACCTTCACACACACTCATGCACACACACCTTCACACACTCTCATGCATACACACCTTCACACATACTTCACATGTTTGCACACGCATCCACACACTCATGCTCTCACACTATATTCATGCACATTATACACAATACACATACTCACACATGTGCACACACTCATTCTCACATATCTCATGCCTGTGGTCTCACATACATGCACATGCACACTCTTACACACACGTGCATGCATGCACTCACACATACACACATGCAGACACACTCCACACTCACACTCTAACATGTTCTTACAACATGCACACACACATACCCTCACACACTCACTCATACACACCCTCACACACATTTTTCTATAACTGAGGACATTTGTTGTGAGATTCACAAAAGGGAGAAAGACCAGTGTGTGAAGGAATTCATCTCCCATCTGCATGTCCTTTCGGGTACTTCTCTCTGTGACATTTTTCACTCTGTCTGTGTGACCCTCTGTGCACAGTGCAATGCCAGCTCATTTTTAACGTTATTAATGCTACTAGACATAAAGTCACTCTACTCACAACTTCCAAAAAAAGCTCAAGGACCAAAATCACTTTAGTCACTGTGGCCCTAAGTCAGAGATTTCTGGTTCCAGATGAATCTTTACTGAGTGTCACAACATTATTTCATGAAAAAGTTACAAATTAGAATTTCAATGTTCCTTGAAAATGTGTATATTTCTACACTTATGCCATAAGACATTTTAAAGAAATGTAGCAATACAAGGAAAATAAAGCGGCACCATCTAAAAAAGTAGAAATTGCTTCCCTACATGGAAAAATTAAAGATCTATGCCAATGCTACACATTACTTCAAAAGCCTCCAGTGGTAAAGCCCCTGAAAGCATTTGAGTGGCATCACCATTCAGGAAAGAGGTAGTTAGAGAATAAGGAGGCTGAACTCCCGGCCGTGCCTCTGCCGTTAAGCTTTATGGAAGTAGGCAAAGGAAACAGCTTCTCTGTAAGTACAAAGTTAGACTGGGATTAACTTTAAAAAATTTTTTTAACTCTAAAAAGGCCACGATTTTACAATATCTAAAATTCGAAGTATGCCATCATACTACCCTCTTTGTTGTGTGACCTGGATTTAGGAACTGAGATCAAGGCTAATAGAAATAAACACACCCATGAACGTCACAGCATTCCTCACCCACAGGTTAGCAGCAAGGGGCATTTATGCCTTTGAAGGTGCCTGCTGTGTGTGCAAGAGAGTGTGTGTGTGAGTTCTGTGACCTGACTTTTGATCTCTGCTTTCTGATCAGAGTGAAAGCAGAATGTGGCCCTTGTGACATGCACTTCTGAAATGTTTCCACAGAGTGGCAGCACTCTCCCACTGAGAAATCTGCCTCTACCTGGCTGTGCCAGGATCCCCTTCAACCAGGTTCTGCGGACCAGAGGTGACCAGCCCTCAGCACACCCACATGCCTGGCCAGTGACACCCCTGATGTACCTACTGAGCCAACTATGAACACTTGATCAGGGCAGTCAGCCTCAGTCCAAGCTGTGATGGACAAACCCAGGAGACTATGCAGGGGACTCTGCCACCTCCTTGCAGTTCTAAGTTCTGCCCTAGTCCTGGCAACAAGTGTTGGCCTCTCTCCCCAGAGTGTGGAGGCAGCCCAGCCCCCTGCCAGCCATATTCTGGCAGAAGAGTCAAGTTCCAAAGTTTTCAAAGTGATATGAATTAGAAACAACCCAAATGTCAATCACAGGGCGATGACTAAATACATTAGGATATGTTCACACTGCAAAATATTACAAAACCATTGAAAATGATAATTTGTAGTTGTCAGTAATTGAATAAAATTTCTAGAATGGCTAAGGGAAGAAAATAATACACCAAACTGTATAATTTCATATCTAGAAATGCATACATGACATGCGTAATACATAATAGTTACACGAGGATACACACGAGACATAATAGATACACGACAACACTGGAAAGAAATATACCAAAATATTTACAATAAGTTCTTATTACCTGTTTTTTGTTTTTGTTTTTGTTTTTGTTTTTGATGGAGTTTCGCTCTTGTCATCCAGGCTGGAGTGCAATGGCATGATCTCAGCTCACCACAACCTCCACCTCCCCGGTTCAAGCGATTCTCCTACCTCAGCCTCCTGAGTAGCTGGGATTATAAGCTCATGCCACCACACCTGGCTAATTTTTGTATTATTAGTAGAGACAGGATTTCTACATGTTGGTCAGGCTGGTCTTGAACAACCGACCTCAGGTGATCCGCCAGCCTCAGCCTCCCAAAGTGCTGGGATTACAGACATGAGCCACCGCATATTTTTAAAAAATATTTTTATAATTTTTTTAACCAAAGCATGCATTGCTTTTATAGTTAGGAAAAAAGTGAGTTGGAGTTTTTTGTTGGTTTTTTAAGATAAACAGCAAGACAGAGACAATTTCAGGAAAATGATATGTACGACTCTCATTATTTGTAATGTCCTGCACATAATATGTGCTCAAAAAATGGAAGATTTGATAGAAAGCATCCAACTCAGGGCTTCAATTAAGATGATTTGCCCAAGGCTCACACCTGACAGAGGCCAAGCTATTGCTGGCAGCCAGGTCCTGACCCCTTGGCCAGGGCTCTCTCAATCTCATCTATAGTGAACTACCAGGTTCACCAAAATCCAATATTTTCTTCTGTTCTTCGGCATACAACAGGATACATTCTCCAGCCTCCTTTGTGGCCAGCTGGGCCACGTGACTTGGCATCAGCTAATGAAAGTGAATGAAAAGGTGAGGGCCCTCTAAGACCGAGGTCTGGCCCATATGGCCTAGCCTCTCTGCCCCTCCACCTCTTCCCCCTTCCATCATCTGGATGCAAAACACAGTATGGCTCTGGGTCATGGTGGAGACACAAGAAAAAAGGAGTCTTGGTCCCTGAGTGATGGCATGCAAGGCAACCACCTCTCTGAACTGACTGCCCACCCAGATTTGTGAGCAAGGAATAGATGTTTGTGTTAAACTGGTGGCATCTGGTGGGTCTATTACAGCTTAATCTCACTAATATACTAGGCCCTGCCTATTCATTGCACCAAAGGGCCAAAACCCACCTACTCAAATTCATCCACAGCCTCCAACAAAAAACACAGCTCAGTCTCTTCTGGACAATTGCTAGAGGTTGGCTTATGATTCAGGATAAACAGCTAAGTAGATATTAGACTTCACAGAGGAATGGAAACCATTAGTGAGCATTGGGAGCATGTAAAATTAATCCCCCAAACAAAATTAATGTCTTCAAGACAGGCTTTTCCGTTTCATTTCCAATTTTCTATGAGATTTGAGGATCATACTTTCTCATTTTAACTGGCATTAGCAGAGAGGGAAAACTCTTTGGCTTAGCTGTACTTTGGAAGAAAGTTTTGAGAATATCTTTTAATAACTCAGAAATACCTATACTGCTAGATGGCCTCAGAGATCTGCTAGATGGCCTCAGAGATCTGCTAGACCAACATCCACCTTTCCAAATGAGGAGCCCAGACTCAGACCCAGCACCTTCCCAGATGCCACACACGTGGCACCCTGGGGACCAGCATCCATATCTTCTGGCTGCCAAAGCCTGTACTTCCTACTGCATGGGGGTTTCTATGGGGGCAGACCAGAAAGCAATGCAGTCACACCTCAAACACAGGCTCTGTGAAATCACACGAACAGGGTTCACATCTCACCTCCACCGCGTGCTAGCATTATGGTCTTCAGCAAGTTACTTACATTTCTGAGGTTCTGTTTCTTGATAGAAATTGGAGATAATAATTCCCACATTTATTCATTTGTTTGCTATTCATCCTCCATTTAAAGATGTGTACTATGTGTCGGGCACTATTTTACGTGTTGAGGCTAGAGGAGTGAATGGTGAGCAAGACAGATAAGGCCGCTAGCCCAATGGAATTAACATTTTTGTGGCTTTCAGCTTGTTATGAAGATTAAATAACATTTAAAAACACCTAAACAGTGCCTGCTGCACTTTAGGGGCTCAGTAGATGAAGAGTGGGAGTAGTTGCTGCTGTTACTACGATTCTGCCAGCACTGTCTCACCTGCCTGGCTGTTCCGGATACTTCTGCTTGGTGTAGGCCTCAAGGGTGGCATAAACCTTCTCTCGCAGAGTCTCCACCTCAGAGGGGTTGGACAGGCCCTTGGCATCTAAAAGACATGACTGAGTTAGCCTTTGATTACACACCCTCCAGCAGAGGCTGTCCCCATTCTCTCTGGCCACTCTCTGTAGAGTTACTAGAGACACCCTGGATGGGGACAAGTGTGAAATAAACAAAGCTGGTCATTCATGCCCCCTTGCTCTTCTTTCTGTGCCCAATTTACCCAACAAACTCTTGGGGCAAAGATTTTAAACTCCATGAATAGGCAAATGTACCCACCACTGACTCTAAGGAGGAGAGCTTAATTTTATCCGGACCATTCTCGAAATATTACCTGCACACATTTACCGAGTGCCTATTATGTGCTGAGCATGGACTGAGTCATAAGATGGGGCACGAAAGCTGAATTGGCACATGTCCTGCATTGATGAACTAACTGCCTAATTCTGGAGATAAAGCCTCTGCATGAATGACTACATAATTCTGAAGGTTCATCTTTCTTGACCACAGCAGGGTTTGCTGGAGCTGATCGCCTCCTTCTTGAAAGACTATTTTCCCTCGAGCCTCCAGGACACCACCCTTCTGATTCTGTCCCTATCTCACTGCCTGCCCCTTCTCAGGTTCCTCTGCTGGCTCTCCCTTTTTTACCTGACCTCTAAATGTTGGCATGCCCCAGGGCTCAGTCCCCAGCCATCTTCTCTGCTCTATCTCCCCAGATGATCTCACCCCAGTGTCACAGCCTTACACAGGCAGAGGCTGACAGCTCTCAGATGCACATGGCTTCTCCCATGAAGTCCAGACTCATATGAGCAGTTGCTTCCTGGGCAGCCACTCTTGGATATCTACTACCCATTTCCTATTTTAATGTCCAAAGACAAGATCCCGATTCCTACCCACCCGCTGTCAGAACTTGCTCCTCATGGAGTTTTCCCCATCTCGGTGAATAAGAACTTCATTTTTCCCATTGTTCAGGAAAACAAAACTTAAAAAAAAAAAAACCCAGAGAGTCATCTATAACTCCTTTCTTTCTTTCTCATTCTATATTCAATCCATCAGCAAATCACAGTGGCTTTATCTAGAAATATATCCAGAATGTGATCGCTTTTTACCACCCCCTTCACTGCCACCCTGGGCCACCGTCATCTTTCATCTTCCCCACTTGCCCCAGACACGCGCCTGCCACACTCATTCAAAACATTTTCCAAAATGGCTCTAGCTGACACTGTGAGCTCTCCTGGATTCCTGGCTCTGCCATCTGTGTCTCAGCTGAGATGGAGGACCAATAACATGGGAGCACTGGAGGTTGACCGTGGAAGAGGGCTGAACACACACATCCCCTGGGGTTGAAGGGCGGTTACCTGGGTTAAAGAGTACAATGGCTCGCAGGCATCCCAGTTCCGACTTGTCCATCTGCATGTCTTTCATTTTGGAAACCAGCTCAGTTAGGACTCTGTTAACAGGAAACAAGCAGGTAATGAGAAAACCGTAAGTAACAGGCCAAGAGCCAATAAAATGAATTCAACCAAAATTTTTATAAGCCCACTCTGTTTCCAGATGATGTACCAGTTACTAGGGGTACAGAAATGAAAAAGATGCAACCCCTCATTGCAAGGAGATTACAGTTTAACTAAAGAAACAGACATTAAAAACTAGCAGCAGCACGATGCCCAGGAATATAACTGCCATGAGCAAAGTCCAAGTGGGTTCCAAAGAGGAAGCAATGAACTCCAAGCAGGGAAATGGAAAGGCATCATGGAAGTCTTGGAAATTAGAAACGCAACAGGCACAGCAAGGTAAGGGGATTGCATGTCTAGAAAAACACAGCAGAGGGCAGCATTCAATGAACTGGTAGAAAGGTCCGGTTACCACGAAGGGGGATGAGTCATTCCAAACACCATGTTGGGCTCTACATGGAACATGTGGGAAAGGGCAGGGAAGTAATAGATACAGCTCAGTGGATGTGCACATGACCAAAGAAGACCATTTACGATGGAGGTAGAAAGGGACAACGGGGCCCTGGCATTGGACAGAGAGATTAATTTCAACTTAATTCTCCTCTTTACCAGTTCTCCATCCTCTCACTCTCAAGTCATTAACTACTCATTTTATTCAACTCCTTATCAGATGGCTTAATTTTCCTTTAGTATCATTTAAGGCACAGAATTTCTGTCAGGGTATCCCTGCCTGACGAAGATGGGTTTGCTCCTGCTGCAGGCCTCCTTCTGAGATCATCCAGAGCCCAGCATAAACAGTCCATCTTGCCTGGCCTCTTGAGGACAGATCCTGATCCCTTTCCCATCCTTGGCCCCCAGGATAAACAGTTCACCCTCTCCACCCACAACTTACTAGCTGATGTCAAGATCTAATCTCTCCTTAGGAAATCCATTGGGAGAATAGGTTCTCCCAACTGCCTGGCAACTGTGCTGGCCTCTGAGTGGCTCCATCTTATTGTGATCTCAATCTTTCTTTTAATCTCTCCCTCATTCCCCAGGTTTATAGTTTCATGTGCCTAGTGGTCTCTGCATGGTCATGTGTAGCTAACTGTTTGGGCTGCCCATCCTCCATCCCAGCACTACCCAGAGGTTCATGCCCACGTGAGAATTCATGTATGTACACATGTGTATACACACACACACACACACACACACACACATAATACACACAAATACTGGAAGCAGGAGAGAGACACCTGTCAAAGATGGAGCCGACCCCAGCACTGTGGGCACTGCTCCGGTGGACATGTAAACCCGTGGCCAGAAGGATGCCATCCTGCACGGAAACTGAGCGGTGGGAGAAAGAGGCAATCAGCAATTCATTCCACCCTGCAAGGATAAGGAGGAGGTCTTGAGGGAAAACAGAACACATTCTTTCTTTACTTATAATCACCCAAGGCATGTACTATTATCCCACATAACACAAGCAGAATTGACAATCTAGGGAGGTTAAGAATTAGTTCAAGATGACACAGTTCATTAGCGAAGAAACAAAGGATAAGACTGGGGTCTCCTGACTTATGGCTCTGCACATCCCCCCACTCTCTCTCAGATGCAACCCAGAATGACAGCTTGAAGACAAGGATTCTTTTTTTTTTTAATCAGTCAACAAATGTGGGTTGAACATTTAGCGGATAATAGTCACTATGTTAGCTGCCATGGTGGATAAAGCTAATATACCTTGCAGTTTTTCCCCTTAGGATCTGACAACCTAGTTTTGTTTCTTTGGCATTGTCTAGTAACACCCAACACAGTCTGTAGCTTTCAGCTGACACTCAGTGAGTGCTCATTATCTAACAGGGATGAATGAGTGGACTGGTTCCCAATGCTCAGCCAATCTTCATGAAATTTCCCTGCTGGCTCAGTGACAAAGAGGAGATATGGCATATGTCAACGGCCTGCAAGTGTCCCAGAAATAGGAGGCAAAAGAAAATACAGCACATAGAGTCTTAAAATAGGAAGACAGTGGAACCCGTCTAGTACAAGCTTGAGCAAACATCTTTGGCTTCTTTATCTCACCTATGAAATGGGAATACCTCTATTTGCCAATTTCATTACAATAATGAGCCACTGCTTCAAATTATCCTCAATAAAATGATTTAATAGTCTTTTTAAAATTTATGCAAATTATAAAGCCGTGGTAAAATTTGCATGGGAAAAGAGTCCCACTTCTTCATTAACGATGCTTCCTTTGGGAATGAACAACCCCGCACAGGGTTATTTCATCATCAGCATGGTACATAGCTTGGACATGTTGCAGCTCCATCAGGCTACTTTTTTTAGGATCCCAAGAGCAATTTCAAAATTGTCCCAGGAAAAAAGGCAGCCAATGTGCTTTACCTGCCCGAAGCAAAATGACCTGGTCCTCCAAGGTGAGGTCAGAGAAGTGGGGAATACGCTTGGCCCATTCAACGAGGGTGAAAAGCTGCTTGTCAGCAGCATGACATATGTTGGTAACAGGGTCATTTGTCTGAAAAAGGAACAAAGTACTGTGAGGCACAGGTCCCAGGACTCAAATACACCCCTTTCTCCCATTTCCAGCCCTACCCAAGAAATGGAACACACATGTGTGTCTAAGAGCACATACCGAGTTCTCCATATTCATGTCACCATAGGATTCTGTCTTTGGTTCAACAGCAAGTTCAGCTTCTAGAATCCTCTCCACAGGCATGTCTTCATGACCACTGGTAGCACATTCTGCCTCACTCTCAGCTCGCTCTCGGCTCCTCTGTCTTTCTTCTTGCACAGCTGACATGCAGCAGGACATGCAGAGGTTACCATAATGCCCAGGACAACAGTGGGAAAGTTTATTACCCACATGAGCCTCAATTTACTCATCTATGAAAGGGGAATCATTATGATCCTGAATTGGGGATGTTGGAATGTTGACAGATGAAACAAGGAAAGCAAAGCTGTTTGCTTATGCCTAAGGAGAATGAGGGGTTCTTTAGTGCATATTCTTTCCAATGCATTATGGTGACGACACTAGGAAGTATCCATTTTAAGCTTTAATAAACTCTAATTGTATCCTCTCTTTTAATGGGCCAACCACTCCTTGCTATCCCTGCAGATCCCCACATTCTTGCTCTACCTGCTGCCTCTAAAAAACTGTGAGCATGAAATAGTTAAGTAACAAGCACATTACTTTAAAAACTCCCTCTGTCAGATCCTATGCATCATCCTTGGCATTCACGTCCCATTAGGTCTGCCCCTAGTGCACCAGCTTGAACACAACATCACCTGATCCGACTTGTCAGGGAAGATCTTTAGGGAGCCAGCTGTGGGTATTTAGTAAGTGAAGGGGTGGAGGGATGTCACCTAGATGACATTTCAGAATCAGTGGCTCATTTTGGAGGTTGGGGAGGGTACATAGGCAAAGGTGTAGGCTGAAATTATCTCAGCCTCTCCAAAGCTTAGGGTTTTCATCAAGGTTCAGTGCAACTCTCAGAACCCTCCATGTCTATACATTAGGATTGAAAGCAGACTGCTGCCCCCTCCAATTCTATGCTCTTCATCAGGAGAAAAGTCTCTGTTGGGTTAGTTTCCATCATCTAGAAGGCTGTAGTTTCCATCTTATTCACAGCAGCAATAAACAGAATTCAATATTAGAACACATTTTTTACATCCCCAAAGTCAAGAAAATTATCCTTTAAGCAGGTGACTAGCCTGAAACTCCATGACAGCTACTCCACTAGCAGCTCCTATTTCTGTTTCTCTCCCTTCCTCCCCATAGTCCACTTGCAAGAGTGCCTCCTACTCTCTGAGGAGATAATGAGCCCCAGAGGCTGCAGAATGGACTGGAATCGCAATGCCGAACATCTAGTTTGTCATGCGAGCCATATCAGTCTCTCAAGGTAGGTCAGAGAAGAGTATGACTGCAAAAACACAACTTATGCTCCAAAACTTAGTGGAGATACGCCAAAAAGCTTCAAGACAAGAATGGTACTGTGTCATTGAGAGAGAGGCAAGGAGGGTAGAAAGAAGAAAAGGAATAAGGGAAAGAGACAACAAAACAGGGTGAGAAAAAGAGGAAACAGAAGGGAGAGAGAACAGAGAGGAGAAAATAGTGAAAAGAGGGGAAAAAACCTGTGCCTTGGAGTCAAAGAAAACTTTTTCACATATAACTCTACCCCTTCCTTGCTAAATGGCATTGGCCATATGACTGAGCTTAGTAAGCCCCAGATCCCTTATCTGTGAAGCAGAGATTAACTGAGATAGTTAAGGCTGGTACTTAGTTAAGGTTGGTACTCTTCAGTAGTTAACTGAAATAATATCGTAAGGATGAATGAAGCAATTATAAAAACTCAATACAAATAGTTATTTCCTCTTGCCTTTGGTGTCTTTTTACCCCCTTGGGCTCATCTCTCCATCTCCCTTTTTGGCCTCTTCCTCTCTCTCCTGTTTTCTTCCTCCTTCTGTCTCATCCTTACTTTCTGCTCACTCTGTCAGACTTCATTCACTGACAACATGTAGAAACTATAATATGTATTTTTTATTATATTTGGATTTACTGGGAAATGTTGAATGCTTCTTGTATTAATTTTTTTAAAGGTAGGTTATGAGCTTCTATTTGTCTTGACTTTAAAAGATGAGGGAAAGCAAACTAAGTTAAGTTTCATTCGTGGTCCTCAATCAATGTCTTCTAGAGATTTGTAACACTCAAGGAAAATAACCTTCAAGCTTCAGAGAAAATATCCTTGGTGTCAGGGAATTTGATTCGAATTCTGGTTTTGTATGAGCAAACCCTTTGCTATTCACTTTTCCTCTTTGTGCCTTAAGTCTTCCTGTCATAAATGAGGAGTCATATATTGTTATTGGGGGGTAGCTTCTACTTGTCAGACATTCTGAGCTACTGTTACGACACACATCAGGGTACATCCAGGGAACCCTGGATGATTAAAAATAAAACCAAACTTCTGCCTTAGGAAAGGATTTTAACCATTCATCCAACACGTGTTTATTTCGCACTTATTACAATAGGCAAAATTTATGAAGCTCTTTCTCTGTGTCAGGAATTATGCTCAACATTTTAGATAGATTACATTTCATTTAATCCTCACAATAATGCTCTGACATACTACGAGCCACAGAGAAACTAGTAACATATCTGAGGGCATGTGGTAGGCCATGATGGAGCCAGCACATGCACCCACAATGGCTCCTCCTGGGCCCATCTCTAACCTCTCAGTACTGCCTCCAAGGTACTGGGCTAGGTCTATTAATAAAGACCACACAGGGCTCACAAGGATACCAATGCTGCCCATGAACTGCCTCAAAGGCAATCCATTCACCAGTCTTGAAACTACATGTATATGACAAGAAATCATGGAAATAGACATTCCAGAATTCCTGAGGTGGCCCACTAATCAGAGGGTCCCAGTCCTATACAGGGTCTGCCATGTGCTTGCTGTGTGGGCTTGTGTGGGCTAGGCTCTCCAAACCTCTAATTTGTCTTTCAGGAAATGGACGTGTTACGTTAGAGAATAGAAAATGTCCACTCTAGCTTTAACATTATTTATCCTAAAAGGGCAACAGGTCCTGGCCCCTGATCCCAGGCAGGTAAATTCTGTACCTACCCCAATTCCATCTCTTTATCTGTGTGATTTCCATGGTCTCTCTGTTATCTGCTCCAGGATGTTATTATTCTTGTCCTCAAGAAAGTGTTCAAACTGAGCCCCAAATTCTATAAATCAAGACCAGAAATGATGGCGGTGGACAGGCTATCCAGTAGCCTTTTGAAATGCGCCCCCTTATATAGTCAGCGGAGGAATTGATTCACTTCTTTGCCTTCCCTTTGTCAGGGTAAATGGTGCCAATCTCTTCAGAAAGTTCCCTAAGAGCTCCTTTCCCTCTCCTAATTTTTACTACTCAGCTTTTCACTATTCTTTCTGTTTCTCCACATTCTTTTAAAAAATGCAGGAGCAAAAATTGGGTCCAACTTTCTATTAAAGTACCCAAACCATAGAAGTGTCTCTTACAGTTCACATGTCCCTGTTTTCCTTCCTTTTTTAAAAACATTTAACGAACCACAGTTCCCAACATTTGGCCTATTGACCACTCTGTCCCTAACTGAGCTGGGGATATTCAGCCTGCATTTTCAGAGATGGATTAGAATAACTCTAGAGAAATAGAAATGATGGTTTCTCTGACTGAGACCATTCACTTTCCTTTAATTCAATATCATGTGCTTAATGAAAACTGTTACTGTTCCAAGTCAATTGGAAACTTATCTCAAGTGTTTTAGGAGGGAAAAAAATGACCCTGCAGTCACTGGACTCTTGTTAATGGGAGAAATACTTGTAGTCATTAGTTTCATTTTGATAATCATGGTGGGGGAAGCTCCAAGGAGTATCCAATTCTATCCTGGTGGAAAAAAGATGTTCTTCACCAGCAGGTATTTCATATCGCATGCTCCAATCTGTAACATCATTGATCCCACTGCCACAGCAAGTATGACGTAAGCACAGAGTAGGCACTCAGCTAATACTCAATGAATAAATGAATGAGTCATTTTTAGGAGCTCCTGCACTTCTAAAACTTCTGATTTCAGCATTCAGTTTAAACTATTCATTCAACAATTTATTAAATGGCTACAATGTATTAGTCACTGGTGATAAAGCAGTGGGGGAAAAAAGCAGATGAAGCCCCCGCCTTCATGGATACAGACAGTAAACAAGATAAGTACAAGTGTTAGATCATGATAACTACTGTGTAAAAGAGACAAGGAAGGGTTGGGGGTGGCTGGTGCAATTTTAGATGATATAACCAGGCAAGGCTTTACCAAGAAAGTGAGAATTGGGTAAAGATACGAAGGATGAGAAAAAGTGAGCCATCAGATACCTGAAAAAAAAATCATTCTAGACAGACAGCAAGTGCAAAGGCCCTGAGGTGGGTGCATCTCTGGTATAGTTGAGGATCACCAAAGAGGCCAGGAAGGCTGAGGCTGAGAGACAACAGGGCATCCAGACTATGTACAACCTTAAGTCATGACAAAGATTTTTGCCTTTTTTTCTGGGTGAGAAGGAAAGACATTGGAGGATTCTGCTGAAGGAACACCTTGACCCAATCTACTTGTTCAAAGCCTCCCTCTGGCTACTGTGCTAAGAAGAGACTGTAGGAGGACAAAGATGGAAGCAGGGAGATGTCTTAGGATGCTGTGTAGATCACTACAAAATATACAGTTAGCTTAGATTGGGGGGTTAGTGGTAAAAGTAGTGAGACATGGAAAGATTCTGGGCATAGTTTGAGGAAGAGACAAGACTTCCTCACCCGCTACATGTGGTGTGTGAAAAAAGAGGGGAGTCAATGGTTTTTGTTCTGAGCAACTGGAAAATAAGTGGCCATTTCCTGAAAGGGGAAGACTGTGTGAGGAACAGGCTGGGGTGTGGGGCAGATTTTCAGGAGCTGAGATTTGGGTCTCTCACTTTTGAGGTTGCTGTTAAATGTCACAGCGAGGGCCATCTTCAGTTCCTTCACAACCTGGCAGGGAAGGAGACACAGACTAGGGCTGATCTGAAAGTCAGAGACCTGGGGTCAGTTCATTAACTGCCTTTGGCACCTCAGGAAACTCCGTTCATCTCTGTGAGCCTGTTTTCTCATCTGGCGGATGGTTACAGTTGATTAGGTGACTCTGTAAGGCCACCTCTAGCATCTTGACATGTTAAGATTACAAGAATTTGTTTGCTCATGGGTGACATTCACTTTTAGCAGGGACACAAAGAGCCCCTCTTCATTGACCCTTTCAGTAAGATGCCCTCTTCTCACAGAAAAGAAGTTCCTCAAGAATGAGGAGCGTGCTGGGCCTGACTGAACTCCTTGTTCTTATTTCCTAAAGAGAGGCAGGACCTTCTTACTCTAAAATCTATTAAGATTCACCACTATCCCCATGTCCCTGCTTGAGCTCACTAGTTAATTAACTGCCCACTTCAATTTATCTGTGATACTTAATGGAAAGTCTTTTCTGTCTACTAACGGGACAGAAAGCACCTTCTGAGGTTTTTTTCTCTCATACTAGAATACCCAGCTAAACCACACTATAAATTAAAAGATGTGATGGTTTCAACACACAGTGGTGGTCTCTCTGAATGGGAAGGTTAGGTCTGTCAAACCTGTGTAATGCCAGTAATGCCAAAAGATGATGGAATATACCAATATCAAAGATTTGATAGCAGACCCAGGTAAAAAAAACTCAGTGAGTGAAATGAAACCTACAGTTTGCCCCAGAGAGAGACCTAGGATTAGAGGAGAAAAGTCACCTCCACCCTGAAGGTCAGTCTGACGATCCATTGGTAGAGCAGATCATAAGGACCCTGAAACCTTGGCTCTGAGACTTGCTGCCTGGTTATTGGAAGAAAAAAGGAGACGGTCCAGTTTGGGGATCACCATCTGGGCTCCAGAAGAGGATGGGTAAATGTGGAGGAGGAAGATGCCTCTTGCCCTCTCTGCTCTGGAGAGACACACTTCCTAGGAAAAGGGTACATTCAATTGCAATACACGAGTACCCAAAGTCATCCTAATTTCCTATTCAGACTTCTCTTTAGAGCCCTGTGGGAAAGAAATTTGAAGTGGAGATTAGGATGACTTTGGGCACCATGACTTCTCGTGTATTGCAGTTGAATGTCCCCTTGCCTAGGAAATGCCTCTCTCCGGACACGAGTTTTGGAACTGAATGTGTCTCACCTTCCCTCTTCATGCCCATGACAAGGCACTTCTGATAGCGACAGTACTGGCAGCGGTTGCGCTGACGCTTGTCAATGAGGCAGTCTTTATTATCCCGACACGTGTAGATGAGGTCCTTCCTTATCGTCCTCTTGAAGAACCCTTTGCAGCCTTCACAACTGTATACCCCGTAGTGCTTTCCTGGTTAGAAGAAAAGAACATTCCATAGATTGTTCTTGTGTTTATTTGGATCTTTCATTCAAAAGAACCTCTTGGCTCTTCCCCCAGAGAAACAGGCATATCACTTGGGCATTGGGACAGAAAGCAAATAATCACTAGCAGAGAATGCAGGCTTGATCACAGGAACCAAACTAAGACACAGCAAATACACTTGTCCTCGTGTCTTTCCTCTGCATTACTAATTCCAGAGAGAATTATTAGAAAATTCCTAAAGCTAAGGCTTTCTTTATATTTATTTTATAAAGGCAACTCTTGGGTTTAGTTAAGCAAATGTTCTGCCTCCATTCAAAACATTAGTGTAAATAATAAATAAAAATATATATGCTTGTCACGTATTACCTAGCAGGAAAAGAACCCCAACTTAACTAATTATAATTGAGACCCAAGTTCTTAGGAAACCTATTTAAATTTATTATCCTTTACCATAAACTATGAACAGAATTCTGAGTTATGAATTGTTAAGTGCTATTGACTGTTGAGGAAATTAATTGCTGTTTGATCTTTATATCATCATATGACAATCAAGCTATGACATAAAGATCTGATAGAAGCTGATTTTGCAGCCGGGCATGGTGGCTCACGCCTGTAATCCCAGCACTTTGGGAGGCTGAGGTGGGAAGATCACTTGAGGTCAGGAGCTTTTAGACCAGCCTGGCCAACATGGTAAAACCTCGTCTCTGTTAAAATATATATATACAAAAATTAGCCGCGCATGGTGGCACATGCCTGTGGTCTCAGCTACTCCAGAGGCTGAGGTATGGGAATCACTTGAACCCTGGAGGCGGAGGTTGCAGTGAGCCAAGATCATGCCCCTGCACTCTAGCCTGAGTGACAGAGCGAGATCCCGTCTCAAAAAAAAAAAAAAAAAAAAAAAAAAAGAAGGTGATTTTGCTTAATCCAGACTAATTTGTTGCATATTTCATTGCCCTTATTACCTGTCCACACATGCAGTTTTCAATTACCCCAGGCAGGGGTGGCTAATTTAGGTCAGGAGAGCCACCAAGCCCATCCTCAGACAGGCATCATGAATCAATCACAATCCTTTTTCTAGGTAGAAGTCTTCTTAATACCAGGCACTATGCTTGATTGATTGAAATTGCAGAACTTCAAAAATATAAGGAAACAAATCATTCAAAACATATTTGTGTCTGATTCTTTGAATGTAATATGTGATGTCATTGAGTTACAGAAATGACATGACTTTCTAATTCTGTTTTACTTAGGTTTCCAGCATCTCAGGAGTTTACAGTTCAGAGGAAGCCACTGTAAGATGAAATGATGGGTACAGATAGCCTGCCTGAAGAAAAGCCAGCCTTTGCCTCATTGGTTGACCATACTACAGGCCGGCTTTTCACATTGCTGAACTCACAGCAATGATAAATACAGGATTTTATCTTGGGCCCAGAAAACCTAGTGCTCTCAGTTCTGAAATATTTGTCTTAGAGAAATATGGGACCAATTTTTCAACTGTGTGACATAGTCATTCCCATGGCTTTTCAATATTTAAATGAACCTCATAGACTTTCAACTAGAATAAGCATAGCAGAGAAAACACTGTCGGGCTGTGGCTGGTGTGCTATTATGGCAATGGCCAAGTCTGCATGATTTGGGAAATATTTTTTGAGAGCAAGAAAACATCAGCCATTCAGCTAGGTAAGTTCTAGGTGCCTGGAACTTTCAATGGAGTGACATTCTTTAGTGGCTTTGGTGGCATTAAGAGTATAAGGAAATATTCAGTTAGCCATCATGGACAGCTATAGAAAAGAGAATAACCTCCTCTTATTATTGTTCTTCAAATAATCAAATCGGAGATTCGGATGTGTTCAAAATTGATGGGGAGGGAAATATGGGGCAGGAAGAATGGAGAGGAAAGAAGCAAGGAAAGAAATAACTGAGAAAAGGAGAAGAGAATCAAAGATAAGTTGGTGAAAACACATTTATTTCTGCCTATAAAAGCATATTGAAAATCTAGAATGTTATAGCAAGAAATACGCTAAAATATTAAAGGGTTTATTTTTCTTGGGGACATTATGGGTAATTTTTTTACTTTTCTTTGCAGTTTTCTAGTTCGTTCAAATCCTCTACATTAGGACATTATTTTTACAATTGCTTATCTGGGAGGGGTTATTCTTAATACTTTTTTTTTTTTGAGATGGAGTCTCATTCTGTGGCCTAGGCTGGAGTACAGTAGCGTGATCATGGCTCACTGCAGGCTTGACTTCCCAGGCTCAAGCTATCCTCCCACCTCAGCCTCCCAAGTAGCTGGGACTACACCAAAGCACTGGGATTATAGGTGTGAGCCACCACACCCAGCAGAAATACTTGATAATCACAACAGCTTCTGTCTCTCAGATACATGTGTAATAGTGTGACTCCAGAGAAGGGTTTCTGAAATGTTTCCTGTAAATCTCATCCTCAAAAAATAAAGCCATCCTTTAAATTCATCAAAACGGCAGCCTGTGAACCCAGTGACATAAACGTATAGGTGGGTCCCCAGTTAGCCCATCCTAAAGGGCCATTTTCCTTTCATTGAGTACAAAGTATCCAGGCAGACAGTGAGCAGCCCCTTCTCTGTGGCACTTTTCAGGGAGTGTCTGCTTCTGCATGTACCTGAGGATCTGTCTCCACAGATGGCACAGATGTGTTTAACCAGAGATCCGGGGCTGGTGGATGGGTAGTTCATGTTTCCAATCCCGGGAAGCCCTGGTAAGGGCTTGATGTCCTCTGAACTGCTGACACTGTTGACCACATTTAGCTGCAAGAGAAAAAAATACTGTAAAGCACAGAGCCAGAGTAAATTCAATCCCCAAGGCCTAAGGCAATGAGGGCTTACTCAAGAAAAAACAAGTTCTATTTCAAGAAACAGTTTCCAAGTACAGAGTATTTGAAACTGCCTATCTGTGAGATGAACTTAAGGGAGGGATAAAAGTGCCATAGGAGGAACAAAATTATTTCTAGAAGCCAAAACTTAAACCAAAAATCACAACACATCTCCATTAGAGTCTATCTGCTTTTATTCATTTTACTCATATGTTTTATTTAAGCTAGAAATCCATGCCAAATTACACACCCAGGACAATGTCAACTGTGTATTTTAAAATTTTTATCAACTATTGACTGCCTATTCAGCCGTGCTGCAAGAGGAACTACGACCCTCAGGCTAAAGACTTACACTCTAAGAGAGCCAAGCAAAAAAATGCAAATTCATTCATTAGTCAATCAACAGATATTCCCTGGGCACTCAGAATGCCAGACACTGTGCCAGGCTCTGGGGTACAAAGGCAAAGAAAAATACACACCCAGAAGGAGTTCACGGTAAAATGAGAAAGGACATGTGTAATGGTCATCTCTGCAAGCACACTGAAGATGCTAACTCGAATACATCCCTTATTGTAAGTTAATATCAGCTCCCCATCACCATCCCTGTATCTCCCAGTGCTCTTGGTAAGATTCCTCAGAAACTGAGGCTAAGTATCTTGTGTTCACCAAAGAAAGCAAATTGAATACATTTGAGCCACTCATCCAATCAGCAATAGAAACCCAGAAGGTATATCTCTCATTCCTCAAAAATGTACAATGTCATCAAGGAGTCAGAACATGCACAAAAAAATAAGAACACTTACAAGCAAGTTCAAACGAAGGTGGTGCAGGATATGCATGTTCGTAATTGTCCAATAGAAGTAAAGGTTTAGTGGTTAGGAACTACTGACTTCCCATGGTTTGTCTGAATTTTGAATCATATTGCCTAACCAAAGGGACAATAATACTCAAACTGAATCAAAGGTATGATTTTCCTCTCTATTCAAGGCCTTTGGGACAGAAGAAAGGTTCAATAAAACAGAAACTACAATAGAGCCTAAGCTAGGTTCCTTCTAAATTCACGAGCTTTTTCAATTCACTAAGCAAATATTTATTGAGCGCAGGAGGCAAACAGAGGCTCTCAGTTAAACACTATGAGGGATACAAAAAAGAAAAGACACAGCCTTTGGTGCTTTGTTTTGAAATCAACATCACTGTTAATTTTTAAAAATTAATTTGCATAATAAATGACAACACATATGTGATAGAAGAATTCCCTCTTCCAGCACCACCCCTTTTTTTATACAAGGCTATGAGAAGACATGTGGAACTTGTAACCAGTATTTTGCTTTGTTTTCATGTAGTACACTGGTTCTCATCCCTGGGGGCTTTGAAAAAAAACATGGACCTCATCCATGTCTTGAGATTATGATTCCATGAGTCTGAGGTAGGGCCTTGGCTCTGGCATTTCTTTTTTTTTTTTTTTTCCTTTTTTTGAGACAGCTGTGTTGCCCAGGCTGGAGTGCAGTGGTGCCATCTCAGCTCACTGCAAACTTCACCTCCCTGGTTCAAGCAATTCCCCTGCCTCAGCCTCCCAAGTAGCTGGGATTAGAGGAGCATGCCACGACACTTAGCTAACTTTTTTGTATTTTTGGTAGAGACAGGATTTAACCATGTTGGTCAGACTGGTCTCGAACTCCTGACCTCAGGCAATCTGCCCGTCTTGGCCTCCCAAAGTTCTGGGATTACAGGGGAGAGCCACTGTGCCTGGCTGGCTCTGGCATTTCTTAATTTCACCAGATGACATTAATGTGCATCCAGGGTTAAGAACCACTGCCATAGCGTGACTTCTAGGCAATAACTTTCCTCAAGTGCCTCAAAGAAACAGAGATTAGCACTTGGATCCGACTCATGAAATGGAAGAACTTTAGGTCAGATGACCCCACAGAGAGAGCCCTCTAGCTGACCACGGCTCTGTCCCCAAGTCCTCAGAGGGACAAGAAAAGTCATGGGAATAAGGAAGAAACCACCACCACCTGAGGTTCAAGGGGTCCTCACCCTTCCTTCTCCTCCGACCCTCAACTCCAGCAGGACCAGCTCCACTGCCACCAGCCAGCAGCAACCACGGATAGTAATGATTGCCATTGCTACCATCTATGGAAAGCTTGCTCAGTGCTAATTAATTATGTTAATCCTCTCAACAACCCTAAGAGGTCTTCCTATTTACAGATAAGGACATTGAGCCTTAAAGTGGGTTTATTCATTTGTTTATTCAGGAACAATATGGAGATCCAAAACGGAAGGAGATGCAGGCACTGCCTCAAGGAATTGGCCATTAATGTGATTAAAAGTCAGTTTGGATCATTCAGGAAGGAAAGATCACATGCTATTGAGATCAGGGAAGGCTTCATGAAGGAAGTGGCATTTGAGCTGGGACGACAGCCTTCAAAAATGTGTAGGATTTGGATGGGCTAGTGATGGGCAGAAGGCTTTGAGAGCAGAGGCCTAGAGGGAAGCCCAAGTGTTTGTGGAGCAAACATGTCCAGTGGATGGATGGGAGATAATGCTGAGAAGTGCGCTATGACAAAGCCTAGAAGCTGAATTGCCTTGCTAGGAGAATTGATTTAGTTTGGGAAGCAATAAGCAGCCACTAGAGGCTTGGAGCAGAGAAATAATTACCTGAAACCATTTCAGTAATACAGTGAATGAGGTACAGCATGAGGAAAGATTAGAGGAGACATCCAAGGTATTGCACCTGCCCAGATACCAGGTTAGGTACCTTACCAGGTCTGACTGCTTGGAGCCAGAACCCCAAGATCCTGGATCTCAGATCATCATTCCCCATTCACCACATTGTCTGCCTTGGGTGAGAGGTGATCCTCAATCCTCAACTGCCCTAGCAGCTTCCTTCCTCACCTCCTTGGCCAGGAGCCCCTGCAGGAGCAGACTTGCTTTGGGGCACTTTCTCCCCAGTCTCAGCCAGCAGCCCCTCTCCAACACTCCTCCTCTTCATGAGTGGATAGTGGCAGGAGGGGCAGTGAGACAGGTTGGTTGATGTTTTCTCTGTCCATCTCTCTGGCTGGCTTGGGGTTTGTTTTGGGCTCAGAGCAATGGCAGATGAGATCAAAGGCAGCCATCAGAGCATAAACCCATTAGCTGCCTGGTCCCCAAGTCCCCCAATCCCGGCTGTCTTGTTCCATTAGAAACAGTCTACTGAAATAAGCACTTTAGAGCCGGGATTCACCAGGCAACTCCTATCTGCTGCTGCACGCAAGCCAGCTGCTCCCTGAGAACAGGAAAGAAACATACTTGTCTGCTGGATCGTCTTCCCTTTTGCAGACTCAGCCAGGGACCAATTCATTCTGCATGCTTCTGGAGCCATCCTTGAACATTGAGTCCTGCATTTCTGAACTGTGTTCAGCCCAAATCCTTCCACCAAAGGTTAGGCTGCAGGCAGGCACTCCCGTTCCAGGGAGCAGAACTCTTATAGTGGCACAGCCTTAATCTAGCTAAGGCCTTCATCATGAGGAGTAATAAGCCTGGACCTCCAACATGGGTTTGGTCTAAACCTGCGACTTCCTAATCAGGTCACTTCACTTAGCAAAGACTCTATTTCCCCATTTCTAGGTGAGTGTGTGTGTTGCTGGGGGCGGTGGGGAGGGAGGTTGAGGCTTCAAGTCTTTTGTCCCTGGCTCAACCAGATCTGCTTTTATCTTATGTGTATATCAGGCTTCCAACTATGCTTTCATCTGAAGAAAAGACTTGATGACTTAATTTTTTAAAATCATCAGACGAGATGAACTTTAAGGTCTATTCCAGCTCTAACATTTGCAATTTTTATTTATTTTCTATGAAAATGCAAACAGACTCAAGAGGATAATAATTCAGTTATCAATAAATATCTAAGCAGAAATTAGCAATGATAGAACCCAGGTCAGGCTGCAGAGTTCAGGAGGGGAGAAAAAGACAGGAGTATTGCAAAGATCTGTGAGGCCCATTCCGGAGTCCAGCCAGCAGACATCATGCTGACAAAGATGCAGTATCAAACATACACACACAAACACACTCAGAAAAATGTTTCCTATATCACATTATCTACAAAGTACATAAATATCTTCCCAATGATATATTGATGTCTTTAGAAATTGCATCACTCCACTTAGATGCTCCCCAGGGCAGGGATTAAATCTCATACACATTTTTGGTATCTCCAGTGCCCAGTACTGGGCCTGGTTCAATAAATGCTTGTTGAAATGAACTTCTCTAGAACCTCTCAGAAACAGTACACCTGAATTACCTAAGTGTATAATACTATCACCTGGGAATAATCCTAATAATACCAAGTTACTGCTATAGAGCATCGCACGTCTTGAGAAGTGATTTTTAAATCCACATCTTCTTTGACATGCCTAAAAAAATCCCTGTAGGGTAATCAGGGCAAGTATTTGTAACCCCACGATAAAGAAAAGGAAACTGAAACAGAAACAAGTTAAAGTGGTTTGCAAAAGATTACACAATTCCTGCCTTCATCGTACCAGTTCCGATCTCTTTACTCCTCAAGATCAAAAATCCAACAACTGCAAAAAGAGAAGCTCAAACAATGAAATGACAGAGCACAGAGGAGACTGGCCCTGCCTGCTGCTCCCACCCCTAGACACTTCCTCCTCCCTTCACCCCCCAAATTGTACTTACGCGAGAACCAGGTCACAGAATGAACATGCTTCCATCATGAATCCCTCTCAGACCAGTCCTGGGTGAGGAAGGCAGGATGCATAGGAATAATCTGCCCAGACGATCCAGAGTCCAGCTCACTGTAGCTAACACCAAGGCCTTTTTTCCAGTGTCATCTCGTTAACCGAGCAAAGCATTGCTGCAGTGTGGTTCCGGAGCCCAAGCCCAGAACACTGCTCAGGGTCTCAGGCTGCTGAGCTTCCCCAGCACTTGGCAAGCTTAATATAGCTCCCCAAAGCCAAACTTGGCCTTGGCCTCTGCACACAGCCCAGTTGGCCAGGACCAAAGCTTCCATCTGACCTTTCAACCCCAATCCCTCTGTACAGACATATGGTCCAGGAATAGCGGCCCTGCTACTCACACAGCTCTGAAGATGAATTGACTGGCCATGTTTGGCTCAATCAGACTTGAGTGTGGTTGCTAAAAGCAGCCTCAGAGGGATGGTGCCTTGCCCAATTCCTACCCACAGGATCTGTCTACCACCTCACCCTATTTTATTTCTTTTCAGATATTACGATTTTTATTTGAAACTATCTTGTTTATTCCTTAGGTTTTTGCCTGTCCTGCCTGCTATTGTGTGATTGCCATGAGAGTAAAGACCTTGGCCACCTTATTCCGTGCTTATCCCTAAAACCTAGGACAGTATCAATTAGTACCTGATGCATAGCAGGTCCACATAAGTAGTTATTGGGATGAATGTCAATGCCCTTTGCAAAACTGTACTTTCATCCCCAAACTACAATGTACTTTCTGTCTGTAACTACCAGATTTTACTCGCCTTCCTGGACTCTGTTCACAGGAAAGAAAGGAAACAAACAAACCTCATACATTATGAAGCATAGGGTATCAATGGCCTTGCTGATTATAGTGGGTGGGGGTGGCATAAATACATGTACACCCCCACTGCTGCCCCATCCCCACTCCTCTGAGCACTGGGGTCAAGGAATATATATTAAGCAGTTTATAATTCACTCTCTTTGCTCCCTTCAGGTCTGCTCCTGCGTCTATGACAGCACACAGACAGCACTGAAGTGCAATGGATCTGCATAATGTGGCCACCTCTCCCACAAGATTACCCGGGAGCACTGATTATCCATCTTTTAATCCTTGGCTGCCAACAGGAAGATCTTGGGGTCACTGTGCAAGTCAGCATATATCACAGCATTAGGCAAATGCAGGGTTGTGAACACAGGGCTGCAAGCCAGGGGACAGGATTTCATTGTGGCTCTGTTTTTGACTGGCTGTGTGAGGCTGCACAAGTCACTTGGGCTCCCCAAGTCTTGGTACTTCATTTGTGACATAAAGGGTTTGGACAGAATGAGTGATCCTCATTTGAGCAAGAGTGGGGCAGTTAGGATCCCCTGTGGGGCTTTTGCTACCTGCACAAGGGTCAAAATATGGGATGAGAGAGAAATGTGTACTCTGAAAAAGGTCCTACAGGTGAGAACCATAAGATTAGAAACTGGGGTGAAGATTACTGGCCAAATTATACCCAGTAAAGTAGTTTATTTGGCCTGAGGAATGCTTTAAAAGTCTTTGAATTTGAACAGCTTTGAGGGAGCAGGGCAGCTCTCCACAGTCCACACCTGCCCCATTGACTTACACAACCCTTCCTTCACTCACCTGTGTTACCTGACTGGGCCCAGCTCCTGGAATCCCTACACTAGCTGATCTCTAAGGCCGTCTCCAAATTATCTAATCTATGGAGCAATACATTTTTGAAGTCCTTACTGGCTCTATGCTATAACTCCACATGAATTTGTTTTCAGAACCCTAGAATATGAGGTGTCTCAGAGGAGACTCTAGGCATGGTCACTGAAGTTCTCTCTGGAGTAGCAGAAAATGCTGACATAAAAGAAGCCCTTCCTCCTCTCTAAAACTGTATTCAAAGGAGGCTTTGGGACTTTGTTAGTCAGTGATCTCCAGAGAAACAGAATCTATAGGAGGTGTGTGTGTATATATATATTTTAAATTTTATTATAAGCAATTGTCTCACATGATTTTGGAGGCTGATAAGTCCCAAGATCCACAGGGTGAGTCAGTGAGCTGGAGACCCAAAAAAGCTCATGACATACTCCAAAGGCCAGCAGGCTTGAGACCCAGGAAGAGCAAATGCTTCAGTTCAAGTTCAGAGACAGGAAAAAAAATGACGTCACAGTTCAAAGGTCATCAGACAGGAAAGTTCTCTTACTCAGAGGAGGGTGAGCTTTTTTGTTCTATTCAGATCTTCAACTAATTGGATGATGCCCACTCACATTAGGGAGGGCAAACTCCTTTACTCAGTCTACCTATTTAAATGTTCATCTCATCCAAAAAACACCCTCTCAGAAACACCCAGAACAATGTTTAACCGAATATGAGGGCATCCTATGGCCCAGTCAAGTTGACACATAAAGGCCCTGCCAGTTCTGCCTCTAGGTGTGCTGGTAGTTGGGGCAGCAGGGACTCTGGCTGTTATACAGGGAGAGAAGAAGCTGTGGCAGATGGGATTATTGTTCCTAATACTTCACTCCTTTTAATTCTTCATATTCTTTGCATTGTTTCTCTGCAGTACTTCCCACTAATATAGACACAGCCTTCTTCCTTGCCCCATCAATGTTGGAATCTGTCATATGTTTTGTTTTGTTTTGTTTTGTTTTGTTTTGTTTTGTTTTGTTTTGTTTGAGACGGAGTCTCGCTCTGTTGCCCAAGCTGGAGTGCAGTGGCATGGTGGCACTATCTCAGCTCACTGCAACCTCCGCCTCCCAGGCTCAAGCAATTCTCCTGCCTCAGCCTCCTGAGTAGCTGGGATTACAGGCACCTGCCACCACACCGGGCTAATTTTTTGTATTTTTAGTAGAGACGGGGTTTCACTGTATTAGCCAGGATGGTCTCCATCTCCTGATCTCATGATCCACCCACTTCGGCCTCCCAAAGTGCTAGGATTATAGGCATGAGCCACCGTGCCCGGCCTGAATCAGTCATGGTTTTCTTAGGCTGATGGAATATCAGTGGGCACGATTTGAGCAGAGGCTTCACTGTGCTTTCTGGATTGGGTTTGGACTTTTGCATTTCTATGATACACCATGAGAAAAGCATGCCCCCAAGTAGCTGCCACTCCTACTGAAACATGAGGAGCCTGCAGCTGAGCCCACTCACCCACCATCTGAAGCAGAGCCATCTGTCCTAGCCTAAGGTAGACATATGAGTGAGAAGATAAGTGTTTGGGGATTTTTGTTATGCAGCATTATTGCAGCAATAGCCAACCACTACAAGATGGGAAGGATGATGAACTTAGTGTGGCATTGCTAGAAGGAAGTAAAGATATCTGGCCATCCTATAGGCTCTGCAGAGTAGCAATCTAGCATGCACCATGCACATACTTCTTCTCCTCCATCATAGCAGAAGGCACTCGAAATTAAGGGAAAGTTTCCTTCCCAACCTCCCATAGTCTCAGAGACAGCATAGCATGTAATGCAGTCTGCCTTGTTCTCAACTTATCCATTGACATACCTGCCTATTTCTCCTCTCATTTGTAAGCTCCTGGAAAGCAATGGCCATTTCCTGATCATTTCTGCATTGCCTTTAACAAGAGCACGTGGCACTTCAGTGACTCAATAAATGCTCATGATTGAATTGAGAAGAATAAAAGGGGTCCATTCTGCTGAGAGATGTTGAAATCACAGCCAGGGCTGAACTGCTAAAACTACAAGGAAGGCCCCCTTTTGGTCACAGTCTCCTGGACCATGAGGAGTTGTCAGTTCTTCAGGACTGCTCAGCCTGAGGACACATGCAATGAAGGCCCTGCCTGAGGGACGTCTGCAGAGACCATTCAAACCCTTTGGCAAGCACGCATTATGGACCTGCTGAGTGCTGGTTCTGCTCCAGGAGCAGCCTGGGTGAAACCATGTAAGATGGCTGGAAAGGCCTTGGAGAGGAAGAACACTTACCTGAGAGCTGGGTGGGGCAACCAAGTTGATTCCTGGAGGCGCTGCAAGTGCTCCTGAGGGTGGGCCCATGGCAGAGGTGATGACTCGATATGGAGAGCCCAGGGCATTGAGGGGGGTCCCCACTGCACTCAGAGTCCGTGGGGCACTCACTGGGGTATCTGTGTAGCTGGGGTGGCTGTCCATTGGCTTCCCTGTGGACAAGGCTGCTGATGGGCTCATGGATGTAGAGCCAGTGTGGCCAGGGGAGCCTGTAAGAAGAAGAATATAGATGGTGGGAGGTTGGGGAACATGGAAAGGGGCCCTGGGGGACAGAGGCCTAGCCCCACCTTTCTTTCCTGTATCCTGCCCCTCTTTTAGCCACACCTACACACCTGTAAGCCCTAGGTGCTCTCACCTACACTACCCTGGTGGTATAAAGACAAGCGAGGGACACAGAGGGGAGAGGGCCTGCTCTAGGACAGAAATAAGCATGGATGTTCTCTGGGGCCCAGCTTGGAATCCACTCTGGACTATGCTGGATCCACAGCCAGTGCAACAAGGGGCACAGTCCAGAAGACCCCAGCCTGAGTGACTGAGGCCTGGGCCAGCCAGCCAGGGAAGGTGAGTCTATACCAAACCTCGATGGGGAGAGTGAGTAGGTTCCCAGGCTGCTCCATAATTCCCTGACTAGAACTCATATTGCTCTGATAATCAGGGCAGGGCTGAGATTCATTCATTTATATGCAACAAACATTTATTAGGGTGCCAGGTGCTGGGGATTCAGAGCAGAAGAGCACACAGTCGCTGACATCAGGAGTCACATTCCATAATAATGATGGGGAAGGCAGTGGCTGTTGTCATACCCCCAGTTTCCTATATCTATTGAAGCTTTATGTACATGATGTTCTTTTCCTGTCCCTCTCTATAGTACAGGGTTAATTAGCACTCAGGGGAGAAGACTTGGAATGGCTAGGCATGGCTTTATGGCCACAGAGGCCCAGGTAGCACAGGAAGGCAAATGCAGACCAGACTGCCGAGACCATTTCTGCCTCCAAGAATAGAATGCTGCAGCCAAAAGTGTCTGTGGAACAGGGTCTGGGTGAGGAGGTCATCAGTATCACTTTCTTCCAATAAATTGAACCCACATTCCCCTGTAGTCAGTAGCAAACTCGAGATGAAACAGGAGAGTGCCCTCCTGTCATCTTGGGAGCCCCGCATGGAACATTCTCTCCAGAAGAGAGGAGCTATAAGCTTTAGGATCTGTAGCAGCAAAGCAGAGACTAGAAAACACCACAGGGCACCCCACCGTGGATCCCATCACTAGATCCCTGTGCAGCTAGCATGCAAGAACAGATGTGAAGAAGCCATGTGCACAGTAGCTGCACGCAGCACATCCATGGCACCCAAGCTGTCCACATGGATAGAAAGGGAGAGGATTAAGTGCTCAGTAAGCACAGTCTGCTGGAGAAGCTACCCCATTCTCAGATGCCTACTGTGGGTCAGACACCTTGCCAAGCAGATGGGATAAGAAGTGGAGGAAGTCATATGCCTGACTTTATGTGGCTCATTATTCATCCAACAAATATTTCTTGAGTGCCTACTACATGCAAGGCACTGTCCTAAGCCTTTGGGCAACATCAGTGGGTGCTAAGTGTAATGTCAGGAGTAGGATGCTAGGAGAAACTGGCTTCTTTCAAGTTCTGGTAGAGAGCAGGAAGTGTCAGAAATATAACTGTGAAACTATTCTTAAACGTAAATATTCCACTGGAAAAAATGTCAACCTGCAGTTTCTCTTGGAGCTTCTGCTAGCTTAGTTGAGGGCTACTTGTGGAAGGAAGTCACTCCAAGGAAGCTGTGACCCTCTTGTCATTCTACGTATGGAGCTTTGGTCTATCAGGGACAATTGCCTCATAAACAGATAAGTCCCAATACCCCATGTCCTAAGTACCACAATCAAGGAGAAAACACATGCTGTGGGCCCACAGGGGCATGGCAAAGTGGTTAAAATTAATAACTCAAACATTTATTATGTGTCCTCAATAGCATCAGGCAGTTTCCATAACTCTTTATCCTGACAATAAGCCTATGAAAATCATTTCAGCCTTTTGCAGATGAGAAAACTTAGGCTCCATCTAACCCCATACCATTTCCAGTTCCAGGATGACTTACCCCTGCCTCCATTGTCTAGAAGCTCTTATTCAACCTTCAAGGTCTAACTCAAGTGCCACCTCCTCCACAAAGCTTTTCCTGGTGTTCCTGGTCTGGTTTCCTGCCCTTTTTTTATTTCCTAAAACTGTCTGTTCCTACTTGTATCTTAGCATTTGTTATACTGTATCACTATATTTGTTTATTCCCTGTCTTTCCCACTAAACAAAAAGGAAAAAACCATGTCCAGTTTTGTTTCTCCATCTCTATCAGATTACCTGGCACTGCCCAGGTAGTTAGTGGCAAAGCCTTGATTCAAATTGCCAATCTGAAACCCACGCTCTCCTCTGTGTTTGTTATCAAGGACAGCAAAGATGATTGGAGAGCCATCTGCACCAAGAGTACAAGATGACTCAATTATGAAGTGATCTCAAGCTGAAAGTTCATCTGAAGGAGAGAAAAGAGGGCAGCGCTCAAGAACTGAAAGCCAAGAAAACCAAGACTCTTCAGGTGGCCACTCATTGGAAAGAGCAGTTTTAGACTCTTCTGAGGCCCTGGGGGCTGTGACATTTAACGAGGCCAATGTATACCTTGAGTCTGTTACTAAGATAAAGTGTGACAGGTGAGTTAGGCGCCAGCCCTGATTCAATGGGTGAGGAGCCATAAACTCCACTGAGAAGACAGCTGTCCTTCCCCCATGACCAAGCTATCTGAAGGAAATTGACTTTTCCTTCTTGCTTAGGCTTGCCAAAAACAGACCAGACCACCCTGCAACTTTCCTTTTTATTCTGCTTTAAACAGATCTCAGAGAGACTGCGCCTTTCTATTTCTTTATCCCCAGGGTCAAGAACCAAAGCCTGACATCAGGCCTAGACTGAGGGCACAGGCAAGAGCAAGAGTTTGCTTCACACTCATCACCCCAAGAATTCCAGGGTGTGGTCCCTCTGCCACCAGTGACAAAGGGCATTTTAAGTGGTATGTCAGCAAACTTAAAAAAAAAATTAATAGTTTTATATTTATGCTTTCTGTTTCCTTTTGTTTATAGGGAGGGACTGAGCTCTCATTTCTTGTTATAAAATTATCTTCCTAAAGATAGCTATTTAAGCTTTCTTAAAACAGTAAATTGATTTAAGAAAAAGTCTAAGTACAGAGGATATATAAAATATCATGAAAATAGTATGCAAAGGAATGATGTTTAAAAAACATCAACCTGCATAAAAATATACAAATATGGACTTTGAAGAACTCATGAGTTGTTTCAAAAATAAAATGAGATAATGATGTGAAAGTGATTTGAAAATTAAAGTACATTTTTGTTGTTGTTATCATTATTAATAAGAAGTAAGTTAACTTGACTACTGAGAGCAGTGGTGAGAATGGTACATTGTTGAGATACAATGAAATAATGAGTTAAAGTTTGGTTCTCAATGGCCTTTAAAATATGATTTATTTCTGTTGAGTCAATGACCCAGAAGAGGTGGGCTATTTTATAACTACATTTTAAAAAATAAAATAGAATTTTAAAAGACAAATACATCTTAGACAAATGCATTTTAGTTCTTTGCCTCTCACAATGTCCCAGTAGTTCTTAGAAATAAATAGCTTTGCTTTTAGACAAGTTAGAAAACAACAACTTTTATGACAAAAGTGTTTCTCAATGGAAAATTAATCTATTCTCCCAAATAGACACTAATGCATACCTGTCTGTGATGTTTTTGTCAGCCTCTCTCACTCCTTTTTTTTGTTTGTTTTTCCACAGCCCCATGGAAACTGCAGCCAATACCAAAAGGCACCACAAGTTTTCCAGATACCTGATTATATCTTATTTCTTTTCCTTCCCCACTGAGAGCCTTCTGATTAAGCTATGAACTAGGCAGAAAACTGACAGGTTTCCCTTCAGCACCAGCTGAAAGTAGGCAGGCTCCTGTTTGAAGGATGAGTGGTGTTTCTTGCAAATTTATCCAGGAGAGATTCTGTCTAGCCCTCAGCCTAGGATAAGTCTAGTCCAAATCTTAAGTCAAGGTTTTCCCTAATGCTCCCTTTTGGTCCTTGCAATGATTTGAATGGGTGTGTCCCTCCAAAATTTGTGTTGGAATTTAAACCATAAGAGAGTAGTAACAGGTGGGGCCTTTTGGAAGTGAGTAGGCCATGAGGGCACCACCCTCATAAATGGGATTAATGCACTTATAAGAGAGGACTTCAGTGAACTACTTGGCCCTTTCATCCCTTCTGCATCAGAGGATGCACAATTTGTCCATTTTTCCATACCTTTCATCCCTTCTGCATCAGAGGATGCACAATTTGTCCATTTTTCCATCCCTTCCATCATGTGAGGCACCATCTTTGGAAGCAGAGAGTGGACCTCACCAGACACGAACCCGCTCGTGCCTTGATCCTGAACTTCCAAGTCTCCAGAACTGTGAGCAATAAATTCCTATTATTTATAAATTACCTAGTCTGAGGTATTTTGTAGCACAAGATACCAGCAGCACAAATGGCCTGATCCAGTCTCTCAGCCCAATTCACTCTGTGGCATGACCCCTGGCCCCGCCATCTCATCAACCTTGCTCCCTGCCTTCCCCTGTGCCCTCTTGATCTTCCAGGCACCTATGCCAGATGCCTGGAAAATGCACCAAGTCTATTCTGCAGAGTTCATTATCTTTGCTCAGGCAATGATTTTATTTGCAAAATAACTTATCTAATGAAAAAGCGCTAGTGGAGTTCCTCAAAAGGTTTTCTTCTCTCCTGGTAACATACCCAAGAATAGCATTGCATACTCCTGGGTCTCATTTCCCCCAGTAAGGAGCTGGCACTCAGTGACCTGAAAGATCCCTTCCAGCACTAATGTTTCGTGAGCATTGGGTAGGACATGGCTTGTTGGCATTGAAAAGAAAGAAGTGCAGGTGTTGGTGGTCTGGAATGGTCTGAGTCTGGACCAGATGCTGAGGGGTACCTCCCACCATCAACTGGACCATGTTAGGCCTTCAAACCATTTGGCATTCCAATTAAAGGTGCTAAGAGTGTCACCAGGAGCCAAAACTGAGAAGGGAATCTGTACAGTGCATAACTCTACAATGACTCCAAAAGTCCCTGTGTGCATTGATGGCACTATGGCTTCAGGGATGCAGGACTGAGGAGGAGACAACAGCTCAGAAGTCAGAGTTCTAGGTTGAGGTTCTGCCACTTTCCAGCTATGTAAATTTGAGCACGGAACATGACCTCTGTAAACTGCAGTTTCCTCATTCATAAATTGAGACAAATAGGCCTAACTCAGAGGACTGCTGAGAGCTCCTGAGACTATGAGGTCCATTAATTTTTTGTTAATTAATGTATACAAGTAGGTATAAAGTTTATCAACAGAAATTATTTGCATAAGAAAGCAATGTTCCTGATGTTTACCAGAACCACAATCTCTAAACAATGAATTGCATGTGTGTATGTGTGTGTGTGTGTGTGTGTGTGTGTGTCAGAGAGAGAGACTTACTGAGAAAGGGGACACAAAAGCCAGGGTACTTAGAACTACAGAATTCTTACCAAGGTAAGGAAGTTGCTTAGCAACCTCATCCTCAGCCAATAAAAGCAAAATGTCAAGCATGCAGTTTTTCTGACTGGCCAGACAAGGGAGCAAATGGCCTGGTGTTTCCACCCCTTTGCTGCTGTGCCAGGAAGGGTAGAGAGTTTGCTCTCCCATTAGCAACCCTCTTCAGGTTGGAATGGAAACTTGTAATGAATCATTGATAACGGCTAATGCCCACCCATGGGGAAAGGGACAGAGCTAAAGACTTGGCATTTTTCAGAGTCAGGAGTCTCCATATGAAGTCACGGGAGCACCATGGGGCCCTATCCCACTCTGATCTCTCCCACAGTGGAACTGTCACACACCAAAGCCTGTCTCTGTTCCTCCAGTGGAGGGATATGGTGTGAAGGCCCAACAATGATAGGATTCTCAGACACCTGGCTTGTTTTTCTTTGTCTGCAGCAAACTTACTCATATATCCTTTCCCTGCTTCGCTCTTAACACAGACATGCTGCTGAGCAAGGTCGGCAGGAGATTGCCAGGTACAGGCACTTCAACCAACAACTGACTGTCACCTCCTCTGTTGTGTAACAATAATAATAACTAATATTTACTGAGCAATTGCCACAAGCCAGACATGGTTCTAAACACTTTATACATGTTGAGCATCTCTAATCTAGAAATCCCAAATCCAAAATGCTCCAAAATCCAAAACTTTCTGAGCACTGACATGACTCTCAAAAGAAATGTTCATTGGAGTATTTGGGATTTTTGGATTAGGAATGCAAAACAAGTAAGCACATAATGTAAACATCACAAAATCAAAAGAAGATTCAAAATCTGAAATATCTTGATTCACAAGCATTTCCAATAAGGGATACTCAGCTTGGAGTGGCTAACATTTATTAGGCAACTTCTATGTGCCACGCACCCTTCCAAGGGCATGGCATGCATCATCTTGTTTAATAGTCTCAAGGGCGCTTGGAAATAAGGTACTATTAGTATCCTCATCCCCATTTTACTGACAGGAAAGTGGAGCCACAGGGAGATTGAGCAAACTGCCCAAGACCCGCTAGCTGGTAAAGAGCAGGGCCAGGATCCAAATCCAAGCAGTCTTGTGCCGGGGCCGCTGTGCTGAACTCCTGCACTGCGCTTGCCACTTGCCAGGATGGAGGGGAGATAGTGGAAGGTAAGCCCAGATAAGCCCCAAATGGGTGGATTATATGTAAGAACAACTAAGATACTCAATTCTTACCCTATGCTCTTCACAACTTACTTATGGATCATAATGCATTCTTTTCCTTTTGAACACACATAATTGCACCAAATGAACAAAATGACTAGGAGTGGGAGGCAGGGGACTGGGCCCCCAAAGGTGCTAATAAAACAAGGATTAAAATACTTTTCCAGGTGGACCTCAATTTATTTTAATATGTGAAACCCAATTTTGCATTCTGGAGTAGAGGTTGGCACACTTTTTCTTTCCAGGGTCAGACAGTAAGCATTTCAGTCTTGCTGGCTGTACCATCTCTGTGACAACTACTCACAATATCCTTTGTAGTGTGAAAGCAGCCACAATCAATGGGTAAGCTAGTGCACACAGATGTGGCTGCATTCCAATAAGCTTGCAGACCTCTAGGGGATCATTCTGGAGAAGTTTTATTATCATTACCATTTCTGATTGCTCTTCAGTTAGCAGTGATCCCCAACACCTTAGCTCCACACTGCTCTTCCTCCAGCTTTCCCCTCACAGAGCTGGATTGACTGTCAAAGCTACACAGAAGGGCCTGCAGATCATCGAGTTCAACCCCTCGGTTACAAGCAAGGACACTGGGGAAAGGAGGTATGGCTTGCCCATGACCTGTGGCTGTTTGTGGTCTTCAAACTGAGTTTCCCTGAGTCCCCTTGGAGCCACCTAGGATGGCAGGAAGGGGAGTAGAGGGGGCTGAACCACAGTGAGTCCTCCTCCCACCCTTTGGTAAAATAGCTCAATGCCACCAACCACATGGGGTAAGGGTTAACCTTCCACAGTGTGAGGGTTAAATAAAATCAAGCCTGGAAAATTGTAAACACATAATAAAAGTTAGCTCCCTTTATAGAAAATCTGGAGACTATGGCACTAAATTTAGCTAGAATTTGGTATGTACCTTTTTCTTAGAGGAGATTCGCCTGTTCTTAAAGTGTCAGACTGCACACTATGAGATGCTGACAAAGTAAATAAGACATGGATTCTGCCTCGGAGGGAGCACCATTTTCAGAAAACTACGTTTTAACAAATCATCCCAGGGCAGGCACTCATGAGGTCAGACAGAAAGGGAGCCATGACCTGGGACTTCCAACTCCTATCATTTTCAGGAGACCCTCACCCCAGGCAGTGACCTTGAGAAGTCCTGACCCCCTCCATTTCCTCAAATGCAAATGGAACAACCTGGAGTTCCTTGGCCTCTTTTATCAGCTACTGTAACCAGATGGGGACAGAAGTGGGGGACAGCAAGAGTTTCAAGGTTAAAGATCAATCCCAAACTCCTGGTGGGATTTCAGAATTAACAACCAAACTTGAAAAGTGGAAAAGCCTGTTATCATCTTTAATTCAAAAAGCATTTACAAGATGTCAGAGGAACGGGAAACAAAGCACTTAATGAATATCTTGGAGTGTTTCTTCTAGGCTGGTTGCCTGGGTTTCATTTCTGTGACTCAAAATCTCCTTTGCTCCTCCTTTTCATTTTACTGGTCACTAGTGTCATGGGGAAGCAGCCTCCTGGAGGGTTCAGGGCTCACAGTATCTGTTTTCACAGCCCTAGCGATGTGGAGAGCAGAAGTTGGAGAGCAGGGGAAGAACACCCTAGACCAAGAAGAATGCCAGTCAGTCAGTCAGCCAGCACGCCTGGCTAAGCATCTGCTTGTATATGGGCTGTGTAAGACACCAAGAGCATGAAGCCCATTCCCTGCCCTGGCAGAATGTACAAACTAGTTACAAGCTCTGATGTCTTCAAAATATTTGGAGATTAATTATTTCTGCACATTTTTCTTAGGGCTGAGTTTAAGTGAATGGATTCAAAGAATTCAGGGATTTAGAACCTGAGAACAGATAATGTTCTGAATATTACCCAATGGTAACATGGGACTAGGAATATAGTTCGCTGTATTTTAAGAGACTGCCGTCTTTAGAAGACAATCTATAGAGATTGCCCTGTTCAGATAGAGAGAGCCTATCTGAACAAGAAATCCAGAGACAGTAATGGACAGAGGTCATGGATTCAAGAGCTGGGTGTGCACATAATTGATGTTCAAGGACTTTAGGAACGAGAGGAGAACTGGGGGCACCCTCATTGGCATCTGCTTCAAACACTCATTGACATCTGCCTCCATGGACTAACTGGTACATGATGTACCAGTATACGGAATTGGCTTAAAGGGACAGCCAGCCGGTCCTCGTTAGCAGGATCCCCTGGAGCCTCTCATTTGTTAGAGATGGCATAATATCCATCTGTACTAGCAAGGTCTATAATTTGGTGCTGGCTGGGAAAGGTGGTGTGCAAGCAAAATGTCATTCATTATATGCAGAAATGTTCACAGAAATTCTGCTAGACTAGACTCAAATTCTAGATCTATAATAATTTGCAGCAGGCCTTAAAAGGGCCACTTTATCACTCTAAACCTCAGTTTCCTAATCTGTCTAATGGGAATAATTTCCGCCTTACGGACTACACTGTCAGTTTGAAGTTTGAATGAAATAGACGGTGGCCTCCAGGAGGGGCCCCTCTATCTGTTGTGCTGAGATTGACTCAGCCCTGGCTCAGCGATCCTCAGAAAAAAAGTGAAAATACAGGTTGAGTATCCCTAATCCAAGCCTCTAAAATCTGAAATGCTTCAAAATCCAGAACTTTTTGAATGCCAATATCATGCTCAAAGGAAATGCTAATTGGAGCATTTTGGATTTCAGATTTTTGGATTATAGATGCTCAATTGGTAAGTATAAGGCAAATATTCCAAAATAAAAAAAAAATCCCAAATCCAAAACACTTCTGGTGTTAAGCATTTTGGATAAGGGATACTTAACTTGCATCAACTCATTTCATAACTACAACACCACTTTAAGGTCCGTAGTTTTATTATCCCCATTATATGGGGATTAAGCACACGGCTTGGCACAGAATAGACACTCACCAAATATTTTTTGACAGATAACCCAATGATTGGTATGGAAATAAATAGCACATATTCATAAAGAGTTTTAGGAATGTAAGGCATTATCTAGCAGACGGAATAAACTTGGACCCAGGGGCCAGAAGACCTGCTGTTTTTGCCTATATGGCCTTGGGCAAGTCTCTCAACCTCTCTTCTATAAAATGAGGTGGTTCTTCAAGTTCTAAAAGTCTGATTTCTAAACAAAAACAACCAACATGGTCTTATTAATTTACAACATAATTAATTCAGAGTGGTGACTAAACTGGTCATGGTATAAACTAGTTTGTATTTGTTCATTCACAAAATAATAATAAAAAAGGTTTGTTAAGCAAATAAGATGGTAGAAATGTTAAGCCTATTTAAGATACATATGTTTTCAAGCAATTTAAAAAGCATAGAAGGAGCACATTGGCATATTAACGGGGTGTTAATTACAAAAGAATCTTTTAAAGCAGGTTTTCTAAAATCCCCACTGAGTAACCATTAGCTTGTGGTACTTGAAACACAAACTGTTCACATGTGTTACTTAGAAGTAATAAAATTGTAATTTAAAAGTAATCTGCCAACTTGTCACGAATTTAGACTGATTTTTCTCTCAATTGATCCAAATGAGTGAGGTTTTGCTATAATTATATATAATGCTGGTAATAATGAGGCTGATTATCAATCTTTCCCTGCTTTTCACTACCTCCATCATTACAGATTTTAGGGGAGGGGGGCGGGGGTGGAGGAAGATGGGAGGAGTGGGAGCGAGGGGAGGAGGGGGGTGGAGGAGAGGGAGAGAGGCAGGGATGCCACTCTCTCCCTCCCCCTTCCTTCAAGCACCGGAAGCAACCCCAGCTCCCACCCTGAGCAGCTCATCAGCCCTTCTCTGGGGGCTACATGAATCCAGGTGGAACTGCCCTGTGCGGCTTCGAAAGGCTAGCCAGCTGGTCCGAACTGGGGTTGCGTGAAGCATGCAGCAGCGTCAACCCATCAGCTAATGCATGCTTTCATTCTCACATTCCCACTGAGAGGCTGAGAGGCCTGAGCCTCTGGGGGCAGAAGGAGGGCCTCTTCTACATGCTCTCCACTCTCCAACACATTCCTTGATTTTTCCCCACTGAGGAAGCCAGAAAGGGCTTCCATAGCAGAGAAGGTTTCCTTCCCATCAGAAGAAAGCTTCTCTCTGCTCCCCATTCACTGGAAATTTAATGTCTAACATCTTGTTTTCTACATCGGTTAAAATGTAAAGCTTTGCACCAGTAAAACAGTTATAAAATACCTTCCCATTCCATCTCAGGGTGATTGTGCAGCCTAAATGTTTATAGGAAAGTCCCCTTGAATATGCTGATAATAATTCAAATATAAGAAATGCATATTAGCTAATCCCTGGTGTCTGAGTGGCTGTTATGTGGAAAGAGGAGGGAGAAGAAGATTAGGCTGGGCTGGGAGCCCTGAGGAAGGGAACCCAAACTAGGGGTTGAATTGTGAAGAGATAGAGTCAAGATGTGGAGTGTTCTAGTGAGAAAGGCCAGGGTCAAAATCCTGGGAGAGGCCAAGTATTGAATTGGGAAGGGGCAGGAAGGTCTGTGCTGGGTAACTGCTGTAAGAATTTACAGAGTAGTACAGTATAGTACATGGTAGAGCTGGGATTAAAATCCAGATCTGCTGCTTTTCCTCATATTCAAATGCCACTTTTATCATTTATTAGCCAAGTTCCCTTTGGCAAATTATTAATTTCTCTGTCCCCCAGTTTTTACATCTGTATAATGGGGGTAATAAAACTACCGACCTTAAAGTGGTGTTTTAGTTATGAAACGAGTTGATACAGGTTAAGTATCTCTTATCCAAAATGCTTAGCACCAGAAGTGTTTTGGATTTAGGATTTTTTTTTATTTTGGAATATTTGCATTATACTTACCAATTGAGCATCTATAATCCAGAAATCTGAAATCCAAAATGCTCCAACGAGCATTTCCTTTGAGCATCATTTTGGCATTCAAAAAGTTCTGGATTTTGAAGCATTTCAGATTTTAGATGCTTGGATTAGGGATACTCAACCTGTATTTTCACTTTTTTCTGAGGATCACTGAGCCAGGGCTGAGTCAATCTCATGAGAGCCACCAAAGCCCATGCATTCTAGAAAATTAACTTCATTCCCTGGGCCTCTGTGTCTTCTACTTTTAAAAAGAGGAGAAAACACCAGCTTCCTCTGGGAGCCCCTGGCACACCCGCGATCCAATGCTGGTGGCTAAGTTCTCTGCAGACCTAGAAGCTTCATAATGAGGGGAAGGAAGAGGTGGGGCATTTAGATTCTCTTTGCACAATTTCTTCCCCCAGTTGCTATTCAGCTCTCTATCTCTTGGTGAGATTGTAAATGTTTTAGAAAATAGTTTATACGAAATATGTTCCTTCCTAAATCTCATAAACAGTTACTCCTTTCCACATAAACCTTAACCACTTATGCCCATGATAGGTTCCAATTAGCCACCCACATATCTGTGGAGGGGAAAAATATGTTCTAGCATATACACACATGTGCACACGCACACATACAAGCAGGTCCAACTCAACCCCTTCTCTATGGCTATTTTCAAGTGAAAGCAACTATTCTACATGAATGGTCAGGGTCAGTTGGACAGGACTCTTGCAAATAAGTATGTACCCAAGGGAAGCCACCAATTAATTCTGCAGAGATCACCGTTGCTCTTAACCTATCCCATGGCTTATTCCTCAATGGCCAGTCCACTGGGTCTGCAACAACCAGTCAGTGCTGAGGCTGCATATCTGAGGTTGTATTGGAGCACCGGGAGCTCCCTGGGGGTGTGCTGCTGCCCCTGGCTTTGCAGAGCAACTGTGTCACTCACAGAAGCTGTGAGAGGCAGCTCAGCAGTGTGAACTCTGGGAGCTAGTCTGCCTGGGTTCAATCCCTGGCTGTGCCATTTTCTAGCTATAAGACCTTAAGCAAGTTATTTCACCTCTCAATTCCTCTGTTTCTTTGTCTCTAAAAGGAGTACGAGAACAATGGTAACAGTACCTACTCCTAGGGTTGTTATGAGGATTACATGAGCCGAGGCTGGTAAAGTGCTTACAATAGTAGCGAGCATTAGTGTTACAGTGTGTTTGTTAAATGAAATGAGAGAAGTCCTCTCTCTCCCTGATCTCCTTCTCACCCTGAGGATTACTGCACAATTGGATGGGGGGGATTACAGGCTTTGTTTTGCCATCTTCTAAGAGGCAGCAACTGTCTCATCCCAGAAAAACAAACCTATTACTGAGCAGCTGGCAAACCCTGGACTTGGCAGAGAAGGAGAAGAGAAGGTTTCTCTCATCATTACATGGTAGGGCCCAAAGCTGGGAGATTGGGCACCTTTGTGGAGCCACCACGTAGCCACCACACTTTGGCCAGTTTGAGCAATCTGTTGCTCACTGATCAGATGATGCTCTGACATCTGGTAAGCATGGTCCCAGACACAAATCTCAGGTGTTATTTCCAAAAGGTGACTTTGCTTCCCTGGAGATTCTTATACAAATCATGGGGCCCTCTGTAATTCCATGTGCTAATATGTAACAGGGCAGGGGGTTATACACCAAGTATTTTAATAAGTGCCGTGCAACTTGCTGCACTGTGGCAGGGGAGGTTAGAGGCCAAAGGTGACGTCCACTCTAATCCTGCTTTCCCCTGTGCCTGCTTGTGAGTCCTCTGTCCCTCTCCCTCATCACAGAAAGTTCTCAAACAGACCTCCCTGCAGACGGGGGCAGAGTCCTTTGGCTCAGCATTTAGGCCTCCTCTTAACTGGCACATGCCAACAAAATGGAAAACCTCAACAGAACTAAACAAAATAATTCTTCTCCTCCCTCAAGAATGACAAAGAAAAGTAGCTTTACAGGAGACATGTAGACAACCTACATGACCCTTTCCCCTCAAGTTCCCTATACTATACTGAACTATTTCCTTCCATAGCTGAACCATTGTGTTTACTTCTATCTGAAATCTAATTACGCTAAATATCAGAGCCCCCACAATTATGAAAATCTATGCCAGCAAAATATGAGGGTCTTTGTGGATTTAATTTTATTTTCCCAGATTCCTTATTTATTATTTTACAATAATGTCTGATTTTTAACTATTTTGCATGTTAGTCTCTGAGTAAAATAGAGGGGAAGAAAATATTGTATTAGGTAGCAAATATATGGACAACACTATAGCAGCTGTTTTTCACATGCTAACTCATTTAATTTTCACAATACTCTAAGGATGAGATTATAAATCCCATTTTAGAGAGAAAGGTGCTAAGGCTCAGAGAGGTTCACTAGCTTGCCTAAGGTCACACAGCTACTAGGTGAAAAATTGGGAACCAAACTCAGCACACTACCTCTTCCTGCCTCCTCTTCCTCCTGGTGCTCTTTTCACTATATTAAAGCAACAATATTATAAATTTGAGTAAGGGCTTTTCTGGAAGTGTTCTGCAGCTCAGCCCCATATAAATTTGGACTAGTCCCTGCCTTCTTTTGAGCCTCAGTTTACACATCTATAAGATGAGAGCCTAAGATGCTGTTTCAGGTCCTTAGGATGCTAACATTCCAAGATTCCAGCCCCCATGGAATTTTAACTAGATCTTCTTTCTCTGGCTCTTACTTTAGTTCTCTCCCTAAATCCTTCTAGCTTCAACCCTTTTATTCACCCCAACTGTCTCCAAGGGTCTCTTTGGCATTAATGAAGCCACAGTCTCACAGACCTTGGGGGGCCCACGAATCTGGCTGAAAATGAGCATGCACCTCTTACAAATGAACTAAGATGTAAAGGAAAAAGCAATTCTCAGCTCTGAATGGGACTGAGGTGGGAATTGAGGAGGCTTTTCACATCTGGAGCCCAACCATAGACTAGAGATCAAATGCCCAGGTCACAGCATTGGCCACCGCTCTCACTCTGTCATCAGACTGGCCCAAAGAACTTGAACATCACCTCGGGAACATTTCCATGGCCCTCACCCCAAGTCCAAGTACAACCTACGTTTGCTATTACACACATCATGCAGTATTATAATGTGCCTGTGTAACAAGCCTGCCCCAGTCCCAAAGGGCAGAGACTGTGTCTCATTCATATTTGTATTCCCAGTGCCCAACACCATGCCTGCCTCATAAAAACTACCCTGAATGAATGTGCAAACTCCCAGGTCTAACACCTCCTGGTGACAGAGATCACTTCTACCTTGCAGTGTGTCACCATGCCTCCCAGGGGGTTCTGCCCAGCCAAGTTAGGCAAGCTTTAGTCCCAAGCCTTCAGATGAATTGGTCCACGGAGGAAGTCTGGAGAGCAGGGACTTTTCAATTTTCAAAACCTTATAAGAATTTCTGCTGTCTTGCCTGCCAGAATCTTTCTTTGGCTCCCAGCAACATAAGCTGCATGCCTCCAACTGACAAGCGACAGGCCAGTTGGTCAGCTGTTGCTTCCATTTACTCAGAGCTGGGCGGCTGTACTGTTTCTGTCACTAAATCAAGGGATCCTTGGGACGGATGTGCTTGGGCGTTAAGGCAGCCTGAGGACCTAGTCTCCGGAAGCTTCTGTGAAGTGTGACTGGGCTGCCCTGCCTGGCACGGTGACTTGAATCTTCAGTTTGCCAATTCTCTAAGAGCCCCAACCCCCCATCCCCAGATCTCTACCCCCAGAGTGGAAGTGATTGCAGCAACTCTTGCAGTAGAATTGGGGGCAGCAGCAGGGGAGGAGAGAAGAGGCTATTAGCAAATCAAAGGAAAGAAAACAGGGGAAGGAAAACACAGTAGCAAATTAAAGCACTATGTTTTCTTTTTAAAAATCCAATTAAAGGGAAATCTGCTTTTGAGTAAAACAATCATGCCCTTGTTACAAAGTATCCCAGGAACCCTCAAGATAGGCAAAACCTTTTTAATCACATTTTTTCTCATTACAAGTTGGCTAATAGGAACATCATAGTAATTCCCCGTTAACTCTTCCACTTTTCACACCCGCACAAACACACTGGGTTATAACAATGCTCTTATTCTATCTTTGTCTCAGACACATTCTCAAGCATGTTGGTTTACTCTCTCCTTAGAATATCCCCGTATCCTCATTCTGATATGCAAACGTATCCTCACCTACAGACCATTCTTTCCTCCTCTCCTCTCTCATGCACGCGTGCACACACACGCTGAAACGCTATATACACACTATATATGCATATAAACATATATGTTCTCCTTTTAATTCAATACTAATCCAGTCATTCGTATTTCCCAATTTCTTCTCAGTCTCTCATACAGGTCCACGCAGTGAAGCCCAAGGGAGATACTTACCTCCATAGCCTGCGGGAAACTTCATGAAGTGAGAATAATTTCCATACATGTTTACTCGTCAGTTCATGTTCCTCTCCTGTGCAGCTTCTAAATATTACCGCCTCTCTCGGCTCCCAGGCACAGCCCGGCTTTCTTCAACTTGGGCTAACAAGAGTGGTCATCGCTTCCTAGCAGCCCGGGGAGCACAGGCTGGGCCAGCCCTCTGGGATTAGTCAGGAATCTGCCTCTAGATCGGAGAGTCCACATAGTGCGTTTGAGACGGCTGTGGCGGCAGCAGCTGGTGCCTGTCAGTAATCACGCATAATGCTGCCGCCGCCGCCGCCGCCGCCGTCACCGCTACTCTTGCCACCGCCGTCGCTGCTGCTTGAGATCCTGTTGCTAGTTTGATTAACTCAGGGTTGGGCTGCTGCGTGCGACTCTTCCAGCTCCCGGCGCGTCCCCAGAGGTCCCTACCGGGTGGCACGATCTATTATCTAGGAAGCCAATCGATGTATGACCGCCCGGTGTAGGTCAGGAGAGAGGCGGGAGACGGCAGGGGATGGAAGACTCTTTAGGTGCCTGTTCCTTGACTTACATCCACAAAAATCAATGGGATTTTATTAAAATGCATTTTCTCATTCGAACTTCTATCTGTCCAATGTACTTGGTATTTGATCTGTGAAAGGAGGAGGGGGTGGGGTTCAAGAGAGAACAGGGCCCTTTCAGAAGCACAAGATTAGAAAAGCGTGATACTCAATCTCCAGCTACGGAAAACTAAAATAGAGTAGCCCTTAAGTTGAGGTGGGCCTCTCCTGCTTGGGTGGCCGGAAGCATTTATCTGTGCTCTAACAATGGGAGTTTGACAAGTGCAGCTGGAGCCAGAGCTCACTCAGGTGGAAAACTTACAGGTAGGGAGGAGGGGTTGGCTTGATGTGGAGGTCTTTCTCTGCATTTATTTTATATACCATTGTTATCCTGCCGCCTGTTCAAAAACACCACTGGGTCCTCACTAACACAGAGCCTGTCTTGTGTGGAACTGACCCGAGATCAAAGAATCTAAGCACCCCGTTGATGTTTGGGTCTGTCATACAGTTTTCGTGACAAGTCACCGCTCAGCCTATACTTGAACACCTCCAATAATGGGGAGCTCACCACTTTCTCATTCCATTTCTAGATAGTTTTCACCACAAGAAAGTTTCTTATAGAGATAAAATCTGCTCCTTTTCCCTACAGCTTCTGCCCACAGGTGCTAGACTGCTCCCAGGGGCCACACAAGAGAAGCCTGAAAGACAAAAAAGTCTTTCACAGTGGGATCCTCTGCAAATCCTGAGATTGATCTGCTGTGCCCATAATCCCCCTTTCCCTAGGCATCTCTGGCTCTTTCAGTAATTCTATGTATCACCAAGGGTTCATGTCTATTCCCAACCTATCCTTTTTCTAATAATGTACTTCAGTTTACATAGATACCCTCACAGTGAGGAAGGGGGTTGGCCAGACTTGGATGCAATACTCCAGATATGGTCCAAACCTTTTCCTCATGGTATATGTGTTGGCACGGTGATGGGGTGCTGTCAACATACCCATTGAAGGTCCGTTTCATGGGCTGAGCTCTGTTGGGCTGGAAAAAAGATAAGAGATTTTCTCCTGATGCAGCATAAGACATAGAGAGCCAGAGAGGTAAGTCAAATCAGGGTCCCAGAGTAAAAAATCAAGATTCAAATGCTAGGAGAAGCCAAAACAAAAACGTAGAATAAAAGACCAGAGTCAGGAACAAAGTCATGATGACAAAGGAGGAGGCCAAAATGGGGAATCAAAGCAAAAGCATGTCACAAAGGAGGAAGAAATATCCAGGCCTTCACTGTAAAGAGCTTTGGAGAGCCCAGAGCTGCCTTGACTGTTGCTGGGATGAGAGTCCAGTGGACATAAGTAATATAGAATACAGGAGGACCATTTGCTCACTTGCATTAGGTGGGCAGCTCTGCATGTTAATTCATGTAGAACTAACTCGATAAAAATCTCCCCACCCCTACCTCCCCTAAGTTGTGTTCTCTTATGCATATTCTTCATCCCATCCTTGGGCAATTGGTTTTGGGACCTACATGAAATGCTTCCTATATTCCTCTGAAGTTAAAACTTTTTGGCTTCATTCATCATCCCAAATCTTTTAGGATCCTGCTTCTGTTGTCCAAAATATTTCTTATTCATACCCTTATTTCATGACTTCTGAAAATCTGATGAACTGCTTTTTCATATCTTATTCGACTCATTGATAAAAATGTTGACATAGACATAGCAAAGACAACATCTTATATCACTAAAAAGTCCATTCATTAGTGCCTTAGACACTTTGCTCTGCTACTCACTAGTTATATGGCCTTGAAAGGCTATATGTATAGTAAAAGCACCAACTCACCAACTCACAAGCCAACATTGCTGGGTACAAATCCCTGTTCCGCTGCTTACAGCCTCATGATACTGGCAAATGAGTAAATCTCCCTGAGCCTCAGTTACCTTATAGGGTTACCATGAGGATTAAATGAGTCAATACATGTTAAGCACTTGAAATACGCCAGATAAATACTAAATGCTCGATACATGTAATCTAATTTGAGGCAAATGATGGGGAGGAGGAGGAGGTCAAAGAGGAAGAGGATGTAACCTTAAGCAAGTCACTTTATGGCTCCTCTCCTTTTTCTCATTTGTAAAATGATGGAGCAGAGCTACATGGGTTCCAATATCATCTTCAGCTTTAAAACTGAACGCAGACTAATGCATCACCCATTCCATAATTGTCCATTTTCTCCATAGTGGTATCTGAAGCAAGTGTCTTACAATCTACAGTTTTCTATTGTACGCATGTCAGAGAAGGAAATGAGTTACTTAAACTGTTTTTTTGTGTGTGTGTGAACCCATGTTTCAAGGGTTTTTCCAAGTACTCAAGTACTCAAAAACCATTCTTTAAAAATCACAGTCTACAGACTTGTCCAAGGTCATTGTCAAGATGATCTGTTGGTTAAGCCACCAACAGATAGACTCTTTCTTCACCTTTTTCTAAGTTCAGTACATTGTCTATTTCTTTTCCTCACAGAAGAAAAACCAAATCCTAACCTGGCATGGAAAAGGCTCACCATTTGTGGGGTGTCTCGGCCTATCATGTGAGCTCTATGTAGAGGAAAGTGCTTTGGGGCAGTAATCACAAGGCTTGGGATACACACTCTCTGGGAAAAACATCCATGCTGCCAGCCTCACTAAGGTTTCTGGATTTAGTTTTGATTTTGTGGATCAGATGTGTTGAGAGTTGGGCACGTGCTCATTTTTACACTGCGAAGTTCTATACAATGGCTTTGTAAAACAAATGCAAAGAATTAATATTTTCCTGATTTTCTTTCCTCCCTTTCTCTGAGAGTTCCTTCTGATCTGGCTGTTTTGCCCACTGTAGGGGTACGGTATGTTCATTCCAACTTCCGGTTTGATATAGTTTGGATGTTTTTCCTCTCCAAATCTCATGTTGAAATGTGATCCCTAATGGTGGAGGTGGAGCCTAGTGGGAGGTATTGGATCATGGGGTGGATCCCTCATGAATGTCTTAGTGCCATCCTTTTGGTGATGCGTGAGTTCTTGCTCAGTTAGCTCTCAGGGGATCTGGTTGTTTAAGAGTTTGGGACCTCCCCCTCCACTCTCTTGACCCCTCTCTCACCATGTGACACACCAGCTCTCCCTTTGCCTTCCACCATGATTGAAAGCCTCATGGGCTTCACCAGGAGCTGAACAGACACTGACACCATGCTTTTTTTTAACAGCTTGCAGAACTGTCAGCCAATTAAACCTTTTCTCTCTATAAATTACCCAGCCTCAGGTATTTCTTTATAACAACACTAAAAGGACTAACACGTAGTTCATTGTTCATGCCCATTTACTTTTTCTCATCACTAAAATTCTTACCTATCATTCAAGTTCCAGCTCATTTCCCACCATGAAAACACTTATCCAAAAAGATGTCTCCCTAACCTAGGTCTGATAAAACTTATTGTCCAGTGTGTTCAGGTGACACTTAGTATGTATGGCCTTGTGGCATCCCCAGTGAAATGGCAAGGAATGGTTATTTATCTTTCCTTTGAATATGTCTTATCTTCATAACATGATTGTTAACTCTTCAAATATAGTGATAATGTATTATGTCTCTTTGTTTTCTCACCTAAGTGCTAAAACACACAGTAGGTGCTCAACAAATATTTCTGTATCAAAAATGCTTGACATAGTCAAATACATCAAAAACAATATACCAAACGGTACCCCAGTATGCTTTTCTTATGATACCTTCCATATGGCTTAATACCCCATAACAAACCATAAGCTCTGCCTAAAGATCAACAAATATGAATGTGGTTTTTTCTTTTTAACCCACTTTTTTTTTTCTTGGCACCATTGTGTCTTCCCTAAGACCATTATTGGTATAACAACGTTATCCTAAGTGGCTGGTATTTCTAACATAAGCCCTTCCCAAACAGCTCCACTGACTTCAGTCACAACTGTGTCTCCAGCTGTTACTGAATTCTCATTAGGATGTCAAGTGAAAGACCAAATGCTCAAAGTCTACAGTAGGAATTAGCTAATTCATTCACAAGAATTCTTGGCCTACTTCTTGTCAAGGCTAGTTAACTAGTCCTCTTAAATAATATGTTCTACTTTTACTAAAGCCATTAGTGCCTTTGAATAAGTGGAAAGAGCATGGATTTTGACTAGTATGTTTGGCTGTTTGACACAAATTCGGCCAATAATATCTAATATTCACCCTGGTAATCAAAGGATATAGCTTTACGTCTGCTCTTTTTTTCTCTTTTGACCCGTGGTGATATAAAATAGTATTTTGCAGCAAATACAAATGAAAAACCAAACTCATTCATTTGACAATGGCCAATAAACTTTAGCTATAGAATTTAGATGCAAATATCTCCATACTAATATTATGTATTAATATTTTTATATTTTTATAATACCTTACCTACATAATAGTACATTAAGTTTCCATGTGCTATCCCCAATACTAGACTTAAATAGGGCAGGCTTTGTTACCCCAGTTTTACAAATGGGCAATTTGAGATTAAGACTATGAAATCAGAGAATGAAAGACAGTTACTCTAACAAATTGGGTTTTGGATCTGGTCTCACAACTAGGTAGTGAAAGAAATGGGTGTAAAAGCCAGGTCCCCAACTCTGCTGTCTAGTAAATGTGTCTTTCGTGAAATCACAATCCTTCTCTCATTAGTGATATGTTTCCTATCTATGTTTGTGTTACTGCGGATGGGGTTTCTCTATACATAGTTTTTTTTTTTTTTCTCGTTGCTGTTAATCACTTATTCACTTATCATTCAGCTAGCACTTACTGAGAGCTTATTATCTGACAACCAGCAGGAATATACTAAGGGGAAAGATAGATATAGTCCCTTATGCATCCCAATAGAGGAGATGAATATTAAACAAATATTCGTAGACAAATATATACCAGCATAAACCATGATAAGAACTATGAAGGAAAATAATTGGATGAGATGAAAGACTATAGCAGGGAAATCTCATTTAAATTGGGAGGTCAGAGCAGACTTCTTTGAGAAAATGGCAGTTACACTCAGATCTAAAGGCTGAGTAGGATCCAATCTGGGGAAGAAAGCAGGAGGATGAGGAGAGGGTGGACCAGAAAGAGAGAACAATAGGTCTAACAGCCCTGAGGAGGGACTGAAGTCAGTGCATCCGAGAAGCTGGGGGGTAAGAATGTTCAGATCTCCCATGTGAGGTGGTCTGGCCATCTAACATGAGCCATCTGACACAGTCGGGCCATCTAACATGGGAGATCTGAACCATCTAACATGGGAGGTCTAACCATGGTCTGGCCATCTAACATGGGAGCTCTGAACATTCTTATCCCCTGCCCCGCCTGCAGTGAGTTCCGCTGTTTCATTGTCTCACCTATGATTTTTTGCTTGACATGCCCATGTCAACTTTGGGCTCTGTGCTGCCAGAAAACCATCCTTCCTGGCTTTGCCTCACCTTCACTTGCTGGTCAGATCAATGACTCGCCATTTTTCTATGACACTCCCCAGTAACTCACCACTCTCGTGTCTCTCAATATGTTCCTTCTTATATGATTATCATGACTGCACCTGAAAAACCCTCTTACTAGATGACTAGCAACTGAATCCAAGTCATTTTTGTAGCTCCAAAAGCCTTTAACGCCAGAACCTAACTCATAGTAGAAACCCAGTAAATACATGATGAATGAATGAATAAAAGTTTGTTGATTATGCTGAGATATCCTGATGTCAACTCCAGGTCACTGGGCATAAGGAAATGAGTGTTCCCATTCCTATGTTCCAATAGTTTTTAACAGCCCAATTTTCATTTTCATGAGCTCCTTTTTCCTGGAAGCAGACTCCTATGTGGACAGGTTCAATGCTGGCGCTAGTGCGGTACATCAGTCTTGATGACTAAGACCCACTGACGATGGAAATGAGGCACCTAAATCAGAAAGATTGATGATTAGCTTTAAATTAGAACAGTTTCGTCTATGATCCAAAACAGGACCATTTCCAAAAGGCCTGTCCAAAAACACAAATTAAATCTAAAATGTGTCACACACGGCTTAGGAACCAACAATAAGTTTGCATCATAGCTAATTGATCAAGTCACTGGTGAAACCAACTGACTGAGTTTGCCTTAAGGAAACGATTCCCAAATTTATCTGCAAGTTGAAATCATCCAGGAAGCTTAAAAAATTACTCATACCCATGTTCACCTCCAGAGATTATTCAATTAATGTGGGATTGTGGTCTGGGTTTTGGAACTACCAAAAGAACCCCAGTGATTCTAATGTGCAGATGAGTTTGTGAACCATTGACTTGCAGCAAGAGAACATTCTCATAACAAGCTAAGAAAAGCCCAACAGCAGAAAATGAGAAACTGTTTCCCTGGATAATTCCAGGGAACTAATAAGATCCACTTTACCCATCTGCTAGTACACACAATTGGGGCTTATGAGTCCAAGAAGCTCTTGCTTAGCGGGAGATATGGTGGCTATGGCCATCTGCTGTGTAGACGTAGAATATACTGACTTGAGGTTTCCTGGCACTGTGTCCTCAGCATAGCATGCTCCCACAACACTGCCTCTGCTATCAAAATCTTGCTCATTAAAGGCCAGTCCCTCTATCAAGTCTTCCCTTACAAGTAGTTAATACTTCCACTTTCTCTCAAAATTCTTACTTCTTTATTACAGCATGAATTTAATTTCCCTTAGTATCAAAACTAATTGTTAAACTGGAATCTTCTTTTGAGTTCAGGGACAATCTTTTATTCATCTTTATATTGTCAAAGAATGTGGCATTTTGCTTTGTACACAGTAAGTGCCTAATAAATGCTTATTGCATGAATGCTGAGATTACAACAATGAACAGGGCAGACGCTATCTCTGCTCTTATGGAGCTATAAGCTATGAGTTAAGGGTAACATAATTACCCTTAACTCCAAACTAGGTAACACCAGTTACAAAATTTTCAAGGTAGAAGGAACCATTGCATAGATGCCTCCATCTCTTGGTTCCCAGCCAAATGATGATCACAAAACCTTTCCTGTCATAAACAACTCCACCACAGCTGCAGTGCACATGGGAGCTCTCAGAATACAGAACAACTGTGACCACACTGAGAGAATAGGGCTGAGACCAGGGGAAAACATCTGGTCCCCTCTAGAGAGGAGACAGCAGTGCAAATATGGGACTCTCTAATCTAGACTGGGTCCAGATCCAAGGAACCCCAGCCAAAGAAGTAGATGTCAGCATTAGAGCTCAGGAAAATCTGTTCAAGTCCCTGAGAGAGAGATGAGGCAATTTAAAAATACAGCCCAGCCTCTGAGACCAAGTCATTGCCACTTGGATTTTGTTGAACGGACATGTATTAAGAACCACTGTGTAATGGCTACTGGCTACATGTATTCATGTATTCAGGTGTAGATTTGGAGGCTGCAACCCAATCACACACAGGCAAAGCAGTCTATTTTCAGATCCCACTTACTCTTGGGGAGAGGCTCTAAATATACCACCCAGTGACTGCAGGAGGCAGATTATCATTGCTGGCAGCTGAGCAGGGTGGGGCAGACAGGGACGTCAGGAGCCTCACCATTAACCTCAGCACAACTCAAAGGCCCCCACCACTTGTAGAGCTATATTTACATAAGGGCAAATGTCTATTATTTGGCTTGGTTTTCATTTAAGAGCTCCTGAGAATGGGTTTTGTATGGCAGGAAAAGCACTATGTGATGCCCTCCAAAGACCCACTGAACAAAGCATGTAGATGTCACAAGGTAGGCCTTAGGCAAAACCAACCTTGTTCTGTTCTCAGGCATTTGCATCATAAGAAGGTCTTGCAATTACATAACTAAATAATGAAATTGTCTACATGTATAACACCTGATAATTTATAATATGCTTTTGTAGCCCATTCATAAATGGGTATAAAATATTGTTAAAGCAGAATTCAAGAAGGCTACAATCAGAAATGATATTGGATATTAAGACATGAGAATTTATCTTGCCATAGTGATTTCCTCTATAGCAGGGAAGGCCTTTTGAGTAGGTGTTCAATAGAGACATAGTTTTCTTACTGCTGAAAGCCAAACACTGCATAATCCCTTCTGTAACCATCCCTATTTCCAGGCAGCTAATACCAAAAGGCCAGAAGGCATTTAGTTTTGGAAGGAATTGAGAGAAAACCACACTAACCACCAGCATTTGGATAACTCTGTCCAGTAGTGAAAATGAATAGACATAGCTGTAGGTAGAGAAATAGTTGATTGGGGAAAAGTTTGGTGGGGGGTGCAGGTACAGAAGGACATAGTCAGAATGTGTAGCAATATCAGAGTTTGAGAAACCTCTGTATTTAGTGTATTATATTAGCCTTTGAAGAAGGACTAGACCCAGTTTGGCTGGTATCAACCATGGAGTAGCATCCATGGGAGGTAGAGGAAGATGGGGTCTGAGACATTCCACCTGCAGCAGGGTGGCTCCAAGTCTCCTGGCACCATCTACATCAGACTCACCTGGAAGGTGGCTAAACACACAGACTTAAGGGGCCTGCTCCCACCCTCTGAATCAGAATCTGGGGCTTGATTGTGCCTAGACATATGTCCATTTGACAAGCTCCACAGATGATTCCCACCCATGAGCATGATGTGAGAATCACGGCCTTAGAGAATGGTATCTGCAGAAAGTCAGGTGTGAACTTGGTATGCCACATGACAGCATCAGGGATTATTTGTTGATGCCTTCTGGTTACTTTGAAGAGTCAATATTATGCCATTTTAGTCCAATTTCCTAAGTCACAGTTATTAGTAGTGGAGTCAATATTAGAAACAATTCCTTGGCAGAGAGGAAGGCTTTTCTGGCTGTCTGTGACCTCACCCACAAGCAGCTGTTAAGGATGCTACGCTATTTCTGAAATGGCCCAAACATCAGCAACTTTTGTGGTGGAATTTTAGACACATCAGCAGACTGGGATACAGACATTTAGGGGCCAGAGCCCTTCTGACGCCAAATCAAAGGCTATGTGTGAGGCTGATGTTGCACCCCCTCTCCCCTCCACAGGAGGCCACTTGGTCCTGCACAGACACCTGTGGTCCAGATCATTGGCAGGCCTCAGCCAGCCAAGACTGAAAGGGTGTGAAGGCAGAAATGGAGACTGCAATGGTGACGGAGGAGACTTCTCCTTGACAGCCTGGCAGATGAAGAGAGCTTCCAAAGACATCAGGCCACCAAAAGCAAAAGCAAAAAGGGAAGAAATTCAATAAGTAGTTCTTGAACAGCCATGGCTTCCTGACTGTTTGAGGGACAGGGATGTGCCCTCTCCATACTTCAGTGAGGGATCAGTCCTGCCTGGTAATTAAGAAAAGCAGTAATGATCAGCGCTAAAAATGAATCACCCATTTCCTGTGAAAGAGTGGGCAGAGGACTGTTTTAAAACTTCGATTTATTGACCGATTTGTCTGTGGTAAACCAGGAAGACGCTGTGAGGGAGGTGGAGGGCTGCCACCCTTCCTCCCTACCTCTCCCACCCATCCCATCCTATGCACTTCTGACAGATTAATCTTCCTAATGCACAGCTCTGATGGGACTCCTAGGACCGAAGGCCTTTTTTTTTTTTTTTAATCCTTTTTAAGAAATGGGGTCTTGCTCTATCACCCAGGCTGGATTGCAGTGGTGTGATCATAGCTCACCACAGCCTCGCACTCCCAGGCTCTTGCAATCTACATACAGTGGCATGTGCCTGTAGCCCAACTACTCCACCTCAGCCTCTGGGGTAGCTGAGGTACAGGCACATGCCACCATGCTGGGCTCTTAAGCCAAAGACTTTTAATGGCTTCTCCTTTGCCCAGAGAGATATCTACCCTGGGTTTCATCTCATTTCTCCATGCCCTTTGGCCCTCACTTGACTGAGCACATTTCAGTGTCTAGAAAAGTGCACATGTACTCTCCCATACACACTTTGCACATTCCTTGTTCCCAGGTTTTGCTCAAACTGCTTTCCCGTCCTGGAATAGCATCTTACCCACTACCCACCCTATTAGATGAATCCCATCTCATCCTTCTCTGGGCGTCCTAAATGCTCCTCTCCCTAATCCTTCCTAACTAGGTAGTCGCTGTCTCCTTCTATCTTGCTTTCCATCTCTCTGTGTGTCCCTGTGCATGTCTTTCTCTGTCTCTCTCTCTCTCTCTCTCTGCTTTTGAGCTCTCATCCCCAGCCCCCAGCCCCCAGCATCATGTACCTCTATTTCTGATCTGCACTAGCTACTAAACTGTGTAATCTTTGAATCTTTCTCAATGTGAAGCATACTCACAGACTGCTATCACTTAACCTGCTGCTACTAAAAACTCATTCCTCATGCCTTTTGCCTTTGCATTTTAGCTGATGTTTAGCCTCCACACCAAGGGCTTGGCATAATTGTAATGAGACAGGGAGCCCAGTGCCCTTCTTGGGGGCCAGGCATGTCTTTCCACCAATCTGGATCAAAGTCTCCTCTGTAGGAACCTTTCCCAAGTGTGCCCCACATCCCCCAATCCTGGCCAAAGTTGGCACCTATGTTTCCACACAAGTTTCTTACTGTGCATGCATTCTTCCTCTCCAGCACATATCACAATTATAATTAAATAACTGTCTAACCAGTAGTTTAACACCTGCCTTCCTCCACAATAGGAAGCTCCATGGGGACAAGGCCATACCTCTTTTATTCATCATTGAATTCCCAGTGCCTGGAATGTATTAATAGTTGATGGCAATAAATATTTGGTGAATAAATGAATGGCATTTATCACACTCTGCTTATAGCTTTGTGTGCACAGTGTATGTCTCATTCACTCTTCACTGTCTTTAAGAATATAACTGATATAGGACGCCCTTTGTATTCCCCCAACACTTTCAACAGTGCCTTGTCCATAGTAGGTACTCAAACAAATAGTTGTTAAACCTGTTCCTCTAATGGGCAAGTAATCTAAGGCATGTGATGGTGAGTCAGTGGCATCACATTTGATTCAAAAGAAAACACATTTAGTCCAATAAATCAACAGATAATTACTAAGCACTCTTTATGCAAAAAGTATAGGGTTCTTTATCTGTCTATCTGTCTGCCTATCTATCTGTCCATCTGTCTGCTTGTCTAGGATTAGAGAAGTGGTTGTAGAGATAGTGCAGGGTCTGGTTTTGGGTCCATCTTTGCTCCTGAGTGTCTATATGATCTTGAGTAGTTAGGGCCCTCTAAATGTCAGTTTCCAGTTTCTTCAGGCTTTAAAATGAGCATAAAATTTTTAGTTAACAGGGAAATTGTGAGGATTGAAAGAAGGGGTGTATCTGAAAGCCTTTTGTAAAACATGAAGTGTAATAACATGTATAATTATTGTGGGTGCATGATGAAAAGGAAAAGGCAACGGAGTGAAATATGGCTGTGAGGAGTCTCAGTCCCTCTCTAAGCAGTGAGGTGTGGGCCAGGAGTGCAGCATGAGGTCCAAGCTCTCTAAATCTGCCTGTCCTGACCCCCTGATAAATCTCTAAGCCTCCAAGACACAGGTTCATCATCTTGTCAAATGGGCTCCAAGGCCCCTGGCTTCCTGGGAGGAGCCGCCTTACTAATAAAGAGATTGTCTTAATAATGTGAAGTACCCGGGTGCTATGGTAACGGGCATTACATGATCTGGAGAAGAGGAGCAGCTTTTGATAAGAATAGGGAGCCTGCAGATGGGAAAAGGGGGTGGGGATGCACACAGGATGGGAGTGGAGGAAAACGCAAATGTGGATAGATAGAGTGAGCACCAGCGGGAATGAACAAACAATATTGTTGGTTCCTGTCTCTCAGAGTGGCCTCTCCTGTCTGGGCCCTGCTATCTGCGGGGTTTCTTGAACATTTCCAGATTTTTGGGTGCTACTGCAATTTTAGAACCCCATGCACTTAAACTGAGAGCCCCCATGGCTTTTTAAACACATAAGCACATGTAAAATCTGGATAAAACCAGGTTGTGATCAAAAAAAAAAATTAGAAACCCAAGTTTTTTGTATTCACCAATGGATTATTTTAACAAGTTCTCTCATAACTGTTTGAAACAGGCTTGTGACCCAAGATGTTTTCCATAAGTCCTACCAACGTGGAGAACCAGAAAATTTGTGCACTGTGAAGATGTCAATGCCAATGCCAATGTCCATGCCATGAAACTTCATAACCTTATTAAATACTACTGGTCCATCTGAGGACATGCTGCACAGCTTAGAAGGGTGTTGGTGCAATGAAAAGCACATTAGATGGGGCAAAGGAAAAAAATGTCACGCCTAATGAGTCCTTCTATGTTTCAGACACTGGACTGGGCACTTATGCACATTAGTTTCTGCCACAGAGTCTGATAGCTTGGGTCCTGGACCCAGCTTGCCACCAGCCAGCTATGAGAGCTTTGGGTTTTTTTTTTAAAGAGAAGCATATCTGTTCACAGACACTTTATTATGATTCTGTTATTAAAAGAGCTTCCTCCTCATGTGGTCACTAACTGTCTTCTAGTTAACCTTTGCTTTGGTTTTTACCTCCTGCTATTTCCTCACTTATAACTGAGGTCCTGAGCCAATCACAGTAATGAAGACAGTTTAGTTCCTTCTTGGTTTTATATTTTGGCTTAAGCTCTTTTGGTAAATATTAATTGCCGCAAAGGCAAGTTGAGTGTGACTATTTTGTGTGTTTATTTCATAGGTGTTTCTACTGCTGCCAGGACTAAAGGAGGTGGGTATAAAAAAAGAAGAGTGATTTAGATTAGGAAACTGAAAGAGTTTCCTGGCTTCCAGGCTGTAGGGTCCGTAGGAAGGTAATGCCTTAGGTGGCTATACATATCCTCTTTCTATGAATTTTTAAAGAAAAACTAGACTCTTCTTTTCCTTCATTAGTGTAAGATCAAATGTGCCTGCAGATAAAAAAGAGAACTGCCCATCATTCCTTTCAATATTTTATCTAAGTTTCAAGTAGCTTTAGATTTTTCAAAAACATTCTTTAGTCTGGAAAGAAATATAACAGAATTTGAACAATGTTGAACTTTAGACCACACAATCTTGAAGTGATTTTTATTTTATTTTACAGTATTCAATATTTTAACAAATTCTCTATGACCATGTATTACATTTACAATGAGAAAAATAATCAAAATATTTTAAAATCTTAAACAAAAATGTTCTTTAATCTTTTGACTTGTTTATTTTTGCCATTGGTATATCACAAGTCACAGCCCATTTCCTCCATACATTCTATTTCATATAGTGAGCAGCTGACAAATAATCAAACAAACAAACAAAAATAGCCTGGAATCCTCATCTCCCTGAAAAAGCCATGAGATTGAAGCCAAATATTATCAAAAAGTCCAAAGACAACAAATGTTAGCAAGGGTGTGGAGAAAGGGAATTTCTGTGTACTACTCGTGGGAATGTAGATTGGTACAGCCATTATGAAAAACATTATGGAACTTTCTAAAGAAATTAAAAATAGAACTACCACGTGGCCTAACAATTCCTCTTCCAGAAATATACCCAAAGGAAATGAAATCATTGCCTCATAAAGAGGTCTGCACCCTCATGTTCACTGAAGCCAAGCCATATTCACAATAACATATTCACAATAGCCAAGATATGGAAACAACTTAAGTGTCCTTTGATAGAAAAATGGATAAAAAACTCTAGTACATATATAGAATGGAATACTATTCATCCCTAAAAAAGAATGAGCTCTTGCCTTTTGCCACAACATGAATGCCTCTGGAAGACATTATGCTAAGTGAAATAAGCCAGACAGAGAAAGAAAAATATTACATGACCTCACTTATATGTGGAATCTAAAAAAAAAATTCACATATACAGAGATAACAAAACAGTGGTTACCAGAGGTGGGGTGCAAGTAGGGCAGATGGGGGAGATGCAACAGATATATAGGATGACACACCTAGAGATCTAGTGTGCAACATGAGGACTGTAGGTAATAAAATTGTACTGCATATAGGACTCATGCTAAATAAGTAGATTTTAGCTGATCTGGCCACAAAAAAATGGGTTACTATGTGAGATGATGAATATAGTAATTTGTTTTACTATAGAAACATTTTACTATCTCTATGTATCCTATAACATCGTGTTCTGTGCCTTAAATATACACAACAAAATGCATTAAAAATAAAAAAGCCTGGACCAGAAAACCAACATTTTATGAGCATCCCTGGATACAGCCCCTCAGAGGCCCACTCACCTGAATTACATGAGACATCTCATCCCATCAATGACTCAAACTCTTCAGTTGCCCCTCCTCCTCCTCCTCTCTTCTATACTCCCTCCCACCCCTGATCATTTAATTACCTGCTTTTCAAGTCCCTCAGAAGTCACCGAAAAGACATACCATCAATATTTTTGGATTATTACGGCCTGTCTTGGTCCTCCTCTATCCTGCTAATTTTCTGACCTTTATAAAGTGTATGCCCAGTGAAATTAGAAGACCTGGGTTCAAATCCTGACTCAGCTATTTACAACACATAGGAAATTGTATTAGTCCATTTTCATGCTGCTGATAAAGACATACCTGAGACTGGGCAATTTACAAAATAAAGAGGTTTAATGGACTTACAGTTCCAAGTGGCTAGGAAGGCCTCACAATCATGGTGGAAGGCAAGGAGGAGCAAGTCACATCTTAGATGGATGGCAGCAGGCAAAGAGAGGGCCTGTGCAGGGAAACTCCCATTTTTAAAGCCATCAGATCTCACAAGACTTATTCACTATCACGAGAACAGCACAGGAAAGACCCACCCCTAGGGTTCAATTACCTTCCACCAGGAATTACAATTCAAGATGAGATCTGGGTAGGGACATAGCCAAACCATATCAGAAATATACTTATCCTCTCTGAGCTTTCATGCTCTCATCTATGAAATATGGATGATAGCTATGAAAATCAGATTGAAAAACGTACAAAAATACATGACACCATGATCAATACATAGTAGGTGCTCAATAAATATAAGGAAGGTCTACAGCTATTCTTATTTTGAGAGGACAGTTCAACCCTAAAACCAGTCCGTGGAGTTAACCAAGACATCCACTGGATCCTTTTGATTTTTCCCAAGCAGAATCTTCGGCAGCTTAACCCCCAAGGGGTCAGGCTGATAGGGATAACTTACACAAGCCATGGCTGTCAACAGTCTGCAGTTATCTGGACCTGTCATCAATCTTAACAACAGCAGGGGGTGGTAAGCATTGAGCCAGCTCTACATGCTGTGGAGCAGTAGAATGGTCCTTTTTGTTAAGGATTTGTATTTTCCGATAGGTTCTATAAATATGGTTTAATGAACTACCATTTGCCAGGTACTGTGCTGGTCCAGAGGATGAAAGAAGTTGAAGAAATGGTTCCTGCTCTCCGGAGTGCACAGCCTAATGAATAATTTTGATATGGAAATCTGTGTTATGTGACACTGTTCTTTCATAGCTGCCCTCTCTTCCCCTTCCCAGCTACCCTTGAAGGGGTTGTTTAAGCAACCCTCATGCCCACCTTCTACTTCCTTCTCAACCCACACAGCCTGGCCTCTACATCCTTCACTCTAATAGGACCACTCTTTCCAAGGTTATAAAAAAATCCCTTTGCTTCAAACTTGAATAAATCTTATCTATGTTTATTTGCAAGCGTGACATCACTCAACACAACTGACTATTCCCTTCCTTTCCTGAAGCAGGCTCACTTGGCCTTCCTGGCACAAGTCTCTTCAGATCCAAGTGTCAAGGGGCCCACTAGACATTCACACTTGGATATCTCATAATCTTCTCACACCTAACCTTACCCAACTAAACTCACGATGTTCCCTCCAAACCTGGTTTTTCCAGGGTCTGCTATTCCCAGATGGTATCTCGACCCAACCAGGTTACTCAGGCCGGAAATCTAAGAGTCATTCATGAATCCACTTCCCCCTAACTCCTTATTTCTCATTTGATGCTGTGACTTTTCTCTATCTCTGATGTATTCACTTTATCCTATCATCTTCTTTTGCCTAGACTTCTGTAAAAACTTCCTAACTTCTTTCCCTGTTTCTGCTGCTAAGACCTCCATTCCATTAGCCACAAAATAACCAAAACGGTATTTATAAATCACAAATTTGATCATATTACTCCCATGCTTAAAGTCCTTTAATGATTTATCATTGCACTGAGAAATAAATTCTCTTCCTGTAACTTAATCTTCGAGGTTCCCATGACCCAGCCCCTGGCTATTTTTTCTCAACTCTAACCTCATATACTCTTGCCCTGATCACTGCATCATAGCCACACAAGCCTCCTTTCAGTGCCTAGAACACACCATCCTCTCTCCTATTCTAGAGCCTTTGAACATGCTATGCTCTCTGATTAGAAGGCTCTTACACCCACTCTTCCGGGCAACTCCAAGCCACCTTAAACCTCAGTATAAATGTCACCTCCTCAGAAAAGTTATCCCAAGTCTGCTATACTCCCTCACAAAGCCTTGTTATTTCTCTTTGTAATTTTATCAGAGTTTTATATTTACTGATTCTGTTATATATATAACATAACATATCTTGTTGTGTGTACTCCTAATACTATAAATAGCATTAGGGCAGAAACTTTGTGACCTTAATTGTCTTCTATTTAGTAAAGAAGTCTCGTAAGAAAACAGGACTATATACCCATAAAGGAAATTTGTGCTGGCTTCAGAAATTAATCAACTTACTCTTTCATTCAAAAAATATAAATAGACTTCTAAGGATCACTAGATATTTGAGAAAAATCACCATCACAAATAAATGTAGATTAACAAATAAAACACTGACCACAGGGGAAACCAAATAGAAGTGAACTTTTAAAATATTTCTAACTAGTGTGCTCAGAGATTCAAAGAAATATTACATCCATAAAACAAAAATTGGTGCTGTAAAAATAAAACATTCAAAGAGCAAACCAGAGTTATTGCACATTAAAGATGGAGTTGCTAAAGAAAAAGATCAATAGAACAACTAGACGACAAATTCAAGAAAATCCTCCAGACCCACAGATTAAAAGGACATAGGGACGGAAAATATTAGAGAAAAGTTAAGCAACATAGAGAATCAATGCCGTAGATGAACTATCCATTCAATGAGAGTTCCAGAAAATGAGTGCAGAGTAAATGGAAGGGAGAAAATAATTTAAAAAAGAAAGAAGAACAAGCAAATGCCTAGAGCTTACAAAAAAAAAATTACGAACTGGGTCCACATTTAAATATATCCCCTGGTAAAGTTTAGAAACACCAAGGATAAAAAATATCCGAAAAGTTTCTAAGAGAGGAAAAAATTAAGTTCATCACCTACAAAGCAACAAGTATCAGACCATCATTACTAAAACTATATGCTAGAAGTCAATGATCAAAGAAAAAATCATCTTAAATCTAGAATTCTAGCCAAACCAATTAAGGAGATGGGAGTAGATGAGTTTATAGAAATGCAAAGACCCAGAAAGTTAACCTCTAATGCACCCTTGTGTAAAGATCATTTGAAAGCATACTCTAACCAAGCGAAACAGACATCTAAGAGGAGAACTTGGGATCCAAAAAAAGTGGAAGTAAACCAGAGGGAAATGAATTGATATCCTATAGTAGCAATTCTCTGGAGGGCCGCCTAGAAAGTAACCAAGAAAATTAGAAAAGAGAACAGAGCTGTTTGAGAAAAATGTCTTCAAGAGTCAAGAAAATTTCCTATAGCAAGTAACTGGAATAAGAAGCTAGATGACCTCAATGATAAGGTGAAATAATAACATTATTTTGTAAGCAAGAAGAAAGAAAAACAGTTAAGAATACCAGGAAAATTAACAAAGAGCTAAAAAGAAAATCATGGAATCATGGTCTAAATATACAAAAATGGAAATATAACAGAATTCTGAGCATGAGTAGAATGTATGAAAACAGAACACATCTGACATTGATTCTGAGAGCATCCCCCTCTCGAATAAAAGAGATTTAACAACATAGAATTCATCCTCTCTCTGTGTCTAATTGCACTACTTGGTTCTGAAGAGAATACTAATTACATAATCATAATGTAAATACTGATTGATTTCCAACTTATAAAATCAACATATAAACAAAACACAAAGACTTAATGGTAATTACAGAACAGAATTTAAATATTTTCAACCTAAACAATGTAAAAGTGACAGAACAGCTAACAGGTTGTGGAGAAAGGGTGAATTTCTTATTTCATAGTGCAGAATTAGGAAATACTGTCTGAAGTTGAGATATCGAGAAAGATAGTCTTTCAAAATATAAATTAAATATATTATTTAAAATCACATAGGCAACAAAAATAAAGCAAAAGGAAAATTAGGAGGCTACTATAAACAAGTTATAAATTCTTCCTCCTCTACAGTAAAAAAATCAATAAACACTGTTTAAAGTCGAAAAACCAAGAAAAAGCAATATAAGCATTTAGGCAATTAAAGTTTGGACATAACCACCAGAAGAGCTAGAAACAGAAAAGGTTAAACCTAGAGACAGGTGACGGGGGGAAAGCGACATTTTAACTCTTGTTTTATATTGTTCTATATGGCTCAGGTACTTATGTCTCTGTGCATATATTACTCTAATTAACTAAATAGTGAGTGAAGAATATGCAAATGTAAATAAACAGAAGTTCTGGGCCAAGGGACTCAGCTACAGAGCTCTCTGAGGGAAAGGTTGTTTGAACAGAAAAGCCGTAGAGTAAGGAGCAACCTCCAGGAGCTCCCTCCCGTGAGCACCCCTCCAGGTGTTACAGAGCATAGGCCTAAAGGGCTGTAGTTGGCCACAGGCTCAAGAGGAGCCAATCATTTTAAGTGGTCTAAACTAGAGACTCTGCAGCAAGGAGAGCTGGGTGAAGGTCATATGACTTAGTGGTCAAAATTATAGACTTTGCAACACTCGGCCTTATCTGGACTGTCACTTACTAGCTATGTGACCTCAGGCAAGTGAGGAAAATAATTATACCCATCCTTGAGGGGTCTGATGTGGCTTAAATGAGCTCATTTGTGTTAAGCATGTAGAACAAAGCATAAGATGAGTGTTAGCTATTATTACCATTATAAAGAATACAAATTGCAGCTTAAGGAGGAGCCTAAGGACAACAATGAATGTGTTGGCAATTCTGTTCAGTGATGATTCCCCGTAGCTTTTCCCCTCCTTAACTATTAGAGAGACAACTTGATTTTAGCTTGGGAAAAGAGAATGCCACTTTTGGGAACAACAACTATTAATACTAATACTACTAATAAATGCTAACATTTATTGAGCATTGACCAAATGCCAGGAAGTGTGCAAAACACTTTACATAGATTATCTCATTCCATCCTCACCACCATCAGGTGAGACAGGCTTTATTATCTCCATTTTGTAGAAGAGAAAACAGAGGAATTATTATGTTGAACCATGTGAAAATGCTGTTATTCAACCATTTTTTTTTTACCTATGAACAATAGCAATTTGGAATAATTTAATTTTAGAAGCAAGTAGCCCAAGTCAGTTCTTAGCAGAACCCAGTTTCAAGCCTGTGTCCTGATATATTTCATGCTGTTGAAAACACTTCTGCAAGGATGACTGGGGAGGGCACCCAGGACAATGAACTAAGCTGTATGGAAGAAGAGAAGATACAGGAAACACAGGGAAAGTAACTTGGACTTTTTTGTGTCATGTGAAAGAGGCATTAGGCCAGATGTGGTGGCTCATGTCTGTAATCCCAGCATTTTGGGAGGCCAAGGTGGGTGAATCACCTGAGTTCAGGAGGTCGAGACCAACCTGACTAACATGGTGAAACCCTGTCTCTACTAAAAATACAAAAATTAGCCAGGTATGGTGGCAGGCGCCTGTAATCCCAGTTACTTGGGAGGCTGAGACAGGAGAATCACTGGAACCCAGCGGGTGGAAGTTGCAGTGAGCCAAGATCACGCCACACTCCACACCAGCCTGGGCGACAGAGCGAGACTCTATCTTTAAAAAAAGAAAAGAAAAGAAAGGGGCATTAAAATCATTCTAAAATATTCTAATAGAGCCACAAGGTTAAATCCAAGTTTGTAGGACCTGATGCCATCAATTTGAAGGCTCCTCTTTTTCAAAAAAATTAATAAGTACATATGTAAAATTGGATATTTTCTGAATCATCTCTTAATGTGATCTTATACGTCCTTAGTCACTATGGGTGCTCTCCTCAGAAACTGCAAGGCTGTAGGCAGCCTTGCAGATGGGTTTTTATGAAATGCTTCAGGAAGCAGAGAGTGAAGGCATTGGAGGCTGCACACTTGTCAGAGTTAGGGAGAGCATTCCCGCATTGCACCCATGCAGAGACAGGGACAAACCCCATTCCATCTGGCAGCCTGGACCTGCTACAGCTGAGACGGTGGGCCTCAGGGGGACTCTATTGTTTTAATATGCAGTGCATCTCTCTTGAAAAGTCAGTGCCTGCTGAAAGGTCCCTTTACTCATCAGTGGGTTCAATCAGTGTTTTCTTACCCTAACCCCATCTTACCTGCCTAGCCTCCCTTTCTCCACACCCTCCTTCTTCTTTCATCACCTCTCAATACATCTCTGCTCCCCGAACACTTAAGCAGAGACTCAGGCTTCCTCTTCTTGTTACTTTCAGAAAATTCCGTAGGTGGAAAGAAATTTAATCGGTAATAATAATGCTTTCTATTTTTAGAGCTTCTGCCTTCTGAGCAACCCGAAGAATGCCACAGCTATAACAAAATCGGTTAAAGGGTTGAAAGGGTCTTCTAAAAGTCTTCTAGAAAAGTCTCCTGCAGTGAGGCAAAACTTCCCCGAAACCCACTTTGGGCAGGTGGTAGCCTCTCTTAATCTGACCCTAGAATCAAAATCAGCTCCATGCCTGGTACTCTCAAGCTCCAGGAACTCTCCCCATCCCAGGCAGGCCCCTTCTTTGCATCCCCTGCTTTAATTCATCTTTCCCTGAAATGAGTGCAACAAACTCTTAGTGTTCTCCCAGCCTTTAGCCTCTTCTCTAACAACCTCTACCTACCAATACAATGAACTTTCTCAAACACAGCTCTGATCATCAGACTTGGAATGCATAAATGGATATGCAAAGTGTCATGGGGACACAAGGGGGATGGGGGTTAAGAGAAAGTGTCGAAAGTTGAGATTCAAAAGATAGTAGGAGGTCACCAAAAAGGGTGGCAAGGAGGAGATATGGCAGGCAAAGGGTACAGCCAATACAAAGGATTGAGTCTTAAAGAACATGGATGTTTGAGGCACAGTAAGTAATGCACAGTGGAGTGGGGAGGGAAGCAGAGAGGAGCCAGCAGAAGAGAGGGTGGAAAGGAGTGAGGGGTCAGAGAGGAAGCCAAATCTTTTCTCTGGTGGCAGTAGAATAGTGGGGTGGTAGGAGCCACTGTGGAGCCTTGGGCAGAGTTCAGCTGAAAGACCCTGATCCCCAGAAGAATAGACATGTATCAGAGAGGAAGGCACTAAAGGAAAACATAACAATATTGCTGTTTCACCCATTACCTGGGCTCCAAATTCCTTAAACTGTCTACCCCACCCCCATATACATACACACACATTTGCACACACTTCCCCTTCTAGAAAATGTAAATGATCCTAGTTACCTATTGCAGTTTCTGAACTGCAAGGTAGTATAGAGAGTCTTAGATCTGGAGTTAAAGGGCCTGGTTTCAAACCTGTTCATATGCATTTGGCCTCACTGCTGTGCTTCGTCTTCTTTAGCACTAAAATGCAGTAGTGACACCTCCTTCCTGGAGTAGTTGAGACTATTGTTGGAAATATATATGAAATACCTAGGACAGGTCCTGGTACATAGGAAGTCTTCAGTCAATGCAATTTTAATGTAAATTTTGTTTTCTTTAAGATCATCTCTACAATACCCCAAGAGTTCCATGCCCCCTAAGCCTTTAGGTAGAAGCTATCTTTGACAGGCAAGGGACATATGTAGGCTCTAGCTAATTGCACTGCCGATGCTGCTCCAGCAAGGCTTTGCTTGGATTTTTCTGGCATGGAGTTGAGATAGGGCTAACACGTATAGAGAGCTAGGCTAATGGGGAACCCTGGGGGGTGTATTCATGTGCGCACACACACACACATGTGCATATGTAGGTACTGCTCATGCTGAAGGGAGGAGGGAAAGAGGGTTGGATAAAGCAAATGAACGCAAAAAAGTGGAGCAAAATCCAGCTGTGCAAAAGAGGGTTAAAGTAGATGAAAGCCTGGAGAGGGGATCAGCGCCCAGCTTGCGTAGTCCTCATTGTCACCTGGGTGGGCACACATGGACACTGCAGAAGGGGACTGCCCACACCCTCTCAGTGGAATCTCCCAGTTGGGCCACTCAAGTTCAAAAGGACTCCTTCCCTCAGTGCACTCTCTCCAAGCTGAAGACATTCTCCAGGGCTTAGGGCTGGGGGTTGGGCGGAAGGGAGGATAACTCCACCAGCATTCAGCGACCCGCCAATAGTTTCCAGGGCTTCCTCTGAGGAAAGGTTCTCTGAGCACATGCTTTTCCGTGACATCACTGTCAGTGACCTTTGGGGTCCAGTAGGGTGGAGTCTGAAGGGAAGGGGACAGGCCACAATTCTTTGGTCACCACAAAGGTTGGGATTGTGAGCCGCCCAGAGCTGGATAGCCGCCTCAATGAGGACAATGTCTCTTGCTGGACTGGGAATGGCTTCCCTGCCGGAGGATACTGCAGGACTATAGTGGACCTGTTGTTTTTGCTTTTTTTCTATATTAAAAAGCACATTGTTGAGCACAGAGGTCATGTGTGCGCGTGTGTGTGTGTGTGTGTGTGTGTAGAAGCGTAAAGAGTCTTGGAAAATTGAATTTTGCTTTTAGAACAAGAGATGATGATGTGGAGCAGAAAACTTACAGCCTAGCTCATAGAAAGAAGTGCATTTTTGCTTTTTGGAAGCCTGGAGAATGAAGGAAGGAGGGGAGAAAGGAGAGGAGGAGGGGAAGACTTTTGCTGGTATTTCAATAACACCAAGCAGCACTGAAAGAGATCAATATGCCCAATGAGTCCAAAGCTGATTACAGTCGAGCAAACACAGTCAACTGCCCTGTGTTCACTTAAAGTAATAGCCTTAAACACTTGGAGGAAGTAACTCAATTACCTTATTGATTTGGGATTTCAGCCACCGCCCCCATCATACAACACACATGAATACCACCACAGACCCATACATATTATTTGTTTTTGTTTTGTTTCTTTTTAAAAACTAATGTGACTGGCATGACCTGCTCCATTAGCTTGGAAAATAAATAAAATGATATCTGTTTTTCATATGCACATTAATCACTCAAGTCACCACCTGCCCAAAATGAAGGATGGCCAGTTTCACATCTCTTGGGATCTCCTCCCCCAAAACTGAAGAGCCCCAGGTGCTCACTTAGCCCAAATTGGTTAGTGTAAGGAAATAATTGAGAAATCTGATCAGTTCAGCAGCCCCCTCCTCCCACACTCCCATTTCCTGCTGTCATCTCTTGTAGCCCCTGCCACATGGGGCTGCTGATGAAACCACACAGCCCCACACAGATTGATATCTTGTCACTGCTGGGCCCATGCCTGGCTAGCCTAGACCCCTACATGGACAACAGTGTTTCTTGAGGGAGGACGATCCTGCTGCGTTAGTGTTCACCCACGCACTCATCTATTTACATTCATGTAAGGTCCGGCTGTTCCAAAGCCAGGTCCTCAAAATAGGGGGGCCTCCAATGACAGCCAGAAGCAGTCCTCCCTGGAGATTTCTCCACCGGAGGCTCCTGAGACATTCTCCTACTAACAGACCTCCGCCAGGGCCAGCAAAATCATCACAACTTATGCCACTGACTTGCAAAAGCTCAGCAGGGACTGGAAAATGTCTCAGACCCTATTGAATCCAATGTCCTTGTTTTACATATGAGGAAAATGAGGCCCAGCTGACTCAAGTGACACATACAGAGCCACACTATGACCCTGGAGAATGCTACCTTCCCAGGGGTGGGGGTGAGGTGCCAGTGAGGCCAGCAACTCTTGGTTCCACACCTGGAAAACATCAGGAGGTATATGTGGAAAGGTGGCCCTTCAGTTACCCCAACCCCATTCTCCCCAATGCCACACTTGTGCAAATGCCTGGCCACAGAGAAGTCCCACATGTCGGCCTCTGCACCGAATGCCCCACATCACAGAACCCTTAGTTCTGGGCAAACTGGGACAGTTGGTTACCCTAGACTCTGCTCTAGTGATTAGCCTCCTCTTGTGCCATAGTTTCAAACTCTCCCTCTCAACGGGCTCTTCTCTATAAGCTTGAACCTTTCCCGCATTTAAATTGTAAAAGTCCCTTCATCTAACATTTCTCTCTCCACACTCGTCACCTCACCATTCTCCTCCACTCTGCTTTTGCCTTTCCCGTCTCTCTTCTCTTCTGTCCTTTCCCATTTTTCCTCTCTCAAGTGTAAAATAAAGTCCTGCATGTGCGCCCGTGTACACACACACACACACACACACACACACACACACACACAAACTCATGTTCATCTCCCTTGTGCAGTATACTGGGTGAGAAAGGTCGCAGCTCTAGTAGCTTCTTTGGTGGCCACGTGGCAGTGTGCTGAACCTGGAAAGACTCCAGGAGTGGCAAGGCCTGGTGCTACCTAAGTACTGGGAAGGCAAGGGCTGGGTGGCAGGAAGGAGGACGAGACCAGGCTAGTCTTCCAGAAATGCCCCAGCCCCTGCAGCTCCTCTCCCTGTCAGGTGGAAACAGCCGAGATTCATCCTCATGGCCTGGGGATTCCAGGCATCCAGCTGCGGAGGCAGAGGAGACCCCCAAACCAGCTCAGTAGGTATGAGCGGCATTTGTTCTGCTGCTTCAGATGAAAAGGTCACCAGCACTTGTCTCCACCCTCCACCCCCACTGCCTGTCTTCCTCTTTCTGAAGAAAAGGTTTTTATGTTGTAGAAGCTCCTTCTTGACGTGTGCACGCTCCACCCTTCATGTCCTCACAGGAGCTGTCTGAGTGGTTTACAGGAGACCCTTTATCTTCCTGACACCCAGGCTGACAATGTGCTATATACTGAGGAAAGAGAAGGGAATGTCACCAAAAATTATTGAACACCGACTAAGTGTCAGGCATCATTCTACAAGGTAAGGATACAGTGGTGATTAAGACTGAGGTGTTCCCTGCTCTCATGGAGCTGACATTCTAATGGGAAAACAAAATATACAGGTAGACATACATAGTAATTATAGATTGTAGAAGTGCTAAGAAGGAAAATAACAGGGCATTATGGTACAGGACAACACAAGGGACTTCCTTGGGGGTAGAAGGAATTTCTCAGATGCTTTCTGAGTAAAAAGCATTTAAACTAAGGCCTGAACAGTGGGACTGGAGAAGACACAATTTGGGGTGGAATTTAAAGGCATGCTCATACAGCCCTATAATGTCTGTGTTATCGTCACCCACAATTTATGTGTCAAGGAATCAAGGATCTCAGAGATGAGGTCATGTGCCCGGCGGCATGGTTTAAGCCAATGTGATCAATACCAAAGCTAGGCTTTCTTTGTTACCTTCCCTTGCTTGGGGAATCTATGCTTGCATTCTGAATACTAAAAAGCATCTGGGGGCCGGGCATGGTGGCTCACACCTGTAATCCAGCATTTGGGAGGCTCAGGCAGGTGGATCACTTGAAGTCAGAAGTTTGAGACCAGCATGGCCAACATGGCCTCTACCGTTTTGGTAGACAACACCCTGTCTCTACCAAAAAAATACAAAAACTTTCTGGACATAGTGGCATGCACCTGTAGTCCCAGCCACTTGGGAGGCTGAGGTGGGAGAATCACTTGAACCCAGGAGGCAGAGGTTGCAGTGAGCAGAGATCACACCACTGTCCTCCAGCCTGAGTGTCAGAGTGAGACCCTGTCTCAAAAAAAAAAAAAAAAAGAGGCATCTGGGAAGCTTTTGCAATCTGGGTGTGCAGACTTCAGCTAACCCTTTGAGATCAGCATCCAGTCTTGGTAAAATGTAAGTACTGAGCACCCACTACATGCCCATGGCTGACCAATAGCGTTCTTGAAAAACAAGCCAAGGGCATAAGCAAGAGCTCAGAGATGGAGTATGAAAGGGGTACAAGGCAAGGAAGATCCTGAAGGTCAGAGTCCCTGAGCAGGGCAGCGCCACAAGGACAGAGCCAGGCCAGGCAGAGAGGAGGGGGTGCAGACTCAAGCTGGGGACTCTGTGAGTTCAGGCAAGAAGCTGTCTCTTCCAGAATACAGCTGAGGACCACAGAGAGGGACTGGAAAAGCTGCCCCACCTTTCCATGACCCAGTACAACCATGAGAAAGTAGAGGAATTGATCCAGTTCCCTGGATCAGTCCATCCATCAACATTTTCTGAATATTTAGCTCATAGGTCTCAAGTACTGCATGTAGTATGGTGAGAAATTCAAAGAGCACAGAACCATGATCTCAACCCTGCAGGAGCTGAAAACCTCCTTGAAAAGACATGTTCCTGCTTCTGAAACAACCGAACAGCACTTCGACTTGCAGCTGGTGGCACAGCCAGGTGGGCCTGGAGAATAGGGCTTCCTAAAGGAAGCAGACCCAGTGTGCATTAAGTTTTAAAGGTGGGGAAAGATCCAGATTGGCAGAGAGGTGGCAGAGTGGACATGTCATGTAAAGGACATGCCACTTAAAAGAGCACAGAGAGGCTGGGTGCAGTAATCCTGCGTTCATACCTGCAATCCCAGCACTCTGGGTGGCCAAGGTGGGTGGATCACAAGGTCAGGAGTTCGAGACCAGCCTGACCAACATGGTGAAACCCCATCTCTACTAAAAATACAAAAATTAGCCAGGCGTGGTGGCACGCACCTCTAGTCCCAGCTACTTGGGAGGCTGAGGCGGGAGAATCGCTTGAATCAGGGAGGTGGAGGTTGCAGTGAACTGAGATCGCGCCATTGTACTCCAGCCTGGGCGACAGAGTGAGACTCCATCCCAAAAAAAACAAAAAATAAAAATAGCACAGAGAAAGGCTAGCTGGAGGAGGGGCAGTGAGATCATAAGAGATGGGGAGGACCCAGCAGATTCTGGGCAAGGAAGTGACTTACTTAAGGTTCCTGAGTCACAGAATGAAAGCAATGCTTTCAAAATTATAATAGTAATTCTTTGCTTGCATGTAACATCTAGCTCAATGTTTCTGATCATTCCACATATATTATTTCACTGGAGTCTCACAACCACCCACTGAGGGAGAAAGTTATCATTGCATTTTATAGCTGAGGAAATGGACGGGAGAAGTAAAGTGACTTGCCTAAGGTCATGCATGTCAGGGAAGGAGCTGAGACTGGAACCCAGTCCATCAATCTGTGCAAAGGGGAATGCAGTACCATGAAAAGGGCACAGATTTGGAAACCAGACAGATCTTCATTTTAGTGCCACTCCTGCTGGTGACTAATAAGCCTGGGACAGGTTATTTAACCTCTCTGAGTCTCAGTGTTCTAATTTTCAAATCAGTGATGATAAACCTTAGAGAGATGCAGGTTTATTGTGAGGTGAAAGAATGATGGCTCCTGGCACAGAAAAGAATCCTACAAATATTCGTTTTCCTCCTCTTGTTCCACTGCTCCCCATTCAGGTCCTGAACAAACTAAGGAATTGGCCCAACATCCCCCTACCTCCCAGTTGTGCCGATGAAGCTCTGGGACAAGTGGTTCACCCTCACAACCAAGCAGCACTGATCTGGCTTTTGCAAAACCACGGCCCCATCCCATGTATGCAAGGGCTGTGCTGATGGCCAGACACTCAGCCACCCAGCACATCCCCATCTGAGAACATCTAAGTACTGGGAAGGCAAGGGCCTTCCCCACAGTAGTGGGAGAGAACACTGAGCTGTGGAGAGATGGGTGATTTGTGAAGCCACACATCACACTCCACTCTTTCTTGATAGAGCAGGACCAGCTGGCCGGGCATGGTGGCTCATGCCTATAATCCCAGCATTTTGGGAGGCCGAGGCGGGTGGATCATGAGGTTTTTTTGTTTTTGAACAAACAAAACAGAATTTTAAAAAAACAGCCCACACACAAATACTTGTTAGAAATCTCACCCTTGACTTATCACTTGGAATAAAAGCAATCGTTTATCCTGGCAAAGCTCTTTATTCTTTTGAAAACATTTTCATATACATTATTTCACTTGATCCTCAGAACGCCAGAAGGGAGACGGTGCAGGCTTAACTGTTCCCTTTGAACAGATGAAAACTAAATGGCCTAGCAGCTGGAGTGAGGGGGACCCCGAGCTCCCAACCTCCTGCCCATGGTTCTCTCCCTCTCCTGGAGGCTCAGTTCAAAGTCCAGAGTCCATTCACTGGCAAGCTCAACTCTAACATCCAAAATCCTCCCCATCCCACTCAGCTACGGAAACATCAGAGATGCCCTCCTGAGGCTCATGCAACTAGTGGGGTGGAGGTGGCAGTTTCAAAAAGAGACAGCTAACCCTGGGCACATCCTGCAGGTGTGCTAAATTCCCCACTCAGAACAAACGGGGGTCCCTAAGCCCCTACCTGCCCAGGAGCCCTTCCTTCCTGCTCCAATCTCCCATTCCAATCCTCTCTTAACCTGGGATGCTCAGAGACGCAGAAGACCCATTTGGAGTCAGATCCCCTGAGGTCCCTGTTAGGTCTAGCCTTCAACTTCAGCTCGAGGATTTAGGCAAGTCAGTTCACTCCTAGAACCTCAGAGATCCTACATGAAGGCCAGGCTGCTAACCCAGACTACGCGTTGACTCCTAGGTACAGTAGACCTGCTCCATCCAGCAGTATGGAGGGGCCAAGGACAAAAACAGCAAGCAAATATTTAGCTGCAACTACTAAGTGCTCCAGGCACTTAGAGTACATCCATGAACAGGCCTGACAAAGTGCCCTGCCTTCATGTGGCTTATGCTCTAGTGAGGTGAGACAGAAAACAAAGACCAAGTACATTAAAAGGTCCATAGATGATGAGTGCTGCGTGAGAAAAGAGGCACAGGGTAGTGGAGCTGGAGTGTGCTGGGGGAAGGCGGGGAGCTGTGCAGGTTACTATTTTAAATAGGATTGTCAAGAGCTTCATTGAGAGGTTGACATTTGAGCAAAAATTTGAAGGAATGAGGGAGTTGGCATATGGATATCTGGAGGAAAGGCATTCCAAGCAGAGAGTCAGCCAGAGCAAAAGCCCTAAGGAAGAGGGAGGAGGCCAGTGTGGCTGGAACAGAGGACTCAAGGGGGAGAGTTGCAGGAGATGAAGTCAGAGAGTGAACAGAAATCGGGTCCTGAGGTCACAGGGGATCCTGTAGGACATTGTAAGGACTTTAGCTTTTACTCTGAGTGAAATGGGGACATGTGCAGGATCTCACACAGAGGACTGAAATGATCTAAGTTTTAGTAGGATCAGTTGGCTGCCCTCTTGTGAACAGGCTGTAAAGCAGGGTCAAGGGTAAAAGCAAAGAGACCAGCCAGCAGGATGCTGCAGTGTTCCAGGTGTGGGGACCATGGTATCTGAACCAAGGGGCAGCAATGCAGTGCTGAGGAGTGGTCAGTTCTGGCTACATTATAAAAGGAGAGCCAGTGGGATTTCCTGAAAGGTGGGCTGTGGGAGAGGGAAGGGAGAGAGGGAGAAGGAGACAGGATCCAAGTCAGCTCTGAGGAATTGGGCCTGAGCACCTGGAAAAATGGAGATGCCGTCCACTGAATGGGGAAAGCTAGACGGAGCAGGTGGGTGTGGAAGATCAGGAGTTCAGGTTGGATGTGTTGAGCTTAAGATGGCAGGTGATGGCTAAGTGGACCACCTGTTGAGGTGGCAGCCACTGAAGCCAGCTGCCATATGCTTGCCGATAACTGCCAGGTCAGAAAGCCAGTGCCTGCCTCCTTTGCCCAGTCCCCAGCGTGGACAGCACATGAGGGAGGCTGACTTCCCCACCTCATTTTGTAATCACTGGGAACCCAGCTGTCCAGGCCTCACTCCCTGGCCCACTCTCTATCCCCAAGGTAGCTCTGAAGGCTCTGTGGCTGATGGGAAGTATTTCAGAACAAGTCTAATGATGTCTGGGAAATCTCCAAGGATGGACTAAGTTCTTAATCTGCTCCTTGGATTGAACCCCCATCCAGGGATGCCTGCTCTAGGCCTTATGACAATAAAAACTTCAGACTCAGCCAACACTAACTGAGCACCTACTGCAGGCCAGGCACCCTGTGGGGCACTTTAACTTGTATCTTCCATTTGATTCTCATCACAACTATAGATATTGTTATCCCCTTTAGAAGACGAGGCAACTAAGACACAGAAAGAGTCAAACTTGCCCAGTGTCACAGAAACAGTAAGTATAGAGACTAATATTTGAACCAGTCTTTTCATTCCAATCCTGCTGGTGTCACCCCACATAATACTTTATAATTACTCATGCTTCAAGGTCCAATTCATGTCATACCTCCTCAGTGGAATCTCTATCCATCCCCAGGTCAAGTCTTCCCTGTTGCTGCATGCTGTGTACGCCTCTTCCATGGAACCTCTGACTTTGCTGGAACTGTTGTGACCTCTGTGTGTGCTCCTTCCCAATAGGTTACACCTTTCTTGAGAACAGAAGCCACATCTTTTATCCTTATTCTGATACTCTCTCATAATCTTTCTGCCCCATAAGTCAGTGTGTTTAATATGTTTATTAAAGCTATGATATTTAACACTTTTTGCACATTCACATAGAACATTATATTTGGGTCTCACCCAGTTTGGTAAGTATGAACCACATGGGTTACATTAGCCTCACTTACGGTTGAGAATATATACACTCAGAGAGACTGAAGAATTTGTCCAAGGTCATCCAGCTAGATGGTGTGTTGGGAACAACATTCCAAGCTTGTAACACCCAATGCAGTGCCCATTGCATGGTTAGATCAAGTTCTTGATGTACTGCTTGGATCCAGTCCCTTTCCACTGAAGTCTGCTCCAAGCCTTATGGCAGTAAAAATTTCAGACTCCTCCAATACTAATTGAGCACTGACTACATGCCAGGCACTTTGTGGCACTGGCCTAAAGCACCCTAATGCTTTTTGGCATATCCTAAGCACTGGCCGGAGCCTTCAAGGTGTGTCATCTCCTCCTTTTTCTATTTCCTTGGCTTCTCTTCCTTTGTCTCATTACCATATTCCCCTCTTCATCTCTGGCTTTTAACATGATGTCCTTTTCCTGCCCAGAGCTCCTAACCCTGAGCAAGGGGAGGTAAGCTCTGACCTGGAGAGTGGCTCTGGGGAGACAGGCCCCTGTAACACATCTGGAATACAGGGTCAGAGTTGAAGCTTCTTGTTTTGTTGTTGTTGTTTAATTTTTTCCCTAGGATATAGATCCTGAAGAGGCTTCTTGTTTTAATCACCTTGCATTCACCCTGTTGGTGTGGAAGGAATCCCCACCCTAGGTCATGGGATGGCAGAACAAATGACACCTGGCACTGAACAGATGAGATAGATAGTTTATTAGTCACATATGCTCACTGCCCAGAAGAGGAAGATACCATATGCTCCACAGGACCACATGGGAGTTGCACTAGGGAACAAGCAGGGGCTTTGTAGTATCGAGAGGGTGGGGTGCTTCTCAGTTCCCACAGGAGGAGGTGATTGGCTTGTTTGAAAAACTCCACAGGCTGGCAGGAAACTGAACACTGCTACTCAGGGATAAGCAGAAACTGTGCCTGGTCCCTTTGAAAAGGAGAGTTGTTTGACTAGAAGATGTTAGCTGCAGGAGTGGAGTAGAGAGGAGAACTTGCAGTTAGGTCATTTGAAGCCTTTCCAGTTGCACTAGATATCAAGGCAGCACGTAATATTAGGCCTTACCAAGCTATCTTGCCGTCACCAAGCTATCTTTATTTTTTAATAAATTTTTATTTTGGAATTATTTTTAACTTACAAAAAATTACAAATATAGTACAGAAAGTTCCTGTACATACTTCACTCAATTTCCCCTAACGCTAGCATCTTATATAACCATGGCTTCTTTATCACACTGGAAATTAGCATTGATATAATACTACTATTACATTACCAACATTATTTGGATTTTACAAGTTTTCCCACTAATGTTCTTTTTCTCTTCCAGGAATCACCTAGGGTACCATATTGCATTTTGTTTCCTTAGTTTCTGCTGGTCTGGGACGGTCTTTCAGTCTTTCTTTTTTATGACCTTGATACTTTTGAGGAGTACTGGTAAGATATTTTGTAGAATATCTCCCAATGTGAGTCTGTTGGATGGATTTGCATGCTTAGACTGAGGTTATGAGTTTTTAAAGATAATACCACAGAGGTGTGATGCTTCTCATCATCATAGCCAGGGTGTATGACATCACTAGTGATGCTAATCCCATTGCTTGTTTAAGATGATGTCTGCCAGAGTGCTCCATAAAGCTACTATTTGTCCCTTTCAATATTTTACTCTTTGAAAATAAATCACTAAGTCCAGCCTGCACTCAAGAGAAGAGGATTTAAGCTCCACTTTCTGAAGGAGGAATGGTCTACCTATACTATTGAAAACTCTTCTGTAAAAAATAATTGTCCCTGCCTCCCTCATTTATTTATTTATTCAATCACTTATTTAAGCCTGCATGGGCTAGTGAATATATAACATATATATATATATATATATATATATATATATATGTATATAGTTGTTGTTGTTATAATACAAGCCTATCATCATTTATTTTATTGCTTAAATTCTTCATGCTCTAGGTGGTGTAATTAGGTGTAATCTAGATATAAATTAGTACAACTACTATAGAACACAGTATGGAGATTCCTTAAAGAACTAAAAGATTACATAAAGAACTAAAAGTAGAACTACCATTCAATTAAGGAATCCTGCTACTGGGTTTCTACCCAAAGGAAAGTAAGTCATTATGTGAAAAAGACACACGCATGTGCATGTTTAAAGCAGCACAATTCACAATTGCAAAGATCTGGAACCAACCTAAGTACCCATCAACCAATGAATGAATAAAGAAAATGTGGTATGTATACACCATGGAATACTACTCAGCCATAAAAAGGAATGAAGTAATGTGTTGCAGCAACTATTCTAAGTGAAGTAACTCAAGAATGAAAAACCAAATTTCGTATGTCCTCACTTATAATTGGGAGCTAAGCTATGAGGATGCAAAGGCCTAAGAATGATATAATGGATTTGGGGGACTTGTGGGGGAAGGTTGAGAGGGGGTAAGAGACAGTGCACACATTGCTTGGATGATGAGTGCACTAACATCTCAGAAATCACCACTAAAGAACTTATCCATGTAACTAAAAACCACCTGTACCCCTAAAACTACTGAAATAACATTTAAAATTTCTTTTTTTTTAATTCTTCCAGCTCTGGCCATTGGGAACTCCTTCAGGTTGGCTTCTGTGTCCTTTTGATGTACCTTAATTTTTTGTTTCCTTAGAACTTCTTTGCTTTCCTTAGGGGTTCTAAAACTATAAGATGCTCCAGGCTTATCTTGTATTCCTGCTCCCCCTAGAATCTGCCATTTCTCCAAAGGACCCTAAGTTTCTTTTATCAGAGAACAATAATTAGAAACCAAAATCTGGCTTCTAGGCATGCTTATTGCTGCTGGGGTATCACTGCATTTAGGACCTCTCAGCAGACAGAGGTAGGAAATATATTCATGTGTACTAACCTACATATACACATATCTTTTTTTTTTTTTTTTTTTTTGAGACGGTGTCTTGCTCTGTCACCAGGCTGGAGTGCGGTGGCACAATCTCAGCTCACTGCAACTTCCACCTCCCGGGTTCAAGCGATTCTCCTGCCTCAGCCTCCCAAGTAGCTGGGACTACAGGCACCTGCCACCACACCCGGCTAATTTTTGTATTTTTAGTAGAGATGAGGTTTCACCATGTTGGCCAGGATGGTCTCGATCTCCTGACCTCATGATCCACCTGCCTCGGCCTCCCAAAGTCCTGGGATTACAGGCATAAGCCACCGTGCCCAGCCCATATACACATATCTATATGTCCTATATCTATCTGCCTACATATACTAAAATCAGTATGAGTTTATACCTCTGACTCTGACTCAGCAGCACAAGATTGAGTCTAGCTTTCCCATCTTGTTTATTTGTAACTTGTTATCAGTCTATCCATTTCTGTTTGCCTTTATTCTCCTTAATCTTCTACTAGTGTTCATTTTAACTTGATTTCAACTGTAAAAATCCTTTAGGGTTGGGCAGAGTTTCTTAAACTTGAGTGAACATCAGAATCCCCAGAGGGCTGGTTAAAATGAGGACTGCTGGGCCCAACCTCAGAGCTTCGCATTCAATAGGTCTAGGCTGGAGCCAAGTAATTTGCATTTCTAACATGTTCCCAGGTGATGCTGCTGGTCTGGAGACCTCATTTGGAGAACCTCTGATCTACAGAAACCCTGGACTAAGAGGCAAACCCCTTCTCAGTACTCTCATAGTCCTTTATACATATTTCCAATATCTCAGTCTATAAGAATGATTCAGTTGCATTTCTACTCCCCAGTAGACTATGAGCTCCTTGCAGGCTAGGATTGTGACTTTCTCATCTCTGTAGTGCCTGAACCTGGCAAAATGTCTGGCACACAGTAGGTTCATATTAAATATTTGTTGAATGAATAAGTACAAGTTTCACATGTGTACCCCATCTTTATTTCTGCTAAGCAGAAAGGAGTGCAGGAAAGGTCAGAGATGAAAAACTGAGATCCATTTGATCTCCTCATTGCCTTCCTCTTCCTCTGATGGCAGAGAGAGGAGAGAAAGAGAGCCAGCAAGGTTAGGATGGGGTCAGAGCCCACTGCCCCCACCTGTTTAAGAGCTTGAAGTTCTTAAACTTGCTCTTTAAAGCTTGAAGGCATTAACTTCAGTGAAACTTCAGGGATTTTAATATCAGAGCAAGTATCTAAGAGGGTATTTCTAACTTTGAAGCCACAAGAAGGAAAAAAATATATATATATAAATATATATTTTTATATATTAAATATATAATATATTTATATATATTTTAAGGTTCATATGGATGATTTTTATTACATATCAGAATTAACCTATTCTTTCTGTAGAAATGAAAGTGAGAGTCAATAGGTAACTATATTATATACCAATCTATTTTTGTCACAATTTATTTTATTTTATTTTTTTTTAATTATACTAAGTTCTGGGATACATATGCAGAACGTGCAGGTTTGTTACATAGGTATACACGTGCCATGGTGGTTTGCTGCACCCATCAACTCGTCATCTACATTAGGTATTTCTCCTAATACTGTCCCTCCCCTAGCCCTTCACCCCTCAACAGGCCCCAGTGTGTGTTTTTCCCCTCCCTGTGTCCATGTGTCCTCATTGTTCAACTCCCACTTATGAGTGAGAACATGCAATGTTTGGTTTTCTGTTCCTGTGTTAGTTTGCTGAGAGTGATGGTTTCCAGCTTCATCTATGTCCCTGCAAAGGATGTGCACTCATCCTTTTTATGGCTGCATAGTATTCCATGGTGCACATGTGCCACAACAAATAAACATGATAAAATCATATCTAGTTAATGTGGTGGTATATCTTACCTAAGCATTTATGTCTATAAAAATGAATTTATGTGATTATCTGCTTTACATTTTAGTATCAAAAGAAGTTATATGTATATTTTAAAATAAACCACACCTGTGGCTAAGCTTAGTGTCTGAAATGGTATCACCAGAGTAACTGGCAACACCTGTACTAGTGGCACACTGTGACTCCAGGTTTACATAACTCAGCGGACTCCTCAAGTTTCTGTAAAGCTAACTGCAAGCCTATACCTCTCAGAGAATAATATTTTTCTTAAAAGTTTCATTGCTTTCTTCAAAAAGTGTTTGAGCATGACTATGTGTAAAGCATTGGCCATGGAGGATACAGTATGATCCCTGTTCATGAGAAGCTAACATTCTAGATATTAGCTAATACTCTAGATTCAACAAGGAAAGTGATCACACCTTAAGAAACAAACGCAGGCCGGCGCAGTGGCTCACACCTGTAATTCCAGCACTTTGGGAGGCCATGGCCGGTGGATTGCCTGAGCCCAGGAGTTTGAGACCAGCCTGGGCAACATGGCGAAAACCTGTTTCTACTAAAAAATACAAAAAGTTAGCCAGGTGTGGTGGCACAATCCTGTAATCCCAGCTACTCTGGAGCCTGAGGCAGGAGAATCGCTTGAACTGGGAAGGCAGAGGTTGCAGTGAGCTGGGATCCCTCCAGCTGCACTCCAGCTGCACTCCAGCCTGGGTGACAGAGTGAGGAGAAAGAAAGAAAAAAGAAAGAAAGAAAGAAAGAAAGAGAGAGAGGAAGGAAGGAAGGAAGGAAGGAAGGAAGGAAGGAAGGAAGGAAAGAAGGAAAGGAAAGAGAGAGAAAGAAAGAAAGAGAAAGAGAGAGAGAAAGAAGAGAAGGAGAGAAAGAGAGACAGGAGGGAGGGAGGGAGGAAGGAAGGAAGGAAGGGAAGAAGGGAGGGAGGGGAGACAGGGGAGGGAGGGAGGGAGGAAGGAAGGAAAGAAGGAAAGAAGGAAGCAAGGAAGGAAGGGAAAGAAAGGAAAGAAAGAAAGAAAGAGAGAGAAAGAAAAGAAAAGAAAAAAAGAAAGAAAAGAAAGAGAGAGAGAAAGAAAGAAAGAAGGAAGGAAGGAAGGAAGGGAAGGAAGGAAGGTAGGGAAGGAAGGAACAATACTCCGAGTATATGAAAGAGGGCTATGATGTAACCGTTACTTTGATAAATATCAATGTTAGAAGAGGTCTGACATTGACTGACAAAGACCCAATGTCTCCAGACACCTGTGTTAAGTCCTAAGAAGAACGGGGAGGGAAAGTAGGGGAGGGGAAAGGAAGTGACTTGGGAAATGAGCAATAAAAGAGAGAAGAGTTTGGGCCCAAGATGCCTCTGGCTATGGTTATTTCTTGTGTTCCAAACAGCTGGCTGTGTGTTTGGAGTTCTGGATGACTCACCACGTAGGAGGAGTGCTGCGGGAAGAAAGGAGAAAAACCACAGAGGAGGGAAATCCCCTTCAGCATCCTTGGGGTGTGGCTGTGGCATTCTGTCTCAAGGCCTCACACAGGCCAGCTAACATCTCGGGCTTCAGTGCTTGGAAGCCATTTAGGGGTGATTTTAAGACTCTTCCAGAAACCCAGGGGCTCATCCAGAGAGGAAAGGGACTTCATTCAGCTTCCTTGCTTATAAACCTAAGCAACCATGGGTGAAGAATCCCTGCAAAGAAAGAAGAAATATATACTTGTCAAAATGGAGATGTTCGCTTGAGTCTTCCTACCAGGAAAAGAAGAGGAAGTTGGGGGGAAGGAAGAAGACTAGCTTTGAGCATAGAATTTCATACATTACAAACGGGGCTGCACTGCAAAACCACACAGCCCTGTGATTTAAGCTCCTCGTGTAGTCTCAGTGAGTTCCTGGGTCTTCTTATAGACTGATTTGTATCCCCCTGCCTAAATTCCTATATTGAATCTTAAACCCCAGTACCTCGGAATGTGACTATAGAGATAGGGCCTTTAAAGAGGTGATGAAGCTCAAATGAGGCTGTTGGGGTGGGCCCTAATCCAATGTGACTGGTGTCCTTATAAAAAGAAGAGATGAGGACACAAAAAGAGGCACGAGGAACAAGAGTGCACAGAGAGAGGACCCCATGCAGAGGCAGCAAGAGGACTGCCATCTGTAAGCCAAGCAGAGATGCCACAGAGGAAATCAACCTTGCTGGTACCTTGAGCTTGGACTCCCAGCCTCCAGAACTGTGAGAAAATTGATTTCTCATGTTTAAGCTGCCCATTGTGAAACTTTATCATGGCAACCCTAGCAGACAAAACACTGGGGAAAGAGCTCCCATACAATTTGAATGTGGTGTCCCGGGAGGGCCTCAACACATGCCAGCTAAATCACTGCTGTTTCATTCCTACATCACAACCTGACCTCAGACCATTACTACAAGATACTAACATTTGAGTTTTCCCACCTGCCAGACACTATATTAGGCTGCTTTCTCACATATTACCTCATTTAATTGTTAATGCAAACCTGAGGCTCAAAAGAGGTTAAGTAGTTTCCCCAAGTGTATTAGTCCATTCTCACAGTGCTATAAAGAACTATTTGAGATTGGGTAATTTATAAAGAAAAGAGGTTTAATTGATTCACTGTTCTGTAGGCTGTACAGGAAGTGTGGCTGGGAGGCCTCAGAAAACTTAATCATGGTGGTAAGCGAATGAGAAGCAAGCACGTCTTACCATGACAGAGCAGGAAAGAGAGAAAAAGGGGAGGTGCTACACACTTTCAAACAACCAGATCTTGTGAGAACTCAATCCCAGCACTTTGGGAGGCCGAGGTGGGTGGATCACAAACTCAAGAGATCGAGACCATTCTGGCCAACATGCTGAAATCCCATTTCTACTAAAAATACAAAAAAAATTATCTGGGTATGGTGGCACGCACCTGTAGTCCCAGCTACTCAGGAGGCTGAGGCAGGAGAACTGCTTGAACCTGGGAGACAGAGGTTGCAGTGAGCTGAGATCACACCACTGCACTCCAGCCTGGCAACAGAGCGAGACTCTATCTCAAAAAAAAAAGAACTCTATCACAAGACAGCACTAGCGGGATTGTGCTAAACCATTAGAAACCACCCCCATGATCCAATCACCTCCCACCAGGCCCCATCTCCAACACTGGGGTTCACAATTCAACATGAGATTTGTGTGGGGACAAAGAGCCAAGCCATGTCACCAAGATCATTGAGGTAGGGCATGCAGGACCCAAGGTAGAAGCCTAGGTCTGGTTCCAGGTCTGTGGTTCTCTCTCACACCAGGCCAGGGGTATCCATGGGAGTTGTTAAAGACCAGAGATGTTAAGGACTGCATGCCACTCTCACTTTCGAAAGTCAGCTCAGTCCTCCCAGCAATATAGTCACTGGGGTTTATAAGTCCTGTGACATAGAGAGGAAAAATATGTATTAAGTCCTAATTCTATCTTTACTGGACCTTTCAAGTCCAATTCTTAACTGACCACCAACACTATTTAGTAGCTAGTTATGAGGCATATATAACTCCAAAGATATTATTAAGGAATCACTTAAGAAAGTATTATTGCTTTCTGGATAATAGGCCACTTTGTTCTATTCAGCTCAGTTTGCTGAGGACAACTCTATCTGGAGCTCCTTGTCAATATCTATTTTTAATGGGATATATTTATAATTGGATGTATTTATAACCTCATTTTCATGGGCACTTGTTTTCTTTCCAGAATCACACAGGCATTTTAATAGATTGGCTAAGGCAGTAGAGAAGTGACTAGAAACAGTTTGGGCCTGATTGTCTGTGAAACCTGAGAATCCTCACTCCTCCAATGCTGGTGCCTGTGACACTTTGGGAAGACAGCAACTTCACCACTGTGCGCTGGTTCTGATTTCTATAAAAGACATACATCCTTCCTGGAAGGGACAGAGGACACCAGGGTGATTAAAAGTTTTAGTACATACTGAGAGGAAACTTCAGTGGAAATTCCTATGATTTAATTCAGTTTGGCAAACATTTATTATCCATCTATTACATGCTAAGCACAGATTCATTGACTGAGGTATGTTAATTTTAGCAAAATTATTGAACATAAGCATCAGAGCTGGAAGAAATCTTAAGAGATCATGTAGTCAGATACTCTCACTTTAGAGATGAAGAGCATGAAGTCCAGACAGGGGAAGTGGCTTGTCCAAGGTCAAATCATTGGTTCCTGGCAGGCAAGGAGCTAGAATCTTTCTGAATCCTAGCCCAGTGGTTCCAATATACTCTACAGCAGTAAGACCCTTATCAGAGTATCATGTCCAACTTAGTTCACCACATTGTGAAAACCATGTACACATCTGGAAGAGATCCATAAAAAATAACCGAAATTGCCACAGGATGGAAAATAGATTTTTTAATTAAGTAGCAAAGATTCCAGCTGAATATGAGGAAGCAGTTTTTGGCTACCAGGGTTATGAAATATCAAAATGAGCAAATCAAATGAAAGCACATCCAAAAATTTTCAAAAGGACAAAAGATAAGCATCTATTTTCGATTGTTGGAGGGTCACCTGCCCCCAAACAGGGTGCTGGAACAAATAATCTCTCAATTTTACCCAGCTCTATTCGAATTCATTTATGATTCTATGTGCCTTCTATAAGGCTTTTGCCAAACAAACTGCTGTTACTGCATCATCGATCTTATCATTTGTTGAAATTTCCTCTTAAAACCATTTCTTTGCCCTCTTGTTTTTGTTTTATTTTGTTTTGTTTCTTTTTTTTTTTTTTTTAATTTCGAAAAGACTTTGCAATGGGCTGAAGCAAAATCTGAGATATCTGAATTGTAAGATTTGGGGATTTTTTAAAAAATTGCCAGAGGTGACATGCTAAGAGATTAGACCCCTGACAGTAACCACAGGTCTAGGCCAGCAAAAGGTCAAGTCCAGAGTGAAGCTGGCTGACAGATACCATAGATACAGACAGGCAGGGGCCTGGAGATCAAAGCAGCATTATCAGCCACAGCAGAACTCTGACCTTAGAGCAGAATGGCCATTTGCTTTCAATACTTTTTACGTAATCTCCTAAATATAGGTCACTTGAAGTTTAAGAGACACGTCAGAAGCAGAATGGTGTCAGAGACTTGACAACCGTAGGGTTAGAGATGCTAGGACTACCTCGCAAGAGGTCATCCTGTTCATCTCCCTTTGCCTGCGAGGCCACATTAACACCCCCAAAATTGCCCTGGGTACATTCAGGAAGAAAGTTTGAAGCATTTAAGGGGCATCCAACACAATAATGAGATATCCTTCTGCATATCAAAAATGAGATAATGCTAAACCCCCACGTTATAAAGGGATCGGTCTCTACTCCTTTCTATTGTCTTTAAAGAGATCTTTAAAAGGCAACTCTGCAATGCTCCTAAATAAATGCCAACAACCACCTCCATCCCTCACTCAGACCCTCTTCAGTCCCTCTTCCCTACTCCTTCTGGGACCCATCTCAGTCTCTGTGTCTCACTGAGGTTGAACAACAACCAAATACATATTACTAGAGAATCGATCTCCCAAGGTATTGTTTCTCCCTCACAAAAACTAGAATAGGCCAACCAGCCTGCCCCTTGAACCCGTAACTATTGCTCTGTTGAGAATGAATCTTCATAGCTGTCAAATGTCAGAGTGACAGACCCTCACATCTCTGCTAAATGTCACTTGCTAAAAGTCAAGGCTGAAAGGATGTACATCATGACAGAGGCAAAGAGGAGCATATTCACCTCTTAGGCTTCCATATGTTCTTGGACACTTGCCTCCTCCTGGGCTTTGGTTTAGCTTTCTGTGTTCAAAGATTTTTGCAAAAGTACCGGATGTTAGAGAAGCAAATCAAACCTACCAAAAATCTCCAGATGCTAAATCCATTTGTTTCAAGGCTCCCCCAAAAGCTGTTGGGGAACTCACATGAAAACAGGTTCCTGTTCCAAAGAGTTGTGAGGTTTAATTCATTTCATCGGACTCAAGGCTCATCCTGAAACCCCACATCCTGTTGATGTCACTTACTTTTGTGCCAGAAGAGAGAAGATAGTTTAGACTTGATGAATTTTCCTTCCCTCGCAGCCTGTGCTGTGTTGAGTTTCTGCTTATGTTCACACCAGAAAAAAATGTTAAGAAAAAAGCTACTAGATTTTCCCTCGTTCCTCCCCCACTATACCCCAGTAAGAATTCTTTCTATATGAAGAATGTGTGTACAAGCATGCACATGTATGTTTACACACACACATACAAACACACACATGCACAACTCACAAATATTTGGCAGATACTCAAATCCTTCTCTTTAAAAGCAACTGAGCCACTTTCAAGAGACTCCAGAAAGCTGACTCCACAACCTCCAGGTAAACCTTGTTACTATTTACCTCTATGTGTTTTCCTGAATCCCCATGAAACTAGTCTCCTTGAGGGCAGGGATTCTGTCTTTATTTTAGATTCCTAACACCTGGCCCTGTGTCTATACATGATAGTCACCCAATAAATTATTTTTTGAATGAATGGAAATCTCTTCTTTATTCTGGAGACCATCCCTAGCTACTTTCCTAAATATCTTCAGGAGCATCTTTACCTCCATGGTGCCCAAGTCACACCTCTATATCTAGGAAAATCAGAACAGAAATTTCCAAAATAACATTAGGATGCTGTGTGGCTAGTTAGTATCAAAGCCAAATTCTTATCTAGCACTGTTATGCCATATCTCCAGTTTGAGTGTGCCATCTCTTTCCTGCAGGGACCTAGACTCATACATTCACCCCAGGCTCCTTCTAGCTGACCCAAAGTAAACAAACAAAAAAGTTTCCAGGAGGTGTTTTCAATTACATCTGCCTTGCATATAGTAAGCGTTCAATAAATATTAGATTAAATCATAAAATCATATTGTCAATAACCTCTATCACCTCCAGCTATAGGTAAGTAAATTATTTTCTCTGAATTTTAAAAGTTTGGGTTAGAACATGAGAGATTTTAAGAAATAAGAATCTTATTTTAAGTTGACAAGTCATTTCTTATTAGATCCATGGTTCTCAATGTTAGCTGCATAATAAAAAAGTATTAAGCCTGATGTACTTTTATAGTAGTAATCCTTCAGCCCATCCCCCCAAATTCTGATTTAATTAGTCTGAAGTGGATTCCAGGCACTGGCAATTTTTTTATAGCTCCCCAGGTGATTCTAAAGGGCATCTAGGGTTGCAAATCACCGTTCTTGGCAGAACCCAGCTTCTCCTTCCCAGGGGTGATAAATCTCTGCCTTAGCCATAATGAGGTTGCAAGGTGAAGAGAAGAGTGTATGGATTATTGGGAGAAAAGATACCCAAAGAAGTATTTTAAAAATATTTCCCTCTTAAACATAAATTTGTTGAATATGTAAAATGAAATAAAAATGCTAGAGCAATAAGGTCACAGCAAAAAAGTTCCCAGCTCAGAGCCCTCTTTTACAGTCAGGTGCAACAGTTCTCAACCAAGCTGCCTGTGAGACTCAGCTGAGGAACATTTGAAAATATTAGTGCTCTGGGTCCACTCCAGACCAATTCTATCAGAATCTCTGGGGTGGGGCCCAGGCATCAATGTATTTTTTTTTTAATTCCCCAGGTGAGTCTAATGTGGTCAGAGTTGGGGACCATTAGTCTGGATAAGGCAATTTTCTAAATATCTTGAAATTTGGATCATAGATTGTTCCTTTTCTTAATACAAGAAGACATTTAAATTTTTATACATGGACCTGAACACCTTGAAGTTTTGTCTATAAAATGTGATTAAATGGTATTTTGGGTAAGCCTGGCTATGAATTTTAATTGGAATGTGGCAAACAGGGTGAGCTGGATAAAAAATAGTAAGTTTCCATGGATGGTTGCTGACATGCAATGTAGACATTTAGTTGATAACCAGGTATCTTGTAGGGTAATGCTGGCACATGTCTGGATGTGCCCTTCACCCAAAATGATGTCTCTCTTGGACGCATGGCTCCCACATGAAGTGTTATGTAAAAAAATGTTTCTCTGGTAGAAACGTATCACCAGCTAAATATTCGTAGAGAGGGCCAGGCACGGTGGCTCATGCCTGTAATCCCAGCACTTTCGGATACTGAGGCAGGTGGATCACTTGAGGTCAGGAGTTCAAGACCAACCTGGCCAACATGGTGAAATCCAGTCTCTACTAAAAATACAAAAATTAGCTGGGCATGGTGGTGCAAGTCTGTGATCCCAGCTACTCGGAAGGCTGAGGCAAGAGAAGCGCTTGATCCCAGGAGTTGGAGGTTACAGTGAGCCGAGATCACACCACTGCACACCAGCCTGGGTGACAGAGTGAGACTCCATCTCAAAAAAAAAAAAAATGTAGAGAGTATTTTCCATTTTCCCATTAACAAGGTGAATCAAAGTAGTGTGCAAGGTTTCCAGAGGAGAAACAGAATTCAAGCATGCTAGGCTGACAATGGAGAAGCAGAAAAGGAGCCAGTGTTTGACTCAAAGGCCCAAGCATAATAAACATGTAGACTGGTCTGAAGATCATGCAGAAAGCATCAGTGTATTGGCCATTGAATCACTGTTTTCCTTAAAATGAAATCCATTTCTTAAAATTACTTTGTAAACTAACATTTTCAAGTATACTTTTAATTTATGGCAAAACCACAATAAAGAGAGGCAAGTTAGTGTGACATAAGGGCATTTATTAAGAGTCAGGTTTTGACACTAGCTACGTGACTTGGGCAACATTTTTTATCTCAATATCTGGGTTTCCATTTCTTCATATGTAAAATGAGTCTAGTTTGATTCTTCTCAACCTTGGTTGATCAGCAGAATCCCTAAGGAGGTGTTAAAACATACCACTTTCTGGGTATCTCTCCCAGATAGTATGATTTAACTGGTCTGGAATGGGGCCCAGGCATCAGTATTTCTAAAATATTTCCAAGTGAATCCAAAGTGGGCACAAGCTGAGAAGCATTGCACTGGATGAGCTCGATGCTCCTTTCAGCTCTCATCTTCCTTTGGCTCAGGAGTCTTCGCTTCTGGGAGTGTCTGAGCCATTGGAAAACTTAGTAACCAATGATGGATACATCCCACAACACTTGAGGCTCGTACTTTGCCTCTTAAGAGGGTCACCATTTCTTTTTTTAAAAAATGAATATATCTATCCATCAAGTTAAAAAATCTAAAGCAGCTTTAAAAATAGGTTTCGAAATATGCTGTGCCTCTGACATTTTGTACTGTCCTGAGAAGATACTCAATAGCCCTTCCCATAGTGTCACCAAAAGCTTTCTTTATTCCACTTCAACCCTTCCCTATGTCTTTCGGGCATTTAGGCCTTGGGCCCACATTTGTTTCACAGTTGAACTCGAAGTGCTGATTCTTATTTCAGTTTGGATTTGCTGCCAGGTCTCCCAGCCCAAGTTCAGTTTCCCATGGGCTGGCTGAACCACCAGTGTAAAACAGCAAGATAACATCCCAGAGCTGGAGCTCCTCCAGCCATGTTATGTCAGGAGAACCGAGTCCATGTTGGCCTCACAGGGTCACTGTGTTCTCACAGCCAGGAAGCCACCCTGGAAGCACATGGATGGATGGCTCCAGCATTTCATTTCAACGCCATCCAGTCTCTCATTCCAGCTGTCGAGAGCAAACCAAAGGGAGAAGAGAAAAAAAAAAGTCCAAAGAAGCACTAGTTCAAGGCCAGTTTCAGAAATCAAGTGTTTAAATAAAAGTTATCCAGACTGAAATTCTGGACTCTGATAAATTACAAAATTAAAACCAGAATAAAGGTAGGTAGCTCTGAACACTCTGGTCAGTAAGTTTCTGAGTTAATTGACCGAACTGTCCAGTTAATTGCTTCCACCCGCACTTCCTTTTGGTTATGGAGACAGTTTCTCTACAGAAACAATTGCTTTCCCACCTGAAGGTTAAAATAACAATGTAAAACTATACCTGGCAAAAAGTTTGATCTTTAGATCAAGGGATTAGATTGGTTTTAGTTAGGTAAATTTTATAGCCTGGAGAAAACTATTTTCAAATTGCTGCAATATTTTTGTAAACCCAAGATTTTCTCAGTATACGAAAGAGTTAGCAGGGCCACCCAGGTCTTTACATGGAGTTGGCCTGGAGTTTCTGCTTACCCACATAATCCTCATTTTCAAGATTAAAAATCATAGTAATAAGAACATTTCTTGAGTTTTGTCATTATTCATCATTAGATTCGTCTAGATCATGCCAGAAGTAGAAACAAAATAAGATAGAAACAGAGTGCTTAGGAAAAGATCAGGGACAGATTGAAACATGGCCCACTAAGCAGGTCAGCCAGTTACCCTGCTCTTAGGCTACTATGCCAGCTGTCGCCCACTACATCCTTACCCTGGTGCCACTCATCACCATGCCCAAGGAAAATGTCCAAAGGAAATCTCCAACCCTACAGAATAGTGAACGAGTACCCAGTTACCTTTAGGATTAACCTACCCTGATAACACAGAATGTGGAATTCCCCTAGAAATACTGAGGCCAAGAAGAGGCACCAGATCTCATTTGGGGAACACAGGCTGATGATTTTCCAAACTATTCGAGTGTTGGATGCCCACAGACGCTGTGCTATCTGCACCGTAAGGCTGTGTAGCTCACTGGTGAAGAACATAGGACTTAGAAGACTAATCTTGGTTCCATTCCCAAGTTCTACGTTCACTTGCAGGGAGATCTTAGACAAATTACACAAATTATTGAGCCTCAGTTTCTTCCTCTGTAAATGGAATATGGGGTTTGAGGCAATGCACAGCTGAAAAATAAGAGGGTCTTAAGAAATTATAGTTATCTTTACTATCCTTTATAATTACCTAGAATGATGAAACTATAACTGAATCCATTATGGGAAGGATTCTCAGAGCCATATTTTGTGGATTGGCTTAAGTTTTCAGTGAGTGCTTTCGGCATTTCAAATTGTACACCAAAGCAGGGCATGTGGTACAAAGCACTGGCATTGGCAAAGGCTAACATAGATATTGCCTGGGAAATGAGTAGGAGGCATAGCCATCGATGGCTCTTAAGCCTGATTCATACTAACCAGGGCAAGGCCAAGGTGGCTCCATTAAACACCTTCACTAAGGATATTTTCCAAGGAAACACTTTTATAACTTTCAGATACAAGCTAAAAGTGACATTGGGTTAAGGAAACGTCTTAAACAATTTTTCTTTTTTTGGAGATTGCTTTAGCAGTTAGATTGAATTTATGATTGGCACATCAGCTCTTTGCATATGAAAGCAAGAGCCTCTAACATGTTAGAATGGATTTAAAAAGTTATACTCCAGTATTTTAAAGTTTTTTTTTAAACATTCTATTGGTGATATGTGTAAGCCTCATAAGTTTTTGTTCCCTAGGCAAAACAAAGATGAACTCCAGGTCCTGACCAAATTAGCACTTACGTTCACCAAAAAATGGGGGTAGTAGTGTCACTTTCCTTAAAGGACTGAGCTGAGGCTTGTAAAGCATTTAGCAAAGCATTCAGCACAGCATAAATGCTCCCAGTCAAGGTTAACTGTTGTTGTCGTGGATGTGGGTTTGTTGCTGCTGTTATTCCATCATTCAACAGACCTGTACTAGACACAGTGAATTCCAAGAAGAATACACCAGCGGTCCAGTCCCTCAAGATGCTCAAAGCCTCCAGGGAGGGTTGGATGTACAAATGTGTTCTCATGCAAAGCAGTAACTTCTTTAAGGTCTGAACAAAGTGCTATAGGTACCCAGAGGGGAGCCAAGGATTACCTTCACAGAGGAGATCATCTTTTATGTGGGAACAAGTGTGAATTTGCCTAGCAAGGGAAAGGGTTTGCAAGGCAGAGAAAATAGCACATGCAGAAGCTTGACTTAATGAAAAGTCATAGTGAGCTTTGAGGAACACTGGTGAGTCCTGGGTTACTAAAGCAGAGGTCACCTGAGGAGTGCCAGGAGAAGTGCTGAGAGTTGCTGGGGGCCAGAATGTGAAAGATCTTACAGAGTAAGCTGAGGATTTGGCACCGATCCCACTAGCCACAGGCGTCAACAAATTTCATGGGGAAATAATGTGATTTGATTTATATTTTATGAAGATAAGTTTGGTGCCAACAGGGAAAGACAGAAACTGGAGTTTAAAAACACAGGAGGTGAGGCCTCTGGAGTGGAACAGCAGAAAGCCACTCACTGCTTGGTGGGGAGTAACAACCCCACTCACTTCACTGAACCCTCTATGCAGTGGCTGTGTTCAGAGTTGAGCGGCTGCCACTGGAGTCTCGTGGCCCCCTGCAGTCCATCTGAAGAGGAGAAGGCCTGAGGGATGAGAAACTGGACTTCAGCTGGCTGCTCAATACAGACACTACGCTGAAGAGAGCTGCAGTGTTTCAGAACAATGCCAGAAATTAGTTGTTCTTTTCACCGGTAAGAAAAATCCTTCATCTGTCCCAGAAATCCCATTAAAGTGGACATTTTGATGGATAAGAACTGAAGATGGTACGTGAGGACTCCTAGGTTATGTCCCCAACCTTCCATTCAACTCCCTCACCTTAATTCTTATATTTTGTTTCATCTTTGAAATATGCTTGAGGAATTATGTTTGGAAGATGAACTTCAGAAGTTCATAAAAAACAGGATGACCAACTATCCTGGTTTGTCCAACACTGTTCTAGTTTTAGCACTGAAAGTCCACCATCCCAGAAAACTGAACCCCCTTGCCCACGCCCCCGCCCGCCTCCACTGTCTCAGGCAAACCAAGATGGCTGGTCACCCACCCAAAAGGGCTATTAGAAACACTGTACTATGAAAAAAGACTGTGATTCAGCATTTATGAAATTCATAACTGATAGACATGACTTTTACTTGGGGAAAACTAGGTGATGATTTTTTCTCTATGTAATTTTAGGGTGCCATGCATAAGAACTCAACTTTCTTCCTCTAATAAAGCCGACATGTTGACTTATAAAAGATAGGAAACAGGAAACTAATAACAATAATAGTGACGGTTAACATATTGGGCATGCACTATATTCCAGGCACTGTTCTAAGTGCTTTACATAAATAAGTCATTTAATCTTCACAACAGCCTTATTATATTCATCCCCATTTTACAGATGAGCAAATGGAGGCACAGAGATCATATACATAATAAATGTACATAATGGAATTTGGATTTGAACTCAGGCTGCCTAGGTCCAAAGTCCATGCTTTTAAATATTTCCTATATATAATGTATAATAACTCATTTATTAAGCCCCAACTATGTGCCAATCATTTTACTGAGTGTGCATTCCATAAAGTACCTCATTTAACTCTCACAATAGTCTGTCTGGTACCAGATAGGTCATTCATTCATTTATTATTTGTTGAGCTTATGCTTGTTTAAGAATCATAATATTGTATTTTTGTAGGTGAAGGAGGATGGGGGTTTGGACCAAAGTAGTAGCAGTGAAAATGGATAGGGGAGGTAAGATTCAAGAAAATTTTCTGAAGTAAAAACATTAGAATATGAGATTAATTGAACACAAGGAATGAAGAAAAATAAATTGTTTAGGACAACCCTGGGATTTTGACCTGAGGGACTGGATGGGTGGTAGTCTACCAATCAAAATCAAAACTACAAGAAGATCTACCTTGAGAGGTGCTATAGACTGAATGTTTGTGTCCCCCTAAAATTCATATGTTGAAATCCTAACCCCCAGTGTGATGGTATTAGGAGGTGGGGCCTTTGAAAGGTGATTAGGTCATGGGGCAGAGACTTCGTGAATGGAATCAGAGCCCTTATTAAAAAAAACCACCCTGGAGAGCGTCTTTGCCCATTCTGCCACGTAAGGACACAGTGAGAAGACAGTCATGTATAAACCAGGAAGCAAGTCTCACCAGACAGCAAATTTCTCAGCACTTTGATCTAAGACCTCCTAGCTTCCGGAAAAGTAAGAAATAAATTTCTATTGCTTATAAGCTATCCAGCCTATGATAATTTGTCATAGATGCTCAAAGGGACTAAGACAAGAGAGAAGTTAACGAGTTCATGTTGAAATGTATTAAGTTTCAGCTACTAAAGAGCACACCAGTTGACGTGACCAGAAAGCCTGGAAACTTTTATCTGTAGTTCAGTGGCTGGAAGCCAGTACCCTAGACTTGGTGATTAGCGTTACAGGTATAAGGAAGATTATCCAGAGAAGATGACAAATGATAGAGCCCTAGGGAATGTCAACATTTTAGGGACAGCAGAGGAGAGCCTGCCAAGGAGGCTGGAAGACTTAAGAAGAGGTAGGAGGAGAACTAGGAAACAAGTGGTTGCCCAGAAACCAAGGGAGGAGCAGGTGATGGTCAACAGGGCCAGTGCTGCAGAGAGGACAAACAGGAAGAGGGCTGAAGACAGATCATTATGACCAGGGTGTGATTCGGGATGGAGAGCACCAGATCAGAGCATGACCAGACAGCAGCAAGTCATCCCACTCCTGACCTTAGTGCCCTGACATTCCCTCAGCCAGGAATAAAATCAACCCCAATGCTGAGGGCAAGGCTAAGTCTGCCCCCTGGGGAGTTGGGGACTCCAGCTTCTGAGCCTGAAAGTTAAAGGAGCAGGCTGGGGCCCAAGGAGAGAGGCCACTACTGTTTACACATTCATTTCCAGGCACTCCTTCAGGCTATAAGACCAGCTCTAAAAAGCCCCAGAAACAAAACACAAAGCAAAAGCAAACAATTTAAAAACAAAACAACGAAACCAAAAATAAAAATAAAACCACACACACACACAAACACACACTTCCTTTTATAGCAGGAAAAAAAAAAAAGAAAAAATAATTCTACCTAATGAAATTTTCTGGACAGGTTTATGGCTGCCTGTTTATGGCTGCCTGACCTCCAACCCCAGGCTGGAGAATAACTGAGTTTTATTAAACATCAGCAAAATATGAATGAAGAGAGGGACAAGCTTTCGAAGGGTCTCATTTCATTTCCAAGCCCAAATAGCTCACAGTTGACCTTGAAACTATGGAGCATAATTTTCCTGTCAAGATGATAGAGAAAAGACAAAGTCGTGACAGGGTTCTGAATGGGAACCATTACATTCATGTGAAGCAGCTCTGTTTTTAATACCCCCTCGGGAGAAAACATAGAAAGTTATGAGCTGAGCTAAGGAAAGATACGTGGATGCAAATCTGACCCTCATTCAACTCTAGAAAATTCAGCTGGAGAAAAAACATGTTATTTGAAGTCATATGTTTGATCTTCTTATGTGAATTGCCATTATTTATCTCTACTCCCTAAGTGGTATTGCCTGGGTCCATTCTTATGCTCTGAAACCAGGCTCCGTATCCAAATCTGTGTGATCATCCAAGCATTACGAGGTCTCCCCACTAGTCCACCACACTTCATTTTTCAAGTAGCAGGAGGATTGAGCAGAGCATTCCTGTGGGGAGAGACCCAAACAGGCCACCCCCAAACTGCTTCCTTCAGGCTGATAAGCCCCCATCGTAAATTATGCTGTGACTGGAGGCTTCAGCCTCTTGCCATCAGCTTGCCTTTCTTTTGGAAAGATACCAGCTCTGTCCCCTGAAATATATCCTTTATTTTCAGAGTCCTTGAGGATTCCAAGGATCAGGAAAAGGAGCAAGAGAAGCCCCTCAATTCTAGGGCAAATCATCCCACACTGCTGTTTCCAAGCCTCAAGCTAACATCTCATTCTGGCTGCGCTCCCTTCTGGATCTCAGCAGCAATTCTACCACAGGGTGATGTGGTATTTCCAGTCTTCCACTTCACCATCCCCCACACCCACTTTCCAGCTGTTGTCAAAGCAACATGAGAATTCACTGGGAGATTCAATGAGGAGAGATGGTCAGATGGGAGGGGTGGGATAAGAGGAAAACATACTGAGATAAGAAAAGCACTTGGTCCTCAGAGAACACATTCCTGCAATGCTGGGCTGCATCTCCATGGCACATGCTTTCACACTGACTCCTGGATCTAAGTCTGAGCTTTCAAATTCATTTTCTTTGGCCTCAAAAGGTTCTCAGACTTGAAACAGGATAAAGAGAGGGAGATGGAAGGCTCTTGGGTTGATCTTCAGAACACCAGTTTGCACATTGTAGCCTACGTGCCTGCATGGGTCCGAAGATACACATTGATTGGAAAGACCTTGACCCAGCCTGTTCCAGTTCTATCCTATCCTTCTAGTCAATGACCCTGCTAAAAGCAGGAAAAGTGGCTGCCTGAACCCTGAGGCTACTAAGGCCTAGACTGAAACCTGTGAGCTCCTAAGCTTAAATCCCAGCCCTTTCCAATTCCAAACATTTTTCCCCAGATAAATCACTTTTTCTGGTCATGTCATCAACTACTTGCGCATTATTTAATGGATCAGCCATATGGATGAGTCAGTTTGGCTGTTGGGGCTGCCAAAAGTAAAACCCCAATTGATATGGTGGGTTGCTTAAAAATCTTATTGACAACAATTTAATTCAGTCAAGCTGTATTTCATCCTGGGACAGTTTCAAACCTTGGAAGAAGGGGAATCACCATGTCCACTATCTCGACTGGAAACTGGGTTCTGAGGCTGTGCTGATGCATGTGTCTATAGCAACTCTGGAGAAAACAGTCCATTTAAAAGTTGCAACAGTGACCTCCAAACTTTGGGAGGGGTTATAACATCACGTAGCCATTTGGTTCTGTATGGACTCTGTCCCCAAACATACAATCTAAAGTTGACCGTGCCGGTGCCTGGGCACACTGTGGGGCCTGGTCGGGAGCAGGTGCCTAGCCTGGCCTGACCCCACATACTCCCCACCCTCTGCACTCTGATGCTGAGTGGGTGCCAACCCCATCCCAGCCAGGATGATGGTGAAGTATTTCCTGGGCCAGAGTGTGCTCCAGAGGTCCTGGGTCCAAGTGTTCGCCGCCTAATGACAGCGGTACCCAAATCCCTACAGCAAACACAGTACACAGGGTGGTGACCCTTGAGCAGAGGCTCCTGTCCTGGCAACCTGACCAAGACCAGCAGATGCCCTGCTGGGCTGAGCCACTGTTTCCTGCCAGTGCTGCTCGCTCGGTGTCCATCCTGGAACACTCTACTGTGAAGCCACGGAAACAGACATGACCACCTCACCTGGAACATCAACCACACCCAGCTGTGGTGGTAGAGGAACCACGCGCTTACTCTGGGAACTCTGACAGCAGCGCCTGGACCCAAATCCACTGGAAAGCCTGGGTCTCCTGTAGCTTATTTAACCATCTCCAGAGCTGTCCAGCAATTTGGTCTCACCCAATTCAAAACCAACGTGATCACGACTAGGAAGGGTTTTGAATACATCTTGGCCAAGCTGCACAGTGTGGCCCCTTCCAAAACACTTATTGAGACAGCTAAGGGACCCAAGGAGAAGGCAAAGGAGACAGCACTGGAAGCTGCAGAGAAGGCCAAAGACCCAGCCATCCAGGGAGCCCCCAAACAGCAGCTGCAGTTAGTGTAGCCAGCTCACCACGCCACAGCACCCCAGACAGCTCAGCCAACTTCCTCTACCCTCTCCCCATTGTATGTTATTATTAAAAAATCAACTTCCAGCCCCCCAAAAGAAATTTTTAAAAATATTTAAAGTTAATTGTAAATGATTTTGATTTTGAGATGTCTGTGTGAATTTCATTATAATCTTGCATTCTCTTAGACACTCAGGGTTTCTCCCAAAAAATCCAGCAAGGAATCAACCTTCTGCCCCTTAGGTCAGGAAATAGTCTTGCCAATGCTAAGAAGGAGAGCAAAGTTTTTCAAAAGTTAAGGCTCCCTCTAGGGCAACATATATGACGTGTTCAGATAAGGCTTTGAGCATTAGTTCTGACCCTATCCCAGCTACTCCAGCCTGTACCTACTCCTCAGAGAAGGCTGCATTAGAAAGCTTCATGGGGTTCTCATGGAAAGAGGGTGGCTAGGGAGAGAAACTCCCACAGTCTTCCATGACACCATGTCTTCCAATAATAACGGCTAACATTTATTGAGCTTTTACTATGTGCTAGACACTATTCTAAGTGTACTCCCTAATCTAATCCTTATTTAAAACTCTCTGAAGGTGGTACTATCATTATCTCCACTTTACAGGTGGAGAAACGGAGACACAAAGAGATCAAGCAACTTACCTAGAGACATACAAGGAATAAGTAACAGTGCCAGGATTCTAGCAAAGGAAGTCAGGCTGCAGGGTTCATCTCTTAACTGCTATATCCCAGCAGCTCTTGAACCTGAGCAGGAAGAAGCATTTGGAAGGCTTGGTAAAATACAGATTGCTGGGCCTTGCTCCCAGAGTTTCTGATTCAGTAGTCCTGGGTGAGACCTGAGGATTTACTTCTCTAGCACATTCCAGGGTGATGCTGATGATACTGGACCACACATTTGAGAATCACTGTCTGTGCTATTCTACCTCTGGAGAAAATTCTTGATAGAACTTTCTTCTTCCCCACACACTTCTCCACTCCAGATACAAAGCTCAATGAGAGATGAGTTATACTGAGTAATCTCACAAGATCAACTAGCCAGTCTTTCAGGAGGCCTCAACTATTTCTCAGGCATCACTGTGTCAGGAACAGAATCCCAGCCTTCTGGGTGGAGCCTCTCTGAGCCACTGACTGGAAATACAGTCCATGGGAAATTAAGGTCCAGGCCGGCACCTCTTCATTTTTCTATCTAAACTCACTCCTTTGTTGATAACACATTGTTTCTAAGCATATGAGCGTTATTAAGCAACAGCAAGGCCAAGGTGGGGGGACTGCTAGAGGCCAGGATTTCGAGACCAGCATGGGCAACCGGGCAACAAGTTCCCATCTCTACAAAAAAAAATCAAAACATTAGCCGAGTGTGATGGCACACACCTGTGGTCCTAGCTACTCAGTAGCCTGAGGCAGGAGGAACACTTGGGCCCAGGAGGTTGAGGCTGCAGTGAGCCAAGATCAGCCACTGCACTCCAATCTGGGTGACAGAGGGAGCCTCTGTCTCTAAAACAAGAAGATGCAAATAGTAAATCTCATTTGTTTGCTAAAACTTTCTTTATAGATGTTTTTAAAGTTATTATATCTCCCCAGGTTAATTAATTATTTATTTATTGAGACGGAGTTTCATTCTTGTTGCCCAGGCTGCAGTGCAATGGCAGGATCTCGGCTCACCACAACCTCCGCCTCCCAGGTTCAAGCAATTCTCCTGCCTCAACCTCCCAAGTAGCTGGAATTACAGGTGCCCGCAACCACGCCTGGCTAATTTTTGTATTTTTAGTAGAGATGAGGTTTCACCTTGTTGGCCAGGCTGGTATCGAACTCCTGGCCTCAGGTGATCCACCCACCTCGGCCTCCCAAAGTGCTGGGACTACAGGCGTAAGCCACCATGCCAGCCTCCCCAGGTTAACTTATAAGCTCATTCATTTATTCGTTTACTTCAGAGTCACTTCAGAGATATGTAGAACAACAAAATACACATATGTGGGTGGGGAACTCATAGTACAGATAAAATACAAACTAAGCGATTCTGTAAGATAAAGACAGGATAAAGTTAGTACACAAAGATGCAAACCATAAGACAAACTCAAAGAAGGAAACACAACAGGTGCTAAGATTTACAGTTTCTTAGAAGCTCTTTGACACACTGAGATCTAAAAAATATTCCTGTCATTAAAAGGCATACTACATGATGTGGTCTACAATGTTCTCCACAGCATCTCCAAGTTAAATACAAAAAAATGTTTCACAGTACATTTATTAGAGTAGCTCTCAAAGCACACTCTAGGATATAATATTCTGCAAAATATAGACCCTTCAGGGACCTACATATCAAGGCAACTGCCTTACCTACAGTAGGTTGCAATAAATATTTGAGAAGTAAAAACACTTCCAGTAGTTGGCTCTTCACTATTCATACTTCAAAGTATGTGTATGAAGCACTGCAACTGCACTTCTGTCCAAATGCCTTGTAATTCTGATACTTTTGCCACTAACCTTCCACCCAACTTACCTTGCTAACTTGAACTTCATTTCCTAATGCTTGAAGACTATTAGTACATCCTCATAGTGAAAGCCATCATATCATCCCTTTTTTAAAAAGTCCAGTTTTTCTCAAAAGATGACTCTTAAAGGTGTATCATTAAGCACTCTCATCAAATCACCCATTCATTAGTTTTGGTCTGTGACATCCTCTACTCTGACATTTTTCTGTGCCATTTGTAGCATAATGAGAACCATTTAAACCAAGTATCAGAGGCTGAGATTCTAATCCTGTCCCCATAACTTGGTGGCTGTGTGGCTTAACTTCTCCCAGGCTTGTTTTTCTCATTTGTTAAATGAGAGAGAAGAAAACTCGCCACCTAAAAACTCTCATTTAAGAAATGAATAAAAGACTTGAATGAACAAATGTTGACTCTTAGAATTATGAATTAAAGTTACAAGAATGATCTTAACTAATGGTCACTGACATGTTTTCCCCTAGAAGTACTGATGTGTTACTGCTTCTAGGGGAAAACTACTACTATTCCCCCTGGAAGCAGTGATGCAATCATCAGTGTATGTGATCCTTCACCTGCGGCTGCTAGGGCAGCGGTGATGAACAGTGAGAGATTCCCACTGTGAAGCATAGTGGATGGATAGGAATACTTCATCACGGCTCAGCCAGCGTTGCTCAGATCCAGAGAGTGACTTCAACAAGCCAGTCTACACCAGTCATTGTACCACGAGGATCTGGTAGACAGCAGGAGTCAGCGTCTAAAGAAAACAGGGCTGGAGAATAAAGAGACATAAGAACAAAAGTAGTGAGTTGAAACAGGATAACAGGGGACAGGCTGAGGAAACTTCTGGAGTGGCAAGCCAATATCCACAGCTGGACCTGTTTAGATGGACAGGAAGGGATCACACAGATACTCTCTCACCCAGCTCACCTTACCAGTCATGGCACATGCTTGCAAGCCTGCCATGAAACTGGAAGAACTGGGAGGTCAGCCCAGTTTTCAAACTCAGACTCGCCAAATTGGTGTCCTTCCTGAGGCTCTCAACCTCAGAGTTAAGGAATGTGTTACTAGCAGTGGTTAATGTGTGAAAGTTTGTAAAGGCCTTATTTATATATGTGCTTTATTTACTTATATAAATTAGAACCGAGTTGAGTTTGTCTGAGTGATAACTCCTCTCCTACTGGTATTCCAATGGTTTCTTTGAATTAAAGAGAAAGAGTGGGAAAACAGCCAGTGGTCTGGGAATTGCACATAATCTGAGGATTACTCATGGGTGTGACATGACATTAGGGAACCTAACCAGTTATAGAAGGAAATGGTGGGAAACAAGTGCTGGGGCCAAGAAAACTGAGTAGCCTCATGGAAATAACACAAGAGACGACATGGAATAGCTGTTGAAGGCCTGCTATGTATTTCAGAGAATCTGGGGAGGTACGAAGACCCCAGTGCTCCATGCTCACAATGGCAACAGAAGGAAGAATCAAGCTAATTACAGATGGTCCTGCATAGCCCTGGACTAATGATCCATCCGATTCTGATCATAAATCTTTTTCTCCCTAAAAGAGTTCTAATAATTTTATAATCTGGCTTCACTCATTTGGAATTCTTTAAACAGTAATATTCAGATACTAATTGCAGGAACAGAGAGGTACTTCAACCAATTCTTTTTTTTTAAGTGATTCATTTACAATTTACTTATTAACAACTTCTGGTAGCCAGCCTCCAAGGTGCCTCCCAGTGATCCCCCTTTCCTGGGTATTCATGCCCTAGTGTAGTCCTTTCCTATATCCTACCAGCATTGGTCTGTGTGACAAATAAAAGATGGCATAAGTGATGATGTCTGCCTTCCTACACTAGGTCATAAAAGATACTGCTGCTTTCACCTTGCCCTCTTGGACCACTTGTTCTGAGAGAAGTTAGCTGCCACGCTGTGAGAACACCCAAGCAGCCCTATAGAGAGTTCCACCTGAAGAGGAATTGAGGTACCCATTTTTCAGCCTTGCAAGTTCACCATGTTGGAAGCAGATCCTCCAGTGCCAGTCAAGATTGCAAATGACTGCGGCCTCATGAGAGTTCCCGAGCCAGAATCTCTCAGCTAACCCACTTCCAGAAACCATGTATGATCATAAATGTGTTTTGTTGCCTTCAGTCATTTAATTTGGGATAATTTGTTCTGGGCAATAGAAAACCAATATATAACTCATGTGCTAATTACAAATTACTATTATCACTCATTCAAACCAGAAACCTAAGGATGCTTATTTTCTACAACTTAGGAAATATTTAATAAAAATTTGTTGCTCATTCCCCATAAATAGCCCAAATAAATTTCAGGTTTTATTGTATTTATGTGAACCTGCCCTGACTTTGACCAACTAGTATATTATTTATTTGGGATTAGAGTCAGTTCTCCATTGGTGGCCTCCCAGAAACAAGTCATTGGGAAGCTAGTCTAGTGTATATTTGGGTATATTTTATGATGATATCTAGGCTGTCATTTGGGACATGAATTAATAAGTTATTGGTGATTATTTAAAAAGCCACAGAGTCTCATCAAAGGAATTTATTTTCCTCTCATGAATTTGACAAAAAGTTTTTATGGTACCAGGAGGGAATGAGTAGCAAAGGTAATCTCTGGGTATTTTTAACACATCTAAAATAGATCAAAAGGTTTCTGGATGATTCTTCCTGTCTAGCAGAAGTTAGACAGAAAATATAAAACTCAAATTATTATTTCTCACCACGGGAAAGGTGTGAACAAGAAGCAGTGTCAAAAGAAACTTGTTCTGCTTAGGCCAGTACATCATCCTGAGAGACTACAGTCCCCGTTTCCTAGGGCTTCATGACTTAGTTGGATCTGTGAGTTCCGAGAACATTTGACATAGCAACATCTGGGAGGCAAGAGAAAAACACATATTCCAAAGCAAAATATGAACTCTGTTTAGATAGGTCCTGTCCTGAATTATATGTTCCCCTTTAATCAGTGCAAATAAGCAAAAGCTAGCAATATTTGCAAAGGTCTTAGTTATGACTTATTTTCCTCCAGAAAGAATTGTACCCACCAATTACTGACTGGGAAATGAAAGAAACCAAACTTTAATCAAGATTGTTACCCAAAGACCAAAGAAAAGTAGGCCATCCGGAGGATATTTCCCAAATATTTCAGCATAGTTTTTTTTCCCCATATACTGCTATAGGCCCTTATTATCTGATGAGAATTTCTTTATTTTTCATCCCTCCACTCCCAGGAAGCCCCTTCTGATACCTAGACTATGTGAAGAACCCTACTCTCTGCTCTCCCTCCATACAATAAGAATTTTGAAGGCTTGGTTCTGTCTAACTCGTTTTAGGGCCTCAGTGCCTAGCACAGAGCCTGGCACATGGGAATAAATTACATGTGTTGACTTAAAGTACGTTGAACTCATGATTTTCCCATCATAACATTCTGCTCCTTCTCTGGCAGTGCCTATTTGACAATTCCCCTTGATGTATTTTCTCTGTCCATTACTTTTTATAGCTCTCATTCTGAAGGTTTATATTTTACTGTTTGGATCAGCAGCAGGCAAAAAAAAAAAGGACAAAAATCTCTCCACATTTCTTCCCAGTCTGTGAGAATCTTAGAACTCAAAACACTACCATGTAACTTTACACCCACTAGGATGGCTATAAGCAAAAGAACAAAACAAAAACAGATAATAACAAGTGTTGGTGAGAATGTGGAGAAATAGGAACCCTCATACATTGCTGGTGGGGATGTAAAATGGTGCAGCCACTGTGGAAAACAGTTTGCCAGTTTCTCGCAAAGTTAATCATAAAAGTACCAAATGACCCAACAATTCCACTCCTAGGTATATACCCAAGAGAATCAAAAACAGATCTTCAAACAAAAACTTGTAGACAAGTCTTCAAAGCAGTACTATTCACTATAGCCAAAGGTGGAAACAATTCAAGTGTCCATTAACTCATGAATGAGTAACAATATGCTGTATCTCTACACAGCGGAATATTATTTGGTCATGAAAAGGAATGCAGTTGTAATAGATACTACAGCATGGATAAGACTTGAAAGCATATGTTAAGTGAAGAAAGCCAGTTACAAAAGACTAACCGTTACAAAATTTCATTTATATGAAATGTCCAGAACAGGCAAATCTATAGAGACAGAAAATAGATTACTAGTTTCTTAGGTCCTGGGGGAGGGTGAAAGGATAGGTAATTGATAGCTAAAGGATAAAGAGTTTCTCTTTGTGATGATGAAAATGTCCTAAAATTGACTGTGATGATGGTTGTGCATACCTGTGAATATACTAAAAACTATTGAATTGCACATTCTAAATGGGTGAATTATATGGTATATGAATTATTATTATTATGAGATAAGGTCTTGTTCTGTCTCCCAGGCTGGAGTGCAGTGGCACAATCTCTGCTCACTGCAGCCTCAGCCTCCCGAGCTCAAGTAATCCTCCCACTTCAGCCTTCTGAGTACCTGGGACCACAGGTGTGTGCCCTTATGCCTGGCAATTTTTTTTTTTTTTAAGAGAAGGGCTCCTGAGCTCAAGCAATCTGAGCCACCATGCCTGGCCTTGGTATGTGAATTATATCTCTAATAAAGCTGTTTTTAAAAGAAACTACCATGGGCCAAACGTGTGGCTCATGCCTGTAATCCCAGAACTTTGGGAGGCCAAGGTGGGTGAATCACTTGAAGTCAGGTGTTCGAGACCAGCCTAGCCAACATGGCGAAACCCCATCTCTACTAAAAATACAAAAAAAAATTAGCCGGGCATGGTGTTGCACACCTGTAGTCCCAGCTACTTGGCAGGCTGAGGCAGGAGAATTGCTTGAACCCGGGAGGTAGAGGTTGCAGTGAGCCAAGATCACACCACCGCACTCCAGCCTGGGCAACAGAATGAAGTTGCCTAAAAAAAAAAAAAAAAAAAAAAAACAAACAAAAAAACAAACAACAAAAAAAAGTAGCATGAGGAAATTGTAGTGTTGGAATCGTTCTGTATCCTGTTTGTGGTAGTAGTTACAGGACCATGCATGTGTTAAAATCCATAAACTTTACACTCCCAAAAAGTAAATTTTACTGTATGTTTGTAAAAGTAAAATAAAATAATAAACCTATTATATGCCCCTTTAGTTGGAATTATAAGCTGGGATCGATGGTCAACTTCAATTGAGACCAGTGCAGCTAATTAAAAATTTCTGTGTAGGTGCAAAGAGAGCACTTAGACCCAAAGAACCAAGCCTATACCTATTTCCTTAGCTGCATTCTGCAGCTGAAATCCAGATAAACACAGAGAGATTACCACCTATGTAATCCTGTCTCCACTTCATGCTTAAAGCAGAGTTGTTGATTCAGTGGTCCAAGCTTTCATTCCAAGCCCCAGTAACCCCTGATGATTTCTCTGAATTCTCCATTGTACATGTACCAGATACTGAACTTGATCTGTCTCTGTAGAATAAATCAGCAATGGAAAAAAAAATTATACAACCCTTCAACTCCAAGTCTTCAAAAGATTCCCCAAGACTTGCAAATGTGAAGTACTGTGGGATACTGCATATTTATCAACAGGAGCTCTGCATTCTGGCTTTTGGTTGGGGTGAGGAGATTTCAGGAGGAGCAAATATAGAAATGGTGAAAAAAGAGACAAGTTGTGGAAAGTGCTCTAGTGTCATAAGGAGAAAGCAGAAGACTCCAGAGACACCTGCTATCAAAGATCGGAGAAATTCCCAAACTGGAGAAGGTCCTGGAACAGGAGCAGAAGCAAGAAACCACTTGGATTCAGCAGGTCCTGGGCTGTGGGTGGTCGGGGAGACACTCAAGAGCCCAGAGCATTTTAAGGCCATCACTAACCACATGTAAACAAAGTGATATTTGTAGATGTTCTCTATAATTAAGGTCCTTCTACAACATGGTATTCGGAGTGCATTCATAGGTTCAAGTTGGGTGGGCTCCCTATTCAGCAGGTTGTATTTTACCAGCAGCTGAATGGGATTTAATATTAGGTAAAAAGACATTACCAAAATAGTAATAAAATTTAGACCCTCCATGCTAAGATCAATGCTTACTCTTGAGTTATAGAAAACTTGTGCAAAAACCACACCTGCCACCTATACTCTTCTATTTTCTTGGTTCCACCTACCTTATAATCATCTTTTATCTACCACCACCTCTAGCCCTAAAGCTCCTAATACTCCACTAATCTGTCCCTCTGAGGATGGGCTCATTGACATATTTGCTGCAAAATCGCCTTGTTTTGTAGCCGCCCTTTTTCCCATGGGTAATGCATATATCTGAACCTACCCCACATACTCATTCACTTGGAGACTAATTTGAAAGATCCGATTCCCAGAAATCTGTTTTAATATGAAGCCTATAAAACTTTCATATGACTTTCTGTGTGTCAGTCAAAATTTTTTTAGCTCTCACTGCAATAACCTCTCAACAGTGGGGATAGAATGAGGTTAAAAGATACATGAACAAATCATTGCTAAAACATTTTGAGAGCTTTCATCTGAACTAACTTTGAGAGTTAGTTTAAAACCACACCAGGAAACCAGGCCTGATACACAGACCTTCTATAACACGCTAGCCCTCATGTTAGTATTTGGTCCTTATTGGGTGAGGCCATGCTGCTCCCCTTTACTGATGGAAAGAGTCTTCTACTGATGGGAAGGAGAATACTTTCCCATGGATTCTACGTCAGAACCCTCCTACAATGTATTGAGTCATCTGGGACACTCCATTTAGTGTCTCTGGGCTTCAGTCTCCTCATCTCTGAAATGTAGAGGGGCAGGTAGGGTGGGGGGAACTAAACCAGGTCATCATGAACATCCCTTCCATTTCTAACATTCTGTGACCATTTCACTGGTGATAGGGAAGCCTCAGGTCCTAATATCTGCTGAGTCATTCTGTCTCAGGCTTTGGATTCATCTTCCATTGCTCTGATTGAAAAATGATAAACTCTGTGGTAGGGATGCATGTCCCTGGAATGTACCAGTAACCAGAGGCACAAAGGTCCCTAAGAACAGGGACCACCTGTATTAACTGGGATTAGGTATAGTAGCATATAATGGAATGCCCAAAATAACTGAGACTTAAACATAAAAAAGTTTTTCCCCTACAAAAAAACGAAAAACAAAAACAAAAACAAACAAACAAACAAAAAACCACACACGAAGAAGAAGGCAACGTATACAGAGACTAAGATTCCTTCTCACCTTCTGTTCCACCACTCTCAGTGCATGGCTTTCACACTTACAGTCCTGGATGACTACTGAAGCTCCAGATACCACATTCAAATTCCAGGCAGCTGGATAGATAACAGAAAAAAGTCAAAATAGGCACACTTTCAGCAGAGTCACCTCCCTTTAAAGAGCCTTCCTGGAGATCCGTATAAAGTTTGCATTTGGATTTCAATGACCAAAATGTAGTCACGAGGCTACATACAGGTGCAAGGGAATCTAAGAAATGTAGTTTTTAAGTGGGCACATTGCTGCCCTCAGTGATACAGGAGCTCTGTTGATTGGGAATAAGAGAATGAATGCTGAGTAGACAACCTGCAGTATCAGCCACACCACTTTCATGTCTTCTGGAGTACCTGCACTGTCCCTGGGAGGAGCTCATTCAGTGCTGTTGATTTGATCTGACTGTCAGCAGCAGGTGATCTGATCTAGAAGTGGCTTTGCTTTCTGCTGGCATAAACAAACATCCTCTAGTCTGTTCCTCAGAAAAGAGGCTGCGCATATAAGCATGGTTTTTCCAGTCTTTGAAATTACGAGTTGGTCAAAAACATTGATGTTCTCTCTTGGAAACCACAGCTATGTGTGAAAATTAAAAGAAGTTACTTCAATGTTCTAAGCTATTAAGACTTCTGAGTTAAATTAGAAATGAAAACTCACTGTGTCATTCTCTGTCCTCAGACTCACTCAGTGATTCTCCCACCTATAGATTCACAGAGACCAATGGAAAGTAATTTCTTTTCTTCTTTCCTACTATTTAAAATTGTATTATTATTATTATTTTGTAGAGATGAGGTCTTGCTATGTTACCCACGCTGGTCTTGAACTCCTGGCCTCAAGTGATTCTCCCACCTCAGCTTCCCAAAATGCTGGGATTATGGGTGTGCACAACTATGTCTGACCTGATAGAAAGTGACTTCATCTGAAGGAGTGTAGAATCAGGGAGGAGTACCTGGTGTGCCTTAACTGTGCTACTGACCCATTCTCTCCTAATGGTAGGCTCCATATACATATTCCCTCAGGAGAAGAAAGCATTCATGGACTAGTTCTTCTTGTCCAATCCCTGTATTTGTAAGAGTTCCTTGCCCATAAGAAAAGGAAAATGAGATACAAAGTGAATTATGTAACTTGCCTAATTTTAGAGGCAGAGATAAGGTAAAATTTGGTTCTCAGCTCCCAGTACACTGTTCGAATCAATACAACCCAAACTATATTGAAAAAATATATATCTACTATTGAGAACCAAATATTTAAAATTATGAAGCTTTTTCAGTTGCTATCTGCACCGATTTTGTTATCCAGAATTTTGATTCTTGATTTTATCTTGCCCAACCTGTGTTTTGCCTAGGTCTCTATAACAGTCATCAGTTTAATTCAATATTTATTGAAAGCTTACTCTGTGATCAGTAACATGTTATGAGGGAGATACAAAAGGATCATAAGACATGGCCTTATAATTCTATTGTATTGTTAAGATATATGACCATGAATTAATGAGGTTAATTTTCAAATAAATATACCAACGACTGTCTATCTATGTGAGTGGTATATCTTCTTAGGAAGCATTTAGCCCAATGATGGTGTTGTTGTCAAAATATTTTTAGAATTCATATTTGGGAATTATTTTCAATAGGTGAACCAAATTATCTTAAATGTCCTCAATGGCTGTTCAATGTTTTGCTTTAAGAGTGGATTTTATTTGGGGGAGAAAGTCAAAGTCATTCAGACCTGAGTCTGATAAAGCAGATTTGAGTGGTTTGGTTTCCTGGTAACATTCAGTCAGCCCAGGATGGTCTTCTTCTAGGCTTCTTTTTCCACGATAAAAGGACAGTGGTTCTCAAACTTGAGTGTGCATCAGAATCACTTGGGAGACTTTTTAAAACACAGATTTCTGGGCTCCAATTTCTGATTCATCAGGTATGGTGGGGAAGCCTGGTATTTTATTTTTTAATTTAATTTTATTTCATTTCAATAGTTTTTGGGGAACAGGTGGTTTTGGTTACATGGATAAATTCTTTAGTGGTGATTTCTGAGATATTGGTGCACCCATCAACTGGGCAGTGTACACTGTACCCAATGTGTGGTTTTTATCCCTCATCCCCCTCCAACCCTTCCCCACAAGTCTCCAAAGTCCATTACATCATTCTTATGAGGCCTGGGATTTTATATCTCAAATGAGCTCCCAAGTCAGGCTAATGCCACTGGTTAGGGAATCACACTTTAAGAACCACTGCTTTAAGACAGTTATTTTAGGTTTTTCATTGTATATAGCTGCACTTAATCTTTTCAGATACAGATCACCCCTCCACTCAAGGAGCTTCCTTCCTGCCTCTTATGCTGTGTCCTGGGTACTTCGTGGCCTTGCACATTCCAATTAGGCATCTGGACATGTGCCCAAAGCCCCTACCACAGAAGGGATCACTTTTAGCCACAGCCACAGAGGATGGTACTAAAGCTTATGATGAAAAGTGCTCACGGGCATTTCTATAATTAAAACTTGAGCCTTGCCCAGCGCTCAGGAGTGTTACAGAAGGTTAAAGCCAGAAGGGGTGTTAATTATCATCTAGTTCAATTCCCTCTACCTCTTCTCCCCTCATTTCAGAGCTGAGGAAAGCAGGTCCCAGAGATGCTAAGCCCAGTGTCCAATATCACCCAATAAATTACAGAAGAGTTATTATGTAGAGTCCATGAGAAAACATCACAGTCACCCTCTAGCTTCAGAGGGCAGGATAGTGATCTCACCCAGTCAAAGCCAAATGCAACATGAGGTAGGTCTAATATGATGTATGTATCACCCAAACAACGAATAATAAAAATCTGGCTGCATGTTTCTACCCTAAACAGTCCAGCAGTTTGGGGTCCATAAAAAAGTATAGTACTTTACCAATGTGGGTTTTACTCCTGTCATAAAGCCATGTTGTTAAGACATACATAACCAAATACTCATTTTTGCATGCAGCGGAGTGTGCCAGAGTCTGAGTCCTATATTCAGTTGACTCTGTTAGTATGCAATCAAAGCGGCATCTCCTGAGCGCAGAAGACAGCTACAGCAATCCTGAAGAGAGACACGGCTTTGCCACTAAAATAAACCAAACAACTAGTCAATATGCCTTAATCTCACAGCCTAGGTCTGGCTTACCTATGGACCATAGATATGGCCAATCTCATTTGAATTGCCACTGAGAAAATCTAGCCTTAGGAAAAGTTAAAACTTGTAATGATACCAATCCCTTGGAGTGGTAGATTGGCAGCAATCAGCGAAACATTAAAACTTGGCTACGGAACACTGAAATATGCTAGGTAGGTGCTGTGGTTTGAATGTATGTCTCTCTCCAAAATTCATATGTTGGAACTTAAATTCCATTGTGATGGTATTAAGAGGTGGGGCCTTTAGGAGATGATTAAATCATGAAGATGGAGCTCTCATGGGTGGGATTAGTAACGTTATAAAAGGGCTGCAAGGAACTAGCTAGGCCCTCTTGGCCCTTCCACCTTTCCACTGTGCTAGAAAACAGCCTTCCAGAGGACACAGCAACAAGGCACCATCTTGGAAGCAGAGACCAGACCCCCACAAGACATCGAACATTTCTGTTCTTTATAAATTCCCTAAGTCTCAGATATGTTGTCATAGAAGCACTAATTCACTAATACAGTAGGTGAGCTACTTAAAAGAGCATTAAAAAAAGTCAAAAAGAGAAAATAGCTAGTCTTAAAATGCTATGGAGCTTAAGTCATTATTTCTCACTCTTTTTAGATGCCGCAGAAGATCTAACTCTTAACCTGGACCTATTCAAAGATAGATGTTGAGAAATACAGATCAATGGCTCAAAAGCTTCTGAAAGTGATCAAGTAGAATATTTTTATTTTTAAATGTAAAATATCACCCCCGACTTGTTGCGAAAAAGTGGGGTGGAGGAAGTAACACCATTATTCATTCCCTCTATGGTGAAATATTCCTTATACTTAAGATGTAGTAGTCCACTCCATCTCCAATGATACATCTGTTTGTAGGAGACGATGGGGAGGTGAAGTGAGGGGCAGCTAGAATGCACATCCTCCGACTTTCTTTCTTGTAAACATTCACGGTGTTTACATGGGATCAGAGAAATGGTCAAGAAACCAAAGGGGTTGATTTGGCTGACCCCTAACAGTGTCTTAAGCATCAATACAGTCAACATGTGTCCCAGTTTCTTTCAAATTGATACCAGTTGATCGAATGACACTGACATTTTGGAAGCAACAGTCAAGGAAGAGGATGCTGTGAAGGGTGAGTTGGAGAGCGGCAGACAGAAAGACTGGAGTTTCGGGAAAAGCAGAACCTGGGGAAGCTTGATTTCTCTGTCTCACTCCCTGGAATCGGCTGGATTTACGATGGTGAATTAGGTTTGCAAGCCCCAGCCATAGGTGCCCAACACCCTGTTCCATTTGCTCTGCCTCGCAGTATTCTTCCCTGCCATCCCTACCCCTGAAGCCCTCTTTTTGGCCCCCAGAATCCTGCTAGAAACTCTCCTCTAGAAAACCATCCTGACCAATCTACCTACTGGCTGTATCTCCAGCAAACTTTTAGATACATTTCCTTAGAGTGGGTCCAGTGCATTCTTGAATGTAAGCATCCTACCCTCCCCTGTTTCGAGTCTATCAAAAGCTGCTCTTTTATTTCCCTTATGGACTCTGTCCTCATCACTTTCCCTGTTCTTCCAGCTTCTCCCCTTAGCCCATGGGGTGCTAACTGTTTAGGTTCCAGGAAAAGGCTGCCGATCTGCACTCCCTAATTGCCCCTGTATGTTAGGGCTGAGTTGATCTCAGATGCTGCTTTCTTGCAGGTTGAGAGAGCTTGAAAATAGAGGTCTGGGAAAGGTCCGGAGAAGAGTCCTAAAAAACTCACAAGGGCAGGCGTGCATGGTTGCTATGGTTACCTGGCAGCTTGGTTGTCTAGCCACCTCCTCCCAACAAGGCAACACTTCTCTGTGAAGCACAGAGAAGATGCTTAAACCCAATTCACCCCAAGAGCCGGGGGAGCAGTGACTTAGTCACATCGTCTGCTTGTCACAATGTCAACAGCAAAGTTAGGGGTCACCGGGGCTGTGAGGGGAGCACACATGGAAAGCTACTTTGTGAATATTTAAGATTAGAATGTGATTAAGCAGTCAAGCCAATGTGCCCTGCACTCTCTGAATTTTGTTCAGTTTTGCTTGAACTAACGCCACATCCATCAGTGTGGTTCTTGCCATGCCTGGCAGCCAAGCACATGGGCACACACAGGGCTTGGCAGCGGGGAAATGGGCTGAGACCCAGTCAGGACAGTCTCGTCTTTCTACCTGAGCCTCAAACTATGCTTTTCCAGGCTCCAGATGGTGATCATGATTGTTAAAAAGCAACCATTATCCCTGTTAATGAGGATAATAAAACTAAACAATTCATAAGCACCGATAACATATGGAACATCCTACAAAACACAGATTTACCCAGCATTATTGGGAAATGAAGTTTTCCACATCAGTGAATTTTCTGGAAAATTAGGGCTTACCCCTTTTTTTTAATCTTCAGGTTTTTTTATTTCAATAGTTTTTTGGGAAACAGGTAGTATTTGGCCACATGAATAAGTTCTTTAGTGGTGATTTCTAAGATTTTTGGTGCACCCATCACCCAAGCAGTGTACCCTGTACCCAAAGAGTAGTCTTTTATCTCTTGCCACTGCCCACCATTTCCCCCGAGTCCCCAAAGTCCAATGTATCATTCTTATGCCTTTGTGTCCTCATAGCTTAACTCCCACATATGAGTAAGCACATATGATGTTTGCTTTTCCAGGGCGTACTTCTTTAGCGCTGATTTTCTTTTTCTGAAGATATTAACCAGTTGGGATGGAAATACGTGTCAAACATGTAATACATTCTCCCATCTTGCTAAATGGTGTAACAAATACTACATACACCATTTTTCCTGGATCTCTCCTTATGAACATGGAATGAACCACAGGGCTGAGGAGAGTTCTCCATCCATACCATCTTTGGGTCTTGATTGGGACAGTTAGCCCACTTCGCCTTGACCTAGTCAGCTGTATTCAGGTCTCTCTGCATTTGACAGTAAGCTCCTTAAGAAGGAACCAGGCCTTCCCTATCCTTCACCTTCATCCCTTACAGCCTTGCCACTCAAAAGGTGGCCCTCAGAATAGCAAATCAGCACCACCTAGAAGCTTATCAGAAAAGCAGACTTTCTGGCTCCATCCCAGACCTACTTAATGAATTAGATTCTGAATTTTAACCAGATCCACTGGTGATTCATATGCGCATTGAAAGTCGGGAAATATTACCCTCCAGTTGTGCATGCCAGCTTGTCCCTGACCAGTTATATCAGCATCACCTGGAGTTTCTTATTAGACACAGAACTTGGGGCCCAGTACAGAATCAGAATCTCTGAGAAGTGGAGCTCAGAAATCTGTTTTTATCGAACTCTACAGGTAATTTTGATAGAGTATCCAGCCCTAGGCCTTGCTCAGGGGAGGTACTCAATAAGTCTTTATTAAATTTAATGGAATTCTTATATTTGTGTTTTATGTTTATCCTATCTCCTGGGTGAGCAAGGTGAAAGGTGTTCATACTTTTGTCTACGTAGGTACAATTGCCATTTCTGATTTTCTAGCATAGTGACTAAGATCTCTAGCTTCACTAGTGAAAGAAGCCAAATACACTATGTAGATATTTTATGATTGTATTTACATGAAACGTCCTGAATAGACAAATCCATGGAGACATAAAGTAAATTAGTGGTTGCCAAAGACTGGAGAGAGGGAGGAATGGGGGAGTGACTGCTGGTGGGTATGAGGTTTATTTTTGGGGTGATTAAAATGAAATGTGAAATTAGATGGTGGTGATGGGTACACAACCTTGTGAATATACTAAAAACCACTGAATGTACCCTTCAAAAGATAAAGTTATGTGAATTATATCTCAATTTTTAAAAGGTCTCAGGTTTTAGAATCAGGCCACCTGTGTTCAAATCCTGGTCTTGCCACATAGAGGCTATGTAATCTCGGACATGTTAATTGTCTTTGAGGCCCAGTTACATTGTATGTAAAGAGAATAACAAAGTGCCTATGCCAGAGGTTTGTTATGAGATTTAAATAAGATAATCTTTGTAAAAAGTGACATGTGTTGGCTGGGCGTGGTGGCTCACGCCTGTAATCCCAGCACTTTGGGAGGCCGAAGTGGGCAGGTCACCTGAGATCAGGAGTTCAAGACCAGCCTGGCCAACATGAGGAAACCCCATCTCTACTAATAATACAAAAAATTAGCTTGGCGTGGTGGCGGGCACCTGTAATCTCAGCTTCTCAGGAGGCTGAAGCAGAAGAATCGCTTGAACCTGGGAGGCAGAGGCTGCAGTGAGCTGAGATCACGCCATTGCACTCCAGCCTGGGCAACAAGAGCAAAACTCCATCTCAAAAAAAAAAAAAAAAAAAATGACAGGTGTTAGAGCTCAAGACACACCACCCCAAAATATGACTGCAGGAGACCAAAATACACCACCCCAAAAATAGACCTTTTTGGCATATCATTTTGAGCAGGTTATTTTGAGAAATTGCAGACACAGCGTAGCTCTGAAAAGTTGCCCTTTTGTAAAGGAAATTTACATTTATAAAGGAAATTTTTATTAGTAAAGATGTCTGTACCAGAAAGAGAGCTGCTCCAAGATAACATTTATCACCTGAGAAACTTTTATCTTCATAACAAGACAATCTTTGTTCACCATGCATTTCCTCCCCTCATTCTTTCCTAACTAGTATGCATACCCCACAGAAGCCCCTAACTCTTATTCTTTAGTGTAGCTCAGCATGCTGTTATAAGCCTCAATCATCTCACCATTTCTTTAAGTCACATTTTTGTGGGACTCCCATGCATACACTATTAAAATGGCTTTTCTCCTGTTAATCTGTTTTATGTCAATTTAGTTTGTAGGCCAGCAAAGAACCTAGAAGAGTAGATGAAAGCAATTCTCTTCCTACACTGGTACAACACAAGTGCTAATACATTTTTCCTGCTGTAGGGGTGAAAAAATGTGTAATGCCTTTTTGATCACCCATCACAAGGATTACAACCAACACTCCTATAATAAAGGACAAATTAATAAGAGGCAAGCATTACAAATTTATTTAAAACCAAAATGTTATGTGACACAGGAGACTTCGGAAATGAAGACCTAAGAGCTGGGCATGGTGGTGCCTGCTGTAGTCCCAGCTACTCAGGAGGCTGAGGTGGGAGGATAGCTTGAGCCCAGGAGTTTGAGTCCATCCTGGGCAACGTGGAAAGACCCTGTCTCTTAAAAGAAAAAAGAAGGAAATGAAGAACCAACAACCCAGGGAAAAATATTGATTTTTTTTATGCTTGGTTTCAGTGAAGAATGGATAGCTGTGTAAAAATGTGATTGGACAAAAGGGTATGAACTAACAGTAGTAGACTTAGGGTGTTGGGAGAGGGAGTAGCAAGGCCTGTCCAGATTCTTCTTGACCTCTCTGTGTAACACTCTTTCCTCCATGCATAGGACAGAACATCTGTCACATAAAGAAGAAGATCAGAGAGTGAACTTTTTAGGTTTTGTGGCTTGCTTTGGGGAGAGAAGTTTTAGTTTCTGTGACCTGCTTTAGGGGAGAGGAATTGTATGTGACTCACTTCCAGAAAGAAAGACAGGTGGGAGACAGGTCAGAAAGACCTTGTTTCTGAGACCCTTCCAATCTTTTTCTTTTTTTTTTTTTTTTTTTTGAGACGGAGTCTCGCTCTGTCGCCCAGGCTGGAGTGCAGTGGCGGGATCTCGGCTCACTGCAAGCTCCACCTCCCGGGTTCACGCCATTCTCCTGCCTCAGCCTCCCGAGTAGCTGGGACTACAGGCGCCCGCCACTACGCCCGGCTAATTTTTTGTATTTTTAGTAGAGACGGGGTTTCACCGTTTTTAGCCGGGATGGTCTCGATCTCCTGACCTCGTGATCCGCCCGCCTCGGCCTCCCAATTCCAATCTTTTTCAATTCTAAGTATGTAGCACACGAAAGAACCATATTTTGGAGTATCGTGTTTTGACCTTCGAACTGCTCATTTTGAATCCAACAATTCTTAAACTTTAAAATGCATAAGAATCACCTGGTGAGCTTCAAAAAATGAATGCCCTTGGATTTTCAGATTTGTAAGTCTAGAGAGTGGCTTCAGAATCAACATTTTTAATATGCTCACCATTCTGATTACAGATGGTCTGGAGATGACACCATGAGAAATAGTATTCTAAACTCTTGTCAACTGGAAAAATAAACAATGTTTTTAAATTATTCATTTGTTTCCCATTTAGAATTTATAAACTGGAAAGAACATTGCTTCTACCCTTACACCCCCCAAAATTTTGGATAATCTACAAATTTGTTTTTCTTGAACCTATCAGAGAGCTGAGGTTGAAAGGGAAACCAGCAAACCCAAAATCTAAGGAAACATGGACATCTCCAAAGGGAGACAAACACAAGCACTTGATTACCAAGGGCAGAGGCCACTGCTCCCAGATAAGGATAATTCAATGAAAATTTTTAGCAAATTGTTAAGGGCTGAGTTTAGGCTAGCAAGAGACTATTAAAGCCCTGGGGACCCAGACAAAGGAGAATTTACCCCTTCTTGCAGGCTTTTCCCCACAGACCTTACTGAGTACACACATAAAAGATGGGGAGCAGGACAAGAGACTTCAGATAGCATCCCATGTGCTGCAAGCCTGGGAGAAAGTAACAGCTGCCCCCACGGGAAATGCATAAAGCCACATTTGGATCTTTGTCCCTGATATCTCCCCCACAGAACAAAAGCCTTAAAATGTTGGTGGAAGGCAACAATCCCTGTCACTCTTAGAGCACTGATAAAGAAACCATTGCACCTGGGAGAAGGAGAGAGGTGGGGGGCAAACTCTACAGCTATAGGAAGAAGCAAGTATATGTTTTGGGCCCAGACCTAGAGCTAACGGTAAAAGAGGACCACTGAGAAAGCCCCACCCCCAAGACTCAGAGACACAATGCCTGCCTATACCTGAGACTTCTTTCTAAAATAATTTCAAATTTGATTTTAGATTCAGGGGGTACATATGTAGGTTTGCTATACATGAGTATATTGCTTGATGCTGAGGTTTGGAGTATGAATATTTCTGTCACCCAGGTAGTGAGCGTAGCACCCAACAGGTAGTTTTTCACCCCTTATTCCCTCCCTCCTCTCCCCTTTTAGTAGTCCCCAGTATCTATTCTTGACATCTTTTTTTTTTGTTTTGTTTTTTTGAAACGGAGTCTCCCTCTGTTGCCCAGGCTGGAGTGCAGTGGTGCGATCTCGGCTCACTGCAAGCTCCGCCTTCCGGGTTCACGTGTGTTTTTAGTAGAGAGGAGGTTTCACCATATTGGCCAGGCTGTTCTTAAACTCCTGACCTCGCAATCCGCCTGCCTCAGCCTCCCAAATTGCTGGGATTACAGGCGTGAGCCACCGTGCCCGGCCTTGTTGCCATCTTTATGTCTATGAATATCTAATGTAAAGCTGCTACTTATAAGTGAGAACATGCAATATTTGGTTTTTTGGTCCTGTTGTTAATTTGCTTAGGAGCATAGCCTCCATCTGCATCCATGCTGTTGCAAAGAATATGATTTTATTCATTTTTATGATTGCATAGTATTCCATGGTGTATATGTACCACGTTTTCTTTATCCAATCCGCCGTTGATGGGCACCTAGGTTGATTCCACATTTTTGCTATGGTGAATAGTGCTGCACTAAACATACAAGTGCATGTGTCTTTTTTGTAGAATGATTTATTTTCCTTTAGGTATGTACCCACTAATAGGATTGGTGAGTCAAATGGTAGTTCTGTTTTAAGTTCTTTGAGAAATCTTCAAACTACTTTCCACAGTGGCTGAACTAATTTACATTATCACTAACAGTATATAAGCGTTCCCTTTTCTCCACAGCCTTGCCAGTATCTGTTTTTTTTTTTAACTTTTTAATAATTTCTATTCTGACTGATGTGAGATGATATTTCATTGTGGCTTTGGCGTTTTCATTTCTCTGATGATTGGTGATATGAAACATTTTTCACATGTTTGTTGGCTGCTTGTATGTCTTCTGAGAAGTGTCTGTTCATGTCCTTTGCCCACTTTTTAATAGGGTTATATGTTTTTTGCTTGTTGAATTGTTTAAGTTCCTTATAGATTTTTGGATATTAGACCCCTTGTCGGATACATTGTTGCAAATATTTTCTCCCACTATGTCGGCTATCTGTTTACCCTCTTCATAGTTTCTTTTGCTATGCAAAAGCTGTTTAGTTTAATTACGTCCCATTTGTCTTATTTTTTTTTTTTTTTGCAATTGCTTTTGAGGAGTTACTCATAAATTCCTTCTCAAATCTAATGTCCAGAAGGGTATTTCCTAGGTTTTCCTCTAGGATTTTTATAGTTTGAAGTCTTAGATTTAAATCTTTAATCCATCTTGAATTAATTTTTGTATGTGATGAAATGTAGGGGTCCAATTTCATTCTTCTGCATATGGCTAGTTGGTTACACCAGCACCATTTATTGAATAGGCAGTCCTTTTCCCATTGGCTATTCTTGCCAACCTTGTCAAAGATCAGATGGTTGTGTCTGGCTTTGTTTCTGAGTTCTCTCTTCTATTCCATTGGTCTATGTGTCTGTTTTTACCAGTGCCATGCTGTATTGGTTACTATAGCCTGATAATACAGTTTGAAGTCAGTTAATGTGATGTCTCTGGCTTTGTTCTTTTTGCTTTGAATTGCTTTGGCTATTCAGGCTCTTTTGTGATTCCATATGAATTTAAAATAGTTTTTTTCTAATTCTGTGAAAAATGATAATTAGTAATTTGATAAGAACAGCACTGAATATAGATTGTTTTGGGCAGTATGGCCATTTTAACAATATTAATTCTTCCAAATGTTTTTGGAATGAAAAACGTTTCATTCCAAAATGAAATGTTTTTCCGTTTGTTTGTATTATCTCTGATTTTTTTCAGCAGTGTTTTATTGTGTGTGTGTGTGTGTGTGTGTGTGGCTATTGTAAATGGGATTACATCCTTGATTTGGCTCTCAGTTTGAACGTTATTGGTGTATAAAAATGCTACTAATTTTTTTTACATTGATTTTGTATCTTAAAACTTTACTGAAGTTGCTTATCAGGTCTAGGAGCCTTTTGGTAAAGTCTTGAAGTTTTCTAAGTATAGAATCATATTGTCACAAAGAGAGATAATTTGACTTATTTTCCTGTTTGGAGGCCTTTTATTTCTTTCTCTTGACTGATTGCTCTGGTTAGGACTTCCTACAACTGAGGCTTATTTAGAACAACAGAGAATGCTTCCCCCATACCCTACCACCAGGCTAACAAGAATCTAGTAACAAATAGTAGTAGTCTACTACTGAGAGAGATGCAAAAGCAGGGAGAGAGACCCTCACTGGGCACAATGCAAAGGGAAGACCTAAAGCTGAGTATAGAGCAGATATTGGAAAAAACCTTCTGGCAAACCAGCCCCCACCCTAAACACAAGATATGGAGGAATATGAAAACTGTGTTACGCTGAGGGTAACCATATCAACAAAAAAATCCCAAACTGGTTCAACTCTTAGGAGGATTGACTCATCTCCTACGTTAAATGCCAAGAATAAGGAAAAGCAAGCCCAGTTCCAGGTCTAACAGCTATAGTCATCTATCTCTTAACAGAGGGGATACATTCTGGGAAGTGTGTTGTTACGCAATTTCGTTGTTGTCCAAACATCACAGAGTGTACTTACAGAAACATGGATGTAGCCTACTACACACCTAGGCTATGCCATATGGTACAGCCTATGGCTCCTAGGCTACAAATCTGTATAGCCTGTTACTGTACTGAAGACTGTAAGCAATTGTAATACAAAGGTAAGTAGTTGTATATCTAAACATATTTAAGCACAAAGCAAAGTAAAAATACAATATTATAAATTCATGGAACCACTGTTGTATATGTGGTTTGTCATTGACCAAAACATCATATGTGTCACACGACTGTATTTAACTCAGCCTCTACTAAACTACACAAGATGTCTGGCATTCATCACAAAATTAGAAGGTATACAAAGAAACAAGAAAAGCAAAAACACTGTCAAGAGGAATAGCAATCAACAGAACCAGACTCAGATATGACACATGGCAGAACTATCTAAAGGGGAATTTAACATAACTATGATTATTATGTTAAAATACTCCAGATGAAAAAGTGACAACAGGTATGATGAGATGGGTAATTTCTGCAGAGAGATGAAAACTATAGAAAGAATCTAATGGGAATGATAGAAATAAAAAATACGACAGCAGCTCTGAAGAATGATTTCAACTGACTCATCAGTAGACTTGAAACAGCCAAGGAAAGAATAAGTGAAACTCAAATAAGCCAATAGAAATTACCCAAATTTACCACGTGCAGTGGCTAATGCCTGTAATTCCAACACTTTGGGAGGCTGAAGCAGGAGGATTGTTTGAGCCCAAGAGTTTGAGACCAAACTGGGCAACATAGTGAGACTCCATCTCTACAAAAAATTTAAAAAGTTAGCATGGGTGTAGTGCTGTGTGCCTGTAGTCCCAGCTACCAGGGAGGCTGAGGTGGGAGGATCCCTTAAGCCCAGGAGGTAGAGGCTGTGGTGAGTCATGATCATGCCACTGCACTCCAGCCTAGGTAGCAGAGCAAGACTCTATCTAGCAACAACAACAACAAATTACCCAAATTGAAACCCAAAGGAAAAAAGAGTAGGCAAAACAACAACAACAACAAAAAAAGAACAGAGCACCCAAGAGTTGTGCGACAATATAAGTCTAATATGCGTGTAATTGAAATCGCAGAAGAAAAGAACACAAAGCAAAAGTTTGGATAACATATTTAAATTTACCTTCATTTACAGTGCTCTCCATTTCTTTGAGTAAATTCAAGATTCTGTCTGGTATCATGTTTGTCTGCCCAAAGAACTTCCTTTAACAGTTCTTGTAGCTCAGGTCTGCTGGAAATAAATTCTTCCAGTTTTTGTTTGCCTAAGATCTGTAATTTTTCCTCATTTTTGAAAAATGGTTTTGCTGGGTATGGAATTCTAGGTTGACAATTTTTTTTCTTTCAACTGTAAGAATGCCACTCCACTGTCTTCTGGCTGTTTCCACTAAGAAGTCTGCTGTAATTGTCTTTGTTCATCTAAATGCAATGTGTCTTTTACTTCTGGTTACCTTTCAGAATATCCCTTGTTTTTCATTTTCAGTGATTTGGATTATATATGTAGATGTGTGTGTTTTGCTATTTATCCTGCTTGATGATCTCTGAGTTTTCTGGATCTGTAATTTGGTATCTTAATTTTGGACCTAACTTTGCCTAACATTAGGGTATAATTATTTAGCTGAGAACTAAAGAAGGAGATCTTAGTCAGAAAAAGAAAGGGTAAGCAATGTTTCAGAGAAGAGGGTCCAAGAGACAAAAGAAATGGCATGATTAGTAGCCTACAGGTAAGGAGAGATCCTCACACTTTAGGCAAATTAAAAAGACTTATAACTAAGTGAAAAGAGTGAATGCAAAGGTGCAATAGATAAAATTGACAGAGGATTCATTTTGGAAGACTGTGTAACCACATTAAGCATTTGTTATTATGGTAAACAGTGAAGGTTTTTAAGCAGTAGAGTGACATAATCAGATTCAAATTCTTAAATCCTAATTCATAATGATCACTCTGCCTGCTAAGTAGGGAGTAGATTGTGTGCAATGTCTTAGAAGCCAAAACAAATTTTTGGATAGAGTCTTCAGCTATGGACTCTTCTCTTCCATATTCCTTTACCTATTATATATCTCCTAGTCTCCCTGGAAAACTTACCTGTGCTATGGTCCATTCCTTTGGATCTTGCTAAATGTTTATAAATATCCTTCACACAGCTGAACTGTGTTTTCCAGACTCCCTTGCTGTTAGATGTGGCCACGTGCCTGAGTTCTGGGCAATATGAATAAGAAATAAACTTTTATTACTCTATATCACTAAGATTTAGGAGTACATAGTTACAGCAGCTCACCTACTCTTACAAATAGACCTAGTAACTACCTAATTAACAAGTAAAGTAAATTTCACATGGCTAGTGAATTCCTTGGATTAATATATTATTACGTGAAAATGTTATATCTTATAGGGGCACTAAGAAATTCATAAATAGATTAAGAAAACCTAAGTAAAAGTTTGTGTATTCTCCAACTCACACAAAATCAAGGGCCACACACTTTATTTTACCAGTCTACCTTTAGGAAGTTTCTGACAAAATCCTTGGGATTTATCATCTTAATTAAGCATGGTATGGTACAATGGAAATTTCCTTACATTTGCAATAGGGAGACTAGCATTATTCTTTCTGAAATGTTACTGACCAGCCATGTGGCCTTAGAAGAAAATCTTTTTTATTTTTTTAGACATGAAATCTCACTCTGTCACTCAGGCTGGAGCACAGTGGTGTGATCATAGCTCACTGCAGCCTTGAACTCCTGGACTCAAGTGATACTCCCACCTCAGCCTCCCAAGTAGCTGAGACTACAGCCATGCATCACCATGCCCAGCTAATTTGCTTTTATTTTTTTAGAGATGGAGGTCTCACTATGTTGTCCTGGGCTAAGGCAGTTCCCTCCACCTCAGCCACCCAAATAGCTGGGATCACAGGTGCAAGCCACCACACCCAGCAATTTCTTATTACTTTGGTTTCCTTTTTTTTTTAATCTGCGAAAGAGGGAATAATATTAATACCAATTTTCATGGGTAAAGGATTATACCATGAAGATTAAACAAGGCAATATCTGTATGGTAAATTGCTATAATTGTACTAATTATTTTCTCTTCCCTGTATCTACACCCTTTGCCAGGTGAAATTTCTCTATCAAAAGGAATGGAGTACATTTCCCCACACCTTGGCACGGAATTCATGTGACTTGCTTTGGCCATTATATGAGACCTTGCAATGTTTGCTTGCTTTCTTGTGCCTCTTCTATCTTTTCTTTCATTACCATGAGAACATGCCTAGGTTAGCTTCATGAAAGATAAAAGGCACATGGATCAGAGCTGAGTCCCCCAGGTCATCTGATAGCTCAGATCAATTGACAGCCCCAAACCCCCAAGTATGTGAATAAGCCTAGCCAAAATCAGCAGAGTCATGTAGCAAACCTCTAGACTTACGAGCAATAAACCCATATTGTTGTATGCCCCTGTGATTTCATAGTTGTTTGTTACACAGCATTATTTTGACAACAGATAACCAATAGTCTGGGAGATTAGGCTCCCACAAACTGTAAAGTATTACACAAATGTAAACTATTAAAGCTTAAGGATGGCAGAAAAATATATATGTATCCAAGGGCTCCCTTGGTCTATGAGATATTAGAGCCTATACAAAATCTCATTAAATCCTGTTTCAGAGAGTCATGGGATCCCAGTTCGTGTTGGACAGGACATTAGAGAAGATCCAGTCTTATCATTCTACTTGTGTATGAAAACTATTCTCTTCTCAGTAACATAGATTCTCTTTTGTCTGTACCAACAGACTTGTTCCTTCTAGCACTTCTATGCTCTAACAGTTACAAAAGACATCATCTTTAAATCCTGCCGTCTCTCTAGCAATCCCTGTGCACACAACCCAGGAAGCTGGGTCTGGTTCCATCCCGCTCATTTGGCCACTTCTCTGTGTTGACATCTGTCAGTTATGCTCTGATCATGCTGCAATTTGCAATTTTTCCAGATGCTTTCAACATGCGGCCACTTTGACAAGCTAAAAGCTGCTAATGCTGCATCATTTATCACATTTTCCCATGTATTACATTAATCTTAAAGACCCAGCTTAATGCACACAAGGACATCCTCCCTGAATACAGAAGGGCTAGTCTACAAGTTTCATAAAATAAGCATCCTCCCAGATCTCCAAAGGAATAAAAAGCCACAAGAATAAATTGGAAGAGAAACCAGGCAAGCTGTTTTGTATTTTCCAAAGGAATGAGGAAATTATTTAGCCTGATTTCTCTTTCAGGCATCTCACACATTGTTATTGCTGAACAAATACTTATTATTCTCTGAACAATGAGGTAATTCGAGATGGACCTTTTCTTCCCTAAAAGGAATACGGAGTCTTTCCAGGTCCCATTTCTGCATCCTGGATGGTATCTTCACCTTAGCTGCTGAAGGATCCTTTTTTCTCTAACCTAGAATAAGGCAGGAGGCAGAGTGCCTGTCTAGAAAAGTGACAAATCAGACATGACATACATATAGACCCATTACTTCTGTCATATTTCTCCTCTTAACTTTTCTCAGCAATTAAGGTTTCCATGAGCCTCCCACTCCTTTTCAAATCCTGCTCGTGAGGCAGTTGTAATTAAATCTCCTTAATTTCCCAGTGCTGCTTCTTCATAAAATAACTTTATCTTAGAAAAGTTTCCCTTCTAAATTTCCCCAAACACTCTTTCCTAACTAGGGCTGTGACGGAAAAAAATCTTTTCCTTCCTTTCTTCTAAGTCTAAATTCAAGTCAAGCACTACCTCTTGCAGGAAGCCTTCCCTGACAACCTAACCCAGCCTCATTTCCAGGCCCTTTCTCTGGACTCCCATAGCTTCTTATACACAACTCTATTATAATATTTACCACACTGTCTTGTAATCATCAGTGCCCTATTGTCTCCCACACTCAGCTTGTGCAAACAGAACAGGCCATGCCTCAATGGACTTTGCATCCATGGAGCCAGTTTTGCCAGTAGAATACGAGAGGAGAAACACTGACCAGTTACTTATCCACCCTCACAACAACTATTTTGTTTCCCTTGAGAGTGCTGTCAATGTGCTAAGCTTAATTAGGACACAGCCTTTGTTCCTACCTTGTTAGCATCACAAAAAGAATAAGATGTCATGATTTACCTGGTGATGAGCTTCATGGAATCTTCTGAAATCGTCAAATAACGTATCAAGTAATCTTTGAGCACCTGACATGGGGCCAGATTTGTACTAACCACCACAGTGGGAAGGGAGCAGTAAGAAGGATATAAAACTAGGTTTCAGATCATAAGAAATACATTATCTCGTTAGAGATTTAAACATATGTGTGTAAAACACTAACTTTACATCACAGTATATAAGTGTTATTTGAGTCACATAGACAATCATAGCTAGTTAAAGAATTCAGGCCGGGCGCAGTGGCTCACGCCTGTAATCCCAGCACTTTGGGAGGCCGAGGAGGGTGGATCACGAGGTCAGGAGATCGAGACCATCCTGGCCAACATGGTGAAACCCCGTCTCTACTAAAAATACAAAAATTAGCAGGGCCTGGGGGCGGGCGCCTGTAGTCCCAGCTACTTGGGAGGCTGAGGCGGGAGAATGGCGTGAACCCGGGAGGCGGAGCTTGCAGTGAGCCGAGATCGCGCACTGCACTCCAGCCTGGGTGACAGAGCGAGACTCCCTCTCAAAATAACTAAATAAATAAATAATAAAATAAAAAGAATTCGGAGAGGGAGAAATTACTGGAAAAGGATGAACGCTTTTTAAAGCAGCTTTGCAAAAGCAGCGAGTGTTGGACCTTGAAGGAGGGTAAGATCCCAGCAGAGGGCAGAGAAGCAGGCGCCGCCCTTGCCAGGAACAGCGTAAACAAGGGCGCCGAGCAGGATCTGCACAGTCTGTTTAGATGTAAAGAATAATGAGTAGACTCGCCCGGCTAGGATGAAGGCCCTGTGATGAGAATCATGGGAAATTAGGTTCCAAAGCCTGGCCAAATTATCTTCATTTTTTTCCCCCAATAAAAAGAACTGCCCAAGTCACCTACTTCTAAGAGACCCCATCGTATCCTTGTCCTGAACAGGAAATGTGCACTTAAGCAGGGAATGTGCATTATTACCACAACTCAGCCACCACCAATTACTCCTCAAGAGCACCATGTTAACTCCTCGCTAGCCAAGGCAGTTTCTCACACAGATGAAGCCGTCTGTGCTTCATTTATTTCCACCAACCAGCTTAAAGTGTACCCCCACTACATGCTAATAATCCATGTACTAAACTCCCTAAATAACTCAAAAATGAAGAAGATAGAATTCTTAACCTCAAAGAATGTCTTTTCCTCTTATTTTTCTTCTGTCACAGTTGTCTCCTCTTCTACTATTTCTTAGAGACAGTATTCGTTTAGGAGTTCCATCAAACCTTCTGTAGCCCTACCTTGCTAAACACATCTTAATCATGCTGGCAGATTTAAAAAGAGAAGAAAGACAAGCCAGTAAATAATTTGGCTTCAAAGGGGAAGTGGTTAAATTCTCAGCGCCTTCTTTATAATGTTAGATCTTCAGCCATTCTCCCCTCAGTGGTTAAGAGTGGCCTCCAACTGCCAGAAAACATCTTCTGCATCTCCCTCTGATGAGAAACAAGACGTCTCTCTTCTTGTCTAAATGAGGAATTGAACCCATGGCCAGGCCAAGAGAGTACAGTCCAACTCACCCTTCTGAGCATGACGCGGTCCAGCCTCTGAGCAGGTCCCCAAGACAGCACAGGAAGCCTGGAAAACCTCCCTCTCACTGTGCCAAGCCATGTGTCTCCTTTCATTTAAATACTTCCTGAAATCCCACCCTCTTGGTGCTCCCTGATGACTTCAGAGAATAATAATGAACTCCTTCCCTTCCTCAGATCCTGTCTCTCCACGAAAGGCTTTTGGCCACTTTCCCTGATCACACCCCCAACCCCAATCAGGCTTTGCATTCTTCTTTGCTCCACACTCCTAAATATATGTGCCCTTGAAGTGTACTCACTATAAATAGCCTGCTTTTAACTCATCTGTGATACTGTAAACCCTTTCTGGCGGTCCAAGAAGTCTTGAGCTTGTTAGGATCTAGGGAACTAGCCTTGTTTGGGGTTGTTGTTGTCAATGAACTGAGACAGGACTACATCAAACAAGCATTTCTTCGCATAGTATTTCCTCACTTAGGTCATGTGAATGATAGCAACTGTAAAAACCAATTATTTCTATAGCATTTATAAAATGCTTTCTGATCCATGACTTTATTTTATTTTTCTTCAAAATAACCCAGTGAAGTATCATTTGCATAATCCTCTCTTAATAAGGAAATGGAAGTTAAAGGAGATTTAAAAACTTGCCTTTGGTCAAGCAATAAATGGGGCCAGGAAAATTATTTGGGAATAATTCCATGTAGATGCTGCACCTGACACCATAAATAAATCTCAGATGGATTAAATGGTTAAACACAAAAAAATAAAACTATTAAGAAGAAAGCCAAAGATTTGCCTGATCACTAGATGAAGAAAGGTATTCTACACATAAAAGCAATGGAGGCCGGGTGCAATGTCTTACACTGGTAATCCCAGCACTACTATGGGAGGCCAAGGAAGGAGGATCACTTGAGCCTAGGAGTTTGAGACCAGCCCAGACAACATAGCAAGACCCTATCTCTACCAGAAAAAAAAATTTGCCAGGTGTGGTGGCAAATGCCTGTAGTCCCAGCTACTTGAGAGGCTGAGGCAGAAGGATCACTTGAGCCCAGGAGATTGATGCTGAAGGAAGCCATGATCACATCACTACACTCCAGCCTGAGTGACAGAGCTAGACCCTGTCCGCCCATATACACACACAAAAAAGCAATGGAAAAAATCCCAAAAGAAAAACATTCTGCTCTTGCCTGCCACCATGTAAGATGTGTTTTTGCTCCTCATTCGCCATCTGCATGATCGCAAGGCCTCCCCAGCCATATGGAACTCTGAGTCAATTAAACCTCTTTCCTTTATAAATTAAAAAAAGAGAAGAAAAGATCAGTCTACATAAAAATATAAAACACTTATGTGTCACAAAACCAAATAGAAAGCCAAACAGTCTGAGGGAGAATTGCCTGAGAAAGGAGTGCCTTCTCAACTATAGATTTCAGGCAAAAATATTTTTAAATCCCTCTAAATTAAAAGATATTACAAAAAGAGCAGACAACTTGTAGAAAAGTAAATACAATTAGCTAATAAACTTATTTTTAAGGTTCAACTTTAGTAAAAATCAAAGATGTACAAAATAATACAATAAAACACTATTTTTGCCTGTCAATGTAATTGTAATGGCAATACACAATGCAGGTGATGGTGCAGTAAAGTGTACACAACCATTACACTGATGAAAGTATAAACTGATGTAATCCTCCTAGAGCAATTAATAACTACCTACCAAGACCCTAAAAATATTCAGACAGATTGATCTAGTAATTCCACTCTGGGAACCTATTTCATGGAAACAATAGGGGATATTCTAGAAAATTTATGTATGTTAATATTCATCAGCAATATTTAAATCACAATTAATTTGCACAAATCAACATTCTATTATATGCAAATAATGAAAATACTAAGCAATGTTAATAAAAAATAATGTATATAAAGAATTATAATGAAAGAGCAAATATATTTATCATATATAAAAATATATATAATCTATTATATCTTATACATAATACATATAACATATATAACATATATTAAACGATATATTTATCATATTATTAAATAGTATTAAATACAATGTGTGTATATATTATTAAACACAATGTGTGTATGTATATATATACATTGTATTTAATAATATAATATATCATCATATATTAAATATCACATGGTATTTGCAATACTGTGTGTGTATATATACACACACATTGTATTTAATAATATATACACACATTGTATTTAACACATTATATACATACACACATATTTTATTTAATAATATTATATATTATCATATATTAAATATCACACAGTATTGACAATACTGTGTGTGTATATATATACACACATTGTATTTAATAATTATACATACACACATTGTATTTAATAATATGATAAATATTATATCATTTAATATATGATATATACACACACACATATATATACATACACACACACATACACATTGTATTTAATAATATAAGCTTGACTATATAACTATATGTATGAACAGTTAGGTTCTCCAGGATGTAGACAATAAGGAGTTAGGAAAGCAAAATATTTTATCAGGGAGTAATACCTGTGAAAGACAAACAGCAGAATTGCATGGGACCCTCAAACTACAGTGCAGAGGTGGAAAATCAGTGCCAGCCCAACAAGTAGCAACAAAGCAAAGATCGCCCTTTAGAAGAGCCCTATACTGGGAGAAGTAGCCAGGCTTTGTGGCACAAGCTGGCCCAGTCACCTACTGGGACCACCACTAAAATAGTGGGACCTTGGCTCGAATGCTAAGCCCAGTCTTGAAGGAGCTAACAGCTGGAGTCAAGGTGTTTCTGGAAGGGGAAGCTGAGTGGTCCACAACTGTATCTGCATAGAATAAAGGCTGGGAATGTACCAAAATGTTAATAGTGATAATGGAATTATGCATTAAACTTATTTTCCTTTTTGTACTTTTCTATATTTTTCATGTTTTTGCAGAAAGCATAATAATCACAAAAAAAGTATTATACTCAGAAAAATAGGATTTTTTAATTTTAAAATGAGGACTATCTAGGGATTTCTGTGTTCCTTAGTCTCTCTTACTTCCATCTTCACCCATCCTTTGAGAGTGGTAGTCCTAATGTATTCATATTAATAGTTTGCTTAGAGACATTTGTGTTGACATTATTTCCAGAATAAGACAAAGCCTTAAATTACACACACATACACACACAGAGTACTGCTTTTGGTTTGCTTTCTGTGGTCTTGTTTTTCTTCAAGTTTTATAAGGAAGTTTCCAGTTTCTCTCTCATTGTTGGACTGCATTGGAAGAAACAGAAAGAGTATGGGTGGGCAAAGATGGGAGTTTACATTTACTGCCTGCTACATACAGGGCAAGAGTAGGAGTTTTACAAAAAACAAGGTCCAGAGTCAAGTATGTAGCCACACATCTAGTAAAAGCTGGAGACAAAATTCACTCCAGTCAGTTTGGTCTCAAATCTTTGCTCATTCATCTATCTCTAGTGCCTTCAATCAAGAAATATCCATATCCTGCAGCTCAGCAAATTTGGCAAAGCTGATCATCAGAAACGCCATTGCATGCACTGTGGAGTTCTGCCAAGAGTGGGCAGAAAGTCAAGAGACTTGTTTTCTAACCCTGGCTATGTTCAAGGTATCAGATGACTTTGGACAATTTGTTTTCTTGCTCGTGGAGGCAGTGGCTGGGGCTAGTGGTTTCAAAAGGGCTTTCCTGCCCTTAACCTCTGACTCTCTCAATATTCATTTATTTGTGCATTACATATGCAATTAATACATTCATTTATATATGTATATAATGCTCTCAGCAAGCCAGTGCTATTGCCATGCCACATCTAAATAACTCATGAATGCATTCTGCTTCTATAGAAAATTGAGATCTTTAAATAGTTCCCTGCTATTGCCTCACCCAGAACTACTGATAAAGACAACTGCATTCACTGCAGCATTATTTACCAGCCAAAGACTGGCAACAATTCAAACACCAGTGGATAGAGGACTAATTAAATAAGCTATGGCACAGCGTTGCAATGGAATACTATGCAGACATATGAAAGATTTAGCGGACTTAGCCAATACTATCTAGGCTGGGCTTCTGGGACACCATATTCTCATATTTCCCTCCTCCCTGATTGGCTGTCCCATCTCAGTCACCTGTGTCAGACCTTCTTCCTCTTCCCAACATCTAAATGTGAAAAGGACCCAGGAATCAGTCCCTGGTCTTCTTCTGTCTATATTCTCTCTCTACATTCAATCCCAAAGTTTAAAATAGTGTCTGATGATACCCAAACTTCTATCTCCAACTCTAGTCTAAGCCATGCCCTCTAAACTAAACATCTCATTGCTTCCTGAATATTGTATTCATTAATATTTGAGTGCCTATTAAGGGCCAGGCACTGACTGTTCTAGGCACTGAAATTACAGCAGTGGAAAAACAAGACAAAGTCTCAGCCCTCCTTAACATTCCAGCAGCAATAACAGAAAATAAACAAGGGAATGGTAATTATGTTCTATAATGCCAGGTAGTGCTAAGTGCTGTGAGGGAAAATAAAAACAGTAAGAAGACGTAAGTGATGGGAGCTCTTTGAGATGGGATGACCAGGGAGGGCCAGTCTGGGGAGGTGACATACAGGAGTGACGCATGCCAAGGACAGGGTGGACGAGCCTTCCAGGTGAGGAGAACAACACGGACAAAGGTCCCAGGATGGGGACGTGTTGGCACATTAGAGAAACAGGAAGGAGGCCAGTGTGGCTAAGCAGAGTGAGACACGGGAGTCAGGGGAGAGGACATCACAGCAATGGACAGGGGACGAGCCCATGTGGCCCTGTGACCATGGCAAGGAGTTTAATTAATGAATATGTGTCCTGGTATAGAACAATTTCTAAGATGTATTGTTCCATGAAACAGCAAAGTGCAACTGTTGCTTAGACTCCTTCTGGAAGGACACACAAGAAATTGTAAAAGGTGGTTGCCTCTGGGAATGGACACCAAGGGGGAGCCAGTAACAGAGAAACCTATTTTTCAATGATAATTTTTTGTACTGTATTAAATTATCCCCAGGGACATGAATTATTTTTTTCAATTTATAAAAATCTCCTTCTATCTGGTCACTGGTGGTGTTCTAACTGGCCCAGTGGACTAAGCCACATTTGCCTTATCAATAGAACTCCTCAGCCTCATCTATTGCCTCCCAGGGTCCCTAAGCTTTTCAAGTTCACTTTGTTATCTGAATGGAGATCACCGCATCCTGTAGGTTTGTTTTTGTTTCATTTTGTTTTGCAGGAGGGAGGTTCCTCACCTCCAAGACCAAAGACCAGAGTCTGTCCTTCTCCTGAGCTCTCAGTGGCTCTTCTGTGGAAGGATACTTCTCCACTCCCGTCCCAAGGAATCTGAGAGCTTTGCTGTCCCCAGGTTACAGTGTCCGCTCCTCTCCCAGTGGCTCCTGGATGTTCTAGACCTCACGCAGCCAATTCCAGGGTGCACCACTCACATTAGTTTAGACAATACTATTTTTAAAGGACAGCTAGAATGTTTAGGAGGAGAAGGAGCTGTTTCACATGCCACTGTTTGTCCCTGGCCTGGCCCCCGCAGAACTTGAGACCCAAAGCCATAGCTGTCTTGATTCACAGATGAGGAAACAAGTTTATGGAGTGCAATACTTGTCTAAAGTTGCATAGTGAGTTTATGAAAGAATCAGGACTAAAATTCAGGTCCCCAGATTTCCAGTTCCAGGCTCTTTCCAGCTAGATCTCCCACCCCAATCCTAAGTCCAATCCAATTAGCCTTTTCCGTGGCTCCATGCTTGACTTTCAGCAGGAGCTGAAGCAAGAAGAGGGAGGAGGAGAATGAGTTGCCCAGCCAAGGCAGTTTCCGGAGCCTCCGAAGGGGCACTGGCCTCTCATGGATTTGGCAAATGCTAGAGGCCAGCTCATGAACACTCCTGGGTCTTTTAAGGACACCCTAGTAATCTCCTCGGACCTTCTTTGCAGACCTCAACACACACATGATTTCCCTCTCATGCTCTAAAAAAAAGAATCAGAGTCAGTTGTACTTTAAGTTGCCTGCAGAAACCTCATACCAAAAAAAAAAAAAAAAAAAAAAAAGGATGGGGGTTGATAATTTCTTTCTTTTTTTTTTTTTTTTGTATTGAGACAAGGTTCTCCCTATGTTGCCCTGGCTGGTCTCAAACTCCTGAGCTCAAGGGTTCCAACCGCTTCAGCTTCCCAAAGTGCTGGAATTACAGGCCATCGCACCCAGCCGGAGGTTGGTAATTGTAAAAGCAAAGATCAAATGATCAAATAAAGCAACACTTCTCTTTGGTAATGCATGATCATAAAGAGGAATGTTTAAAAAGACACCAAGGACATAAGATCCCATTTTTAATGAATTTATTCATCCAAGGTTACACACTCACACACACTCACCTGTCCTAGTCAGAATGCACCACAAGATTTGAGAATGACAGGTCTGATAGGAGAGAATCAAGAGGAAGCTTTAAGAGTAGCCTTCCTGTAACACCCCCAAGAAAGTTCATTGTCAAGAGCTTTTATCCAGTGCAGGGGATGACAGTGTCATGCAATCCAGCATTGTGTGCAGATAGATTACCTGCATCACGTATGCTTTGTGTGGCAATGCTGCAGGTCTGTATCCACACAGCTGTGTCCCAGCCTCATTCACATGGAGGGTCCTGAACATACATAGACTTTGACTGCTTCATGCAGAAACCTTACCAGTTGCTCTTGCTGTGCTTAGAACCATGGATATCTGAACAGCTTCTGAGGATAACCTTAGCCGAGCAGCTCTTTTGGAATTATGGGTCTGGCTCTAACCTCTGACAGTACTCAGAATAACAAACCATTTCTAACTTACCAGCAAATTAGTAATTCTTACTGCAGTTGCTATTTCTTTGGGGGAATGTATATTATTATATTATTTTGGATTGCTATTTTATTAATAATTCATAACCATAAAATGAAATGAAAATAATAGCTACTATCTTTTATTGAACACTTTTCTGTATGCCAGGTGCCCTTTTAATCAAATGGCCTGAATAGCTCATTTAATGTTCAAAGCAATCTTAGTAGTAAATTATGATAATCCCCAGGTAACAAAACTGAAGAGATGTTTGATAAGTTGCCAGTTGTACAGCTGATAAGTCAGGTCCACCTGCCTCTAACATTCATGTTTTAACCACTAAGTTACATGATATCCCATTCCTGAGTATTTAGAGCATTTATAGTATGCTACAGGCATCATGAAGGAAGTGATTCTGTTGTAGACTCTAACTTGGAGCTTTCTGCTAGTTAACCAAAGGGGCAGCAATAAACACTAGATTTATCTTCATACTACTGCTGCCATGTATGTGAAGAAAATCCTCCTTCAATAGGAAACTGTGGAACTTTTATATGCACAGCTACAGTTGAGATCTGGGTTAGGTAATTCATTCCCCTAAAAAAACTTTATGACACCGTAATTCACACTATTAACTGGCAATATGTCATTAACATAATTTCCTTCAGTAAGATTGAATCAGGACCTATTATGAGCTATTCATTATACAAAAATACAAATAAATAAAACAAGATGAGGTCTGTGGTCCCCAAGGAACTCACAGTCTAGTGGCAGAAATTTATATTTGTGATTAGAATTGCCATGAAAGTACAAAGTCCAAGAAAGCTTAGAGTAATTCTGTCTAGAGGAATCCAAGGGGGCTTGGCATTTGAACTAGATATGGAATTTAAACTGGGTCTTGAAGGGTGAGCAGGAGCTTCAAGGCCAACAGAGTGCATGAAAGAGAACTTCAAAGGGAAAATACCATAGAGAGGCTTGGGATACCACCGTCAGTGCCAGCAGAGCCAACAAGCCCCTGTGTTACTACCCAGGTGGTAACAAATGAGATTGAGAAGGACAGTTGGGTCCAGACCCTAACAGGCCTAGAATCTCACATGTTAAGAAGATTGAACTCCATCTGCACACAGGAAAATGGTGAGCCATTAAAAGTTTCTGAGCACAGGAGTAGAGCAATCAAAAAGCTTTCCTGGCAAAGAAAGATCCCTCTGGAGCCCAAGTGGCTAACAGATTAATAGGTATCTGGGCCTGGGTAGATTTGGTGGCTCTCAATATTTCATTAAATGAATTTCCTAAACACAGAAAGCAAGATACATTTTAATGTGTTTCTCTCTCTCTCTTTCTCTCTATGGCAACTAATCGTAATTATCTCAGAACGCTGAGCTCAAGAAGATATCTCCTCTGTTTACCTTCAGAAAGAACAAGGCAAGGGTTTACTCTGAGTATTAAATGTGCATTTTTATAGGTTTAGAGCTTAATTAAATAGCGTTGAAATCCATATGCAGGTTATTGAAAGTGTAAGTACCTGAAATGATAGGGAAAAAATACTTAGAAAGTTGCCACGTTAAAGCATTGTTATTAAAATAACAGAAAACGTCTGTTAAAAAACAATTTACTGTGCCCTGGGTTCCGTCAACTGGAGCTAAATACATGTCCCTTGGGTTCTTAGAGCATCTTTCTTCACTACAAAGAAAGTCAAGTAAGGAAATATGATCAAGTCCACCCCATGTACCTCCACACCTCCTCATTCCCCACCACATATGTAGGCAGTGCCTACCACCCAACACTAATATCATAACCCAGTTTACCATTGTGGTGTACATGACTCCAAACGTTCTTTAAAAGTCAACCCAAAAAAACCACATTAAGTTGGGGTAATCACCTGGGACAGCAGGGCAATTGAAAAAGGAAGCAGTGCCACTAGTCAAACAAAAGGGGCAAGCCCTCATGATATACTCCAGCATATGTATTGAGTTGGTCATCTATTCATTGAATGATCAGAGAGCACCTGATATATGCCCAGAACTGGCCCGGGTACCATGAATGCTAACAGAAATCAGAAACAGCCTTTCTCCTCAATCAACTCCATCTGTCTCTTGACATTTACTACAATTCTACAACTGCATTGTTCAGAAGAGGAAACTGATGCTTAGAGACACTAATTCACTTCAAGATCAAAGATCCCATCCAGGGGGAAAGCACAAACTCAGGAAGGCACATGTCATAAAAGAAATCCTGGAGTCTGGGGGTCAAATTTATACAAGGGGACTGCAAACAAGAGGACAAAACACAACCTAGGCAAGAGGCAGCGTGGACCATTATGTTCCCCCAAAGACCATCTTAGCACTAAAAACATGAAAAAGAGATTAATTTAATATTCATAGTAAAGATATTCAAGAGGCAGTGTATATAGTGGTAAAGTGTGCCGCCTCTGGAGACACAAAAGTCTTGGGTTCAAATCCCAGCTCTACACCTTTATAACTGTGGACAAGTTATGGGCAAGTTAATAACTGTGGGCTGGTTACTGAAGTTTGCATGGGTTGATAACCTTTACTGCAAGGAACTGTTGTGAGAATTACTAAGAGACAATATATGCAAAATGCTTAGTGTAGTGCCTGGCACTCAGTGAGAATCAATAAAAGTGAGCTATGATGATCAAAGTCAATAAGCCCAAAAATGAAATCATTATCTCTTCTCAAAAACCTGTTCATTCTGTGCCTGAATTCTCTATTGACATGATTTCCACCCACTCACCAAAATCAGGAGCCATTCTCAGTTCCATTTCTCAAACCACCACCCTTCCACCTTCCTCTACTATCATCATCATCACACCTAACATTTCTGGTGCCTTTCTAAGTTTGAAGATGCCAAGCCAAGCACTTTAGAAGATGACCTTCTTTAATTTGGCAGAAGAAAACCTTTATGAGGAAGGTACTGTCATTATCTCTATTTTGCATTTGGAGAAGGTGCAACTTAGAGAGGTTATGAAACTTTCCTAAGGTTCCACAGCTATTAAGTGAGAGCAGGAAGATTTTATAGACAGTCTGAGTCAAAACCCATGCACTTAAACACTATATTACATAGCCTCCCAACAAACAGGTTGCTCAATAAGCCCTACAGTTTCCTCTTTCCAATTCGTCTTGGCTCTACCCCGTCACCACCCTTGGGCCACATCCTGCTCTGCTAAAGCACAGGCACACAGTGGGTTGTATTTCGGAACAATCGTGGAGAGCTTTGAATGTCAGGCTGATAGGGAATTCGACCAAGGAAGAGTGTCTGAACCTGAGAAAGAGTGTTGCTGAGTGAGGGGCAGCCCCATCGGTGAGAGCGGACTGGAAACACAGAGGCCAGGGAGGATACCAATGCCATCAGTCAAGATGTGAGGTACAGAGGGCCTGAAGCAAGGGAGTGGGAGTGGGAACAAAAAGAAAGGCTGGATGCGACAGACATTACCTCACCAGGCACAAATACTCTCGAGGCTGGAACTTGGTTTAATAATTCTGTTACTAGGGCAACAGCAAAAGAACCTATCTCAGAGAGAACCCATCGTAGCCTGTTTCTGCACAGAAGAGTGGTGGCTCTAAGCTGGGAAAACGGGGTTGAAGGCAAGTGGCCAAGTGACGCAGCAAGCCGCGTGGATCAAGACTTCACATAGACATTTTTTAGACCTTTCACCCTCTACAATTTGGGGAGTAGAGACATTTGAAACAGGCTTTCCAAGAAGGAAGATAGCAAGATCTAGGGAGCTGAAGCTATTGAAGCCCCATGACAGATTAGCAATACTGTCTCTGATTTGTATTTTATTTTTCTTTGAGACAGGGCCTCACTCCATCACCCAGGCTGGAATGCAGTAGCATAGTCACAGCTCATTGCAGCCTCAACTTCCCAGGCTCAGGTGATTCTCCCACCTCAGCCTCTGGAGTAGCTGGGACTACAGTTGTGTGCCACCACACTTGACTAATTTTGTATTTTTCGTAGAGACAGGGTTTTGCCATGTTTCCCAGGCTGGTCTAGAATTCCTGGGCTCAAGCAATCCATCCACCTCAGCCTCTCAAAGTGCTGGGATTACAGGCGTGAGCCACTGCACCCAGCTGCCTCTGATATTTAGACTAATCTAAGGACACCAGGAAGAGGTGGGGGAGGGATGCCTTTGCCACATCTGTCATCATGGAGGATCCTGTGGTAAAGAGTTCAAATGGCAGCATGTCTGGCAACAAAAGCGAAAGTATAGATCCAAAAGCTGACCACTCAGCTTTTCTTTAACTTGGTATCACTGGAACAATGGCCAAGTCTTAAAGGTAACTTTCTCAGTGTGTCCAGGAATTGAAGTGCTAGGAAGAGCTTACCTATGGAAGTCATCCTTTCATCCTTTTGTCCTTTCAGGAATATTGTGATGAGATAGCCCTCATCGCATCATTCCATTCATCTCTTTGTTAGCCACCCCAGCCAGAAAAGAAATTGCCTTTCAAAAACATTAGGAAATCTATGTTCTATCCAGCTACATTCTCACCAGCCTAGGTACCTAGATATTTACTCATTTTCTGAGTAAGCTTAGGCAAATTGTTTTTCCACTTAGTTTCCTTACCCGGAAAAAGAAAAAAAATATATATATATGTGTGTGTGTGTGTGTGTGTGTGTGTGTGTGTGTGTGTGTGTATTTATATATATATATATGTGTGTACATATATGTGTGTATATATATAATATATACATTAACCTTAATCTCAACGGTTAATATAAGAACTTAAAGCCTGAAACATGTCATAAGCCTTCTGAAAGACAAGGGAACCAAAAGCATAAATAGAGCACATTAAAAACAGTAGTTTGATCTGGTCTGAAGTCAAGGCACCATTTAGGGCTAGAGAGGGACAATGTATTCCATGGAGCTGATGAAAACAATTAGCATTTTGAGGCACTGATGCTGTACAGTAGTTAGAGCTTGTGCCCAGTAGTAAAATTTCCTGTTCCAATACAGCCTTTGTCACTCACCAGCTCTGTGACCACGGGCGAGTGGCACCTCTGGGAGCTTCTGTTTCTTCATTCATAAGATGAGGGTCATGCAATATGACTCATTGCGTTGCTGGGAGGATCACATTCTTGACACAGGGTAAATAGTAAATAGTGGCTATCGTGTTTCCTTAAATCACAGGCAATCTATGTAACAACACTGGAAAAGCAATATTCATCATCTCTATTTTACCAAAGAGAAAACCAATGCCCACAGAAGCTAAAATGTGTGCCCAAAGCCACCCACAGAGGAATCTTCTCACTACAAAGCTCACACTGTGCCACAGTTTTCTCTCCCATTCTGAAATCTACAAGTCTCCTATAAAGGGTCCATATTCTCTTCCCAAATCAACTGGGCTTAGACAGCCACCATTATTGGCAGTCTCAAATCAAGTTTCAGGCATAAGGACTGCTACACATAATCTTAGCCATGGGCAACAGTTTATTGATTTGCTATAAGCTGAAAACATGATCTAATTCTGCCCCTAAAAAGGGTATACAATTTACAGGCTTCCCCTTGGATTCCTCTGGACAGTGAATCCTGCAGAAGTATAGAATGCGGATGAAGCCTGGAAATCAAAGATATCCCTGGGGAATGCAACAAATGGGAGTGATTTCCTCTGGCCCTCTGGCCTTTACTCTGTTAGAGTCCAATCTCCCTAGTGGAGACTCCGGCAGCCTGAAGGGAAAAGACAAAAATAGTTTCTACCAGCTGGCACAGCAAACAGAACCAAGGCTCATGAATAGACAGATACACACATATTCAGCCCTTAGGCCTCAGCCTTCCCGGCATGTTTTGGAACTCTTTTTCCACTTTCAGGCTGAACTTTTTGTCCCCAAGCCCCACACCTGCTGAGAGATGAGTTTGCTGAAGAGGGCCCAGGCAGTGTCAAAAGTCTGGAGTGAACTGGATACCATAAGTGGCTCCTACACCAAAGTCCTTGAGACTGTTACATTCTTTAGACCTGAACCCACAACATTCCCTGCCTGGGGAGCAGTTTAACAAAGTACTGACTTGTGTGCCCCTACGTTGCTAACCCCATGTAAGTCCTAAGTTGAGCACATTGGCAGTTTCAATGGAATAAAATGGCATGTGCACTTCCTTCTGCTATTTTTCTCCTGAGAAAATAAAAGCATGCCAAAATTAAATATCCCTTAGCACTTGTACCCAGACAGCTGAGTGGACTATTTACTAGCTAACATTCATGGTCTGCTTTGTAATCGCTTGACTCTGTCTTAGTTGCTTGGGCTTTGACGCTTCAATCATCTGTTCTCTCCCTTCACAACTGAAGTTTGATGGAACTTTAAAACTGGGAAAGCCTTTGGAGAGCGTCCTGTCTTGTTTTACAGAAAGAAAATCAGGGCTTTGAGAGGGCACGATGTCATACTGCCTCAGCTTCTCAATTGTGTTCACTTTGCCCTATATCACCCAGCCTCTTCTTTGTATGATATCAGGGCCTGTGCCCACCTGTCCTTTGGATCACCAGAGAGCTGTTTGGAGGCACACTGGCACCTGAGAGGGATCATTAAGCTGGGAAGACAGTGCCTCCATCAGATACAGCTAAAAATAGGAGCCTGCCTGAGAGCAGAGTCAGCTAGCGCGATTGTATGAGACAGGAGGGGCCTCTCCAAGTGCTCACTTGATGCTTCACCTGTCCTCCTGGAAGGATGGGCACACCAGCTATCCAAGGGGCAGGGGCAGGCTAATAAAACAGCCACACACACGAAGGGCGACCATGCTGCATCTGAAGCTGCATGAGCCGCTCACTGGGTAGAGAGATTGTCCTTTTTGCAGCCACATGATAGGTGGGACTATATGGTGTGATTAGAAGGAGTAGAAAGGCGGCCGGGCATAGTGGCTCACGCCTGTAATCCCAGCACTTTGGGAGGCCGAGGCGGGTAGATCACGAGGTCAGGAATTTGAGATCAGCCTGGCCAACATGGTGAAACCCTGTCCCTACTAAAAATACAAAAATTAGCTGGGTGTGGTGGCGCACATCTGTAATCCCAGCTACTCGGGGGGCTGAGGCAGGAGAATCACTTGAACCTGGGAGGCAGAGGTTGCAGTGAGTCAAGATAACACCACTGCACTCTACTAAAAATACCAAAAAAAATTAGCTGGGCATGGTGGTGGGGGCCTGTAATCCCAGCTACTTGGGAGGCTGAGCAAGAAGAATAGCTTGAACCTGGGAGGCAGAGGTTGCAGTGAGCCAAGATCGTGCCATTGCACTCCAGCCTCTACTGGTTTGCTGGGTGATGCCTGAAACCTTTCCATTATGAAGGAATTTGGAAGTCCTAAAGACACTTGGAAATTATCTACTTCATTTCCCTCAATATGTAGATGACAGAAATAAAGCCCAGAGAAATTAAGCACCTCAACCAAGAACAAACAGCCTAGTCTAGGACTTCCCAAAGCAGGATTTCTGAAATAATAGTTTCACAAGTTGTTCTTTGAAAACAAAATTTATTTAAGGTTCTGAAATCAGGTAATTCAAGCAATGCTACATTCTCTTTTCTTTGTCTAGTCTGCTTCTTCTTTATCGAACATATATTTATTCAGTCTCAAAATGAGGTACACACTTTAGAGATGTGGTCTAACCTGGCAAAGCTGAAACTAGCCCATGAGTGTCCAGGTTTCAGGACCAAAAACAATACAGCTACCTCAAACAAAAAGAATATTCCCTGAGGTTAAACCACTCATAGTGCTTTGTGAAAATGGTAATACTCCAGAGCCAGGCATAGCTGACTGGTGTCAGTCAATAACCTTTAGCATGATATATTTACCTAAGGCTTTTCTAAGCAGAGCACTTGTAACCATACGGCCAAACAGGTAGGCCTAATCCTGAGACTACTATCTTGAGAAAGCTAGTATGGATAATGAGGCTGGAAATGAAGTAGGGCAACCTGGAGATGGGGCCGTCTGAGGGGAAGAAGTCAGAAAGAGGGAGAATGGCATAAAAGAAAAGGTGACACGTCAGCAAAATCACTCCATGAGCTTTGGCGAGTGAATCAGTGATCATTTCTCATGGAAAGGAAGCAGACAACAAACACAGCCCTTCCAAACAAAGTATCCCTGCCACACTCCACCAGCAAAACACACCCTCGCCACAGCTCCCAGAGCAGTCACTTTGGAAATTAATTCTTTTCTATAGACTTCATGTGCTAGATTTCTCTCCTCGGCAATCACATAAGATCTAGAAAGGAACTTATATTTTAATAGAATTTGTTTTAATTATGAGGAAAGGGTGTCTGCCCTATCAATTAAGTCATGCTTCAATTAGTACAGCTATCATTGGGGTCATTACTTTAAGTATTTGAAATGTCTACTTAAATAAGGTCACTTTCAATTTGGTAAACACGCCTAAGTCATCATATTAATTCACAGCCAGTCACCCAAGGAATGCTGAGTAAGTAAACAATCAAGCATTAGCTAACTAGCCACAAATCCATCTGACTTTATTAATTTCTCTCTTGGCAAAGAAGCAAGAGAAGGAAGCAAACCATCAGAAACATTCTCACATTGTTCATTCACTATACATTTATTACATACCAGGTGCCAGGCACTGTGCTTAGGTTTCAATATGTTACTAATATTCACAACTCAGTATATATGAATGTTTTTAAAAAATGAAATCCAATTTTCCCAAAAATAAAAGTTTCAACTCCTCAGATGTTTTATCTTATTTCTGCCTGATATGCCTTCCTCCACGGGGTGTGTGATACATCCCAACTCTTCAGCTTCCAGGTTTTCTATCCCTCGCTCCAAAAGACTAATCACCTGACAAGTAATTAATGAATATAAACTCACACTAGAAGTACTAGAGAGGCACTCACTATTTTAAAAGTCCTAGGAGAATACGAGTGGTAAAAAAATACTTCTATTGTTGCACTCAGATTTTTTATATATACATTTGGGTTTTGTGTTAGAAGGAGTAGCTTACACTTATTCAAAAACTTTTTAAAAATACACATATATATATATTCAAAATGCAGACAGAGATGTATACATCCTAGGAATAAAGTCTGAAAAGAGTACCACTTTATCAGAGGAATTCCCCTTGCCTCATTTCAAAAGAAACACCCCCTTTCCCATCTTCTTCTGGCAACACTGAAAAACTGGCACCCATCCAAATCAATATCCAAGAAAAGACCCACACTGAGAACTGACCTCAAGCAAGTCACTGCTCATCACTAAGAAAAGGAGTTGGCCTGGAGATGTCCCATGTTCCCTCTATGGCCTGCAGATTAGGGGGTCCAATGTCACCTAATCTACTACAGCTCCATGGGGAGCGGGTACAGATACTATACACATCCACACACTGAACCCAGCCTGGTCTCCAACACACACATGCTGCAGGCCCCTACCCATGAGGCCCCAACTCCCCCAGGGAGTTCCAGCTGGCTTACCAAGACACATAAAACACCCTCACACCACCCAGAAGGAGAGGTGAGGAATCTCTTTCCCTCAGCCAGGCAGTCTCCTGAGGCTGCTGACATCACAAAGGTGTCAACTGGCAACCTCATTGTCATGTGGCTCTCCCCTGGCTCCCCTTCACTTGCAAACGCAGGGAAAGGGTGAGACCTTTCAAAGCTGCCAAGTGGGCAAGCTTCCAGCAGCAGTCTGGGAGCGAGCGACAGAGCCACCAAGCTGGGCGGCAGGGCATTGAGCCTCGCGTTTCAATTTCTGTTCAGTTCTCCTGTAATGGAAAATTGCTTTGCACAAAGCTAAAGTGTTACAGTTCTTTCCAGAGCCCCTCCCCCGCCCCACCCCCCCACCGGCAGCCTTCGGATCAGAGGACAGAGCCCGCAGGAAGGTGAAAGGAGGGTGGTTGTGGCTTCTTACTATGTCCCTTGCTTCAGGCCCTGGCCCTGGGTGGTTACTCTTTTCCTTTGGAATGGGGCTGGTATCAGGGTCAAAGTGTCCAAATAATTGTCTGTGTCAAGCCCAAGAAGTAATCTGCACAGGGAAGCAGTTAACCGAATACCCCCTTGACATACCCCTGAACACCCGGAGGCTGTTCCTGAACGAGAACAGAATCACTAGTTTGCCAGCAATGCATCTAGGACTCCTCAGTGACCTTGTTTATTTGGACTGTCAGAACAACCGGATTCGAGAGGTGATGGATTATACCTTCATCGGGGTCTTCAAACTCATCTACCTTGACCTCAGCTCCAACAACCTAACCTCGATCTCCCCATTCACTTTCTCGGTGCTCAGCAACCTGGTGCAGCTGAACATTGCCAACAACCCTCACCTGTTATCGCTTCACAAGTTCACCTTTGCCAACACCACCTCTTTGAGGTACCTGGACCTCAGAAATACCGGCTTGCAGACCCTGGACAGTGCTGCCTTATACCACCTCACTACTCTGGAGACCCTGTTTCTGAGTGGAAACCCCTGGAAGTGCAACTGCTCTTTCCTGGACTTCGCCATCTTCTTAATAGTGTTCCATATGGACCCCTCAGGTGAGGGCTTGATTGGGTGTGGGGAAGAGGATGTGATTGAAGTGGCTCCAGAAAAGGTGAACTCAAAAGATGGTCAGAATGGGAGAAAAAGTTGGGTGAAGCTGATTGAATGCATTCTTATTACTCTGCAGGGCCCACCCTTGGGTTGACTGGAGTAGCAGTAAGAAAAAGTTCTGAAATAGGAATTCAAAGAGCTGAGTTCTGGTCCCAAACTCAGCACTTACCAGTTGGCTACCCTTGAAAATGTCACCATTTCTCTGAGCCTCAGTTTTCTAATCCATAAAGTGGGGACAATAATATTACCTAAGGCACAGAGTTGCATCAAATATATGATGTGTGTAGAAATGATGAAGTACTCTAATTGCAAAGTGACAAGGTAATATAGGGACACTGTATTCTGTTGGTAAACTGTTTTAATCTGTTTAATTCAGCAACTGAATTTTTCCAGGATCAAAAAGTAAATTCAGTCATTCATATAGGATTATGATATATAGAAAGGAAAGTTTAACATAAAGATGGAAGGAGGGGCACGTGAGCTACCCAGACAGTGAGAGAGGGAGGGAAGAAGGAAGAAAGGGCTTTTGATAGCTGCTTTGTTTTGAAGATGCTGGCCTCCTATGGAAGGAGAGAATGGCATGAATCAATGGAGAAAGGGTCCAGTGCTCACTGTGTCAAGCAGAGAGATTCTAGTCTTACAGGTAGATAGATGCTCAGCTCTTACCTGGGAGATTTCCAAGCTCCTTGCCACCACTCTACCCGCTGTCCTCACCCGGCCTGCCACGGCCCCTGTGCTTCATTCCCTCTTTATCTTAGGGACTTTACTGTCTCATCCTTACCCTCCAATTCTTCTCTCCACCAATAATAGCATTTTTACCCAGGAAAGTCAGAGCTTCAGAAAAATGAGAAATAACTCCTCACAGAAAGTCTGGAGCCACTGATGTAATCCGGCAAAATTGGACTCTGGGTAGAAAATCAAATCCTGTCAAAACCATGTAGTTTCTGTCTTCCCTGGGTGTTTGCCTTTGAAAACGTTTTCATAGACGCAGCTTCATAAAACTCCTGCTGAAACTTCCACCATGAAGTACTGCCCAGGTGGCAATATGCTAGAAATAATCCTGGCCAGAATGACAGACTTCAAGGAGAACTGGGGGAGAGAGAATCAAGTGGTGACAGTAAGTAAAAAACGTGCCCTCCTGGCTTCCCAATGGGTGTGTCTCAAAAAGTCCTCCTGGCAGAGTCTGGACTGGGATGAGGCAAGCAGGGCTTTTAGGAGGCAAAATTTAAGGAGGCACTGAGAGCGAGTGCACTGAGAATAAGACATTGTGAGTCAGTGCCTCCTTAAATGTTGTGCCTTAGACACCTGACCCTACTGCCAGATACCTCAACTTGAGTTGTTAGAATAAATCAAAAGAAACTAACTTTGTCAGACCATCTTCCAACAGGACTAGAATGCAGAAGCAGTTATCTCAGGTAGGTTGCCTTGCCTCTCTATAACACCAACTCTAGGAGGCAGAGATAATGTTTTCTACTTTTCTCCAAAACTGTGATAGTGTCTAGAAAGCACTATCAAAGAGGTTCAATATTAATCATCCTCATGCATGACCTGTGGTCCATAAAGGGGATTCTCCCCTGTCCATGTTCCTGTAAATTAGCCTGTGGAAGGGTGTCATCTTCTTTTGCCCCTCCCCACCATACATGCACTTTTCCTTGAGTATAGCCCATCAGGTTGCAAGTGGGACCTCCCACCCCAGATGACAAGAGTAACATAGCTTGGCTTCCACCCCAGCACCTAAGCCTACCATTTCACCTCCCACTCCATCTCCCTTCATCAGATTTCTGCTTGCACAGTTGTATCTTCTCAGAATTTTCAGGCTGACCACTTTGGACTCCTTGACTCTTCAGTTCAATCCACAGTTGAATGGGATTATAAAGTAGATCTTTTTCACCGCATATTTTCCAAGACATCAGAAAGGAGTGTCTATCTTGTCAAGATTATAAGCTCCTCATGAATGAAGAGTCTGTTTTGTGAGGTAGACAAAGCTTTCATCCCCCAGCCGTGGGACCCCACACACGTACCCACAACTGCTAATTTGCTCATCTCCCTCCATTTTTCCACACATGGTACCTCATTTCCTTTAGCATGAGTGTCACACCAACACTTAAACTTGTGCCCTCAGCCTGTGGAAGAGTCTAGGATTGGTATTTTTAACCCTATCCTTGGATGAGAAAATAGACTCACCTGCCCAAAATCACACAGCTGATAAATGGCAAGAAAGTGACTTGAACCCCTTGATTTCAAATGCAGGTCTTTTTCCACAAGACTATACTATCTCGTAAATCCTCAAATTACATAACTATCATCCTGTAAGTGAGTTTAGTTATAAATATAAGTTATATTATAAACATATGGCTACAGCATCTAAACTTCAGCTTTATTTTCTATCTGGCTGCCGCTTGGAACTGGGAAATGATCTTGAGATCATTTTCATTGGATAATAAGCACTAACCGTCATAAATCCATTGATATGCCTGTACTTCCCTTGCAAACCCAGGTTTCACCCCAGTCTACCCCAACTCCAAAAGGGTGAATCTAACCTTAGCATTTGCTCTCATTTGGGCCTTAATCAGTCTGGTTCTTCCTTCCCATACACACATACAATCACAAATATGCACACAAACACACATGCAAACACAAATACCTACACACACATATGCAAACACAAAGGTTTGTATATACCATATATACATATGTTCATACCATATATAAATACATACTTACATACCCACACGTATATACCATTTATACATACATACCTACTTACGTACCCATCCACATATTACATACACACACATAAATGTACAAGTTCACACTCATATACATGAACAGATACATGCATACCCATAAAGTTGAACACACATACAGTAAAATTCATTAGCTGCTTCTCTTGCCTTCTAGCCAAACCTCAATGTAAGGAAAGGTATTTAATTCATTTGACTCTCAAATGATGGTTCATGGTCTCTGCTACGTGGAAATATCTTTGCTATTGGCAAACATTCTTGGTGAAGTTTCAAACTTAAGCCCACCTATTTATACCACATTTGTTATCAAAATGGTGATCTTTGACATATTCTAGCATGGAGCCCATGTATCTCTCTACATATATCCACATTTCAGGAGATAGGAAGATTTCTATGAAATAACCTGAGTTATCTGGTGTTTATAAAACAGAATCCATTTCACAAACAGACTCATTTTAGGCCCAAGGAAATACTGAACCTTAGCCCTGGGAAATTTTCACTGTAGTGTAATATTAAGGGCAATATGAGAGTGCATATATATTCCTTGAAAAGCAATGCAGTGAAGTAAAGGACTTCCATGCTACAATTCAGTTCATCCATTTATCTATTTAAATACTTATTGAGTGCCTACTATGTGCCAAACAAGTGCTCATGAAGGTAACTAACCAAGAAACCTGAGGTTGCATATGGAGACTTACGTAACTCTAGGTCATCTGTGCCATATCTATGTCATAGTTTAGTTGTGCATAACAGAACAAAACAGGGCAGGACAAACGAGGCCAGCATGTGCCTGCTGGGGTGACAGGCACTTGGGGCAGCCACTTGTCCTCCAAGAGATGAAGGACAGTCACCCTCAGGCAGCAGAGCCCAGTGTTAAGAGCTCAGGTTCTGTAATAAAATTGACGGGTTATAATTCTAGCCCTGATGCTGACTATCTGCAGGATATAAGATAAGTTACTTAACCTCTCTGAACTTTAATTTCCTCATCTTGAATACAAGGATAATAATAGAACCAACATTCCTAGGGCTGTCATAAAATGAAATGAGAACATTTATGAAGTACCATTAGCATTTAAGTTTGACACACCATAAGCAATCAAAAAACAAATGGTTGGTAGATGAGGAAAGGTACAGGATACTAAGAGAGTAGAATACCAGAAAGCAGTCAAGTGTTCCCCTAGATAAGCAGTGGACTTCAGGAAGGCTCAGCATACGTGGTGTTAGAGGACAACGCACCCTGTCTAGAAATATGACTATAGAGATGCAGGCGGGAATATAGATAGAATGTGGGAAGGTGGGTAGCTGCTTCTAAGACTCTAATCCATACAAAAATGGGGCAAGGAGAATCCTGGAGGGACAGGACAAGTCTATGTCACATTCTGACTAAGTTGGGTATTATTAGATAAGTTAAGAACATGGGTTTTCAGACCCTAAGGAACAAAAGCAGAAGCTCAAATCAAGACTTTGTCTCAGCCTGGGCCATGAGACTTGGGGCTGGACCAGCAGCAGCAGGGTGCCTGTTCCTGAGTCACCTGAACCTAGAACCAAAGCTCTACCTAAAGACAAGCTCCACTTCCAGAGGCAGGTGTGGATGTGTAGACTACATTCTAGGGATGTGTAGGCAACTTTCTCTAGCCTCAGGAGAAAGACTTCACCTACATGGTATAACTGAGCAATAAATACTTTTGCCCCAATGTGTCCCTATCCACTTCCTACCACTAAGCTGAAATTAGTCACTAGAGGTTCATCCTTTTGGGTCCCAATTATGTGTTATGATCTTGAAAAAGAAACTGCAAAAATACATGAACTCCTGGGAAGAATAAGACAAGTGTCCTTAAGCCTTTATCAGCTCTCATATCAGAAGGAGGAGTTAATTCTTGGGAATTTGATTAGCTAAGATTAATTCTGCAGCAGTGGAGAACCTTGAAGGAAACAGAGGTGCAAGAAGGAAGTGGAGAGGTCTTAAAAGAAAAGACATGAGGGCAATATCATACGCTTCTTCAAAAAATGTGCCACATTTTTGCTAAGGACCTCCCCCATAGAGGGGTTGTAGAGGAAGCCCAGTGTTTCATTCATTTTATTTTATCATAAGGCTACACTGAACAAGAATATCAAAACTTTCTCAAGTTGGCGAGATCTGGCACCATAATCAAAGGTCTGATTCAAAAGAAACTCTCCAATGGCATACTCACCAGATGTACTGAAAAGTATTCAGTTCTCAAAGAGTTAATGTAGTCATTTTTTTAAACACGAAAGTTACAGCAGAAATGGAGGTGTGTTGTAATGTGTCCCTTGCTAGGGTGCTCTATTGAGCCCTGACCAATACAGACTGAAAACAGACCCACACATTCCATTTCCTTTCTGGCCCAGGTTAGCAAGTGGGAGGACTAATTCCTGGCCAGCACTGTTATTTTCCAGTCATTAATGCTACTTGAAGGTGAGAGTGGTCATTGAGTTCTTCCCAGGATATTTGATTTCCCTCAGGGGACAGGGTTGAATGGCTTTCAGGAGGCTCTCGAAAACTCACTCAAACTCTAAGCTCCAAAACATACAAAACCTAGCCTCATACATCCCATTCCCCTCTACCCGCAAAGTCTGCTCTAATGCTGTCCAATAGAAGTTTCTGCAACAGGGTAAATAGTCTATATATATGGTGTCGGATACAGTAGTCACTAGCCGCATGTGGCCATTGAGCTCTTGAAATTTGGCTAGAACAAATGAACTGAATTTTTATTTTATTTTATTTCAATACATTTAAATAGCCACCTAAGGCTACTGGCTACCATACTGGTTAGGGTAGCCTTTTAACATAGGATGTTTAAGCTGGAACTTTAGAATCCAGAGTCACAGGTAAGTGGCTATAGAGAAAAGCCCAGCACAGAGATATCCTGACATCCAAGTTCAATGTTTTTCCCTGATGCCATGATATTTCTTTGCTGTCAAGCACATCATGATCCATTTAACTCTGAAACATTTATTGTATATTCATTATGTCCCCAACATTGCATTATAATGCTGGGGTGGCTGTTTCACCGAGAAAAAAAGTCATAATTTTTGTCTTGAATAAGATAATCTAGGATACGAGAAACAGAAAATAGAATTGAAAGCCAGGAAGCCCTGTCTTGATCCCAGAAATGCCACTGTGTGATATGGGGAAACTCACTTTCCTTCTTCAAGAGTCACTTTTCTTGTCCTTAAAATAAAGGATTTGGGTTAGAGATCCTCAAAGGCCTCCTATAGCTGGTAGCCTATGGACCTAAATAGAAAGATAAGCACACAGGAGGTGAGAGGAGAACAGCGCTCAGCAGGCAAGGTCCCAGGTGAGCAAGTGCAGAGTGGCAAGTGCTGAGGCGAAGGTGTTCCCAGTGATGAGGGCTACATCACATAATTAGGAAGTTCATTTAAGAAACAGATGCCTCTAACTCCTGTACTCTCCCACCTCCTATATTAAGCACCCTCAACTTCACTAAAACAATGCCTCCACCCCAAGAAACTCATTGCCCCAGACTTTCCTCCCAGGCCAGACCTGCTCAAACAGTGCTTCTCAAACTCTAATGAGCACAAGAATCCCAGGTCCTATGCCCTGAGGTTCTGATTCAGTCAACTCTTCATGCCGGTTGTCCTTAGGCCACTTTTCAGAAACCCTAGAACAGTGGCCTGTGTTCTGGACCTTCAGTGGCTGTTCCAATTAGTAAATGAATCGATTTGCTCTGAGATGCTAATGGCTAGTGTTTTGAAATATCCCCTCAGGGAGCATTTGCAATTTGACAGGGAACAACCAGAAACAGTGAGAATTCAGAAAGTGACAGGCTACCAGGGGCTAGAGTGGGGCGGTTTGAGGACAGAGAGTCCCCTCTGTGTCAGCTCTGATAGCCTTAGCCAGTACTAAATGAGCCTGATGGTGGGGCCCACACATCAGAGGAGCTTGAGCAAGGGTGCTGCAGAGGCAGTGGACAAAGCCACTCAGGGCCATCTGCAGGGAGCAGATGGGTTGAGTCATGTGCTGCTTCAGGTCCAAGTCATTTTGAGGGCGTTTTGAGCAGAGAACATCTTAGTTTCATTACGAGGTTATATCATCCTGTATTCAAGACTGTTGTAATGGGATAATGGCCCCATTTCTACCTACCAAGTACAAAGTCATCCACAACTGTGCCCAAACTTAGATTTCCGGAATGAATTCAGGTCCTCACGTTATTCCACTATCAATGCTTACCCATGTCCTCCATCAGGGAAATTAAAATAAAGACCAAAGGCTAAAAAAGAAAAAAAAAAAAAAAAGGCTGGGCAACCAGCAGCTCCAAGGCTTCCAAGGCTGTTGAAAGCCAGAACAGCAGCCTCCTGAGGGCAAGGAGGGGGCTGAGAGGGGTGCAACTGAGTCAGTGATCCCTAAGCCACCCAGAAAATCCAAGAAGGGATAGGAGCAGCAAGCATGGGACATTTAGGAACCCCTGGGTGATGCTGACACACTCCCTGACTCAGGCCAATTGGGATCCCTGAGAGTAGGTGATCGAAGGTTACTCCAAGCTCAGAAATGCCAGATTTCTACACCTGGCCCCTCAGGTCACCCAGCATCACTCAGGACTCTGAAAAACAGCAGTTCAAGTCTGGCTAAAGCAGCCAACCTCAGTTTGCTCATCTTTAAAGGTGAAGAGCTCCTCATCCTGGAGGTAATCCTACAAAGGATGGATGTGGCTAGAGAAAAGAATGGGGGCCCAGCTAGGAAGGGCCTTGAATGGTTTTCTGGGGAACATGCAATATATCCTAAGAAGTCTTGGGAGGCAAGTGAGCTGGAGGTAAGGCTAGGAAGGAAGCTCCCGTAGGCGTTCAAGCCAGACAGTATGGCAGCCTATGGCAACAGTGAGGAGGAGAGGTGTAGACATTTGAGAAGGAATCATTTAGAAGGCAGAAGCAACAGGATTTGGGACTGAACTAGCTCCTCTCATAGTTTCTTGTGCACCCTTTGTAACTTCTGGCACAATTCTAATTAATAAATGTGTATTCATTTAACATTTGTCTTCCCTGATAGACCGGAAGCTCTATGACAGCAGATCTGGATCTTCGGAAACAAGCACAGGCCTGACACAGAGAAAATGCTCAACTAGTGTTTCCTGAGTGAATGAATGAGATACAGAAAATATAGAAAAGGGAAAAATCAATGGTAGCTCCCAAGACTTTGGCTTGGACAGTGTGGGGGCTTTGCTGACATAAACACACTTGGAGGAGGGCAGTGAGGAAGTCAGGCTAGAAGTCAAGTCCCATCTTGACCTTACTGAGTGGGAAGTCCCTGTAAAACACTAGGCATTTGTATGTTCTGACCTGAAATTCAGAATAGAGGACAGGGCATAAAATATACATATATTTGGGGATCATCAACTTACTAGTGATCACTGAAACCTAACAGAAGATGAGATCAATCAGGAAAAAGAGTTTCAAGTGAGGATAATAAGGGCCAAGTACAGAAGCTTTGGGGAATGCAACATACTAAAGGGTCAAGTAAGAAAGAGCAACTCATGTAGGACAGCAGGAGCCCCCAGACAAAGGAAATTAGAACAGGATAAATTCATGGAAGCCAAAGAGTTCCAAAAAGTGGGAGCAGGTCAGATAAGGACAGAAAACTGTCCATCAGATTTAGCACCAGGGATCCCTGATGTCTTGGGCAGTTCTGCTGGCATGATGAGAGTGAACACCAATCCATAATGGGCTATGAACTGAACATAAAAGGTGTGAAGGAGTAAACCATGTAAACTACTCTTCTAGAAAGCATGGCTGTGGACTGAAGGGAATAGGGTGCTAGTTGGAGAGAAAACAAATGAAGAAGGAGGATTTTTAGGAGAAAAGAGATCCAACCATGTGTTTATCTGCTGATGGAAAGAGTCGATGCAGAGAAAAAGGACAAAGATACAAGAAAGAGGGGAAGTCATTGGTGGGGTAAAGTCCCTGAGAGGACAGAAATGGATGGATGATCTCCAAGGGGTAATCCTTGAAAGGGGAGTGGCACCCCCTCTGCCCTCTGGGACTGCAGAGAAGGAGGCGAGGGTAAACATAGATGGGGGTGACTGTAATAACAGGGGACAAATACAATTGAGGGGCCCAATTGGTGCCTGTATTTCTCTTTCAGTGAGGTGAAAGACAAAAAATGACTATATATCTATAAAGTACACATTTTCATGTAATGTTTTCTATGAAGCTTCCATAACACCAATCCAATTAGGCGACTATAAAATATCCATTGTCCTTGAGATGCTCACATCCTAGTTGAGCAGGCAACACCAAGGTGGGCTGTGGATGCAGGCCACCTGTCATTTCATCCTGCCTCTGTCACTTGCCGACTACTTGACTGTGGGCAACAATCTCCATCCAACCCAAGTCCTCATGTGCAAAATGCAGATAAAATAGTGCCTATTTCCTCAAGTTGTGATAATTAAATGAAAAAACCCACATGAAGATTTTAGAACTGCACACAGTACATGTTCAATTAATGCTAGCTGTCGTTGTTGTTACAAATTCTTTGCCTGGCAGTGATTCTGAGTGTCACACGAGATGCAGAGGACGGGTAAAGCAATGTGGGTTTGCAGAAACAAACAGGGTGAGCAGAGGCAAGGAGTTCAACTTGGGGGAGCCAGAGCTCTTGAGGGGGACGTTAAAGCTTCCAAGATGATGTCATAAAAAACACCTAATCTGCTGCATGACCCATATGCAATGATAGGTGGTTGTTGTTGTTGTTGTTGTTGTTGTTTTTTGGAGGCAGACTCTTGCTGCTCTGTTGCCCAGGCTGGAGTGCAGTGGTGCAATCCCAGCTCACTGCAGCCTTGACTTACCAGGCTGGGGTGATCCTCAGCATCCCCAGGAGCTGGGACTATAAGTATGTGCCACCATGCTTAGACAAATTTTTATTTTTAGTAGAGATGGATTTTGCCACATTGGCCAGGCTGGTCTGGAACTCCTGACCTCAAGTGATCCACCCACCTTGGCCTTCCAAAGTGCTGGGAGGTGTGAGCCACTGCACCCGGCCAATGATAGCTTTTTTGATCACACAGAAGAATTTGGCCTTCTCCTCAACCCAAATAAGAGAATAACTAAAAATCCAATGCATCCAATTAAAACATAGTTAAGATGGAATTAAAGTCATGTTAGACAAACCCTTGTAATTTTCAATGCATTTTCTTCTAACAGCCAAGATGCTTTGGTCACAGCATTTGGCTGAGATGAGGCACAGGCATTGTCATCCCTATTTGACATTTACAAAGAGGTAAGGAGCCCAGACTGGGATCTGAGTACATGCATTCACTGACAGTTACTGAGCACCAATCAGATGCCAGCCGCTTGGCCAGGCACGGGGCATACTGGTGTGAACAGAAACAGACATGCTCTCATGAAACTTACATTCTAGTGGGAGAAGAAGACAATAAATAAATTGACATATGACATAATGTCAAATAACAAGTGCCATGGAGGAAAATAAGAGAGGGGAAGAGAAGAGTGTGCCTGAGATTGAGAACAAGGCAGATACTTCAGGCTCAGTGGGCCTGCGGAGGTGGTTTTGAGCAGAGAACTGAAATAAAGTGAGAGAGAAGCCAAGGAAATATTACAAGGGGTGGAAGAAGGTCTTTCTAGACCAAGGGGAGAACGAACACAAAGGCTCTGGGCTGGAATAGAAAGGGAATATGGCTGGAGCAGAGTGAAGGAAAAGGAGAAAGGGAAGAAATGAGATAGAAAATTACTGAGGCCAGGTCACGTAGGGTAGATAGGCCATGGAGAGGCTTTTGATTTTATTCTAAGTGTGATGGGAAGTCATGGAAGGATTTTGAGCAGGGAAGTGACATGATCTGTAATTACAGATTGCTCCCACTGCTGTCTCCAGATAGAGATTGTAGGAAAAAGCAAGGACACACATTCAGAGGCCAACACAGTTCAGGCAAAAGAGGACACTGGCTGGGACCAGGGCAATGGTCCAGGTAATTAGAAGAGGTAAGAATCAGGATACATTTTGAAGGTAGGACTAGCAGGGTTTGCTTATGATCTGAACATGTAATGTGAAAGAGGAAGCAAACAATTTCTGCCTGATGTTTCTGCCTGGTGAACTGGTGAATGATGGTGCCCTTCGGCTCCTGGGGTTTCACAATGGTTTGTTATCCATGAGGACAACTGTCTGCTCTCTGGATTTTTCTGAGCAGATGGGTAGTTATTAAGCAGGCTCAGCTCTAGGCCAAACTGAGAAGAAACTAGAAGAAAAAAATTTAATTTTTAACTTCCAAGAAGAACCTGGTCCCAGCCGCCAGCCCCACCATGCAGCTTGTTCCCCTCACCCCACCAAAAGGTGGTAGCAGGGGGCTACCCCTGAGTAGGGATTAAGTCATTTGCTTCTTTTTCAGAAAACTTTACACTTTGAGTGTTATTTTATTGGTGAAATGGAATGTTTCATCTCCCACTGACAGAGTTCTGGGTACTGACAAGCCCATGAGAAGGAATTATGAGAAAAAGAAAGCTTTTTGCCTCTGAATCATGCCCATTTGCAACCAGTTATACACGAGACCAGTTCTGTAACCTAAAACACCTGTAAAGCACAGGAATAATCAGGTTGAACTTGCTAAACGTCAAGGTCTCATCTCCATGTTCCATGAGTCTATGAATCACTTTTAACCTTTAAAAATCTATAGACTCTATATACAAGGGGGGGAAATTGTGAATACCAGATAAGAATTATACTTTGCACAAGCCCAAATAACACAAATCCTTAAGGTTTTAAGGTGCCTAGGATGGATTAGACCAGGAGTCAGCACACACTTTCCAGAAAAGGCCAATAGTAAATATTCTAGGCTTTGTGGGTCTTCATTGCACCTACTCAACATTGCCATTAAGGTGAAGGCAGCATTAGAAAATATGCAAAAGGATGGGAAAGCTGTGTTCCAATAAAACTTTGTTTACAAAACAGCAGGCTGGATTTGGCCCACAGGTTGTAGTTTGCTGACCCCTGGCTTATGCCATCATTGCATGACAGCTGGGCAATGAGTAAGTGGAGCTCCAGAAAGGCAAAGGTAGAAGCCAGTGCCAGGGCTTGAAATTCTCATAGGTTTGTGCATGAGGATCTGAGAAGGGGCCTTGTTGGCCAGTTGGCTTTGGTGTTCTTGAGCAGTCATATTGCCCAACCTAGGTTTCCTTCTAGGGAATCATCTCCTCTGGGCACCTGTAGTACGACAGAATATATAATAGTGATCCCTTCATATTCCATTTGGGGAACCTGTCCTAAACAACAGGCCAAAGACATCAGAGTTTTAAAAGTGCTATAGGAGATCAGACCAATAATCCACCCTTGCATTCATTTATTGAGCACCTACTGTGTGCCAGGCACTAAGGATACAAGAGTACAGAAAAAGGGTCTCTGCTCTCAAACAGTTCTCGAAAAGTAATTTGGAAATAATAATAATTACCTTTTGATATCATGTCTGCAGCAGTTTGTCCTCATACTCTTACCCTTGTTTCCTTCTCTTCAGTCTCACAGGACAGAGGAGGTGCTCTTCCCAGTTCAAGGCTTATACCTCCATTTGGTCCTAGAGAGCATCCATTCCTGCCTCCTTGGAGCTTCACTTAGCTCACTGAACCCTCCCCAGACTCTCATAGGGATTGGTACTCACCCAGTGTAGAGTGTCCGAGGCAGTCCAAGGTCAGCTGACCCACCTATGGTATTCTACCACTCAGGTTCCCTTTCCTCCACCTGAGCATTACGTCAGGGACAGTGAGCCCAAGGGGTTTGAATAACAATCAATTCATTCAACAAATACGCCCTGTGCTCTAGCATCCTGATAGACGTCAGTGAACAAAACAGACAAAAAATTCTTATGCTCATAGTATCTGTAATCTAATGAGTGGAGTCAGAAAAATGAATAGGTGGCAAATCAATTTCCTTGACAAAAACATAATTTAGCTTGCAAAAAAATGGAAGGCAAAGCACTGTACATCTAGTGATATTTGGGTGGACTGGGGCCTAAAAGAAAAAATGGGGGAATTAGGCTTTTCTCTAGATCCAGGGTAGAAGTTGACGAAGTGCTTGACAAGGTGCATAAAGCTGATAGAAACATAATTTCCTCACTGAGAAGTAATTGCAATGCCTTCAGATTCCACCCTCTTGCTTTCCATTGCCACTGCCTAGATGCTCACCCCTCCAGTCAGCCCAGAAGGTTCCTGAGCAAGCTGCCACAGGGGCTCGAGCAACCTGCCCATGGCCTGGCTCCTTTGGGGGCACCAAGGCCCTGGGAACCTGCAGCACAGCCCTGGGCAGAACTGGGGTCCCTCCTGAAGACCAAGAAAAGAACCATTTCCCCTTATAACTGGCGGGTTCAATACTGTTTTCTGAAAGAGAGGCCTCCTTGGCTCCTACACTAATAGGTGTGGTTCCAGGACCCAGACACCGTAGTTCTTCCATGCATCTGATTCTGACAAAGAGGTTTTCTGCCTTTGAGCAATATGTTGTGTACAGAAATAAACCAGGTGGTGGTTTATGTTTCCTTAGGAACTATTTGCAATAAGAAGTTCAATATTAATGACATCTGTAGTTAATGCCTGGCCCACTGGAGTGAGGCTGAGGAAAGGGATGGCATAAAGTTGGGTCACCTGTCTATAAAATTAATGGAAGCTCCTGGAGTTGTGCAGTGCACAGCATGTAAAACAGTACTTGCCGACCCCCTGTGTGAGAGGCAAGGAAATTAAGAAAGCCAGAGAAGGAAGAACTGATGTATAGTTTATTCATTCCATAGCATGGGAATAATTAAAACTACCCTGTGGGGTGATCAAAAGTAGAGCTTAGAGCTTAATTTTGTAAAGCATCTCATATAGTGCCTAGCACATGTCAGGCACTCCAGGATCAGTAGATGGGTATAAAACCTCTGAAGTCATCATACTAGAATAGTAAAAGAAGGTATGGTTAACGAGCTAAAGAAAAGGAAGTTAAATGATTTTTTTAAAAAAAGGAGGCAACAGGTTAGAAAAAGGACATGAAATAAGTGAGACAAATAAAAAAATAGATACTAGGTATAAATCCAAATATATCAGTAATTACATTTAATGTCAATGGGCTTATTAAAATACAAAGTTTGCTAGCTTGGATGAAAAACAAAACCCAGCTACATACTGCTTACAAAAATATACCTTAAATATAGGAACATAGAAAGATTAAAAGTAAACGGACGGAAGAAGATACACAATGCAAACACTAACCAAAAGAATTTCAATGCAGCCATACTAATGTTAAACAAAGTAAACTTTAAGGCAAGAAGCATTACTAGAGATAATGAGAGATATTGGTCAATGATAGAAGGGTAATTCTACCAGGAAGACCTAACAATTATAACTTTGTATGCACCTAATAACACAGCTTTAAAATTTGTAAAGTGAAGGCCAGGTGTGGTGGCTCACGCCTGTAATCCCAGCACTTTGGGAGGCAAAGGCAGGAGGATCACCTGAGGTCAGGAGTCCGAGACCAGCCTGGCCAACATGGTGAAATCCCATCTCTACTAAAAATATAAAAATTAGCTGGGCGTGGTGGCGTGTGCCTGTAATCTCAGCTACTCAGGAGGCTGAGGCAGGAGAACCACTTGAACCTGGGAGGCAGAGGTTGCAGTGAGCCAAGATCATGCCACTACACTCCAGCCTGGGCAACAAGAGTGAAACTCTGTCTCAAAAAAAAAAAATTGTGAAGCAAAACTTGAAAGAACTATATGGAGCAGACCAATGCACAGTAAAAACTGGTAATTTTAAATAATTAGAGGAACTAGTAGACGATTGTCTAATAATAACTAAGAGACAATAGATGTTTATAAATAAAAAGTCAATAAGGGTATAGAAAATCAGTACACCACCACAACCTAACTGACATGCATAGAACAATGTACTCAACAAAGAATACAGTAAATCCTAACTTAATATCCATAGGTTCTTAGAAACTGCCACTTTAAGCAAAATGACATATAGCAAAGCCAACTCTACCATAGGCTAATTGATAGAAGCAAGAGTTAAGTTTCTAAAGCTTATTTCTAGTCACAAAAACATCATCAAACTTCTAATAAAGATCAAAAAACCCTTCTAATATTTAGCATTGAAATATGAAACATACATACATTTAAGAAAGATTTATACAAACAAGTAAGATAATATTTGCCTAATTATTTCAGTTCAGGGTTGTGAGTGGCTGGAGCCTATCTTGGCAGCTCAGGGTGTAAGGTGGGAAGCAGCCCTGGCCAGGACACCATTCCATTGGGGGCCATGCATACACATACTCACACATACTTAGACTGGCACAATCTAGACACACCAGTCCACCTAATATGCACATCTTTGAGATGTGGGAAGAAACCAGGGCACCTGGAGAAAACCTGTCCAGACATGGGGAGCGCACACAAACTCCATACAGACAGTGGCCCTGGCTGGGAATACTTTTTTTCTCATTAACATTGTAACAAAATGACATAGAATGAAATAATGTTGTTAGAGGATCTACTGTATAATATATTTGTAGCACATGGAAAATGTACCAAAATTGACCTTACATTCAGCCATATAGCAAATTCTCAAGAAATTTCAAAGGATCAGAGTGTTTCTATAGAATTAAACCAGAATAGTAGGATTAACCTAGAATCTCATAATTTAAAAAAGTACCAGAACATCCCTCAATTTTACAAATTACACAATTCAGTCAATGAATGATAGCTCTTATTAACAAGAACAATAATGATCAGACATGGTTTATACCTTTAAGAGCTAAAAGTCTACCTGGTAGGGGAGAAAGGATGCACATTGTAAATAACCATCATGCAAGATAGAATGTGATAGGTACTTAAGAATGACACAAGGAAATGCTAGGGATGAGTTCACGAGTGGGAACAATCACATGTCCTCTGAGCTCTGAGGACGGGGTGGTTGAGGGAGGTCTCCCTGGAATAGACGCATTTAGGCTAGATCTTAAAAGATGGGAAGAACATGATCCTGCAAAACTAGGGGTATGAGGCATTTGACAAAAAAGGAGCAGTGTAACAAAGTAACTATAGATGAGGGCAAGGGTGAGGTGTAATCAAGGCATAATATGTAGTTTAATTTAACTGGAGCAAAGGTTACCAGCAGTGCTGAGAAGGAGGGAAGGGGAGAAGGGTAGCTGCTGAGGGGCTCTGAATGCCAGGCCAAATGGTCTGGGTGTTATTCTGAGGTTCACAGGAGGTCAGAGGACTGTTTTGAGCCAGAGTGTGACCGAGAAGAGCTGTACTTGGGGAAGGCAATTTGGCAGAAGTGTGTGAAATGGCCCCGAGCTGGGAAAAGGAAACAATGGAGATAGGGAGCCCGGGAGGGGAGAGCCCAAATCTTGGCAGTGACTGCGACTGGGAAGAGGGGGAGATAATTCAGTGGGAGAGAAACCCAGGCCTCCCTCCCAACAAAGCCACCCACATCCCTCACTTAGCAGCCTAACAATGCATTAAAATCACTGCCTAATTGCTCCTTTCAAAGTTAATGCTCCAAAATGGGGAAACGTGTGTGATGTTTAGTCTCATCTCTGCCGCCCAAGCTGCAATTTGAAAGCCCAATCTTTTTAAAAATAGAATGAGATAAACCCCCCTAGACACATCCCAGACCCTCCGAATCCCATGTTTGCCTTTCTCAAATACATCTTTCTTTGAAGATTCATGTGTCTCCCACAGTTTGGGCAGGTGACCTGAGCTCTCTCTCGATAGAATTCCTGGAGAGCTCCCAGGCGCCTCCCCTGCTCATGGGAGCCCCATGCCCAGGCCTCCTGGGCAAAGCCACAGAGGTCCTCAAGCCAGGCTGACTAGAAAGAGGTACAGAGGCATAATTGTGTTCCTGCAACTTCAGCCCTCAACTCCTTTCCCTCTACTTGAGAGCTCTCTGGTGGGGCAGGTTTGCCCTGAGGGCCACCATCCCACACTGTCTAGAGAGAGGCTTCTTCCTCTCCCTTCCTCTGTAATCATTACAAACAGTGGATATGACACAGTTCGTGCACTGGCTTCCCCTCTTGTGTCTAAAAGCTTGAGTCCTAAACAGCATTACACACTGCACACCATCTTCCTGAACAAAACAAAATGACTTTGCTGTAGGTGCATTGATACAGAAGCAAGAGGCAAGTATTGGTGTCCGGGTGAAGAGGACTGCTCTTTCCAGCCACCCATAAGCCCAAATGCCTTCTCCCCAGCCAACTTACTTCTGTACTTTTTCTTTGAATGCTGCTTCCAGCCCCCATTAGGATTTACCTAACTGAACCTGATTTTCCTAACATCCTGGGTCACCAAGGATAGTGATGTTTTCACTAGTCAGGCAGTTCCTGCCCTGAAGTTTAGAGGAAACTCCTCTCCACAATAGCTCCTGTTTGCAAATCCCACTTACGCAAAGCAAGCTCACACTGGCTTTCTGTCTTCTGTCTTCTATCTTCTATCTAGATTCTGCAGTTATCTAAAACCTTCAAGTTATGGGATCTCCTGAATCTCAGTTTCCTTATTTGTAAGACAAGGAAAATAATATTATGTGCATCAAGGTTATTATTAGAATTAAATGAGATATTTGTAAATAACTTAGTGCATAGTAAGCACTTAGCAAATACTGGCTGCTATTATAATTTTGATTATGGTTGTCTCAAGCCCTGAGCCGGAGCTCAGTGATCTAGTGTGTGCTGGATACATTCACCTGAGCACATCACACAAGCACTCAGCCTCAGCATGGAAGAGTATATGGAGTTAGAAAAATGTAGGGGCAGTGATAGGGCTCCGAGGATTCCGTGCTTGAGGCACAATCACCTGTGCCTTCTTACCTATGTCAGTCAGTTCTCTCAACTACCCTGAGAAGTGTCATTCTTTGCACTGGTAAGATGAGGAAACGGAATTCAGAGACAGAATCCGGTATCCTGCTGAAGTTTACAAAATTAGCAAGTAACAGAATCTGGATTAGAAGCCTGGCCTGTCTAGCTCCAGAGCCCACTTTTCTTTCTGTTATATAGTGAAGGCCATGGCGCTACATATGGGGAGGTGCTCAGAGAAGTAGCCAGGAAGCTGAGTCAGCTACTAAGACTGACTGAAGACTCATGTCGATGACATAATCAGCCAGTGATGGCCAACATCACCACCAAGAAGCAGAACTGCTTTCCCTATTGGCAACCTGTTTACCCTGGGCTCCCCTGACTTGCTCCGGGGGGAAAGTGGTGAGCGGGTAGAACACACAGTAAACATTTCAGGAGAATCTCGTCTCCTGAAGCCTATAGTTGAGTGGCTTGCAATGCTCTCGGGGGATGCTAGTGATGCCAGGTTGGACTCAGCTACTGCTAAAGAGAAAGGGACAAGGTGAAGGGAAAGTCGGGATGGAGGCAAGGGAGGGGCAAGAGGGAGGTGACTGGTAAAGAACAGAGAGATGTCAACACTCCATGGCAATCTTGCCTAACCTTCCAACCTCCCCACCCCTGTTGTGGCCTCTCCTTCCTTGAGCATCCTTAAGAAGCATTTTCATGGCCTGAATGCAGCAAAGCCTGGGGACAAGGAACAGTCCAGGCCCAGTACTTCTCAAACTCCAATGTGCAACAGATACCCTGAAGGTCTTGTTGAGATGCAGATTTGGATTCAGGAGGTCACAGGTGGGTCCTGAGATTCTGCATTTCTAACAAGGTCCAGGTGATGTCGATGCTGCTGGCCCACAGACCACACTTGGAGCACTGAGGGTGCAGATGGTCCCTCCTGATCCCCTTTGGCCTTAGGACGCTGGGAGTCACGCTGTTTCAGCACCCTGCCTGCTGTGTTTTTCTTCTTAGATGATCTAAATGCCACATGTGTGGAGCCCACAGAGCTGACAGGGTGGCCCATCACCCGGGTGGGGAACCCACTCCGATACATGTGCATCACGCACCTGGACCACAAAGACTACATCTTCCTGCTGCTCATCGGCTTCTGCATCTTCGCCGCGGGAACTGTGGCTGCCTGGCTCACAGGTGTGTGTGCTGTGCTCTACCAGAACACCCGCCACAAGTCGAGTGAAGAAGATGAGGACGAGGCCGGGACTAGGGTGGAAGTCAGCCGGCGGATTTTTCAAACCCAGACGAGCTCGGTCCAGGAGTTCCCTCAGCTTATTTAGTTGCCAGAGACCACTATCTTATGTGCCTCCCCCAGGCTCCCTGCTTTCTCTCTTGCCCTCCCCATCCCACCACCTTGGAGCTGTCATAGAGATTGAAACCTTCTAGTAAAATAAATAAAATCTCTGATGGCCATTTCACAGGTTGGTCCCTTCCCACTGCACCAGCCCGAGGATGATTCCTTGAGCTCAGCAGGATGGGGTAGAACAAAATCTAGAAACGTTGTTGGATGCACCTAAATACCGAGAAAGTCTACCCCAAAAGTAAGCCATCTCATGTTTAATAAGTACATATTATGTCCCCAAACTAAGTGCTGGAGGGATGGATACAAGGAATACAAGATTTAAGATCTTCCCTAAAGAGCAAACAATTTAAGTGGAAGTGAAGATTAATATTAATCAAATGGAGAAAAGTATAAGACAATGATAAGAACTAACATTAATGGAATGTGTCCATCCATGTACCATCTTCACACTCCATCTTGTAGTTATCACAGCCATCCTATAATATTGATATTATTTTACCGTGAAAATTTGAGGCCTGAACAAGTTAAACAACTGATTGAGGTCACCCAACTGGTAAGTAACACAGCCTCCCAAAGTCCATGTTCTTTCCTTTACATGAAATATAAATATTTAGCAGCACAACCAAGGGTTCATCATGTAAGCCTGGCCACACAAAGGTGGCCACCACCCAGCGGGTCCATCCCAAGTACCCAGCATTGTGCCCAGCTTTATGCACATTTCCCCCTGGGCTAATGTGCGTGACAACAAGGTCAGGTGGTCATTGTCACCATCGTTTTCCTGAGGCATGGAGAGATGAAGTCACCAGCTCAAGATCACATAGTTGGTAAGAGCAGAGCAACTGCTGGACCCATGCCAAAGTCCATGCCCTCTCACTACAAGCTACTGTTTATCACTGAGCACTAAACAGAATAGCCAAGTGTACACAAGCATGTCCTGCGCTCAGGGACATGTGGCAAAGGGAGTGAAGAGAGGGTTGGCTCAACCCAGGCCCCAAGACCCATTCCAGGTTTTCCTTTTTGCTCTACTCAGATCAAATTATACTCATGTTCAAGACTCAGATCAAACCCCCACCCATGAAACTAGCTGTCTCTAAACCCCCAACCAGACCCGTTTTTACATCTGCACTTCCACTGTGAATTGCATGTGACTCTAATCACCACTTGCCCTCCAGTTTGTTTGGTGCAATGCTTAAGAGCATGGGTCCAGACTCAGGAGCTGGATCTCTATCCCCAGTTCTGCACTTAGCACTGTGTGAACTTGGGCTTCCTACTTATAATGACCTTGAGAGCAGAGACCATTTGCCTTCAGTGTTCTCTATTGACACAGCATATAGAGTGATAACTTCCACAAAATAAGTGTTTATTACTGCATTCTATTTAAATCCCAACCCACCAATCATTCCTACTTTGTTATCCTGAACTAAGAGTGACCATGGGCAAGTTATTTAACTTTTGTGTGTCTCAGTTTCTTCATCTGTAAGTGGCAATCACTGCAGTGCTTATATAGGGATATTTTGAGAATACAATGAATATCAATTATAATAAGAATTTATTTTAATACACTTTTTATTATGGAATAACTTTGGACTAAGCTACAGAGGTAGCACAGAGTTCCCACATACCTCTCACCCAGTTCCCCCTAACGTTATCTCACATTACAGTGGTACATTTATCAAAGCTGAAAAATTTATATTGGAACACTATTATTAACTAAACTCCACACTTTATTGGTATTTCATTAGTTTTTTTTTCCACAATGCCCTTTTCTCTGTTCCAAGACCCAATCTAGGATACCACGTTTGCATTTAGGATATTTTTAATATAATAACACGTCTAACTTTATTGGGCACTTCTATATGCTAGGCATTGTTCTAAGTGCATATACATACACACAAACACATACACATACACACACAAACACACACATCTCAACTAATTGAATCATCACAACAATCCTATGAGGTAAGCATTATTCCCATCAGATCCTGAAACTGAGGTTTAAGAGGGTAAGTAACTTGCTAAACATTACACATCTAGTACAACCAGAAGTGAAACCAGCTGTGGCTGACTATAGACTGTTTCCTCCAAATCACTAATCAATATTGTCTCTCAGGAATTTAAACTACCAAGAAAGTCTTGGCAAAAGAAATGTGAATTGCAGCTTTTCATGATAGCTTCTCCCCTAAGATTTCGCCTGGATCTTCCAACAATAAGTAATTCCACAAAAATGGGCTGAGCACCTACTCTGACAAGGCCTGGGAAGATCACAGTGAACGTGGCAAAGTGGTGAAAGCTCAAGGAGCTTCCAGTTCAGTTTGGTGGAGAAACAAGAAAAAAGTCCATTTCAAGACAGAGTGGTAAGTGAAGGGCCGGCACAGTATTCTAAGGGGACCCAAAGGAAGGGCGCCTCAACCAGGAGGCAGTAGGGCATCCTGGAGGGCTTCTCAGAGGAAGAGGCATCTACACTGAGGCTTGAAAGTTGAGTTGAGATTCACCAGACAAAGTGGTAAAGTGGATGTGGGTGACAAAAAGACATCCTAAGCAACAAGAACTGCATCTACAAAGGCCTGGAAGTGAGGAAGAGCCTGGCATGCCATTATAACTGGAATATAGAGTATAAGGGAAGGAAGAAAAGAGAAATAATGTTAGAGAGAGAAGCAAGGCCAGATCCTGAAGGGCCTTTTATATCCCTGTGTTGGTCAGGATTATGATAGGCTATGCTACAATAACAAATTAACCCCAAAGTTTCATTGGCTTACCACAACAAAGACTAATTTGTCACTCATGTAGAGTCCCATGTGGGTAGGGAGCCCTCCCACCCTGTAGCTCCAGCACCTAGAACATGGCCTCAGAGGTCCACTCCAGAAGAGAAAAGAGAGGCCATAGGCACACAGCTTGTAACTACTGGGCCTGGAAATGACACGTGTCACTTCAACTCACATTTCACATGGTCCCAACCTTACTGAAGAGAAACATAGTCTGTGTGCCAAAAATGCTGTGGAAAACAAGGAATTGTCTCTGCCCCACCAGGATAAGATATGGGACTTGCTCATGAAGTACACTCAAGAGTTGTAAGCATGAGAACCACCAAGTCTAGTTAATTTGTATTTGAGAAAACTCACTCTGGCTGTAAGGTGAAGAAGAGACCAGAGGGAGGCATGACGGAAAATGGGGAGACTAGCAGTATTGCAGTATTCTAGCAGGGGGTGCGGGTGATAGACCAAAGGCAGTGGCTGTGGGAACAAACAGAACTGGATGAATTTGTGAGGTTATGTCAGAGGTAGAGTTGGCAGAATTTCATGAGTAACTGGATTTGGGATGTTGGGGAAGAATTAATGGAGGGAGGATTCAGAGAAAGAAGAAGGAGTTAAGGAGAGGGCCCAAATTTCTGATTTGGACAGCCAGGTGGCTGGCAGCATCAGTCACCAAGGAGGAGAAAACCACCACATGGCATACTGGATGCAAAAATGTGCTGGGCAATAAAATATGGGGAAGGGATATGGGGAGGATGGAGGGTTATATCCTCATTGTCTCAGTGGAAAGTCGGTAGCTGGTGCCTAACACTGAAAAATCAAATGGGAGCAATAAAGGCATAATTTTTAGACATATCAAAAGAAATCAGCAAAAAGAGTTCCAGGTGCTTGCCTCTGGAGAGGAAAAAACACTGGGACAAAAAATGGAAGACTGCTATTTAATTTAAAAAAATTTGTACAACTGCTACTCTTTAAACTATGTGCATACATATCTGATAAAAATGAATTTTTTTAAAGGAAAGACCAGCTGGTCTAGGATGTTGCTCCTTTCCTCTGAGAGGTGTCTTTTGTCTTTAACCACCTTAAATGGTGAGATGTCCATTGTGATTACAAAGGGTAGGGTACTAGTCAGTGGGACACTCATACCACCTGCCACATTTCCCCATTTGCAATAGGCCCCTGCACTTAATTCTCAGAAAAATCAAGGAGGGCTTTTTAGGGGAGATTATGCTTGACCTACATCTTGAAAAATCATAGAATTTCACACAGGAAGGAGCATTTCAAATGGATGGTAAGGGTTAGAGCATGGAGGTATGGCAAACAGATGTGTTAGGGGAAAAGCTGTAGTTGTGTTTGGAGCCTGGAAGACAAATGAAGGTGACTAGAAAATGGAGATGGAAGACCAATCAGGGAGCTCACGAAAGTGGTAAATGTTTCTCCAAAGAAGGCTCATGGACCCACATCAAGATCCTGACGATCTCTCAGTCCTTCAGATGCTCAGGAAGGATAGGCAGTATCCCGCATTTTAGTAAGTTCGCTAGGTGAATTTCATACACACCAAAATTTGAGAAACACAAGTCAAGCAAGAGGATAAAGTCCTGAAATAAGGTCATGGCAGTGCGAATGGGAGGAGGAAATGGTTATCAGACCCAGGGTCTCTTGGGTCCAGAGCTAGCCTTGGCCAACAAGTCAGGTAAAGTGGCTTTTCTGCCTGCAAAGAAATGCAGATCGTGGGGAAGCAGCAATGCCCTGCAGCTCCTGCTTACCTTTGACTTTCATTCCTGCCTCAGTGCAAGTCCTCCCACTAAATATGATATAGGGATTTCGAGTCTCAGCTTTTCCACTCTATATGTACTCTGAAAAAAATCACTTTATTGCTTGAGTCTCAGTTTCCCCAACTGTAAAATGAAGTGGTTAGACTAGATTACCTCAAAGGCCACCTCTAAATCTAAGCTTCTAAAAACAACTCCGGATAATATCCAGAACATACAAGGAGCTCCTACAAATCAAAAAGAAAAGCATGAAACTCCAATAGAAAAAACTGGCTAAGAATATGAACAGGCAATGGATAGGAGATGAAAAAAAAACTAGCAAGCATATGCTGATGCTCATCAGTAATCAGAGAATGCAGATGAAAACAATAGATGTCACTGTGTCTCTATTAGATTTGCAAAGCTTTGAAATCTGGATGTTGCATTTTGGCAAGGATATTGGGCTGCAGGAACCCTCATGCCTTGCTGAAGGGACTCTAAATGGGCACAGCCAGCCTAGAGAGTCATCTGGCACTAATAAATTAAATTCAGTGGGACCTGGGACCCAGCAAATCCACTTGTTCCTGGGTGTTTCTCCACAGAAATGATCATACAAGTCCACAAGGGAACACATATGAAGACATCCATGGCAGTATTATTTGTAATGGCAGGGGTGTGGAAGACTGACTAGGGAAAATTTGTGGATTACTATAGGACAGTTACAAATAAATAACTAGGGGCAGGCTGTGGTGGCTCACGCCTGTAATCCCAGCACTTTGGGAGGCCGAGGTGGGAGGATCATGAGGTCAGGAAATCAAGACCAACCTGGCTAACATGGTGAAACCCCATCTCTACTAAAAAATACAAAAAAAAAAATCGCCAGGCATGGTGGCGGGCACCTGTAGTCCCAGTTACTTGGGAGGCTGAGGCAGGAGAATGGCGTGAACCCAGGAGGTGGAGTTTGCAGTGAGCCTAGATCATGCCACTGCACTCCAGCCTGAGCGACAGAGTGAGACTCCGTCTCAAAAAAAAAAAAAAAAAGGAAAAAAAAAAGAAAAAAGAAGAGAGAAATAAATAACTAGGTATACATCTAGCAACAAGATGAATACAGCTGAGTAGGGAAAAAAGAATAAATATAATGAGAACACTCTATAACACTCAGCATCCTGAAATGGCTCCCTATTTCCTTCACAATAAGAGCCAAAGTCTTCACAATCTCCCACCAGGCCCTAAATGATGTGCCTCCACCCCTACCCCCACCACCTCTTTACCTCACTGATGTCATCTTCTATCACTACCCCATTGCTTACCCTGCCCAGCCTCACTGGCCACCCTGCTGCCATGAAATGATATGGGGCATTGATGCTGCCACAGAGCCTTTGCACTGGCTCTTCCCTCTTCCTGGGCTTGTAACCCTTCAAAGTACCCTACACATGCATTCACACTCCTTTTCCCTTACCCTGCTCAATTTTTAACTTAGACAATAATCAATTATAATAACTAAATTGTATCCTAGTCTAAAAGGCAATAAGTACTGTCTTCTCATCCCCACCTTCACCTCTAGAATATAAGCTCCCTGAGAATGGGCATTTTTGCTTATTTTGTTCACTGATGTCTCCCAAGAATGAGAGCAAAACCTGTCCCAAAAAAGGCACTATTTTAAATACACTTTTAAACACATTATATGAATGCACATGCAGAAAATGATGAGTGGGAATTGGCGATAAAGGGGATTAAACAAAATAAGAGAGGAGCCTAGTCTGGATCAAGGATGATAACACACCATTAAGGGAGGATTCTGAGTAATTCAACCTTCTATACCTGAGGTTAACAAAAGGGGAGGAGGGAAGCAGTGTCTGGTCACCTCCCCTGAGCCCATCTGTTGAAGTTTCTCCTTTTGCCGGGTCTTTGCCAAGCCCATCTACACAGCAGCTGTTTCTGAGATTGCAAGGTCGTTACTGGGCTGAGGATACCTCACAAGCAACCCTTCCATGTACAACCCCACCCACCTCCCTACATTTCCTCAACACCGGCCCACCTGAGGAAGAAAGGACTGGGCTCCACATAGAACACTACCTAATAATTTTAGAATGATTTCTAACTCACAAATCACTCCACAACTTTGAAAGATACTACTGTCCTCATTGTATGGGTTAAAAAAACTAATGCTTAGAAAGATTCACAGTTGTCCTGTTTCACTGGCTAGTCCCCAGCACAACTGAGATGTTCAGCAACCCAGGTCTTCCTGACACCACGTTTCACGTTTTCTCTACCAACTTACTCTCCCACTAGGTACAGATAAAAAGACTTCCATGTTAGGGAAATTAGCAAAATACATTTTTCCAAATCTTATTTTGCATGACCCTGTTCTCAGCTCTCCTGTTTCTAAGTAACTGCTCTCCATCTCTAGGCTAGGATGCAAATTCAAAACCTGTGGATTTGACACAGTCTGTCTAAAAGCTAATGTTAGAAAATAAGGCCAAACAAATCATCTATTACTATTAAGACTTTAAAAGGATTATCCGCTCTTTGCAAGGAGCCAGATGGTGAAGACTGCACACTGTCAATCAGCTCTGGCAATAATAGTTCTGATACTACTGAGGAGTACAGAGGAACCACTAAGAATGTGGGGAATTCTCAACACAACACTCCGTGTTTGACAAGAATCAGATGATGAAAGGGTTAGGGCTGGTTGATGTTTTAAGCAGGCCGACTATTTAGGCCAAGAGATTAACATTTAAGAACAACAGCCAGGCGCGGTGGCTCACGCCTGTAATCCCAGCACTTTGAGAGGCCGAGGCGGGCGGATCACCTGAGGTCAGGAGTTCGAGACCAGCCCGACCAACATGGTGAAACCCCGTGTCTACTAAAATTACAAAATTAGCCAGGTGTGGTGGCGCATGCCTATAATCCCAGCTACTCGGGAGGCTGAGGCAGAAGAATCACTTGAACACAGGAGGCAGAGATTGCAGTGAGCCGAGATTGCGCCACTGCACTCCAGCCTAGGCAACAAGAGCAAAACTCCATCTCAAAAAAAAAAAAAAGAAAAAAAGAACAACAGACTCAGGTACATAACTTAGAGTTTACTTGCATGCCACTCCTCGCACTCATTTAAGTGACTCTGGGCTCATTCTCATTCAGCAAAATGGATCAGGACTGGCGCATACTCATGGCTTCTAGTTCTTCTTTACCTGCACTTAACTTGGCATGATGCAGTACACATGGTAGGGGCTCCATAAAGCTCTTTGAATTACAGGCTCACTGAAACTCATACTGCAACAACTTACACTGAAGCGCTGAAACCTCTCAAGTCTCCTACTAAGAAAGCTTCTCAGGGATTACCAGTTTCCAGTGAAAATCTCCTTAGGCTGATCTAGCCTTAACTCCTCACCCTGCCCAATAAACAAGTAAAAAGAAATATAATATAATGATAAGTATTATTGACATGGTTAGACATTTCCTAGTGAGTGACATGAGCCTTGAACACATTATAATCTCTGTTATTCTCCTTTTCCCTCAAATTAAAATGGGGATTAAACTCGCCTTGTGGTTCTAAAAGTTAGAGACTCTTCATATAAAGGACTTTAATATCATTCCTAGCACAAATTAGGTGTTCAAAAAAACTGGTGGTTTGGGGGAGAGAATGAGCCACCTTAGCACCCACACACAAGAATGCTCTTTTTCAGATGGACTCATAGCACTCATGTTTCATTCTTGCTTGACACCACCAGCTGCATAATCATAAGCAAACAATTTTATCTCTCTAGCCTTCAATTTCTTTGTTAGTAAAAATAAAGGTTGTGGGCTAGAGCTCTGATATTCCCCCTACCTCCTTTTTTTTGTTTTTTTTGTTTTTTGTTTTTTTAATTTTAGATGGAGTTTTGCTCTTATTGCCCAGGCTAGAGTGTAATGGCATGATCTCGGGCTCACTGCAACCTCCATCTCCCGGGTTCAAGTGATTCTCCTGCCTCAGCCTCCTGAGTAGCTGGGATTACAGGCGCCTGCCACCACGCCTGGCTAATTTTTGTATTTTTAATAGAGAAGAGGTTTCACCATCTTGGCCAGACTGGTCTTGAACTTCTGACCTCATGATCCACTCGTCTCAACCTCCCAAAGTGCTGGGATTACAGGCATGAGCCACCGTGCCCAGCTGCCTCCAATTTTTTTACGCTTGTTAGTATCGGGTTTCATTTAAAAGAAGTCCTCAAGTGGGGAATCTTGGTTTCTCTAAGCCTTAGCTGGGTTTTGCAAAATTTTTTTTTGACAGAAAAAGATTTTTTAAAAATTGTTTGGAAAATGAAATGGTACCCTACTCTAAGACTTTGCACCTCAGGCAGAGGGTCATATAAGCAAATAATAACATTATAAGATGGATTCTTCACACATAAATATATGTTTAGACTTTTTTAGACCACAGAAGAGCAAAGAGTTCTCTCAGTCTGGAGAAGCTAAGGAGTGTTTCAACAAGGAGACATCTGAGCTGGGATTTCAAGGATGGAGGTCAGGAAAAAACATTGCAACTGAGGAAAGCATGTGCAAAGTCGCCAAGGTAGGTGACAGCATGACATATTCAAGGACTTGAAAGAGGAGAACATTGAAGCTACAATATAAGCAATAAGAAGAGTGGTGCAAAATAAAATGGGAGAGACAGGAAAAGGCCAAATCAGCAGGGCCATGGAAAGGGTTTTGGTCTTTATCCTAAAAGCTACTGAAAGTCATCGAAGAGTTTTAAGCCAAAAGAAGATGACCAAGTTTGAATTTAAATAAAAAGACTCTGACTAGAAAGGAAAAAGAAAGGATGTAAAAAGACAGTTAGAGGACATTGCAATAGCCAGGTGAAAGAGGATCATGGTTTGGTGGTAGCAGTAGGGATGGGAAGAAGTGGCTGATCACAGGGTCCCCAATGAGATAAAGAGAAGAGAATCTGTAAATTGATTGGATAGGAGAGTAAGGGAGAAGGAGATACTAAGAATGGATTCTAAGTGTTTGCCAAGAACAACTGGCTGGATGGCCTTGTCCTTGAGGGTACACTTACGGTGACTAGAGTTAAGTCTTACTATACTGACATTTATGTGGAAATCATAGCAGAGATGTCGAGCAGGCAGTAAGTTATATGGGTCTGGGACTCTGAGGCTTCTGTGCTGAGAATGTGGAAGTAAGAATCAACAGAGAGTACTTAACTGAAGCCATGCTTATGTATAAGATCACCTGTAGAAGAGCATAGAAGAAGAAGAAAAAGGAGCCTATGAAAGCTTTGAGAATGCCAGCAGCACAGAAGGATGAATCACAAGTGGCTGAGAATAAGAGGGTGGAAGAGAAACAGGAAACCTTTTCTCAGATATTGACAAATTATCTTTCATCAGCTCTGCTTTAAGTAAGAAAAACTGAATAAGGACACAAACTTCCATAGCCAAAGGGAAAGATAGAAACGAAAAGGCTCGAATATTGCATGTATGCAATGATCAATACTTGTATTACCAAGAATTCCCTCTATTAAAATTCTTCCTTGCTACAGATTACACTATTCATTTACAAAGCTCCTACCATGTTTCCCTTTAGATGAAGTACACTTACCTACCAAGTGACTCTGAGCTTGACCATATGATCATGAATGTGAGCAAATGTGATACACACCATGGCCAAGCAGAGACTTTAAATACACTTACATGGATTGGCTCCAGCCCTCTTGGGTTTCTGCCCTCCACCATAAGAACAACAGGTTCCTTCAACCAGGGTCCTGCAATGAAAAGATACAAAGAGCAGAACCCAACATAAGCAATACATAAATGAATGTGATTTTTTTTTTTATTTTATAGAGTTGAGGTCTCATTCTGCTGCCCAGGCTGGAAAGCAGTAACCCAGTCATGGTTCACTGCAGACTTGAACTCGTGGGGTCAAGTGATCCTCTTGCCTCAGCGAGAGGGACTGGGACTATAGGTGTGTGCCACCATGCCCAGCTATTTTTTCTTAATTTTTGTAGAGATAGGGGTCTCACTGTGTTGCCTAGGCTGGTCTCAAAATCCTGGCTTCAAGCAATTCTCCCACCTTGGCCTCCCAAAATGCTGGGATTATAGGCATGAGCCACTACACCACACCTGGCCTGAATGTGACTTTTAGCAGCTGAGCTTTGGGGGCTGTTTGTTACTGCAGCAAATGCTGACTAATATACTTGTCCACAGTGAGATATCTTTGACACCAAATCTACTTATTTTAAACTCCAGTCCAAAGAAGAAATAGCACTATTTGTCTAGATTGTATTATATACCTGGCACTAATAAGTGATTTATAGACATCATCTCATCTTAATCCTCATGACAATTATTTTCACCATTTTACATGAACAAATAGGCTCAGATAAGTTAAATACATTTCTCAGGATCACAAAGCTAGCAAATAAATAATGGAAATGGAACAAAAATTCATCTAACTGATTCCAAAGCCCATGCATTCTCTATATTGCCATATTAATGAAATGAATCTCCTAGATATCAAAACGTAAGTCTCCCACATGGGAAACAAGACATATTAATACATTGACAGTTGTGCTGCTGTTGAGCAAGCCAAGAGCAACCAGCAGGAGAATATTTACAGCTCCGGATCCGAAGCTCATATTGCCACAAGCTCCACCTTCCTCTCACAAACTATCATAGCTGAGAAAATGGGAGCCTTATAGCTTGAAATTTGGTGAAATGTGGTGCTCAAGTCAGGTCGCACTGAAACATTGGAAACAAAGGTTACATTTTTATCTCAATCTCTATAGCCAGGTGACTTTTTGTAATAGCTCACTGTGATCACCCCTTATGAATTCAGCTTGGGTTTCCCACCTGATCCTTGGTAATAGGAGTCATAACTACCTTTCTGAATCTTGAGGCAAAGTTAAACCTTTAACATATTAAGGAACAAGGAGAAGCAAGATATAGTAATCACTTACCAGTGTCCATTTGTCCATTGAGGAGTTACATGTCCTGCTTGGAATTTAGGGCTGCCTTGCAGATCCCCTTATGAGACATTGTGGGGTCAGTGGGTGTGAGGAGAAATAGTGAAAAAGCATAAGCTTTGAAGTCAAACAAATCTGGGTTTAAATCCTGCTCTGCCTCTTACCCACTTTGTGGTCCTAGGAACTTGGCTTTATTTCTCTGATCATCAGTTTTCTTGGTGTAAAATTCGGGTGATAGTAGCTAATCCAATTAGCTGTTTGAAGATAAAATGAACTGGAATATTCACTTCTTCTCTACTGTGAATCATCAGCTTCTGTCTTGGGCTGCAAGGAGACTCTGTGGCCAGGACTAGGGCCCTAAGATCTCCTCTCAAGTTCCTCCCCTCCCCTTTAATGGCATGCACAATGCTGTATAATCATCATCACAGGCACCAACAAGGTCAGGCAGCAAATCGTGAACACCCACTCTATACCAACATTTTTCTAACTCTAGTGCTTACAACATTGAAGCAAAACAAATTGTATTACATTCATTTTAGAGGTCAGCAAACTGAGAGGTTAAGTGGCTTGCCACAGCTCAGACCCGGTCCTCCTGACCCCCAGGCCCACGCCTTTCCCACTTGGCACACTGCCTCCTGCTCTTAGCTGCTCAGCTGGTTATCTCTGTCCATTGCTTTCAATGAGACCTCTGAGAAAAAAACAAGTGTCCCTGGCAGGACCACACAAACTCACAAGAAGGTATTGATTATAAGAATTGTACACCAAAAATTAAGTCATTGCTCAGAAAAATTAAAGGAAACCTATATTAAGGGAGAAACATTTCATTCATATACTGGAAGCTCAGTATTGTTAAGGTACCAATAATTCCCCCCAAATTGATCTATAATATTATCCCAGCAGGTTTTTTTTTTTTTTGCAGAAATTGAAAAGTTGATTCTAATACTTACATGGAAATACAAAGGACTCAGAGTAGCCAAAACAATTTGGAAATAAAAAGAAAGTTGGAAGACTTATAATTAATTGCAAAATGTATCATAAAGCTACAGTAATCAACACAGTGTAGTACTGACTATAAAGATAAACATATAAATCACTGGAACAAAATTGAGAGTCCAGAAATAATCCCTTATATTTATGGTGAATTGATTTTCAACAAAGGCACCAAGACAATTCAAAGGGGAAAGGATAATCTTTGCAAAAAATAGTGTTGGAACAAATGGATATCTACACACAAAAAGATTAATGTACACCCCTGCTCACATCATACAGAAAAAATAACTCAAAATTAATCACACGCTTAAATGTAAGAGCTAAAGCTATAAAAGTATTAGAAGAAAATCTAAAATCTCCTAAAATCTAGAAGAAAGTCTTCTTGATCTTGGGTAGGCAAATATTTCTTAAATAGAACACTAAAAGTATGACTCAAAAAGGAAAAAAAAATCACATGTGGACTTCATCAAACTTAATCACTTCGAGCTTCAAAAGAAACCATTAAGAAAGTGAAAGAACAAGCCACTGAGAAAATATTTGCAAATCATATATCTAAAAATGTACTTATTCAGAATTTGTAAAGAACTCTTACAACTAAATAATAAGACAAGAAACCAATCTGAAAATGAATAAAAGAGTTGAAGAGATATTTAGACAGAGGAGATATATAAATGACAAATAATCCCATGAAAAAATGCCAACAGTATTCATTATTAAGGAAATGTAAATTAAAACCATAAGATACCACTGTACACCCAATAGAATCAGAAAGACAGACAATAACGAGAGTGGTGAGGATGTAGAGAAGTTGGAAACTTCATGCATTATGGTGAGAATACAAAATGCTATAGCCACTTTGGGAAACAATTTGGCTGTTTCTGAAATATAAATTTACCATACAACCCAGTGAGTTCACCCCTAGCTATTTATCCAAGAGAAATGACAGCATACCTCCACACAAAAATTTGTACAAAATGTTCATAGCAGCATTATTTACAATAGCCAAAAAGTAGAAATAATCCAAATGCCCACTAACTGTTGAATAAATAAATAAAATGTGACATAGCCACACAATGAACAATTCAGGAAAAAAAAATACTGATACATGATACAACATGAATGGGCCTCAGGAATATTAAAGAAGCCAGGCACAAAGTACTACATATTGTGTGATTTCATTTATATGAAACATCCAATAAAGACACAACTATAGTAACAGAATGCAGATTCCTGGTTGCCTGGATGTGGGGCTGGAAGCAGGAACTAACTGCAAATAGGTACAAGGGATTTCTGAGGGATGATGGAGATATTCTAAAACTGGATTGTGCTAATGGTTGCACAGCTCTGCAAATTTATGAAACCTCATTGAATTGTTCACTTAAAACAGATGAAGTTTATGGTATGCAAATGATACCTCAATAAATCTGTTTTTTAAAAGGTCTTAATGATTCCTTTGCAAAATATCAGAAACACGGCAAAGGAGGCAGCCTGATAAATCTCCTCTCCAGCCTTTCTCCTTTGTGTCCTCTGGGAAGGGCACCTGAGTTCCTACCTCTCCACACTAAGAACTGTCTCCCCAAGCAGCCTACAGCAGCTGTACTGGACTTCTCTGCCTAGAGACTTAGCGGCCCCAATTCAGGCTTCTGGCAGCAAAGCTCACCTTGCAGAAATACTATAAGAGTTATAAATACTTTAGGTCCTTAGAGAGCTCAGTCAGTTCTCTGCTATGCCACTAGTGACCTAGGGCAAGGAAACTTCTATTCGTAGGTATACTGAGTGTCAGTGAGCAAGGCTGCAAGGCATTCTGGCATCATAACCTCTTTAATGGCATGGTTTGGACCCTTAAGAAAACCATGCTTTATTAAAAGCTAATTCCTACAAGCTAATTGCAGCCATCACCCCAGAAAAACAGACTGGATGCAGATAATTCAAAGTCCATTCATCAGGCATAGGGGTTGGGGAACCTGACTTCAGAACAGGGAAAGGTTCTTAACCTCAGCCGCATAATTAAACTACCTGGTAAGCCTTTTAAAAAATACTATATCAGGTATAGTATTTTCTATAAGTCTTAATCACCACAGAGATATGGATTTAACTGGCCCATATGGCTTAATATCTGTGTTGTTTTTAAGCTCCTCAGGCAATTCTCCTGCTCATCCAGGGCTGCAAATCACCAGCTTTAGGAGACAGGTTTCTTCCACCTATTCTCTACCAGTGACTCACTCAAAGCCCAAAATGCACTACTCCTTAAAAAAGGACTTTCTTCCTCATCTAGTAAAAGCAACAGGATAAAGATGGCTGAATGTCAGACAACAGGATGTTGTCATTTGCAGTGTAGACACTGCCAATTTATCTCAATTTATCCCAAATGAGTTTATGTTGAGTGTATTGATTTATATGTCCTTAATCATGACACCCGTAAGAAGGGTGTCTAACATAACTGATAGTGGAGAGGCTAAAAGAAAAAATAAGTCTATTTTCAGTATTCAAGGACTTTTCTCCACAATAGGGAGGAAGAATAAAATTAATTAGCATCCAGTACAGTAGTAACACATTAAATATTAAAGGAAATAAGCAAGCATGAATCTCAGACATCAGCAATCATGAGAATTTGGGACAGAGTTCTCCACTGGCTTCAGTGGACAGTAAAAGCTTTGTGGATGGGGCACAGTTCTATCTGGGCCTTGTAGGACCAATAGAATGTGAATTGGGAAAGTGAAGGAACAAAAAAAATCACCCAATAACAATAATTGCAATAGCCATTTACTGTACTCCAGGTATTCTCTCATTTCGAGCATCCTTTTCTTTAAACCTTGTAACCACCTTATGATCCTCATTTTACAGATGAGAAAATGGGAGATTAGAGCGCTTTAAAAAATTGCCGTGGTGGCTCGTGCCTGTATTCCCAGCTACTTGGGAGGCTGAGGCAGGAGAATCGCTTGAACCAGGGAGTCAGAGGTTGCAGTGAGCCAAGATCGTGCCACTGCACTCTAGCCTGGGTGACAGAGTGAGACAAAAAAAAAAAAAAAAACATTGCCCAAGTTCAGAGTCAGCAAGCAGAATTCAAACCCATGTAATCTGACTTCAGAATTCAGGTAGATAGGCCAAGGCAGAAAGGCAGAAAGGCAGAAACACAGACAGGAATCTCCCATTTGCGTGATGTTGTGCAAGATTCCAGCCTGCTAAGAAGGTTGGGTTCTTGTCACTAAAAGCCCAGAAGAGAAGAGAAAACTGCCTAACTAGGACAAGGTCAGATCATCCACACAGCTCTACCTAGATATTAAGCCAACTGCAACAAGGAGAGCTGAATCAAAAGTCAACCAAAAAGGGATATCCTTTTTTAGAAACACAAGATGATAAAAGCATCAAATAGGTGAGCATGACTAGGGAAGCACAGGTCTGCAGGTTCCCAAGGGGTGAAGTTTCACCAGAGGCTGTGAAAACGCTGAGAGCTGAGACTGGAAAAGAGTCACTAGGCCTGAGTCTATGTTCCACCCATCAAGGACTCTCCAGGATGGTGTGAAGGGCAGAAGAGCTAGAAAAGACAGAGGCTGTGTGGAGGACATTCACAGGAAGTCCACAGGACAGCACAGAATGTTGAGGCAAGCAGCTAAGCCTGCCTGCCTTGGATGAATTACATTTTTCAAAATGCCTAGTTGAAAAGTAGTCAAAAGGTACTAGGCACCCAGTGTACCCGGGAGCATGACCATGGAAGCATCTGTGAAAGGCACACAAAATACGTGAATTCTGCCTGCAAGGAATGCATACTCTTGTTGGAGAGACAGGGAACACACACACAGAAAGAGAGAATGAATAGTAGTTTGAGTGATTTCCTCAAGTCATTGGAACCAACTGACAGAAGCCTTGATTATTTTGGCTTTTCCCAATCCTGCAATCTGAGAATAAGCAAAACACCAAGAAAGAAATAAAGGCAAAAAGAAGGAAGGGAGAAAGAGAGGAAAGGAGGAAGGGAAGGAGGGAGAGAATGGAAGGCAGGAGAGAAGAAAGGGAGGGAGGGAGGGAGAGACAACCAAATTCATATAAGAAATTCATTAAGAGCGATGTTAAGTGTGAACCATGTACCATCTGCATCAGAGTCACCCTAGGTGCGTCATAACAAGACAGACCCTCTGAAGCAGGGTTTGGGAATCTGAACTGTGAGCAGTCCCTCAGAGGATGCTTAGGCACTCTGAAGTCAGAGGCCCACTAGTCTGGACACTGCCTAAGGCCAGTCCATGTGCTCAGACCTCTGCATCTGCTGCTACATCTCCAGCTACCAAACTACCTAATAATCTCACATACAGAAGACTGGTCCTAAGGTGAGACAAAGTCCCAAGTCATCAGATAAAGAGGAACTTATGTTCACAATTTGTCGTGGGCTTTGGAGTGAGGCAGACTCCAATGGAAAGCCCAGTTCTCCTTCTTCCTAGCAGAGACTTTAGGGAAATTACTTAAACCCACTGAACGTCAGGGTCCTCATCTGTAAAATCCTCATAGGATGGTTGGGAGGGTGATCAGGTAGGAACCATGGCTTTCTCTAAGCTGCCTTTTATTTGCTGACTTTTGAGAGGGGACGTCTTACTCAGGCACAGTCACATGTGCCTGTAGCCCTAGCTACTTTGGAGGCCAAGGCAGGAGGATAGTTTGAGTCCAGGAGTTCAAGACTGCAGTGTGCTGTAACTGTGCCTATGAATAGCCACTGCTTAGGCAACACAGTGAAACCCCATCTCTAAAAGAAAAAAAAAAAAAGACCAGACATCTTAGAAAGATTCTTCAAATCCTAACCCTAGTTAGACATTAGACATTGAATGCCTCTCCTAGACTTGACTAATGGAGAAAAAATGCCTTTAAGTGTTTCATCTGTTTCATCTTACTCATTCCTCAGAACATTCTGCTGACATCAACAGCCTCCAGGCCTTTGCACATGCATGTCTTTCTTTATGAAATACACACACACATGCACACATGTCTCTACACCCTGCTTATTCTATAAATCCATATTCATCCTTCAACTTCTTGCTCAAGTATCACTTCTATTTTAAAATTTCCCAGACACCACAGCCTGCCCCAACTCACCCATTCTCACTGCAGTGACGGCTCCCAGAACCTGAACAAACCACAAGTCTGATCTTGCCGCACTGTGATGACTGATCTTCTGGTTTCTCCCCAACAACCATGGGTTCCCCAAAAAGCAATACTTTGTAACCCTAGCACTTGCTATCATGCCTAATGTCTAGCAAGTACGCACAATTTGTTGCGTTAATATATTCCACATGTAGCTTCTTCTCCGAGAAAACACCAAATGGCGGATGACGCCGGCGCAGCCGGCATTGGGTTGCGGGGGGAGTCCCGGAGGCCCCGGGGCCCTGGGATGGGGAACCATGGTGGCTTCCGTGGAGGTTTCGGCAGTGGCATCCGAGGCCGGGGTCACTGCCGTGGACCAGGCTGGGGCCGAAGCCACGGAGCTCGCGGAGGCAAGGCCAAGGATAAGGAGTGGATGCCCGTCAGCAAGCTGGGCTGCCTGGTCAAGCACATGAAGATCACTTCCCTGGAGGAGATCTGTCTCTTCTCCCTGCCCATCACGGAATCTGAGATCATTGATTTTTTCCTGGGGGGCCTCTCTCGAGGCCTAGGTTTTGAAGATTATGCCGGTGCAGAAGCAGACCGGAGCCGGCCAGCGAACCAGGTTCAAGGCGTTTGTGGCCATTGCGGGCTACAACGGTCACGTCGGTCTGGGTGTTAAGTGCTCCAAGGAGGTGGCCACTGCCATCCACAGGGCCATCATCCTGGCCTAGCTCTCCATTGTCCCCATGCGCAGAGGTTACTAGGGGAACAAGATCGGCAAGCCCTACACCATCCGTTGCAAGGTGACGGGCTGCTGCGGCTCCGTGCTCGTGCGCCTCATCCGCGTGCCCAGAGGCACCGGTATCGTCTCGGCGCCTGTGCCCAAGAAGTTGCTCATGATGGCTGGTATCGATGACTGCTACACCTCAGCCAGGGGCTGCACTGCCACTCTGAGCAACTTCGCCAAGGCCACCTTTGATGCCATCTCTAAGACCTACAGCTACCTGACCCCTGACCTCTGGAGGACGGCTGTATTCACCAAGTGTCCCTATCAAGAATTCACTGACCACCTCGCCAAGACCCACACCAGAGTCTCCGTGCAGAGGACCCAGGCTCCAGCTGTAGCTACAACATAGGGTTTTTATACAAGAAAAAGAAAGTTAATTAAGCCTGTAAAATATACATACATATATGTGTGTGTATATATACATATTATATATGTATATATGTGTGTGTATATACATTATATATATGTATATATGTGTGTATATATACATATATACGTATATATGTGTGTATATATACATATATACGTATATATGTGTGTATATATACATATATACGTATATGTGTCTATATACATATATACGTATATGTGTGTGTATACATATATACGTATGTATGTGTGTATACATATATACGTATGTGTGTGTATACATATATACGTATGTATGTGTGTATACATCTATACGTATGTATGTGTGTGTATACATCTATACGTATGTATGTGTGTATACATATATACGTGTATACGTATACACATATGTATATGTGTATACATATACACATATATGTGTATGTATGTGTATACATATACACATATATGTGTATGTATGTGTATACATATACACATATATGTGTATGTATGTGTATACATATACACATATATGTGTATGTATGTGTATACATATACACATATATGTGTATGTATGTGTATACATATACACATATATGTGTATGTATGTGTATACATATACACATATATGTGTATGTATGTGTATACATATACACATATATGTGTATGTATGTGTATATGTATGTATATATACACATATACATACATGCATGTATATATGTATGTATATGTATACATATATACATACATTGTATATACGTATACATATACACACATATATGTATATACGTATACATATACACACATATATGTATATACGTATACATATACACACATACATACATATATACACATACATACATATATACACATACATACATACATATATGTATATGTGTATATATACATATATGTGTATATATTCCAACTGTAAAATATACATATATGTGTGTATATATATATTCCACCTGTAATATATATATACATTCCACCTGTAAAATATAAAATTATGACACTGATTTTTAAAGTGTTATATAACTTACTCATACTGTTGTTTTCAAAAGCCAGCTTAAGCCAGAGGGGGAAAAAAAATAATCACACTAGTTTGGTCTTCTCTTTTAATCTGAATCAGAATTACTTGGCTTTATCCCCTACCTAATTCATTAGATGTGGCTCTGAATTGTAGAATCCACCTCATAAGCGGAAGATTTGCCGCCATGAAGAATATTAAGAAGACTCCCTCTGACTTCAGAGGCAATTCAAGTCAGTGCAATGAACACTAAGCTAAGTACTGAAATTCTACAAAAAGGATCCTTCCAAAAACACAGCCTCTCTGATGGAACCAGAGCTCTCCTCCAAAGGTGCTAACTTCTTGTTAGGCTGGCAGGCTCTTCCCCAGACCGTCTCTTGGTGTGTGTGTTTTTACCATAATTCTAACACAAAGAGTAAGAGTCCCATTTCTACCCGTGGGTGCTACCCAAGCTTACCTCGCTGCCCCAAGCCCAAAGTGTCTCCTTTATGGATCACTGCCCATGCCCTTCCCCGTGCCTGAGTTTAGCTTTACATTCAAGCCATTGATGGTAATTTCTCAAAATTCTACTCAATTAATAGCTACCATTTACTGAGTGACTCTGTGCCAGATACCCTATTAGAGGTTTTATAGACACTCTAGAAACTTATATCTCAAACAACTTATGACCAAGTGTTATAAGTATCCTCATACACAAGTAACTGAGTAAGTGATGGAACCAGGTGTGACTCCAAAGCTCATGTTAACTGTGGAGGTATACATCTTCCACTAGCTCATTAAATATTCACTTAGTACTCTATGGACGTAGTGTTATTATCTTATTTTACAGATGAGGAAACCAAAGTATAGCAAGGTCATTAGACTTCTCATACTAGTTCCAAATTATTTGAGCCCCTCCAGTTACTCATAGCTCTTTAGGCACATATTTGCCAGCTCTGTGCTGGCAAATATCTTGCCAACATAGACAAAATTGCAGCCAACCAGGAAGAGGCCAGTCTGAGAAGTGAAGACAGTTGGACCCTCAAGACACAATCAAGCCTTACTAATATATCTATGATCTTCTCAGTCACATGAGGAATTAAATTGCCACTTTTACTTTAGTTTGACTTGGCTATAGTCTGAGTGTTTATGTTGAAATCCTAATCTTCAAGGTTATGGTATTAGGAGGTAGGACCTTTGGAGAGGTGATTAGGTCATGGCATAGAGCCCTCATTAATAGGATTAGTGCCCTTATAAAAGAGGCCTGATCTGCCATGTGAAGACACAACAAATAGGTGCCATCTATGAACCATAAAACAAGCCCTTACCGGACACCAATCTGCCTTCACCTTGATCTTGGATTTCCCAGCTTCCATTAATAGGGAGAAATAAATTTCTGTTGGTTATAAGCCACCTGGTCTATGGTATTTTGTTATAGCAGCTTAGATTAAAATAACTTCACTTTTTAACTGTTGCTTACAACCCAAAGAGTCCTATTTAAGACAAAAATGAACACCTGCAAGGTGAAACAATAAAATAATGTGGATGACTCTTTTAAAACTCACATACCAAGGTGTATTCATCCAAATGACAGCAGTTCCTTTCGAAGTAGTTATCTTAAGGAAAATGAAGTTGCAAGTAAGTAGGCAACCAGAGGAAATGCTATGAAAAAATGCCCCCAAATGATGGTATTGATCAAGCACTGGCCAGTATTTTGGAATGAATAATGTACATGATTTTGCAAGCCTAGTTACTTCATGTTGTCATAGGGAGTAGCTCAAGGGACAGGAAGAAAAGTACTTGCTTCCACTCATGTTAAAACTATAGGCTCTTGATCTGTCAGTCTGTTCTGAACATTGGTATAAAATTAATGAATAATCAGCTTCCTATCCCTGAAGTAATAGCCTGAAGCTTGCAGATAAAGTACCAAATCTCAACAAAATCAAACCTAAAGTCCCCAGATGTTCAGATAAGTCATATGCCAGGGTCTACCTTTGGCCCCAGATTCTCCTGTTCCCAGCCTTGACTCAGCTGAGACTCAGTGGCTTCTCTCCTGGGACAATATCAATGGTTCAGCCAAGGCAGCACATTTCTATACCCAGTTCATGATCCATGGTTACCACTGCTGTCCAGACTATTACACCAGTGGAATCGAGTCACAAGACCATGCTTACCACAAGCTTTGAAATATGAGAAAACGGAAAAAAAAAAAAAAACCTCCCTTTAGAGCTGTGCTGTTTCTCTTCCTGTGAATAAAAGGAAATTCATGGTCATTACTCAATTACAGAAGGATCAGATTAGCACCAAGAAGAATTTCCTAAGTATAAGAAGAAAAGAAGAACCTGTGAAGTGAGGAGTCTCACAATGCAAACCTGAGACTAGCTCAGGCCTGAGTGTGGCCTCCAACAACAGACCTGAGGCAAGAAGAGAGAAACTTCTCCTTTGCGTATTCCTCAGAGTTATCTTTGGCATTGTTGAGTTTGGGTTCAACACATTGTTGACCTCTCTTTCCCTGCCTAACTGCACATGAGAAAGTGAAAACTTGGATTAACATATTACACGTTAATGAGCCCATGTAACACACGTAAAGCTGGACTAGTTGCAGAGAAGCATTAAATCTAAAGAAAGAAGAAGTTAGCCTTCAAAGAGATCTGAAAACTGAAATTGTTACTGCAATTTCTTTAAAAGGCACCAAGGGAGCATTCCTTTCATAATAAAAATAAAACTTCTCAAGACCCTCTTTCCCCATCCTCTTCCTACTCTCTCGTGAGAACAGACGTGCTACCAACTTCATGTCTCACACTCCCCCAAACACCCAAAAACTAGCTCTCAAATCTCAGCCTGCATTTGCTGTCATCCCCTTCCTGTTTCCCTTTCTGGAATATTCTTCTCTCCCTCCAGTACCTCTCTGCCCTAACCAATGTAGCTCAATCATTCAATTCTCCCTTCTCATTATCAGATACCACATAACAAAAGCAGCTGCCCATCCAAGAAACCTACTTTCTTTTAGAAGGCAGGAGGAATGGAAAGATTCTGAATGTGCATATGTAATGTTTTTGTCTTTGTCACATTTGCTCACCACGATAAAGACTTAAATATATGGAAAGAGGCTGACATCTGAAGCCAGATGACCTGGATTGTCTCAGTCACTGCGTGTGACTTTGGGGCAATTAAGCTAAGCTTTCTGGCCTTTGTTCCTTTATGTATAAGATGAGGTCACGGTAATGCCTTCTTCACAAGGGTATGGTGATGATTAAATGAAAAAACATGTTTTGTTGTAGGAATAACAAACCATAAAGTGTTTTATGAACATGATTTCCAATCCCACTGGCTTTAATTCTTTACATTGATTAGAATATTATATATACATCATTCCATGTTATTATATAAAGTTTAATCAGCTACTTGGAGATATAGTTTGTTAAGTCTGTCACTCTTCACAATCTTGACTAAAGTCTTAAAGGTTGGTTACCTTTGCTTGTGCAGTGAGCCACCTGATTCTACCAACCCATTTTGGCATACTCCATAAATTGGAATCCAGAGTCTTTAGACCATCAATTATAAATTTAAATTCCTAATTCTCAACTCCAGACTTTATATAAAATATCTAAACTCCAGGCGCCATATAAAATTTCTGACCACAGCACAAAAGGTGTTTCTGACTTGAGCCCCCCTTTTAAAAAGAGAGTCCCATCTAATTTCTTATTCTATAAATCAAGACCCTTGTCACCATCAAGTTTCTAATGAATAGCAGGCAAAGGCATCAGGCACAGGTTAAAAGAGGACAGGAAATAAATGGGGTCAAATTAGAAGGGAAAGGCATGTAGAACTCAAAACCAAAGAAACAAAGAATTAAGGAAAAGCACTAGAGTGCTTACACAAAAATACCAAAACCATTCCTTCTAAAATAGAATATGAAAAAATTGTGAGCACATGTGAATTTACTGATTTGCAGTGAAAATGATTCCAAATCAATCCCTTTAGATTCCATGTAGGAAGGTGTAATTGTGAATAAGTCAGAGATTGGGTAAAAGGCGGTATAAAGAGAGAGAGGATGAAAGCACAAAGTGATATTCAAGCTGACAGAGGGTGGCACCCATAGCTAGGACCTTCTTAATCTTTGAGCTTCTCATTTGGGATATGAGTACCTATGTCCCAGGCATGAAAAAAAATAAGACAGCCCCTGCAGCACCTGCTCAAGAAATGCAGCAGGTGGTGGGTATCCTTTCCTCCCCTCCTCCAGGATGGGCTGTGCTTCACCTTTTGATGAAGATGTGGCATTTACCTTGGTTCACAGCTGCCTCTTGGCTAACCCATCACTGAGTAGAGGGAAAAAGATAGACAAGAAAGGTTGGGTATAAGCATCTGGGAAGGATATGCTATCTTCATTAAAGAAGACCAAGAGAAATTAAATTTGTTGTTGATTATTTGCCTGGCATAGGAACTAGCAAAGAGAGCAATTCAATAGTCTTTTTTTAGCCCAAAGGATCAATTTAGCTCTGCCCAAGCAGGTAAGAGGCTAAGAACTCCAACTGTCCACGTGCTCAAATTATAAAGTTTAAATTTGACATTGAAACCTAAATAAACATAATGCCATATGACATTTTCCATTGATGTTTCCCTTGAGTTCCACTGCATTTTGCTTAACAAGCAGCTCATCCACATGTGGCTAGAGAAGAAAATACCTCAAAGGCCAGAGAAGGCCAAAGAGACCCATGCAGGATAGAAGGCTCATCCATGGAAACTCCATACTCCAGATTGAATTTCACGAGCAGGACAGACAGGCACCACCAAACTGGGTCCAGTGTCCTGGCTATGGCTTCTAATTCCCTAATCTGGTTCTATCTATGAGTCAAGGGAAAATCTAGAAATGGTATACAGTCACCAAACATGAAGACATTTCCAAGAGATCCAGGATTCCATTCCAAAGAAAAGCACCTTTTCCTTTTACCTTGCTGTCTACCCACCTTCAGAGGCGCATTCTAAACGTTGCCTCTGCAGAGGGTGACTACATTAAACATTTCAAAAATAACCATACTGGATGTTGTGATACCCTAGAGAACTGCAGATTTTTCCCCAAATAAGAAAATGTAGCTCTTCAGAGCATATCTGAGAAACCAAATATCTGCTTAAACCCTTCTGTCACAGACACTGACACTACTCAAAATGAACTTTTCTCAAACATTAGATATAGGTCTTTACCATCTAGCTGAGATGTCAGGGCACTAGAGAGTCTCTATCTAAAGAGATAATTAAGAAAGAAATATCCAGAGTTTGCACAGTTTCTGACAGTGACATCAACCACCCATTGAAATGCTCTCTTTGCCAGATCTGTCCATTCATTCAATAAATAAATATTCAATAAAAACACCTGCATATAGAACACCCATGTGGCAAGCAAAGTGAGAAATAAAAAAGTAGTTTAAAAATAGACCTTGCCTTCAAAAACTAAGACATATATAACCCTCCCCACCCCCCAAAAAAATAAGGTAGAAAGCATTAATTGCCCTAAGAGGGGTATAAAGTGCCACACTCATGTGAGTTCAGAGAGGCTGAAATTATCTCTGATGGAAAGAGTCTAGAAAAATTTCACAGAGGAAAATAGTATTTGAGATGACCTTTGAAGGGTAGGCAGGATTTGAACCTGAAAGATGATAGCAAAGTGCATCCAGGTGGAAAGATCGTTCTAAGCAATGAATCTAAGGAAACAAACACAGGAAACAACACATTTGTTTCAGTCTGGCTGGAGAATAGGCTGCAAGGCACATAATTTGGGGAGGGGGGTAGAAAAATAAGTGACAGCCATTTTATAGATGGCTTTCAATAGGAATTGGGAATTTATGTCATAAAAAAGAGCCACTGAAGGTTTCTGAGCTGGGGAGTGGTATGCCAAGGGTGAGGCTTCCGAAGGATTAATTGGGCAAGGCAGATTAGAGGAGAATGTGAGCAGAGGCAAGAAGACTAATCAGGATAGAAATACAGTGATGTGGGTAAAAAGCAAAGAACTGTGGTGTCAGAGAAGGCAAGGAGAGGAGGAGGTAGATGAGAGAAATGTTGTCAGGTTAGGGTCAACATGATTTGCTCATTGGTGCTCATGTGGAAGAAGGACATGAAAGATAATCCTGATGGGTGTATTCTGGATGTCTGAAAAGATAATAATATTATCAACAGAAAAGGAACTCAGCAAGTGAAGATGCCTGTAGAAATCCCAAATGCTTATGTTTGGTCATCCACTGGAAATGTGGGCCTGGTGTCAGGAAGTCACAGAAGTATCTTTGGAAGACCAAAGATACTGTTCAGTCCCAGTTACCTTATCTCTGTGGTATTTGCCATTGTTGACCCTCTCCTCCTTGAAATTTTCCTCTTGGGTTTCTAGACAGTATCCATTCCTCATTTTCCTCTTCCCTCTGTGGCAATTCTTTCCGTCTGTATGAGCTCTTCTTCTCCTACTTGTCCCACAAATGGTTGTATTCTCCAGAACTGCAGCCTCAGTCATTTGCTATTCTCATTGCACATCCTGTCCCTGAAGTCTCATCTATACCTGTTGCTGCAGTTACCACTTCCATGTGGATGGCTCCTGCAGAAAGCAGTGGTTAAGGATGCAGATGCTAGTAGTATCAGCCTTGGTTCACATTCCAGCCCTACTTCTGGCTGGCCATGTAACTTTGGACAAGTCACCTACCTTGATCTTTCTCATCTGTAAAATGTGATTATGGAGTTGTTAAGAGGATTTAACATGAGGATTAATATGAAATCTGGTACAGTGTAAGTCCTCAGTAAATGGTAATTATTATTGAACAAAATCTGCAACTGGAAATCTAGATCTCTCTCTTGATAGCCAGTTCTACACAGTCAGTTGTCACCTGGGCAGGATCCCTCAAAGTCCCGAAGTAAACTCATTGTCTTTCTCACCTCCCATAACCCTGCCCCTCTGTATTCCCAACATTCATTCTATCATCCAAATTAGAAGCCTGGGAATCATCCCACAATTGTCCCACTCCTTTACCCCCACATCCATCTGTCATCAAATCCTATAAGATACAATGCCAAACTACTAAACATGGCATGAAAACCTCATCATTATCTCACTCCTGCTTTTTGTCCAAACTCATTTCCCACCACTCTCTCATTCCCCAATGCACTCACACCCTGTGGTTCAGCTTCATATCAATGTACTTGCCGTTCCTCACAAATATTGAGCCACCTAATATAAAGGTCTTTGCACATTTCTTTCGAATAGCCTTCTTCCAACTTCCTATACCCAATTCAGATAATTCCTATTGCCTTTTAAGACAGTTTGTGTCACCTCCCTGTGAAGGCTTTCTTGGCTACCAGTGGGCAGGTAAGTGGCTTTCTCTCTATTTCTTATAACAAATTGTATTTCCCTATGGTGGTACTTACCACATTAGAATTACTGATTTGCTTGTCTCTCTTCTCCAATAAATTGTAAGGACTTACAAGTAAGGACTGTGCTTCATTCATTGTTCAACTCTCCTTCCTCTGCCCTCCCTCTATCACAATACATAGCACATGGAAGGTACTTAATTTTTTTTTTTTTTTTTTGAGATGGAGTTTCGCTCTTGTTGCCCAGGCTGGAGTACAGCTGCACAATCTTGGTTCACCACAACCTCCACCTCCCAGGTTCAAGCGATTCTCCCACCTCAGCCTCCTGGGTAACTGAGATTACAGGCATGCGCCACCAGGCCCAGCTAATTTTTTTTGTATTTTTAGTAGAGACGGGTTTCTCCATGTTGGCCAGGCTGGTCTCGAACTCTCAACCTCAGGTGATCCACCTGCCTCAGCCTCCCAAAGTGCTGTGATTACAGGTGTGAGCTACCTCGCCCGGCCTTTTTTTTTTTTTTTTTTTTTTTTTTGAGACATGTTCTTGCTCTGTCACCCAGGCTAGGGTGCAGTGGTGTGATCACAGCTCACTGCAGCCTTGACCTCTTGGGCTCGAGTGATCCTCCCACCTCCTTCCCAAAGTACTGGAATTACAGGCTTGAGCCACCCCGCGTGGCTAGGTTTTTTGTTTGTTTGTTTCTGTTTTTTGAGATAGTGTCTCTCTCTGTCACCCAGGCTGGAGTGCAGTGGCGCAATCTCAACTCACTGCAGCCTTGACATTCCAGGCTCAAGCAGTCCTCCCACCTCAGCCTCCATAGTACTTAGTACTATAGGTGCACACCACCATGCCCAGCTAATTTTATATTTTCTAGAGACAAGGTCTCACTGTGTTGCCCAGGCTGGTCTTGAACTCCTAGACTCAATCATCCTGCCTCAGCCTCCCAAAGTGCTGGGATTACAGGTGTGAGCCACTGCCCCTGGCCAATTATTATTATTATTATTATTATTATTATTATTATTATTATTATTATTTTAGTAGAGATAGGGTTTCTCCATGTTAGCCAGGCTGGTCTCAAACTCCTGACCTCAGGTGATTCACCCACGTCGGCCTCCCAAAGTGCTGGGATTACAAGTATGAGCCACGGTGTCCGGCCCAATTTTTTTTAATATATAAATAAATGACTGAATACAGACAAACCAAGATAACCCTAGTGGTTTCCTGCTCTCTTTTTTGTTAGCATGATCAGTCATAGAATTCATGTAGCTTGACTTCAAAAGTTTTTCTGGTTTAGTCCATCCTCTGGAATAATAACTAATAGTTTCTATCCTATTTTCTAAGATACATGCATTTTAAAGCTAATGGGATATTTGATCACAATGTCCTGCTGGGGTGTTAAATCAAAGAAACCAAAGCTTTCTTTCATTTTATTTTGTCTATGGCATCTTTCCTGCATTCTCCAAATGTTCTCTGGTTAATCACTTGATCCACACCAAATAAGTCAAATGAACTCACCTGATGAAATGCAAAAGAAAGCCTGTAAGAACTTTAAGTTTGCAAATACAATTAGACTCTCTTTAATTCAAATAGTCGGATAATGCGATTCCCTAAGATTGTCATTCAGAATACCAACTCTCATTGTACTGAGGGGAGAGAAGATGCATAGAAACTCCAGGTGACAAAATATTTAAAAACACAGAATATTTTTTTCAAATGTATTCTTCTAATTTAAAGATGACACATCTTATAAGGGGGGATGAGAGCAATAAAACCGCTCCCAGTTATTACAGTGAACCTGCCAGAAGACCAGTCTTTGATGCCTATCAGCAGTCTCTGTCTATAGAAGCTGTTCCAGCTTTCATCCAGCCTTCTGGGTCCACTTCTCCACTCTCATTCCTCACATGTTGACCCTTGGGGATCTCCTACTGGAAAGTGCTCTTTCCTGCCATCACCCTCCTAGGCCCCTACCAGGGACCCAGCCCCAATGGGGCTTAATAGGCACCTTGGCATGGTAGTCTGGTGCCCTAGACTTTTTTTCTTTTAATTGAGGCAGAGTCTCACTACGTTGCCCAGGTTGGTCTCGAACCCCTGGGCTCAAGCATTCTTCCTGCCTCAGCCTCCTGAGTAGCTGGAACTACAAGCCACGTGCCACCTCGCCCAGCCAGTTACCCTAGACTTTTTGACGAAAAGAAAAAGTTTTCCAGGTTAAGAAAATGAACCATAGAAAATTACAATTGTAGCACCAAAAAGGAAACTGGCTGACAGACCAGCAGCTCAGAGATCAGTGACTTAGACAATGCTGCCACCTATCGACCAAAAATGGAAGTACGGCTGGTCTTAACAAATTTAGAGCGACTTAATGGAAAATTTCATATGGATTTGGAATAGGTAGTCACTGAATTGTTATTACCATCATTACTGGTGCTTCAACAATAAGGTTTTTCTAGTCCTAACACAATCACAACTAAATCCTATGAGCAGGGGGTGCGGCAGAAACTGAGGATGTAGAGTAGGAAAGTAGAGTCATGAATGTGAAGGAGTAAGTACTCTAGTACTTTTCCTTAATTCTGTGAATGTGGAGTAGGAAATCAGTTCAAATCCTGAAAGAGGGAATAGAGGGAATAAAGGCTAAGAAAAGCGCCCTTATTAGAAAAACAGATGGAGTAAGAGGAAGATAACAGCACCAGGAGACTGAGCACCTCCCATACACCACACACTGACTCAACAAGGTACATTCACATAAGGAATCTAATTTAATCCCCACTAAAACCCTGCCAGACTAGCATTTTCGTCTCCATTATTGGGTCCCTATTATTAGAGTGTAGCCAAAAAAAGGTACAGATTTGCATAAGCTCACAGCTCAGACCCAGCAGGGCTGGTTTGAACTCAGGTCTGTCTGCCCTGTCACAAAAGCCCATTCTCATTTTAACAGACCAAAACCACCTATTCTCACTTTTCAAATTTTTTAAGGCAAATATTGAGTACATAAGATTGTTCGGATTACAATCTCCTGCTGGGGTGTTAAATAAAGGAAACCAAAGCTTTAGGGGATGCCTATGCCGGGAGATTTGGTGCCACAGATTCTCTTTAACCCGTAGGGGCTCTTTTTTTTCCTTTCTCCTTCCTGCCCCATTTTTCTCTCCCCTCTAAAATCCTCTGTCTAACTATAGATACAGTACAGTAGCAACAGCCACTATCTACATATGGCCATTGGTACTTGAAATTAGGCTAGTCCAAATTGATATGCACTGTACATGTAAAATGCACACTGGATTTCTGGGACTTCATATAAAAATTTTAAAATCCCATTAATTATTTTTATATTGATTACACAGTGACATGACACTATTTTGGCTATATCCAGTTAAATAAAGTATGTCATTAAAATTAATTTCATCTGTTTTATTTTTTAACAGGACTACTAGAAAATTTTAAATTACATGTCTGGATGGCACTGTATTTCAACTGGATAGCGCCGGTTTAAAGACATGCAAACATGCTTTTGTAAAGAAACGCATTTCATACATTAATTAGTATAAGATCACAGGCATGAAACCAAAATCTGTTTCCTGCTCAGTTGATAGGCAGAAAACTGCCATCTGAGGTTCAATTAAGACAACTATAATTATTAACCGGGAGCTTCTCATCGTGAGCAAACTAATGAAGCCTGATTTTCTCTGGTTGTATGCCTTATGAGTGACTGATTTGTTCACTAATTATCCCAAAGTTTTTTATCCTGCAGATTACATTAATAATAGTGTGATTTATATACTAGAAGAATATGCTCTATCAGGCTCAACAATAACTTCACATTTCTCATATTAGAGAAAGTTGAGCTATTACTATTCCCCTCAGAAGCATGTTCCTAAGACGCTGCAGAATCTTCTCACCCCTACCTAGTTCAATGTCTTTAAAGCAGATGGAAATGTCATTGTGAACCAAAGGCTAGTCACATCCTAGGATTAAACCTATTTACCTCGAAGGCTTATTTTCAGGCTAACCAGGGTTCCTTACAACTTTTTCTTATCAAAAACAATCCTGGAAAAATGGACTTAGAGAAATCTACAGGCCAATGGACTCCTAAAGACAAGATACAGTCAAAGTTTCTAACCAGGAATTAAAAGATCAGGCTTACTCCCTAGGATGACAAACAATTGGTCCAAACCATATGGAGGTGCTCCTTCTACAGAGCCCTCAGCACAGTGGTACCTGAGACTGGACTTCATGAGCAGGGTTCTTGGGCAGGCAGAGCACATTCTGGGATGGCAGAAGACATTCTGCCTGTCCAAGAATTTCAAAGAGCCTCCATCTGCCCCTTGGAGTCAGGGTCTATGTCAATCATGATGCCGAGTTTCCAGACAGGAGGAGAATGGACTAATTAATTTCTCAAGTTCGCCTTCAAAACCAGACTCTGATCCCCCACTTTCAGCATAAGGGAACAGACCCAATAAGTTAAATTGAAGTTAAAAAAAAAAAAAAACCCTGGTCTGAGGTTTCCTAGGAACCCACTTGAATAGTGCACAATACAAACTCAACAGATATCTTCTGCCAGCTCTTTTCAATTTTCTCTGCTATGTGTGATATTTTCCATGGATGAGACCAGAGATGTTTGGTTGTAAATGATTGTCAGATGTTTAAACAATTTTGTTGCTGAAACATGATAATTTCCAGAAGCCCCTTTTCTGTACACGGTATCTTTTGCTAAGACCCACCACAAAGAAAATGAGTTGTACCAGAAGAATGGCAGAAGATCTGGAAATTAACTAAAAAAAAAAAATGGACCATAACATGCCTCAAACAAAACAAAAAAAATCATTAATAAGAAACAAGCCAGTTTCTAAGGGTCATGGAAAGAATACACATTGAGTTCCCAGCAGCTGGCTATGTTTCAAAGTCAGTAACCTCCAACTTGTCAGGGAAGATTGTGGTTAATGCTGTGAAAGACATGTGCTGAAAGATTTCTGGTTGCCCTTAAATTCCTGAATTTCTAGTCAGGATATCATACCACACATGTGCAAAACAGAAAAGTCTGGTAAAGTCTAAGTGGGTCCTGCTGTAAGTGTATAAAATCTTAACTTATAAAACCAATACATTAGATAATCACATATCAAAAAAGGATTAACTCAAAAATATTTTTAAATAAAAATTTCCCTACTCACATAGTAGGTTGAATCATATGAAACTGCAAATATTTGACTCTTTTTGACCCAAAAACCCCCAAATTCTGGCAATTCAAGCTATACATTTCATTAACAACATTGGCACTAAAAATTTAAAGAGAGTATTAGGAATCCCTACAAAAGGTTGCAGAAATAAAATTTTTAAAAAATATATTTCTCAAATTACAAAGTCAACAGGAAATTATTTTGTTCAATGTTTTCTATTTTTAGATGTATAATTTTTTTCAGTGACATACCTATAGCCTCTTTTAATCTGAATACCACAGGATATAATCAGTGATAACTAAGAAGAATTTTTTTTTTTTTTTTTTTTTTTTGAGACAGGGCCTCACTCTGTAGCCCAGGCTGGAGTGCAGTGGCAGGCACAATCTCGGGTCACTGCAACCTCCACCTTCTGGATTCAAGTGATTCATGTCTCAGCCTCCCTGGTAGCTGGGATAACAGGCGTGTGCCACCACGCCCAGCTAATTTTTGTATTTTTTGGTAGAGATGGGGTTTCACCTGAAGTAAGAACTTCAGTAATAAATTTGGCAATGCCTAAAATAATAGTAATACACTTCATGTTTGTTTATTGTTTATATTTCAAAGTAGCTTTAAATGAAATGACTCTATTAAGCCATTTCTCCAAATCCTTTGTGTGAAAATGAGACAAAGATGGAAGAAAGAGAGAGAAAGAAAGAAGGAAAGATGGACTAATTTTAATTATCGAAATTTAGACACCCAAATGAGCATTGTCTTTCAAAGGACTCCCTATAGCTACATATCTAATTCCAAGTGACGCTGCCACACTGATCAGAACGTTCATGGAATTCCTCTTTGGAATCACTTTCCAAGTTACATAAGAAAACCAGTACATTCTTTAACAGTCATATTTTTTTCTTTTTCTTTTTAAATTCCAAAACGGGGTGTCTAGCTAGATCAGTTGGTAGAGCATAAGACTCTTAATCTCAGGGTCATGGGTTTGAGCCCTACGTTGGGCGCTGTGTTTCCCAGCATTTTGGGAGGCCGAGATGGGCAGATCACTTGAACTCAGGAATTCGAGACCAGCCTGGCCAACATGGCAAAACCCCGTCTCCACAAAAAAATACTAATATGAGCCAGGTGTGGTGGCGCATGCCTGTAGTCCCAGCTACTTGGGAGGCTGAGGTGGGAGGATCACTTGAGCCTAGGAGGTGGAGGCTGCAGTGAGCTGAGAGCGCCACTGCACTCCGGCCTGGGTGACAGAGTGAGACCTTGTCTCAAAAAAAGAAAGAAAGAAAGAAAAGAAAAGAAAATGGCACCAACCAGCTTATTGATCTACTTAGTTCCAGATGCTTTTTGACTATTTGCTAAAATGTGTACATACATGCATACATAAAAATAAAATAAAAACGACTCGGGAAAGGAAAATATTTTTACACTGAGGATACCCAAGAATGCCGGGTACATTCTCCCACTTTCCCTTTTTGTCTGCTTATTACCCACTTCCTCCAGCAGTACCCTCCACCTTCTGACAGAAAACCAGGTCTCTTCTCTGTAAACCAAGGTGGTTCGAAATGAGATGGTGGGAATGTCCCTTACAACGGCCAGCCCCAATCCCACCGGGAGTAACTTCGACATATTCCTTTACTCTTTCTGCTTCTTTTAACATATCTGAAAATGGAAAGTAGGTAAACTGCACCTACTTCCTCAGAAGGTGGAAGGGATTCGTGGTGTAATCTCTCTACGTGGGCGGAAACACACTGTAAGCACCCAAATAACAAAATGTAAATGTCTAGCAAGTATATAAAAAAACATCAGGAAAGGTTTTTTGTTTGTTTTTGTTTTGTTTTGTTTTTGTTTTTGTTTTTCATATAAAAGGCCAAAAGTAGGGAAGTGACAGAAAGGCTGATTGCCGACCTTTTCAGAGCTTACTTATTTTAAACAATTACACTGACTCATAAAATAAAAGTATTTCTTGTGCCCCGGTCAAAAGCAAGTGGATTTTTACTTTAAGGGTGAATAATAAGAATGCTTTGGGGATGACGAATAAAAGGGCTTCCCCCGGCTAGCCGAGGCGGAGCCATCGGGGATATACCATCTCTCCTCGTCGATCTGGAAGGCTTTCTGAAGGAACTGGGGTTTGTGTCCCTGGCACGCCCGGGACCTGCGTGGGGCTCAGCGCGCTGCCAGGCGACCTCAGCAGCCCAGAGCTTCAACGGTTGCTGTGGCAACAGGCCGCCCAGAGCAGCAGTCAAAGTCCCTGCGTGAGCGACTGCACTTCCCAAGCGCGGAGAGTCTGCCCAATGAGTTCCGCCCTCTCTAGCGCGCTTTCTGTGATCCACCAATCAGGCTCTGCCACGCCCGAGCTGAGTGGTCAGCTTGCCTGGGAGGGCGGGGTTAGGGTGCAGAAACAGGACGGAGAAGGGGGCTGTATTTCCCCTGGCGTGTGAAATGGATGTTAGTGACTAAAGCTCAATTTTCCAGTTAAGGGAGGAGCCGAGACTTTTAAGTCGAGTGTTCCTGTGGGGCCAAAAGGATGGTTTCAGAGAAATCCCAGGAAGTGAGAGTGCTGGGATATGCGAGGGGCCCACGGAGCCCTCCCCTGCGTGTCTGAGATCACACCCTGCGGGTACCCTGCCGTCGTGTGCTGAAGGAGGTGACTGGATCTCGACTCCAGAGTTTGCTCCTGAGATCGAAAAACAAAACAACCCAATAATAGTAATGACAGCCCTGGGTGGGGACAGTTGCAGCAGGTCTCATGAGAAACTCACTAATTTTGTAGGTTCAGGGAAGGCGTGGGCATGTTGGTGAAGTAAGGTTCTGAGTGGAAGAAGAAAATGCTGCTTCTGGGGAAGAGAATACCGTCAGAAGGAAGGAAAGAAAGGAGGGAGTGGGAGGGGAGGGGAAATCAAGGGAGAGGAGAAGAGGGGAGGAGGGAAGGTGAGGTGAGGTGATTGGTATTCTGCCAATCCCATTCTGCACACTAGTGAGACCTAGCAAGGACTAGAGTTTCAGGGGGAAAATACGAGAATAATGAAAGATAACAGAGAGGAAAGAAAAAAGAAATAATTGAAAAGTTTGAAAGAAGAAAGACAACAGCTGAACCAATGGAGGTGAAAATAGAAGGAAATGAAAATTCTGCAAGCTTTTGTTTCATGGATAAAAGGACTGTATTTTCTGGTCCATTATCAGGATACAAGATGGAAAAAAAAGCTATTGAACTTGTGGAGAAAGTGGCTGGTTTAAATTAGTCCTGTCCCTGAAAATCCAAGCTGCGTGTTTGTCAGTCTTATGGCTGATTTAACTCATAGGCCCAGGAGAGAAAGGATAGAAGGAAGCCTGAATGACCAGCAAAGAATCTGCATCCAATCAACACTCAGAGCATGTATGCTACATTCTTCAGAAACCTTCAGGAGTCATAGACTGTGGTCAGTTCTTCGTCAGAATTATTTTAGATTTACTTCAGTTGTTTTTTCATCAAATGCACATAAAACATGGAATTGTTCTTAGCTGTGCAGACCTTGTCTATTTTCTGAAAGGAAAAACAATGTTAATTTTTAAAGCCCTACATACATTACATCTTTGTACTTTTCAAATCATTGTGTCACCCCCTTCCCTTCTCTTTTGAAGGTGCCTGGCTGAATCTCTCCTATTCTCACAATGGCTTTGCCTCCATTCTGCTGAAGTCGCTTCCCATTGCTCACATTATTATACTGTTTTTACTTCACTTCCAAGCTTGTTTCTGACTACACAAAGGGTGCTGTAATTCTGAGTTCCCTATATATAGAGTTGCTTTTCCAGGAACATTATTAATAAAAGGAAAGGTCTTCCTTTTCCATTATGGAGATATACCCATGTTACGTTGTGCTTTGATGATCTGGGCTCTGACTTATAAAACCAGTGTTACTATAATTTTCACATCTTTGAGCAGCTCTGCCCAGTCAGTTCCCCATAGGTCCCTCGGGAGTTTTTCTTGTTTTATTTTTGAATCTTAGCTGGAATCTATCTTCATTAGGAGTCTAGCGTCTTGTTCTCCGTAGAGCTCTGAAATGGTATAACAGAGAAAGGGGTACTAGAAACAGCAGGCTGACTCTCTTTAATTTTCTTTTTCTTTTTTTTTTTTTTTTTTTGAGACGGAGTCTCGCTGGTCGCCCAGGCTGGAATGCAGTGGCGCAATCTCGGCTCACTGCAAGCTCCGCCTCCCAGGTTCACGCCATTCTCCTGCCTCGCCCTCCCGAGTAGCTGGGACTACAGGCGCCCGCCACCACGCCCGGCTAACTTTTTGTATTTTTAGTAGAGACGGGGTTTCACCGTGTTAGCCAGGATGGTCTCGATCTCCAGACCTCATGATCCGCCCGCCTCGGCCTCTCAAAGTGCTGGGATTACAGGCGTGAGCCACCGCGACCGGCCGACTCTCTTTAATTTTCTAACAACTCAAATAGAAAGTTTTTTGGCTTCTGCTGTTTCCTGACTCTTCCTTTCCTCTTTTCATATAGCTGGTCTACCTTACTGATGTTTCAAGTCACTCTAGCTGCTAGAATTTAGGTGAATTATATTTCAGGCTTTCAAGCCATTTAAGGGGACAAGGAAGATTGTTAACGTCTGGACCTCAGATCCACTGGCCTTAAGAGCTCAGTATCACTCCCCACGATGTTGGCAGATTGGTGTATGTTGTTCTCTGATGTTACCTTGTAGCCATCTAAATGGCTCTCTGCATGCTAAACCTTGGGGAGGAAAGGCTCAAATAGGGTTCACCTTCCCTAACTCCTACTCTTCCATCATTTTTTAAACTATCACAATATCCTGGACATTCTTATTCATTGCTGAATCAGTATAGTTTGAGTGTTTGGAAAAGAGGCGGTGAGAGGAGAACAAAGATGAGTGGAAAAAGCTGAAGTGAAAGCCTTTTCTCAAAAGCTCCTAGTCAGGAGAAGTGACACTGTAGGGCAGACAACTCTAGAAATAGTAGGATACACAGAGGAAGGGCCAGAGTTCAGACGTATGTGAACTCGATGTTGTAAATAGAACATGGGTATAAGGAAGACAGAACACTCTAGTGGTTGCTGGCACAAACTCCTGGGTTCTGATTTCCACTGTGGTGATTACTATGTGGTGACCCTAGACAAGTTACTCAACCTCAGCTTCCTTGTCCGTAAAAGGGGGATACTAATGGCACCAACTTCACAGGGTTGTTGTGACAATTGAATAGGTTGATTATATAAAGTGCTTGGAATAGCATCTGGCATTTGGAAGTGCTAAATAGGTATTAACTATTATTATTCTAGAGCCATAATCCCAAACCCACAGCAGCTTGCCACCACAGGAGTGTCTCTGATACAACCATTCTTTGAGCAAAGACAGTGGGGCATTCTTTCTCATAGTTACTTGTTCTTTTATTGTTATAGGCTCTACTTGGTGTCCAGGACATTAATTAAGCAAACAAGCTTTTGCTTAGAATTCAGTAAAAGCATCATAATCCATTTTCATTTCTACTTTAATACAAGGGTCAGTATGAATTGTCATCCATTGATAGTGGAAATTCTCTACAATAGCTTCTCTATGAGTATGTTAGCAGCACAGTGGAAAAAGAAATATATGAGAACCTTGACTGCTTTCCACCTCTTTCTCTCGTAACTTTCAGTATTCCACAATCAATTCCTTCCACACTACCAAGGAGAGTCCAAAGAAATCAGTGTCCTGAGATCCACCACTGAAATTAAGCATTGCTGTGGGTGAAACTCAAGTGACGCTGACTTTCCAGGATATAGGAGTAATTAGAAATATAAAGTGAATAAGAGAAGGTGGAACATTTGATGAGAAGTGATAAGTGGCCACAAGGTGGCATAGGACAACAGCCACAGAGCACTCCCTTCCTCCCAAGTGACTCCATTTTGCATAAGGGCTCTGTCTCTGCTGCCCTGCCCTCTTACAACTTAGCACCCTTAAAAGCTGTCTTTGCAAACACCCTCGTGCCTTTCTTCTCCCACATTCCGTAGTCAGTGGTCCTCTTTCCCTAGTTCCTCTTTTCTTTCAATAGGTCTCAATTCTCATTGTTTCAGCATGGATTCCCTTTACTCGCAGGTGACCCTGCTTGTTGGTCCTGTACTCGGCAATTCCTCCTTCAGAAAAGTGAGCTCGGCAGGGCACGGTGGCTCATGCCTGTAATCCCAGCACTTTGGGAGGCTGAGGCCAGCAGATCACGAGGTCAAGAGATTGAGACCATCCTGGCCAACATGGTGAAACTTCGCCTCTACTAAAAACACAAAAATTAGCCAGGCATGGTGGCAGGCACCTATAATCCCAGCTACTTGGGAGGCTGAGGCAGGAGAATCGCTTGAACCCAGGAGGCGGAGGTTGCAGTGAGCCAAGATCACACCACTGCACTCCAGCCTGGGCAACAGAGTGAGACTCTGTCTCAAAAAAAAAAAACTAAATAAATAAATAAAATAGAAAAGTGAGCTCCTCCACTGCATCTCCAAGTCACACATTCAGTGGAATCTAAGTGAGGCATGCAGCAGAGTCCACTGGTTTGGCCATTTCACCAGTCACGTTGGGGTCCAACAGGGCTGAGTAACAGAAGGCTGTTGATTGACTTTATGTAATCTTCAAGAGTTTCCTGAGTAGTCAGTTTGAGTTTTTTAGATGATATGATCTTCTATAGAGGAAATAGATTAGGGCATTAAAATTGAGAAAGCAGTGCCTGACTGGATGTTTGTTAAGGAATTATTACCCAAAGACAAGTGGCCTAGGAGTCAGTAGACTGACCTGGATTTTAATCCCACCCCTAGCACATAGCTTGTATGTTTAGGCCAGTTAATTAATTCTATGAGTGGCATCCTTTTGTCCATAAAATGAGGGTAATATCCATCTTGTAGGATTTGTAACATGTAAAATATCTACTTCAATAAATGTTGGTTTCCTCTTTTTCCCTCATATGCAAAATGAAGGGGACTGGGCCAGGTGTTGTGGCTCACACCTATAATTCCAGCGCTTTGGGAGGCCAAGGCTGGAGGATAGATTGAGCCTAGGAGTTGGGGATCAGCCTGGGCAAGAAAGTGAGACCCCAACTCTACAAAAAAAAAAAATCAAAAAATTAGCTGGATGTGGTGACATGCACCTGTGCCTATGGTTCCAGCTACTCGGGAGGCCGAAGCAGGAGGATTGCCTGAGCCCAGGAAGTTCAGGCTGCAGTGAGCCAAGATCATGCCATTGCACTCCAGCCTGGGCAACAGAGTGAGACCCTGTCTCAAAAATAGTAGGGGGAGGAGGGACTGGACTAGATCTTTAAGTCTTTTCCAATGTTAATATTCTATGTTCTATACCTTATTACAATGATGACTCTCATAAATTAATGGAAGTCTGGCAGCAAGTGAATAATAAAGTATCTCCTGATTTTAGGGGAACAGGGGCTATCAAGAACTAAAATAGGATTGCTTTACACTTCTGTGAGCATTCTCTACAACTCCTTCCTCTCCAGACCTTTTGAAGAGGCAGAACAGTTTCCTGTCCCTCAATCAAAGACTACATATAAACAGGGAGTGGGCTGGGCATGGTGGCTCATGCCTGTAATCCCAAAACTGTGGGAGGCCAAGGCGGGCTGATCACTTGAGATCTGGAGTTCGAGACCAGCCTGGCCAACATGATGAAACCCTATCTCTATTAAAAATACAAAAAATTAGCTGGGTGTGGTGATATGCACCTGTATTCCCAGCTACTTGGGAGGCTGAGGCATGAGAATCACGTGAACCCAAGAGGCAGAGGTTGCAGTGAACCGAGATCACGCCACTTCACTTCAGCCTGGGTGACAGAGGGAGACTCTGTCTTTAAAAAAATAATAATAGGGAGTGGCCTCAGCCAAAGACATGGCTAGTTTAGAGTGGGAAGGGCTCAGCAACTTCCCAAAGCACAGGGTCCCAGCAGAAAGACTACCCTGTGATCCTTCCCTCAGGAGTGGCTTCCTTCCAGTGCCCCTATTACCTCCTCTTAGAGCCCGGAGACACTGCAAATGTCAGTGTCCAGGATGCTCTGGGTAGAAGTTAATGATTACTTGAGTCAGCTCTTTCTGCAAACCCTGATGCCTGTGCCTGGTCACTCCGAATCTGGAAGAGACACTGCATAATCTTTGGAAATTCACTGCAGTTATTTTCTTCATCTCCCAATAATCAACCTCAACAACATCCCTCAGTCCTAGGAACTTCCTAGATGGAGTTTGGTCTCTAGACTAGCTATGGGATATCATAACAGCTATGAAGGAATAGAATCATTTTGTGACTTTAACCTATTAGCCCTCTAGTACTGGCCTTAAACAGAGAGACAGGTTTAAAAAACAAAGCCCATGACTCAAGTTAAGGACTCCAGAGCCTGGAAACTCTCTCTCAGGATTGATACCTCTGTTGTTTTTTCAGGACTTAATGTTAGGAACATGGGTTCTCTATATTGGGGGAGTATTATGGAATGAATTGTGTCTCCACAAAATTCATGTGCTGAAGTCCTAACCTCAGAATGTGATTGTATTTGGAATGAGGGCCTTTAAAAGATAGTTAAGGTAAAATGAGGTCATATGGATGGGCCCTAATCCAATATGACTGGTGTCTTTTAAGGAGAAGAGATTAGGACACAGATATACCAAAGGTAGATCATGTAAAGATACCAGAAGAGAATGGCCATCTACAAGCCAAAAAAAAAGCGGTCTTCAAAGAAACCAACCCTGCCAACACCTTAATCTCAGACTTCAGCCTCCAGAATTATGAGAAAATTAATTTCTGTTGTTTAAGCCACCCAGCTGGTGTACTTTGCTATGTAATTCCAGAAAACTAATATAGGGAGAGTTATTAAGACATGTCTCATATTTCTGCCCTTTCCTATTGCCTCCAACCAGATTGTATCTGCTTCCCTGTGTCTACTTGCTGGCTTGGAACTTATTAAGATTGGATCCTTCCTGGAAGAAATTTGCTGATGGAGGCAGAAGGACACTCAGAATTGAAACTGTGTGAGCTTTGGTGCCTGGGATCCTTACTTGCTGTTGCCCATACTTAATTCAAATACTCAATGGATATTTATTATGTCCTAGGGCTATAAGAACATAAGAAAAAGACCCCTGAAACTAGGAAAGAAAGCTTCAAAGAGATGGTCATTTAGACATTTTTAAAGAATGAGAGGAATTGTTGGAGAAGATTGGCATGGGAGAAGAGAATTGAAGCAGAGGGAACAGCATGTACAAAGGTACAAAGATGTGAAACAGAATGACCCGCTGGAGGAACTACATCCTACTGACTAGAATATAGTGTCCATGTGGGCCTGTGGCACAAGGAGAGATAGGAACCCAAACCCGGTTGGAAAATACGTGGGCCTGTGGCACAAGGAGAGAGAGGAACCCAAACCCGGTTGGAAAATACAATCTGGGAGGCAGCTGCGGGGTGTGGAGGAGCCTCAGGTTATTCACTATCTACAGCATGCCCAGGTAGAGTGGTTTCAGCAGTCAGAGAGTGCCCTCAGGCAAAGAATAGCAGCTGCTGACAGCTGGAAATTGTAATCCATGGTAATGGTTGCAGCTGAGATGTGGGTGGGTACCCCCAGCATCTCCTAGATCAACCATACATTTGTGTGAGCCATTTGGTTTTCTCTAGTAGGTCTTGATTTAAGTTCCTGAACTCTGCCCACCACCACCAGCAGCCATGACTTCTTGGCAAGACTCCAAACCCCTCCCTACCTTCACTCTTTAGGTAAGTTGTTTAAAGATGCTATGCCTCCTTGGGAATTTCATTGATTTCCATGTTCCATTCTGCCTGTTCAGCCTCTGCCAACCACTGTCCTGGACTCTCTGGCAGACTGTGCCTTCCTGGTTCTTGTTGGTTACTGGTTGCTTACTGGTTGCAGCCCTATACCTGTTCTTGAACCCCAACTATTGACCCTGTCCTAGGTTTAGTTTACTAACATGGTCTAAATTCTAGTACAGTGATAACTTGAAGAAGCTCAGGCCTAACTTACTAACCATAATATCTTACCCTATTGGAACTGAGCTTTTCCCAAAGAGTACCTCCAGTGTCTTCGCTCCATCAGGATCAGTCAGTCCTACCCTCACCCAACTATCTATAGCCCTAAAGGACCACTGATCATGGCAAGTTAAGGCAATTATCAATAAGGAAGAACAATGATAAAGTATTAGAAGAAGTTAAGTTAAAACCTTGTGTTGCTGAATTTGAAATAGAGAAGTATCAATATTAACTTGTAAGGTATTTTATCTTTTAAAAATTCCCTTGCTCTGTCCACTGAAAAGCCAAGAAATAATGATCAACCTAGTATCAATGAATATCTCTAGAGCCAATATTGTGAATCTGAAATCTATTTTCCATTAAAAGAAATCATGGCTGATTCTAGATCTAGGGCAGGAAATGTACAAGATGAGTCTGGAACATCTTATAATAGAAAGGAAGGAAGGAAGCTACACATGATCATTAGGTGTAGGGTCCAGCCCTACAGGGCTTAGCAGGTGTTCTCCCCGTGTGCAAAGATGAGAGATTGTAAGAAATAAAGACACAAGACAAAGAGATAAAGAGAAAACAGCTGGGCCCGGGGGACCACTACCACCAAGACACAGAGACCGGTAGTGGCCCTTCCCTTTTAGGTAGCCGAAGCAAAGAGGGAAGGCAGTATATGTCAGCGTTTTCTTCCATGCACTTATAAGAAAGATCAAAGACTTTAAGACTTTCACTATTTCTTCTACCGCTATCTACTATGAACTTCAAAGAGGAACCAGGAGTATGGGAGGAACATGAAAGCGGACAAGAAGCGTGACCATTGAAGCACAGCACCACAGGGAGGGGTTTAGTCCTCCGGATGACTGTGGGCAGGCCTGGATAATATCCAGCCTCCCACAAGAAGCTGGTGGAGCAGAGTGTTCCCTGACTCCTCCAAGGAAAGGGAGATTCCCTTTCGCGGTCTGCTAAGTAACGGGCGCCTTCCCAGGCACTGGCATTACCGCTTGACCAAGGAGCCCTCAAGCAGCCCTTATGCGGGCGTGACAGAGGGCTCACCTCTTGCCTTCTAGGTCACTTCTCACAATGTCCCTTCAGTACCTGACCCTATACCTGCCGGTTATTCCTAGGTTATATTAGTAATGCAACAAAGAGTAATATTAAAAGCTAATGATTAATAACATTTATACCAATGATTGATAATTGTCCACGATCATCTCTATATCTAATTTGTATTTTTTTATTCCAACTATTTTCTTTATTATACTGCTACAGCTTGTGCCTTTGGTCTCCTGCCTCGGCACCTGGGTAATCCTTCACCCACAATTAGGGCCATGTTAAAGGAATTCAGGAGTCACTTATTAGCAAAGACAGAATAATTGGAGCACAAGCATCAAGAAGAATAAAAACTGAAATCATTTGAAATGCACCAAATTATGTTTGAATCCATGGGTTTAAAATGTTACCTTTTTAAAAAACTCTATTTGATCACCTGTGGAGTATGATTAGGAAGCAACTTAACTATTTTGAGAACTTTTAAATAAAGGGAAAGAATCAGACACTTGTTCTGCCTTTCGTATATGAACTGAATTATTAGGTAGCCAAATAGTCAGGGGAGGGGTCTTTTAATAGACATTAAAGCTAATAAATTAAGAAACAGTGATTGAATTCAAATATCATTTGAAACCCTTAATATGTTAATAGAACTAGGCAATTAGCATCAATGGCTGCTAACATACACACACACACACACACACATACCCACACACACACATCACACACACATACATGACATTATGTGCTATTTGGTAAAAGGACACAACACAGTATCATCTCCAAAGTAGTCTTGCCAAAAAAAATCAAACCTATCTAATCAAATCTCTAAATCCAACTACTAATTTACAGAAAATACAAGTGAGAGGGAACATGCTAAACTACACCATACAATGTAATTAACAAAATTCATACTGTAGGAATCTATTAATGAAGCAATTTAGTTTATTCAACAAATAAAGTGCAAGGTGAAAGAAGAATATGGCGAATTATAGATTAAAAGAGATTTAAAAGACATCATTTTTTAAACTGATAAAACTTAACTATAGTGTTTAGGGATGCACCCTGGAGTGATAAAGCATTTTTAAAAAGCAAAGAAGCCTAGTGCATTACAAGAATTACTAAAGGACTGGAAGAGTCTGGGTTTTTATTTTGTAATATTTCTAAAACTGAGTCCCTTGAATGCAAATCCCCCCCAAAAAAAATAGAAGGGATTTTTTTTTTTTTTTTTTAGAAGGAGTTTTGCTCTTGTTGCCCAGGCTGGAGTCCAATGGCACGATCTTAACTCACTGCAACCTCTGCCTCCCGGGTTCAAGTGATTCTCTTGCCTCAGCCTCCCAAGTAGCTGGGATTACAGGCACCTGCCACCATCCCAGACTAATTTTTTATATTTTTAGTAGAGTAGCTGGGATTACAGGCACCCGCCACCACACCCAGCTAATTTATATTTTTAGTAGAGATGGGGCTTCATCATGTTGGCCAGGCTGGTCTCGAACTCCTGACCTTCAGGTGATCCACCCATCTAGGCCTCCCAAAGTGCTGAGATTACAGGCATGAGCCACTATGCCCAGCCAGAAGAGATCTTGACAGAAGAGATTTTAACAATGACAACACAAGCAAATTTCAACGTTTATAATATGGCCTAGTAATTTGTTTTTCAAATTTAATTTAAAGTGATCATTGTAAAATATGCCTCTTATATCATGACTCAGTATACATGTTTGTAGTCTAGCTCAGGATTTTCCAAACTATGGGTCTAAAATAAATTTGGTGGGTTGTTATCAGCATTAAAAAATATCAAATAGGCAGCTTAGGAGGCTGAGGTGGACAGATCGCTTTGAGTTCAGGAGTTCAAGACCAGCCTGGGCAACATAGCAAAACCCCATCTCTACAAAAAATATAAAAATTATCCAGGCCTAGTGGTTTATGCCTATACTCCTAGCTACTCGAGAGGCTGAGGCTGGAAGATTGGTTGAGCCCAGGAAGGAGAGGTTGTAGTGAGAGGTTGCACGCCTGCCTGTGTGACAGAGTGAGATCCTGTTTCAAAAAATAAAATCAAATACGATGAATAAGTACTGGAGACTCAATGAATAGCGTAGTGACTATAGTTAATAACAATGTATTGCATACTTGAACTGTGCTAGGTGAGTATATCTCAAGTGTCCTCACCACAAAAAAGAAATGGTAACTGTGTGAGGAGAGGGATATGTTAATCGGCTTGATTGTGGGAGTCATTTCACAATACATACATACATACAACATCACATCATACAGCCTAAATATATGCAATTTTAAATTGTCAATCCGACCCTTCCAGTTCATAAAGCTGAAAAAAAATCAAGTCAGAAAGAACTGAAGAGAAAATTGAGAGCCAGGCAGGCATTGTGGCCCAAGCCAGCACTTCAGGACGCTGAGTTGGGAGGATCGCTTGAGCCCAGGAGTTTGAGACCACCCTGGGCAACATAATGAGACCTCCTCTCTATAAAAAAGTAAATAAAACAAAATTAGCTGGGTGTGGTGGTGCACACCTGTAGTCCCACCTACTCAGGAGGCTGAGGTGGGAGGATCACCTGAGTCCAAGGAGGTCGAGTCTGCAGTGAGCCAAGAATGCACCACTGCACTCCAGTCTGGGCAACAGAGCAAGACCCTGTCTCAAAAAATAAAAAATAATCACGCCTGTAGTTCCAGCTACTAGGGAGGCTGAGGTGGGAGGATTGCTTGAGCCCAAGAGGTCAAGGCTGCAGTGAGCCGTGTTTGCACCATTGCACTCCAACCTGGACAAGATTGAGATCCTGTCTCAAAAAATAAAAATAAACATAAAAATATAAAAATATGGCCAGGTTTATGCCTGTAATCCCAGCACTTTGGGAGGCCGAGAGAGGCAGATCCCTGGCACCCAGAAGTTTGAGACCCCATATCAAAATTAGCAAGGCGTGATGGTGCCTTTCTGTAGTCCCAGCTATTTGGGAAGCTGAGGTGGGAGGATTCCTTGATCCTGGGAGGTCGAGGTTACAGTGAACCAAGATCACACCACTGCATTCCAGCCTGGGTGATGGCATGAGACCCTGTCTCAAAAAAAAAAAAAAAGAAAAGGAAAAAAAATATATATATATATATATAATAACAGTAAAAAATAAAGAAAATTGAGTCCATCTCATGTGATTAAAGAAAGTATTATTTTTTGGAAAAATGGAAGTATTATTATTTTAAGTAATTATTATTTAAAGGAAGTATTATTTCCAATGTATATATGAATGTGTGAGTTTTTATGAATGTATATACTGGCTTGCAACGTGAAATCAATTTCTTACTGTGATACAATGCCCGCCCTCCATTTGGAAAACATAGCCCTCACTGATTTCACGAATTGAGCTTCATTAGTCTTGATTACATATATGACTGCGAAGTTGGGACCTGGAGCAAGAAACAGCCTGGATTGCCTTCAGAGCAGGGTGGACCTGCCACACTGCAGACCGCTCTTCTTGAAACACAGCCAGTTGTACCTTTCCCAGCTTGTCTACATTGCAACCTCTGGTGTAAAAAATGTTAGTTATGAAAACTAGATACTGTCGCTGGGTGAGAAGAGTTTCAAATTTTAAAGTCTGTTCTTAGAAGGGGCGTCCCGTGGACCTTCAATATACACGTGAAAATAGTGTGAGCTCCTTTCATCTAGCTGGCTTTTCACCTCAGGACGTGTTTGTACCGGAAGATGCGTGTTTTCCTCGGGAGTCCTGCAAGGCACCCAGACTCTTTTTTAATTCAGCTCTCCCTTGGTGCTGTCGTTCTGAAGTCCTCAAACTGACATGTCAGAAAATGTTTTTGGTAATTCTTGGCTATATTTTTAAATTTATATTTATGGGAGGTAATAGAGGCTTAGAATTCAAGACATACAAAAGTGGGAAGCTTCCTCTTTCACTCCTGTCTTTGCACCACTCAGTTTCCTCTCCAGAGACAATAAACATTACTAGTTTTTTGTTTGGTTGGTTTTTGTTTTGTTTTGTTCAGATGACAAATTCTAAGTGCCAACCACCACCGTAATTTGAAGCAGAGCCTGGAAACAAGGTTCCTGAAAACTGGTTTTGCAACCTTTGCACTTTCACCACCTGAAGGATGAAAATTTTAGAGAGAGAGTTGGAGATGCATAGATTAGGAGGGAGCTGCTAGAGTGCTTGGAGTCCCACTGCACTCTAAAAGCATCTTTATAGAACATTTAATACTTGTATTGCCCTTATTTGTTTTGTGTATGTGGTTTTCTTGGTTTGCTTGTTTTTTGTTTTTGAGACAGGGTCTTGCTCTGTTGCCCAGGCTAGAGTGCAGTGGTCCAATCTTGGCTCATTGCATCCTCGACCTTCTGGGCTCAGATGATTCTCCTGCCTCAGCCTCCCTCCCGGGTAACTGGGACTATGCCCGTCACACCACCCAACTAATTTTTTTTATTTTTTATTATCATTATTATTTTATTTTTTTTGTAGAGAGGGGGTTTCACCATGTTACTCAGGCTGGTCTCGAACCCCTGGGCTCAAACAATCCTCCCGCCTCAGCCTCCCAAAGTGCTGGGACTACAGGCATGAGCCATGGCACCCAGCCTGTTATTTGTTTACATGTCTTTCTCCTCTCCTAAACTGTAAGCCCCTTGAAGGCGGTGTGGGTGCTACCTCTGGCCCTATGACAGCATCACCTTCTTCTGACCCTCATAACTGAACAAATCTTTGGAGTGTTAACTGTGTTCTTAGAACAGAGAACAGATGTTATCAACCTTGATAATGTAAAAGTAAAAACATAGTTGAAAAATGTAGAGAAATGGAAAGGAGAAGAAAGGGGAGAATGAGCTGTAAGCACAAAGGACAAAAATGGGAGAGTCAAGGGATGGTGCCTTGAGCCCATGGAAAAAGCAATAGAGGGCCGGGCGCAGTGGCTCTACCCTGTAATCTCAGCACTTTGGGAGGCAGAGGCGGGTGGATCGCCTGAGGTCAGGAGTTCAAGACCAGCCTGGTCAATATGGCGAAACCTCGTTTCTACTAAAAATACAAAAAATTAGCCAGGCATGGTGGCAGGCACCTGTAATCCCAGCTGTTCAGGAGGCTGAGGCAGGAGAATCGCTTGAACCCTGGAGGCAGAGGTTGCGGTGAGCCAAGATCATGCCATTGCACTCCAGCCTGGGCAACAAGAGTGAAACCCCATCTCAAATAAAAAAAAAAAGAAAAGAAAAAGCAATAGAGGCATGAGTAATTGACATGCATGGGCAATCATGAAAGAAGAGAGGAAGGTGATGTAACTGCATAGGCTGGGGTAGGTGTGGGTACAGGGCAGCAAACACCAACTATCATAGCATACAGGCAAAATAGAATGTCTAAAGATGACATATCAAGAAGTAGTATGCAGAAGACATATAGAAGTAAGGAGGAAACCACCAGAAAAATCAAATGTAGAAAGAGATAAAACGTAGTTGCTCCAGTATACCAGGAGTATGTAAGACTGAGGAGTGTTGCGTTTCTGTGCTACCTGATTTATTCACAACTGTGCCTGATCTATATTAACAAAAATTTTAGAAATATGAGAGGGATGGTTGTGATGCATCTGAGAAACTTACCCATTCAAAATAGTAAATATAAAGTATATTGTATTATTTAAAGGCGTTTGTCTTTTTAGAAAACTGAGCCATTTCTTGGGGATATAAGACAGCCAGAAATTTACTATACTGGTTCTCCTTCCTCTCTGAAGTAGACCACTTTTCATCTCCTGTCTATAGCCACTAAACACCAGCTTGATTGCACTGTAACTCCTTAAATAAAGAACTAGTTACTTAAATAATCAACTAGTTACTAGGTACACTACTATTTTGAATGAAACTAGAATTTGCCCCAAGATATTGGCCCTAATATATATTGCTTGCCTAACTTTCCATTGCTATGTTTATACAGATCATTTCTTCCCATCAAGAATCCACAAGAATATTATACCTATGTACCCCTGGCCCCAACAACCCATTATCGTGTGTACCAGATGGCCACACATTAATCCATCTCCCACAGTCCCTTGCTAAGGTGTGCTTCCGGTGCTTGCATTCTTTGTGCCTATGTGTGGCTTTGACTTTATGATTAAGGAAAAAAGATGTTTTTGCTTTTTTAAGTCCAAGCAGTGAGCAAAATGTAAAACAGTTCCTATAGAAAAAAATAGACATCAGTAAAACAAAGTGGAGAGTCCAAAATTAAACCAAATGCCTAGAGCATTTTAGTTCATGGTAAAGGCTACATTTTAAACAAAGAGGATAAACATGAATTCATTGACAAATTGTTAAGGGGAAAGGCTAGATTCCTCCTGCATTCTGTCCTTTTGGTGCCTCAAAAACTAAACATATGCCAGGTGTGGGAGCTCAGGCTTTGTAATCCCAGCTCTTTGGGAGGCTAAGGATTGCTTGAGCCCAGGAGCAACATAGCAAGACCCCATCCCTAAAAAAATTGCTTTTAATTAGTCAAGTGTGGTGGTGTGCACCTGTAGTCCCAGCTACTCTGGAGGCTAAGGCAGGAGGATCACTTGAGCCCAGGAATTTGAGGCTGCAGTGAGTGAGCTATAATACCATCACTGCATTCCAGCTTGGGCAACAGAGTGAGACCCTGTGTCTAAAAAGACCCAAAGATTTAAACTTAAATTATCAAAGATTTAACATATATTAAGGAGTTGAACATAAAATAAACCATAAAATTTCAAAAAGAAAGCATGAGTGAAGATGAAAACCTTACCAAGAAGGATATAAAATCTAAAGATCATAAAGTAAAAAACTGGTAAATGTGAATACATAAAATTTTTTAAGTATGAAATAAAAGTAGCCTAAACAAAGTCTAAAAACCAGTGTCAAATTAAAAAAAGATATTTGCAATATATATGATAGCAAAAGCCTAATTTCTTTAATTTATAAAAAGTCTATATAAGTTAATAAGAAAAAATGACAACCCAATATAAAAATGGGCAAAAGATAAGAACTGGCAGTTTTCAAAAAAAGTTACAGTCATGAAAAACAAATAAATAAACTTAGATAAGTACAAATCAAGACAAAAAGTGAAATATCTGTGAGATTAGCAAACATTTTTAAGTTTGATTATAGCCAATGTTGTTGATGACATGAGGAAGCAGGCTTTTGGGAAATAAACTGATGGAATCTTGGGGAAGAATATTTGGCAGCAGCTATCATATTTACAGCCCCTTTGGTCCAGCTTTCCCACTAAAAGAGAGATATACTATGGATAGATTCACAGAAGTTTGCCAAGCAGCCATAAAAAAGAACAAGATTATGTCCTTTGCAGCAACATGGATGGAGCTGAAGGTCATTATCCTAAGTGAACTAATAATGCAGGAATAGAAAATAAAATACCACATGTTCTCACTTGTAAGCAGGAACTAAACAATGGGTACACATGGACAAAAAGATGGAAATAATAGACACTGAGGATTCCAAAAGAGGGAAGGGGGAGCGGGGGAGAGGGTTGAGAAATTTCCTATTGGATACGATGTTCCCTATTTGGGTCATGGGTACACTAGAAGCCCACCAGTATGCAGTATATTCATGTAATAAACATGCACATGTACTCCACGAATCTAAAATAAAATGTTTAAAAAAATTTAAGTTTGCCAAGATAATCTATGAGGTTAGTTTCATTACAGTTTTTGTAATTGCAAAAAAATTTTAAGAAAGACAGAAAAAACTCTAAACTGACCATTAGCAGGAAACTTATAAAATATATATTTTTTATTTCAATAGGTTTTGGGAGAACAGGTGGTGTTTGGTTACCTGAATGTGTACTTCAGTGATGATTTCTGGGATTTTAGTGCACCCATCACCTGAGCAGTGTACACTGTACCCAATGTGTAATCTTTTATCCCTCACCCCCCTCCTATGCTTCCCCTCAAGTCCCCAAAGTCCATTGTATTACATTATTCTTATGCGTTTTTGGCCTACTAGCTTAGTTCCTGCTTATAAGTGAGAACATACGATGTTTGGTTTTCCATTTCTGAGTTACTTCACTTAGAATTAACAGTCTGCAACTCCATCCAGGTTGCTGCGAATGCCATTATTTTTTTCCTTTTTATGGCTGAGTAGTATTCCATGGTATATATATACCACATTTTCTTTATTCACTTGTTGATTGATGGGCATTTGGGCTGGTTTCATATTTTTGCAATTGTGAATTGTGCTGCTATAAACATGCATGTTCAAGTGTCTTTTTCATAATATGACTTCTATTCCTCTTGGTAGATACTCAGTAGTGGGATTGCTGGATCAAACAATAGATCTACTTTTAATTCTTTAAAAAAACTCCACACTGTTTTCCATAGTGGTTGTACTAGTTTACATTCCCACCAGTAGCGTAAAAGTGTTGCCTTTTCACTACATCCACACTAACATCTATTTTTTTTTATTTTTTAAATTATGGCCATTCTTGCAGGAGTAAGATAATATCGCATTGTGGCTTTGATTTGCATTTTTCTGATAATTAATGATGGTGAGCATTTTTTCATGTTTTTGGCCATTTGTATATAAAATAAATTTGTATATAACTATTTTGAGAATTATCTATTCATGTCTTTTAGCCCACTTTTGGAAGAAATTTTTTTTTCTTGCTAATTTGTTTGAATTTCTTGTAGATTCTAGATATTAGTCCTCTGTCAGATGAATAAATCGTGAAAATTTTCTCCTACTCTTGGGTTGTCTGTTTACTCTGCTGATTTTTTTTTTCTATGCAGAAGCTTTTTCGTTTAATTAAGTTCCATCTATTTATCTTTGTTTTAGTTGCATTGCTTTTGGGTTCTTGGTCATGAAGTCTTTGCCTAAGCCAATGTCTAGAAGGGTTTTTCAGATGTTATCTCCTAGAATCTTTATGGTTTCAGGTCTTAGATTTTAAGTCTTTGATCCATCTTGAGTTGGTTTTTATATAAGGTTAGAGGTGAGGATCCAGGCTAAAGCACAAGAATCACTTGAACCCGGGAGTCAGAGGTTGCAGTGAGCCAAGATTGTGCCACTGCACTCCAGCCTGGGGGACAGAGTGATACTCTGTCTAAAAAAAAAAAAAGGTGAAAAGATATATCTCTTAAATTAGAATATAAATAAAGCACAGCCATACTTGACTTAGAAAAATAATAGAGCACAGGCAGTCATTGTTCTCTTTTAATTTACAACTTTTAACCTGAAGTGCTTAAACAGGGAGGTCCTAGAGAGCTTTTTATCTGAAAAGCTGTGTGAAGTGTTTGGCCCTGCCATACCATTCCCTTGCCCTCCATGTCTTTTGCTCAGGGACCAGGGAATTTGACAGGAGAATGTCAGTGAATGGGCAGAGTCAGAGCTGAGGCGAGCAGATCTTTGCTGAGGAGACATTGGACATAAGGTGTGCTCATAACACTACCTGAGCAAACAGCTCAGCTGTTGCAAAACAGCTCAGCATCAGAGGAGGCAGAAGTGATGCTAAGACTCCACTCATTCACAAAGGAGAAGCCAAATCAAACAGCTTGGCAAATCACAGCAGCTTGCTCAGATACTTGTTCTTTCCTTTATTAAACAAATATTTATTTGACACTTATCAGATGTTAAATTTGCCATAGGCCCTGGGAAAATAAAGGTGAAGTTTTTTTCCTGGAGGGATATTACTTTATAATGGAGGAGTGACACAGTAAGTGAATACATTATAACAAAAGATTAGATAGTAAGTGGTCTGAAGAGAAATAAAGCAAGGGAAGGAGATAGTGACCAATTGCTTGCCTATTTTAGAAGGACTGATCAGGAAAGGCCTTTCTGAGATGGTGGCATTTGGGCAGAGACTTGCATGGAGAGAGGCAACAGAGATGCAAGGTAGAAAAAGCAATCATGAAGACCCTGAGGTCAGAGCAAGTTTGGTGTGTTCAAGGATCAGCCTGAGATCCACTGTGGCCAGAGCAAAATAATAAAGGGAAGATGAAGTTAGAGAGGCCAGCAGTGGTCAAATCCAGTAGGATCTTGTGAGCTATGGATTTTATTCTCTGTGTGCCACTGGAGTGTCAGCCAGGCTCTAACTTGCTTAATAATGTTGAGAACTGTTGTCAGCTCTCTGGGCTTTCCAGGTATTTGATGCAGACTCATTCTCTGCTGAAGTACTTCGAGAAGTTCTTTCGAGGCACCCCGCTATGCACCACACCTTCCCCCAACTGGAGACACCTTTGCCTGTGTCTCCCTTGGTGTAGGTTAGTACTCCTGACTGCTCCCTTCTGCCAGAGCTTCCCTCCAGTCTCTTTCACCTGAGCTCACCTCTCCATGCAGTGCTCCCTCAATCTCTCTCTGTTCTTTCTCTTTCTCTCTCTTTCTCACGCGTGCGCGCGTCTGCACACACACACACACACACACACACTCTCTCACTCACCAACCTTATCTGGGCCACAGCAATTGTTCAGCATCCTCTATCAGGAGATGGAGATGACTCCCCATTCAGCACTTTTGCCTCTCCCCTCCACTAGCACAGAGAGCCAGCCCCAGCCTCTAAACATGGGTCCCCTGCATCCACCAACTGCAAAAGACATTTAACCAGTTCACAGAGGGACTAAAGAAGCCCCTTTCCTTAGGCCAGTGTTTCTCAGCCTCAATGATATTGACATTTGGGGCATGTATTTTGTTATTGCAGGGGACTATCATATGCATTTGAGGATGTTTAGCAGCACTGTGTTCTGAATGTTGGTGTCCTCCCAAAATTCGTATGTTGGAACCTAATACCCAAGGTATAGTACTAAGAGGTGGGGTTTTTGGGAAGTGATTAGGTCATGAGGGCTCTACCCTTGTGAATGGGATTCATGCCCTTATAAAAGAGGCTTGAGGGAGCATGCTTGTCCCTTCCACCACATAAGAATGCAGCAGCAAGGCATCAACTCTGAAGCACAGAGGAGTCCTCAACAGACAGCAAACCTGCCAGCACCTTGATCTTGGACTTTCCAGCCTCCAGAACTGTGAGCAGTAAATTTCTGGTTTTTAGAAATTACCCATTTCAAGATATTTTGTTGCAGCAGCCTAAACAGACTAAGACAAGCAGGATTTCTGGCCACTAGCCAATAGATGCCAGCAGCAGCCCCCGAGCTGGGACAACCCAAAATGTCTCCAGACATTGCCAAATGTCCCCTGTGAGGCAAAATCACCTTAATGGACAAGCCACTTCAGCCCTGGGCTGAAAGTGAGGGAAATCCTGCTTCCCTGTGGGTATGGGGTATGGAGCTCAAAGTTCAAGTCAACAGCTTCCTCCTCATCAATCTCTAATTCCACCTTGGGCTTTCCAACCTCTTTTATATCCTCACGTGGCAAAGGCTCAAGGGTTGCAATACCCGTTTTCAAAAACCCTTTTTCCAAGTACTACAACACACACCTGCCATCTCCTTGGGAAACATGAGAGTATTTGGAACCTGGAATTCTGGCACCTCAGTCAAAACTGAGACATAAATCTTCCCATTCTCACATCCTATTATGCTATAATTTTTTATGAAAGAAAAACAGGGGCATACACACACATCACATATGTATTTGCTAGTACAGTCTCTGCATAGAGCATCTTTGGGAAGACTCACAAGAGTCTTGAACGATAATATTTGTTTTTTTCCAAGGTATTTTTTTCTAGGTGGCTGGACAAGCAAAGATAGAGACTTTTCACTTTTATAATTTTTGAATTTGAAACCATTTCACCTATAAAATTACCTTTAAAAGACAAAAAGATACAAGAAAAAAACAAACAACCCCATCAAAAAGTGGGCGAAGGATATGAACAGACACTTCTGAAAAGAAGACATTTATGCAGCCAAAAGACACATGAAAAAATGCTTATCATCACCGGCCATCAGAGAAATGCAAATCAAAACCACAACGAGATACCATCTCACACCAGTTAGAATGGCGATCATTAAAAAGTCAGGAAACAACTGGTGCTGGAGAGGATGTGGAGAAATAGGAACACTTTTACACTGTTGGTGGGACTGTAAACTAGTTCAACCATTGTGGAAGTCAGTGTGGCGATTCCTCAGGGATCTAGAACTAGAAATACCATTTGACCCAGCCATCTCATTACTGGGTATATACCCAAAGGATTATAAAGCATGCTGCTATAAAGACACATGCACACGTATGTTTATTGCGGCACTATTCACAATAGTAAAGACTTGGAACCAACCTAAATGCCCAACAATGATAGACTGGATTAAGAAAATGTGGCACATATACACCATGGAATACTATGCAGCCATAACAAATGATGAGTTCATGTCCTTTGTAGGGACATGGATGAAGCTGGAAACCATCATTCTCAGCAAACTATCGCAAGGTTAAAAAACCAAACACCACATGTTCTCACTCACAGGTGGGAATTGAACAATGAGAACACATGGACACAGGAAGGGGAACATCACACACCGGGGCCTGTTGTGGGGTGGGGGGAGGGGGGAAGGATAGCATTAGGAGATATACCTAATGTTAAATGACGAGTTAATGGGTGCAGCACACCAACATGGCACATGTATACATATGTAACAAACCTGCATGTTGTGCACATGTACCCTAAAACTTAAAGTATAATAAAAAAAAAAGATAAAAAGAGCCAATAATTCAAAAAAATAAAAGAAAGAAAGAAACCCCCAGTTTTAGGACCTAATAAGGAGAGGCAGGATTGCATAAGAAAAGCCCATATGGAGAGACTGTATTTATTATTAGAAGGCAAGAAGGTCCAGCTGCTCTGTGGCCCAAGTGTGTCCTGGGGTAAAAACTGAAGCAGATAAAAGAATTCGTGTAATTTTTATACAGATACTTCAGGTCTGTGAGACTCTGCCTCTGAAGAATGGATTTAAAAATTGATTATTCCTACCTGACAGCTAAAAAATCAATGTATTCTCTTTCCTTTCTTCCTTTTTTCCTTCCTTCCTTCCTTCCTTCCCTTCCTCCCTCCTTCCCTCTTTCCCTCTCTCCCTGCCTCTGTCTCTCTCTTTCCCTCCCTCCTTCCCTCCCTTCATTCCTTCCTTCCTTTCTCTCTCTCTCTCTCTGTCTCTCTCTCTCTTTATTTCTTCAAGTATTCAAGTGCTCACTATGTGCCAAGCAGTGTCCCAGGAGCTGAAGATACAGCAGTGACCAAAACAAAACCCCTGGCCTTCATATATCCTAATGCAGGGAGAGGACAGAAAATGTGGAATAAGTAAGTTAAACAGTGAGTTAAGAGAGTGAGAAATGCTAAATAGAAAAAGAAAATAAGAAGAAGAATAAAAAATAAGAAGTTGACTGTTGAACAAACTCCTGAAGGTGCTGAGGACTTTCGGACTTGCATACAGGGCCTCATACTCAGAAGAGACCTACACTTGGTTTGATTCTCTGCTGTCACCACCTTGACATTCCTAATGGTTTTTTAACAAGAAGCTCCACATTTTCACTATACACTGGGCCCAAATATTCTGTAGCTGGTCCTGATTTCAGATAACTCGGGGATGAGCGTTTCAGACAAAAGGAACAGCAATGAACATACCTGGAGTTTTCAAGGAGCAAGGAGGTCAGAGGGACTGTTGGAGGGGTTAGGGCAGTAAGGGGGGTGATGTGCACACAGCATGAGGCCATCCTCAGGCTGGGCTTCCCTGGGTGAGATGGAAAACAAGCTGTGAAAACAGGAGTGACCCTACATATGTTTTAAAAGGACCACTCTGGATTTTTCTTGAGAATAGGCTCTAGGTGGGGAAGAATGAAATCAAGGAAATCAATTAAGAGGCTGATGAAATAATCCAAATGAGACCTGGCTCAGCCCCAGGTGTTGTTTGAGTGAAGGCAATGAGAGGTGGTCAAATTCTGGATGCAATCCAAAGGCATAGTTGACAGGATTTGCCAGACTTTTCTATAGGCTGAGAGAGTAAAAGAAGAGTCAAGGATGGCTCTAATGTTGGCCTGAACAACTGATAGGATGGAGTTGCTATTCTGAAATGCAGAAGACTGTGAGAGAAGGAAGTTTCTCAGGGAAGATGAGAAATTTATTTTTGAATATTTTAAGTTTAAGATAAACTATTTCACCTCTAAGAGGAGATATCCAATAAGTAATTGAGTATCTGTGTCATAAGTTTGTGGGGGATGTCTGTATTGACAATATGTATTTAGGGGTCATTAGCTCACACAGATGATATCTAAAGTCATGGCAGTAAATAAATCATCATGCAAGTATGCAGACAGAAAAGAAGTTCAAGGTCTGAGTTCTGAGATACACCATAGTAGAGGATGAATATGGGGGGCACCAGCAAGGGAAGGCTCCAAAGGTATGCTTTGTATAGAAAAGTTACCATCCTAATATAGACTAATTGAGAAGAACATTTTTTGATATATTGAAAAATAAGAGACATACAGCACTACAAACGCATACAGTTTTGACATCAGCCCAGGCTTTGGTTAGAGCTCCCAATTCAAATAATTCATTAGCAAATCTTGTAACTGGCTAGCAGACGAGCAATGAAGCCCAAGCCATGAAAATTGTGATGATGATGATGATGATGATTAATTTTTTTTAAACAGAGAGAAAGGCTAGACTTACAGGGTGACCAATAATGCTGGTTTATCCAAGAAGGGGATTCCCAAGACACAGGGCTGTCAGTGCTAAACCAGGTAAGTCATAGGCAAACTGGAATGAGTTGGTCAATCCAACTTAGTGTCAGTCCTTCACTCAAATCTAGCCCTCTCAGTTAATTAACTTGTATTTTCTCATCTGTAAAAGTAGGAGTGACAAAGCGTTGTTATTAAAATAAAATAAAATAAAATAAGAAAATTGCCCATCAGATTGCCTGACACTTACCTAGTAGGTGCTCAATAAATTATGGCTATTATTAGTAGAAGAAAAGCACTCTGTGTACCCCAGTACACCCTATTGACACCATTGGATTATGGCAAGCAAAATATTGGCCTGGCACAGTGGCTCACGCCTGTAATCCCAGCATAGGCTAGGAGGCCAAGGCAGGCAGATCATTGGAGGTCAGGAGTTCGACACCAGCCTGGCCAACATGGCGAAACCCCATCTCCACTAAAAATACAAAAATTAGCCAGGCATGGTAGCACGCGCCTGTAGTTCCAGCTACTCAGGAGCCTGAGGCAGGAGAATTGCTTGAACCCAGGAGGCAGAGGTTGCAGTAAGCCTAGATGATGGCGCCACTGCACTCCAGTTTGGGCAACAGAGTGAGACTCCATCTCAAAAAAAAAAAAATTAGCGTTCACAATTATGATCCTGAGTTACTAAAGAACATTAAACTATGATCATTATATTCCTGTATAGCAACATTATCCATTAAGATGTGTGGGGGTCATGATATTAGGCATGAAATAAGGAGAGGAAGCTCAACACAATATTTGGTCCTACTGTAGATAGTATTTACACTGCTGTAATAATATCTACACTAGTTATTGAATTACAACTTATAGAATTGAATTATAGACAAATTATGGAGAAATTAACGATAGTTTCAGATCATAGTGTAAATATTATTAATCTGTGTATTGTCAAAGTACAGCTATAGTTGACAGAGGTAGCAAAGTGGTAATGGGTTAAAGAGGGACAAAAACAGCAGGAGCATCAAGACCCAACATGGGGAATTAAGAAATGCAGTCTCTTGTTTGTGGAATAAGAAGTTGAAGTTGAATTGTGTTGCTTAAAGATGCCTTAATTCCAAATGGAAAAACTGAGAAGGATAATAGAACCATTCTGGAGGGTGGGAAAATCAGATGAGAGAGACAGAGAGAGAGAGAGAGAGAGAGAGAAAGGGGAGAAAGGGAGGGAGTGGGAGGGATGGAGACACATCACATCTTCTCCCTCCCTTTCTCCCTCCTTCTCTCTCTCTCATCTGATTTTAAACATATGCATTAATTCTATTTATGAAATTTTAAAAATAAAAACAGAAAGGATGTGAAAATGACTTCCAATCCAAAATAACTTAAAGAAAGAATATTTGGATGCATAAAGGCATTCGGCTTTTTCGAAAACGGAGCTATTACATACCCATTCCTTGAGTATGTAAGAATACCAAGATCTTAATCCACCCAGTTCCCCTTTCACTCTGAAGCTGAACCAGTCTTTATAGACACTGAAAATTGGATTCCTGTACCTCAGTTGCACTTTATTTAGATAAAGAGTAGGTACACAATCAACCCCTAAGTACACCACCATTTTTTATGAAATCAGGCCTCCACCTTGGATAATAGCTCTAAAATATTCATTGCCTAACTTTCAAAGCTGTGCATTATTCTATACACAGGGTGTTCCTGTCCAACTTGGCTTCCATAAGAACTTCAATCAAATTCACAGACCACATTCAAATTTGTCAATTGTCCTAATAATAGCTATTATAGGTTCAGGATCATACATAATGTGTAGTTGTCATCTCTCTTTAGTTTTCTTCAACCTGGACCAGTTCCTGAGTCTTACCTTATTTTTATGATCTTGACATTTTTAAAAAGAGCAGGTTACTCACTTTGTAGAAAGTCCATCAATTTGGGTTTGTTTAGTATTTCTTCATAATTACATGTAAGTTATACAATTTTTGGCCGAATTGTATAAAAAGTGATGCTATGTTCTAATGGCATCCTATCAGGACATATACAATATCCATTTATCCTATGCTGTTTTAACTTTTATAAGATAATGTCTGACTCCTCTATTGTAAAATTAACTATTAAATATTTGGTATTAATATGTAGTCTGTGGAGATAACTTTGGAATTATGTAAATATTCTATTCCTTATCAAATGTTCACTTACTAGTTTTAGGATCCAGTGATGAGTCTTCCTTGAATCAGTTTTTATGATAATGATTGCACAATGATCCTAACTCTATCATTTCTTCTATGCTTATTAGTTGGCATCTTACTACAAGGTAGAGTTTTCCATTCTGCCCCAGTTATTTATTTATTCATGCATTTATTCATGCATTTATTCATATCAGCACAGACTTGTGAATTTCTATTTTATTCAGTGGATTATATCTGTTATTAGCATTATTTGTTTTGATGCTTAAATTATCCCAGATTTGGTCAGTGGAAACTTTATTAAGTTGGTTTCTGTGTTCTTATGAATAAAAGGAATAATAATACTGCTTATTATTCTTCAAGCAAATTTTACTTTCTGGCACTAAAAATATCCTTCAGTCTCATCTTGTACTTGTTTGTTCCATATTTGGAATCAGCAATTTATTCAAGGAGCTTGACTCCTTTTAGTGGAAAATAGTATTTAGAAACCAAGATCTGGGCACTACACATACTCATTGCTACTGAGATATTATTGTTTCTAGGCCTTCACAAGAGACGGAGCTAGAAATATATGAACACACACACACACACACACACACACACACACACACAGCCTAGATATTTTTTTATGCCAGTCTGTAAAAGCCATACTCAAAACCATGAGTTCACACCAATATTTCCAATCCTTAACTAACACTCCAGAGTTTTTTCCAACCTTTGCTTTTCCATGTTCGTAATCCCTTTCTCAGACAGTGAGAAACCTGGATTCCATTTAGTCTCAATATATCTACTTTTTCAGTCAATCCTCTAGTATGTAACTAACCTCTTGGCCTCTCAGCGTGTCCCCTTGGCCAACCCCAATCACACTGGCTGAACCATCAGCCCCAATCCCACCAAACACGCTAACTCAGCAGTTCAATCCTCAGCCCAGCCGTCCTGGCCACACTGGCTGATTCTGTGGCACTGGAGCCACCAATCATGCCAGCTGAAGCCTCAGCCCCAACTCTGCTGACCATGTTGACTGCACCAATCCAAAAACTAAGTTTTTAAAACCCAAATAGTCTTGCCATAATTAAAATAATCTATTACAGAAGAAGAAAAAGACATCAGTGGAACAGAATCCAGAATCCAGAAATAGACCTAAATACGCATGGCATTTTAGTTCATAATAAAGGCACCATTTCCAACCAGTGGATTTATATGTAACCTAGTTGGTGGGGTAAATAAAATAGTGTGGGGTTACCTGTAAGATTGTTAGGAAAAGAAAAGATGAATTTGTAGCACTATTTACACTGAAATTAATTATAATTGTATCAAAGATTTTGCATTAAATAAATCCATACAATTTCTGAATAAAGCATGAATTAATTTAGTTAAGATTCTGGAACGAAAAAGGCCTTTCGAAGGAGAACACCAAGACAGAAATTTGATAAATTGAATCACACAAAATTTATTTTCTCTTTGACCAAAAATAAATCAATAAAGCCAAAAAATAATTGACAAATTGGAGAAAGACATTTTCAGTACAGGAAAGCAAACAACTAATGTCCTTAATTTACACAAAGTTTTATACAGGTAAACAAAGTAACAAATGATAAACTCAAATAACAAATGCAAAATGCCAATAAACTTCTGTTCCTTATAAATTACACAGTCTGGTTGGGCGCGGTGGCTCATGCCTGTAATCCCAGCACTTTGGGAGGCCGAGGCAGGCAGATCACTTGAGGCCAGGAGTTTGAGACCAGCCTGGCCAACATAGTGAAATCCCGTCTCTACTAAAAACACAAAAATTAGCCAGGTGTGGTGGCTCATGCCTGTAGTCCCAGCTACTCAGGAGGCTGAGGCAGGAGACTCGCTTAAGCCCAGGAGGCAGAGGTTGCAGTAAGCCAAGATCGCACCACTGAACTCCAGCCTGGGTGATGGAGTGAGGCTGTCTCAACAATAACAAAAATAAATAAAATTTAAAAATAAATTAAACAGTCTAAGGTATTCCATTATAGCAGCACAAAACAGGCTGAAAGAGTCATAATCTGTGATAATCTTATTGTTTTTATTGACAGGCTCTCTTATTAAAATACAAGTTATATTAGTACCTGGCACCCAACAGGCATTAACAAATGTTTATTAAATTAAGTTAAATGAGAGGATTCTGGAAAAGTAGTTTGAGGCTAAACTAGTAAGGATCTTGAAATGCCATATTTGAGAGTTTGGACTTCATGCTAAAGGCATTGGTCACAGTCATCAAAGAAGATATCTGCTCTAGAAAAATAACTGTAATGGTGGTTGGTGATGAATTTTAAAGGGAGAGCCAGTTAAAAGGTTACTGTGGCCAGGCATGGTGGCTCATGTCTGTTGTCCCAGCACTTTGGGAGGCTGAGGCAAGCGGATTGCTTGAGCCCCGGAGTTAAGAGACCAGCCTGCCCAACATGGTAAGACCCAATCTCTACAAAAATTAAAATTTAAAAAAATTAGCCAAATGTGGTGGCACACAACTATAGTCCCAGCTACTCAGGAAGCTGATGCAGGAGGATTGCTTCAGCCTAGGAGGTCAAAGCTTCAGTGAGCCATGATCACATCACTGCACTCCAACTTGGGCAACAGAGCAAGACCCTGTCTCAAAAAAAAAGAGTTCTGGTAATTGCTCAGGTCAGAGGAGACTGAAGCCTGAACTAGGGCAAAGGGACTAGAAGAGAAACTGTTTTGAGGTGCCATCAACACAAATTGGTAATAACTAAAACCTCTATTTATTAAGTGACTATAGTAGGCCCAAACTCTGTACTATCTTCACAACAGCCAAGTAAGATTGGTGTTAGTATACCAATTTTGCAAATAAAAAGGCAAAACAAGTTGCAGAGAACTTAGATAATTTCCCCCAAAGTCACACAGCTAAATAAGGGGCTCTTCTGGATTCTGCTGCAGGGCTATCTCATTCCCACCTCCAAGGAATGAAGGAAAAGGAGCGATGCTAAGTTTCCAGCTGATGTAATTACTCAGATTATTTCCTTTGCTGAAATATGTAAAGGTTTTATTGGAATGGTAATGAATGTGGCTTTGGACATGCTGTGTATGAGAATCCTGTAATATAGTAGGTGATTCTGCATGAAACAGAAACTGACTCTGGCTACCTTGCTGAATAGGATAATTCTTGGAAGGCTATCAGGGCTCACACAGTCACAGTTAGGCTGGAGGTACAGGCTTCATAAAAAGGCCAAGAAGTCAGAGAGTTCCAGATGGCTAGGCAACGGAAAGAAGTCACATATGTATTCATTTCACAAATAGCTACCGAGTGTCTGTGATGGTTAATACTGAGTGTCAACTTGACTGGATTGAAGGATGCAATATTGATCCTGGGTGTGCCTGTGAGGGTGTTGCCAAAGGAGATTAACATTTGAGTCAGTGGGCTGGGGAACGCAGACCCACCCTTAATTGGGTGGGCACCATCTAACCAGCTGCCAGTGAATATGAAGCAGGCAGAAAAATGTGAAGAGACGAGACAGGCCTAGCCGCCCAGTCTACATCTTTCTCCCCTGCTGGATGTTTCCTGCCCTTGAACATCGGACTCCAAGTTCTTCAGTTTTGGGACTCAGACTGGGTCTCCTCTCCTTGCTCCTCAGCTTGCAGCCAGCCTATTGTTGGACCTTGTGATCGTGTAAGTTAATACTTAATAAACTCCCCTAGTTCTGTCCCTCTAAGAGAACCCTGACTAATACAGTGTCTACTGTATGCCAGGCATTTAAGAGCAATAGGGATACAGCAATAAACAGACTATATCTCCATTTTCATGTAACTTACTACTGAGTAGGAAAGCCAGATAATAAAACAAATGTTAATTAAATCAAAAATACAAAAGGGTAGTAAATTTTACTTATTACCAAAAATGGTAGTAAATAAAACAAGGAAGGGGAATAAGGAGTTCCTTGAGAAGAGGGAGGCTGTAATTTTTAACGGAGTAATCAGAAAAGACTGAGAGAGATCTGGTCTTCCCACTGCTGCCACCATAATGAATGGAGATCTCCAAATGTCCCCATGTTGTTGTTAATTTCCTCAAGAATCGGAGGCCTGGGAGCAAGCATCTGATTGGCAAAGCTGAAGGCACATGCCCACCCCCTTAGTTCCTCTGAAGTGAGGGAGAGGGAGAATTGGCCTTTTAACTTTTTTACAGTAGGTACCTACTTTCAAACAACATATTTTAAAATAAGGGATTTTCCTTAAAAAAAGAAGGGCATTTTGACTCTAGACAACCAAAATATTCACAGAAACGGGGGAAATTGTTAAGGGAGAGTCAAAGAAACGACTCATAGAAGAATGAGGGGGAAAAATAGAGGCTAGCACTCTGGAGAGCCTTGAACACATTTTAAGAGGTAGGGAGACAAAAAGGGACCAGGAAAGGAGGCAACAAAGAAAACAATCATGACATAGCAATGTCTGAGAATCCAAGGATAGAGAGCGTTTACAAGGCAAATGGTGACCTTTGAGAGAGCAGTGTGAGATGACGTTTGGAAGCAGAAGCCAGATTGTAAATGGAGAAGGAATTAATGGTGACTGAAGTTAAGTACAGACTAACTTCTGAGCAAGTGTTACATATCCATAATTTATATTGTTGTAATAGTGTTGTGGAATCAGGAGGACCAGAGAGAGGCCTTGGGGTATATACATAAGGATATCTTTATTGAGTGCACTCAGACCCAGCAGACTTAACATCCAAAGACCGGGCCCAGAACAAAGACAGCACTTGACTTTTATACACACCTCAAAAAGGGGTGTGGACCAGCCTGAAGCCGGCTTACAGTGGCATGAAAGCAGGGATACAGAGGCAGGACAAAGACAGTTAATTAAACTGTAACAGGTTCATAACTCAGGATTACACATGACCATTGCTATGCAACCCAGATGTCCATTATCTAGGTTTGCCTAGTGCCTAGCACGGCTTATTCCATGACCTTCACTATAGCGTCCAGGTGGCCTGCTCAGACAGTTTATGACCTTCACTCTACTGCTTAGATAAAACAGAATACCTGAAGTCACCAGTTACAGAGAACAGGAATTTTCATAAACTCATACCATAAAACAAAGGAAAATTTGTTTTTCTTCTCCCTATGTGGAGGGAGTGCTGGGAGAGTCTCCAGAGCACATTCCTTTGTGTCCTGGCTCCTTAGATAGTATTATCAAGACTTTCCCTGGGTCTGGGCTGTGCCCATTGCTGCCTCTGGAACAAGTCAGCCTAATACAGGAAAACTTACTTCTCTTTTTAATTTTTTCTTTAACTTCCCACCTCAATAGGACTTGCAAAATATATTATCCTGAGACAAAAGGGCAGGACTTTTGTGTAGCACTTTGTCCTCACTTCACTTGAACTTCACAATAACTTTGTGAGAAAGGTCTTATTCCCCTTTAGAGAGATGGAAGAAAATGATATCCAATATCCAGTGTGGGAGAGGACTGTAACTCTCTTCCTGGAGTGCATCTTATTGACAGAGATCAAAACCTAGAAATTCCTCTGCAAAGGAATTCAGTGAAAAAAAGAAATCATAAGCACGTACACAGATTTATCTACAAGATTGTACACTGCAATAGGAAAGAAGTGAAAGCAAGCTAACTCCAGCAAGAGGATTGGTACATCCATGCTATGAAAAGACATGCACTGATTGCCAAATAATGTTGCAGCATGAACCGTTCAAGAAATGAAAAGCGTCCTACATGAAAAAAATACACTGAGTGCATGACAGGAGTTTTCTAGTCCACAACATACTTAGGTTCCCAGTTGCAAATCAATAAAGTGACACTCTGGTTTATGTATCAAAAGAAAAGAAAAAGAAATGAAAAGCAAAAAAAGGGTTTACATTTTATGAAGTGAACAGAGCAGACCACAAAACAGAATATACAGTATGATTCTATTGTGTGTGTATGTAATTTTTTTGTGGGCTTTTCTGTATCTCCGAAAATTCTAATATAAAGGAATACTGCTTTTGTAATAAGATTTTTAAAAGAAGGTCCTCAGTGGTTAAGTACTTGTCTGTGGTCAGAGATAACTGGCAAAGAAGAGGCCAAATTTTTTTTGAGACTGCAGTCTCCGGTGTAAAATGAGGGTGCAAGGTGCATCCCCGCTCCTGATTTTTGAATCATCCCTTCCACCACCTTGGAATGACTTCTTACGTAGAACAGCCAGCAAGTGGAGAAACTTGCCTCAATAATGCAAAACTGTCTCCCTAACTTACTTCCTTTCAATGTTCAAGCAAAACAAAGCCCTCTCTACATCCAACATGACAGAAACCCAACATGACAGAAAGTATGAGAATGGTTGGAAATTGCTGAAACAGCAACAGTAAAGATTTAATGAGCTCTCAAAGTACCTCTAGATGTGCAAATATGACAACCCAATAAAAAGAAACACACACATAACCTAGAGCCTTCAAAAATCTAGATTTCTGCCTTTCCACACCTTAACTTGGAATCATTCAGGTGGGTTCCTAAGCATTCTCTCGGAGGTGAGGAATCCTCCAAAGAGGAGACTCTAGGAGGGGCCCAGGTGTGGCAATCTTCAAAAGGATGAGGGATGTCCAGAGGAGAGGTGGCGGGAGGGTGCACTTAAAACACGCGAAAATTGGAAACGTGCCTTCTGCAGTCAGTTCCTTCGGATTTTCCGGCATTTAGAAGCCAGTTCTACTCCTTCAGCCCGACCGTATCTGCAGGTCTCACCCAAGACCAAGACCCCCGCCCCCACCCCTCCTCCACCCGGCCTCGAGCCCCGCCCCGGACGCTGGACCCGAGCGTAACGGGAGCAGGTGTTCACATCAAAGGTCTGGGTCGCGAAGGCAGAGACTCCATGTGCCGCAAAAAAAACTCCACGGACAATTGGGAGACTCCTTTCAAAAAAACAAAACTCCGGAGCCACGCGACTCCGCGCTCAGGGGGCGTGGGTACGGCCCACCACGAGGGCAGGGCTCGGCGCCAGCTCTCGGCAAAACTAACAATATTTGTTAGGCCCTAAACAAAAAGGCCCTAACAGCGATAAATCCATTCACTTCGGGAGTGTAGCAACCTGGGACACCAAGCGCCGCCCACGCCCCAGCTACGCGCCTCAGGGACACATCGATTGAGGCGCGGCTACTTTCGCGCACGCGCCTTGCATGCCCGTGCTTCGCCCTTACAGCAGAGCGCCTAAAACCGCTACGGTGGCTCTGCTGGGGACAAATTATTCACGTCCCACTGTTCTGCAAACCCAATCCGGGAGGTATGACCTGGCTGGGACAGTTTAGGAAGATGGCCACGAAGGCACCTGGGGGAGTAGATATATGTTTTTGAGAATGAGAGGAGTAAATCGCTGGACGACCATGAGCAGGAAGAAAATTAGGCCTCCACCTCCCAACCAGTGGCCCTGAGTTGGCAACTTAGACAGCGCGCGCCAGCGCCAGGAGCCCCGCCTTGGGGGCGTGGCCGCGCGCTGGTCGGCTGGGGCGGGGCCTGCTTCTGGCCTCATCTAGCCCCGCCCCAGGCGAGGGCGCCGCACCCACACCGCGCTGCGCAGTTTTGTTCTGCTCCAGCTGTTCGAAGGTGATCCAGGTGAGTGCTAGCACCTGCGGGCAGCCACGAGCACCGGGCCGCCGGGGGCACTTCAGCCTTTGCGCAGGGCACTCCCATATTTCAGCCTATGCGAGCTGAATAGAGACCCGCTGTCTCTAACCTCCCCCCACCCTTATCAGTAAATTAGCGATCTGAATTTCCACCCTCTCTGCTCTCCCCTTGCCTTGCATCTTTTCCCTGGTGGAGTGGGTTGGGAGCGTCTAAGCGAGGCCCGACCTATTTATGTGTAACTCAGGAAAATTCTCAAGGTCAACCCTTCCTCCATTCCTTCCTTTCCTCTCCTGCTGTCCCCGGGCTCTGCAGTCTGGGGGCACCTTTCTGCCTTCCGGAGACCACCCGACCTTGCCCTCTGCTGTTCCGGCGCAGAGGATGGCGAGCCGGACACTGCCGGGGGAGTGGTTGTGCAGGCCTGATCAGTAACACTGGTTTCAGAAGTGGCCTGTGAGCAATGCACCCGCTGCGGTGGGGATGTGTTGCTAGGGACGGTCGGGAGAGCCTCTGAAGGAATTGTGTTTGTTTTCCTCCTGCCTCTTAGAATCGTTTGTCCATTTGTACTGGGAAGGTGGTCATTTCCTACCGCTGACTTAGAGCAAGAGACGCCTCTAGGCGGGTGGGGGACTCTTCAGGTTCTTCCTTGGATTTCAGAAAATGCCCCTTCTTTATGTGGGGTGGCAGCACGGAGCCGTAGGGCTACAGTAGTGGGGCAGTTGCAGGGCGGTGGAAGGCGCTGGAGACTCCTTAGTGAGTCATTCCCCGAAGTTGTGGCTTCTGCTGATACTTTCCTTGAGAGTCACGAGTTTACAAGCTACATAATAGCGTCGGGGGCAAGTAAGTGTGGAAGACGAGGTAAAGGAAAAGCAGATACTAGGATGGGTAGAAGGAGAGGCAGGGGTTAGAACTTTAATTCCTTCCCTGGGGACAGGAGATGCCCTGGAGGGGAAGGCGCTTCCGGCTCTGCAGGTATGTGCTGTTGGGCCTAGGTGTGGTCCTGCGGAATTGCTGCAGATTTTAGATTGCTGGTGGGTAGGAGCTGCAGCGCTTCTCTTGGGAAATCTGTAGATCACCTGGAGCCAGCAGTTCTGGGAGGCACCCCAGGTTATTGGTCAGAGTTACAGGCTATATTTTATTTCAGTGAATTCAGAGAGCACATTGAGTCAGATCAAGAATGTTTATTCTCATAGGAGATGAATTTAAGGAGTTAAAACTAACATATAAAATAGAAACAAATACTTTCATCCCTGGGAAGACTTTCCGTTAAGCTTCCCTCCTGACACAATGTTACGGAAATAGAAAACTTTGTCAAGTGATTTTTTTTAACCAATGTTACTATATATAAATCTGCAGGGAGACTGTCGCCAACTATAGAAACTGCGCTACAGGGGCCTCCTTAGATTAAGGAACAAAACTGGAGAAGGGCAGCCTTCCGCTTTATTTAGATTTCTTCCTGTTGGCTTAGAGTTCTGAAAAGACACAATCCTGGAAGAGATCCTCCTCGCCTGGAGATTAGCACCGAGAAGGAACATACAGGAAAGAAGGGCTTTACCCACTATTCAGAGAAATGCTAAAAAGCCCCTGGAGCAGTCTGGAATGAGGTGGATGTCAAATCAATCTGTCAAAAGCAATTCAGTGCCTACTGCACATCTATCTGTATTTAAACATATTGTGCCCTATGTTTATACTTAAATCTTCTGAATCTATATTTAGAACACCATTACCGACCACAATTGACCATGAACCATCTAGCATTTTAAAGCAATATTTGTTTCGAAGAATATACTGCTACGGTTTTTGCAGCTCAATTTATTAATGCTACTGTAAGCTTACCATCTTCCTGAACAAAAAATTTAGCAGTTAGCAGCAAGTAGATTATCGCTATGTAAAATAAAATTCCTGAGTTTCTGTCACTCGCTCTTACAGTACCTACCTGCCTACCTGCCTCTGAGGAGAAACGCTGTAATTAGGCAACAGGAAAATTGTACTATCTTTCAAATGCATTTGCAAATGCCTTTAAGGATTTTATCCTTTAGAATCATAGATCTTGCTGTTACCTTCTGAGTTATTTCTAGAGTTGATCTGTTCATTAACTGGAACTTGCGTTCTACGATTTAGTTGCCTTATTTCCACCCTTCATTTTTTTTTATTTTTTTAAAGCAAAAATTAATTTTTTTATTTTTTTATTCCACCCTTTAAAAATAAGTAAGTGATATTTTATTTTATAAATAAATGAGCAAGCAATGGGAGCGGTTGTACCACAGCTTCATTCTAAGTGTAGACAGGCATGAAAAGGTCGAACCCCTGTTTCAGGCAAAAGCCAGCAGCCTAGGTGGTTCCTTCCTTTGGGGTGGTTGGTACCCTAACGGGCATTCAGCAGCTGCTACAAATTAACTACAGTCTGCCTGCATTTCTTGTAATAGAAAATTACCAAGTGGTGTCAATGTGACTCATTCGAGATTTTTTTTTTTCCTTCTGGAAGTCATAGCTTAGTTTCTCAATGACTCTTGGTTCCTATGTAATGCCAGTTAAGGGACAGCTATATGACATGATATATAAATGAAGTGCCAGTTTCTGTGTTACTTTGCTCCTTGCAAACCTATATGCCTGAAAGATTGGAGGAAGTTTTTTCCTTCTCGTAATCTCTACTTCTTTTGTCATACTGCAGTGCTGACACTCATTAAAAAGAAAACATTCCTTGTTTGGAACTTTCCCAAAGTTTTTTTTTTTTTTTTTTCTCCTTCCAATTTGAAACATCTCAGGCTTTAGTCAGTGGCAAAATTGAAGTTAATTGTTTGCTCTCTCTTCTTGTTAATGTATTTTGTACTCAGGAGAGGGTCTGGGGACATAGAAATGTTTCAAAAGATGTCAGGTGTGGTCAAACTTGCTTTTCAACCTCATTGAGAGACAATATAGCAAAAGGCTGAGAGCACAAACTGGAGCCAGACTGCTTGGGGGTGTGGGGATCTGGCTGTGCTCTGTGATCGCTGTGTGACCTTGGGCAGGTCACTTAACCTTTCTGGTACTGCGTTTCTTCATCTGCAAAATGGGAGTAATATCATAGGGATGCTGTGAGGATCTAAATGAGTTAATACTGATGAACTAACTGCTTAGAACAAGGTTTGCCCCTTACTAAATACTGTGCACGGTGGTAATAAGTAATAATAATTGATTTCTCCTACTTTTCTTCCTCTAGTCTATATCACTACCCTTCAGACACACTGGACTCTTTTCTCTCCTTCATACAAGTCAAGCCTTTTTCTGTCTCCAAGTCTCTGCTCTTGCTGTTTTCTTTACCTGTGTTCTCTCTCACATATCACTTTATGCTCTTCAGATCCTTTGTCGCAATGTCACCCTTATGTTTTATGGTATGGTCCTGCTGTGTTTTTGTCTTCCCTGACTGCATGCTCACTCGTGCTCTCTCTCAATCATGCGCTCTCTCTCTCTCTCCCTCCCTCCCTCTCTCTCCCTCCCTCTCCCTCCCTCCCTCCCCCCCACTCTCAACTGTGTATTCTAGAGAGTCAGGACCTTCCTTCTCATTCTTGATCATTCTCATAGTAGCCCTGCCCCTTGAGTGGAACATGGCATTTAGTAAAGGATGAATAAGGGAAGGAATCATTCTGAGAAAATACTGAAGATGATAGCTATGGACTTGAGGCAAGCATCCCATTTAGGTAAAATGCTTTGTCCGACATTGAATTTATCATATCAGCTTCATTTAATGCATTATGAGATGTTGTCTTTATTTTTCCTTCTGTATCCCATGGCTTCTCACCATTCCCCTCCCCCTCCACCCCGCCCTCTGAGGTTGCTGCCTGCAGACCATGGGAAACATCCAGTGGGTTGTCCCTGGGATCACATCTCTTGGGAAGCTCAGCTCCAAAGGGTCTAGCAAAGCCCAGGGCTTCTAGGTTAGGTATCTCCCACAGAACCTTCTGTGTCAAGAATCTGGGAAAGTTTGTCCTTATACCTGCAGGGGAACCTGGAATTTATTCTGTCTTGTTATAAATCTAGTATTCTTAGATTCCTGAAGAACAGAATTACCAGTTTTTTCTCAGAGGAGATTTCATCAGGCATGTGTGTTTAGTGCCTTATTACACAGAAGGCACACTCCAGAGAAGAAGAAAGCAGGTAATTTGCTTATTTGGCTTTAACAGAGTTTCAACAGAGTTCGTGTGAGTGCAAGCTTGTGCTCTATAACCAAGAACCATTCACTGGAACTTGAGCATCCTGCTGATCTTCCCTCCCCCACTCCCAGCCAGTGCAGCCATGTATTAAGCAATTGTTTTCAGTACCAACAGTTTACCAAAGTGTTGGAATAAAAACGACATCTAAAACTTGAATATTTTATATGGCCAAACTATGGCTATTTAACTATACAGTTGAATATATTTGGATTATAACATATTTATCTCTTAAAGGGACAGATCTTCCATCCTCCTAACATATAGTTAGCTTCCACTCTCCAAATATTCCACCAGCAACATTGATGAATATTGAAGACTATGGACTGTGAGGTACTGTGAAAGACCCACTCTAGGACCTGCTTGCTGCTATTTGCCTTACTTGAACCAGTAATCAAGTGCTGGATAAATAATATGATTTCTATTCAACTTTTTGTTTTTAGCCCTTAGGGAACAATCTACTGAATATGCAATGCAATTGTCGGGGGATAGTTACTTTTCATTACCTAGGTTTCTGTTCCTTCTTTTAAGTGTAATTTAAATCTGGCTGTCATGAAGGTTTGGCGCTCAAACAGATTTTAGCATCTGTTTAATGTAGAAGTGGACTGGAACTAGCATTCTGAAAATGTAGTCTGAACCCAAAGAAATCCCATGACTCTCCTTTTCTGTCCTATCATAGAAACAGATAATTACATTTTTAAAGTTTTTGTGTGTGGGTGTGTGTGTTGTCATTTTGAGGTGGGGTTTCACCATGTTGCCCAGGCTAGACTCAAACTCCTAGGCTGAAGCAGTCCTCCCACCTCAGCCTCCCAAGTAGCAGGGATTACAGGTGTGCACTACTGCACCCAGCTTAAGTTTTACTTTGTTTCTAATAGATATATAATATTGGATATATTTATGAGATACAGTGTGATGTTTTAGTACGTATATACATTGTGTAATGAGCAAGAGGATTGCGTTTATGGGCCAGGCACGGTGGCTCATGCCTGTAACCCCAGCACTTTGGGAAGCCAAGGTGGGTGGATCACCTGAGGTCAGGAGTTCGAGACCAGTCTGATCAACATGGTAAAAACCCATCTCTACTAAAAATACAAAAATTAACCGGGGCGTGGTAGCACACACCTGTAGTCCCAGCTACTTAGGAGGCTGAGGCAGAAGAATCACTTGAACCTGGGAGGCAGAGGTTGCAGTGAGCTGAGATGGCACCACTGCACTCCACCCTGGCAACACAGTGAGACTCCGTCTCAAAAAAAAAAAAAATTGTTTTTATGTTACTTCCCTCTAGGCTCTTTAATTTCTCCATTGAGCATTGTGTGAGCTCCGCTGAGCATTGTATGGAGGGTCAGCTGCCCTGGCTGGAGATGGTTTTGAGGCTTGTTCCTTCGTGGAAACATCTGGATGCAGAAGTTAGGCTGTACAACTATCCAGGGGAGCTTTAAGTGAGCCAAGTGGACCCTCAGCACCACCTCAGAGTGTTCTAAGCTACCGTCTGGTGTTTGGGACTCAGGGAAGTCCTTTTGGTATGATCAGACTAGCCCTTTATGTGACTATCCTTGTGTGTTACTCTCATTAAAATATTGATTTTTGCCATGTAAGGAAGATTGGAATAGCACAGGCAGCCGAATAAGGATTTTAATGAAACATTGGAGAATGGCTTCAAGTTAATCTGTGAATGCTTTGTCATTGTCCCATCCCTGGACACATTAAAAAGAAAAAAAAGAGCAGTTGAGAAATTGCAGTACAATTTGAGGAGAGCAATATCATACACAGAAGTAGGGACTACTTTTGTCAAAGCTGGATTTTATTTATTTGGGAGCAAAGAGAGAGAGCTGAAAGACATAATCTTCTCTCCCTTAAGAATCTCATTGTCATTTAGTAAAATAAAAGGTAGTGTCACTTCATGGCTCAGAAGTGGTAAATTATTTGAGGCAGGTACCCAAATCCATAAAGCCTGCCTTTTGCTTTGTTTGTGGAATGCTGATTGTGTGCTGGGGAATTTCTGATGGGCAGCCAAGAGGAATTTGGGAAGTAGTGAAGGAGACCTTTACCCCAGGAGTGTTCTATTGGATGTAGTTCAGGAAGCTTTCTGGGTAAGCCTTGCAACCAAAGGAACCCTGCCCCAGTAAGATACGTCAAATGGTGGCAGAAGCAAGAATTAGAGGAAAGGTTGAGCAACATTTTGGTATTTGAATAGCTGTGTTCCCAGGAAACTCTGTCAGTAAAATTTCTAGAGGTTAAGTACCTTAGCCAGATGTCATAATGAACCCCTGTGTTGCTAACTCAAATGCTGGAATGGAGCATGTGTTTTAGGAGTTAGACCAACACTGCCTCATCTTAAGCCCAAGTCTGATCACTCCTAAACTGAAACTTTGCAAATGTGTGTGTTGTAGCTTACTTAAAACCCATTGGGTGTCTGCTAACTCTGGCTACACTGAAAAGTTTTTGCTATTCTACCACCCACGGACGTCAGAGCCCTGCTGCTTACCAGGGCATGTTAGTCTCCTAATCTACCCCTGAAAACCTACCATGGCCCGGGGCTTTTCTGCTACCCCCCACGTCCTATACCCTGCTTGCTTCAAAATACTGTTCCTAGTTTTCTTCCCCTAACTTGATAATGTACTCCAAAACAATCATGTTTGGCAAGTAATACACTGATAAATGTAAAAGTTACAAATAGAAGTGCTGCTGTGTTTTTAAAACATTATAGGGCCAGGAGCAGTGGTTCATGCCTCTTATCCCAGCACTTTGGGAGGCTGAGAGAGGCAAATTGCTTGAGCTCAGGAGTTCGAGACCAGCCTGGCCAACATAGCGAAACCCCGTCTGTACTAAAAATACAAAAAATTAGCTGGGCATGGTGGCACACACCTGTAATATCAGCTACTTTGAGGCAGAAGGATTGCTTGAGTCCAGAGGTCAAGCCTGCAGTGAGCCCTGATTGTGCCACTTCCACTCCAGCCCGGATGACAGAGGGGGACCCTGTCTCAAAACAAAAACAAAACAAAACAAAAACCCAGCCAGGTACGGTGGCTCACACCTGTAATCCCAGCACTTTCGGAGGCCAAGGAGGGTGGATCACTTGAGGTCAGGAGTTCAAGACCAGCCTGGCCAACATGGCGAAACCCTGTCTCTACTAAAATACAACAATTAGCTGGGCATGGTGGTGCATGTCTGTAATCTCAGCTACTTAGGAGGCTGAGGCAGGAGAATCACTTGAACCCAGGAGGTGGAGGTTGCAGTGAGCCAAGATCGTGCCACTGCACTCTGCCACTCACTCTAGCCTGTGGGACAGAGAGAGACTCCGTCTTAAAAAAAAAAAAAAACCCACATTCTAGAAATAATTAGGTTTCTAAAGTATTCTTAAAAGGGGCATCTGTGGAAACCAGCCACTAATAACATATTTAAAGGAGAGAGACTGAATGCTTCCCCCTAAGATGAGGAAAGAGGCAAGGATGTCGGCACTTGCCACTGGTATTCAACATTGCATTGCCCCTAACCAGGACAATCAGTCAAGAAAAAAAAATAAATAAAAGACATCCACATTGGAAAGGAAGAAGTAAAACTGTCTCTCTTTGCAGATGGTATGATCCTCTATGTAAAGTATTCCAACGATCGTGGATCTGTCTCTCCCTCCCCTATGCTCTTGGGCCCTGGCTCTGTTTCTCTCCTGGAGTAGAAGCCTGTGGTGCAGCAGGATTCAATTGCCTTCAATTGAACGTTGCAGAGGACTTTCCCCTCGGTGCTTCCCGTACTGGGGGAAGAGGTGATTTAACTTCTGAGTAAGGGACAAACCCAGTAGTGTGTTAGTAGCAAAAAGCATGGACACTGGCATCAGTCTGCCTGTATTCAGACACCAGCTGTGCACTCATCAGCTGTGGGACCTTAGGCAAATTGTTGAATTTCTCTTTGCCTCCATTTCCTCATCCATAGAATGGGGATAATAATAGTAACTATCATATGGGATTGTTGTAAGGATGGAAAGTGTTAAAATATCTAAACTCTGTTACAGTGCCTGCCATAAAAGAAGCACTCTAGGCCTGGCGCGGTGGCCCATGCTTGTAATCCCAGCACTTTGGGAGGCTGAGGCAGGTGGACTGCTTGAGGTCAGGAGTTCGAGACCAGCCTGGCCAACATGGCGAAACCCCATCTCTACTAAAAATACAAAAATTAGCTGGGTGTAGTGACATGTGCCTGTGATCCCAGCTACTCTGGAGGTTGAGGCATGAGAATTGCTTGAACCCGGGAGGCAGAGGCTGCAGTGAGCTGAGATAGCACCCCTACACTCCAGCCTTGGTGACAGAGCAAGACCCTGTCTCAAAACAAAACAAAACAAAAGAAGCACTCTATGGGACCAGGTCTTATAGTTAGGTATTATATATGTAGTAGTGATATTTTCAGTTTTGCTGTTTCTGCCAGATGGGATGAAAAATTCCATGAGAAGTTGGCTGGAAGTCCTACTGATTCATTAAATAGGCCTTTCATTTGAAGTCATGTTTCTAATCATTCAGAAGTTGAGGTATGCCTGATCCATGGTATTAGAAGGGATGATCCCAGAGAGGTCATTCTGTAGCATAATGAGCATTACTTTTGAAGGATGGAGAACCTAGAACTCTGACTCATTTGACTATGGGAAAATCTGATCTGGTGAGTGACCATGACCATGAAGTGAGATCTGGTAACCCAATGGTGGTCACAGGATAGAGACTCTGAAGATACTGAGCTGGCTTACACACTTGCTTTGTTGTCTCGAACCTCTGTTAAAGCTGAAAGAAGAAGTCAGTCTTCTGCTGGGCACACTGTTAGTGTGTAATTGTGAAGAGCTTAGCTGGAGCTTGCTCTTCACAACAGTCTCTGATCTCATCAGCCCCATTCTGTTTTCAGGGGTGGTACAGAAGGAGCACCTCAGGAGCCTCCAAAGATAGTAGTAGAATATAACCACCAAGACAAGACTGTGACTGTGGTTTTGAATCAGATAGAATCACCACCTCCTGCAAATTTTGTTTTTGCTCAGAACAGTGGTTCTTAAAATGTGGTCCTTGACCAACATCATCAGCATTACCTAGGAACTAGTTAGATATGATAATACTCAGGCCCCACCTAACATGACTGAACCAGAAACTCTGGGACTGAGGTATGTTTTAACAAACTCTCCAGGTGATTTTAATGCCACCAAAGTTTGAGAACCACTGATCTAGGATATAGAACAGCAGCATTCTACTGAGTTTCTGTCTTCATGCAAGTTGCTATAAAAAATATAAGCAAGGAGACACGCTCTCTGTCCTCAAAGAGCACATAGTCCATCTAGAGAGGTATACTATATTCAATGCCACACAAAGGAGGCCTTCCCAGCCGGGATCCTGATGCAACAGCCCTGCCCAGTCTCTATGCCATTGCCGTGTGTTTTCCCCAGAAGAGTTCCCATTCTTGGCCAGGTGCCTGTAATCCTAGCACTCTGGGAGGCTGAGGCAGGTGGATCACCTGAGGTCAGGAGTTCGAGACCAGCCTGGCCTACGTGGTGAAACCCCGTCTCTACTAAAAATACAAAAATGAGCCTGGTGTGATGGTGGGCACCTATAATCCCTGCTACTCGGGAGGCTGAGGAAGGAGAATCACTTGAACCCAGGGGGCGGAGGTTGCAGTGAGCCTAGATCGTGCCACTTCACTCTAGCCTGGGGGGAAGAGCAAAACTTTGTCTCAAAACAAAAAAAGAGTTCCCACTCCCTGAAGCTGTTTTTTGTTTGCATGTTTGTTGTCAGTCTCCTGTCATCATTCGAAGGTCAGGGCCTTGAGGGCAGGACCCTTTCTTGTTCACTGCTGCATCCCCACCCCTCAGCAGTTCCTGGCATAGACAGCAAGTGCTTTATATATTCTGGTTGAATAAATGAATTAAGTGTTCTTTGATTCATTATGCTGTCTACGGTAGGAAACTCTATTTTGCAATCTAATTAGACCAGCCTTTTGCCAAATTTGAATTATTTTAAACAAAATCAGAACTATTGTGTAAGAGCATACAACTGATTTGTAGAAAAACCAGTATATCCTCATTTAGGAACTGTTGCATATGTGGACAGACATGTACAGTTACCAGTATTTATTTCTTCATATTTGGACCAACATTTATTGTTTATACCAGGTACATATCTAGTTTATCTAATTTAATTCTTCAAACCACACTGTGATATAAATGGGTAGTATTTTCCCTGTTTTGTAGAGAAATTAGATACATCCTAAAGCTTGCAGGGGCTATGTATGAATACAGGTCTGTCTGACTCCTCAATTCCTGCTATCTCTAGTCTTGTAGATTTCCCACAGGAAAAGATGAATCATAAAACAGTATTGAAGTCCACTAGGAGTAAAAACATTTAGGATCTCTACCCTTAAATAAGTGACAAAAACTTTCTAATTTAAAAAAATAGATAATTCAAATTTCTTTTAAACCTTTAATGTTCTCTTGACTGATCTATTTTGACTTAAGACTGCCAACAAACAGTTAACTAGGAGCAGCTACCTCTGCAATTGCTAATAAGGAAAGTAAGAATAGAAACTCTTTCATCCTATTTCTGTCTTTCCCTACCCATTTATTTTGTTTTTGTTTTATTGTGTTATACCTAGTTTGTGATTATTGCTAGGAAGGGAAAAATCTGGAATTGGGTACTTGTTTACTTATTTGCCTGTGTCCCCTGCTAGAAAATGAGTTTCATAAAGAACCAACCTCTGGCTGTTCCCTGTTCGTCTCCAGCACTAGCCCAGTGAGTGGCACATAGTGGGCACTCAGTAAGCCTGAATAAGTAAATGAATGCACGATCACCCTCATGCAGTGCTGAGCAGTGTCTGGCTGCAGCAAGAGTTTGAATGACTGCAGCTTCCGGATGTCCATAGTCAGTGCTAAAATCCTGCTTCCTTCTGGCTGCTTCTGCCTTTCACATGATAGCATATATTTTAACATGGCTGGCTGCTGAGAGTTCAGAAAAGGAAGAGGATATATGTGGTTCTAAACTTTGCTATTTTAAAATGGCAGTTATAAATTCTAAAATGTATATTCATTATCATTTAGCCAAACATCCCCGTTGAGTCAGGTCAAGGACAGTTAACCAAACATTAGCATATGTAACGTAACATAATATATAACATTTACTGAGTCCTTCCTATGTGTCAGGCATCATGATGAATGTTTATAGACAGTATGTCCATCTAATCCTCTCAACAACCTTCCAAGGTTATATTAGTATCTCCATTTAACAAGTGAGGAAACTGAGGTGCTGAAAGGTGTTAAGTAATATTCCCAAGGACACTCAACTAGGAAATATGAGAACCAGGTTCTGAATGCAGACAATTTGATTCCAAAACTGCATTCAACTGCAAAGCTGTCTCGTGAACTGCACTTAGCAGATAAGTGGTGGTACTCAAGCCAGAAGTCAGGTCTGATCTTTCGGTTCCATCATTCCATACTGCCTGTTCCTCTGTCTTCTCAATGAATAATGATTGTCAAGCCACTCTAAGTTTTTTTAGATATGTATTTGCTCATTTTGGAAATTACAGAAAATTACAAAGAAAAATCTATAATCTAGCCATCTAGAAATAACTATGCTTATGATTTTAATACTTTCTTAATTTTTTTCTATTATTAAGAAAACCAAGATTATTCTACATATACTTTTATTTTCTTTTTTCCCCACTCAACCTGCTGTATATTGAGCCTGTTTTAACCTCTTTAATATTTGTACACACCATTTTTAACAGTTGTATAATGTTCTATTTAACGGGTATATTATTTATTTAACTGGCCCTCTATTATTGGACATATGTAGTATTTCTGGTTTTGCCATCATAAATATTGCTGAAGTAAATATCTTTGAACCAAATTTGTTTGCATTTCTGATTGTTACCTCAGGATAGATTTCTAGTAGGATTAATGAGCCAAAGAATATTAATATTAAAAAGAATATTACTGGCCAGGTGCTGTGGCTCATGCTTGTATTCCCAGCATTTTGGGAGGCTGAGATGGGAGGATCACTAGAGCCCAGGAGTTCGAGACCAGCCTAAGAAACATAGGAAGATCCTATCTCTTAAAAAAAAAAAAAAGAAAAAATATACATAGGCTGGGCGTGATGGCTAACACCTGTAATCCCAGTACTTTGAGAGGCTGAGGCAGCCGTATCAGTTGAGGCCAGGAGTTTGAGACCAGCCTGGCCAACATGGCAAAACCCCCATCTCTACTAAAAAATAAAAAAATTAGCCGGGTGTTGTGGCGGGCGCCTGTGATCCCAGCTATTTGGGAGGATGAGGCATGAGAATTGATTGAATCTGGGAGGCAGAGGTTGCAGTTAGCTGAGATTGTGCCACTGCAGTCCAGCCTGGGCGACAGAGCGAGACTGTCTCAAAATAAATAAAATAAAATAAAAAAATTTTAAAAATACAGAAATTAGCTGGGCATGTCAATGTGTGCCTGCAGCCCCAGCTACTTGGGAGGCTGAGTTGGGAGGATCACCTGAGCCCAGAAGGTCAAGGCTGCAGTGAGCTGTGATAGCACCACCATACTCCAGCCTTGGCAACAGAGACCCTGTGTTAAAAAAAAAAAAAAAAAATTACCTATTGCCAGGCTGTCCTCTAGATGGTTCTATCTTATACTTCCCTCAACAGTGTAGAAGAGGGAAAACTAGGTACTTTTAACTACAGTTATGTGTTCACTCATGATGGAGATATGTTCTGAGAAATGTGTTAGGTGATTTTGTCATTGTGAGAATATCGTACAGTGTACTTACACAAACCTAGACAGTATAACCTACTACACACCCAGGCTATATAGTCTAGCCTATTGCTTCTAGGCTGCAAACATGTACAGCATGTTACTGTACTGAATACCATAGGCAATTGTAACATAGTGGTATGTATTTGTGTGTCTAAAGATATCTAAAAACTTAGAAAAGATCCAGTAACAATATGGTATAAAAGACAAAAAATGGTACACCTGTAGAAGGCACTTACCATGAATGGAGCCTGCAGGACTGGAAGTTGCTCTGGATGAGTCAGTGAGTGAGTGGTGAGTGTGAAGGCCTAGGGCATTTCTGTACACTGCTGCAGACCTTACGTACACTGTATACTTAGGCTACACTACATTCATTTTTTAATATTTTATCTTCAATAATAAGTTAAACTAGATTACTGAAGCTTTTTTACTATAATTTTTAAACTTTTGAATCTTTTGTGACAATACTTAGCTTAAAACACTAATACATTGTAACTGCATAAAAATTGTTTCTTTGTTTTTTGTTTTCTTTTGTTTTTTTCTTGAGACAGAGTCTTGCTGGGTCTCCCAGCCTGGAGTGCAGTGGTGCAATCTCGGCTCACTGCAACCTCCACCTCCCGGATTCAAGCAGTTCTCCTGCCTCAGCCTCCCGAGCAGCTGGGATTACAGGCACTCATCACCTCGCCCAGCTAATTTTTTTATATTTTTAGTAGAAACAGGGTTTCACCATGTTGGCCAGGCTGGTTTTGAACTCCTGACCTCAAGTGATCTGCTTGCCCTGGCGTCCCAAAGTGCTGGGATTACAGGTGTGAGCCACCATGCCCGGCCAAAAATTGTTTCTTCATATCCTTATTCTATAAGATTTTTTTTTCTATGTTTTAAATACTTTTTTTATTTTTAAAGAAGCAACACCATTCAGTTCAGAACACCCATACTGACTTTGAGCTGATGGCCTTTGTAGGTTTCTAACTGGAAGTGAAATTTTTTCTATTTTTAAAACTTTCTTTTTATTTCATAGTTACTTTTTAAGCTTTTTTTGTTAAAAATTAAGACACAAACACACACCTTATCCTAGGCCTATACAGGGTCAGGATCATCAGTATCCGTCTTCTGCCTCCACATCTTGCCCCAGTGGAAGGTCACATGGACACACCTGCCATGTGTGGAGCTGTCCTCTCCTATGGTAACAAGGCCTTCTGGAATACCTCAGGGAGGACCTGCTTGCACCTGTTTTACAGTTAACATTTTTTTTTAATAAGTAGAAGGAATACACTATAATGCTAAAAAGTATAGTATAGTAACTACATAAACCAGTAACTGTCACTTATGATCATTATCAAGTGTTATGTGCTGTACATAATTATACATGCTATACTTTTATATGACTGGCAGCGCAGTAGGTTTGTTTACACCAGCATCACCACAAACATGTGGATGATACAGTGTACTACGATGTTACAATGGCACAGTGGCTATGATGTCACTAAGCAATAGGAATGTTTCAGCTCCATTACAGTCTTATGGGGCCATTGTTAAATATGCAGTCCATCACTGAAACGCATGGCTGCATGTGGTAGAAGGTTTCAATTCATAAATATTAATTTATACTGCTGGTTTATGACTAACCCAGGAAACTGCATAATGATTAACAAATGCTACGATATAACCAAGTGAATTGCAAAGTCATCTACACCTGTATTAAAGTTCAGCTCAGAAAGGACTGTTTGGACTGTGTGTATCTAGCACTACGTAGAAGAGAAAGTCAAGGGCAAAGTTCCCACTCTCAAGAACTTTATCTTGTTGGGTTCATGAAAGGGTTTCTGGTGACACAGAGTAGGTATATAATCAGCAAAATGTGGTCTGCGGTTCAAATGAGTGCTCATGCCAGAGATTGGTTGGGTGCCAGCTATCAGTTCTTCCACCCTGTCCCTGGAAGCTATCTGCTACCTCTGGGGCTGGCACAACCCAGGGTGTGGCTGCGACTGCCTAGGGTGTGGCCACTGTGAACTGAGCTGCATCCCCTTCCTGGTGCACACCCGCACACACAAAAGTCACTCTCTAAGGAGTGGGAATATCTATCTCTTCGCCTTGGAATCTTCAGAAAATAATGATGTAGCAAATGATAGTTTTTTTGAATGTTGATTTAATTAAGCTGATTCTTTCTTTGAAAGAGAAGATTTAATGATTTTTCACTCCCTATTGCATTTATGTTTTCCACAACTACGACAAGAGTTTTCTCTGTGTTCTGAATTCTTCTTTCTTAAGATTTCTCTTTCTGGATTAGTCATAAACCAGTCTTTCTTAAATACATTCAGTTTCTTCCCTGGTTTCAATAGATATTGAGGGAAGAAACGGAAACCTGAATTGGTTAGATGCATACTTTATACCAGACACTGTGCCAGATGATAGAGATTATTTCAGGTGTGTATTCAGGGGACGGGGTGCGTGGTGGTGGTCATTCTGAAAGACACCTGCAGTTGCAGCTCAAATCATTTATTCCGTAAGTATCTATGAGCGTGCACACTGTGCTTGACATGGAAGATGCCAGACAAACGTGGTCCTGCTCTGTTTTAAGTGAAGGTTGTTATGGTGTATAAAGCAGGACACCTCACTTGGTAGGAGTGCAAGGAGGTATCAGGGAGGGCTGTTCTGCTGCCCTTCTCGCAGGCAGCTTTTCAGGCATTGCTCCTGCACCTATGCAGACGTGTCCATGGCTCGTGCGGGGGACCCTCAGGGAGAACAGTCACGCTGCTGCCCCAGGCACTTGCACTGTCCCTATGACTGAGTATGCATCCTCTGCAAACCACTGCTGTAGCATCAGACTCTGGGTACCCTTACTGTGAATTCACTGCCTTTCCAAGGTCCTAACTGTTGCTGGCTCTGCTTGTCATCATCCAGATTCATAACGCCATACATACCTTAACAAAGTGTGAGGAGAGTAACTTTCACTAGGGTGCAAATGCCCATCAAGTTTAACCTCACAGATTGCATTTATACTTTAAAAGAGGAGCTCAGTAGTAAATATTAATTTGTAATTATAGATTCTAACTGTGGATTGTAGAGCAGTTGCTTTGCTGTGACAGGCATCTATGCAAGAGGCACTTCTCTTATCTTGCCATCTACCTACCCTAGCCTCTTAAAATTAAGAAAAATAGAAGTCAGTGACTAAGCCACCAAATTTGAATGTGTTACCTGGGCTAGCTGGAGTGTTTTGGGGGAGAATTCTAAAACCTGCTCTGGTCTTAGCTCTGCCCTCATTTACTGAGCCTCTATTTCCTTTTCTATAAAGTGGAGCTAATAGGAGTTTTGTGAAGAGTAAAAGTGAGCTGAAAAGTGCTGGGCTGACACAAGGTAGCCCTGCACATAGCCAGGGAGCCCAGCATCCTGTCCAAAGATTAGAGTCTGAAAGCTCACTCTACTGATTTGCAAACTTTAACCTAAAGCAAATATGCTTAATTTTATTGTCCTTACATTTATTGCTTCTGAGAGACACCTTTTTTTTTTTTTAAGGCAAGGTCTTGCTCTGTTGCCCCATGCTGCAGTGAGGTGGTGCAATCATAGCTCACTACAGCCTCAGCCTCCTGGGCTCAGGTGATCCTCCCACTTCAGCCTCCTGAGTAGACATGAGAGTCTCCCTGTGTGGCCCAGGCTGCCTGGCCTCAAGTGTTCCTTCCACCTTGGCCTCCCAAATTGTTGGGACTGTAGGTGTGAGCCACCATGCTTAGGTGGCAGCTTTATTTTAAATGACCTGTTTGCCCCAGATGTGTTGAATTTAAGGATAGGCTGGAGGTTCAGTCATTTTTATTTATTTTCAAAGAGGTGTTCAGAATTCACACTCTGTTTTTCTTTTAATAACTACTGTGGCTTCCTCCTCATGCTGACTTTCTACACTTGGGAAGAGAATGTGGGCAAGGAAGCTTGGAGGGAAGCCAGAGACTCCTTGCTCTCTGCAGCTGCACAGACAGGCCAGGATCTGCTGACCTGTGGAACCAGCCCGCTGCAGTGTGTGCCCCCCAGCCCCCGGAGGGGCAGCGGGCATGCCTCAGAGAGCAGCTCAGAGTGAAGACGGTAGAAGGGGAAAACTGATGAGAATTATTGTGAATCATGGTGGGGAGGAGGGGTTTTAAGAAGTTAGGCCTGTTAGGCTGGGTGCGGTGGCTCACACCTGTAATCCCAGCACTTTGGGAGGCCGAGGTGGGTGGATCATCTGAGCTCAGGAGTTCAAGAATAGCCTGGCCAACATGGCAAAACCTCGTTTCTACTAAAAATACAAAAATTAGCTGGGTGTGGTGGTGCGCATCTGTAATCCCAGCTACTTGGGAGGCTGAGGCAGGAGAATCACTTGAACCCGGGAGATGGAGGTTGCAGTGAGCCGAGATCGTGCCACTGCACTCCAGCCCGGGCGACAAGAGTGAAACTCCATCTCAAAAAAAAAAAAGCAGTTAGGCCTATTTTGCTGTGCTAAGAGAAACTTACTTTTAATGAACTGAGCTGCATGCCTATCCCAAATTCTGTTTTAAGGAAGATGCTCTGACCACAGTGTCAGTTTGGCTCTAAAGTTTCAAGGGATACTGAAAGGGAATATTGGAACCAAATGAATCTGAATGGGAATCCCAGGTCTGTCACTGTCTGTTTTAGACCTTGGAAACATTACTTAACCTCTTTTGAAAATAAGGATTTACCATCTTGTTGGTTGGTTTGTTAGGATGATTAGATACATTCCAGATCAGGGTAACTCTCCTAGGTTAAAAGCAGGGACTGAAGCCAGGCAATTACCAGGGATGGAAATTTTAAAGCTGACGGCAGAACACACACCAGAGCTGCTGGCTCGTGGAAGCCTTTGAAGTGATGATTTGATGGGCAATCTGAGTTCCTCAGGAGCTGCCCAAAGCCTCATAGGCTCAGGAGCCATGCTCTGCTTTCAGAGTACTCAACCTGGGCCTTCCCCTACCTGTGTGAGATGTCTGCTGCTGCACCCGCACGTGCCCCAGGATCGAAGGGAGGCCTCAGAGTCCTGCCCTCACAGTGTCCCCCATGTCTGAAGGCAAAAAACTTGGAATCACTGTGCATATACTATTTTGGATGCTCGCTTTCTTGCTTTCTCACTTTCTTGCTTTCTCTCTCTCTCTCTCTCCCTCTCCTCCCTCCCCACTCCCTCTCTCTCCCTCTCCATCCCTCTCCCCACCATGTCCTGCTCCTCTCACTCCCTCCCTCCCCCTCCCTATGTAATGTATACTTTAGCATTTTACCATGTTAAATATTTTTTCAATAATGTGATTTTTGTTGGCTATATTATTCTACAGCAACGACTACTGCAGTGGTGTAGATAAATCTCATAATGTTGATCAGAATCTCCCAGGCACAAAAGAGAAAAAAAGATACATGACTGTATACTTTTCTGTGTATAGACTGCATAGTTGAGTAATTTTTAAATTATTTTATATGGTACTGTCTTTGATGACTTCTCAGAAACATCAGATTGATTCATACCTTTTTTTGGTCTCTATTTACTCATTTGCCAGTAATAAAGCATCTTGCTCCCTAAGGCTTCACACCATGAAATAGCCACAGTGCTGGGGGCCGTCCCAACGTGTTCTTTCTTCCACAGACGCAAGATGGCTGTCCTCTCTAAGGAATATGGTTTTGTGCTTCTAACTGGTGCTGCCAGCTTTATAATGGTGGCCCACCTAGCCATCAATGTTTCCAAGGCCCGCAAGAAGTACAAAGTGGAGGTAAGTGGGAACACAAGCTGGTGCCCTTGTAGGCTTGTCTGGGGGCCACAGGCTTAGCCAAGAACTTATTTTCAGCCATGGAGGGAGAGGCAAGGAGCTAGTTGTGAGAAGTGGCAGTTTCAGGACTGTGTTAGCGATTCTGCTTCTTCATGGTAGGAAAGAGGCAAGAAATACAGGGCCCTGCTAGGGAGTAGTTTCCATCTTGTTTGACTTTGTCTCTTCGGTAGAAAGACCAGGAATGCTGGGATTCCAATAGTACACTTCTGCTTGGAGCTATTTGCTAGGAAGAGAGTTACTGTATTTTCCACAGAGGGTTAAATAGCAATATTGTTTCATGGTGTGCCACTTTAAAAATGATGTCTTATGGTGATTTTCCTGTTTTCCAAGTAGAAAAGAGGTATGTGGTGTTGAGATTAGCCTGGACTTAGACATAGGAAGGTGGTCTATTAAACACTTCCTTTAGTTTTAGGTGATCTAGAAGGGATAATTACCAAAGTTGTCCCTGGTGAGTGGTTTTAAATGTCTGTTTCTGTTTAGCAACTTAATAATTAAACTCCCTTACTAGAGCTTCTTTTAAGTTTTTATATTTAGTTTCTTCTTTTTTTTCCCTTCCAGTGGACACTTCCATTAAGATTCTCACACACTCAATTTCTGTTCTTCTATTAAGGGAAATCTTAAAAGGATGTGGTATTTGATGACTCTTAGGAAGGCTCTATTTCCCTACAGTATCTTTGTAATGCATCTGAAATCCACCATTGATGCTTAACGTCAATGAAAAGCACGGAGTTTGGCGCAAAGCTGCCTCTTTCCCTTGTGCAACTACAGCGCAGACATACATTCTTATTCCTGGATATTTAATAGAAACATTGACTCTGCTTCTGAGAATTGAGACCCTTGTCACCATAAATATTTAAGCAGAAATTGAATGGTCATCTATCAAGGGTGTGAAAGAAGATACTTTGGAATATATTGTTTTTAAGGTTCATTTTAACTTTCAACACTGAATGCTCCTCTTGACCATCTGATCAGTATGTGCTTTGTTGTGACAGTATCCTATCATGTACAGCACGGACCCTGAAAATGGGCACATCTTCAACTGCATTCAGCGAGCCCACCAGAACACGTGAGTGTCGGCCCTGCCGGGCACCAAAGACATCTGCAGAGTGGGTGTTTTCTGTCTAACACCTCAGCCCTTAGTGCGCTGTATTTGCTGAGTCATAGTGATGGTGACAATCATGGGCACCTCATTAAAAGTATTCAAAAATTATGTATGTGAACACATTGACTATTAAGCAAACTTAAGAGTGGTTGGAATGGTGGGATTTCGGGATATTCTTTTCAAAAAATGTCTTCATGGTTGCATTACCTACTACAGTTTTGCAGCATGACCCATCTAAACCGATGTTGACTCTCCCAGGCCTAGGGAGTGAAGAGGTTTTGAATGCTGTAAGGAAACCCACTCTGACTCACCAGGACCTTCCACTTCCATTTGTTAGATGTGAGGTCCTTTTACTCAGCATGTTCCAAGTGACCTCTAATCCCATGCAGAGCAAAGGAGGGTGGATGATAGTGACCAGGTCTTCTCCCTGCGGTGAATGTTTATTTTTACCCCCAAGCTTCTAACTTGGCAAGGAAGATGTAAAGATTCATAGTGCTGGCTGGGTGAGGTGGGCTCACACCTGTAATCCCAGCACTTTGGGAGGCCGAGGTGGGTGGATCACTTGAGGTCAGGAGTTGGAGACAAGCTTGGTCAACATGGCAAAACCCCATCTCTACAAAACTTAGCCAGGCATGGTGGCACGCACCTGTAATCCCAGCTACTCAGGAAGCTGAGGCATGAGAATTACTTGAACCCGGGAGGCGGAGGTTGCAGTGAGCTGAGATCATGCCACTGCATTCCAGCCTGGGTGACAGAGACACTCCGTCTCAAAAAAAAAAAAAAAAAAATTCATAATTCTACACAGGCATACTTAAAAAGGGCACTTTTTAAAAGTTTCTTTCTGTCAATTCCAGGTTGGAAGTGTATCCTCCCTTCTTATTTTTTCTAGCTGTTGGAGGTGTTTACCACCCGGTAAGTTTTCCAGGAGGTGTTCATCTATTTGGATAGTAGTTCACTGAGCTATTATCAGGGACAGAAGAAGGAAATAAACATTTAATGAATATCTTCAGTGTCTAGGCACTGCATATTTAAAAGGATTTTATTCAATTATTTCTTACAGAGTTCTTTAAAGGAGATGGGATTTTCCTCATATTTTACAGATAAGGAAAAGCCTCTCATATACTATTTAAACTTCACAAGGTCAAATAGCTACAGAGTAGAAGGATTAGAATTTGAACTCAGGTCTGTCTGGTTCTAAGTTTCATGTCTATAAGAGTTCATTTGTTATAGTAATTCATTCACACAACAAACTTTCACTCACCACCTGGGGTAAAGCAGTGATCAAAGCAGACAAAGACCCCTGGTTTCATAGAGCTTGCCTTTTTGTTGTGGGGTGTGGGGTGGTCACAGAGAAGAAGCAACCTAAGTAAATTACATCATGTGTTAGGAGGTGGTGAGTGCAGAGAAGAAAACAAAGTGGGGAAGGTGGAAAGGGGATGTGGAGTGGGATAATTTTGAATAGGGTGGTCAGGGAGGGGGGCTTTGCTGAGATGATAGTTAAGCAAGTATAAAAGGAGGTGAGGGAGCAGGTGCTGCACGAGTTTCCCCAACCTCCAGCCAGAAGACAAGCAAGGCCTGAGGCAGGCACCTGTCTGGTTTGTTTGGTGAGCAGTGAGAAGCCAATGGAGCCAGGAGAGGGGCAGCAACAGAGGGCAGAGGGGTGATGAGGCAGGTCACTGGGGACTTGCAGGCCTCTGCAGTATAGATAGCCCTGTGGGATGGAGATTTAGTCTGCACTTAAACATATCTAAATAAAGCAAGTTTATCAGCCTCTAATTAATTGCCATTTGGGTCTTGTCTTAGACAGAAGTGTTCCCCTTTTCTGAGGACAGATTATCTCCTGAAACCAAGTTCTGACCAGAGTGGCCCTTCAGACTTCTGGTTCTAAGCCTTTCCTAACCATCTGGTTCATCCTGAATGCCTTGTACTTTTGTTAAAAAGCTGCCAGAATGGCATATCTACTGCTTATGACCTTGAAGGCCTGCATTTTTTTCAAAGAAACATCTACTGCTCTTGTATCTCTTAGAAAATGTATCTTTCTGGTGCCTCTAAAGATCCCCATTCCTAGCAAGTGACTAGACTAGCTGATCTGAATAGCTCAGGTCTCTAGATTAGTCCTCATTTGGTGTCCCCACTCCATCCCCATTCCTATCACACATCCCTGGATCCCATTCCTTATGGGTAGTTCTGAAAAATAAGAGCTAGTTTGGGGACAAGCACCTAACAATTGTTCCTAGGTTGCCAGTCATTAGGCAACATTATAGTAAAGAAGGGCCTGGCAGAGACTAGAGCTGCTATATCGTGACTTGAGGGACTGGTGTTATTTTCATTTGTTTCACCCTCCTGTTGACATTTAATGTTACCCAAAATCAACTCAAACAAACAAAAACCCTGATGCAGTAACCTTATCCCTAACAGTAGCACTGCTGAGTGGGAAAGACACTGGGGAAGGCGGCCTTCTCACATGCTGTCTTCTGTGTTCTCTCCTTGCTTATTTTAACCAAGGAAGTCACCCCAGCATGACAGCCAAAGGGATGGATTTTTCATCTAAGTTTTTATTCTCTCTTCTCAAGGACATTGGGAACAGGGAGACTTTTCCCTCGAAGACCATGTATTCTGGGAGAAGCGCTCCCCTTCTTTCTAGTGGAGCTACACCCCCAGTGTAGCCTGCAGAACCACCTGAGCCCAGCCCTGCCAGTGACTGACTTCACATAGAACAGCAGCTGAGTCTTCAGTCAATCTCATGCTCAGAGGCCCATTTGAGAAAACGGCATTTCCCCTAGTCCTGACTTTGGGGCAGTTCTCTTTTCTGGCCTGCCCTGAGACCGGCTGGCCCACATGTCCTTCTCTTGAGCTCTGACACAAGTTCCCCAAGATGCCCAGGGCAAGTGGGGGGATTCCTTCTATCCCACCTGTCTAGGAGAAGGCCAATACTCATCTCCCAGGTCCACAAGCCAAGCCATTCATAGAAGAATCACAGATATTTTATTTTCCCGCTGAAACTAACTTAATTCTACCTAATTTGCGTGGGGAGTAGTTGGCCAAATCATCAAATTGTTAACTTTTTGCTAACATATTGTGTAATCAACCCTAGGTGTTAAAAAAGGTTTGCTTGTTTCTTTCATGCAAATACTAATGTAGCCCTTTTTTCTTAGCGTATAGCTTCTGGCCTGGGCTTGGCCTGGATTGTTGGACGAGTTCTTTATGCTTATGGCTATTACACGGGAGGTTAGTATATATTGACATTTGCCAAGGAAACAACTTTAAAATTTTAAATCCTATGCTGGCCAGGCACAGTGGCTTACACCTGTAATCCCAGCACTTTGGGAGGCGAAGGCAGGCAGATTGCTTGAGCTCAGGAGTTGGATACCAGCCTGGGCAACATGGTGAAACCCTGTCTCTACAAAAAATACAAAAATTAGCCGGATGTGGTGGTGCACACCTGTAGTCCCAGCTACTTGGGAGGCTGAGGCGGGAGGATTGCTTCAGCCCAGAAGTTTCAGGCTGCTGTGAACCATGATTACACTACTACACTCCAGCCTGGGAGACAGAGCAAGATCCTATCTCAAAAAAAAATAAAATCTTATGCTACTATATTTTTTTTCTTGGGAATTTGAGAAAAGGGGAAGTCACCTGATATTTAGGTGAAAGGTCTGTTTTCTTTTTATTAATCTTTCAATTGTAACGAAACTTATTTTTATTGAGCATTTTCTATGTGCCAACCACTACTCTAAGAACTTTGCATATGTTATTTAACCTTACAACAATTCTGTAATACAGATATTATTGCATTTTACAAATTAGGAAACTGGGACTCAGCATGATTAAAGCTGTAGGTCACAGAGCTACTAAGCGTAAACTAGTAAACTAGGAATCAAACCCATGCAGTCCGACTCCAGAGCCTCACCATTACTATACCTCCTATATCTGAGTAAGGAGGAGGAAAAGCCATTTTTAGCTGTACTTCTTTGAAACAGAGGGAACTCCTTCCAAAGGTCCTAGAGCAAAGTTGCTGTAATTATTATCCCATAATTTTCTAAGATCCAAGCAATACTACTGTGGCACGTTACTTGGCATGTGGTATCTGACTTGCCAACAGCTTCAGGCTAAAGAGTTAGTTAACCTCCTAAGGCCAGTTTGTCTAATGTACAACCTCAGATGCGATGATAGAATGGCTTGCGAATGTTGAAAGCATCATAATTCTGGAGCACTCCTGGTAACTTCTGTTCTTTCTTCTTTTTCAGAACCCAGCAAGCGTAGTCGAGGAGCCCTGGGGTCCATCGCCCTCCTGGGCTTGGTGGGCACAACTGTGTGCTCTGCTTTCCAGCATCTTGGTTGGGTTAAAAGTGGCTTGGGCAGTGGACCCAAATGCTGCCATTAAAGAATTATAGGGGTTTAAAAACTCTCATTCATTTTAAATGACTTACCTTTATTTCCAGTTACATTTTTTTTCTAAATATAATAAAAACTTACCTGGCATCAGCCTCATACCTAAAACTCCTGACTCTTACCACTCATTTCCGTTTGAGTCTGTATCTGAAATCAGTAGCCTAGTCCTACTAGATGAGAAAGGAGCCACAAGTATTGTGCCCTCTCCTCACCCTTCCAGCAGATGCTTCTGTAGTATGTGAGGTTGAGAAAAAGTCTGATTGTGGTGATGTAGGTATAGTCATGCCACAGTGATGAAAAATTAAAGAAAAATCTTCTAGCTCTCAGGATATGCATTATCACTTGCTACAGATACTCCAAGGCCAAAGGAATGCTTGAGCCTAAAAGTTCAAGACCAGCCTGGGCAACATAGCAAAACCCCATCTCTACAAAAAAATATACAACAGTTAGCCAGGCATGATGGCACATGTCTGCAGTCCCAGCTACTTGGGAGGCTAAGGTGGGAGGATCACTTGAGCCCAGGGTGTCAAGGCTGCAGTGAGTTATGATCACACTGCTGCACTCCAGCGTGGGTGACAGAGCAAGACCCTGTCTCAAATAAATAAAAATTAAGTTTCTATTAAAGATTGTTTCTGTTGCTTAAAAACTGAAGCAATAGACTAAATGTAAGATGAAGGTTAACAGAGATGAATGTAACTTGCTACATTTAGAAACAAAGATCTGATTGCCTACGTACAAATGAGGAAGACTTAGAAGATTTCAGTTGGTTTAGAGAACACTGCCAAGTTGGCAGAATGAGATAGTTACTCCAAAACACTGATGTGGCCATAAACTACCTTAATAGGAAATATAGTGTCTAGACCTGCGCTGCCCAATTGGCCACATGTGGCCATCTAAATTTAAATTAATTTAAATAAAAAAGCAGTTCTTCAGTTGCACTACCCATTTTTCAAATGCTCAATAGCCTGTGAGGATGAGAGACAGTATTTGAACCCAGTCCTGACTCTAAAATCCATGCATTTTCCATTGTACCAGTTTATTGCTTAAGCTCCGAAGATGAAGCATTTAAGGATAGAATGCCATGGCCAGCCATTGAAGATGGTCAGCCTTGGCCAAATGGCCACCTGGAGCCCTTGGGGCATTTGATGAGGAGGCTGGACCAGTTTAGCACACACTCCAGTGTTAGTTCATGAGAAAGTTTCACCAGTGGAGAGCAAAATAAGGAAAATGAGGGACTGTTTTTCATAAAGCTTTGACTTGTACTTTTTACATTAAAATGTTCTTTATGAAATGATGGTGACGATGAATGGTAGGGATTTTTGGTCCTGGCTTGAAAAAATGATATAATTGAGAATTTACAATAAGACAGGGTTTTGGTTTTTGCTTCATAAGAAACACATCTAGAGAGGCCAGAGAACTTGCCGAGGTTTCCTTTCTCACTGCAGAGAACAGCAGGCATCAGTGAAGCAGGGCAGGGAAGACCTGGAGATGAAGCTGGCTTTTCACCTTTAAAAGTCTTAACAGGGTGTACTTTTCAAACTACAGATGGTCCCCAACTTATGACAGTTCAACTTAACAATTTTTCAACATTACGATGGTGCAAAAGCAAGACTCAGGCTGAGCATGGTGGCTCATGGCTGTAATCCCAGCTCTTTGGGAGGCTGAGGCGGGCAGATCACCTGAGGTCAGGAGTTCGAGACTAACCTGGCCAAAATGATGAAACCCCATCTCTACTAAAGATACAAAAATTAGCTGGGTATGGTGGTGCATGCCTGTAATCCCAGCTACTTGGGAGGCTGAGTCAGGGGAATCGCTTGAACCCAGGAGGCGGAACATGTAGTGAGCCGAGATCACACCACTGCACTCCAGTGTGAGTGACAGAGCAAGACTGTCTCAAAAAAAAAAAAAAAAAAAAGCAATATTCATTCAGTAGAAATCGTACTTTGAGTACCAATACAATCATTCTGTTTTTGACTTTCAGTATTCAATAAGTCATATGAGATATTCAACACTTCATTATAAAAGAGGCTTTGTGTCAGATGGTTTTGCTCAACTGTCGGCTAATGTAAGTGTTCGGAGCATGTTTAAGGTCACTAGGCTAAGCTATGATGTTCAGTAGGTTAGGTGTATGAAATGCAATTTCAACTTACAATATTTTCAACGTGTGCTGGGTTTCTCAGGATGTAGCCCCATCATAAGTTGAGCATCCGTAATGTGATCCCAGTTTGTCATTTTGCTATTGCGCACTGGGTTCAGATGGAGTTTTGTAAGGAAGCTCGGTACATAAAGGGCGCTGTGGTTGAAGTGCAGAACCGAGAGCTCTGCCTTTCAGTGCCCTACTTCCCCACTCACTGCACTTCCAGGGAACCCTAGGGCTTGGCAGAATCCAGTTGGTAAAGACTGCTTAGAGAATAACTCTTACAAGCTAGTCCCTTGTCTTGTGGAGAAAAACTTGGCATAAGTATTTCTACCATTAACTATTTAATACTAATCTGTTGGCAGTGTACATTCCAAAGAGTCCATTTATTTGTATAAGGGAAACACATTCTGAATTTTGCTAGATGAAAATCAGACAGCCATACCAGCCTATAAATGCCTAATTGATCCATAGTGAACCTTAAGTATTCCCACCTTCAGGTGCCTGTGTGCCCTTGGGCAAGCTTATTAGCCTCCCTAAGCCTCAGCTTACACAGCTGTAAGTTGGGAATATGAAAATACTTTTATCATATAAAGTTCATGAGGATCAAACAATAATGCATGCACAGTGCCTACCAGGGGTCTTGTAGCCACACAAATTGTGGTAGGAAGCACGAGAGCCAACTGCTGATGTAGCTTGTTCAGCAAAAGTCAGCAACCGGGTTATCTTCTTTATGTTCTAAGGACCCACAGAGTTTGCCCAGCTTTCTATTTCATCCCTAATAGCACTCGCCTCCAAAGGTGCTCTCCTAACTTAATAAAAAACTGAGTAGTCTCAGTTCCTTCCCTCTTAAGCAGCACTATCCAACAGAACCTTCTGACATGATGGAAATATTCTGTCTGCACTGTCCAATAAAGTATAACCCCTACCCATGTGTGGCTGAGCTGAATGTGGCTACAGCAACTGATGAGTTGAATTTTTAATTAATTTAAATGTAAGTATATACATATGGCTAAGGCTACTATACTTGGATAGCACAGCTCTTAAAGCAGCAGTTTTCAACCTTGGCTGTCTGTTAAGCTCATCTGGGTGCCTTTTAGGAGTCCAGGCCGGGTGCGGTGGTTCATGCCTGTAATCTCAGCACTTTGGGAGGCTGAGGCAGGTGGATCACCTGAGGTCAGGAGTTCCAGACCAGCCTGACGAACATAGAAAAACCTTGTCTCTACTAAAAATACAAAATATACAAAATTAGCTGGGTGTGGGGGCGCATGCCTGTAATCCCAGCTACTCGGGAGGCTGAGACAGGAAAATCGCTTGAATCCAGGAGGCGGAGGTTGCAGTGAGCCGCCAATGTGCCATTGCACTCCAGCCTGGGCAACAAGAGGGAAAAGAGAGAAACTCCATCTCAAAAAAAAAAAAAAAAAAAAAAAATCCAGATGCCCAGATCAATTAAATGAGAATCTTGGTATTTTTAAAGCTCTCACTGGGCAATTCTAATGTGCAGTGAAAGTGGAGAACCATTGCTGTAAAAGCAGTGCTTGAGAGACTCTTGTGCTTATGAGTCACCTGAGGATCTTATTAAAATGCAGATTCAGATTCATAGGTCTGAGGAGGGAATTGAGAGTCTTCATTTCTGTTTTTGGAGACAAGGTCTCACCCTGTTGCCCAAGCTGAGTGCAGTGGCATGATCCTAGCTCACTACAACTCAAACTCCTGGGCTCAAGTGTTCCTCCTGCCTCAGCCTCCCGAGTAGCTGGGACTACACATGGGCCGCCACACTCCTTTTTTTTTATTTGTAGAGATGGGGTCTTACTATGTTGCCCAGGCTGGTCTCAAACTCCTAGCCTCAAGCAATTCTCCCACCTTGGCCTCCCAAACTGCTGAGATTATAGGTGTGGGCCCTAAATGTCCTTTAAGTGTTCTTCTAAGAGGGAGGCAAAGGGAAGTTTGACTACACAGAGAAGAAGGCAGCAGGGCAGGGAGAGATTCTGAAGATGCTAAGCTGCTGGCATCTAAGAGGAAGGGGACACGAGCGAAAGAATGCAAGGAATGCCGCTCTAGAAGCTGGAAAAGGATTCTCTCCTACAGCCTCTTCAAGGAGTGTGGCCCTGACAACTTCTTGGTTTTGGCCAAGTGAAACCATTTTGGGACTTCTGACTTCCAGAACTGTAAGATAATAAGTTTGTGTTGTTTTAAGCTGCTAAGTTGGTGGTAATTTGTTACAGCAAGCATAGGAAACTAATATACTGGGTTCAGTTCTAGGAAACAGAGAGGGTAGCAGAAAGCACAGGAATTGGAGACTCACACCTGGCTTGAAGTTGCCAGTCAACTTATAGACTTGCTGATGTGGAAGACAAACTGTTTTTCCTCTGCTCTCATACAACAATCAACACAGAAGACTTCTGTGACCAAATGTTGGAGTTTTCTGTTCACACACCAAGCAGGCAAATCAGTTCTGCAGTGGACACCAGCTGGGCATCCTCCAGTTCAATTCTGACACTATCTACCTGGAGATAGCATCAGATCCCACAGGTTGAGGGCTCAGTCCCACAAGACTGCCCGTGACCCCAACCAACTGCAAGTCCAGGCTTCTGGAACTTGATCAACTGGCTTCAAGTTGAGGGTCGGTTAATTCGCTACAGTGACTCACAGAACTGAGACATGCATTTACTAGTTTATTAAAAAGAATATCCTAGGCCAGGTGCAGTGGCTCATGCCTGTAATCCCAGTGCTTTGGGAGGCTGAGGTTGGAGGATCACTTGAGCCCAGGAGTTCAAGACTAGCCTGGGCAAAATGGTGAAACCCTTTCTCTACAGAAAACACAAAAATTAGCTAGGCCTGGTGGCACATGCCTGTAGTCCCAGCTACTGGGGAGGCTGAGAGGTGGGAGGTTCACTCGAACCCAGGAAGGTCGAGGCTGCAGTGAGCTATGATCACACCACTCTACTTTAGTTCAGTGACATGACAGAGCGAGACCCCAGATGATGGAGTGAGACCCTGTTTCTGGGGAAAAAAAAAAAGAGTATTTTAAAGGACACAAATAAACAACTAAATGAAGGGATACATACGGCCAGGTCTGCAAGGGTCCCAAGCACAGGAGCCTCTGTTCCCGTGGAGTTGGGGTGCACCACCTTCCTGGCACATGCACATGTTCTTATTCACCCTCCTATAAACCTCCACATGTTCAGCTCTCCAGGAGCTCCCTGAAGCCCGTCCTCTTGGGCCTCTTAGACTTCATTAGAGAGGCATGACTGAAGCACAGACACCATGTAGAAATGTGACTGGACTAAAGGGGTATGATCTAATACAAAGGAGGCTGAGCGGGGAAACCCAGCAAGGGTCTTCAGATTCCTGGCTTGTGCAGCATTTTTCCTGCAGGGCAGCAGGCAGGACCCCTTCTGAAATGAAGGTCTTATGACCCATAATCAGAAAAGTGGTGGAAGATTAGAGCCCAGCCTTGGGCAGGTAAAAAGGAGGGCAGAAGGTCAGAGAGGGACATTCTGTTTTCTGAGGCCTAAAGTGCCCCAACATTGTAACAAAAAACCGTACCAAGGGACTTATGAGCCAGGAACCATGGATGAAAAGATACATAATTTTATATATAGGCATAAAATATCACACTTGCCTGGGACCAAGATGTCTCCAAATCTGTTTCTTCATTTGAAAATCAGAGATAATCCCTTTCTTAGGCTTAGTGTATTAAATGAGAAGGAATGTAGCAGTAGGAACAGTGAGTACTTAAATGTTGCTTCCCTTTCCCCTGCTGTTTTCTCTTGCAGAGGTGTCCAATCGTTTGGCTTCCCTGGGCCACACTGGAAGAAGAAGAATTGTCTTGGGCCACACATAAAATACACTAACATTAACGACAGTCGATGAGCTAAAAGAAAAAAATATTGCCAAAAAAAAAAAAAACCCACGTTTTAAGAAAGTTTACAAATTTGTGTTTGGCTGCATTCAAAGCTGTCCTGGGCTGCATATGGACTGTGGGCTGCGGATTGGACAAGCTTGCTTTAGAGGGACTATCAGAAACTTATCTTCTCCCAGGCAGCTCCTACTGCTTAAGGTGCATAGGATCCCCTTGGACACAGGGTAACGCTATTGGCTTTGTCCAGTATCACATATGTGTCCTCTGTGCAAAGAAATACCAAGAAAGGCTGATTTGGTTGTTCTTATGCTCTAAAACTACAGTACTTGCTCATCATAATACATAATTAGATCCAGGCCCAGTGACAACAAACATCCCTTATCTCTGACTACTAAATTAGCTATGATTTATAAACTCTTCTCCTGAAAGGAAGAGAAGGAGGCAGAGTGAGGCATGACTGCAATAGTCTGAAAAGCCACAGTGACCTGACAACTCTTCAGGGACAGGCACTGCTTATCCGGGTGAGAATGAACATGGAGCCTAAATGCTTACCTGGACCATAAAGTTCATCACTGCAACCAAACCTGTTCTTTTGTTCTTACTACAAGATCAAATCCCCCTGCTTTGTGCTTCTAACATCAGCCCTATCCTCTGTCCTCCCATAACCTCAAGATACGTTTAGTTTCAAAACACGATAGGAAAACAATTAACAGTGTGATTTATTTTAATTTCACCATATTACATTAGCATACAAATAATTTGTACATTTAAAGGGTAGCTCCACTGGTGTAAGACAGCAGGCTGTAGTTCAAGGACCCAAGATAGGGAGATAGATTTCCTCTATCGCAGTAGTGAACAGAGACAAAGTGCTTACTAGGCAAGTTCACATTCACACAGAATTTGACCCCATCTATTATCTAATCCCCTCCCTATCCCAGTTGTCAGCTTTCTCAATGGAATGACAAGGGGATATAGCTTAAAAAAATGTCAATGAGCTGAAATCATCTCTACTGATTCTACCAGGAACCTATAAAGGAACAAGGTTTTTTTTTGTTTTTTGTTTTTTTTCTTCAAGACTAGGCAAGTGAAGCAGTGGGAATGGAGAAGGAACAAAGAAATCTACAAACTGGTTGTGATCAATTAGTTGTAAATACCACTGCACTTGGATCAGCCAGGAACAAGTTCTTTGAAATACGCCAGAGAATTAACATTATCAGTGGGCCAAATGTGTGGAAGATGTATTATCCTAGTCTCTTTTCCTGTTCTCTAGAAGTATGTTACTGGCTCTTAAAAGATTTCACAAAAATACGCTTTGAGGAGAATCACAGCTTTCTTGATTAGTATCTACAAGGCACTTAATGCACATTTTCAGTGAGGAAGCTGATGGAGAGAGAAAGAGTAACATGAACCATTCTCTTATACTGAACGCCAAAATTCTGGATGTAAAATAACATTCAGTTGTACTGCCTCTGTAAACAGGGCCAATTCACATCATTCCACAGCGTGGCCATGTCAATAGGTTTCACTGCAGGTTTTCAAAAAGCAGATTCCACATCACCCATCTCCACACACACAGTCTTCAGCTGTGAATAATATTCGATTGTCACACGGCCGTTCTCTCTGCCAAATCCTGAAAGGAGGAGAAGGGGTCAGGTTGAGCCATCACTACAATAGTCTGAAAAGTCACAATGATCTTCAAAGATGAGCACTGCTAATCAGGGCTAGGGAAGAATATAGAACCTAAATGTTTTGGAATAAAGCCTCAATCCACATATTAGCTGTGAATGGAGCTAGGCATGGGGAAAATGACCCACTGGCATTTGGGGATAGGGATAGGGAAATATACAGATCTTGTTTCTCACCAATAGGAATCTTAATTTCAGGTATCTACTATTCTGGGTTGAGGTCTGAAAAATGCTTGGATTTTATATCAAGTGTTAAAGGCAATCTCTACAATAATCAACCTGACACCCTTGAAAGCTGATGCTAATTTAAAACTTTACACAATAGGCTTATTCACCATTTCTTAAACACCTATAAGAGCAACCTAGTAACTTAACCTACCCACTCATGTTGGTGAGGGGTCACTGAAGGTCCCTCTGATTACTCAGAGTTCAAGACACTGCCCAATTACTAGTGGGTGAGGTTACTGTGCTAAAAGGGTAGTATCCCACCCTTGGCCCTGCCTGTACACCCTGTGCTAGACTTAGGTAGGCTCTGCCTTCCAAGGGCAAGGCCGAGGTCCCAAATATGTGCATTTCCAGGGAGCACCACTCAAATGGTATCACACACAAAGGTCCTGGGAAAACCTCACTCTGTCTTTTGTTCCTTTCCAAATCCCCTAAGCACACAGCTGGTCAGGCCTGTTAGGCCAGGTGTTGCTCTGCACGTCTGGCCATCTTTCTCGCTCTCTCATTCCACATAGCATGGTCTGGTCCAAAGGAAAGGGAAAGTTAGGAGGCCCTCCAAAGGCCTAAGCTGCTGATTCCAAACAAATAATTCCCTGCACTGAGGGACTATCAGAAACTTAACATGTAATGTTATATGTTACATGTTAATAAGATGGCACCTTGGTTCCCACCTGCACTTGTGTCTGTGTGTACGACTCCTCTGAGTACCCCACCGGGACAAATAAGACTGTCAAATTAACACCCACCATCTCATCAGTGTTCATCAGAGTTTATATATTTGCCAACACTGTGATGGCTGTAAATATTTGCCACAGAAACTAGAGGTCAGACTCTTAGAATGGTGCCTCGACAAAGTCCAAACCAATTTTCACTCTAGAAGAACAGCATGAGAAATATGTAAATGAATATTTACAGGCAACAAACTCCAAAGAAAGAACCTCAAGGTTCTGGCTATACTCCTGATGCCTCAAACCTTCTCCTGATATACCAGACTTACAAATTTATATGTTGTGGTAACATATGTCTGACTATAAAATGAATGAAATGAATGAGCAGTGGCTAAGGAAACACACTCCTATATGCCATCAAGGGTAATGAAAACGATTATAATTGATTGCTTAATGATAAATTTAAAGATTTTGTTAATTTGACATAACAGAGGAAACAAAGTTACTGAGCTATTACTTGAAAGACACTTTACCTAAATGGAATCTAAAAACTCCACAGTGGATGATGATGGACATCCCTGATACAGAACCCCTAAGGGAGTGATTTTATGCTTACAGAAGTCACAGGCTGTGAAGAAAAAGTATTCTACCCACAAGATAAACCTTTTTGAGATATCTATCAGCAGTTCACAAGCCAGGCTATACATCAGAACCCTCCAGAAAGATTTAGGGAGTGTTGGGTAGGGGAAGATGCTTGACTTCCATTCCCAGAGACTGCTACAGTGGATCTGGGGAAGGACCAGGAACCTGTATTTCCCCAGGTAATTCAGATATGCAGACAGGTTTAGGAATACTGGTTTATAAGGTCTGAATTACGACCTAGCTCTAGAGACCTAGTTTGCATTCACACCTCCCAGCTCCTCACCTGACTTCTTATATCCACCAAAGGGCAACTCCACTGGGCTGACGTTATAGTTGTTAATGAAGCACGTCCCAGCCTGAAGCTCAGCTACCACTCTATGAGCCCGTTGGATGTCCCTATGAAGAAAAAAAAAATGTGTGCATTATTGAGAGTTTCTTAGGCTACTACTTTAACAGGAAAAGTTACACTGCCAGTTCTAGGGTTCTCAAATCTTACTAAATTCTCATTTCTTCAAAATGTTTTAAAATCTTTTATCATCCAGGCAAAACAGATATGGATTGGGTTTTATAGTCCCATGCACATGGTATCTTTAAAATAAGTAACAGCAATAAGGGTACCAAAATTCAATGGAGGAAAAACAGTCTTTTTAACAAATGGTGCTGAAACAAGTGGATATCTACATGCAAAAAATAAAGGTGGAGCCCTTTCTTACACCATACACAAAAATTAACTTAAACGCATCACAGACCTAAAAATGTCAGACTGAGAACTATAAAACTCTTTGAAGAAAACAGAGGAATAAATCTTCATGACCGTGGGTCAGGGAAAGATTTCTTAGACTATGACACCAAAAGTAACAGATAAAAAAAACAGAATTAGAATTGGTCAAAATTTAAAATTTTGTGCTACAAATAAGACTATCAAGAAAGTGAAAAGAAAACCCACAGAAATGCAAATAAAAACCACAATGAGATACTACTTCACACCCACAAGGATGGCTAAAACCAGAAGGACAGACAATAACAAGGGCTGGTGAGGATGTGGACAAATTAGAACCTTCATACGTTGTTCGGAGGAATGTAAAATGGTGCTGCGAATTTGGAAGAGTTTAGCAGTTCCTCAAAAAGTTAAACATAAAGTTACCATGTTACCCAGCAATTCACTACTAGATATACACCCAACAGAAACGAAAATATATGTCCACACAAAGGCCTGTACACATATGTTCATAGCATCATTATTCATAATAGCCAAAAATGAAAACAACCCAAATGCCTGTAACAGATGAATGGACGAACAAAAAGTGGTACATATCCATACCACGGAATATTATTTGGGAATAAAGTACTGATAAATGCCACAACACAAATGAACCTTGAAAACATTATGCTAAGTGAAAGAAGCCAGTCACAAAAGAATATATACTGTATGATTCCATTTATATAAAATGTTCAGAATGGGCAAATCCATGGAGATAGAAAGTAGTTTAGTGGATGCCAGGGGCTGGGGGTGGGGAGTGGGAATGAAGAGCAACAGTTAATGGGCACAAGGTTTCTTCTTGAGATGATGAAAGTGTCCTAAAAATAGATTATGGTGATGGTTGCACAACTCCATGAATAAACTAAAACCACTGAATTGTACACTTTAAGTGGGTGAATTGTACAGTATGTGCATTATCCCAGTAAAGCTGGTAAGAAAAAAAGAATAGCACATTGGAGTTACCCGCCTTTGTAACCGGACTTTGTCTGTACGAGGGTGGCAAAGTAAAGTAAGAGCACTTAACCTGCTCACTCCCCAAATCAAAAGAGCAGCTCCTCAATCTTTTCTTCGGAGCTCAAAGAGAAGCAATTACATCAGGTCCTCAAGTGAGACTTGGGCTTTCTTCCCAAGCTCTTGACCATGAAGTTATAAAAAAAAAAATGTGAACTTTATGTATCACCAAAGAAACAGCATAATCCCAAGTGTAAAGCCGCTTTAGCAAACTGCCTTCCACTGCCAAAGACTAATCAAAGTTTGTATAAAACCAAGCAATCTGCAATTGGTTTCAAAGAAATTGTACTCCCAAATCATTTTTACTTGTAATAGTAAAGTTTATGCACAAAGATATTAATCATATTACTATAATATTTAAAATAGAAACAATATCCCAAATATCCAACCACAGAAAAAATGGCTACATGAGTTATAATGCATTCCAATTAGGAACTACTATAATGCCACTAAAAATCATGTTTTTGAAGAATACTGCCCACAATTTATATACTTACAGGTTTCTAAATTCCTTGACATGTGTGTTTTCAAAAGACATCTAACCCAATGCTTTACATAGATCAGAATCTTAAGTGTTTATTAAACGAGCTCAATTTAAAACTCAATAGCAGGGTTCTCTGGCCATTTACAGCAAACTGCAAAATGCTGCTTTGGTGTCTTCTGACTTAACCTGAAGCAAACAGAAAGTGCTGATGGCTCCTATGAGGGCAAACTAAAGTGAGAGAATAGGATCAATTAAATATCTAAGCAGATACTGCAGCCCCGCTCCTTCAAAACTGCTCTCAGTGTCCCACTCCACATACCTGGTAAAGACGCCAGCTGCTAGTCCAAAAGTGGTATCATTGGCTCTTTCTAGAACCTCAGCTTCAGTGTCAAATGATAAAATGGACATAACAGGCCCAAAGATCTCTTCCTTCACACAGGTCATGTCGTCTCTGCAATTAGCTGCAAACATTAAAATAAAACCTCCTGAGCAGCTGGGACCACAGTGTGCACCACCACCCCCAGCTAATTTTTTGAAGATCGGGTCTCACTATGTTGCCCAGTCTGGTCTCAAACACCTGGGCTCCAGCGATCCTCCTGCCTCAGCCTCCCAAAGTGCTGGGGGTGTTCCACTGCACCTAGCCCCAATATTTTTAATTTAACAATGTATTGTAAGCTTTTCCTATTTATTAAATATTCATGTAATAACTGCAACCTAATTCATGGGGGATGGACATTAGGTTTTCAGCTTTTAAATGTCAATGGTTCTTTCTAGTGAGGATTAAAGGTTATATACTGCATCAAATATGAAGTTGTTAAAAACTGACACCACTATTAACCTTAGGGGCAAAAACCAGCTTAATTTATCTCCAAATAAGATGTAAGGAATTATACAACATGGTTCAACCTACATATAATTGTTTAAAGCCTACAAAACTATCAACATTTTTGTAGGGGATACTAACATACACTATAAAATGATAGAGAAAAGCATAAGAATGATAAAAACAACACTGAGAATAGTAGTTACCTCTGAAGTAGGAGGGAAGTAGATGGGTGGGAGTAGGATGCCCATATACACCTTGACTGTCAAAACTAGATTTTTAAGACTGAATGGAGGTGCTAAAAATTATTAAATTATGTAATTTCTAAAAAGATTAGTATATTATCTGACATACTGGTTTTATTATATTGATGACTGATATGGTCTGGATGCCTTTCTCCTCCAAATCTCATGTTGAAGTATGATCCCCATTGTTGGAGGTAGAGCCTAGTGGGAGGTGTTTGGGTCACGGGGCAAATCCCTCATGAACGGTTTGATGTCCTCCCCATGGTAATGAGTGCATTCTCACTCTGTGAGTTCACACAGAGCTGGCTGTTTAAAAGAGCCTGGTGCCTCTCTTGCTCTCTCTTTCACCATGTGACTCGTCTGCTCCCCTTTCACCTTCCACCATGACTGAAATCTTCCTGAGGCCTCAACAGGAGGAGATGATGGTGCCATGCTTCCTGTACAGTCTGCAGAACCATGAGCCAAATAAACATCTTTTCTACTTACCCAGTCTTAGATATTCCTTCATAGCAATGCAAAATGTCTAATACAATGATCTACAGGTCACATGAAAAACATTCTTTATTTTCTCAAGGAATTAAATTTATTAATTTTTTTAATCAAATATGCACTTTCATATTTTTGAGCTCCTTGCTTCCAGAACAATAGTTGTGGTCCTGGATAAACTAATACATATGGGTGCCCTAAAGGAGGGGCACACAGAAGGCTTCAAAGATAATGGAGCAGTTCTACTTCTTAAACTTGGGTAGTAGGACCACATAATTTGCCAGCCCTTGCTTTATATCATGTACATATTTTATAAATATTCATCTCTATCTATTCAGTATTTAATTCAAATCATCTAAAAGCAAACAAAAAGAGGACATACTTAATACACAAGGTCTCATGTAATATCCATCCTTTAATTTGGGATCTTCAGGTACATATATATCTCCACCACATAACACTTTAGCACCCTGCCGAAAAGGAAAAAAGATATGTTGTATTAAAAATATAACCCCAAAATGCATTCCTGAAATGTTAATTGTATCCCGAACAAACACATAGTCTTCCCAGTGCAGGTACAAAGCAGAACACAGCCAGGGATGCTAATAGTCCAATGAATAATAGTCATACGAATATTAACATGAAAAGGGCACAAAGCATGTGATTTAGGAGTAGTATAATCTTCCCCAACCCCACCCTACTGCCAATTATTTCTTACCTGCTCCTTTGCCACTTTGACAAACCCAAGGACTCGCTCCAGGTGTGGTCGGTTGATGAGTGGACCCATCCTTGTATCTTCCAGAAGGGGATCTCCAATTTTAATCCTTTGGGTCTGTTTCACCACTTCCTCTGTAAATTTATCAAGAATTTCTTTCTGCACAAATACTCTTGTGCCATTACAGCAAACCTAAAGGACAAACACAAGACATCAATTTCTATGTGTGTAAGGAGAAAAAAGGGAAAAGGAAAAATGAACACAATCTAAAAACTTTAAACTGAAAAGAGACACTATACATTTTTTAAAAGGATATTTCCATTTCTAAAAATTGTCTCCATACTGAATAAGAAGGATCACACACGTAATTGTGGACATACCACTCCACAAGCAAAATCTGCCCTTTGAGGTAAAAGTTAGTTCTTATTTTGCTTGTTTAAATTTTTTAAAGGCCATTACTAGATCCATATAACCCACAGCACCTCTCCTACTTCCTCATATCAGGGCTCAATCTGGCTGTATATTTTAAGAATGGAAGGGAACTTAACAGTAAACCTATATCAAGAACTGTGGTCTTAAATCTAATTGTTAAAAAATTTGTCTCTGAAATCACTAATAATCACTATTTAGACCCTCCTATAGAAAGGAACATAAAAACTGTTCAAATGCTGTAAGAACACAGAACAGAAAAGTCCAAAAACACAGCCAAGTGCTCATGGAAATCTAGTCTATGATAAAAGTGAAAGCTAAACTATTAGGACAGAGATGAACTAAATAAATGGTGCTAGAACAAATCATCAGTAATGTGGAAAACATAAAATAAGATACATATCTTACATCACATATAAAAATAAACTCCAAATGTATCAGGAATCAAAATATAAAATAAGAAATCAGGGCGCAGTGGCTCACATCTGTAATCCCAGCACTTTGGGAGGACAAGGTGGGCGGATCACTTGAGCTCAGGAGTCCAAAATCAGCTGGGGCAACATGATGAAACCCCATCTCTACAAAAAACATAAAAATTAGTTGGGTGTGGTGACACGCACCTGTAGTCCCAGCTACTTGGGAGGCTAAGGTGGGAGGGTCACTTGAGCCTAAGAGGTCAAGGATACACACAGTGAACCCTGACTGCGTCACTGCACTCCAGCCTGCATGAGAGAGCGAGACTTTTTTTTTTTTAAAAAAAGAGACAATACTGGTAATTCCTCTAAAACCTAGGTGTAGAAAAAGGTTTTCTATTACCCAAAATCTAGACACAATTAAAGAAAAAAAATTGATAAATTTGACTATAGAAAAATAAAAATTTTATGCATGGCAAATACCTTAAACTAAGCCAAGACCATTAAAAAATTGGAATAAAATTATTTGCAACATTTACCTCAGATAAAAGGCTATCATCACTAATTTTAAAAAACTCTTAACAATTAATGGAAAATCATATCTCATAATATAACATACCAAAAATGTGAATTTTATTATATGTGAGTTTTGAAAAAGACGTTCAATGTCATTCATAATTGTAAAACAAGGTTGGGCATAGTGGCTCAGGCCTGTAATCCCAGCACCTTGGGAGGCTGAGGCAGGTGGATCACTAGAGGTCAGTAGTTCAAAACCAACCTGGCCAACATGGCAAGACGTCATCTCTACTAAAAATACAAAAAATTGGCTGGGTGTGGTGGTGCACACCTATAGTCCCAGCTATAGGAGGCTAAGGTGGGAGAACTAGTTCAACGTGGGAGATGGAGGTTGCAGTGAGCCGAGATCGTCCCATTGCACCCCAGCCTGGGCGACAGAGCGAGACTCCGTCTCAAAGATAATAAATAAATAAACAAACAAACAAACTGAAATTAAAACTATACTGAAATACCACTTCTCATCTATCTGATAAAAATTTAAAATTGTGACTATATATGCTGTTAAGAAAGGCTATGAAGAAATAGGTACTCATGCATCGTTAGTAAGAATGTTCCTTTTGCTGCCTGACAGCTGCCATCATGGGTCACATGCACGCTTCTGGGAAGGGTCTGTCTCAGTCAGCTTTGCTCTATCGCTGCAGCATCCCCACTGAAGTGGGGTTGCTGAAGTAGGGGCTGAAGTTGACATCTGACGACATGAAGGAGCAGATTTAAAAACTGGCCAAGAAGGGCCTGACTCCTTCACAAATCGGTGGGATCCTGAGAGATTCACATGATGCTGCACAAGTACGATTTGTGACAGGCAATAAAATCTTAAGAATTCTTAAGTCTAAGGGACCGCTCCTAATCTCCCTGAAGATCTCTACCATTTAATTAAGGCAGCAGTTGCTGTTCAAAAGCTTCTTGAGAGGAAGAGAAAGGATGAGGATGCTAAATTCTGTCTGATTCTGATAGAGAGCCGGATTCACTGTTTGGCTCGATATTATAAGACCAAGTGAGTCCTCTCTCCCAACTGGAAATATGAATCATATACAGCCTCTGCCCTGGTTGCATAAATTTGTCTATGTACTTGAGCAATAAAATAATTGCTTAACTAACAAACAAAAAAAAAAGAATGCAACATTTCCTTTTAGAGAGGGATTTGGCAATATCTTATAAAATTACATATGCAGTCAATATCACTAATAATCAGGGAAATGCAAATCAAAACCACAATGAGATACCACTTCATACCCAATAGGATGACTATTATCAAAAACAGAGAAAGCAAGAAAATAAGAAAATAACATGTGTTGGCAAGGATGTAGAGAAATTGGAAACTTTGTGCATTGCTTGTAGAAATGTAAAATGGTGCTGCCATTGTAGGGCACAGTACAGTGGTTCCTCAAAAAATTAAACACTGAATTATCATATGATCCACTTATTCCACTTCTGGATATATACCCAAAAGAACTGAAAGCAGATACTTCTACTATAGATATCTGTACATCAATGTTCATAGCAACATTATTCACAACAGCCAAAAGTGGAAACCACCTAAGTGTTCACAAATAAAAAAATGGATAAACAAAATGTGGTATGTGTGTGCTGTGTGTGTGTGTATGTGTGCTGTGTGTGTATACATACATACAATGGAATATTATTTAGCCTTAAAAAGGAAAGAAATTTTGACACATGCTACAACATGGATGAACCTGAAGATATTATACTAAGTGAAACGAGCCAGACATAAAATAATAAATATTGTATGATTGCATTTATAAAAGGTACGTAGAATAGTCAAATTCATAGAGACGGGAATTAGACTAGTGGTTACCAGAGGCTGAGGGGAGAGAGAAACAGAGTTATTATTTAATGGGGTACACAGTTTTCAATGTGGGGTGATGAAAAAGTTCTAGAGATGAATAATGATGATAGTTGTACACAACGTGAATGTATTAAATGTCACTGAACTCTACACTTAAAAATGGTTCAAAAAGGCCAGGTGTGGTGGCTCACGCCTGTAGTTCCAGCACCTTGGGAGGCTGAAGCAGGAGAATTGCTTGAGCTCAGGAGTTCAAGACCAGCATGGGCAACATGGCGAAATCTCATCTCTACAAAAAATACAAAAATTAGCCAGGCATGGTGCCACATGCCTATAGTCCCAGCTACCCAGGAGGCTGAAGTGGGAATATCACTTGAGCTTGGGAGGTTGAGGCTGCAGTGAGCTGGGATGATGTCACTGTACTCCAGCCTGAGCAACAGAGTAAGATCCTGTCTCCAAAAAATAAAAAAATAAAAAATAAAAAAAATACAAACACACACACACACACACACACACACACACACACACACACACGGTTAAATTGGTAAATTTTACATTAGGCTTTACCATACACACAAAAAAATCATCACAATATATAAGGAACTCACACTATTCAATTGCAAAAAAAAAAAAAAAAAACCTCTGATTACGAATGGGCAAAAGACCTGGATAGACATATTTCCAGAAACATACAAATGGCCAACAAGTTTATGAAAAGATGCTCCACATCACTAATCATCAGGAAAATGCAAATCAAAATCACAATGAGGTATCACTTCATATCTGTTAGCATGGTTATTATCAAAAAGATAAAAGATAACAAGTGTTGGTGAGGATGCGGAGAAAAGGAAATCTTGGTATACTGCTGGTGAGAATATAAATTAGTATAGGCTGCTCTGCCTATGGAGTAGCCATTCTTTATTCCTTTACTTTCTTAATAAACTTACTTTCACTTTATGGACTTGTCCTGAATTCTTTCTTGCACAAGATCCAAGAACCCTCTCTTGGGGTCTGGATCAGGGCCCCTTTGCAGTAACATCTTTCTGGCAAACCATGGAAGGGACAATACTGAGGAGATCCTCCCGACCCAAAAGAAATAGACTGCAGCACTGATTGGCCAACTCTGGATATCACCTTTTGTCGGAACTCAGAGTTATAAGCGACCCTCACCCTGACGCTTTCTGACTGAGCTCCTCTCTATCCTGAATACAAGAGACCCTAATAATTAGACAGGAATATCATTGCCCCTATTCAGCATGAAAAAGTTTACAGAAGATGGATCTTTGTCCCTCTGCAACCCTTAGGATTAAGGGTTCTTTTATAAAAGGGAGAGGGGAAATGTCACAGGTGTTTGAACTAGAGCAACTTCATCTTAAGTAGGGGCTGGGTAAAATAAGGCTGGGACGTACTGGACTGCATTCCCAAGAAGTTAGACATTCTAAGTCACAGGATAAGATAGGAGATCAGCACAAGATACAGGTCATAAAGACCTTGCTGATAAAACAAGCTGTGGTAAAGAAGCCAGCTAAGACCCACCAAAACCAAGATGGTGATGAGTGACCGCTGGTCGTCATTGCTGCTCATTATATGCTAATTATAATGCATCAACATGCTAAAAGACATACCCATCAGCACCATGACAGTTTACAAATGCCATGGCAACGTCATTTTACCCTATATGGTCTAAAATGAGGAGGCATGAATAACCCACCCCTTGTTTAGCATACGATCAAGAAATAACCACAAAAAGGGGCAACCAGCAGCCCCTGGGGCAGCTCTGCCTATGGAGTAGGCATTCTTTATTCCTTTACTTTCTTAATAAACTTCCTTTCACTAAAAAAAAAAAAAAAAAAAAAAAAAAGAATGTAAGTTAGTATAGCCATGAAGGAAAACAGGATAGGGGCTCTTTAAAAAATTAAAAATTGGCAGGGAACAGCGGCTCATGCCTGCAATCCCAGCACTTTGGGAGGCCGAGGTGGGCAGATCACCTGAGGTCAGGAGTTCGAGACCAGCCTGGCCAACATGGAGAAACCCCGTCTCTACTAAAAATACAAAATTAGTCAGGCGTGGTGGCACATGCCTGTAATCCCAGCTACTCAGGAGGCTAAGGCAGGAAAATCACTTGAACCCAGGAGGCGGAAGTTGCAGTGAGCTGAGATCGTGCCATTGCACTCCAGCCTGGGCAACTAAGTGAGACTCCGAATCAAAAAAAAAAAAAAAAAAAATTAAAAATAGAACCATCCTATGATTCAGCAATTCCTCTTCTGGGTATATACCAAAGGAAATGAAATCAGTAGCTTAAAGACATATCTGCACTCCCATGCTCAGTGCAGCATTATTCACAATAACCAAGATAAGGAAATAACCCCATTGCCAGATGAACGGATAAATTGTGATACATATTTAAAATCACACTGGGCATGGTGGCTCATGCCAGGCGTGGTGGCTCACGCCTATAATCCCACACTTTGGAAGGCTGAGGCGGGTGGATCGCCTGAGCTCAGGAGTTCAAGACCAGCCTGGCCAACATGGTGAAACCCTGTCTCTACTAAAAATACAAAAAAATTAACTGGGTGTGGTAGCGCATGCCTCTAGTCCCAGCTACTTGGGAGGGTGAGGCAGGAGAATCGCTTGAGCTCCAGGGGCGAAGGTTGCAGTGAACCAAGATCGTGTCACTGCACTCCAACTTGGGCTACAGAGTGAGACTCCATCTCGAAAAAATAATAATAATAAAATAAATTCACATTACGTCACAATTATTTTTAGTGCTCTCTCTCTCTCTCTATATATATATAAAGTATACATAGTACAGATTATGTAGAATATTCTATATATTTATTCTATATATTCTATACTATATGTATTCTTTGTGTGTGTATATTCATCCACACACACACATAGCAAAGAAAGCAAAGTACAAAAGAGTACCTCTAATGTGCTACCTTTTGTGTATGAAAGAAGAATAAGAAATATACAAGTACCTATTCATTTGTGGAAAAAGAAACACAGGAAGCAAAAACCAGAAACAAATCAGACTGGCTACCCACAGGAGATGGACAAAACTGGGTGGGAAGGAGGCACTGGAAACAGAGTACACAGGATGGGGAGCAGTAACACTTCTGAGTATCTGTTTTTGTAAAATTCTGATGTTTAGAACCATGTTTGTGTTTTGCCTAATCAAAATAAAATTTTAAAATCAGCAAGGATGGGGGAAATAAAACCCAAATGAATACAAACACAAACAAATGAATCTGTTATTTTAAATGAGTATCATAACCACACTGAAGGAGGGTGAAGGAAAGGTAGAACTGACCCAAGTAACTTTTGAACACAGTATTCTGACTATACTCTCACGCTGAATATAAAAACAACTGTAAAAAAATTCTGAGCTCTAATTAGAAGGTTTATTTTCCACAGAGGTATGGATTTACAAATCTGAAACTACTATTATTAGAATACTAAGTGTATTCTATGATGAGCAATTAGATAAACATTGTGGATAATGGGAGTCAAATTTCTTACTGTCAGAGAACAAATACAAATATGGAAAGGGAGAAGGCAGAAATGAACCCTGTGGTATTAGACTATAATTAAAGTATCTGGATGAACTTATTATTATGTAGACAGACAGATACAGAACTAGATATGTGCACAGACATATATACAAACATGTATTTCCCAGCACTGGCCTCTGAGAGGGCCTAGAAGCAATGATACACCAGTAGCAACAAGCACACCTGGCACTCAGATCTTGGTTTCTAAATACCATTTACCACTAAATGGAACCAGGGCTTTTGGTTGGTACTGCCGTCTTCCAGTAATTCACCAAAACGACAAACACAGGGAAAGAGAAGAATTACCCAATATATGTTCTCTAGGCCTTTTAGAAAACATGGAGTTGTTCCTTGGGCCACGTGCATGCAAATCTATAAGAAAGGCAATACTGTAGACATCAAGCGAACGGGTACTATTCAAAAAGGAATGCCCAAAAGCATTACCTGGGAAAAACTGGAAGAGTCTACAATGTTACCCAGCATGTTGTTGGCACTGCTGTAAACAAATTAAGGGCAAAATTCTTGCCAAGAGAATTAACGTGCACATTGAGCACATTAAGCGCTCTAAGACCCAAGATAGCTTCTGAAATGCATGAAAGAAGATGATCAGAAAAAGAAGGAAGCCAAAGAGAAAGGTACCTGGTTTCAGCTGAAGCACCAGCCTACTCCACCCAGGGAATCCCACTGTGTGAGAACCAACGGGAAGGAGCCTGAGCTGCTGGAACCTATTCCCTATGAATTCATGGCATGATAGGTATAAAAAAATAAAAGACCTCTGGACTGCAAAATTGTTTCTCTTTATTTAGTAGAGAAGTGTGGTGTCCTCTCCCCCAAAAAAATATTTAAAGCAGATTTTAATTGTGTCCTAACTCATTGTGTAATGTCTTTACTGTTCAGACTTAGTATTTTTCTTGCTGAAAGATGTGAGGTGGCTTATCGTGCAACAAATTACTCAACTGGTTAGAAAACAATCAGATATTATTTATGAAATACTTGTACTGGTTTGAAGATAGTCCTTCTAAATCATAAAAAAAAGTTTACAAAAAATAAAAAACAGGCCGGGCACGGTGGCACATGCCTGCAATCCCAGCACTTTGGGAGGCCGAGGCATTTGGATCACTTGAGCCCAGGAGTTCAAGACCAGCCTGGCCAACACAGTGAAACCCCGTCTCTACAAAAAATACAAAAATTAGCTGAATGTGGTGGTGTGCTACACTGGAGACTGAGGTGGGAGGATTGTTTGACCTTGGAGGGGCCGAGATTGCAGTGAGCCAAGAAAGCACCACTGCACTCCGGCCTGGGCAACAGAGCAGGACCCTGTCTCAAAAATTAATAATAAACAGATAAACAATAATGGAACCAGGCCTCCTTCAGAGAAATGGCTGGTTCCAGAGCACAGCCAGGGGAAGTATGAGTCTGGAACACTTTGCTATGCCAGAAAGTAATGAAGTATTCAAAGAATAATGAGGGCATATCAAAAGGTCACGGAAAGGGATTCCCACCAGCCATCTGCAATTATTTTAGCATCAAAATAAATAATGAGGCTGGGTACAATGGCTCATGCCTGTAATCCCAGCACTTTGGGAGGCCAAGGCAGGTGTATCATGAGGTCAGGAGATCCAGACCATCCTGGCTAACATGGTAAAACCTCATCTCTACTAAAAACACAAAAAATTAGCCAGGCGTGGTGGCGGGTGCCTGTAGTCTCAGCTACTTGGGAGGCTGAGGCAGAAGAATGGCATGAACCCAGGAGACAGAGCTTGCAGTGAGCCGAGATCGCACCACTGTACTCCAGCCTGGGCGACAGAGCAAGACTCTGTCTCAAAAAAAAAAAAAAAAAAAAAATTAGCCAGCCGTGGTGGCACACACCTGTAGTCCCAGCTATTTGGGAGGCTGAAACAGGAGAATCACTTGAACCCGAACCCAGGTGGTGGAGGTTGCAGTGAGCTGAGATCGTGCCACTGCACTCCAGCCTGGGTGACAGAGTGAGACTCCGTCTCAATAAAAAAATAAAATAAAGGCCGGGTACAGTGGCTCACACTTGTAATCCCAGCACTTTGGGAGGCCAACGTGGGTGGATTGTGAAGTCAGGAGTTTGAGACCAGCCTGGCCAACACAGTGAAACTCTGTCTCTACTAAAAATACAAAAATTAGCTGGGCATGGTGGCGGGCACCTGTAATCCCAGCTACTCAGGAGGCTGAGGCGGGGGAATCGCTTAAACCTGGGAGGCAGAGGATGCAGTGAGCCGAGATCGTGCCACTGCACTACCGTCTGGGGGACAGAGCTAGACTCCGTCTCAAAAAATAAGTAAGTAAATAAATAAAAATAAAAAATAAATAAATAATGATAGTATTGGATTATAACACATAGAATGAAATAAGAATCCATGGGTCCATACTGATATAAATAAATGAATGGAAAACAAACAGGGGTGAAGGGCAAGTTCTTTCTTACAGTAGAAGGTGAACAAATATAGAAGAAATGATGGAATTGGAAAATCACCATTTGCAACCCCATAATAAAAATTGTTTTCAGCAAGAATCGTCAGTGGTGATAGAAGTATTTACTGCATGAAAGTTTGATGAGGAACAGGATAGTCTCAAAATACCTCCTACAAGATCTTATTAACCACAAAGTAAAAAACAGTAACTTTACAGTGAGGACTTACCTTAAAGCAAGTGATCAAAGTTAAATCACCACTGAGTAGGATATGACATCATGTTTGTGGTATTTTTGCCAAAAATTCATAATATGAATCTAACAGAAAACATCAGACAGACCCAAACTAAGGAACATTCTACAAAATGAATGGCCTGTTCTCCCAAAATGTCAACGTCCTGAAAGACAAGAATAACTGAAGAACTGTTCTCAGCTAAAGGAGATTAAAGACAAGACAACTAAAGGCAATGCATCATCCTTGACTGGATCCTAGACCGGAAAAAAAACCATTTTTGTTCTATTTTACTATGAGGACATTAGTCAAACAAGTGGCAAAATTTGAATAAGGGCTATAGATTGAGTAAGGGCTATAGATTCAGTAACAGTACTATATCAATGTTAATTTTTTAATTTTACTAAGTGTACCGTGCTTATGTAAAAGAATGCACTTGTTTTTAGGAACTTTATATTTAGAGGTTAGGGGCCTTATGTCTACAATTTACTCTCAAGGTTCAGAAAAACTTAATATGCCTACGTATGTACAGGCAGATAAAGAAGATGATAAAGTGAATCTGTTAAAATGTTAATATTTGAGAAATCTGGTTCAAAGGTACATGGGAATTCTTTGTACTATTTGTGCAACTTTTCTGTAAGTCTGAAAGTATTGTAAAACAAAAAGCTTTAAAACACACTGTTGGATGAGGGGGTAGAGATTCCTTTTACACCTCTTCCAGGGACAGGTACATACCTGGCCTTGTGTGAGGAAGTTGGCCATCAGCGCCCCCTTTACAGCATTGTTCATATCACAGTCTGAGAAGATGATGAGTGGAGATTTGCCTCCAAGTTCCAAGGTAACAGGTTTGATTCCTTTAGCTGACATCTCCATGATCTTGCAGAACAAGGACAAGGTATTCAGAACTTTAACACAAATTATATTGCATGCTAAGTCAACTAGGCCCTGAACCTACAAAATCATCTTGAACTGTTTGTGACCTGTAGCCTTATTCTTGTCAATATCCTTTGCCTTTTGGCTATTAAAATATTCTATTCCAGAAAACTGAAGAGAATCCACAGAGTTGCACTGACATTAGAAGAGGGAGTTCATTTAAAAAATATTGTCCCAGCCTGGGCAACATAGCAAGACCCTATCTCTACAGAAAAATAAGAAACTTAGCCAGGCACAGTGGCACATGACTGTAGTCTCAGCTTCTTAGGAGGCTGAAGCAGGAGGACTGCCTGAGCCCAGGAGTTGAAGGCTGCAGTAAGCTGTGACTACACCACTATAATCCAGCCTGGGCAACAGGGTGAGACCCTGTCTCAAAAAAATAAAAATAAAAAATATTGTCAATTCACAGGATTGTCATAGCCAGAAATTCTTTTGTGTTATTGTTACTGTGTTTAAGGCTGACAGAGTTCAGAACACAAATTAATGTCAAAATAATGGATCTGAAATAGCCTGAGTAAAAATCCTTTCTTCTATACAAGAAATTAAGTCACTAAACAATACAAGTGGCAGCCCAGGCCCCTGTCCACTAAGACACATCCTCTCCTTAGGCTGGGGCTGTTAATTTCCACCCCTACCTGGCCTAACACAAATCACCCCATGTGTACTCCCTTTCCCCCTTCATACTTTTACAGGAAATTTCACACCTCTGCCTAATAAAATCTCCTTCCCATTCCCAATTCAGGCTAGGTAAAATCAAAAGAGAAGCCTCCAAAATATACTCTGGGTAGGACCGGATTTGCCACATCCAAATGCCATGTGTGTTGACCAATACTGGTTTTGTCCTCACCTTCATGCCAGTGGGCACACTTCCAGTGAAGGAGACTTTGGCCACATCGGGATGCTGACACAGAAACTGGCCTGTGGCAGCCCCTCCCTGCACCACATTGAAGAGCCCAGGAGGTACACCAGCCTCACTGTAGATTTCAGCCAGTAGCAATGCAGAAACAGGTGTAAAGGGAGAAGGTTTAAAGACCATGGCATTACCTGCATAAACCCAAGACACAAACATAAAAAGACTTTCTAAGACCAGTGATCCCCTGAAAACAGGACTAGAGGACAATTCAAAAATGATTCCAATTGTTTCCTCTTCCCCAACCAAATCCTACATCAAAAATGTTATTAATAACCATATTAGTTTGTTTTCATGCTGCTGATAAAGACATACCCGAAACTGGGAACAGAAAGAGGCTTAATTGGATTTACAGTTCCACATGGCTAGGGAGGCCTCAGAATCATGGCGGGAGGTGAAAGTCACTTCTTACATTGGCGGCAGGAGAAAAATGAAGCAGCAGCAAAAGCGGAAACCCCTGATAAACCCATCAGATCTCATGAGACTTATTCACTATCAGGAGAATAGCATGAGAAAGACCAGCCCCCATGATTCAATTACCTCCCCCTGGGTCCCTCCCACAACACATGGGAATTCTGGGTGATACAATTCAAGTTGAGATTTGGGTGGGGACACAGCCAAACCATATCAATAAGTAAACAACTCTTGTCCTTTTCATCTTGGTTTCTCTCATTAAACAGATCCCAAACCCTACAGTTGCCCAGTCTCACATTTGCATATCTAGGCCTTTTCACATATATTATCTCATTTAACACTTTCAACAGCAGTATGAAGTAGGTATCATTAGCTCCATTTTATAAAAGTTGACATTGAAGACCAGAATGGTTCACTTGATGAGAGTCCCCAAAGCTAGTGACTTAATTCTGGTGACTATTAAAGCTAGTGACTATTTTTCCTCTTTCACAGCTGTATCTCAAAGAGAAATAGGCTAAAACAAGAACATGCAATGGCAACAGGACAAAAGCTGCATTTCAATATAATGTCCTAACAGTAATGCTTTCTAACATTACAATTTTTTCTAAGATAAAATTAGTCTTCTTTCCTCAAAGATTCTTCTCTTTAAATACTGTAAGAAAACTATTTTATGTCAATCAGCCAAAGCTCCTCTTTGATAAGAAGCTTATCAAAGCCTTGCTTATCATTTCTCTTAAGACCCAAATGAAGAAAGGAGTTTATCTTCTGCTTCGTAAATGAAGTCAAACTCCTAAGTGCTAACTCCTACCTTAAAATTCTTGTCCAGAAAGGAAGAGAACTTATAAGTAGCACAAATCTAATTCAATTTAATAAGAAAAAATTAAATTTCTTTTCATATACAAAATTAAATAAATAAAACCTGAGAATATCTAGACATGATTGTGTACAACCTTAACTATAAGCTCCTTGAGGGGCAAGACAGGGCAGGAACGAGCCATGTCCTCTGAGGCTTTGAATATCCCAGAGCAGGCCCCTTCCGATTTAAAGTGTGTGTTTATAGAGAGGTGAAAGGTAGAGAATGGGGAGAGAACGAACGAGAGAATGAACGAATGGCTCTCAAATGGAGGGATAATTCATTCTTACCACAGGCTAATGCTGGAGCCGACTTCCAAGAGGCAATCTGAAAGGGGTAGTTCCATGCTCCTATTCCCACACATACCCCAAGTGGTTCTCTTCTGGTATAACCAAACGATCCACCTGGGAGCTGGATGTGTTCACCTATGGGGAAAACAGGAGTAAAGGAGGATGCAGGTCTGTGCTCCCCAAGATTTCACCAACATCTGTACCAGTCTGACTTGTACTCCAGTCAACGCAGCCTCCCCACTTCTCCCAATACACCAGGCTCACCCTGTCTCCATTCTTCTATTTGTTCCAGGCAGTCTTCCACTGGCTTCCACGTATTCTCTCCACATAGAGAACCCTGCCTATCCTTCAAACACATGTTCATCTAACTTGATTTTACAACTCTCTAAGAATTTACTGAGCCTCTATTAGATAGCTTAGATGAAACAAAATGGAAATGAGAGGAACACTCAACAGCAGGGGAAGCATGTAAGTTCCTTGCAACCTTCCTAGGCCCTACCAACCTTCCAATATCAATTGTTGAAAACTTTATACACTGTCAAAAAAAAGTTTGCTAAATAGATAAAACTGGTAAATATGACAAACCGATTCTTATGAAAACTGGTTTTTCAGCAATTTGGTCTAAAGCTCAGGTATCATGCTAGGTGCTTTACATGCACTATCTCATTTAATCCTTAACCCAAGAAGGTAGGAATTATTATCTCCAGTTTAGATTAGGAAAGATAAAGTAATTCCCAGGCCACCCAGGTAGAAAGTGACAAACCCAAGACTTTCACCCAGGTTTGTCTTAATTCCAAAATCTTTGCCCTTCACCACTAGGCCCTGCTCTTCTGCCTCATTATCAGCTGGTCACAGACACCAGGTGAGGACTTACCAGCCATGGATGCAGCCAAGCCCGCATAATACTCCAGGCACTGCCAGGAAATGTCAATGTCCAAGCGGGCCTCAAAGATGGACTTGCCATTGTTGATGCACTCCATAGTAGCAATTTCATCCTCCCGTTCCTTTGGGTAAAGCAGAAGACTAGATTTAAGACATATTCCAATATGTCTTGATGTAATTAATGCTTAAATAGAACACACTGCTCAATTTTTAAAACTAAAAATAGCTTTCACTTTAAATGAAAAGAAATGGCAGTGTTACATTTAGAAGAGAGATAAAGGCTTATAGCTGAACAGCAGCCCTGTTCTTCCCTCGTTAATTAATCGACAAAGATTTAAGACCACTACTTTATTTCAAGATCAGTTAGTAAAAGAAGGGGCAAGACCGGGCAGGAATGAACCCATGCCCTCTGAGGCTCTGAAAGTCACAGGGCAGGCCCATTCTGATTTGAAGTGTATATTTATTGAAGAGGTGAGGGGTAGAGAATGGAGAGAAAATGGATGGCTCACAAGTGGAAGAATAATTCATTTTGGAAAATGAATGTAATACGTACATGTACGTAAATATGTATGTTTGCTCATATATGGTAAGAGAAAACAGTTCTTAGGGAAATTATACAAAATATTCTAACACACAATTGCATTTAAGAGGTTGTAATATGCGTCACTTTAAGTCACCCAAAGAATTGCAGCATATTCTCTTCTAATATTTTCTAATACTTAGCATTCAATCAATACTATTTTCAAATACTGTTTCTAGTTCTGGGCTCCACAACTTACTAAGGATAAAGAAATTCAATAGATGGTCCAATGATGAGCTTAAAGGTTTAGGAAATTAGACCTAAGAAAGAAAGCTAAATAATGCCTTTCTTTGGTCTAAAGGACATAAAAGAATTGAATATGTAAGAAGTAGGCAGTTGCTATTATGGGTCCAATTTAAAATAAATAATAGGGTGACTATCAGAACATACATAAAAGATTAAGCAACTGACAAGAAGGAACATTCTGTTTATAAAACTGATAAGCAGTAAGGCTGGCCAGAAGCAAAATGGAGTGCAACAGAAACTAACTCAAGCATCTATCCACAGTACAAAGCTCAGAAAAGATGAAAGTAGGAATATGAAAACCAATATGAAATACAAGAAAGGACAGTTGGATAGTGAGATTTGGACACGCTGTATTTCTTATAAAGGCCAGAGGTATAAAGTGCTTTGACTCATTCATTCTACATTCATTACTAGGGAAAAGAGTATCAGTCCTGTCTACCCCTTTAAGAGCTTACTTCTAAAAGGGCAAGTCAGCACATTTTAAATCAATATTGCAATTTTTGAATAGACATTTTCCTTCAGAAAGGATAATCTGTTCACATTCAAACCTGGTCTAAATTAAACTCTCTTTTAAACCAACAATTTACCTTCTCCCTTCCTGACTCTACACTCAACAAAACAACCTTTTGACAATTAACTTGTTTCCCAGTATGCTGACCCTAGAAAGAGGGTACCCTAAGAGGAAAACATACATCAATTCTTACACCAAGCATAAATTATTCCCCATTCTTAAGTTTGTTGAGTATAATTAACACAAAATAGTTTTCCAAAGG